>NC_000001.11:10246290-12746290 GCF_000001405.40 Homo sapiens | reverse complement strand
CCTTGCTAACCTCAGAGAATAAAACGGCCCCAAGAGTTCACTGTCAGCCTTTAGGGAGAGTTGATCTATCTTGGATTCTCTACTGTTGACTGTCTCCATGGTGACAGACTCTGAGTATAAATACTCTCTGTAAGAGAACAGCTGATTCTGCAGAAGCAAAATTGACCTCACAGAAACAAATCAAACCAACCACCACACCACAAAAGCAGTCGCCAGAAGAACCTGGTTTCTGTGTTCTCACCACAATACTAGTATCATCCTTGCTACACTTTCACATTTGGGGTGAGTTAAAGTCTGCTACTATTTAATGAATGTTGATGTGCTTGCTCCAAGCAAAGACATTTATGCACATTTATTCACCTGTTTAATCCTCACAGCAGCCCTCTGACGCAGATGCCATTATTATACCCATTTTACAGATGAGGACACTGAAGCAAAGAGATTAAGTAGCTGCCTAACATCATGCAGTTGTGATGGGATTTAAATCCACGCTGGTTCAGACCTAAACCAGTGGGCTCCATTCATTTCCTATCTGCTACTTTGTAGGGGCTTGCACAAAGAATTCTGTCTTTGTGCTCACACTGGTATAATATGCTTCATTTGCTCAGTCTTCATTCATTCATTCCACAATCATTTCCCATTCTATGCCAGGTGCTTAGCTACAGCTGCAATGCATTAGCAATTAGACCTGGGCACCATCCCCACAGAGCTCAGTCCAATGAGATAAGGGCCTTTGTCTTGCTCATTCATTAGGAAAAAAAAAAAGTCAAAAAGCACCAAGATATCCATCAGCAGAGGGCTTGTTCAATAAACTGTAATACATCCAGATGATGAAATCCTCTGCAAGAGTTTTAAAGGCTGACTTTAAAAGATGCCTATAACATGTGGTTAACTAAACAAAACTCTGTGTGCTATAGTATTGCTTGCTAAAAGTGAAGAGGCTGGATTTCGCTAGGCAATTCAGAGAAAGTTTCCAATGGCCTTCAAACAAAAATAGAGGAACTCCAGGAAACTATGTGTTCCATCTTGAAACTAAGCCTGAGGCAGGAAATGACCATGAAAGATGTTCTGCAGGTTAGAATAAACCTTTATTTAGCAGAGACCACAGTTGGGGCAGGGCTGGAGCTAGGAAGAGGAGGTGTCCTTCCAATTAACATGCAGAGGAGGCATGCGTTCGGTATAATTTAATTTTTTTTTTTTTTTGAGACAGAGTCTCGCTCCGTCGCCCAGGCTGGAGTGCAGTGGGATGATCTCGGCTCACTGCAAGCTCTGCCTCCCAGGTTCACGCCATTCTCCTGCCTCATCCTCCCAAGTAGCTGGGACTACAGGCGCCTGCCACCACGCCCAGCTAATTTTTTGTATTTTTAGTAGAGACGAGGTTTCACCGTGTTAGCCAGGATGGTCTCAATCTCCTGACCTCGTGATCCGCCCGCCTCGGCCTCCCAAAGTTCTGGGATTACAGGCATGAGCCACCACACCTAGCGCGGTATAATTCAATTTTCAAAACCTTTTATTGTCGCATAAAACACAAATATCAAAAAGTACGTTAAAAATAAATGTACAGATAAATGAATTATGGAATAGCAAAACCCCACAAAAAACACTGAGCTGGTCAAGAAATAAAATATCGCCAGCACGCCCAAAGTACTCCACATGTCCCTCCCACTCACAACCCATTCCTCCCCTAAAGGAAACCACTCTCTTGACTTCTATAGCAATCACTTCCTTGCTTTTCTTTATATGCTTACTGCCAAAGTATGCTCTTAAACAATAATGTTCAGTTTTGCCTGTTTGGGGACTTTCATATAGTTTCAATCCTATAGTATGCAATGAGTCTGATTTCCCCAGTGGGGTTAATATTTTTAAGATTCACGCATTTTGCATGTAACCATGGTTGCTGTGACTGTTTTATACATGACAGTCATTGGAAAGACCACCAGCATGGCTAAATAGTAAAAAGAAGAGCTTTAATGGCGATAGCAGTTTGCAAACTGCACAGAGAGACAGTCTCCAGCATGGATCAGAGGTACTCTCTCTTCCAAGAGAGGAAGGACAGGTTGGGTTTCATGCTTCACAAGGCCTGTGTTTATATATATTCAGCAGGTTTGGGGGGAAGCTATACATACTTATGAGTGGAACTGAGCACATACACAATGGAAAAACATGTATGTAACATACATCTTTCCTAAACAATAATGTTTAGCTTTGCGTGTTTGTGGACTACATATAAATGGAATCCTATCGTATGTATTTACTCAAGTCTAGCTTGTTTTCCCCAATATTGTTAATGTGTTTAAGATTCACCCATGTTGCACATAGACATGGCTGCTATGACTGTTTTGTACATGATCGTCATCCGAAAGACCACCAGGGTGGCTGAATAGCAGGACAGCTTTATTGGTGATACCGGTTTGCAAAGTGTGGGCCAGGTTTTAATATTAAATGAGGTGGAATTTGGTTCTTTATGTCAAAAGGTGAAATATAGGACACAAAGAGAGTTTGTGCACAGCCTCTATAAGCTGGCTGAAACTGGCTTTAGGTCTGCAATAACTTGCCAGAAAAGAATGTTTGTAAGGCCAGTCCTCTGTCCAATCAGAGTTGTAGTGGCCTAGGTTGTAAATCAGCCTGAGGGGCCCTATTATTAGGGAGTTTAGCAAGGGTCTTTTTTCCTATAGCCACAGAAGATTAGAAATTTGCCATGCTGAGACCGAGCACGGTGGCTCATGCCTATAATCTCAGCACTTTGGGAGGCCAAGGCAGGTAGATTGCTTGAGCCCAGGTGTTCGAGACAAGCCTGGACCACATGATGAAACCCTGTCTCTACAAAATACACAAAAATTAGCCAGGTGTGGTGGTGTATGACTGTGGTACCAGCTACACGGGAGGCTGATGTGGGAGGATTCCTTAAGCCCAAGAGGTAGAGATTGCAGTGAGCCATCATCTTGCCACTGCACTCCAGCCTGGGTGACAGAACAAGACTTTGTCTCAAAAAAAAAAATTATCAGGCCAGCCAAGCTCTGAACCCTCAACCTGTAGGTAGCTTTTGTTTCCTTAGCCTTAGGGTCTTAGTTGATACAGGGGCGTCTATTTTGGTCTCTCAGATCACATGATACGTATATCCTGGTGCTCAAATATAGCCATTTCTCTAGGGCAGTGGGTCTTAAGCATTTTGGCCTTGGGACCTCTTAATCTCATAAAAATTATTGAGGACTCAGAGGGCTTTTTAAATGTGGATTATATTAGTGGTGCTGGAGCCAGGTAGCACCTGCTCATGAGAGCCAGTTTCGATCTCTTCCCAATCCCATGCTCTATGAAGTCACATTGGTAGCTTGACATCAGTCGCAGTGGGAATATTTACACCACAGAATTGGCAAAGGCTACATATCAGGCTGCTGGGTTTTTTTTCCCAGAAAATGAGTTTGTCAACATGTTACTGGTTATATTCATCAATGTTTACCATATTAGAAATTAAAACAGTCTGGGCACAGTGGCTCATGTGTGTAAACCCAGCATTTCGGGAGGCCAAGGCAGGAGAATTACTTGAGCCCCAGGAGCTCAAGACCAGCCTGGGCAACGTGGTGAAGCTCCATTTCTTAAAAAAATATATACACAAAAAATAGCCAGGCGTGGTAATGCACGCCTGTAGTCCCAGCTACTAAGGAGGCTGAGATGGGAGGATCCCTTGAGCCCAGGAGTTTGAGGCTACAGGGAGCTACGATCATGCCACTGCACTCCAGCCTGGGTGACAGAGAAAGACCCTGTCTCAAAAAAAGAAAGAAAGAAATTAAAACAGAAATTTAAAATATATTTATTAATTTCCAAATAACAAAAAAAAACTCATTTCATGTTAACATAATTAATTTTTTAATAAAGATTAAATCCATTTTCCAAAACAAAAAATTTGAATAAATTTTTTGCCCATTGGTGATTTTGGTGGTCATCTGGAAAATATTGCTTTACTAAGCTGTGTAGCTCTTCCAAACTATACAATATTTTTAAAAAGCACACTTGCTGCTGGTTACAGTGGCTCACACCTTGTAATACCAGCACTTTGGGAGGCTGAGGCGAGCAGATCACTTGAGCCCAGGAGTTCAAGATCAGCCTGGGCAACATGACAAAACTCCATCTTTACAAACAAATACAAAAATTAGCCAGGCGTGGTGATGCACAGTTGTAGTCCCAGCTACTGGGAGAGTGAGGTAGGAGGATGGCCTGAGCCCAGGAGGTCAAGGCTACAGTAAGCAGCGATTGCACCACTGCACTCTAGCCTGGGCAACAAAGTGAGACCCTGTCTCAAAAAAGAAAAAATCACATTTGCTAACATCATTACTGATATGGTCAGAAAAGCATTGAACTATTAGGAAGTTGTTAAGCTCACAGCGGTGGACGCAAGCTTTCCAAAATTCTAGTTCTAGTTTGAAAGCTCAAAATTTTGTTATTGGCAACAATTAATCTCAGTTGTTTTCCTTGAAGCGACAGACTTACCTCATTCATTTTCAAGGAAACATCAAGAGAACATTTCATCGGGAGGCTGAGACAGGAGAATTGCTCAAACCTGGGAGGCGAAGTTTGCTGTGAGCCGAGATCGCACCACAGCTCCAGCCTAGGCAACAGAGTGAGACTCCGTCTCAAAAAAAAAAAAAAAAAAAAAAAAAATTCAAATTTAAATAATCATGGTTTGTCTGTGAATAATCATGGTCTGTCAAGTAAAAATGGTGTTTCATTTAAAAAAAAAAAAAGCCTGGCTAATTAATTCAGGTCACAACTCAATAATCCACACAAATGCTCTTTCTCAAGACAGCCCTCACCCTTGGATGTGCAACGTCAGTGCCTTATTTGTATCTCTTTCCCATTTCATCACACAGAGTGCTAAAAAGGCATTTGCTCAGGGTCAAGATTTGATCAAATAACTGTTACTTCTTCATCAAAGGACATTCTTAAGTGAACTTAATTTTTTTGTTTAAACTGTGAGTGTGTGGCAGTGAAGAATAAAGGATACTAATATAATTAATGGCACGGCCTTGATTCGTTCACAGGTGCCAGCAATTTTACCCACAAATGCTTTTGCACCATCAAAGTAAGCACTGTGGACCAGGCGCAGTGGCTCGCACCTGTAATTCCAGCACTTTGGGAGGCCGAGGCAGGTGGATCACCTGAGGTCAGGAGTTCGAGAACAGCCTGGCCAACATGGTGAAACCCTGTATCTACTCATAATACAAAAATTAGCCAGAGGGTGGTGGTGCACGCCTCCTCAGCTACTTGGGAGGCTGAGGCAGGAGAATCACTTGAACCAGGAGGTAAAGGTTGCAGTGAGCCAAGATCGTGCCATTGTACTCCAGCCTGGGTGACAAGAGCGAAATTCTGTCTCAAAAAAAAAAAAAAAAAAAAAAAGCACTGTAGAAAAGGGCAAATAACAAGTTAGTATTATTATGAAAATTGTCGGCTGGGCACGGTGGCTCACACCTGTAATCCCAACACTTTGGGAGGCCGAGGCGAGCGGATCACGAGGTCAGGAGTTCAAGACCAGCCTGGCCAACATAGTGAAAGCCCATCTCTACTAAAAATACAAAAAATTAGCCAGGCATTGTGGCGGGCACCTGTAATCCCAGCTACTCGGGAGGCTGAGGAAAGAGAATTGCTTGAACCCGGGAGGTGGAGGTTGCAGTGAGCCGAGATCGCACCATTGCCTCCAGCCTGGGCAACAAGAGCGAGACTCCATCTCAAAAAAAAAAGTAAAAGAAAAAAAAGAAAATTGTTTTGACCCTCCAGGCCCCTTGAAAGGGACTTGGGACCTCCAAGCATCTGTGGGTCTCACTTTGAAACCCACTGCTCTAGAATAAATACGTAGGAGTGGAATTGCTACATCAGAGAGTGCATATGTGTCTCCAGCTGTACTAGATAATGCCAATTATTTTCCAGAGAGTAGTATCAATTTACATTCCCACCATGAGTGTACGGGTGTTTCCATTGCTCCACACCTTCCGGAACTTTTTCAGCATCCCAAACAGAAACTCTGTACCAATTAAGCTGTAACTCCCCATTCTCCCCTTCTCCTAAACCCCTGGTATTCTCTCTTCTCCTTTGTCTCTGTGAATTTGCCTGGTCTAGGTATCTCATATAAGTGGAATCATATAATACTTGTCCTCCTGTGTCAGTTTTCTTGCATTGAGATAATGTTGTCAAGATTCATCTATGTTGTAGCATGTATCAGAACTGCATTCCTCTTTAGGCTGGATGGTATTTCCGTTGTATGTATTTAACACATTGTTTATCCATTCATCTGGTGATGGACATTTGATGTGTTTTCACCTTCTGGCTTTTGTAAATATAATCCTGGTATGAACACTAGTATACAAGTAGCTGTTTGAATCCCTGCCTTCAGTTCTTTGGGTTTATACCTAGGATGAAATTGGCACCACAAAACTGCTTTCTTCTCTCTTTTTTTTTTCCAGGTCAGATGGGTAATGTGCTGACGTCATAACAAGGTTCGAGGGTGGTACATCTCACACACATACATGAACACCCAATCATCAGGTTCACGAACCACAAAAGCATCTGTTTTCCACAGCATCTGCATCATTTCTCATTCCCACCAGCAGAGCACGAGGGTTCCCATTTCTCTGCCTCCTCACCAACACTTGTTATTTTCCAGTTTTTAAACAATAACCAGCCTCGTGGGTGTGAAGTGGTATGTCATTGTGAATTTAATTTCCCCTAATGACTAATGGTATTGAGCATCTTGTCATGTGCTCATTGGCCATTTATAGATCTACTTTAGAGAAATGTCTATTCAAGTCCTTTGCCCATTGTTTTGTTTTGCTTCATTTTTTATTTTAGGTTCAAGGGGTGAATGTGCAGGTTTTTACACGCATGTATTGCAAGATCCTAGAGCTTGGGCTTCTAATGATCCTGCCACCCAAGTAGTGAACATAGTACCCAATAGGGAGTTTTCAACGCTTGCCCTCCTTCTCCCTCCCCACTTTTGGAATCCCTGGTGTCCACTGTTCCCGTGTTTGTGCCCATGTGTCCCCAGTGTTGAGCTCCCACTTATGAGTGAGAACATGTGGTTTTTGGTTTTCTGTTTCTGCATTAATTCACTTAGGATAATGGCCCCCAGCTGCATCTATGTTGCCACATTGTACATGATTTCATTCCTTTTTCTGGCTGTGTAGTATTCCATAATGTATATGTACCAATTTTCTTTTCTTGTCTTTTCAGAGACAGGGTCTCACTCTGTCACTTAGGCTGAAGTGCAGTGACATGATCACAGCTCATTGCAGCCTCAACTTCCCAGGCTCAAGCAATCCCCCTATCTCAGCCTCCTGAGTAGCTGGGACTGCAGGTGCATACCACCACACCTGGCTAATTTTTGTATTTTTGGTAGAGACGAGGTTTCATCATGTTGCCCAGGCTGGTCTCGAGCTCCTAGGCTCAAGTGATCTGCCCACCTTGGCCTCCCAAAGTGCTGGGATTACAGGCGTGTGCCCCTGCACCCAGCCTGTACCACATTTCCTTTATCCAAGCCACACCATTGAGGGGCACCAGGGTTGATTCCATGTCTTTGCTGTTGTAAATAGTGCCGCAATACACATACAGGTATAGGTGTCTTTTTGGTAGAAGGGTTTATTTTCCTTTGGGTAAATACTTAGTAATGCGATTGTTAGGTCTAACTGTAATTCTATTTTTAGTTCTTTGCCTTTGCTCATTTTTAAATCAGGTTTTGTGTGTGTGTGTGTGGCTGAGTGTTACTTCTTCCTTGAATATTACATAAATCAAGCCATCTGGGCCAAGAGGTTTCTGTTTGGTCTTGTTTTTGTTGGAAGGCTTTTCTATTTTAGATTCACTATCTTTATTAGGTACAAAATTACGTAGGTTTTCTGTTTCCTTTCCCAGTTTTGGTAAGTTGTATTTTTCTAGGAATTTATACGTTGCACCTAAATTTTCAAAATTTTTGACATATGTTGCTCATAATGTCTTCTTATTATCTTTTTATATCTCTAGGGCCTGTATTAAAGTTCCCTTTATGCCTAATATTTACTATTTATGGCTTTTCTCTTTTACTTTATTGGTCTCACCAGATATTACCAATTTTATCCGTCTTTTCCAAGAGCCAAAACATGGCATGGTTGATCATCTCTATTGTGTGATTGTTTTATTTTAGAAATTTTCCTTTAAAGATATAAAAAATAATTTAAAAAATAAAAGTAAATAAAAAATACTTTTAAAAACTTTATTTTTTTCATTATCTTCCTTATATTTTCTTTGGATTTGTTTTACTATCAGTTTTCTAGTTTTTTGAGATGGATGTTTAGTTCATTAATTTTCAGCCTTTATTCCTTTCTTCTATATGCTTTTAAGACTATAAATTCCCTTAATTGTTGTTTTAAGGATATAAATTCCCTTAACTATTATTTTTCTGCCTCCCATAGTGGACTAAACTATTTTCTATTACTTTAGTGTTTACCAAAGAAATTACCATGCACTCATGACTTAGCAAAGTCTAATCTTGGTTGATACTTTTACCCTCCTCCCAGAAAACTCAAGGACCTTAGAACAATTTAACTCTATTTGGTCCCTTCCAGATCTATATGCTATTATGTACTTTAATTCTCTCTCCTACATATTTTACATTACATGAGTTATTATTATTATCATTTTATAGTTAGCATTTACTTAGATTTGCCCACATATTTGCCATTTGCATTATTTTTTATTCCATTCTGCATCTCTGACCTCCCATCTGTGATCATTTCCCTTTTTCCTGAAGAACCCTTTAGAATTTCCTTTAAAGGAGTTCTGCTAGTGGCAAACTTCCTCAGTTTCTATTTATCTGAAAACATCTTTATTTCACTTTGATTCTGAAGGATATTTTCGGTGATGGTAGAATTCAAGTTTGGCAGTTACTTTTCTTCACACGTGGAATAAATTTTTCCACTGTTTCCTGACTGTCATTGTTGCTTCTGAGAAAACAAGTGTCAGTTTATTAATTCTTTTAAGGTATCTGGGCGATTATTTTGTTTTGTTTTGTTTTTAAGATTTTCTCTTTATCTTTGGTTTCCTGCAGCATTATTCTGATATATCTAGGTAGGAGTGGATTGCTTTACACTGCTTGCAATATGCTTCTTGGATTTATGGGTAAATGTCTTTCAATCATTTTAGGAAATTCTCAGCTATTATCTGTTCAAATATGGCTGCTGCCTCCTTTCTTTCCACTCTCCTTTTAGGAAAACAATTACATATTTGTTCTTTCTTATCACTGAATCCTCAATGCTTCTGGTCCCCTCTTCTGTATTTTCTATCCTTTTGTCTCTTCATGCTTGATTTCTTATAGTTTCTTCCGACCTAGATTCCAGTTTACATAACTTTTCTTCAGGTGTGTCTAAGGTGAAATCAAGCCTGTTAAAGCGAACTAAATATGGCCTGAGGAGGACTCTGTACTTCTCTGTTTGAGTCCTTGTAGACAAATCATAACCTAGCTTAATAGGCAGACAAGACTGAAAACCTAACGTAGGAGTATGCACCTGTAACAACAGCTGGGTCTTGGCCATTCCCAGAAGCCATATTTCAGCCATCCACAGGCTGCTGAGTGTTCAAACTGTGTTCAAATAAGGCAAAAGCCAACCTGTAACCAATCCAGCTGTTTCTGTACCTCACCTCCAATTTCTGTATGAAACATCCCCCCCGTTTTTTGTTTTTTGTTTTTTGTCTATAAATTTGTTCTCACCACAAGGCACCTCTGAAGTCTCTCTGAATCTGCTATGATTATGAGGGCTGCCCAATTTGTGAATCATTCACTGCTCAATTAAACTCCTTTAAGTTTAACTTGGCTGAAGTTTTTCTTTTGACAAGTCTATCTGTTGAATTTTTATTTTGTTTACTGTATTCTTCAGTTCTGGAATTTCTATTTGTTTCCTATATATACGTGTGTGTGTTTGTGTGTGTGTGTGTGTGTGTGTATTAATGCTATGTTATTTTTTCCATTTTAATTTTTTAAATTTCGTTTTGCCTTCTGAACTTTTAAATTACCAGTTTCAACTTCCTCAAATTTCAAATTTAGATTTTTATCTCCTTCAGCATAGTAAGCAGACCTCTTTTACAGAATTTGGATTTTTCTTTTCTTTTCTTATTTTTACTCTTGTTTCTGTGGGTTCTTACTTCTAGCTCTTTTCTTCTCACGTAGCTGGTATCTTAAAAATTCTTTGCAAAAACAATGTAAAGCCTAGAATGTTTCCTTCCTCCAGAGATGATTGCCATTTGCTTTTCCAAGCACCTGTGAACATTAGAAATTGGGCACCACTTTAATCCAATATATGGATTGGATTATGGAACACTTTAATCCAATCCCATTCACATTTTCAGTCACTGTATAATCACAATGCAATGTGCTCAGAACTATGATAAAGGAACTACAGTATGCTATGCAAGCCAGAAGGAGAAGACTATAAACCTGACTGGAGTAGGAAGGCTTACCGGAAATGCAAAGTCTAAAGTGGGACTCAAGGAGTGAATAATGAATTGACTTCTTCACTCCTCATCCACTATGACCTAGAAACACTTCTTAAAGATGGCAAATCAGTTTCAGGTTATTGCAATGGGAACCGAATGGTTGTAGGGTGGTGGATTTGGAACTCAGACCAACTTGGCTTCCAATTCCAGTTCTACCACTTACCAAGAAACTTTGAACAAGTTTCCTGGCCATGTCAACCTTGGTTTCCTGACCTATGAATTAGGAAGACATATTATATGCTTCATAACATGATGAGGATTCAATGAGATGTCACCTAAAAGCACCCGGTAAAATGTTTGTCACATAGAAAAGGTCAAAAAAATTGTCAATTCTTTCTTCTCTTTGTGCCTAAACCAAGTTTACTCTAGTAACAAAATTTATTCCTTTTCCTTCATTAGCAGAGTGTATTTGAAAATTTGGGGCAGAAGAATCCCAAGGGAAGTCATTCTAGATTCTCTTTGAATAGAGAATTCCTGCATACAAGACTAACTTCTTAACCCCACCAAGGGCTTTGCTGTGAGTCCAGTCAACAGCACTCCCTACCCCCTACAATTGAGTCTAACAAGCAGCATATACCTAATCACAACTTTCATTAAGTCAGCATGAACAACCCATTAGATATGATGATCCCCATTTCAAGGCAAGAAAACTGAGGGGCTGGGAGGTTAAATGTTGGGTCTCTGATTGGCTCCAGATCACGTGTTCTGCATCATTCTACCTCCTGGAGGGGCCTTGGGAATGCAGCAGCAACAAGTCCAAAATTTATCTCTTCCACATAAAATTAAAACTCCTCGGTTCTTTAGTGATGACAGCCAGGGAATTATTTCATAGTAATGGAGATAGAGCATTGAGTGTTTTTACTATGACTAGAAATGCTTTGAAACTGAACCCCAGGCACTGCCTTATCTGATTTAACCTTGTACAGCAATTTGCAAGACAGCCAGCTGCCATGTTGGAGCAGCGGTGCTCTTGTCAGGGAACCAAACAAGCTTTGGCAATCTGCATAACTAGGAACCAGTTTGCTGACTCTGACAACTTTTGCTTTGTTAAATGGAGGCAAGGATATTTGAGGCAAAAACCCACTAATGGTTTGAGTCAAGGAACTTTCCTTTTAAAATACAGATATACCGTACCAACTACTTCCCATCCTACAATTATCAAACCCATCAGTTTTCTTTTTGCTTTAGGGATTGGTTGTTACAATGTGACTACTTCCCTCCCAACTGAGATCTGATGATAAAAGGAAATGAAACAAGCATTTTGTTAGTATTTATCAACATTTAAGTTGTACCCTGCTAACAGTTCTTGGATCTATCACAGAGAATCACATGTGCAGAAGGAGATGTGTGCAGAAATGCTCACTACAAATTTGTTTGTCACATTGAGAAACTGAAAAACAGACCAAATGTGTCCAACAGTAGGGAATGGCTAAAAAGTGTAATATTGCCAAACTACAGAATACTATTCAGCAGCTAAAAAGAGTAAGGCAAATCTATTTTTCTCAGGCTGAATTTCTTAGATATACTATTGAGTGAAAACTCACTCCCACACAATAATAGTGGGAGACTTTAACACCCCACTGTCAATATTAGACAGATCAACGAGACAGAAAATTAACAAGGATATTCAGGACTTGAACTCAGCTCTGGCAGACCTAATAGACATCTACAGAACTCTCCACCCCAAATCAACAGAATATACACTCTTCTCAGCACCACATAGCACTTATTCTAAAATTGACCATATAATTGGAAGTAAAACACTCCTCAGCAAATGCAAAAGAACAGAAATCATAACAAACAGTCTCTCAGACCACAGTGCAATCAAATTAGAACTCAAGATTAAGAAATTCACTCAAAACCACACAACTACATGGAAACTAAACAATCTGCTCCTGAATGACTACTGGGTAAATAATGAAATTAAGGCAGAAATAAATAAGTTCATTGAAACCAATGAAAACAAAGACTCAATGTACCAGAATCTCTGGGACACAGCTGAAAGCAGTGTTTAGAGGGAAATTTATAGCACTAAATGCCCACAGGAGAAAGGGGGAAAGATCTAAAATCAACACTGTAACATCACAATTAAAAGAACTAGAGAAGCAAGAGCAAACAAATTCAAAAGCTAGCAGAAGACAAGAAATAACTAAGATCAGAGTAGACCTGAAGGACATAGAGACATAAAAAAACCCTTCAAAAAATCAATGAATCCAGGAGCTGATTTTTTGAAAAGATGAAAAAAGTAGACTGCTAGCCAGACTAATCAAGAAGGAAAGAGAGAAGAATCAAACAGATACAATAAAAAATGATAAAGGAGATATTACCACTGATTCCACAGAAATACAAACTACCATCTGAGAACACTATAAACACCTCTACTTAAATAAACTAGAAAATCTAGAAGAAAAGGATAAATTCTGGACACATACACCCTCCGAAGACTAAACCAGGAAGAAGTCAAATCCCTGAATAGAACAACAAAAAGTTCTGAAATTGAGGCAGTAATTAATAGCCTACCAACCAAAAAAAAAAAAAAAAGCCCAGGACCAGACAGATTCACAGCCAAATTCTAACAGAGATACAAAGAACAGCTGGTACCATTCCTTCTGAAACTATTCCAAACAGTACAAAAAGAGGGACTCCTCCCTAACTCATTTTATGAGGCCAGCATCATCCTGATACCAAAACCTGGCAGAGACACAACAAAAAAAGAAAAGTTCAGACTAATATCCCTGATGAACATCGATGTGAAAATCCTCAATAAAATACTGGCAAACCGAATCCAGCAGCACATCGAAAAGCTTATCCACCATGATCAAGTCAGCTTCATCCCTGGCATGCAAGACTGGTTCAACATATGCAAATCAATAAACATAATCCATCACATAAACAGAACCAAAGACAAAAACCACATAATTATCTCACTAGATGCAGAAAAGGCCTTCAATAAAATTAAACACCTCTTCATGCTAAAAACACTCAATAAACTAGATATTGATGGAACATATCTCAAAATGATGAGCTACTTATGACAAACCCATAGCCAATATCATACTGAATGGGCAAAAGCTGGAAGTATTCCTTTTAAAAAACCAACACAGGACAAGGATGCCCCCTCTCACCACTCCTATTCAGCATAGTATTGGAAGTTCTGGCCAGGGCAATCAGGCAAGAGAAAGAAATAAATGGCATTCAAACAGGAAGAGAGGAAGTCAAATTATCTCTGTTTGCAGATGACATAATTGTATAATTAGAAAACCCCATCATCTCAGACCAAAATCTCCTTAAGCTGATAAGCAACTTCAGCAAAGTCTCAGGATACAAAATCAATGTGCAAAAGCCCAGTCATTCCTATACACCAACAATAGACAAACAGAGACTCAAATCATGAGTGAACTCCCATTCACAATCGCTACAAAGAGAATAAAATACCTAGGAACACAACTTACAAGGGACCTGAGGATTTTTTCAAGGAGAACTACAAAGGACTGCTCAAGGAAATAAGAGAGGGCACAAACAAATAGAAAACATTCCATGCTCATGGATAGGAAGAATCAATATTGTGAAAATGGCCATACAGCCCCAAGTAATGTATAGATTCAATGCTATTCCCATCAAGCTACCATTGACTTCCTTCACAGAATTAGAAAAAACTACTTTAAATTTCATATGGAACCAAAAAGGAGCCCATATATCCAAGACAATCCTAAGCAAAAAGAACAAAGCTGGAGGCATGATGCTATCTGACTTCAAACTATACTACAAGGCTACAATAACCAAAACAGCATGATACTGGTACCAAAACAGACATGAAGACCAATGGAACAGAACAGAGGCCTCAGCAATAACACCACATGTCTACAACCATCTGATCTTTGACAAACCTGACAAACACAAGCAACGGGGAAAGGATTCCCTATTTAATCAATGGTGTTGGGGAAGCTGGCTAGCCATATGCAGAAAACTGAAACTGGACCCCTTCCTTACACCTTATACAAAAATTAACTCAAGATGAATTAAAGACTTAAACATGAGACCTAAAACCATAAAAACCCTAAAAGAAAACCTAGGCAATACCATTCAGGACACAGGCATGGGCAAAGACTTCATGACTAAAATACCAAAAGCAATTGCAACGAAAGCCAAAATTGACAAATGGGATCTAATTAAACTAAAGAGCTTCTGCTCAGCAAAAGAAACGATCATCAGAGTGAACAGGCAACCTACAGAATGCGAGAAAAATTTGCAATCTCTCCATCTGACAAAGGTCTAATATCCACACTCCACAAGGAACTTAAACAAATTTACAAGAAAAAAACAAACAACCTCATCAAAAAGTGGGTGAAGGATATGAACAGACACTTCTCAAAAGAAAACATTACGTGGCCAACAAACATGAAAAAAAGCTCACCATCACTGGTCATTAGAGAAATGCAAATCAAAACCACAATGAGATACCATCTCATGCCAGTTAGAATGGCAATTATTAAAAAGTCAAGTAACAACAGATGCTGGAGAGGATATGGAGAAATAGGAAAACTTTTACACTGTTGGTGGGAGTGTAAATTAGTTCAACCATTGTGGAAGACAGTGTGGCGATTCCTCAAGGATCTAGAACCAGAAATACCATTTGACCCAGCAATCCCATTACTGGGCATATACCTAAAGGATTATAAATCATTCTACTATAAAGACACATGGACACATATGTTTATTGCAGCACTATTTACAATAGCAAAGACTTGGAACCAACCCAGATGCCCATCAATGATAGACTGGATAAAGAAAATGTGGCACATATACACCATAGAATACTATGCAGCCATAAAAGAGGATAAGTTCATGTCCTTTGCAGGGACATGGATGAAGCTAGAAACCATCATTCTGAGCAAACTAACACAGGAACAGAAAACCAAACACCGCATTTCTCACTCACAAGTGGGAGTTGAACAATGAGAATACATGGACACAGAGAGGGGAACATCACACACCAGGGCCTGTCGGGGAGTGGGGGACAAGGGGAGGGATAGCATTAGGAGGGATTACAGGAGTGAGCCACTGCCCCTGGCCTTGTTTCCTTTCTTAAATTAAAAAAAAAAAAAATTTTAGAGACAGGTGTCTCACTATGTTGCAGAGGTTGTATTCAAATTCCTGGGTTCAAGCAATCCTCCCAACTCAGCCTCCTGAGTGGCTGGGGCCACAGCATGCACCACCATGCCTGGCTTGTGGTCAGTAATCTTGGTGTTACTACTGTAATTGTTTTGGTGCCACGAACCACACCCATATAAGACAGTGAACTTAATAAATGTTGTGTGTTCTGACTGCTCCACTGACTGACACCCTCCCATCTCTCTCCCTCCCTTAGGGCCTCCCTATTCCCTGAGATTTCAACAATATTGAAATTTGGCTAATTAATAACCCTACAAGGAACTGTAAATGTTCAGGTGAAAGGAAGAGTCACACATTTCTCACTTGAAATCAAAAGCTAGAAATGATTAAACTTAGTGAGGAAGGCATGTCAAAAGCTGAGACAGGCCAAAAGCTCTATCATTTACACCAGTTACCCAACTTGTGAATGCAAAGGAAATGTTCTTGAAGGAAATTAAAAGTGCTACTCCAGAGAAACATGATAGATAAGAAAGAAAAACAGCCTTATTGCTGACATGCAGGAAAATGTAATGATCTGAATAGGAGATCAAACCAGCCACAGCATTCCTGTAAACCAAAGCCTAATCCAGAGGAAGAGCCTAACTCTTTCATTCCATGAAGGCTGAGGGGGAAGTGAGGAAGCTAGCCAGGGTTTGGTTCAAGAGGTTGAAAGAAAGAAGTTGTCTCCATAACATAATCATAAAAGTGCAAGGTGAAGGAGAGCTGATGGGGAAGCTGCAGCAAGGTATCCAGGAGACTCAGCTAAGATGATTGATGAAGGTGATTACATGAAACAAAAGATTTTCATTGTAGATGAAACAGCCTTCTATGGGAAGAAGATGCCATCTAGGGCTTTCATAGCTAGAGAGAAGAAGTCAATGCCTGCCTTCAAAGCTTCAAAGAACAGGCTGACTCTCTTGTTAGGAGCTAATGCAGCTGGTGACTTTAAGTTGAAGCCAATGCTCATTTCCATTCCAAGAATGGGCCCTGAAAAATTATGCTAAATCTAGCCTCCCTGTGCTCTATAAATGGAACAAAGAAGCCTGGGTGCCAGCACATCTATTTACAGCATGGTTTACTAGATATTTTAAGCCCACTGTTGAGACCTACTGCTCAGAATAAAAGATTTCTTTGAAAATATTACTGCTTATTTACAAGACACTTGATAACCCAAGAACTCTGATGAAGATGTACAAGGTTAAAGTAGTGTTCATGCCTGCTGACACAACATCCCTTCTGCAGCCTGTGGATCAAGGAGTATTTTGACTTTCAAGTCCAATTATTTAAGAAATACAATTTGTAAGGCTATAGTTGTCATAGACAGTGAGTCCTCTTATGGACCTCAGCAAAGTAAACTGGAAAACTTCTAAAAAGAATTCACCATTCCAGATGCCATGAGGAACATTCATGATTTATGGGAGGTGGTCAAAATAACATCATTAACAGTTTGGAAGAAGTTGATTCCAACCCTTATGGATGACTTTGAGGGGTTCATGACTTCAGTGGAAGATGTAACTGCAGATGTGGTGGAAATAACAAGAGAACTAGAATTAGGAGTGGAGCCTGAAAATATGACTGAATTGCTTCAATCTCATGAATAAGTTGGCCAGATAAGGATTTGCTTCCTACAGATAAGCAAAAATCGTGGTTTCTTGAGATGGAATCTACTCTGGGTGAAAATGCTATGAACACTGTTGAAATGACAACAAAAGATTTAGAATACTACATAAACTTCATCGATAAAGTAGCATAGGGTTTGAGAGGACCACCTCCAGTTTTGAAAGAAATTCTACTGTGGGTAAAATGCTATTGAACAGCATCATCTGCTACAGAGAAATCTTTCATGAAAGGAAGAGTCCATTGATGTGGCAAATCCACTGTTGTCTTATTTTATTTTAAGAAATTGCCACAGCCTCCCCCACCTTCAGCAACCACCACCTGCAGCATCAACATCAAGGCAAGACCATCAACCAGCAAAAAGATTACGACAATTTAGACATTCCCATGAATGTAACATACACATCTTTGGAATGTGGGAGGAAGCTGGAGAACTCAGAGAAAACCCACGCAGACATGGGCAGAATGTGCAAACCCCACATAGAAAATAGTAGCCTAGGCTACTGCAATCACTGAAGGCTCAGATGATTGTTAGCATTTTTCAGCAACAAGGTATTTTTAAATTAAGGTATGTACATGCTTTTTAAAGACATAATGCTATTGCACACTTAATAAACTATAATATAGTGGAAATGTAACTTTTACATGCACTAAGGAAAGCAAAAAATTCATGTGACTTGCTTTATTGCTGTGGTCTGGAACTGAATCTGCAATATCCATAGGTATGTCTGTACCTACTCTGTAAGATTAATGTGAGGAACATAAGAGGTGGCAAATTTAAATGGTCCAGTACAGTGCCTAGCATGTAGCTGGCCCTGGGTGAACATTCATTCCTATCCCTTTTCCACTCAGTGAGTCTCGTGGATGTATTGCAGGAAGGATAGTGGTGATGTGGTAAAGGAGAGGAGTGGAGAATTTCATCCCAAAATCAATCATCTAGCCATTAGGTGAAAGTGCTTGATTTCTCCCATGATCGGCAGAAGGAAGCTGCCATGGGCATGCGCCCAACAAGGGGTGCTCTCAGCCTCTTAAAATGTTATACATTCCTCTCTACTGGGCATGGCCCTGCAGTGCCTCAGCAACTCCTCACCAACCTCACTTCCCAGAAGGTCAGCTCATGTTCCTCTACCCATCTCCAGAGGCAGGGGTGAAACAAAAAAAGCAACACTCCAAGGAGGGAGCCTCTCCCAGCCTCAACTCAGAGGCTTGTCTCAGAGGCGGCCTCACCCATTGGACTCCAGTGCCTTTCAACAGTTGAGTGGCTACCATAGTGTGTGTTTTCAGGGGATGGTTCCTATTTCTCCAACAAACCCCATGCTGGTCAACTGCGAATGCAGCAAGGAGCCACCCAATGGGATTCCTCTCTGCCTCATAGTTCAGCCCAAATATTCAACTGAAAGCAAGTTAAGGGCATGCACAGGGTTTTTTGTGCAATGGCCTTGACCTTGGCCTGTAAAGACCACTAACCAACCAAGATCAGAGCCTCCAGAAGACCAAGTGGGGCCAGCAGAGGACCCTGGCCATTCCTTTCAAAAGAATTTTCATTCCTAAGGAACAACTGGCCAACTTGCCCAGTGGTCTTGACATCTCTTGCCACTTTCACGTACCCTGCCTGAGGGTTCAATTTAGCTTCTGTAGTAGAATAAGTGTTGGTGTCCACCCAACAACCATTTACCCTACCCTTCAATTAGGAACGTTGTCACTCACCACCTCATGCTTAGTCCAAGCACCAAGGTGAATTGACTCCACCCCCCACTCTCAGGATGGCATAGGACTTGGGAATGGTGAGTTAGATTATTCCATTCCCTTCACTGTGGCAACTGGACACATTGCTCAGAAAGCCAACAAAGCCATCAAGTTGCAATTAGGCTTTTTTCTGGGACTGCTGAGCATGAGGCAAGTCCATGATAATGAACTTGACCCTGGAGGAAGGTAGGCATGAAGCTGCTCAGTGCCACCGTATGAAGAGGAGAAGGTGGCATTAACACAGAGGAGAGAAGAGCAGAGCAGAGAAGACAGGACAGCTGATGGCACTGTGTGAGTTCCTGGATCAAACCTTGCCTGATGTATGCCTAGCATGCATCCCTACCTAAGCCAATCTATTGTCTTTCTAATAGAGGCCAATTTGAGTTGGTTCCATGTCTTAAAAAAGAAATAGTTTTCACAAATACATCTTCTGTTCCTTTGGCTGTCTTGACTTTGCACTGTGGACAGGGTTATCTGGTTAGACTCAGCCTTCATGGGTCTCTAACTCAGGACCCCACTTCCCTCCCAACTTCTCTTCTCAAATTCTTAGAACATTGCCTTGGGGCTTCTGGTTGGAAGACAGGCTTTGATTCCAGGAGCTCCAGAGCTCCCCAAGTCGGGCAGCTGCAGGCTGTCTTCATCCACCACTAGATGCCAACCACTGTGGAAGCTCTATCCATTCTATCTTAAAGTTTCCAGCCCAGACAGTGAAGACTCTGATCCCAGAGGCTGAGAAACAGCGGGAAAAGTCACTACTGTTCACAGAAGAGTAGGTGGGTGAAGCCAGTTTCTCTACCACCACCACCACCTCACAGCAGCCCAGAGCATCAGAGCTCCTGCCTCTGAGCCACATTGGGAAAGCCTCGTGAAGTACATGATGCCCTTGTGCTATTCCAAAGTCAAGTCAAATGGACGAAAGTCACACACAGTCTGGATCAATCTGGGAGCCTGAACTGCCCCTTAGGGAGGCTGAGAACAGCTCTTACCGGCTGATTCACTCCCACAAATGGCCACTGAATATTGTCAGCCCAGGTTTTCCCAACAGAGAATAGAGACAGCCACACTCCCACCTCCAAACCTGTCTTTTCTACCACGTCCTCTGGACATCAGGAGCATGCATTGTGTGGTTCTAGAACCTGGACCAGAAAGGTGACAGCAACCTCTACCCCCTCCCTAGCCCCACTATGCACCACCTAAATCAGCAACAGAGAGCCCTGTGGGAGGCTGGATGCCAGTGGAATCCACACCGCAGTACCAGCAGAGAAGAAAGATGGTCACAGTCCCTTTACAAATTGAACTAATGCACTCAGAATTCTCATGGAGCAGGGAAAGTGCAAGAAGCTCATGTCAATGGTCCTGAGCACTCCATGGAAACCATCCTCCATATGGTGCCAGGTCACGGGCACTCCCAGGTCTTCCAGCCTTTTCTTGTACAACAGTGAATTGTCCCGGAGAGCATCATACTCACAGCTCACGATGCAGGTTTCCGGGAGCTGAGACACTATGTCATCTTCTGCAATCAGGGGCGAGCACATCACATCCAGGACAACACTTACTTCCAAGTAAGCAGCTTCATTCATGGGCTCATGGGGCTTCAGTTGGTAACCCCTCTCCTTAAACCTCTCAGGGATGTTTTCTGGGCCCAACCACTTTCTGTACTTTTCCCAGACTTCAGCAGGCAAATGGGCACCTTTCATGATGACCTCTTGCCAGGAGGAGCTGAAATCCAGGTTTTGAAAAAAAAAGTAGCAGATGAAACTCCAGGTGAGCAGTGGGATGTTTTTCCTCTGTTGAAACGAAGGGGTTTGTAAATCCAGGGCTTGGAGAATGGCATAGATCAGGATCTGAGCCCGGATCCGGGGCAGATCTGGCCTGTCCACAAGTTGTTGACAAACCACTGCGGCTATTGCCCCTCCGAAACTGTCACCGCAGACCACAACCCGGGCTGGATCCACTCCATATGCATCCAGGGACTTCAGGAAGTGGATGGTGGCCACCAAGCAGTCTCTTACTGGCACTGGAAACTTATGCTTAGGTAACTTGCGGTAACTAAAAAGGAATCAAGAAACACAGTTGATAACGCCCCGGCAGATCCAAAATATCAGCGTCTAGCATCTTTTAGCCCAAATTAGTCCATTCACTTCCCTTTGTGAAACTTGAGCAGTTAAAGTTAGGTGTGAGGCTTAAATGAGATGAGACACATAAAGCCCACATACCTAGGCAGGTGCCATTCCTACTGTCTCAATGCCCTAATGGGGGACCTGTGTCACGAGACATCCACCAATTGGCCAACAATGTAAATATCACCCACACTAGCCCCATCTTCCTGAACCTGCCTCATGTTGCTTCCCTGACTCACCTGCTCCTGCTTCCTGTTTTATGATTCTTGTATGAGCAACTTCAAGACCTGCTTGGGTTTTTAATTAATCATGCCATACCTACAGATTTTGTTAAGGGAGATCTTGTAGACTTAAATACAGCAGGTTGGCCAGGCCGGTGGCTCATGCCTTTAATTTCAGCACTTTGGGAGGCTGAGATGGGCCGATCCATTGAGTCCAAGAGTTCAAGCCCAGCCTGGGCAACATGGTGAGACCCCACCTCTACAAAGAGTATAAAAAATTAGCTGGGCATGGTGGTGGATACATGTAGTCCCAGCTACTCAGGAGGGTGAGGCAGGTGGATCACTTGGGCCTGGGAGGTTGAGGCTGCAGTGAGCTGTGACCATGCCACTGCACTCCAGCCTGGGTGACAGAGTGAGACCCTGTCTCAAAGAAGAAAAAAAAAGCAGGGTCTCAAATAATGTCATTTCATTCAACATTGTTTCATTATATTGATGAAAGAAAGAAAAACGATTCCAGCCTGGGCTACTACTGTTTGTGTGGAGTTTGCACATTCTCCTCATGTCTGTGTGGGTTTTCTCCCAGTCCTCCAGTTTCCTCCCACATCCCAAAGATGTGTATGTTACATTCATGAGCATGTCTAAATTGTCCCGGTCCAAGTGAATGTGGTTGTAGGTGTGAGTGTGCCCTGCAATAGGTGGGTGTCCTGTCCAGGGTTGGTTCCTGCCTTGTTCCCTGAGCTGCAGGGATAGGATCCAGCCACCCACGACCCTGAACTAGAATAAGTGAGTTGGAAAAGGAATAGATGAAGGAATATAAATTATTGCAAAATAAAAATGCATAAAGCCAACCGGGTGCAGTGGCTCACGCCTGTAATCCCAGCACTTTGGGAGGCCGAGGCAGGTGGATCACCTGAGGTCAGGAGTTCAAGACCAGCCTGACCAACATGGAGAAACCCCGTCTCTACTAAAAATACAAAATTAACCGGGCGTGGTGGTGCATGCCTGTAATCCCAGCTACTCAGGAAGGCTGAGGCAGAAGAATCCCTTGAACCCAGGAGGCAGAAGTTGTGGTGAGCCGAGATCGCGCTCTTGCACTCCAACCTGGGCAACAAGAGTGAAACTCTGTCTCAAAAAAAAAAAATTATAAAGTCAGCCAAGCACAGTGGCTCAAGCCTATAATCCCAGCACTTTGGGAGGCCAAGGCAGATGAATCGCCTGAGCTCAGGAGTTCAAAACCAGCCTGGGCAACAAGGTGAAACCCTGCCTCTACCAAAAATACAAAAAATTAGCCAGGCGTGGTGGTGTGTGTCTGTGGTCCCAGCTACTCAGGAGACTGAGGCACAAGAATCACTTGAGCCCAGGAGGCAGAGGTTGCAGTGAGCTGAGATCGCACCACTGTACTCCAGCCTAGGTGACAGGGTGAGATCCCATCTCAAAAACAAAAAAATGCATAAAGTTTACAATAATCATACATCTACACAAAAATAAATGATGCAGTACAGAAGCTCTCAATGAGGCTGCCACATTTGTGAGTGGTTTTGAACTGGGAGACAGTCAGAGGTACTCCTGACAATTTTTACCTTGTAAACATTTATTCCTAGATTTAACCCACCACCAGAATGACCACCATCACTCACTGATTCACCAAAAATTGGGTAAATAATTATTATTTTTTTTAATCTTTTAAAAATATATGTATAGCTCACTTTTATTTCAATTTTTAATATTAGCAGGTGTTTTTCTTTATTTAGAAGGTTAGGGCAGGCATAGTGGCTCACACTTATAACCTCAGCACTCTGAGAAGCTGAGGAAGAAGGATTGCCTGAGCTCAGAAGTTTGAGACCAGCCTGGGCAACATGGCAAGACCTCGTCTCTACTAAAGAAAATTATAAAACATAAAAGTAGTAAAATAAATTTTTAAAAAATTTTTAAATAAATTAGCTGGTGTTTTTGTGACCAGAATTATACCATCAGAGCTTGATTCTGTCTATATCAATTAGCCTAGGTTTTGTAATAGGTAAAATTGGTTTCACTCCAAGTTACAGTTCCAAGAACCTGTCGACATTGCTGAGGACTGACTGTACCACCAGAGGCCAGAGATACACAGCACTCTTCCAAACAAGCTATGCACACTCAACACCATGGCTGCCCTGCCTACCTGGTATTGCTAAGAGATTCCAGAAATCCAGGTTTTGTGAGAAAGTTCACTATTTTTAAATGCTGGTCACAAATTAAAAAAAAAAAAAAGACAAAGAAACACTCTATGGGAGCAACAAACAAAACTTCCATCAGCTGTTTCCATTCCATACCCCCATTTCAGGCCACCCGGGAATAGGACATCCTGGAAAGCAATGCCCTTAACTCCAAAATCCTGTCTACCTTGGATTTAGAAAAGAACTTTCTGGCAGAGACTTGCTAGCATGTTCTACTGACGATCTCTTGGTTTGGTACAATCAGAATGACAAGGTGTCCGGCAACATCCCATGATCCCATGGTAGAAACCCTTCTGGAGCTGAGAATTGTAAAGTCAGGGGTTTATCCAGGTCTCTCTCTCATCTCATCTCTTCATTTTCTTTTCCATTTTTTTTTTTTTTTTTTTTTTTCAGACGGAATCTCACTCTGTCACCCAGGCTGGAGTGCAGTGGCGCCATCTCAGCTCACTGTAACCTCTGCCTTCTGGGTTCAAGTGATTCTCCTGCCTCAGCCTCCTGAGTAGCTGGGGCTACAGGCACATGCCACCACACCTGGCTAATTTTTGTATTTTTAGTAGAGACAAGGTTTCACCGTGTTGGCCAGGCTGGTCTTGAACTCCTGGCCTCAAGTGATCCACCCACCTTGGCCTCGTGCTGGGATTACAAGCGTGAGCCACTGCACCCGGCTTCATCTCTTCGTTTTCTACTCACCTCAGGTAGCTGTGCCACAAGAAAGCTGGCAGATGTACCCCCACTGAGATGCAGAGAACTGATATTTCTTTAAAGTGTGTACCTTTAAATGAAACTACAGGGAAACTTAACCAGGAGGAACCACGTGTGTGATGCTGCATCAGGCAGCAGGACAGGGGACCCCATGCCCACCACGCCCTCTTTGAGGCTCCAGGCTGGGCGGTGACTGTCAGAGATCTGTTAGGAGAGACAATGGGTTTGTTTTTGTTTTTGTTTTTCTCACTTTCTTCAGTGGGTCTCAGCCAGGGGGACCTCCCTTTTGGGAGCACTTGGAAGTGAACGTGGCAGCATTTCGGGTTGTTTGAGTGATGGTGCGGGGTACCACAGGCATTTAGCAGAAGGAGGTGCAGGGTTGTTTTACTCAAAGAAGAGCTATGTTGTCCAAGTGTTCCTGCAGTGAAACTCTGCACCTGAACTGCTTAAAAAAGACCACCTCCTACCCAGCTTCAAAATGCACAAAACGCCTCTGTTTAAACAAACCCAAGGCCCACATGCACAGAGGAAGGGGTTCCCCATTCTCTGTCTCTCCATCTCTCTTCACCTCCCCTTATTTTTCTTTCACTCTCTTTTTCTTGTTTTGTTTTGTTTGTTTTAAGACAGGGTCTTGTTCTGTCACCCAGGCTGAGTGTAGTGGCGCAATCACGGCTCACTGCAACCTCCCAGGCTCAGGTGCTTCTTCCTCCTCGGCCTCCCAAGTAGCTGGGACTACAGACATATGCCACCACACCTGGCTAATTTTTGTATTTTTTGTAAAAATGGGGTCTCACTATGTTGCCCAGGCTGGTCTGAACTCCTGGGCTCAAGCATTCTGCCCACCGTGGCCTCCCAAAGTGTTGGGATTACAGGCGTGAGCCACCACACCCAGCCGCCTTCTTTTTCTCTCTTCACTGGCTTCTCCCAGCCCATCCCCACCTCTGGGCTTCCTCCAGCTCCCATCTGCTCCCATCCCCCACCCCCCACCCCCATTTCTACTTCTCACCCCATCTCTCCACATCAGAGCCTTGCTCCTTGCTGGCTCCCTGGGATCTCCCCTTTACTCACCCAACTGCCAGAACCACGGAGTCACTCTCCTTGCACAAACGAGAGCATATGCCATGGTGGGTTTCTAGAAAATAAATGGTTTTTAAGATTCACTAGGAAGGCTTCCTTTGCCAGCCATTGTCACCGTCTTCTTCCTACAGACACAGCACTTGGGCCGATGCCGACTAGGTTTTCCTCTACTCCAGCAAACTTCCGGTCAATCTTCTCACTGATTCTCCTTCGTGGTACTGCCTGAACAACTTTCTCTAAGACGCCCACCCTCCAATCCATCCTACAAGCCATTAAAAATATCTGTGAAGCTCTTTGACTGTAGAACGCAGAGGTTTAGGGTGTGAGCTCTGGATTCAGACTGGAGTTCAAATCTCAACTTTGCCCCTTTCTAGCTTGAGCTAACATAGTGCCTAGCAAGTCTCTTAACCTCCTGAGGCTTGATTTCCTCATCTGTGAACTGGGGTAATGAAAATATCTAACTCGTAGAGTGTTGGAGTTGGAATGAGATCATCCACATATAGGGTTCTCACAGTGCCTGCATGTAATTAGTAATATTAATGAATATTGCTTAATAAATATTGGCTGTTACTATCATTCTCATACAGACCAAACCACACCACCATTGCATTAAATCCTTTATTCTCAAAGGCTCCCACACTGGGACCCTGGCATTCCACAGATTAGAAAGCACTACTGAAAGCAAATAAAGGTGTTTCCTCTCCCCTAATTCCCTGGGGGTAATAACTAAGACAGTAAAATTGTCTCAATAGTGACTTTTTCCTCTCATTGATTTTTCTCAAATCTTCCTGTCTGTCTGTACCAGAATTTGTCTTAGCAAAACCTGATGTGAAACAAAATGCTGTGTTTTAATTCTTTTCATTTAAAATATCCTTATTTCCAACTAAATAGAGGTGGTGATTATAAGTAAAATAGTGAAATATACATGTATACATTTATATGTACATACATATGTACACATATAAATGCAAGTAAGGGTACATTTCAGGATCTTTACCTTACAGTATCCTTCCTTATATTACAGTATTGTTAATTTAACTAAGGATTACATTTATGTAAATAAGGAGATACATAAGAGGGCAATATATGCCATATTTTTGCCCCCTCAATGATCTGCAAACCATGAACTGCCCTGGTGTTCCCTGATAATAATAGCATACTTTAAGTCCCAGGAAGATGCCCATTCTTCCAAGTTATGTTAAGGGGTGCCACCACCCTTTAGGAGGTCTGAGAAAATGGTTCTTACTCAAACTCCCCATGACGCCCCCGCCACCGTGGTAGTACACGATGCCAGGCTTCAGGGTGCAGGTGGATGCCTTGGGTTGGTACAGCTTCACAGGGATTGTCCCAAAGCGGAAATCCGTGACCACAACATCGGGGTCATACTTTAGCGGAGGCAGATCTTGCATGAAACAGAAAAATTGGGGCATAGAACAGATTCTGAGCTTCTCAAATATCATCCCCTGTTGGAGAGAGAAGAAATGATGGGTCGAGATGGGTTTCTTCACAGGCCATCTGGAGTCTGGCCTTCACAACCTGCCCTCCACAGGTGGCAAAAGGAGTTTTTGGAAACTGCAGTCAGATTGGATTACAGCCCTACTCAAGCCCTCAGTTCCCTCAGGACACCTGCAGGAAAATCCACTCCCATGCAGGCCCAGGTGGCCACAGCACCAGCCAGCCCCTCTCAACCCACTCTCCTGACACCTTCCACTGCAGCCACTACAAGCCAGGCTTCTGGGCACCCTTGATGGTCCCTCTACTTGCAACACCCACCTCCACCACGAGGCCCTGCTCCACCTCAGCCTGGGCGCAACATCTGTTTCCAGGGAGGCCTTCCTGTGCCGTCCCAGCCAATCTGGCCACCCCAAGCCTGTGTAGCTAACTATAGTGTGGGTACATTTTTTAAAAACAGGAAGGGGGAGTTCATATCTTTTGAAAATGCCTACTGAAAATTTTTAGGATAAAATAATATGATGTCCATTGGCTTCTTAAATAAATGAAAATGAGGGAAAAGTTAGAGACATTTAGGGACACAGGGAAGGGAGACAGGCCAGGAGTCAGTGATGGTGACACTGGAGAGTGGGCACCCTGTTCCCCTTTGGTATATGTCAAAGTTTGCATAAAGGGTTGAAAATACAGCCAGGCACAGTGGCTGATACCTGTAATCCCAGCACTTTGGGAGGCCAAGGCTGGTGGGTCACTTGAGGTCAGGAGTTCAAGGCCAGCCTGGCCAACATGGTGAAACCCAGTCTCTACTGAAAATACAAAAATTAGCCGGGTGGGTGTGGTGGTGGGCTCCTGTATTCCCGGCTACTCGAGAGGCTGAGGCAGAAGAATCTCTTGAACCCTAGAGGCAGAGGTTGCAGTAAGCCGAGATCATGCCATTGCACTCCAGCCTGGGCAACAAGAGTAAAACTCCAGCTCAAAAAAAAAGAGTTAAAAATACGTAAATAAAGAGGGCTCTCCCTCTGGGTATCCTTTCCAGTGTTTCCTAATCCTTGTCTGTGCCACAGCCATTTT
Source organism: Homo sapiens (assembly GCF_000001405.40). NCBI lineage: Eukaryota > Metazoa > Chordata > Mammalia > Primates > Hominidae > Homo > Homo sapiens. Next base: position 12,718,417 of record NC_000001.11, on the reverse strand, counting down.
GGCCTTGGGAAAAGCTGCAGGCCTCATTTGAGAACTTTTTTTTTTTTTTTTTTTTTTTGGAGAGAAGAGGCCTCATTATGTCACCCAGGCTGGTCTCAAACTCCTGGACTCAAACAGTCCTCCCACCTCAGCCTCCCAAAGTGCTGGGATTACAGGTGTAAGCCACTACACCCAGCCCAGAACATTTTTAAATACATAAAATAAATACATGGGATTATAAAGAAAAGCAGTGTTATTTAAATATACTTATCAAAATATTAAAATGTATGTCATAATAATATAGGTTCTTCCTTACTAGCACATAGAGTAATAAGATCTAACTGCTGCCTGATACTACCCTAGTTTCAAAGAAATGAGGAGAATACATGAGTTTTCGCAATATCTAATAGGCAATGCAAATATGTCTGATTTCTCTTGGTGAAAAGTCGAGGTCTGGCTTTCAGGACTGTGGTTTGTTGCCTTCATTCCTCATGAGAAGAATTTCAATTGGAAGTTAGTTGTGAACATGGGGTAATTTTGACCCCATCCAAATCCATGACCCCCTTGTGTTCTGTGACCCAAATCCATGACCCCCTTATGTTCTGTGATCCAAATCCATGACCCCCTTGTGTTCTGTGGCCCCGGGGGCTCAAGATGCCCCAGGAGAGAAGCCCTGCTCGGCTCCCCTGACGGGTTTTGCTGTCCTCCTTGCATTCTCCGCTTTGGGAAGCTGTTTATCTGTAGCTTGTTCTATTGTGGGTTAGCTTCTTTATAGACCACTTCCCCGCTGCCCACTGCCTGGACCCTACAAGCTCCCTAAAGGCAGACCTGTGGAACTTTACCTCTCTCACCTGTCATTGGCCCTAGAGCCCAGGACTGGCGTAGGACACACAGCAGTTGCATAACACATCTTTGCATAAAAAATAAAAGAATCAACAAAGAGTAACAATGGCTACTATTTAAGGAGGGCTCCCTCTGTGTCAGGCATTATAATAAGCCTTCTGGAGAGGGTTATTCATGGAGTCTCCACAAAACCCTGTGAAGTAGGAGCAATTTTCCCTACTTTGCAAAAGAGGAAATCGAGTCACTGTATTTGGGAGCCTGGACTACAGAATCTGAGCATCAAGGGTAGGAAAACCTAGGACCCAATCACTGCATCTTATAAAAGCTGACTGGAGATCAGAAGCCTAGAGTTCCCGGGATCTTCTCTTTTAGGTAATAGCTACATTCTTTTGAATAGCATAGAAATTATTTTGAATAGCATAGAAGACACACCTAGGGTGTCTCTTGAGAAGAGGCACTGGCAATTGCTTTTCGTTATGTAAGAAACTTACAAAAAATATTTTGTATATTCAGTTTCTGTCAAGGCACAAGAAAAAGTACAAGAAATCCGTATTGGCAACACCTACACAGTTCCATTTACAGGTATTTTAACAAATTACACCAGAAGCAGAACCAAACTATATTCCCTAGGCAGCTTTCTAGCTCTCAAAAGCAACAACATATTTTTAAAGTCACATTCTGTAATTTTGCTCACCGGCACTAATCTACTCATCCGCTACCCTTTTACTTTGTGGCTTGCTGGCTCTAGCTAACAGGTAGATAGCAGTGGGGGCCCAGAGACTCAGGAAAATTCATTCATATCTTCACAACTTCTGAGAGTGGTGAGTGCTGTGAATAATATGGACACATTTATGGACACGTGAAAGGTACACTTAAAAATGCGAAAGATGGTAAATTTTATATGCATATTTTACCTCAATTTTAAAAATAAAACAAACCAACAACAACAAAAAGAAAGTCAGCGGGAGACACTCAGGTGAATAGAACCAGACTGGTTTTTTCTTTCTGTTAACTGAGAAAGCAGATCATTCTTTGAATTTTGTGAATATTAGCCAGGGCCAGCTTCAGAAACACCCAAAGAGGCTGAGAACCACCTAATAGGGATTATGCACATTTCAGAAGGTCTGATCAGCTGTCACTGCAGGCCCCATGATACCGGTGTTCATTCAGCTAGAAGCTTCCGGTGTGTGATTTTTCCTGCCGCCTTCCTTAATGGTCAGCTGGAGGGGACACATAAAGCACAAAACTCACCCAAGTCAACAGCAGCTGGAAGATGCAATGGAGGACTCTCAGTTTCACAGGGTGGCCAACCGCTGCAGGGATGTGCACAGTGAAAAAATGGCTGCAAATGACCCACAGAGTGACCCCTAGTGAGAACACGCAGGCTGCTGCGAGGAAGATCAGGGCCAGGTCCCACATGCTGCTTCCAGCTCAGAGCGGGCTGAGAGGAAGCTGTGCGCAGTGTAAACCATTTAGGACATGGTTCAGAGCCAGCAGACCTCCTCCACTTATAAGTCACACCTGTCCTCCCCCACCTCCCTGGGTCCCACAAACACTGGCCCAGCCCAGGTGAGTCACAGGCTCAGGTGAGGATGTGGTTCTAGGACAGGGCCCATGCAGAGAAGAAAGTGGCCCATCCAGCCGGATCCAGCCACAAAAGAAAGTTCTAGAGTCCCAGCTTACAATCTGGCACTGCTAACTAGAAATAGTCTTGGATAAGCCACCAAGTCACAATGGACATCATAAACACGATTCCTCCCACCGGCCCTCGGACCTCATCCCCCCACTCTGTGATTCAACTCCAGCTTATCATCCATCCATCAGCCTGTGGAGGATGTCCCAGAGCTGTTGTACGGCAAGCCATTCTCTGTACACCATTCTTCCCCTAGACCTCGGCTAGACTCCATGCCTCCCCTCTTGCTGGTCTCTGCTCAAATGTTGCCTTCTCAGTGAGGCCATCCCTGGCAATCTTATTTAAAATTTAACTCCCGCCAGCATGCCTACGCCCACCTTCCCCAGCCCCACCTTCCCCATCCCCCACCCTTTCCACCCCCCCACCTTCCACATCCCCCACCTTCCTCATCCTCCACCTTCCCCATCCCCCATCTTCCCCATCCCCCACCTTCCTCACCCCCCCACTGCTTGGTTTTTCCCTGTGACCTTTATCATCACCTGCCTCACTTGTCTGTTTATTGTCTGGGAGGACAGGAATTTTCTTTTTGTGCCATTTTATCACCAGAGGCTGGATTGGGGCTTGGTACTTTGTAGGTGCTCAGCAAATGCCTATGGAGTGAGAGAATGAATAGACAGGCTTTGTCCTCTTTCTTGCAAATCTGGGAAACTGTGCTTGCTTTCCTCTTTCTTGCAAATCTGGGAAACTGTGCTTGCTTGCCTTTCCAGGTCAGGTCAGAGGTTGATGTCACCATTGGAAATCTTCCCTAACAACCAAGTCCCACATCTGCAGTAACAATAGTAATATCTGCTGTGTCTCCCGCCTCCCAGCTTGAGTGAGAGAGCAGTGGTTCTCAGACAGGAGAGATTTTACCTCCCAGAAGATATGGGAATATCAGAAACATTTTTGTTGTCCCCACTCAGGAAGGGCCAGAGGGCTGGTTCTAGAGTGTCATAGACAAGAGGCCAGGGATATTGCCAAACATCCTGCAATGCACAAAGACTTATGCAGTCCAGCAAGCCGATAGTATGGTGGTTGAGAAACCCTGCATTTGCAACACTTGAATTTGAATCCTGGCTCTGCCAAATGCCAGCATGCTGATCATGAGCACGTTATGTGCAATCAGCCTCAGTTTCCAAGTTTGTCAAATGGGGATAATAATAGTACTCCCCACTCCATAGGACTGTTGGCTGCCTCAAGAACACCAGCCTGTGTCAAGCACTAGTATGAGTCTGGCACGTGGGAAGACTTAATTAGATGTCAGGAAGCCAGCCTGAAGCATTCTTTCTTTCTTTCTTTTTTTTTTTTTCTGAGATGGGGTCTCATGCTGTCACCCAGGCTGGAGTGCAGTGGTGCAATCTTGGCTCACTGCAGCCTCCATCTCCCAGGCTCAAGTAATCTTCCCACCTCGGCCTCTGGAGTAGCTGGGACTACAGGTGTGCACCACCATGCATGCCCATCTAATTTTTATTTTTATTGATTTATTTGTGTGTGTGTGTGAGAGAGAGAGACTGAGTCTCTCTCTGTCACCCAACCTGGAGTGCAATGGCACAATCTCAGCTCATTGCGACCTCCGCCTCCCGGGTTCAAGCAATTCTCCTGCCTCAGCCTCCCGAATAGCTAGGACTACAGGTGTGTGACACCATGCCAGCTAATTTTTTTTGTATTTTTAGTTATTTTTTATTTTGTTATTTTAGTAGAGATGGGTTTTCACCATGTTGGCCAAGCTGGTCACGAACTCCTGACCTCAGGTGATCCACCCGCTTTGGCCTCCCAAAGTGCTGGGTGTCACGCGTGTCTGTGTAAAGAGACCACCAAACAGACTTTGTGTGAGCAACAAGGCTGTTTATTTCACCTGGGTGCAGGCAGTCTGAGTCCGAAAAGAGAGTCAGCGAAGAGAGATGGGGTGGAGTTGTTTTATAGGATTTGGGTGAGTAGTGGAAAATTACAGTCAAAGGGGGTTTTTCTCTTACGGGCAGGGGCGGGGGTCACAAGGTGCTCAGTGGGGGAGGTTCTGAGCCAGGAGAAGGTTTCACAAGGTTAATGGCTCAGTTAAGGTGGGGCAGGAACAAATCACAATGGTGGAATGTCATCAGTTAAGGCAGGAAGCAGCCATTTTCACTTCTTTTGTGATTCTTCACTTGCTTCAGGCCATCTGGATGTATACATGCAGGTTTGGGCTCAGAGGCCTGACATTCCTGTCTTCTTATATTAATAAGAAAAATAAAACAAAATAGTGTTGAAGTGTTGGGGCAGTGAAAAATTTTCGGGGTACTATGGAGAGATAATGGGTGATGTTTCTCAGGGCTGCTTCGAGGGGGATTAGGGGCAGCATGGGAACTTAGAGTGGGAGAGATTAAGCTGACAGAAGATTTTGTGGTAAAGGGCAATATTGTGGGGTTGTTAAAGGGAGCATTTGTCATATAGAATGATTGGTGATGGCCTGGATATGGTCAGGAAAGGTAAAACGGACTAATGGTCTTTTCCCAAAAACTCACCAACCAAGCAAGTAATTATGCTCAACCCTCTTGGGCACTCTCTAATTGGATGTCCTGGGTCCTCCCAATTCTTAGTCCTTTAATACTTATTTTTCTCCTTCTTTTATTTGGACCTTGTATCTTCTGTTAAGCTTCTCAATTTATACGTCCAGGATTACATTTCCCTCCAGGAGCGGTCTCTGCTTCTGTCTCAGGAGGAGGCGCACCCTGCCCCCTTGTGAGGGCCTCAGGGGTGAAAAATCAGGACCCACCCCATGTGAGAAATAACCCGAGCTCTCAGCAATGTGGAAAGAAACTGGCCAGCAACCTGGGGTAAAGGATCCTCCATAATGGCCACTAAAGTCTGCACATGGACCGAGGAAAAGACACTGCAGGAGCTGGTAAAGTATTTCCTTGTTGGTTGGGACCAAGGTAAGAATGTCGCGGGGGGGCGGTGAAGTACTCCTTTGTTGGGGTGGCTTAGAGGTTAAAAAGAGATGAGACATCTCCATTAGGGGGGATTGAACTTCACAAAAACCTCCAGTAGTAGAAAAGGCAAGAAATTTCCAATAAGGGAAATTGAGCCTCACCCCAAAAGACAAGAAATTTCCAGTAAGGGAAGTTGAACCTTACCCCAAAACCATCAATATGGGAAATACCCCAAGCAAGATAGGGAGCAAGAAGGATAAAGATAGTAGCAAAGATATCCCCCCAGAGAGCCCCCTAGGTCTCATGCTAAAATACTGGAAGGATAATGAAAGGACTAAACATAAGAAAAAGCAAAAAAACGATAAAATATTGATGTTTTATTTGGACTCAGGGACCCATCCTCAAACCCTCAATCTTCTGGCCAAAGTTTGGGTCAAATGAGGATGTAATGTGTCAGCTTCTAATCCAATATGTTAATTATAAAATTCAGTGTCTCAAGAAGAACTAGGCTATGCTCTTTGCTGGAGGGAAGGGCCTGCCCTCCTTTTTCCCTTAAAAACCCAATCTGGCACTCAAAATGAAAAGTCAGAGGAGCCAGCTCTCATGCCTAAAAATTCCAGTGCATGGAATCCCCTAGACTATTTCCCCTGCTCAGTATCCCCAATCCTTCCCCTCAGGCAGCTACTGCTGCCTCATATCCCATTCCAAATCCTTCCTCTACTCACGTTACCCCTCCTCCTTACTGACTCTTGGGAATTACCATCCCACCAGCCTGTTCCCTCCCAACCTAAATACTTTTACCCCTCTCTAAAAGGAATCCAGCATGAGGTAGAACAATGTAAAAAAAGATATTCAGAATTTCCCAATTCCCTCCATACCTAAGGGGTCAGTCCCAATTCTCTTCCATTTGAAAGAGGTACCACAAGGAGTAGGGGGCCATTGGCTTTGAAAATGTTCCCTTAACCAGTTCAGAAGTCCAGAATTTTAAAAAGGAGCTTAAACCACTACTAGATGACCCTTACAGAGTGACAGACCAAATTGACCAATTCTTAGGACCTCAGTTATACACTTGGGCCAAGTTAATGTTCATCTTGGGCACCCTCTTTTCAGGGGAAGAAAGGAGTATGATTCGTAGGACTGCTATGGTAGTTTGGGAATGTGAGCACCCTCCTGGTGAAAACATTCCTACTGCAGGCCAGAAATTCCCCACCCGAGACCCCCAGTGGGACAATAACAACGCAGATCACCAGGAAAATATGCAGGACCTAAGGGAGATAATAATAAAAGGAATTCAGGAATCAGTACCCCAAAGCCAAAATCTTTCTAAAACACTTGATATACAACAGGAAAAGGATGAAGGGCCTCTGAGATTCCTGGACAGATTAAGAGAGCAAATGAGGCAATATGCATGCCTCAATTTGGATGATCCCCTTAGGCAAGGAATGTTGAAACTCAAATTTGTCACTAAAAGTTGGCCAGACATTTCAAAAAAAGCTAAAAAAATAGACAATTGGGAAGACTGTCCCCTAAGTGAGCTTAGGGAAGCTCAGAAATTATATGTGAGAAGGGACAAAGAAAAACAGAAACAAAAGACAAAACTTATGTTATCCACCTTCCAACAGATGGCTCCAAATCCAGGTACTTCTAGACAGAGTTTCCAGGGAGCCAAAAACTATAAAGGGTCCAAACCCTCCTTTAAAAGACCCCAGTCTCCATCTGGAGGACCAAAGCCCTCATCTGCCAGGCCCCCTAAAGAGTTTGTGGGAGCAGGGTTAAAGAATCCCAGAACTAAGAGGGAGGAAGGGAAAGATAGGTGCTATAGATGTGGAAGAACAGGCCTTCAAGAGAGGATGTCCTGAATTAAGAAAGGAAAAAGAAGCCCTTCCACTCATGACTTTTGAGGAAGAATAGGGGAGTTAGGGGCTCTGTCTCTTTTTTCTTGAGTCCCACCAGGAGCCCTTGATAAATTTAGAGGTGGGACCCAAACATGAGCTTATCACCTTTTTAGTCGATTCAGGGGCCACTCGCTCCTCTGTTTGTTTCCCCCCATCTAATGTCTCCTCCTCAGAGGAACTTTAAGTCTCTGGGGTAAACGGGGAAGGATTTAGAGCAAAAATTTTAGAAGTTAGATACCAGGATCACTCAGCTCATATTCAGTTCTTATTAATCCCTGAAGCAGGAACTAAATTATTGGGAAGGGATTTAATGTTAAAGTTGAGCATAGGTCTACAAGTCAGTCCAAGAGGATTCCTCACCTCATTAAACCTACTCACCACTGCAAATGAAAAATATATTAATCCTAATGTGTGGTCCAAAGACGGGAACCAAGGGAAACTCTGAGTCCCTCCAATCCACATCAAGTTAAACCCCCGGAGAAGTAGTAAGAAGGAAGCAATACACTATTCCCTTGGAAGGTAGGATAGGGTTGAAGCCTATAATTCAAGGTCTTATTAAAGATGGGCTTCTTGAGCCCTGTATGTCCCCTTATAACACCCCAATACTGCCAGTCAAGAAATCAGACAGGTCATACCAACTAGTAAAGGACCTTAGAGCTATTAACAAAATAGTCCAGACTACCTACCCTGTTGTCCCCAATCCTTACACTATTCTCAGCAAGATTCCATATAATCATCAATGGTTTACTGTAATAGATTTGAAGGATGCTTTTTAGGCATGTCCCCTGGCTGAAGACAACCAAGTTATATTTGCTTTTGAGTGGGAGGATCCCCACTCAGGGTGGAAACAACAATATTGATGGACAGTCTTACCCAGAGGGTTCACAGACTCCCCTAATCTTTTCAGCCAAATTTTAGAACAAGTATTAGAAAAAATTTTCATCCCAGAACAAATATGCCTTCTCCAGTACGTGGACGATCTTCTTATATCTGGTGAAAATATAAGACTGACTTCTCTACACATATTCTTAACCATCTGCAGTTTGAGGGGCTATGAGTCTCAAAAAGAAAGCTTCAGTATGTAGAGCCTGAAGTTAAATATTTAGGCCACTTAATAAGTGCAGGCAAGCAAAGAATAGGGCCTGAATGAATCAAGGGAATCGTGTCCTTACCCTTGCCTCAAACTAAACAAGAACTCAGGAAATTTTTAGGATTAGTCAGATACTGCCACTTATGGACTGACTCATATGCACTGCACAGTAAATTGTTATATCAAAAACTTGCCCAGGAGAAGGCTAACCGTCTCCTGTGGAATTCTGAGGAAGTTGATCAAGTTGAGGAGCTGAAAGAAAAGCTCATAACTGCCCGTTTTAGCCTTACCCTCCCTAGAAAATCCATTCCACCTTTTTGTTAATGTGGACAGTGGGGTAGCTTTAGGAGTGCTGTCTCAAGAACATGGAGGCCGCCGGCAGCCCATGGCCTTCCTATCAAAGGTCTTAGACCCAGTCACTTGTGGATGGCCTCAATGCATCCAGTCCATCACGGCTACAGCAATATTAGTTGAGGAATGTAGAAAGTTAACCTTTGGAGGAAAACTGACAGTAAACATGCCTCACCAACTTAGAACTATCTTAAACAAGAGAGCAGGGAGATGGCTTACTGACTCAAGAATCTTAAAGTATGAGGCCATTCTGTTAGAAAAGAATGATTTCACATTAACCACTGATAATTGACTCATCCCAGCAGGTTTCCTAACAGAGAATCCAAATTTAAGGAGGGAACACACATGTCTAGATTTAATTGATTACCACACAAAGGTTCAACCAGACTTAGGAGAAACTCCCTTCCAGACTGGACAGCACTTATTGATAAATAGTTCCTCCTGAGTGATTGAGAGAAAAAGACACAATGGGTATTCAGTGATTGATGGAGAAATTCTTGCAGAAATAGTCAGGAAAATTGCCCAACTGTTGGTCTGCTCAAACGTGTGAGCTGTTTGCACTCAGCCAAGCCTTAGAGTACTTGCATAACCAGGAAGGAACCATCTATACAGATTCCAGGTATGCCTTTGGAGTGGCCCATATGTTTGGGAAAATTTGGACTGAATGAGGTCTCATTAATAGTAAAGGTCAAGACCTTGTTCACAAGGAGCTAATAGCCAAGTATTCAACAATCTTCAGTTGCTGGAAGAAATAGCTATTGTCCACGTTCCCAGACATCAGAAAAGACTTTCTTTTGAAAGTCAAGGAAATAACCTAGCAGATGAGGTAGCCAAACATGCTACTGTGTCTTCTGAAACACGTATTTTTCATTTAACTCCCTACCTCCCTCCTCCTACCGTAATCCCCATTTTCTCTTCCACTGAAAAAGAAAAACTAATAAAAATAGGCACTAAAGAGAATTCAGTAGGAAAATGGGTATTGCCAGACCAGAGAGAAACGCTGTCTAAATCCCTTATGAGGGAAATCTTATCCCAACTACATCAAGGGACCCATTGGGGGCCCCAGGCCTTGTGTGATGAAGTTATCAGAGTTTATGGTTATATAGGAATTTACACCCTGGCCAAACAGGTTACAGATAGTTGCTTAGTATGTAAGAAAACTAATAAACAAACTATAAAAAGATTACCTCTCAGGGGAAGGAATCCAGGCCTAAGGCCATTCCAAAGTATCCAAGTTGATTACACAGAAATGCCTCCAATAGGTTATCTAAAATATTTACTAGCAATAATAGACCACCTCACTCATTGAGTCGAAGCTATCCCCTTTTCAAATGTGACAGCCAATAATGTAGTTAAGGCCCTAATTGAAAATATAGTATCCAGGTTTGCACTAATATAAAATATTGACTCAGACACTGGAACTCATTTCACCACACACATTATTAAAAGGCTATCCCAAACATTAGACATTAGATGGGAATACCATACTCCCTGGCACCCACCCTCATCAGGGAGAGTATAAAGAATGAATCAGACTTTTTTTTTTTTTTGAGATGGAGTGTTGCTCTGTAGCCCAGGCTGGAGTGTAGTGGCACATTCTCAGGTCACTCCAAGCTCTGCCTCCTGGGTTCTTGCCATTCTCCTGCCTCAGCCTCCCAAGTAGCTGGGACTACAGGCGCCCACCACCATGCCTCGCTAATTTTTTGTATTTTTAGTAGAGACAGGTTTCACCATGTTAGCCAGGGTGATCTCGATCTCTTGACCTCGTGATCCACCCACCTCAGCCTCCCAAAGTGCTGGGATTGCAGGCATAAGCCACAGCACCAGGCCAAGAATGAATCAGACTTTAAAGGACCACTTAACCAAATTAGTCTTAGAGACTCAATTGCCATGGACCAAGTGTCTTCCTATCACCCTGCTGAGAATTCGAACTGCACCACTGAAAGATATTGGTCTTTCTCCTTATGAGATGCTCTACGGATTGCCTTATTTGAACTCTACTGCTGATATTCCTACCTTTGAAACAAAAGATCAATTTCTCAAAAATTATATACTTGGTCTATCTTCTACTTTCTCTTCTCTTAAAACTAAAGGTCTATTGGCACAGGCGCCACCCTTGGAGTTCCCAGTGCATCAACATCAGCCTGGGGATCACATCCTCATCAAAAGCTGGAAAGAGGAGAAGCTCGAGCCAGCCTGGGAAGGTCCCTACTTAGTGCTCCTAACTACTGAAACCATAGTCCACACGGCAGAGAGAGGATGGACTTATCACACCCAAGTCAAGAAAGTGCCACCCCCTCCAGACTGGTGGGCCATAGTCCCAGGGGAAAACCCTACCAAACTAAAGCTAAGAAGAATTTAACTCTCTTTCATCTATTCTATTACTCTTTCTTCTTCCTTCTCTCTATTGCTGACCATCTAGTTATTAACATAACCAAGTCAACTTTGCCTCAAACTACTGCATTCAATGCTTGCCTTGTTATACCCTGTGGGGACTTGCCAAGTCAAAGACAGCTCTCTACTTCAGAAAAGTACCTCTGTCCCTCCTGGCTCTCCTCAGACTGGGTATTAGTGAATTGGGACCATTTAATCCGGGGAGAATTTGATAAAGACCCCAGTGTCAACCAGGAATCTTGCCCCCAATGTGGAGCTTTTATGCTGTAGTTGGTCCAACGTTCTGTGGACCACTAAAGAGCAAGGATGGACTGCCCCTATGGGTTTTTGTAATTTCCTAAAACCATACATTCATTTTACTAAAGGGACGCCCCCCCTAACTGTCAGCTAAACCAGTGCAATCCCATAGAGGTTATGTCAAACCCTCAAAGCTTTTCCCCTTTTCTAAGCCTGTTCCCTTCTTTAAGCTGGTTTTATGGTATAGGGGCAGAGGTTTCAGGGACAGAGCATACTGGATTCTTTGAAATGCATTTTTTTGATCCCCCACTGCCTGCACCTTCCTCTAAACCTTCTTCCAAAACCTCTCACAATGGAACAAGTGCTCCTCCTCCATCTCACAACAAAACCAAGGTAGCTATCATAGAAATTAAAGACTTAAAACAAACTTTGGCAATTGAGACAGGACCAAGATGCAAATGCCTGGTTGGAAGGGATCAAATATTCCATCTGCACGTTAAACAAAAGCAACTGTTATCCTTGTGTGCATGGCAGGCCAGAGGGCCAGATTGTCCCCTGTCCACTAGGATGGTCCTCCAGTCGACTGGGCTTGGGCTGAATGGTAGCTCTTTTCCAGGATACTACAGCCTGGGGTAACAAGTTGTGCCAAGCTCTCTCTCTCTCTGCTATATCCTGAAGTTCAACACCCTGTGGGTCAGCCCCCAAGGGCAATCTAGCTTCCATCTCCCAACACTAAATTCACTTCGTGTATCTCATGACAGGGAGGAAATTTAGCGTTCCTTGGAGACCTGAAGGGTTGCAGTGAGCTTAAGAATTTTCAAGAGCTTACCAATCAGTCAGCCCTTGTTCATCCCCAAGTGGATGTGTGGTGGTATTGTGGTGGACCTTTACTGGACACTGTGCTGAGTAACTGGAGTGGCACTTGTGCTTTAGTCCAATTGGCTATCTATTGCAGGATCTGGCCAGCAGCCCGCAATGCAATGGGGCTCTTTCTTTGTTCCCAGGCAGGTCAGCAGTTCAAGAAATAATAGACACACAACATAGCGAAAGCTGGGTCCAAGGGGTCACCACCTTCTGGTCCTGCGGTGCCAACAATGCACTGGATATACCAGCATTTATTATCAAGTTTAGTGAGGGTGGGGGTAGGTTAGTGAGGGACTTAGGGTCATTTGATTATGAGGTGAGATAGTCACATGGGGATGAAGTAATTCTTCAACATAATATCTGTATGCAGAAGTACAGTATACAAGGTAAGAATTTACAATATAGTGTGTGCATCAGTAATTTCTAACATAGCCTTAAAACAGAAACAGTCTTTCCATAACCTATGATTAGCAAGATATTAATCAGCAGTAACAGTAGCAGCAAAAGCTGGTTACAAACAATTCATAGAAACAGGACGTGAAGCTAGACAACTGGTTAGACCAGAAATTCTCAGAAAGGAGTATGCCATAACCCTAAAGAGGCCTAGAAGAGCCATGGCAAGATGAGGGCATTTATAGCCCTATCTTATCCATATGGACAGGCACCCCTCATGCATCCATTTATAGGCTCTCCACAAGGGTCACATTCCATTCCCAGAGCTATGAACATCTGCTTTTCTGGGATAGGAATCTTGGTGATGTGAAACCTCCCTGACTGCACGTCCATTCATAGGCTCTCTTCAGGGGGAAGCACATCACGTGCTGTTGGCTCATTCTGGCAGTCCAACCTGGCATTGTCTTTACACAATCCTGAATGCAATTTTGTATTTACAATAATCAGGAGCATTTCATCTTTTATTCCATAGCAATAGTTTCAGGGGGTCTCCCTACAGCTATCCTTTCACCCTGGCATTTCACCAGCCAGAGGAAGGAAAAATAAGACACTGTAAAGCAAGAGAAACCACTTATGAGTATTTTGACTCTCACATCTATTTAGATGCAATTGGAGTCCCACGGGGAATACCAGATCAATTTAAAGCCCAAAATCAAATAGCTGCAGGATTTGAGTCAATATTTCGATGGGTGGCAATTAATAACAATGTAGATTGGATAAACTACACCTACTACAACTAACAGCGATTTATTAGCTACACTAGAGATGCTGTTAAAGGAATAGCTGAGCAATTAGGGGCCACTAGCCAGATGGCTTTGGAAAATAGGATAGCCCTAGACGTGATATTAGCAGAAAGCGGAGGAGTTTGCATCATGATTAAAACTCAATGTTGTACCTTCATCCCAAACAACACGGCCCCTGATGGAAGTATAACAAAGGCATTCCAAGGTCTGACTGCTCTGTCCAATGAGTTAGCCAACAACTCAGGGGTAAAAGACCCCTTTACATGATGGCTAGAAAAGTGGCTCAGTAAATGGAAAGGAATAACAGCCTCAATTCTTACTTACCTCACAGCCATAATGGTTGTATTAATTCTTGTCGAGTGGTGTGTCATACCATGCATCTGTGGATTGGTGCAGAGGCTCATAGATATGGCACTTACTAAAACCTCCCTTAACTATTCTCCACCTTATCCAGAGAAGCTTCTTCTTTTGGAAAATCAAGCAGAACAACTAAGCCAAGACATGTTAAAAAAGTTTGAAGAGAAAGAACTGTAAGGAAAATGCAAAAAGAAGGAATTATTAGATATGAGTTCTAAATTTCTCTTCAATGAATCAATATGTCAGTATGTTCAATTTTTTACCTTCTATTTTTAAACTTAACTTCCTCGTAAAGCAATCTTTTTAGATCACCTGCTCCACCCTGACTCATTCCGATTACCTGCTCTGCCCTGACTGATTCCAATTACCTCATTCATTCTGATTACCTGCTCCACCCTGACTCATTCATTTTTCCCGCCAAACCACTCACCCCATCACTCTCTTTAAATTAGCCAGTCAGAATTAGTTTAGCCTGCGTGGTCTAACCCTAGCCAATAAGGGGATGACACAGCAGCAGGGGCCACGTGCACCAGGGATAAGTACCCCTTCCCATCCCTTGTCCAAGTGTGTGCTCACCATTGCTCCATCTGTAAGGGTGCACCCTTCTATAGAAGTAAATTGCCTTGCTGAGAAGAAAAATTTTTATTCAAGTGCCATTTCTTTTGCAGTGCCAAAACTTTACATATAACATCTGCACCATTCTTGGAGGTGAGCTGTCCAGGAGAGGACCCAGCCAGAATCATCTGTGTGAGCTGTGGCAGGATCGAGCTCTGCAAGTTTGTTGTGTGAAGCTACTGAGGTGCAGAACTGTGGGTTAGGCAGAGGGCCTCTCCTGATTAATATTACTACAATGAAAGCAGGAAGGCTTTGAGGGACTTCTGCAACACACGAGTCTAAATTTAGTTTAATTCTGCATAATGATGGCTTATTCCTTTTTGCTTTTATCTTCTGAGTGCATGGCAGAAGACCATCTCCCAGTAATGCTGCTGATTCAGATCCTTGAGCTGTGTGTTCCCACCACTGAGAGGAGAGACAATACGGTGAAAAGAACACAGATGCCTGTGCTGCCTTTCCAAATTCTGCCCCCAAAGAAGCACTATGATGCTGGCAATTCACTCACCCTCTCTCAACGATTTCAGTTTCTCCATCTGTACAAGGAAGCTGAGATCCCTGCTTCAAGTGCGGTGCTGTGCCAATCTCTTCACATGTGTTAACACACTTCGTTCCACATCAACCCTTAGGGAGATCCTATTCTTGTGCCCATTTTATGGATAAGGAGACTGAGCTTCACAGATGTTAAGTAGTTTCCCCAAGGTCAGAAAACTCATAAGTGGAAGTCATAGGGGACCTCTTCTCCAAGAAAGGCCTTCTTGGGGCCTCTTATTTTGCACAGTGCCACCATTTCAATTGGCAAAGAAAACTCTCAGCGCTCAAAGGGCACACTATTGACCTACTTGCCATCCAGCCCCTATGGAAAGCTTGACTCAGCAGGGGCAAACCTGAGCAGGAGCTCCAGCTCATTGCACAGTAGACACCTGGGTCACAAATCTGGGTTAGGGCTAAGATTTTGCTTGATGACCAAAGAGTCATCTATCAGCTCTTCACACTTCCTGATTTTTAAAAATCTTTTTTCTTTACTTGCCCAAGTACTACGTGTTCAGTTTCATGTATCACTGTCCTTTTTTTTTTTTTCTGTGTGAATAAAACTGAAGTTTTGGGGTCCCTGACCTGTAGTATAAAGCTGTGTCAGGCATTTAAATCCTACTTTTGGAATTTTCATGATGTTTGTAATATGCTCAGCCTTTAAAAATGTGTAATTGGCTATGATTTCTTTTCATGTTCTAAGTATACATTCAGGCCGGGCACGGTGGCTCACACCTAAGCTCTCACTCAGACATACCCACTGCCCAAACCCTTTGGAAAGGCAAGGATAAAGGAGGCTGCCAATGGGGTCCATCCAGGTCGGCTTCCCAGGGCAAACAGCAGGTGGAGGGAGGACAGAGGGACAAAGGGACCCCAGGGGGCAGACGGACAATGTCCAGCACTCCAGCACTGGGATAGATTGGTCTCTAGCTCCTTGTCTCCTATTCCATTTCTGGATTAATGTTGAGAAGTACATAGAGGAAGGGAGGTGGGAGGCTGTATTCGTTTCCTTTTTTTTTTTTTTTTCTTTTTTGAGACAGAGTCTCACTCTATCACCCAGGCTGGAGTGCAGTGGTGTGATATCTGCTCACTGCAACCTCCACCTCCCAGATTCAAGTGATCCTCGTGCCTCAGCCTCCCACGTAGCTGGGACTACAGGCTACCATGCTTGGCTAATTTTTTTTTTTTTTTTTTTTTTTTAGTAGAGATGGGGTTTTGCCACATTGGCCAGGCTTGTCTCGAACTCCTGGTCTAAGTTATCCTCCTGCCTCAAGTTCCCAATATGCTGGGATTACAGGCATGAGCAACCACACCCAGTCTGTATTAGTTTCCTCTTGCTGCTGTAACACATTACCACAATCTTAGTGGCTTAAAATATATGTTCCTCCCATTCTGGAGGTCAGAAGTCTACAGTTAAGATGTCAGCCAGAGGCTGGGTGTGGTGGCTTATGCCTGTAATCCCAGTGCTTTGGGAGGCTGAGGCGGGTGGATCACTTGAGGTCCAGAGTTTGAGACCAGCCTGGCCAACATGGTAAGACCCAGTCTCTACTAAAAATACAAAAGTTAGCTGGACGTCATGGCACACACTTGTGGTCCCAGCTACTCGGGAGGCTGAGGCACGAGAATTGCTTGAGCCCAGGAAGCAGAGGTTGCCTTGAGCCAAGATAGCACCATTGCACTCCAGCCTGGGCCATGGAGTGAGACTCTGTCAAAAAAAAGAAAAAATGGTGTCAGCAGGGCTGGCTTTTCTGGAGGCTCATCCCGGCTTCCTTCCCTTTTCTTGCCTCTAGAAGGCACCCGCATTTCCTGACTCGTGATCCATTCCCCAAATCACTCGGCTCTCCTGCCTCCTTCTTAGAAGGACCTTTATGGCTTTTATGGCTACATCAAGCCCACGCACATCATCAAGGTCATCTCCCCCTCCCAAAATCTTTCATTTAATCACGTTTGCAAAGTCCCTTTGGCCATGTAAGGTCACATATTAACAGGTTGGGGGGAGTTGGACAGGAACATCCTTGCGGGGAGCATTATTCAGCCTACAGAGGTGGGGCGTGCCTAGCCCTTTCAAGCCCCTTTGGGTTTGAGAAATATGCATGTGAGATTTGCTTCTGCAGTTGCAATCAAGATGTCTGCAATAAGTTTTTACTACATCAGCTGCTGTCACCAACGTAACTCTCACCTGAAACTCTTTAGTTTTCAGGGCACCACCTGAAGACTCAGTAGCACTCTCTCCTCTCTAATGAGAATTCCATGCCTCTGGTGTGGCAGCTTAGTTGACCCTTCCAGGAGGCATACATTCTCCTCTTCTTTCATTCTGTTTTCCAACTTTCAATCATGTGCCCACTTGGGTGCAATTTTATTGCAAATGCTTTTTTTGCTTTCCAACTTTTAGGTTCGACAGGTATATGTGCAGGTAAGTTATGTGTCATGGGGTTTGGTGTATAGATAGTTTTGTCACCCAAGGTAATCAACATAATATCCTATAGGTAGTTTTTCAATCCTTACCCTCTCTTCCCACCCTTCACCCTCAAGTAGGCCCCAGAGTCTACTGTTCCCTTCTTCATGGCCATGTGTACTCAGTGTTTAGCTCCCATTTATAAGTGAAAATATGTGGTATTTGGTTTTCTGTTCCTGTGTTAATTTCCTTAGTATAAGGCCTCCAGCTGCATTCATGTTGCTACAAACACATGATTTCATTCTTTTTATGGCTTCATAGTATTCCATGCTGTATTTGTACCACATTTTCTTTACCCAGTTCACTGCTAGAGGGCATCTAGGTTGCTTCCACATCTTTGCCCCAGGTGGAGGTTATCTTCAGCTCAGGAGTTTGAGACCAGCCTGGGCAATGTGGCAAATCCCCGTCTCTACAAAAAATACAAAAATTAGCTGGGCGTGGTAGAACACACCTGTAGTTCCAGCTACTTGGGAGGCTGAGGTAGGAGGATCACCTGAGCCCAGGAAATCCAGGCTGCAGTGAGCCAAGGTGGTGCCACTGCACTCCAGCCTGAGTGACAGAGTGAGACCCGTCAAAGAAAAGAAAAGAAATAGAGTTGTTGAAATATTTTTTTCCATTTCTGAAACAGTAATATAAGTGCTTTTTTCAAAAAAGTGTTCAGTAATAAGTGGTTACTAGTGGTGGCTCAGTAACCACCATATCTTGAAGTAATGATGAGCATAAAAGGTGCTTTGTGATATCTGCCATAACTGAAATGTGATATGAAAATATCTTTGATTTCCACTGGTGATAAAGTCCACATACAGGCAATATTACTGTGGCTCATGGCCTACATTTATACAAGAAAGAAACTAAATTTCTATTAGAGGTTGATGAAAATAACAATGTGATTTCTTTTCCCCCCCAAGTTTACGTGCTCCTTAACTGTTATCCATTGAACCCAGGTTTGAAGACATAATAGTGTTGTTGAAATTCTCTGAACTACAAAATAAATTCTTCATGTTTCTCAAAGATGAGAGATCACATTAGTTTCATGTACTTGGCAAATGCAAGTTTTCCCACTAGACACTACAGAAATGACACCTACCCTCAGCTCCCCAAATGAAATACAAGTCCACTTCCTCCTGTATCCACAAGCTGTTTAGTAGCTTGACACGTTCAGGCTCTAGTAACCAATTCAGAATTCGAAAATCAATAAAATAAAACCATCTTGGAAAACACAATTACTGGGCTCTCTTTAGCTATTTCACATTGTAGAGTAGCTATATAAATCCAGAACAGATTAAATATCTTTAATGGCTTCCTCCCAATATTCTGAAATAGAACTGGATCAAGAAGAACTATAAATTCAGAGTCAACTGCACAAGATAATCAGAGTGTATAGGGAAGAAGGAAAAATAAGCTAATATTTAATGTGAATCTGCAATATATAAGGCTTTTTGCATAGATTATTTCACTTTATCCTCAAAAATAATCTGAAATTCAACATTCCTTTATGATAAAAAATTTTAACTGAGAATAGAAGGAATCTTCCTTAATCTGATACGTAGTGCCTACAGGAAGCATCATAGTTAGTGTTAAAATATTGGAAGCTTTTTCCAGAAATCTGGAATAAGACAGGGATGCCCACTATCACCACATCTATTTAACATTATACTAGAAGTCCTAGCCAGTACAATAAGACAAGAAAAAGGAATAAAAAGCTTAAGAACTGGAAATGAAGGAATAAAACTGTCACTATCCAGTGTGGACATGATTGCATATATAGAACACCCAAAAGAACCTACAGAAAAACTAGCAGAGTTAGTAAATGAATACAGGAAGGCTATTGAATATAAGATCAATATACAAAATTCAATTGTATTTTTATATTCCAATTTCAAACGAATAGATAATGAAAAATTTCAAAAGACACCAGAGATCTGTGACTTACAAGTGCTGGGAATGGAGGAAGTGGCTGACCTCAGAAGGGCAACATGAGGGAATTTTTTTAGATGATGGAGTTATTCTATACCTTGATCATAGTGGTGGTTATACAACTATATGCACTTTATCAAAACTTATACAGTTGCACACCAAAATTTTAAACTTTACTGTGTGTAAATGTAAAAAGTGAATTAAAATAATTAAAAAGATATTTATAATATCACTTCAAAACCTCAAATAGCTAGGAATTAATCTACTGAAAAATGTTTGAGATCTCTATATTGAAAACTATGAAACATTATTGAGGGAAATTAAAGAACACTAAAAGACATGCAGAATACTATTCTCATAGACTGGAAGACTTGATAGTGAAAAATATAAATTCTCCCCAATTTGATCTTTTAACTTAATTCATTCCCAATCAAAATTTTATCTGCTTTTTTTTTTTGCAGAAATTGACAAGTTTACTTAAAATATATGTGGAAATGCAAAGAACCAAGATTTACACTATCAGATGTTAAAATTATTGGAAGGCTACTATAATTAAACAGTACACTATCAGTGCAAGTGTAGCAAACCAGTGTAGCAGAAGAGGAATCCAGAAACTAATTCACACATACATGGCCACCTGATTTATGACAAAGATTGTACGCAGTGCAGGGCTGTCAAGGAAGCATGACATTTTCAATACTACACTATGCAAAAGAATAAATTTCAGATGGGTTGCAGATGAAAATGTAGCATATGAAACAATGATAAAGATTTCTTAAGGAAAACTAAAAGCACTAACCGTAAATGCCAGAGAGCAGGGGAGAGAAGGATAAACTGGACCATATTAAGATTGAGAACTTCTCTGTTCATCAAAAGATACCATGAAGGGCCGGGAACCATGGCTCACATTTATAATCTCAGTGCTTTGGGAGGTTGAGGCAAGAAGATCACTGGGGCCCAGGAGTTCAAGACCAGCCTGGGCAACAAAGTGAGATGCCATCTCTACAAATAATTTTTTAAAAAATTAAAAATTAGCTGGGCATGGTGGCACGGGCCTGTGTCCCAGCTACATGGGAGGCTGAGGCAGTAAGATCACTTGAGCCTGGGCGGTTAAGGCTGCAGTGAGTCATGATCACTGCATTTCAGCCTGGGCAACAGCACGAGACCCTGCCTCAAGAACAAAAACAACAACAAAAAAGTTAATTAAAAAAAGAAGATACCATGAAGAGAGGAAAAAGACAACCTGTAGAGTGGGAAGATATTTGCAATACAATACCTATTTCCAACAAGTGAAACACATTCAAAACATATAAAGAACTCCTACAAAGCAAAAAGACTGAAAATGTAATAGAAAAATGAGCAAATATTTGAAGAGGCCCTTTACAAAAGAGAATATGCAACACACATGTGTCAAATGTGGCCAATACACACAGGACAATTTCAATTTCATTAGTCATCTGGGGAATGCAAAGTAAAACCAGTGTGATGCATAGGAAAAAATATTATAAAACTAAGCATTGGAAATGACGTGGAGCATGCCAAACTCTCACACACTGCTGGGAATTAGCACAACCGCTTTGAAAACTGTTTGGAAGTATCTACTAAATCTGAACGCATGCAAACCCTAGGATCCAGCAAGGATGTATCCAACAGAAATTCATGAATGTGTGCACTAAAGGAGACAGAGCCAAATATTTACAGCAGCTCTCTTCATGATAGCCCACAACTGAACAGAATCCAGATGCCCATCAAGAGGAGAATGGATGAATAAATGCTCATTGATTCACACAGTGGAATACTAAACAGCCACGAGAACAAACAAACTACAGCGAAGTCCAAACATAGATGAATCTCACCAATATAACCTTCAGCAAAAGGGACCAGATGTGAAACAGCACATTCCATTGTATTAAGTTCAAATTCAGGCAAAACAGATCAAATCTATGGCATAATGACCAGAAGAAGGAATGAGGGAGGTTTCTAGGATATGGCTATGGTGTGAATATCTGTCCCTTCCCAAACTCATTTTCAAATTTAATTGCCATTATATTAATAACAATATAGTGGCACCTTTAAGAGGTGGTTAGGCCATGAGGGCTCTGCCATCATAAATGGATTAAAGCCACTATTGTGGGAGTAGGTTTGCTATCACGGAAGTGAGTTCCTTTAAAAGGTTGAGTTCAGCCCCCTTTTGTCTCTCTCTCTCTCTCCTACTGTCTTGCCCTTCCACCTTCCACCACAGATGACTTCGCAATTTTGGAAGATTCATTCTTACTGTAGATTTTAGCAACCTCAGCATATGATTTCTTTCTCTCCTTATTAAGTCAAGAAGTTTCACCTTTTCGCTTAAAGGAAGCACTTTATGGCTTCTCTTTGCCATGTCTGAATTGCCAGCACTTTGGGACCATCATGAAGTAAAATAAGGGTTCCTTAAACACAAGTGCTGTGATACTGTGACAGTCAATGCAATACTGTGAGACTCAATGTGATAACTCTCAACCCCCTGGAAACATTTTTATCTGGCACTGAAAGAGGAAAAACACACCTACTCATCTCTATTTATGGGCCAGACACAGAAGCAGGCACTTAAGTGATCTGTTTCCATCATCACAGCATCATCTATTGTGGACACTTCTTGCTAAGAAACATAGAGAAGGCCAGGTGCGGTGGCTCACGCCTGTAATCCCAGCATTTTGGGAGGCCGAGGCAGTCGGATGGCTTGCACTCAGGAGTTCGAGATTAGCCTGGGCAACAAGGTGAAATCCCATCTCTACCAAAAATACAAAAAATTAGCCGGGCGTGGTGGTGCATGCCTGTGGTCCCAGCTACTCCAGAGGCTGACATGGGAAGATGGCTTGAGCTGGGAGGCAGAGGTTACAGTGAGCCGAGATTGCTCCTCTGCACTCCAGCCTAGATAACAGAGACCCCATCTAAAAACAAAAACAAACAAAAAGCATAAAGAGGACTTATCGACCACCTAAAACTGAAATGCGTCAGGCTGGTCACTAGCGTGGGAGATTGGGGGCGTTTCTGAATCCATTTTCTTCTCCCACTCACCTGTGTTAGAACTCAGGGCTACCTTTCTCCAGGCAAAATGAAATAAATCTGAGCTTTCTCTTTGTTCTGAACGATTTGTTTGTAATTAACCTTTGTGCGTATCTTGCATTTTATGGCTTTCTTGAGAGAAACTCAAGTTATTTTCACACGATGTATAAAATCTACACAACATTAATTTTTCTATATGGCCTGGGGCAAGAAGATTCTAGCCAAGACCTATGTGTTGGTCTTGTAAACCACAGTCCGTCCAAAGACAGACTATTTTTCCTCCACCTCCTCCTCCTCCATCTTCCTTCCAAATGTTGGGCTTTGGGATCAGAACTCCATTCCTTCTCTTCCTCAACACTCTTTACCCCCATAGCTGTAAGTGCTGCCCACAAAGCCTTCTATCTTCAGCTCTGTGCTCTCTCCAGAGTTTCAGATGCAAAAATG
The DNA here is from genome assembly GCF_000001405.40 of Homo sapiens. Taxonomy (NCBI): domain Eukaryota; kingdom Metazoa; phylum Chordata; class Mammalia; order Primates; family Hominidae; genus Homo; species Homo sapiens. Next base: position 12,695,629 of record NC_000001.11, on the reverse strand, counting down.
CATCTGCCAAGAACTCTTCAGCCATAAAACAGAATGAGATCCTGTCTTTGCAATAACATGGATGGAACTGGAGATCACTGTGCTAAGTGAAATAAGCCAGGCACAGAAAGACAAGCATTGCACGTTTTCACCTATTTGTGGGATCTAAAAATCAAAACAATTGAACTCATCAAGATAAAGGATAGTTATCAGAGGCTGGGAAGGGCAGTGGTAAGGGTGAGGGGGAAGTGGAGATGGTTAGTGAGTACAAAAAAATAGTTAGAAAGAATGAATAAGGCCTACTATTTGAAAGCACAACAGAGTGACTACAGTCAATAATAATTTAATTGTACATTTAAAAATAACTAAAAGAGTATAATTGGATTGTTTATAACACAAAGGATAAATACTTGAGGGATTGGATACTACCCCATTCTCCATGATATAATTATTACGCATTGCATGCCAGTATCAAAACAACTCATGTCCCATAAATAGATATATACCTACTATGTACCCACAAAAATTTTAAACTTTTTAAAATGCAACTGCCCTCTTGATATGACCTTTTCTGCCTGTTTCTCTCTCAGGCTTCCACACCTAAGCAAATCACACTACCATCTCTTCTGCCAGAACTGCTGGAGTTATCCATTACTCTTCCTGTTCCCACAACCTTGCACCCAAGCCATCCCTGGGTCCTTAGATCCTGTATTCCAAACACATCTATATTGATCCCTGTTCATTATTCTTTTTCTTTTTCTTTTTTTTTTTATATGGAGTTTTGCTCTTTTCACCCAGGCTGGAGTGCAATGGTACAATCTCGGCTCACTTCAATCTCCGCCTCCCAGGTTCAAGCGATTCTCCTGCCTCAGCCTCCCGAGTAGCTGGGATTACAGGTGCTTGCCACCATGCCCAGCTAATTTTTATATTCTTAGTAGAGATGGGGTTGCGCCATGTTGGCCAGGCTGGTCTCGAACTCCTGACCTCAGGTGATCTGCCCACCTAGGCTTCCCAAAGTGCTAGGATTACAGGTGTGAGCCACTGCGCCCAGCCAGCTGTTCATTATTCTTGATGATGGCTCTCTCCTCTTCATCTTCTGCTCAATGTAGAATTTGGATAATATGTATTTGTGATTCCGCTGATTTTCTGTTTCCCCAGTGAAATTACAATTCCAGCAAGGGCAAGAATAGCTATTTCACTCACTGTGGTATCCCAGTGTCTAGCACATACTCTAAGTGCCCAATCAATCACTTCTGAACAGATGATAAATGATGCCACATGGACTGGGGGCAAGGGCAGCATGAAACCTCATTCTCTTGCTCTTCTGATTATGTTTATTGAAGGATACAGGCAGTGGTGGTAGAATGAGAAGAGGTAGAAGCTCAAAAACTCTGGAGACAGCACGCATAGTTTGTGTGAAGTTTATTTCTTTGAAACCAGTTTAAACTCATGTCTCCTCAGATTTTGCAGCCTCTGGCTCCTCTATGTTACCCCAGAACCCAAAGGGCCCGTGTATTAGTCCGTTCTTGCACTGCTATAAAGAAATACCTGAAGCCAGGCGCAGTGGCTCACGCTTGTAATCCCAGCACTTTGGGAGGCCGAGGCGGGTGGATCACAAGGTCAAGAGATCGAGATCATCCTGCCTAACACGGTGAAACCCTGTCTGTACTAAAAATACAAAAAAATTAGCTGGGCATGGTGGCACGCACCTGTGGACCCAGCTACTTGGGAGGCTGAGGCAGGAGAATCGCTTGAACCCGGGAGGTGGAGGTTGCAGTGAGCCAAGATCACGCCACTGCACTCCAGCCTCAGCGACAGAGTAAGACTCTGTCTCAAAAAAAAAAAGAAAGAAAGAAATACCTGAGACCGGGTAATTTATAAAGAAAAGAGGTTTCATTGGCTCACAATTCTGCAGGCTGTACAGGAAGCATAGCAGCTTCTGCCTCTGAGAGGCCTCACGAAGCTGCCAGTCATGGAAAAGGCAAAGGGGGAGCCAGCACTTCACACGGCCGGAGCAGGAGGAAGAAAGAGGCAGGGAGGTGCCACACACTCGAAACCACCCCCTGGATACAATCTCCTCCCATCAGGTTCTACGTCCAGCATCAGAGATTCCATTTCAAATGAGATTTGGCGGGGACACAGAACCAAACCATATCAGCCCATGACTGCTGGGAAGGCAGAGTTCTGAGACCACTATTAGATCCGTTTTCATGGATGAGGCAACAGAAGCATATAATGAAGCAATCTGTCCACATTCAGCCAGCTGGTAAGAAGCCAACAGAGCTGAGATTCAAACCCAATTCAATTCAAATCCAACATGATTTAAATGCAATTCAATTCAAATCTGACTCTAAGGCCAAGGTCATGTCTTTTCAACCACCACAGTCCACATATCACAAAGCTTACAGCAGCCCCCGAACACCTCTCCTTTCGCTTCCTTTGACTCACTCACATTTTAATGACACCCTATCCTACCATTCTTGAAAAGACTGGAAAGGGCATCTCCGGGACACAGATTGGGCAACAACTGGGCAAAAAGTTCTTACTCATTGTAAAGGTAGAAAAGGAAAAGCCTGGTATAATGAATATTTGTCTTATTATTTAAGAATATTCAGCCAGGCACAGTGGCTCATGCCTGCAATCTGATACTTGTTGGCTTTAACATCCACAGAGAACACAAGTGTGTTGTTGTCTTCTGTCTTCTTCATGGCAGACTTGGTGGTCAGCGGGAACTTAATGATAGCAAGGCTGAGGCAGGAGGATCACTTGAGCCCAGGATATGGAGGCTGCAATGAGCTGTGATCATGCCACTGCATTCCAGCTTGGATGACAGAGTGAGACCCTGTCTAAAAAAATAATGCAGTAGATACATGGAATATTTGATGGAATAAACAAGGGTACCACTTACAGAAGGAAAGGAACAGAAAGATTAAGTCATGAGTCAGAAGTATGCCAGGCCTGGGTTGACTGCTATGGGGATCCTAAGCACCCAATATGGGCCTGTTCTGGCCCTGCACATCCTCTCCCAACGAATGCAGATAAAATTCACAGCTCCTCAACAAGCTAGTGAGTGAGCAGCCGCCATGGTGTGGACTCACCCCTGTGTCTCTCTGTGCCTCTCCAAGAGAGTAAGTGTGTGTATTGGCTCCAGGTACCCTCCATTCTGTTGCCCCCACCCCACGTTATTCAAGTTCTACTCTTGTCCTCTTAACCACACCAACAGAGAGGAAGGCAGATACGGTAGAGAGAGAGGGCCCATGAACATTGGGTTACCACAGATGGAACATGTGTGAACCTTCCACCCCCTGGTACCTTCTCCTCCACGAATTAACGTCCTCATCTCTTTCTCCTTGGTATGTTCTAAATGGATTTAAACCCTGGGACTAGATCATCTTAATTTTGTCCATGAACACTTCTCTTCAGTGACCTCTAGAATTGCTTGCCTGATTGTACTTGGGGGTACGACTGCATCAGGGCAACTTCCCACAGCACACATGGCTGATCTTAAGCAAAACTGAACTAGAAACTGGCCTATGACCATCTGCCTCCCTTGTTACACTTGTATGCCAACCCCATAGTTACCTGGATTCTCTCCATCGAAGTCTGCTTCTTCCTCTGGTGATGAATCTTTCTCTATGCCCTGTCTCATTTGCCAAAATTATGTCTTGTGTCTCATTCTGTTTACTATCTTGCTGGCCTTACCTCTAATTTGAGATTGCAGAGTCAACCTTCAAAATGTGTGCTCCTTAGACATTTATACCTGTACTTTGGGGTACACTGCCATCAAGTGTATTCTTTCCGTGGAGGAATGAAAAGAGGAAGACAGGGTTCTAAGGGTATAGCCCTGAGACCCCTGGCCAGGGATTTTTATCTGTTTTGTTTACAGATGTATCGCACTGGATAGGATAACGCCTAACACATGATAGGTATTCAATACATATTTGTCCAGGGCCACCTGCATTTTATAGCAGGACAAGGATTTGAGCCCCGCCCTCATGAGTAGTGCAGTGGGGATGCTCGCCACTGCGCCACATCTCATTAAGAATCAGTTAGAAAAGATGCTCTTCCTCTGTGCGCATGTTATTTCAATGGATGCTATTGGTTGCTTCGCTCATATTCCATAAAGAATTAGCCAATCTCACCATTCCCAGCTATCCTTTTGAGCAGACATGGATGGGGTTATCTATATGGTTATCTACATGGCTAACCCATCCATCATCCTTATAAACATGGATGCGGACAACGGTCTCCAGATGCCCCATTGCCCCCACCCCCACCCTTGCAAAATCGCCTTCCCGTGGCCAAAAAGATGAAGTGCAGAAGGAAAATCCCTCTGAGCAAGCATCGGAAAACGTGGCTTCCATGCCTGCCTCTACCACTAATGGCTATGAGGAAAAGTCCCTTCCCTCACCTGTTCCCCAGAAGCCTTCCTGGGGAACAGGAAGGATCTGGACCAAGTGGCTTCTGCACGTCATATTTAGTAATCTCTCTCTGTGCTGATGTAACCCCACTCAGATGCCCCAGGCTCTCATCCAAGTCTAGTGGTCCTGCCTGGAGACGTGAGCCCCTGACCAACTTCAGCTTCCTGCTCACATTATTGGCCGGGCGCGGTGGCTCACGCCTGTAATCCCAGCACTTTGGGAGGCCGAGGCGGGTGGATCACGAGGTCAGGAGATCGAGACCATCCTGGCTAACACGGTGAAACCCCGTCTCTACTAAAAAATACAAAAAATTAGCCAGGCGTGGTGGCGGGCGCCTGTAGTCCCAGCTACTCGGGAGGCTGAGGCGGGAGAATGACGTGAACCCGGGAGGCGGAGCTTGCCGTAAGCAGAGATCGCGCCACTGCACTCCAGCCTGGGCGACAGAGCGAGACTCGGTCAAAAAAAAAAAAATACACATTGCATTGTTTTTGTGGGTGTGTGTATTTCTTAATTTACACAATTGTTCTATCATTGTTCTCATTCTGTTTGTTATATATATTTTTAATTCAACACTGAGTTTTTAAGGTCTATGTTGCTGTATGTACATCAGAAGTGTTCTCTAAAATTGTTGAATAGTATTTCATAATATCAATGCAAGCAGTCTACTTTTCCATTATCTTAGGAATGAAAGCAGGTTGCCTCCAGAAACACTCTGATGGATGTCCTTGTGTGTGTGTTCTGTCATGGTCCTCAGTAGCAACTGACATGGAGTACACACCCAGAGGAGGGACAGCTAGAATATAGGGTAAACACAGGTGTAACTGAAGAAATGCTGCCAACGTCTTTCAAATGCCTGGCAAGGGCCCCTCTCTTACCAGCAATGAGCAATTCATTTTTTCTCATCCTCCACAGTGGCCCTTTGTTCTGATTCTTGCCAATCTGAAAGACTGTCAATGCATGCTGTTGTTTTACATTTTTCATTTACAGTGGATTTGAAGATTTTTTCATCTGCATGTAGCGTTTACATTTCCCACTCTGTGAATTGGTGGTGACATTCTTTGCCCACTCTTAGGTTTTTTTGTCTTTTCTGTTGGTTTTCAGGAGTTCCTTATGTATTCCAGATTTCCTTGTTGCTTTTAGATATTGCATGCTTTTTCTCCAAGACTGTCATCTTTCTGGTAACTTTCTCTGGGCGTATCTTTACAGCAGAAGAATAGATAGTGTAAGGCATTAGTCCACCTTATTTCTCTTCATGAATTGAACAAGATTTCACACCACCATCTCCTAAACTACCACCTTTTCTTCACTGATTTGTGGTACCTTAGACCTTTATTCTGTCAGTTCCTACATAGGCAGCATACTGCTTTTATTATTATGGCTTTTTATTTTTTTATTATTTTATTTTGTTTATTTATTATTTTTTATTATTATTTTTTTTTAGATGGAGTCTTGCTCTGTCACCCAGGCTGGAGTGCAGTGGTGTGATCTTGGCTCACTGCAACCTCCACCTCCCTGATTCAAGCGATTCTCCTGCTTCAGCCTCCTGAGTAGCTGGGATTACAGGCGCACACCACCACGCCCGGCTAATTTTTGTATTTTTAGTAGAGATGGGGTTTCACCATGTTGGCCAAGCTGGTCTCGATCTCCTGACCTCGTGATCCGCCCCCCTCAGCCTCCCAAAGTGCTGGGATTACAGGCGTGAGCCACTGCGCCCGGCCTACAGTCAGGTTTTAGTCAATCCTATACCCTAGAGCTAGGACAGTGGCTGACACCTGCAGTCATTGCATAAATATTTGTTGAATGGTTGACAAGGTGGCAAAAATAAGTGGTTTTATTCTCACATCAAAGCTTATATCTATTTTCTACCTACAAGCTTCTTACATCAACATCTGAACAGAACCTCACCTCGGCTTTCTCTTACAGAAAATGTTTCTCAACTTGAATGGACTCTATTGCAACCATTAATGAGGAAATAGAATTTACGTTAGAACTCACAGTGGTTATAACAGGAACTGATGAGGAACCAGCACCAGGTGAAGGGAAAAGGTGCTACTCATAAGACACAGCCGGCCGGGCACAGGGCTCACGTCTGTAATCCCAACACTTTGGGAGACTGAGGTGGGCAGATCACTTGAGCTCACAAGTTCAAAACTAGCCTGAGCAACATTGCAAAACCCCGTCTCTGCCAAAAATACGAAAACATTAGCCAGGCCTGATGGTGCATGCCTGTAATCCCAGCTACTCAGGAGGCTGAAGTGGGGGATTTCTGGGGCCCAGGAGCCAGAGGTTGCAGTGAGCAGTGATCACACCACTGCACTCCAGCCTGAGTGACAGAGAGAAACCTTGTCTCAAAAAACAAACAAACAAACAGAAAAACAAAAACAACAAAAAAACACAGCCTTTCACTGGAGGGCTTGGGGCTTGGTTATTAAGAAAAGGGTAATAAGCTGATGAGAATTTACAATTGCTGCTAATTGCTGGTGATGACCGGGGAAAGGAAGGTCCAAAAGTCGAGGTCATCAAACACTGATTCTCTTCAGGAAGGCCAGGTTTTTGTAGCTCTGTGTTTAGGTTATATATTTTTGAATATCTCCATTGCTTGGTTTCCAAGAAGAAACTCGACTTTGTTTTTGGAAATCTTACTGAACACTTACTCTGCTTTTCCCCCATTAAAAGAATTGCTTTTATAAAATTATTTGTTCAACAAAAATTTTTAAGGTCTTTGGCACAGTGCGGTGGCCCGCGCCTGTAATCCCAGCACTTTGGGAGGTCAAGGTGGGCAGATGACTCGAGCTCAGGAGTTTAAGACCAGCCTGGGCAACATGACGAAACTCGGTCTCTACAGAGAAATACAAACATTAGCCAGGTGTGGTGGTGCATGTCTGTAGTCCCAGCTACTTGGGAGGCTGAGGTGGGAGGATCATTTGAGCTCAGGAGACTGAGGCTGCAGAGAGCCAAGATCATACCACTGCACTCCAGCCTGGGCAACAGAGCGAGACCCTCTCTCAAAAAAAAATTATATATGAGATATAAAATTGAATATATACAACTGACATTAAATTGTTTATATAGAATTGATATAAAATTGTATATATCATATACAATTTCCTACCTCTCATATAATCTTTGTGTTTATTATTTTAATGGCTGCATAATATTCCAGAGTTAACTAATATACCCTGATTTGCATGACGCAAATGGGGGACACTGAAGTCGTTTCTATGCTTTTGTTACTTAGCATTTTCTCCTTTTGAGCTGTTCTTTAGGATGAATCTCCATGAGCCGAATTGTGGCAACAAAGGCTGTGCAAAGGCTCATTCCAGCTGCTCCCCAGGAATAGTGAGCTCATGCATGCCACCAATACCAGCACGTGCTCATATCCCCCGTCACCAGCATTGCGGTGCTTAGCACTTCTTTGTGTTTCTGTTTTTGTTTTTTTTTTTTCACTTTTCATTTTGAGATCACTGGAGATTCACCTGCAGTTTTAAGAAGTAAAGCAGAGAGATCCTGTAAATGCTTCACCAGTTTTCCCCCAGTGGTAGCATGGGACCTAACTATAGAACGTCACACTCAGGAACTCAATATTGGTTACATGCATTCGTGTGTGTGTGTGTGTGTGTGTGTGTGTGTGTGTGTGTGTGTGTGTAGTTCAGCTCTATGCAATGTTATCTTATATGTAGACTCATATAACCCCCAGCCACCGCAGTCAAGATACAGAACAATTCTGTTACAAGCAAACCTGATCTACTCTTTTATAGCTACATTTACCTCTCCTCTTCCCCACCCTTAGCAACTACTGTGTGTTCTCCATCTTTATAACTTGTCATTTCAAGAATATTGTATAAAAGGAATCACATAGTGAGTAACCTTTGGAGATTGGCTTATTTCACTCAGTGTCATTCCCTGGAGATCTACCTGAGTTGTTGCATGCATCAGTAGTTTATTCCTTCTTTTTGCTGAGCAGCATCCTTTGATCTGCATGGACCGTGGTTTGTTTAACCATTCACCCTTTCAGGAACATTCGGTTTGCTTCTAGTTTGGGGCTATTATAAATAAAGCTGCTATGAACATTCACATGCAGATATGGGCATAAGTGAACATAAGTCTTCAATTCAATTTATGTGAACATAAGTCTTTTTTTTTTTTTCCTTTTTGAGATGGAGTCTCCCTCTGTTGCCCAGGCTGGAGTGCAGTGGTGCTATCTGGGCTCACTGCAACCTCTGCCTCCCAGGTTCAACCGATTCTCCTGCCTCAGCCTCCTGAGTAGCTGGGACTACAGGCATCTGCCACCATGCCCGGCTAGTTTTTGTATTTTTAGTAGAGATGGGGTTTCACCATGTTGGCCAGGCTGGTCTCAAACTCCTGACCTTGTGATCCGCCTGCCCCAGCCTCCCAAACTGCTGAGATTACAGGCATGAACCACTGCACCTGGTCATAAGTCTTTAATTTCTCTGGGATTTGCCCAAGAGGGCAATTGCTGGGTCATAGGGTAAGTGCATGTTGAGTTTTGTGAGAAACTGCCAGGCTCTTCCAGTGAGGCTTCACCATTTCACACTCCCACCCCCAAATTAATGAGTGATCCAGTTTCTCTTCATCCTTCATCCTTGCCAACATTTGATGCCATTCCTTTTTTTTTTTTTTTTTTTAGCCAGCCTCATGAAAGTGTGTTGATATCTCATTGTGGTTTCCTATATGTTTGTGATGGTGTAATAGTTATAAAGAGATAATATGGGCCAGACTTAATGGCTCACACCTGTAATCCCAGCATTTTGGGAGGCGGAGGCGGGTGGATCACCTGAGGTCAGGAGTTCGAGACCAGCCTGGCCAACATAGTGAAACCCTGTCTCTACTAAAAATACAAAAATTAACCAGGCATGGTGGCACATGCCTGTAATCCCAGCTACTCAGGAGGCTGAGGCAGGAGAATCGCTTGAACCCAGCAGGCAGAGGTTGCAGTGAGCTGAGATCACGCCATTGCACTCCAGCCTGGGCAACAACAGCAAAACTCCCATCTCAAAAAAAAAAAATTAAAAAAAAGATAATATGATACATAAACAAATACACATCAGCCTAGTGGGACACTGGAAAATATTCCATTATTACACACATGAACATTTCTGCAGCAAACCTATGAACACTCACATAAGTGGAATACATAAAGCATAAATTATGTGGAATAAATACGGGCATAAAATGTGGAATAAATAAATAAGTGGAGCCAGGTTTGTTGGCTCATGCCTGGAATCCCAGCACTTTGGGAGGCTGGGGTGAGAGGATTGCTTGAGCTTAAGAGTTTGAGACCAGCTTGGGCAACATTGTAAGACCCCATCTGCAAAATAATAATAATAATAAATAACTGGAATAAATAAGTATTCTTGTTTCGGTTTAAATCTGAAGGTACCAACAAATGAACTCAGGTCAGATTTGGCAGCCAAATAAGTCATGAAAAAATTCTCAGTTTTCTCAAATGTCTGGACATTGGAATTGCAGATATGGAATTTTGGGCCTTACAATGAACAGTTCTAGGCAGCTTCATGCCATTAAGTCATGACTGGTATAGACTCCCTGGACAGTAGAAAGGACAGACCAGGAGAAGATGCTGTTTGTTCATCACTTATGCATTCAGCTGGCAAACCCTGTTGAGAGCTTACTGTGTACCAGCAAATGAGGACCATCCCTTAGGAAGCCTCAGGGAAGCCCCTTACCCAGGCTTCCAAACTCCCTGCCCACTCTGTGGTAGAAGATGATGTCTCCCTTGAGCTGGAACAGCCTCATGAGTGTCATCCTAAAATGCAGGCTGATCACCACCAGTTTAGAGCCCTTCTTTATTTTCACGCTGTCATCTATAAAACAGACATATCTGGGCATGAAGCAAGTTCCCAGCTTCTCAAAAATCTGCCCCTGTTTGAAAGGTGGAAGGAGGGAAAGAGAGAGACCAGTTGATTGATTTTAGGACCAAGCAATTCTTTTCACCCAGCTGATACTGCCCAGACTTGCCGCCTGCCTCAGTCTAGGTTTATGTGCGAAACTACCATTTTGGATGTTGATATAGTTTGGATGTTTGTCCCCTCCAAATTTCATGTTGAAATGTGATCCCCAGTGTTGGGGATGGGACCTGGTGGGAGGTGCTTGGGTCATGGGGGCCGATCCCTCATGAAGGGCTTGGTGCCATTCTTGTGGGAGTGCGTGTGAGTTCTTGCCCTATTTGGTCACAAGGGAGCTGATTGTTGAAGAGGAACCTGGCACCTCTCTCCCCTCCCTCTTTCCTCCTCTCACTCCACGATGCTTGCTCCCCTTTGCCTTCCACCACGACTGGAAGTTTCCTGGGTCTCCCACCAGAAACAGACGCTGGTGCCATGCTTCCTGTACAGACTGCAGAACCATGAACCAAATAAACCTCTTTTCTTTATAAATGACTGAGCCTCAAGTATTCCCTTATAGCAATGCAAACAGACTAAGACAGATGTACCCTGAGCTGTCTCCTCTACAGCAGGTAAATATCAGAAGCTACTCATAAAGCTCTAAGAATTAGGGTGGATGTGATCAAGACAAAAATCCTTGTTCTGTCCTTACGGGACAGAATTTCTTCTCAGCCTCTGTACAAAACACCCCCAGCCCAATTAGTCTTGAATCGATACTGGCTCTTAACTCATCTCTGACCAGCATGTGGCTCAGTACTTTCCAAGGTACTTTAGTGTCTTCATTTATTTTTTGATGCATTCATTCAACAAACGTTTGTGGAAAGCCGCTAGTTTGAGGAACAGGGCCACATGATGTCTTTCATGGGCCCCTTCCCCATGCATAGTCCAGAACAAAGCTGAATGGCTGACCCAGAACTTGCCCTTGACTGGAGCCCCTTCCAGCACAGCGTTTACAGCTGGGAAGACCTGTGTTCAACTCCCACTTCTGCTTAAAGCTGTATGGTTTTAGGTAAATCAATGACACCCATCATCTCAGGTATCTCACCAACAAAGTGGGAATAATGAAATGTACCTCAGGGGGCTTCTAGGTGGATTAAAGAAAGTTATTAATGGAAATCTACAAAGAAGGCACTCTGCAAAGGCTAGCTGCCTTTTCTGTGACTTCTTGAGCATGTGCCATGTATTTGGTGAGACACAGGGTAATTCCCTGGAGATCTACCTGTCTAAACGTGACAAAGGCAGCACTCAGGGATAAAGAGCCACAGGTAAGCCTGTAGCAAGGGTAACTTTGATTCCTGTGTGTGGAAAAGGTGCAGCTGGAACCTGGTAGCCACAATCTTCCCACAAAAATTTGTTGATGAGGCCAGGCGTGATGGCTTATGCCTGCAATCCCAGCACTTTGGGAGGCCAAGGTAGGATGATTGCTTGAGCCTAGGAGTTCAAGACCAGCCTGGGCAACATAGTGAGACTTTGTCTCAAAAAAAAAAATTAGTTGATGAGTTTCATTCCCAGCCAGGTCCTGAACGACTGAGTTCAATCAGGTGTTCTGCAAACAGATTCATCCATGCAAAGGCAATACCTGGGGAGAAGACTCTGGTTGGCAGGTTATATACCTGTGGGCCTTCCATGTGGCCCCCATCTCACTCAAGGAAACACCAAAGACTTTATAATATCCTCAAGGCCTTACACGGTCCCTCATCCCACAGCTCCCCTAATACCATCTCCCCGGCCCCCTGTTCTCTCTGTCCCCGCCACACTGGCCTCTTCCAGAGTTCCTGAGTTACACTCCCTCACCTCCTCCAGCAGTTGAGTCAAGGGTCACTTTGATGAGGCAGGGTCCCCACGACTCCTCCTGGATAGGCATTACCATCCCTCCTGCCTTTTCCTCTCCACAGCGCTCTCCCAACCAGAGCCTTGTTTGTTTTAGTGGGATGCTGAGTGCATTCCACTTGTCCATCTCCTCCCGCTAGAAAGGAAGCTCCAAGCAAGCCCCGGCCTTGTCGCTCACCACCGCGTGGACCTCGAACAGTGCCTTGCCCAGAGCATGGGCTCAGTAGGTGTGTGTTGACTGGCATCTAATTCTCCTACTCCACACTCACACTGGGACCTTTGTGAGGACTGTTCATAGCTCTGCCTTAGCTCAGGGAGGCACATCTTTCTATTTATTGAAAAATACTGGAAAACAGCCCTTTTTTTCTTTTTTTTTTTCTTGGCACTCTAATTGTTTATTCTTTGACTTTTAAATTGATATCTTTTTTTATTATACTTTAAGTTTTAGGGTACATGTGCACAACATGCAGGTTAGTTACATATGTATACATGTGCCATGTTGGTGTGCTGCACCCATTAACTCGTCATTTAACATTAGGTATATCTCCTAATGCTATCCCTCCCCACTTCCCCCACCCTCAATAGGCCCCGGTGTGTGATGTTCCCCTTCCTGTGTCCAGGTGTTCTCATTGTTCAATTCCCAACTATGAGCGAGAACATGCAGTGTTTGGTTTTCTGTCCTTGCGATAGTTTGCTGAGAATGATGGTTTCCAGCTTCATCCATGTCCCTACAAAGGACATGAACTCATCTTTTTTTATGGCTGCATGGTATTCCATGGTGTATATGTGCCACATTTTCTTAATCCAGTCTATCATTGTTGGACATTTGGCTTGGTTCCAAGTCTTTGCTATTGTGAATAGTGCCGCAATAAACATACATGTGCATGTGTCTATATAGCAACATGATTTATAATCCTTTGGGTATATACCCAGTAATGGGATTGCTGGGTCAAATGGTATTTCTAGTTCTAGATCCCTGAGGAATCGCCACACTGACTTCCACAATGGTTGAACTAGTTTACAGTCCCACCAACAGTGTAAAAGTGTTCCTATTTCTCCACATCCTCTTCAGCACCTGTTGTTTCCTGACTTTTTAATGATCGCCATTCTAACTGGTGTGAGATGGTATCTCATTGTGGTTTGATTTGCATTTCTCTGATGGCCAGTGATGGTGAGCATTTTTTCATGTGTCTTTTGGCTGCATAAATGTCTTCTTTTGAGAAGTGTCTGTTCATATCCTTCACCCACTTTTTGATGGGATTGTTTGTTTTTTCTTGTAAATTTGTTTGAGTTCGTTGTAGATTCTGGATATTAGCCCTTTGTCAGATGAGTAGATTGCAAAAATTTTCTCCCATTCTGTAGGTTGCCTGTTCACTCTGATGGTAGTTTCTTTTGCTGTGCAGAAGCTCTTTAGTTTAATTCGATCCCATTTGTCAATTTTGGCTTTTGTTGCCATTGCTTTTGGTGTTTTAGACATGAAGTCCTTGCCCATGCTATGTCCTGAGTGGTATTGCCTAGGTTTTCTTCTAGGGTTTTTATGGTTTCAGAGCTAACATTTAAGTCTTTAATCCATCTTGAATTAATTTTTGTATAAGGTGTAAGGAAGGGACCCAGTTTCAGCTCTCTACATATGGCTAGCCAGTTTTCCCAGCACCATTTATTAAATAGGGAATCATTTCCCCATTTCTTGTTTTTGTCAGGTTTGTCAAAGATCAGATGGTTGTAGATATGTGGCTTCTTTTTCAGGTTGTGTTGAGGACAGAGGATTTCCTGAGATTGTCCCAGGAATGGGCTGGGAAGGCCTTAGACCTCCTGCCATTTATTCCCAGATCTCCCTCACCCCACCCCTGCTTCAAGGCCCTACATTTAGCAGAGTTGCCCAGCACAGGCCAGATGTCCCATCAATGTTTACTGAATAAAAGACTAAGGAGCCAGGTGCAGTGGCTCATGTCTATAATCCCAACATTTTGGGAGGCCAAGGCAAGAGGATCCTTGAGCACAGGAGTTTGAGACTAGCCTGGGCAACCTAGGGAGACCCCATCTCCACGAATTTTTTTTAATTAGCCAGGTGTAGTGGTGCACACCTGTGGTCCTAGCAACTTGGGAAGCTGAGATGCAAAGATGGCTTAAGCCTGGGAGGTTGAGGCTGCTGTGAGCCACAATCGCACCACTGCACTCCAGCCTGGGCAACAGAGTGAGACCTTGTCTCAAAAAAAAAAAAAAAAAAAAAAAAAGGAAAGAATAAAAGACTAAAGAAATGAATCTAAATGAATAAGGTGGTGAACAGACATGCTTCCCAAGCAAAATAGCAACAAACCTGAAAAACAATATTTCAAACATCCCAGAAAGTAAACAGCAAAATGAAATCAGCTCCAGCTTAGGATAGTCCACCTTTGTTCTATCGAAGTTAGAGACTTAAAAGACTAAAAAGGAACCCATTTTACAAGTGAAAACACCATGGTCTAGAGAAATTAAGAAACTTTTTCTAAGTCACCCAGCTGGCTACCTGCAGATTTAGGGTTCAGCAAGAAACCTGAAGACTCAGGAAATTCTCTCTCCTCGGTACAACCTGAAAAAGAGACCAAAATTGGCCATTTCTGGTATTTTTCAATACATATAAAGATGTGTATTCCCCAAGCCAGGGAAATGCTCTGTACGGGCCTCACCAAGTTCCCAGCGCATGACTGTGGAGCAGCAGAATTAGATGCCATTCAATGCACACCTACTGAGCCCATGCTCTATGGTGTATGTTCTGCAGCCAGAGAGCCTGGGTTCAAATCCTGGTCCTACACCTAACTAGCTGTTGGCTTTGGGCAAGTCATTTAGTCCGCCAAAGGTGGATACTAATATCCTACTGGACTCAGGAAATTAAATGAGATAAAACTTGAAGACTATTGTAGGGGATCAGAAAATGCTCCCCCAAAATATGCTGCTTTGACATAAGGATTATATTGAGCTGAAGACAACTGAGAAAACAGTAAACACTTATTTGCCTAAAAAGCAAATATATTCTATGAACATATATGTAAATATATAAATTTATGTTCTATAAATTCTCCTTTGTGAAAGCATCCTCTTCCCTCTTTTGTACCAGGAAGGGCAGAGGAAGATGACTCTAGACTCTCATCAGCCCAGAGACAGCACCTAAAGACATTTACATACAAAATTTACAAAACAACTTCTATCTTCATCTGTTTACCCATATATTTACCTTCCCACAGTTTGCCACCCTTAAAAGCCTAACCCCCTTTTTCCTTTGTCTTCTCACTTCTCTATAAATTTATTGTTCATTGTCAAAATGGTATATAAGTTCTCCAGCCTCATTGCTTCTTTGGGGGTTTTCACTTTCTAGAAAGCCCCCATGCCACATAAAAATACTAATATCAAATAAAATTTGTATGCCTTTTCTCCTGTTCATCTGTCTTTTGTCAGTTTAATTTCCAGGGTCCCATCCCTAGAACATAAAAGGTTTTTTGTCCTCTTCTAGATGATGAAAGATAAACTTTTCACCAGTGGCAACACTTGCCTGGGAGCTATTAAAACACAGTGCTATGGTTCATGACCACTGATCCTAACCATCCAAAGCTGATAAACAACCACACACTCTTAAGCTACCTCAGTATGCTGGACCCTCACTTACCTAACTGAAGTCTCTTTCCTGACCAGCGAGCAATAGGACTTGTTTTAACCAACTAGGTTTGCACTTAAGGACTCAATCTGCCCTTCTCAGGCAGGACCAACTTGTACTACCTCACCCCACCCTTTTTTTTTTTTTTTTTTTTTTGAGACAGGATCTCACTCTGTCACCCAGGCTAGAGTGCAGTGGCATGATCTTGGCTCACTGCAACCTCTGCCTCCCAGGTTCAAGCAATTCTCCTGCCTCAGCCTCTCAAGTAGCTGGGATTACAGGCACCTGCCATCATTATGTTGTCCAGGCTGGTCTCAAACTCCCGACCTCAGGTGATCCACCTGCCTCAGCCTCCCAAAGTGCTAGGATTACAGGCGTGAGCCACCATACCTGGCCAACATTGATGGTTTTATGCAAGGGAGTAAGATGACCTGACTTATGTTTTTAAAAATTACTTTAGGGGCCAGGTGTGGTGGCTCACACCTGTAATCCCAGCACTTTGGGAGGCCAAGGCAGGCAGATCTCTTGAGGTTAGGAGTTGAAGACCAGCCTGGCCAACATGGTGAAACCTCGTCTCTACTAAAAAAAAAAAAAAAAAAAAAAAAAAATTAGCCGGGTGTGGTGGCACACCTTTAATCCCAGCTGCTCAGGAGGTTGAGCCAGGAAAATTGCTTGAACCCAGGAGGCAGAGGTTGCAGCGAGCCGAGATTGCACCACTACACCTCTGAGTGAAGCGTGAGACTCCATCTCAAAAAAAAAAATTACTTTGATTGGGAAGTCCCTACAAAAGTTCAATGTATGACCCAGCAATTCCACTCCTAGGTATATGCCCAAAAGAATTGAAAACAGGAACTCAGACAGATTCTTGCATGCCATTGTTCATAGCAGCATTGCTAATGACAGCCAAAAAGTGGAGACAACCCAAGTGTTCATCAGTGGATGAATGAATAGACAAATTGTGGTATATTCATACAATGGAATGTTATTCAGCCATAAAAAGGAATGAATAGAATTATGGCAAAACTGATGAGATGTCACTTCCAAGATCAGGTTTTATAATACACTTTTATAGTAACAACAAAGAGACTGAGGCTTCCCTCTGGGTATACGGGGCACCCCCTCCCTTGCTTCCTCTCTCACTCTCTGGCTCACTCACTCTGAAGCCAGCTGCCATGTGGGGAGCTGGGAAAGGCAGTCTCCCACATGCAATCTTTCCACCCCCATTTGGCCACATCAGAATGGACGTTGGGGCTGGGACATTTCATAACATGACCTGTGCTAGGCTTGCTGCCTTGTGTGGGAAGATCTTTCCCTGTTGCTAGTGTGTGCTCCTTTGTTCTGCCTAAGCATGGGCATCACATGGCATCTGGCCAACTCCACTGCTGTGTCTGTCTCCATGGGAGGGAATGGGGTCCTTCAACTACAGCATGAGAGAGGTGCATGTAACCAATTGCCCTGTGTCAGCTGCCCCAGGAGAGACTCACTGGCCATGGGGGCTTTGCTGGCCATGGGGACACACTATTGACACTTTTTTTTTTAACTTTTATTTTAGGTTCAGGGGTACTTGTGCAGGTTTTTTATATAGGTAAATAGCATGTCACAGGGGTTTGGGGTACAGATTATTTCATCGCCCAGGTAATGAGCATAGTACTCGACAGGTAGTTTGTCAATCTTCTCCATCCTCCCATCCTTTACACTCAAGTAGGTCCCAGTGCCTGTTCCTTTTTTGTGACCATGCATTCTCCATGTTTAGCTCTGACTTATAAGTGAGAATATGTGGTATTTGGTTTTCTGTTCCCAAGTTTCACGTAGGATAATGGCCTCCAGTTCCATCCATGTTGCTGCAAAGGACATGATCTCATTCTTTGTTATGGCTTTGTAGCATTCCATGGTGTATATGTACCACATTTGAAGCTGATCATCCTCTGCCTCTTCTCTATGTAAGTCAAGCTTGCTCCATTCAGTGTTTAACTAGGTTGTGTTTCCTTTGGCCATTCCAGTACCAAGATGCAATGGGCAGAAGTGTTTGGACCTCTCCCCTGGAACTGGTAACTGGTACACAGTGTTCTGCTTCACAATGATGTCTTTAGCCAACAGCCAGTGAAGCCCTGAGGTTTGCCAACAGCCACATGAGTGGCCAAGGAAGCTAATCTTTCCCCAGCTGAGCATTGAGATGATGGCAGCCCTGGCTGACACTTGATTACATCCCATGAGAGATCCTGAGCCAGAGACTCCCAGCAAGGCTGTGTTCAGACTACTGCCCCACGAAAACTGGGAAATAGTGAATACTTGCTGTTTTTAGTTGCAAAGATTTGGGGTAATTTGCTATGTAGTAGTAGTAGACAACCAACACATATTTTTAATACCCGAAGTAGGGAAGTACAAAAACCTAAAAATGTGTTGGTAATTTTTAATGTTTATTTATTTATTTGTTTGAGACAGGGTCTCACTCTGTCACCCAGGCTGGAGTGCAATGGCATGATCATAGCTCACTGCAGGCTTGACTTTCCAGGCTCGGGTGATTCTCCCACCTCAGCTTCCCAAGTAGCTGAGACCACAGGCATGTGCCACCATGCCCAACTAATTTTTTGTATTTTTTGTAGCGACGGAATTTCACCATGTTGCCCAGGCTAGTCTTAAACTCCTGGACTCAAGCCATCTTCCTTGGCCTCCCAGGGTGCTGGGATTACAGGTATGAGCCACTGCACCTGGCCAAAATGTGGTTGTAAACTTAACCTTGGGCACAGTGGTATGGCTTACATTTAATGAAGTTGAGATGCCAGGGTTTCCCCAGCACTATTTGTAGAAGGAAATCCAAAGTCTTATGGAGATGGGACTGTTGGACTGGATTTCTCTTTTGCAACCTGCACGATCACCCCCCAACTACAAATGCCAAGAAGGCACAGAAGACAGTTCCCTTACTAACACACCAAGAAATTCATTTTTGTGGAGGACATCTATACCCTTAAAAATGTCTGAGGCCAGGGGCAGTGGCTCATGCCTGTAATCCCTGCACTTTGGGAGGTCGAGGCAGGTGGATCACCTGAGGTAAGGGGTTCAAGACCAGCCTGGCTAACATGATGCAACCCTGTCTCTACTAAAAATGCAAAAAAGTAGCCGGGTGTGGTAGCGGGCACCTGTAATCCCAGCTACTCAGGAGGCTGAGGCAGGAAAATCACTTGAACTCAGGAGGCGGAGGTTGCAGTGAGCCGAGATCACGCCGCTGCACTCCAGCCTGGGCAACAAGAGCAAAACTCCGTCTCAAAGCAACAACAACAACCAAAAAAAAAAAATGTCTCTGATTATTCTCCTTAGTAAGCAGGTATGACTGTGGAGGAGGCCACATTGAGATGGTCTTTCTAACTTTATTCAAGATAATGGTATCTGTGATGGTTAATACTGAGTGTCAAGTTGATTGGATTGAGGGATGCAAAGTATTAATCCTGGGTGTGTCTGTGAGGGTGTTGCCAAAGGAGATTAACATTTGAGTCAGTGAGCTGGGAAAGGCAGACCCACCCTTGATCTGGGTGGGCACTGTCTAACCAGCTGCCAGTGCAGCTAGAATATAAAGAGGCAGAAAACAGGAAAAGATGAGATGGGCCTAGCCTCCCACCCTACATCTTTCTCCCATGCTGGACCCTTTCCGTCCTCGAACATTGGACTTCAATTTCTTCAGTTTTGGAATTCGGACTGGCTCTCCTTGCTCCTCAGCTTGCAGACGTCCTGTTGTGGGACCTTGTGATCATGTGAGTTAATACTTAATACAATTCCCCTTTAGATGTATATCTATCCTATTAGTTCTGTCTCTCTAGAGAACCCTGAGTAATACAATATCACAGAGCAGTAGAGGACTAGCGGCAACACTTCATCACCAAAAGCAAGGTGAGTGCATTTACCATAAAAAGCAGGAGAGACGCGGGGCATCTCTCCTGTAATCCTGGCTCACAGATTATGCTGGCTCATGCCTGTAATCCCAGCACTTTGGAAGGCTGAGGTGGGAGGATTGCTTGAGCCCAGGAGTTTGCAACCAGCCTGGACAATATAGTGGGACCCTCTCTCTACAAAAAAAAAATTTATAATTAGCTGGCCATGGTGGCACATGCTTATGGTTCCAGCTATTTGGGAGGCCATGGCAGGGGGATCGCTTGAGCTCAAGAGCGTGAGGCTATAGCGAGTCATGTTTATGCTACTGCCCTCCAGCCTGTGTGACAGAGTAAGGCCCTGTCTCAAAAAAAAAAAAAAAAAGCAAGAGGGATGTCCCAGTAATCAGAATGCTCAGCCCACAGAAATCTAGGCAGTGGCTAAGTGATCATGGTGTCTCAGGAATGAAATATATCATCAGTTTATTAGAGTGATTTTTTTAATTTAAAAAAAGCTCCAGGTCTAGTGCCTATAAACCACTTAAGTCACCACAGTAGAGCCATGACCTCTCATCCAGTTTCCAAACCTAAGTCACTCCACAGATACAGAAACCCTTGATAAAAGTAGAGCCTGGGTCTCCCTGAGGAAGGACCCTCCAGCTTTGCCTCAAGTATACACTCTAAATCTTCCCCAAGCCCTCCCCAAAGGGATCTGCAGTCATTTACCAGAGTGACTGTGCACAGGAGAAAAGGAAACATTCAAATTGTTCAGGAATCGGTACACATAGATTCTAAATTAAGACTTGTCCTAGGGACCTGTAGTGCTGGTGGTTCTCTCAAAGTCGGGGCTCACTGTAATCAGGTGACAGATGAAATCTTGCCTCAAGTCCAACTCACACTGGGCCCAATTGGTCCAAAGACACGTGTGTTTGTTATATCTCTAGTGCCTCAATGTATCATTGAAATAGACATATGTGAAAACTAGCAGAATCCTACATTGGCGCTCTGACCAAAGGGATGAGTGTCACTGTGGTAGGAAGCACTATGTGGAAGGCCCTGGACTTCCCTTCCCTACCAAGACAATAAGCCAGAAGCAGTGCTGCCCCTTCCTACCCCCAGGAACTGCAGAGATTCATACCACTCTAGAAGACTTCAAAGAAGCACCTATTGCACCCTGATTTAATTCACCAATGAGAAATGTGCAAAAATCAGATTGATCTTGGAGAATGTTTGTGGGTGATTCTAAAACTGCTCATGCAGTAATTTTATAATTCAATTGCAGCTGTTTTTCCAGCTGTAGCATCATATGGGAGCAAGTAAACACAGCTCCTGGCACTTGGTAAGCAGCTACTGACCTGGCAGATGCCTTTTGTTCCATACCAATTTTGTAAGGAATACCACAAGCCACCTGCCTTTATCTAGCAGGGCTAACAGTATACCTTTACATTCTCACCTCAGGGCTATGTCAATTCTGTTTTCTGCCATAATATACTCTTCAGAGATGAGGATCATGATATTCCTGTAAACATCACACTGATCTGATACATCAGTGACATTGTGCTGACTGGATCATATGAGCAGAAAGTAGCAAGTACTTTAGATTCTGTGTTAGGTTCAACCCAGGAGACAGAAACAGGGAGTCACAGATATAAAGAACAGCCACTGCTCCTAGGTCAAGATCTGACCTTATTTTAGAGGACATGGTCATAGGTAACTAGAAAAGGTGCCAAAAAGCCATTCATGGGAGAGTGTCTAGTTGGTGACACTCTGCTGCAAAACCATCTGAATGTTACCAAAGGAGGCTGCTGGTCACTGAGTGTGATGGCCGCTGGGTACTGTAGGAGCTAGACATCAGAGAAGCCTTTCTCAGTGGGCCCCACATGTTGGCAAAACTGAATGCTGCAGGAAACCGTGGTAGAGAAAACACAAACTGCAGACATCTGGCAAGAAGAGTACACCAGAACTAAGACGAGAAGCCCGCCCTTTTCCAATATTTCTCCAGCACCTTCTACTGACAAACCTTAACATTGTTGGCCAGGGGCGGTGGCTCAGGCCTGTAATCCCAGCACTTTGGGAGGCCAAGGCAGGTGGATCACAAGGTCAGGAGATCGAGACCATCCTGGCTAACACGGTGAAACCTCGTCTCTACTAAAAATACAAAAAAAAAAATTAGCCAGGCATGGTGGCGGGCGTCTGTAGTTCCAGCTACTGGGGAGGCTGAGGCAGGAGAATGGCATGAACCCAGGAGGTGGAGCTTGCAGTGAGCCAAGATCGGGCCACTGCACTCCAGCCTGGGCAACAGGGTGAGACTCTGTCTCAAAAAAAAACAAACAAGCAAACATTGTTTCAGGTGACAAAATAGAACTATGTCAAGGGTATGTCAAGAACTGGGGAATAGGTCTCAGATTTTTATCCTACTTGCAAACTAATATTTTATCCTACTTGCAAAATAATAAGACTAATAAGTCTACTTGCAAACAATAAACTATCCACAGTTTCATGGATACTGCCAGAAAACATGAGATGTCAGGCTCAGATTCAAAGATTATTATTATGTATAGCATGGCAAACAGAATGAACTTCACATTAGCGTTGGTTCTCCTTGCCTCCCAGATCCCATGGGAATGACACAGAGAAGCCCAGGTGGATGGTGTGCATGGTAGGGGTGCATCACAGGTGAGGAACTCTGACCTTCAGGGACTCCAAATCTTCTATAAGCAAGAAAACCTGCCTAACCTTTTCCCTATTATCTTTTTTTTTTTTGTAACTTTAAATTCTGGGATACATGTGCAGAATGTGCAGGTTTGTTAGTTAGGTATACAGGTGCCATGGTGGTTTGCTGCACCTAGCAACCCGTCATCTAAGTTTTAAGCCCCACGTGCATTTGGTGTTTTTCCTAATGCTCTCCCTCCCCTTGCCCCCCACCCCCTGACAGGCGCTGATGTGTGTTGTTCCCCTCCCTGTGTTCATGTGTTCTCATTGTTCAACTCCCACTTACGAGTAAAAACATACGGTGTTTGCTTTCCTGTCCTCTGTTAGTTTGCTGAGAATGATGGCTTCCAGCTTCATCCATGTCCCTACAAAGGACATGAACTCATTCTTTTTTATGGCTGCAAAGTATTCCATGGTGATATGTACCACATTTTCTTTGTCCAGTCTCTCACTGATAGGCATTTGGATTGGTTCTGTGTCTTTGCTATTGTGATTAGTGCCACAATAAACATAAGTGTGCATTAAGTGTGCATGTGCCTTTATAGTAGAATGATTTATATTCCTTTGGGTATATACTCAATAATGAGATTGCTGGGTCAAATGGTATTTCTGGTTCTAGATTCTTGAGGAATCCCCACATTGTCTTCCACAATGGTTGAACTAATTTACATTCCCACCAACAATGTAAAAGTGTTCCTATTTCTCCACAGCCTCACCAGCATCAATTGTTTCTTGACTTTTTAATAATTTCCATTCTGTCTGGCATAAGATGGTATCTCGTTGTGATTTTCACTTGCATTTCTCTAATTATCAGTGATGTTGAGTTTTTTTCATATGTTCATTGGCTGCATAAATGTCTTCTTTTGAGAAGTGTCTGTTCATATCCTTTGCCCATCCTCATGGATAGGAAGAATCAAAGTCATGAAAATGGCCATACTGCCCAAAGTAATTTATAGATTCAATGCTATTCCCATCAAACTACTATTGACATTCTTCACAGGATTAGAAAAAACTACTTAAATTTCCTATGGAACCAAAAAAGAGCCCATATAGTCAAGGCAATCCTAAGCAAAAATAACAAAGTTGGAAGTATCATGCTACCTGACTTCAAACTATACCACAAGGCTACGGTAACCAAAACAACATGGTACTGATACCAAAACAGACACATAAACCAGTGGAAGAGAACACAGACCTCAGAAATAACACCACACATCTACATCCATCTGATCTTTGACAAACCTGACAAAAACAAGCAACAGGGGAAAGGATTCCCTATTTAATAAATGGTGCTGGGAAAGCTGGCTAGCCATATGCAGAAAACTGAAACTGGACCCCTTCCTTACACCTTATACAAAAATTAACTCAAGATGGATTAAAGACTTAAATGTAAAACCCAAAACCATAAAAACCCTGGAAGAAAGCCTAGGCAATACCATTCGGGACATAGGCATAAGCAAAACCTTCATGATGAAAACACCAAAAACAACTGCAGCAAAGCCAAAATGAACAAATGGGATCTAATTAAACTAAAGAGCTTCTGCACAGCAAAAGAAACTAGCATCAGAGTGAACAAGCAACCTACAGAATGGGAGAAAACTTTTGCAACCTACCCACCTGACAAATATGTAATATCCAAAAGATCTAGTATCTTTATGATACTAGACAGTAAATAAACTTGCCCCCTGGTGCAAGAGAAAACACTATATCTTCCAAGATTGATTACTCTACAAACATCCTCAAAAAGACAATCTGGATCAAAGGCCATCAGTGCTTCTGTTCACAACAGGCACAGAAATGTGAGAAACCCAGGGAGAATGGTCTCCCTGCAATCTTCACCACTCATTACTTGATCTTGGCTTCTGGGAGATTTTTCCATGAGTATCCCACGCCTTTAGCCACTCTGATTAATCTGACTGACAAAGGCTGGGGATGGAGGGAATCTCCAATTTATCCTGTAAAGTATTTAATAAAGGCTACTATCTACAGGACTCCAAACAGCAGGATCAGGCTAATCTATGGGAGAACTGACCAGTTGAACAAATCTGATCAACCATCTGGGCTTACCTTAGAAAGCTAGGTGGCTTGCTTTATAAGTGTTTGTACTGATTTTTCTGCTTGGCCGGCAGCATTGATTTAGCCACAGCAAGATGTAATAGCAATTACACAGACTCCACCTTGGCCCATAACAAGGAAATCTAAGGTAATGCTATCGTTCACAGTAACCCTGGGTGGCAAGGTGAGGCTGGCCTGGGTGCATCTCAGGGCCATAGCAGTGTTTCCTTAAATATGCAAAAAAACACATACAAGGCTTTCTCCTCCTAGGAAAAATACAAGTTACTATATTTGAGGGAAAGAGGACAAGATAATACGTGGCTTCCACATAAGAACTTCAGCCCCAGGGGCATACATGGTACTTCTTGAAAGAAAGCACTGTTTGCCAGGTGCTGTGGCTCACATCTATAATCCTGGCATTTTGGGAGACTGAGGAGGGAGAATCACTTGAGCTCAGGAGTTTCAGACCAGCCTTGGCAACATGGCGAAACTCCATCACCACCAAAAATGCCAAAAAATTAGCCTGGCATGGTGGAGCATGCCTGTGGTCCCAGCTACTGGGAAGGTTGAGGTGGGAGGATGGTTTGAGTTCAGGAGGCTGAGGTTGCAGTGAGCCAAGATCACACCACTGCATTCCCTCTCTACTGCACTCTGACTTTGGGCAACAAAGCCAGACCCTTTCTAAAAAAGAGAGAAAAAAAAAAAAGAAAGAGAAAGCACTGTTTACAATTTGGGGATTCACCAAGTGGAAGCTATATTCACTGGAGGGCACAGGTTGACAGTGTCTCTAATGGCTGGCTGGCATTAATAGTATGCCAGCAATCCAGTCAATGTTAGGGTTCCCAAGTGGGCAGAGCAGCTTCTATAACAGCCTGAGCTTGCTACAGAGCCTTCTCTTGCTCTGTTTCCCACTTGAAACAGGCAGGCAGGCAGGCAGGCTATGGGGAATTTTCTAGTTGGATGGAAATAGCTGGCACAAATGTGCTATATGTTGCCTTCAAAATCCAAAAGCCCTAATAAGCATTGTGCATTTTTCATTGCAGATGGCACAAATGCAGCAACTTGTCTTTCACCTTGGAGCAAATATTTCAACATTCTCCACATCACCAAACCACCAGAAACTTCACTGATGTAGCTGTCCCTTAATTGTTTTGGAGTTTCTTTCACTTTGCATATGTCTTCCTAAGGTATTCTAAACTACATGCTGCTTCCTGCCTAACAGATCCAATAAGTATAATGCCATCAACATAATGGATTATCATGATGCTTTCTGGACTGTCAAAGCAATTACAATCTCTGAGGACTATATTAGAGCAGAAAGCAATATTGGCATTTCCCTGAGGCAGGACGGTAAAAGTATACTGTTACCACTTCCAGATAAAGGCAGGTGGCTGCTGGTATTCCTTACAAGTTGGTATGGAACAAAAGGCATCTGCCAGGTCAGCTGCTTACCAAGTGCCAGGAGCTGTGTTTACTTGTTCCAGTATGATGCTACAGCTCGAAGAACAGCTGCAGTCGAAATCATTGCATGAGTAATTTTAGAATCACTCATATGCATTCTCCAAGATAGATCAGACTTCTGCAAATTTCAAACTGCTGAATTAGATCAGGGTGTGATAGGTGCTTCTTTGAAGTCTCCTAGGGTGGTATGAATCTCTGTAGTTCCCTGTGTGGTGCAGCACTGCTTCTGACTTATTATCTTGGTAGGCAGGGAAAGGTCCAGGGCCTTCCACATAGTGCTTCCTGCCATAATGACCCACATCTCTTTGATTATAGAGCCAATGCAGGATTCTGCCAGTTTCCACATATGTCTATTTCAATCATATATTGAGCCACTAGAGATATAATGAACACATGTGTCTGTGGAGAAATTGGGCCCAGTGTGAGTTGGACTTGAGGCAAGACTTCATTTGTCACCTGACTACAGAAAGCCCCCACTTTGACTGGGAAAGCCACAGAAACACTGTCCTCAAGATTGGTGTCAATTCAGAACTAGTGTCTAGTGACTTCTGTGTTCACAATTTCTTATAAGTGTTCCTGGATATAAGTTTTAGCTAGGTTCTCAGAGGTAGAAAATGTCTTATGAAAATGTGATTGTACTTAGAGGCTGATAAAGACTTTTGAGAGAAAAGAAGAAGACTGCTGATATGGTTTCTTTCTCCTGATTGGACCCTACCTAATACAAGGACATACAGTTTATGTCATAAAAATATGCTAGGAATAGCTTAGAAGAAGGTGCAAATTACTCCACCCAGGGAAGGCCAGATGGGAGTAATGGGAGTAGGGGAAGGGAGAGTTGGGGAAAGATTAGAGGACTCTACTGGGGGAACCATTGGTCACTAGCTCCAAGTCAGGCCAATGGTTACAGACTAACCTGAGTTTCTCAGGCTGAGAAGTTGGGTTGACTGTTCTTCCCAGCACCTTCTGGTAAGGCCTTCTGTGGAAGACATGCTCTAAGGTGGCCTCATGGTCCCCACTCCCCAGTGGTCATACCCATATGAAATCCCTTTGGGTGGACAAGGCTTATGAATTGCTTCTAACCAACAGCATATGGCAAAGGTGATGGCATGTATGTGATATGTGCTTGTGATTACCTTGCATTAGTTCTAGTAGCTACCTTGCTGGAGTCTGTCTCTCCCTTGCAGTCATTTGGAGAATTTCATGTGTCAAGACACTGTGGGTGACCTCTAGAAGCTGAGATTGATCTCTGACCACAGCTTGCAAGAAACTGAAGTCCTCAGTCTATAATCACAAGGAATTGAATTCTGCCAACAACCTGACGAAGCTTGAGAGTAGATCCTTCCCCAATTGAGTCTCAGATGAGACCACAGCCCCAACACCTTGATTGTAGCCCGCAAGAGGCTACCAACACAGCCCCTGACTAAGCCAACAACCCAGCTAAACTGTACTCAGGCTCCTGACCCACAGAAACTGTGAGCTAATAAATGTGTATTGTTTTAAGCCACCATGTTTGTGGTAATAACGTTACACACCAATAGATACTTAACACACCCTTCCATCAAAGCTGCTTACGTATAATCCATTAGTCACAATGTCTGCTCATGCCCCCAGGGGCCCAACCCAAATTGACTGTGTGGATGCCTGCTCTTATTGCAAAGAACCAAGACTTCTGTAGGACCCCCTCCTCCATCAGTCATAGGTGAGGTCGTTGGTACCCACTGAGGCTATGGTTGGGAAAGCCTCCAGCTTCAGCATTTGGGTGGGACTTTGGTGAGACTGACAGCACTGAGGCCCAGGGGTATTACAGGTATATCTAGCAAACATGGGCCCAAGCAAACACTAGTGTGGGTCACCTCTAACATGCAATACAAATATTCCCTTCCTTTTCTCTGTGAGCAGAGAAATTGGCATGGCTAAGCTATGGCTTGGTTCTTTATAAAAGTGAGAATAGTCTGGCATGGTGGCTCAGGCCTGTAATCCCAACACTTTGGGAGTCCAAGGTGGGTGGATCACGAGGTCAGGAGTTCAAGACCAGCCTGGTCAACATGGTGAAACCCCATCTCTACTAAAAAATATAAAAATTAGCCAGGCTTGGTGGTATACACCTGTAATCCCAGCTACTCAGGAGGCTGAGGCAGGAGAATCGCTTGAACCTGGGAAGCAGAGGTTGCAGTGAGCCGAGATTGCACCACTGCACTCCAGCCTAGGCGACAGAGTGAGACTCCATCTCAAAACAAAAAGAAAAAGTGAGAACAATATACAAGCTCATTGAAGAAAACAGGCTAGCAC
The DNA here is from genome assembly GCF_000001405.40 of Homo sapiens. Taxonomy (NCBI): domain Eukaryota; kingdom Metazoa; phylum Chordata; class Mammalia; order Primates; family Hominidae; genus Homo; species Homo sapiens. The sequence continues at coordinate 12,667,473 of NC_000001.11, read as the reverse complement.
CTTACTGCCTTAGGAAATGCAGTTTCCATATTCCAGATGGCATCCAGAGGTTCTCAAGACATCCCTGACTTGGTGAACCTACCTGTTAGTACCCAGTGGTCTGCTTTTGGAATTCAGATTAAAGACTTGAGCCCAGGCAAAGCTCACAGCTCCCCAGAGCCCACCCTTTTCTTCTGTTCCTTTCCTCTTGCCTCTTTCCCTGTCTCTCTCTTTCCCACAATCCCCTCTGAGATCTTCATTGTCAAGGGTAGAATTTCATTGCAACAGCATTTCTCAGACCAGCTGGAGCCAATCAAAGTCGAGATTTGACCCAGTGACCTTTGGCCGCAGGAACAATTAGATGCCCCCTCCAGCAATACTTTGACTTCATGGATACAAATTCACCACTGACGGTATGACCAGTTGTTGGCATTTATTCTGCACAGATCTTATATGTTGGGGCTTTGAGAAATTTTTAAAGGCATTTTTTTCTCCTTTTGATATTTATTTCACCTAAATGGGAATGTTAGAGAATGTCGCTAGATCCAGCAATGGACATTGTTAGTGCTGGAAGGAAACAGACACAGTTTGGATTTTCTTGAATACTAAGCAAGACTGTTAGCTTACTTCTCACCCTTCCCAGCTGCCCCAAGCATTGATGTAGCACCTCTTTAGTCAATAAAATAGAACTCACTAAAGCACCCGGTTTCTGGTAGAGTCCATACTTGCCCCTTCCTCCTCGGGGCCCCAGGGTTACTATCATATGCCCTTTATATAACTGACTACAGCATTCACAATCTTCAGGGAACATGGGAAAGAGAGAGCCTTCTTATCAAAAAAGATAATGGATCCGTGAAAACCATCATACAGGTGGTACCATGTCACGCGGACCCCCTGGTCCTCCAAGCGCTTCTTATAGAGCAAGCTGTCATCACGGAGTATGTCATTCTCACAGCTCACCAGGAAGGCCTCAGGAAGCTGAGCGATGACCTCATCATCTGCTATCAGGGGTGAATTTTCTACATCCAGCATATGTTTGGCTTCTAGATAGGCAGCTTCATTAAAAGGGCCGGGAGACCAGGGTTGGTAGCCTCTGTTCTTAAATTTCTTGGGGATGTTGTCAGGGCTGAGCCACTTCTCGTACTTCCTCCAGACGTCTGGGGGTACACAAGTGCCGTTCAAGATGGCGTCACGCCAGGAGAGGTCAATGGCCAGATAGTTACACAGAGAAGTCACCATGAACTTCCGGGAAAGTAATGGGACATTTTGGTTCTGCTGAAAGGATGGCAACTGCAAACAGAATGCCTGGACAACTGGATAAATCAGAACCTGAGCCCGGATCCGGGGAAGATCTGATCTGCCCACCAAGGCCTGGGTGATGGCGGCCACCGCTGCACCTCCGACGCTTTCTCCACAGACCACAACCCTGGAGGGGTCCACCCCATAGGTTTCCAGGGCCTTCAGGAAGTGAATGGAGGCATTCATGCAGTCTTGGAAAAGGGCAGGGGAATGGTGGTCAGGAAGCTTGCGGTACCTAAAACGAAAACAGGGAGCAACACTACACCAGTGTGGACAGTGTTGCTAGGGAGCTGTTTCAACAGAATCCTCAACCCCCTTACAAGACTATATCTGATTAAATCCTCAGAATAACCCTATGAAATAAGGATTTTATCCCCATTGTCTTCCTATGAGCATGTGAAGAACCTGCCTAGAGTCATACAGGCAAGGATTCTTAACTCCAAACCTGTGCTCTGTCAGCTTCCCGTAAACTCTATACGAGGTGATGCAACTTTGTTTTCATTGAAGCTATTTGCTTTGGGAGCAAAACAACCAGCAATGGCTGAAAAAAAGGCAAATGAAACCACTACCAGTCCCACTGTTTGTCTGTAGAGAAAGGGAGAGAGAACACTAAAGTTAAAGTCAAGAGGAAGCTACTTTCAGGCAGAATTTTTTTTTTAATCAAAAATCTAGGCCGGGCACGGTGACTCATGCCTGTAATCCCAGCACTCTGGGAGGCCAAGGCGGGTGGATCACGAGGTCAGGAGATCGAGACCATCCTGGCTAACACGGTGAAACCCCGTCTCTACTAAACAAAATACAAAAAATTAGCCAGGCGTGGTGGCGGGCGCCTATAGTCCCAGCTACTCAGGAGGCTGAGGCAGGAGAATGGCCTGAACTCAGGAGGCAGAGCTTGCCGTGAGCCTAGATCGAGCCACTGCACTCCAGCCTGGGCGACAGAGCGAGACTCCATCTCAAAAACAAAACGAAAAAAAATCAAAAATCTAATTTAAAAGAATTGGCTAGGCATGCATGGTGGCACACACTTGTAGTCTCAGTTACTCAGGAGGCTGAGGCAGGAGGATTGCTTGAGCCCAGAAGGTTGAGGCTGCAGTGAGCTGTGATTACACCACTGCACTCCAGTGTGGGAGGCAAGAGGGGCAGGGAGTGTTCTGAAGGTGTAATGTAGAGACGGAAAGCTAGCCTGGAAACCCACAGCTCAAGCTGCAGAAGACCCGGGTGCCAGCAGCTGGTGAAGAACACTAGGGCGTTGGTCTTCAGTATCCTGAGGTTTGGCTTCCGAAGTATGTCCCCTCAAAGAAATTCAAGGGCAAAGAAAAGGAACTTTAAAATGAGCTTTTAAAAGCAGTAATGAACAAGCTAATTAATGCATAAATTGAGATTAAGATAATAGAAAGGAATGAATAAAAAAATAGAAACAGTTTGGCTTAACTGATTGGAGTAGAGAGTTTATCTAAATAATTGTTCTCTTAAATGTTAAGTTGAAGTGGCTGCTAATCATCTTTTCTGTTCTTACAATCTATCATTGAAAACATCAAGGCCGGGCGGTGGCTTACGCCTGTAATCCCAGCACTTTGGGAGGCTGAGGATCACTCAACCTCAGGAGTTCAAGACCAGCCTGGCCAACATGGTGAAACCCCATCTCTACTAAAAATACAAAAATTAGCGGGGTGTGGTGGTGGGAGCCTGTAATCCCAGGCACTTGGGAGGCTGAGACAGGAGAGTCACTTGAACCCAGGAAGTGGAGGTTGCAGTGAGCCGAGATTGTGCCACTGCACTCCAGCCTGGGAGAGAGTGAGACTCCATCTCAAAAAAAAAAGAAAGAAAACAAAAGAAAAAAGAAAAAGAAAAGAAAACATCAAAAAGGTATATTCTAATTATCACATTAAATTTGGAAGAAGCTCATAAGGAAAAATAACACCTTAGACTAGTGGCTTTCAACTTAGAACGACAAAATTATTTTTTTCATTTCGAAGAAAAAAATTATATGAGAGCCCCATTGTATAAAATAAACAAATGCAGTTGTTCTGGTTTTGCCCAAGGGTAAGGAACATAAGCCCTCACTCTTTCTTCTTCTTCTTTGACCTCCATAGCTGCCTCTAAGGCATCACAGGGAACTCTAGGGTTCAAAAGAACCATTTTGAAAACACTTCCTTCTATTATACCTTGAATTTTGTTTCCTTTAAAAGTTAACACCTCATCTTTCAAAATAGAGTTTGATTGATTGCAGCATAATTTAGTGCCCATCTAGGAAACAATTATCACCCAATAATCTTATTGGCCATTTCCTAGATGGTCAATATATTGATAAATCTATCAATGTTATCGAAGCAGGTTCCTATTTAAGCTCAGGCGAAACACATGCTTCTTAGAGGGTCCTTGCAGGGAGGTGGCCCCTTCACCTGGTAGCAGAGAGTACAAACCTCAGCTTTCATTTTCCCATTTCTAGAAATGAATACTCCTCACCAAATGTTGAATATATGACTCCAACATGATGAAGGGGATAACAAATATTAGGTACTTTCTATTGGCAAAATCTGTGACCTGCCAGAAAGAGGCAGAAATTCTCCTGTGCCTCCCTACACTTCTCTCTTGCTCACTGTGATAGACTGAATGTGTGTGTCCCCCTAAAATTCCCATGTTGAAATCCTACACTGCAATGCAAGGGTATTAGGAAGTGGGGCCTTAGGAAAGTGATCAGGTCATGAGGGTGGAGCCCTCATGAATGGGATTAGTGCCCTTATGAAGGAGGCATTAGAGAGCTCTCTGGCTTCTCTTTCTGCCATTCTAGGATACAAGGAGAAGCTGGCAGTCTACAGCCTGGAAAAGGGTCTTCACCAGAGCCTGACCATGCTGACACCCTGATCCTGGACTTCTAGCCTCCAAAACTCTGAGAAATCAAAGTGTTGTTTAAGCTGCCCCATCTATGGTAATTTGTTACAGCAGCCCAAACTAAGAAACTCACCCAGAGGTGAAGGCTTCGCAGAACCAAAGGTCAAAAGACCCATCTTCTCCAAGAGTTCGGGTAGGGAGTCCCATCCAGGCCTTAGACATCTCCCTTCCTTCAGTGTCTCTCAGGGAGTCTCCTCTCAGCTACTGTCTCCCTGCAGCCTCCTGGAAGCCCTTATCTGTGCATGCAGCTCCATGAGCCACTCTATCAAAACTGCCCTGGCCCGTGCACCAGGTCTAAGTATCTGGGATAATGGCATCCTAAGCAATTTCCTACAAGGTATTAATGCAGGTGCTTATTGATACCTTTATGTGCTACCTGTTCAAGGGATGTTTTTATTATCACAAAGGGCTTTGGTGACATAGACTGTAATGGTGGAATTTCAGACACAATGGTAAGCCACCTGGGAGGTATGTTGATGAATACTAGAAAGTGCTGGCTTCCTCAATCTCATCAGAGAGGACCAGAGATGTTAAGTGACTTTGTTTAAGTCACACAGCTATTCTGTCTACCAAAGCCTAGGGGCAGCTAAGGTTTGAGGAGGTCCATTGTAGAGGTAGAATCTAAAAAGGCAGATTTTAATTTCTCTCGCTGGCCTTCTCTAAACTCTTTCCCAGTGATGTGAGATCTCTTGAGCCAAGAACCAGAATCCTAGTGAGTAGCCCCTACTGCCCCCTCCATCCACTCTAAAGATGCCTCCATCTCCCTTTTGTTTTTATAGGACCAGGGTTGTATCTTAAGACACTCTCAACACTAGTTCCTGTAGGACCAGAAGCTTAGTTAGTTTTTAACAATGCAATAAGCACCTGCAGAACCATCACCCCAAACAACAGCCAGAATCTTGCGCATCACCTTCACCAACCCCACCATCATGCCATTTTGCTTCTCCTCCAACTTAATGAATGGTTACCCTGAATCCTGTATCTATCATTTTTTTCTTTCTATGTTACATTGTCTTGTTACGTCTATGTGTTTTCCTCGAAAGTATTCTTTTGGTTTTAACGTTTTTACCTTTGCAAAATGAGTATCAGGCTTTATGTAATTTTTTGAACATTTTTCACTTAGTTTTATACTACTAAGATTCATTTGCAACATGGTACACCTTTCTAGTTCATTTATTTAAATGGCTGTGGAAAAATCCATAATATCTTCTTGGCTATGTAATCTAACAGTTGCTGTGCTGAGGTTTATTCATGCACGCCCCCGTTCATGGACATGTGGGTTGCTTTCAGGTTTTTGCTCTTTCGAGCACTGCTGCGCCTGTCTCTGTGGATGCATGTCCAAGAGTTGCCTCTTGGGAGTTAGGGCCTCTCTGATCTACAAATCACCCATGAACTTACCCTATCTCCTCTCACCCCTGTGGAACCTACCAGCTGTCTCCAGAAACTCACCCAATCATCAGAAGTACAGATTCAGTCTCCCGGGCCAGATAATTGCACAGGCCATGGTAACAATCTGCAAGACAAAAACACTCAGAGCAGCAGCGCATGAGTAGGACCCAAACCATCTCACCACAGCCCCCAGGAAGAGCCAGCTGACAGTCTTGGTGTGGGGTGTGGCATCCTCTCTGTTTCTATCCTTGCCTCCTCTGCCTGGACAGAGCCAAAAAACCAGGCCAAATCATACATCTGTCCCCAGCCTCCTGAATTTTGGGACTCAAATTCACCTTGGGGCTCACTTTCTGCAACATTTATTTTACAGTGGAGGAAACCAGGAACCTGGAAATCTTAGTGATCTGAAATGGAAAAAAACCAAGGGAAGTTAGGCATGCCTGCCCTAGGATGTTAATAATAACTATAAATTTATATTGATCAAGAAATAAACAAGGGTTGGACGGGATGTTTCTATGAGTAGAGTGGTGCATATGAAGTTCTCAGAGGCAGGTCCGTCAATATGAGTACGTAGAACATACTAGCACAGTGGCAGACACAGAATCACTGCCAAATACACTTCTAATGCAGTCATTCTCAACTTCAGCCATACATAGAGGTACCAGGGAGTTTTTACAAGTCCTCAGGCCCAGGCTAAACCTCAAACCAATTAAATCAGAATCTCTAGCATGGAAGCTCAGGCATCAGGATTTTCTAAATCACACCAGGTAATTCCAGGGTTTGGAGGAGGTTGCTGAAGTGGGTGCATGCCTCATTAATGCTCTTTGAGGGAGATGACAATGGTTCTGAATGGAGCCAGAGGCACAGAGGGGTCTAAATTGAGTCGGAGCAGTCAGCCCCTAAGTTGAAGTTTCCATACTAGTAGGTCTCAGCCCTGGCTGCACATTGCAGTCATCTGATGAGCTGTTTAAAAATACTGATGCCCTGGTTCATGCCTGTAATCCCAGCACTTTGGGAGGCCGAGGTGGGTGGATCACGAGGTCAGGAGTTTGAGACCAACCTGGCCAGTATGGTGAAACCCCGTCTCTACTAAAAATACAAAAATTAGCCGGGCATGGTGGCACATGCCTGTAGTCCCAGCTACTCAGGAGGCTGAGGCAGAAGAATTGCTTGAACCCGGGAGGCGGAGGTTGCAGTGAGCCGAGATCATGCCACTGCACTCCAGCCTGGGTGACAGAGCAAGACTCCATCTCAAAAAAAAAATGCTGATGCCTGGGTCCTGCCCACTTAGCCTGGGGTATGATCTGGGTATGAATATGACTTTAAAATTCGCAGGTGATTTTAAGGCCCAGACAAAGTAAAGACCTCTGCTAGACACCCGGGGCCAACCTGGGTGTCATCTTCCCGATGTAACCCAGACATTCCTCCTTTCCCAAGCATGTCAGGTAGTCCCTGTTTCAGAGCTTTGCACTTACTGTCCCTCCCACTTAGACTTAATAGGGCCAGGACTAGGGTGAGGTAGGCAAGACATCGCCTTGGGTGCAAAATCAAGGGAGCCCCACAACACTCAGCCATACAGAAAAATAACATTTGGATGCAATTAAGAAATCACAATTAATGCCAAAAAATTGTATGTTGAACAAAATATCAAAATTTTAAATAGGCTTGGCTGGGTGCAGTGGCTCACACCTGTAATCCCAGCACTTTGGGAAGCCAAGGCAAGAGGATCACTTGAGCCCAGAAGTTTGAGACCAGGCTAGGCAATATAGCAAGACCCCGTCTCTGTAAAAATAATTAGGCCAGGCACAGTGGCTCACTCCTGTAACCCCAACACTTTGGAAGGCCAAGGTGGGGGGATCACTTGACCCCAGTAGTTCAAGACTAGCCTGGCAACACAGGGAAATGCCGTCTCTACAAATAACTGAAAAATTAGCCAGGCATGGTGGTACATGCCTGTGGTCCCAGCTACTCAGGAGGCTGAGGCAGGAGGATCACCTGAGCCCAGGAGGTTGAGGCTGCAGTGAGCCATAATTGCATCACTACACCCCAGCCTGGACAACAGAGTGAGATCCTGTCTCAAAATAAACAAACAAATACATAAATAATTACCTAGGGGTGGTGGTGCATGCCTGTGGTCCCAGCTACTCGGGAGGCTGAAGCAGGAGGATCACTTGAACCCAGGAGTTGGAAGCTGCAGTGAGCTGTGATCACGCCACTGCACTCCATCCTGGGTGACAGAGCAAGATCCTGTCCTTAAAATATATATATGTATATAAACAGGCTTCTATTTTTCACTTGCACACTTGCTGTGCCCTGTTGGGTCCTGCCTGTGTATACATTTTGACATTTTGTTCATCATAATTGTTTTGCATTAATATTTGTTTTTTTAAACATTGCATTAAAATATTACTTATCTTGATTAATGAATGTTTTGGCATCCTCTGAATTTGGAGCCTGAAGCAAGTGCCTCCCTCTAGCCCCGGCCCTCACCTAGAAGGCTCTTTTCCGGCTTCCAAAGGGCCAGATCCTCCTCATCCATTGAGCCTGAGGTCAAATCTGACTTCTCTGATGAGAAGAGCTAAATCGGAATGATGCTGTGAGATTCTCCATGCCACCTGTGTTATCATGATCTGCAATAACTTCAGTGTCCAGCTCCCTCAGGTGACTGTCAGGTCCATGAGGCCAGGAACTGGGTTCTGTTCCCATGACAACAGATCCAGCTAGAGACTGTCCTTCGTCACTCCCACCACCAGGTGGCAGTACATCCTAATCTCGGGGAAGTTATGTACCGGGAGAAGCCCGCCTTTTCCTATGGGCAAATTTTTCTCGTATGTGTCCATGCGTCGGTCCATACATCCATATCCATTTGTTCATTCGCAAGCTCATCCTTTCATCCACTTATTCCCCCATCCATCCATCTATTCATTCGTGCATTCATTCATTCAATTCAAAAAATGAAAACAACAGGCACTGAGGATCCAGCAACAAACAAAACTTCTTGCACTCTTCATTTTTAGTGGGGGAGTCAAGTACTGAATATGGAAACCCATGAAAGAACAAAATGAGCTCCGACTGTGTCAAGTACCTGAAGAAAATTAACAAGGATGAAGCCGGGGGTGGAGACCAGGGTGCAGGGCAGGGCAGCATCAGCGCTGGGGGTGGAAACGGGTGCAGGGCAGGGCAGTATCAGTGCACGGGGTGTACACGGGGGGCAGGGCAGGGCAGCATCAGCGCCGGGGGTGGATACAGGGGTGCAGGGCAGGGCAGCAGTCAGCAAGGAGAGTTCTTAGATAAGATGTCCAGGGAGGCTGAGACAGGAATAACACAGGGTGGTTACAGGAGAATAGAAAATTCCAGGCCACGCGTGGTGGCTCACCCGTGTAATCCCAGTACTTTGGGAGGCCAAGGCGGGTGGATCACCTGAGGTCAGGAGTTCGACACCAGCTTGGCCAACATGGCAAAACCCCGTCTCTACTAAAAATACAAAAATTATCCAGGTGTGGTGGCACGCGCCTGTAATCTCAGCTGCTTGGGAGGCTGAGGCACGATACTCGCTTGAATCCGGGAGGTGGAGGTTGCAGTGAGCTGAGATTGTGCAACTGTGCTCCAGCCTGGGTGACAGAGTAAGACTCTGTTTCGAAAGAAAGAAAGAAAAAGGAAGGAAGGAAGGAAGGGGAAGGAGGGAGTGAGGAAGGGAGGAGAGGGAGGGGAAAAGAAAGAAAGAGAGAAAGAAAGAGAGAAAGAGAAAAAGAAAGAAAGAAAGAAAGAAAGAAAGGAAGGAAGGAAGGAAGGAAGGAAGGAAGGAAAGAAAGAGAGAAAGAAAGAGAAAGAAAGAAAGAAAGAAAGAGAAAAAGAAAGGAAGGAAGGAAGGAAGGAAGGAAAGAAAGAGAAAGAAAGAGAGAGAGAGAGAGAAGGGGAGAAGAGAAGGCAAGACAAGACAATTCCAGGCAGCAGTTTCACACAATGAGCAAAAGGAAACTTGAAATGGCTGCAGAAGCTAGAGACTGATAAAACCCTGAAAAGCCAGGGTGTTGGCCAAGCTGGCTAAGACTGACTGGACCCAACATGGCACCGGATTTGACCTGAGTCTCTCCTAGGACCTCCTTCTATGTCATCAACATACTAAACACACACCCACTAGTACCATGGCAGTTCTGGGACACCCATTTTGGTCCCAGAATGGGTGTGGACCCACCACAGTTCTGAGAAAACTCCGCCATTTTCCAGGAATTTTCATGAATATTCCGCCCCTTGGTTAAAGAAACCTATAAAGGTAGCAGCCCCAATCCTCCTCGCACGTGTCTCTCTTGAGTCTGCCTGCACTCTTTTCTTGACTATGTGCTTTTCCCTTTGCAATAAATCTCCGTACTTTCACCATTTTCTGACTCGTCCTTGAATTCATTCTCATGATAGTGTCAAGAGCCTGAACACTGGCGAGGGTCAACGTCCCAATGGCATTTGGGGACCTCCCCCAGACCAGCAGTATCATCTTTGTGGCGAGCCAGTCAGGAACATCATCGCTCCCATTTTAGAACCACTGGCAATTGGTAAGTCCCGCTCCAACCTTAGTTTGAGTCCTCTTGTTCTCTGGAATTACTACTTTCTTCCTTCTTTCTTGGAGCTAGCTACAGCCTGCCTCCCTGCTGCTGTTTCCCTCAGTCTGGAAAACCCAATTCACCCTGATGGGTCACAAGCAGAGATGAGAAATTTTCAACCTACACAGAGTAGTTTGGGGTTTTGTTTGTTTGATTTTTTTTTTTTTTTTTTTTTTTTTGAGACAGTCTTTCTCTGTCACCCAGACTGGAGTGCAGTGGTGTGATCTCAGCTCACTGCAACCTCTGCCTCCCGGGCTCAAACAATCCTCCTGCTTCAGCCTCCTGAGTAGCTGGGACTATAGGCATGTGTCACCATGCCCAGCTAACTTTTGTATTTTTTGTAGAGAAGGGGTGTTTCACCATGTTGCCAGGGCCAGTCTTGAACTCCTGAGCTCGAGCAGTCCACCTGCCTCAACCTCCCAAAGTGCTGGGATTCCAAGCATAAGCTACCATGCCCAGCCTTACACTGAGTAGCTTTGAGGCACCATGGTCCTCCCTGACACGAGGCTAATGAGGGTGGTAGGGTAAAAACCCATACCAGGCAGTGGATGGATGGTTTCCAAGGAGCACTATGACTTTTTCCTGGGAAGGGGCTTCTGTTTTCCCAAGGGACCAGCTGTGCCAATACACTGACGCTAGTTGGAAAATGTTTTCTCCTTGTCTTTCTTTAAACCTTACTGTTGTGATTTTCTCTTCTCATGCTTCTTCCTCACACTTCACCCGAAAGCTTAGTGAACTCTTTAGACGCAGCAGGGTAGGCCCCTTAGATACTGTTCTCTGGAATGCCAAGTGCTCCCTTCAAGGTCCCTATTTTTTGGCCATACTGAATCATCTCTACTCCCAAGCTTTACCTGGTGGTAAATGTTCAGATGGATATCAGCAAGCTTGCAGGCCCACAGCTTGCCCTTCTCGACCTTCCCATTTCCAAAGCCCCAGGGGCCACAGATGCCTGGGCAACACTGAGACTCCAGAGATGCCTAGATGCCGAGGACAGTAGGGCTCCAGGGATGCCTGGATGCTGAGGCAGCCAGCCAAGGGAACTGGGATGCCTGTCTCCCTGGTGTGGACATGGAGCTGGCCAATCACAAGGGACATTTCATAAAATGCCAGGACCAGTCCATCCATGAGGGAACCATACTGTTATTTTCCCCTTCTGTCTCAAGTCATGCCAAGGACAAGCCAAGGCCATGGGTAACTTTCCGTCTCTGTCAACTCCCCTTTGGGACACATTCTTAAAAACTGGAGTAATTTTAAACTTGATGGGCTTAGAAGAAACTCATTTCTTTCTATAACACCATTTGGCCCCAATATAAGTTGGAAAATAGGGTGCAATGGCCAGAGAATGAAACCCTAAATTTTAATACCATCTTGTGATTAGGTCTTTTTTGTAAATCTCAGGAGAAATGGACTGAAATACCATATATATAGGCCTTCATGGCTCTTTATCAGAACCCTTTATTAGCCAGTCAGTGCCCAACATCAGGAGAAAATTACAGAAATTGGCTTTGGGACTCCAAATGCCTGTTAATCAAATGCTTGATGTAGCTTTTGGGATATTCAATAATAGGGACAGGGCTGAAAAGGCTGAAAAGACCCGGCATGGCAAACAATGGGATGAAGTGCAAGCCCAAATGATAGCCATCCTTGTAACTCTGCAACCAGTGCCCCACAAACCCAGGGTCACCCAGAGGGAGGCTTCAGTCGTTGGTGAAACGGGCCTAACAGCAAACCTGCAGGCAATGGTTACTGCTTCAAGTGTGAAAAGCTGGGACACTGGAGCAATGATGTCCCAGCCAGGGAGCCCACCTAGACCCTGCCCTCACTACAAGCAGAAGGCCCACTGGAAAAGGGACTGCCCTGAGCTCTGAAGGCAGGGGACACCCGATGCCATAATGGCCATAACTGAGAACTGAAGAGGCCTGAGGTTCCTGGCAGCCCCCACAAAAATCATGGTCATCACAACTGAGGAGCCTCAGTGACTCTTGACATGGCTGGTAAAAATATTAATTTCGTAATTGACTCAGGGGCCAGTTACTCTCTCCTAAACAGCCACCCTGGGCCCTTATCCTCCAAAAACTACAGTGTCACAGGTGTTGATGGCACCCCAAAATCAAAGTGCTTTACTTTACCCCTGAACTGCAGGCTAGGACCATATATATAGTATAGTCTATATAGTATATATATTAACTCATGAGTTTCTAATTATGTCGGAATGTCCCATTTGTTTGTTGGGATGTGCGAGACCCTGACCCAACAACGGATGAATAACATGTACTGACATGTATTCTGCTTTGCCAGTCCGGCTGAGTGTCCGAGCCGTTTACAGACACCAAGCAAGGTGCTGTAAAGAGTCAGTGGCCACAGCCCTGACCAGCCAGCGAGACTCGTATTTATTCAGTAAAGATTAATTGACAAAGGCTTGAGTCAACACACCTGTGGGTAATTAACCTGGTCACCCCTACCCCGGAGAGGGCCGTCTTGCCCATGAATGATCAAAGGTTAGTCTTAGGACCACGTGAGTAAACAAGCTATTTAGATAAACTGTTCTATCTTCCTTTGTACCCACTTTAAGCTATTTACTCAAGGTAAGGATTAGGTTGCCTTCAGCCATAACCTTATCCTGAGATTTTTGCAAAAACCTTCAGGCCTTCCAAGAAGGTTTGTGGCTATTATAACTAAAATTTTTCCCACCAGCCTGACTGAACCCCCACAGGGATGGGACTTCCTAGCCATCCCAATAAATGAGCCACTCTATCAGGCCCTAGAAAGCCCTCCTTATCGGCAATGCTTGCTGCTTCTAAATCAGCCTCAGAAAAACAGGAGACCCACTCACACACCGAAATAAGGTCTCAAGTAGACCCACAAGTATGGAACCAAGAAACTCCTGGCAAAGCAATACATGCTCAGTCAGTGATCATCTCTTTAAAAGACAAAAATAATTCCCCATACAAGGATCAATATCCTCTCAAATCAGAAGCCAGGCAAAGACTGCAACCTCTAATTGAGAAGTTGTTAAAACATGGCCTCCTGGTTCCAGGCAGATCTCCTTGTAATACTCCTGTCTTTCCTGTCCAAAAACCAAACAGTAGTTCAAGACTTACAATGAGACCGTAATTCTCTTACATCCTATAGTGCCAAATCTTTATACCGTATTTACCCAAATACTGGGAGACACCAATTGGTTCATGGTATTAGATCTTATGGATGGTTTCTCTCTGCACCCTGAATCTCAGTATTTGTTTGCTTTTGAGAGAACTGATCCTGGAACTACTATTTCCCTACAGCACACCTGGATGGTACTGCCTCCAGGCTTTGGGGATAGGACTCACATGTTTGTAAATCCCTTGGCATGAGAATTAAGGGAGCTAGAGCTAGAAAGGGGGGGATACTCTAATACGTGGATATTATCCTTGTATGCAGTCCCTCTGAGAGGACTCAGAGAAGAATGGCATTCAGGTCCTAAACTTCCTGGGAAAAAGAGGGTATAGGTTCTCTTCATCCAAGGCCCAGATTTCTAAACCTGAAGTAAAGTAAAATATCCGGGGCACATCCTAAGCCCAGGGAACCAGACCTTGTCCATCAAATGAAAGGAGGCAGTCTTGAAGGTAGGACCTCCACAAACAAAGCAGCAACTTAGAACTTTCCTGGGTGTGCCAAGGTTTTACAGGATTTGGATCCCAGGATTTGCGCTCATTACTAAGCCATTGTACGAGGCCCTAACAGGACCAGAGCATAAACCACTCAGAAGGGTTTGTGCGGTAATAAACCATACCTGTTGTTCTTATATCAACAATTCAGGATTAGCTGAACTGCATGTTCAAAGTTTTACCAACAGGCTATCCGGCTGTATAATTTCAATAACGTCACTGCTGAAGCCATGTGGGACTCCATCCAGGGATACCTACCAAGTGTGACATGAGTCCTACCTTTCCTGGGTCCTCCAATAGCTGTCTTATGACTTCTGATCTTGGGTCCTTGCTTGTTTAATCTCTTTGTAAAGTTTATGTCTTCTTGACGCAAATGGTTTTTGCCTTTTATGGCAAACACTGCAATTACTTTCACACCAATCTAATAGACTGCAACAGTTCCATGTCAAAAGGATGGCCCTGAAGGATTCCAACCAATCCCTGCCTCAGATTCAGATCCTCCTGATGACCCACCTTGGGTCACCCATAGGCTAGGCATCCAGAGATTTCCAAGCCTACACTAGGCGGGGCCAAGACCCCTAATCAGCAGAAAGTAGATACTGAAGACTGACCTCCCCCGTCATCAACCCCTAAGTATAGGAGATGGAAATCTCTGAGGGAAAAAAAATGAGATAGGAATTACACAGGGTGGTCGCAGAAGAATAGAAAATTCCAGGCAGCGGTTTCACATGACTAGCAAAAGGAAATTGTTGAAATAGCCGCAGAAGGTGATAAAACCCTGAAAAGCCAGGGTGTGGACCAAGCTGGCTAAGACCGACTGGACCCAACATGGCACTGGATTGGACCTGGGCTTCTCCTAGGACCTCCTTATGTGTTCATTAACATGTTAAACACACACCCACCAGCGACAGGACAGTTATGGGGACACCATATTTGGTGTATAAATGGGTGGCACCACAGTTCCGAGAAAACATCATCTTTTTCCAAGAATTTTCATGAATAGTCCACCCCTTGGTTAAAGAAATGCATAAAGGTAGCATTTCTTTGCGCCTGTCTCTCTTGAGTCCATCCCACTTCCTTTTCTTGAGTGTGTGCTTTTTCCTTTGCAACAAATCTCTGTATTTTCACTATTTTCTGACTTGTCCTTGAATTCATTCTCCCAACGGTTTCAAGAGCAGGGACACCAGCTGGAGGTGCCACTGGCCTTTGGGGACATCCCCCAGCCCACCGGTATCAAGACAACTCTGGGGAGGGACAGTTGAGATACAACTGAAAGAACCAGGCGTAGTCAGCCATGCAATGACAGGGGTGGGAAGGGTATCTTTTGAGACTGAGGAAACAGCAGGTAGAGAACGGTGGTGAGAAGGAGCTTAAGTGTCTGCAGCAGATAGACGCGTATTGGGACTGCAGCTGAGTGAACGGGTAAAGGACACCACAGGTGACCCGGGTGAGGCTGTGGGAGGAGTCTGGGTTTCATGGAAGGGCACAGGAGAGATTTAAGTGCAGGACTGACAAGCTCTGACTTGTATTTTTAAAAGATCCCTCTGGAAGGCTGGGCGTGGTGGCTCACGCCTGTAATCCCAGCACTTTGGGAGGCCGAGGCGGGTAGATCATGAGGTCAGGAGATCAAGACCACAGTGAAACCCCGTCTCTACTAAAAATACAAAAAAAAAAAAATTAGCTGGTCACGGTGGCAGGCACCTGTAGTCCCAGCTACTTGGGAGGCTGAGGCAGGAGAATGGCGTGAACCCGAGAGGCGCAGCTTGCAGTGAGCCGAGATCACGCCACTGCACTCCAGCCTGAGCGACAGAGCGAGACTCCATCTCAAAAAAAAAAAAAAAAAATCCTCCTAGCTGCTGGATGGGGACCAGATATGAGGGGCGAGAGGTGAATCAGGGAGACCCGTGGCTGGGAGGCTGGGATGCAAGGAGGCAGGCAAGCAAGGATGGGGTCTTGGGTCATGATGATACTGCAGAGCTAGAGGGAAATACATGGGTTTGGGATCATTGTAAATGAGACAGGGCAGGCCAATGACTAGGAGTAGAAAGGGGAGAGAGGAGTCCACAGCCTCTGCGACAGCCCCACCATGACCACTGCTGTCCCCATCTTGACTGAGACCATCATATTAAAGAAAAGAAAAGGATTCCCATGTCAGCTGCCACACTATCTACTGACCTGAGCCCAAAGCCCTTAGTCTGGGCTATTAACGCTATAAAAATCTCCAACAACTGATTCCTTTAAGCTACTGTAGAAGGGTTCTTGCGGGAGGCATGAGCTAGGCTATGCATGCAGATGAGGCCCTTCCTCTACAAAGCCACAGGGAAGCCCCTTACCCAGGCTCCCAAATACTGTGGCCCCTCCATGGTAGAAGATGATGCCTCGCCGGGGTCTGGAGGATGCTGCCTTCGGCTGGAACAGCCTCACGGGTATCGTCCCAAAACGCAGGTCGGTCACCACAAGTTCAGGGTCCTTTTTAATTCTCACGCTATCATGTAAAAAACGAATAAATTTGGGCATGGAGCAAATTCCCAGCTTCTCAAATATATTCCCCTGTTGGAGGTAACAAAAGAAAGCCAGACGTTAGGAGAGGTTAGAATCTGGATGGTAGATTCCCTGACACTTAGAATTGTTAGGATGTTTTCACAGTTTCTCACCTGCCTCCTGTAGGTACAGGGGGCTCTTCAGGAATCCATAGGCTCTGGACTGTGTCCAGGTAGAGGGCTGGGTTTTCCAACTTTTCTCCCCAGAGGCTCTTGATTGAATAATGATGTGAATTTGCCAAAGGGTAGCCTAGCTTGGGGCTGACTGGGAAGAAGCCACTGACTTAGAAAAGCCAATTGTTGGCCGGGCGCAGTGGCTCACGCCTGTAATCCCAGCACTTTGGGAGGCCGAGGTGGACGGCTCATGAGGTCAAGAGATCAAGACCATTCTGGCCGACATGGTGAAACCCCATCTCTACTAAAATTACAAAAATCAGCTGGGCATGGTGGCGAGCGCCTGTAGTCCCAGCTACTCGGGAGGCTGAGGCAGGAGAATCACTTGAACCTGGGAGTCAGAGGTTGCAGTGAACTGAGATCGCACCACTGCACTCCAGCCTGGCAACAGAGAGAGACTCCATCTCGGGGAAAAAAAAAAAAAAAGAAAAGCCAGTTGGCCAAGGCAACTGGCCAGCAACTTCCCTCTCTATAGCTCTGTGCTGGACTCTCCCCAGCCTGGGATGCAAAGATAGTTCCTCACCTGTATCAACAGATCATTCTTCTGGGTTAGGAAGGATTCCTAACTGTGTCCGTGTTCAATGAAAAAGAGCAACGTGATCAGTTAGGGATGTCTGTTGTGGGCTCAGGTCAAGGGAGTAATGTGTTTTTAAACTAATACGGTCACTCTACTTATAAACAATTCAACATCTGAATATTTCACGAAATACAGTTACAAGGTGTCATATTTCATGTACTAAGTACATTTCAGCGATTCTGGATAATCTCTCCCACAGACCTCACATTTGGAGTGTGTCTTTGTCATAAGGAAAACAGCAAGGAATGATAAGAATGACAAGAACAAGAACAGCTGATACTTATCAGACATTTACAATGTGTCAGTACTGGCCCAAGTGGCTTGGATCATTAACTTGATTAAACTTCTCAGCAACCTTTCTAAGTCAGGCATAATTACCAGCTCCATTTTATAAATCAGGAAGTTAAGACATGCCAAGGTCAAGTTCCTTGCCCAGGGTTGTTCAACAAGTAAGATGCAAAATTTGTGTTCTCAACTGCTAACCAAGAAAGAGCTTGGGTTTCAGAGCCAAGCCTATCCAAGCTCAAGTCTGACCCCAAACTCCAATGAACTGAAAAGCCTTGGGCATCACTGTCTCTGAGCTTCAATTTGTCTCTGAGCTTCCCAAAATGAGAAGCATGTTGTGTATAGTCCAAGGATGAGGTGTGAGGATGGGATGTGATCACCTACATAGAGTGTCTCCCCAGTGGGTCCTGGCCAGTGTGAGCCCCACCCTTTCTCTTGCTTGCACCCACTGGGTCTTGTCTGAGGTTGCACGGACTACCCCAATCGGTTCCCTCCATGAAGAGGTCCTCCTAAAGGAACTCCAAACAAAATAATGATTTCCCTGCTTTAGTTGGAGGAGAATGAGTTGATCTGCAAGGTGGAGGTCACCTGCTTTTCCCATCAACTGACCCACATCCGAAAACCCCAGGCCTCTATGTTGTACCAGCATGGATCTTCACCTGCTCGGCTGTGAGCTCCCTAAGTCGTGGCCCCTGTTGTCAGGGTAGGCTGGCCCCAGCACTAATCTCCCCAGCTGTCTTCCCTGTTTGCCCACACACTGTGGGCTTCTCCATGCCTCCCTTTGTTTCCTGGGAGCCTTTCTTACCTGTTCAGCAGGTGGTTGGACACCAAACTGACTTTCATATCCAGGCTCAAGAGTCATGTTCACGTGGGGCCATCCTCCTCCCTCTCATAGTAATGGCCACTGCCTTCTTGGAGGCCCTCAGTACCCTGTTGCCCAGGTTGGAGTGCAGTGGCACATTCTCAGCTCACTGCAACCTCTGCCTCCAAAGATTTCTTTAGAACTCCTCTGGGGCTTTACTGTGTGGATCTGATCACCCATGTTTGTTCCTACCACCAAACCAAATGCTTCTCATGAGCAAAGGTCTCAGCACCTTCCCCTCTGTCTCCAGCATCTAGAACAGGAAACGTTTGTTTAGGGGATTTTGAACAATGAAGTGTGATATTAACCCTCCATAGGCATCGCGCTACCCCGGAAAGTTTAACATCACGCTGTACCGTGTGATGGCCACTAGCTATGCCACGAAGTTACTTTGTTTTGGTTTTGGTTTGGTTTTCCAATTCTGAGTCCACATTTTCTATAGCTGGTAACTTAGGACAGAGGCAGAGAGGAAAACTGATTATTAAGATTATACATGGGAGCATCGAGATTTTAAAAATATCTGAGGTCCAGTGGCCAGGAGTGGTGGCTCACGCCTGTAATCCCAGCACTTTGGGAAGCCGAAGCTGGCAGACTGCTTGAGCCCAGGAGTTCAAGACCAGCCTGGACAACATGAAGAAACCCCATCTCTACAAAACATACAAAAAAAAAAAAAACCCAGGCACAGTGGTGCATGCCTGTGGTCCCAGCTGCTCAAGAGGCTGAGGTGGGAAAATTACTTGAACCCGGAAGATGGCGGTTGCAGTGAGCCAAGATCATGCCACTGCACTTCAGCCTGGGCGACAGAGTGAGACTCCATCTCAAAAAAAAGGAAAGAAGGAAAGAAAGGAAGGAAGGAAGGAAGGAAGGAAGGAAGGAAGGAAGGAAGGATCTGAGGTCCAGAATTTTAAATAGCTGTTGAAACTCCTTGACAAATATTGCATCATTTGCCCTTTAAAAGAAAAGCAGTCCGGCTGCGGTGGCTCATGCCTGCAATCCCAGCACTTTGGGAGGCCGAGGCAGGCGGATCACAAGGTCAGGAGATCAAGACCATCCTGGCTAACATGGTGAAACCCCATCTCTACTAAAAATACAAAAAATTAGCCAGGCGTGGTGGCACGCACCTGTAGTCCCAGCTACTCGGGAGGCTGAGGCAGGAGAATCGCTTGAACCTGGGAGGCAGAGGTTGCAGTGCAGTGAGCTGAGATTGCACAACTGCACTCCAGCCTGGGTGACAGAGCAAGACTCCATCTCAAAAACAAAAACAGAAAAGCGATAGTGGCTGGGCACAGTGGCTCATGTCTGTAATCCTAACAGTTTGGGAGGCCAAGGCAGGCGGATCTCTTGAGCCCAGGAGTTCAAGACCAGCCTAGGCAACATGGCAAAACCTGGTCTCTACAAAAAATACAAAAAAGTTATCTGGGCATGGTGGCAGGCGCCTATAGTCTTAGCTACTCAGGACGCTGAAGTGGGAGGATCACCTGAGCCCAGGAGGTCGAGGCTGCAGTAAGCCATGATTGTGCCACTGCACTTCAGCCTACATGGTAAGAGACTGAGACTGTCTCAAAAAAAAAAAAAGAAAGAAAGAAAGAAAAAGAAAAGCAATAGTGTTTGTTATATTACTGTTTATATATTTTAGTAAGGCTGAAATCATTCATAGCAACTTTTAAATCTATAATAATTTCAAGAAATGCTACATCTTTGCCTTCAGGGACTTGATAAGCATACTATGAATAATTGACTTTTATCGAGACTTTCTAAGCACCCAGCACTGGTGCTGTGCATTTTCAGTGCTTTTCTCATTTAATCCCCATGTCACCCTATAAAAAGCCTCCCCAGGGCCGTGCACAGTGGTTCATGCCTGTAATCCTAGCACTTTGGGAGGCCAAGGCAGGAGGATTGCTTGAATCCAGGAGTTTAAGATCAGCCTTGGCAACGTAGCAAGACCCCATCTGTACAAAATATCAAAAAATTAGCCAGGCGTGATGTGAAGGTGCACGCCTGTGGTCCGAGCTACATGGGAGGCTGAGGTGGGAGGATCACTTGAACCCAGGAGGTGGAGGCTGCAGTGAGCCGTGTTCACGCCACTGCACTCCTGCCTGGGTGACAGAGTGAGACCCTGTCTCAGAAAAAAAAAAAAAAAAAAATCCTCACTTTTCAGAGAAGAAAATAAAGGCACAAAAACATGAGTCCACAAAACGAGTAAGTGAGGGCTTCAGGGCTCAGAGGGTGGTCTGATACCGAAACAAAGCTCTTGATTTCCTGGCCATAGACTCTTTTTAGCTTTTTCCTTGTCCTCCCTAAACTTCTTGTTCCTGTGTTGTCTATCTGTCCTCTGGAACCGAATGAACATTCACTACTGTATGTCCTCATCCTCATCATCATCACCCCATGATGGGCAGTGTGCCCTGGGAGGCCCCAGTGCCGGAGGGATCGAGAGAGGACGCCACAAGCTGAATCCACCCTTTCAGCGGCTGCAGACCCATCTCAGAGTCCCCTGTGAACAGCCCATAGCAGCTGTCATCAGTAGATGTTTAGCTTGTGGGCTACTTTTGAGGAGAAACACTGACAGAAAAATCTCCATTTCTCTGGGCCACCTGAACATCTTAGGCCCTCGTTTTAAATCCTGGGGCTCTAACCCAACTAGTAACTCCATGTGGATTGCAGCCACTGGCTTGAGACTGCCTAATTCCAGGCTGATTGCATTCTCCAAATGAGAGGACACGAGTACTTTCTACATCCTTGTCCTGTCTCCTTGCGTCAGTGGCATTGATGCCACTGCACACTGAACTTGTCGGTGTCTCTAAAAGTGATCTTTTAGAAAATGTTTTTGTAACCCATGGGGAACACTTCCAGCAGCACAGAGATGTATTTTACGAATTCACTAAACATCTCTAGACATATTAACCCTCCCAGATGAGGAAACTGAGACACAGAGAGGTTAAGTAAATGGTGCAGGACCGCACAGCGAGTGAGTGACAGAGCTGGGACACACACTCAGGCAGTCCGGCTGCTGTCTCTGTTCCTTATTCCTAAGCCCTGCTGTCAGTTAAGCGTGGCCTCCTCATCCTCCTCCACAGCTGCCCTGGAATCAGTAGGAGCTGTTTGGCTTCTATAAGGTCTCCACCTAGGGTTGGGACATTGGGGTTAACTCAGGTTGCCTGCCACAAACAAGATGTCACACCACTGTTTCCAAATCCACTGCAACTCTGGGTGCATGCTGGTCCACCCCAAACCCCCAATCCCCAAGCCCTGCTCAGAGCCTGGCTGGCACGGCCACTCAGAAATGCTGGGTAAATTCATGTATACCAACAAAAGTAAGCACCTACCAGATACCAGGCTCTGTGAGTGGGACTGGGCTTACAGAGATGAATAAGGAAAAAAACACCTGTGAAGCTAGGTGCAGTGGCTCACACCTGCAATCCCTACACTTTGGGAGGCCAAGGCGGGCAGATTGCTTGAGCCCAGGAGTTCTAGACCAGCCTGGGCAACATAGCGAAACCCTGTCTCTACCAAAAGTACAAAAATTAGCCGGGCATGGTGGTGCGCACCTGTAGTCCCAGCTACTTGGGAGGCTGAGATGGAAAGGATCGCTTGAGCCCAGGAGGTTGAGGCTGCACTGAGCCATGATTGCACCACTGCACTCCAGCCTGGGCAACAGAGCAAGACCCCGTCTCAAAAAAGTAAAATAAAATAGAAACAACCTATAGGTAAGTCAGTGCACTGAGGGTGAAAGTGTGCGCGGCTGAAGGAGGGGCAGGGGCTGTCAGGCCACAAGCCCGGGGAAGGCAGGAACTGGGTCTGAAATTGTTTTTGAATTCTCAGAAAAGAGCCCAGTGATTGGCACTCGGTAAATGTTTGATGCTAAAGGAAGAAAGGAAGGGAGTTAGAGAGAGCAGGAGAGAGGAAGGAAGAACGGAACAAAAGGAGGGAAGGAAGGAAGGTAGGAAGGAAACAAGGAAGGAAGGGAGGGAGGGAGGGAGGGAGGGAGGAGGGAAGGAAGAAAGGAGATAGGGAGGAAGGAAGAAGGGAAAGAAGAAAGGAAGGAGGGAGGGAAGGAAGGAGATAGGAAGAGAGAGAATGAAGGAAGGAGGGAAGGAGGAAGGAAGGAGGGAGGGAGAGAAAGAAAGAAGGAAAAAGGAAGGAAAGGAGCGGAGAAGGAGGGAAGGAAGGAAGGGAGGGAGGGAATGAAGGAGATAGGGAGGAAGGGAGAGAATGAGGGAAGGAGGAAGGAGAGGGAAGGAGGGAAGGAAAGAAGGAAAAAAGAAAGGAAAGGAGGGAGAGAAGGAGGGAAGGAAGGGAGGGAGAGAGGAAGAAAGGCAGGCAGGCTATGGGAAGGGGGAAGGAACGGAGGGAGGGAAGAGAGAGGCAAACAGAATAGCAGATACAGAAGAGACAAGTCTATCTTGAGGGAGTCCGAAGAGAGAGAGACAGAAGGGAAGTGAAAGAGGGAAAAGAGGGTAAGGTACTGAGAACAAGAGAAGAAGCCCCCAGGTTACGACGTGGCCTGAGAGTAAACTCACCAAAGTGACCAGGTAGAGGAATATGCAATGCAGGAATCTCAACTTGGCAGGATGCTGCAAGGTAGCAGGGATATCCGTGGTGAGGAAGTGCTCAAAGACAGCCCAGACAAAGACCCCCAGGAAAAAGATGGGCAATGCCAAGAGTAGCACTAGCCAGGGGACAGCCATGTTCCTGGGGCCTTGAGGAGCTGCTGCCCTGAGGAGCTTGTCTGATAGCTTATGTGAAGAGGACCTGGCTGGGTTACACCCTCCGCCTCCTCCACCTCACTCTCTCTGGGCTAAGCCTGACACCTGACACAGTGGCCTGACACAGCTTCTCAGGGTAAGCACAAAAAGGCCAATGGGAGGTGGAGGAACCTATTTCCCTAAGCAATGTGGGGACCCAGAAAAATCAATACTGCTCATCATGGGGAGTCTTGGAAGGTGAGCTTCCCAAAGATTTCAGGAAGATCAGGCTCAGATGGGCACCTCGGCTCCTGGGAACCCTAGAAAGAGATCTCATATGGGTTATATAGGCCTCCAGGGCCTGATCTTTCAACTGTAAGATAAGAGACTTCGCCAGCTTTCCTTGTCAGAGTGTGGTTAGGGTGAGCACAGCACGTCTCACCCCAGCTCCCTAGCTAGCTTCCCTAACCCCAGTTTTGTTTTGTTTTTTGAAACAAGGTCTCACTCTGTCACCGCCTATGTACCCTCTGGGCCTCTGGCCAGATCAGGGCAAAGACTGGCGTGTTTTCTGGTAGTCATAATCTTCTGGGGTCCTGGGACGGGAGACAGGAATGCCATTGCAGGCAAAACTGGGCTTTATCCAGCCTCATATTCCGCCTCTAAAAATGGTGCCAAGGGCTGGTTTGGGGACAATTTTTATCCACGTTACTTTCTTCTAAGAGAGAAAGAAATGATTGGAACCATTTCAGGAAATAGGCTTTGAGCCTGAAAATTTTAGAAATTTTAATTTGGGCCGAGCACGGTGGTAATCCCACCTGTAATCTCAGCACTTTGGGAGGCTGAGCTGGGAGGATCACTTGAGGCCAGGAGTTCAAGACCAGCCTGGCCAACAGGGTGAAACCCCCTCTCTACCAAAACTACAAAAATTAGCCGGGCATGGTGGCACATGCCTGTAATCCCAGCTACTCGGGAGGCTGAAGCTGGAGAATCGCTTGAACCTGGGAGCTGGAGGTTGCAGTGAGCCGAGATCGCACTACTGCACTCCAGCCTGGGCAACAGAACGAGACTCTGTCTCAAAAAAAAAAAAAAAAAAAAAAAAAAGGGAGAATATAGAAACTATACATATAAGAAAATACCACTACCCTTAGGGCTTAAATAGAGCACCCAAGAAAGACCCCGTTTCCACCCATAGGGATGAGACCCAGCTCTTGTTGGAAAGGGCATAGTGTGAATTTGCTGAACTGGCAAAGAAGTTGCTCAACTGCTACACCAGGGGGACTCACTGGTGTCTTCCTCTTGACACACACACTCAACAAATTTGCTGAAAATCTGCTCCCTTGGGTGCTAGGGAAAGCCATTTATTCACAGGGAGGTGTTTTACTGGAGGCACTCTGAAGTGAAACCACCCAAGGGGACTGGAAGGGAAAGTTATTAACCTCCGAGTGCTGCAGGAGCTTGGAACTAGAAGGCAGACCCCCTTTTTCATTCCTATTATTTATGTTTTAGGTTTTTGGTTTTTTGTTTGTTTGTTTGGTTTGTTTCAGAAAACAAAAGTTATAGAAGAGGCTTTACCCCAGTGAGTATATGCATGGCAGATTTTTGTGTTTTTACGTCATTGTATCTTTGTAAGAGTTTACTTAGGTTTCTCTTAGAGGGTTATAAGATTCACTATTCTGGCTAGGTGTAATTATCTTTTGTCGTTGTTGTTTGTTTGTTTGTTTTTTGTTTTTTTTTTTGAGATGGAGTCTCGCTCTGTCACCCAGGCTGGAGTGCAGTGGTGTGATCTCAGCTCACTGCAAGCTCCGCCTCCCAGGTTCACGCCATTCTCCTGCCTCAGCCTCCGGAGTAACTGGGACTACAGGCGCCCCCCACCACGCCCGGCTAATTTTTTTGTATTTTTAGTAGAGACGGGGTTTCACCACGTCAGCCAGGATGGTCTCGATCTCCAGACCTCGTGATCCACCCATCTCAGCCTCCCAAAGTGCTGGGATTACAGGTGTGAGCCACCATGCCCGGCCAGGTGTAATTATCTTTTTAAAACTCATGACAAATAATGTAATTTTTGGTTTCTTAAGCATGTTTATGGATACCCCTGAAGATAGCACACACGGGAGGAGCTTGGCCTGGAAAAGCAGATAGCGCAATTACTGCCCCCAGAGCATTTTTGAAAACAGTAGGACAATTAGCCTGCAGTTAGTGGAGGCTAATAGTTGGGTGTGAGACCAACAGAGGCACAGAGCTTAACAGAGAGATCAGGGAAGGAGAAAGTCAAGACAGCCCTGTGGAAAACACTGCATTCTTAGGGTGACTGTACACAGGACCAAGGCTGCACCACCTGAGGTGTGATATTAGAAGCTGCACACTGCAAAGGAAATAGACTTTACTGAAATAGCTTATCCACATCATTAAACAAATAAAGAAGGTCAGAACACAGGGGCTCGTGCCTGTAATCCCAGCACTTTGGGAGGCTAAAGCAGTGAATCATTTGAGCTCAGGAGTTCAACACCAGCCTGGGCAACATGGTGAAACCCCATTTCTATGAAAATAAAAATTAAAAAAATAGTGCATCTGGCACAGTGGCTCAGGCCTGTAATCCCAGCACTTTGAGAGGCCAAGGCGGGCAAGGTCAGGAGATCAAGACCATCCTGGCTAACATGGTGCAACCCCGTCTCTACTAAAAATACAAAATATTAGCCAGGCGTGGTGGTGGGCACCTGTAGTCCCAGCTACTCGGGAGGCTGAGGCAGGAGAATGGTATGAACCCAGGAGGCAGAGCTTGCAGTGAGCTGAGATTGCGCCACGGCACTCCAGCCTGGGTGACAGAGCGAGACTCCATCTTAAAAAAAAAAAAAAAAAACATAGTGCATGCTTGTAGTCCCAGCTACTTGAGTGGCTGAAGTGGGAGGATCACTTGAGCAGGGGAGGTCAAGGCTGCAGTGAGCTATGATCACACCATGGCACTCCAGCCTGGGCAACAGAGTGAGACCCTGTCTCAAAAAAGAAAACAAACAAATAAATAAGTAAACAACATAAGCGATAAGCTCAGGGAGAACTGGGGGGAGGGATTAGTATCCAGAGTTGCTACAATGTAGTATCCAAAATCTCTAATCTTCCACAAAAAATGAGACATGCAAAGAAACAGAAAAGTATAACCTATACAAAGAAAAAACATCAGTGACAGAAGTTGCCTTTGAGAGGGCCCAGATGTCAGAGTTAACAAAGCCTTTAAAGCAGCTATTATAAATATGTTCAAAGAACTAAAGAAAATAATGTTTAATGAAGTAAAAGAAGAATATAATGACAATGTTTCATCAAATAGAAAACACCAGTAAAGAAATAGCAATGATTTTTTTAAAGGGCAAACTGAAATTATGGGATTGGAAGGTATAACAACAAAAATGAAATATTCACTTTGGGGGCCCAACAGTAGATTTCAGCTGGAAGAAAGAATCAACAGACCTGAGAGTATAGCAATAGAAATGATGCAATCAGAAAGACAAAGAAAATTAATGAGGAAAAATAAACAGCATTTCAGGGAAAAGTGGGGCACCATTAGGTGCAGCAATGTACATATAATGGGAGTACCAGAAGGAGAAAAGTGAGAAAAAGGAACATAAAAATATTCCAAGAAATAACGACTGAAAGCTTCCTAAATCTGTTGAAAAATGTTATTCTATATATCCAAGAAGCTAAATGAACTCTGCCAGAAATAATCAGTTCCTCTTCAAACTTCCTTGTTCCTTTTAGCGACTAGCATCCTTTCACATTGCTAGAAAGGATAAATTCTTGTTCTCCAAACAAGCCTTTCCATCCTTGCCGTGCCTAAACATGCCCAAACATGCCTTAATGGACAATCCCCCACTCCCCTCCTTTCTTTACAAGTTATGTGTTTAAGAGTTTCAGTTTACCATATTTGGAAAAGTTTTACCACCTACCCCTTCTTCCCCATCTACCCTATTTGGAAAAATTTCAAGTTTTAGCCAATCAGGTTAGCTTAAATTGTGCAGTCCAACTCCAGCCAATGTGGAAAAGACACAGAAACAGAAGCTGTGTTAGGGATAAAAACCCTTGTCTCCTTTGTTCCTTGCGCACTTGCGATCATGACTGATGCAGGCAGCACCCTTCTGCAGAAGTAAATTTGCCTTGCCGAGAAATCTTTTGTTTGAGTGCTCGTTTTCTTTGCAGCTCCAAGCTCTTATTTCCAACAAACTCCAACTATGATCAATGCAAAGAGATGGCATCACTGGTAAATTATTCCAAACACTTAAAGAAGAATTCATTCCAATTCTTCACAAACTCTTCTTAAAAACAGAAGAGAAGGGAACACTTCTCGATGGCTATAATAAAAAAGACAGATAATAACAAGTATTGTCAAGGATGTGGAGAAACTGGAACTCACATTCCTTGTGAAAATGTAAAATGCTGCAGCCACTTTGGAAAGATTTTAGCAGTTCCTCAAAATTTATTGAACATAGAATTATCATATGACCTAGCAAGTCCACTTTAGGTATATACACAAGAGAATTGAAAACATGTGTCTACACAAAACCCTATCTATAAATGGTCAGAGCAACATTATTTATAATACCCCAAAAGTGGAGACAATCCAAATGTCCATCAACCGGTGAACAGGTAAACAATGTGGTATATATATTGTATCAGGGTTCTCCAGAAAGATCAAACCAATAGGACATAGAGAGAGAGCTATAAGCGGGGATTTATTAGGGGAATTGGCTTACACAGTTATGGAGGCTGAGAAGTCCCACAACAGGTCAACTGCAAGCTGGAAACCCTGGGATGCTGGTAGCGTGGATCAGTCCAAGTCCAAAGGCCTCAGAACCAGGGAAGCTGATGGTGTAATTCTCTATCCAAGGCCAAATGCCTGAGAACTCAGGGGGCACGGGGTACCACTGGTGCAAGTCCTAGAGTTAAAAAGCCAGAGAGCCTGGAGTTGCTGTCCAAGTATAAGAGAGGAAGAGTACATTCAAGCTCCAGCAGATACATGAACACATTAGGCTTTTCTTTGTTTTGATTCTCTCTGGACCCCCAGCAGATTAGATGGTGGCCGCCCACCTTGAGGGCAGATCTTACCCACCTAGTTCACTCAGATTCACATGCTAATCAATGGAAACCCCCTCATAGAGACACCCAAAAATGATGCTTGACCAGGTTTCTAGGTATTCCTTAACCCAGTCGAGTTGATAGCTAGCACTAACTATCACATCTATGCAACAAAATATTATTCAGTAGGCCAAGCACTCATGCCTGTAATCCCAGCACTTTGGGAGGCCAAGGAAGGAGGATCACTTGAACCCAGAAGTTTGAGACCAGCCTGGGCAATAGAGTGAGACCCCATTTCCAAGAAAAAAAAATGTTTAAAATCAGTGGGGCATGGTGGCACACGCCTGTAGTTCCAGCTACTCGGGAGGCTGAGGTGCAAGGATCACTTGAGCCCGGGAGGTTGAGGCTGCAGTGAGCTGTGATCACACCACTGCATGACAGCCTGGGGTGACAGAGAGAGATCCTGTCTCAAAAAAAAAAAAAAGAAAAGAAAAGAAAGACAGAGAGAAGGAAGGAAGGAAGGAAGGGAGAAAGAAGAAAGAAAAAGAGAAAGAAGAAAGAGAGAAAGAAAGAGAGAGAAGAAAGAAAGAAAGAAAGAAGAAAGAAAGAAAGAAAGAAAGAAAGAAAGAAAGAAAGAAAGAAAGAAAGAAAGAAAGAAAGGAAAAGAAGGAAAATTCTAATGAGCTTTAGGTTCTAATCTCCCAAACCCTTCCCTTCTCATGACCTCCACTCCATGTGGCTTGGATGAGGGATTTTAGACCTCAGGGATCTGTGAGGACAGCAATGGGGGTATGTGGTATTATCCTGATATTTCCAAAAGCCCAGAAGAGGTAAGGATGCACGAGCTATTTGGCACATCTGGTGGGGTTGCTTGTGGCTAGCACTCTAGGTACTCGAGGCAGTAATTCAACTAATAAATAGTTGCCATTTACTGAGGACTCCTTGTGTGCCAAGCAGTGTCCTACCAACAGCCCTCTGAGGTAAGCACATGGAGATGAAACTCACACTCTACAAGATTGCCTCACTTTCCCAAGATCATTCCCAAAGGGAAAGAGGTTTCTAGCAAGTGTGTGAGGCTGTGTGTTAATTTCATACAGGTTCCCATATTCCAATGTAACAATAACGGCAACAAAAAT
Source organism: Homo sapiens (assembly GCF_000001405.40). Classification (NCBI taxonomy): domain Eukaryota; kingdom Metazoa; phylum Chordata; class Mammalia; order Primates; family Hominidae; genus Homo; species Homo sapiens. The sequence goes on along the minus strand of NC_000001.11, from coordinate 12,638,352 downwards.
AACTAAGTCCAACATTGGTTAAGTGTCTGCAATGGCCCAGGCACAGCTGTGAAGTGCCTTACCTGTAGGAATTTGTTCAATGTCTGCAACACCCTAGAGGAAGGTACTGGCGTGATCCCTACTTCACAGATGAGGATACCAAGCCCCAGAATGCCAGACTCACTCGCCCACATTCATAGAGCCAGAGGTAGAAGGGCTCAGCCCAGAGCCCAAGCACTGCCCTGTCTCCTCTCAGGTCTGTTAAAGCAAACTAAATATGGCCTGAGAAGGACTCCATACTTCCATATTTGAGTCCCCGTAGACATACTGTAACCAGCTTAATAGTTAGACAAGATTGAAAACCTAACATAGAAGTATGCGCTTGTAACAATAACTGAGTCTTGGCCAATCCCAGCGGCCAAACTTCAACCACTCAGAGCCTGCCAAGTGTTCAAACTGTGTTCAAATAAGGCAAAGGCCATCCTGTTTCGGTACCTCGCTGCCAATTTCTGTACCTCTCTTCCCTTTTTTTTGTCTGTAAATCTTCTACCACGTGGCCAGATTGGTGGCTCATGCCTGTAATCCTGGCACTTTGGGAGGCCGAGGCAGGATTGTTTGAGCCTAGGAGTTCGAGACCAGCCTAGGCAACAGAGTGAGACCCCATCTCAAAAAAAAAAAAAAAAAAAATTAGTTGATGAGCTTTTTTATCACTTGAGGTCAGGAGTTTGAGACCAGCCTGGCCAATATGGTGAAACCTTGTCTCTTCTAAAAATACAAAAATTAGCTGGATGTGGTGGCACGCACCTGTAGTCTCAGCAACTCGGGAGGCTGAGGCAGGAGAATCATTTGAACCTGGGAGGTGGAGATTGCAGTGAACAGTGATGGCACCATTGCACTCCAGTCTGGGTGTCACAGGGAGTCTCCATCTCAAAAAAAAAAAAAAAAGAAATCTTCTTCCACCACGTGGCTCCACTGGAGTCTCTGTGAATCTCCCATGATTCTGGGGGCTGCCTTATTCATGAATCATTCATTTCTCAATTAAACTCCTTTAAATTTAATTTGGCTGAAGTTTTTCTTTTATCAGGTCTGACAGATGGATGGATGGACAGACAGACTTGAACTTATGGAGGCTGTGCCTTTCTGGAATTAAAAACTGGAGACACAGAAAGTACAACTGAGGGGGGTGGGGGGTTGAACCAATGTTCCAAAACAGAGTCCAGAGAGGAAAAACAAGGTGTTCTGGGTGGCAGATCAACCTCCCTGTACCCAGCACACAGCCGGCTCACCGCATAATTACCCTTTTGTCACTTACAGCAAAAAAAGTCCATCCTGCTATGTCCACAACCTTGGAAGGGGCAGGAGGGAGAAAGAGTGACAGCCAACATTTCTCAGCAGTTGTCTGTGTTTGGCATCCCCAGGAAGCCCCAAGCTATCTGGGGAAGATGGGGTGAGGCCGGTCCCCCACCAGAACACCCATGGCCTCACCAAGCTGTGGAAATCCCCACCCTCAGTGCCCTCTCCCCACCCCATCCCATTCCCTAGGCCACAGGCAGTGCCCTATGCTGTAAATCAGCCCAGCTAACCCAGACCTGGGAGCAGATCCCTTGGGAGCCCTCCCTGCTAGCCAAGAATTCCAAGAATTCAAGGGGGAAGCCCTTGAGAAAACAGGCCATATGACCTGATATTTGGGCCAAAGCAGCATTTCCATCCCAGGCCTGGGAGGACTCACACCAGGAGGATGGGTTTGTCTTCCTGTGGGAGAAACCCAGGCACGCAGGGGCAAGGGCCAAGGTACTCATCTACCTCCCCCCAGCCTCCCGAAGCGTTAGCTGGTAAACCGCTGAGCAATGTTCAGCCAGAGGACTTTCCTGGGGTGTAAGCTTCCCTTGGGAGGCAGGGTGGGGGCCAGCGGTGAAGAGGCAGTTTCCTTTCAGGCAGAAACTTGGTTGGGTTTCAAATTCAAAGGAATGACCTTGGTCAGGAGCCTGACATCTATTTCATGACCATGTGGCATTTTCCAGCACTGGTCTAAGCGTCAGTAAACACGAAGGGGTAGTGGCGTAATGGACACTGTACCCATTTTACAGCAGGAAACCAAGGTAGGAAGAAGTGAAGTGACTTGCCCACGGGCACACAGCAAGTGGGTGGCAGAACTGGACTCTAAACCAGGGAGCCCACCCCAGGGGCTGTGTCTGGCCACCGTGAGATTCGCCTTCCCTCTAACTAACAGGGTTAAAAATGACATCACGGGGCCGGGTGTGGTGGCTCACGCCTGTAATCCCAGCACTTTGGGAGACCAAGGCAGGCGGATCACAAGGTCAAGAGATCGAGATTATCCTGGCCAACATGGTGAAATCCCGTCTCTACTAAAAATACAAAAATTAGCCGGGTGTGGTGGCACACGCCTGTAGTCCCAGCTACTCAGGAGGCTGAGGCAGGAGAATCACTTGAACCCAGGAGGCGGAGGTTGCAGTGAGCCAAGATCGCACCACTGCACTCCAGCCTGGGGACAGAGCAAGACTCCGTCAAAAAAAAAAAAAAAAAAAAGACGTAATAGAGGTGGAGTCATCCGCACCATTTCCCATAAGACAGCCTTGACAACCCGTGACTAGCCGAGGTCCTGTCTTAGCTGTGACAAGCCAGACCTTGAGGCTGGGTTTTCTAATGTCCCCTTGTGCCCCTGCAGGAGGATAGAACTAGTGTGTGGGGCTCACTGCCCGGCAAGGGGCACTTAGGGGGTGCCAAGCCTCCCTCTGAGAGCTCTACCCCTGACTCTTATCAAGAAGCCCTCACACACCCCTGATGTAGGCACTCCAGCTGTCCCCATTTCACAGATGTGGAAGCCAAGGCCCAGGGGCATTAAGAACTATGCTCCAGGTGAGGCGCTGTTTAAGTGAAGAAGGAGGAATATCCGTGTCCTGTTGATGCGGAGCAAATGATCACAAACTCGGTGGCTTAAAATGACATAGATGCATTCTCTCACAATTCTGGAGGCTGGAAGTCCAAAATCAAGGGGTGGGCAGGGCCACAGTCCCTCCAGAGGTTCTAGGGGAATCCTTCTGAAGCGGCATCATTTGCCTGGGGTAATACCCCAGGTTCGTTGCCTCACGCCAAGGAACTTAAGGATGCACACACGCAAGGAGTGAGTTTAAGGGTGGAAGTTTAATAGGCAAAAGGGAAAAGCTCCCTCCCAGTTTGCAGCGAGATGCGGTCGGTTTTGTAGATGAGCTTGAGGAGGCGGTGTCTGATTTACATAGGGCGCAGAGGATTGGTTGGACCAGGTGTTCCCTTTACATAGCGCACGAAGAAGCTGGCCATCCCACCCTAATCTTTTGTTATACAGTTGGGGTCTCCACCTGGCCAGCGCCGCATTGTCTGCTTCTTTACTGCACATGTGGCCTCCATGTTGAACATGCCTGGCCCCCAGATAGCCGTTTCCAATGGGCACATAGGAAATTCCCACGTACACACAGGCACATAGTAATTTCCTGCCGGCATTTCCCTACGCCAGCTTCCAGCTTGCTTATCTGTTTGCAGCTTGATTTTTCAGGCTGTTTTTTGTTAGGAAAAAAAAATGATTTGCCTGTAATCCTAGTACTTTGGGAGGCCGAGGCGGGCAGATCACCTAAGGTCGCCAGTTCGAGACCAGCCTGACCAACATGGAGAAACCCCCGTCTCTACTAAAAATACATAATTAGCCAGGCGTGGTGGCCCATGCCTGTAATCCCAGCTACTCGGGAGGCTGAGGAATCGGTTGAACCCGGGAGGCGGAGGTTGCTGTGAACCGAGATCGCGCCATTACACTCCAGCCTGGGCAACAAGAGGGAAACTTCGTCTCAAAAAAAGAAAAAGAAAAAAATGATATGGGGGCTGCTTTTTATTAAAGAGAAAACCTTACCGAGGACTCTCTTACCCTCACTATCCTCCTAAATAATTTATTTTTAGCTCCTGTATCACTTCCTGGCCTCTTGCAGCTTCCGGTGGCTCCAGGGTTCTGCGGCTTGCAGCTGCGCCACTCCAGTCTCTGCCTCTGTCCTCACATCGGCCTTCTCTTCCCTGGGCGTCTGTCTTCTCTCATAATGACACCTGTCGTTGGATTTGGAGCCCCTCTGGCTATTCCAAAATGACCTCATCTTGAGATCCTTAGTCAAATCTGCAAAGACCCTTTCCAAGTCAAGTCACATTCACACATTCAGAGATTAGGATGGAGATGTATCTTTTGGGGGACCCCCTTCCAACTTGCTACAGAGGATTTGAACCAGGTCTGGCTGCCACTCAGCCTTTAAAACCTCATGAGGGGGTGGGGGGGGAGTGAGGATGGTGAATGGATACAAAAAATAGAATGAATAAGAACTAGTATTTGACAGCCCAGCATGGTGGCTATACTCAGTCATAATTTAACGGCCTGGCGCGGTGGCTCACGCCTGTAATTCCAGCACTTTGGGAGGCGGAAGTGGGAAGATCGCTTGAGCTCAGGAATTTGAGACCAGTCTGAGCAACATAGTGAGACCTCATTTCTAAAGAAAGAAAAATATAATAATTTAATTTTACATTTAAAAATAACTAAAGGTATGATTGGATTGTTTATAAGACAAAGGATAAATGCTTAAGATTATAGATTCCCATTTACCCCGACGTGATCATTACAGACTGTATGCCTGTATCAAAATATCTCAGGTACCCCACAAATATATACACCTGCTATGTACCCACAAAAATTTAAAAGTAAAAAAAAAAACAACAACACAACACATCCGGCCGGGCGTGGTGGCTCACGCCTGTAATCCCAGCATTTTGGGAGGCCGAGGCGGGTGGATCACGAGGTCAGGAGATCAAGACCATCCTGGCTAACACGGTGAAATCCCGTCTCTACTAAAAAATACAAAAAATTAGCCGGGCGTGGTGGTGGGCACCTGTAGTCCCAGCTACTCGGGAGACTGAGGCAGGAGAATGGTGTGAACCTTGGAGGCGGAGCTTGCAGTGAGCCGAGATCCAGCCACTGCACTCCAGCCTGGGTGACAGAACAAGACTCTGTCTCAAAAAAAATAAGTAAATAAAAATAAAATAACACAAGACATCCAACAAGTGCCCAGGGCACCATCACCTTGTGGGGGTGGGGGGCTCCTACCTACCCCAATTAGAGCTGAAAGCACAGAAAGTCCACTTCCTTGAGACACCTGGTCACACAGGGACAGTATGACCTGGAAGTTCAAGTGTTTGGGACAGAGAAACCTCGGTGGTTTTCTCACCTCCACGATTTCCTCCAATAAAACTTCCTCAATTCCCCCAACCCTGCCCTTGGCAAATGCCCCACTTACCTGCCACTCACACGACACTCTGTCCTCTCCTCTGGGACATCTCACAAGTGTGAATCCACTTCTGTGATCAGTGATTTCTGCCTGTCCCCTGACCTCCGCTAGATGTGAGGGAGAAGGGCAGTGTCTACAACTACTCATGTGGACATCTTACCCCTGTGGGGCTTTTCTCTTTGTTTGTAACAGCTTTATTGAGATGTAATTCACATACCATACAATTCACCTGTTTAAAATGTATAATTCAAGGTTGTTGTGGTGGCTCCTGCCTGTAATCCCAGCATTTTGGGAGGCCAAGGCAGGTGGATTGCTTGAGCCCAGGAGTTCAAGACCAGCCTGGGCAACATAGGGAGACCCTGTCTCCAAAAAAAAAAAAAAAAAAACACAAAAACTTGTTGGGTGTGATGGTGAGAGTCTGTGGTCCCAGCTATTCAGGAGAGGGAAGTGGGAGGATCGCTTAAGCCCTGGGAGGCAGAGGCTGCAGTGAGCCGTGATTGCACCACGGCACTCCAGCCTAGGTGATAAAACAAGATCTTGTCTCAAAAAACAAAAAGGAAACGAAAAAAACTTAAGTGTACAATTTAATGGGTTTTAGTATATTTATAGAGTGGTGCAGCCATCACTGCAATCAATTTTTGAACATTTTTACCATCTCCCCTCTTAAATTCTGTCGCCAGTAGCAGTCACTCCCCTTTCCCCCTCCCCCATGCCCTAGCAACCACTGACCTGATTTCTGTCTCTATGGCTGCCTGTTTTGGACATTTCATAGAAACAGAATTGGACAACGTGTGGTCTTTGTGACTAGCTTTTTCACTTATGTTTCAAGGCTAATGCATATACAGTATATTTCATTCCTTTTCACTGCCAAATAATATTGCACTGTATGGATTTGCCACATTCTATTCATCCATTCATTAATCTGCAGACATTTGTGTTGTTTCTGTTTGTTGGTCATTATGAATAACACAGCTATTAAAGCAGCATCCATGTGCTCCCAAGAGAAGTGCTCCAGAGAAAAGGCAAAGGAGGAGATGGGGGGTGCAGAATGGGGGAACATTACTGTTATGGGATCTTTAGGTTGTCATTTTTCTGGCCGGAAACCTCTGTGGCTGGGGGCGCCTTTGCCCAGGTTTTGCTCAGGCCCGCTGGGTTTCCTTCACCTACTTGGCCTGGCAGGTTGAGCTCAGCTCACACTGCTGGCCTGGGTCCCACACCTGCAAATCAGAGGAGGAATGGCAAGGGGTGTATGAGTAGGTACAGGGTCCGGCCACTGTGCACAGACAGACATGCCAGCTGCTGCAGCAGGATGAGCAGCTCCAGGTGCCGGCAAAGTCGCTGGCTCTCTGCGAGGCTGCAGCCAGACCAGGCACGCTGCAAGTAGCTTCCACAGTTGGCACCAGGGAACACAGTGGCATTCAGAAGCTTGGAGACACCAGGAACTGCAGGGCCCAAAAGAGGGAGTCACAGCCCTGGCTTAGGGAGCTCTCAGGTCTGGGCTCCCTGAAGGGCCACAGCTCTTCTCTCCTTCTCTTCACCCACAGCATGGCAAGCAAGGGGCATGTCTCAACCCTGTTTGTGTTACAGCTCTTTTAGTCTCACCATTCGGTGGGTCCTGAGTTCTTGTCCTGCAACCAGGAAGAATGAGGTACACAGACAAGAGGAAGTGCAAGATGAAGAGGAGCTTTATTGAGCAATAGAACAGCTCAGAGGAAACTGGCAGGGGGCAGCTCCTTTCTGCAGCCAGGGTGTTCCCACAAGTGTTCAGCTCCTAGCGGAGAGGGTAGCTCCTCTCTGCAGCTGGTCATCCAGTCATCTGTGCAGCTCTCAGCAGAGAGGAGACCATAGAGTGGGTGGCTCATCTCTGCAGGCAGGTCATCCCATCGTCTCTGTAGCTCTCAACAGAGAGGAGGCCCTGAAGTGGGTAGCTACTCTGCAGCTGGTCATCCTGACATCCGCTCAGCTCTGGCTGATCTTGGGGCTTTTATGGGCCTCAGAGGGGAAGAATTGCACGCTGATTGGTCCATGGGTGGCCATAGGTGGGCCCGGAAAAGGCACCACAAGTTCCTGCTCTGCAGAACTGGCAGCCCAGCCCCCAGTTTTCAGACTCTCCTAGCCTGAAGGTAAGGTCTCACTGGGGTCTCACCACCCCCTTCTGCTAAGGAACCTGTCTGCCTCCTGCTGCTGTTTTTGGCACCTAGGCTGTAGGTGCCAAAGGGTGCCTGCTGCCCTCAGCCCCCCTTGGCTTCCCTCCTAAGGTTGTTGGTTCCCAAAGTCCAGAGGGGGCCAAGGCAGCAAGGGGCTAGCATGTCAACACTGCCCTGAGTGTGCGAAGATCCAGACCGGCTGCAACAGCACCCAGACTCAGCCCCGACTTTGCTCTGAGATCAGAGCTGGCACCAACAGCAGGGAGAAGCCAGGCAGCGGGAGCAGGCACTTCTGAGCCTGCGAGGGTGGGGGACCTTCTTGGACCCCAAGAGTGCGGGGATGCCTGGGTCTGCAGCTGCAGTTTGGGTAGCTGCACCTGCACCCAGGGGTATGGGGCTCCTGCCTGCTCTGCGGAGCATGAGGCCTGGGTCTGCAGCCAAGGTTTGGGTGGCTGCATCTGTCCCCAGAGGGCAGGGCTCCTGCCTGCTCTTGGGCCCCGAGAGTACAGGGATGCCTTGGTCCACAGCTTTGGCTTTGATGGCTGCAGCAGCAGCCGGGGAGCTCCTGCCCCAACACAGAGGGATGGGACTCCTGCTTGTCCCCAGCTCCCACCAGCTCCATGGAACATGCAGCCCCAGCCTCGCCTCCCTGCTGCAGCTGGCATGATGGCAGTAGCCACTCCAGATGGCCTGCCGCTGCCGTCATTACAGTGTTAGTGAAGTCCTCAGTGACACTGAGCTGAGACCTGTAGAAGGTGGAGGAGCGAGTCCTGCAGATATGCAGGGGTTGGGGGGATCACAGTCGTCCCAGCTCATCGGATCTTTTTGCCAGAATTGAATGTAGCCACATTGATTATCTGTGTCCTCACCATCTTGGGAGTCAATTCTTGTGAAGGTTGCCCAAAAACATTATTTTGAATTCATTAGAAGCTCAGGGTGGTAAACATGCCAAGGGTAATGAAAACACTTAGCCTTGGGGAAACCTGGGAGGACTCTGGGAGGAGGTGGCATTTGACTGCCCCCACCTTCTGTTGAAGGGTAAATAGAAATGAGGAGGGTCTGGCTGACTGCCCAGCCCCTATCACAAGGAAGCTCTCTGGGGGGCCTCTGCACCCTTCTGAAAGGAGACAAAGGGGCAGCTAAGATGGGTCAATGGGGAGTCCAGCGTGTAAGCTGCCCCAGGATTCCTGAAGCCAGGTGGTCTTTGAGGAGTGCTTGAGGCTTAGGAGAGCAGAGGGCTGGCTCCTGGTTTTATGCAAAACAGCAGAGCTTCCCTGCTCCACACCTGCCCCTATTCTTAACAGAAGCCTTTGTTTCCTCCCAGTGCCTTCCCCTCACCCTCCTCCCCAACCTGCCAAGGCCACCAACCAGAAGCTAATTTGAAACAGTAAATTTGGGAGCAGTAGAGAGGCAGAGCAAGGCAAGTGTCTGCTTTGCCCCCAGGCCAGCCTGAGAGAAAACCTCCACCAATGGGCACCTGGCCTTCCTTTGTCTTGGTTGAATCAACAGTCCATTCATTCATGAGAAAATTCATTCAACAAACATTTCCTGCACATCTCCTCTGTGCTGCCCCCAAACAGTCCCCAGGCTGGAAGGGGTGGAAGAGTGGGGAGAGCGACAAGTAAATAAACGCATGCCATAAAGTGTTTCTGGCATTCTGACAGCCATCTTCATTGGGTGCACAGCCCTAATAGGTCACGGTCTGGGAAAGGGGCCACATGCAGGACCAGCTACATCATTTGCAGGTGCAAAATGAAATGCAGGCACCTCATTCACAAATTAAGGATTTCCACAGGCCAGGCGCAGTGGCTCACGCCTGTAATCCCAGCACTTTGGGAGGCAGAGGTGGGTGGATCACGAGGTCAGGAGTTCAAGACCAGCCTGACCAACATGGTGAAACCTGTTCTCCACTAAAAATACAAAAATTAGCTGGGCATGGTGGTGCACATCTGTAATCCCAGCTACTAGGGAGGCTGAGGCAGGAGAATCACTTGAACCCGGGAGGCAGAAGTTGCAGTGAGCTGAGATTGCGCCACTGCACTCCAGCCTGGGCAACAAAGTGAGACTCTGTCTCAAAAAAAAAAAAAAAAAAAATTAAGGATTTCCACAGCAGACCACTGAAACAGGCGTGGGGCCCTCCTCAGTGTGGGGGCCTGTGGAACAGCCCAGGTCACGTGTCCACAAAGCTGATCCAGTTCCTACTCCTCAAGAGGTTGCCAATCACACACAAGATTTGGACAGGTTATTTCTCCTCTCTATCTTCAGTTTCTTGATCTGGAAAAATGAGTTTGTACCTGCCACGTACATTGGGTTGTTTGGTAACCACCCAGTGGGTTCTTCCTGCCTGCTGCACAGACAAAACCAATCCATTGAGACCATGGCATTGCAGTAAACAAAGAGTTTAATTGACCCGAGACTGGCCATACCATGCAGGAGACAGAGTTATTATACAAATCAATCTTGTTGAAGACTTGGAGGTTAGAGGTTTTTCTTTTCTTTTTCTTTTTTTTTTTTTTTTTTTTTTTGAGACAGAGTCTTGCTCTGTCGCCCAGGCTGGAGTGCAGTGGCACGATCTCGGCTCACTGCAACCTCCGCCTCCCAGGTTCAAGCAATTCTCCTGCCTCAGCCTCCCGAGTAGGTGGGACTACAGGCACCCGCCACCACGCCTGGCTAATTTTTGTATTTTTGGTAGAGACAGGGTTTCACCACATTGGCCAGGCTAGTCTCGAACTCCTGACCTTTTTGCAGGTGAGGCCACTCTCATCCCCTAAAGCAACCTTAGAAAGGTCCTATCCCAGGGTGAGGCAACAGGGTAAGCAACAGGGTGAGGAGGGAGGTATTCATTCCTGGTTTTACAAATCTGTTGTTTTTTTCTCTCTGGGTCCCAAAACTGAAGGGCAGCCCTCAACCCCTTCTGGCCCCATAGATGTTCAGTGTTTGACTAAGATGAAATAGGCCAGGCATGGTGGCTCACGCCTGTAATCCCAGCACTTTGGGAGGCCAAGGCGGATGGATCACGAAGTCAGGAGATCAAGACCATCCTGGCTAACACGGTGAAACCTCGTCTCTACTAAAAATATTTAAAAAAAAAAATTAGCCGGGCGTGGTGGTGGGCGCCTGTAGTCCCAGCTACTCGGGAGGCTGAGGCAGGAGAATGGCATGAATCCAGGAGGCGGAGCTTGCAGTGAGCCGAGATCACGCCACTGCACTCCTGTCTGGGTGACAGAGCGAGACTCTGTCTCAAAAAAAAGAAAAAAAAATGAAATAAAGACCCAACATGATCTGAACAAAGTGTTTTTATGAACTCATGAAAAGAGTCCTTATTAGAAAGGGCTTAGGCAGGAGGCAGGCATGGGGGGTTGCAACATGTCTGATGGCTTTCTGCAGGCTCCTGGCGAGCAGTGATCATTAGCGGATTTTGTTCTGGGGAGGCTCAGTGTCAGCACCACATTATGGGATTTTATGGGATTTATGCACAGAACTTTCCTACAAAGCAAGGTATTATAGGACGGATTAGGCAGTTCCAAGAAGCCAAGGTCCTGGCTCCCCTCTCTGTCTTATTTTTTAGGAGAGTGTTTCAGAGGCCCGTGGTCAGGGGCTCTCTGGCCTTACCCCTGGACTGTAAAACAAGCATGCTTTTACAGAAGATCATACGGTGGATTTTTTTTCATAGAAACTCATTATAAAACATAGAGAATATGTAAAAAGGCATTAAAAGAAGATAAAATCACATGTACTGCCATCATCCACAGACAGCCACTGTCAACATTCTGTGTTTCCTTCCTGTCTTTTTTCTGTGTGCAGGCATGTGTGTGCTCACAGAGAGACAGAGAGCTTCAGAGCAGGGAGCAGAGACAGAAGCAGAGACAATGGGCTTTGATGTAAAACCGAGCTGAATTCTAATCCCTTATTTGCCACTCACTGGCTCCGTGAACTTGGCCAAGTTGCTTTACCTCCATTTCCAGCGATGTAAAAGGAGACTATAGATCCTACCTCCAGGGAGTTCTTTTGGTTAAATGAGATTAAATGAATATAAAGCATTTAGTGTACAACCTGACACACAGTAAATCCCAACCAAACAGTAACTAAATAAATATGGACATACACTATGGGGCTTTTCATTCCAAAAACAGGATCATACTGGTGATTCAATTTTGTATCCTAACCCTGTAAGAATTTCACTGCTATCAATACGGAAAAATTGACTTCTATTCCCAGGCAGCTGAAAAATAATAATAATACAATTCCCAATTATACCTTGCTTCCTAGACTAAATTTTTAACAATGTAGTATACTGTCAATATACTTTTTGTTGTTTTGTTTTGTTTCGTTTTAGACAGGATCTCACTCCGGTTGCCCAGGATGGAGTGCAGTGGTGAGATCACGACTCACTGCAGCCTCAACTCCCCCAGCTCAGGTGATTCTCCCACCTCAACATCCCGAGTAGTTGGGACTACAGGCACACATCACCACGCCCGGCTAATTTTTGCATTTTTAGTGGAGACAGGGTTTCACCATGTTGCCCAGGCTGGTCTCAAACTCCTGGACTCAAGCAATCTGCTTGCCGTGGCCTCCCAAAGTGCTGGGATTACAGATGTGAGCCACCACCATACCTGGCCAGTGTGCACAGTTTTTTTGTTTCCTTGTTTGTTTTTTGAGACAAAGTCTTGCTCTGTTGCCCAGGCTGGAGTGCAGTGGTGCTCTCTTGGCTCCCTACAACCTCCACCTCCTGGGTTCAAGCAATTCTCCTGCCTCAGCCTCCTGAGTAGCTGGGATTACAGGTGCATGCCACCATGCCTGGCCAATTTTGTAATTTTTAGTAGAGATGGGGTTTCACCATATTGGCCACGCTGGTCTTAAACTCCTGACCTCAAGTGATCCACCTGCCTCAGCCTCCCAAAGTGCTGGGATTACAGGTGTGAGCCACCACGCTTGGCCAGTGTGCACGTTTTGTTTGTTTGTTTTTGGAGACAAAGTCTCACTCTGTCACCCAGGCTGGAGTCCAGTGGTGCTATATTGGCTCACTACAACCTCCATCTCCTCGGTTCAAGCAATCCTCCTGCCTCAGCCTCCCAAAGTGCTGGGATTACAGGTATCTTCCACCATGCCCGGCTAATTTTTCTAATTTTTAGTAGAGACGGGGTTTCACCATGTTGGCCATGCTGGTCTTAAACTCCTGACCTCAAGTGATCCACCCACCTCAGCCTCTCAAAGTGCTGGGATTGCAGGTGTGAGCCACCACGCCTGGCCCAGTGTGCACGTTTTTTGCGTTTTGTTGTCCTTGTTTTCTTCTGCCCATCAAAAACCCAACTAGCACCTGACTGAGGCTGCAGGTTCATAACATCCAGAGGATCTGCCTGTTCCACCTGTGTTCCAGTAACGCCACTTAAAACTGCATGATTTTGACATGTTACCCCGTCCTCTCTGGGCCTCAGTTTCCTAATCTGTGAAATGGGAACAGCAATGGTGTCCCCTCAGCAGCAGGCTGTCGCAGCCAAGTAAGATACTCCACATGACGCACTGCACCTGGCATCTAGTAAGCATTCAGTAAAAGGTAAAATAATTAAGTTTCTTGAGTTTGAGACATAATCTTCATATTACAAATTTATGCACTTCCAATTTGTCTGTTTTCTACTTGTTTTTATAAACTGATTAGGGCAACATGCATTAAGATATTGAAATAGGCCGGGCGCAGTGGCTCACGCCTGTAATCCCAGCGCTTTGGGAGGTGGAGGTGGGTGGATCACCTGAAGTTGGGAGTTTGAGACCAGCCTGGCCAACATGGCAAAACCCCGACTCTACTGAAAATACAAAAATTAGCCGGGCATGGTGGCGGGCTCCTGTAGTTCACCTACTCGGGAGGCTGAGGCAGGAGAATCGCTTGAACCCGGGAGGCAGAGGTTGCAGTAAACTGAGACCGTGCTACTGCACTCCAGCCTGGGTGACAGAGCAAGATTCTAACTCAAAAAAAAGAAAAAAGATATTGAAATAATTGGCCAAACAGAGCTTTTCAATGATAGAGTAGTCATTGAAGGGAGCCATGGCTGGCAGGAAGCACCTTTATGCACTCTGCCCACGGAGAGAGACAAGCCGGATGACAGGCAAGCTAACCCTAGCCCTAACTCTAACTCTAACCCTAACCGTAACGTGGACACAGGTGGCTGAGGACCCAGGATATTCATGCAAAGCCAGGGAGCCTCCTGTCTGCCTCCCCACCTGAAGGCAGGGACTGGGCTATGCTTGCCATCTTAGAGAGCCCTTCTAAAAAATGGCAGCGACATCATAAATCCTGAGAGAGGCCCATTGTCAGAGGCAGTTAGAAGCAGTGGCCTTGGGCAAGTTATTGAATCTTTGGAGGTCTCTGTCCTCATCAGTTCAGTTAGGACCAGATGAGATATTACCTTTAAGGAGCGAAAGAAGTACCAGGGTATGGGAAGCACTCAATAAATGGTAGCTCCTTGTGATGACAAATCCATCACTAGAGTCACGGGCTTTTGTTTTGTTTTGTTTTGTTTTGTTTTAACCTCTCAATGAAATCAGTCTCCTGCGTGACCTCTTTAACAACTTCTTCTTACAGTGGATATTAAAACCTGGGTTAGGCCGGGCATGGTGTCTCACGCCTGTAGTTCCAGCACTTTGGGAGGCCAAGATGGGCGGATTGCTTGAGCCTAGGAGTTCGAGGCAGCATGGGCAACATGGTGAGGCCCCATAACTACAAAAAAAAAAAAAAATACAAAAATCAGCCAGCTGTGGCAGTGCGTGCCTGTAGTCTCAGCTGCTCAGGAGGCTGAGGCAGGAAGATCGACTGAGCCCCAGAAGTGGAGGCTGCAGTGAGCCATGACTGCACCACTGCATTCCAGCCTGGGTGACAGTAACACTTTATTTAAAAACAAACAAAAAAACAAAAACCTGGGTCTTTGTGAATGTATTTCCAGAAAGAGTATAGACAGAAAAGCAGATTTTTTTTTTTTTTTTTGAGACAAGGTCTCACTCTGTCATCCAAGCTAGAGTGCAGTGGTACAATCACAGCTCACTGCAGCCTCCACCTCCTGGATTCAAGCAATCCCCCTGCCTCAGCCTCCTGAGTAATTGGGACTATAGGTATGCACCACTGCACCTGGCTAATTTTTCTATATTTTTAGAGATGGGGTTTTACTGTGTTGTCCTTGAACTCACTAAGTTGCTGGTCTTGAGCTACTGGACTCAAGTGATCCTCCTGCCTCGGCTTCTCAAAGTGCTGGGATGACAGGCATGAGCCACCGTGCCCAGCCTGGAAAGTAGATTTTGCCTTCCTGAGACTGCTTCATTTATTTCTTAGGACTTGACAGACTGAAGTTTGCTAGCTTGCTAGTGGTAGAGGAGAGACGTTGACAAACTGAAAACAGTCCACAGACCAAATCTGGACCACTGCCTTTTTTTATGCAGTTTGCAAGTCTGAGTGGTTTTCAGTTTTAAATGGTTGGAAAATAATCAAAACAAGAATGATATTTCATGACGTGTGAAAGTTGCATGAAATTCAAATGCCTGTGTTCATAAATAAGGATTTATTGGAACACGCCCACAACTCATTCATTTCCAGTTGGTCACTGCTTTCATGCTAGAACAGCAGAGGTGAGTTGTTTTGAGAGATTCATGTGGCCCCTTTATGGAAAAGGTCCGCTGACTCTTGGTTTAGGGTAAGGATTTAGCATTCCCATGGCCCCAGCTCTGTCTCCCACCATCTCTCTCTGTCACCCCCATGACTCTCTGTCCCTGCCTCCCAGGCTCCCCCCTCAGCCCCAGCCCCACCCCAGAGAGTGTGTTCCTTGAGGACATGAAGCCAGGAGAAGGACACAAATGACCACTAGCATCTCCCTGCCAGGCCCCACCCCAGGCCCTGCAGAGATGTCATTTCAGTAGTGACAACATTCCCACTTTAGGGATGAGGAAACTGAGGCTCAGAGAGGCAAATCATCTGCCCGGATTTACACAGATAATAAGCGGCAGAGCTTGGATCTTACCCCAGCCATGCTAATCTCAAACCCATACTCCACGCCCTGGTTTAGAATGACATGACCGGCCCAGAGGCAGGACACAGGTGAGGACCGGTGGGTGCCCTCTGGCCTCGGCCCAAACTTTCTCAGGTGACACGGTGACACCCTGGGGCCTGTTCCCTTGCTAAGCACATCCCTCCCACTCCTCCGTGTTCCTGCCATGTTTCAGCCTTGGCTCCCGCCTGCATTTCCACCCGACCCTGGCAGCCAGAATAAACACGGCTGCCCCAGCACCCCTCCTATGGAGCCAAAAGAACTTACTTCCCTGCTGCCTCGGCCTGGGATTCCAAACAATAATGAAAAAAAACCTAAGCCCATGCCCAGAAGAGACAGACGCAGTTCCATGGAAAATACTCACCTGTGGCGGGGCATGGGGGAGGCATTCCTTGGACTGAGGGGAGCCGTCTAACCTGCTTTTATATGTCCAGTTTTACCCACCAGGCCTCACCGAGGAGGAAAGGGGCCCTCTTGGCAAATGTTCTGTATTAGGAAGGGGACGTGTTTTATGAGGGTTTTAAATCGTCTCTGGCCTTTGCAGATTTGCTTTCCTGGACCATGGTCCCCATGGGTCCTCTCCCTACAGGGATTTTCCACTCACCTGATGCCTGTTTTCTCCTCTCTGTTGCCTCTGGCCAGGCAAACTGCCCAGTCGGCCATCGCATACAACTCATGTTTTCCCAGGAGCCTGTCTCCACGAAGAGACCCTCCAGGGCAGCTGATGTTAAACTTCGTGGAACACTTTTTTCCACTAGACCAGGCAGTTTTCCAAATCTCCCTGGCTAAACACTGCCAGCTTGTTCTGCTCAGGGGAAAGTAGCCAATTGTCCCGCAAAGCCATGTACGTGTGTGAGTCCACGTGTGTCTGTGTGCACATGCATTTGTGTGTGTCAATCACACCAAGTCATTGGTATTAAAATCCTGCTCAAGAGCTGGAGGAAGGGTCAGGAAGGAGGCAGAACAGCTCAGCAGTGAGCACAGACCTGCTGGGATTTGGCTCCGGTGACTGCAGTCTCTTGGGAGGGGAGGGGAGAGGAAGGAAGGGGCCCCCCATCCCCACCCCAAAGTCCCTGAGCTGGGCACTCATGGCAGCAGAGCTCCAGGTGTCACTGTTCACCCATCATGAGCTGGTGGCCCGTGGCCATCCCTGGCCTGAGTACCAATGGCCTCCTCACTGTTCTCCCGACAACCACTCAGTACCCAGAGCTATCCTGGACCCAGCAGCCTGAGCAGACTCCGAAAACAGAGATTCCATCACATCTGCCTTTGCTCCACAGCCCCCTCCCAAAGGCCCTCATCGCACTGCAGATGAAACCCAAAGTCCTCCTCCTGCCTGCGGGACCCAGCCTCAGCGCTTTTCAAACCTCAGTGAGCAAAGGAGCACCTGGGGATCTCGTTCAGTAAAAAGCAGAGCCTGATTCAGGAGGGCCAGGGTGGGGCCTGGGATTCTGCATTTCTTTTTGTTTTTTTGAGACAGAGTCTTGCTCTGTGGCCCAGGCTGGAGTACAGTGGCACAATCTCAGCTCACTGCAACCTCCACCTACCGGGTTCAAGCGATTCTCCTGCCTCAGCCTCCCAAATAGCTGAGATTACAGGTGCATCCCACTGTACCAGGCTCATTTTTGTATTTTTTATAGAAACTGGGTTTCCCCATGTTGCCCAGGCTGGTCTCAAACTCCTGGCCTCAGGTGATCCGCCTACCTCGGCCTCCCAAAGTGCTGGAATTACAGGCATGAGCCACCGCACCCGGCCTGGATTCTGCATTTCTAACAGGCTTCTGGTCCAGGAACCACAGGGTGAGTGTGGATCCTCGCTGCACCGGGGGAGCTGAGCCACGGAAAAAGTTAGTTCTCCCAACTGCAGCTCGCCTCTTCCCTTCAAGCCCAGAAAGCCTCCTTTCACATTTTCAGGGACAGACCTGGGATGTGAAATTTCAAACTCTGCCCTGAGTTAAATTCCAGGAGAGGGTACAAGAGCAAAGGATAAAGGCTGGGGGAGGGAGGGAAAGGCAGAGAGGACGTGTCCCTGCTGTTCTCACTGAAGCCAGGCCACACGACCCTCAGGGCCAGCCTGCTGAACTGTGCACACACACATCACCCCCACACAAGGTCTCCTTGGCCCCATCTTCCCAGGGACCTCGGGGGAGGGCAACAGAGGAGGTGACAAGTTTCTCTCTGAGCAGTTGATGCTGGGAGAAACGTGTGGCTTGCAGAGCTGCCAGTCCCACAAAAACCACATCCTGAAAGATGGACCAAGTAGAAAAAAAGGCCACCATCCACCTCAGGCCAGCTTCTGGAACTGTCAGTTCCTTTGGGGAATGTCTGACATGTTCTTTTTCCCTCTGATTTCATCCCAAACCTTTTGAGAAGCAGGTTGCGTGGCATTGCACAAGTTACTTAGATTTACTGAGCCTGTTTCCTCCTGCAATAAATGGGCACGAGCCTCCCTGGGCTGTTAAGGAAATTCAATCAGAAACTGTGTAAAGGCCCTGAGGCACTAAAGGCCAATTTGGGTTCCCGACCTCCTTCCCACCGTCTGCCCTCCATCCCAGGCACACAACCAGAGAGATGTAAGAGGGACCTAACGGTTACCCAGCCGGTCTGGCATCTGACCGGGGTGAAAATGCATCTCTGTATATGAGTTGCTTCATATCTTTTGGCTTTAGTTTCCCCAGCCATAAAAGTGTGTTTGGGGTGGGGGAGGAGGACTATGATCTTCACAAGCCCTTTTAGACTTGGGGTGTTAACCTTACATGAGAGAAATGCCTGGAAGAAAAGCATGGCTAGTTAGCAGGAACGCCGCTGGGTTGGAGGCCGGGCAGCTCGGAGGCGCAGTATCCTATCTGGGCCACCAGGCGGCTCCGAGGACAACAGATGAGCAAAGCCCGCTTTTGCAGCCTGGTTCTGTCTTCAGATCTTTCCAGGCTTCTTCGCAGGCCTGGCGGACACCAGCCGCTGCTGGGTGGGAAAGGCCTGTCACTCCCAGGCTGGAATCGCTTTCCCATTTTTACAGACCTCGAAGATGAGAGGAGGCCGTCACCACAATGGATTCCGGCCCTGGGGTCTGATGGAGACATTGGTCCGCCCTTCGGTCAGACTCTTGGGGGCGTTAGGGGGGTGGGGGGGTCTCTGCTCTGCAACCCTTAGCTGAACCCCATCCTCCACTTCTCTCCTCCCGTCTGGTCAGAGTGGGAAGAGGTTTGGATTGGGATCCCCCCTCCTGCACTTCCTGGCTGGGTAACCTGGACGATGGGATAACAGTCCCCCGATTGCAAGGTCAGGGGAAGGACTGTGTCAGAATATAGGCCCTCAGTGCAGGACAGTTGCTCATCCTAAGCCTCTCCTGCCTTTTGCTCTTCCAGTGGCTTTTCACCCAGAAGGAAGATCCTCCCCTGCAGAACCTCTCCCCAGAACTAGGTCTTTGCAGGTGACGAGGTAATCCCAGCCTCCCCTCCCCGCAGATCAGCGTTTTTCGAAGTGACTTTCTCACCAGGCGGAGCATTGAAAGTACCGATCCCAGCGCACCCAGCCCTGCTGAATCAGAATCTCTGGGGGTGAGGCCCAGGAATCGCCGTCTGAACAAGTCGCGGGCTGGAAACGGCTGCCCCAGATTACAGGGCAGCTCCCTGCTTCGCTCTCGCTCCTCCGGCCCCGGGAACGTGCAGGGGGGCGGGAGGCAAGTCCCATCAGCACTTTGAACTGGGGCTGCTTTTTAGTGACTCACCTCCCAGACTTCCTGCAACAGACAACTCTAAATAGCTCGGTCCCACCCTCCAGCAGGGGAGACATTCCGGTCGGGAAGGGCAGGAGGTTAGAAGGTGGGTGCCCCGCCAGGGCAGTCCAGGGAGACCCAAGGACAGGAGACGCTGGCTGCACAGCACAGGGGCGCACGAATAGGACGTTTTGTTTACAGGCTTTTGTTATTAAGGAAATTGGTGTCAGTCAAGGTAATTCTAGCTCAGATGAGCAATAAATATGCTCCCAGCTAATCTTGTGGGGATTTTATTGGCACTCGGAGCAGAGGTTCCTTTACCTTGACTACTCCCTCCCCTCAAAGCAAAGTCCTGCTCCCCAGCGGCTTCCCCCTAAGCATCGTGAGGCACTTGGGTCAGGCTTTTAAAAGTCCACTCTACGTGAACACAGAAGAGGTCCGGGCAAAGGTGAGGAGTGGCTTCCTGATCCTACCTGGAGGCCGAGGATGACCAAATGACCTGAAATAAAACCCTGGGTGACCTGGTTGGATCAAGGCATACGCAAGCTCCCCCGGGCCTGCTCCACACTCGGGGTGATCACCTGGCCCGCGGGCGGCCCGGGCAAGGAGGAACGTCTCGAGAAGGCAGCCGGCTCGCCGGAGTCGGTTCCAGCGTGTTCGAGTTACAGCTGCGAGCCCTCAGGGACACCGGCGGCAAGTCCCGGCTTGCAGAGAGGGGAGCCAGTCCCGGGAGAGCGCGAGTCCCGGCGAGCCCGAGTGCGCGCCTTATGCGCGCTCCCCGCGACGGCGCAGGGGGAGGGGAGGCCGCAGCAGCCACTCAGAGGAACGGTAGTGAAGCCTCCCAACAACTTTAACTGTCAATCAGACTTAATGGGGTATTGAAAAAATGGGGGAAAAAGGGGCCGCCCTCTCCGCGACGCGGCTGCCCGGGGAGCGAATGAATAGGGCCGCGCAGACCAAGGCGTCCGATCCACGCGCGCTCCACACCCGGACCCTCTCCAAGTTGGAAAGGACAAAAAGAAGGCAATAAATGCTAAAAAGGGAGAGAAGGGGAGCTGGATCGAGCGGCAACTCCCAGCCTCTGCTGGAACAGAGAGGGAGGGAGGGAGCCGGAGCGAGCGAGCGCGCGCGAGGGCGAGCGCTGCACGTAAAGAAACTGACACCCGGACCCCCCACTTCTCCTGCACGTTGCTGGCAATCAGATCGCGTTTAAGCAATTTCCTGAGCCCAAGAATAGCAATGAGTCGGGAGACTTTCGCGGGCTGAAATTGGGAGCTCCAAGCACTTTTTCCCCCCACTTTTTTTTTTTTTTTTTTTCTGGAGACGGGGTGGGGGTGGGGGCGCTACAATTTGGAATCAGCTTTTTTTTTTTTTTTTTTTTTTTTTTTAATCTTGCACTTTGAAACCGCGGGACCGAGGCAGGGTGCGCGCGTGTGGTTGGTGCCTTTTTTTTTTTTTCTTCCCCTCCCTAAACTCCTCTGTCAGTCTGTAAACATTACCTGAGAATTCCCCAGCCGAAACGGCTGCTGGGGCAAGAAACTTCTTGTTAGAACTTTCCACCTCCGGCTTCCCCCTCCACCTCTTTTACCGTCCCAACCTTAGGAGACGCTTTTTCTCCCCCAGAGGAGAATTTATCTTTTTTTTTTTTTTTTTTTTCTTTTTCTCACCCGGTGCTTTGCATTTGGGAAGAGGTGATTTCAAGAGTGGCCAGGTGGGACGCCTCTCTCCTCCTTATTCGGTTTACTATTTATTGTTCGGGGTGTTTTTTAATTCCTGTATTGCTCGGCCCGGGGAGTTTCGCCCCCTGCCCGGCTCCGCGGCGCGGAGGATGGTGTGGAAACGGCTGGGCGCGCTGGTGATGTTCCCTCTACAGATGATCTATCTGGTGGTGAAAGCAGCCGTCGGACTGGTGCTGCCCGCCAAGCTGCGGGACCTGTCGCGGGAGAACGTCCTCATCACCGGCGGCGGGAGAGGCATCGGGCGTCAGCTCGCCCGCGAGTTCGCGGAGCGCGGCGCCAGAAAGGTACCAGGCACTGCGACTCCAGGGAGTGGGGGGCCGCAGGGGCGGGGGTAAGCCCACCTGCTGCCGCTGCGGGATCCCGCGCCCGGGAGCTGAGAGTCGCCGGCCACCCCACTTCTCCGCGCCACCCACGAGTGCTGAGCTAGTCGGTTTCACCTTGTAAATTTCCCGGGCACCGGACTGTCTTTTTTGGCAGGTTCAGAGTTGATCCGCTCCTTTGGGATCGGTGGCTGGCTGACTGGCTATTCACCCCCACCCTGAAACCTAAGAGACCCACCATTTCCCACATTCCTGCCTCCCAAAGGAAGGTGTTGTGCCCCCCTCCCCCGCCTTCCCCCCTTTTTCTTGCCGCCACCCTGGTGAGTGCAGGGTGTGCGCACTCCTGGGTAGAGCTGGGAGCCGCCTGCTAGCTGGCGCCTCGTATTTTCCTTGGCAACCCGCTACCCAGCCCCAACCTGGGCGGCTGCAGCTCTGAAGACACGAGAGAGGGTACTTGGTTTGGGTTTGAAAAGGGAAGAGCGGTCTTGTATGCAGTAGTCTGGCCGGACCGACACTGAGAGGCCCAGGTGTTTGGAAAGCAGGAAAGAGGAGGCCAGGGTAAGCAGCTACTGATAAAGAGCCCTTGTTCTCACCTTCAACCCTGTCCCCTCCCCCCCAGTACACCCCCCAGGGATCCCTCCCCATTTAGCTGGAAGGTGGTGCTGCAAGGAGGGTCCTGCCCACCAAACACGGCCTTTAACTTTTTGGTGGTCCTGGCACCCCTTGCTCCAGGTTTTGGAGACCTGGTGCCAGAGTGGGGAGAGTGGGCAGGCTGTCACCCAACTCCCAGCCCAGGCCAGGCTGACTCACGCGGTGACCAGAGCCATCAGGAGAGGGAGGCAGGCCAGGCTGTCTCCAGCCAGCCCTGTGAAGAGGAAGAGCGAAAACAGGGAATTAGTTTGAAACTTAAACTGTTGTGAACTAGGGGGGTGAAAGGGCCGCAAAGCCAGCTGATCTGACATGGAGCCGCATACCTTGGGGATTAAGTAAATATGTACTGTAGAAAACCAAACCTGCATGTAATTCCAGGTTGCTTTTGTTTTGTTAAATACTGCCCTGAGATTTACAATTCCTCCGGGGTGGCTCTGACTGGGACTGAACTTTGGAGCCTGAACTATCAGCCAAAGCCGATCCGATTAACTCTTCCCTAGCCGGGCTGGCCGGAGCCTGTGGTGGCCAAGCTAGCAGGGGTCTGGCTGTCCAGGACTCCCTCTTCTCCTTGGGTGGTTTGGACAGCCGCTTGACCTTGCATTTGGAGGGGGAGTTGGGAAGCGTTTTTAACCCTTGGACACAACGAATAAGGGGAAGTCAGAGTTGTTCTCAGCAGTTTCATTTCCTTGAGGCGATGCCCCATAAAAGGGCTCCTGAAGCTCTTTGTGAAGGGGACTGAAAAGGGCAGATGAGGGTGTCCTTTGGGGCGGACGTGGGGTTTGGGACAATTGCATGTGATTGTCATTCTTTAGCTGTCTGCATCCCACAGAAACTTTTTTCTGAGTCTTCCAGCTGGCCCAAGTCCTGGGTCTCTTTTACTGTTCTTGTAGCTGACTACAGTAGGCAGATGAGGAACTCTTAGTCAATCTGGAAAAACTCGACTGACTATAAACAATCCTAAATTGAAAGAAGTGTATGGCATTGGGGGGTGGGTGTGATAGTACAGAGTGGAGCCTGCAAGTTCACGCACCGGGAACCAAACCCCACCTAACTTGGACTGGACGTCCTCTTCCAGGGAATCCAGCCAGGGCCAATTAGAAATGTGTCTTAAATTGGTGTCAGGGTCACCAAAAACAAAAACAGGATCCATGGGGGCCTGTGAAACTTCGAGTGCCATTCATGCTCGGTTCAGTCATCTGACTTGTCAGGATGACCAGCAGTGCTCCCTGTAACTCGCCATTATCTGACCAATTACTGGAGCTACTTTATAATGAGGCTTCTGGAGCTACTTTATAATGAGGCTTCTGGAGCTACTTTATAATGAGGCTTCTGTTTGCTGTCATGGTGGGGAGTTTGGAATTGTGGCTTCTTGCCTAACACCAATGAGAGGACTTTGGGACAAACCCCCAGAGCCAGGAGTGTTTTGAGGCCTAGTGGGGTTGGGAACAAAGGGTCAAGTGTCGAGGGAGTGGGGAAATTATGGGTTGGGGACAGGTGTGAACAGTGGGCTTGGGGGTGGCCCAAGAGTACTAGACCAGAGAGGTCCAGTGCCACCCGCAGCCTGCAGTGATACTAGACAGGGGGCGGCTGTGTGGAACCACAGATGACATCCCTTCTCCTCTTGATGGAAGTGGAGGCTGCATCTGAGAGCTTCCCAGCCTAGATTCTGGTGGCTGCATCTGAGAGCTTCCCAGCCTAGATTCTGGTGGGACTGGATCTGGGAGGGGGAAGACCCCAAAAAGCAAAAAAAAAAAAAAAAAAAAAGTGTACCAGAGTCTCTGCAAAGAGCTGACGTGTCCAGGAGTTATCTGTTTATTTGGGAAGGAGGGAGAGAGTTGACAACCCAGTTTCCCATAATGACCTTGAGTTAAATAGGATTTGGCAATATTTGTGGGTGGTGGTGAGCCTTAGGGTGCAAAGGTGGCCCAAATAAGCGAGGGTTTTTTTTTTTTTAAAGGCACACTAAGGCTGTAAGAATTTGAAAGCTCCGGACACATCTCTCCTTACCCACAGTGCACTGTGGCAAACTGAGGCAGGGCCAGTCATGGTTAGGGTTTCTAGGCGTAAAGGTCTTGCTTTTTAATTTTCTTTGCCCTCCTAGAATTCCTTCCACAAAAGCATTCACAAACCTTAAACTTATTCCCCTTCCCTCCAAGGGAACTAACTTCTGGCTAGTGGTCAGCCCCGGCTCCAGTCTTTGAGTTTGACATGGTGTTAGCAGGAGCCCCTGAGAGGAGAAGTGGACCGTTCATTTAGAAGTATTTGTAGGGACCATCCCCGCCTTTGGTCTGGTATCCAGCAAGTGGCTGGACGAAAGTCTTGGGCCATGATTGCAAACCTTGGGAGGTGGGGCAACATACGTGGGCCTAATACCACGTCAGGAACTCCAGGACCTTGGCTGGGAGCAGTGGCTCATGCCTGTAATCCCAGCACTTTGGGAGGCTGAGGCAGGCGGATCACTTGAGGTCAGGAGTTCGAGACCAGCCTGGCCAACATGGTGACTCCCCATCTCGACTAAAAATACAAAAAATTATCCAGGCCTGGTGGTAAGCGCCCGTAATCCCAGCTACTCGGGAGGCTGAGGCAGGAGAAGTGCTTGAACCCAGGAGGTAGAGGTTGCAGTGAGCCTAGATCACGCCATTGCACTCCAGCCTGGGCGACAGAGCAAAACTCTGTCTCAAAAACAAACAAACAAACAAAAAAACTCAATTCCCACTTCCGAGAGGTAGTCTGAGGGGAGGTATTTCAGGAAGGTAGTATGGGAACTGGCTTGGAGTTCTGTCTTGCTGTCAGTGAATTTACAGCATGTGGGTAGATAGCCCTGTTCCTACAGCACCCAGCCAGGAACTAGCACTGTGAGTAGATTTATGAACCCCATTCTCCAGCACTTCCATTCAGCAAGTCCTGTGTCCTTCCCATCCCTAGCCCTGGGGCCAGCCCAAGCTTATAAGTCCCTTGACACCATCTCTGAGAGACCTAGCTTAGCAAACCTACCTGGGGTATCTGTTCGGTGTTTGGCACAGCTCTGGGCCTGTAAGAAAATGTAGCAAAGATGAATAAAGACCTAGAGTGTGGCCAGGTGCTTACAGTGAAGGCACAAGTCACCATCTGTATGTGCTTCCTGTGGTTACCATGACCAATTAGGACAAACTTGACGGCTTACTACAACAAAATGTATTCTCTTGTGGTTCTGGAGGCCAGAAGTCTGAAATCAAGGCATCAGCAGGGTTCTGGGTTCCTCTCCACTCAAAAGACTACGGGAAGATCCTTCGTCATCTCTTCCAGCTCCTGGTGGCTCCTGATGCTCCTTGGCTTATGGAAGCATGGCTCCAGTCTCTCCTTTCATCATCCCATGGCCTTCCTTGCTGTGTGTGTCTACGTCCCGTCATCTCCTTTTTTTTTTTTTGAAACAGAGTTTTGCTCTTATTGCCCAGGCTGGAGTGCAATGGCGTGATCTTGGCTCACTGCAACCTCCGCCTCCCAGATTCAAGCGATTCTCCTGTCTCAGCCTTCCGAGTAGCTGGGATTACAGGCGTGCGTGCCACCATGCCCAACTCATTTTGTATTTTTAGTAGAGATGGGGTTTCTCCATGTTGGTCAGGCTGGTCTCGAACTCCCAACCTCAGGTGATCCACCTGCCTCAGCCTCCCGAAGTGCTCGGATTACAGGTGTGAGCCACCGTGCCCACCCCCATCATCTTCTTATAAGGACACTAGTTATTGGATTCAGGGCACACACTAAATCCAATGTGATTGCATCTCAAGATCCTTAACTAGTTATAGCTCCAAAAACTCTCTTTCCAAATGAGGTGACATTCTGAAGTTCTGGATGGGCGTGAAGTTTGGGAGATGCTACACAGTGGAAGCACAGAGGAGCAGTTAATTTATAGCAGGTGCTCATGAAAGGTTTCATGAAGGAAGGAGCATTCGACTGAGCCTTGAAGAAGGTCAAGTGTTTCAACCAGAAGGGGTGTGACAAGGGAAATCTAGGTACAAGAAACCACCTGATCAAAAGCTCTACCTGGCTGGAATTGCGGGAGGGAAGAGGAAAGGGAAGCAAGAAAACATTGTATTGTGGGATAGGGAGGTAAGCAGGGAGTTTACACCTCAGACTCTGAGTCAGGTCAGTACTGGTGAGAATAGAAAAAAAGAGAAAGAGAAGAGAAGGGTCCAGACAGGTCATCTGTGGGTCCCTAGAGTCATCAGGCCAAAACAGCTGCACTAACCAATTTACAGGGAGAGAGCAGTGGCCCATCTCTCCCATCCTCACTCTGTGCAGCCTGAAAGCAGGCAGGTAGGCTACCTGTCCTACCTGTGACATCTGGAAGTGTTTCTGCTTAGAGCATCGGTCACAACTGACCTTACAAATGAGCCTGTCTCATGAATAAACAAACATCTCCTTCTTACTCCCCCAGGCCCTTCCCTTGGGGGAACAAAGGTGTCTACCTCTGGGACCACGCCCCCCTGCAGTCTTGCTCACTTGTGCAGGAGGCCAGAGACTGAGCTTTTATTTATTTATTTATTTATTTATTTTAAAAATAGAGACGGGAGTCTCCCTATGTTGCTTAGGTTAGTCTCGAACTCTTGGGCTCAAGCAATCCTTCCTTCTTGACCTTCCAAAGTGCTGGGATTACAGGTATGAGCTTCCACACCCAGCCAAGACTGGGTTCTTGACCCTGGAAAAGTTACTACCTTCTCCAGGTTGCAGCTGAGAAGCACACCTATAAAATGAGAGGGGTTACAATGATCCCTAAGATCCCGGCACGCTCAAAAATTCTCGTCTTACACATCAGTCAACCCAAGAAAGCAACGGATTGCCAGGCTTCCCTGAATTGCAAGCAGGAGACTTCCAGGTGAAGAAAGCATTTGTCCCCATCACTGATCTCAGCCTTTGCTAGTCATCAGATGCCACCAAATGAAAAAGAAGCAACTCAGAGTTGGAAGATGTGCTGTGCCCCAGCTCCGCAGAGCCCCACACCCATTCAAAACTCCCTCAACAGGTAGCTGTCTGCCATGGATTTATTTCAGCTCTTGCAGAAGACGTTAGTATTTCCAAACTGTCGCTTCTAAAGGAATAAGGGACCCAAATTCCCTGACTAGCATGTCAAACAAAATTTCCTGGTTTTTTTCTTCTAAATTCACCAACTTTTCTATTTGGGCTTTCAGGAATGCCTCCTCCATCTAGCAATACTGACTCTGAGTCAAGTTCATTTTCAGTGCACCCAGCCCTTCTGCTAATTCTCATTTCGACTTCAAGCTCTTCTGAGCTTCCATCTTTTCAGATGAAGCGCACTTGTTTATGGCTGCACAGATCCCTTCCAAGCCCTTCTGATCTCTGTATCTTTGCAGTTACTTTCTCTGGTTCATTTCCATCTTGGTATTTGCCGAGGCCGTCTGCCTTGAGAAAGTGATCTCGGCTGTATTTATGAGGTGTCCTTTCTAACCAGGAAGTGTATCTGGTTGTCACAATCGCTGTAACAAAAGCCCTTGTCTTAACCTGCCACTACCAGCGATATCCTACCACAGTTTTGAGCATCAGTGCGGGATGGGTCCCACACCCTACACGTTCTCCCTTATCCTTGGACAAAAGCATGAACACACCCAGAATTTTATAAGGCTGTGCTCACCGTTGTCTTCAGGAGACACAATCCAAAAATATAAGTCCATAAGATACTTGAAACATTTCAAACATATTATTCAGATGAACCACGAGGATTACGAAACCATTGAAGCCCATTGGAAATGAGAAAAGTGAGTCTATTTAGACACTAGCATGCCCAAATGTGTGCTCATTGCTGTGGCACCCCTGAAATGAGTGAGATCTTAGAATCTGAAAATGAGCACATGCCTAGATTCTCAACAAGAAAGTGCCGGGTTAGCAAATGAATGAATGGTTGGTGGGAACTCATTCATTTATTCACTTATTCATACATTCAGCACATTTACTGAGCACCTACTATATGCCAGGCACTGTTCTGGGCACTGAAGGCATGCAGGGAGCAAAGCAGATGAAAATCCCCACCCATGTAGTGAGAGCTGGCATTTTAGTAAGAGAGACAGATAAAAAGCAAGATCAGTAGAACAGTACATTCTCATGCCTGTAATCCCAGCACTTTAGGAGGCTAAGGCAGGCGGAACACTTGAGGTCAGGAGTTCAAGACCAGCTTGACCCAACATGGTGAAACCCTCCTTCTCTACTAATAATACAAAAAAAAAAAAAAAATTGCTGGGCATGGTAGAGCGCACTTATAATCCCAGCTACTTGGGAGTCTGAGGCACGAGAATTGCTTGAACCTGGGAGGCGGAGGTTGCAGTGAGCAGAGATCATGCCACTGCACTCCAGCCTGAGCAACAGTGGGAGACTCTGTCTCAAAAAATAAATAAATAAATAAAACAGAACATTGAATTGTCATTATAAGCAATGAGGAGAAAACCAATGAGGCAAGAAGGATGGGAATGCGAGGGCCTGAGATTCTAGGTAGGGTATAAGGAAGGCCACACTGAGAAGGAGACACGAGGAAAGACCTGAAGGAGGCGAGGGCATGGTGGGAAGGGAGCAGTAGCATTCCAGGAAGAGGACAGGGCAAGGGCTCTGAGGAGAGAGTGGAGTGTCTGAGGACCAAGAGGTGGCCAGTGTGGCTGAAGCAGTGAGTGAGTGGGGAGGAAGAACTGAGGGAGACAGGTTCCCATGTAGGACAGGTAGACCTAGCTGGCCCCACGACTCAAGCATCATGCCCTCACCCAAGCCTTAGCAGGATCCCCTGGCTGCTGTGACAGGCAGGTGGTGGAGGTGTCAGGCCAGGGGTGGGGGACCTGCTAGGAGGCCGCCAGGTTTCCATGCCTCCTCCAAAAATATCACCCAGACTTGCTTCGCCACCTTCTTTGAGAGCTTCCCAGAGCTCAGGGAATGCTGTCAGCATTGCACTAGAGTTTTGGAGGATGCTGAGGGCCTCCTCTGATATCTTTTACTGTCAAGATGGAAGTGTCTGGGCTGAGGGTAATGGAGAATCTAGGCAGTCCGGGGTGCCACTGTTGGAGGGGGTGGGAGGCAGCTGGCACCCAGCCCTCAGGGCTCTGCTGGGCAGCCCTGCTCCCAGCCAGATCCTGATCTTTCTTGCTGGTAACTTAGGTGAGGAAGTGACAACCAGCTTCAGGGTGACACGGCTCTGAGGAATCGTGACTATGTTGGCTCTGTTCATTGATTCAGCAAACTAGGCCTTGGAGATGCGGCAGGGAACCTCATAAACAAGGTTCTCTCCTTGTGACACTTAGTGTTCTTGGAGTGACCACCATCCCCAGACTGAAAAATCTCCTAACACTGTGGAAGGATGAGTTGGCACCAACAAGCAGGCTTCTAATGGCAGTAGTGCTTAACCCCTCTGAATAAAATCAGATAATTGTGCTGGTGCTTAGAATGAAGGAGATGCTTTTCAGTCCTACTTTGTCAAACGACTTCTGGGGTATTGTGTCCATGTGGGCCAGCACTTTGACAGGGCCCTTGACCAACTGGAAGGTATCCAGGGAGCAGGCTGGGTGACAAGGGCTAGAAGCCATGACTTAGGTTGGGTGGCAAATCCATGGGAGTATAGTTGACTGCTTAAGAGGCAAGAGAGGGTATCAGCTGCATTCCAGTACCACAGAGGCATGGGACCTGTTCTAGATGGTTCTGGAGGCCCATGCTAGGCCCGTGGGGAGGGCTCGAAAATGCAGACCTGGGCCCTGCAAGAGGAACACCTTCCTGCCCTTTGGAACAGGTTGCTCTTTAAGCAAACATGGTGTCGAGATTTCTGCACTGGGGGAGGTTAGGTTCTGGACAACCTCCTAGGTCCCTTCTACCCTTTGATTCTGTGAGTCATTGTCATGAAGTCAGTGAGGGCAATGACACAGGCAGGGGCAGGGGCAGGGGGCAGGAGGAAAAGAGGACACCAGCATCGATCAACCAACACTTGAAAATTAAAAGAAGGCAGCCCTTCTCAGCATGACTTCAGCAGGATCCTCCAGCAGTGATGTCATTCCTTTGTCCAGGCTTTCCAGGGTGCTGGGGAGCAGGGAGGAGGCAAGAGGGTGCAGGGTGGGCACAGACTCACATCCTTCACTCAGGCTTAGATTCCTGTGGCTTCTGAACTGGATGCTGATGGCTTCCTTGCGTTCCTAGTAATATTCATGACCGTGGTACTCTACATGTCTGTGGTACCATACACGATTGGTAATATACGTGACTGTGGTAATATACAAGGGGACTTCAAAAAGGTGGTGGAAAATGGAATTAAAGGATGAAAATAAAAAATATAGGCCAGGCACAGTGGCTCACTCCTGTATTCCCAGCACTGTGGGAGGCCGAGGCGGGCAGATCACTTGACGTCAGGAGTTCGAGACCAGCCTGTCCAACGGGATGAGACCCCATCTCTACTAAAAATACAAAAATTATCTGGCATGGTGGTGCATGCCTGGGATCCCAGCTACTCGGGAGACTGAGGCAGGAGAATCACTTGAACCTGGGAGGTGGAGTTTGCAGTGAGTGGAGATCGCACCACTGCACTTCAGCCTGGGCAACAGAGCAAGACTGCGTCTTTCTCCCTCTCTCCATATATACACACACACACACATACACACACACACATATACACAAATATATATATTTTATTTCTCAACATAAACTTCATCAAGTTACAAGACACTTTTGTAAGCGATGATACCAGCCATCTAGTCCATCCCTAAATAACTGAGGGTCCTGAGAGTTCAGCCATGTCAATACAGTCTTTTTTTTTACATCATTAGCTGAAGAGAAATGGATGCCCTTTGTCTTAGTCCTTTCTCACATTGCTATAGAGAAATATTAGAGACTGAGTAATTTATAAAGGAAAGAAGTTTAATTGACTCACAGTTACACATGGCTGAGGAGGCCTCAGGAAACTTACCATCATGGCAGAAGGAGAAGGGGAAGCAAGGCACCTTCTTCACAAGGCAGCAGGAAGGAGAATGAACTTAGAAGGAACTACCGAACACTTATAAAACCATCAGATCACGTGAGAGCTCCCTCACTATCATGAGAACAGCATAGAGGAAACTACTCCCATGATCCAATTACGGCCACCTCATCTCTCCCTTGGCAGATGGGGATTATGGGGATTATAATTCAAGATGAGATTTGGGTGGGGACACAATGCTTAACTGTATCACCCTTTAAAGATTTTTTAAGATTAAGAAACAAAAGGAAGTTAGAAACAGCCAAATCAGGACTGTAAAGTGGATGCCTAATGATTTCCCATCAAAACCCTCACAAAATTGTCCTTGTTTGATGAGAGGAATGAATGCGAACCTTGTCTTAGTGGAGCAGGACCATCTGGTGAGGCTTTCCTGGGTGTTTTTCTGTTAAAGTTTTGGCTAACTTTCTCAAAACACTCTCATTATAAGCAGATATTATTGTTCTTGTCCCTCCAGAAACTTAACAAGCAAAATGCCTTGAACATCCCAAAAAAACTATTGCCATGACCTTTGCTCTTGGTCGGTCTGCTTTTGCTTTGACTGGGCCATGTCCACCTCTTGGTAGCCATTGCTTTGATTGTGCTTTGTCTTCAGGATTGTAGTGGTTAATGCTTCATCCTCTCTTACAGTTCTTTGAAGAAATGCTTCAAGATCTTGATCCCACTTGTTTAAAATTTTTGTTGAAAGCAGCTGGGCACGGTGGCTCACACCTGTAATCCCAGCACTTTGGGAGGCTGAGGCGGGCGGATCACCTGGTCGGGAGTTCAAGACCAGCCTGACCAACATGGAGAAACCCCATCTCTACTAAAAATACAAAAAAAAAAAATTAGCTTGGCATGGTGGCACATGCCTGTAATCTCAGCTACTCGGGAGGCTGAGGCAGGAGAATCGCTTGAACCCGGGAGGCGGAGGTTGCCGTGAGCCAAGATCACGTCATTGCACTCCAGCCTGGACAACAAGAGTGAAACTCGGTCTCAAAAAAATAAATAAATAAAATAAAATAAAATAAAATTTTCATTGAAAGCTTTGCTCTCATCTGCACCTGATCTGGATGCAGTGGTTTTGGTGCCCATCAAGTGGAAAGTTTGTTCAACTTTAATTTTTCAGTCAGAATTGTGTATGCTGAACCAATGGAGATGTCTATGGTATTGGCTTTTTTTTTTTTTTTTTTGCTGTTAATTGTCAGTCCTCTTCAGTTAGAGCACAAACAAGATGAATTTTTTCTTTCTAATTTGATGTGGATGGTCTGGCACTTCAGGCTTTATCTTCAACATCATCTCATCCCTTCTTAACAAGTTATCCATTTATTAACTACTGCTGATTTCTATTTTTTTTTTTTTTTTTTTGAGACAGAGTCTCACTCTGTCGCCAGGCTGGAGTGCAGTGACATGATCTCAGCTCACTGCAACCTCCGCCTCCTGGGTTCAAGCAATTCTCCTGCCTCAGCCTCCCAAGTAGCTGGGACTACAGGCGCACGTCACCATGCTGGCTAATTTTTGTATTTTTAGTAGAGACGGGATTTCACCATGTTGGCCAGGATGATCTCAGTCTCTTGACCTTGTGATCCGCCTGCCTCGGCCTCCCAAAGTGCTGGGATTACAGGTGTGAGGCACCGCACCTAGCCAACTGCTGATTTCTTTAGGGCATTGTCCCCATAAACTTTTCATAAAGTATCAGTGATTTCACCGTTCTTCCATCTAAGCAAGCTTCACTGTAAATTTGATGTTTGTTCTTGCTTCAGTTTTAGGAGAATTTATGTTGCTCTGATAGGAGTTCTTTTCAAACTGATGTCTTATCCTTCTTAGTGCCTCAAACTAGATCCCATTTAGTCATGTTATAACAAGTTAGTTATTTTGGGGCAAAAAAAATCTCAAATATATGCCTAGTTTTTTCGTAATACGCATTTTCCTTGAACTTTTTGAAGACCCTTTGTACATGATTGTGGTAAAAGCATGAATGTAGGAATATACATGGCACTATTACTATACATGGTACTGTTAATATACATGGGAATATACATGGCACTATTAATATACAGGGTGCTATTAATGACTATGGTACTGTACAGGACATGGTATTGTACATGACTATGGTAATATACAAGATAGATACTGTATATGACCTTGGTAATATACAAGATGGATACTCTACAAGACCATATTAATATGCAAGAATGATACTGTACATGACCATGGTAATATACAAGATTGATACTGTACATAACCGTGGTAATATACAAGACCTATACTGTACATGACCATGGTAATATACATGGCTGTGGCACTGTACA
This sequence comes from Homo sapiens, assembly GCF_000001405.40. Classification (NCBI taxonomy): domain Eukaryota; kingdom Metazoa; phylum Chordata; class Mammalia; order Primates; family Hominidae; genus Homo; species Homo sapiens. The sequence goes on along the minus strand of NC_000001.11, from coordinate 12,605,192 downwards.
TGACTGTGACAATGTGTGTGACGATGGTAACACACGTGACTTGGTACTCTACATGACTGCACAGTGCTTTTGCACATTCATTGTCTTCCTTGACCTTTTTTTTTTTTTTTTTTTGAGATGGAGTTTTGCCAGTCGCGCAGGCTGGAGTGCAGTGGCACGATCTCGGTTCATTGCAACCTCCACCTCCTCCCGGGTTCAAACGATTCTCCTGCCTCCGCCTCCCAGGTTCAAGTAATTCTCCTGCCTCAGCCTCCCAAGTAGCTGGGATTACAGGCATGCGCCACCCCAGCTAATTTTTGTATTTTTAATATAGATGGGGTTTCACCATGTTGGCCAGGATGGTCTCGATCTCTTGACCTTGTGATCCACCCGCCTCAGCCTCCCAAAGTGCGGGGATTACAGGCGTGAGCCACCGCACCCGGCCAGCAGCACGCATTTCTGAGATCCAGGTGAAGTGGCCGTCCTGGGACACGTCGCTGAGGGCAGATTCTGAACCCAGGTTTCCCAGCTTCAACACTCCATCTTTTCCCACTGCAACAAATAATCTCAGCCTGGCCTGGCCTGCCTCATTCAGGGTCATGGAGAGGTCAAGAGACAAGCTGTTAAGTAATGGGGCTTAGTACACAGAGGGTTCTGGAGAGAGCGGTGATAAGCAGTGAATGAGTCAACAGGATGCGGGCAGGGATGTAGTGAAATCCGCTTTTACACAAACATCATTTAGAGCACTGAGTAGCAGTATTTGCATACAATGAATGGGAGACTTGCCAAAGGAATAAAATAGTCCTCAGTTATCAGGGTTTCTTTTAAAGAGTAAACTGACAAGCAGGGTAATAGCACAGTTGAATTTCTTTCATTTGACAACCAGTGTGACATCTTAACATGCAGAGACCCAGCTGCAGAGGAGAGAGTGAGTGACAGCTCCCTCCAGTTAAGCCCGAGGTCACTGAGCTCTGCGTGGCCTGAGAGCTTTGATCACTGTAAATTAAGGGAAATCTTAGAAGACTTCTCGAAGGAGGTGGCAACTGAGGGGGTTGCAGGAACTCTCCATTTTTCTGCTGGTTGTAGAGCCCTTCAAGGGTCTGAAGAAAATATGAACTCTATCCCAGGAAGAAGGTGCAACTGAAAGTTTTGTACTTTTAAGGGGTCATGTACCCCTGTCGCCTATCCCAGACTCTGGGTTAAGAAGGCTTGGACTAGATACAATCAAAACCCATCCAAGTCCTACAGGCTCAGATGCAGGCTCAGGGCGAGAGCTCGTGTGAGAGGCAGGGAACGCCCTGGTATCCTGTGACACTGAAGCCAGGGCAAGCTCAGGGTGGAGAGTACAGATGTGTGGCTTGGTGCTTAAGGCCACCAATGGTCAGCCTGGTGAAGGCCACTGGGCCCCAGCCTTTCTTACCTCATTGGCCATCCCTACTTCAAGGAATGTGGCCTTAAATCCTCTTTTCAGCAGCCTTTCGGGGATTTTGATGAGTGAAGCGTATGATGATCTTGTCCACACTGAAACAGCCTCCTAGGGAACACGGTCTCCTGTCTGCGTCCCACCTCCCCCAACCACTTCTACCAGCCTCCAAGCCCCGCGGTCCCCATGCGGACCTCAGCGCCAGCTGAGGTTCAAGGTCCAGGTTTTCAAACTGGGTTCCGGAGCACCCTAGAGGCCCCAAGAAGGTAGGGCCACGTGGGAGATGGAGCAGGGAGGGTTCTGAGGGACCCCTCCTTCCTGCGGACCAGATCAGTGTTGTCACTTCTGTTTTGTGGCTTACAATTCCATGTTAAGATTTTGGTGTGCATTTTGAAAGAAAGTCATTGTTTTAAAGAAAGGAAAAAAATAAGGCTTGAAAATGATGCTTCAAGGAAATGACTCAGCCCGCTCCCTCTCCTCGATGGACCCTTCTTGGATTTGCTGGATGTCCCCTCTTTAATGACACCTCCACCTTTGGCTCTTTACTCCAAGGTGCTGTGGCTTCTGGACCAAATGCCCTCTAGTTCGCTTGGGCTTTTGCCCCTCAGGAGAGGGACCCACACTCCCACCCCAGATGTGTGGAACCCCTCCTGCCCTCAGCCTCGGCACCTCCTCTACCTCTGGGGTGCCCACAAGCTAGAAGCTCTGAATGCCCAAGCGGGGCTGAGACAGCCTCTCCAAGGGGGACTCAGCCCAAATCCATCTGCCAGAAAGGACACAGGAGGCTTCTCCCTGGCCCTCCCTGCCTCCAAAGCACCCATCCCTGGGAGAGTGTGCCTTGACAACCCCAGCCCCAAAGCCCAGACCTGGCCCAAAGGCAGTGTCACAGCAGCCAAAATCTTTTGGGCGGTAGAGGCCGGCTCCGGCCAGAGCACTCATGCAATTTGTGGTGCCGGCCAGGGCTGCTGGAAACCAGTGCCTAATGCTGTAGATTATGAGGGGCCTCCCAGTGACCTGCTGTGTGACCTTGGGCGAGCAACCCTCTCTGGGCTTTGGTTCCCTCATCTGAAAAATGAAGGTGTGGAAATGTAGTGAAAAAGCTCCTATCACCTCCTGGGTAATGGCAAGAGCGTTTCCAAGAGACAACCACTCCTTCCAGGTGGGGCAATGGCCCTGGGGGTGGGGGGCGGTGGATACCCCCTGCTCCAGCCCTTCTCCTTCTGCATATTAGAGCAGATGCTCAGCAGGACATCAGAGAAAAAAGGCAAAAAACCCACTGGCCTGACTCAACCTTGGTTCTGGGACTCCCCCGGGAAGCAGAGAGTTGTGCCCCTGCCACAGAAGCCCTCAGGGGGAATTGGAGACTTTGACCCTTTCTAGAAGTCTGTGGGAGGGAACCACTCCCTACAGGGAGTCTGGCCATCTCCCTTCCACCCGAGGCCTCACCTCTGTTGAGATGACCCGTGGCACAGCCCCTGTCTTCCCAGGCAGGGGCTGGTCCAACATAGGCCTTTCTGCAACCCAGGGGCTGAGGCTGGTCAGGGGTACAGCCTCCTCTCTGGTCCTGGCTGCCCAACCCCCACAACCATCCAACTTCCCCTGCACAAGGCATTAGTCATTTTGATCTCTGCGTCCAAGTAGCTCAATTGGTCAGGACCGGGCTGCGGTGAGGCCAAAGTCAGGGGTTACCATAGCAACTCACCACGCTTTGTGGCTGCTTGTTGATATCCACAGGGGCAGGGGGCATGCCCTCTCACTCACCAAGTATCTGGCAACTGGCACAGTATCTGGCCCACAGTAGATACTTAATAAATGGTTGTTGCCTAAATGAATGCATGACCGACCCATTGTAGCTAGTTAGAGCCAGTGATTACTGAGCACCTACTGTGTGCCAGGGACTGTTCTAAGCCCTGACACGTCACAAGGTCATTTACTACTCGAAGTAACCTTCCAGCGTGGGTACCGTTATCATCTTCTTCTTACCAACAGGACTCTGAGAGTCAGTAACTTAGAATCACACAGCTAGTAAATGACCCAGCAGGATTGGAACCCAGGGTGTCTGCTTGTAACCAATGAGTCTTGCCTTTTGGTTGATAGTTTCACGGAAGAGATGGCATTGATGGCCCCTAGTGGAGTCCGTAGCCAGGCAGTCTATATGGGTCAAACAACATCACCTCCAGCTTTCCCGATGGGGGCTCTGGAGGTGTTCCTCAGATTGGTTTATTGACTCATGGGACCAGAAGTCCCTGGGTAGGGCTGACTTTGGGCATGTCTCCAGGGGCTCAGTGCTGTCAGGACTCAGGAGAGTTTCTCTCTCCCCTCACTTTGAGGCAGACCTCTCTGCCACGGGGCTGCTCACACCTGCCCCCTGCTGCTCGTAACGTAACCTTTCCAGCTCCCATTCAAGTAGACAGACAGGTGTTCTTTGCCCAGAAGTCCTGGAAGGGTCCAGGAATTGGGTCTCTCTGGCAGTGACTGGGTGAGCCTGAACCAAGGAAATGGTGCTCTATTTGGCCAGCTGTGGGTCATGGCCAGACTCTGAGCCAGGGGTATACCAGCCCCAGCCAAGCCATAGGGTTTGGGAGTCGGGAGGTCGGCTTCTGCAGGGCAGATGGGGGGATACAATGAGCAGGAGCAAGGGGTCCAGTACACCTTCTTGTGGAAGGACAACACTCATCTTCCAGTCATGCCACGTGGAAACAGCCAGGAGAGCCAGGCCTGCCTGTATCAGGCAGCCCTCCAGAGCTAATCCTGCAGACCTTATCAGGTCATTTACTGATGCCTTACCACCGCGCCCCCCAACCCCCCACCCATCTCCCCAAGAAAAAAAAGATAGAATGGACTTTTCAGGGTTGAACTAAAATCTCTGCCTTCAAGGAGATTGTAGTTCAAAGAGGCAAAATGCTCAGCCACCAAAGTCCAGCAGGTTGTCAACAGACTGACTTTGGAAACTTTTCTAGACGATAGATAGAGAGATAGACTGTGATATGAGAGGAAAGGAAGCCCTTTGCTAGGTCATGGTTGCTAGTGATACTTCACAGGTGCGAGAGGCCAGCTCTCCCTCCCCTCCAGCTGCGGGCAGGGGAGCAGAACAGAGATGATATTGGGTCCTTCCAAGGTGGTTGGTGAGGGGGGTCTTCCTTTTAGTGCTCCCACAGCCCAGCAAGCAGTGGCCCCTCTCACAGGCCTGGTAGCAGGTCACCATGGGGAGCTGGGGCCAGTGTGACTGTAAAGGGCAGCGTGACCTTCATGCAGGCAGGCAGTCCTGCCAGACACACCCACATGGCGTCTGTCCACCCTTGGCTGCACGGCCCGTGTTCTTACATCTCAGATGCCAAAGAATTAAGAGTCTGACCTGGCCTCTCCGGGCCACTTCCCTATGAGCACACAGCAGAGGAGACGGGGTCCTTAAGGGATGGCAAGACACAAGGTCAGTGTGGACTGGGCACATGGTGCCCTCCGAGGGCTCACACCTCCTCAGCCAGCAGATCCATGCCTTGGCTTTGGGGATATCTCCTGAGCCTTCAAGTCAGTGGAAATGTTTGTGTGATTGTGTGTGTGTGTGTGTACGTGTACACACACACACACACAGATGTGCGGTTCTTTCTTTCACAAGGAGCCAGTAAAGCATAGAGATTCAGATTTTGAGTTCAGGAGTCAACCACACCAAAGTTCATATGCTGGCTCTTCTATTCACTTGCCGTGTGACCTTGAGCAAGTTACTGGACCTCTCTGAGCCTACATGCCTTGGTAGGGTGGACCATGGCTGAAGGCAGCTGCAAGCACAGACGGGGGCTTCCAACCAGTCTTTGTTGTTAATAAAGTGCTACCCACGTGTTAAACAATTTACATGACAATCTGATTTACTCCTCAGAGCAACCCTATGACACAGTCACTGTTCCCAGTTTAAAGATGGAAATACTAGGGCTCAGAGACGTTAAATACTTGCCCAAGGTCACACAGCCCAGGTAGCCATGGGATTCGAATCCAGGCAGTCTGGCTTCTAGGAAAGGAAACCTGGCTGTGCCTAGGACTGGGGTCTAAGCTGAGGCGTTAAGGATGAGATGGAAGCAGCAGAAGGAAAATATCCCAGGCAGAGGGAAAGAGCAGAGCTAGAAAATAGGAGATGAGAGAGTTTGTTTCCTTTGGGAAAAAGACCCTGGCCTGGCCAGAACAAAAGTGTGAGCAGGGAGTGGAGAGAGATGGCCAGGGCCATACCTCATAGAGCCTGGTGGTTGTGGGGTGAAGTCTGGACATGATTGGGAGAGCACTAGGGAGCCACTGAAGGCTTTCTACAGGATGCACGACCAGCCCACATTACTGGAAGGTGACGGAAGCCTGATTTTCCACAGAATTCTCTGATGTTGGAGGGATGTGATGCTCTCTGAGGACCACGGAAAATCACTTTCTGTGGGGCTGGTGCTTGGGAAAATTCCCGCCTCAACTGGCCCTATGGGCCAAGGGCCTGGCTTTTCTCCCAGCATCCTGGTCTTTGCAGGGTGTGCTGGCCTGGCCATTTCCCATTGAATGTCCCGCTTCCTCTGAATCCCCTGGCCCTCTGGGCCCAGAGCCACAGCCTGATAGCATGAGACCAGTCAGCCGGAAGGGTTAACTCCAAGGCAGTTGACCTTCGTCCTAGCAGAGATTAAACCGATTCCTAATTAATAGCCTGTAGGATAGCTACCTTGGCACAGCTTGCAAGTAATTTAAGGCTTGTCCTTAGAGGCTGGTCCATAAATTACGTTTAATTAGCTGAAGGTCTCCCTGGGACACATCAGCCTGGTGTGTGATTGAGCCTACCAGCTCAGTGACCTCTGAATTTCATGTTGGAGTATGAGGGAGATGCTGAGATACTCCAGTAAAATGTTTATTTCCTTTTCCAAAACAAGAGCTGAATTCTTTCTTCTGCTAGCAGCTCTGAGGGGTACCGCCAACCGGTTTGGGGGTCTCTGCTCAGCTAGTTCCTGGCTTTGCTCTTGACTAATTACTTATACTTCCAGGGTCTCAGTGCCTTGTCTCTAAAAAGAAGCCGAGTTCAAGTCTACAGACCCTTATCTGAAACCCTTAAGGCTAGCTGTGTCTCATAGGTCTGATGTTTTGGACTTTAGAAATGCAATCCAGCAGATAGGCCATATACCTAGTGATGCCCACAGCAAGGTCTAGGGCAGCCACCCGTAATCACAGTGATAGTTACCACAGTGGGATAAAGAGACCAGAACTAGCCTCATGATGGTTCCAATTAGGGCTTGCTCTAAACGCGTGTGTCAAAAATAAATGTAGGATTTTAGAGCTTTTTGGATTCTAGAACGGAGGATAAGGGGCCGTAAACCTCACTGTTGAACTCAGAGAAGCTCCTAAATAAATGCTAATTATGATGAGTACTGTTGTTATTTTTTTTTGTTTTATTTTACTTGCCGAGACAGAGTCTCACTCCATCACTCAGGCTGGAGTGCATTGGTGCGATCTCAGGTTATTGCAGCCTCAACCTCCCAGGCTCACGTGATCCTCCCCAGTGGCCGGGACTACAGGCGCGCACCACCATGCCTGGCTAACTTTTGTATTTTTAGTGGAGACAGGCTTTCACCATGTTGCCCAGGTTACCTGTTGTTATTATTCCTCTTTCCCCTACAGCTCATACGCTGCCATGTCCACTGCCCCTGCACATGTAGAGACTGGATGTGCGGGCAACTTTTAGTTTGGCAGGTGTCACCTGTCTGCTGGGGATGTGTGATACGTTCTTCCTGGAGTGGCTCTGCCGGAGCTGTGTTTGTGTTTCCTGCTGCCTGGGGGAGCGTGGAAGGCTTGTGACTTGGCACGAGGTCCCACTGGGTGTTCCTGTTGGGCACCCTCTGTGCGATGGCTGGGGCTGGCTTCCTGGGTGTGACCCAGGGATTCTCACTGGCCCTGCTCTCAGAAGCGCCCTACACTTGGTTTGAGGCTCGGCTGTCACCATCTTGCAATTCTTTACAATTTTTGAACCAGGGACCCTGCGAATGATGTGGCTGGTCCTAACGACAGCCATAGCACACAGGTTGTCAACTTCATTCCTCCCAAGTTCCCCTCAAAGGGAAGTTACTAATGTTTCACAGAAGAGGCAAAACTATTTCATTCATTCATTCACACAGTCACTGGGCACCCAATTACCAAGCCAGGCCTGGAAATTCCTTGGACAGCCTACATTCTAGAGAGTGTGTGTGTTTGAGAATGGGAGAAATAGACAAAAACCAAGCAAACAAATAACCACCATCACTTCAGATAGTGACCAAGTGCTGCAAAGACAAGAAAGCAGAGGGATGTGAGGCAGAAGGATGTTAAAGATTAAATTCAGTGAAGGAGAAGCTGGAATCAGGGCTGGAGTTCAGCTGTGCCTTGTTGCACTCCATGAGTACTCGCTAAAGATCTGGGGTCATTTCAGGCCGGGCGCCATGGCTCACGCCTGTAATCCCAACACTTTGGAAGGCTGAGGTGGGTGGACCAGTTGAGGTCAGGAGTTCGAGACCAGCCTGGCCAAGATGGTGAAACCCTGTCTCTACTAAAAATACAAAAATTAGCCAGGTGCGGTGGTGGGCGCCTGTAATCCCAGGCACTCGAGAGGCTGAGGCAGGAGAATCGCTTGAACCCGGGAGGCGGAGGTTGCAGTGAGCCGAGATCGCGCCACTGCACTCCAGCCTGGGTGACAGAGTGAGACTCCGTCTAGGGCGGGGGGAGATCTGGGGTCATTTCTAGGTTCCCCACCCCCCACAAGGCAGGGTGATCATTAGTTAATGAGGTCCAAGTAGGGGAGTCAATGGGGGTCTCCTTGAGCCAGGGGGGACTATTCATCCCCAAAGACCTCGTCACCCCGGCTTCTCACAATAAACCCAGAGGCTCAGTTTGGGGGGGCAGTGGGTGAGGAGAAGGGCAGCCTTGGTTTCTCTGAGGGTCTCCAAGTTCTCCCCGTGCCAGGCCCCCTGCACCTGAGGCTTCTGACCGGCCCTGCGGTTTGGTGAGCATTTTCTTGCACTTTTGACCTTCCCCACACCAGCACAGGGAGGCCAGTTTCAGTTTTCCCCACTTCCCCAGATGGAGATGGTGAAGCTCAGAGATGCCAAGTGACTCATCCAAAAGTCACACAGCAAATCAACTCCAGAGCAGATTCCTTGAGGCCCCAACCAGGCTGCTTTTCATTCCAAAGGGCAGTGCAGGCTCTCAGCTCTGAGCGCTGGCTGCCAAGTTAGTGCGGTCCAGGGCTGCTCTGGGAGCTCCGCGGGATAAACAGGCCCCCTGCTTCGGAAGGGAGGGGCGGTGCGCGGCCAACGGGACACTTTTATACCTCTTTATACCTGGAAGCCATCCCTGCAACCCCCCAACCAGGCTTTGCAAGGGAGAAGTAATGAGCTTCCCAGAAAGCCCAGAGCAAAGGCAGGCACCTCCCCAATCTCTTCCCACGAAAACCCGAAGCTGACCCCGGAGGCCCAGCCCTCGGGTTTAGAGGCTTCTCGGGGAAGCGGAGACAGAGACCCTAGAGGAGAGGCTGCCCCCGGAGGGGTGGGAGCTGCCAGCCCCCAGGGGTGCTCGAGGGGAGCGAGGCCGCTCCAGGGAGGTGGGTGCCCGCCAGAGGGGCGGCGAGGGCTGCCGGGACGGTTCACGCAGCGGCCAGCAGACTGGCTGCGTGTTGCAATGTCTGGTGGCGTTTGCAGCATCCTGTCCGTGTGTGCAGCTGGGGTAACCTCGGGCCGGCGGAGGAGCGCGTGTGGCTCGTAGGCCCTGCGGCCGGAGGCTGCTGGCACCTTGCATCTCATTTACAGCTCCGGGTTCAGCCACAGGTCAGCGGCGCCCGTGACATCACGGCGTCTGTTTACCGACGGGTCTGGGCAAGAGCGGACGGTCCCGGGGCGGGAGGGGGACCCCAGCAGCGCCCCGGCCCCCAGCCCGGCTCCCCTCCTCACCCCCTCCGCCCAGCCCCTCCTCGTCTGCACCTGAGACCTCAACCCAGCCCCCTTCTGCAGCCACCTACCCTGTCCCCTCCCCAGCTGCACCCGGGATCCCAACCCAGCTCCTCTCCACAGCCCCCAGCCTGTCCCATCGCCCCCCATCTGCACCCTGACCGCACCTCGGCCTTCCTTCGCCGCCCGGCCCAGGACCCCAACCTGTTTCCCCGCTTTCCCCGCAAAGCCCTCCCTATCTGCTCCCGGGACACCACCTGGCCCCCTCCTCACCCGCTCCACCCAGTCGCCCTCCAGTCTGCACCCAGGACCCCAGCCTCGCCCCGCCCCCTCCCCATCTATCTCCCGCCCCTTCCCATCCCCTTTCCACCCCTTTCCCATCCGCCGCTTGGGATCCCAGCCCGATCCCCACCCGGCACTGCAGCCCCGCCCAGCCCCTCCCGGGACCCCCGCGGCCCCGCCCCGCGCCCGCCCCTGGGCCCACTTTCAGAAAGACTTCCTGGAGCCTCCTGCCCGACCCGCTGAGGCTTGGCGGCTCCTCCTGCCACCCCCTCACGCCATCATGTGAGCCAGGCTGGCCTCCCGGCCGCGCACCGAGCCGGCTGCAGCTCGTTAGCTGTCAGGGCCAGGGTTGGGACGGCCCGGGCACTTTGTTATTGGAAACTGGGCTCACCCCCGCTGCGCTAGGTGGGTCCCAGGCGCTGGGGCAGCCTCTTCCCCCGGAGCTGCCTTTGCCACCTGGAACTGCTTTCTCGCTCACCGCCTCCCCTCCCCTCCCTCTGCGTAAACCAATTGTTCTGGAAGCTGAAGGGACCTGGGATTCTCTTCCTGCACACCTGGGGCTTGCCAGAGCCAACCCTCCTGGAGAGGGAGGCGCTGGGGCTCAGGGAACGGCAACCTCATTCTTCCATTTTCTCAGGCCAAACGCTCTGGTGTCCTCTGGGAAGCTCACTTTCTCCAGCACCCAGCTCTGCAACCGTCCAGAATCCCTCTTCTCCCATCACCTAAGCATCCCAGCCCAGCCCCTTCCAGCTTCATGTCAGAGGCTGTCTTTTTTCTCCTTACAACCTCCCAATCTACCCCATCTCAGAAAAGAATTCAAAGTCCTGCTGTGGCTGGTGTCTCCCGCTTGCTCTTCCACACTGGTCTCCGTGCTGGGGAAGCTCATTCCCACCCCAGGGCCTTTGCACCAACTGTTCCCTCCACCAGGGATGCTCTTCCTCCACGCGTCTGTATCGCTCCCTCCTTCACTTCCCTCAGGTCTCTTCCAAAATGTTACTTTAACCAAGAGGACTTCCCTGCACCTTTCCCCCACCATCTGAATACCACTCCCACCCCATAATCACTCCCTCCAACCCCCTACAAAGCTATGTGTTCCTCCCATGCACATCTAGCACTTTCTAGTGGCTAGAAAACTACTTACTATACAGTCATTCGTTCACGTGAACAAGTGTTCATGCTCATTGTCCCCGGACTTACACACAAGCAAACTCCGCAAGTGAGATAAATGTATTCCCCGCTGGATCCCAGGGCCTCCAAAGTGCCTGGTGCACACAATTCCACAAATAGTCCTTGAATGAATGAATGAGGCAGGACAGGGTTGTTAAAAGAGCTTCCCTTTGGAGTCCGAGCCTTGCTTTGAAACTTCTAGTAGTGCAGCCTGCATGAGTTACTTAGACTGTCCAAATTTGAATCCCACCCCGGTGGACAGTAATCTGGAGATGTGTGCTGTGAGGGAAGGGTGGTCTGTAGATGCTGGCTCCTCCCTCCTCTCCTTGGCACCCCCACCCCAAGGTCACCCAGCACTTTCCAGCAAGAGGTCCAGTGGGGGAAAAGGGCAAAGGTTGTGAGGTGTCAGCCATGAACTCTAGCCTGAGTTTCTCTGCCTCCGTGTTTTGCCAAGTGCGGCCCTGGGCAGTCAGATGGAGGTGGAGCCCCTGGCCAGTCTTGTAGGCTGGGGATGTTTGTGAAAAGAAACATCAGCCCGTGGGTTTCTGGCTGGGAGTGAGCAGTGTTCTGCCTGCCCAGAGTCAGCTTTTGTGATCGTTTCCCTGGAGAGTTTTCTGAGTGGTCCCAGAACCAAAAAGTTTCGCAAGAATCACACCCAGGGATGAGGTGGAGACTGCCCAGTTGTCACGTACTGGCTCTTGGCAGGGCGTGGTTTTAGCATTTGAAGGAGTGTCCTCAGGAACACTAGGTGCTCATCACAGGGGGAGACATGCCTGTCTCAGCAACTGGGAAGGAGGAAATCAAAGAAGGGTAGATTTGTAAATCAAATCAGAGCTGGTGTTTGTGGGGTTGGGGCATTTTACATGAAGACCTCTTGGGTAAAGAGACACTTGAGCAGAACCTGTGAGAAGGTGGCCAGGTGTGGTACCTCACTCCTGTAATCCCAGCACTTTGGGAGACTGAGGCAGGAGGATCACTTGAAGCCAGGAGTTCAAGACCAGCCTGGGCAACAATGTGATACCCCCGTCTCTACAAATAATAATAATCATAATAATTTTTTAAAAAGAAAAGAGGGTGCCCTACAAGGAGAGGGATACTTGGGAAAAGAGAACAGAGAGCAGCCAGTACAAAGGCCCTAAGGTAGAGGGGGCCAGTGCTTCTGCAGGGCCGAGACCTAGGAGGGAGTAGCTGAGACGAGGGATGGGGCAGACCAGGAAGGGCCTGCGATCCCAGTAAACACTAGATTCCAGTCTGTGAGATGGGCAGCCATCAGTAGTCATAAGCAGGGTGATGTGGTCTGACACATTCTAGAAGGATCTCTGGCTGTTGTGTTGAGAACAGACTGAGGCAGGGGCCCTGGGGCAAAGGTAGCAGCCAAGTGACCTTTTGGGACCAGGTGAGGGGTCCACTTGTGCTCCAGGTGAAGGGCGCTGAGGCAGGGCCCCAAGGCGCCGTGGAGGTGGCGAGAAGTGGTGAGAAGCCTCTGGATTTCAGAGGTCAGGCTGACAGGGTGCGTGGTGGAGTGGGCATACAGTGAGAGAAAACACTTAATGTGGGACAGTGAAGAGCCTTCGGAGGTTAAAAAGAGCTTGGCATCTGAAAACAGGGAGTGGTGTGGAGGGGAAGCAGCCTCCGTCACTTCCCAGCCTCGGGAGCCTGGGGCTGGGCCTCGCTTGGCCTCCTCTATTGAATGAGGATAATGGAGCCCATTTGTGTTAGTTTCCTGTCAATGGCACAACAAATGACCACCAGCTGTGTGGCCCAAAACACCAAAGCTGCTCTCACATTTCTGGGTACCAGAAGTCCAAACTCCAGGTGTCAGCAGGGCCCCACTCCCTCCCGGGCTCTAGGGAAGGATCCTTCCTTGTCTCTTTCAGCTCCTGGTGGCTCTTGGCAGCTCCTGGCATCGCGTGGCTTGTGGCCGCCTCACTGCCGTCTCTGCTTCCATCTTCACGCGGCCTTCCTCTCCTCTGTGTATGTCTTTCTTCTGTCTCTCATGAGGACACTAGTCCTTAGACTCAGAGCCCACCCTAACCCAGGGTGATCTCACTTTGAGATCCCCAACTCAATTACAGCTACTCAATTCCAAAGACCCTCTTTCAGCATAAGGTCACATTCACAGGTACCAAGGGTTAGGACTTGGACTCAGCTTCTCAGGGGACACTAATCAGCCGACTGTACCACATCCGGGCAGCCGAGAGGATTCAGTCTAAGAGCCCAGAGCAGGATCCAGCCTGCAGTAAAGGTCCACAGATTGTTCACTGTGGTGGCGGTGAGTGCTTGTCACAGTCCCACCCCGCCCACTTGGAGAGCAAGGGTGCTCCAGGCAAACCCCATACCCCCTCACAGCAAACACCAGCCCTGGGCACTGTGCTGACCCATGCTCAGAACAGCTTCTGTCCTCACCTGTCCTCCCACCTGAGCCCCATCAGAGCCCCAGTGTCCTCGCAGAGGGGCAAGGAACATCTCTGCCATGCCTTTCATAACCACTTGGTCATCAAGACCGAATGATGACCGCACCTTTCCCTCATTCCCTGGGAGGTGGACACCTTTCTGTCCAGTCCTTGGACATGGCATCAGCTCACTGTACCTGTGCACTGAATGAATATGTTGTTTCGTGGGGTCATTTTGCTCCCGCAGGTAAAGTCAGTGGCCAAGGGCACAGATTGCATAAGTTGAGGTCCCAGCTCTACCGCTTACCGCTTGGAATTACATAGCCCCTTCGTGTATCAGTTTTCTCGGGTATGAGCCCTTCTGAGCTGACAGAGGACTAGACGCCCCACGGCACCCATGCTGAGGCAGTGTGGCCAGCTAGTGAGCCCCACGTGCATGTCAGAGCTACTGTCATTCCTGTGCCTCCCAAGCGGGCCAGTTCCAGGCTGGACGTCCGCCTGGAGGAAGTCTCTGCCCTGCTCCAGGTTGCGGTCAGGGACTTGTGGGAGGGCGACACCACTGGCTGATCTAATTTGAGGAGCTTCATCACAATCCTCCCCAACAGCTGAGCCAGCGGTAGCCAAAACATTCTCGGCAGGCCAAAACAGGGGCCTGGAGCCAGGGAAAGCCTGTTTTGCAGGGCTACGTGGGAGAGACCTGCCTAGGCTTCAGCAGCCCAGCAGTGCAGGAACAGGAAGGACACATAAGGACCTAGCCGAAGTCCCTGACAGGCCCAGTGGCTTCTGTCACCTCTGACCTCCTGGGGTCAGCCGTGGGGCACCTGTAACGACCTAGGGCTACACCAATAAATGCTAGCTGTTACTATTTTTATTAGTACAGCAACAGATATAGATCCCCCTTGCTGATGGAAGATCCAGAACCCTGCTGGGGTAATGGTTGCCTGGAAAACCCGAAGCTCTATGTCTGTCTCCTCCCCTAGAAACAGCCTTGAGTGGGACAAAACCACAGAATCGCACGATCTCTCTGTCCCCATCCTTTTACCTGACAGCATGCAGACTGGATTGTGTAGAGTCTGGAAAACAGGCCTCCCAGAAAAAAAGGTGGAAGGGATTAGAAAGTCTGGGAAGGAGATGCTGGAAGTCGGTACCTGATCATTGTGGATCAGTTTTGATCAGTGTGATCAGTGTGGATCTGCACTGGAAGCAGAAGGGCTGGTAGGCTTGTTGGGTGTGCCCGAGTGACAGGCCAGCACTCTCAATGGGTGACAGCTAGAGGGATCCCACTGGAGTCCATTCGGAGAAAGCAGGCTTCCTTCCAGGGCTGTGCTGGGGAGGAAGAGGCTGCGGATTCAGAGTCACATTCCAACTATTTTTTTTTTTTAGCGACAGAGTCTTTGTAGAAATGACTATTCTAGGTCGGGCACGGTGGCTCACGCCTGTAATCCCAGCACTTTGGGAGGCCGAGGCAGGTGGATCACCTGAGGTCAGGAGTTCGAGACCAGCTTGGCCAACATGGAGAAACCCCGTCTCTACTAAAATTACAAAATTAGCCGGGCGTGGTGGCGCATGCCTGTAATCCCAGCTACTCGGGAGGCTGAGGCAGGAGAATTGCTGGAACCCAGGAGGTGAAGGTTTCAGTGAGCCAAGATCACGCCACTGCACTCCAGTCTGGGCAACAAGAGTGAAACATCATCTCAAAGCAAAAGAAATGACTATTCTAGAAACCTAAAGTGTCACCACTCTGGGTGACTGGGGCAGGAGTGAGGAGAAGCCTGGAATGATATCTGCTTGCTCCCCACCCCACCCTCAGCACCTCCAGAGGCTCCTCACCAGAACCCCCAGAGTTCCTTGGGGCTCTGCTTGAAAACCTCTCCTCCCTAAGAAATCCCCCCGCAGCTTGCTCTGCAGGTGGACAGTTTTGACAGCTGGTCTCTACCTTCTCAGGCTTGGGGACGTAGAAAAAGGAGAGCCTTCTAAGTAAGGTGGAAGGATGGAATCAAGAAATAGCAAGATTCTGTGGTTTTGCCCCAGTCAAGGCTGTGCCTAGGGTAGTCAGATGGAGGTGGAGACCAGATGGGGTCTTCCGGGCAACTGTTTCCCCAACAGGGTATGTGGATCTTCTACTGCAAAGGGGGATCTATTTCTGTTGCTGTGCTAATAATAATAATAATAATAATAATAATGACAGCTAGCTTTTTACAAAACAGAGACAGAGTCTTGCTATGTTGCCCAGGCTGATCTTGAACTCCTGGCCTCAAGTAATTCCCCCACCTCGGCCTCCCAAAGTGCTGGGAATATAGGCGTGAGCCAACATATCCAGCCCACAGCTGGCATTTATTGTGCCCTTTCTTAATCCTCCCAACTACTCTTCAAAGTGGGTGTTTTAGGCTGGGCACGGTGGCTCACACCTGTAATTCACCATATTGGTGAATTATGGTGAAACCCCATCTCAACTAAAAATACAAAAATTAGCTGGGTGTGGTGGTGCACACCTGTGATCCCAGCTACTTGGGAGGCTGAGGCAGGAGAATCGCTCAAACCCAGGAAGCAGAGGAGGCAGTGAGCCGAGATCGCGCCACTGCACTCCAGCCTAGCCCACAGAGCAAGCCTCCATCTCAAAAAAAAAAAAAAAGAAAAAGAAAAGAAAAGAAAAAGAGTGGATGTTTTAAACCTTAATTCATAGAGGTTAAGATCATGTTAATTCATAACTGTTAAAGAATTGAACCCAGGCAGTCTGGCTCCAGAGCCCATGTTCTAAGCTGCTCTACTCGAGAAAGGGTCTCTCCTTTTGGAAATAGACAGGGTTGTGAAAGGGGGAAATTCTAGTAGTAACCTATGCCACGCTCACACTCACCCTCTGCTATCTAGCACCCCATTCTAACCTTAATGTCTTAAAAGCTAGATGTTGCTTGCCTGCTCATTCTCATCTGACCACAGGGATGGATTTTTATTAACAGCCTCCTACTGGAGGGGCCAGGAGCAGAGAGCTGTGCACCCTCCACGCTGTGACCTTCCCACCCCACCGCCCAGCCTGCTGTGGTTTGGGGTCTCTGGCGGGTATTTTCTTTCCCTCTGAGAAGCCAAGTCAGCACCGATCCAGCTCCAAAACATGGGGCCCATGGGACATGAGCTGGCCTGCCAAAGACCTGCCCAGGGTCTCAGATCTTTCAGGGGCTGCCAATTATAAACAGATGCTCCTCCTGGGACGCACCCAGAGACCACCCAGCTCATGTCGCCGGTGGGAGGGTGCGCTGCAGCTGAACTCCAGGAATGAAAGCCAAGTCCAGCATTAGTGCAAGCCCCTCTGGGCTAGGAAGGCAAGGCTGGGTAGAGAAGGGGCACTCGGTATCCTCCTGGGGCTGGTGTCTTGTGATGATGTTAGCTGAGCTTTTACTCTTGTGCCTGGCCCATGCTGGATGCTGGGGTTACGAGATGAATAAGATTCCCTGGAGGACCTTGCACGCTCATGGGAGAGGCAGGGGTGTTCACCAGTCAGCATGCTCACATCTGTGCACTAGTGGAGGTTGAAAAAAGACTAGTGTTAGCAGTGAGGAATGGGTATCCTGAGTCAGGCAGATCTGCTCTTATGAGCTGCATGACCTTGGGTGAGTCACTGTCTGTCTGCGGCTTACCTATTAAATGCAGAAGGTAAACATACCCACCTCGAGGGGTTGTGAGGATTAAAGAAGAAAACATATCCATGTACTCAGCACAGTGTCTGGCCCATGGCAACTGCTCAACAGATTTAGCCATTATATAGTGGTGGTGCTGTTGTTGTTGTGGGGAGGCTGGAAGGAGCAGCCAGGGAGGCTTCAGAACTGAGGGAGCA
Source organism: Homo sapiens (assembly GCF_000001405.40). Lineage (NCBI taxonomy): Eukaryota > Metazoa > Chordata > Mammalia > Primates > Hominidae > Homo > Homo sapiens. The sequence goes on along the minus strand of NC_000001.11, from coordinate 12,588,194 downwards.
TTCAAGTAGGGTTTTGCAGGTTGAATAGGAGTCCATAAGTAGCCCTGGCATTTGAAACAGAGAAAAACAGCCCGGGCCGGGCACCAGGTAGGGACACAGGAGAAACCTGAATTTGAGAGATTTAGTCCCTGTCCTCTAAGAGACAGGATATAGACCCCAAATGGCCGTGACAGCACATGCAGGGCCAAGAGCACTGTGTAATGAGTGAGTGGAAACTGGGAGCTGTGGATCCCCGGCAGGCTCCCTCCCTCACTCACTCAACAACAGGAAGAGAGATGTGAATAGACAGTCACTTGCCAATGGATGAGGGCCCCCGAAGAGCACCACTCGGGGGCTGGGGGACAAGGGGTTGGACCCAAAGGGCTGAGTGACATTACCTGTGTGTAAAGAATCTATTTGGAGAGTGATCCATGGGGAAGCTTTTACTCTACCTTCTGTTGTTTTTTGTTTTGTTTTGTTTTGTTTTGTTTTTTGGTTTTTGTTTTTTTGAGACCGGCTCTCTCTCTGTCATCCAGGCTGGAGTGCAGTGGTGAGATCTTGGCTCACTGCAGCCTCTGTCCCCTGGGCTCAAGCAATCCTCCCACCTCAGCCTCCTAAGCCACCACACCCAGCCCCACCTTCTATTTTTAAGATCATAAATAACAATACTTGTTCTTTAGAGATATTTTTTGCTTATACAAATATAAAGAAGCAAACGACAGTCAGCTGTGATCCTGCCTGAGACACCCATCTCTGTGTAGCCTGTTGACTTCCAGTGACCTGGTGGCTTATGCCTGTAATCCCAGCACTTTGGGAGGCTGAGGTGGGAGAATCACTTGAGCCCCAGGAGCTTGAGACCAGCCTGGGAAACATGGCAAAACCCCATCTCTACAAAAAATATAAAAATTAGCCAGGAGTAGTGGCTTGCACCTCTGGTCCCAGCTACTTGGGAGGCTGAGGTGGGAGGATCACCTGAGCCCAGGAAATGGAGGCTGCAGTGAGTCATGATTGCGCCACTGCACTCCGGCCTGGGCAACAGAGTGAGACTCTGTCTCAAAAAAAAAAAAAAAAAAAGTTTAGAGTTGAGATTATCTTATTCAAATAGTGCTGCACCCCTTTTGTCTGAACATTAGACTCCTGAGCATTTTTCCATGTCGTGTCACTTATCATTTTAAAGCCTGCAGAAGAGGGTGTATCAGAGGCAGTGAAGAGGGTGTATCAGAGGCAGTGAAGAGGGTGTATCAGAGGCAGTGCTATGATTTTCTCAGCTTTTCCTCCCCACGGGAAATACCAACAGGGAGTGGGTACTGAGCAGTTAGTTAGTGGGTGCCAGCTTCTGCCAGCTTAATCCCCACAGGACCCCTTGAAGAGAGGAGATGTGCTTTCTCTTACAGGACAGTGAGTGGTGGTGCAATCCCCACAGCCTGTGGAGCTGGACATGACCTTGGTTCAAATCCCAGCTCCATTATTCAGTTGCTGTGTGACCTCAGACGAGTTGCTTAGCCTCTCTGAACTGCAGTTTCCTTATCTTTAAAATTATGATATGGCTACCTTGTCAATTCCCCGATGCAAATGAGGTTTTCTTGTTTATTCTTTATCCCACTTACTGTCATTTGTGACTGACTGTTTTCTGGTTCCTTCTCTGTCTTCCCCCACTGGAATGTGGGTTCCTTGAAGTAGGATTACATCTGCTTCATTCTCTGTTGGATCACCACCCCAGCCCATAGCCGGCTGTCCGTGTGGTGCTGGATGGACGGGGCTGTTGTGGACATTGGAGGAGACGAAGCAGGAGAAGGCTGGCTGGGTGGGGATGAACGCGGGGCGTGGGGTTGCATGTGAGGAGAGTGGAACCCTCAAAGCTCAGACGACCCCACCGTGCCTGGGGGCTTAGGGGTGCCTCTGCAAAGGGCCAAGGCTCTGGGTTCAAATCCTGTTTCACAGTGGGTGGCGTGGGGTGAGTTACTTAACTCCTTTGAGCTACGGTTTTCTCCACTGTGACCACGGATAATGACAGCCTTCAGCGCAGAGGGCTGCTGAGGAATCTGTCTGGCTATAGCCGCCTTGAGAGCAGCTCTGGGCAAGGGCAGGACAGCCCGGGGCCCCGGAGACCAGAGGTCTTTCTCCCCTTCCTGCCTCCCCCTACCAGTCACTGGGAGAGAGAAGGGGACAGAAGCTCACCATTTGCCCCAGATGGGAGGGAAGAGGAGGAGAGGCCTTGGAGGTGTTGAGCCACCCCAGCCCTTATTCTATAAACCCTGCTTAAGAGTAAATTCCAGGCCTCTGGCCTTCCCAGCTGCTGCCTGTCCCGAGTTCACTAAGAGGCAGCCGCACTGGTTCCAAGGGCTCAGAAATCAGTCCCCTCTGCAGGCCCCCAACCCACATACCCTCAGACGCCCGCCTCCGCCCGCCCAGTCCTCATGCTCATGATGGCCTTGGGTGGGACCCTTGTCCTGTCAGCTGTGCAGGTCACCTCCAGGGAATTCTGGCAGGAGCCACCTGGGCGGGCCTGCAGAGCGGTATCTGCCAGTTACCTGGTCAGTGACGCAGATTCCCCAGAAGGGTCAGGGTAGGAGGCTGGAGGGGGAAGAGGAGCCAGGAAGGGACAGTGGCTGGGGCAGCTCCACAGGGCAGCACCTACCAGGGAAAGGGACCCATTCCCTCCACTCAGCTCACTCAGGCGCCAGCCCAGCACTTCAGAGACGCTACCGGTTCCTAAGATGGAAGGTGCCCAGCCGCGCTTCCCTGCGACTCCCAGCATCCACCAAGGACCTGAGGAAACACAACAGCACACATGGCTACACACTCACTCACACACACACAGTCACACACAGACACACACTCACACAGAGACACAGACACACACTCACACAGAGACACAGACACACAGAGACACATAGAGACACACAGACACATACACTCACATAGAGAGACACACACAGACACAGAGAGACACACACTCAGAGACACAGAGACACACACTCACATAGACACACACACACAGAGATACACAGACACACACACACACAGAAACATACACTCAGACACCCACAGACACACAGAGACACACTGAGACACACACACACTCTCTCTCACACAGAGACACCCAGACACATACATTCACACAGAGAGACACCCACAGACACACACACACATACTCACAGAGACACACACTCAGACACACAGAGACACACACACACACAGAGATGCACACAGACACACACCCACAGACACATACACTCATACAGAGAGACACCCACAGACACACGGAGAGACAGACACACTGACACACTCACAGATACACTCATAGAGACCCACACAGACACACACACACACACACTTACAGAGACATACTACAGAAACCCAGTTACAAAAACACACAGAGCCTGGCACAGGGATGCTCAGCAGGGCATGCGCACAGCAGCCAGAGCCTCACCTCCGTCTGAGACCGAAGCCTTGCCCTGTGAAAGCTGCTCCTCACCCAAGGCCCGGCCAGGAAGGTGCTGATGCTCTGGGGCGCCCAGGTAGACTTGAGTGGAAGGTTCTGGGGCCCTAAATGGCTTAGCCAAGGGGATGGGTGGTCTCTCCTCTTACAGAAGTTAAAACACCTCCCTTCCCCGTCCACCTGTGTACCTGAACTGTCATTCATTCATTCATTCATTCAACAAACAGAATGTGCTATGCTGGGCACTGGGATGTGAACGGGATAGAATTGGGGCCTGGGGGGTGGGGGGGTGAGGAGGCAGAAAGGCAAACCTATCATGGTGCCAGGGAGAGGTGAGGCCGGTTCCCCAGCCCGCCTGGGGCACCCTCAACAGACCCTTGAAAGGAAACAGCCAAGTGTTAGGGCCCTGCCTGGGGGGCTTCCTGGCCCACGGAAGACAGTGGGAGACAGCCTTCATTCCTTCTCCCTCAGCCCTGCTCCACTTCCTCTCCAGGGTGGTCTTCCAGCTAGGTCAACAGTGCTGGGGTGACCACTTGTCTCCACGGACATCTGAACCCTATACCTTCCTGCAAGCCCCCAGCTTTAAGCTTTCCTCTCTGTCAATTTGCCCAGCAATTCTTAGGGCCCCCAGAGGCACCTCTCCCTACCTCAGCCAGACCCCAGGGGACTGTGCAAGCCCCATGGTCCTGTTACACATAGGAGCCAGAGGTAGGATGGGGTTAGGCAGGGACCAGAACAGAAGAATGGAAACCAATGATTACCTACCCCTTGGGCTGACATACTCAGAAACCAGATGGATGGATGGGTGCAGTGGGGCTGATGGGTGGGTGGGTGGGTGGGTGGATGAATGGATAGATGAATGGAATTGGGCAGGTGAGTAAATGGATGGATGGATGCATGAATGCATGGATGGATGAAGTGGAGTAGGTGAGTGGATGGTTGGATAGATGGAGTAGGGTAGATGAGGGATGGGTGGGGGGATGGATGGATGCATGGATGGATGGACAGATGGAGTGGAGTGGGTGAGTGCATGGATGGATGCATGAATGGATGGAGTAGGGTAGGTGAGTGGATGAATGGGTGGATGGATGGATGGACAGATGAATGGATGGATGGATGGAGTGGGGTATGTGAGGGAGGGATGGATGGATGGATGGATGGATGGATGGATGGATGGATGGATAAGTAGGTGAGTGGATGGATGGGTGGATGGATGGGTGGATGGAGTGGGGTGGGTGAGGGATGGATGGGTGGATGGATGGATGGATGGATGGATGGATAAGTAGGTGAGTGGATGGGTGGATGGATGGATGGATAAGTAGGTGAGTGGATGGATGGATGGATGGATGGATGGATAAGTAGGTGAGTGGATGGATGGATGGATGGATGGGGTGGGGTGGGTGAGGAATGGATGGGTGGGTGGATGGATGGATGGATGGATGGATGGATGAATGGAGTAGGGTAGGTGAGTGGATAGACTAATGGAATGGGGTAAGTGAGGGGATGGGTAGATGGAGTTGGGTAGGTGAGTGGGTACAGTGGGGTAGGTGAGGGATGGATAGATGGATGGATGGGTGGAGAAGCAGGTGAGTGGATGGATGGATGGAGTGGGGTGGGTGAGTGGATGGATGGAGTAGGGTAGGTGTGTGGATGAATGCATGGATGGATGGATGGAGTGGGATAGGTGAGTGGACAGATTAATGGAATGGGGTAGGTGAGTGGATGAGTGGATGGAGTTGGGTAGGTGAGTGGGTACAGTGGGTACAGTGGGGTAGGTGAGGGATGGATAGATGGATGGATGGGTGGAGAAGTAGGTGAGTGGATGGATGGATGGAGTGGGGTGGGTAAGTGGATGGATGGATGCATGGATGGATGGAGTAGGGTAGATGAGGGAGGGAGGGATGGATGGATGGATGGATGGATGGATGGATGGAGTTGGGTAGACGAGGGAGGGATGGATGGATGAAGTGTGGTGGATAGATGGATGGACTGGTGAACGGGAGAGTGGACGGATGGACAGATAGATGGATGGGTGGCTGTATACACAGGATGATAAGGGAGGAATAAAGGAACCTGGATGACAATGGCTGCAAGGCAAGGCGGGGGGTGGTCCAGAGGAGTGGAGGAGGCCTACACCAAATTGCCTGCCTGGAACAAATGTTTGTCTTTTTTCTTTTCCATGAACTGAACCTCCCAGCTTCTCCTGGAGGAACACATTCTGTTTTTAGTTCAACAGACAAGAAAGTGTCCCTTGGAGCCTGTTTAATTGCAGTCCATCTGCCTTTGAAGGACTTGTACCGTCATTGAGAGGAACTGACGGGACCCACTTGTTAAGCCCTTCCTGTATTTCAAGACCTTAATTAAAATAAAGTGGCTAGACTAAGTGGGGTTTTCAAACTGGGCTTTAGAGAACACTTATTTTTTTGTAAAATATTTTGAAAGCTTTTAAAACTCTAATTTAAAAAATCGATTCCATTGGAGAATACCGGAATTTCTGAGAGCCGCCAGCTAGGCCTGTTTTGTGCCCTCTCTGCTTAAGTGACAGTCTTGAGATTTCAAGGTGAGCAGCGGATAAACGGTTACCATTAGCAACTCCTTATCAATGTGACTTTTCTCTATACCGTGTAACAAAGCAAAATAGAGAAATCAGTTGGATCTGGGTCTGATGTCATTGGAGCCGCCATCTGTAACCCCCAGTTTAAAATGTTTACCTTCCCAAAGCAGCCATTTTGTTCTCATTAGCAACCTTTAGAGTAAGAAAATATTATGGAGTCAGGTGTTTTATTCCTTTTCTAGGTTTCACGCGTTGGGGTTTCCACGTTGGATATTTTTTAAGGGGGAATTTCACTGATAGTCTTAAATAAAAGAGAAAAGAAACAAAAATAGAAGCCCACCGGACGAATTCCCAAAACCCTTTCGGCTCTTCCTGTCTCTGCTTCTGACCTCTGGGCGGTGTTCAGCCCCCTGCCTTTCTCCCTCTGTGCTGGTGAAGCTGGTTCTTAGTTAGGGCTCTTGGTCCCCCTGTCATCCGACTCCAGGCCCTTTTACCAACAGAGGCCTCACTGACCCCAGTGACACATCGTGGGGAGGTGCGTCGTCCTCCGTTAGGTCAAGGTTAAGAATTAGCCAGGCTTCTCTTCTGAGCCTTTTATGGGCTGGCCATTCATAAATTTGCCCAAACCCTCAGTGGTCCTGCCAAGGTCACCTTCTGGCGTAATGAGTCCATGTTTGTTACCTGCCGGGTGAGGCCATGCTTCCTTCTCAGTGGCAGCCTCGTCACTGCCCTTCCAGAATATCCTTAGGGGAGTGACTGAAGCTAGATGGGAGGCTCGGCTTAGCTCCTGTGAACCTTGAGGCTGGAATGGTCCCATCTATGCTACCAGCTGGTCTTAATAATCCTGGCTCTAGACCTAATCGGTGAAGCCAGCTGATTCCTAATGGAGAGCATTCTGGAGCATTGTGCATAAAGAGCTCTGCTGTTGCCTCTACATTTACAGGAAATGAACTGCACTGGCAGGAGGCAGCCTGCTAAAAGTAATATACAAGAAAAACTTGTAAATACACATCAATTGATTGATCATAAGTGGGCTCAGAAACTACTGGTTCACTTAAAAGTAGATCATATCCCTTTAAAAAGTTATATTGTTGGCTGGGGGCAGTGGCTCATACCTGTAATCCCAGCACTTGAGAGGCCGAGGTGGGAGGATTGCTTGAACCCAGGAGTTCAAGACCAGCCTGGGCAACATAAGAATACCCCTACTCTACAAAATTTTTTTTAAAAAAATTAGCTAGGTATGGTAGCATGCACCTGTGGTCCCAGCCACTCCGGAGGCTGGGATGGGAGGATCTCTTGAGCCCAGGAGTTTGAGGCTGCAGTGAGCTATGATCGCACTGCTGCGTTCTAGCCTGGGCAACAGAAGAAGATCCTGCCTCAAAAAAAACAAAAGTTATATTATTAATCTATGTTGTATTCTTTATCTTTGGGTGGAACCAGGGAGGCCAGTCATTTCAAGACAAATGACTTTAAATCCTGAATTTCTGGTGGCAATTGTTGCATCACTGTGGCTTAATGACCATTTGTTCTGCGTTGTTATTATCTTCTTCCAGATTGTTCTCTGGGGCCGGACTGAGAAATGCCTGAAGGAGACGACGGAGGAGATCCGGCAGATGGGCACTGAGTGCCATTACTTCATCTGTGATGTGGGCAACCGGGAGGAGGTGTACCAGACGGCCAAGGCCGTCCGGGAGAAGGTCTGTAGCCTGGGAGGGTCTATTCCTAGCACAGCTGACCACAGGCTAATTCCGGGCAAAGAGAACATTCTCATGTGGCCTGGAAGAGAGCTCTGCTTATGGCAGAATGGCTTTGCCCGGGGCACCTTTGGGGACTCTCCCATGAAGCTGGCCCCAGTTACATAGGCAGGGATTAGGGTTGATTACGTAACAGGCGTAATCATCTGTTGTTCCCTTGGAAATGTAGACCGTGTGGGTTTCTCTCCAGGACTGTGGCGGGGCAAATGTCCCATTGGCCTCTGGGAAAATCCTTCTGACTCCAGTCATCTGTTTGGGCTAAATATATCAGTGACCTCCAAGAGAGGGAAACCCACCCTGACTGTCTGGCACGTGGTAATGTTAACTGTTTTTATGTCGCAGTAAACTCATTTATTATAAATATGCTGTGTGCCAGGTACGGTGTGTGCCATAAATTATTTCTCCTCCTCAGAACAGTCCTGGTGCGGCATTAGCCCCATCTCACAAATCAAGACTGGCGCTCAGAGACGCAGTTCTCTTCCCCAGGCCCTGTGGCTGCTGGTGGTACGGCCAGGTGGCTGCTGGGCCTCTATGTATGCAGGATAACTGGAACTAGGCTGGCAGAAAGTGGCCTGCGGGAAGGAATATCTAAGAAAAACTTGTAAATAACACATCAATTGATTGATCATAAATGGACTCAGAAATTACTCGTTCACTTAGGAGTAAGCCATATCCCTTTTAAAAAGTATATTGGACCGGGTGCGGTGGCTCACACCTGTAATCCCAGCATTTTGGGAGACCGAGGCAGGCGGGTCACTTGAGGTCAGAACAAGATTAGCCTGGCCAACATGGTGAAACCCCATCTCTACTAAAAATATAAAAATTAGCCAGGCATGGTGGCAGGAGCCTGTAATCCCAGCTACTTGGGAGGCTGAGGCATGAGAATCGCTTGAACCCAGGAGGCGGAGGTGGCAGTGAGCCGAGATGGTGCCACTGCACTCCAGCCTGGACAACAGAGTGAGACTCCATCTCAAAAACAAACAAACAAAAAACATATATCGTTGGCCCTGGGCTGGCTGCCCTCATGGCCCCGTGGCTCCCTCTCGCCTGCAGGTGGGTGACATCACCATCCTGGTGAACAATGCCGCCGTGGTCCATGGGAAGAGCCTAATGGACAGTGATGATGATGCCCTCCTCAAGTCCCAACACATCAACACCCTGGGCCAGTTCTGGGTAAGGGCTATCCGGGGCCAGAGCCAGCCCCGGGCGTGCAGGGAGCCCAGGCAGGATGGAGGGGAGGGGATGATTTGCCAGGGCTTGGGCTCAGGCCAGCAGGGATGTCCACGAACAAGGTGGCCAGACAAGACGAATGACCAGCTCTAGGACACATCAGACTTTGTGAAATATGCTCGGTGTCCTGGGGCAGGGAGCCCTCGGCCCTCTCCCTCGCAGGAAGGCTCGGGCCCTAGAGCATCATGTGTGTCCGGGGTGGGCTGTTCTCCCCGAAAGAAAGGTGGAGGGGTTGTCAGAGCTGCAGCTGCTCCACCCTGACACCCCATCTGCCCTCAGACCACCAAGGCCTTCCTGCCGCGTATGCTGGAGCTGCAGAATGGCCACATCGTGTGCCTCAACTCCGTGCTGGCACTGTCTGCCATCCCCGGTGCCATCGACTACTGCACATCCAAAGCGTCAGCCTTCGCCTTCATGGAGAGCCTGACCCTGGGGCTGCTGGACTGTCCGGGAGTCAGCGCCACCACAGTGCTGCCCTTCCACACCAGCACCGAGATGTTCCAGGGCATGAGAGTCAGGTCAGTGAGCAGGGGACCCACCTTGAGACCAGCCTTCTCACCTGCCTCCCCAAGCCATTCAGTCAGCCAACTGCAGAAAGAGCTCTGATATAAAAATCGGGCTAGGCACGGTGCCTCATACCTATAATCCTAGCATTTTGGGAAGCCAAGGCAGGTGGATCGCTTGAGCCCAGCAATCCAGTTTGAGACCAGCCTGGGCAGCATGGAGAAACCCTGTGTCTAAAAAAAATAAAAAATTAGCTGGGCATGGTGATGCACACCTGTATTCCCAGCTATCTGGGAGGCTGAGGTGGGAGGATCAATTGCTTGAGCCCAGGAAGTTGAGGCTGCAAGTGAGCTGTGATTGTGCGACTGCACTCCAGCCTGGGAGAGAGAGTGAGACCCTGTCTCAAAACAAAAAGTCACCAAGGAGCCTCTACCCTCTGTTTGACGCTGTCTTACCTGGTTCTCGGTCTGCAAGGCAGTGATGCCACGATGGGGAGGGTCCTGCTGCTTGGTTCAGGGAGCTTATAGGAAACTACCAGAGCTACAGGCATGCAGCGGGATGTGTCTAAAGGTCAAATGAGGGAGATGCACCTCCACAGCGTCGTGCAGGGCGAAGGGAGCTTGAGACATAGGGTGCATTCTGCCTGGTTCCACCTGTATGAAGTTCCAAAACAGGCAAAACTGGGTTAGGGTGATGGAAATCAGACCCGTGGCTTCCCCTGGAGGGCTGGGGGTGTAACCTGGGAGGGAGGCGAGGGAACTAGCAAGACCTTCAGAAATGTTCTCTCTTCTTGAACTTAGCAGTCATTAAATACGTGAAAGTTAATCAAACTGTCTGCTTAAGATGTATACCTTTTGTTATATGCAAATTATAGCTCAATTTATTTGTTTGTTTATTTAGTTATTTATTGAGATGGAGTTTCGCTCCGTTGCCCAGGCTGGAGTGCAGTGGCGCGATCTCGGCTCACTGCAACCTCCACCTCCTGGGTTCAAGTGATTCTCCTGCCTCAGCCTCCCGAGTAGCTGGGATTACAGGCGTGCGCTTGCACCCAGCTAATTTTTGTATTTTTAATACAGACGGGGTTTCACTATGTCGGCCAGGCTGATCTCAAACTCCCAACCTCAGGTGATCCACCCACCTCAGCCTCCCAAAGTGCAGGGATGACAGGTGTGAGCCACCACGCCTGGCCGTAGCTCAATTTAAAATGAGTAATAGGGAGGTCCCACCACTCCTCCTCCAAACCAGTTAAGTCAAGGGGAACGGGGACCACTGGTCTAGAGCTCATGCCACCTGGGGTGGTGACTCCCTCATAGCTGTGATGTACTCTGTGACATTGGGTCCCGTTAATTACTGCTGTGGCTGATCTGCAAGATGGGGTGCGCGAATGTCTCCATCATAGGTTCTGCAGTGAGGACAAAGTGGAATCTGGCAGGGAACACCGTGTGTGGTACATATTAAGTGCCCAATAAATGGCGCTTTAATGATGTGCAGTTATGTAGGGGCATGACGTCATCGATGAATGAAAACCGGGAATTACTCAAATACTATTCTCCCTGGTTTTTTGCAATCCAGCGTACAGTGCTTCACCTTCTGATTATATATTGCAGCTGCTTCCAAAAATGAGGATGACACGGAAGGGTCATGAGGAGAATTCAGTGAGACAATTTAGTGTAGTGCATGCCACGTGGGAGTCACTCATTACGCCTTAGTTACTATTAATCGGGACAGTGCGGTGTTGATTGTTGAGAATCAAAAATACCGGGCTTGGTGGCTCATGACTGCAATCCCAGCACTTTGGGAGGCTGAGGCAGGAGGATGGCTTGAGCCCAGGAAATTAGAAATAATACATGTAACACATCTAGTGCAAAGCCCGGATACTAGATGCTCAATAAGGAGCTGCTGCTTTTATTATTTTTCCTAACAATAAACATCTTCATAAATGCATGTTATTAATTTTCCTAGCAGACCACCTGGTTTGCATGCAAATTGTCATCAATTCTGAATTTCGAGGAGTCTAGACTAATGGCTACTAATGTTTCCTGTTGGCTTTTTCCCCCATGGGTTTTGGTTTGGTTTCTTTTCATCTGAGTATACAGAAGGTGCTCAATAAATGCATACTGGACAGAAGTGCATCAGTGGCAGTCTGCAGTTTTGTTTTGTTTTTTTTTTTAAGACGGAATCTTGCTCTGTCGCCCAGGCTGGAGTGCAGTGGTGCCATCTCGGCTCACTGCAAGCTCCGTCTCCCGGGTTCATGCCATTCTCCTGCCTCAGCCTCCCAAGTAGCTGGGACTACAGGTGCCCACCACCACGCCCAGCTAATTTTTTGTATTTTTGGTAGAGACAGGGTTTCACCGTGTTAGCCAGGATGGTCTCAATCTCCTGACCTCGTGATCCGTCCACCTCGGCCTCCCAAAGTGCTGGGATTACAGGCGTGAGCCACCACGCCCAGCCGGCAGTCTGCAGTTCTAATTGGGTGTCCTGAGCACAGAAGCAAGCAGGACATTGCAGACATCGAGTTTGTGTGTCTATTTCACCTTCTAGCATAGCTTCTTTCCTACCACTTTAAGAAGGAAATTCAAGGTTTTCCTGCCACATTTTTTCAGAGCGTGAACCCAAACTGCCTGGGGTCAAATCCCAGCTCTGTGTGACCTTGGCCAAGTTACTTGACTTTTCTCTGCTTCAGTTTCCTCACCTCTAAAAAGAGATTCATAATAATAGTATCCCCAGCTGGGCACGGTGGCTCACGCCTGTAATCCCAGCACTTTGGGAGGCCAAGGCGGGCAGGTCACCTGAGGTCAGGAGTTCAAGACCAGCCTGGCCAACACGGTGAAACCCTGTCTCTACTAAAAATACAAAAATTAGCCAGGCATGGTGGTGGGTGCCTGTAATCCCAGCTACTCAGGAGGCTGAGGCAGGAGGATCGCTTGAACCTGGGAGGTGGAGGTTGCAGTGAGCTGAGATTGCACAATTGCACTCCAGCCTGGGCAACACAGCAAGACCCCACCTCAAAAATGAATAATAATAATAATAATAATAGTATCCCCTTTTCATGGGTTAGATGAGCTCCTGTGTGTGAGTCATCTGGCCACGCCTGGCAAGTAGCAAGCACTAGGTGAACATTAGCTACCTATGGTTGTGCAGGGGAGCCCCAAGGGCTCGGCCAGAAGAGTAGTACAAGGAAGATGGGTACCTAACCAACTCCCATTTCCTAAAAGAATAAAAAATGGATAAAAGCATGGGTTTCCTCCTACAACCATGCTTAGCAGCCTCCCAGGGTTAAATGGGTTAAATGTGAAGACATGTTTAGGACAAAATGAGTGAGTTTCCCAGCAAGACTGGCCATGTCAGTGGATGTTATTGTTTATAAATTGCTATTTATTGAGCCTCTTTTTTTTTTTTTCTTTTGATACAAAGTCTTGCTCTGTCGCCCAGGCTAGAGTGCAGTCATGTGATCTTGGCTCACTGCAACCTCCGCCTCCCAGGTTCAAGCAATTCTCCTGTCTCAGCCTCCCGAGTAGCTGGGATTACAGGCACCTGACTCCATGCCCGGCTAATTTTTGTATTTTTGGTAGAGACAGTGTTTCGCCGTGTTGCCCAGGCTGGTCTTGAACTCCTGGCCTCAAGTGATCCACCTGCCTCAGCCTCCCAAAGTGCTGGGGTTACAGGCATGAGCCACCACGCCCAGCCAATTGAGCCTCTTCGATGTTCCAGCCATAGAACCACCTAGAACCACTAGACACTTTACAAGTGCTGCTGCATTTGGCCCTCACAGCAACCCTGGAAGAGAGCTTTTATTCCCATTTTACAGATGAGGGAACTGAGGCTCAGAGAAGCAAAGTTACCTGCCCAAGTCCACATAGCTTGAAACTGGCTAGCTAAGCATGCTTCTTCCACGAATTTGCACTGCTTCCATGGGAGTTAATAGCTGTGCCAGTTCCCCGTGTCCCCATCCCACACACCGTGGAGAGGAAGGAGAAAATCCTGCGCACAGACGTGCTTGAGGCCTCCTCTGTCGGCTTCCCTGGCAGGGGTCTTACCAAGAAGGATTCCCGTCAAGCCCATGGACTTTGGTCTGTCCATCCTGCCTTCCCTTTCCCAAGAGACAGGCCAGGCCACAGGTGGAAGCCAGAGAATCCAGACCGCCCACGACACCTGTAGGACTCCAGTATCAGTGAGCTGCCTCAACACGTTCATCTCTGTAGAATGGCAGAGGCTGGCCCCTCTTGACCACAGGGCTGTGGGCCTCAGAATCACCATCATGGCCAGGCGTGGTAGCTGGGTTCACACCAGTAATCCCAGTGCTTTGGGAGGCTGAGGCAGGGGAATCACTTCAGCCCAGGAGTTGCCAGCCTGGGCAACATGGCAAAACCCCATCTCTACAAAAAATATAAAAATTATCTGGGCATGGTGTGTGCACCTGTAGTCCCAGCTACTCGGGTGGCTGAGGCAGGAGGATTACTTGAGCCCAGGGAGGTCGAGGCTGCAGTGAGCTGTGATCACGTCACTGCACTCCAGCCTGGGTAACAAAGTGAGACCCTGGACTCAAAAATAAAAAATAAAAAAAGAATCATCATTGTGATGACAAAGGAATTACAGGGCAGGGGGTAAGATTCATGTACCCTCTGAGGCCAAACCCCTGCTGGGAGTCCAAGGGCTGCCTGTTGCTGAGGAATGACATCAAACCTGGGTGATTCATCACCCTTAATCTTCCTGGTGCCAGAGCGGATCACAAGCTCTTTGTGGGATTGGGGTCAGAGCCAGCAACATGAGCCCTGCACCTATAGATCCAGGAAGGGCAGGAAGAGCAGTGAGCAAAGGTGATAGAGCATTGGCCAGGTTTGAATCCTTAGCGCCCTACTGACTCAATACAGCCTCGGTTTCCTTATCTGTAAATCAGGAGAATAATTTGTACATGAGTCTGGCACGTAGGGAACATCATCATTGTTTGGATCTAGGGTCAGATGCTTTTAAATAGTCATGAGAAGCCCCTGATGTTTGCTTATGCAATCATTCATTCATTCATTTTGAGATCCCATGGAAAGCACTGTGCAAATCTTTGAATCAATGAATCAGTGAGTGAGTTAGTGAACCAGCAAGCTGAGCCCCAGCCATCGCTAGCCAAGCCCCTGCCTCCAGACAGAATGAGCAGGACACATTTGGGAAGCAGCAAGTCATCAGTGTGTTCAGTCCTTCAAGTATTTATTGAGCACATACTATGTATCAGATGCTGTGCTAGATGCAGGGGAGCAGGACCGACCAGGCCTCCACCCTCATGGAACTCATTGCCTGATGGCGGAGACAGGCCACTGACAAGGAAACAACCCAAAAAGCAAGGTCTTCCTAGGTGGGGTGAACGCGGTCAAGGAAATTAGCAGGGGACAGGATCAGAGGTCGCTTTGGATGGACTGGCCTGAAATGTCTCCCAAAGGAGGAGCTGGGAGGAGAGAGCCAGGCTGTTGAGAGAGCTGGCAAAAAGCCCTGACCCGAGCATGTGATGTGACAAGAACAGAAATGGGCCTGTCCTGAAGGAGCAGAGTGTAGGGAAAAGGACTCAGAAGGACAACCAGGGCCCAGATTACGCAGGGCCATGGAAAGGCCAAGCCCTAGGGCACTGGGAGCCCTTGGAGGGCTTGGGAGAGTGGGTCCCCAGTGGGTGGGCTAGAAGTCCTTGACTCAAGAAGAGACCCCTGTGTGCCTGGAGGAGTGAGGGAATGTGGCACCTGGATGGGTGTGGGGTAGAGGGAGTATTCCAAGCAGGCCTCGAATCTCTCAGACAGGAAAAGCCAAAGGGTGACCCAGACATGTCAGCCTCATAAAGACTTCCAGATAAGCACATGCCTCTCCAGGAGAAACCCACTGTGTCTCTTCCTGTGTTCAGGTTTCCCAACCTCTTTCCCCCACTGAAGCCGGAGACGGTGGCCCGGAGGACAGTGGAAGCTGTGCAGCTCAACCAGGCCCTCCTCCTCCTCCCATGGACAATGCATGCCCTCGTTATCTTGAAAAGGTATGGGGCTGGGAAAGAACACTCTGGGTCAGGGGAAAGTACGCATGTGATCTATTAGTCATGTCTGCTGCGGGCATGAGCATGAGGAGTGCTGGCACATTTGCTGCTGATGTACTGTACTTACTGTGGGGCAGCAGTTCTCAAACTTGTTAGTCACGGGGCCCCTTAGAGTTTTAAAAAGTATGGAGGAACCCAAAGAGCTTTTGTTAATGTGAGTTGTAGCTATCGCTATTTACTATATTAGAAATTAAAAGCCAGGGCCAGGCGCAGTGGCTCACGCCTGTAATCCTAGCACTTTGGGAGGCCGAGGCAGGTGGATCACGAGGTCAAGAGATTGAGACCATCCTGGCTAAAATGGCGAAACCTTGTCTCTACTAAAAATACAAAAAGAAAGTAGCTGGGCATGGTGGTGGGCGCCTGTAGTCTTAGCTACTCGGGAGGCTGAGGCAGGAGAATGGTGTGAACCCAGGAGGTGGAGCTTGCAGTGAGCCGAGATCGTGCCACTGCACTCCAGCCTGGGTGACTCAGCAAGACTCCATCTCAAAAAAGAAATTAAAAGCCAGAAAAATGTTGTAAGTTGTATACATTTGTTTATAATATTTATTCATTTATAAATAGCTATAACAAACCCATTACATTAATATAAATATATTTTTATGACAACTAGTTATGTATTCTAAAACAAAATAAATGTAGTCAGGAGTGGCATTGTTCTACCTTTTTGCAAATCTCTTTGTTTGGCTTAATTGAAGACAATTGGATTCTTATATGTGCATCTGATTTCAATTTGTTGTGATATCTCGTGTCACGTAGCCTCTGGAAAATTCTACCATTCACTGAGAGAATGAAAGTGAAAAGACAAATAACATCTTAGTATTATTACAGAAACAATGTGGCCGGGCACGGTGGCTCACGCCTGTAATCCCAGCACTTTGGGAGGCCGAGGTGGGTGGATCACCTGAGGTTGGGAGTTCGAGACCAGCCTGACCAACATGGAGAAACCCTGTCTGTACTAAAAATACAAAAAAAATTAGCTGGGTGTGGTGGCGTGTGCCTGTAATCCCAGCTACCTGGGAGGCTGAGGCAGGAAAATTGCCGGAACCCAGGAGGCAGAGGTTGAGGTGAGCCGAGATCGCACCACCGCACTCCAGCCTGGGCAACAAGAACAAGACTCCGTCTCAAAAAAAAAAAAAAAAAAAAATTGACCTCACAGACCCCTGAAGAGATCCCGGGTACCCCAAAGGTTCCTGGACCTCACTTTGAGAACCACTGTTCTACAGCCTATTGGACATAGCCCCTGCCCTCAGGAAGTTTACTATTAGAGGGAACATGGGGATCTTGATGCCAAGGGCTCAGAATTCACAGAAGCGTCTTAGTACCAGTCGGGTGGGATGTAGCAGGGCAGACCACTTTGGGGAGGCAGGCTTTATAAATGAGAGACTCCTCCTCCAGAATTTGCCTGGCATCCTATTCCCCTAGAACTTTCCAGGCTTTGTGCAGCAAATCCTTCCCATCCCAGTCCCACACTCAGTTTTCTTGGGCCTCTTAGTACAGCAGGAGATCCTTGTCCCTGGTGCCACAAGTGACCATGGGCTCTTGGCTCCCCTGGGGCTCTGGCCCCCTCCTGACTGAGCCCCTCTGACCTGGAAGTCCTTTTCAGGAAGGTAAGCCCCCAAGTGCCAGGCTGGCCCCTGCTCTCATGCAACATGCACTCCCAGGAAAGCCAACTTCTGCCCTGGCTGCTGGGACATGGTGAGCCCCAGCTGAGGGGCTGCCCCAACACATGCAGGGCACAGAAACCTCGAAACTGAGGCGCAAGCCCGATCAGCCCTCTCTTCCCCAAACTCAAAGCCCTTTCAGAGGCACAGGGAAGGGGGCACCCAGGGGCATCCAGGCCACACCTCGGCCTCCCTCAGTCCATCCTGACCTCGGGTCTGAGATGCTCCTCAGCCGTCTCTAGGAGCCCCTAGTTGATCAGGGGCTCAGGTCCTCACTGAGGTCAGGCTGCCACCCTCCACCTCAGGGGAGCTTCTTAGAAGACTTCCAGAGCTTTCTAGAGAAAAGTTGGTCTAGAACACCTCAGCGCTCTCCACAGTAAGCCCTCAGCCTTCATTTTCCAACCTTCCCCACAACTACTTTTGAACAGGAAGCAGGAGCCACCCCGCTCCCCATTCTCTGAACTGCATCCCTCCTCACCTTCCCCAGGAGAAAGCAAGGCTCAACTCTAATACCACCACCCCCAGGAAGCCTTCCAGATTGCTCCAGCTGGAAGTGAACCCTTTTCATCTTGTACTTAGAGTGGGCCAGGACCCTTCAGTTTGAGTCACCAAACAGCCTGAGGGCCCTCTCTGTGCCGGGCCCATGTGAGGGCCTGGGGATCAGAGATGAAATACCCGCCATGAAGGCCCCCACAGGCTTGACAAGTAAACGGGTGGGGACTACACCAGGGCTTGCTGGGGAAGCGTCGGAACTCCGGTTGTACGAGGAGAAGCCTGAAGGTGAGCCCAGGACGCTTCCCCAGAGGATGTGACACCCAAATCGAACCTGATTCCTCAGATCCACACCGTCATCTTTGTGGAATCAGGGGCAGTTGGGATCGATGGATCTCTGAGCTGCCTGTGGGCACCAAGATGCTAAGAGCCTGGTTTTGAAAGTGTGTTGTATGAAGGGAGAGAAGGTCAGCACTCCCCTCGACAAGGAGCACAGACAGATTAAGCCATTGTCACCTACTTAGTGGCACCTAACCATCATTTGTTTTTAATGGGTACAAAAAATAGACCGAATAAGAACAAGTCTTTGATAGCACAGCAGGGTGACTATAGTTAATAATAATTTAATTGTACGATTAAAAATAACTAAAAGGGCCGGGCGCAGTGGCTCACGCCTATAATCCCAGCACTTTGGAAGGCCGAGGCAGGCAGATCACCTGAGGTCAGGAGTTCAAGACCAGCCTGGCCAACATGGCGAAACCCTGTCTCTACTAAAAATACAGAAATTAGGCGGGCATGGTGGCGCATGCCTGTAATTCCAGCTTCTCAGGAGGCTCAGGCAGGAAAATCACTTGAACCCAGGAAGCAGAGGTTGCAGTGACCCCAGATCGCACCACTGCACTCCAGCCTGGGCAACAGAGTGAGACTCTGTCTCAAAAAAATATAATAAACATAAAAATAAATAAAAAAACTAAAAGAGTATAGTTGGATTGTTTGTAACACAACAGATAAATGCTTGAGGTGATGGATACCCCATTTATGCTGATGTGATTATTATACATTTGCATGCCTGTATCAAAGTATTTCATGTACCCCATAAATATATATACCTACTATGTACCCACAAAAATTAAAAATAAAAAAATGAGCTCTGTTTCAGGATCTAGGAAAAAGATAAAAATTTTAAATTAAAAAAAAAGTTTGCTCTGACCACTCACTCACTCTCTGCCTTTTTAAAATATATATTTTAAAAAGAGTGTGTGTGTGTGTGTGTGTGTGTGTGTGTGAGAGAGAGAGAGAGGGGACAGAGTTTTACTCTTGTCGCCCAGGCTGGAGTGCAACGGCGCGATCTCGGCCCACCGAAACCTCCGCCTCCCAGGTCAAGCAATTCTCCTGCCTCAGTCTCCCGAGTAGCTGGGATTACAGGTGCCCACCACCACGCCCAGCTAATTTTTGTATTTTTAGTAAAGACAGGGTTTTGCCATGTTGGCTAGGCTGTTCTCGAACTCCTGAGGTGATCCACCCACCTTGGCCTCCCAAAGTGCTGGGATTACAGGCATGAGCCACCACGCCCAGTCTGAAAAGAATTTTTGAGACAGGGTCTGGCTCTGCCACCCAGGCTGGAATGCAGCGGTACAATCTCAGCTCACTTCAACCTCCACCTCTTGGGTTCAAGCCATCCTCCCACCTCAGCCTCCCCAGTAGCTAGGACTATAGGCACATGCCACCATGCCCAGCTAATTTTTGTATATTTTTGTAGAGACAGGGTTTCACCATATTGCCCAGGCTGGTCTTGAATTCCTGGGCTCAAGCGATCCGCCCATCTCGGCCTCCCAAAGTACTTGGATTATAGACATGAGCCACCGCGCCCAGCCTCCCCCTGCCCTTTTAACAGCTGCTTATCCACTTATTTGAAAGCTCTTCCCCTGGGGAGGGTGGGGGTTTGGGGAGAAACTGGTGTGTGGCTTGGAGGTGTGGGGAGCACTTTCAGGAACCAGCCCTCTGCTGCCCCGTCTCACATGGCCACCAGCGACCCAGCCCCTGGATCCTGCCCCACTAACCATCGCTATCTTCTTTTCTTCCTCCTACTCCAGCATACTTCCACAGGCTGCACTCGAGGAGATCCACAAATTCTCAGGAACCTACACCTGCATGAACACTTTCAAAGGGCGGACATAGAGACAGGATGAAGACATGCTTGAGGAGCCACGGAGTTTGGGGGCCACAGCACCTGGGCACACACCCGAGCACCTGTCCATTGGCATGCTTCTGCTGGGTGAGCAGGACAGCTCCTGTCCCCAGCGAAGAATCCGGCTGCCCCTGGGCCAGTCCCAGGACCTTTGCACAGGACTGATGGGTATAACTGACCCCCACAGGGAGGCAGGAAAACAGCCAGAAGCCACCTTGACACTTTTGAACATTTCCAGTTCTGTAGAGTTTATTGTCAATTGCTTCTCAAGTCTAACCAGCCTCAGCAGTGTGCATAGACCATTTCCAGGAGGGTCTGTCCCCAGATGCTCTGCCTCCCGTTCCAAAACCCACTCATCCTCAGCTTGCACAAACTGGTTGAACGGCAGGAATGAAAAATAAAGAGAGATGGCTTTTGTGATTTCCTTTGTTCAAATCTTCCGTGGGCAGTTGGGAGGGAGCCAGTCCCAACCATAAAACTCCATCCTTTGAGAGAGAACTGGTCAGTTCAAGGTCCCCAACTGCCAAGGGTGGAGAGAAGGGGGCCGAAATCAGGAGAGAAAGTGGAGCCCAGGCCTAGGGGCAGAGAGGGGTGCTGGGTTCCTCGCCAGCTCCACCAGGCCCCTCCCAGCAGCCATGGGTTGAAGCCGCTTTGTCTCCTTGGTGTGACCTTTATGAAACAGTCTGCAAACAGCTGGCCACAGCTAGAGATGCCCTCTGTCCTGCCATGGCACCACCAGCCTCCAGGCCACCAACTCAGGAGAGCAAAACCAGTGTTTATGGAGCACCCACTGTCTACCTAGGGTGTGTGTGGTGCAGAGAGGGGAACGTTGCTGAGAAGAACCACTAGTACAAGAAGCCAATAATCTGGGTAGGAAAGGATCACAAGTCACCGGAAACACAGTGACAACTCCTCACCATAAGGCCAGTGCCGAGGGGTGCTACAGACCGAGTCCCATTTGATCACAGGGGCAGGGGGAGGTCTGGAGTGGCAGAAGAGATCGGCCCTGGTTCCATCAATGGGGCAAAGTCACGGCCAAAATGACCTAGTAGAGATGCCCCCTGCTTCCTCCAGGGTGCACGCTCCCTGCTGCCACAAGCTTAATAAACCTCACCTTGGGCAGTGGGGAAGAAAGTGGGCCATGTCATTTCATAGCAAGTAAACTCCATTCCACACAGCTCTTGCAGATGAGTGCCAGGGTGGCAGGAGGGGAGCAGGCAAGGTCCCCGGGAGGTGAAGGAGGTCACAGCCCTCTGACCCAACCCAGAAGCTTCCCCAAGAGTTACATAAAGTCTTAACCTACATGCAAACCTCAGGCTGAAACCTCCCAGCTTAGAGAATATTAGACATAGCTCAGGTGATCATCAGTCTGGTCTATGTGCAGAAATGCCAAGTCACGATTATAGCCATGCTTTTTTTCTTCTTCTCTTTTTTTTTTTTTTAAACATGGGAACTTGCTCTGTCACCCAGGCTGGAGTGTGGAGTGGAATGGCACAATCACGGCTCACTGCAGCCTCAACCTCCTGGGCTCAAACAATCCTCCACCTCAGCCTCCGGAGTTGCTGGGACTACAGGTGCATGCCACCACGCCCAACTGTTTTCTTTTTATTTTTCGTAAAGACAGAGGTCTTGCTATGTTGTCCAGGCTGGTCTTGAACCCCTAGGCTCAAGCAATCCTCCTCCCTCAGCCTCCCAAAGTGCTGGGATTACTGGAATGAGCTACCACGCCCGGCCTGTAGCCACTCTTGAATGAGTACCTAGAATGGAGGTCAGTCCCCAGGCATAACATTTTAACTCTTCATTATCCATGCCACTTGGCAGCAGCTGAAGACCAAAAAAACACAACTCCGAGACCGCTCTGGAGACTTCCAACAGCCTTGATGTGGCGCAGCCAGAATGTGACGCCCAAATCTCAGTGGCTTCCAACAATGAAGGTTTCTGCCTTATTACTGCTACTAGTCCTTCAAGAATGGCTACAGGTGTGCTCCGTGTCATCTTCGCTCTGAAACTCAGGCTGACCAGGGGGCCTCAGGGAGGATGTCTTATGGCACAGGGTAGACATACCTGGTGAACTGTGCACTGGCTCTTGAAGTTTCCACCTGGAAACAACACTGTCACTTCTGCTCACATTTCATTAGCTGGAACAGGGCACGTGGTGGAGCCGCTATTAACATAGCAGGAAATACAATCCCGCGTGGAGGAGTAGTCGTTAGTTCTGAACCAGGCTCTGCCATGCCAGGGAAGAAGACATCATGAGCAAAAATTAAAATATAGGTTGAGGACAGAGGGAAGCAGCTGTATGGCTTCCAACTGCAAGCCCAAGGACACAGTGACTTTTGGGAGGGCACAGGAGGTGCTAAGCAGAGCCCTAAAGAGGCAACTGTCAGTGTTCATCTCACGCTAAACTTATTTAGGTCCTCACTCTGTTGCCCAGGCTGGAGTGCAGTGGCCCGATCATGGCCACTGCAGCCTCCACCTCCCAGGCTCAAGCAATCCTCCCACCTCAGCCTCTCGAGTAGCTGAGATTACAGGCATGTGCCACCACGCCTGGCTCACTTCATCATTTTTTTGTAAAGATAGGGTCTCGCTATGTTGCCCAGGCTAGTCTGGAATTCCTGGCTTAAGCAACCCTTCTGCCTTGACTTCCCAAAGGAGTGCAACAAGGATCCCTAAAGTCTGATTGGACTCTGGGAGTTGCAAGCCCCGCCAGCCCTCCCCAGTTGCATTGAGAACCAATCGCTGTGTTAGCAGAGTGGGACCCTGGCGTCCCAGAGCCCCAGGGGCTCAGAAGGGCAGGGCCTGGTCCCACCCCACCCCCTCCCTCTCAGCCAGGAGCTTTCAGTCTTTTTCTGGATCTTTTCCCAGAGGAACCAAAAGAAAAAGCACTGGGCAGAATCCCAGGAGGCCCCATTCTGGTCCCTCTCCCAGATGGTTTAGCACTCAGAGAGCCTTGAGAGTGAGCGTGGAGAGCTAATTCTGTCCTTAGCTTGGCCATGCAAAGAAGAGTGACAAGTGCCAAACCCCCAAGGGGCAGGATGGGGCAGGCCAACCCTGGGAAGAGGACTTGGGTCCTGGGAAATAACCTCATTGCCATGCTTAGGGTTCCTCCCCATCCCCAAGGAAAACCAGATTGGAGGTAGGGATCCAGCCCAGGGAGGCAGCAGACCCAAGCCCCATGCTGGCACCATTCCAGGGGCTTGGACTATCCGGCCTGGTGAATGGTCAGGAATTGAGTCTGTGGCCACTGCCCTGCTCCCAGGGGACAGAATGCTTTGACAAATGGACTTTCTTCTTCTTGAGCCAAACTGATGTCCGGGAGGGACCAGGGTGACAGAAAGCTCCTGGGCTGATCACACGGACAGCTCTGCCTGATGAGGCAGACAGCCCTTGCCCCTGGGGATGTCCCAGTTCAGTGGGGATCAAAAAAGGAGCCAGGTCACAAATACACGAACCCCACTGCCCCAGTCCTAATCAGCACAGAGGGAAGAAGATGGTTGTGGTTTGTGGACAAGAGGGTCATCTACGGTGAGAAGCAACCCCCACCCACCACAGCACATCTGGGACTTCTGACCCTGAGGGGTCTTCTCTGATATTCAGGAGAGGCCTTCCAGGGGAAGCAGGTCTGTGATAAGAACCCAGAGGTCTATGCCTGTGAAGAGGGCTTCTATATATGGGCACCCCTCACTTGAGGAAAAGCCAGGAGGTGACAAATGTCCCTTGTATTAGTTCATTCTCACACTGCTATAAAGAACTACCCAAGACTGGGTAATTTATAAAGAAAAGAGGTTTAATTGGCTCCTGGTTCCACAGGCTGTACAGGAAGCATGGCTGGGGAGGCCTCAGGAACATTAACCTCAGGAATCATGGCAGAAGGCAAAGGGGAAGCAATCACATCTTCACATGGCCAGCAGGAGAGAGACAGAAGGGGAGAATGCCACACACTTTTAAACAACGAGAGCTCATGAGAACTTACCCACTATCACAAGAATAGGGAGGGAGAAATCCGCCCTCATGATTCGATCACCTCCCACCAGGTCCCTCCCCCAACATTGGGGATTACAATTCAACATGAGATTTGAATGGAGACACAGAGCCAAAACATATGATTCCATCCCTGGCCCCTCCCAAATCTTATGTCTTTCTCACATTTCAAAACCAATTATGCCTTTCCAACAGTCTCCCAAAGTCTTAACTCATTCCAGCATTAGCTCAAAAGTCCAAATCCAAAGTCTCATCTGAGACAAGGCAAGTCCCTTCTGCCTATGAGCCTGTAAATCAAAACAAGTTAGTTACTTCCATGATACAATGGAGGTACAGGCATTGGGTAAATGCTCCCATTCCAAAGGGGAGAAATTGGCCAAAATAAAGGGGCTACAGACCCCACACAAGTCCAAAACCCAGCTGGGCAGTCATTAAATCTTAAAGTTCCAAAATAATCTCCTTTGACTCCATGTATCACATCCAGGCCACGATGACACAAGAAGTAGGTTCCCAAGGCTTTGGGCAGCACCACCCCTGTGGCTCTGCAGAGTACAGGCCCAACAGCTGCTTTCACAAGCTGGTGTTGAGTGCCTATGGCTTTCCAGGCACACAGTGAAAGCTGTTGGTGGATCTACCATTTTGGGGTCAGGAGGACAGTGGCCCTCTTCTCACAGCTCCACTAGGCAGTGCACTAGTGGGGACTCTGTGTGGGGGCTACAACCCCACATTTCCCCTCCGCACTACTATAGTAGAAGTTCTCCATGAGGGCTCCACCCCTCCAGAAGACTTCTCTCTGGACATCCAGGTGTTCCATACATCCTCTGAAATCTAAGTGGAGGCTCCCAAGCCTCAACTCTTGCCCTCTGCGCACCCACAAGCCCAGCACCACGTGAAAGCTGCCAAGGCTTGGGGTTTGCACCCACTGAAGCAATGGCCCAAGCTGTACATTGGCGCCTTTTAGCCACAGCTGGAGCTAGAGCAGCTGGATGCAGGGCATCATGTCCCAAGGCACCAGGGCTCTGGGCCTGGCCCACAAAACCATTTTTCTCTCCTAGGCCTCCAGGCCTATGATGGGAGGGGCTGTGCAAAGGTCTCTGACATGTCCTGGAGGCATTTTCCCCATTATCTTGACTATTAACATTCAGCTCCTCTTTACTTAAGCAAATTTCTACAGCCTTGAATCTCCCCTACACACACACCAAAAAATGGGTTTTCTTTTCTACCACATGGTCAGGCTGCAAATTTTCCTAACTTTTATGTTCTGCTTCCCTTTTAAGTACAAGTTTCAATTTCAGACCATCTCTTTGTGAACACATATGAGCATATGCAGTTAGAAGCAGCTAGGTCACCTCTTGAATGCTTTGCTGCTTGGAAACTTCTTCTGCCAGATACCCTAAATCATCTCTCTCAAGCTCAAAGTTCCACAGATTCCTAGAGCAGGGACACGATGCTGCCAGTCTCTTTGCTAAAGCACAGCAAGAGTGATCTTTCCAATTCCAGTAAGTTCCTCCTCTCCATCTGAGACCACCTCAGCTTAGACTTTACTGTCCATATCACTATCTGCATTTTGGTCACAACCATTCAACAAATCTCTAGGAAGTTCCAAATTTTCCCACATCTTCCTGTTTTCTTCTGGGACCTCCAAACTATTCCAACCTCTGCTTAATACTCAGTTCCAAAGTCGCTTCCACATTTTCAGGTATCTTTATAACAATGGCCCACTCGTCTGGTATCAATTTTAGTGCCATTCTCACACTGCTATAAAGAACTACCTGAGACTAGATAATTTATAAAGAAAAGAGATTTAATTGACTCACCATTCCACAGGCTGTACAAGAGGCATGGTGGGGGAGGCCTCAGGAAATGTACAATCATGGTGGAAGGGTGAAGGGGAAGTAAGCACATATTCACATGGCAGCAGGAGAGAGAGCAAAGAAGGAAGGGGTACACCTTTTTTTTTTTTTAGACAGAGTTTCACTCTGTCACCCAGGCTGGAGTGCAATGGTGCAATCTCAGCTCACTGCAACCTCCGCCTCCCAGGTTCAAGCAATCCTCCTGCCTCAGCCTCCCGAGTAGCTGGGACTACAGGCATGTCACCACTCCTGGCTAATTTTTGTACTTTTTATAGAGAGGTCGTTTCACTATTTTGGCCAGGCTGGTCTCAAACTCCTGATCTTGTGATCCGCCTACCTTGGCCTCCCAAAGTGCTGGGATTACAGGTGTGAACCACCATTCCTGGCCAGGGCTACACACTTTTAAACAACCAGATCTCATGGAAACTCACTCATTATCATGAGAACAGCAAAGGGGAAATCTATCCCCATGATTCAAACACCTCTCACCAGGTCCCACCCCCAAACCTGGGGATTAAAATTCAATATGAGATTTGGGTGGGGACACAGAGCCAAGCCATATCATCCCTCAACCCAAAAGGAAGACTTGGGGACATCCCTGGCATGCTGAGCTCCCTGAGAGTGGGGCTGTCACACTGTGATGTGATTTACTGATATTTGTTACCACACAGCTCTCCATAAATGAGGGCTGTCCACTGTGAACCAGAGGTGGCTCAGACTGGGCCAGGGGGCCACTGCCTCTGAGCTGTACAGGGTCCAGCCCCCACAACCCCCTGAGGCACTCAACTCACAGCAGCCCTGGTGCTTAGATGCCCCTTCCAGGGTGCCCCAGTTCTCCCAGACCCACCATGAGGCCAGGGGACTCCCCAAGAGGTGGGAGGCCCTGATATTTGGAGGGAGGAAATTCACACGCTGGAGTTCCACTGGCCCGGGTTCAAATCCTGGCTCCGCCAACTTTTAGTGTGACGTGAACTTTTTTCACCTGCAGAGCAGAGGTGATGCAGGTCCCTACCTGCCTCCTGGGGCTGTGGTAAGCATCCAGTGCTCATGGGATCTAAGAAGGCCCTGTGAACTTCTGAGGGCGTGGTGTGATGCTGGTGGCTCCCACGGCTCCCAGCCAGGACCCAGCTGTCCCCCAGAACACATGGGCTCACCGCCTTGGTTTGGCCTGTGACAGCAGTATCCTGCAAAGCCTGGCTGGTTCCCATGTGATTGGGGTGGGATGAAGCTGTGGCTCGGAACACACCAACATGGGCTGGGCACAGTGGCTCATGCCTGTAATCCCAGCAATTTGGGAGGCTGAGGCAGGTGGATCACTTGACGCCAGGAGTTCAAGACCAGCCTGGCTGGCCAGGCGCAGTGGCTCACGCCTGTAATCCCAGCACTTTGGGAGGCTGAGGTGGGCAGATCACAAGGTCAGGAGATCAAGACTATCCTGGCTAAAAGGGTGAAACCCCATCTGTACTAAAAATACAAAAAATTAGCTGGGCGTGGTGGCACCTGCCTGTAGTCCCAGCTGCTCGGGAGACTAAGACAGGAGAATCACTTGAACCCAGGAGGTGGAGGTTGCAGTGAGCCGAGATCGTGCCACTGCACTCCAGCCTGGGCCACAGAGCGACACTCTGACTCAAAAACAAAAAAAAACAAAAAAAACACCAGCCTGGCCAACATGGTGAAACCCCGTCTCTACTAAAAATACAAAAATTAGCTGGGTGCAGGTGCGGTGGTGTGTGCCTGTAATCCCAGCTACTCAGGAGGCTGAGACACAAGAATCGCTTGAACCCAGGAGGCAAAGGTTGAAGTGAGCTGAGATTGCGCCACTGCACTCCAGCCTGGGCATCACAGCGAGACTCTGTCTCAAAGGAAAAAAAAAAAAAAAGGAAAACCCCAACATGGTGGTGAGTGAGGAGCAGGGGAGGCCCCTGGGGAGGGCAGAGCAAAGGGGCCCTGCAGGACAGGAAGTCTACATGGGAATGGGCTGTGGTCCTCCAGCACATAGCAGGTGGGCAGGATATTTACAGGACATTCTCTGCACCTCCCACCATTGCTGGCTGTGGGCAGACCCTTGGCACCCAAATCTCTATGGCTCGGGAAGAGAATAAAAGAAGCTCTGCAGAAGGCACTGCTGGGAGTGGCAGGATCTTCACTGCCCTGCCCTGCTGGGAGCTGCTCTAGCACGTGGGTCCCCTTGGGAGGCAGCAGGCCTCAGAGGGAGGGCTCTCAAAGAGGCTTCATAGCCGGGTGCGGTGGCTCACACCTGTAATCCCATCACTTTGGGAGGCCGAGGTGGGCGGATCACAAGGTCAGGAGATCTAGACCATCCTGGCTAACACGGTGAAACCCTGTCTCTACTGAAAATACAAAAAATTAGCCAGGCGTGGTGGCAGGCGCCTGTAGTCCCAGCTACTCGGGAGGCTGAGGCAGGAGAATGGTGTGAACCCAGGAGGCAGAGCTTGCAGTGAGCCGAGATCATGCCACTGCACTCCAGCCTGGGCGACAGAGCGAGACTCCATCTCAGAAAAAAAAAGAGGCTTCATCACAGACTTGCTGGCTAGGAAGGCCAGTTCAGGGAGGCCTGGGCTGATCCAGGAGGCTGGCCAGACAGTGCCTGGCTGTGTGACTCCAGGAGGTCACCGACTTCTCTGGTTTGAACTACTAGGAGCCCCTTAGTACCCCATCCCCTGCCCATCTTTCCCCTGGGGATTTGGAGGATTCTCATGAGAGGAATAATGAAAAAGCACTTTGCAAATAAATCTGCCCTGGCCGGGTTGGTGGCTCACACCTGTAATCCCAGTACGTTGGGAGGCCGAGGCGGGCGGATCACCTGAGGTCAGGAGTTCGAGACCAGCCTGGCCAACATGGAGAAACCCTGCCTCTACTAAAAACACAAAAAAATTAGCCGAGCGTGGTGGTGCACGCCTGTAGTCCCAGCTACTCAGGAGGCTGAGGCAGGAGAATTGCTTGAACCAGGGAGGCAGAGCTTGCAGTGAGTCAAGATCGCGCCACTGCACTCCAGCCTGAGCGACAGAGCAAGACTCCGTCTCAATAAATAAATAAATCTGCCCTATGCAGGGAAGCTGGGCTATCCGTCCAGGTGTTGAGCAACAGTGAGGAAATATTTCTGAGGGTTTCTGGCATAGTGGCCACATCACAGATGTCAATGGGTTCCGTCTACATGATCACCCAGACACCATTCTAGTATCTCGGCGGCTCACATTCCACAGCTCAGTCTCTCTCTCTCTCCCCCTTCTGACAAGATGCTGAGCTCTCACTGAGAGCACTTGGGGCTCCCTGCACACACCCACACCATGCAGTCTCCTCCACCTGGAGCTCTGTCTCCATCTTCTCCCATCCCAGCTCGCAAGCCCCGCCTCAGACGTCACCTCCCGGAGGTGTCCCAGCCAGCTACGGTGGCTCCGAGTTGCTCCACCTCAGCCTTTTGCTTATTTTATTCATCAATCATCTCACCACTTGCCACTATTATTTTTTATATATTTTTATTTTTATTTTCGAGATGGGGGTCTCACAATATTGCCCAGGCTGGTCTTGAACTGCTGGACCCAAGCAATCCTCCCTCTTTGGCCTCAGGATTACAAAGCGCCCCAGGATTTCAGGCATGAGCCACTGCCTCCTGTCTATTTTTTATATTTCCCAGGTTTATTGAGATATAACTCACACCACACAATTTGCCTATTCAAGTGTGCAATTCAGTGGCACTCAGCATATTCACAGAGTTATGTGAACATCACCATAATCATTTTAGGACAGTTTCATCACCCCAAAAAGAAACCGTGTGCTCATTAGCAGCCTCTCTCCATCTTCCCCCAACTCAGCCCTTGGAAACCCCCAATCTACTTCTGTCTCTGTGGATGTGCCTGCTCCGGACACTTCATATACACGGAATCCTACAGCATGTGGCCGTTCATGAGCGGCTTCCTTCACGAGCATCACGTTTTTGAGGTTCATCCACGGTGGAGCGTGAATCAGGACTTCGTTCCTTGTTATTGCCGAATCATCTTCACAGTACGGCTCTACGGCTCTCCCACAAGTTGTTCATCCATTTATTCGTCACTATCAACGGATATTTGGGGCTATTTTTACTTATTACTTTCTTGCTCTGTCTGAGTCTCTCTCCCCCTCTGGATGAGACACCCCAGGAGAGCAGGGGTGGCCACTTTTCTCAGCACCGGGAAGAGTGCCAGCAAGAGTGCCATTCAGTGAATGTTTGCTGTCTGAACCAAGAGGGACAAATTCTTCTTCTTCTTCTTCTTGTTTTTTTTTTGTTTGTTTTTGTTGTTGTTGTTTTTCGAGATGGAGTTTTGCTCTTGTTGCCCAGGCTGGAGTGCAATGGTGTGATCTCGGGTCACTGTAACCTCTGCCTCCCGGGTTCAAGTGATTCTCCTGCCTCGGCCTCCCAAGTAGCTGGGATTACAGTCATGTGCCACCATGCCCAGCTAGTTTTGTATTTTTAGCAGAGACGGGGTTTCACCTTGTTGGTCAGGCTGGTCTCGAACTCTCAACCTCAGGTGATCCACCTGCCTAGGCCTCCCAAAGTGCTGGGATTAGAGGCGTGAGCCACTGCACCCAGCCCAAATCTTTCTTTGGAGGCAGCCAACATGGGTGCTTTGCTGTTTACCCCAAACACCCCGTTTTCCCACTCACCTTCCCTTTCACTTCCACACGGGCCCTTGAACAGGGAAACCAACACAGATTATTCAGTGTTTGATGTCAATATCAGCATTTCCTCAACAGCAGCACTGCTGGCTTCCCAGACGGGATTCTTCTTTGTGGTGGGGCTGTCCCATGCTCTGTAGGGGTCTGGCAGCTTCCCCATCTCCACTCCCTGGTTGCCACAAGCACCTTCGTCTGCCCCCAGTTGTGACAACCCAAAGAGTCTCAGGACATTACCAAATGTCCCCTAAGGCAGTGGTCCCCAACCTTATTTGCACCAGGGACTGGCTTTGTGGAAGAATTTTTCCATGGGCCGTGGTGGCAGGGATGGTTTTGGGATGATTCAACCACATTACATTTATGTGAACTCTACTTCTATTATTATTACATTGTAATTGCACAATGTAATAATTATACAACTCACCATAATGTAGAATCAGAGGGAACCCTGAGCTTGTTTTCCTGTAACTAGATGGTCTCATCTGGGGCTGATGGGAGACACAGATCATCAGGCATTAGATTCTCATAAGGAGCATGCAACCTAGATCCCTCTCATGCACCGTTCACAAGAGGGTTCAAGCTCCAGTGAGAATCTAATGCTGCGGCTGATCTGACAGGAGGCGGAGCTCAGGCGGCAATGCAAGCGATGGCGAGCGGCTGTAAATACAGAGGAAGCTTCGCTCATTTGCCTTCCGCTCACCTCCTGCTGTGCGGCCCATTTCCTAACAGGCCATGGACCAATACCTTAGGGACCCCTGCCTGAAGGAGTTAAATCATCCCCTGTCAGGAACCCCTGGTCTACACACATTTTCTCATTTCTTCTTCTTAACCCGGAGCAGTGGGAGCTGGCATTATTGGCACTGAGTAGCTGAAGAAACTGAGGCCCAGAGAGCTTCCGGGTCCTGACCACAGAGAGGCCCGCAGCAGAACCGGGAGGGGAACCATCTGCCCCAGGGCTGGGCCCTTAACCTGCCAAGGGGGAGCCAGGAAACCTCTTGGGCCTTCCATGTAACCACTTGAATCTCTCCCTCTTTGGAGCTGGTTTGAAAACTTCACTCCACCCTCTTGGTGAGTTCCGCCAGCACTGCAGAATTTTCCAGGCTGCCTTCCCCCCTCCAGCCCACAAATCCTTATCATTCCTTTCATTTCTCAGTATTCACAAGACAAGAGAAATAAGCCGTTGGAAGCAGACACAAGCTGTGTTTGTTCCTTCGAGCTGCTGCTGTGATGTAACTGGATCCTGCTTGGGAAGGTCACAAGGGGACTGTGGGCAGAGCCCCAGCCTGGGGCCTGGCTGTGGGCACGAGAGAAGGCTAAACATCCCCCAGATGCCACGGTGGATTCCTCAGGCAATGGGCTTCTTGGAGGGGTTGGGTGGGTGGGGTTCTGGCCCTAGACCACCCTTCTCAGCCATGCCAGGCCAATCTCCTTTGCTGTCCACACTGGCTGCAAACCGACTTGGCCAGCCTATCTGGGAGCCATGGAGCTTGCGGAGAAGGGAAGAGACTGGAGTTTGGAGCCAGCCATGACTGGCTGAGATTCCGAATCCTGGCTCTGTGGGACCTGGAGCTTCACCTTCACCTTAACTTAACCTCTGTGAGCCTCAGTTTCTTCATCTATAGGATGGGACTAATAACCCTGTCCTCCATAAAGTTGCTTGTAAAAATCAAGGGAGTAATACATGCCATAAATTAATGCATGTGTGCTTGGTATTAATACCAAGTAACAAATTAATAAATTTGTATTACATCGTATTTTATATTCTATTATAATAAAAGTAATAACTCATTGTGTGCTTCATATGGGATAGACCCTAAGTTATATACATTTAATAATGAAAATTTCCCAATATTTTACAGGGAACTGAGGTAGAGAGAGGTGAGGTCATCTTCCCAGGGCTTATTCACAGCTAGTAACCAGTAGAGCTGAGATTTGAACCCCAAAAACTAGTTGCGAAATCCTGGCTGTTAATCCCTGAGTTTTGTGATTTCTTGAATAAGAAGCCTACTGTGTAAAGAGTGCAGAGACGGTGCTTGCCGTTATTCATCAATATCTTTATGCAGTCCAGGACCTGGCCTCCTCCCGCCCAATCCATGTCAGTGTCGCCGCCAGGTTCCAGCACACCTTTGCCTAACTGCCTGCTGCCTGTTGCAGGTGGGCCAAGGCCAGCCTCAGGTCGGCTTCCGGGTCCCCTGTCCTGCGATGAGGCATGGATCTCCTTCCAGCACTCACTGGGGGCAGCCCTGCCCTCTTCACTGTGGGCCCAGAAGGAAGCAGAGCATCCACGTCTTCCATGCTCCAACCCTTCCTCAGAATACACACTTGCCCACCTTCTCCCCCTCTCCAGGCCCCAAGGCTTGGCACAAAGCAGCACCCATGGGCAGACTGCTCCTCTGGCCAATTCCTGGAGCCCCTAAAATGTGCCCAGCACTCTGCCAGGTGCTTTGAGGGACACTTAACAAGAATGAGGCCAGGTGCAGGGGCTCATTCCTGTAATCCCAGCATTTTGGGAGGCCAAGGTGGGAGGATCACTTGAGCCCAGGAGTTTGAGACCTAGGCAACACAGGGAGACCTTGTCTCTACAAAAATAATTAAAGATATCAGCCAGGCGTGCTGGCATGTGCCTGTGGTCCCAGCTACTCAGGAGGCTGAGGTGGGAGGATCACCCGAGCCCGTCAGGTCAAGGCTGCAGTGGGCCGAGATCATGCCATTGCACTCCAGTCTGAACAACAGAACGCAACTGTATCTCAAAAAAAAAATAAGTAGAGTGAGGAAGTGGCATTCACGGAGGGCCTGCCCAGTGTGTGAGCAGTGGTAAGCCAGCCAGGGGTTCACCAGCCTCAAGCCAGGGACTCTCTCCCTGGGGTGCCCTAGTCCCTGGCAAAGGACACTGACGTTTCCTGCAGAGTGTCTCAAATGGATGTAGGAAGCTCAAAACCTAGGCAGACATCAAGAGATGCAGCCAGACCCCAGCCTGCAAGTCCTGCCCTAGGCTGGTCTGGTGGGTGCAGGTGCCCTGGCTGCAGCCGTCGCCGCTGAACCCTAGGAGACCCTGCTGGCCCTGGGCGCTCCCTGCTGCCACCACCCGCACCCTCTCTGCTTGTCTGCTTCCCTCGTTGCTGAGTCAAAGGCTGGGGGAGCATCTGATCCATCGCGTCATGAGGATGCCCACGCCTCAGCAGCCAGGGGCGGGGAGGCAGGTACGGGGCCTGTTTGTCTCATGCTTTCAGTCAGAAGTTCCTCTGGAAACATCCCAAGCCTCAGACAGGGGCTGGTGCCCTGACCAGCCAATGGGCCCCCAGTGAGACACTAGAAAACTCCCCGAGTGGTTTCTGGTCCCATTCACAGCAATTCTTGCTCGGGCAAAAAGGAGGCATTTATTGATTCTTGTAACTGGAAAGCCCAATGATCATGGGTTTCAGTTATGGCTGGATCCAGAGTGGAAGCAGGACGCAGCCAGGACCCAGTTTCTCTTTCTCTGTCTTTCATTTCCACATCCTCTGGGCTGGCTTCATCCTCAGACATCTTTCTCTCATGATGACAAACTGGCTGCCTCAGCTCCACCTGACAGCCACCCTCCCAGGTACAAGGGCAGCAGGAAGAGAGTCTCTCTCTACTGACCCAGAGTTAGTTCTGATTGGTTCTGGTTGGCTCGAGTTGAGTCACATGTCCACGTATAAGCCAATCACAGTGGCCAGAAGACTGCAATGCTCTGATTGGCCAGCCCTGAGTCTTGTGGTCTTCTGTCCCTGCAGCCAAGGAGGGAATCAGCCCGTGGAGACACACAGACTACAAGTTGGAGAGGGTAGGTTCCCTGGAAGCCCAGTGGGCTGCCCTTGCCAGGGGAAGAGTGAAAGGATGCTGGGCACCAAAAGCAATAGCTGTCACCAGAAATGGCCATTGGTAGACTCCTTGACTTGCTCCTGGGCCTTTCTGAGTGACAGCTGGCCTGTGCCCTGACAGGCAGCCCTGAGCTCCTGGGTCTCTGTCCTGTCCTGATTGACAGTTGGCCAGCACAGTGACAGGTAGTTGGCAGCCCCCTCCTGACTGCTGGCCCCTCCTGACTGGCAGTCAGTGGGCGTCCTGGTGGGCAGCTGGCAGTGTGCTGTTGGCAGCTGACCAGTCCTGTCTGGCAGTCCATCATGGGCTGCCCTGGGGCAGGGACAGGGAACCCCTGGGATCAACCCCGTCTGTCTCTGCCCTTCCTTGCAGGAGTGGAATTAGCCCTGCTCCACCGCTCCCCAGCCAAGGGGAGAAAAATGGCCTCTGGGGGGCTGGGGCTGGTTCTAAAAGCCTTTTGTCCTCAAGGGGTAGCAGGAGCCCCTGTCCTGCCACAGCAAGAGGCCATTTGGGGCCAGCAGTGCCCTCTGGGAGCTGGAGCCAGTGGCCCTGGGGTGGAGGAATTCGGGAAATGTTGGAATGGGTGCCTGGTCTGTCCCTGCTCATTCAGTGTCACTCTGCTTCCAACAAATAGTTCTTAAAGGCCAACTGTAGGTCAGGCAGTGGGGATGTGGCCGTGAACTTGGGCAGGGGCTCGTCGCACTGAGCTTTCAGCAGATTGTGGAGGGGGCCATGGTGCGTATTAGATGGGGTGGAGAGGCCTTGTGGGAAGTGATATGTGAGCCAGCACGCAGGCAAGACTGGGGAGGGGAAGGTGTTCCAGGCAATGGAAGGCAGTGAGCAGCTGCAGTGAGGGCATGAGCGCCAGGGCTCCGGGCTCGGGATAGGCCACATTGAAGAGCACATAATGGGCCTTGTAGGGATCGCGGATCTTTTCCCAAGGGAGAAGGTGCCAGAGCAGGGAGGAGCCATGATGAGGCCTGCATTTGAGAAAGGGCATTCCAGTTGCAGACAGCCGGACTGTGGAGGACGCAGGTGGAAGCAGGGAGCCCGTCCATCATCCAGACAAGAGACGAGGTGGCCAACACTTCCAACACTTCGGAGATCAGACACTGAGCCATCAGAGGCAGACCGAAGGCCCGGAGGCCACCCCAAGGCCAGGGAAGGAGGCCGGCCTCCCTTCCGTGTGTCTGGCTCCTGCCCAAAGCCCAGGGCGGGACGGGTCACTGTAAGGCGTGGGCAGATCTGAGCGGAGTGAACAGGTCCGGGGTGGGGGCCTGGTCGCTGAAGAAGAAGGCTGGCCCCTCTGTGCAGGCGCCGTGGGGCGGCTGCCCACCTCATTAGTGCTTTGTGCCTTATGCCAGCCCCCCAGGCCAAGAAAGCCCCTTAGGAAAAAGAATGGGTCCCTGTGCCTGGGCTGGGAGGGGCTGACAGGGCAGCCTGGTGGGCAATGGGAGGGTGGGGTGCTGGCGCAGGGCTAGGGTAGGACGCGGGGAGCAGTAGGTCATCCCCCTGCTACAGGGAGGCTGAGGGTGGGGTGCTGGCCCAGGGCCAGGGTAGGATGGGGAGAGCAGCAGGTCATCCTCCTGCTACAGGGACAGGGCAGAAGGCTGAGGGCCAGTGTGTGTCATGGAGTTCTGGACAAGCGGAGGAGCTCCAGGCCCCAGTCCTCAAAGAGCCGAACGTCGCCGTGATAATGCCACGTGCTTCCATCATGCTGTGACGCTTCCAGGGCGTTGCTGAGTTTGCATTGTGTGGTTCCTCCTACGTCACTCCTGGGAGGTGGGGCTGTGGCCCCTGCCTGATGAAGAAGTCAGGATTCAGGGAGCAGCCAGCACCCAGACCCAGCGTGGAAGAGTGGAGCAGGACCTGGCCCCTGCCACCTGTGTTTCCAGGGCTGGGATCCTGAGATGAGGCTGTCCTGCTGGGACCTGGGTCCCCAGGGGAGGCAGGAACAAGATCCCTGGACACCACCATCCTTTTCTCAGCTCTTCCTCCCCTGAGCTGTGCCTTTGGCTGATCTCTCAGGAAGTCCTGACAGTTCTTCCCCTTCCTCTTCCCTGGCTCTCCCCTCCCCTCTGTCTCACCTGCACTTTTGGACAGTCTCTTAAATGTCTGCAGTGTCCCACTCCATGGACTCTGAGTCCCCCACCACAGAGCCAGGGAGTCCTTTCCAGAGCACAGATCTGACCATGCCATCTTCTGTGTAGAACCTTCAATGGCTCCCCATTGCCCACAGGATAAATCTTATGTGACTCTTCAGCAAGGCCTAAAAGGCTCTTTCTGACCTGGTCCAGCCAATGAGGGTCCATAAGTTTTGCTGGGTGATTTTCCAGAGTGGAAGAAACATTATCTTTCTGGACAAGTATTAAAGAAAAAATTTCATTCTCATTAACACATGGGAAGATGGAGTCTCTCCTTTTTTTTTTTTTTTTTTTTTTTTTTTTTTTGAGACAGAGTCTCGCTCTGTCACCCAGGCTAGAGTGCAATGGCTTGATCTCAGCTCACTGCAACCTCTGCCTCCCGGGCTCAAGCAATTCTCCTCACTCAGCCTCCCGAATAGTTGGGATTACAGGCACCCGCCACCACGCCCAGCTAATTTTTTGTATTTTTAGTAGAGACGGGGTTTCACCATATTGGTCAGGCTGATCTCAAACTCCTGAGCTCAGGTGATCCACCTGCCTCGGCCTCTCAAAGTGCTGGGATTGCAGGTGTGAGCCAGGAAATCCAGCCAGGAATCTCTCCTTTATGTATAAAAGTGCTAGCACACAAAGGGGAATGAGGACCAATGCTCATGGCAGCATCATTTGTGTTGAAAAAGAAACAAGAAAATGATGCAAATTTGCATCAGTTAGGAGTATGGATGACTTATGGTAGGTACTCATACAATGGAACACTACACAGCAATGAAAATGAACACCTCCCGGCCACATGCAGTAACACGGGTGACACAAACAAAACATTGAGCAAAGGAAGCCAGATACAAAAGACTGTCTTCTGTATGATGAGGTTCAAAGACAAGTGCAACTCATCTGTGAGATCGAGGTAACCCGAGTGGCCACCTTTAGGGCTGCTATGGTTGGGGGGAAAACCTCTGGGGGCAGGAAATGTTGGGTGTCATGATCTGAGGGGTGGCCACACACACGTGACACTGACTGAGCTGTACACT
The DNA here is from genome assembly GCF_000001405.40 of Homo sapiens. Taxonomy (NCBI): domain Eukaryota; kingdom Metazoa; phylum Chordata; class Mammalia; order Primates; family Hominidae; genus Homo; species Homo sapiens. Next base: position 12,550,815 of record NC_000001.11, on the reverse strand, counting down.
TCAGAACTCTGCTCTGTGTGTGGGGCCTACCCCATTACAAAAGCAAGCAGGTGGCCAGGAGCCGTGGCTCACGCCTGTAATCCCAACACTTTGGGAGGCCAAGGTGGGAGGATTGCTTAAGACCCCTCCTGACTGCTGGCCCCTCCTGACTGGCAGTCGGTGGGCGTCCTGGTGGGCACCTGGCAGTGTGGTGTCGGCAGCTGACCAGTTCTGTCCGGCAGTCCATCACAGGCGGCCCTGGGTCAGGGACGGGGAACCCCCAGGGTCAACCCCATCTGTCTCTGGCTCTGCCCTTCCTTGCAGGAGTGGAATTAGCCCTGCTCCACCCCTCCCCAGCCACAGGGAGAAAAATGGCAGCTGAGGGGCTGCGGCTGGTTCTAGAAAAAGGAGTTTAAGACCAGCCTGGGCAACATAGTGGGACGTCTCTACAAAAAAAAAAAAAAAATTAAAAATTAGCAGGGCGTAGGGATGAGCATCTGTAGTCCCTGCTACTCAGGAGGCTGAGGTGGGAAGATCGTTTGAGCCCGGGAGGTCAAGGCTGCAGTGAGCTATGATCGCACCACTGCACTCCAGCCTGGATGACAAGGCAAGACCCTGTCTCAAAAAAACAAAAAAAAAGTAAGCAAGTGATATTAACCGCGATTCATCCCAGATTAGGAATCTCGTGCAGCTATGAACAAGAATGACTCAGATATGTTGGAGCCGGGGCTGCCCCGCGCGGCACGGTTAGTAAACAGCTGCGGAGGAATGTGTGGTGGGGATCCTATTATTGTCAAAACAAGCGATTCCCTGCTGACACACACGCCCAGGTGTCCACACGCTTGTGTGCATTTGTGAGTGCGGAGACCGTGGAGAAAAGGTCACCTGAGATATGGGGGGCGGGGCTGCGGCTGGGATGATTCACTCTTTGTCTATCTTTGTGTTTCCACTGGCTGCTGCCAACACAAATGGCTTTTATAGTTGCCAAAAAGGGATTTCAATGAAAGAATGAAAAGTGAGAATGGGAAAGAGAGTCCAGGGGCTGAGAGCGCAGCTGGCTTTGGGGTCAGAGTGACCTGGGTTGTTCGGTCACCACCAGCTTGGAGAAGTAAGGAAGTGACTCCCCGCCACCCCCAGCCGCGTCTCCCAGGCTGGAAGACCGAGCTGCTTCATGGATGATGGAAGTCACATGTGCCAGGCCTTTTGCACAACCTGGGATCCCGCGTGGTCAGTGGCACTGTCACTATGGCGACTGTCCTCTGCCCTCCACCCCCAACCCGAATCCCTCTGAACTCCCTCTCTCCACAGCCTTGCCGCATCTGTCAAAGGGAAAGGGAGACCGAGGTGAGGAAGGGTCTTCAGAGATCAGACCCTGAGCCATCAGAGGCAGACCGAAGGCCCGGAGGCCACCCCAGGGCCAGGGAAGGAGGCCAGCCTCCCTTCCGAGGCCGGCTGGTCCATGTGTCTGGCTCCCGCCCAAAGCCAGGATGACAGATGGCCCCCACAGGAAAGGTCACTGTCTCCCGAGCAGTTGTGTGTTTGGCGAAGGCGGGCGGGCGGGGCGCCTTCCGAGGCTGGCTGGCGGATGTCTGGCGTTCGGGGGCCTGCACCTCGCCGGCAACCGGACTTTATTTTGGTTACTGAAGATGGGAAGACTGCGGTCATAAATAACTGTCCACAGCCATGTAGCCATCCTCTCCCGGCGCCCGGGCCCCAGGCCTCTTCAAGGCCAGCACGTCCCTGCCTCAGGGCTTGGGCGGGAGGTCTGGTGGCGGGGCTCGGAAGCCCAGTGGGGAGGCGGGGGAGAAGGGAGAGGGGTCTCAGGGCCTGGGTTCAGAGCAAGGTTAGCCAAATAGTGGATAAATTAAGCGAGGGAACAGACAGCTCCCCTCACTGTGAACTTTTCACCCAGCTAACCTGCTCCTCACCCACTCTCAGGTGGCGGCGGCTCCCGCCCCAGGGCTGTCACCTCTCGGGGGGGTTGTCACCTGCCTCTTCCCCCACTGCCAGCCCAGGTGAGGCTGAGGATGGAGGGCTCGGGACAGACTCCCCAGCCAAGGGCCCAGCAAGGAGCTCTCGTGACTTCACCTGGAAGCTCAGGGCTTGGCCCAGCCTGAGGTCCACACTTGGGCAGGGTGGCCAAGCTTCCTCCCTCCCTCCCTCCCTCCCTCCCTCCCTCTCCAATGCCCTCACCTTGGCCGGTCACACAACCCTGGCGAACCCCAGCATCTGCCCTTGACAGGGACAGGGGACCCTTGTCGGGGGCCAGGGTCATTCCATCTGAAGTTGGCCCTGGTGCTCTGGGGCTTCTCCCAGGCGTGACCCTCTCGCCCAACCCTTCTTCTCTTTGCTTGTTTCCAACCTGAGCCACCCCTTACGGGACAGCTCCACCTTCAGGGAAGAAGGGAAGAGCCCCTCCCTCTGGAAAAGTGGGTTCAGGGACTCCCGGGCAATGGCCATGCCCCAGGCTCCTGCCCCAAAGGTTTGCCCCTCACTCACTGGAGCCCACCTGGACCAGACATCATGGACAGAAACCTCTAGGTAGCCACAGAGTGGTGGCTTATGGGCTTAGGGGGAGACAGTGGAAGTGTCTGGTCCCCCCAGGAAATAGGGTCAGCAGGAGAGCAGGACGAGACCTGGCGGTCTGGTCACAGGCCCCGGCCTCCTGCCGCCTTCCTCTGCCAATCTCCTCCGCTGCTGCCTGCCCAGCCCAGATCCTCAGATGGTTCCCCAAGAAGATGCAGGGCCCAAATCCACGTGGAGCTCGGCCGGGGTGAAGGGTGACCCAGGCGGGCACAAGAGGATGCCCTGGGGCCCTGCGAGTGGCCTGATGTCCCTTCACTCCACGGCACTGGGTGGCTGTGGCATGCTGAGCACTGGGCTGGTGCCTGCGTCCACAGAGGGGAGAGTGACAGAGAGGGGGCAGGAGGTGGGCAGACAGATGTGGGCACAGACCACCCACAGGGCAAATGCCAGGTGGATGGAATCCTTGGAGGGCAGCTTTGGTGGGGGCTGTCAGCACAGGCCTCTCAGAGGAGGTGGCCTTTGAGCTGAGGTCCGAATGACAGGAGGGACACCTGTGTAAGGAGAGTGGTGTGAGCTGAGGTCGAGAGCTGGGCAGAGCAGAAGCACAGGGCCGCGGGGCAGTGTTACGGGCCAGGAAATAGCAGGGGCCACGCCAAGGTCATGAGCTGAGATTCGCCCTTGGGCTTCTTGGTAGATTGTCCTCCTGTTGTTGAATTGAGGCGACCCCATCTCCCTAACGAGGGCACCCTCTGATCCTGTCCACCACATGGAGGACCCAGGACAGACGAGCCCTCTGGGAGGCTCGTCATTGGGAGCCAGTCCTTCTGGCTCTGTCATTCCCATCCTGGCTTCAGGCCCTGCAGTCTCAGTTTGGGTTTCTGTAAAATGGGAACTCAGTATCAACCTTCTCCAGAACTGAGGAGGAGAAAAAAAAAATGCAGCTGCTTGGGAAGCGAGCATCCCCTGGAGAGAGGGTGGAGGAGGAGGAATTGTACTCGCAGCTTGGCAAGCACGTGGGAGCATTTGGCCCCCGTTCTCGCAGTCACAGACGTTCCAATGTGGCCAACACCCCGTGGAGGAAATGAAAACCCGAATGCTTTGTCCCTGCCATCTGTAACTTTCTTCTCTCCCTGGGGAGGCGTTTGGTGCTGACAGGCCTGAGGTCTCTGTAGGAAGGGAGGATTGGACCATCCCTGGTGAGATATAGACCCCCGAGGTCTATATTCTGGGACTGGGGACCCATAGGCTGCCTGCTCCTCTGCTGGACCCAGAGCCATCTTTCCCATGAAACAAATGGACCCAGTTTGGGGCCAATCATGTCAAGAACACAATCCCTTGAGTTGTGCTTGTAAGAGTGGGGCTCCGCTGCGCAGACTAGCCACACCCTCCTACCCCATCCTCCCGGGCTCAGGAGCCTGCCAGCTCCTGGATGGGGACCTAACGGGATGAACCCTGTGGTCATTACCCCATCATCATAGGCTATGGCCAGGGAGATGGGGAACTTGGGCCCAGGGTGGAAAGAATGAGGCTCTGGCTCTCCTATGAAGAGGTGTCTGACTTCAGGGAATGTTTCTGGGACTCCATAAACCATCACCATTGTTTACTAACATGCAATTCGCGCTATGTTTTCTTTCTTTCGTTGTTGTTGTTTTTGTTTTTGTTGTTGTTGTTTTGAGACATAGTCTGTCTCTGTGGCCCAGGCCGGAGTGCAATGGCGTGATCTCGGCTCACTGCAACCTCTGCCTCCCAGGTTCAAGAGATTATCCTGCCTCAGCCTCGGGAGTAGCTGGGATTACAGGGGCATGCCACCATGCCTGGCTAATTTTTATATTTTTTTAGTAGAGTCAGGGTTTAGCCATGTTTGCCAGGCTGGTCTCCAACTCCTGACCTCAGGCAGTCCACCCGCCTCGGTGTCCCAAAGTGCTGGGCCATAGCTCTATGTTTTCTAATTGTAAAAATGATACAGCAAGGCGCGGTGGCTCATGCCTGTAATCCCAACATTTTGGGAGGCTTGAGTCCAAGGGTTCAAGACCAGCGTAGGCAACATGCTGAAATCCCGTCCCTACAAAAACTGGCCGGGCGCGGTGGCTCATTCCTGTAATCCCAGCACTTTGGGAGGCTGAGGCGGGCAGATCATGAGGTCAGGAGATCGAGACCATCCTGGCCAACGTGGTGAAACCCCATCTCTACTAGAAATACAAAAATTAGCTGGGCATGGTGGCGCATGCCTGTAATCTCAGCTATTCAGGAGGCTGAGGCAGGAGAATCACTTCAACCAGGGAGTTGGAGGTTGCAGTGAGCCAAGATTGTGCCACTGCACTCCAGCCTGGTGACAGAGCAAGATTCCATCTCTAAATAAATAAATAAATAAATAAATAAATAAGTATAAAAATTAGCCCAGCATGGTGGCAGGCGCCTGTAGTGCCAGCTACTCGGGAGGCTGAGGCTGAGGCAGGAAGATCGCTTAAGCACCAGAGGCGGAGGTTGCAGTGAGCTAAGACTGTGCCACTGCCTGGGCGACTGAGTGAGATCCCATCTCAAAATAAATAAATAAAAATGATACATAATTATTTTTATTTTTATTTTGTTTTTTGAGACGAAGTCTCACTCTTGTCCCCCAGGCTGGAGTGCAGTGGCACAATCTCAGCTGATTACAACCTCCACCTTCCGGGTTCAAGCGATTCTCCTGCCTCAGCCTCCCGCGTAGCTGGGATTACAGGCGTTTCCACCATGACGGGCTAATTTTTGTATCTTTAGTAGAGACGGGGTGTCTCCATGTTGGCCAGGCTGGTCTCAAACTCCTGACCTCCGGTGATCCGCCCACCTCGGCCTCCCAAAGTGCTGGGATTACAGGCGTGAGTCAGGGTGCCTGGCCGATACATAATTTTTTTAAAAAATAAAATAATGCCAACATGCATTCAGATCTAGGCTGAGATTTCGCTGCATCGAGGTGGTTTGTTTTCCCCAACTACCTCATTAAACCTGTGTCTGTCACAGAGGAAGCGCTCCATTCAGATGTGTTGAATGAATGAAGGGAGGAAGGAAGGGATCACAAGTTAAACTTATGTGATCCTTCAAAGAGAGCTGACTGCTTTAAAAATGGGTCACTGTGGTCATCACCATCCTGCTCCCCAGAGAAACAGGTTCTTCCTGAAGCTGTGCCCACCCGCGGTGGGATTTCCCCCAGGGACCATGACCTTTCCGCTTCCTGTCTTTCCCACAGTTCCCCAGCCAGGGGCTTCCCAGAGCAGATAGTCCGTCCATGGGCTCATTGTTTTAAAATATTTAATCAGTATTATTACAAAGATGATATCGTGACAAGAAAAGAAAAAAATTTAAAAGAAAATTGGGCACTCACCAAGTACCCAATTTTTTCAATCGTTTTTATAATTTATGATTTTTGCTTAACGCTTTCACAGATGTTTTTTGTATTTCTGCATAATCTTTAAATTTCTCCTTTTAAATATCATTGTAATAGTTTTCTACTATTCCTTCGTGGGGTTTTACCGTATTTTTGGAAAGTTTTTTTGATAGTGGATGTTTAGGTTGTTTCCAGTTTTTTCCGCTCACAATAATGCAGCCGTGCATGTTTGAATGGTTCTGGCCCTTTGCATCTCATAAACCTTTTCCTTGGGATGAATTCCAATAGAGAATTACTGGGATGGAAACATCGTTTTATGACTTTCTTTCTCTGGGTGTGAGTTAATTTCTAAGTACGACAGCAATTTGCAATACCTTCAACAGCAGAGTGAGTACCTGAATTTCTCTGCATGCTTCAGAATCCTGGGTGTGACCTTGAGAACACTTTTCTTTTCCTGGTGCAGTGGCTCATGCCTGTAATACCTGCACTTTGGGAGGCTGAGGCAGGAGGATCACTTGAGCCCAGGAGTTTAAGACAAGTCTGGTCAACATAGGGAGATAGGGAGGCCCTTTTTCTACCAAAAAAAAATTAAAATTAGCCGGGCATGGTGGCACATGCGGGCAGTTCCACCCGTGGTCCCACTGAGATGGGCAGATTGCACTAAGCCATGATCACACCACTGGACTCCAATCTGGGTGCCAGAGCGAGACCTTGTCTCAAAGAAAAAAACCTTGTTTTAAATTCATTTTGTAAATATAAAATAGCCTCTTAATACTGCCTTAGTTTCCCCCTCTTTGATGATGAGTGAGGACAATCACGTGAACTCAGAGCACGTGAGCTTGCCATGTTAATTAACCTCTGAGCCCCAACCGGGTCAGATATAAACTGGGAATGCTGCCATTTCCAGCTGGTAAGTTTTTCTTTTTGTCCAATTCAACCAATCATTTGATCTTGATTTGTTTATTTATAGGAGCTTTAGATACATGCGGTACTTTCAGAATAGCAAAATCAAAACATGGTCTTTGCCCCAAGAACTTACGACCTATTTCCATATTGCCAGTGTGTCTCAGAACTACCCTAAATGAGTCTTAGGAGTAGTTTGAATGTCCAATAGTAATTACGTCATCTGCGGAACCCAGACGCCTCAGAAATAAATTAATTTCATCCCAGACGTAGTTATCAGGGTTGTGGCTATGTAAACAGTTTTCATCATTTCATACCTGAATGAATGAATTATATTCTGCAGAAAACTGGTTGGTTGGAGAGATTTAATTAAGACAGGAATGCAGGAATTTTCTTGGGACAAACAAAAGGATTATAGAACTTTGTAAATAATATACAAAAAAATTAGAAACGTACATTTGTTGGTTGGATTTTCTTTCTTTCTTTCTTTCTTTCTTCTTTCTTTCTTTCTTCTTTCTTTTTCTTTTTTCTTTCTTTCTTTTTTTTTTTTTTGACAGGATCTCTGTCGCCCAGGCTGAAGTGTGGTGGCATTATCCTGGATGGCTCACTGCAGCCTCGACCTCCTGGACTCAAATGATCCTCCCACCTCAGCCTCCCCAGTAGCCGGAACCACTGGTGAGTGCCACCATCCCTAGCCAATTATTTTATCTGTAGAGATGAGATCTCGCTATGCTGCTCAGGCTTCTCTTGAACTCTTGGGCTCGAGTAATTCTCCCACCTTGGCCTCCCAAAGTGCTGGTATTATAGGTGGGAGCCACTGTGCTTGGCCATTTGGTTGGATTTTCTTGCTATACTCCCTGTGCTAATGAAGTGAGATGTAAAACTTACTTCAGTGTCTAATACAGATAAGCATTCAATGAATGCTGACTGCCCAACTCTAGTTTCTTCATATGTAAGTGATTCTTTCACGTCCTCTGTTTGTCTACATTAAACTCAATGTTTTTCTTGTTTATTTTAATGAATTCTTTATATATTGTAGCCACTCTTTTGCTTCCTGTTTCCTGACATTTTACTTTGTCCACAAAATTTAGAACATTGGAAACATTTCCTGTCCTGGGTTACATTAGAGTCACACTCCTGCTATTCTATGCTCTACCCCCAACCCCCCCACCGCCCCCCGCCACCAACTCTCTAAGACTCAGTGGGCTGAAATGAGAGCCAGGAGGTTTACCAGTTGGAGCAATTTAGTTGATTTTGTCCTGGGCTCAGGCAGCTTTCCCTGATGTCATTTGTTCCCTGGGGATTTGGCTCACTGAAGCACACAGGATAATTCTTCTGGAATGAAAGGACTTAGAATCTCCTCATTCAGAGGGTCTCTTGCCTCAAATTCTATTCTGGGTCCGTTTTCTTATTTTATGGTGGTAATTGTTATTGTTCTTGCTTTTTTTCCTTTTGCAGCAAACTCACTCATTATCAAATATCCAACAAGAGTGTTCTAGGTGCAAGACTTTGAATTTTGGGGACACAATGGTGAACAAAACAGACATGTCCCTGCCCAAGCGGAGTTCACAGCAGAGTTCCTGGGAGATGCACACTGGCCAATGCCATCCAGTCCACAAGTGCTCATCAGGCACCTGCCGTGTGCCAGGCTGTCTTCTGGGCCTGGGGACAGACACGTGAGCAGAGATGGTCCCTACCATCTCTGCATCGGGAGCTTATCATCAACACAAATCCACGAAACATGACATTTAACATGCGCAAAGCTGCAAAGGAAGGGCTGGCAGAGCCACGTGGACTACGGTACAGGGAGGGACTTATTCTGACCAGGGGTCTGCCAGGAGGGGTGTCAGTCACGGAAGGCTTCCCTGAGGAAGCGACCTGTGTCATGAGCTCTGATGGCTGACTTAGAATTAACCGGGCAAATGGGGACAAGACTTTTTGACACAAAGGGAATAATAGATGCAAAGCACTTGGGGTGGGAGGAAACAGTTTTAAGGGCCCACTCAGGGCTGGATCCAGGGTGGGGCACCGGGATTCTTGGGGCCAAAAGGCTGGGTTTCTCCTCGTCTGGTGAATCAGAGTTTGGGGGAAGCCTCTACTGGTTTAGCCCACCCTCAGAGCCCTGATCCACCAGCTGGGCAGCTCAGCTCATCTTTTGTCTGGTGGTGGGGAAAGGCTGTTGGAGGCGCTGAGGGGCAGAAGCCTGTTTTTGGAGGGCCCGTGGCAGAGAGTGAGGGAGGGCCACGTGGAGCCCCACGGTCACCCTGCTACTTTCTCTGACCTCAGCTGCGGCTTGGCCTCCCGCCCTTTGGGAGTTCACAGGGAGGTGAAATCTGCAAGCGGAGGCTGGTTTCTTCCCCTCCTGGGAGGACTGAGCTATCCAGACAAGGCCCGGGAAGGCCCCTTCCTCCCCTTCCAGGGCTCTCTGGGATCTGATGAGCCATTTGTCCAGCTCTGTCTTCTCCCCTCCCCAGCTCTGGGGACAGAGCAGCTGGGACTGCAAAGACTGTCCTGTTCCTGATGTAGGTCCCCACACCTGGAGACCCAGGGGCTGAGGCCGGCCCCCTGCACCTCCTCCAAGCTGCTGAGCTCAACTGCACTCTGTGGCCCCAGGAAGGCATGGGAAAGGCTGCCCCCCTGGAGCACTTCATGGCTGTCGAGGCGCACGTTGCAAATCAGGCTCTGGCCCTTTGCCTCTGCGAGCACTGGGGGCTGTCACTTACGACCCTGTCCTTACAGGGAAATTCCAGCCCACAGCTCAGGGCCTTGGGAGCAGCCGCATAGACTTCGGAGCCAGGCAGCTCTGGGTTGGCGTCCCTGACCTGTCTCACTCTCTGCAGGACACTGGGCACATTTACGTCTCTGAGCTTCAGTTTCTCCATGTGTAAAAAGGGGTCTACCCCTAAGCTGCAGCGCTGTGGTACTTATGGTGGCAGCTGGTGACAATTCCTGACAGCGGGAGTTGGGGGGTTCTTTACCACCAGTGGCTCCTCTCAGAGTCATTCAACCCAGGCAGGGGCACTGGGGAGATGGTCAGTACCGCCCAGGTAAACCGAGGCCTCACGTGTAGGAGCCTGCTTTCTGGAAGGGAGGCTCTGCCAGCAAGTCTCATTTCATCCTCAAAAGAACCCAGGGATGTAGTTATAAGCAGGATTCGCCTCTGACAGATGAGGAGAGGTTCAGAGAGGTTGACAAACTCACTCAAGGTTGCACAGCAAGTAAAAGGCCCAGCTGGGATCCTTCAGGGATTGCTGGACCAGGGAGCCCCTCCTCTGCACCGTCAGGAAGGGTCCAGTGCTGGGCCCTGAAGCCAGGAGCCCGAGAGGACGTTCTCAGCACCAGCTCCGCCTGCAAGCCCAGGATTTCCCACCCCCATGCACCGCACCCAGGACCCCAGGACAGTGCCCCTCCCCGCACACTGGGCTCTGGCCTCAGCCTGCCTCTGGGAACTTGGCGTTGGAGTTGGGGGAGGGTGGAGGGAAAGGCAGCCTTCGGAGCTGTCCCTGGGAGGGGAGCCGTTTGGCGTGAGGGCCGGGCCAGGCCGGCCTCCTTTGTTGCAGGCTGACAGGACGGTGCGGCCACCACACACTTCAGCTGCCAACTCGCCGCGGTCACTCAATCCATCACCGAGGGCGGGGGCTCCCGGCCCTGCTGGCTCCTGGCCGCTCGGCCTGCGATGTTGTTTTAGTCTGACTCGGGCTGTGAGATAAACGGGGCATGAACCGGTCCCCTGGCAGGGGGTCAGCCCCTTCTGCCCTCATTAAAGTGCCAATCAAGAAGAGGAATGGAGACGCTGAGTGAGCTCAGCCCTCTCGGCCAAGGGGGCAGGAGCCGGTCCCCCCACCACGGATGCCTGGAGAATTCCATCCATCCAAGGCCTGCGGGCGTCTGGTTGCAACACACCCAAGCAGCCGGCCCTTGGTGTTCCGTTCCTTCCCAAGCCTGCGTATGTGAGCAGCGGGTGGGGTGGGTACTTGCGACTTTGAATTTCCAGCTCCCCCAACTGGAAGGGAAATTCAAAGCAGCAAGTACCCACCCACCTCCTGCTCACACGGGCAGGCTCGGCTTGCTGTTGTGGCAACGTCACAAACCACCCCAAAACTTTATGGCTTAAAACAATTATCTCCAGGCATGGTGACTCATGTCTGTAAAACTAGCACTTTGAGAGACCAAAGTGGGAGGATTGCTTGAGGTCAGGAGTTCGAGACCAGCCTGGCCAACATAGTGAGATCCCACCTCTATCAAAAAATATAAAAATTAGCTGGATTAATGGGGCACACCTGTAGTCCCAGCCACTCAGGAGGCTGAGGCAGGAAGATCACTTGAGTCCAGGAGTTCAAGGCTGCACTGAGTCACTTGCACTCTAGCCTGGGCCACAGAGCAAGACCCTCTCTCAAAAAACCAAACCAAACCAACCAAACAAAAAAACACCCAGCCATTTGATGATCTTGTTTGAACCTGAGGGTGGACAGGGCTCAGCTAGGTGAATCATCTGCTCCATCATCTGCTGGGGTGGTGGCTGGAGGGGCTGTTTGCTGGGGCTCTTCTGGGCTGAAGGGTTCAACATGGCTCAGGCATGTGGCATCTTTGTGGGGACACCCAGAAGGCTGGGACACCTGGTTCACGAGGATGGCTGTGCCTGTCTCTCTGTCCCTGTGGAGTCTCGGGGCCTCTCTCCCTGTCTTACATGGCCTCTCCATGTGGTCTGTCCTGCAGGGTAGCCAGACTATTCAGTGACTTGGGGCTCCCAAAAGCACATGAGTGAAGGTGCTAGGCCTTCATAAGGTTTTGGCCTGGAACATGGCACAGAGGAACGTCTGCCCCATCCTAAAGCAAGTCAGGAACCAGCTCTCTTTTCTCCTGGGCACTCTGCCTGGAGGGCAAGTGGATCAGCAGCCTCTTGGGGTGTGGGGTGAGGTGGCTGGAATTCTCTCTCTCTCTCTATATATATATGTATACACACACACACACACACACACACACACACACACACACTCCACAATTCTTCAACTCTCTGGAAGAACCCCTCAAAGTCTATAACAAGGCATTCGCAAAAACATAATTAATAGTATGCTTTCATATTAATTTTACATATTAAATAAAAATAATAATTGGACCGGGTGCAGTGACTCACACCTGTAATTCCAGCACTTTGTGAGGCCAAGGCAGGGAGATCACTTGAGGATCTGCCAGGAGTTCAAGACCAGCCTGGGCAACATGGCAAAACCCTGTCTCTACAAAAAATTAGCCAGGCATGGTGACGTGTGCCTGTAGTCCCAGCTACTCGGGAAGCTGAGGTGGGAAGATCACTTGAGCACAGGAAGCAGAGGTTGCAATGAGCTGAGATTGCACCACTGCACTCCAGACTGGGAGACAGACTGAGACTGTCTCAATAATAATAGTAATAATAATAATAATTGTTACCATTGCTTAAGAACTTATGCCAAGCATTGTTCTAAGCAATTATAGCTTATTTAATTCCCCTGATAGCCCTGTAGGGATGATATAACTATTACCCTTGCTTTACATGTGTCTAAGATAAGTGGCTAAACTGTAATAGACTCCCAAACATTTAGTAACTCAAACACAATAGAGGTTTTTATCTTGCTCTCTTAAGGAAAGATCAGCATTCCTGGTGGGCAAGCAGCCCTCCTCCCTTTAGTGTCCCATAGATCCAGGCTCCATCCATCCTGTGACCCCCACCCCTCACCTCTGGTCCCCAGTAGTGCATAGATCACTCTGGCAGCTACATGAAGACTGGGCCATGGATGGTGTGTGCAGCTGTGGGCAAGCAGAGGGGTTTGGGATATTCACCATTTGCCTTCTAAATTTACTCTCCCTTTGTTCACCCTGCTCTCTGCCCTGGGAGGCTGCCCTCTGTGGACTATATCAGTGGGCTCCCCAACCCTCCAGCTTCCAGTTAGGCTCAGCCAGTGGGAGACAGAGCAGGAGATCAGAGGGCAAGAGGAGAGGGGAGGGTATTGATTTCCCTGGCTCTCTGTCTCCACTAGGCTGTAGTTTGGAAGTAGCTGACTTTTTCTACCAAAGGCTATGGCTCCTATCAGGGGGCCGGCAGCTTTGACTCTCACCCATCTTAGGGATGGTAAGAGGATACGTCACCGTCTCTTGTTGGTACCCCTGATCCCACCCGCAGCTTGTAATCAGCCCGTCTGCTAACCTCTCTGCAATCTCTGTATCTGTCAGAGGATACAGCTCATCTACATTCTGCAGTGGTCTCAGCTGGCACAGGAGGCAAGGGAGGAAGCAAGGAACCATTGAGAATGCTACAGTAATAATCCAGGAGGGAGATGATGGTGGGGTAGCTTTCCAAGGTCGGGCCAACAGGATTTTCTGATGGATTGGATATGGGGTTCGAATAAAAGAGAAGTTTCCAGGATGATTCCAAAATGGTTGGCTTGAGCAACTGGGAAAATGGAGTTATTTATTAAGATGGGTAAGACCAAAGGAGAGGCAGGCTTGGTCAGTTTTGGACATGTTAAGTAAGGCATGCTTTTTAGGCTTCTAAATGGAGACATTGAGAGGCAGATGGAGCTCTGAGTTTGAATTTCAGGGCAGAAATTCAGGCGGGAGATAAGACTATGAGACCTGCCCATATACAGATGATATTTAAAGCCATAGGACTCAGAGAGATAACCAAGGAGAGTTTGGCTGAAGAAAGGAAGAGGACTTACAGTGAATGCTGCGGCTCTCCAACATTTGGAGGCCAGGAAGATGAGAACAAAGAATAACGAGTGAAGTAGGAGGAAAATGAAGGAATTGGGTATTCTGGAAACAAAGTAAAAAAAAAAAAACTTTCAAGAAGGAGAGAGTGGCTGGGCACGGTGGCTCACGCCTGTAATCCCAGCACTTTGGGAGGCCAAGGTGGGCAGATCACGAGGCCAGGAGATCGAGACCATCCTGGCTAACATGGTGAAAACCCAACTCTACTAAAAGTACAAAAAATTAGCCGGGCGTGGTGGCACGCACCTGTGGTTCCAGCTACTCAGGAGGCTGAGGCAGGAGAATCACCTGAACCCAGGAGGCAGAGGTTGCAGTGAGCCAAGATTGTGCCACTGCACTCCAGCCTGGGTGACAGAATGAGACTCCATCTCAAAAAAAAAAAAAAAAAGAAGGAGAGAGAGTGCTCAATCATGACAAATACAGCTTTTATTCAGATTAGATAAGGCCTTATCATGAAGATTAGAGTTTGAAATATGAATGTCATTGATTATCTGGAAAGGGTGAGGTTGTGGGGATGAAAGCTTAATTGGCAAGGGCTCAGAGAAAAGGAGAAATTTCTGGTTCTATCCATGGCAGAGTAGTTGGTACTGGACAAATCTGTCACAAATAACTGCAAAAATGGTCAAAATATATGAAACAATTATTAGGCATTAGACTGCAGGCATTGCCATGCTACAATCCTTTAAAAAGGGAAACACAAAAGGCTGAACTACACATCCCCCTTGACTTTCTGCCTTGGGGTAATTTTCAAACTGTGGTACCAGGAAGAGGATTACAAGCAGAGAGTCACAGTCTCTCTGGGTAGAGAAAAGGAAGCTCAGGGTTCAGGGCAGCAAAAACAGCTAGAATTTGTGGGCAGGTTACCAAAAAGGAGGGAACCACAGAGAAATCCAGAAAGGCTACCATTCAGAAGTAAAGATCATACCTTAAGAGTAAGGGCTTCCTCCTAAAACTGTGACTAAAACTGAAATAGAACCACCCTAACGAAGTCTAAAATCAATCTTTAACAAAATCAAGACAATCCACCAGTTAGTTAACTGCCAGAAAAAAATGTTTAACACTCTTCAGAGGATAGTATCATAACCCAGAGTTTCTACAATGAGGCACTCAAAATGTTTAGCATATAATAAAAAATTACTAGACAGGTAAAGAAGCAGGGAATATGAACCATTGACAAGAGAAGAAGAAAAAAGCAGTCAGTAGCAGCAAAGTCAATATAATCCAGATGTTGGAATTAGCAGACAAAGGCATTAAAATACATAAATATATTAAAGGATTTAGTGGAAAGGGAGACAAAACGTGAGCAGATGGGGAAATTCAACATAGAAATGAAAACCTTTAAAAATAATTTTGAAAATTACATATGTATTTATTTGTAGAGAGAAGGTCTCCCTATGTTACCCAGGCTGGTCTTGAGCTCCTGGTCTCAAGCAATCCTCCCAAAGTGCTAGGATAACAGGTGTAAGCCTCCGTGCTTGGCTGAAATGAAAATTTTTAAATGGAAATTCTAGAACTGAAAAATACAGAATCTGAAATAAAGAATTTTTTGGACGTGCTTAATAGCATATTAGACATGGCAGAATAAAGAATCTATGAACTCAAGACAAGTCAACAGAAATTATCAAAACTGAGGCACACAGAGAAAGAAAGAATAATCAAATAAGACACAACAAAGCATTCAAAAACGTGGGACAATATTAAATGAGCTAATATGCTTTTATTTGGAGTTGCAGAATGAAAGGGAGAGAAAATGGGACAAAGGAAATATTGGAAGAGGTAATGGCCACTTTCCAAAACGGATGAACTATAGCAACCCACGGATTCAAAAAGCTCAGCACATCCTAAACTGGATAAATACAGAAATACTACACCTAGACCATCATAGTCGAACTGCTAAAAACTAAGGACAAAGAAAGCATTCTTAAGAATCAGCTGGAGAAATATGGACACATCACATCCAAGAGAACAAAAATAAGAATTATGGCTGACTTCTGATCAGAAACTGTAGAAACCAAAGATAATAGAATGATATATTTAAAGTGCTGAAGGAATGTAGAATTCTTCATCCTGTGAAAATATCCTTCAAAACTCAAGGTAAAATAAAGACATTTTCAGGAGAACAAAAATTGAGATAGGCCAGGTGCCGTGCCTCATGCCTGTAATCCCAGCATTTTGGGAGGCCGTGGTGGGAGGATCACTTGGGCCCAGGAGTTCGAAACCAGACTGAGCAATAAAGTGAAACCTCGTCTTAACAAAGAATCTAAAAAATTAGCCAGGTGTGGTGACGCATGCCTGTAGTCCTAGCTATTCAGGAGGCTGAGGTGGGAGGATCGCTTTAGCCCTGGAGGTCGAGGCTGCAGTGAGTAGTGATTGCACTACTGCACTCCAGCCTGGGCAACAGAGCAAAACTCTGTCAAACACACACACACACACACACACACACACACACACACACACCAAACACTAAAGAATGTTCTTTAGGTGACCCAAATGGGCCAGGTGTGGTGGCTCAAGCCTGTAATCCCAGCACTTTGGGAGGCCGAGGCGGGTGGATCACAAGGTCAGGAGGTCGAGACCATCCTGGCTAACACAGTGAAACCCCATCTCTACTAAAAATACAAAAAATTAGCTGGGCGTGGTGGCAGGTGCCTGTAGTCCCAGCTACTCGGGAGGCTGAGGCAGGAGAATGGCGTGAACCTTGGAGGTGGAGCTTGCAGTGAGCCGAGACCATGCCACTGCACTCCAGCCTGAGCAACAGAGCGAGACTCCGTCTCAAAAAAAAAAAAAAAAAAAAAAGGTGACCCAAATGGAATCTTAGATTTTGGGGAAGGAATAAAAAACACCAGAAATGGTAAAAATAAGTAGATGTTTATAAAAATTTATTTAAGGCTGGGCACAGTGGCTCACGCGTATAATCCCAGCACTTTGGGAAGCCGAGGCTGGCGGGTCACCTGAGGTCAGGAGTTCAAGACCAGCCTGGCCAACATGGCAAAACTCCGTCTCTACTAAAAATACAAAAATTAGCCGGGTGTGGTGGCTCACGCCTGTAATCCCAGCCACTCAGGAGACTGAGGCAGGAGAATCGCTTGAACCCGGGAGGTAGAGGTTGCAGTGAGCCGAGATTGTACCATCGCACTCCAGCCTGGGTGACAGAGTGAGATTCCATCTCAAAAAAAACAAAAACAAAAACAAAAAACCTACCAACTAGTGAAAGCAAAAATAATAATGATGAATAGTGGTGTTTATAACAAAGGTAGAAATAAAATATAGGACAACAATTGCACAAAGAGAAGGAAAAGTGTAAATGAAACTATTCTGTTCAAAGTTTTTACATAATATGGGAAATTACATACTATCCATTCAAGGCAGTCTATGATAAATTAAAGATGAATATTGCAATCTCTAGAGCACACTAAACAAATAAACAAACAAGAAAGTTTAAACAAACAAACAACAAGGAAGTTTAAAAGTCAGTGGAGATAATAAGTGTCAGTGTAGGTTCACTGACTGTAAGAAACAAATCACAGTGTTATGGGATGTCAGTAGTGGGGGAAGTTGCGGGCGGGGAGGGACAGGGGCCATGTGAGAATTCTCTGTGCTTTCTACTCAATCTTGCTGTGAACCTGAAACTCCTCTCAAAAATGAAGTCTATTTTTAAAAAAAAAGCCAAGAGAGCACATAAAAGACAATTCTAAAATACACTTAATCCAAAATAAGAAAGAAAAGTAAAAAACAAAGAAACAAGGAACAGATGAAACAAATACAAGGCATACAGAAAAATGGTAGACTTAAACCCATGTACAATTACATTAAACATAAATGGACTACAAGTGAAAAACAGAGAATATCACATGGGGTACAAGAATGAGACCCAATAATACGCTCCTCTCTAAGAATATGAACACCAAAATTAAGAAAGTAAAAAGAATGGGGAAAAAAGGTATGGCATATAAACACTAATCAAAGAATGCTTATGTGGCTATATTAGTATCAGACAAAGAGTACTTCAGGACAAATAATATTACCAGAAATAAAGAAGACCATTTCATAACAAAAAAATCAATTCATCAAGAAGGCATAATCTAAATGTACATGAACCCAGCTTCAATACATGAAGCAGGCTGGGCGCCCTGGCTCATGCCTGTAATCCCAATACTTTGGGAGGCCAAGGCATGAGAATCACTTGAACCCAGGATTTTGAGAACAGCCTGGGCAACACAGCAAAACCCTGTTTCTATAAAAAATACGAAAATTAGACAAGCACGGTGGCATGTGCCTGTAGTCCCAGCTACTCGGGAGGCTGAAGTGGGAGGATCGTTTGAGCCCAAGAGGCAGAGGTTGCAGTGAGTTGAGATTGTGCCACTACACTCCAGCCTGGGCAAGAGAGCCAGACCCTGCCTGTGATGGTTAATATTGCGTGTCAACTTGATCGATTGGATTGAAGGATGCAAAATATTGTTCCTGAGCGTGTCTGTGAGGGTGTTGCCAGAGGAAATTAACATTTGAGTTAGTGGACTGGAAGAGGCAGACCCACCCTCAATCTGGGTGGGCACCATCTAATCAGCTGCCACTGCGGCTAGGATAAAAGCAGGCAGAGGAACGTGGAAGAACCAGACTGGCTGAGTTTTCCAGCCTTCATCTTTCTCCCGTGCTGGATGCTTCCTGCCCTTGAACATTGGACTACAAGTTCTTCAGCTTTTGGACTCTTGGACTTATACCAGTGGTTTGACAGGGACTCTCGGGCCATTGGCCACAGACAGAAGGCTACACTGTCGGCTTCCCTACTTTTGAGGTTTGGGGACTCGGACTGGCCTCCTTGCTCCTCGGCTTGTAGACGGCCTATTGTGGAACTTCGCCTTCGTGTGAGTCAATACTGCTTAATAAATTCGCCTTCATATATACATCTATCCTATGAGTTGTGTCCCTCTAGAGAACCTTGACTAATACATTGTCTCAAAAAAAAAAAAAAATACAGGAAGCCAAAACTGACAGAACTCAAAGAAGAAATCAAGAACTCCACCATCATAACTGGAAATTCTGACACTCCTCTCAGAGGTATTGACAGAACAAGCATACGTAACAAATCAATAGCAATATAGAGGGTTTGCAACAGAGACTATGAGAAGAGAAGGCGGAGAGAGAAACTTCAATCTTTTGAGAAATTATATTTTTAAAGAGAGCCAGGCTGGGCGCAGTGGCTCACGCCTGTAATCCCAGCACTTTGGGAGGCCACGGCGGGCGGATCACCTGAGGTCAGGAGTTTAAACCGGCCTGACCAACATGGCAAAACCCTGTCTCTACTAAAAATAACAAAAGTTGGCTGGGCGTTGTGGTGTGTGCCTGTAATCCCAGCTACTGGGGAGGCTGAGGCAGGGGAATTGCTTGAACCTGGGGGGCGGAGGCTGCAGCGAGCTGAGATCGCGCTACTGTGCTCCAGCCTGGGAGACAGAGCAAGACTCAGTCTCAAAAAAATAAATAAGTGAAAATAATAAAAATAAAGACAGCAAAGAATTGAGCAGTGGCTGGATTGGGCTACAGGATCAAGGGTGGATAAGAGGCGAGAAGTAACAGTGTGTTTGTGTGCTGGTGGGGCTACCCAGGAGGGGTGGGTCCAGGAGGGATCCAGGAGTAGTGGGATCTGGTGATCGGGGACAGTGAGTGGACAGCTTTAGATACAGTGTCTTTCAGTAGGCAAGAGAGGATGGGATGCTGGGCCTAGGCAGGAGAGTCAGCCTGAAGGGGAGCTGTGTTCATGTGTCAGGGGGACAGAGCTGGAGAAGGGGACTCTTCCCCAAGGTGGTGACAGCCTGAGCCTCTGGGCCCTGCCCTGTGGCCAGGCCTCCAGAGAATGGGGCAGCTTGGGCAGGATTCTCCCCAGTCTCTGAGACTCCTGTGCCCCTGTTCTTCTCCAGGTCTTTGTCTCAAGATAATTCAAGTTAATCATGGGAAGCTATCCCATGATAAGAGGCTAGAACAAGAGTGCTGCTGTATAATTTTTCTATTTTTTTTTTTTTTAACATTTAGGGATTTGTTTCAGCCTTTAAAATAAGCAGATAAGGATTGAAAACACAGATAAGGATAAAAAAACAGATAAGAGGCTGAGCACGGTGGCTCATGCCTGTAATCCCAGCACTTTGGGAAGCCAAGGCAGGCAGATCACTTGAGGTCAGGAGTTCAAGACCAGCCTGGCCAACCTGGTGAAACCCTGTCTCCACTAAAAATACAAAAATTAGCCGGGTGTGGTGGCGCGACCCTATAGTTCCCAGCTACTTGGGAGGCTGAGGAGGAGAATCACTTGAACCCGGGAGACGGAGGCTGCAGTGAGCTGAGATTGCACCACACTGCACTCCAGCCTGGGGAACAGAGTGAGACTCCATCTCAATAAAACAAACAAACCAGAAAAGATTTTTAAAACATAGTTCACGGAAAAGGAAATGGCTCTTAAACATAATTTCCCACAAGAGAAGTAAGTATACATTCAAACTACGCTGAAATACCCATTTTCTCCAAATTGGCAAAGTTCAGAAAATTTGCTAACAGATTGCATTGGTAGGGGTGTGGGTAAGTGCACTCTCATTCATTGCCGGTGGCTGTGTAAATTGGTACAAACCTTATGGAAGGCAACTTAGCAATATTTATCAAAATTACAGGTGCACAAAGGATTGGGCAATTTCTCCTCTAGGACTTTTTAACTTATCAGAAAAATCAAGTATACACAAGGTGATTCGTGGCAGCCTTGTAACAGCAAGAAGATTGGGAAGGCTGGAAACAACTTAAGTGACTATGGGTGGGGGACTGGCGGAATAAATACGGTATTTCTATACAATGGAAATCATGTTGTAATCCAAGAAAACAGAAATGTTCTTTATGCGGCTGCTTACAACTCACCGATCCCAACCAGTTAACAGATTTCTTTGCTCCTTCTCCACTCCCACCGCTTCACTTGACAAGCCTTTAAAAATAAAAAATAAAAGAAAGGTCATGTGCTGATAAGGAATGATCTCCAAGACAAAGTGAAAAATGCAAGGAAGTACTAAGCTAGAATCTTTGTAAAAAATAAAAAGAGAGGCTGGGTGTGGTGGCTCACGCCTGTAATCCCAGCACTTTGGGAGGCCAAGGCGGGCAGATCATTTGAGGCCAGGAGTTCGGGACCAGCCTGGCCAACATAGTGAAACTCTGTCTCTACTAAAAATACAAAAAATAAAATTAGCCAGGCATGGTGGCACACACCTGTAATCCCAGCTACTTGGGGGGCTGAGCTAGGAGAATCGCTTGAACCCGGGAGGTGGAGGTTGCAGTGAGCCAAGATTGGGCCACTGCACTACAGTCTGGGTGACAGAGCAAGACTCCATCAAAAAAAAAGAAAAAAGAAAAGAAAAAAGAGGGGTGGAGAGTAAATATACAGGTATATATGTAATTGCCAACACACATACATATAATTTGACAAATTGTATTTTAAAGAAAGCAAAGAATTGAGCAGTGGCTGGATTGGGGTACAAGATCAAGGGTGGATTGAGAATTGAGATGAGAAAAATAACAGTGTGTTTGTGTGCTGGGTTGAGGGGCTGCCCAGGAAGGGTGGACCCAGGAAGGATGGGATCTGGCCTATTTTATATATATATAAATGTGTGTGTGTGTGTGTGTCTTCCTGGAAAAAAATACACAAGAAACCAGGGTGGGGAACTGGGTAGTTGAATGACAGAGTGGGCGGGAGGAGAGAGATAAGGCAAGCTAAGTAGAAACAAACACAGACGGTAAGAGATAGCATTTAACAAACAGCACTCCACACCGCCTACTTCCTGTTCCCTTCCCAATACTACTACCTCTCCTCTTCCAGATAGACGCGTTTCAGGAATTCCACCTATAAAGTCTGAAGGGCATTTAAACTCCACTCAGTAATTTGACCATCAACTAGGCTAAGTGGGCAAGAGGTGTGCTGGGGTGAGAGCCCCTGGGCACACGGGTATGTTTTTTCTGCTTGAGATGGAGATGGAATTACCAGCTCAGGAGACAGTTTACAACCAATGATGCCTCATTCCTGTTTTCAGTCTGTTGGCATTTTAAAAATATTATACATTTTTACTTTCAAACACTAAGAGCCACCGACACTGTCTTTGGTCATTTGTGAGAACGCTGTTGATATGATAACTAGATTAACAGAAAAAAGCTGAGGGTCAAATGTGAGCTGATGAAAAGTTGACAGGATGTCTCCCTTCCCCTAATACCTCCGCTTTTATTAACATCATGGATGTCATCTTCTTTTTTTTTTTTTTTGAGACGGAGTCTCGCTCTGTCACCCAGGCTGCAGTCCAGTGGAGCAGTCTCGGCTCACTACAACCTCCGCCTCCCAGGTTCAAGCCATTCTCCTGCCTCAGCCTCCCAGGTAGCTGGGATTATAAGTGTGAGCCACCACGCCTGGCTAATTTTTGTATTTTGAGTAGAGACGGAGTTTCACCATGTTGGCCAGGCTGATCTTGAACTCCTGACCTCGTGGTCCACCCAAAGTGATCACTCCTGACCTTGCCCTCTCAAAATGCTGGGATTACAGGCGTGAGTCACCGCGCCCAGCAGATGTCATTTTCTAAAATAAGACAATGGTTGAAGTGTGTGGCCGCTAACTCCTGTGCTGAGCGCACTGGGATGGACCGGTGGGGGAAGCCTTTGCTCAGCCCTGGACCACCAAGGTCTCTGCCGGGCTGCTCTCCCCTCGGCCTGCTTGCGTGTGCAAGTCCACGGGCACACGTCCTGCCTTCATGTCTTGGACTTTAAACACCCTGGGCAGCTGGCCAGGCCTTGGTTTTGTTTGCAGAGTTGCCTAATCTAATATTGGTATTTAGCAAACAAAGCCCAAACAAGGGAGAAGTAGGCCCCTCTTGCCTCTTCTGAGCTTCCAGGGCTCTCCAGTGGACCCAAGAAGCACCGTGAGATGCCCCACAGTTTCATGGCCAAATAAAGAAACTTGAGTCAACCTTCTCTGTGGTTAACAGGGAATCCTCAGAGCGGGTGTTTTGGGTCCAGGCCACCCCATGCAAGGAATCCTGCTAGGAGAAAATGGGTCACTCCTAGTGGGGCTGGCCTGGGGCAGACTGTGGGGTGAAGAGGGCTGGCCATGTGCCCCTGACGCCCCTTCCTCAGATGCCCGCTGCTCCCCCGCATCGTAGAGCCCGTGGGTCTTGCATTCTTGCGGCGGCAGCTCCCCCGTCTTCTCACAGCTCCTGGCTCCCTCCTGTCATCCAGATGTGTGTTCCACGGAGCTCTAAAATTAAACAGATGCATCTGATAGCGACCTGCCCTTCACCCAGCAAGACACTCCCGAAGCACCAAAGCCCGTAGGTGGGCATCATCATGGTGGCCATTTGGGCCATGGTTGGAGATCCTGGAGGGCCTGGAGCAGAGGGGCCTTCCCTTCCCACAGGGCTCCGACCAAACCCGCGTCCCCTGGCATGGCTGGTTCAGTTCCAACCCTTGTGCCCTTTGAGATCACCTCCAGCCCGCGCTGGAAAGTCCACTCACCCGCCCTCCTGAGGAGCTCATGCGTATCCCAGGCTGCCACAGATGGTGACGCTGGGGAAGAAAGGCAGGTCATGGGCTTGGGCCACAGCTGCTTCTCGTGGACTGGACGGAGCAGGTGACGTGTCGGCCAGGAAGGAGGAAGGAGGCCCTCTCGGCCACGGACAGGCTCCAGGCTCCTCACATCAGGACCCAGGCCCTGCCCTCCCCGAGGGCCCAGGATCCAGACGCTTCCAAAAGTGCTCTCCTTGCATTTCCTGACCCGCCTCTACCGTGCTGTCCAATCTGACAGCCACCAGCTACAGCGGCGATGGAGGCGATGGAAATGCGCCTATTTGGAGTTGAGCTGTTCTGTAAGTGTGAAACAGGCACCACATTTCAAAGATTTAGTGCAAAATCACAACATAAAGCATCTCATTAACAATGTTTTCTAATGATTATACATTACATGATAATGTCTTGGACATATTGTCTTTAATTATTAAAATTAACTTTCCATTTCTTTTTCCTTCTTAAAAAATGGGTCACCTAGAAAATTTTATTTTTATTTCTTTTTATATTTATTTATTTATTTATTTATTATTTTTTGAGATGGAGTTTCACTCTGTCACCCAGGCTAGAGTGCAATGGCGCAATCTCGGCTCACTGCAACCTCCGCCTCCCAGGTTCAAGCAATTCTCCTGCCTCAGCCTCCCGAGTAGCTGGGATTACAGGTGTGTGCCACCACACCTGACTAATTTTTCTATTTTTAGTAGAGACGGGGTTTCACCATGTTGGTGAGGCTGGTCTCAAACTCCTGACCTCATGATCTGCCAGCCTCAGCCTCCCAAAGTGCTGGGGTTACAGGCGTGAGCCACCATGCCCAGCCTATTTATTTTTATTTTTTAGTGACAGGGTCTTGCTCTGTTGCCGAGGCTGGAGTGCAGTGGTTCGATCTCAGCTCACTGCAGCCTCTACCTCCTGGGCTCAAGAAGCCTCAGCCTCCCTAGTAGCTGGGACTACAGACATGTGCCACGATGCCCAGCTCATTTTTTTTTTTTAATTTTTAAAATAGAGACAAGTTCTCACTATGTTTCCCCAGCTGGTCTTGAACTCCTGAGCTCAAGCAATCCTCCCGCCTCAGCCTCCCAAAGTACTGGGATTATAGGTGTCAGCCACTGCTCCCAGCCTAGACAATTTTAAATTACATGTGTGACTTGCATTGTTTCTTTGTTTTTCTTTTTGGATACAGAGTCTTGCTCTGTTGCCCCGGCTGGAGTGCAGTGGCACCATCTCACTCACTGCAACGTCCTGGGATTACAGGCATGCATCGCCATGCCCAGCTCATTTTTATATTTTTAGTAAAGATAGAGATGGTGTTTCGCCATGTTGGCCAGGCTGATCTCAAACTCCTGGCCTCAAGGGATCCGCCTGCCTCGGCCTCCCAAAGTGCTGGGATTCCAGGAGCCCGGGTGACTTGCATTATTTCTATGGGACAGCGCTGGTCCACTTGGTAACGGTGGAAGCCATATTTCTCAGAATCCACTTCCTGTAGGTCTCAGGGCAGAGTTGTCAAGAGGGAAGGCACCCGTGATTTGAGAGGCAAAGGTGAGGCTGGCCTTGCTGACCAACACTGACCCCAGGCCGACCCCAGGCCCACCCCAGACCCACCCCAGACCCTTTGCTGCAAACTCACAGAAGACACCTCCCAAAGACGCCCACCCCAGCCCCCTCGGCAGTCCTCCTTGCCCTCCACCCCCGCCACAGCTGGGTGAGGCCTGACTCCTAGAATACATCCTTTATTCCACGACAGACCTCATGGTTCTGGCTCCCTGTTGAACCCCGTCTGATCCCCACCTCTCCTGGGCCTCTGGAGGCCGCATCCAACACAGCTGAGAAGGTGAAGGTTAAGGTCTCAAAATACAGCCGGCCGCAGCTCAACAGCAAGAGGCCTCCTGCCCAGGCCTCTAGGGTTCCATTTCCTCTCCTTCTGCCCACCACCCCTGGCTATTCTCTCTCCCCTTCACTACCCACTTCCCCTCCTCTCCTCCCTGTCTGCTGGCTCCTTCCTTCCAGTCCACAAGCAGCTCAACTCCCTGCTGCTTTTAAAACACCAACATGGCAAAAACCAAAACCACCCTCCCTCCCACAGTCAAATTTTAAAGATACATCTACACTCCCTTCTTCACCTTTGGATCCTATTTCAACACCAGGGACTGGCTTCTGGCCCACATCCCAGAGCCGCCAGGGACAAGGCCACCAGTGGCCTCATTTCCCAATCCCCGGCCTCTTTTCAGTCTTGCTCCACATGACCTCAGAGCAGAGGTGGTCACTAGTCCCTCCTCCTCTGCCCTTTTCCCCATGACACCCCCTTTGTCATCCCCATCACTGACCCTTCCTGGATCCTCCTCCCCTGGCAGTTCTTACGTTGACATTTCCCAGGGTGCTGGCCTTAGACCCCTCATTTTATGCCCCCTCTGGGTAAGGCATTCACGCCAGGACTTATTTAAACTACTGTCTCCCCCGTCTCTACTAAAAACACAAAAATTAGCCAGGCGTGGTGGCACATTTCTGTAGTCGCAGCTACTCAGGAGGCTGAGGCAGGAGAATCGCTTGAACCTGGGAGGCAGAAGTTGCAGTGAGCTGAGATCGCAGCACTGCACTCCAGACTGGGCAGCAGAGTGAGACTCTGTCTCCAAAAAATAAACAAACAAACAAACTAACAAACTACTGTCTCCAAAAGAATGACTCCCCCATCTCTACCTTTCTAATGCTGCTAACTGGATGCTCTGCAGGGCCCCATGTTCAATGTGTCCAAAGTGAAACCCGTCACCTAAGATGGCCTCCCAGTTCTCTTTTTTTTTTTTTTTGAGATGGAGTCTCATTCTGTTGCCCAGGCTGGAGTGCAGTGGCGCGATCACGGCTCACTGCAACCTCTGCCTCCCAGGTTCAAGTGATTCTCTTGCTCAGCCTCCTGAGTAGCTGGGACTACAGGCGCCTGCCACCATGTCCAGCTAATTTTTTGTATTTTTAGTAGAGACGGGGTTTCACCGTGTTAGCCAGGATGGTCTTGGTCTCCTGACCTTGTGATCCACCTGCCTCGGCCTCCCAAAGTGCTGGGATTACAGGCGTGAGCCACCGTGCCCGGCTATCTCCCAGTTCTCTATCTCAGGGAGCAGCCAAGGCCGGAGGCACCTTTACTCATTTAGGTCACTGGCTTCCTGTTCTCAAAGAGAAAATCTCTCTCTGCTCACTCCCATTCATGCCTCTTCACACCACTAACTCTTTTTTTAAAGCTTAGCTTGGCCATTACCCTCCTTTCACTCTGCATGATTCTGAGCTCCTCTAGGTGGCTTTGTGTGTCAGCAGTTTGTGGGTTTTCATTGCTGCGTAGTATTCCAACCTTATGGTATACTATAGTTTGTTTATCATAAAATGAATTGGAAAGTGCTTTCTTCTCTAGTGTGGATTTGTGTAGGGTTGATAGTAATTTTTCCTTGAGTGGAATTCACTCAAGTGAAGCCATCTGGGCCTGGATTTTTTGTGTAGGGGAAGGTTTTTAATTAAAAATTTAATTTCGTTAATAGATGTAGGGCTATTCAAATTTCCCGTTTCTCCTATGAAGTTTTGTAATTTGTGCCTTTCAAGAAATGTGTCCATTTTATCTGCATTGTTAGATTTAAAGGCAGGAAGTTATTCATAATATTCCTCTGCTATCCTATAAACATCTAGGATCTGTAACAATGTTTCTCCTTTTCTCCCCAGTGTGGAATATTTTGGGGAGATTGTGGGGGGGACGGAGAGAACCAAAGCCTAATCCTCCACAGTAGAAAATCAGTAGACCACACCTGCAATTGGAAAAAAAAAATGCAAAAATAGGTGAAAACATGATATTTGGAAAAACAGAGTTAAATACAAGAAGACATTGGAAAAGAAGTCAAAGTAGCTGCCTCTGGGGACAGGATTAGTGTGGCGTGGGACACGGTGGGGCACAGGATTGGAAAACAGTTCATTCCAAGCTCCCATAAAACTCCAGTTCAGGGCTCTTTCATTCTGGATCTCCCCTCACCCACCTGTCCTTCCCTTCCCCAATTCAGGCTGCACTGAAGATGTTTCAGTCCTTTGCGGAACTTCTCTCACCAACTCCATAAGGGGCCTTGGCTTAGTCTGGTGGTCCCAATTGTCAGACCCAACTCCTCTCCCATCTCCAGGGATGACAGACATTGGACATCCGCCAGGACCCTTACCTTGGACCAGTGGTGTGCTTAGTAGGCTGGAAGCCCATAGAACTCTTCTGAGTTTTTTTTTGTTTTTTAACTCTTCCTTTCTCAATATGACAAAACTACTTTCAATGACAAAAACAGCAATTACCTGCCAGGCACGGTGGCTCACGCCTGTAATCCCAGCACTTTGGGAGGCCAAGGCGGGCTAATCACCTGAGGTCGGGAGTTCGAGACCAGCCTGACCAACATGGAGAAACCCTGTCTCTACTAAAAATACAAAATTAGCTGGACGTGGTGGCGCATGCCTGTAATCCCAGCTGCTCGGGAGGCTGAGGCAGGAGAATCGCTTGAACCCAGGAGGCAGAGGTTGCAGTGAGCCGAGATTGTGCCATTGCACTCCAGCCTGGGCAACAAGAGTGAAATTCTATCTCAAAGAAAAAAAAACCCAGCAATTACCTCTGCAGCAACCTAATATCTTCACTAATACTAATGAATGAAACAATAAGAATAAAATAAATGTGGATGGTGAAAATTTTTTATTGAACTTTAAAAATACACAATCACAGTACAAAAGTATGACAGTACAAAAGGGCACAATTACTTACTCTTATTACAGGTTTTTTGTTGGTTTGTTTGCTTTTTTGAGACAGAGTCTTGTTCTGTTGCCCAGGCTGGAGTTCAGCGGCGCGATCTCAGCTCACCGCAACCTCCGCCTCCCGGGTTCAAACAATTCTCCTGCCTCAGTCTCCCAAGTAGCTGGGATTACAGGCGCCTGCCACCACGCCGGGCTAATTTTTGTATCTTTAGTAGAGACGGGGTTTCTCCATGTTGGCCAGGCTGGTCTTCAACTCCTGACTTCAGATGATACGCCCGCCTCGGCCTCCCAAAGTGCTGGGATTACAGGTGTGAGCCACTGCATCCGGCCATTGCTATATATTTTTTATATTTACTTAATGATTTGAATTTTGGTCTTTTGGTGATAGCCCTATATAACAAATGTCTATTTAAATAATTCTCCAGTAACTAATAAGTGGATTTTAAGAAGATCATCAGCAAAAGGTACACTGAAATTGTGGCAATTATAAAATCATACTGCTAACATAACAATTTTCTTTACATTTCATGGATGAACTAAAATTTGCACTTACCAGACAAAAAGATTGCCCTTCCTAGTCTGGATTCTGTTTCACTCTCTAAGGTTTTTTTTTTGAGACAGAGTCTCTCTCTGTCGCCCAGGCTGGAGTGCAGTGGCACGATCTCAGCTCACTGCAACCTCTACCTCCCGAGTTCAAGCGATTTTCCTGCCTCAGCCTACTGAGTAGCTGGGATTACAGGTGCGCACCACCATGCCCAGCTAATTTTTTTGTTTTTTTAGTAGACATGGGTTTTCACCATGTTGGCCAGGCTGGTCTCAAACTCCTGACCTCAGGCGATCCACCTGCCTTGACCGACCTCCCAAAGTGTTGGGATTACAGGCATGAGCTACTGCGCCTGACCTCACTCTTTAAGTTTTAAAACACAAATAAACTGCAAGTGAGGTCGGGTGCAGTGGCTCACACCTGTAATCCCAGCGCTCTGGGAGGCTGAGACAGGCAAATCTCAGCTTGAGGTCAGGAGTTCGAGACCAGCCCGGCCAACATGGTGAAACCTCGTCTCTACTAAAAATACAAACATTAGCTGGATGTGGTGGTGCATGCCTGCAATTTCAACTACATGGGAGGCTGAGGCAGGAGAATGCTTGAACCCGGGAGGTGGAGGTTGCAGTGAGCCGAGATCGCATCATGGCACTCCAGCCTGGCAACAGGAGTGAAATTCCGTCTCAAAAAAAAATAAATAAATAAAATAAAACCGCAAGTGGTCACACAGAATGACAGCATTGAAGCAACTCAAGTCCCATTGCTTTGTCTTAAAATCTGTTTAAATGCAGGAATATGTTGGAACAGGGGGGTTAGGGACTCCACTGTGCCCCGAGCAAGCCTGAACAATTCCAAACCATTAGAACATTCTCTTGAAATGAAGGTGTGTTAGCTGAGTCCACGCTTGGTGGGCAAACCACTGCATAACCGGCAGATCTCAGAATTAATGTCCACGTGGTGTACAAGATTTACTAAAGGAAAAGTACTACAGTGTACTAATTTAAAGCTTGCCTACATATCTACTAAAACTCACTGGAATTTAAACTCACTAAAGATTTTTGAGGGGAGGAGAATTTTATCTCCACCCCAAATCTCCAGATTTTGTTTAGAATTGCCAAGAGCACAGTGATAGTAAAAAGCAGCCGGCTTTTAGTCCTAGTTTTATTATTGTTTTTTAATTGTTTGCAGGCTGGATCTGCACTCTCTCCAGCACGCAGGCTCCTACTCCCACCGACCGCCCTTGTAAGTCACTGTCATGGGCCAAAGTTCCATGGCCACTGTGTCATACTCACGATCTCTCCTTAACCTGCCATTGGTGCTTCATTCTGCCTAACTTTGCTCTGTCTGAAATTCCAACAAAACTTACAGGCAATGTCCTCTACATTGTTGAATACAACATATGTCTTACTTGGCGTTTTAGTGCCATGCAATCCAGTTGACTGTGTCTTCCTTCTCGAAGCACTGTCTTTTTTTTTTTTGAGATGGAGTCTCACTCTGTCACCCAGGCTGGAGTACAGTGGCATGATCTCGGCTCACTGCAAGCTCCACCTTCCGGGTTCACGTCATTCTCCTGCCTCAGCCTCCCGAGTAGCTGGGACTACAGGCACCTGCCACTGCGCCTGGCTAATGTTTTTTTGTATTTTTAGTAGAGACGGGGTTTCACCGTGTTAGCCAGGATGGTCTCGATCTCCTGACCTCGTGTTCTGCCCACCTCGGCCTCCCAAAGTGCTGGGATTACAGGCGTGAGCCACCGCGCCGGGCCGAAGCATTGTCTTCTATTTTGCCAGCCACCTCTCCAGTTGCTCCTTCGCCATCTCCTTTGCTCGTGCTCCTACACACATCCATCACATGCTGGAGCTCCTTAGGGCTTGTCCAGGCCCCCTTCTCATCTCAAATTCTACTCTCATTATCATCAAATCTGCCCCCATGGTTTAAAACACATCACTGGTTGCTTAAGCTAGAAACCCAGAAGCTACCCTTGATATTTCTTTTTCCCTAATCTCTCTCTCTTTTTTTTTTTGAGACAAGTCTTGCTCTGTCTCCCAAGGTGGAGTGCAGTGGTGCAATCACGGCTCACTGCACCCTTGACTTTAGGACTCAAGTAATTCTCCTGTCTTGGTCTCCTTAGTAGCTGGGACTACAGGCGTGTGCCACCAGGGCCAGCTAATTTTTTTTTTTTTTTTTAGAGATGGGGTCTTGCTATGTTGCCCAGGCTGGTTTTGAAGTTTCAAACTCCTGGGCTCTGGTGATCCTTCCGCCTCCATCTTCCAAAGTGTTGGGATTGCAGGCGTAAGCCACGGTGCTTGGCCCCTAATCTGTGCATGAAATCAATCTCACTGGTTTTTCTGTTCTCCCTCAAAAACATATCCGGATTCTATTGGCTCCCTTCCATCTCTCTGCCCCCATCCTCATCCAAGCCTCCTTATTTCTTGCCTGGGCTATTGCAGCTGCTCTCCACTACTAACTCATGCTACCCTGTCTCCATCTGCAGCCAGACAGGTATTTCTTTTGCGATGCCAACCTCACTGTGGAACCCTCTGCTTATAGCCTCTCCTAGCGTGGCTTACAGAGTCCAACATGACCTGGCCCGGCTGCGCCCCCCACCTCCTCTCATTGTGCTCCAGCTAGTCCAGGGATCCTGGGACTCAGCTGTGCTAAGCAGGTCCCTGCCTCAGGGCTCCAAAAGGACACTGTCCTCTTCCCGGTGCCTCATGAACTCTCCTCACTCTTGCTGGACTCAGACCATCTGCCTCTTTCTCGGTTGAGTCTTCCCTGTCACACCCTGACGTCCACCACTAGTATAGCTAGCTCAGTGAGGGCAGCAAGAATGCCACCCTATTCACTGTACATCCACGCATCCAGTACCGAGCCTGGCACCCAGTACGTGCTCAAGAGCAGGGGCTGGAAGTGCCTCCCTGTTGCTGGAGGGGCAGAGGGTTAGGTTCTGTAGCATCAGACTCACGTGTGTTGTCTGGGAACACCTAGGGATGCTCGATCTCTGTGGACAAACCATGGAACAGATCGAGAGTTGCCTTTCTGCAGGCTTTGCCAAGCTTCCCAGAAGTCTCTGTGTACCCCTTAAGCATCTTAGGAAAATACGCCCAAAAGGCAGGAATTTTCCCTCTAAAGTGGCCCTGGGAGCTGTTTCAGCACCCGCCCCCTCCCAGCACCGCCCCCTCCCGTCTCCCACACACCCCCTCCCTTGGGGGCTCACTTGCCCGGGGTTTCCAAGAGCCAAGTTGGTCTAGATTCACACATTTCCTCCAAGTCAAAACGTACCCGTGACCTTTCTGTGCTTTTGAGTCAGACCAGAATAAGCATGAGGTGTGAAGTTTTATGAGCCCCTGGGAGCTGCTGACGCTGGCCGTGCTCCTTGGGTAAGACTGTGGGAGAACACGATCTGGCTCCCCTCAGCGACAAGTGGGTTGGCCCCGCTCCTGGGCGTGGGGCAGGCAGCTCTGCAGTGCAATTGTTCCAGCGTCAAATCCTTCTGAAGTTCCAACTGGAGTATTTGGAGGAAGCTTAATTAAGACTGCTGTGTTCTTCTTTTTCCTTTCTTCTAACTTTGTTTACTTTAAGCACTTACTGCACTTCCAAAGGATATAGCTGGAGTTAGAGACTCTGCCCCGCAGGCCACTTGAAGATGCAAGGCAGTCTCTCCCACACACAAAATAAGATCCTGTAGGACTTAATTCAGATAGTCTACAAAGTTCTGTGTGTCTGTCTGTCTATCTCTATTTGTATGCCTCAAAGAGATAATATACTTTTGTTTCATATGTTCATGGAATATTTATTTATTTATTTTATATGGAGTCTCGCTCTGTCGCCCAGGATGGAGTGCAGTGGCACGATCTCGGCTCACTGCAACCTCCGCCTCCTGGGTTCAAGCAATTCTTCTGCCTCAGCCTCCCAAGTAGCTGGGACTACAGGCGCACGCCACCACGCCCAACTAATTTTTTTGTATTTTTAGTAGAGACGAGGTTTCACCATATTGGCCATTCTAGTCTTGAACTCCTGACCTCATGATCTGTCCGCCTCGGCCTCCCAAAGTGCTGGGATTACAGGCATGAGCCACTGAGCCTGGCCCTGGAACATTTACATAAACTGATCAAGTACTTGGACAATAAGAAAATTACAATGAATTTTTTTTTTTTTTTTTTTTTTTTTTGGTCAGAGTCTCACTTTTGTTATCCAGGCTGGAGTGCAGTGGTTATGGCTCACTGCAGCCTCAACCTCCCCGGCTCAAGGGATCCTCTCACCCAAGTAGCTGGGACTGAGGCACGCACCACCACGCCAGGCTCATTTTTGTATATTTTGCAGAGATGGGGTTTCGCTGTGTTGCCCAGACTGATCTCAAACTCCTGAGCTGAAGTGATCCGCCCACCTTGGCCTCCCAAAGTGCTGGGATTAGAGGCATGAGCCCCTGCGCGCAGCCCAGATGTTTCTAGAGTGTAGAAATCTTCAGGTTACATTTATTTACTGATCACAATCCAATAAAATTCAAAACATTAATTTAAAGGAGATAATTTGGCTGGGCACAGTGGCTCATGCCTATAATCCCAGCACTTTGGGAGGCTGAGGCGGGAGGATTGCTTGAGGTCAGGAGTTCGAGACCAGCCTGGCCAACATGGTGAAACCCCATCTCTATTAGAAATACAAAAAATTAGCCGGGTGTGTGGCATACCAAGTCCCAGCTACTCGGGAGGCTGAGGCAGGAGAATAACTTGAACCTGGGAGGCGGAGGTTGCAGTGAGCCAAGATTGCACCACTGCACTCCAGCCTCGGCGACATAGCCAGACTTCGTCTCACATAGATAGATAGATAGATAGATAGATAGATAGATAGATAGATAGATAGATAAGATAATATTTGGAAATTAACAAGTAGGTAATCCTTAGATCAAAGAAGAAATTAAAAGCAAAATTAAAGACTACATAGAAAGCAATAAAAGGAGAATGCTTACTGCCAAAATTAATGAGGCAAACTGAGTACCAGAGGAAAATTTATAACCTAAAAATGTCATTATTATTCAAGAAGAAAGATGAAAAAAATACAGCACTACACAACAAAATACTTACCTTAGAAAGCAAGAATAGTAAAATAAATCAAAACAGGCCACGTATAGAGAACAAAAGATTAAAGATGTGATCAATAAAATAACAAAAAGTAGCAAAGAAAAGTACATTTCGAACCGGTTCTTTGAAAAGAACACTAACATCCTCAAAAACTTAGTTATGAAAAAAAGGTAAAAACACGCAAGATAAGGAATGAGAAAGGAGAAATAACCAGATATGAGGCCTCAAAATAATTTTAAGAGAATACATGCAACTGTACCAGCAACAAATTCAAAAAGTTAAGAGAACTGAATGATTTAAAAAAATCAAATGTTACCAAAATTGACCTATGAAGAAATGGAAAACTTGAATACTCCAATAAACAGAGTAGAGTGTGGGATGATGATTAAATGGCACCACTGAAAAGAGTTCTAGCCCAGGCGCAGTGGCTCATGCCTGTAATCCTAGCACTTTGGGAGGCCGAGACGAGCGGATTGCCTGAGTTCAGAAGTTCGAGACCAGCCTGGGCAACACGGTGAAACCCTGTCTCTACTAAAATACCCACACACAAAATTAGCCGGGCGTGGTGTCGGGCGCCTGTAGTCCCAGTTACTTGGGAGGTGAGGCAGGCGAATTGCTTGCACCCACGAGGCCGAGGTTGTAGTGTGCTGAAATTGTGCTACTGCACTCCAGCCTGGGTGACAGAGCTAGACTCAGTCTCAAAAAAAAAAAAAAAAAGAGTTCTAGGCCAGGCTCATGTCTATAATCCCAGCTCTTTGGGAGGCCGAGGCAGGAGAATTACTTGAAGCTAGGAATTCGAGACCAGCCTTGGCAAAAAGCGAGAGACCTGCCTCTACAAAAAAGAAAATAAATTAGCTGGGCATGGTGGCATGTGCCGGTGGTCCCAGATACTTGGGAGGCTGAGGCAGGAGGATGGCTTGAGGCCAGGAGTTCAAGACTACAGGGAGCTATGATCATACCGCTGCACTCCAGCCTGGGTGACAAAGCAAGACCTTGTCTCTTAAACAAAAGTCAGGTGCAGTGGCTCACGCCTGTAATCCCAGCACTTTGGGAGGCCGAGGTGGGTGGATCATGAGGTCAGGAGATCAAGACCATCCTGGCTAACACAGTGAAACCCCATCTCTATTAAAAATACAAAAACAAAATTAGCCGGGTGTGGTGGCGGGCACCTGTAATCCCAGCTACTCGGGAGGCTGAGGCAGGAGAATGGTGTGAACACAGGAGGCAGAGCTTGCAGTGAACCAAGATCGCGCCACTGCACTCCAGCCTGGGCAACAGAGAGAGACTCCGACTCAAAAAAAAAAAAAAAAAAAGGGGGGCCGGGCACGGTGGCTCACGCCTGTAATCCCAGCACTTTGGGAGGCTGAGGCGGGTGGATCACGAGGTCAGGAGATTGAGACCATCCTGGCTAACGTAGTGAAACCCCGTCTCTACTAAAAATACAAAAAATTGGCCGGGCGTGGTTGCAGGTACCTGTAGTCCCAGCTACTCAGGAGGCTGAGGCAGGAGAACGGCCTGAACCCGGGAGGCTGAGCTTGCAGTGAGCCGACATCGCGCCACTGCACTCCAGCCTGGGTGACAGAGCGAGACTCCATCTCAAAAAAAAGTTTTATAACCCAAGGGTTTACAGCCCGCTTTTATCCAAGCTTTGAAAAACAGAACAGAAAATTCTAATGTAATTTAAGTATTGTAAGCCAAATGGTGTTAAGTTCCCCAGTCCATTCTACGAAGACAGCATAATTTTCATCCTAAAGTCTGATGAAGAGACCGGGCACAGTGGTTCATGCCTATAATCCCAGCACTTTGGGAAGCTGAGGCAGGTGGATCAGTTGAGTCCAGGAGTTTGAGACCAGCCTGGGCAACACAGTAAGACCCGATCTCTACTCAAAATAAAAAAAATTAGCCAGGCAAGGTGGCACACGCCTATAGCCCCAGCTCCATGGGAAGAAGAGGTGGGAGGATCGCTTGAGCCCAGGAGTTCAAGGTTGCGGTGAGCCAAGACTGAGCCACTGCCCTCCAGCCTGGGCAACAGAGTGAGACCCTGTCTCAAAAGAAAAAAAAAAAAGGTTACTCTGAAAAAAAGAAAATTATAGGCCCCTTTCACTTAAAAAGTGCCAAGACTCAAAATATTAGCAAAAAGAGCCAGGAATGTATCAAAAGAATAACAAACTAACACATTTTATCCAAGTGGAATCCATTAATTCCAGGGATTAAGAGTGGTTCCATATCAGGAAATCTATCAACATGTTACTTAAACAAAAATTAAAGGAGAAGAAACAGTATAATAATAAACTGTTCATAATAACAGATGCTGAAAGGCATTTGCTATAATTCAGCAAATGCCATTCCTAACAGTAAATCCAAATGCCAACAAACAAAACGATGGTCAAATTCGCTGCTGGGGACACGCAAGATAAAGTAACAATGAACTATCACTTCGTACCCATCACACAGGTAAGAGGCGCAGAGATGGGTGCTGCCCTTCACATTCCTACCAGCACTGGGGGAAAGTGGTCCGGAACATACCTCCTAACTAATCAGCTCCCGGGAAAGGACTGCACAGAAATAGAACTGGCGTGTAAATGCATACATAGGAGGGCATCTATTGCAGTGTTGATCTTCGGGGCAGGGTGGAAGCAGCTGGAAAGCAAAGTGAATGCCCATTGAAGCAGGAATAGGTGAGTAAATTATAGAACACTTACATCATTAATGAACATGCAGCACTTCAGAGAATAAACTAGAGTGATACCAGCCTGAGGGAACAGTGAGAAAAAAAAGCAAGTCACAGAACAGTGTTTAATAGATTCCATTTTTGTAAACACAAATGTTAGGAATCTATGAATATGTATATCTGCTTATGAAACCATACATAATTATATAACGTCGTGAAAATTTGGGCGACACACAAGGTTATTAATTTTGAGGTGGAGTGGATGGAATAGAGAGGGGCGATATAGTGGGGGGAGCAAAAAGGGAAGACTACTTTTAAAAAGTGTCAGTAGGATTATTCAGCAGTGAGTTTTTTTTGACACAGTCTTGCTCTGTCACCCAGGCTAGAGTACAGTGGTGCAGTCATAACTCACTGCAGCCTTAACCTCCTGGGCTTAAGTGATCCTCTTGCCTCAGCCTCTCAAGAAGCTGGGACTGCAGGCATCCATCACCATGCCCGACCTTTTTTTTTTTTTTTTTTTGTAGAGACAGGGTCTCCCTCTGTTGCCCAGGCTGGTCTTGATCCTCCTGGCTTGGCTTCCTAAAGCGCTAGGTTTACAGTCCCTTTCTTTGGTCTTTATGATTGCTTTTATCATGCCCTCAGCCAGAGAGCCACAACTTGGATGATCTTCAAGACCCTTGCAGATGCGAGTGCAATCTCACTTCCAATTTCCTGAAGAAGTGCTCTTCCAGGTTAATCCAAACTTCTAAATAATAATGAACATGCTTGGGTGTGTTTTCAGGAAGCACTTTCTGTTATTAGGGTCTTGGGATGCAGTGTCCAGTGAACAGCAAACATCAAGTATCTCTTACGGTGCTAGAAATCACATTCTTGGTCTAAAGAGCTGGGGTGAAAGCTGTGTTTGCAGCCAACCAATACCTGCAAGACGGCTTGCTGAATTTGGCTGAGGAAATGGAAGATCGTCATACACATACCCTTTCTATGTCAATGACATCCCCATGCCCTGGAGTGCCTGGCTGGTTCACTGTCAAACACTGACTGTCCCACTGCATCTGTGAACCCCTGAAAAGAGTCTAATTGTGTGCGCGTGTGGGGGTTGTTAACCACACCTTCCACTGTCTCTCCCACTTGGAAGGGGCATAGTCTTCAGAAGCTGTGCTTTGGTTTGGAAAGCGTAGCCCCTCCCTTCTCTAGGCTTTTGGATTTCTGTTGACATTTTGTTCTGATTGGCTCTTGGCCAGTTCAACTGGGCAATGGTGGATGAGGTACTTGAATAGGTGAGGGGAACATTTCTTGATTAAAGCCAGTTCTTTGCCTGTTCTACAACACTGAAGCTGTGCAGCTACATGTGGCCGGACAAGAATACAGCCAGGCTGCCCGATTCCACTGTACATTCACGGTCATCAACGTCAAATGGGTCCTTAATGTCGCCCGGCAAACATACCATGCTTCTGTGGCCTATTCCCTTTCCCGTTACCCTACATGACTACGTGCACCTTCTCTCTCTCCAAATCAGCATCACTTCCCGCCCTGTATTCATTCTTGCCTGATGTGAGAAATCAGGAGCAATCAATGGAATCTCAAGCTCCCCCACCTCCACCCATCTTCCTGGCCCGCCAGGCCCTCTTCTCCCTTATTCCTTCCCTGCCCTCTTGAATTTCCGGTCAGTTCTCTCCATTTATGGCCAGATTCCTGTAGAGAGCTGTTGTTATTTCTCTCCTTCCATTTTCCTCTTGAATCTACTCCAACCCGGCTTTCACCTCCAATGCTCCATTGAAACAGCTCTTAGAAAGGTCTCTAGTGACTTCAGCATTGCTAGGTCCACTGATAATTGTTGGTCCGAATCCCACCTGACTTAGTAGCAGCCCTCGGTAGTCTTTGAAACCTTTCTGGCCTCAGCTTCTAGGATCCATACCCTCCTGGTGTCACTCCATCTCTGGATGATCCTGCTGAGCCTCCTTTGCTGTTTTGTTGTTGTTGTTGTTGTTGTTGAGACAGAGTTGCCAGGCTGTTGTGCCAGGCTGGAGTGCAGCGGTGTGATCTCGGCTCACTGCAACCTCCGCCTCCCGGGTTCAAGTGATTCTCCTGCCTCAGCCTCCCAAGTAGCTGGGACTACAGGCGCCCACCACCATGCCCAGCTAATTTTTTGTAGTTTTAGTTATACACATAATTATATAACGTGGTGAAAATTTGGGCGACACACAAGGTTATTAATTTTGAGGTGGAGTGGATGGAATAGAGAGGGGCGATATAGTCGGGGTTAGAGATGAGGTTTCATCATGTTAGCCAGGATGGTCTCAATCTCCTGACCTTGTGATCCGCCTGCCTCAGCCTCCCAAAGTGCTGGGATTACAGGCATGAGTCACCATGCCCGGCCTCCTTTGCTGTTTCTTCTTCAGCTGCCTAAACCCTAAGTGTGACGTCTGTCCTGCTGGGGCTTGGACCAGGAACCTCAGAATGGACTGATCAGCAGCCAGTGTAGCGCGGAGACTACTACTTACTCTTGGGAGGCTGAGACTGGTTAAGGTGTGGGGGTGCTTCCCCAGGCCTGGGGGCAGAGGCCACATTTTATTGTGAACATCACACTATGTTTGGTATTTGTCACTGGTGATAGCTCTAGAAGCTGTGGATCACCAAGAGACCAGAAGAAAACAAAAGAACAAGTTTGGGAAGTCCACAAGGCATTTTATTCCACAGGAAGAAAAATGATGACTCTGATATGAGAACCAGACTCAAGAGTCTTCACACACTGGTGACTGTAATAGTGTTTACATAATAGAGAACCAGATATTTTTAGAATTTTATCAAGCAGCTACTATGGTATTTTGAGGCCCAGATCATACTTACAAACAAAGTGGCCCTGGAGCCTTCAGAACATTGCGATGAGCACCCACCAAGCAGCAAGACACTCTTGGGATTTGGGGAAGGGGCCGCTTGTCTGTTTTCCACTGTGT
Organism: Homo sapiens; assembly: GCF_000001405.40. Classification (NCBI taxonomy): domain Eukaryota; kingdom Metazoa; phylum Chordata; class Mammalia; order Primates; family Hominidae; genus Homo; species Homo sapiens. The sequence goes on along the minus strand of NC_000001.11, from coordinate 12,511,757 downwards.
AGTGACCAGGCCCAGGGGCTGGGGAAGCACTGGCCTGGCTCACCCTTCAGTGAGCACAGAGAAGCAGCGACAGCCAGGGAGTGACACGGGTCGGCCAACTGTGCTGGGTCAAGGGACTGGGTAGCTTTGGATATCTCCTTACCCAATTTACTCTTATTCCATTTATTTTACTTTCCTCAGAGACGAACTGTGTGTTTGAAGCAGAAAGAAAAGCAGTAGAAATGATCTTAACAAAGTCTTAGGCATTGCTGGCTGAATATCAGTTTACAAAGAGACGGGGCATTTAAGGAGCCAGGGGCAGGGCCTGTTTCCTCCAAAGCTTTGGATGTTTTCCTGGTGAGAACCAGGAGGGGATGTCAAATGCCCCTGAAACCTTCTGGCCTTGTCTGGCCCAGGGCTGCAGGGCAGGGGAGAGCTGAGAAGTGGAGCAGCTCGCAGTTGGCCCTCCCATCTCCCACCCAGCCCCGCCCTAGGTGGTCTTTGGATTCCATTTTAACATCTGCCTCTCCTAAGGTGCAAATGTCAAAGTGCTTGGTTGTGCAATCACAGGAGATGGGCAGCTATTTAAAGAGCTGATTAAAATTAGAAAGGAGCCCAAGGGGGGCATCTGAACACTTCTCTGGATTCCTCCTGAAGCACCAGCCCACAGGGCAGCCCGCAGCTAACTTCCTCAGTCAGGTCTGAGAACACCCAGCACTGCTGCGGCCCAAAGCAGATTTTCTTAGTAACACTAAACTCCTTAATCTCATCAAGAGATTTCAAGTGACTTTGTTCCAGAAGGTGATAGAAGGCTCACTGACGCATACAATCAACCCTTCCGAGAGTCTCATCTTTTAAGAGATCATGATCTCAGGCAGTAGGTTACTGATGACAAAAACCACAAGCCAAACCTGTGGGGGTGCAAGGAGGGAGGCTGAGGAGGAAGCTGCAGAGGAGCTGCCATCTTGTGCAGTGCTGTATCCTGCTGCCATCTTGTGCAGTGCGTGAGTGCTGAGACAATCATCACCACCCCCCAGCAAGACACACACAAACTAAAACTCACCCAGTGCCGCAAAAGCCAAGTTTCCATTCTGCAATCCACTAACTTGGAGTTCAGCAAAGGCAACCAAGCCTCGGAGTTCAAGAAAGCTGATCCTTGAACACTATGTAGCTACTTGTGCTAAAGCTCCCTTCCTTCCTCTCTGCATGCACGCGCGCGCGCGCACACACACACACACACACACACACACACAGACACAGACACAGAGGGGAAGTGGGAGAGGAAAGGGAGGGGAAGAAGATTAGCTTCATTTGTGTCTTGGAAGGATTTGGGTCATGAGTTATAAACACCAAAACCTTCCACGCATCCACTGATCCACTGAGTCATCCCAGACTCAGCTACATGTGACAAGGTTGTAGAAATTGATTAGCTTTATTAAAATAAAAATTTAAAAATCACAAGGTGACTCATTCATTCTAAAGTGAGGCCCCTTTTCCCTTCTCCCTATCTGCTTAATCCTTACAGAAAAGCGAAACACCAAAAACAAGACCCAGGGCGCTCATACCAGGCCTTGCTCCCAGCAGGAATTTAAAACCAAGGATAAGAGATGCCTTTGTCAAATCTTGGTTCCATGAAAAACTTACCAACGCAGCTTTTTAATACTCCTATTTCATCCCCCTTTCTGGAACTCTCCCTGCTCCCTTCTCATCCTGGGGTTTCCATCCTGTGTCCCCTCGGGCTGTGGAGCTACGATGCCTGCCTGTGGCTTTATTAAAAAGAAAACAGTCCCGGGGCTTTGTTCTTGGTTGTTGCTGCCCAGGCAGGAGAGCACTTTTATGTGGATTTCTGATTTGTTGCAACAGTTCAATGGGACTTTTTTTTTCCTTCTCAATCAACAGAGTTTACCAATGTTTCCAACCTCTCTAATAATAATAACCTGAGAAAACTTACAATGCTGACTTGCACCCATGTGGTAATGGAGCACAGGTTTCCCCCTAAGTTTGGTAAGACTAGTTAGGAAAAAGCCAAATGGATAACTTACATCATAATTTGTAAGAATCTAAGCACTCTTTGTAAAATGGGGGTGAGAAATTAAAAGTGGGCTCCCAAGCCCCTCTCCTAGATCCTTCTGAAGGGCCAGCGCCAGTCCTGGGTGCCACAGCTCACAGCCCAACTGGACAGCCACGATGTCAAAGGCGTCCCTTTCAGGACCACAGCCCTCACCTCAACCCACTTTACTGGGAATACTTTAGTCTCCAAAACTAAGACGTAACATTCTTTAACTTTTAAGAATGCCTTTCTATAGACAGTATCCTGAATTAGACATCTAGAATTAGTGCAATAGAAGATCCAATATAACTTTATATTACTTTACAGTTAACAAACCTTTACACATAGCACAGACCCTGTTCAGAAACGTTCCTATATATTTACAAACACACTGTTGTACATATATACATGTTAACAAAATACAGGGCAATCTAAAAATTAGATTCATCTCAGTACATGTTTTTAAACGTTATTTAACCAATACCTTTAAAAATTATTTCCCATAATCTAAAATAACTCCCTGCCTCACAAATTAATACGATTTCCATTTGTACTTTTCCTCATGAGGATTTACTTTCCCTCATTCCTTGACAACTTCCCCAAACCCGACTCCGGTTCTGCCTCCATCGTCAGCTGAGAGCTGGGCCTCTTTCCTCCTGGTGGGTCTGCGCTGTGTCGGGAGCGCCCATCTCAGCAGCGGGGCTTCAGGAGTCCAGCTCCAGCTGCTCTCGGTTTTCGCTGAGTCTTAACATAAGCTGCTGTTCATAGTAGAGGCTCTTTGCGTAGTTTATTTCTTGTGACAACTTGACAGCAAGGACCTCAGATTTCACATGGACCTAAGGAGGAGAACAGGATGGGTCACCTGTCCCCAGGATGGGGAAATCCAGGAATCAGATCCACCCAGGTGGCGGCTCCCAGCCCAGCTGCATCTCAGGATGGGATGTACACGTCAAAGAAACAGTGATGGCCAGGGCTGCTCCTGCTTCACTCGCACTCACAAGTCTGGGGTGGGTCCCTGCAATTTTTTTTTTTTTTTTGAGACGGAGTCTCTGTCGCCTAGGCGCAATCTTGGTTCACTGCAACCTCCGCCTCCCGGGTTCAAGCGATTCTCCTGCCTCAGCCTCCCGAGTAGCTGGGACTACAGGCATGTGCACAGCTAACGATTTTTTTTTTTTTTTTTTTTTTTAAGTAGAGATGGGGTTTCACCGTGTTAGCCAGGATGGTCTCGAACTCCTGACCTCGTGATCCGCCCGCCTCGGCCTCCCAAAGTGCTGGGATTACAGGCATGAGCCACTGCGCCCAGCCGGTCTTTTTAAACATTCCCCAGGACTGTACAGCCAACCCATACTCACCTGACATTTGGGAACTCCCCCCCACGGCCATAACTGATCTGCAGAGGTAAGACCAAGAGCAAGAATGGGGGATTCACATCTAAGGTCTGGTGATGGCTGATGAAGGAAGAAGAATCAGCGAACAAAAGCCTCTAGGTCTTTCTTACCACAAACACCTCTCTGCCCACCTGCTTTGAAAGGGGCAGAAGTATAGTGGGCGAGGCTGCCCACCTGCTACAGTGAAGGGATCTGGAGAAATACTCACACTTTGAGGTGCTCGCCCTCTTCATCAGCCAGCTCTAACTTAAGCCAATGACCCCACGGGAGCCTTACACAAGTCCAAACAGGCCCAAATGCATTCATGAGCAGGGGGAGGCCAAAGGACTCCGGAGGAGAGAGGCCCAATAAGGCTGGCGCTATTTCCGATCCATAGAGAGAGCAGAGGTGGGCAGGCCCTTTTGATTAATGTATCATTCTTGAATGCAAGCTTCAAAATCCGGGTATGCCGGGTGAGAATGAGCAGGACTAACACCTGGGTGTCATGGCAAGCCTCCAGGGCCGACTGGCCAGAGACAGATCCGCAAGAGGCTCTGCAGCCAGCTCTGGTGCCAAGCCACTCGGATTTGAACCCCGGCTCCTCAAGGTCAGCTGTGTAGCCTTGAATGAATCACCTGCTATGACCAATAGTGAGGAGGGGATGACAGCAACACAGTGATCAGACAACCCACAAGACAGCCAGCCCTCTAGGAACGTTAGCTATTCGCAGGAGCTTTATTATTTAAAAGCCTTGTCATAACAATACCTTGTCCCCTTTGGAGGGAAAGTATAACTTTTATTTACAAATAATTATTGAGCATGCTAGATGCTACTAGAACAAAAGTTACGGTTTCCACTGTTAAGGAGAAACAATGGAGAAACCAGCGTGAGCTCCAGTGCTTTCTTCGATTTGGTGCACTGAAGAATCCCATTTTGGGAGCAGAAAAACCCTGTGTGTTGTGTTAGCTGTTCCTTATCACCAACGAGAGTAAGTATTGTTACCCTCACTACATCTACGGGTAACTGAGGCACAAACGTTGTGAGGCAGTTAATGTTCCCAGGGTCACCCATGGGCCAGCTGGGAGGGCAGCATCGCCCCGTGAACATACCCTGGGCCCCTCCCATGTTCAGGACTGAGAGGCAGCACTCCTGGGAAGGGCCCAGCCTCAACCTCCTAAATGAGCTCCTGCTGAGGACGGGGAAGCAGGGCAGAGGCATCGAGGCCCTGGCCCCGCCCCTCAGGAGCCTGAGAACAGCCAGGCACTCACCATGGGCTTCTGGTGGGAGGGGCCGGGGATGGACACTCCACTGCTCGTGCTCACGGCTTTCTTGGTCACCTGCACATACACCTTCCCATGGTCTTTGGAGACAAGGCAGTGGTAGAGGTCATCGTATTTGACTTCTAGGAAAATGGCTTCTCGATCCACGTAGTCTCCACTTTTCAGGAAGTAAACAGCTTTGGAGGAGATGAGCACGCAGTAGCTGTCAATGTTCTCCACAGCGATGAAGCTGCAAAGCGAGACGGGAACACAGGAGTGACACCTGGGGCTTCGCCCAGCATCAGGGGGAGGCCCACTGCGGGCTCTGTGGCCCCAGGGCCTGAGTGCGAATCCCGGCCCCCTTGCCGGGAAATACTTCTAAATCCTGAAATTCTATCTTGTGGGTGTTTGTTGTTTTTCTGTGAGCATTTTTGGATAGCTTAAAGCTTACAGAAAACTGTAACAATACTCTATTGGACAAAACAGAAAACACGATGCCTTTCAATGTGAAACTGAAGGAGCAGCTGAGAAAGTTCACTGCCTGGCAGAGGAGAGGGAAACATGAAGGGGCGAGAAGACGCAGCTGGGGGCGCTGAAAGCTGAGGGGGGAAAAGCAGAATTAAACAGGTTCACCAAATGGCACGCCATGAAGAGACAGCCTGGCGTTAAAACACCTGCACCTCCCCATCCGCTTCCTCCCTCTCTAAGCTCAGCACCTCCAGGGACAGGGCACCCCCCCATCCACTTCATGTTCAGAAAACTCAAAGAGTCAGAAAACGCTTTCTTAGGTAAAACTGTCATCTTCCTTTTGGAAACTTCTAGTTGTTACTTCAGGAGCTTTAGGGCCACTCCAACAAAACTGAATTCCTCTATCATGGAGCTCACACATTCAAAGTGGAAATTTATGCACATCAAACCTCTCTGGCCACTGAATGAAGAGCAGTGAACCTTGGGAACAGTGTGACAGTTCTCCCGGGCCTGGCTGCCTCCCCTGCATCTTGTGACAGCCCTTCACAATGGGGCTGCAGTGTCCAGGGACAGCAGACAAGGATGGACAGTGGCAGGAATACTAAAGGCTGACGACGGAGTGGCAGTCGAGCTCCTGCTGGCAAACTGAATTGCTCAGAGCCAGGCTCCACCTGGAAGTGTTCTGAAACCTGGGTCCAGAACGGCGTTGTTCCCAGGTCCTCTGAAGGGGGCAGAAGCCTGGGGGCAGGAGGTGGCCTGCCTGTCGAGGGGAGCAGGCTGCCGGGCCCTCGCTCACTTGGGGTCCGTGCAGGACGCACACCTGCTCTCCCAACTTCTCTAGATCCCATCCCCCTCCCCGCAAGGATCACAGGTTCTAACTTCTCTGTGAAGCATCCCCCACATACTCCAGCCCCTCCTCCACTTTTGAGCATTTAATTGTGATGGCCCCCAAAGCATGGCCAAGCACAAACTCATTCTTTCCACATGTCCTGGATAAGTCTCTTTGCTGACTACGAGGTGAGCCCTCTAAGTGGAGTCCATATCTCACAGCCCCGTGTCTTCCTGAGCACCCCACAGAGTTGGCCACCCCATCAGCGCTCAGTAAGTGACTGCCTTGTTCCAGTTGCCATTTTAATTACAGACGCCCATGACAAAAACTGGGATTTATTGTTCTATTCTAACTGGTTGGCAATGCCAAGAATGTGGACTTGTAAAGTCTCAATGCTGAAATTAGAAAGACCCGCAGCCTTCAGTGTTTAGGCCACTCAGCACAGACGTTCTCACATCTTGCGCTCTAACCGCATTGAGAGCGGCAGCATCACTGAACAGAGTTGAATGGAATCTGAAATAGCTGGTCCGGGGAAGAAAGGAGGGCACAGGGAAAGACAGAAAGACAGACAGAGAGGGATAAAAATGATCCTGACACAGAGAAGAGGTGACACAGCGCCAGCCAGAACTGGCGGGGATCTGAGATGAGACCCGGAAGCAGCCTACACCCCTGAGCATCGGTGGGCCTGGTGCACAGCCACTGAGGCCGTCACGGGCTCTCCAAGGAGACTCCAAAGTTGGCCACCATGATTGGGATGACAGCAGGAATGTGCATGAAAAATCCAACTGAGATGTGAGGTTCCTTCCTCTAGGTGAGCACAGCACAGGCACTTCCACCTCATTGCCCAGCCCCCAGCCCCCAGCCCCCAGCGCCACCACCCTGGGCACTTGACATAGCTGACATTTACATGTCAGCCAAGGGCTTCCCATCCGGGCAGATGCTCTCACACCCAGGCCAGAGTGGCCGACATGACTAGTGTGCTTTCCATCCTGGAACACTTCTATAGGCTTTCAAACAGACTCTTTTCCAAGATGCCCCAGATGGTTCAAGTCCTCCATCAGGCCAGAACCACTTCTGGAGGAGGGGTGACTCTGAGCTGGGACGCCCTCCGGAAAAGTAGAGAGCACAGCGAAGGAAACACAGGCCGAGCTGGCAGGAAAGCCCGGCCCGCTGGCTGACTCTGGCCGAGTCCGTTGCTTTCTTGGTAGCTCAGACTCTTTCATCTCTCTGATGGAGAGGGTAATCCCTGCCAGTTTTCTTCACAAAGTGAGCACGGAGGTCAAGGAATTCATGGCCATACAGAAAGGTAAGTGGAGGAAGGCAGTGCTGTCACTCCACACGGATCTCTGTCCTGTAAGTCCAGGACCCTGTGCATGCCCCGAAGCTGCTACTGATAATAACATATTTCTGGAAATTGTGCATGAAATGTTCTAAAGTCCTTTCAAATCAAAAGCAGATCAGAGCCAAGGGTCTGGCTGAAGAAGGAGAAGGGAGAGAGTGAGGCCACAGCTGGAACTGGGCAGTGACCCCAGGGACCAGGTGGCCACAGCTCTGTCCCCATCATCCTCCTGAGGCTTTCCTGCATCCCACAATGGCCAGGGCTTTGGGTTGCATCATCATCGTTATTATTATTAATTTTAATTTTTTCTTTTTCTTTTTTTTACAAAATCTGCCAAACACATCAAAGAATAATTAAACAGCTCCAGACCAGACCCCTTATCTAATGGAGCCTCATATCAAACTTGTCACTCTGTGAGAGAAGCAGCAAAACTCAGGGTGGTAAGAGAAGCCTGGCAAACGCGGCACGCTCCCCGCCCTCCCCTCTGCCAAGCTGCACCTTCTTCCGTTCCCTTTCCCTAAAGCCACAGGTAATTCCCCTTCCCTGGCCTAGTTCTCCCAGGCTTTCCTTTGCCTCACTTGAGGTTCCTTGAGTGCTCACACTGCTTTGTAGTCTCAACCCCAGGCTCTCCTGTCTTCACTGCCCTTAGAATCAAGCTTCCCGCAAGGCCTGCTTTTGGTCCACGAATGAGTGACTGTTGGAAAAACCTCAAGGGAAGAAGGCCACCGTGGTCTCAGGTGGCCCTGAGCAAACTCCTTCTGTTCTCTGATCTGCTATTAACTGAGAGGAAAGGGGAGCAAAAAAATGCAGCCAGAAACACACAGCATCAGATAAGCTTTATCCTTCCAATCTGAGACCTAGAGAAGTCACCTCAGTATTCAGTTGACACATTTTAGGTTGCTGTAGATACTATAATTGATTCTATTTAAAAAATAGGATTTTTATACTATTCTTAAACCTCGGTTAAAAGTTTCAACTCTTAGGGCAGAGCATGGTGGCTCCCACCTATAATCCCAGCACTTTGGGAAGCTGAGGTGGGAGGATCGCTGGAGCCCAGGAGTTTGAGACCATCCTGGGCCACATAGTGAGACCCCATCTCTATTAAAAAAAAAAAGAAGAAGAAGAAAGAAAAAAGTTTTAACTCCCCTTTAAGGAGAGAAAGAGGATACTCTGGGCTTGGGGCTCAGTGTCAGAAAGTTTCTTCTGAGAGAAGGGAAGGCTGCAGCACCAGCTTACACCCTTTTCCAAGATGACAGGTGCTAAGAGTGGGTGAATCTGCCAGGAGCCAGTGCCGCCTTAGTAGAATGCACCATCACTAATGTCATCCATAAACCATGAACCACGGGGCATTCTCAACAACAGCAGCCATGGTAGCATCAACAGCAGCCTCAGGCCTCCTCTGGGGCAGGTCACAACGTCCTCCCAAGCCACACTGCAGCCTCGCCAGGGGAGCCAGCCACCCTGATGCCAGTCGTCTCCGCCTCTCACTTTGCCCAGAGCTTCCCCATCCTGATGTGTAGAACCCCATGGGTCTACTCTGCAGGGCCACTGTGATGGTGTGAGCTAATCTACGTGCCCCACACAGAAGAGATCCGCAGTTAATGGTAGCTCTTCTGTTGAGAACAGGTGCCCAGTTACCCCAAACCTGTGGGGGATGACCCCTCCTTTCCCCACACATCCTCTCATCAGCAGATTGGAGAGAGATGTCTCTCTAGAAGGCCACATGGAAAACAGACTCATGACCAGCTTCTCTCAGGGAGAAATCTGCCAAGTAACTGTTTCAGCCACTCTACTTAATTTTCCTCCTGCTCTTTTTTTTTTTTTTCGATATTAACTCATTTATATACCTGATTCTACTCCCTCTGGAGTCATTTCAAAATCAGAAGCCTGACTCAGAGCTCCTGGAACAGGCTCCTCTACCCCTAGGCGTTACCCACCCCAGGTCCACCTATGGCCCTGACTCCATGTCTGGGCCCAGTGTCGCTCTGAGTGCCAGGCCCTCTTCAGGGGACCTCAGCTCGTCCACTGGGGAGATGCTCCTTCTCCAACCCTTGCTCTTCAGCACCCCCAGCCTCATCAACCAGACAGGCAAGGAGCCCGAAGCCACTCTCAACCCTCCTCCTCACTCAGATTCCAATTTAGCAGTTGAGGGTTCCACTGATGCTGCCTCCTAAATGCCTCTCCAATCTGTCCTCTTCTAGTCATCGTTACGGCCACTGTGTTCAGGCCTCTCCACCTTCTACCTGGACTATCCCACGGGCCTCCTAACTGGCTTCCTGCCTTCAGTCTCTCTACCTGCTGCTGTCAAGGTTTTATTTTTCATGACGAATTTTGAGTGGGATCCTCTTCCTCACAATCTCACTCCCACCTACAGGAGAGGCAAGCTCCTCGGCATGACCACTAAGGTCAGCCTTCAGCAACAGGCCTGGGAACCCACCCTTCCAGCCTCTGCTCCTTCTTTCCACACGTGCTGCTGCTACAAAAAGCTGACCCCAAATTCCCCAGACCTGCCGTGAGCTCTTCTGTCCCGTGTATCTGCCCAGCACTGTGCTCTGCCCAGGCGCCTTCTCTCCTTGGCACATTCCTCCGCCTCCTGCAAGGTCAGGCGACTCATCCAGCGCCTTCTCTGTGAAGCCTTCCCTGGCTTTCCAGTATAAATTAATCACTTCCCATCTGTGGTTCCATAATACGTTGCTCATACTTCTATTTTAACAGCAATATATGTTATAGGTTGTTGGTAATACAGTGTCTGCTTCCCCTGCTAAACTGTGAACGCACTGAGGACAGAGGAAATTTCTTACTCACCCTGGCACATAGTAGGATTCAATAAATGTATGCGTTAGTCTGTCTCAGAAAATGACACTGGCATTAGGGTAAGGCAAGAAATTTGCCAGTGCACAGGCAACTTTGGATGCTGGACACATGTTACCAGTAGGAAAGTTGAAAACTTCTCTTAGAACTCCTGATTTAGCTTTTAAAGATTTAGCAAACCTTTAACTTTATCAGAGTAGCTGAGCCATCTGCCAAATCCAAGTTTTAATTCAGAGGTGTATCAACAAATGGCCAATTCTGTAAGTGTCAACAGTTACTAGTACATTATTTCCTGGTTTAGGAAATGGAAGCTAATAAATTCTATTCCATTCCTCAGAAGGAATGAAACATATATAGTCCTTGAGACTACATATGTTACTATAAGGTTTGTATTTATAATGATATGCTATTAGAATCAATATTATATGGTGCGCTCAAAAATTTTCCTGATTGCTCTCTCTCTGTGAAATTTCTCAAGGAGACAAGATACAAAAATCGTAAACAGCATGTTTACAAAGTAGATAAGAAAAGAGACTTTTACTCTTGATTTTATTTTCTTCTATACTCTTGGATTTGCTAACCATGCATATGAGTATCTTTTTGAGACAGGGTCTCACTCTGTCACCCAGGCTGGAGTGCAGTGGCGTGATCTCAGCTCACTGCAGCCTTGACCTCCCAGGCTCAAACCATCCTCCCACCTCAGCTTCCCAAGTAGCTGGGGATAGAGGTGTGTGCCACCATGCCCGGCTAACTTTTGTATGGATGGGGTTTTGCCATGTTGCTCAGGCTGGTCTTGAACTCCCGGCCTCAAGCGATCCTCCCACTTTGGCCTCATAGCTCTTTGGGAGGCTGAGGTGGGAGGATGACTTGAGGCCAGGAGTTCGGACCAGCCTGGGCAACATGGCGAGACCTCATCTCTACAAAAAATTGAAAAGAGGAACAACTTATCTGGCTGGTGGATGCATAGGGTACTTTTATTTTTTATACTTTTCTGTATTTAAAAAATCCCATAAATGTTACTTTCTAAAACTATATTTTAAAAGTACAATTTAAATTGTCTTAATTCCAGAAAGCAGTACATTAGAGCAGCTTCGTAGGTCATGTGGGTTGCTCATGAGCATTTTTTAAAAGGCAGGAGCCACCCTACTGCTCACCAGCCTGGTGTGCACCGTTATAGGTGATGCAGTATTAGAAATAAAATAGGTACCTTAAAAAAAAGAAAATGAGTTTCTGGCTACAAATGAGACATGAGTTAGAAAGAAAAATTAATTTCACCATATAGGACAAATTTTACTTTAACATCATCTTAATCCAGATCCTGTTTCAAAACCAAAACTGAGAAAGATGGGAAGCAATGACAATTGTGCAACTTATCAGAGGAATATATGATTAATTTGAAAGTGAAGACTTTTCAGCTGGCCAGACCAGAAATCATACGTTGGTAACTATCTTTTTAATATTAATTAATTAAATAGAATGACAAAATTAAATGCAACTCGATCTGGGAGAATAAAGTTGAAGTCACCAAGGCACTGGGGACTTCGTGGGGTTTTCACTCCATCGGGAAATAATTACACAATATTTTCCAGAAGTGAAACAGTGAGCCTAACTGGAAAAAAATGTGGAAACATTTAGTCAGAACAGTAGAGCAAGGTATTAAAGATCCTTTAAAGGGGTTAACTCTGAAGGGAAATACGCAAATAATTAGGTCTTTAAACATGTTTTTAATTACAAATCTAGGATAAAAGTCAGAGGTATAATTTGGCGCTCGTGGGCTTTTCCTGAAAACTCCTTTCTTGCAGAGTGATGAGTGTAATGTTCACTCCACCGCGAAGACCCAGGCTGACAACTGAGGACACTTCAGAGGAACATGCGACACACTCCCTGATGGCTTCTTCCTTGTACACTTGGGAAGGCCGTGGTCACGTGCCTCCTTCAGCATTCATTGGCAAGATTTAACCCACAACTTGGGTGGAGACACATGGTTTTCATCTTTAAAGTCAAAATTCATTCATGCCAATATCTCTTCCTAGTTCATATGAATTTCATGAGTTTCATGAAAGCTATTTTACTGATTTCATTTCGATTCCAGTTTTTAGCTCTCTCTGGCTCTGTTTTTCAATGTGTGTATCTCACTGGGAGCAGTCCTATGTTGGCTGTACCACGCAATTTCTTCTATTGCAAACAAATTTCACAGTGACCAGAGATAGTTCGACTTGAATAGAGGTGAGTTGGGGAGGAAAGTGAAAAGAAAACATGCAATAATTTATAATCTCATTTAGCCTGTGACTAAAAAACCCCCAAATGAATGGAAAATGGACGCATGTGAACACAAATGCTGAACTGCAGCTATCTGGCTATATGTACTGGGTACCTATTAGATGCCAGGCACTGTTCTATGTGCTGAGGATTCTTTCCTGAATGGAACAGGCAAAAATCCCAGCCTCACAGGGCTGCCATTGTAGTAGACTCTGCACCACATCCTGCCAGACCTGAGAAATTTGGATGGGGGGTCTCTAGACCCCCCATCCAAAGGCTAAAAGTTCCATCTACAAAGCAATATCAAGAGCAGTCATGGTACCAAATCCCTGCCCCAAGGAATGAACTGGAGCAGTTCTGGAGTGAACTGATGGGCACTCTGGGCACTGGACTGAAACGGCAGAACCTATTAGCAACACCTGCTGTGGACAGAGTTACCCCCTCCCCGCCAATTCATATGTGGAAGCCCTAACCCCAATGTGACCATTTGGAGTAAGAAAGTAATTACAGTTAAATTAAGTCATAAGGTTGGGGCCCTGAGCTGATAGGATTAGTACCCTTATAAGAGACACCAGAGAGCTCCCCCTCTCTCTCTGCAATGTGGGGACACAGTGAGAAGAGGGCTATCTGCAAGCCAGGAAGAGAACCCCCAGCAGCAGCAGAATCAGAAGATGCCTTGATCCTGGACCTCTCAGCCTTTAGAACTGTGAGAAGACAAATTTCTGTTGCTTAAGCTGCCCAGCCTATCATATTTTATAATGGCAACCCAAGTAGACGAAACAAGAAAGTACAACTCCATCTTCAAGAGACCTTCTAATAACACCACAGGGGTCACACAAGGCACATGTAGGAAGATGCCATTCTATCCGGCAAGCAACAAATACCTTCTGGAGTTGGCTTTTGATATCCCCATTCAAATACTACCATGAAACTATGAGATGAGATCTACTTAACACTGTCCCTAACAATGACTCTGAAGACTATCCTGACAGTTGACGTCTATTTCAGACATTCCTCCACCCACCGAAAAACACCCACAGCACTCAGAATCCCCCACGCTCGCTTTACCTTAAAGGAGATGGCAAATAAGCATCAGAAGAAATTAATCTAGTATTTTGCTACTCCCAGACACAACTAACTGCTTTCTGTGGGCTGGTGGTTCTAACACCTATTCAGGTTATAGAGCACTTTCATGCTACAAGGATCTCTGCAAAATATCCTAAAATAGTGAAATACTTAACTCTACCGTGTCAACTAGGAATAATATCACTAACTGAAGATATGACAAGGTATATAAGGCTCCATATTTAAAGAGTAACGAAGCAATCTTACGAAAAATACATTTCCAAAATGTCCAACTATTAGTTGTTTGCTATTTGTTTTTCTGTTTTGTTTTGCTAGCATTCTGCGGCAAAAATGGGATATCAAACTTTAAGAAATTTTTACAGGAGAAAAACCTTAAAATTGAGAACATTTTATTCATGATCTTCTCTCTTTGAACTAACTAGAAAGAGACTGTCATTTTCTAGAAACAAAACACTAAGGCCAGGCTATGGCACACAGTTGAGAACCACTGCTTTGAGTAAAAGGCTGTTTAGCATCAGTTATATCTAAATCTAAAAAACATTTGGGGCAAGGAATTCTTTGACCAGATCTAAGGTCCAAGAGTCATGAAAATAACTCAGATCAGATGGAGACTTCTCAGGATCAAAAGAAGAGGCAACTCAGTAGACCCACAGGGCTGGTTTCCCATGCTCTAACTTACAATTCGTCCTGTATGTTGTCTGTGAGTTTGAAGAGCTGCTCCTGTCCTTCCGCCTGGCTCTCAGAATATCGGGGAAGCAGCCCCTGGGGCCCCGTGCAGCAACGCGGTTTCCGAACCCTCTGTGCTTGAGTCCTAGATGGGTAAATGGACATAAAGCCAAGAGGTTAAGTGTGCAGGTTAAAATGATTTTCCTTTCTCACTAAGACAAAAGCACTCTGTAATACGAGACATACTTTACATTTAGTGAACAGAATTAACCTACAGTACTGCCTGTGAATACACCATGAAATAGCGGTTAAAGACCCTCATTTGACTTTGAATCCTGCCTCTACCATTTTCTGGCCATGTGATCATGGATAAGTTGGTTACCTTCCTTAACCCTCAGTTTCCGTTTTCTCTCTGAAACAGGACGATGACACCTACCTTAGAGGACTGCTGTGAAGACCAAATAAAACAGTGCCCGCCAAGCCTGCTCCTGGCGGATGGTGAGCTGCCCACCAGCGGCGGCTCTCGTTCCTGCGGTTATTACTATAATAGATCCCCCTGGGCCGCACCCTCTTTTTTAGGCCTCTCTTCAGGAGAGCCATCTTTGGATTTGTGATGGGTCTGGAAGAAAATCCTGGGCACTTAGTAAGAACACACCAACCCTTGAGACTTCTTCTAAGATGAGGTCAGTTCCTTGGGCAAAGGGTGAGGGACGTGGTAATCATGCGAGGGGAAGAATGCCCCCTGGACCTGGACCTGGACCTGGACCTGGACCTGGACCTGGACCTGGCCCAGGCCACAGGCTGGGATTCTGCAGAGGCTCTAACTCGGGCCACTCAGCTGTCGGCGGCCCGGAGGAATCTGCTTTGTTATGGCTTTCAGGGTAGGCTGATGTTGTCTTTTTCCACACAGCATATACAGGGTAATTGGTAAGTACTTTCTGGTGTTTTCCTAGAAACAGGAGTGCACATTTGTCTTGGAAAGGCTGTGCATATTTCAGATGACTGATAAGAGTGCACTGGGTCTGTCCTCGGCCTTGTACTTGCTGTACTTATTATTTGTTCCTGGAGCTCACTGAAGCAAAACACTCCTCTCTAGACAGATCTAAAAGAGAGGAGAAGCCTTACACATCGAATCAGCACTTCAGAAACAGGAACTAACAGTAAGCAGCATAGAGATTTACTTACAAGGGCAGAAAGTGCCCTGGTGGGCAAGTCAGGTTGGAAATATGGACAGAAACAACCCCAGAAAATTGTCACAGGCCATGCAATGGGCCATGCACAGCTGGGATAACTGAAAAGTGCTCCCAAAGCCAGGTCAGCACTCAGTTCATCAGGCTGTGACATCTGAAGGACAGCCCCATACCTTGGTGAGGTTTAATGTGTGCTGGAAAGACAAAAATCCAGCAATAATTTTACAAAAGTTCAGTTATAAGGACGTCTTCAGTACTATTAATTGTACTCTCTAAGGGTATTACAGAGACTTTATAGAAGTTTCAATGATCTGCACTAAGGGAAAGAGTAAAAAACCCATTGTGTTTATATCACACACTCACATACCCCGCCAGTCTCAATTTTTCCTTCAAGACGCAGGCTTACAGTTGGCTACTCAGAGCCCAAATATCGATCGAAAGTGGGGAGGGCGGTAGAGGGGCCGCTGCTAACCCATCAGGAGAGAAGCTGGACGACTGCTGCCGAGAGGATGCTGGTAACCTCTGCAGGCAGCGGGGTTGGGGGAAGGAGCTTGGCGTGCCTCTCCACGTAGCAGAGCTCTGTTCTTATCTCCTTGCCTAGCAAAGCACTTGCTGTCATTCCAATAACTGCCTACACAGGCTAATAAAGTATCCTTTCCCCAGGGCAGTCCTGCTGACCTCTCTGTCAGGCTACATGGTAGAAGCCCAAAGGCTCTCCAAGAGGAATATGGCAGGGTCTGCTTCCTCATCACTTTCAACGTAAGGTTTGATTCAGACTCGTCTCAACATATCTTCCCCAATCAACTGGGAGGCCTGCAGGCTCAAATTCAATATATATCCCAAATCTGACTATTTCTCCATCTCGATCATAACTAACAAAGGATCCCTGGATTTGTAATATATTATTACAGTAGTCTCATAATTTGTTCTCTTTCCTTCCATCCTTGTCCACTCTCCTCATGGCAATGAGAATGGCCCTTTCAAAAGATGTTACATCGGCCGGGCGCAGTGGCTCACGCCTGTAATCCCAGCACTTTGGGAGGCCGAGGCGGATGGATCACAGGGTCAGGAGATCAAGATCATCCTGGCTAACACGGTGAAACTAAAAATACTACTAAAAATACAAAAAATTAGCTGGGGTGGGCGGGGGAGTGGCGGGCGCCTGTAGTCCCAGCTATTCAGGAGGCTGAGGCAGGAGAATGGCATGAACCTGGGAGGCGGAGCTTGCAGTGAGCCGAGATCCTGCCACTGCACTCCAGCCTGGGCGACAGAGCAAGACTCTGTCTCAAAAAAAAAAAAAAAAAAGGTAAGTTACATCAAGTCAGTCATCTGCTCAAAGCACATTTGCTTTCCATCCCAGGTGGATAAACATGTTATTTACTGCTTGGCTCCCATGTGGACTGGAAGCTCCAGGAGAGGGGGAATTTGTTTCATTCACTGCATTCCTGGGATGGAGAACAGTGTCTGGTTTATGGTAGAGCAGCAGTCAGGATAAGCCGAATAAACGAGTGAGTGCCTGGTGGCTGGCAGACGGTATAAGGGCCATTAATTGAGCTAAACAGGAAGGCCAGTATGCAAGCTTTGGTGGAGAGTTTGAAGACTAAGGATTTTGAGCCCTGAAAGCAAAATCAACATTGAGGCAAAATATGAAGCAGCTAGAACCCCATCTTCCTGACAGAAAGGACAAGGCTGTCTCTGTCTGCCCCACTGATCAAAACACAGAAAGGGACATGACGGCAGTGTCCTGAAGCGGACACTGATGACAGGCCTTTCCCTTACATGAAGCAGGATTTTCATTAGTACTCAAAGCTGAGGGAAAACATGCTACCAGGCAGGAGAAAACTTGCTGAAGTCCTAAATGCCTCTGGTGGATCCGAGGAAGCCAGAGAAGCCAACGAAAGATGGCTTGTTTCTGGACCCGAGCTCTTAAAAATTTAATCTCATGACAGCTCCAGAATAGTTGAGAATGGGAGTAAAGGGCTCACCTTGTTGATCTTCTCACACGATCAAACAGCTTTCTAGTGTAAACAGTTATTTCCTGACTCAGTGGACTCCCTCAGAGCCTTACCCAGGTTTCAGTGATCCAACCTCACCCCCACTCCCAATACATTATTTTTTAACCTGTAAACTGCAAACCCACCAAAACATCAGAGAATACAAAAGCAGAGTGGCTCCCCTGAGGATACACACTGACTATCATTATGTTTCTTTTCTTGACTGTCTTCACAACAGGCCACAAACTATCTTCCCATTTCCAGGGTTCTTGACTTTTGATCAAATAATATCAAGGGCAAGGTTGGATTCAGTGCTCAACACTGCTGACTAGGGGAGCTCACTGTGGCATTCAAGGCTAATTTTTCACATCAACATGGAAGAAAAGACAGATGAGTTCAATTTTACCCTAAAAGGAAACATCTTCTGTTACAGTCTTATGAATACAAGGACTTCCAGAAGGCATACTCTTCCTAGAAGCAGAAAGCTGGATTAAAGGAATTTTCCCCCCACTCCTGTATCACCTCATCAATGTCAGTGCCTGAAAAACTCTTCTTTCTTCTCTAAAACTCAACTAAAAATTTACCTTCTCAGGTCCAAGTTGGTAGGCTGTGGGTAGGGGGAGAGTATTTGAAGTCACTGCATATGAACAAATTTAGTTCCAATCTTAAAGAATTACTAAAATAATGTAAAAAGCTAACAGTAAGCTAGTGTTTTCAAACCTCGTAAGCCAGCAAAAAGTTTAAAGTGAAGTTCTTCAGCCCAGGCCACTGTGTGACGACGCTGTTTTCTTCATCTGTTGATGTGACACTGTACGTTCAAGTAGGCCTTTTAAACGAGTATGACCATGTAACAGCAGTCCTACATTTGTTCATGCTCAGTGACAGTGTGTCCATTTTTAAGTGACTTTCCTGTATGTTCCAGTAAGCCTATGAGCACCTGGAGGGAAAGGACTCTAGTCTTTTTTTTTTTTTTTTTTTGAGATGGAGTCTCGCTCTGTCACCCAGGCTGGAGTGCAATGGTGCAATCTTGGCTCACTGCAAGCTCTGCCTCCCAGGTTCATGCCATTCTCCTGCCTCAGCCTCCCGAGTAGCTGGGATTAGAGGCGCCCGCCACCATGCCCAGCTAATTTTTTTATATTTTTATTAGAGACGGGGTTTCACCGTGTTAGCCACGATGGTCTCCTGACCTCGTGATCCACCCGCCTCGGCCTCCCAAAGTGCTGGCATTACAGGCGTGAGCCACCGCACCCGGCCAGTCCTTTTTTTTTTTTTTTTTTAATAACTGGTCTTTAGGACTGGGCTTATTATCCTCAGTTCAAGGCCCACTCTCATCATTGGGCTCTCTTTATTTATTTGAAATAAACATCTGTGAAAGCAAAAAAAAAAAAACTCCATCACTCAATCGTGGACCACAAGTTGGTCTTCTGCCACCCCAAATCCCTGTTCCTCCTTTAACTAAGGCAGCCGCTGTTCTGAATCTTGTGTTTCTCATTCCTGTGCTTTTCTTTTTTATGTAGCCTTACCACATTTCAAAGGATGCTCCAGTACATTCTTGTTATGTTCTTTGGGTTTAGTTTTGGGCTTTTGAAAAAGGATGTCGCTGTCACATTGCTAAGATTCAGGTATTCTTTTGTGTGTAGCCATGATTAATTCACCATGTCTCTGCTTTGTTCATATTCCATTGTATGACTATCCCATGATATATCCATCTTCCTGTTGATGGCACATGGGTTTCTTCCAGGTTCTGCTATTACAAATGATGCTATTATGAACATTCCTGTACGTGTTTCCTGGTGAACTTTGAGAATCTATCTAGGGGGAATTTGCTGGCTCACAAGATATAAACGTTCACTTAACAAGATAATCCAAACTGCGTTCGAAGTGGCTGAACCATTTTTACATTCCTGCCAATGAGGCATTTAAGGGGCCCTAGCGATCTATATCCAACACTTGGTATTGTCTAGGACAGCACTGTCCAATACATAGCTACTGACCACGTGTGGCTACTGAGCATGTGAAATGTGGCCAGTGTAACTAAAGGACTGAATTTTAAATTTAAATTGTATTTTGGATAGCACTGGTCTAGACTCTTGAATCTTTGCTGCTTGAATGGATATTAAATGTCTTCTTATTGTTTTTTCATTCCCATCTTCTCCTTTCAGCCTATAGCCTACAGCATAGTGGTACCCAATAAATACATAAATTAATAAATTTAAAAAAGTGGAGTAGCTGCAGATCCTGCCATTGGTGCTACAGCAGCAGATCAACGTCTAAACGACTCAGGCCCACCACTGTTAGGCCTGCGGCCTCCCTGGTGGCTTTGTTCCTTTCCTCTGACCACCTTTGCTGCTACTTGGGCAGGGTCTTGATACAATAATTCTGGGGACAATGGATCACCGAACAAGAGGTGGCCAAAATCCACCCACTCACCTCTCCTTAGTCGACAGCATCTCTTATGAACCAACACTCAACCTAGGAGTCTGTTCAGCGCACATGCAGCAACTCTGCCTCCACAAACCTTTGTTTGGCCAAAGGTCTGCGGTATATTTAATTGCTGCCAGCTGGAGCTTGTCGGCCATGTTAAGCCCTCAGCTGCTGCGGTTTACAAATTTCACAGTGTATAGAAAGAAGCAGTCCTTCCAGTCAACCAGCTAATCCAGAATGTCAGCACCAAACCAACTTGAGCTTTGAACTCTATGAAAATGTCAGGGAGTCTGCTGTACAGCATGGAGGACTCTTCCCCCAGGGAAGGGGCTGTGGATACAGTGGCTGATACACTGCAGATATCCTTCCAGTGAGGGCAATCAATACAGAGTGTGCCTGCATCTGGCCATTGCTATCTGATATACACCGGAGGCCCAAAACCAATGATCAGAGTAGTAACAACTCATGTCTTTTAAAAAAAAAATCAACAGTAAATCCAAACAAGGTGACACAGGGAGATCCAGCCAATTCCACTTGGTTGATCTTGCCTTTCAGCCTGAAAGTCAACATTTAGCCAGGCATTAATTATTCGTAGCTTATACGATGAGTAACTATGTCATAGGTCTGTTAGTTAAGACAGATGCTGTGCACACATACACATACCCCTACACAGCTTAATTTGGTTGAGAAGTCTGTCATGGCCAATGTCTATCAGCCAAGTGATGTTCAAAAACAATCAGTAAGTGAGTAGAAAGTGTATGTCACACATGTGACGTTAGCATCATAGAATGTTTATTCAACTGATGGCTGCCATCTTCCTTAAGGGTTGTGTGATGGGTTGTGCTTGCATTCACTTTATGTATGTGTCCAGGGCTTTTGTTTTAATCAAGTATCTTACTGATATATACTGTGCTCGAGTGTGCACAATTAGACTGAGAACGAAGGTCAATCCAGACTACCTCTTCCAATACTGGTCACTGATAACAGCTACAAGATACCAGGGTTCTTGACCAAATGGCCTAATCAAACATTTGTCATTTCTCTAAGAGAAACCCCGCAGTCTGTCTAAATAGTACTGTCTGCAGTAGAGTAGACGAATTGGTGAAAAACCCTCTGGTATCCACAGCAGTACAATGTCTGCAAGCCCAAGAAGCCCACCATGCCGTGGGCTGCATCTGTCTTGGACCTGTAGCTCCCACCATGCCATGGGCTGCATCTGTCTTGGACCTGTAGCTCCCACCATGCCGTGGGCTGCATCTATCTCGGACCTGTAGCTCCCACCATGCCGTGGGCTTCATCTATCTTGGACCTGTAGCTCCCACCAGGCCGTGGGCTGCATCTATCTCAGACCTGTAGCTCCCACCATGCCATGGGCTGCATCTATCTCAGATCTGTAGCTCCCACCATGCTGTGGGCTGCATCTATCTCGGACCTGTAGCTCCCATCATGCCATAGGCTGCAACTACCTCTGACGTGTAGCTCCCTCCTCTTGGCCACATGCATCTACTTCTAAAGACGAAGTGGAAAAGCATTTCTTCTCCATAAACAGATTTTACTCCTTTCAGTGCAAACTGTAATCAGAGAAGACTCTATTAGAGGATGAAAATTTCTAAAGTTTGCCTCTGTTTACATGAGAAATTCTTCCCCAAGGTTTCAAGAGAAAGAGAAATACACCTTCTAGAACCCACTCAAAGATAGTATTCAATCCGTAGGTTGGGACAATTTGGATTTTGGACACATGGAAAATAGGTTGGGCAGAAAGAAACCCTATGCTAGTAGAGATTGGTTCTTAAATGGAATTACTGACTAAGGATCCAAACTAGGGTAGCCAGAAAAACGAGCCTACTTAGAGCCCTGCAAATGGTTTGTGCCTGCCTCCTCCAGTCCCCTATTCAACCAACCTTTCCCAAACTATCATATGCAGAGGCCAGCACTAGGTCCTGAAGAAGACTGGGATGAATTAAGTATCCAGGGAGCTTACAGCAATTCAGTGGAGGAGATGAACAGAAATGGCAACAAGAACACAGCAGGGAAGCAGTAGGAGAGACAGGGAGCACTAGAGTAGGCAGCATAATATAATGGCTGAGAGGATCGGCTCTGGAGCCAGCCTGCCCAGTGGGTTTGAATCCCAGCTCCACCACTTACGAACTGTAACCACAGGCAAATTATGTGACTTCTTGGAGCGATGGTTTTCTCATCTATAAAGTGGGGGTAATGATGGGTTGTTGTGAGGAGTAGATAAGTCAATACATGTACAGTGCTTAGAACAGAGTCTAGCACATAATAGGCACTCGATAAAATGCTACCTATTCTTTTTATTAGTGTATTATTTAGAGTGCCATGGGTGCACACGAGGAACCCTAGTTGAGGTGTCTGGGATCTAAGATGGGCTAGGGTGTAACATCCAACCTCTTGTACTTAGTTTTCCTACTGGGGAGGCTCACTGCTTCAAACTGAAGTATTTTCCTTTCCCCTTTGCTTTCTTGTTAACATTCTACTTACCTCTCCCTAGAGTTCTCAAGTCATACATGCATAACACACATAAAATCCCATGTTGTACTATTGCCATTGAAAATGTAAGAAAGATGTTGATTCAAGAAATCATTAGAAATTATATTGATATTGTTAAGTTTTTAGCAATTTGACATCCAGCAGCAGGGATGACATTTCCTGGGCTGGGTTTTCTCCCATCAGTGGGATTCACACCTGACTTGTTTATAGGGGTCAAGGCTTCCCATAATTTAACACATGTTTTGGGGACCCCATGACACTGCAACTGTGACAGCTGGTAGGACTAATGCCAACAGATACACCTATTGGGATTTAAACTCTAAGACAAAAATACTCCAGATTTTTTTTCTTAGTCAACTGCCTCAGGGGCGAGACTACCTGTTAATGGCTGGGTGGGGAGGGGCAGAGTTACTTTATAAAGAATTCCAAGAAAATAGATCATGTTATAGTAAGAATGGAGCCTAAAAGGCTTGGATTTCTTTAAAGGCCATAATTTTTGCATGCATTCTGGGTTTGCTTTGCTTTTACAAAATAGTAGACAACCTATAAAGTGGTTTGCAACTTTCAACATCATGGAAGAACAAGGCGCTTTACAATTGTAAGCTTTCTTTGTGTTCTAAGTAGAACATTCTGAGTCAGAGAGTGTAGTGCTTATTGGAATCTCTCAAGCCATTATCAAATTCCTTGCTAACCTGTCACCTCTAATGCCAATCCCAAGATATTTCACAAGGACCGAAATACACCATCTCTGGTAAGCTTTATTTTGTGGCTATTAAGTACGCATGCTAATAATAACAAGCTGATTACATTAATAAACCATACATTTTCACTACTTTTTTTTTTTTTTTTTTTTTTTGGTTCAAATGATTTTCCTGCCTTAGCCTCTGAAAGTGCTGGGATTGCAGGTGTGGGCCACCGTGTCCAGCCCAATATTTTCAGATTTATTTCTGGCAAATGATTATATAATCTTTTTCTTTCAATGTTTATATATTATCTACCTTCTCCCAAAGTTGACCTCTTTTAAGAGAAGAGATGAAATTTAAGAACAAAGTAGTATAAAGGAACAAACATAGACTGGAAAAAGACAAACACAGGCTGAAATCCCAGTCACTTATTAGCTGGGTGACACTGAAGAAGTTACTAGATTGTTCTTAGCCTCAGATTCCTCATCAATAGGTGAGAACTTAATACCTACTTGGTTGATAATGTTGAGATAAAATATGAAGAATGTGTAGCATAGTGCCTGGCACATAGTAGGTACTTGTAAAAGTTAATCATCTCCCTCTTTCCTACCTTTATTCAGAATTATTGGGTGTCAAGTCCATTGAAAATACCAAAATGCGAAAGTGCAGTATTTAAAATTGTATCTGGACGGAGCACCCTGGGGGACAAGTTCTCCTGGACCTGTCTGAATGACTCCTGAGGAGCACACCCCATGTGGGTACAGAGGTGTTTTCTGAAGAAAGGAGTGCTTAAAACGTTTTCACTCACCTGACCCACTCCCATCCATATCCTGTTGCCTGACAGAGCTTTTTAAAACGAGCTAGAGCAAATCAAACTAGCAGCTCAATGAATTACACCAGATATCAAATTCTCATAATTGAAATTAATGAAGTTTTAGAAAAGTGCCATTAATAAAACTCACAGCAGGCGCTTTCAAAAAAAAATTTCAGGGGTAAAACACTTTCTGCAAATGAAGTTTGTAACACAATCTTAGTACGTACAACCGCTGACAATGAAGCTGCCTTGACTGAAGTGGGGGAGGCGTGTGTCCTAACTGTCACCTCTCCCCTGGGAAGCCCTGAAGCCCCCTCCCCCAGGGCCTCTTTCAGTGACCAAAGCCAAGCAGATATGAGGATGCTCCAGCCCCCAGAGGGGACCTGCTTTGTGATTTGTTTGCTTTTTTTTTTTTTTTGAGATGGAATCTCGCTCTGTCGCCCAGGCTGCAGTGTAGTGGTGTGATCTCGGCTCACTGCAACCTCCACCTCCTGGGTTCAAGCAATTCTCCTGCCTCAGCCTCCCAAGTAGCTGGGATTACAGGTATACGGCACCATGCCCGGCTAATTTTTTTGTATTTTTAGTAGAGACGGGGTTTCACCATATTGGCCAGGCTGGTCTCGAACTCCTGACCTTGTGATCCGCCCACCTCGGCCTCCCAAAGTGCTGGGGATTACAGGCGTGAGCCACCGTGCCTGACCCGATTTGTTTGCTTTTTCAAGACCGCCTGTTCACTCAGCCTGGAGGTTTTAAATCTCCTTCTACTATCAAACAGAGACTATGGAGGAGGGTGAGGAGGAAAAGAAAGGGGCAACAGGAGCAGATGCTTCAAAAAGTGCTAGGGACACGGAAATTAAGAACTCAGGAGAATGAAAACCTATGCAGTCACCACACTCATGGGTTTTTAAAGAGAATCTGTTTCAGGCCCTGCAGTTAGACTTCAGGTGGTAGAGGGAGAAACTGAGGCTCTTGGGAGGGTCTCAGGGGAGCCAGTGACATGCTCTCCTTCCAGTCACTCATCTCTTCCAGGGAGGGTGATTCTTCTGAACCCAAGCCATGGCCTGGAAACGTAGGTGTTGAGGGAAGCCATGCGGAACCAGGGATTCTTGTCTCTTCTATGCATGGTCGCACCTCAGCGCTCAGAACGGTGCTGTGTGCTGAGAGGGTGCTCAAGACATGTGATAAAGGGGCAGACCAGGGCCACAAGACTGAGGACTGGGTGCAGGGGAGCCAGACGTGCTGCTTCCGAAGCCCAGAGGGTGAAGAAGCGGCAGTCCGCAGTGGAACTCCTCCTCTGAATCTGAGCCAGAGAAAGGCAGGGCGTTGGTAACAACTCAAGAACTCAAGAACCCCTGGAGTACAGGAATGCTGATCATTCCAACGTGGGGGGGACACTAGAAAGTTACCGACCTGGGTCACGTTCACCCAGAGGGCAACTGGAGAGCTGCCTGGTGGCCTCCGGGGAACGTGCACCGTCTGCACTTTTCCAGGAAGGAAAAGAACAGTGGGGCTTGGAACCCTGGCCGCTCCTCAGGGGCCTGGCTCCCTGTAGACAGTTGACACTCAGCACTTAAACAGCTCAGAACCATCTGACCAAGGGATCAGGTCACGGCACTAGCTCACATTCCCCAGGAGAACTCTCTTCAAATGATTTTTACAACACGGCTCTCATTATTTTGGACCCAAGTTTTAAGTTCTTTAGAACTAGACACAGGAAAGAAGCAACCAATCACCCACTCCTCCTCATCTTCCTCCCGACCAGCTGGTGCTTTTCATTGTTTGCCCTTAAATGTAACCTATGGCTGAGCTTTCTCAGAAGCCAGGGCCACCTCTAGCCAGATGTGCCCCTCTAGAAGCAAGAGATGGTACCTTCTCCTTGAACTTGTGTCAAACTGGCCTGGCTCATCATTCCAATGCCCTCAAGAGTATCTTGGATTTTTGGGCAAAGGAAGAGATTTCTTTTTTCCGCCTCTTGCCATAGCGCCTGGGTGTAAAGCCACAGCAGGCATGAGGCAAGAATATCCACATGTCTGAGTGGGGACTGGGTTCAATGGTGCCTTTCTCTGTGGACAGGAAGGAGGCAGGACACGAGCTGGCAGCTTGGTGGTACCCTTCAGTGCCTCTACAAGGGGTACATTTCTGCCTGGTGCTGCGACGGTCAACCTGGTAACAAAAGATTATTCTTTATTTGGTGATAAGGAGGTCAAGCTGCCTTTTAATTAAGTGCCCCCAGTGTTAACATGAATTGGACTGATTGTCATAGTCCATCAACCCTTGGCAAACTGGTTTGTTTGGTCTGGACAGCAAACAACATTCCACACTACTGGATTTTTTCTCCCAGATCCCCTGCGGGCCCACCCCCCCAACAACCTTTTTAAAAATTACAATCTGTTCTGATGTCTCAAGTTACATTCTGTAAATAATAAGCAACACTGATGAAATGCAAAAAGCTGAAAATTTGTAAAGCAGAAAGATCTGTAGTATGTCCCACATCTGTGTCACATTAAACATGCACTCAACGGATTTGCTGATTCCTGCCTAATCAGTACACAGGGTGATGCGGGCCAGAAGGGCTCTTGTGCCATATGACACGGCAGGGCCAAGGGCCACCAAATGCAGGCAAGGAGGGCCAGGAGCTGGCAACCTAAGGTACAGATGCCAAGACCACCGTGCAGACAACCCTGGGCTGGCCATCCTGCCTGTTTCAGTTTGCGTGCATTGCAAGCTGGTGGGTCACTGCTGCGGTCAGGTCAGGAGAGAACAGCCGCTCAGAACCCTCTTCACAGTCCTCAATGTTGCTGAAGCCGGGCCCATGCGGTTAAACTAAATAACATGTTTTAATGACAAAATGTCTCATTTGAAAGAGTTGGCTCCCCATACATTTAAATGACTACGAAAATAAAAATAGAATTGAAGTAAACCAGTTAAAGTCCATTTGGTTAAATGTTTAGAGGATACTAGAGGTGAGAGTTGCTATGCCATGCCAGACAAAATTTGATCCATCTTTTTTTATCCCAAGCATTTTACATACACAAAGACACACACACACACACGTGTGTGTACACGTGCACATGCACTCATATTCCCACTTTTAAAAAATTGGCAGAACATAAGAGACGAACTGGCAAGTTTGAAACCTGTGGCATCACACTGAGTCCTTGAATGATTATGAGGCTCCATATTAGAAAAAAAAAAAGATTCGGATTCAACAAAAAGGAGCATGTAACCCTCCGAGGACACTCCGTAAAAACACTCTGTGCTATCAACACCTCCTCAACCAGCTTTTATCTGTACTTTCCCACCAATCTTAGGTCAGAAGAAACCAGGATTGAGACTGCTGGGCCACCAAGGTCCACGCTATGTCTCTACAGCTGCACTGACTGAGTGCTGAATGTGTACTGGACACTCCGAGCCTCCCAAGATTCACATAAGGAAGTATCTTACTAGTATTTCATTTTATGGATGAGGAAGCTATGCCTGGCAAAGCCAAACTAGATCTTGGGTCTTTCTGACTCTCTTGATGTACTTGGTCAACTTACTGAATGGTGTGATTTTAATGAAAATCTCTTTAATAGGTACTCTGAGTCCATCACTATGTGAGGTATTCTGAACATCCTTGAGGAATACCAAAAAAGGCAATAACAACAAACTCACAATCCAATTGGGAGGATAAGATCTACATCCTTGAAGTGACTCTGTAGGAAACCTAGCCCATGTATCAACAATGAAAGAGTGAAGGAGGTAAGTGGGAGCGCTGGGGTGGTCCGGCACTATATGCTACAGAGGGTAGGACGGGCTTCCTGGGAAGGCCTGGCCCAAGCAGGTCCCTGCCTCCAGGCACAGCAGGATTTTTACTAATACAAGGATGTACAGCATCAGTACCAACTGGTCACGTTTTACAACAGGAACTGGTGGAAAGAAATACTAAGAAATAGGAGGAAACAAAAATAAAAACCATGTAATAGGCCACGCCACATATAATCCAAAAACATCTGGCTGAAGCCTCATTCTTATTTTTATTTTTTTTTTTTTGAGAGGGAGTCCCACTCTGTTGCCCAGCTGGAGTGCAGTGGCACCATCTCGGCTCACTGCAACCTCCACATCCCGGGTTCAAGTGATTCTCCTGCCTCAGCCTCCTGAGTAGCTGGGATTACAGGGGTGCGCCACCACACCCAGGTAATTTTTGTATTTTTAGTAGAGACGGGGTTTCACCATGTTGGTCAGGCTGGTCTCGAACTCCTGACCTCGTGATCCGCCCACCTCGGCCTCCCAAAGTGCTGGGATTACAGGCGTGAGCCACCGTGCCTGGCTGAAGCCTCATTCTTAATGCCAAAGCGATTCCTAAAGAACTGTAGGCACAGTGATGGTCTTTTATAAAGTCATGATGCAGATTCTAACTTACAGGAACGGAATTCACCAAGAGACTGATATAAACTTTGTTAATATCTGGAAGAAAGATATGTACTTACATGGATGACAAACTGGCTAAATGACAACTGTTGGAAGGGTTAGACCAACACTAGATAAGAATTAAAAAAAAACCACACACTAAAAAGACAAATTCTGACCTTAACGGGTTTAAAAAGATTGAAGCAAAGAATACGCAATGTAATTCACAAAAGAAGAAAAATCCAAATGGCCAACTGAAACACGAAAAGATGTTTCAACGCTTCTAATTCTCAAAGAAATGCAAGTAGTAACACAGATACTCACTCTTTCAGATTGGCAAAGACTTAAAAGAGTAACAATGCCTGGTTCTGAGTACAGTATCTGGCACACTGCAGCTACTTCATGTAATTCTTGACTGAATTCTGAATGAATGAATAGCCAGAGCTGGTACACGGCTGGAGGAGTCAGTCCTCTCACACACTGTGGGTGGGAGTACAAATTGTTTCAACTCCCTAGAAGGCAATTCACAATGTGTTTCAAAGCAGAAAATATACACACCCTTAAATCCAGCAATCATAGTTTTAGGACTTTAGCCTAAGGAGAGAATTATTCAAGTAAGATGGGATATATGTAGAGGATGCTTACAACAGCAACAAATTAAAAACATCCATCAATGGGGAACTAGTTAAGTAGCTTATGGAATATTTGTATTATAATATTATGTAAATGTTAAAAATGATTTTTGGAATGGAAAGACGTTCTAGCACCATTGTGGAGTGAAAAAGATTAGACATCAACATATGTACTCCCATTCATGTCAAATCATATATATATACTAGTATATATATATGTATACTATGTATACATATATGTATACTATGTATACATATATGTATACTAGTGTATATACACATATATACCCATAGAGATGTCTGGTGGGGTTACCATTATTAATCTCTTTGCTTGTCAATGCCCAGGGAGAATAAGTCCTTTTTATTTTCTTCTTTGAAGTGGGAATAATAGTACCCATCACATTCGTTTTGTAAGGATTAAAGAGATAATTCATGCAAGGCCTCTGGAGCAGTGTCCATACACTCTAAGAAATCATATATTGTATGTATTTTCAGAAGTTTACATTTGTACATTCTTTAACTTACATAATCAAACTATGTTTTAAAAAAGATGATACAGAGAGCATTCAGGCACAAATGCCAAAATGTCTAATATGCATTTAAAATCAAAGCATGAAGAGTGCAAATTTCTACCATCATATACCGCATACAGCACAGGCTGGGTGCAGACTAAGAAAGAAGGCGTCAGAATGGCCAGGCTTAGTCAGGAATGGCTTTCTTCTGGATAAGGGGAGGCTGGGTGGAGTTTCTCAAGAGTAAAGGGCCATCAGTTGACCATTACTATCTATGCCTCGTCTCCCAAGATTGGGAGGCAAAGCCCTGTACTATCCTAGCTGGTGGTGAACAGGGCCGTGAAAGTTGCTTTGTTAACCCAAGGGTCATCTGCAGGTCTCCTTCCTAGCCTGCCTGACTTACTTCTCCAGCACGGTCTTGCTTTCTGACCCTGAACAGCAGGAAGGCGGGCTTCTCTTGCTTGCAGTAACCAGCCAGCTTGGAGCAGCATGCCTCTAACCGAGGAACAGGAAGGGCTGGCTGGTCCCAAATGGACCCAGGTGCTCAGCACTCTCCCTAAAGTGCCATGAAGCAAGACACAGTTTGCAGACAGGGGTACTCAATGAATGGGCAAAAGCTCTCTGCCTCCTTGCTTGCCCGAAATTCCCTTCTGGCCAATATAGGGAGAGAGAACATCTGGAACTGGTTTTGAGGCTCCCCAGCTGCAGAGTCACTAGAGTGAAGGGGTTTACAGACTGTCCTTTCTGATTCTCATCAGGGTGAACTACAGCCTAGAAGACAAGCTGGTTCAGAGACCAAATCAACTTTGCTTTGAAATGTTCTCCTTTCCCCATCCCCCTTGAAAGCAGAATTAATGATCCAGGTGGTGGGAAATCAAAAAATAAAAGAGAAGGACTTGGGGTCACCTCAGGTGCATTTCTGTGCCTTCATAAAAATCAGATACACCCCTTGGGTCAGAGTTGACACCAAACCTTCAGAGCACTTGTCCTTCTAGGAAACAAGAACCAACAACACTGAATCCATTTGAACTCCTGGACTGTAGGTCTTGCCTCTACAAGCCTGGAAATCGATATATATAAAATGTGTTAGAACTTGGTGGAAGCCAGTGGGGAAAGAGGCTAGGCCCTTTCAGGTCAGGGAAGGGGTTGGGCACGGAGGGGAAAGACCCATCTGGTGACAGCTACGGCTCACACTACACTATGTGCCTTTTCTACTTGGCCCCGTTGGGTACTGGGATGCAGACTTGCAAGCAGGACAAACTGATCAGCAGCAGGCCCTGGGCCCCTGCCTGGGCCTCCCCGTGCCTCTGGGAAAAGCAGGTGCAGCCAGGAGTCGGCCAATGCAGAGGCAACAGCACCACTTCCTGTCATGCTTCTCTGAGCAACACAAAGCCTGTGCTCTAGACTTTCCTCCAACTGAGGGTTTGTTTCTCCCTCTGGACCTGGGGGCAAAAGGCAGACAGAGAGGGCAGGTGCCTGTGTCTTCCAAAGACCAAGTTCCTTGGGGTGGAGAGAAGCAAGCAGGCCTAGGGCAAACTTGAAGTTGACAAAGGAGAGTGAGTCACACAGAAGGCAGGAAATGAGTCTTCAGTTACTGCTCTTCATTGCTCCCTTTCCAAAGGATTGCTCAGATCCAAGAAGCTGAGACCAGACTTCCTTCTGCATGTTACATAAAGCACTGGGAACCTTCTAGTTAGTGCCCTCTTTGTCTTGAGATTTTTGCAGATAAGAATTTCCATAAATCCCAGTTAGTCAATCATCTGGCTACCTCATGGCATTTTTAGGTATGGTTAAACAGAACCAGAAAATTTCAAAAGAGCAGCAGAATTCCTTTATACAATTTAACCTTAAATACATGATGAGGAGAACCCTCAAACAGGTACTCCATTAAAAGTCAGCCAGTACCAACGTTTGCTGAACTTCAGGATTAGCAATCATGTAATGGAGTCCAGATCGTAAGTTAGCTCCATCCTGGGACTCACTACCAGAGCCAATTTCTAGGTTTTTAAAGCACTTTGACCATGGAATCATAACACAATCCAACAATCTCTGGGTTGGCCAGCCATTTAGTCTCTTCTCCTACCTCTAGAAAGCTTCTGTCCAGGATCCGTGGCACCCAAACAGAAGCTCTCCCTGGCCTCCAAAAGGAGATGGCTATGACATACTGAGCACATGCACCTGGGACAGTCTACTGCGGAGGCTTCTTGTACTGTGTACCAGCTGGAGTTCCCAGGTTACCGCCTGGTGAAGATGGTCTTGGCAGCATGGCAGAGCAAAGATGGGTTGCAGCAGAGAAGTGTCACTGCTATTCTGTGACAAACTGGCACACTGTGAACTTGGAAGGCTGCAGTAGTTCATTATTTCAGGAGTGGAATGGGGTACACAGGGATGGACCAGGGACAGCACAGCTCCTGGGCACAAAGCTTAGTGACCTGCTTCTCTAGGCACTGGCACTAAAAGGCCAGGGTCTCTCCATGCTCAGGCCCACTGCTGTTTGGCCCAAAGAGGCCCTTGAACATGAGCCCTTCCAAGCTTCCCAGCTATAGTATATCCCTCACACTGTCTCTGTGTTAAGCTGGTGGGCTGAGGGAATTCAATACATACCCTTCATTCGCATTGTGGGGTCCAAATTTTATAGTACCTCCTCTCCAAGTGAACCAGGGTCTTTGCACAAATCTTCTGGGCTATAGGCAGATATTAAGCTCCTACCCTTCATATCCAAGAATCGAAAGGAAGTAGACCTAACACTTGGTCAGATGCTTTGGATTGAAATCATGAGGTCTTTCGATGTGAGGGACCGAGAGATGGCCCAGAAGCAGCACAGAGATTAGGAGCATGTACTCTGTGTTCAGTTGGCCAGGGTCCACATTCTGGTTCCCTTCCTTACTACCTCTGAGATCTTAGACAAGTTACGTATCCCCTGTGTGCCTCAACTTTCCCATCTGTACAATGGGGAAAGTATAGCACCCACCTCATAGGGTGGTTGTGAAGACTGAATACTAATGACAGCGATACCATGCAAGCTAGTCAATGTTTTGGATCAATTTCTGCAGCACTGTCATCCCGAGCAGGTGTCTGCCTAAGAGGCATTGTCCATTGCAGACAAGCAGCAATCTGGAAGTGACAGACACAGATTTCTTCCTGGACACCATGGACAAAGCACAGGCAGGTCCCGAGTTTGGCCAAAGAACGTGACTGGCTGATGGACAGGACTAAACTACCCCTTCGCCCACTTTCTTCCTTTTGTCCTTTGAACACAGGCAGCCCTTTCTTTCTGACTATACTTATGCTAAATCCTTGTTTGTCTGCCCATTTCCTCAATGCAGTGCCCACTGTAAGAACCCAGGCCACTCCAGGCCTTGCTGTGACAATGTGCCTATTTCTACATGCCCTCCCTATTGAATGGACAGAGTTCCCATGGGGCCACCGGCCTCGGACAGTGAGAACTCTGGGCTCACAGGCCACTCCGTGGGGCGGCCTTCCACCTGCTCTGTTTTAGCACCTGGGCGTAGCTGTGGAAGGCCAGAAAGCAAGGCTATTAACAGCTTTCGAGGTGATGGGGAAGGAAAACGGCATCATCCCAAGCTTGACAAGAGCACTCCACGGCCGGCATCTGACCCACCTCTGCCACCGATGCGGCCTCCTTGGAGACAGGCAGGTTTCCTGTGGTGTCAGCCCTGTTTCCTCCAGCAACATTATACCACAAACAGAGAGCTACTCTGAAGAAAGCACTAAGGTGTCCCGTTTCTGGCCGGGGGGAGGGAGGCAGACTGCTTTGCTTCTCCAGAGAGAAACATCACCGTGCCTTGACCCTCTCTAGACAGCGTTTCTTCCTCTCCCCAGTCCTGAAAAGCTGTTTGAAGAAAAGAAACGTGCAGGCTTTCCTTTATGACCTCAGATGGGCAAGTTCTGAATGGCAGCTGGTTCTATTACATGCAGTGTGAGAGGGTTAAACAGGACAGCCTCGACTCTTTATAAACTTTTGCCCTGTGGATATGCACTCATTGGCGGCAGTACAAGACTCGAGCTGTATTACACGCCTTAATGATATGGTTCAACTGTCGGTCAGGCTTGGGCCTGGCATTGGGCCAGACCGCAATCAATGGGACACAGAACCTCCCCCTTTCAGATCATCACGAAGGCTCATATTATCTCCTTTTCGTCGTGCTGGTTAAATTTATGGAGCAGAACCCTGAAGCCGCATTCCTCGGCCTGGGCCGGCCCACGCGGCACTCCCTCCCTTTGTTCGGTACTGTAAGCCAGCCGTGCTTCGGAGGACTACAGGGTTGTTAGTTCAGGCACTGACTGTTTGCTCATGACTGAAGTGAAAAGAGTTCAGGGGAAGGGCAAAAGGACAGCCCAAGTGTAAAACCCCATCCCAGCAGGCCCTGGGCCCCTATATATAGGCCCCGAGCTGCTCCTGAATGTCACATTTCACTTTGTTCTCACAAAAGCAAAATCTTCAGTCTGATCCCTGACGAACCTTCCATAAAACAGCTGCTGAGTCCTCCTACAGTGCACCCCCACTTGAACTCCTGGATTTTCTGGGGTGCCATGGGAGGCAAGATTGCCCTTAATACAACCACACTAAAAAGGAGACAGATCTCTATAGCTATCTGCTAGTCCTTCCAGGTTCCACAGGAGATGGGAATGCCAACCCTGGTTACTAGCTGGTCTTATTTTTAATGTAGAAAAAAAAAATTTATTTTTCGGTCTTTGGCTATAAGGGAGGGATACGTGAGTGCTGTATGTGAATGCATGTGTGTGTGCACAGGAGGGAAGTGTTTATAGGGGATTTAGTCTTATGGAATCAAATAGGAGAAGGTCCCAAGCATTAGACCTGCCGAATCTATCCATGTGTTCT
The DNA here is from genome assembly GCF_000001405.40 of Homo sapiens. NCBI lineage: Eukaryota > Metazoa > Chordata > Mammalia > Primates > Hominidae > Homo > Homo sapiens. Next base: position 12,477,631 of record NC_000001.11, on the reverse strand, counting down.
CATTAATGCTCTGATTAGCATCCAAAGTGTTAAACAAGCAGCTCACATGGGCAGGACTTCATTTTAGTTTTAGAGTTTAGCCCAAGAGGAGGGCTTTCCTGGAATGTTCTAGAGTGGCACATTTACAACTCACTACAGAGGACGCCACTGGAGGGCTGGAAAGGCAGGTCATCGCGGAGGTGAATCCAGGCTCTCCAAGTGATTAACTGTGAGTCTATGGTTTGTCACATCGAGCTGTTGTGTATTAGTGGGTCCACCTGTAAAATGAGGCTACTGGGTTGAATTTTGGAAGTCTGAAATGATTACTAGAACTCTTCTAACGAAGGCCCAAGCAAAATAGAGAAAGAAAGAGTAGGAGGAACATAGAGAAAAAATCCAAAACCAAAAACAAACCAAAGGTATAAGAGGAGCAGGTGGGAAAAATGGCCTCTGAGGGGTGAGCCACTGCTGACTTGATACGTGTTTTTCTGGTCAGTTTTGTCTTCACCCATCTTGATACTAAGAGTTGGGCCCAAGCTTGTTAAAAATAAAAACAGAAATCCCATACTAGCAACTACATGCCCACTGGCACTTTCCAATTCCGGGCAGAAGCAGACTTCTTTGATGGGGTTCAGTGAAGCCAGTGGTCTGTTTCAAATCAGACCCTAGTTCTATCTGCAGGTGAAAAGTCACGCTTCCTCCTTCGAAGTTAAGCTATGTATTTCTGAACAGAAACTGTAAATATACTCTCGGATTTTCCTCACAAGGTTTCCTTGTCTACTGTGTTTGGAGCTGGTAAGTGAATTTGCCATTCCGAATCTTAATTTAAAGCCCCTTTTGGTGGTGGAGGCAGGGTAGAGAGGAGGTGCCACGGATCACAGAAAACCATCTCTTGTTATATCCCTCTTGTCTATGCTTTTGTATACTATTTGTTCTGGTTTGTTTAAAATATAGTGTTATAGAGAACCACTTAAGCTGGGAAATAAAAGGCAACAAAGAGGTAGGCTAAATTTAGGAAATTTTCAAGAAAAATGTGTAATCCAGTCAATCTGTCTCCAGTTATTCATATACATGTTCAGGGTTCAATTAAGTCTTTAGTCATAATATGCCACATCTCCCAGGACAATCTACAAAGCACTTGCACTCACATGATCACGCAGGTTACATTAATACACGTAAATGAATCCAGTCTCCATTAGGCGTTGAGTGTGTAACACGAGGACTCCTGAAGGCCTACTTTGGCCCATCATGAGCCCAGATGCATCAGGAGTCTCTGATATATTAAAATTTGGAAAGCTGGACCTACCCCTGAGAATGAGACTTTAATATGGGCCAAGACAGACTGAGAACTTATAAACTCAATGCCCCTGCTTCCTGTTGACTTTTTCTATCTCAGGATCACTTTTATGACAATATTCCAGGAACATGCAATTCTAAGTAAATAAACTGGCCAAACTCTGAAAATGCAGGAACACAAGTTGCTTACAAATGAGATGTAGAAACCAGGACAAAGAGAGCTGCCATAGCAGACTCACTGGTGTGCACGCTTCTCTCTTGTACATTCTGTGGTTTGCCTGTTCCACGAGCTATGTGACACTGCTATTTACTCTAGCACTGTGGCCAAGGCTAAGAAGTACTCATCTAATATGGGTTTGGGAACTAAAAGGAAATATGTTTTGGAATTTACTTTTTCACACCCACACACCATTCTTGTACAAAATGCCTCTGTCAAGGTGTTTTTTTGTTTTTTGTTTTTTTTTTTTTAAACATTGATTTCTTGGCCATCAGCTAAAAGAAACTAAACATTCAAGTACCTCCACGATGACTGAGCATGCGGGAAGTGGTTTATTTACAACAGGTTCCCTGGACATTTTATTTGATGTATGCTGTCCTGACAGACTCCACCCATGTGATCAAGCCTGCTATGTATGTCTGGGGCCACTTTGTAGTTTTCCCAAAGGTGAAATCAGAGGGAGGGCTGAAGTGGTGACAAGGCCAAATTGGCTACAGACTCAATCCCTTGCGGGGATGAGATGTAACTCACTTAAATGGTGCTAAGTCCAGCTGGGGATTAGGCTAGGGCCACAACCTGCCAAAGAATACTTTAGGTACACTACAGCTGCAGATTAACCTAGTGCTTTTTTATTTTTAGAATCCATTATCGGGCTGCCATATATTCTGCATGGGCTTTTTCTTCATTCTAATATCCAGCTTCCTCCCTGATGGCAGAGCCAGCCCTAGGAAGGGAGCTTCCTCTGTGCCACTCCTCCAGGAAGTTACACAACTAGTTATTCACCTCAGCCATGCAGACATGACCAGGGCAAGGATGACCCTCTCCCCCTTTGTATGGGGGAGAATGACCTGAGATGGGGATATAAAGCTGTCTGCACAAGGTCACAAAGCACAGTAGCATCAGAGCTGGAGTCAGGGCTCTGCTCTTGTGATTTGCAATCCTGTTCTCTTGCCAAGGGGCCAAGCTGCTTCCAGTACCCAAAGGGAACATCCAATAGCTTATTTTGATCACAGAGAGTTGAGTCAAGAAGGAACTGATCCTATGCTGACAAACTGAATGAATGTGAACTGCTGCCACTTCCGCACAATACATCAGGACGAGGCTCCATGCTACTCTGTCAGCTCCACCACTGCCTTTGGGAAAAAGAATAAAATCCCATGAATCTCTCTAAAACTTAAAAAAAAAAAATCTGCATTAGTATATTGGGCTTTAATAGGGTTTTTAAAAAATCTGTCACTACAGTGCGTTGTACTTATCATATGTTCTAAGAAGAGCCCAAGTCGCAAATGAATTGCCTGTGGCCTGAATGCTATTCCCCCAAGAGCTACCTCCCTTGCCTAAAGGATACCCAGAATTTCCTAGGAGGCTCAAAAGGCAACAGTTAAATTTCGGGAATTAGGACAAATGGGAGGATGAAGTTTGAAATGAATTACAAAGGGAACATTTATAATCTAGAAAATGTTCATTTTCAAAGGCTCAAGGCATTACGATAATCCACAGTTATCGATCTTGTATTTTCATTATGCAGAAATCGTGAAATAAAAGGTGCATGATGAAAGCAGTGTTTGAAAGGGCCCATCAGACTTAGCTAGAAATGAAAGAAATAGTTTTTCCTCTTAAACGCTTAGCCCTGAACTTTTTTTTTTTTAACAGACCTAGGGGACCCCGACCTACATAATAATATTGTTGTGAGATTGTCCTGGTGGGAGTCAGACAGATCAGCCCTCGACAGTTCCAAGAGCCCCACTGAAAAGGAATCTGATTCTACAATTTAAAACCCTTAAATAATACTGAACAGTGGACTGTCATGCGTCTGGAAAATATAACCATTTTTGAAGAATGCTTTCCAAACCACGTAATGCTTTTAAAGCTGTTTATCAAAAGAGCTGGATGAGCCACGGTGGCCTGAAACAGTTTATCAGCTGTTACAGGGTCGCATGCCCCATCCTAATTTCCTTAAGCACTCCATCATTCTCGGTTGTCCTAGTCTCGGCAGACAACAGATGCCAATGTTTGGAGACATTTGCTACATAACTTTTACCCGACAAACCTGGCTCCAGGACAGATTTCCATGTCATGTGGGGCTTTTGGCTGAACTCTGCTCGAACCCAGAGGCATATCATTTACAGCAGACACTAACAATAGTTTGGGGTCACCTGCTCTTCACAAGTGGGTTCAGAGCAAGTTCGTGGCCTCTGCACACCTTTTCCAGTGCGGTTCCCACACACAAAGGCTCAGAGCCCAGGAGAGTCCCTCCACCCAGCAACTCAACCAGGTTTGGTGGCCTGAGTTCAACTGTTCATTTTGTGTGAAGAAAGAGAATGGGAAGGACAAAAGCCCAGCCAAGCACATGAACTCCTAGTCCTCACACTCTAGCAGGTGGTCAGCAAGAATTCGGGGACAGGGTTGAATTTAAGTAAGAGCTAGGGACACAATCCCTGTTTCACCTTCACACAACATTCCAACATTCAGGGGAGAATATTCACACTGACACCATTTCTTGAGCCCTACCTGCATGCCACATGCCAGGCTGAGTGCTTTATATACATGATATAATTTAATCCACGTAACCACCCACCGAGGTAGGCATATGACTCAAAGGAATCTCATCTCAGAGAGATTAAGAGGGGAAAAACTTGTTCCAGGTCACAGCCAAGCAGCAGCCCAATGACTCAAACCCAGGGCCAACCGACTCCCCAGTAGGCCTGTTTACCCTCGCACTGCAGATGCCGGAAGCAGCCAGTGCTGCGGAACCCCTTCTTGCTTCCTGCAAATGCGTGGTTTCTTTTCACACTGACTGCCACGTTGCCCCTTCCTATTTCTTTTTCAGAACTGGGGAAGAACCTGTGATTTTACGTCCTTTCCACATCTTTTTCTGAAACAAGCGCTTCTCTTTGAAGAAAGACCTCTTGCCCTTGGAGTGTCAAGATAAGAAAACTTTCAGCAACTTCCCTTGGAAACTACAAAACACCCATCAGCACCCAGGATCTAAGTACAGTCGCTCCCCAGCTGCTGGCCCCTCTGAATAGCTTTTATGGTTCAATGAGGGGTGGTGACAGGGCCATGTCACTACCGTAGGGTGTGCTATTTCTTTCATGTTCCTGGGATCTGACAAGAGCCTTCCACAACCTGTTTCTTTACAACACACAGAATGAGAGATTAAAGACCAATACCAGACTCAAAGCAGGGGCTGGGACTGGCAACGGCTTCTCACCAGATGTATTCTCAATCTTTCGGGGAAAGAAGAGCCACAGACTGCCTGAGCAGATGCTGTGCAAAAGCTGCTGTGATGCCTAAATGAGATAATACATAGAACCATGGCTGAATGGATATGGGTTTCATAAAACCACACTAATTCAGAGCCACTAGTTGGGGGTAAAGGGGAAAGAACACCAAGAAAGGAAACACAAATTAGTGAAAAGTCTAAATTATAGGACTTCTGATTAAACATGACAGATCTAGTCCAGAGACCCCTCTAAAGGGAAAGCAAAGGGATACAAATGGCACAAATCCAAAAGGATAAAGAGAAGGTGTCAACAATATTTTAGAAGCTGAAAAGCAGATGGACACGTGGCGCTGAAATGTAAGCCTTGAGGGAGTGGAAGCCACAAAGCAGAAAGCTAATTAGGATGGTGGCCTCCACTGCATTTCAGAAAGATGGAGGCAGCAAGTAGCTCTGAAGGCCTGGAGCATAAAGGAGAAACAGATAGGCCTGGAGTGAGGTGAAAACAGGAAGATTGGTTAAAAGGCTGCATGGGAAGCAGTTAGAGCTTCAGGTCCCCTCTCTCATCCCCATTCAGTTTTGCTCCTCTCAACAGGAGCCCAGAGTCAGCAGGTCCCCACTTGATCATTCCACAGTAAGGCCCCCTCAGCCTCAAACCAAGAGCTCCCAATTGGCTTTTTAGTGCCTCATCTTTAAAGAGGAGTAGAACAGATAGTCAAGAATCACCAGATTCTCTGGGGACTGTCTCTATTCATGAAAGAAAAAGACCAAAACAAATAAATGGAAGAAAGAAACTCAGAATAGTACTGCTATAGTACTACTATAGAAAAATAGCTTAGAGACAAAAATAGCTAGACAACAACCAGTCAGATGGGAGCAGAGGACATCAAGAGGGAGAATTTAATTAGAAACCAATAAATTACTCAGTGCATTTGTACACATACAGAAGAGTGTTTGTGGATAAATTAGCAATAGGAACATAAAATTTTTTTTTTCTTTTTTAAAGAAAAACGAGTTACTAGGCCCAGGGTTAAAAAAATGTGGAAACTAAATAAGCATTTGAGAATAAATTACGAATGTGCATATAGAAAACAAAGCAGACAATACTGAAAGAGCAGTTACTAACTCCAAGGAGAAAAAAACAAAGCACAACATTTAAAAAGGAAACATCATCAAAGTGACCTGGGTGGGGGGCTTCACTGGGAATACTATTTACACAGTCATAATAACGTAAAAATGGAATACTAAGTTATTCAAAAAGGATCATATAACTGTACTGAAAAATGGGGAAAGGAAACATGTATGTATAACAACATGAAGTCAAATGATGTCAAGAAATAGCAGTTGGTTTATTTATGAAATATAAAGGTAAATACCTCCACATTGAAGAAACAGCCCAAAGTGTTGAAAGTGATTGCCTCTGAGGGAGCAGGAATCAGGGAAAGGTAGGGCAGGAGATTACTGTGTTTTGGTTTTAGACATTTAGAAAGACTTCAACTTAAAAAAGTGAATACATATCTACTTTGATAAAATCTAATTTGAAAGATAAATTTGTCGTAGCAAAATAATTCAGGTAAAAATAACAGGTTTTTAAACACTGTTCTTCTTCTTTTTTTGAGACAGAGTCTTACTCTGTCACCCAGGCTGGAGTGCAGTGGCATGATTTCGGCTCACTGCAACCTCTGCCTCCTAGGTTCAAGCGATTCTCATGTCTCAGCCTCCTGAGTAGCTGGGACTACAGGCGTGTGCCACTATGCCCAGCTGATTTCTGTATTTTTAGTGGAGACAGGATTTCATCATGTTGGCCAGGCTAGTCTTGAACTCTGGCCTCAGGTGATCTGCCCACTTCAGCCTCCCAAAGTCCTGGGATTACAGGCTTGAGCCACCATGCCTGGCCCCCATTGTTCTTATTAATTGCACAGAAGATACTAAATATTTATTAAATACAGCTAAGGTATAAAAAAACTAAAAAATCAAAGGATCATTAGCTAATTTTATAAACAATTAGTAAAACTATAACTATTTGTTTTCAAGGAGCTGTAACGGACCCGGTAATGAGGGAAAAAATGCCTGTAATTACCCCCCTCAACACATACCATATGCACAAATGCAATTTTGTTGTTTTCAAGAATAAAGAGTAAGTCAAATCACTAAAAAATGAGTTCTTCAAGAAAACTATAGGGAAACTTGCTTTAATGAACACGTAAGAGTGGCTTAAGAATATTAACACACAAACCAAACAGCTTGGTGATTCTTCAGAGCAGTTTGTCCTCAATTATTTAAATATTCCCAGTATTTAATACTTATTAAATGCCTGAAATATAGTAGGAGTTCAAGACTCAATAAATTTCTACTGTCAATTTGCCTGTACATACTAAGTGATGGATCTGAATATCCCAAGGTCAGAATTGGCTCAACTGAATTAACTGGGCCCTCGATAGTTCAAACAAAAATAGAAACACACTTCAAGGTTTGCATCTTCTCACTAAAGGATAGAAAAGCACTTCACATGTGGTAATTTGGCCTCTAACACCTCAGGAGGTGGGCAGGTGCCAGTTATTACCACTCTAACTGTGCTGCTGGGGTCAATTAGTAAAGTCTAGGGAACTGATGAGCCCTGGCCTCTGTCCATCCTGGCATTACTCCGCGAGGTTACCATGGATTCTAGCCAGGATTCCTGTGACCCATACTCCTCATAACGAGAAGTGAGGTTTTGCTCTGTCTCCCCTTTGAAGTCTCCTGCAGTCCCTGGGATTTTATGATACAGTTTGGGTCACCCCTGCCATTATCGATGTTTGAAGTATGTTTGGGGAAATCTGCTAGGAATTGTCTCTGGTGTTAACACAGAACAACTGCCTCATAAAAACTGCTTTCTACAAGGAGTTCAAAGGAGCTTATCCAAATACTGTGGGTTTATCCTACTCCAGCAACTTTGCTAGGGGAGAAAGTTGAGGTTTTGGCAAGTGAATTCTGAAACAGATACACCTTCTCGAGTACCTGCAAGAGTCAGGGCAGTGCAAACACAACCAAGCAGCCTTTGGACAAGATTCTGCACTTTGAAGTAATCTGCTCTACACTTACTACCCTGCCGAAATTAAAATTTATTGGGATGGTAGGTTAAGGTGAAGAACTAAATTAGGTAAATTATTGTAAGAGGTCTTTCTGATATGTGATAAAATATTTCCAATTGTTACTTCTAGAAACCCAGTAAAAGTCAGGAGCAAACCAGGAGGGCTGACAACTGTTGGCAGGAAGCCAAAGGGAAGCATTGCATTACAGCGGCTCCTACGGTTTAGTCCGAATTAGCCCATCATTGCCGATATGTGCTACTTATCAGCAAGATGATGGATTATCAATCACTGTATTTTCAACTAGAGCAGCTTGTCAAAAAAATTAACCAGGTACGTTTGTTGGCTGGTGGCATGTATGCAGAGTCACAGAAGGTGAGGAGAGTGGCACCTGCACATTTTTGTAAATCTCTTAAGTCTTGCTAACTGGAAAACAGCTGTATTCACCTATCTGCTTCTACAGTCAATCTGTTACAATATCATACATTGTGTAGCTTCTGGAAAACTCCACTGTATACTCATTAGAGAATACTATTATAAAAATTGTTATATCTATAAATTCATATATAAGTACATGAATATATACAAATAGGTTTTAGGTTATGGATCTGGGGTTCCGCAGGGGGTCCCTAGACCGTATTTTGAGACCCTCTGTTCTAAAAGAACCCATATGTACAAATTCTCTCTGCTAATCAGAAAGCGGTTTCCTCAATGTATTAAAGTAAATCCACTAAGGATATAGATAAGTAACATTATTAATTTGAATTATATAAGCCCAATATAACAAAAGTTTTTTGTTTTTTTTTTTTTCTTTGAGACAGGGTTTCACTCCCATCACCCAGGCTGGAGTGCAGTGGTGCAATCTCAGCTCACTGCAGCCTTGACCTCCTGGGCTCAAGCGATTTTCTTGCCTCAACCTCTGGAGTAGCTGGGACCACAGGCGCGTGCCACCATACCCGGGTAATTTTTGTATATTTTTATAGAGACAGGGTTTCACTATGTTGCCCAGGCTGGTCTCGAGCTTGTGAGCTCAAATGATCTACCCGCCCCAGCCTCCCAAAGTGTTGGGATTACAGGCGTGAGCCACCGCGCCCAGCCTCTTTTAGAGTATATTGTGATAAGAATGTTTTACTAATTCAATCTTATTTTCCCTCCATTTGACAAGTTAGTAAGAAATTTAGCAAGAAAATGTCTTTGAGAAGGAGACTGGCAAAAGAGTACCAGATAAATACATCAGGGCAAGAAAACCACGGGTGAATTATAACACCCACACCTATCTTTCCTTCCCTCAGTGCTTCCGAGCCATAATCTGTAATACAACAGTGAGTCTTTAAGTCCCTGCTAGTCCAAATGTCCTGTGTGTATCTCAGAATTATCTTACAGTCTAAAGCTCTCTGGGAGCAGGGGAGCTGAACTCAAACCTGGGTCCTCTTGTTAAAGATTTCAATTTTATCTTGGGCAAAGGTGGATGATTCTGTAAGGGAAAAACATGAGGCATGGGATAGTCATGAAAATCTAAAAATAAGTAAATCCAATGCCTTTACAGAGGAGTTCCACAAATAACAAATGGCTCTTCAACCTTCTCTAATGCACAAAATACAAATTTTTTCTCAAAAAGAAATAGACACCGTTTTATTTTTTCTTGAAGTTCAAACCAAAAATCTCAAATGTCTTATCTTATGTATGTAATATTAGGTGTCACGTTAGAGTTTTAAAAACAAATTCACTGAACACAGAAGGGACTACAGATGTATAATGGCAACATTATTTCATTTTTAAATGGAATAACCCCAAATCAGAAAGTAAATGGAATAACCCCAAATCACACTTCCCATTCATTTTCTTTGCACAAGGACCTGCTGGTTGAGATGCAAGGACTGGACTTTGAAGAGATGTTGATTCAGATGTAAATTCAGTAGGTTTTTTTTTTTTCTTTTGGAAGCAGGATAGTGTGGTTTCTATGAAGTCAGTCATCTCTGCATGCCAAAAATGGCAAAAATTAGACGCTCTCCTTTCTAGAAATGATTATAATGTACCATGACCAAAAAAGTGGGTTTTTTCCTAACAGATAATCTTGCATAAAAATGACTCTTGGGATTTCAGAAATGGAAAGGCTTTTCTCAAACACGTGTGTGCATGAACACACACACTTTGCATTTTTTCCAACAATAGATCTGAGCTTTCCATAAGTTATGTTATAATGAGAATGGCATCGTCTGGGGCCTTTGAGTGAAAGGGGAATACAGTATTTAGAGTTCAGCGAGAGGGAAGAAGCCTGTCTCAGAAAATAAGATTTCTCTGCTTACGTTCCTGTGAGAGGAATTTTAACTTATAAGGCATGAAGGACTGTTAAGATGCTTCTTTAAAATATCTGATCCTGACTGGGTGTGGTGGCTCACGCCTGTAATCCCAACACTTTGAAAGGCCAAGGTCGGCAGATCATGAGGTCAGGAGTTCGAGACCGGCCTGGCCAACATGGTGAAACCCCATCTCTACTAAAAATATAAGAATTAGCTGGGCGAGGTGGCGTGCGCCTGCCATCCCAGCTACTTTGGAGGCTGAGGCAGGAGAACTGCTTGAACCCGGGAGGTGGAGGATGCAGTGAGCCGAGGTTGTGCCACTGCATTCCAGCCTGGGCGACAGAGCAAGACTCTGTCTTGAAAAAAAATAAAATAAAATATCCGATCCTATAATTTCATCAGCTTAATTTCAGAGCCAAGTGAGACATCCAATGTCATCAACACAGGTCTTAGTGTTCTTCTGGGGTTGCTCACGTAGAGGGAGGAATGAGAAAATGACCCATCTACCTTCAAGCATTCTCTGGAAGGACCTGGTTTGGCAAGATCAGGAAGTGAGAATATATGGCTCTCACCTCACAAATATATACGCAAGGGTGAGTAGAAGATAAAGGGACTGTCACTATATCTACTGTGCCATGTTTGGACAACAGAGGAGATATTTGACAGTCCCTTCCCTTCAGCTGGATATAGCAATAATTTTTCAGTTTCACTGAAATGTAATGCCTTTTTCGTGATGAAACTGACATGTTAACTAACACAATGGCTGTCCCAAGCAGCAGATGTTACACCAAGCCAAAAGACAGATATGCCCAAAGATTAGAACTAGAGCCTTAGGGTCAAACAGGTACAAGTTCCAGCTTTTCACCTCTACCATATACATGCCTCTATATGGATGCTACTACAGCGTACCGGACTCATCTGGAAGGAGCGTGCTGGAACTTCCTAGATAAGTATGAGGCAGGAGCCACAGGATAACATATCAGATCTTTCTGAAATGTTAATTTTACCAGGTAGCAATTAAAAATATTTTCTTATTAAGCCAAACATGGAATAAAATATAAAACCCATTTACAGTTTTAAGGAACAGGAACTCTGAAAGAAATATTGGACTTGATCCACTCTAGATACATGGGATATCAGCCTAGTCTCCTGCCTTGAATGGAATATTAGTGGGAAAAAAATGAACACTGGTATATCCTAATAAACATTTGAATCTTTACTCAATCTTTACCTTTGGAAGTTCCCTAAAGGCTCAATTCAAGCCAATTCTGTTTGATGTCCTATGTGTAATACCAAGTATAAGAAATGGCTGCTCTCAGAGCAGAGTAATTAAAAGCAGTATTACCCAGCTAGGATGAAAAAGTTAATGGAAGCATTTCCTAAGTTCTCTTTGCAGACTATTTTTTTTTTTTTTTTAGATGGAGTCTCGCTCTGTCGCCAGGCTGGAGTGCAGTGGCGCAATCTCGGCTCACTGCAACCTCCGCCTCCCGGGTTCAAGCAATTCTCCTGCCTCAGCCTCCCAAGTAGCTGGGAGTACAGGCGCGCACCACCACGCCCAGCTAATTTTTGTACTTTTAGTAGAGACAGGGTTTCGACATGTTGGCCAGAATGGTCTCGATCTCTTGACCTCGTGATCCGCCCACCTCGGCCTCCCAAAGTGCTGGGATTACAGGCGTGAGCCACCACACCCGGCCTCTTTGCAGACTTTTTGCTGACCTGTCCAACCTGACTGCATTCAGGCTCTGGTGACCCAAAAGAGTCTTAGTCCTTTTATCCTGGAGAGTCATAAGTAACATGCAAACATTGTTAACAAAAGGGGCCTTTCCTTAAGAAAACCCATTTCCATTTCACATCTAAGAGGTCATTCACGAGAAGTGTCTTAACAGATTTTGGGTGGTGTTTTGGGGCTATTTTTACTGAAAAAGTCAAATATGCCCACCATAAATCTTTTCTGTGAAATCAACCAAAAACTTTCTTTTTCAAAAGTTCTCAGAGCAAATGGAATTTACATCTACGTGCACAATCCGAGGGTCCCGGGATTCCAGAACATTATCAGTCCTGATGGCTGTATTCTTAAACACTGATCTATCATTATCCTTCAAATTCCCCTTCCTCCTTATCTAACTTAAATAACGAGATAAGCTCCAACACTCCTGAGCTTTGCTAAATTAGTTTAAATATTTCAAGTTCTGCCAACTCCTACTTCTCTCCCCACTTTTGGGTCTTGACTTAAAAGGTGAAGAAATATTTTAGAGGAAACCTCAGGGCCCAGCTTCATAAATCTTCATCTGCTACTTACCTAAAATGTCATGCACCCCAGTCTGCAACAGATGGTATTTGGAGAAACAAACAAGCAAATACATAGTGCAGAGGCAGACATTCCTTTCTTCTCAAAGGTATTTTTGCCTTCTTTTGTGAAATGGCTGCTCCCGGGTCTCTGCAACTTTCTACTAAGTATCTTTTCAAACACTACCATCAAAGGCCGTCACATTTACACAGTGGACTGGGCACTCTCACATGGCTTGGCACCTTGCTTGGGCCTGGTCTGTTTGAAGGGTAGCAGGCTCTTCACATAGCTTCAGTGGCACCTCAAGTGTGGCTGCATCTGTGCCATTTTCATAAACTTTACTTGGGAACAGACAAAGTGTGGCCCAATACACGTAGGCCAGAAGATGCAACCTGAGCCAGCAGAACGTTGCCTTGGAAAAGGTTTCTTATTTCAGTTCCAAACCACACATACTTGTACAGTGAACAAATGCAGTGGGGGATATTGGTCCACAACACTCATGTTGAGGCCAAAGGCTCTGCAGTCCTCCGCCCTCTTCTCTCCCCACCCCCACCTGCCTTCCTGAGAACTATTGGGTTGCCTGGAAATTTCAGAGGAAAGTTAGGTGGCTGTCGCTTGGAATGCCAGCGCACTCCAACAAGGAGAGGAACTTGGAAGTATTTTAATCTAAAAGAACATAAGGAGGGGGGGTTCCCTATAAATAAAATCATGTTCAAATAAACACAAAAAAGAGCCAATGTTTCCTGTAAGGCCACTTTTCAGATGGATTACTGGAAGGAGTACTCTTTCACAGTTTTATGGCTTACTTTCCTATCATCTGCTTAAAATTTGGGTCTTTTAAAACATAGATGCTAAGATCTAAGCCTTTACTTGGATGAAATATTACAAAGGAAGCAGAAAGTCTCATTCCAATTGCAGGCTCAGAGGCAGAACTCTTGGACTCTTGGGTTCTATTCCTGGCTTGGTCCCTGGGCTCAGGTCAACCCTCGGTCAGAATCTCACTTCTAATCCCTTCAAATCATTTGTTAGTCCCTGTTGTCTAAACAGTGGGGAAAAACCCTGAGTAACACCCCTGGATCCTGTTCAATCAACCGGGATGGTTGGAGATGGTTATAACTCACTTCCAAGAAACCAGGGTGATTTATCCCTCGGTGATAGTGTTAGAGCCAGTATGTTCCTAAGAGATACAGTGTCATCAGAACAAACTGGCACTGAAACATTTCTCCACCTGCAAGGATCTCTGCGCTCCTTTAATAGGACTTTAAAATAATATCACCCAGCATTTTTATAGTTCTTTATAGCTTCCACATTAAAATAACTCTGGTTGGGCTTCAAACCCCTGAGAAGCAGAATAAACAGAGAGATAAATTTATCCCCACTTTATAGATGAAAAAACTAAAACTGAGTCTTACATAGATGTCTTGACTTGACCCAGGGCCCAAAGCTAATAAGTAAGGTGGCTGGGACTCTGGCCTGTTGTTTTCCAGATCAAGTGTTCTCTTTCCTTGTTTGACAGGGTCTCACTGTTGCCCAGGCTGGAGTGCAGGGGCACAATCATAGCTCACTGCAGCCTCAACCTTCCAGGCTTCAGCAATCTTCCCACCTCAGCCTCCCAAGTAGCAAGGACCAGAGGTGCACACCACCCGCCACCATATCCAGGTTTGTTTTTTTTTTTGTAAGAGATGGGGGCATTGTGTTGCCCAGGCTGGTCTCAAACTCCTGGGCTCAAGCAATCCTCCCACCTTGGCCTCCCAAAATGCTGGATTACAGGTGTGAGCCACCATGCCCAGCCCAAGTGCTCTCTTCTAACGCATAGCTCCTCATGAATACTTCTGGACCTGGACAAATGGACTGAGGGACATTGGTGAAACGGCTGCTATGTATCCCTTCAGAAGAATCTGTAATTTTAGCTTTTTCTGCACAATAAAGGACACTGATCCACTGATCCAAACATATACCCTACTTGCCTCTGCCCCACTTGCCTCTGGTAACTTCTGCCATGACTCTCCCACTACTGGCACCTCCAGGAATAGAGAAGGGATGTGGAAGCTAATCCCCCTCCTTTGAGGATATATGAAGACCGGCTGTGCCTCAATGATCACGGTAGCTTTTGCTTCTAGGAGGAGTGAATGGTTAGGCAGATCGCTGTCTCATGAAACTTGCAGTTAAACTTTGTTGTTGTTGTTTTTTTTTTTCCTTTTTTTCTGCAGCCTACAAAGTTGGAACTTGCAGTTAAACTTCAATTAGGCTACCCAATTACTGTCTGCTTTGAGTCAAGCTGCACAACTTTTCTATATCCCGAGTGCCTCATCTACATGGAAATGTAAAACTTCATTGGGCTGAGATGAGGAGTGGCCAGTGCTGACTGTGAACGGCTCCCCAGTGCCTTCATGAGGGCATGGTCTCTGCTGCTGAGGTCCAGATAAGGCTAAGGTGGCAGGCCAGAGGAAACAGACAGACAAAAATGCAGTGTTGGTCAAGACCTGAATCATGTCAGTGTGCAGGTAATAGTAAAGTAAATCTTGAGTCAGCAGGGAAGAAACTATGTGGAATGCCATATCTTGACACTAACTGACTCTGAAACACGTACAAGAGAAATCCAATGAGCCCCCTCCTCGCAGACCCAGGCAGCAGGGTGCAATGCAGTGGTGCTGGGCACAGGGTCAAGACATAGGCTGGGTCTAAGTCTAGGTCTACCATTTCCCACCAGCTGTGTGGCTGTGGACAAGCTCCATGACTTCTCTGGACTGTCTTGTCCTCATTTGTAAATCAACTATGAAGATTAAATGGGATTCCACACGTGGAGGCACAAAGACAATGCCTGGCACATAGATAAGTTCCTTCCTTTTGCTGTTGCACACACAGTAGTTCCCTTTTACCTGGAAGGTGATTCTCTCTTCTCTTCACCTGGCCAACTCCTACTTCATACTCCAGGCTTCACCTCAAAGATTACTTTCCTAGAAAAGCCTGTCTCAACTCCCCTGATCACTAGGTTAGCCACCCTCCTTCTCCCCATCACCTTCTCTGATCATAGTCTCACGGCACCCTCTAAGTGTCCTCGATGTCATTTGTCACAATTTCAGCAAATAAGTGTTTATATAATTTTTTATGTTTGCTGCCCTGCTTGATTATAAGCTCTTTGAGACCAGAGACAGTTTTGGTTTCTGCTATTCCCAACCCTGAGTTCATAGGAAATTTTCAATCACTATTTACTGACAGGCAATGAATAAATGGCAGCTATGTACTGGCTGACAGAAAATCAAACTTCTGTGGCAATGTTGAACAACTAATAAAAATGACAAGAATGTCCCTCTCAAAGACATTCTTTCTGCAGTGACTGTGGCTACATTACTTGTGCTCCTAAAAAGAATGAAAAACCCCCATGAAGACTTGCAAGCTGACAATGTATAAAATTCAAGCCGTTTCTTTCTCGTCAACATTATTAAAACTTCACAGCACAAAATCATCTTTAAAAAATTTATCACATATACCTTGAACCCTTTTTAATCAACCAATCCCTTGGCTATTTTGACATTTTAAGAATACACATGCTTCTTTGGGAACTCTTAGGCGTCTTCAGCTTTACACTTCATTAAGTCTTATTATCTTAACAAATACTGGAGGTGGACTTCTTGGGCTTCGAGCAGAGATGGAAAAACTAACTGGAAATACTTTCGAAGCCTCCTCACTGCCTGCCCCTCCCCACAACTTCATAAATGCTTCAAAATATACTCAAGGATTGTTTTAGTTTTGTATCTGAGAATAGAATGTAACTTAACTAAAGTAAACCATACAGAGTTTACTCAGCTGCTTCCAGATGGAAGGCATTCTGGCACAGCACACTGCATGGCCCCAGTCCACAATCGGAGCATTTCCCCTACTGCAGTAATGTGTCTTCAGTAAGTTTTCCTGGTGACAGACAAATGGATTCACTTCAATTGGGGACAATTTCACTTCACATCCTATTTGAGGGAGTGATAGGGTGTGGATGTGGGCCAGGCCCTAGGCATTCTAAAAGGGCGTACTAATTCACTCAGGGAAAATCTATTATCCAAGCAGCAGCAAAATCCTTCTGGGCTTAAGTCGAGTCTAGCTTGGCTGGGCCCTTAACATTCATTATACCCTTTGTTGATAAGAATCCCCAATTAGTCACTCTGGAAAAGGGAGGCTAAAATAGGCCATTCAAGCAAACAGCTACGTTAAAGCAGTTGGGTTCTGTGGGGTTTGGAACCATATGGGCTGTCCCTGATTTCCAGTCTCAGCTGGTATCAAGGCCAGACAGCAATCCCACAGCAGAACTGCTGACCTGCTGGGGGGATGGGGGGTGGCACTTTTCTTTATGGGGTTGGGGCTGATACTTTCAAGCGGAAGGAAAATTAAGAAGGAACAGACCCACATGGTGAACAACAACAGTGGGGATTCTAGAACTATATCACGGGGTGTAGGAGTAAGAACCAGACTACAATCTGACAGTTTTCTTCATAGGCATGTGGGGATCCAGTTGGCTTGGTGAACAGAAGAAGCTTCTAACAGTTTAATCCTAATTCTGACCTCTCTAATGGAGAAAAATAACATAATATAGTTATACATACTTATATATAATATGCTATATATACATACATATATAAAATATATAGCATATATAAAATATGCTATATATATATTTATCTGAAAAAATTCATGCCAGGTTTCTGTACCTCATTTTCATCTTTTTATATTAGGCAGATCAGAAATTTCAGTTACAAGTATTTGAATTAAAAACCCTATAACTAAGAAAGTGCACAATTAAACACATCAGTATGGATTAGGAGAAGCAGCAGACCTAGGCTGGAAACTGCAAAAGCCATTCTTCCCACACCACTGACCTGGGGCCGCTGAGTGTGGCTGTGTCTCTCACCGCCTGGGCTGTTTCTGATGCAAAATCCAGGGCGCCTGCCACTGGCTTGGTTACAGTGCCAACAAGCCCTTTTCCAAGGCCAGATATGAAACCGCTGACACCCCCTTCTGTTTTCACACCTTCCACTGTCGAAGTTATAACACTGGTCAGTCCACCAATGATACCTAGTGAAAAAGACAAGGGCTGTTGTAACCTGACGAGGACAAAAGCAAAAGCATTTAAAGCCAAACCCCTTGATTATGGAATGATAACTTAAGGCCATTCTATTAATCTCTGTGCCAGAGAGGCCACAGACAGGCCAACTCACAGAAGAGGATCCTGCAGATTTGCCCATTAAGTCCAGAGTCAGAGGATATATGTTACATGTTAGTCAGAAGTAAAGTGTGCTCCAGTTCAAAAAAAAAAAAAAAAAAAAATCAGAGAAAAGCTGAGAGGTTAACAGTGGCCAATTTTTCGATCCCAGAGCTTGGGCAGCCTACGGACGATCAGGAGAGGATACAGATAGAGGATTAAATCAACAGGAGACTAGAAAATTGGGCCTTCGGGGAAAGTTTGAAGATGATGGCATCCTATGAAATATAAGGCAGAGGCTGGGCGCAGTGGCTCACGCCCATAATCCCAGCACTTTGGGAGGCTGCGGCGGGCAGATCACGAGGTCAAGAGATCGAGACCATCCTGGCCAACATGGTGAAACCCCATCTTTACTAAAAATACAAAAATTAGCTGGGCGTGGTGATGCGTGCCTGTAGTCCCAGCTACTCGGGAGGCTAAGGCAGGAGAATTGCTTGAACCCAGGAGGCAGAGGTTGCAGTGAGCCGAGATCGCAGCATTGCACTCCAGTCTGGCGACCGAGCGAGACTGTCTCAAAAAAAAAAAAAAAAAGAAAAGAAAAGAAAGATATCTAAGGCAGAGAGAGATAACTAAATGTAGTTGTTCCTTAGTATCCATGTGGGATTGATCCAGGATCCCCTGCAGATACCAAAATCCTAGGATGCTCAAGTCCCTTACATAATGTGCTGTAGGTGTTTGCATATAACCTACACACACCGTCCTGTATACGTTAAATCACCTCTAGATTATTTATTGTAGCTAATACGATGCCCACATATCACTTCATTTGTGTGGAGTCAATACAGTATTTGAAACGTGTGGCAAATTCAAATTTTGCTTTCTGGCACTTCGTGAAATCTTTTTTCCCCCCAAATATTTTCCATCCATGGTTGGCTGAATCTGTGGATATGGAGAGCTGATGGTATACATTTGCAATTTTCAAAGAACACTATGGGGGTGACTGGCCAACCCCACTGGATGCTTGAAATAAGGTAAAAGCTACTGCATGCTTTGATGAAATTCGGTATCGGCGATTATATAAAACCTTCATGAAGAGCACCCCAAAAAGCTGTGAAAGCTGGCTGGGACCCTCAATGGAGTCAGTTCAAAAGACCAATCCAGGTCAAAAAGGCATTCCAAACATTTTGCAAGTTGACAGCAATGGCTGAAAACACCTTAGAAGAGGCCAGAAGCTGGCAGAGGCTGAAGAGGTCACAGTCACTGAAGGGAAGAGGCAGCCCGTCTAGGGAGCATCTCCAGGACCTGTGCCAGGGACACTCACAGGATGTTTACCCTCTGACAGTGGGGTGTGAGGAAGCTCTCTAGACTCTTCAGCTCTAGTGAGACAAATTGGTAAAGGAAACTCCTTGGGTGAGAATGTACTAACAATTCACAACATTTCTTTTGGATTCTGGGTAAATTTGCTCCAGTGAGGCAATATCTCTTTCCCAAACTTTTTTTTTTTTTAGAAACAGGGTGTCCGTCTATCACCCAGGCAGGAGTGCAGTGGCATGATTACCGCTTGCTGCAGCCTTAAACTCCTGGGCTCAAGCGATTCTCCCTCTAGGTCTTCCAAAGTGCTGGGCTTACTGTCCTGAGCCACTGCACCCAGCCCTTTCCCAAACTTTTGAACAAAGTTTTTGGCAGAGCACACACAGAACAGGAATTCAGACTGGGACCTGAGAGACAGAACATGACTGAACCTGGGTCCAGCAAGGCCTGCAGAGAGAACTGAGCACAATTCCCATTTCTTACATCAAGGGGATTGAGTGGATTCTGGTTCTTATCACCTTCTAAAGGTCTTTTCATCCTAAGGGAAGACTCTCACTCTAGGATACTGCCTTCGTATAACCCAGAGCTCAGTGGATCCTCTTTGGATGAAGCCATTGGCTCCTGGAGAGGCTGTACATATTATAGGAATGATTCTTGATGGGAGGTGATTTTGCAACTTTGAACCAATCATGCATTTTCTCAGCACATTTGTGTGTTCATCCAGAAAGTGAGGAGAGCCATGCTCTCTCCACGTCACAAGGATGCTGGCCAGATAAAGGCCACCACACATAACAAAGCATTTTATATTCATTTTAAAAGTCTTCTAAGAGTCCAATGTACTGTCATTACCATTACGAGAAAGAATGATTAAACCTTAACCCCAAATGATTGCCCAACAGTCAACTTTTAAAATCCATAAACAAATTACTTTCAGCCAAATTTCACTTCTGGCCTGACGTCTCCTTAGGGACAGCTCCCTTTACGGTTGGGCAGCCTTAGGAAAAGCAAAGGCATTTTGATCCAAATCTCACCATTAGGAAAGCTGATAAACAAAAACTCTATTCTAAACGTGTCCTAAGCACAAATAGAAATATAATATTTTACTGTCTATATTCCTTCCTCTTCTTCCAAATGCAGATAATTAATACTGATCAGTCTTGATATGACTCTGATAGCTTTGGATGGTTCCTAAGGATCTGGTACAAAGAGTTTAATTTACTAAGCCTTACTATGCATGAGCTATGTGCCAGGTGTCATGTGAGGTACACAAGGAGAAAGGTGAATGCAAAGTGGTCCTTCTCCCCTCCTCACATTCTCAATCTATCAGATGTACACAGCTGGTGACATACACAACCCAGACTGTGCTCTGTCATTAACTCTAACAGGGACAATAGAGCTGGGAAAATGTATTGAGTTGGGACTTACAGGCTGAGTAGGATTTTGATAGACAAGGAAATGAGGCAGAGGAGGGAGAGCAGAAGGACCATGTGTGAGCAAGGACTTGGAAGCACACCTGGGAAGCAGTACATAGCTGTGTGTGGCCAAAGTGCAGCATGGCTGAAGGATGGTGGTTGGAAAATTGGCTGGATTTATAGTTCCAAGGGCCTTGGATGCCGTACTAAGAAATTGTTAAGAAAAATGCAACAAAAGGCAAATGACTCAGAATTAAAGCATTAAAAGAATTCAAAGTCAGAGACCAAATGCATTCATGCCATCACCAACATCTCTTAGGCAAATAAATTTATAATTTTAGTGAATGCACATTTATGTAAAACTAAAAAACACCTGGGCTACAAACCTGGCCACAAATTCCTCATTTCAATTTCTTTGGAAGGAATGATCAGTAAGGAGAAGGCAGAGGTTACAATTCTAAGAGAAGTAGCAGCTACAATTCTAAGAACAGGTCTGGTTGATTACACCTTATGATACTTTGGGAACAGAAGCCAGAGAACGAAAAGGAATTGCAATGTGCACAACATTCAGAAAGCGAATGAGGAGTTCTCACCGGCTGTCGTATTTCAACTGCAAGGAGGATAAAGTAAGAGAGCTTGGAAGGCTATCAGGTACGCCAACACAGGATTTCCTCTGTTGTCAGCCTTTTCTTTTTTTTTTTTTTTTTTTTTTTTGAATTGGAGTCTTGCTCTGTTGCCAGGCTGGAGTGCAGTGGCACGATCTCAGCTCATTGCAACCTCTGCCTCCAGGGTTCGAGCAATTCTCCTGCCTCAGCCTCCCGAGTAGCTGGGACTACAGGCATGTACCACCACGCCTGTCTAATTTTCGTATTTTTGATAGAGATGGGGTTCCACCATGTTGGCCAGACTGGTCTCAAACTCCTGACCTCAAATGATCCACCCGCCTCGACCTCCCAAAATGCTGGGATTACAGGATTGAGCCACTGTGCCTGGCCTAATTTTTGTATTCTTAGTAGAGGCGGGGTTTCACTGTGTTGGCCAGGCTGGTCTCAAACTCCTGACCTCATGATCCACTCTCCTAGGCCTCCCAAAATGCTGGGATTACAAGCATGAGCCACCGCGCCCAGCCCACCTTTCTTTTTTTATAGCTGCAATCAGATTGATACAAAGGCGCCTCTGAGGACCAGCAGCAGCAGAGCCTGATGTCACCCATGACTTACCATGAGCCAGGCCATGGATGCCGGCTACAAGGTGTTCACCACTTGTGGCTGCATGGTACCTGATGTACTCCCGCTCTGACTGATGCCGATTGTCCATCGTCTTCCCTAAGCCATCTGATAATGTTCCAGCAAACTAGAAGGAGTTAAAAGCAGGAGAAGAGTTTTAAAGTCTTGGCACTATTTTTACTATTTGAATTACTTTAAATAAATTTAAATTAAATACAATTAGATAAGCCCATGCTGGTCTGTAGTGGTGTGATCTCATCTCATCACAACCTCCGCCTCCCAGGCTCAAGTGATTCTCCTGCCTCAGGCTCCCGAGTAGCTGAGACTACAGGTGTGTACCACCACACCTGGCTAATTTTTGTATTTTTAGCAGAGATGGGGTTTCACCATGTTGGTCAGGCTAGTCTCGAACTCCTGACCTCAAGTGATCTGCCCACCTAGGCCTCCCAAAGTGCTGGGATTACAGGCGTGAGCCACTGTGCCTGGCCAATAATTTAAATATAAATAAATTTAAATATTTTAAATGCAGTTACCTATACTGTCTGCCCCAGGTTGAGTGGTTCTCAAAAGGACTGGACACATACCAATTGGGGGATGCATACAATGGAGGACACTAGGCTTTGCAAAGCAACTACTAAAAATCTTTAATGACATTCACTTTCCAGAATACTACTCCAAATTTACTGAAAAAATCAGAGGTATAACAAAATAGTCTTGAGGGAGAAGTGAGCTTCAGGACTGTATCATGGTAAGAACATAGGCTCTTTGCTCTAAGAATTAGTGGAATTCAAAACAGGAAATGTGTCAGATTGTTGCTTTAGGGTTTGGTATCAAATATTTGGAGACATCAAACTCCCTCCAGTAATGCTGTCTTTCATTTATTCAATAATTACTGAGTACCTATGAGGTGCCAAGCTCCATTTGTCAAAAGCCAAAAACGAAATCGATGGAAAGATTAACAGGTTAGGTCACCGTTCATAGGAGGTGGCAGACTTGAACTCATGATTTCAAATGCAAACCCACCCTTTCCACAATTCAGAGATTTTATTTATCCTGGCATACTTTAACCAGAAAAGCTGTCTCATCCATCAAAGCTGGGATAAAAAGGACATAAAACTCTGTTTTGTCACAAGACAATCTGAAAAGGTTTAAAGTGACAGTTAATAAACCACAGAGTACTTATCCTCATCATTCAGGCATAAAAAGAGAAGGATATCAAATATATAATTAACCTTCTCAGGAAGGATCTACCAAAACAAGTGGTTTAAGTGCCAATGACCCAGGACTAACCTCTTAGAAAACTCACAGGAATGTTCCTTAGATACAAGGCTCAGGGGAAAGCCTCAAGGCAAGCTGCCTGCCTGGAAGGCCCAGGAACTGGGTGGCCATCTAGGGGCCTATTTCATTCTCCTTTGGCAAGGGGGTTAGGGTGCGTGTTACACAGATCAGATCTGCCCTGGAAACCTCAGTCATGAGGATTCTTGACACATGTGACAGTGAGTTCTGGGCACAGAAGAGGGACTAGTGAACACAGCAGCAATTCCATGTAAAGCAACAGTTCCTGGAAGAAGCTATGGGAAGACTCATGCCTTTTACTCAGTCCAAATATTTTACAACCTAGGGCAGTGATTCCTGACCTTTCTGGAGATGTAACCCCTATCATTATTTGTTTGCTTTCTGCCTTGCCTTCCATATCACTGCCTGTCTAATGAGAGAATTAAAGTTAATGAAAATTAATAACTTCCTTTAGGACAACTGGAAACACCACACGACGCTGCAAAGCTAGCACCGTGAATCACTAAGGAGTGGCTTCAGTCAGAGACCCCATCTGAGAGTTACCACAGTATAGGAGAAGGGCCACAAGCTGGGGCATCTGACCAAACTTCAGTCCTCCCTCGACCATTCTGGTAACTACATGACCCTGAGCGAGGTCACCTACCTCTGAGCCTCCTCTGCATCTGGAGAATAGCCAGAGTACCTACTTTGTCATGTGGCTGGAAGCATTCATGACAATGGCTCGGGGGCCTGGTATCTAGTTAGCATTCTTACTGTTCTTATTACTCTGCTACTAGTCCAAGGAGGAACATGCCTGCAGCGTTTGAGGGAAGCCTGTCAAAGGTTTAGAATTATGGTCATTTGCACTATAGTTTAACATAATAAAATCCTCTCTTTCCAGCAGATAAACACCAGCCTCCCAAGTAAGTTTTTGGAGTGGTACCACTTACAAAATTAGAGTGTTGGACTCTACGATTTCCAAAATCCTTTCCAGCTCTGGCACTGTGTGACCTACAACCCAAGGTAGAATGTCTTTACTAAATACTTCCTCTGAGCCCAGGACAGATTTAGGTACTGCTGAAGAACACAAACAAACAGCAGCCTTGAACCCTGCCCTCAAGAACTGACAGTCTCTTTGAGAAGGTAACAATCGTATACACAAAACAGTCAGCAGGAACCCAGGACACAAACTACACAGAAAGGAAATGTGACCTTTGTTTTGGAAAGAATCAATAAGAGTGCCTGCTATGTTTAGAATTATGTAGGCTGCCAGCGTTCTTCAGGTTCCAGACAAAAACGTGTCTCTCTGGTGCCCCAGACGCTGTGAGAACCACAGTTAAGTGACGCGTGCCCATGTCCTGTGTGTCTCCAGGGGACACATCTCCACCTGAAGAGACCCAGGAGCACCGCAGCCAATTCAGGGTCTTATTCAGGTCTTTCCTGTTTCTCTCAAGCTCTTATATTCTTTCTAAGAGCTTACATTCTCTTTCTTGGAAGACAGATAGGGTAAAGTGCTCTTTACCTATCGCTGGCAGCTAACTAGGAGGAAGTTAAAAATCCTATAATACTCCCCCACCAAGAGAATATGGGAGAATAATCTAGGCAGAATACCCAATATCACTCCCTCTTCTTCTACTCCCATCAATTAATATCCAAAGTTGATGAGTGAGCCTATGCCAAAAGCTTAATTTCCAACTAAGTCTGCTGTGGCAGCCTCAGCTCCCCAGCACCAACTGGGTCCTGGGTGTTCTCTATACAAAGACAATGTATTGACCCAAGGAGGATGGGATGAGATGACCTAAGAGATCACTCTTCCCTCTAATGCTGGATTCTTCCGTAAGATGAAGACCTTTGCCATGGAAAGGTACCTACACCTATCTCAACTTACTGTAGGACTTCTGTCTGAATTCCTGTTTCTCTGTCCATAAAAAATTGCTTATGCAAGCCAACTGGACTTGTCCTTTGCCACTTGTTAACAGTCAACCATTACAAAAGTCTTCACCCCTAGAAATACAGCTTTGAGAACCCAGAAAACTTGAGTAGATGTTGAAATCTATGATCCAACCAAACCTGTATTGATGAGTAGTTAATCAGATTTTACTGGGAAAGACGTTTTACAGAAACTAAACCAAAGCCAGCCAAATGATGGATACAGTGGTAAAGGCAGGGCCCTGGGCCAGTTCACTGCACTCTGAGGATTGAATCCAGGCTACCATAAAGCATGTGGCCTCCTTTTACTATGGAGGCATTTAGTTAGGCATCCTTAATTCTACCCCATTCCCCACCTCAGTGGGAAGGTAAGTCCTGCCCAGCCATTATTTCTCCCTCAAAGACAGCAGAAAACAAGTGGGCTGTGGAGGGAGGGAATTCCAGTGGTGCTCATCATGGGTGCCCTCTGGCCTTGCTCTTCTCTGAAGCTTGGAAGCACTATTTTACCCAGGTCCTTGACTTTGAAGATGGTCATCAAAACAGGGCAGAGATACCCAAAAGAGCTACACCATCATGTAGGGAGTGACTGGCCCAGGCCATCCTTCATGATCCCATCCTCCCACTGTCTTGTGACAAGTAAAGCCTGGAGATAGAGGTCCAGATTATTCAGACGAAGGAAAAATGAGTCCCGATATGAGCAAGTACAAATCCACTACACACCCAGTCAACCAAGCAATCCAACATGTGCAGAAGCCCTACTTGTACGGCAGGCTAGAGACAGAGAATCAGAAATCAGAAGTGGTTTCTGTCTCTTGCCTTCAAGACCTCAGTAGGGAAGTATGGATGTGGCATAATAGAAAGATAATCACACCTGAGTTTGAATTTTGACTGTGACACCCAACAGCTATGAGATCACAGACAAGTAACCTTTGCGGGCCTCTGTTTTCCTCCTTTTCAAAATGGGGATACAAATATTCCCTACAAAGATGCTGTAAGGATTAGGTAATACATGTAAAGCACATAGCACAGAGCCTGATACATATGAGACATTCAATAAAAATAGTATTATGTTATCTAAACTTTGACTTCTTTATATGCAAAATGGGAATAATCAGATTCTGCAGGACTGTCTTGAGGATTCAGGGATAGTGTGCACGTAAAGCATCTGGCATGGCATATCCCCCCAGCAAAGCGGAAGCTATCTGCAGCAGGGCATAACAGCACCAGGGTGTGCTAGGCTTCTAAACTGGGAAAGCGACTAGCAACTGGAAGGTAATCTGCAGACAATTTGTAACTCTTTGGTTATAATACCTTAACACCAGAAGGAGCATTTGCAGAGACTTAAGTCTGCCTACCTCATTTTGTAGCAATCTCAAGTCCACAAAATACTTAAGGCTTCAAGTGCATGTTGTTCTAGCTAAAATGAAAGGTTCCAAGGAACAAAATGTCCTTCAGAAAATCTAGTGTTACACTCACAAAGACAATGATTTTCCCCTTCCTTTCACTTCAACACATGCCATACTTGTGAATTCTGGCCACAGTCCAAAGTCATTAACTTCTATAAAGCAATATTTTCAGCAAGGGGGTAAAAATCTCAGAAGTACTTCAAGATGCCAGTTCTACTGAATAGCTAACACACACTCTGTCAACACCCTCCTTCCCAAAATAATCTCATTGTCTACACAAATGGAGACACTGCAAATTAGCCTGGGTTTGGGGCCTGGCTCCGAAGGGTTGATTTTCTAAAACTGAAATTCAAGTAGACACTGGAATGGGGCAAGGGAAAAAATTCACACTGTGTTCCTCTGTTCTGTCTGATCAGTTTACCTGACCCTTTTATGATCTTCAGCAAGCATGGGGTGCCAAAGGCATTTGGCCAGTGTAACAGGAGCTGGGGCTTGAATTTCTCTCCCTTCTCTTGGGTTCTTCTTTCACAGTTATTTACCTAATGGAAATTTCCTCTTTAATATCTTTGCCTCACTGAGTAATTGCTGGTGGCAGTATCTTCCTTGTCACCAGGGAAGATGGTAACCAAATACAACAGGAAAAGAGAGAAGTGGCAGGACTCCGTAGTGTGATGGAGAAGTTTTATATTCTTCCAAGTACAGATGCTCCTTGACTTATGATGGGATTACGTCCGGGTAAGCCCATTTTTAAGTTGAAAAGGCTTTAAGTAAAAATGAATTTCATACACCTAACATATCTAAACATGCCCGGAACACTTACATTAGCTGACAGCTGGGCGAAGTCATCTGGCAGCAGGGCCCACTGTAGAGTATTTGTTCCCTCTTCATGATCACGTGGCTAACTAGGAGCTGCGGCTGCCCTAGTGCCCAGCACTGCGACAGAATCGGATCACATGTCACCAGCCCAGGAAGATCAAAACTCAAAATCTGAAGTACAGTTTCTACTGAATGCATATAGCTTTTACGTCATCGTCAAGTCAAAAAATTGTAAGTTAAACCACCACAAGTCAGAGACTATACAAGGTTGTACAGCTGCAAACCTCAGCTACCAGCACAGCTCTAATTCTAATCAGCATTGTCTGCAATAAGCTATGTCTGAACTCATAAATTTGGAAAACCCAACTATCTATTGTGCCTCTAAGTAAGGCTGCCATGAACTTTGTGGGAGTTGCCACGATGTAGTCAAACAAGCAGGAGCAAAGGAATCAAATCTTACCCTGACAGTTACCAAACACGCATGCTGGTGGAAGAGGCTTAATTTCTCTGAACCTCAGTTTATCCATCTGCTAAAATCACATACTTTCTACTGTAAGGGATTGCTCTTTTTTTTTGCTGGCTGAGTCTCAGTCTGTTACCCAGGCTGGAGTGCAGTGGTGCGATCACAGCTCACTGCAACCTCCACCTCCTGGGTTCAAGCGGTTCTCATGCCTCAGCCTCCCGTAGCAGGGATTACAGTTGTGTGCCACCACGCCTGGCTAATTTTTGTATTTTTAGTAGAGACAGGGTCTCACCGTGTTGGCCAGGTTGGTCTTGAACTCCTGGCTTCATGTGATCTGCCTACCTCGGCCCCACGAGGTGCTAGGATTACAGGCATAAGCCACCGAGCCTGGCCTGCAAAGGACTGTTTTGAAGAGTTAAGAGAATAATTAATGCAAAATGTTTGGTGTAGCATTTGGCCAACACTTTTTACAAGTTTCTTAGAAGTAGTATGGGACTTTCAATTTCAGAGTCATTTTCAACTCTGCTGGTATACTACTAGGAAAACCATCTTTGAGTCATGTAAGACCTAAGTCACTTCAAAACGAAAGTCTTCACCACTGACTTCCGTTTCATACTGTCAAAATATCCACAGTTAAAAAGTATTCTGAGTGTGAGTTTTGCCTTGATGTTGAAGAACCCTTTTGTGATACTCATAAACAGAGAAGAGTTAAAGGAAAATGTGACCTGAAAAGCAGTGAATATCTATTGTTGATAAAAGGCAAACCAAACAGCTAGTCCTCACTCAGCCAAATCACGAAAGGGTGGGGAGGCTGGGAAGAGGCATTTAAAAAAAAAAAAAAGGCACGGAACAAGTTGAGGTTTGGCAAGAAGGAAGCATTTCTGGATTCCAGATTTCTATCCACTAGAAGAGGAGTGCTTTTGTCTGTTTTCAGTTCTACTTGGTTATGGATTATGTATAGCCCTTAAGGCAAAGAGAAAAAAAGGGGAGGAATCCAGAAAGGGGACCCTGAATAAAAACAATACAGGCATTTTAAAGTTGGGACTGACATCCTAATTCCAGTAATATGCCTAAGCCAATGACCTTGCTTTTTTTTTTTTCCTGGTCTCTGGAGATCTAAAAGCCCTCCTACCCTAAGATGCACACCATGTTGCTATTTCACGGATAAACACTTATCAGGCAACAGACACTCCTTTTTCAGTTAAGAAACAAAGTTATCTAAAGCCACCCAGAATTATCTCAGCACCCAAGGTTGAAACACATGCAAGGAAGTCAGGCCTCAGGACTGTCCTGCTGTCTTAACTAACCCAAGACACACGCCTGCTGAACTGGCAAGTTTCTCTTGCTATTCTGCAACTCTGACCCAGTTGTGAACTCAGATGCTGTTTCAGATTAATCTGGAAGCTCAGAGTGGTTTGAAGCATTCCCATAATAGGATTTTGCTTTTTCCTTAAAAAGGATTGGTGGAGTATGCTATAAAGTAAAAACCGCAGAAATAAGCAGGATGTACACAGGTAGAATCAAGACAACTGATCTTCAACATAGAGAAGTCGGGGCTTAGTCAAATCCTATTTTCCCTATAGTTTTTCTACATTGATTATAAAGAATTATGAAGGAAGGATGAATCCTGAAGCCCAGCTGTGGATGGAATTGTGTCCTGCCTTTCAGCTCTTCATCAGCTAGGACCCAGTGTAGGACTTTTTGGCAGAAGGGGGGTATGCTTATGTTGAAAATGCCAGACCCCTACTTGTCTGTTGCTGAAACCCCATGAAGCATGCAGAGGGAAGCCTGAAGACAGGTTTCCATACAGTTAGCACTGGCCATGGGGAATATGCCTTCCCACCCCATGAGAGCTCCTGTTTTGCCATTCTAACAAGGTTTTTGCATAAATAGCTTGTGCCTCAGTACTGAACCAGGAGATAGATTATAATGCAGGAAAAAAAATTCCCTCTATGGCGGTCACACCATAAAGCCTGATTTGGCAGATAACTTATTTCAACTCCAAGAAAACACACAGGCTCTCAAAAGCAGAGTCCTGATGCCAACTCTTGTCATTAGTATCAGCTGGGTGAACATGAGCAAAAGACACACTCTCTTTAGAATCAGTGTCTTCATCTACAAAACAGGGAGAACACCACCCATGGAGTTACCCACGGCGACCTTGGTTACGAAAGCACTTGGAAAAAAACACAAATCAAAGGGTTATTACTGGAAATCCTATCCTTTCTTCCAATGAGTGCTCTCCGGTTCCCTCCTCTTTCTCCCCCACTGAATCTTGCATGTCTCATCCTAAACTATGGAAATCACCTCATGCCCATTCTGGAACAAAGGAAAGCATAAATATGTCAATTAAAATCGCAAAATACAGAACTTTAGAAATGAAACCGAACATTCCTCAACAGAAAAGAAGCTCAAGATGATCTCCTTCCTAGTCACAAGACCTCCATTCTTACAAAGTACTTTGTATTTATTTCAAATGAATAAATATATTCACTTTAATGCCAAAGGCTTAGAAGAAAGGAGGCTGATGACATCAGAGAGAATAATCATAGATGCTGGGCACCAGTATAAGCTGAGCTTCTTGTGGCAAAAGTAAAATAGGTTTCAAGGGTTTGGAATAAGTTTTTTGAGGTTTTTAGAAAGAAATCCGTTCCCAACTATTTCTTTAAATAAATTAAGTTTTAGATGAGTGTGTGGCAGAGTAGGTAAGGGCAAACTTCCAAGTACTGAAGACCACAGTGGAACTTCTGGAATCATAAGCATCAGCCAACAACGTTCGTCATGTGCCAGCCACTGTCTTTGGGGCCTCTCATCAATGAAATATTTAACTAGCTTAATCCTCACAACAATCCTGTGAGGTAGTATTATTATGCTCATTTTACAGATAAAGCTGGAAAGACCATGAGCATTTCCAGCAAAAGTCTGCTAAGTATCTATGTGTGATACTGGGTAACCTAGAGAGGTAACCCAACCATGACTTTTGCTATTGTCTTCGTAGAAAAATTCCTTCCTAAATGCCAGTGAAAATTATACAGAGATATCAGGCATATCTCTTTTCTCTCCCAAGTAGCAGAACTGACAAAGGAAGGCAGCTGACAAAAGTATATTAAAAAATTTCTGAAAAATTACATGCAAATATCTGGACAAGGAAGAGGAGTCAGGCTCCAGTGTTCTTTCTTGATCCATATCCGTAACTCAGACACCTGGCCCACTTCCATCACCCAGACCTTTCCGGAGGCCACGTGGCCTAGAATCTACTTCTTTTCCCAAAGCTACTACTCTGACAATCTGAAACAGGTCCCAAAGAAATAGGAGGCTTGGTACATGTCCGTTATGTGGATCACATCACACCACACCAGCTTACATTACTAGTATGTACCATTTATACTAGGAAGAAAGATGGAGGCCAGACTGGGGTGGAGATTGGGACCAGTGATTTCAAGAGGTGCTGCCTATGGAGGAGAGGTCTCCTCTTCCACCCCAGCTTCTTATAGGAGAATGATTTCCTGAAGGACGTAGAACACCAAAGCTAAAACATTTGCTAAGTTAGAGCTGGTCTGGTCAAGCAAACTAACTCCAAAAGAAGCTACTGCTCTGGAAAGGCCTGTTTCATGTACCAGTAATGGACATATATGGAGATACAAATATAGGGGGATATGGAAAGAAAGAGGACTATGGAGAGAAAGAGGACTATAGAGAGAAAGCAGGCAAAACCAACCATGCTCCTAGGGTAAAAAAAGAAGATTTTGAAAGTTCATTTGGTTCAATCTTCATTCCTCTTGATCTTTGCCATTGTTCTTTTTTTTTTTTTTCTTTTTTGAGAGGGAGTCTTGATCTGTCACCCAGGCTGGAGTGCAGTGGCATGATCTTGGCTCACTGCAACCTCAGCCTCCTAGGGTCAAGCAATTCTCCTGCCTCAGCCTCCTGAGTGACTGGGATTACAGGCACGCGACACCATGCCTGGCTAATTTTTGTATTTTTAGTACAGATGGGGTTTCACACCATGCTGGCCAGGCTGGTCTCAAACTCCTGACCTCATGATCCGCCCACCTTGGCCTCCCAAAGTTCTGGGATTACAGGTGTGAGCCACCATGTCCAGCTGATCTTTGCCAGTCTTCTGCTATTCAAAATACCCCTGACCCATCTAAGAGTAATACACCATTCACAGTGGAAACTAAGCTATTGTTTCTAACAACTAACTTTTTATGGTGGTGGGTAGGATAGACCTGCATTTTGGGAAAGCTACACATGCAAAGCTGATACTTCACTTCTAGCAATGTCCAGGGAAGTTATTTATACACAAGTGTCATGTATCTGGGTAAGACCACCAATTGGGAACTGGTCTTTAGCATCTGGGAGAACAAAGAAGTTGAACCTGTCTTTTGCAGAGGAGGTAGAATGGGAATGGGAGGTAGTTCAAATCTAAGGTACTTAAATTAAGTCCTGTCTCATTTCTTTAGAAAACTGGCTTGATCCCAGGCTCAAATGAAAGGTCAAAAGAAGGTTCTTTTAAAAATGAACTCAAATGTTCCCATTTTTTTTCAGATGGGCTAAAATAGGAATAAACTTGCAGCTTAGCTACTTCCCAACAGTTCCTCAGAAACCTCTGGTCTTTGCCTAGGATTTGCCTAGGATGTCCCTTGGATTCCTCAGTGGCCTTTCAGTCGTCATTCCAACCTTTGCTATCTCTCAATCCACAAAGGGTGACCTGGGAAAGGACATTAAAAATTCACACCCATCTACTTCCAGCAGATCTGGTGTCTTGAACCTGAATTAGTCATCTCCAGGTTAACTGATTTCAGGTCTGAAAAGTCCTGGACTATGGAAGAGAACAGAATCCACTTAACTCAACATCTGCCCTTTCCAAAGGTGGCTACACGGCCTATCCTGATGCCTTTTGTTGATTTTAAGAGAAAACCTTCAACGACTAGAAAGATAGGAAAATGAGAGATCTGGTTCAATGTACTTTTTACTTAGAAGAGAACTAATTAACCCTTGTTTATAAAAAAGATTCACCAACTTTCCTGCTTAAGCAGAACGGATTCTTCAGGACTCAGTTTCCTTAAGTCCTCTGTTGTGACTCCAGGGGTTGAAGCTGATTACTTTCTACCTCACACACACTGTCTCTGACCTCATCTTTCTATTGTCTATCCCAAGAAAAAGAATCCTTCCTCTAGACTCTTCCCTTTAAGCATCAGGCTTTGATCCTTTCAAAAATACAAGTCCCTCTGGGAAACTCCTGCTAATATTTACCCCTTGCCGCAAATAAAAAGTTAAAAATGCAGGGGAGGTATGCATGGGGGAAAATTTAAAAACTGGGTATCTGAGGTAGAAGGAAAGAAGAAGTTTAACTCCTCTCTGGAGAAAAATAACATTGGCCAGAACCTCTAAAATCTTTCTTATACAATGTCAGGAATTCAATTAAAATTTCCAGATATGTAAGAAAACAGGACTAAATGACTGAAGACTAAGAAAAAAAATACAAGATTCATCACTGGTATAGTATGATTACTATCTTCAGAAGAAAAATAAGATGGACAGTTTTACCAGAAAACTAACATTAAGATTTTAGTAAATGGTGAAACAGCAGAGTCGACAGAATTAGCAAACTAGAAAATGAGGTAGTAAAAAATATCCAGATGAAACATGAAGAAAAACCAAGGGGGTGAAAATACAGAAAAGAGCATGAGAGGTGTAAGTGACATAGTAAAAAAGGTCCAAATTCTGCATAACTGGAGTCACAGAAGGAAAAGAAAGAAAAAAAAGGGGGCAGAAACAATATTTAAAGTGACGCTGGCCAAGAGTTTCCCAAAATCGTCCAAAGACTTCACTGCAAATTCAAGAAGTTCTACAAATCCCAAGCCTGAGAATCATATCGAGGCATATTATTAATAGAAACTAAAAACAAAGAGTAAATCTTGAAGTTGTCAAAGAAAAAAAAGGACACATTACCTTTGAAGGACAAACAATAATACTGAAAGCTGTTTCAAGAGAAATGGATGGAACAACAATGGGATGATATCATAAAAGACTGAAAGAATAAACATAGTAAAAATATCTTTCAAAAATATAGGTGAAAGAAAGATGTTTTCTGAAGCTGGGCACGGTGGCTCACACCTGTAATCCCAGCACTTTGGGATGGGCGGGCGGATCACCTGAGGTCAGGAGTTCAAGACCAGCCTGGCCAACATGGTGAAACCCTGTCTCTAAAAAAATATACAAGTTAGCCGGGCACGATGGCGGGTGCCTGTAATCCCAGCTACTCAGGGGGCTGAGGTGGGAAAATCGTTTGAATCCAGGAGGTGGAGGTTGCAGTGAGCCAAGATTGTGCCACTGTACTCCAGCCTGGACAACAGAACAAGACCATCTCAAGAAAAAAAAAAAAAGAAAAACAAAACTGAGATAATTCATTGCCATAAGAGCCACAAAAGGAAGTTCTTTAGCAGAAGGAAAAGGGCCCAGATGGAGGTATGGATAGGCAAAGAAAAGAATAAAAGACGCAGACGGGATAAATATGTGTAGAGATCTAACGGATATCAATTATTTAAGCCAAAAAAAAAAATCATGTTTTGTGAGGGTTAAACATAATGTAAGTAGAACTAAAATACATGACAATAACAGCAAAAAAGACAGGAAAAGGCAAATGGAGGTCAACTGGTATAAGGACTGTGCATTGCCTGGGAAGCAAGAAAAAAAGAAAAAGAAGCAAAATAAAGATGGGACCAAAAAATACTCTCTAATCAAGTAACTCCCATAATGGAGAGACTTTTATATGTGTTGCAGGAAACATGAACAAGAATATTTGTAACAACATCAGTTCATGCCAGCAAAAACACTGGAACAGTCCAAATGTCTAATAGTAAAATAAATAAACTGTAGCACATTCCTGCAATGGAATACTATACAGCAGTGACAATGAATGAACTACAGCTACATATATCAACATGCATGAATCTCAAAAATGTCACAGTAAGTGACAAAAGGTCACAAAAGAATATATTCAGTATGACTTATATGTGAGTTAAAAACAGGCAGAATTAAAAATATATGTTTGGTAAAACTGTAAACAGAAGAGAAAGATTTGATTAAAACAATATTCAGGACAGTGAACACCTCAGGGTATAAAGTGAAGGAAGAAGATGTCACCTGGAAGGCTTGAAAAGTACTGGTATATTCTACTGTCTAAGCTAAGTGCTAGGTCCTTGTTTTCATTTCATCATTCTTTAAACTGAACATATACTACGCAATATTCTAATGATCAACTCTTCTACAATTTAAAAAATGTAATGGAACTTGTTTTCTAAGCATGCTACCAAAGGCAGAATTCAATTTAAGAAATAAACCTTAGGCTGGGCATGGTGGCTCACGCCTGTAATCCCAGCACTTTGGGAGGCCGAGGTGGGAGGATGACTTGAACCCAAGAGTTCAAGACCAATCTAGACAATATGGCAAGATTCCGTCTCTATAAAAATTAGCTGGGCGTGGTGGCATGCACCTGTAGTCTCAGTTACTCAGGAGGCTGAGGTGGGAGGATGGCTTAAGCCCAGGAGACGTAAAGGCTGCAGTGAGCTGTGATGATGCCACTGCACTCCAGCCTGGGTGACAAAGCCAGACCCTGTCTACAGAGAAAAGGAAAAAAAAAAAAAAAAAGTAAGGGAAATCTTGGAAACAATCACTTAGCAAAAGTTTTGAGAAGCTGACTAAATAGTAATGGAGAATTATAATAACTTGTATATTCAAACAAGTTAGCCACAGAAACTTGAAACTCTTCTGTTGAAACACACAATATAAGTTTGTTTCATGTAACTTTAGTTTCACCTTCGTTTACAGCCACACTGTCCAATAAGTTGACACACTACAGAGCACTTAGAAGGTGATTAGTACTACAGATTAAGATATGCTATACAATGTATAAAATATATAATAAATTCAAAGACAGTGGGAAAAATATAAATCAATTTTTACATATTGATTACATATTGAAATAATATTTGAAACATAATGAGTTAAATCAAAACATTAAAAATAAGTTCACTTGTTTCTACTTTTTTAATCTGACAAGAGAATTTCTATCAGATAGTGTTGTTTTAGAGATCTGACTCTAAAAAGTTTAAGGACACAGCTTATTAAAATTAAACTCAGAAAGTACCAATATACAGGATAAATATGTGTAGAGATCTAAATTATATCAATTATTTAAGCTAAAAAAATCATGTTTTATGAGGGTTAAGCATAATATAAGTAGAACTAAAATACATGACAATAACAGCAAAAAAGATAGGAAAAGGCAAATGGAGATAAAGTGGTATAAGGACTATGCATTGCCTGGGAAGCAAGAAAAAAAGAAAAAGAAGCAAAATAAAGATGGGACCAAAAAATACTCTCTGATCAAGTAATGAATTTCAGTTAATTCCTTCCACATAGACTTTAGATGACCAATGATATCTTGCAAATGACTGCTATCGCTTAAACAGAAAACAACAGATGAAAGGTATTGATTTGGATTGAAGAAGAAAGATCTTTGCGACTCCAGATGGAAATATCTAGCAGGAAGGTGGG
This sequence comes from Homo sapiens, assembly GCF_000001405.40. Taxonomy (NCBI): domain Eukaryota; kingdom Metazoa; phylum Chordata; class Mammalia; order Primates; family Hominidae; genus Homo; species Homo sapiens. The sequence continues at coordinate 12,441,676 of NC_000001.11, read as the reverse complement.
GGGACAGCTCATTATGGAGTCGTGCCAACATCAGCTACTACTTTTATCGTTCCTGCCACCAGCAGGAACCCTTCAAATCTGTGACTTCTCAACTTCGACCTGGTCCTCAGGAATGCCTGTCCATGCACACAAACCACTGCTTCTACCCACTGTGCTGCCTCTGCACGTGGCTTTCTGAGTGTGGGTATCCGACTGTTGTGTGACCATTTGTTCATATCTCTTTTCTTCACAAGGCTGGTTGGGGTGCTGCATACAATGCTGAAAAGCTGGCGTCCATGCTTTAATGACAGGAGGCCACCCTGGTCATCTTTGTACCCTGTCCCCCGCCCCGGACAGTGCCTGAAACACAGTTCGAGTGCAATAGAGATTTGCTTTGTATTCCTTTTCAACTCCATCCCCATTTCATACAAATGACAGATTCTATTTACTTCACTAAGAAAAACAAATCTTGGTTGGGCACAGTTGCTCACACCTGTAATCCCAGCACTTTGGGAGGTTGAGATGGGCAGATCACCTCACGTCAGGAGTTTTGAGACCAGCCTGGTCAACATGGCGAAACCCCGTCTCTACTAAAATTACAAAAATTAGCCGGGCATGGTGGCGCATACCTGTAGTCCCAGCTACTCAGGAGGCTGAGGCAGGAGAGTCGCTTGAACCCAGGAGGCGGAGGTTGCAGCGAGCTGAGATTGCACCATTGCACTCCACCCTGGGTGACAAGAGTGAAACTCCATCTCGAAAGAAAAAAAAAAATCTTTTCCTCCCTTCATTTTATTTTTTAATTTTATTATTTTTTATTTTTTTGAGGCAGAGTCTCGCTCTGTTGCCCAGGCTGGAGTGCAGTGGCACGATCTCAGCTCACTGCAACCTCTGCCTCCCAGACTCAAGTGATTGTCACGCCTCAGCCTCCCGAGTAGCCAGGATTACAGGTGTCCACCACCACGTCCAGCTAATTTTTGTATTTTCAGTAGAGATGAGGTTTTGCCATGCTGGCCAGGCTGAGCTCCAACTCCTGGCCTCAAGTGATCCACCCACCTCAGCCCCACAAAGTGCTGGGATTACAGGTGTGAGCCACCGCGCCTGGCCTCCTTCCTTCACTTTAAATTGCATAAATAGACTGACTCTTCCAAGAATTCAAACCCTTCTTCTGTGCTCTTGTAAGACCCTGTCCTGCATATTACTACTGCTCTGTCAATCATCTCTTTTCTCATCGCTTCAATCTTTGCAGCCTCTTCCTCTTAATCTACACAACCTTAAAAAAGCCTGCCTTTAGCTTTCCCTCGCATTCAAGCTGCTGCTCCAGCCCTGCTCTTCCCTCTACAGCCATATCTTTTAAGAGTGTTCTACACTTATTGCTGACACCACCTCTTATTTTTCATTCACTGAAAACCCCCAAAGCATATACTGATAGCAAATATGCCAGGAATCAAAACACAAAATGATGTCCCTCAATACTGAAAAGCCTGGATGTAACTGGAAATATGGCAAACATATTTAGTAACGGTTGCTTACAGATTTCTCAGCGCCTCTCTCTCTCAGAGGAGCCCAGGCATCACTTGTTCTTGGGCGGCAATGTAGAAAGCTTAGTGGAGTATCCAACAGGCAGCATCTAGGGAGCTAAGAGATTCTAATGCAGTATTCCCTTTAAAACATTTGAATGTGTTCATATCACTACAAATGTGCATACAAATTCATAGAGCCAATATTCACTGCAGACATAAATGAGGGTGAGGCATCCATAGGAAAACAGCACAGTAAAGTAGAAATCAGAAAAGCTCTGGGGTCACACATTAGGGTTCAAATGTGTGACCTCAAAGTGGTTTCACTTATTGGCTGCGTGATCTTGGGAAACTTCTCAGAGCCTCAGTGTCTTCATCTATAAATGGAGATAATGCCTAACTCCAAGGGTCTGTCTGTTCCTTCCTTCTTCCCTTTCTTCCCTCCTATCAATAAAAACTTACTTAGCACTATTTGCCAGGCACTGTTCTAAGGGCTGGGGATGTAGCAGTGAACAAAACAGACAAAACTTTCAGCCCTCATGAGATTTACATATACTATGGACTGAGTGTGTCCCTCCAAAATTCGTATGTTGTATGAAAATTCATGTCACATTTCAGTTGTATTCATAGCTGTACAGAAAATAAATAGTATAAAGAAGTAAAATAAAAGCAGTAACAAAAGTAGAAAAACAAGAGGGGAGGAGGAGAAGAGGTATAGCTGGAGGGGGCTGCAATTTTAGATGGGGGAGGGGATGTCAGGAAGGGCCTCCCTGAGAAAGTGACATTTGGATAAAGAAAATGTAGATGAAAACCATGTGGCCATAGAACATTCCAGGAAGAGAACACTGAGTGCAGAGACCTTGGAGTGGACGTTTGAAGGCAGAGGGTTGAGAAGCAGCGAGAACAGTGTGGCAGGAGCTGGTGAGGGGTGGAGGGTGGTGAGACAGTGAGGCACCAGGTCAGAAAAGGCCTGCAGGAGGCTGACCTCGTGGGCTTCGTGAGGTTGCACAAGCTGGAATTTTCTATGTGGAGTGAAACGGGAAGCCTCTGGAGGGGCTGGGTGACCAAATCTGTTATGTTTTGACAGGATCACTCTAGTTGTTGTACTGAGGTTCAATGTCAGTAGTAGGAAGCAAGGGTGCAAGGAGAAGTGTACTACAATAAAAACCAGGCCAAAGATGAACGAGGACTAGAAGGTGGGCGCGGGAGGGATATGTTCAGATTCGGGATCTGCTGAGGGACTGGACATGCGGCATGACCGAAAGGAGCCAAGGATGACTCCAAAGTATTTGAGCAACTGGCAGAAAGGAGATGGAGAAGAATAGCCAAAAAGCTATGAAGTGGCTAGCGCTATGCCTGGCACACAGGAGAGGATCAAATATTAGTTCTTCTTTACATGTCAAAATTTCAGTTCTGACTCAGAGCACAGGCAGCCAGCTCTAACGTGCAAGCGTCCCAACACTTGTTAACTTCCTCTCAAAACCAGAACACCTCTCATTATCTAATTCTTCTTTTGCCAGGGAGGAGGAGGTGAGATCTTAGGTTTCATGTGGTCGGCAAGGGCTGGGTGCTGATCTGTGTTTCCCCACTGAACAGGGAAGGATCAATGAAAAAGACAAGTAAACCACATGGTAAAAACTCAAGAAAATTTTAAAGAAACAGCATTCTGTGTTATGTGCTGTCTCAGTGTGTTCATGCTGCTACAACAAAATACCGTTAACTGAGTGGCTTACAAACAGCAGAAATTTGTTTCTCACAGTTCTGGAGGATGGGAAGTCCAAGATCAAGGTGACAGCAGATTCGGTGTCTGATTCAATGTCTGATGAGGGCCTGCTTCCTAGATGGCCATCTTTTCACTGTAACCTCACACGGTAGAAGGGTGGGCTAGCTCTCTGGGGTCTCTTTGATAAGGGCACCAATTCCTTGATCTAATCACCCCCAATGACCTCTTGACACCAACACCTTTGGGGTTAGAATTTCAACATATGAATTCTGGGGGGACACATTCAGTCCATAGTATAAGAAAATTTCTCTAAGTCCTATAACAGAGACTCAGTTTACTGAGTTCAGGACATAAGTGATGAGCTACAGATGCTCAAGTTTTAGGGGATGGGGGTGGGAAGACAGCTACGGAACACACATCAAGGTGTGCTAAGAAAGCCAGGGCTAGGAGAGTATATCCAGACTGATATTTTCCCAGGTTTTGCTCAGGGAACCCTTTCATTGCCACATTTGCCAACCAGCTCAACCTAAGTTCAATTTTAGGAGTCAAAGGGCCCAGCCTGTCTCCCATCCCAACAGCTGGAAAGATGCCATCCAGCACTGTAATTTTTGAGCGCAGGGAAAACATCAGGGCTCAAAGGTTCCAAGAAGTCCACAGGAAATCTACCTAGCCTTAGTCTAAACAATTGCAGAAAAACAGTCATTCCTGTCTCAAGATAAACATCCACTTTTAGTCTATACATGGAAAACTAAAACTACGAATCAAAAATTGGATACTGTTAGTTGCCTTGAATGGAAAAAGAAAGGATGGATTTCCAGAGAAAAATCTACTCATTGGAATGGATGGGGGAGGGGAGGGTTGGGTTAGAAAACCATGAACCACATTCCCATATGTAATGTGCTCTTCCCTCTCAAATTTAGCTCAAATCTAGTTTAGCTTTGTGTAAAGAAAATGGTGGAACAGTTGAATGGCCAGTCAAATGGGGTCAGATAGTTTCCCAAAATGTGGTTTGGGGATCAATGGCAAACACTTCATCTGTTGAGCTCCAAATTGCACAGGAAAGCACAAAGAATGCCCCCCTCCCTCCTTTCGTCCTGCCTTTCTAATCAGTTGTTTTAGGGTCTAAAGGCCTTTTCCTTTCACAAGGACCCTTAGTTTGTTTCCTCTGGGCTTTAGGGAGGGTGAATTTCTACTCTAGATGGAGATATTAGGTTAATGAGAAATGCTGGAGGCAGTTCATGACTTTGCACTAGACTGAGTCACTCTGGTCAGAAAGAACAGTTTGGTAACTCTGCAATCTACCTACTGCAAACAAGCCATGACTTGGTTTGGTTTTAGCTCTAATTATATAAAAAGTGAGTCAGGGTTTTTGGGTACCCCCCTCCCGCCGCCACACACACACACACGGTGTGACAGGCTGTTGTTTTTGTTTGTTTGGGCCCGCTCAGTGAAAGGTATAACTGTTTTACCCACATAAAAATACTTGCAAAGGCCAGGAGCGGTGGCTCACGCGTGTAATCCCAGCACTTTGGGAGGCTGAGGTGGGTGGATCACCTGAGGTCGGGAGTTCGAGACCAGCCTGACCAACATGGAGAAACCCTGTCTCTACTAAAAATACAAAATTAGCCAGGCGTGGCGGTGCATGCCTGTAATCCCAGCTACTCGGGAGGCAGAGGCAGGAGAATTGCTTGAATCTGGGAGGCGGAGGTTGCGGTGAGCCGAGATCACGCCATTGCACTCCAGCCTGGGCAACAAGAGCAAACCTCCGTCTCAAAAACAAAAACAAACAAAAAAAAACTTGCAAAAAATAATAGTTAACATTGTATATATGCAGATTATGGTCAAATCATGACAAATAACAATACTAGGCTCAAAAAGTGAAACATTCAGTTAAGTCTCTTCCCCTTTAAATTCACGTGGTGGGTGGGGGCGAAACAAGGGAAAACAAAGGGATGTACAATGAGCCAGTCTTTCCCCACTAGGCCAGCTCCTCATTCCAGAGGCCCACCTGCTAAGCTCCACTGACCCCTCCCTAGTCCTGCTGCTGCACACCCCAGGCTCCCTCCTGCTGGGACTGCTCCCTGTGTGCCTCTTCTTGTCCCCACCTGTCTCTTGTCCACATGGCAAGCATCTCCTTGGACTTCAGGATTGGGCACCGGCGTGCCTTCCCCTGTACAGACCTTCCTTGTCCTGGGTAGAAGAGTCCACCCCTTCCTGAGATCCCCCTACAGGAACCCCCACAGACACCAAACTCAAACCTGGAACACTTTCCCACATGTGTGTGACTGCAAGTCCTCCTCCCCTGCTGGATGGTGACCCCAAGGGGAGAGGGCTTTGTTTTGTTTATGTCTGTGTCCCCTGTGCCTAGCACAGAGCCTGGCATTTCTAGTTGTCCATACATAGTTGTGAACTTGCTCTAGAGACACAATAAATAGACCTGTTAACATGAGGTTATGCTTTTTGCACATAAATCTATAGTCAGCTCGATGTGTAGAGTTAGAGCAAAGTCAAAACTCCTTCACTAAGTGTCTCAGACAGGGTTAGAACAATTTCCTGGTTTCGGCCACACACTTTGGCCTGGATGGTACAGCATCTACAAAAGAGCTAATTATACAACACAGGGTAGCACAGGAAATGACTTTAAACTGTGACTCAAATTCTCTGTATCCCCTTGATAATACAGCCTTACATGGTTAATCCCTGCAAATATATCGCAGAGAGGTTCGAGAATGAAGCCTACTAGATAGAGTGCTGCTTTTGCACTGGTATTAAGAGGACGGGCTCTGAATCAGAGAATCTCGGTTCTTAGCCTGGCTCTCCTTGTAACCTTGGGCAAATTAGTTAATTTCTCTGAACGTCAGTATCCTCATTTACAAACTAGCATTCCACAGGGTCGTTATGAGGATTAAACAAATCAATTTGTATGAAGACTCAGAACAGTACCTGGCACATAGTGAAGCAGTCAATAAATATGAGTATCTTTTTGTTGTTGTTGTTCAGACAGGGTCCTGCTCTGTCACCCAGGCTGGAATGTGATGGTGCAAACACAGCTCACTGCAGCCTCAACTTCCTAGGCTCGGATGATCCTCCCACCTCAGCCTCCCATGTAGGTGTGACTACAGGCGGGTGCCACCACGCCCAGCTAATTTTTGTATTTTTTAGACTTTTTTTTTTTTTGGTCATGTTGCCCAGGCTGGTCTCGAACTCCTGAGTTCAAGCAATCTGCTCACCTCAGTCTCCCAAAATATTAGTACCATTTTTAAAGCTATCCATTCAGTTACTAAATTCAAAACTTATTTCAACTGGGCAATCAGTATCAGTGTCTATCCCATGTTTTCTGTATAGCAATGCTGAGAAATAAAGATAAATGTAATTAACATTTTAAACACTTACGGTAAGGATACACTAACATATTCCGCAGGGCTAAGTTAACTACTCCATTGTAACTATTTATTTCATAAACTGCATGGCAAGCCTGACAAGCCTACTGGTCAACTTTGACAAAAGATTATGTGAGACAAATGCCAAGGAAATACAAAATTAACATTGTTGTTACTCCTTATCAGACCACAGACAAAAACAAACCCACCAACAGTCCAGAATGAAGGAAACAGGTTGTTGGCTTTTGATTGGAATTTCCTAGGATTGTTACCATGTAGTACAAGATTAATCTAAATGTTTCTTTGTGCACAGACAAGCTTATGTGGAATGTATCAGAATAATATAATAAAGGCTTAGGTTTATGTGTGAACAAAACTGCTTTCAAAAATGTATCATTATCAGGCTGATTAAGAAAATACCACAGATTTAAACATACCTGAGGCCTATAAATAAGTTAGTTTGCTGCTTACTGGGGGTGGGGGGAATACACAGGCTAAATAAACAAACGAAAGTACAGGAAAATCAAACACTTTCAAATGAGCTTTCTTCCTTAAGTAGGTGTAACTAAAACCCAGTTGTATGCTAGGACTACTGAGTATTTTCAAGATAGTGCATGCTGTGGCATTTTAAACCACAGAGCCAAGCTGCTACCACCGCCACCTCAACCACCAAACTTTAAGAGCACACGCTGTGCACTGACTCATTTCATCCTCCCAGCAGCACCCTTCACAGCTGGCAAGTGGATTTTCCAAGCAAAAGGGAGAAACCTAGAACACACCACAAATAGGTACCTATTTTTGCCTTGATGTGTCAAAGTCAGAGAAAAGGGCAAAATTCAAGCAGCTGACCAACGGCATTTCAACAACAGGATGTTCCCAGGGAGACTGCGGCAAAAGATGTCTTTCACAGTATATGTAATTCCACAAAAATAGCAGTTAAAACCAATACGGCATCAGGCACAATGAATGACAATTTCAGGTTAGAAATAACCAAATGCTCAGCCTCTAATTTGTTTTCTTCTGTTTTGAGGGATAAAACAGAGGAATAAAGAATGTGCTGGAAATTTGGGGAATGCACTTCAAACTTCTTTCCTCCTCCTCCTCCTCCACACACACACACACACACACTCTCTCTCTCTCTCTCTCACTCTCTCTCTCTCCCCACCCCCTACCTCCTCCTCTTTGTAAAAGGCCTTTAATTAGCTCACATCCTATCCTGGCCAGGGCTGCCTAATACATTCTGACACCAGCCTGTTGGCCAGGCAGTGGGGTCTAAGTGCAGGCCTGATTAGCGGGATCCCAGTGGATCCCCTGCCGCTCTTATCTCCACAGATGCCTGATGAGTTTGGTATCTTCCTCCCAGCCCTCCCGGGAAGCTGCCCCAGCAGGTGCCCATTGGCAATAGTTTTGTGTTACAGGCCTGAATGAATGATCCCCGCAGGAGCTGCCGACTGTTTTCACAGACACAGAAGGCAGTCAAAAGTCCACTGCGTGAACTTGGAATGACCCCAGCTGCAGAGTCACTGGCGGGTTCATCGGGAGGGCAGGCACGCTTTATTAAACAACTAATACTCTTCACAGATAACTTTCCGAAAAAGCAAAAGTGTTAACTCTTTGCAATCTTGCTCTGACAAAACACTTCAGCTGTGGCGGGGCTCCCTGTGTGACTGAGGGTCTGAACCCAAGTGAGGGCTCTGAGATGGAGGAATGGCGCCAGCAGGGACCATGATTTCATCTGGCCTGAAGAAGGGTTGGGACTCAGTCACCATTTGGTCTACTGTTTTGTTGTTGTTTTTTTGTTTTTTTGTTTTTTTTTTTTCCCCAAGCGTTCCAGATTAAAGCGAAAAGGCAAAAAGCAAAGGTTTCGAGCACCTACTCCAGGGAGGACAGTGTGGCTGGGAGTCAGCCTGACAGTTACAGCCCCCAGCCAGGCCGGCTCTCAGCACCTCCAGAACAAGAGGGTGGCCCCTGGCTCATTCTGCCACATGCCTGTGCACCCTCGCAGATATGCGTGGGCCCCCATGGGGCTTCCATTCTAAGTTACCAGGAGAGAAAAGGTACTAAGGTACTAAGCTGTGAAGGCCATTGCAAACTCTCATCACCTGTGGGACTGGTGGGGCAGTCATTTTGTTGGCAGCAGCCAGATGCTGTGCAGTGGGTTCCCTTTAGAAGGAGGACTCAGACGCCAGGCACAGTGGCTCATGCCTGTAATCCCAGCACTTTGGGAGGCTGAGGCAGGAGGATCACTTCAGCCCAGGAGTTAGAGACCAGCCTGAGCAACATAGAGAAACCCCATCTCTACGAGAAAAAAAAATTTAGCCAGGTGTGGTGGTGTGCTCCCGTAGTCCCAGCTACTCAGGAGGCCGGGTTGGGAGGATTGCCTGAACCCAAGAAGCAGAGGTTGCAGTGAGACAAGATGGTGCCATTGCACTTCAGCCAGTGAGACTGTCTTAAAAAAAAAAAAAAAAGGGAAAGGATTCAGAAAAGGAAAGGGGTTCAGATCAAAGTGTTCTCATAACGAAGACAAAGCCATCACAAGTTCTTCCAGGGTTGCTGGACAGCAGGCAACTGGACACATCCACATTTTCAGTGTCCACTGAGAGGTACAGCAAACAGCCACTTCTGTCCTAGGGCAAGAACCAGTACTAAAGATGTTTTCGCTCTTTTCTTTTTTTTTTTTTTTGAGACGGAGTTTTGCTCTTGTTGCCCAGGCCGGAGTGCAATGGCACAATCTAGGCTCACAGCAACCTCCGCCTCCCCAGGTTCAAGCGACTCTCCTGCCTCAGCCTTCCAAGTAGCTGGAATTACAGGCATGCACCACCATGCCCATCTAATTTTGTATTTTTAGTAGAGATGGGGTTTCTCCAAGTTAGTCAGGCTAATCTCGAACTCCCGACCTCAGGTTATCCGCCCGCCTCAGCCTCCCAAAGTGCTGGGATTACAGGTGTAAGCCACCGCACCTGGCTTGCTCTTTTCTTTCACACAGCCTTTAGAAAGAACCCGATGACAATTCTAACAACATACAGAGAAAAACATATGAACATTTAGAAAAATTTTAAAATTCATTTTAACCCACAAAGTTAGATTAATTTTGGCATCACCCAAAGACTATGTGTCTATTAAAGTTTCATCTCTACTACATCTCACCACTGCCCACTAAATCTAATTATAAAGGGATTCCCTATTTCTTTCTTTTCATGGGGGCAGGTCTTGTTCTGCTTTCAGGAGAGATGCAAAAGTTTTGCATGGGTTTACTCACTGGGTAAGATTCTGCTGAAGGACTAGTAATAGAAGGTGCTTTAAGGAGCTGTACTACCTGCAGCCCCTTCCGGTAAGTTGACCTTGACACAGAACAGACTGGTTCAGTGCAACAAACCCTTGAGGGCTTCCTAGATCACAGGCTAAGTGCTTAGGGTTAAAGATACCAAGACGAGTATGACTTAGTCCCTTGTACTCATGGAACTCAGTATAGTATGGGAGACAGACACACAAATGGATAAAAAATAAAGAACGCTGAGAAGATATACAGTAGGCAAGGCTTACACCCTACTACTTTTCTCCCCCTCACTCCTACCAAGCAGGTGCCCACAAGCTGCCGGCCCAGTCTCAACAATCATACTAGATCTGTAGCCAGAAAGCCTGGGTTTGAGGGCTAGCCCTGTGACTAATTAGCTTTGAGAACCTTACAGGGTCTCAGTTTCTCTACCTATAATTTGAGAGGGCTAAAGGCTGGCCTTAAGGTTCTTTCCCAAATCTGCTATCCAAAGAGTTTCTACTGAATATCAGCGATTGTGTTAAGAGTCTGCATCTGGGAAAAGCTATTGTAGCTTTGCCATATTCAGCTGGAATAACTAAGAAAAGTTTTAGTGTTGACACATCTCTTAGGAAGAATACAAGATGGGGTTAAATAGGCAAAAGTTAGAGAGTTTAAATTATCATATGAAATATTATTAAAACTAGGCTTCTCACCAAATTCAATTTTTTAACATAAGTTAGACACAGTTCACTGTTATGTTTTTACCTTTTACAGAGAAACAAGTGGCAAATTCTTCCTGTGTTTAGTCCTAACAACTTTTATCTCTCCATATAATTTATTTGTTGAGGCACCTCAGTTTGTCACGTTAATTGATTTCTAAGCAACTCTTCTGTAGCAATCCTACAACTTTCACTTGCTAATTCTACTGGACACAAAATCCAAACAGGCTGGTAAAATCTATCTGGCTTTGCCCCCTTTTGCTTTGTTTCTTAGTGATCGTAGGACTGGAGATTTGCATGACCCGCTGAGACTATAGAACCAAGCATTCACACAATCTGGCGTGGGTGCTAGGAAAGCAAGGCCCTCTTGGAAGCAAGATGTTTCACAGCTGTCTTCAAGGCATCAGAAGCTCCTCTGGCTCTCCTCTGAGAAGGCTTAGTGTGGTAGGAAAAGAGTGGGCTCAGTGTTTGTGAAGCCTGGGCACCATCCCCTGGTTCCAACACTGACTGCACGGTCTTGGCAAAACCATTTAACCTGTGTAACTTAATTTCCCATCACTGGAAGGGAAATGATAATCATACCTAACCTGCTGGCCCCACTGGGATGTTGCAAGGTTAAATTATCTCACAGACGTGAAAGTGCTTTAATTCCTGAAGGAGGAAAGAGTGCTTTCTAGAGCAGCAGTATGGTCTTTGAAAAGAGCTTGGGGCTGTAAAGAGCCTGGTCCTCTTCCACAAACTCCCTGTTTGACCCTCCAGAAGTTAATTACCTTCACTGTGACTCAATTTCTTTATCCGTCAAATGGGGATAAACTTGACTCTTTAATGCATAAGTTTGTGAAGATCAAATAGTAACAGGAGGACGCTACAAAGGTTGAATTGCTATAAAACTACAAGGAGCCATGAGTGCCTCCTCTTTTATAACTAACTTTGGCATGATCCTTGCTCATTTCCAAGTTACCAATAAAGAGAAAATTACCTCAATGGCCACAATATCCTGCTTTGAACATTACAATGGCAACAAAACTGAGACAAGGGGCTGTTTGGGAAGCATGTTCTGCTTAATTTTCACTTCAGTGAAAACAATTAAGGTTTCCAAACCAATGTTTTATTATATAAATTCAACAGCTTGCAGGAAATGTTTACTTCAAACATTTTCCTGGAATAAAGCAAATATTTCCCATAAATATTATTTTAATTCATTAGATTAAAAGGGACTAGGTTTTCTTCTCCTTCCTCTAAACCAGCTTCCTGCTACCTTAAGCGAAGCCTGGGTCCAATCAATAGTGCCCACCTGGCTTCATGAGAGCCAGGTCAGTATCTGCTAAGCGCTTGCTGTGCCCCAGTGCTGTGCTAGACCTGAGGCATGGGGAAGGGAGGAGAAGAAATAGGATCCTAAAAGTCAATGTCCTTTTCCTGTCTGTATTGCTATAGTACGATTTTGGCTATTCACCAGCTTACAGATATGTTTGGGGGGAAACTTGTAAATAAACTTTTAAAAAGTTTGTATGGGCTAAGTGCAGTGGCTCACGCCTGTAATGCCAGCACTTTGGGAGGCCGAGGTGGGTGGATCAGCTGAGGTCAAGAGTTTGAGACAAGCTGGCCAACATGGCGAAACCCCATCTCTACTAAAACTGTAAAAATTAGCCTGGCATGGTGGTGGGTGCCTGTAATCCCAGCTACTTGGGAGGCTGAGGCAGGAGAATCACTTGAACCTAGGCGGCAGAGGTTGCAGTGGGCTGAAATCACACCACTGCACTCCAGCCTGGGTGACAAGAGTGAAACTCCATCTCAAAAAGAGAAAAAAAAAAAGGTTTGTTTGTTTCCATAAAAAAAGAAAATAGCTAGACAATAACACATTCATTGAATGTACAGCATGTGAAAAATGCTATGCCAGATAAAAGACAGCCCACATGGATACAACCTGGATCACTTTAATTTTCCTTACAATAACTATTTATGGCTAGAGGGGAGACTGGCAAAAAAAAAAAAAAAGTTGTCAGATAAAATCCTGGCCCCCCTCCACAGGGTCTACTCTGGGATGCAAATAAATACAGACCGTTGCATTCCATCTTTTGTCTCCAGCCAATCTCATCCTTGAGGAACACAATCAAGTGTTCTTACCCCTGGCCCCACAGCACTTCTCTCATGGAACTGTGCAGTTTGCACAGACCCCACTGCAATACTTATTTCCTCTGGATTATCATTACTTACTCCTTCTCTGCCTTACCTGTTCCACATCCTCACAAAAAGAAGAAAACATTTTCTAAGTCTTCCTTTCTAACATTCTTTCACAGCGCCCAGCACCTAATTGGTGATGTGAGAAATGTTGACGGATATCAGAGATGTGTGCACAAATGGTTACACTTCAAGGTAAAATCTGGTGCCTGCTGTAATGGAAGCACACGGGGCCATGGGAACTCACAGTGGGGAGAGATCACATTCTTAACATGGCAAGTGGACTGGGCCTTACAGACTTGGAGCCTCTGGCCAGAAACAGAGAAGGGCACCCCAATCAGAGGCAAGACTGAGTACAAGCGCAAGGGGAGGACAGCACAAGCATGACTGGACAAATGGCGCACAGTCCACTCTCTGTCATGTTCTCTGCACACTTTAAACCTGACTTCTCCAATGTGGCTCCTAGTTTTTGAGCTTATCTTGATCATCCTTATGTGCCTAACTAGAAAATGTCCTTGTTCTTAGGAATGGCACTGGAGGGCTTCCCCACTGGTGTGTAATAGAAAAGGAAAAGCGAAGCTGTAATTCCCCCTTGCCTGCTGGAGGTGAGTGTGATATGCCTGTGCCTGTATCCAGGGACCAACTGCGCCTCCACATCACTACTTCAGGACACGCTGAGGCCTCCCTTCCAAGTCAGGCAGGACATGCCATCATGTGGCTATGAGGAAAGCCAAGGAAAAGCCAGACTCTCACCCGCTTCTAGAAGTACCTTCCTTTTCCTCTTAGGGGGGATTCTCCCTCATCCCCAACACTGTAGAAATTACTTAATGTAATGTCCTGACATAAGCTTAAATTTTCTCCCTACCATCCTCCGCCTCACAAAAACTGCTACAAGAATTATTCTTGTCATACATTGTTTCTTTGTGAACTCTCAGATATATGACTCTGAAATGCCTCATAAAAATAGCAGCATGGTTAATGAACAGTGCAACAAGCCTCTAAGAGGGAAAGATACATTTTTCTCCACCTCTGTTCTCTGAAACTCATTCTGCAGGGAAGGAGAGGCTAACAAGGCTCACAGACAACACTGGCATTGGAAAACCCAACTATAATATGGAGACGATGTTGTGAATCTTAACCTGCAGTATCAGGTTAAGAAGTACAGCTGTCCCTCAGTATCCATTGGGAACTGGTTCCTGGACATGCAGAAGACACCATCCATCCACAGACGCTGAAGTCCCTGATATAAAATAGTGTGGTATTTGTATACAACCTACACACATCTTCCTGTATATAAATCATCACTAGATTACTTATAACACATTACTTTACCATGTAAATGCTATGTAAATAGCTGTTATCCTGTATGCTTTAGGGAATAATGACAAGGAAGAAAACATGTACATGTTCAGTACAGACACAACTATCCTTTTTTTTTTCGGTTTTGATCTGTGGTTGGTTAAATTAATGAATACAGAACCCACAGATATGGAGGGCTGACTGTGCTGTCCAGCAATGTTCCAGGAGTCAGGGGAGCTAGGAAGAAGTGCAAAAGCTCTACCACTTTTTGTTTGGCCATCTTGAGCAAAATTATTTACTTCCACTGGGTCTCCGTTTCTTCATCCATAAAATGGTAACAGGAGTAATAATAATAATAATAATAATAATAATAATAATAATAAAATAATGACAATAATAATACCATTTACCTAGTTTTAGGCTTATAGAAAGGATCAAAGATATCTAAATGCTTTACCAACAACTAAAAATCGAGACAAATATAAAGTGGTATTATTATTCTTCCAATAAGGAATGATGAAACTCTAAATCATATTGTTCCATTCCTCCAAGAAGCAAACCATAGTTCAGTTCAACAGAACTAAATTTATTTATTTATTTATTTATTTCTTGAGACGAAGACTCACTCTTGTCGCCTAGGCTGGAGTGCAATGGCATGATCTTGGCTCACTGCAACCTCCACCTCCCAGGTTCAAGCAATTCTCCTGCCTCAGCCTCCCGAGTAGCTGGGATTACAGGCGCCTGCCACCACACCCAGCTAATTTTTTTATTTTTAGTAGAGACGACGTTTCACCATGTTAAGGCTGGTCTCAAACTCCTGACCTCAGGCGATCCACCCGCCTCAGCCTCCCAAGGTGCTGGGATTGCAGGTGTGAACCACTGTGCCCGGCTGCAGAACTAAATTTAAAACTCTCAGGAATAACACACTCTCCCCAACATTCTCCCTCTGGCTTCTTAATTCAAGCAATGGTGTCACTAAGCATCTGAAAGCCAATCTGTTAGCAGAACTGAGAGACAAAAAATCTACAAAATTTGAAAAGCTATAGGACAAACTAAGGGGAAAAGGGTAAGGAAAGAAAAGGACTACTGGGGACAATGAGTTTATTTTCTGCCTGTAACTGTTAGTGGGAATGCACAACTCTCCCTAATTCTGGGTACTCTGCCCTGAAAATTAAACACTATTATTTTAAAATGATATCCTAGTTGTTTAGAAATGCTTAAAGGAGTGAAGTTCAGGAAATGGCTTAAAGAAATTACAACTTAACACATAGCATTTAGAGGCAGACAGTCATCAGGAAAGTGATCTGAAGCTCACTGTCAGCTCATACCAAAGTGGTCCAAAGCTCTGCTCTGCTTCCCAGGCCAGGCGGGAGGAAAGGCCTGGGGACTGCACATCCCACATGATTTAAATTTGAATAAATCTTGGAACAGGAACATCAGCTTCGTCAGCTTACTCAAATGCTTTTGAGTCATACATTTTCTATTTGAATGAAGAAAAATCTCCCAATCCTCTTCTCTCATTTCAACCCTTTTACACTAGATTAGAGATTTCCAGATAGTAAAGATTAATTCGGAAAACTTAGAAATTACAGTTGGAAAATTCCAAGGCCCAACACAGAGGTGTTAAAGTTGGGAATGAATGGAAGACTGCTTGAGCTTTACTTTTAAGTAATGTTGTTTCCAACGGCTCATGGTTTTGCTTCTACAACCTTTTGAGTTTGGTAAAAGATTATACCTGAGAAGTTGCATTGTGTGGAGGAAAAATAGAGGCTGCCTCCCAAATTAATTTTTTTTGAAAACTTCTAGCTCCAATGAGTCATTATTAAATTTCAATCAAGGTTCCTGAAGAGTCTGAGTCTAATTTTTCTCATCTGTAAAATGGGCTTAATCCTCCTTCCCTCCCTCCCTCCCTCTCTTCCTCCCTTCCTTCCTTCCTTCCTATTGGGTATATGTGAAAGTTACATGAGAGAGCATAGGGAAAGATCCTAGGCCCATATTCGACATGTAGGAGTTAATAAATGATGGCTACACTCTTCACATCGCTGATATTTTTTTTTTTTTTTAAGACAGAAACAACATTGTTCTGTCACCCAGGCTGGAGTGCAGTGGCACAATCTCAGCTCACTGCAACCTCCGCCTCCTGGGTTCAAGCGATTCTCCTGTTTCAGCCTCCTGAATAGCTGGGATTACAGGCATGCACCACCACGCTTAGCTAATTTTTGTATTTATAGTACAGGTGGGGTTTCACCATGTTGGGTCATGCTGGTCTCGAATTCCTGACCTCAGGTGACCCACCTGCCTCGGCTTCCCAAAGTGCTGGGATTACAGGTGTCAGTCACCATGCCCGGCCTGCTTTCTGATTTTTAACCGTCATATTGACCAAGACATTCCCTCTTTCTCCTAAGAATAAACTTTGATTCAGCTTTTCTTCAAGATGGAGACAGACTTTTAGAAAGAACAATTATAAGGTAGAAAGAAATTTAAAAAAAAAATTAGAAAGAACCTTCCAAACAGAGTGAGTGTCTTGAAAATTTTATCTCACTTAAAGTTTGTCACAATTTTTCAAGAAAGGCCAAAGACTGATGTGAAGAATACTGAATCACAGAAAAGGGATGCATGACCACAATGCCAAGGGTCACCAGCCAACCTAAGAAAGCTTGAACACATGATTCCTTTATAAACCATGTTTACACTAGGGTAGAAAACCACTACTTTTGGGGGACACAAATATTTTCTGTCTTTTCAACTTAGCAACTGAATATACTTTTCTACCACACAGGCTCCAGTTTTGGAAGATCAAGTTAATTCCTCTCAAATATGACATGTTCAGGCCTTAAAAAAAAAGAAATCTGAAGAAGCTTGTTCTTAACTGAACTACCATTAGGAAATGAAGAAGTTCTGAACTTTTTCTTTCTGTTTCAAAAACAGGACATCAATAGTGGCATCACTCATTCCCTGCTCTGTCACTTCTGGCTACTGAGCTACCTGATTAGGGTGGAAAAGGGGGAAAGCTAAACCCTGCTCACCTGGCTCCTTCATGAGCAAACTCTGCTCACCTGGCTCCTTCATGCGTGAGGCTGCTCAGTGAGGTACATGGGGACTGCCTGTGAATTTTGGTCACTTGCAGTTCTCATGACACCACTCTACCCCGGCCCCCACAAATACACTTTTATTAGATCCCCCAAGATGGTTGACAGTTGCCCAAGTTAGGGTGAGTCATTCAGCATCTAAAATTTGCTTCTAACCAAAAAGAGCTCAGACTAAGGGAATGATTTTAGTACTCAAAATTATCAGAGGAAAATAAAACAAAAATTCTGATGCCAAAAATTTGAGTCATTTCCCTATGTACAACAACTCGAAGGTACCTCCTCTTGACTGGAAAAGAAATCCCTCGGGTGACTTATTTAGGATCAAAGTCTTTTTGAAAATAGAAAGCCTTACATTCTCTAAGGGAAAGATCACTGTCTGAAGTGAATTTCATTTACCCTGAAGTTTTGTGCCAACTTAAATACACTAAAACCCCAATGCTTATGAGAAGGCATTCACCTATTACTTGCTTATAGGTACATGGAAAAGCTATTATGGGGATAATCAGCTCAACTATAAAATGGAGCAGTCATACATAATGACAAAAACAGATACAAGTCATAAATTGCCTTTTCGCCTTCAGAATCCATGCAGGGACTCACTCAGTGCATTCTTTTGTGCAAAGATAAAATTTTCACCTTGAATAAACATTGCTCTTAGTTTTGTCTGAGCCTTATAAATACAGTGACTGCAAAGTAAACAACAACAAAAAATGCTGTTTCTTAAACAAAAGGCAGATGGGCCCCTCTCTCCTCAACAAGGTCATAGTATATATGATAGAAGGCTGGCTGATGGCAGGGGCTGGCTGAGAGTCTCTGTGCAGGGACAGGAAAGTCAGTTTCCACTGGATCATGGCTAGGCACCAAATCTGGTGTCCTGGGACAAAGGGCTGGTGAAAGGTTTGCTTCGAAAAGAAGCAGCTCCTCCACACTGCTGTCCCAAACAGAAACCAAAGAAATGGAACAAAATGGTATTTAAAGTCCTAGCTAGATTTTCTACTGAACTATCTGAACTGTCTGAATTTCTCGTTTTCTCGGTCTCAACTTGCTTATATTTATCTTCAGACAGTTTTCCTAAAAGTTATCAAAGTTCACTGTGGGACTAGGTAGGGCTTTTTGTTTGGTTTGCTTTTTATTTTATTTTTTTGGTTTATTTGTTTAACACATAGAGGCATGTCTAGAATAAATCTTGTAGTTAAGTGATATCTCAAAAGTCTAATTAAAAATGAGAACTGAGATGCCAGTACAGAAGAGCCAGGTCTCAGCTCTGTAGTGACCTGGCTGATCTTGGGAAAGTCACCTGACCAATCTGGGCCTCAGTTTCTTCATTTACATAATGGGGCTGAAAATGCCCATCTAGCTACTGACCAGGTAATTCTGATGATCAAATGATATCACATGAGTAAAACCATGGTTGCAATTGCCAAGGTTCTTATTGCCTATAAAGAAGACAGTGACAGCCACAACCAACCTAACACGAGAATGACGGTGGGCACCAGCACTTCCTGAGGGCCTGCTTTGTGCCAAGAATGCTACCATAGTGGTCACTGACCAGCTACACAGTGACATCAAATAAGAGGCTTCTGGTGGGAAGTCAGCAGTAATTAATGTTTCATATTCTCTGCAGTGCCTAGAAGAATGCCTTACAAACACAAAGGAAAAACATCCTGTAAGAAAAAAAAAAAAAAAAAGACCTTCAAAATTAGCTGGACTTGGATTCAGATCCACCCCTGTCACCTCTAGCTGTGTGACCTTGAAGACTTAACTTCTCTAACTCTCAGTTTCCTGATTGGCAGAATAGAGCTTAACATACAGAAGACAATGTATATAAAGGGTCTCTCACCAAGCCTAACCAACAGGAGGTGCTCAACAAATGTTTATACATTAGTATGTATTCCACAATGAAGTGCAGTGTTTCAACCCTGTTCCTACACCTTTTCCTACTAATGCTGTTTGTACCAAGAAATCATCTAAAAAATTAGATCTCTGTCAAATTCATAAAAAACAAAACTGATTTAAGACAATGAAACAATGGCTAAAACAACATAGAATAAAATGCATTAACTAAAAAGTGGCAGAAAACTCACATCTCCTTGACAAAAATTTGATCTGCAGAATTTGAGCTGGGAAATTTGGGCCTGGTAGAAATAAATACCACAAAGCAAAAGAGAAAACTACCATACAACTATAAAAGTTATTAGTAAAATTAACATGTAGCAAACAATGAACAATGAATTCTAATTTACATGAATAGCAAATAACCACTATGAAAATAATTTGTTAAGAACACGACAAATTATGAAAATATCTGTATTCATAAACACAGAATCAAAACAAACATGGGATCAAAAAGGTACCCAGAATCAAAAGCATCCTATATTGACTTGATAAAGACATACTGAAGGGGATGAGGCTGGGCGCAGTGGCTCAAGTGTGTAATCTCAGCACTTTGGGAGGCCAAGGAGGGCAGATCACTTGAGGTCAGGAGTTCAAGACCAGCCTGGCCAACATGGTGAAACCCCATCTCTACTAAAAATACAAATTAGTCGAGCATGGTGGCACATGCTTGTAATCCTTGTAATCTCTGCTACTCTGGAGGCTGAGGTGGGAGGATCGCTTGAACCCAGGAGGGCAGAGAGTTCAGTGAGCCGAGATTGCACCACTGCACTCCAGCCTGGGCGATAGAGTGAGACTGTCTCAAAAAAAGGGGGATGGAAAGTAGGACAGAATGAGCAGAGGTTTCATTAGTGATGACTGAAAGTGCTTCTCTCCTTTGCTGGAAGAAATTAAGTATGCTGTTGGCTTTCTTCCCTTAGGAAGACCAGATAACAACGGTGCAGAGCAAACACAGTTTCTACAGGGGCAGAAAAGACAGTGGGATCATTTGCTCTATTGTTAATATCTGAGATTTTGTTAATTTAAGAAGTACTTTATTTATTTTGTTGAGGATAGCTATGTATGTGAAAATATCACACAAGAATGAAGGTAAAAATGAAGCTAGAGTCTATAAGAGAGGAAATTTCATCAATAGGGGGCCCTCCCAGTTCTCTGCCTTTAAAAGATGTTAGAGTGTCTTGCAGATATTCTTCACATGACACACAACTAGAAGAAAGTATACTTTTTGCAACTCATGCTGCAGAAAGAAACTTTCTCCTCTGACATGGGTTTGGAATATGAAATGCTGTCATTTTCTTAAATAAATCACATTCAGAGAAGACCTTCCAGAAGCGATTGCCTTGCCATGACCTCAGGAATGGGATCAGATCTTTGAAGTTCCGCTAAGGGCTAGAGTCATCTTGCCAAGACCCAGGCAGGGGAGTCATGGGTTAGATGCTCACAATTTGGTGGCTAAGACTTAAATCTTACATTTGAATCCATATGCTGATTTCTAGCGTTGGGAGATGAGAAAGAAAGGCAAAGAGAAATAACTGAGATAAAAGGGCATAGGTTATTTCCTACTTATATTTCCTTGAAGCCAGTATTAAATAAATTAAACAACAGAGATGAAATGAGACGTTTCTTTTGCAGGAACGCTCTGGGGGGAGAAAAAAGAAATGAGAAATTCCACAAGTGGATACACTATAGACCTGAAATTTAAAATTTGTGCATCTATCCACAGATGACTAAACCCTACAGGTCTATTATCTTCTTATGTGACAGAATGAATTCCTTTTAACTCCTCACTGGGTTTCATATACTTCATCTCTTTTGCTCCTCAGGCCAGTGTGACAGGGGGAGTTACCATCATCTTTTCATAAATGTTAAAAACAAATCTCTTAACAGAGGAAAAGATTATTTAAAGGTAGAAATACAATTAAAGTGCTGGCAATCCTGACTACCAGCCCCAAGCTCCCCTCAATGTACAAACGTATGTCTATAATAATGGCTTACAATCTTTGGAGGCAAGAATCTCTCCCTGAGGATACAAAAGAAACATTGGACCCTCATCCCAGAAAAATGCACATTTATACAATATTTACAATTAATTTAAGAGGTTTATGAACTTCTCCACTACACTCAAAGCCCATTCAACCAGGCTAAAGCCCTCTGGTCTTTGCAGTAAAGTGCAGTGCACTGGCAGGGGCTCAATGAGGTGCAGTTCTGTCCCCTCTGACCCTTTTTTAATCACTGGAACTCAGGCACTCTTTAAAGCAATAATTGACACAGGCCAACAGTTGATTCTTGTGGTCATTTGTACTTCCTCAAACTCCTCTGGTCTACACAGAGAAACAAATAAAACATTCCCCTAAAACAACTTTAAACGTTGATTTCAACCCACAAAACTACAAGAAAATGCACATCTTTAGTCCAACCACATACGTGCAGAATCACAGATGACCTGAATGGGTATTCAACTGATAGACCCATTTAGATCTACCATTTCCTATAAGAAGTGGTCATTTTGTGTTTATTTGCTTTCTCATCTTAGAGATATAACTAGTTTTTACATCTCTATAAACACCTAAGATTGCTGGTATCAAAATACAGTCATGTGCCAAATAACAATTTGGTCAACTACGGGCTGCATATACGACAATCCACCCATAAGATTATAATACCATACTTTTACTCTACCTTTTCTAGGTTTAGATATCTTTAACATGCTGTACAGTTTTGCGGCCTAGGAGCCGATAGCCGAGGTGTGGAATAGGCTGTATTCCATCTAGGTTTGTGTAAGTATACTCTATGATGTTCGCACAGCAATGAAATCACCTAGTAAAATGATTCTCAAAATGTATCCCTGATGTTAAGCAATGTGATATAGTATGGTGTTTGTCCCTCAAATCTCATGTTGAATTATAATCCCCAATGTTGGAGCTGGGACCTGGTGGGAGGTATGTGGATTACAAGGGTGGATTTCTTATGAATGGATTAGTACCATCCCCTTGGTGTTCATGATATTGAGCAAGTTCTCATGAGATCTGGCTGTTTAAAAGTATGTAGCACCTCCCCCTTCTTTCCCTTGCTCCCACTCCTGCCATGTGAGACACCTGCTTCACCTTCCACCATGATTGGAAGCTTCCTAAGACTTCGCCAGAAGCAGATGCTGGCATCATGCCTCCTGTACAGCCTGCACAACCATGAGTCAATTAAACCTCTTTTCTTATAAATTACCCAGTCTCAGGTATTTCTTTAGAGCAAAGCAAGAATGGACTAATACACAATCTATGCCTGTAAATTACATAGCAATCCCCTCAGCTGCAGCCTGTGGCTCCAATACTAGTAGCTTATTAAAGGCAAGACAACTATATGAAGGAACCCAACCCCATGGGAAGGGAAGTTCCCATACCAGAGGACTCGTTCCCTGGAAAGCAATACCCTTATATAAATCTGGCAACATACAAAGCATGATACCAAATCAAATGTATTATCACTGCCCCCAGGCCTTCATATAGATCCAGGATGAGGGTGGGGGTAGGGAGGACACTGCCCTTTCTTTCTGCCTAAGTTATAATCTCATGCTGACCCTCAAGCTTCAAAAACAGTTTTTCAGGGAAAACAGAAAAACCAGGAAACAAACGAGACTTCCACAAACCAAGGAGAATAAAGGGCCAATCCTTTCACTAGGATGTTGCCAGGAGACCCTGGAGAAACTCCTAGGAGGTCTCTCCTGTTGAGATGTCACAGGCACTTGAACAGCTTCTTCATTCTTAACCCAGTGAACTATGGAGGTTCCTAAGAGTCAAACTGGCCCTGATGGGGTTTGACTCTCCTACTCTCAGTGTCCCAGACCCTCCTTCTCTGTAGTTCATAATAGATTGGTTTTCATTTCAAGAGCACTAATGGCTTCCTGGTGGCTCAAGTCTCCATGCAAATACTACAGTCAAAGTAATGACCTATTTATCTTCTTCACTCTGTATTTTTCAAAATTTTTGTAACGTCATACCTTATTTTGTTCTCACAATAAACCTGTAAAGTAGGTGCATTTCTATTCCACAGTGAGGAAGTCCTATTGTTAAATCATAAGCATCTTCATTTTTAAAATTATGGTAAAGCCCAGGGTACAAAAACAAAGAAATTATAAAACCAAGAAGACTTTCTTATGTCAATTAGAATTCAATAAAGTTAATAAAATTTAATAAAATATGTTAACTGGGCATTTACAACTAAATATTTAAGTTCATTCATTTATATCAAGTCCAAGAGCTAAAGCAAGAAGAGTGAGGGATCTGTGTTACCACTATGAGGTTTTATGATGCGTGAGGGGTAAGGGAACATGGGAGTGTGAGAAAGGATTCAAGGCAGAAAAGTACACGCTAGTTCAGACTTTGAACCTGAGTCTCACCACTTTCAAACCATGAGTGGGAAAGTCTCTCTAAAAGACTGTTGCTGTCTGGGTACAGTGGCTCACACCTGTAATCCCAGCACTTTGGAAGGCCGAGGTTGGTGGATCACTTGAGGTCAGGAGTTCGAGACCAGCCTGGCCAAATGGCAAAACTCCGTCTCTACTAAAAAATACAAAAAATCAATGGGGTGTGGTGCCGGGCACCTGTAATCCCAGCTACTTGGGAGGCTGAGGCAGGAGAGTTGCTTGAACTCGGGAGGCAGAGGTTGTAGTGAGCAGAGATCACACCATTGCACTCCAGTCTGGGCGACAGACCAAGACTCTGTCGCGAAAAAGAAAAGAAAAAAGAAAAAGAAAAGACTGTTGCTTATTTTGAACCACAAGCCAAACAGTACACTTTAGTCTGGTTCAATAATCCTACAGAACTGATCTGACCAATCTATCATCCCTAGAAAATAGTTTGGGGAAAAAAGAATAAATTCTCAGCTTTCACACATTATTAACGAGAACACCATACCACAGAGAAATGCTATTCAACTCGACTCTCTTACCTCCTCTTCAAGATACATTTCTACGCGGTGCCACAAAGATCTCTTTGGTAAAGCTACTTTTATGTCATATCACCCTGTGGCGCAAGTACACCTGTGATCTCACTACAAAAATGCTCTCTCCACAGTAAATAAGCAGAGAGTACAGGTGTTTCCTCCAAATGAGTTCATTCATGAAAAAGCCAGTCTCTACAAGAAAAGTGTGTTGAGATGAAAGGAAGAGAAAAAAAGCAGAGCTCTTTGGAGGGCTGTATGTCAAATAGCAACTACCTTCAACTCGCTTCACCTTTTCCAGCTTCGCATATAATCAATTCCTGCCAGAAAATACAGAGTGAACTAAGAAAATGTCCACGAATTAAGATGTCAGTGAACAAACCAGTCAACTAGCTGCAAGATACTGGAGAATGACATCACTGTCCATCTGCTGCTGGTTTCAGGTGGCTTAAAAGGTTGTTGTCATTATAGAAGGCTGTACTTCAGCTTGGACTTTCCCTGTAAACTGTGGGCAATAACTGGTAGATCTCAGGCAGGAGAATGGCACAATCCAGTGAGTTCATTCTGGTGGCACAGTGAAAGGTGTAGGGGTCATCGTGAAAGGTCCAGGGTGCTGGGGGCTATTGCAGTGACCCAGGTAAGACATACGCAATGCCTGGACTAAGGCAGTGGCAACGGAGAGGAAGGAGGAAGAGGTATTTCAGAGGTGGACTCAGTGCACCTGGTGGCAGGTGACTGGAGGTGAGGAAAAGGCAAGGCATGTGGGCAATGAAGCAAAAGCCATGAATATAACTTTTCACAGCCCATTAACTATAAAAGAAATTGTAGTACTGTAGAGGACTCGTGAGGTTAATTATAATGGAATTTCACCTCTATTTCCTTACCTTGGCAGCAGAGTTTGATACTCCGTGTGTAACATTTCTGATGAGGCCCCCGACATTTCCATATTTTATCAGTCCAGTAACCCCTTCAGAAACATCATTCAAAAGCCCCATAGGATTGCCAAGAAAATCCACTGATCCCAGGATTCGAGCTGCCTGGCTGAGGAGTTCCTGCCAAATGGAACAGGAAGAGAAAAGTCCAATCAGCATCTACTTATATTTGCAGATACCAGTGTCCCAAGCGAAGAGCTTAGAAATCTATTTTGTTCTCCATTCTCATTACTACAAGTAACGAGATTAAAAGCTTTTAATCTTCATCAACTGCAAAATAATCTCCTGTCCTTTCAGGAGCACCACCTAAGCTTCTCCCAATACACATATCCCAATACACATACTCTTCCAAGCCAGTTAGAAGAATAAAAATAGCTATGAAACAGGAAGCATTCTTATGAGTATTTGCTACTATATACATCATACTCTCCTTTTCATCATGCCTACAAATAGAGAAGTAATCACCAGCAGGGAGAATTACAAAAGGAAAGTGAGGAAGAGAGGTAGATTTACAGTTCCTCTCATAAGCTGTGGTGTGGGTGGGGGGCCTGAAGAAGGCATGGAGAGACTTATCAAGCAAACCTCCACTGTTTCTTTCTCTGAAGCAGGGTCTCAGTCACACAGGCTGAGGTGAGGTGGCATCACCGTGGCTCACTGCAGCCTTGACCTCCTGGGCTCAAGCAGTCCTCCTACCTCAGCCTCCCGTAGCTGGGACTACAGGCAAGACCTCTACAACCAGCTAATCTTTTTTTTCTATATTTTGTAGAGATGGGGTCTCAATATGTTGCCTAGGCTGGTCTTGAACTCCTGAGCTCAAGTGATCCTCCTGCCTTGGCCTCCCACCAAGTACTCGGATTACAGGTGTGAGCCACCATGACTGGCCCCTCCACTCTTTCTGTACTTCCAATTGCCTGATCCCAGGTTCCAGTGATATCTGCTGTATCACTTTCCTTAGTTAGGTGGAAATATCACCAATTAGGATAGTCAAAAAAGGAAACGGGGAATGGAGAAAAGGAAGTGAGAATAAAATATATTTTAACTTTGAAAGCTATTAAATTTGATACGATCTTGACCTATCTATTCATTGAAGATTATGCCTTGCCTTTACTTTTTGATCTTTGCAGTCTGGATAATAAATACAAAATGGAAAATGTCCAAGGTGATTTAAAAAATTTCAAGTTCAACCCAAATGCAGGATCCCACAGACTCTAAGAACATGGGTGTAGTTGCTGAAAGAAGGCCCATGCCTGGTAAATAAAAACATTATTTTGTTATTATTAAAGCATCAACTAAACCATTAAGAGTCATGATTAATCTAGCAGGAACCCCTCAGACTAGCTCTGAGGGATGAAACTAACAGCTCATAGGTCAAATGTACTATCTCAGGATTTTCATGACACATACGGGCTTCTTGGGAAGTGACCTGACCCGTAACACAACAGAGTTGAAATGTTTAACTGGGTTCTCAATAGTAATGCCTTAGTAACCAAAATTCCCAAACAACTAAAACAAACATTCTGCTTATGCTCCAGCCAATGATTACTTCTCCAAGCCTCACCTCCTGGAAATGTTTGAGGATATCATTGATGATGAACTCCTTGGTCTCATAGGGATGTACCCGAGTGAATGGATCTAGATTAATCACAGCGTCTTCAAACCGTATCAAAGGAAACCCCAAGGTGCTTTTTAGGGCCTAATTAGGGAAGAAAGGAAATGACATACTTAAGTCATATGATGGCCTTCTGTGATACTATAATTCTAGATTCCATTAAAGCTACAAGTCATGTTAACTTTCGAATGAGGGTCAGGTTTTGATGTTTATAAATAAGGATTTTCCCTATAACTATAAAAGTAAAATACTAGGGAAAAATACATATATAGACAGACATATATCACCCAAGTCACATGTATCACACAGAAATAAACACTATCAGTTTGTGTCATAATTCCTTTTAGTCTGTTTTGTATCTGTTTGTCATGTTTTACTTTTTGACTGATGTAAACCACACACACAGAAAAGTATACTAATCAAATGTATAGTTCAAAACCCAAATGATTTTTCCCAAAGTGAACACAATAATGTAACCACCACCAGATCAGAAAGCAGACTGTTATCCCCATCTTGGAAGCAGCCCACTCACCATGAGCATGCTCCCACTCCCTCCTCCTTCCTCCCCAAAGACAACCACAGTGATGACATCTATCACTACAGGTAAGTTCTTCTGCTTTAAACTGCATATAAATGGAATCATCAGTATGCACTTCGTTGTAGGTGGCTTCTCATAGACAACATTACATATGGGGGTTTCCTAGATTGTTGCATATAGCTGTAGTTTGTTAACGTCCATTGCCATATAAATACTCCATTGCAAGAATAAAACAATGTATTTAACCACCATTGTTGATGAAAAGTTCAAAAGTTGGGTTGTTTCAGGCTTTTTGATATTATGAATAATGCTGCTATAAACAACATTAGACATGTCTATGGCAGACTAGATAACAGGTTCTCACTCTGTTGTCCTGGCTGGAATGCAGTGGCACAATCACAGCTCACTGCGGCCTTGACCTCCTGGGCTCACGCGATCCTCCCACCTCAGCCTCCTTAGCAGGTGAGGCTACATGTGCAAACTACCATGCCCAGCTAATTTTTGTATTTTTTGTAGAGAAGGGTTTTCACCATGTTGCCCAGGCTGGTCTCAAACACCTGGGCTCAAGCAATCCGCCTGCCTTGGCATCCCAAAGTGCTGCGATTACAGCTGTGAACCACTGCTCCCTGCCTAGCTATGTCTTTTGGGGCACATTTATGCATTTTTCTTGGACATATACCTGGGAGTGGAACTGGGTCATAAAGAATGTACATGCACAATCTTAATATATTCTGCCAAACAGTTTTCCAAAGTGGTCAAACCAGTTTATGCTCCATTCAGCAGTCTACAAGATCCCTTGCTATTCTACACCCTCATCAACACTTGGTATAGATCGTTTAAAAAAAAAAAAAAAGATATTCTGGCTAGGAGTGGTGGCTCATGCCTGTAATCCCAGCACTTTGGGAAGCTGAGGTGGGAGGATCGCTTGAGGCCAGAAGTTCAAGACCAGCCTGGGTGAAGAAGTAAGACCTTGTCTCTACAAAAAGTTTAAAAATTAACTGGGCATGGTGGCGTGCGCCTGTAGTCTCAGCCATTCAGGAGGCTGGAGGAGGAGGATCACTTGGACTTTGAAGGTCAAGGCCACACTAAGCTGAGATCATGCCACTGTACTTAGCCTGGGTGACAGAGTAAGACCCTGCCTCACTCTTTCTTTCTCAAAAACAGAAAACAAAGTCTCTGTTGCCCAGGCTGGAGTACAGTGGCGGGATCTTGGCTCACTGCAGCCTGGACCTCCTGGGCTCAAGTGATCCTCCTGCCTCAGCCTCCCCCTACAGGTACATACCACCACGCCCAGCTGATTTTTTTTTTTTTTATTTTGGAGAGACAGGGTCTCACTTTGTTGCTCAACTCCTGGCCTCAAGTGATCCACCCATCTCAGCCTCCCAAAGTGCTGGGATTACCGTGGCTGACCCTGTCACTTAAAACAAACAACGACCAAAAACAAAAACAAACAAACAAACAAAAAAACACCCAGAAAATCTGAACAGTGTGTAATGGTATCTCAGCATAGTTTTGACAGATAAACTGATGGGTGTGTAATGGTACCTCAGCGTAGTCTCTTTTCAGTTGAGAAGTGAGATTAAGCAACTTTTAAATGCATAAGCCATTTGGATATCTTTTTGTGAAGTGCTTATTGAAGTATTTTGCTCATTTTTGTAGTGAGTTCATGTTTTTTATTTCTTACTGCTTTGTAGGAGTTCTTATATATTCTGTATACCAAGTCCTCTGTTGAACAGATGTGTTGCAAATATCTTCTTCCATTCTGTGACTTATCTTACTACTCTTTAAATGGTGTCTTTTAATGATCAGACAGTCTTAATTTTAAGGAAATCTGCCTTATCAATATTTTCTTATATGGTAAGAGCTTTCTGTGTCCTGGTTAAGAAATTTTTGTCTACACCAAGGTCATAAAGATATTCCCACGTTTACTTATACAAGTTTTATTGTTTTACTCTTCACACCTAGATTTTATTTATGCTCCACCTAGAATTTATTTTTATGTACGGTAGGAGGGAGTGGCCAAGATTCATTTTTTTCTGATAAATATTGAACTAAGTAATATTTACTGAAAAGGTCATCCGTTCCACTACCGCAGTATGGCATAAATGCTGTCAAAAGTCACGTGATGGTATTATACATCCATTTCTGGATTCTCTCTTCTGTTTCACTTTGCTCTGCTTTCTACTAATGCCACACTGTCTTAATTACTGTAGTCTTGTAATAATTTCTGAAATCGAATAGTGTAAGCTCTCCCCAACTTTGTACTTTTTCTCCAGGGTTACCTTAGCTGCTCTTTGCGCTTTTCAACTGCAGAGAAATTTTAGAATCAGCTTGTCAATTTGCTTCCAAAAAAACTGCTGGAATTTTCATCAGGACTGTACTGAATCTACAGATCAATTTGAGGAGCAACGACAACTTTACCGAATCTTCCAACTTATCGACATGGTATGTCCCTTCATCTATGTGGGTCTTTAATTTTTCACAATAATGTTTAATTGTTTTCTGTGTAGAGGTCTTATACGTCTTTGGTTGGGTTTATTCTTAGATACTGTGGTAGATTTAAAATGACCACATATTCTTTGCATCTTCTGTCAAGTGGTGAAGTCTATGTTCCCTCCACCTGAATCTTCACTAGCCTTGTGATTTGCTTCAGCCAATAGGATGCGAGAGATATAATAATGTGTGACCTTTGAGCCTGAGCCTCAAGAGAGCTTGGAGCTTCTGCACTGCCTGTTTTGATGCTTCCACCACGTGAAGAAGCTGGGAGTAGCTTCCTTGAAGATGGGAGACCATGTGGAAAGGGGTTCTGCTGACAGCCAGCACCAATCCGCTGGACATGAGACTGAGGTCATCTCATACCATTTAATCGCGTTTAACTGCCAGGTGAGTGCAGCCATATGAACAACCACTGGTGAGACCAGCAGAAGAAACACCCAGCTAGGTCTAGTCCAAATTATTAACCCACAGAATTGTAAACAAATAAGATGGTGGTTGTTTTAAACCACTGCAATTTGGCGTCATTTGTTACACAATAATAGATAATGATACAGTAGTTAATGTTTTCTTTCTCTCCCTCCCTCCCTCCCTCCTCTTCCCTCTCATCTCTCTCTCCTCCTCCCCCTTCTCTCTATCCCTCCCTCCTTCCTTCCTTCCTTCCATTTTTGTAGAGACAGGGTCTCCCTATGATGCCCAGGCTGGCCCTGAACTCCTGGGCTCAAGTGATCCTCCCACCTAGGCCTCCCAAAGTGCTGGGATTACAGGTGTAAGCCACCACACCCAGACCTGTTTTCTTAATAGCCTCCAAATTTTTCTTTTCTCTGTTATTATTGCTGACATGTAGAAATATAACTGTTTTCTATACTGTCTCTAGTGACCTTACTAAATTTACTTATTCTAATAACTAATCTGAAAATACTTTTAGATTTTCTAGTAAACGATCGTGTTTTCTACAAATAACGAACTTTTTATTTTCCTTTCCAGCTCCTATGCCTTTTACTTCTTTTTCAAAAAGATCATCCTTGACTTATTTTACTGGCTGAACTCCCGTGTAACGGTGAAAGAAGTGGTGATAATGGGTATCTTTCCTTTATCTCAAGAAAAAGCTTTTACTATCTCACCAATTAGTATGATGTTTGTTGTAGCTTTTTACCAGATAGACCTAAACAGATGAAAGCAGTTATCTTCTATTTTTAGCTTGCTGAATTTTTACTGTAGATGGATGTTAAAGTTTGTCAAACAGCTTTTATGCATTTTTAAATAATCATATTCTATTTTATCGTGTTGATGTGGTAAAATACCAAATTTATCTGCAAATGTGAAACTGAATGTGCATTCCAGGAAAAAATCCAATTTGGTTATATTAGCCTTCTTACATATTTCTGTTTTTGATTTACTAATATTTTGTTCAGATTTCTTTCTTCTATATTCATGAAAAAGTGCTGGTCTATAATTTTCCCTTATTATTTGATAATTTTTTTAAAAAAATTATAGTTTTCTGGTAAACTTCTTAGATACCTTCATAGTATTTTAAATTCTCTGTCTAAAAATACCAACATCCAGTTTATCTATGGTTCTGTTTCTAGTGTTTGTTTTTTCTCTTGGTCTCATCTCATCTTGGCCTGGTAATTTGTGACTGAATGCAACATTTTGTATGAAAACTTACAGAGACTTTGGATGAGTTTTTAGCTTCTGGTAGGCAGTTAGAGTAAGAAGCATAATGCCTAAATCAACCAGGGTTTGGGTTTTCTCAAGGCTGTGTTTCAGTCTTTATCTAAGTTCTGGTGTGTTTTAGTCCTTATGAGGCCTGGTGTAGTCCTTTAGCAGTCTCAACGAAAACCAATGCCATTCCTCCACTTTTAATCTCCCTAGTACCACAAAACTGCTTAGAAGACTGTTTAAGTTCTTCAGCCTCTTAGCTGCCACTTTTTGCTTGATTTCTCTCAGACTGTGTCACTTAGAAATCATCAAATATCTCAAGAAAGAAAGTACCTCAGATTATTGGGGTTTGTTTTCTGCCTGTCCCTTCTCTGTAAGATATTAGCCCTTCAATTACCAGCTCTCTTAGTAGCAATGAAGTCTAAGTTTTGCTTTGCTAGCCCCATGAGACTGCCAAAAGCTTTACTTGCATTCTCTGCCTGTTGGCAGCTGCTTTCTGCTTGGCTTCTTCACCTTTCTCCCCACACTGCTTACAAATCAGAAAAAGTCTCAAGAATAAAAGCAAAATAAATGTTGGGCTCACCTTACTGAGTTTCTCTCCTCTCATAAATCTTGAACTCTCCAGTCCTGGCTGTTTTGGTAGCTTTCCAATGGCTTCACATGGACACTCCCCAACCCCGCCCCCACGATCTGTCTTTTCTTGAAGTTCTCAACTAGCCTGGGTCTGCTATAAGCTGGTTAACAATCTCTGGATATGGGTCTATTTTCTGATTATATCTTTATTTAAAATGATTGATATTTCAAGGTGTTTACAAGGCATGCCAAATACTCTTCCTTACCGAATATAAAAACACTTTTTCATGCTAATATTACCAGTAAATCTCTGATTCACTTGGAATTTATCCTTACATAAAGTGTCAAGAATAAATCTAATTTTATATTTTTTCTATTGTGATTTAGTCTAATAGCACTATTGAAAAGTCTATATACTCCCCACTGAATTAAAGTCTCTTTATTATATATTAAAATTTCATGTGCAACTTAATGACATTTCTATTCTGTTTTCTTACTTATAATCTTTTTGCATGTGTCTTCTGAGACTGCCTTAAATTATTTTGGAACAAGAATACATTTAATTGAAATTCAATCATATAATGGAAGAAAGGGTGAAATTTTTTAAAACCATAGAGAAGGGAAAACTTTTTTGTGACTCAAAATTCAGATTCAAGACTATGCTTTCAGGGATCATTTCTACAGTTTGTTACTAGAGAATTTCTCTGAACATGTAGTTTTCAAAAAAAAATTAGATTCAAAACAGCAAAAGACTAATAAATTTGACAACATAAAAATAAACAGCTCTTGTATAATTAAACACAAACACACACACACACACGCCAAAAGCAAAGTAAAAAGACAAAAAGCTGAAGAAAAAATACTTGCAACTTTCATCAAAGACATAACTTTTAGAAAGAGCTTCTAAAATTAGAAGAGATAAAAGGCCTGACAGAAAAATAGACAAGTGACATAACCAGACAGTTCACAGAGAAAAATCTGGACCTTTAACATACAGATCAGGAAAAGAAGAAGTAGAATAAACGAAAACAGAAATAGGCAGAGAAGCAACAGAGCAAGAGGAGAACCAGAAAGGACAGATGTCAAGAACAGGGAAGTCAGCAATGTCAAAATGGCAGAGGATGCTACAAAGATAAGGCTAGAGAGAAAGGTCACTGGACTTGGTGCCTTGGGAAGTCACTGATAACCTCCTGCTAAGTAATTTCAGAATATTTTAGAGATTAATAGCAACCTCAAGTTGAGCTGGGCCCAGCGGCTCATGCCTGTAATCCCAGCACTTTGGGAGGCTGAGGTGGGCAGATAACTTGAGCCCAGGAGTTTGAGACCAGCCTGGGCAACATGGTAAAACTCTGTCTCTACAAAAAAATACAAAAATTAGCCAGGCATGGTGGCACGCACCTATAATCCCAGCTACCTGGGATGCTGAGGTGAGAGGATCATCTGAGCCCAGGAGGTTGAGGCTGCAGTAAGCTGTGATCATGCCACTGCACTTCAGCCTGACAGAGTGAGACCCTGTCTTCCCCACCCCGCAAAAAAGTCCAACATCAAGTTAATTCAGCCTAACTCTCCCTCTCTCTCTCTCTCTCTTTGGTATAAATAAAACAAGAAATGTTAAGTGGATGGCCTAAAGTCATATGGCTAGCTACTTGATTTTAGACTTGAATATGTGCATTTTCACAATAGCAACTACCTATTAGGTAGAAAGCATGAAAGCCAGAATGGAGGGTATTATTTCTCCTGAAAAATGTTCTGCTATTCATTCACCCATGCCTCACCCCACCTCATGGTGAGTGATGATAAAGTACGTGAGCAGGCCTTATTTTCCTCATTTCACTGTCGGAGAAACTGAGTGAACGTTCAGTAAGCTCAACTGCTTTGCTTAGAGTCATAAAATAAACACGCTGGGAAAACAGGGTACTGACAATCAGTTCAGCACTCTGTTTTGCCAATACTACTTTGAGCGTTACTTTATTCTCAGAGAAGAGAAAATGAGATCAAAACAAAGGCTTAAGGTAAAAAGCTTTTATACCCCAACTTTGTCCTTGCAACCAAATATTAAAGAAGAACCACACAAAGTAGCAAAGACTTTGAAACCTCTACTGAAATGTCAAAACCTTCATCATAGACACTATTACCTTTCCGAATGACTAAGGTGCTTGGTCTGAATCGAGGAAATATTCTGGCCCTTAAGTAAAAGTTATCCTTACCTAGTCATTTACTGCTTTTGGGACTCCACATTTGAAAAAGCTGAGATACAGCCCAGTGGTATGAATTATTCTGCCACCTTCAGGTTAATCTGGACAGTCAAAGTCGAGATGAGGGAACGAGCCAAACAGGGCTTATTCTTGTAGTAACTAAATGACTAATCAAATACAGTAGTATACAAAGTTGATGCTTATTTACTCAAGCAGCAGACAGTTTCCTGTTATAAAATGGATTTTGGAGAAGGCAATCTTGTGTTCATAAGCTCCTAATAAAAATAGGAAACTGTCTATTTCTACCTCCCCACGCGAAAACTGCTGAAGTCTTCCAGAAACTTCATAGAGTTGAAAGAAGAAATACCTGTCTATATACCATAAGGTCTCAGATCCCAAGCTATTCCCTCGGCCATGTCCTTTCCTTTCTTAGTTTATCCTGCACTAAACAAAACTGTCTGGAATTCATTCTTTAAAGGTTTATTTATGGTACATAGAGACTGTTTATGTGAAGCAGGGTATTTGCCTATTTCCCTCTTGGGACAATGTTTAAAACTACAGGGATATTTCCCTCTCTGGCACTTTCTGAAATACAATTAACAATACTGGATCTTTTTTCCTTTTAACAAATCTGGTTTTTATTTAGGGAGGGGAGGAAAAAAGTAAAGGGTCTGAAGTTTCCCAACAAATTATTTCAAGCCTTTGAGAAGACAGTTTTAGGCTTTTTAAATAGTGTCTTTGTTCGAAACTCCCCCTAACCCCCACCCTCTCACTCTGACCATTAAAATGTGGGTTTTCTTCCAAACTAGATTGCTCAATTAAAGCCCTTCTTTTGTAATACCCCAATGCTCTAAATGGAAAAAGGACTGCTGTAGGCCACCTCATGAAACCGTTTAAAGGCTCCTGGCCTCTTTTGATCTTTAAAAAAAGCCAAAAACACGTATAAACTACCTGGCATTTTCAGTATCACTCGGCCACTTTCTAACACGCAAACTTGAGAGAATGGAGAGAATGGGGAGTCAGGCAGGAATGCTGTGCTTTGGTCTCTGCATTTGTGAAATGGGACTATTATCTCCCCATTCTTCCACCGCAGAGTAAGGAATCCAATTGAGATAGCAGATGTGAAACTGCTTTCAGTCCTTTTGAACAGACACTATATCTGGCAACAATGTACCCTCAGTGTAAACCTGAAGAGACTTCCCTCTGAGATTTCTGACAGTCTCACTTCTGGCCTGGAGTCAGAAGAATCAAGATAATTATTCCTTCAATACCAAAGACGTGGTTTACCTTTTAGTCAGGCTCTCGTGACTCCTGTTCAGGGACAGGACTCCATTTTCTAAGCACACACTTTTAGCCATTATATATTCATCTAAAAGAGCATAGTACCCTTCTAAGAGCTACTAATAAAGGCATATTACTCTGTTAGAAAACTCTTTGAATAAATGACATTATTTTATGAGTCCCAGACTCCACTAGGAGACTCAAGACACAGTAAAATGTGACTCCCACAAGCTGAGAATTTAACTCTTTAGTCCCAATTCCCCGCACCCTGCTGGAAACATTAACTTACTACACTCGGCGTGCCCCCTACACACCTCATCACATGGCTGCTCCATGTAATTGTTTCACAATGATTTGAAAAATGCCCTGAAAATGTTCCTTCAATTCAGTGCCAGATGAAACATTCAACTGAAATGATTTCGTTGATTGTATGCCGAGCGCACACACAACCATCATGTAACTGGGGGGGGCTGGAGCTACTTCAACTGCAGAAAATCAGACTGCTTTTCTCAGTCTGGGGAGTTTTCTGCTGGGAGCAATTTGAAGGGAATAGTGAGGTGTCTGTGTTTCTTAGTAAGATGATTTTAAAAACAAGAAGTCCTCAACCCTCAGGAAATGCTTCACATTGGTTTGCTGGGCAAGTGCCAAGTGCTCTGGGTGAATATATACTTTATCAAACAAACCCATTCCAAAGGTCACACAAGTCAAGTGGATACTTGTGGATATTAACAAGATAGTGGTTTTCCCATGGTTTTCCCCTCACTCCCATGCTAACTATAAGTATCTTTAATCTCCTGGGAAACATGAAATTAAAGCGAATGAAGCAGACAGGGCAGTGAGTGAAGGGCACGCTGCACTCTTCCAGAGATGGCTGCAAGAGCCATTCCTGCTCCAGGTCCCCACCAGCACTCCCTGTGGCTTGGCCCCAGTTTGCCACCCCAATGCTGTCACCCTTGCCCTACCCTTACCCAAATGTGATCTGATGTTGACCAGACTACTGTCTCATTACCTGTGTGTCAATTTTAGAAGCTGTGAGTTGGCAGACACGGCCACATGAGGCCCACACATGTGTTTTGTTAGGCCCACAAGGTTTAAAAAAACCAAAAAACTTGAATTGGTTGCCAATGTTTAAAAACCAGGAGATTCCACATAAAAATCCAGATTTCCGGTTTCTCTTTAAAAATCTGAAGATCTGGCAACACCAGGTTCACATTCCTCCATGACAGCAAGCGGCTGGAGCGGGTTGTGGCGGCCCCTTCAGATGGAGCAGGCACTCCTGGTTGGGCAGACACGACACCACCCCGGTGTGCAGCTCCACTCGCTGCATCGCCAGCGCAGCTCCTGCGGGCATCTACGTTAGGACCCTAGACTTACTTCTTATCTGCTCATATCTCTAGCTGTTTCTGCGCAGCAAGATGACTATCTTGTAGCATCTTAGAGGAGGCAGCATGGGGCAGTGAGAAGAGTCCTCGACTGGTGGTTAGTAGGAAGATGGAGGTCTTGAGTATTATCTTTAAGTGCAACAGAATGAAAAACCAGAACCAATGGGTCCAAGCTGCAGGGGGCTGACTTTGACTCAAACTAAGGAAAGACTTTCTAACACCCCTGGATCCACTCCTGCTCCTATCACTTCCTAGCCACACAGCCTTGACTGACAAAACACTTTGAACTTCAATTTCCCTGTCTACCAAGCAAGTACATCACTGAGGACTCACAGGTCTAAAATTCTCTGGTTCCTTATGTTCTATGGGGAAGCATAGTATAGTGAAAAAAAAAATAGACTTTAGAGTCAGACAGGCTTGGATTTGAATCCCAGCTTTCTTCCTTGATGAAGATAAACTTTATGGCTGAAAATGAAGACGGTGTTCAGGCTGTGTCTAGTAAGTAGTCATCAAGATGGTCTAAGGGCTTCATCCTGATGTGGTGGTAGAGAAGGCCATATCCCAGTGGGTAAGTGGGCTGAGTCGACTTTAAACACTCCTAGTAGACAATCCTAGTGACAATCATTCAAAAAGAGGTGGATACTTAGGAAGAGAGAAGTAGGAAGGTGAGCAGGCCTCGGGCACAAAAAGAAGATGCTGTCTTGACTGCTTTTTCTCTTGATCCTGGACACAACTTTAGGAAAAAGGCTTTTATCTCACTGAGGTAAGCCAGGAGCTAAACAGAGAGCAAATGGGTTTTACAGAATTATCTGTGAATCTCTTGAGCTACTCCTTGATCTTCGGCAATGTCGTATTTAAGTTTCGTTTTTTTTTTTTTTTTAAAGACAAATACACGTAAGTCAATAAACCTTCTGAAAAAGGAAATCTGTAAAAATAAAATGTCTGCTATGAATGATGATGAGGGACAAAAAAAAAAGCACACACACACACAACAACAAACAACAAATAGTAAACACACTCATTCTTTTCCAAGGAAAAATCATCTAAAAAAATTTACCCAAATAGCAGCTCACCTTAAGATCCAATGGGAGCTTGTTGGAGGTGAACACACTTAGCTTGATCTGAGGAATGCTGATTTTGAGATTTTCAAAGTAGTATCGAATTGGTGTTCCACCTTGCTCAGCTGTCTTTTCATGGAGGTTTTCATCATATTTTTCCACCTCTGGTACAAAGGAAGAATTAAAAAAACAAAAAAGAATTTCTTAGTCTCATGATCCACAGAATCCACTTTGTATTCACATAGAAAAAAATCATCAAAAAAAGGAAACCATCTATCACTCTCGATTTAGTTTGTGAGGGTACAGTGACGTGTATAGTATTCTGATGCCATTCTTTGTAAGAGTAGATCTGTTTTGTGTTGTTTATCAAAAAAGAAGACTAGCATGTTAACTTGTGACTCCATACCATCCAACAGATGTCATCTTTGGAAAAAATCATCCAGATGGAAAAGCCAAAGGCCACAGGTGTATTTGTTAGCAATGTTATTATCAATGACCCAGATTATCTAAATTTATTTTCCTAGGATCATATCCAAATAAGGTCTTGGAGTGCAGTGTAACTGAATCAAAATGGATATCACCAATTCACGAATCTGAGTGAAACATAAATGCCTGAAAAAGAATCAGGCTGCGGGCTGTAAAGACGTAATATCACTACAAGCAGCGCCCTGTCTCCCAAATGGTGGACATCCATTTAAATAGGACAATCAAGGCAGATTTTTTACTTGCCATCTCATGAAATAAAAGGAGTAGCAGGAGTAGCATGGGCTACAACACAGCAATGTGCTCTTTGCACTTGATGCTGTATGCACATCCAACTGGGCAGCATATTTTGCCTTGGCTTCACGTGCCTTGGAAATAAAACCAGAGAGCTGGCACATACCTACTTATCAAACACATTTATGTTGTAAGCTATCATCAGTGCTACTTACAGAAAAATGATACTGCAACAGAGACCTGCCCATTTATGCTGAGGAAGCAGAAACAGCTACAGACAGGATGGCAGGTACTTTAAGGAGCAGCAGGACTGGGCTTGTGGACCTGAGGGCTGCATGCTGCCTCTGTCCCATCCCATCAGCACTGGTGACAACATACCAAAAACATGGGAAGCAACCCCTTAGTCAGCTCCCACTTCAGTGAAAGGCAGGCAAGGATTTTACAAAAGTCTAAATCCATGCTTGAGGAGAAATTTATTACAGCAACTTATAAGAAAATTTACAAGAAAAGCATGTCGAATCAAATTTAAAGTAAAACTTCCCAGGAAGGTACCAAAACAGAATGGATACCTGGCAGGCAGGCTCCCAAGTGGCTGTCTGAATACAAATAAACACTGGCGTTCCAACCCAAAGTGGAAAACACAGCATTAAACAGACAGGATCTTGCTCTTGATCCCAAATACTCTTAAAGCTTAAATTCTAAATCTGGGATAAAAAGAACAAAAATATTTTTCTTGCATTGTGTGTATGTATGTACATGTGTACACACATTCCCAGTGATTTTTTTCTCTAGCCAACATGGGCAGATAAACATAAAAGCCTCTTTCTTATCATTTCTTCAGGCTCAATATTTAGTTTAGGCTTCAAAAGACTGAGTATTACTGACTTTTTTCTAAGCTGTATACACAGCCATGAAAAGCCCATCTAAGAGCGGAAGGAAAGGCTGTGATGAGGAATCGAAAAGAAGCAACAGCTCAATTATTTCTGTAGCACTGCTGGAAACCTGGGCTTT
The DNA here is from genome assembly GCF_000001405.40 of Homo sapiens. Taxonomy (NCBI): domain Eukaryota; kingdom Metazoa; phylum Chordata; class Mammalia; order Primates; family Hominidae; genus Homo; species Homo sapiens. Next base: position 12,402,260 of record NC_000001.11, on the reverse strand, counting down.
TCAATAGCTTATCTTACTCTCTTCTACAAAGAAGAGAGTAAATAAGCAGAAACCTTTGTAATTACAAAAAGGCACAAGGGTTTGGATGTCAAAAGTTAATGAATTGAGGCTAGCCAATTTTATTTTCTCAACTAAACCAAAGGAACTGCCAAAGGGATTTCTGATTCTTGGCCTGGAGTCTGTTTAAGAAACAAAGGTTAGGAAACAAAATGGTTTGCTAAATGACTAATATCATTTCTGTCATCCTAGAGCAGATGAATCAAAAAAATGCAAAGCAAAGAGGAATAGTATACTGCTTCCCAAAGGTATACCACTGGATACTCCAGGATTCCAGAAGACCCTCTGAATGGCTCCTTTAGTTCACAGAGATAACTCAGACAACAAGTAATACTTTGAAAAAGCACAACTGAAACACAAGCCTTAGCTTCCTAGCTCAGGCTGAGATGTGGAAAGGGAGCCTATCAGACACCAAGGGGCTACCTATTTTTACAAACAGACTCAAAAATACCATCTTTGGACCAATTCCCAAACACAGACATAGAACATTCAACATTACCTGATTCTGCTTGATCGTAGCCAAAGAAACTTAGCAGCTTGAGGAGCAGTTTCTCCTCAATTTGCACTGTGAATCTCTGAGCTGTGATCATCAGATGCTAGAGATAAAGAAATTCTGATTTAAAGTGTGAACACCAGAAGGAACATTCATCTGTGCTATTAAGAAGGCCTCAATGACATGGTATGCTTTCATTAATCATGTGGCTTTATAACTATAATGCCAAATTATTTCTGGGTTATCTCTCTCTATATTGTTATGATTAACTAAAAACTCCAAAAGATGTTTAATAGATGGTTTGCCATTCTATTGTTTGGTTCCCAGGCAATCTGGGCCTCATTAGTCAGGATTCCAGCCTCAGATGCACTGTGGTGGATGAACTTTATGGTGTGTGCTCAGATGGATGGCAGCTAATTTAAGGAGCAGCATGGCTGGGCTTGTGGATCCGAGGGCTACAGGCAGGCTTGGTCCCATCAGCACTGGTGATAAAGGACCAGAAATATGGGAAGCAACCCCTGGTTGGCTCCCACTTTTCCAGAGTTTGCTGCTGGAACAGCTAGCTTGTGCGTGGAGACTCCTCCAAGAAAGAAAGTTTATCATTTGTAACTATCTGCTTTTGGTAAACAGTGTGGTAACTTAGGTAGCAGCACGTCTGTCTCAAGGTCAGACCCATCATAGCCCTTTCCCAATATTTCAGGGTTATTGTGTGTGTGTGTGTGTGTGTGTGTGTGTGTGTGTGTGTGTGCGCGCGCGCAGGTGCACATCTCACTCTATCACCCAGGCTGGAGTGCAGTGGTGTGATCGTGACTCGCTGTAGCCTCGAACTCCCAGGCTCAGGACCTCCCACCTCAGCCTGCTAAGTAAGTAGTTGGGACCACAGGTGCTTGCCACCAGGTCCAGCTAATTTTTGTATTTTTTATAGAAATGAGGTTTCACCATGTTTCCCAAGCTGGTCTCAAACTCCTGGGCTCAAGAGATCCACCCGCCTTAGCCTCCCAAAGTGCTGAGATTACAGGTGAGAGCCAGTGAGCCCAGCTGGGGTTATTCTATTTTTAATAATAGATCTGGATCATGCCTGGTCCTGACCTATCTAGAAGATGCTATACTTTCCTACAGTGACTTCACTCTGATGAATATGGACTCTGGCCTATATGGACTCAGTACCATCAAACTGTCACCTGCAAGGTCACTGAAAACACAACTGAGAAGGAGGAGTTCCTGTCAATTCCTCCAAACAATCTATTATGTCACATGTGGTTTAACCCTGCAGAGCTATTCCCATCAGCACCCGGCACTGCTGCTCTGAGACTTGGCTGTGAGAGAACAAATCAACGTTCCAGCATGGCATCAACCCACCAGCCTCCTCCACCAGCCCACCTTGTAGATGTTGGTCAGTGCACTCTTACTGGGGAACTTCACTGCGTTGACTTGCACAGCTGGGCCGGTCTCGATGACCTCATTCTCATTGCTCAGGGGAGTCACATAGAGCATGAAGGGCTGCGTGGTACCAATGAGCTGATTGTCCACCTACGGCCATGGAAAGGTAGCAAAGCAAAAACAAAAACAGACCAGTGGCTCAGTTTTCATTTTTACGCTTGAGTGGGGCCTCATAATGCGCAGGTTGCTCAGAAAGTACCCTTGTCATTTCACTCGATCTCAATAGCAGTTCACAAAAGGGCAGTCATAATAAAGTAAGCAGTCATAATAACAGATGCTAAATTTCATTAGGGGAGTGCTTTTCTAAGAGAATAGGTTTTGTTTTCTCACCTCAAAAAAATAAGTATGTGAGGCAATACATATATTAGCTCAATTTAGCCATTCCACAACATAAAAATATTTCCAAACATCATGTTGTACACGATGAATATATACATATTTTTTTGTTTTTCTGAGACAGTTTCACTCTTGTTGCCCAGGTTGAAGTGCAGTGGCGGAATCTTGGCTCACTGCAACCTCTGCCTCCTGGATTCAAGCGATTCTCCTGCCTCAGCCTCCTGAGTAGCTGGGATTACAGGCATGCACCACTATGCCCGGCTAATTTTATATTTTTAGTAGAGACGGGGTTTCTCCATGTTGGTCAGGTTGGTCTTGAACTCCTGACCTCAGGTGATCTGCCCACCTTGGCCTCCCAAAGGGCTGGGATTACAGGCGTGAGCCACCGCACTCAGCCAACTATACACAATTTTTATTCATTGGTTAAAAAATCAACTACTGGCCAGGCGCAGTGGCTCACACCTGTAATCCCAGCACTTTGGGAGGTTGCGGCAGGCGGATCACGAGGTCAGGAGTTTGAGACCAGCCTGGCCAACATGATGAAACCCCGTCTCTACTACAAATACAAAAATTAGCTGGACGTGGTCGTGGGCCCCTGTAATCCCAGCTACTCAGGAGGCTGAGGCAGGAGAATCACTTGAACCCAGGAAGCAGAGGTTGCAGTGAGCCGAGATAGCGCCACTGCACTCCAGCCTGGGTGACAGAGAGAGACTCCGTCTCAAAAAAAAAAAAAAAATCAACTATTTGAAAAAAGTAATTTTTTAAGTCCACAACCTGCTGAATGAAACAAAAAATTTAATTAAAAAAATAAAACAGGTGATACTATGTGCGAAGCTCCATGCTAGCCACTTCATATGCATGATCCCAAGTCACATCATACCTGTAACGCTGGTGGTTAAACTAAGGGTTTGCTGCCATCCTTATGACAACTTCATGAGCTCTGTCCTTATATCACAGAGGAAGAAGCTGAGAAGAGAGGCCCTTGCTTCAGGTCACACTGCTGGTCAGTGGCAAAACTAGAACTTGAATCTCGGTCTGTCTGACCCCAAGGCCAGCACTCCTAAACACTATGCTATCGATGCTTCTCTCTTGCTCCAAATTCCTTCAAGACAATTTAAATTAGAGAACCAGGAGCTCAAATGGCTACCAAATTGTAACAGTTTCCTCTACTAAGGTCAACTCCCTTCTCGGGAACGAAACGATTAAGTCAGCGGCATTAGGGTTGACTCTATTTACACAGCCCTGATCAGTATCAGTGCCATCACAGAGGACACTTGCCACACTCAGACATGCATGGATGTCTAGAGGCTCCTTGCAGGAAGCAGCCATCTTCCTGTTCTGTCTCACATCGAAGTTCACCACCAGGAAGAGGAAAGAGGACAGACCATCTTTTTGGGTACCCCTAAGAGACCATCTGCAGGTACTTTCCACACACCCCCTATCATATCACTTCCTAAACCCCTAAAGGCTAGGTATTATTCCTCCTCATTTTACAAACAAGTAGACAGAAGCTTAATGAAGTTAAATTATGTTGGCAACAGAACGAGACTCCGTCTCAAAAAAAAAAAAAAGAAAAAAAAGTTAAACTACTTGCCCTCATTCGCACAGCTTGTAAGTGGAAGAGGTGGGATACAAATGCAGAGATTTCTGGCACCGAATCCTCTGACCTCTCCATTGTATTGCAGGGATTTCCAAATAGACATTTCTGTACAACTGGAAATGACTTTTCTTCTGTTTGTTCTCAGGGCAGGGATAAGGGCAAGAGACTTGGAGTATTTTTTCCTACTTCCATTCCTTCCTCCTACAATGTATTCTCTATATAGCAGCCAAAGTGATCTTTCAGTAAACTATAAATCGAGTCATACACACCCTTCCTTTACACTATTCAGTGGTTTCCCTTTCTCTTAGGATAAACCAGACTTCTCACCACAGCCTCTAAGGCCTGCATGAACTGGCACCAAATTCTCCAGCTTCATCACACACCACTCTTTCAGGTTCCCTACCATCCTCACCTGAGCCTCCTTATTGTTTCTAAAATGTGGGCAAGTCCTTCCTTCCTCAGGGTCTCTGAATTGCCTGAAATGGTTTCTAGTGACCATCTCTATGGTTTGCTCATTCTATTCCTCCAAGTTTCAGTTCAGCTCTCATTTCCTCAGGAAGATCTTCCTGAGCCACTTTTTCTAAAGTAGCACTTTATCTAAAGTAGCTATTCTTTACAGCAGTTATCACAGAATGTCATTATTCATTTGCTTGCCTGCCTGCATATTTATTGGCAGACTTTCTCTCTAGGCTGTTGGCTCAAGAGCAAAGCCTGCATTTTTGAAGTCATAGCCATATCTCCAGAACCTAGTACAGTGTCGGGCACACACTTGATGCTCAGTAAGAATGGACTGAATGAATGAATCATTACCTATCTCATCCAAATATGAAATGGCAATAAAGGGCTCGACCATATTGTCTTCTCCTTTGTTCTTTCACTAAACACATCTGACACAAGGCGTCGTAACTGAGAATTACTAACTCTACCTAGTTTTATTCTCCTAATTAGATCGGATGCTGCCTAAGGAGAGGATCTCTATTTTCTATTTTTAAAAATTCCTTCTTGCAGCACTGTAACCACAGTAAAGTACAAACCTGATTATTTTCTATGATTTGCAGCATACATCACATAAAGAGGTATTATAGGAAAAAACAACTTTTTGGCCAGGCGTGGTGGCTCACGCCTGTAATCCCAGCACTCTGCGAGGCCAAGGTGTGCAGATCACCTGAGGTCAGGAGTTCAAGACCAGCCTGGCCAACATGGCGAAACCCCATCTCTACTAAAAACTACGAAAATTGCTGGGCGTGGTGGCGGGCACCTGTAATCCCATCTATTTGGGAGGCTGAAGCTGGAGGATCACTTGAACCTGGGAGGCGGAGGTTGCAGTAAGCAGAGATCGTACCACTGCACTCCAGCCTGGGCGACAGAGTGAGACTCCATCTCAAAATAAACAAACAAATAAACAAACAAACAACTTTTTAAAGTAAAGAATAAAGTTAAGGAAACTAATGAACAGCAAATGGTTCCTTGAATTGTCTCTGTAAGGTCGAAAAAAGGAGGACAAGGAAAAATAGCTGCAAGATATTAACTTTCTATCTGTGCACAAATAAATAGGATACGATTAGCCTGAATTCTCTGTTATTCGTGATATATAATAAAAGAAAAATTTCTTCTGAAAAGAGGTTCTGGCCTCGACAATCTGGATGGAATCGCATGACATGTTAAGGGAGAGAAGGAGCCCCAGTCATGGGAGACACATTGCACACACTCCCAGTAAGGATGTAGTTCGTCCATTTGGGAAAAAGAACCACAGTCTGGGGCTTTGGATTCTTCTTCTGGAAATGTCTACCAGGAACTAGTTTCCTGAACATATTTAAACTTTGATGAAGCTTATAAAGGAAAAGCGTTCCAAGTATGATGTTACAAACAGATAGAAGTTGTTCTGATAGCACACTAACAGTACTCTGCCAAAAATTGTAAAGGTCGACTTTTTCAGAACTCCGAAAGTTAATAAAAAACTTGCGACAATCTAAGGAGCATTTACTCAAGAAAACAAGCTGAAACTCAGTGAGAACAGCGAGCTCTGTGGCATTTTAATTTGTCCTATTCTCTTCACCCCTACCCCAGCTCCACAGTAGCCTTGAAAACCAACGGCCCTACAGTCACACTGCAAACAAAGCAGTCCTAGCAGACACTCCAGCAGCCAGAAGGAATTTGCAGCTCCCCCAGGAGTCCCATCCCCAGACTTGTCAGTATTTGGCTTGTCTGGCATCTCTCTCTTTCCTGATATTAATAATCTATGTCTTCTCTTTTTCTCCTGCTCAGACTGGTTAGAGGCTTATTAATTTTATTGATCTTAAAGAACTATATATATATATATATATATATATATATATATCTCCTATTAGTTCTATCCCTCTAAGAGAACCCTGACTAATACAGATTTTGGTACCAGGTGTGGTTCTAGAGGAACAGAATATTAAGGATGGAGTTCTTTCATTGGCTTTGGGGTTTCTGGAGTTGGCTGCTGAATATGATTAGCCCCCCAAAAAATTGCTAAGGACTCTACCTCTAATAGTATGGAGAATGCTGATAGTCCTTGGCGTGAACCGTTTGGAGAATTATGCAAAATAAATGCATTTGACACTCCTGATTCACCGCTCATGAGAGGCAAGGATTTTAGTGACTCTATACATAATACCTTTGACCATATGTAGAAAACCAAGTAACATAATGAAGCTGGTTGGTTGCTCCTAAGTTCAGTGGACAAAGTAATGAAAGAAAATGATGAACTCAGGGATTCTGTCTCCCAGCTTCAGAAGCAGATACTGAGCCTCAAATCTGCTAAGATTGCCCTAAGTGAGAGTCTTATCTCCTGCAGAGAAAGAGCTGAAATTGTGGAAAAACAGACACAAGCTCTTGTCATGCAAGTGGCTGACCTGCAATGAAAGATGCACGCCGAAAGATGCACACACAGCCTCACCAGATGTCTGCTGTTAAAGTGAGGGCAATGATTGGAAAAGAATGGGACCCTGCAACTTGGAATGGGGATGTGTGGGAGGACCCTGATGAAACTCGGGGAAACTGAGTTTGTAAACTCTGATGAGCCTTTTTTGCCAGAAGGATGAGCTTCCCCATCCCCAGTAGTGGCAACATCTCCTCAACCCATGCTGTCATCAGCTTTCCACCTTTGTCTGAGGAGATGAATCCTATGCTGCCTAAGGCAACAGTGATGACCTCTCTTGAGGCAGCTGCCAGGCAAAGTAATGTTGATTCTCCTCAGGAGTCACCCCCAACACCCCTGTTTGCTTCTAGACCTAAAGTCCCGGCAGGCCCCTAGATGTGAGGTTGAGAGTGTGACTCACGAGGAGGTGTACTACACTCGAAAAGAACTGTTTGAGTTCTCTAATTTATATAGAAAGAAATCTGGAGAACAGATACGGGAATGGATATTAAGGGTATGGGATAATAGTGGAAGGAACATAGGGTTGGATCAGGATTTATTGATCTGGGCCCACTAAGTAGGCATTCTGCTTTTAATGTTGCAGCTTGGAGAGGTAAAAAAGGTTCTAATAGTTTATTTACTTGGTTAGCTGAAATATGGATTAAAAGATGGCCCACCGTGAGAGAGGTGGAAATGTGTGATCTCCTTTGGTTTAACGTACAGGAAGGGATCCAAAGGATTAGGGAGACTGGGATGGTGGAGTGGATTAGCCACTTCAGACCTACTCATCCCAGCTGGGAGGGTCCAGAAGATATATCCTTGACCAATGCCTTGCGGAACAGATTTGTAAGGGCAGCACCTGCATCTTTGAAGAGCCCTGTAATTGCTTTTCTCTGTATGTCAGATCTAACGGTGGGAACAGCAATCATTAGCTACAAAATTTAAACACAATGGGGATAACTGGATCCCGAGGTGGCAGGTTGCCAAGTGGCAGCACTCAATCGTCAAAGGCAAGGTGGGCATAGCTACCATAATGCACAGCAGAGGCAAAGTGGCAATCAGAATAGTCTGACTCATGTAGAGCTCTGGCACTGGCTAATTAATCATGGTGTTCCTAGAAGCGAAATTAATAGGAAGCCTGCTGCATTCCTACTTAATTTATACAAGCAGAAAACTTCTAGGTTGAATGGACAAAAAACTAGTTTGAATTATAAAAACAGAGAATCATGGCCCCTCAGTCAATTTCTAGACTTGAGCCAGTTTACAGACCCAGAACCCCTTGAATGAAGGGGAGGCCGGATCCCCTTGAGGAAGGACCCCACTACATTGCCGACAATTTACGCAGTGAATCTTTCTCCCATCCTTCCCAAGGAGACCTCCAGCCTTTTACCAGGGTAACTGTGCACTGGGGAAAGGGAAAGGATCAGACATTTCGCGGATACAGGACACTGGCTCTGAGCTGACGTTGATTTCAGGGGACCCAAAATGTCATTGTTGCCCTCCAGTTAAAGTAGGGGCTTATGGAGGTCAAGTAATTAATGGAGTTTTAGCTCAGGTCTGACTTACAGTGGGTCCAGTGGGTCCCCAGACTCATCCTGTGGTCATGTCACCAGTGCCAGAATGCATAATTGGCATAGATATACTTAACAGCTGGCAGAACCCCCACATTGGCTCCTTGACTGGTAGGGTGAGGGCTAGTATGGTGGGAAAGGCCAAATGGAAGCCCTTAGAGCTGCCTCTACCTAGAAAAATAGTAAACCAAAAACAGTATCACATCCCTGGAGGGATTGTGGAGATTAGTGCCACTTGAAAGATGCAGGGGTGGTGATTCCCACCACATCCTTGTTCAACTCTTCCATTTGGCCCGTGCAGAAGACAGATGGATCTTGGAGAATAACAGTGGATTATCGTAAGCTTAACCAAATGGTGACTCCAATTGCAGCTGCTGTACCAGATGTGGGGTTTCATTGCTTGAGCAAATTAACACATCTCCTGGTACCTGGTATGCAGCCACTGACTTGGCAAATGCCTTTTTCTCCATTCCTGTCCACAAGGCCTACCAGAAGCAATTTGCCTTCAGCTGGCAAAGCTAGCAATATACCTTTACTGTCCTAACCGCAGGGGTATATCAACTCTCCAGGTTTGTGTCATAATCTTATTTGGAGAGACCTTGATTGCTTTTTGCTTCCGCAAAATATCACACTGGTCCATTACACTGATGACATTATGCAGATTGGATCCAGTGAGCAAGAAGTAGCAAACACACTGGACTTATTGGTGAGACATTTGCGTGCCAGAGGATAGGAAATAAATCCGACTAAAATTCAGGGAACTTCTACCTCAGCAAAATTTCTAGGGATCTAGTGGTGTGTGGCCTGCCAAGACATTCCTTCTAAGTTAACGGTGTTGCTGCGTTTGGTCCCTCCTACAACCAAGAAAGAGTTACAATGCCTAGTGGGCCTATTTGGATTTTGGAGGCAACACATTCCTCATTTGGGTGTATTACTCCGGCCCATTTATTAAGTGACCCGAAAGGCTGCCAGTTTTGAGGGGTCCAGAATGGGAGAAGACTCTGCAACAGGTCCAGGCTGCTGTGCAAGCTGCTCTGCCATCTGGGCCATATGACCCAGCAGATCCAATGGTGCTTGAGGTGTCAGTGGCAGATAGGGATGCTGTTTGGAGCCTTTGGCAGGCCCCCATAGGTGAATCACAGCAGAGGCCTCTAGGATTTTGGAGGAAGGCCCTGCCATCTTCTGCAGATAACTACTGTCCTTTTGAGAGACAGCTCTTGGCCTGTTACTGGGCTTTGGTGGAAAATGAACATCTGACTATGGGTCATCAAGTCACCACGCAACCTGAACTGCCCATCCTGAACTGTGTGCTTTCTTTTTTTTTTTTTTTTTTTAACATTTATACAATAATATTATTTTAATCAAGAATTTCTTAAAATTTCATCACGGACTTTTTTTTTTTGAGAGAGTCTTGCTCTTGTTGCCCAGGCTGGAGTGTAAAGGAGTGGTCTCGGCTCACTGCAACCTCCACCTCCCAGGTCCAAGCGATTCTCCTGTCTCAGCCTCCGAAGTAGCTGAGACCACAGGCACCCGCCACTGCCCGGATAATCTTTGCATTTTTAATAGAGATGGAGTTTCACCATGTTGGCCAAACTCCTGACCTCAGGCCATCTGCCCGCCTTGGCCTCCCAAAGTGCTGAGACTACAGGTGTGAGCCACCGGGCCCAGCCAAGGATCTTAATATAGTCATTTATGGCAAAAGAAAAATAACATTTTTGGGTTGGATGCAGTGGCTCACACCTATAATCCCAGGACCCTGGGAGGCCTAGGCGGGCAGATGGCTCGAGTCCAAGAGTTCAAGACCAGCCTGGCCAACACGGCAAGATCCCTGTCTCCACAAAAAATACAAAAATCAGCCAAGTGTGGCACCACACACTTGTATTCTCAGCTACTTGGGAGGCTGACGTGGGAGGATCACTTGAGCCCAGGAGGAGGAGGTTGCAGTGACCCGAGGGAGGACCACTGCACTCCAGCCTGGGTGACAGAGCAAGATTCTTGTCTCAAAAAAAATATTTAAAAAAAACACAAAACATCTTTTGGGAGTAAAAGTGTTTATCCCCACTGCTTCACTTAACTAGCTGTAAAAAGCAATAAAATAAAATAAGATGTTTTGTTTGATCACATAGATTTACAGTTACCCAAATGAAAGATTTTATTTACAAATTAAAAATAAAAACAAAGGCTGAAGTGGGCAAATCACTTGAGGTCAGGAGTCAGAGATCAGGCTGGCCAACGTGGTGAAACCCCATCTCTACCAAAAAATATATAAATTAGCTGCATGTGGTGGTGCACACCTGCAAACTGAACTGGGTGCTTTCTGACCCACCCATCTAGCCATAAAGTGGGTCGTACACAGCAGCATTCCATCATCAAATGAAGTGGTATATATGTGATTGGGCTCGAGCAGGTCCTGAAGGCACAAGTAAGTTACATGAGGAAGTGGCTCAAATGCCTATGGTCTCCACTCCTGCCACCCTGCCTTCTCTCCCCTAGCCTGCACTGATGGCTTCATGGGGAATTCCCCATGATCAATTGACAGAGGAAGGGAAGACTAGAGCCTGGTTCACAAATGGTTCTGCACGATATGCAGGCACCACCCAAAAGTGGACAGCTGCAGCACTACAGCCCCTTTCTAGGACATCCCCGAAGGACAGCAGTTAAGGAAAATCTTCCCAGAGAGCAGAACTTCGAGCAGTGCATCTGGTCATGCACTTTGCATGGAAGAAGAAATGGCCAGATGTGTGATTATATACTGATTCATGGGAGGTAGCCAATGATTTGGCTGGATGGATGGTCAGGGACTTGGAAGAGCATGATTAGAAAACTGGTGACAAAGAAATTTGGGAATAGGTATGTGGATGGACCTCTCTGAGTGGTCAAAAACTGAAGATACTTGTATCCCATGTGAGTGCTCACCAATGGGTGACCTCAGCAGAGGAGGATTTTAACAACTAAGTGGATAGGATGACCTGTTCTGTGGACACCACTCGGCCTCTTTCCCCAGCCACTCCTGCCATCGCCCACTGGGACTATGAACAAAGTGGCCATGGTGGCAGGGATGGAGGTTATGCATGGGCTCAGCAACATGGACTTCCACTCCCCAAGGCTGCCCTGTCTACAGCCAGTGCTTAATGCCCAATTTGCCAGCAGCAGAGACCAACACTGAGCCCTCGATATGGCACCATTCTTCTGGGTGATCAGCCAGCTACCTGGTGGCAGGTTGATTATATTGTACCTCTTCCATCATGGAAAGGGCAGAGTTTGTCTTCACTGGAATAGACGCTTACTCCAGATACGGGTTTGCCTATCCTGCATGCAATGCTTCTGCCAAGACTACCTCTGTGGACTCATGGAATGCCTTATCCACTGTCATGGTATTCCACACAGCATTGCCTCTGACCAAGGCACTCACCTTACGGCTAAAGAAGTGCGGCAGTGGACTCATGCTCATGGAATTCACTGGTCTTACCATGTTCCTCATCATCCTGAAGCAGCTGGATTGATAGAATGGTGAAATGGCCTTTTGAAATCACAATTACAATGCCAACTAGATGATAATAGCTGGGGCAAAGTTCTCCAGAAGGCTATGTATGCTCTGAATCAGCATCCAATATATGGTACTGTTTCTCCCATGGCCAGGATTCAGAGGTCCAGGAATCAATGGGTGGAAGAGGAAGTGGCACCATTCATCATCACCCCTAATGATCCACTAGCAAAATTTTTGCTTTCTGTTCCTGCAACATTAGTTCTCCTGGCTTAGAGGTCTTAGTTCCAGAGGGAGGAACACTGCCACCAGGAGACAAAACAATGATTCCATTAAACTGGAAGTTAAGATTACCACCTGGACACTTTGGGCTCCGCCTAACTTTAGGTCAAGAGGCTAAGAAGGGAGTTACAGTGTTGGCTGGGGTGACTGACCCAGATTATCAAGATGAAATCAGTCTACTACTCCACAATGGAGGTAAGGAAGATTATGCATGGAATACAGGAGATCCATTAGGGCATCTCTTAGGATTACCATGCCCTGTGATTAAGGCAATGGGAAACTACAACAGCCCAATCCAGGCAGGACTACAAATGGTCCAGACCCCTCAGGAAGGAAGGTTTGGGTCACTCCACCAGGAAAAAATCCCACAAAACCATGACCTGATGAGGTGCTTGCTGAAGGTAAAGGGAATACAGAATGGGTAGTAGAAAGGGTAATCATCAATACTAGCTATGACCACATGACCAGCTGCAGAAACAAGGACTGCAATTGTCATGAGTATTTCCTCTTTCTTTTGTTAAAAACATGTTTGTGCATGTATACACTTGTACTAAGAAAATATCTTCATTTTATTTCCTTTCTCCTTCATTATGTGACATAGATTTATTGACTTCATATCAGCATTCAAGCATCATTAACTTTATGTAATAGTATTTGGGTTGGGGACTGGTGTGTTTCCAGCTGTACGAAGGATGGCTGTATTATGTTAGGTGTAATTATGACCTTATAATCTCGGCAGTTGACAAAGGGTGGACTTGTGATGGTTAATACTGAGTGTCAACTTGATTGGATTGAAGGATACAAAGTATTGATCCTGGGTGTGTCTGTGAGGGTGCTGCCAAAAAAGATTAACATTTGAGTCAGTGGGCTGGGAAAGGCAGATCCACCCTTAATCTGGTGGGTGCAATCTAATCAGCTGCCAGCAAATATAAAGCAGGCAGAAACATGTGAGACAGGCCTACCCTCCCAGCCTACATCTTTCTCCCATGCTGGATGCTTTCTGCCCTTGAACATTGGACTCCAAGTTCTTCAGTTTTGGGACTCGGACTGGTTCTCCTTGCTCCTCAGCTTGCAGACAGCCTATTGTGGGAACTTGTGATCATGTAAGTTAATACTTATATACATATCCTTTTAGTTCTGTCCCTCTAAGAGAACCCCGACTACACCAGTAATATTCTTTACTTTGAAATCTATTCCGTCTGATGTTAATCTAGTCATTCTCATTTCCTATGACAAGGGTCAACATGTTATATCTTTTTTCATCTTCTTTCCTTTTAACCTATTTGTGTCTTTATCCTTAATGTGTGTTTCTTGTAGGCAACATATAATTGGTTCTTGCTTTTTTATACAATTTGATAATCTCTGCCTTTTGATTACGGTGTTTACAACATTTAAATTTAGTTAATTGATACCATTAGGTTTGAGTCTACCATCTTGCTAATTATTTTTTATTTGTCCTATCTATTCCTTTCCCTGCTTTCTGTTTTCTGCCTTCTCTTGGATTATTTTTTTATGATTTCTTTTTTTTTTTTTTCCCCCTGAGACAAGAGTCTCCATCTGTCACCATGCTGGAGTGCAGTGGCACAATCTTGGCTCAATGCAACCTCCACCTCCTAGGTTCCAGCAATTCTCCTGTCTCAGCCTCCCGAGTAACTGGGATTACAGGTGTGTGCCACCACACCTGGCTAATTTTGTATTTTTAGTAGAGATGGGGTTTCACCACGTTGGCCAGGCTGGTCCCGAACTCCTGACCTCAAGTGATCCACCTGCCTTAGCTTCCCAAAGTGCTGGGATTACAGGCGTGAGCCACCTCACCTGGCCTAATTTCATTTTATCTCCTTTGCTGAATTATTAGTTATAACTCTTTGTTATTTTGGTGGTTGCTTTAAGAGTTTATGCTGTTTATCTTTATAATTCTACATTCAAGTGACATCATACCACATCATGTATAAGATTACACTAATAGACTTCCATTTCTCCCCTTCAGCCTTTATGCTATTGTTGATAAGAATCTCACTCTTACTTTAAATAAGAAGAAAATAATCTTATATATTTACCCAGGTAGTTATCATTTCTGGTATTCATTACTTTGTGTAGAACAGACTTCAATCTGATACTATTTTTTTCCTTCTGCCTGATGATGTTCTTTTACATTTTTTGTAGCATGGGTCTGCTGATACCTTTCAGTACTTTAAAGATGTTGCTCATTGTCTTCCCACTCTCATTGTTCCCAAAAAGAAATCTGTTGTCATTCTTATCTTTATTCCTTGGCACATAGCATGTCTTTTTTTTCTTGTTCCTTTGCTTTAACACTGGTTTTGAGTAATTTGATTATGATGTGCCTTGGTATAGTTTCCTTCACAGTTGTGTGCTATATTCCATCCAGTGTAGTTTTCATTACATTTTAATCTCTACAAGCTTTAGTTTTTTTATGTCTTCCATATTGCTACTTAACCTTTTGAACACAGAGAATACAGTTACATTAACAGTTTTAACGTCCTCCAAAAATTCTAACATCTGTGCCAGTTGTGAATCAGTTTTGACCAATTAGTCTCCCTACTTAACCTTTTGAACACAGAGAATACAGTTACATTAACAGTTTTAACGTCCTCCAAAAATTCTAACATCTGTGCCAGTTGTGAATCAGTTTTGACCAATTAGTCTCCTCATTATATAGAAAGTTTTCCTACTCCTTTGCACACCTGGTAATTTTTGATAGGATGTCAGATATTGTGAATTTTACCTTGTTGGGTGCTAAATTGTCATATTCCAATAATCTTCTTGAGCTTTATTCAAGGATATGGTTAATTTACTTGGGAAGAGGTTGATTCTTTCGGATCTTCCTTTTATGATTTCTTAGGCAGTCTATAGCAGTGCTCAGTTTAGGGCTAATTAATCATGAGGGCAAGGCTTTCCTGAGACTCTTCCCAACGTCTCATAAATTCTTAGTTTTTCCAGTCCAGCTGGTGGGCACAAGCACTATTCCTAGCCCTGTGTGGGCAGCAGGCACTGTTCCCTCTGATCCTTTCAGATGGGTAGTTTCCTCACATACATCACTGACTAATACTTGGCTAAATACTCAAGAGGGACGGTCTATAGATCTTCAGAGTTTTTCTGTGCAGCTCTCTATGCCCAAGTGTACCATCCTATAACTATAGATACCTTGGTCTCTCTAGACTCTCAGCTCTGTTTTCTCAACTTCTCCACTGTGCTGGGTACTTGCTTGGTCTCCCCTCCCTGGAAACGTTCTCAAATTGGTAAGAAAGGCAATTACAGGGCTCAGCTCGTTTGTTTCCCACCTGTCAAAGCACTGTCCTTCATTGTCTGATGTCCAGTGTCTCAATACCATTGTCTTCTTATTTATCTGGATTCTGGGGTTGTTTCAGGTGGGAGGGTAAATTTAGTCCCTGTTACTCCATCTTGACTGAAAGCAAAGTCCAGTTCTTTAGTTTGTTCTCCCTATGACAGACCTCAATCCCTCCGAATGATGGTTAGATGACTTCCTATTGGTTTTTCTATTGGCAAGATGGTGAACCATGGGTCACCTTCCTCCATGACACCCTGACTGAGTTACCTCTAATATATGCAGAATTCTGCTGTATGTAGAAAAATTAATGAGACGAATGTAGGTAGAAACAACTATTTCACAGAATGATTTTTTGAAGGCCACAAGATATTTCCTCCAAAACATTAAAGTTCTTAGAACATCAAACATTAGATCTGGTTGGGTGATCAGCATGAAAACAAGGTGACTAACAGCTTTGGAACTTCCCCCTTACCTGTACATCCTGTATGCTGAGTTCAAGCATGTGACTGGTTGCCAGCTGTGTATAGTGCACATTGATTCCTGTAAGACTTGCAAAGACCAGTTCTTCTGGGACTTTATTAATTAAGGACAACCCAATTCCACCTTCTAACCTCACAAGCACCTGAAAGGAAACCAAAATATGGCACCCTGATTGTTTTAAACACAGCTCACAGTATCCAGGAGAGTATAAGAAAATAAAGCATTTTACATTCCTCTACTCCCGATCTCTCAGCAGATGAAAACCACTTAGGGGAGTCCTATTATTTACCTGGAGGGCTCAAATGCTATCATCTCACTGGAAGCCTTGCTTTCTAGGCATACCCTTCACCCCAACGAGAACTCCAGAGTATGTGATGATACCTCTATCAAAGGACTGATGACATTCTGCATTTCATTATAGAAATCTAATTATTTGGTAATCTTTCACCTTATTTGGGATGAAAGCTCATAATCTGTTATCCACTACACTTCCATAGCACCCAACACAGTGTTTTACACATAGGCATTTGATTTTTTCAAAAATCACTGAATAAACGTCAGATAAATATACTTTTTCATGTTCATCTCATCTTCCTTTTCAAACTTGTCACTCTCCAATCCCAAACAGAGAAAACAGAAGGAAGATGTCAGAGATGGCTGAAGCAAAAAACAAAAAATTGTTTGTCTTAAATCTTACTGAAATTCAAACAATTTAGCTTCCTTTATTGTAATAATAGTTTAGCAATGCTTACTACATGCTGATTCCACATAAACTTTGTTGTCATTTACATAATACATTCACACATTCACTGATAAACAGTAAACACTGTGAAGCGTAACTCATATTTAGAATCATACAGGATAGAAAGAAAACAGAAGGTCTAAAATACCACCAAGTAAAATTCTAAAAAACTGATGATCAAATAAATAAATTCACAATATTTAGACCTTACTTCCAATTCCTGCTCTGTATCTGGATTCTTTAATTTCTGCAGCTCTTGTTCGGTGACAGGAAGTTCATCCACTTCATATGAACGGCTGCTTTTCCGGTGGCAGAAATCTGTTATCTGAAGTCAAATAAAACACCACAAGAAGATGATTCACTCTTCCTTATTGAAACCTATTCTAACCCAGAACAACTGTGTAGGTCAAAAGTCATTATATAATCAATAATCCTATGGAAGCGAATGGTTTCCAAAGCACTGGTAAGGTAAGATTTGTGTAATAAAGAAGCAAACTTGGTTTCAAGTCTGCATGGCAAACTCAAGCTATACACCTTGAGAGCCTCACGTAGTGGGGTTAGATATCTGCAGATGATCTCAAATTATAGCTCAAGTCAAAATATGCAAACCTCAAGATCACTGCATTCATTTTTGCCTTAAGATTGTTTTTTAAAGTGGTATTGTGAGCCGGCACAGTGGCACACACCTGTAGTCCAAGCTACTTGCGAGGCTAAGGTGGGAAGATCGCTTGATCCCAGAAGTTCAAGACCAGCCTGGGGAACATAGCGAGACCCTATCTCCACAAAAAATGAAAAGTAATTAGCTAAGCATGGTGGCATGCACTTAAGTTCCAGCTATTCGGGAGGCTGAGGTGGGAGGATCACCTGAGCCCAGGAGTTCGAGGCTATAATGAGCTATGATTTTGCCACTTCCCTCCAGCCTAGGTGAAAGAGAGTGACATAGCTAAATAAATAAATAAATAAATAAAAAGTGGTGTTGTGAATTGTGATGCACTATCTCAGAGAGCTCATTGCTACATTCCAACATCTTTTTTTTCCTTTGTTCTGATTACGCTATGACCTAATAAACCCTTATCCCCATCACAGATCTCTCCCCTGGGTTTCAGAGCCATAGTTACAATGACTTATGGACATCTTCACATAGATATCACACAGTTACCTTAACTCAACAAGTCCAAAACCTAACTCCTCCCTTCCTCTGCAAGTCTGCTCCATGTTCATCCCTTAGTGATCTGGATTATCATCCTGTGAGTTGCCCAAATCAGAACCTTGGAGGCCATTACTGACTCCTTCCTCTCCCTCATTCCCACATTCAGTCACAAAATCTGCCTGACTCTACTCCTAAGTAAGCTCTCATTTCTATCCATTTCTCTCCAGCCTCCTCATGTCCACCCCTGCCACTTCTTCCAGTTCAGGCCACCATAACCCTTCATTTACATTAGTGCAAGAGCCTCCTACCTGGTATTTCACTATCTCCAGTCTTGCCCCACTCTGCTTCTCTACATTGCAGCCAGAGGAAGTGATCTAAAACAATTTTCTAATCATGCCATTCCCTGACTCCTTGTTGCCTTAGAAAAACCACAAATTCTTTAGTATGTATCTCAGACTTTTTATGATCTGGCCCCTGCTTCTATCTCCAGCCTTCTTTCTTACCACATTCTGTGTGCCACTTGGGCTGAGGATCACTCTGCTACCTGTGGGCCTTCACTAGTCAACTTCCACATCGTATGTCATTTACTTCCTATGTTTATTGGTCAATGATGGTCCATCCCCACTAGAATGTAAGCTCCAAGAAGGCAGGGAGTTTTGTCCGTTCACTGGTAAATGTTCCGTACCTAGACCTGTGCTGGCTCAAGTAGCTGCTCAGTAAATACCTGTTGATGAACATGCTTATTACTGAGGGCACAGCCCCTCCACCTGTACCTTTCTATTTGGCTAATTCCTTTCAGTTAAACTCTAGGTCTCAGTTTAAGTACTACTTCTCTTAGGAAGCTCCCCACCCTCTAAATCTGGGAATACAAATCCTTTCCATACACCCTCCACTCCTACTCTCATTAACACAATATTTTAATTATCTGATTAAGGATCTCATATCTTCTTGTTGTTAATGTTATTAAGATATTATGTTATTAATAATAATTAACAACACTATTAATATGCACTGTTAACATTATCTTGTTTAAATCTTATACTTTTTTAGGTTACCACATATTTCATTGATACTTTGTTTATACTTTACGCTTATCTTTTTGTTGTACTTTAGTTCTTGTAACAACTTTGTGAGGTAGATCCTATCCCCATTTTACAGATGAAGATACCATATCTTCATATCTGGCATAAACATGTTCAATAAGTATTTGTTAAATGAGTAATCATTGGGGGTGGAGGAAGTACAGAGTTTCACATCAGCTCTTATGACAAATTATCACCTGGAGTGCTCTAGTTGGTCCATCTGGGATGACTCTGATGGATAACATTCCAGAACCAGGTCTCATTTTTTGATTAATAAATTGTTGTTCAGGTGGAACTGGCCCCAAAAGCTCCATGGAAGTGTCAGGACCAAGAACAACTTCAGCTCCATCAAACAAACCAGAAAGTCCTCCTTTGGCCTAAAAGACATTGGAGTAGAGACATGTGAGAAAAGACAGAGGCACTGACTTTGACAAGTTAACACATCATTTCAAACAAGTTCCTAAATTTACATTCTCCTCTGGAGGGTCATGATCAATGTGCAACAAAGCCTTTACTATTTGTTCAGCTTTGCAGATGATGAAAAACAGGAGAATTACTTCAGTAAGATGAAAAGTTATGCTCATAAATTTTGGTAATTATGAATAAGAGATAATTTCATGCATAGATCAGTTTAATTCTGCCTTTTACTAGTACTAACTTCTTGTCATTAAAATAAACTTCTAAAAAAGTAGCCAAAACTAGCTGTTTCTTTGAGTATTCTTACTAGGGTTTGCTTAAAAATCTGAAATATTCTGAAAATAGAAAATAATTATTATAATCATTCAGCTTTCCAGTAAGAGGAAAATTCTTGAGTTGAAAACCTCCCCAAACAGGCCTATGGCTGGACAACCAATCCAAATACTCAAAAGATGGTGTTTCTTCTAGAATGGAATACAGAGTTGAGAATGTCACCTGATACCCAGTTATTCAGGCTGTTAAAAGAAAAACTTCAAGCCAGGCGAGGTGGCTCAGCCTGTAATCCCAGCACTTCGGGAGGCCAAGGCGGGCGAATCATCTGAGGTCAGGAGTTTGAGACCAGCCTGGTCAACATGGTGAAACCCTATCTCTACTAAAAATACAAAAATTAGCCAGGCATGGTTGCAGGCAACTGTAATCCCAGCTACTCAGGAGGCTGAGGCAGGAGAATCGCTTGAGCCCGGGAGGCGGAGGTTGCAGTGAACTGAGATTGTGCTATTGTACTCCAGCCCGGGCAACAAGAGCGACACTTTGTCAAAAGAAAAGAAAAGAGGAAAAGGAAAAAGAAAGAAAGAAAAAGAAAGAAAGAGAGAGAAGAAAGGGAAGAAAGAAAGAAAGAAAGAGAAAGAAAGGAAGGAAGGAAGGAAGAAAGGAAGGAAGGAGAGAGAGAGAGAGAAAGAAAGAAAGAAAGAAAGAAAGAAAGAAAGAAAGAAAGAAAGAAAGAAAGAAAGAAAAGAAAAGAAAGAAAAAGAAAAAAAGACAGACTGACTGACTTCAGCCGAATTAAATTTAAAGGGGTTTAATTGAGCAATGAACAATTCACAAATCAGGCAGCCTCCAGAATCACAGCAGATTCAGAGAGACTCCAGGGATGCCTCGTGGTCAGAACAAATTTATAGACAAAGAAAGGGAAGTGATGTACAGAAGTTGGAAGTAAACAGCTGGATTGGTTACAGGTTGGCGTCTGCCTTATTTGAACACAGTCTGAACACTCAGCCATCTGTGAGTGGTGGAAGTATGGCTGCTGTGACTGGCCAAGTCTCAGCTATTGTTACAGGCACATACTCCTAAGTAAGGATTTCAATCTTGCCTGCCGATTACTCTAGGTTACAGTTGGTCCACAGGGATTCAATTATAGAAGTACGGAGTCCTTCTCAGGCCATATTTAGTTTGCTTTAACAAGGCCTTTGGAGGAAAACACCTTGCTACATGCCCCAAGTAAATCGAGTCTACAGGATTATGGCTGTGGGAAAGCAAACACAAGGCTAGAGAAGACAATGGCAAAGAGTGTCTAAATCCCCTTTGTTAACTTTTAAATATTGACTCATGAAAAGCAAACTTTGAGCAGGGTTTATAGTACAGGTTTCAACACAAAGAAAGCTTTTTATAGCTATTATAAGTTTAGAAAGAAAGAGCATATACAACCTAATAAGAGCAGTGTCAGAAAATGTTTTAATGTCTTCAATGACTTTATTCAGCATAATAAGATTGAAACAAGCTTACTTCCCTAACCAAAACACATTCTGCTCTGCTGAATACTGTTATTATACTGTCACTAACAAGCAGGGAAATGATGAAATAGATTCACAAAACAACAAACACCAAAAAAAGATTTTAAGGAAGAAAATGCTCCAAGAGCATTGGAATTACATGGGCTTTAGAAACAAACTAGAAGTGAAGTCAGGGTCAGACATGAAACCCACCAATTATAACAAGCCCTCTTTGCCTCTAGAAGTTTGAATTGTATTGCTAATTGAAAATCACAAATCCATTCCAGATGTGTGCTACATATAAGTAAGCAGCTTGTCTTTGATGAAAAAAGCTCAGGGCGATAGAGATAAAGAAAATAAATCTCACCAAAAGCAGTCAGAGGCTCCTTACAGTTTTTGCAAACTGCCCTGGAGTACAATCTAAGTACACTCAGAGTTCTCTATCAAGAGTCTGATAGTCTCCTGTTTCCCTTTTGTGTAAAATCCCAGGCTGGACAGAACTGCACACACAATTGCAGGTGCTAGTCTACTGCATGTCCAAACCTCCTAGACACCTTCCTACTTCTCAGACCCCTGTTCTCATTCCCAGCCTGAAGCCAGAAAGGGCAGAAAATCCAAACCCTTGGTAATTTGCCAAACACATATTTGCTTAGAAAGTAGCTGGGAGTTTATCATGAGGTAGACTGGCTGAGGAGGAAACTGTCCAGCAATCTTCATTCTGACATTTGCTACAGCAATTCAATGCTTATTTAGGCCAAAATGAACAGAATCAAGAGCATGTAGATGCCTGGCGAATGCTCACCATGTCATAGAACCCTTTACAGAGGACTTGCAGCTATGCCATTAACTTCCCAGGTCTAAATCTAATTCATCTAACTTAGTGCTGGACTTTTAAAATTACATAGGTAATTTTTTTCTTTTTAAAATTACATAGGTAATTTTTTTCTTTTTAAAATTACATTGGTAATATATGACATCAAAGAAAAAGTCCAGGTAAGCCATGAAAAACATATCTTATCATCCAGGGCAATCACTCTTAACACATGTATTGCATACCATCTCCAAGAACTTTTCCCATGTAAACATACACAAATGCGGGGCTGGGCGCGGTGGCTCACGCCTGTAATCCCAGCACTTTGGGAGGCCAAGGCGGGTGGATAACGAGGTTAGGAGATCGAGACCATCCTGGCTAACATGGTGAAACTCCATCTCTACTAAAAAATACAAAAAATTAGCCGGGCGTGGTGGCGGGCACCTGTAGTCCCAGCTACTCGGGAGGCTGAGGAAGGAGAATGGCGTGAACCCGGGAGGCGGAGCTTGCAGTGAGCCGAGATTGTGCCACTGCACTCCAGCCTGAGCGACAGAGCAAGACTCCACCTCAAAAAAAAAAAAAAATACACAAATGCACAACAAAACTCTGACTTCCTTTTAACTAAAATGGAATAGAATAAGTATTGCTCTGTAACTAGTTTTCCCACTGAACAATTCATCATGTATAACTTAGTAGAGACTTTGTTTCAAAGAAGGCTCAACCACTGCTTGCTGCAATTGGGGATCAAAAACGACTGACCTGGACGACCAACCCATGTAACCCACAGGTCAGTTTTCCTTCTCGGAAACTCCACGTCTGAGTTGTGCTTCGCCTGCGGTCAGGCTTTCTCAGCATCAGTGGCTCGTATCTGGAAAACGGAATACACAATGAACCATGAAACCTCCGAGTCAACTGTTTCACGCCTGAAGGGAACATGAGGATGATGGCTTTGCTCTTCTTCCTTCTAATGCCCTCCACCCTTAAAACTGAATGGGTAGTTAGCTTGAATCCTAGGGCAGTTAGGTATCTCTTGATAAGAAAAGAGGAATAAAGCAAAATGGAAAAACATGAAGAGGGGACACAAAGTAAGACATTAAAGATTTCATAACACACAGTAATATGGCTTCTTGCATTCTCAAAACGGCAACTTACCATGCAGTATGGAAGGAATAGCTGCTAAATACATGTAAAATCTTTCCAACAGTCTTTTTTCTGTTGTATTTCTAAATTCTTTTCTGTTCTAACTTGTAAGTCAACTAAAGTTTTTCTGGAAATAAGGTATTAACTGAAAACACACTGATTTTTATGGAGAAACTAAGGCACAGGCAAATCAAGTAACTTATTCAAACTTAAAGAGCTAATTTGAATCCAAGGATTTATTCATAAAAATACATCTGATTATTCTCTTAATAATTAATTTCTGCTTTTGAAGGATTTGACAAAGTTATTAGGAAGATGTAAAAAAGAAACTACTTCCTCAGAATAAGGACGGACTGGAATTTGGGTGGAAGAAATAATCACTTTTCACATTATACCCATTTTATTGTTTGAAGTTTCTTAACATCTGCATGGGTATTTCATCAAAGCTTAAAATATTTAAAGGGAAAGCCCAATACTCATATTTGGGAATATGACAGGTTTTTGTCATTGAAAAAAATATACATTTTTACTTTATTTATAGAACTCTTAGTTTTTGTTGTAGATTTCCTCTGAGTCTGAATTTGAAAGCAATGAGCTTGAATCAAAAGTTGCCTAGAAAATTACCTGTTGTCAGTCACTGCAGCGAGACCAGCAATATCTAAGATGGCAGACCCCTCGGTGGAGCGGGCGGCTGAGGGCTTATTGGG
Organism: Homo sapiens; assembly: GCF_000001405.40. NCBI lineage: Eukaryota > Metazoa > Chordata > Mammalia > Primates > Hominidae > Homo > Homo sapiens. The sequence goes on along the minus strand of NC_000001.11, from coordinate 12,378,508 downwards.
ATTGTGAGGAACTGAGGAGCCCTCATGGGCCAGCATTCCTGTTCCTGTCATCCTCCACAGCTGAGAACGCTTTCCTGGTTCCTGTTAAGTAGGTACAAGCAAAAAGAGAAAGAGCCATTATGGGCAGCCACAGCTAGCTCCTCACTTCAAGAGCTTCCTCTAGGGCTAAATAAGTTCTCATATAGGAAGTTTATTTAGACGTTTTCCACATTATATAAATGCTTAATTCAAACTTTCATGGTTATCTATCTTTTGTTGTTCTTAGGGTAAAATATGCTAACCTCTTGAACCAAACAACCAAACATTACAAATAATGTGCATTTTAACAAACGTATTATTTTCATAACCGAGTTTTTTTCCTTTTTTAGAAATTAGAAACAAATGGCGGGGCAGCCTCCTACACTAGCTATACTGCCATGATCACTGCCATTCCAGATGATGACCGTCCGGTGCCCTTACCTTAAAGAAGAGTGCAATTACATAAAGACTATACGATATGCTCAATATCTGACTTTGAATCAGAATTTACCAGAGGTCTTCCTCCCCGTCCCGAATGTTTATAAGGAAAGCGTACTATATTGATGGTGTCCAATTTTCATGAATTGATTGTATCACAAGTGTTAAGTTGGTTGTATTCAAGGTTATGCTAATTGATTGCTAGTAATTCTTTTTTTTTTTTTTTTTTTTTGGGATGGAGTTTCGCTCCTGTTCTCCAGGCTGGAGTGAAATAGTGCGATCTCGGCTCACTACAATCTCTCCTCCTGGGTTCAGGCGAATTCTCCTGCCTCAGCCTCCCGAGTAGCTGGGATTACAGGCATGCACCATCACGCCTGGCTGATTTTTGTATTTTTAGTAGAGACAGGGTTTCGCCATGTTGGCCAGGCTGGTCTCAAACTCCTGCCCTCAGGTGATCTGTCTGCCTCGGCCTCCCAAAGTGCTGGGATTAAAGGCATGAGCTACCGTGCCTGGCCAGATTGCTAGTTCTAAATATATTTTCTCTTTAGAAATATTTTGGAAACAGCAGTTGGGCTTCCAGGTCAATCATGAAAGTCTATATAATCCATTATATACTAGAAGTCATAATACTTACTGAGAACTTACTATGCGCTAGACATTGGTCCATAAGACTTACATAAAACAACTCATTTAGGCCGGGCGTGGTGGCTCATGCCTGTAATCCAAGCACTTTGGGAGGCCGAGGCAGGTGTATCACCTGAGGTCAGGAGTTCAAGACCAGCCTGGCCAACATGGTGAAACCCCGTCTCTACTAAAAATACAAAAATTAGCTGGGCGTGGTGGCGCATGCCTGTAATCCCAGCTACTCGGGAAACTGAGGCAGGAGAATCACTTGAAACCAGGAGGCAGAGGTTGCAGTGAGCCAAGATTGCGCCATTGCACTCTAGCCTGGGGAACAAGAGCGAAACTCCGTCTCAAAAAAAAAAAAAGAAAGAAAAAAAGAAAAAAACTCATTTACTGCTGCAAACAATCCAGTGACATATGTCCCTCCTCATAGATGAGGAAGTTAAGGCTCGGTGAGATGAAGTAACTTCCCCACAGTGAAATAACTAGTTAGATGGTAGGTCCAACATGTGAATCTCTGCAGCCTGATTCCAGAGTCAGCACGCTTAACTGCTCTGCTATGTTGCCTCTCTAGCACAATCTGTATCATTCCTTTTCAGTCACACCTACACTCCAGCTAGATCTGCCAGGATCACATACACTCCCACTAGGCAGGAACTCCTCCAGAGCATCAGACACATCAGGGTACCACAAACTCATTTACATGCTACCCCTGGCCGGACAGATAGCTTTTTATCACATTCTACAAGGTAAAAACTAACAAAGTAGCATGAACATTGGAGTCAAAATGCCAGGATCTGAGATCCAGCTACACAATTTACAAGCTGAATGACCTTGGACAAGTTACTTAATCTCTTAGAGCCTCCGTTTCCTGATCTGTCAACGAGAAAAATTGCCTCATGGTTTTTGTGATAAGTGTAATAAATGTAACACGCTTATTAGTACATGCCTGGCACAGGGTAGAGCCTCAATAAATGTTTGTTGTGTTATTATCATTACATCTCTTTACAGACCACTTTATGTACATTATCTTAGCTAATCCTTCCAGCAAACCTGGGAGGTCAGTTGAAAAATGAAACTGAGAGAAATGGGAAATACCAGATACTATATATCTTTAAGTGGCAAAGCCAGAACTCAAACCTAAAAACACATCATGCTGTCTCTGCTGTGTGCTACTGCCTCCTCTGTCTGCAAAAAGAGATGAAGCTAAGCTGTGCTTCCCATCTCCAATTCCCACATGCTTGCTTCTCTGTTCACAGAAACAGAAAGCATCTCTGCACAGCACCAGAAACAACAGGAAAAGCATCTCGGTTATCCTGTAGATGCTGCAGACTGGGAATCAACACAGACATACCCAGGTGAGATCAAGTTTCCATACTGGGATTCCTCTACTGCCTGCCCATTTGTCCAGGCTCATCATAATTTGGAAACTACCAAAATTTCCACTTGAAAATCTGAGATGCACCATTCTCCTTCCAGTTCCCTTCCTCCCTTCCCTAATAATTTAGTTCTAAAATCTTTAGATGGGACTGTGGAAGGCAGAACTCCATGGGGCTTGTGTGTGTGGTGGGGATGGGGGTTGGGGTGGCCCAGTGTGGAATTGTTAAAGCGCATGTGGAACAAGAAAGGCATCCACCTAAGCGATGGGGCAGCCCAGAGCAGGGGCTGAAGCCAAGTTGGGAGGTTGGGGAGGGGTTTAATGGGAGCATCACAGAGGGAGGTGAGGAGGGCATTCCTGCGAAGGACAGGGTGGGAAGAGGGCAGGGCTGCCCAGTACATGGAGATCAGAGCCCAAGGGAAGAAACCAGGGTGTTCATACAGGACATGGGACAACTGTGGTGACGGAGGATGAGTTACACTGTTACATTCAGGGGAACTGATCAAATCAATAAACATATTCTCAGTGCTGGACAAGGGAAGTACAAATAGGGAAAGGGAGAAAATTAGAATGAACTTTGTCATACTGGACTTGAATTGGAAATATTGGTGTGAACTGCTAGATTTTGATATGTAGACATAGAAATAAATATGTACAGTATATAAATATGTACATAAAACACACATATGTATATTTGTGCATACATAGATTAAAAAACCCTAGGTCTGTCTTCTGAGAGAGCCTGGGAACCACAACACCACAATAGCAACAACTGCACCTAATTCATGAATCTCAGGTTTCTAAATTCCATTCTCTGATAGAAGGGATGAGGGCTCCCTGGAGAAATGGCAAATTCCAGGAATGGTGCAGGGAAAAATATAAGATTGACCCAGGATAACTTGCTGTGTCAGAAAGTAAGGAAGTGAGTGAGGGCACATGCTGAAAGCACACGGAAGGTTAAAGGAGCTCCCACTGGCCAAAGATAAGAAAAACTGAGCATCAAAATAAATACTGGCCGGGCATGGTGGCTCAGGCCTGTAATCCCAGCACTTTCGGAGGCCAAGGCAGGCGGATTACCTGAGGTCAGGAGTTCCAGACCAGCCTGGCCAACATGGCGAAACCCCGTCTCTACTAAAAATACAAGAATTAGTTGGGTGTGGTGGTGGGCTCCTGTAGTCCCAGCTACTCGGGAGGCTGAGGCAGGAGAATCACTTGAACCCAGGAGGCAGAGGTTGTAGTGAGCTGAGATCATGCCATTGCACTCCAGCCTAGGCAACAGAGCAAGACTCCATCTCAAAAATAAATAAATACATACATACATACGCATACACATACTGACACAGTAACAGATAACACGCTGAATAAAACAGCAGCCCATACTGAATGACACATATACATATGCATACATATATAGAAAATATGACAAATAGGAGGTTTATGTAGTCTCAACGTACCACGCCACAAAATCTTGACTGATTATAAAAAGAAAAAGAGTAGCCTCACTTCTCAGTGGAAAAGGCTACCACACACCTTCTTAATCAACTGCAATAAGTTAATGTCACCAGTAAGGGGACAAATCAACATCACAGCCCCACTTTGGTAAAATTCTTGCCAATTTTCTGGAAATCTGAGATTGTTTCCAAATAAAAAGTAAAAAAAACAAAAACAAACCAAACAAAAACCTAAAATGTCAAACTTTCTACACTTGGTTTCCAACTAAAAAGGAGAGGTCCATTTCTTCATGCCAGTTCATACACTTTAACCTAATTTTCAATGTCAATGTAACTCTTTTATTACCTATTTACTAGCTGTCATCCTTATCAAGTGAAATAATAACTGAAAATGTTCTATAAGTTATAAAATGTTATATAAAATGTTACAATTATTGCTACTTAATCTTAGAAATTTGTTCTTGTCTGCTTAACAGTCACCCAGCCCTTAGTAATTCCACATATATTTATTATTCACGTTCTGCTGATCACACCTGGTGATCACATCCCACTCCAGAAGTCATCTTACTCCTGAGCTGGTACTCATCCGCCCTAACACTGACCTGGAAATGCCAAGAGGCCTGGGTTCCACACAAGTCCCTATGGCCTCATCATGAAATAAGGACTCTGCACTGGGTGATCCTGAGTCCCGTCCAGTGCTAAAAACCTTGTATTCTAAACTCTGATTGTAAGCTCTCTTACCTTCTTTTTTAAAATGACTCTTTGTGTCTTGGGTGAGACATCCAAAACGAGCTCCGCACAGGTAATGGCCTTGTTGGAAGCCACAGGCCTGCCTGTTCCCTCCTGCAAGCTAGAATTTAAAAAATATATATATTACATAAAAATATATATACAGGTATACACACACATACTCACACATGTATTCAAGTATTAATAAGCAAATGCCCAAAACTTTTATTAAAAAGAAAATTTTTTAAAGGATAGAAGAAAAAGTCTGATGCAAGAGCAGAAAGATCAGGGTTGCATTTTTTTCCCTACACAGTTCCAAGATTCATCTCTCAGAAGACATACTCTGACATTTTTCTTCTCTTCATAATTTTAGTGACTTAAAATTCAGATGCAAAAGTATAACCATATATCTTTAGAGGCCCCCCCACCAAAAAAAAAGGCAAAAAATTTGGCCAGGCACGGTGGCTCCTGCCTGTAATCCCAGCACTTTGGGAGGCCAAGGCAGGTGGATCTGCTGAAGCCAGGAGTTCGAAACCAGCCTGACCAACACGGCAAAATCCCGTCTCTATTAAAAACACAAAAATTAGCCGGGCATGGAGGCAGGCCCCTGTAATCCCAGTTACTCACGAGGCAGAGGTATGAGAATTGCTTGAACCTGAGAGGCAGAGGTTGCAGTGAGCTGAGACTGCACCACTACACTCTAGCCTGGGTGACAGAATGAGATTCTGCCCCAACCCCCAAAAAAAGCAAAAAAAAAAAAAAAAAAAAAAAAAAACCAAGCCAGACAATTCAAGGGACCAAAAATTAGCTTTACTCTGCCAGGCAGATGATCAGCATCACTGCATCCCCAAGTCTTGGCAAGAAATCAGAAGTCCCTTTAGGATGAAAAGAAAACAAAGGGTTCCAATCAACTTCCTCCAATTCAATCGTGTTACGTTTCTCTGAAGCTAAAGAATCCTAAGCTTTATGGAATGTTGCAGCCTGGCTACACTTAGGGATGTTTGGAAGTTTTATTTAGATTATTCTCCTCTTTCTATTAACCCTTATTAGCAAAAAAAAAAAAAAAAAAAGGTAATGGATTAATTCAGCGTTAAAAACTAGTCTTCATGACACCAAAAGCACAAGTAATCTTTGTTCCCCCCAAAGCAGATAAATTATATGTGACCAAAATGAGAAACTTCTGTGCTTGAAAGGACACAATCTAAAAGTAAAAAGAAAACTCACAAAAATAATGGGAGAAAAAAATTGCAAATCATACATCTGGTAAGAGACCAGATATGAAGAACTCTGACAATTCAACAATAAAAAGGTAAATAATTCCATTTGAAATATGGAAAGTATTTGAATACACTTTCTCCAAATAATATACACAAATGACTAATAAGCACATGAAAAGACGCATAACATCATTAGTTACTAAGGATGCAAATCAAAAGCCACAATGAGATACCACATCATACCCAGTAGGATGGGTATCATTTAAAACAAAACAAAACAAAACAAAACCAGGCCTGGCACAGTGACTCACACCTGTAATCCCAGCACTTTGGGAGGCTGTGGCAGGTAGATAGCATTTGGGCCCAAGAGTTTGAGACCAGCCTGGGCAAAATAGTGAGACCCTGTCTCTACCAAAAAAAAATTTTTTTTCAATTAGCTGGGCGTGGTGCTGCATACCTGTAGTCCCAGCTATGAGAGAGGCTGAAGCAGGAGGACCGTTTGATCCTAGGAGGTTGAGGATGCAGCAGGCCAAGATTGTGCCACTGCACTCCAGCCTGGGTGACAGAGACCTTGTCTCAAAAATAGAAATAAAAATAAAAACAAAAACAAAAACCAACACATGTTGGTGAGGATGTGGAGAAATTGGAACCTCTCTACACTGTTGGTAGGAATGTACAATCGTTTAGCCACTGTGGAAAACAGTATGGCGGTTCCTCAAAAAGTTAAACTTAGAATTATAATAGAACCCAGCAACTCCACTCTTCTGTATAAAGCAAAAGAATTGAAAACAAGTACTCAAACAAATATATGTACAGGCATGTTCATAGCAACACTGTTTACAATAGCCAAAACGCAGAAACAACCAAATGTCCATCAACAAATAACTGGATAAACAAAAATGTAGTATACAGCATAGTATTCAGCCACAAAAAATACTGGGTACTTTTCATAAAAAAAATGGGCCAGGAGCAGTGGCTCAAGCCTGTAATCCCAGCACTTTGGGAGGCAGAGGTGGGTGGATCGCCTGAAGTCAGGAGTTCGAGACCAGCCTGACCAACATGGTGAAATCCCATCTCTACTAAAAATACAAAAAAATCAGCCAGGCGTGGTGGCATGCACCTGTAATCCCAGCTACTCAGGAGTCTGAGGCAGGAGAATCGCTTGAACCCGGGAGGTGGAGGTTACAGTGAGCCAAGATCACACCACTGCACTCCAGCCTGGGAAACAAGAGCAAAACTCGGTCTCAAAAAAAAAAAAAAAAAGAATGAAGCATTGCCACATGCTACAATGTGTATAAACCGCAGATACATTATGCTAAGTGAAAGAATCCAGACAAAAAAGATCACTCCTATGATTCCATTTCTGTGAATGTCCAGAATAGGTCAACCCATAGAGACCAAAAGCAGATGGGTGGTTTCCTGCGGCTGGAGACAGGGAGGAATGGGGAGTGACTGCTCAATAGGTTTTGGTTTCTTTTCGGGGTGATAAAAATGCTCTGAACTACGAAGAGGTGGTGGTGGCACAACATTATGAATGTACCAAATGCCACTGAACTGTTCACTTTAAAATACTTTTATGTTATGTTTCACCTCAAAAACAAAATTAAAAAAAAACTATTCTTCCTCATCATTTATTCCTTCCAAGAATGCAAATAATTAGTATCTGATATACTCCAAAAGATGGTTCAACCTCTTAGCACAGCAAGATTATTCTAATTCTGCTGTTAGATTCTGCACACCAAGATTCCAGGAGCTTCTCTTTTTATGTCTTCCATATAGGTTCAACCCATTAAGCCCATAATCCTCCACTAGGATTCTTCAGTTAAAGAGCTTAGTAACTACTGGAATTTATAGAACATAAGGAGAAAAACATGACTAACAACCAGATTTAGATTCGGTTTTTCAGGCATTAAACCTTAAGCATGTCCCACTGTTAAGTGCCATAATCTTTAAAAACAAATTAACAACAAACAAACATATTGACTCAATTACAACAAGATAAACATCCTAGCACCATCGTTCCCAAAGGGAACGTCAACAGACAAAGAAAGAATGGTCCTTCTCTGCAGATTCAATTATTACTAGTGAAATCTGGACTCTAAGCAGATGAGAGAGATAATGCAAAAACCCAGAGATTATTTTCTGGGCCCCAGGCATGTATAAAAATCTTATTCATATGCAAAAATGTTCCGAACATTTTGGAAAGGAATGTGACTTTAAACGCCCTATTCATCAGGTGATTTATATTTGTAATGTTAAAGATTAAGCTATTTTCCATTTCTTCACAGATACACTTTAAAATTGGCCCTGTTATTTCAGCACAGAAACAATAAGCTATATTTATATGTTGGTAGAATGACTACTTTCTGAAAGCCCAGTGTTTTGAATCTCTGCGTGGCAATCTAACAGAATTAAAATAAGCTCAATATTCTTCATCTGACTTTTCTAAATACAACTAGTCAAACAACAGTGAAGATTATAATTCTAAGGCAATGGAATTTCTGTGAAATTAAGCTACTATATTTGGCTTTAGGTGAATATTAAGACAGACCCTTAGGTGTCTGCTTAACCAGTATTCTCAATGGGATGGTGGGAGGAGAGTCAGAATGATGACTTGAATAATTATGATGAAGATTAGTCAGTTTCAAAAGAGGAAACAGGCAAAACAGACTAATAAATAGCAAAAAGAAAATTTAAATACTAGAATGAATTCTTGGGAGAGATCTTTAACACAAGAAGGGTCTTGACTCTTTGGATAAATTTTAATCTAGCCAAAAGTCAAGAGTTTAAATTACATGACCTCTTAAGATAGACACTGAGCCCAGGGTTTGGTAAAGAATGAAAGAATCTTCCTTTGTACTTTGGTCTCCTAAGAAACTGCTTAACATTTAAAACCTGTTAATAATTAGAACCTTCTGCTTTATAGGAACAGTAATTTAATCAAGAATTACCCAGAGAATGTATATGTAGCAGCAATGTAAATGAAATTTTCATAATAAAGCTGCCGATTATCCTGGAAATCATTCATGTTGCAGTTGATCTCAGAGGACCCTGCCCCTTTAACAGTCAGAGTGATAAAAGGTGGCAAGGTGGGTTCGTCCCAGGCATAATCCAATGAAGTCATGGGCTTCACTTCAGTCCGGAGCCTGGGTTCAGCTACGCCATGCTGAGTAAAGACAACCGGGACCTAGAGTGATGGCAGAGAGGACAAAGAGGACTTTCATTCAGAGTGGGGTTACTGAAAAGTGAGTCAGTGCTTTGTAGGTTTAAGTTCCAAATCCTTCCTAAATGAATCTTACACAGGAAATAAGCCCCAGTGAAATTCATCATCTCACCTTTCGAATGTTTCTAATCATCTTGCACATTCCAAAAAAACTCACCAATTAAAAGACATGTGCTACACACACACACACACACACACACAGATACACACACACATATATACATATATCCTATTGAATGAAAGGCTTTAAACGCTTTGCCAAGTCAAATATCTAAGGGGAGCAATTCCATCCTTCCAATGGCATCTTTCTAGCCCAAACCCCCTATGATATATTTTGAATACAGAAAAAAATAAGTATTTTGGAATTTGGCTACAGATCATCACATATAAGACCTATTATTATTTGAAAGCATAATTAAAATAAAATCTAATGATTTCCATATTGACTTTCTTGAAAAATTTATTAAAATGCTCACTGTAACTAAGCAACAGCAGAATTGCCCATTCCCATTGTCACTGACAAGCCGATGTCTTCCTCTGTTTGAACGGGATGTCTACAGAAGGCACAGTGTCAACCAACCACTCTAGCCAAAATAAATAAATCTGGGAGCTAAAAGATTACTTCTGCCTGGACAAGGCTGCCTAGCAATCAAAATAACCAGCAGAAAACACCTCTTAATGGTAAGGATTTCTAGGCTTGTCCAGATATAAAGAACCTATCCATATAGTTTCCTTTAAACCCAAGTTGAAAATGTATTGTACCATTGTGTCAAGGGCAGTACACACTCCACCCTCCCACACATGAAACAGTCAAACTGGCTCTCAGCTCCACTTGATACCTTAGAAAAGTTGTCAATTCGGAAAGGAGGAGGTAACTGATCTGTGTCACTAAATGAGATCCTATACGTAGCTCCTCGGAGAGTAATTTCCACTCGTAGGAAGAAGCATTTTCCCAAGGTATCCCTGCAGGACAAGGAAACAAAAGAGGCTACATAAAATGTAGGAGACAAGATGCCATCCACTTACTTCTCATATTTCTGACAATCACAACACTGTTTGGGCCTCAGTCAATACCACTGAACTTACAGCCCACTGTGTGTTCCTCCATCATCTGAAAAAAGTAGAAATTGGTAATATGATTACAAAATGGTGATTTTCTAATTCTCCCATTTCCTCAACATTTATACGCTGATATTCTGCTGTAAAGAAGAGGATGGATGGATGTAATGTACGTGTATGTATGTATGTGTGTGTGTATATATACAGAAAAATCGCTGAAGGGAATGGAAAGTTTACCTTAACGGAAAAATATCAGTGAATAAATGTAGAGGAAATTAGAGAATTAAAAATCAGCATTTCTGGCTGGGCATGGTGGCTCACACCTATAATCCCAGCACTTTGGGAGGCCAAGGTGGGAGGATCACTTTAGCCCAGGAGTTCGAGACCAGCCTGGGCAACGTGGTGAGACCTCATCTCAATTAAAAATAAAAATAAAATAATTAATTTTTTAAAAATCTGCATTGCAGCCGGGTGTGGTGGCTCACGCCTGTAATCCCAGCACTTCGGGAGGCTGAGATGGGTGGATCACGTGGTCAGGAGATCGAGACCATCCTGGCTAACACAGCGAAACTGCGTCTCTACTAAAAATACAAAAATATTAGCCAGGCTTAGTGGCAGGCAGCTGTAGTCCCAGCTACTCAGGAGGCTGAAGCAGGAGAATGGTGTGAACCTGGGAGGCGGAGCTTCCCGAGAAGCTCCGAGATCGCGCCACTGCACTCCAGGGAGCCGAGATTGTGCCACTGCACTCCAGCCTGGGCGACTGAGCGAGACTCTGTTTCCAAAAATAAATAAATAAATAAATAAATAAATAAATAAATTTCATCGCAACCACCAATGTAATAAGTGATTCAAGAACCATTAAACCATTGAATGAAAGGTTTTTGGGAAACAGAATATTCACTTTGTCTTAAATTATTCCCTCAATGGGATTATTCTTATTTACAAAGAACAAAGGAAACTTCACAAAAAAGAGGCCTGCTGGATACCACCTTAACCAGGTGAAGAACAACTTATCACCAACAATAATGAGACCAACAGACATCACAGGCATCCTGATGTGACATGGTGGGAAACACACAGCATCACATAGAAAGTATAGCTATCGAAAATATTTGACCCAAATCTACAGACAGGAAATCACTGCCCAAATGCAGAAAATAGGACATTCTACAAGAAACTTGCTTGGAGTCTTCAAAAATGTCAATGTCACTAAAGACAAAATGGGCAAAGCGGGACTACTCTAGATTAAAGAAGACAAGAGAATACACGTGGCAACTAAAATAAATGATCCTTGACTGGATCCTAGATCAATGGGAAGGGAGTTGCTATGAAGGACATTCTAGTCATTCATTCAGTCTATGAAAACTATTTATTAGAAAACATATCAAGGTTAAATTTCATCAGTATGTGACAATAGTATTATATTTAATTAGAAAAATGTCCCTATTTTTGGGTGATAAGTGAGGTTTTTATGGCTTAAGTATCATGATGACTTTAATTTACTTTCAAATAGTTCAGAAAGGAAAATGTGTGTTCATGTATGTGAAGAGAGAAGCAACATGTAGCAAGATGCTGAAAACTGGTTAAATCTAGGTACAAGATATAGGGATATTCATTTACTACTTTTGTAACTTTCCTATAGTTTAAATTGTTTCCAAATGAAAAGGTGAGGAAAGTAAATGAAATAGATGGCATAGGTCTGTTCGCAGTAGTTTAGGACTGCCCGTTAAAACCATTTTAAAAGGATTAACAAAAATTACACAAATCATCCTCCTCCTCCTCCAAACTGGCTTCCAATTCTCACACAACAGATAGGGGCTGCCTCTACCCAGGGAATATACAAAACAATGGTGGTTTTCGCTATAGAATCCCTTTTCCCTCCCCACTCCTTCACCCAGATAAAATCTTACGGGGAACACATTATGCTAACAGACAAAAGTGCTGGTTGAGGTAGGGATGAGAGTGCTAGAGCCCTACCCAATAGGCTCCCTTGGGCACTAGAGTCACCTCCTTAAAACCCAACAGCTCCTAAAAACATAGCCTAAAACCCACTATATCCAGATCCAATTCACACTAAAAAAGACAAGGGCAAAGTATAATTAAGAAGGGCTCACTATTGAATTAGATAATACATTTAAAAGTCAAATATAAATACTATCTTGGGGCCAGGTATGGTGGCTCACACCTATAATCCTAGCACTTTGGGAGGCCAGGGCAGGAGGATCACTTGAGACCAGAAGTTCCAGACCAGCCTGGGCAACATAGTGAGACCTTGTCTCTACTTTTTTCTATTTTTTTTTTTTTAAATTAGCCAGGCATGGTGGTGCATGCCTATAGTCCTAGCTACTCAGTAGGCAGGAGGGTCACTTGAGCCTAGGTGTTCAAAGTCACAGTGAACTATGATTGCACCACTGCACTCAAGCCTGGGCAATAGAGCAAGACTCTATTTCCAACAAAAACAAAAACAAAACCACTATTTTAAGAACTATTTTGGAATATCTATTGTTAAATTATCATACTTCTGTTCCTTTGTAATAGTGTTCTCAATAGAGAGCTGACCATAAAGTATAAAAGATTAAATTTTGCTTCTAAACATGTTGAAATAGCACTGATTTCAGATTCTTTAACTTCAAAAGCATTTGATGAAAGAATTTTTTTTTTTTTTTTTGAGACAGAGTCTCACTCTGTCACCCAGGCTAGAGTGCAACGGCACGATCTCGGGTCACTGCAACCTCCGCCTCCTGGGTTCAAGTGATTCTCCTGCCTCAGCCTCCTGAGTAGCTGGGATTACAGGTGCACACCACCATGCCTGGCTAATTTTTGTATTTTCAGTAGACATGGGGTTTCACCATGTTGGTCAGACTGGTCTGGAACTCCTGACCTCGTGATCCGCCCACCTAGGCCTCCGAAAGTGCTGGGATTACAGGCGTGAGCCACCATGCCCGGCCTGATGAAAGAAACTAAAGACACAACTGAAAAGACTTCCCATGTTCAGGGACTGGAAAACATAATTTTTAAGATGTCAATACTACAAAACCCTATGGACTTAATGCAATCCCTATCAACATCCCAATAGCATTTTTTGCAGAAACAGAAAAATCCATCTTGAAATTCATATGGATCTAAGGAACTCTGAATAGAGAAAACAACCTTGAAAAAGAACAACAAAGTTGGAGGTCTCACATTTCCTTATTCCAAAATTTAATACAAAGCAACTATAATCAAAACAGGGTGGTACTGGCATAAAGACATATAGACCAATGAAATAGATTAGAGTGCCCAGAAATAAACTTCCACCTGTAGGGTCAAATGATTTTCAACAACAGTACCAAGATCATTTAATGGGAAAGGAGAGTCTTTTCAATAAACAGTGCTGAGAAAACCAAATATCCACATACCAAAAAATGAAGCTGGACCCTCACCTTATGCCATACACAAACATTAACCCAAAACAAATCAAAGACCTAGAAGTAAGAGCTAAAACTATAAAACGCTTAGAATAGGAATTCCTACAATTCAAAAACAACCTAATTCAAAAATTGGCAAAGGAATTGAACAGATATTTTTTCCAATGAAGATATACAAATGGCCAAAAAGCACATGAAAAGATGCTCAACATCACTAATCATTAAGGAAATAAGAATCTAAACCACAGTGCGATACCACCTCATACCCATTATACAGAGGCGGGACTATCACTTAAGGCTTGTGTCAAAAACAAAGAAAACAAGTGTTGGTGAGGTTGTGGAGAAAGTGGAATCCTGTGCACTGGTGTCAGGAAAGTAAAATGGTGCAATGACTGCAGAAACCTATGGTGGTTCCTCAAAAAATTAAAACCAGAATGATCATGTGATCCAACAATTCCACACCTGGATCTATACCCAAAATAACTGAAAGCAGGGTCTTGAACCCATATGCGAACCTATGTTCGCAGCAGTTCATGATAGCCAAAGGTGGAAGCAACCCAAGTGTTCATTAATAGGTGAATAAACAAAAATGTTAATATGGACATTGACAATATTATGCTAAGTGAAATAAGCCAGTCACAAAAAGACAAATACCGTATGATTAAACTCACATGAGGTACCTAGAGTAGTCAAATTTATAGACACCAAGTAGAACATGGTGGCCAGGGACTAAGGGGAATGGGAATGAGGAGTTAAGTTTAACGGGTACAGAGTTTCAGTTTTGCAAGATGAAAAGAGTTTGGGGGATTATTTCCATAATAATGTAAATGTACTTACACCAGTTAACTGTATACTTAAAAATGGTTAAGATAGTAAATTTGATATCTGTTTTACCACAATTTAAAATATTTTTAAATAATTTTTTTAAAGTATTTGATGAAAGCAAGAAGAAAGTTTAAATCATCCTGGGCTAATTAAGGCTGATTTTTTTTTTTTTTTTTTTTTTTTTTTTTGAGATAGAGTCTTACTCTGTCGCCTGACTGGAGTGCAGTGGCGTGATCTGAGCTCACCACAACCTCCGCCTCCCCGATTCAGGCGATTCTCCTGCCTCAGCCTCCTAAGTAGCTGTGACTACAGCCACACACCACCACGCCCAGCTAATTTTTGTATTTTTAGTAGAGACGGGGTTTCATCATGTTGGCCAGGATGGTCTCAATCTCTTGACCTCGTGATCCGCCTGCCTCGGCCTCCCAAAGTGCTAGGATTACAGGCATGAGCCACTGCGCCCGGCCTGGTTAATTTTTCTTAACAAGAACTGAGTGTTACCACATTAGGTGTAGAAAGCCAGATGATTTACTAGAACAGCATCAAATGAAAGAAGGTTTTGTATAAATATGTCAGAATATACAAAAATATTTATAATGAGCGTTACCATCTAAATGCAGACAGACCTTTCAAAGTTGCAGGTAATCAAAATATGAGCTCAGTGTTACTCTTTGGATTAGACAACAGCAATTACACCATGGTCAAAACGGGCAACACCTCCTTTAGTTTATTCCATCAAATTATCCCCTCACACTTCCCTGGACTTTGCAAGTTCTAAGACCTCTGTCTGAGCCAGAAATATTTGTGCCCATTTTACACAAGGCTTGTTATTACAGTACTGCATCTCAAACAGGGGCTACCTTTTTGTCTATATTTAGAGTCTCAAACTTACCTCATGTTGATATGGAAGGAATTATTCTTGTTGACTTCAAAGCCTCCAGACCAAATACAATTGGGAACGTCCATCAGTCTGACACACAATAGCTGATCATAGTCATTCCGAGGCCAGTGGAACACCACACTGGAACCAGGAAGGGTGGAAATGTAACCTTCGGGATTGGCTGTTCCCTAAAACACATAGGATCACAGGCTTTAGTCAACAAGTCGATTCATGACAATAAGTGTTACTGAGTACCTACTCTGAGCCTTACCCTCTAACAGGAGCTATCTGGGTACCAAAGGCACAGAGCAGTTACTTGCATCACAGAACGTACAGTCTTCACAGAAGATGACATTAAAACTCGTGCTATTAAATAGGCACTCTCATCCTTCAAAAGCAAACTGCTCACCTGTCCCCTGGCAAATTCCCTCTGTGCAAATGCAAGCTTGTGAGATGATTTATTATCTAACAGGTAACGGGGGGCAAAGATGACCATGCAGGTATCAATGTATCGACCTCGGCCTTTCTTGACATCAATACCTACAAATAACAAGAACCACTTTTATGAGTTAACCATGAAGAGAGAAAACTCTTGGTCTGACAAAAATAAATAACCTTCACAGTTACTTAGTTTCTCTGAGAAAATAACTGTATCACCCAGAGGATATTGAACCTTCTAGGAATGTAATGAAAACAGCAATTGTACTCAAAGTATTATTACTCCTTATTCCCATTTAGGCCTTAAAAAGGTTCAGAGGCAAGATCAACATCCCCTTAATTCCTAGTTTCTTCACACAGTGTGTACCATTTAACAGCAACTAAAATACACAGGTGTCCAGTCACATATATGTTAGGTTTCCATTTATGAAGCTGAATACTTACAACAGTTTCACATGATACTTTTTGGCTTACACCTGGGACACAAAATTTCCTTCTAGAGAACCTGCCACTTTTACAGATACAGTGGAAATTTCAGATTACTTTCTTGGATTCTGTAATGTTCTAAACTTTACTGACTCTTCTCCAGTATTTTATTTTAGCCCATTGCCCAAGAATCCAGCTCAAACATAATGCTAAGTACTATAGAACTTATTCATGGCCGGGTGTGGTGGCTCATGCCTGTAATCCCAGCACTTTGGGAGGCCGAGATGGGTGGATCATTTGAGGTCAGGAGTTCAAGACCAGCCTGGCCAACATGGCGAAACCCCATCTCTACTAAAAATACAAAAATTAGCTGGGCATGGTGGCACGCACCTGTAGTCTCAGCTACTCGGGAGGCTGAGGCAAGAAAGAGAATTGCTTGAACTTGGGAGGCAGAGGTTGCAATGAGCCAAGATTGCACCATTACACTCTAGTCTGGGTGACAGTGTGAGACTCCGTCTCAAAAAATAAATAAATAAAAGAATTTATTCATCTATAAAATTACTGTTTTCAGCGCCTACTATGTATTAGGAAAAAATAAGAAAACAGTCCAAAGGAAATCTCAAGACAGCCGGTTCCAAATATAGAAAAGCACTGAAATATCTTAAAAACTCTGATAACAATTTTTAAAAATAAAAAATTCAGGCCGGGCGTGGTGGCTCACGCCTGTAATCCCAGCACTTTGGGAGGCCGAGGCGGGCGGATCACGAGGTCAGGAGATCGAGACCATCCCGGCTAAAACGGTGAAACCCCGTCTCTACTAAAAATACAAAAAATTAGCCGGGCGTAGTGGCGGGCGCCTGTAGTCCCAGCTACTTGGGAGGCTGAGGCAGGAGAATGGCGTGGACCCGGGAGGCGGAGCTTGCAGTGAGCCGAGATCCCGCCACTGCACTCCAGCCTGGGCGACAGAGCGAGACTCCGTCTCAAAAAAAAAATAAATAAATAAATAAATAAATAAATAAATAAAAATAAAAATAAAAAATTCAGTGGGATGAATTTATTCACTCATTCATTCAGACAATAAATACAGCAATGACATTCAACGTACTGGGCTGAGCTCTGGTCACCCATTGATAAAAATATTTATCATAGAAATAATAAAAATAACAACAACAACAACAATAATAATAATTACTGGTCTCTTAATACATGCTAGGTCCTCCCCCAAAGGCTTTACACTGAATCCCCATAACAACCTTCTAAGTTAGATATTTTAATTATTTCCATTTTATAGATGAGGAAACGAAGGCATGGAAAGCTAAGTAACTGACTCTATGTCACGCAGCTAGTATGTGCCATAACTGGGATTCAAGTCCAGGCAGTCAGCCTCCGGAGCAGCACCCTCATCAGGCTTGCTTGTATTGTGATGCGACATATACAAGGACTGCACTCCATTCAGCAGTCATCAAGTATCAAGAGAACCATTAAAATAGAAAACTCCACCTTAGCATTTGACAACCGGCTGTCATAGATTTCTCAACACAATCCCAATTATAAATATTCCAATCTGTAAATGCCGTAATTCACTTAAACTGGCTTGAAAATGCTGATGTTCCTTTAACACAAGCCTTGAAAATACCTGAAAGACTGAGAAAAGTCACACACAAAAATCTCTCTAAAACTCTGTATCTAAGAAATGCTATGTAATATTGGGATATGGAACTATACCCTATCACTTCTTTCTGTGACATGCAGAGAAGCTTTCATTGTCAGAAATCAACATTATCATAGTTAGGTGATATCTAATAAAAAGTCTAACTACAAAAGATGTATCTAATTTAATATTATAAAAAGAGTCTAGGGTACTCTGAACAATACAGACACTCAATCTTTGGAAAAAGGTGGGCTTCTTTCCCCCTTCACATCTTATATTGCCCTGGGAAACCCCTGATAAATCAATAAGTTGATAAGATCAACAGGCACAAAATCGTTCTTTTTGGAGATCCATGTGAGGCTACCTGGCAAGCCTGTCCCTGGCTTTTCAGTTTGGACTATGCTTTAAACTTTCCTGATAGGGAGTTGGTTATCTATCCTATTCTTCAAAATATTCAAGCAGGAGATTCCACAAATTCCCTTGTGGGAATATACGGCAAAAGTTCATGACCCTCAAGAATGATAAAGTCCTATCTTAGCCCACTCCCTCTATCCCTTCCCTAGGTGGATCAACAAAACTTAAATCACAGTCTTAGCCCTCAAAACATATGCCATGAGCTTTAGTGAATGCTCCTAGCATAACAGCTTATATGGGTAATCACTGCATATGTCTGATCGGTTTGCTCAACTGGCCTCTGCAAGAATTCTGTGGTTCTTAGTGCTAGCTGCTATAAAAGGAACAAGCTCCTCCCATCCCAATTTGTCCCAACTACAGCTTCCAGTCAACCTGTGGTAGCTTGCTTTGCAAAATACATCAAGGGCAAAACACTCCAGCAGAAAGCCAAACTCAGCATAAAGCAGCCTTTGCCTATTCAAAGGGTGGAGCAAACGAAAGTGAGAACAAGTTAAGATAACTATCCTGTGCTGCAAGATCAAATCAAGTTTCTTTCTTTTAAAAATCTTAATGTCAACTTTAAGAAGACAGTTCACATGTCAAGGGAGAATGAATACAAACCTATGATTAAAAATCCAAAGAGGAAACTATACTTGGAAGATTCTTTTATTAATAAATCCTCAGACATTTAAACATATCTTTGATTCTCCATGGGACTCAGGATAAATATGTAAATGATATCACATCAGTTTTTCCTTGCTCTAGGAAGGAACTATGACACTATGTGCATACTGTCCAATACGGTGCCAGTAGCCATATGTGGCTATTTAAAGCTAAATTCATTAAAATTAAATAAAAATTCAATTCCTCAGCCATACTTGCCTTACTTCTCACTAATGTGCTCTCCAGGGCTCAGCAGCCACATGTGGCTAGTGGCTACTACTAGATAGTGCAAAATAGAACATCTCCATCATCACAGAAAGTTCTACAGGACCATGCAGTCATAGATGGTGTTCCAATGTTCAAAACTAAACATTGCTTTGAGAGGCTGGGAAATTATATACTGAAAGGATGCGCTGCTACAATTTTCACCCTGATTCATATTTCAATCAAATTATCTTAACCCTTTAGAGAATCTTTTGAGCGTTCTCAAGTGGCTATGAGGCATATGGGTACAGTATCCTCCCCTCCCCTTTCCACCCTTCCCATCTCCATAAGCAAAGTGAGTCTGGAGATTGCTTTAATTACTACAACCACCAAGTGCATTTTATTTGTATCCCCCAATCCTGATCCTACTTCTGACCCAGACTTCCCCTTTGCATCTAGGCAGGTCACTTAACCTCTCTCCTTCAGTTTCAAGGAGAACAATGCTTCTTACCCTCTTAGGGCTTGCAAATTTTAATGAATGCGTGGGAATACTTGGAGGATGAAAGGCATGCTAAGTGTTCCTATTATTCCCCCGAAAAACAAGGATTCAAGCCAAACTGATACTTTCCTGACACAGGTGAGTCTGAAATTAAACAGAGCCACAGACCTCAAAAGGGCAGTGTTTAGGTGGCTCCTCAGATCCCCAGGAGAATAGATCTGTGTTGATATCACTGTAGCATTCAGAGAACAGATACCTGACCCAATGCCAAATAAGAAAATCAGTACTTGTAGTCAGGCCAAAATGCATGGCCAGGTCATTCCTCCAAGCCTGAGGTCATCGGCCAATGGTTCTGATTGTCCCGCTGCCCCAAATGTAACCCACCAATGTTATAGATCAGCCCTGGGCGGTTTCCTTGCTGGATGACTTTCAAAGCTCGGACACCACTACCACCATCCAGGGAGAAGCCCTGACACCAGCCCGGCATGCCTTCTGGATGAATCCCCCTTCCGATTCTCATCGTGCAGCTGTGGGGCAGAAAAGCAAAGATGTAGATATTCATCCACAAGAAAGTCTTATCTGCCTGTTCTAATTGGGAAACACTAATACAGTTATCACCCAAGTTCCATCTCTACCACTGACTCTCTTCCTCACTCTCATGTGATTCCCTAGCACAGTGACAAAATTCATCAGTGGTTAAAGCTGTATCTTAGAGGCAGCCACAGTACAACAGTGTGTGAAATTTACTGACATCTACAACTAAATGCTTTAGGAGAAAACATTAGGATTCTATGAATATAACACATGAGGAAAGTGGTGCAATTTCTAATATTCCCCTAAAAATAAAGAATTCAAGTCAAACTAATCCTTTCCTGACTCTGCTGTTTCAAGGGTTCATTTTAAAAAGCACAAGAAGCATATGTACAGAAGATACAGGTATGATGCATTACTTCTAAGGGCTGATACTTTTTTTTTTTTTTTTGAGGTGGAATCTTGCTCTGTCGCCCAGGCTGGAGTGCAATGGTACAGTCTAGGATCACTGCAACCTCCGCCTCCCAGGTTCAAGTGATTCTCCTGCCTCAGCCTCCCAAGTAGCTGGGACTACAGGCGAGCGCCACCACACCCGGCTAATTTTTGCATTTTTAGTAGAGAAGGGGTTTCACCACGTTGGCCAGGCTGGTCTCAAACCCCTGACCTTGGGATACGCCTCGGTCTCCCAAAGTGCTGGGATTACAGGCATGAGCCACCGTACCCAGCCGGCCTGATACTATTACAATAGCAAAGCACTGTTTAGTGGGCCAGTGTCCTGTCATGGATTTCGACAACATAATTCCTGAATGTGTGTTCCAGCTCTACCACTAACAAGCGATGTAAACTTGGGCAGGTAGCAATCTCTCTGAGCCTGTTTCCTCATCTTAAAATATAACAATATTTCCTGCCCTGCCTAAACCATTGGGATGGTGGGAAGAATCCAATGAGATGGTCTATGTGAAATGCTTTGGGAACTGTGGAATTCACAGATAAAACACACTGTGTGACACATGTCAAGTCCTAAATCTAAAACTGTCCAAATCATTTCAGGAGAAGAATGAGACTGGGCTGGCTGCACATGCCAAGAGGCTGGCTGCATCCCCTACAATATCCAGAACTCTCATCAATCCTCTTTCCATGCCTCAAACGGTAATCTACACTCCAACCTTCCCTTGTAAACACATCAGTACCCACTGAAGTGTGGTACCCCAGAAGACTTTCTGTTAAGCTGTCAGCACGATTCTACCGATAACACGGTATGGCATTTTAGCATTATTGGATACACCCATTTATCTTTGATTAGAGCTCTATTAAAAGACTCTTGTAAAAAGCAAAATGTCAAAACCAAGAACAAAAGTGAATTAATGCTCCTACCATACATTAAAAGCACATGTCATCTAATCCTCACAGTTGTTTTTTGTCCCTGCTTTTAAACATGCAATGAGTGCTCTGAGACCATAAAATGGCACATTTTACTTCAAAGGTAAAAGGGATGAATTTCCAAATGTGATACAAATCCTGGATTGGATTAATGAGGCTGACGGCTTCACCAAAGAACCAGCCTATGTCCATTCTGATGACAGCTCCTGTGCCTGTGCTCCAAGTTTACAGGGGAAGAAAAACTGCAGAGCAGAGAAGGAGAACTCGTGGCTTTCTCTTCGTTGGCAGAGTTATGAATAGGAAAACTACTTCAATGCATGTAAAATAAAACTAGCTTTCATTATAAACCAACCAAATGGTTTATTTTCAGTATCAAATAACATAGAAATTAGATCCCCAAAAATCCCATTAGGTCATGGTTCTATTCCCCTGCCAAGTCAGGATTGTTATCTACAGTATATTTCTACTTACACGGATATATTATAGCCTTTACTAATTTCTTCCCTTCCCTGGGAGCTTATTTCCCCTTCCCATAAATAACTGTACTCACAGGTTTGGCTGCTCTTTGTCAGCATAGCAGAATAAGAGAGGACTCAGGCTACGGGCCAGCTCATGCTCCTCAAACTGGCCTGCAGCATCTGTCTTGGCATTGTCCTGTCTGAAGATCAGTGGCAACCCTTTAGGAAGGAGAGAAAAGTTTACATCAATACCACCCAGTCTATCTGAAAGAGATGCAAATGGTGAATGAATAAAACCATCAAGCGGGAAAAGAGTGAAAACTGAATCTATTTAGTGGGCTCAGTTTCTTGCCTAAAAAGACAGTTTTGAGCATGATTAAGCATTTATGATGGAAGCAGGAATGTTTCAGCAGCTCAGACTGTTGAAGTAATCTATTTGCATTGGCTCCATTTAGTTAGCTAAGCAAATAAATCTGAATTCCCATGACTAACGCCAAAGACCT
The DNA here is from genome assembly GCF_000001405.40 of Homo sapiens. Taxonomy (NCBI): domain Eukaryota; kingdom Metazoa; phylum Chordata; class Mammalia; order Primates; family Hominidae; genus Homo; species Homo sapiens. The sequence continues at coordinate 12,356,113 of NC_000001.11, read as the reverse complement.
ACTTGAGCAGCCCCTGTATGTACCTGTTTTGTTAATCAGCCAATATGGAGCAGAAATGAAGATCTTTAAGGATCCTTCTGCTCGACACACAATCCGGATGGTGAGGTTCAGCTGCCGACGGTTGACGTCATAGAGTCGCATTCTCACCATATAGTTTTGGGTTCCAGGTGGAATGAGCAATTCTTTACAGAGGGGGAAATTCTCCAGTGATACCCCTAAAGAAGATACAAACTATTAACTTTCAGAGTTCTCACTATTTGTCAAAATAGCTCACAGCAAAAGTAAATTGGATTCCTTTTGGAAAAACCAATAACTAAGTATCTAACTGCAAAAATCTTCATTAGAATGGCTCTTTCTCTCTAGCTAGGGTAGGGATCAATATAAGCAAACCAGAAGGCCTGGAATCACACTAGAGAGCCTAAATTGCATAATCATATGGGTTAGATATCCTAACCCATATGATTAGATATAAATTAGATATTTTGATATTCTAACCCTGGGTGACAGAGTGAGACTCCATCTCAAAAAAAAATTAAATTTTTAATCGACACATAATAATAACTGTACATATTTTGGGGGTACAGTGAGATGTCTCAATACATATACACATTGTGAAATGATCAAATTAGGGTATTTAGCATTTTCATCATCTCAAACATTCATCGTTTCTAATTAGAATACTAAAAATCCTCTCTTCTAGCTCTTATGAAATACACCATACAATATTGTTAACCATGATCACCATTCCTCTTTGTTTCAAGTGTTGCAAATATGACAATGATTCTCTACTTTGACTTCATTCACCCTGTTAAAGCAAACTAAATATGGCCTGAGGACTCCGTACTTCTATATGAATCTTTGTGGATGAACTGCCAGCTAACTTAATAGGTAGACAAGATTGAAGACCTGATTTAGGATTATGCACCTGTAACAACAGCTGAGTCTTGGCCAATCCCAGGGGCCACACTTCAACCCACTCATACACTGCTGAGTATTCCAACTGTGTTCAAATAAGGCAAACACCAACCTGTAACCAATCCAGCTGATTCTGTACTTCACCTCTGATTTCTGTACGTCACTTCCTTTTTGGCCTATACATTTGTTCTGACCACGAGGCATCCCTGGAGTCTCTCTGAATCTGCTGTGATTCTGGGGGCTGCCCAATTTGCAAATTGTTCATTGCTCAGTTAAACTCATTTAAATTTAATTTGGCTGAACTTTTCCTTTTAACAACCCTTACAACTGAAAATTACTTGATGCATTCCAAACCCCCATTTCTTCCCCAGTAAAATGGGGCAAATAACTATTTCTATAAGGATTACATGAGATTACAAGTGTGAAAAAGCCCAGGTATGCCTGGAATAGAGTGAGTGCTTAGCAAACGTTTATACTTTCAATAAAAAGAGAAGAGGCATAAGATTTTGCTTGGGAAAAGCATAGTTTAAAAAGATGAAATGACTTCCTACAATCATACATCATGTAGCAATGTAAGAAAAAAGGCTCTGTTGAGTGCCTCCTCTGTAAACCTTTCGGCTTGATAAGTTTTTTCTCATCCTTTTCTATAAGTTCTTTTTTTTTAAGAGACAGGGTCTTACTTTGTTGCTCAGGCTGGTGGGCAGTAGCGTGAACATAGCTCACTGAAGCCTCGAACTTCTAGACTCAAGTAATCTTCCCGCCTCAGCCTCCTGAGAAGCTGGGACTACAGGCATGTACTGCCGCCACCTCTAGCTAAAGGTTATTTTTTTTTAACTGCACTGATTCCTTTGAGCTGGCTTATTGAGATATTATATGTGCCCCAATTTCTCCAAGATGCTTACCAAATAAATAATCACAAAATACTCATTGATATTTTCATAGGATTATGACAAATGATCATCTGACTACATTCTTACCCAGCTCAATGTTCTGGGATGTATCAGCTGTATGGAGAGCTGCCTCCTTGCCAGGTTTCAGCGTCCCATTAATTGGCATTCCTTTAACATAAAAATCAAGTTCACAGGGTAGCAAGTTGCAGATTACCACAGTTGGCAGGAGATATATGGTATGCCCAGGCTGTCTGAAAATCTGTTTTGCACTGTCAGAAAATATGTTTGAGGGCATATAATCTGGATAATTCTCTTTCTTTATAGCCACACAAAACCTATGAAGATAAAATGGTGTAAAAATCATCAGACTTAATGAAGAACTTAAATTTTTTCTCCTTAGCTAAGTATGAGAAAGAATAACATTAAGATGGTTCAATGAGTAAAATTATTTGCAGTTTTCAATCCAAATACATTTATTAAGATATAAATGCACAATAATATGTATAGATTTTAAATGTTCAGTTTGATGAGCTCTGACAATTATACACACCTCTATAAACACCATCCAAAATAAATTATAGGCTATTTCCCTCACCCCAGAAAGTTCCCTCATGTCCTTTTCCAATCGATATTCTCCTCCATCATTCAGGCAACCCCTTTCTAACATTTATCACTATGGATTAGTTGTTTCTGTTATAGAACTGCATATATATAAGTGGAATCATGCAGTATGTACTACTCTTTATGTCTGGTTTTTTTTTTTTTTTTTTTTTTTTGAGATGCAGTCTCGCTCTGTCACCCAGGCTGGAGTGCAGTGGAGCGGTCTCGGCTCACTGCAAGCTCCACCTCCCGGGTTCATGCCATTCTTCAGCCTCAGCCTTCCGAGTAGCTGGGACTACAGGCGACCACCACCACGTCCAGCTAATTTTTTGTATTTTTAGTAGAGATGGGGTTTCACCATGTTAGCCGGGATGGTCTTGATCTCCTGACCTCGTGATCTGCCTGCCTTGGCCTCCCAAAATGCTGGGATTACACGCGTGAGCCACCGCACCCGGCCTATGTCTGGCTTCTAAAACTTAAAGTCTCAACAAGATTCAGCCATGTTGTTCTATACATCCTCTTTGATAATTTTTCACTTCCTAGTAGTATGCCATGGTTATGAATAAATTGCTGTTAATTTATTCATTATCCTCTTGATAGCCAATTGGTTTTTCCCAGTTTAGGGTTAAATGAACATTCTTGTACAAGTATTTTTTGGACATATATCTTCATTTCTTTTAGGTAAATACCCCAGAGTGGCCTTGCTGGGTCCTTTTTTTTTTTTTTTTTTTTTTTTTTTTTTTGAGACTGAGTTTCACTCTTATTGCCCAGGCTGGAGTGCAATAGTGCTATCTTGGCTCACTGCAACCTCTGCCTCCTGGGTTCAAGCCATTCTCCTGCCTCAGCCTCCTGAGTAGCTGGGATTACAGGAGTGCACCACCATGTCTGGCTAATTTGTTGTATTTTTAGTAGAGACGGGGTTTTACCATGTTGGTCAGGCTGGTCTCGAACTCCTGACTTCAGGTGATCCCCCACCTTGGCCTCCCAAAGTGCTGGGATTACAGGTGTGAGCCACTGTGCCCGGCCAGTACTTAACTTTTATAAGAAATTGCCACACATTTCTCCAAAGTAGTTATACCATTTTACACTCCTACTAGCTACTTATGAGAGTTTAGTGGCTCCACATCTTTGTCAACACTTGGTGTTGTCATTCTTTTTTTATTTCAGCCATTTCAATTAGAGTAAAACATTACCCACTGTATGCATTTCCCTAGTGAATAATCACACTGAGCATCTTTCCATTTGTCTATTGGCTGGGTATTTTCTTCTGTAAATTGTCCGTTCTTTTGTCTATTCTTTTTATTATCTTTTTATTGTTGATCTGTAGGAAGTTCTTCATGTACTCCATGCAAAAATCCTTTCTCAGATATATGTATTTTTCCAATTCTGTGGCCTGTGTACTCCTTCTTTATTTTTTTGAGACAGAGTCTCGCTCTGTCACCCAAGCTGGAGTGCAGTGGTGTGATCTCAGTTCACTGCAACCTCTGCCTCCCAGATTCAAGCGATTCTCCTGCCTTAGCCTCTGGAGTAGCTGGGATTACAGGCGTGTACCACCATGTCTGGCTAATTTGTTGTATTTTTACTAGAGACGGAGTTTCACCATATTGGCCAGGCTGGTCTCGAACCCCTGATCTCAAGTGAGCTGCCCACCTTGGCCTCCCAAAGTGCTGGGATTATAGCCGTGAGCCACTGCACTTGACTTTCTTTTAGTCTCTTAATATGATGAGTTACATTTACTGATTTTCAAATATTAAGCTAATCTTAAATTTCTGGGATAAACCACTTGCTGGATTGCATTTCATAATATTTTGATAAAGGGCTGGGCACAGTGGCTCACACCTGTAATCCCAGCACTTTGGGAGGCCAAAGTGGGCAGACTGCTTGAGGTCAGGAGTTCAAGACCAGCCTGGCCAACATGGTGAAACCCCATCTCTACTAAAAATACAAAAATCAGCCGGTTGTGGTGGTGGGTGCCTGTAATCCCAGCTACTCGGGAGGCTGAGGCAGGAGAATCACTTGAACCTGGGAGGCGGAGGCTGCAGTGAGCCAAGATCACACCATTGCACTGCAGCCTGGGTGACACAGCAAGACTCTGTCTCAATCAAAAAAAGAAAAACTTGGCTGGGCACGGTGGCTCACGCCTGTAATCCCAGCACTTTGGGAGGCCAAGGTGGGTGGATTGCCTGAGGTCAGGAGTTTGAGACCAGCCTGGCCAACTGGTGAAACCTCATCTCTACTAAAAATACAACAATTAGCTGGGCATGGTGGCAGGCGCCTGTAATCCCAGCTACTCAGGAGGCTGAGGCAGGAGAATCGCTTGAATCCAAGAGGCGGAGGTTGCAGTGAACCAAGACTGCACTCTTGCACTCCAGCCTGGGTGACAAGAGCAAAACTCCACCTCAAAAAAAACAAGAAAAAATTTTTAATAATGATATTTGCACCTCTTCATGGGGAACACTGGCTCACAGTTTTTACATAGTAGCTGTATCAGGTTTTGGTATTAGGGATATGTTGGCCTCATAAAATGAGTTCGGAATTGTTCTTTCCTCTTCTATTTTCTGAGAGATCTTGTGTAAAACTGTTATTATTTCTCCTTAAACGTCTGGTAGAATTCACTAGTAATGTTATATGGGCCTATAGTGTTCTTTGTGGACAAAGGCTTTTCTAACAGTTGAAGTTCTTTTAATTTAGATACTGGGTTATTTGGATTTTCTATTTCTTCTTTGTATCAGTTTTGATAACTTGTGTTTTTCAAGAAAGGTGTCATTTACATCTGGAATGTACTGGCATAAAATTGTTCTTACCTCCTTTTCATCCTTTTTATGTCTATAGGATCTGTAATAGTGCCTCATTTTTTTCATTCCTTATATTGGTAATTTGTGTGTTCTGTCTTTTCTCCTTCAGCAAGTCTTGCTAGAAGTTTGTCAAATTTATGTCAATTTTGACATTGTTGATTTTCTATTTTCTAGTTCACTGATTTCCATCCATATTTTTATTGTTTCCTTTTCCTATTTGTTTTGAATTTGCTGTTCTTTAACTAACTTCTGAAGGCAGAAGATTAAATCAGCAATTTTATATATTCTTCATTTTCTTTTCTTTTTTTAAATTAATTGAGACTTAACCAAAGATCTTCCCCATTTTCTAATATGAGGATTTACAAACTATAACTTCTACCCTCGGAACTGGTTTTGCTGCATCCCCCATATTTAAACATGTCTGCCTTTTATTACCTTTTGATTCAAAATATTTTCTAAGTTCCTTTGTGATTTCTCTTTTTTGACCCATGGATTATTTACAAATACATTGTTTAATGTCCCAATATTTGGGATTAGGTATCTTCTTATTGTTTATTTCTAGTTTACTTCTATTGTGATCAGGAAATACATTCTGTATGGTTTTAGTTCTTTAATATTTATTGATCTTTGTTTTATGGCCCAGCAGATGATCTCTCTTGATAAGTGTTCCACATATACTTGAAAAGAATGTATAATCTGTATATAAATGTCTATTATAACAAGCTCATTGATAACATTGTTCAAATCTTTTACATATTTATTGATTTCTTTGTTCTATAAATTACTGAAATAGAAGTGTTAAAATCACCAACTCCAGCTATGTATTTGATGTATTTCTTCCTTTAGTCTGTTAACAATTTGCAGATCTGGGTAAAGAGTATAATGAAATTCTTTACACTATTCTTGTATCTTTTCTCTAAGTTTAGACTAAATGAATGCCTGTCTTCACTATAAAAGAAACTAAAGCTAATCCTCATTAAATAAGTTGAAAGTCTAAATTTGTTAGGGTGTAACATAGCAATCCAGTATTATTTCCAACACTGAATCTAGTAACATACTCCCGTATAATGGGAAAACAGGAGTTTAAATGGTTAGGCAATTTTGTCAAAGTTCTCAAGAAAGTCAGTATGAGGTACATAAACCTTCAAATTATTTTGAAATCTCTCATTCAAAAAACTCCAAACCCCAGGATTTTGCTTTCCAATTTTGGAATGAGAACTCGTTATTTTCTGTTTGTTTTCCTTCCCGTCTCTATATGTCCTCTCTTTATGCTGTTGTACAACACAAACTTCTAATCTTGTATGTGTAAATAGCATGTGTGTTGGCTGTCTCTCCCATGTAATAAAGCCTCCCCAGACCCCACCAACCGTTAGCACTTGAGTTCTCATGAACTCTAACTAAAACTCAAGGAATAAGAACTTTAGAGTTTAAATAAAGATAACTGAATCTCTAAGGGTCTTTAGAGAAAGAATGGTAATAGTCATTCCAAAAGAAAAAAAAAAGGCAAAAGTGACATGTCACTGCAGTGGTGCTACATACCTGAAAAATCGGCTTTTTTCTGTGTCCATAGAGTGGCACTCTCGTTTACTGCTACTAATTTCTGCAGTCTTCACTACATTGGTCCAATGAATGGGAGCCTTACAGAAAAATACACCCAATCCTTTGGGCCGGGCCTGTAGCCGCCAAGAAGTGAGGTGTAAAGGCACAGCAAACGAATCCCCTGGCATGATAGCAGGAAGCACCACTGGCTCTGCCACAGAAATAAGGGTTAACACTTTCAGGCAATGGTCCTCCACCCCAAAGATTGACCATCTCAGGACAAAAGAAGACAGACCATATATACTGACTGCTGGGGAAGATACCACTGGGGAAAAAGAGACTTGACAACAGTCAAGAAGTATTTATCAGCATTTACTATATGCTAGACAATCAAAACATACTGTCTGGAGCTGATGGGCTATCCAGTCTTAGTTCCATTGGTGTCTCAAGTCTGTTCCTCACAATGAGGGCTGACCGGACAGTGATGACTTTCCGTGCACTGCCTTCCATAGTCACTGCAAAGACCACCCGCACTGGTGGGAGTGAAGAGAACTGTGAAAGAGCGATAAAGACAAAATAGTTATGTTTCTGAAAAAACATATAAAATACAATAATATCGATCAGAATGTCTACCTTAAAAGTGTCTTATTACTACTATAGTTCTTCAGTGAAATCAGTCATAAAACCCTAAAGCCATTCAACTTTAAAGGGAGTAAACATCCTATACACTGTTAAAAAAAAAAATTCTAAAAAGTTCTACAAAAACAGATAATCCACTCAGATGTGATATCACAAAGTGTGTCACTAAGAAAAATCAGTCCTAAGCCTCTAGAAACATTATTAAAAACATTCACCTGAGACTGTGATAATAACCTATCCAATTTTCCAAACTTCCTGTAATTTGGTAAGAAAGTATCTGCTGGAAATTATCCTTGATTCATAAAGCCCCTGAGTTCCTTACAACGAAACTGAAAAAGGCTTGTCTTCTACTCTACTGGCAGGGAATTAAATAAAGAACATCCAACACAATTAAAATTAGAAATAATGAGGTAGGACTTTGCAAAACATTAAATGATTTACCTTCTGTGTTATTTTCCTCCTAGATTAATATCCAAACAATGGCTTGGGTACTGCCCAAATACAGAAAAACAGAAGGAAGTCTTCTGAGATTAACATTTGTCTTTGTAAAATCCAGAAAGTGTAAAAGAAAGAATTGTCTGCATTGGTGTGCCTTTCATAGGAACAAATAATAACTTCTTTTTTTCTAAATGTCATAAAATATATTATTTAGGTCCATATATTATTTGTTGACATGTCTACACAAAAACCAATGTCTGTATTTTAAAGAACTTTAAAAATAATCACTTGTTCATAAAAAGGACACCAAGGTTCAGAAACTCAACATAATGAAGGGCAATTATTTATTTTGGTCTTGGGTTACCGCCATTACGTTATTTTTCCATATGTTCATTCACACATTCAACACACATTTTGTGCTAATACCATGTGACAGGAAATTTTCTTAAAAGTAGAAAAATCCCATGTTAGGTACACCAAAGAAAAAGTCTGAAAGTACTACTCTTAGAATGAGTGTCCAGAACATATTAACAATGCTTTTTACTGGAGAAACAAATGGCATGACATTCAAGCTTTTCATTCTGCCAACTTTCTCATTAAGACAAACAGCAAGTGAAAGTCAATCCAATAAACAATAAAATGAAGAGCTCCATGTTTTGAACCAAGACTTCTAGGAAGTCCAAACAAAAAGGCAAACTACAATTTTCTAGAGTGTTTTTAGAAGGACACAATCCTAGGCATAAATCATCATCGAAGCTCCAGCTTCCAGTGACCCAACCCAAAAAAGGCCCCAATAGTCAAAGCCAGTAACAATTACTTAAAATCCTAGGCTGGGCGCGTTGGCTCACACCTGTAATCCCAGCACTCTGGGAGGCCGAGGCAGGCAGATCACGAGGTCAGGAGATCGAGACCATCCTGGCTAACACGGTGAAACCCCATCTCTACTAAAAATACAACAAATTAGCCGGGGGTGGTGGCAGGTGCCTGTAGTCCCAGCTACTTGGGAGGCTGAGGCAAGAGAATTGCTTGAACCCGGGGGGCGGATGTTGCAGTGAGCTGAGACGGCACCACTGCATTCCAGCCTGGGCAACAGAGCGAGACTCCGTCTCAAAAAAAAAAAAGAAATCCTGATGTTGTTTCAAACCTTGATATTGTTCAGGCCTACCTGAAATTTTGTTTCAAAACCTACAATCATCAGGGAGAAGAAATTATAAATAAAAGCCTGGAATAAGTTTGTTAATGTCATTTCGTGATGATGTTTCAAAAGCCAAAGAGGAAATAAACTGCTACTTTTTCCTTCTTATTTACTTTCATGACCTTTGGACCCAAAACTATGAAACACATATGGTCATACCAGGGTTCATTTCTATTTTAACTTAGAATGAAAAGGAGACCTTGGACCAAACATTTGCCTTTTCCTTCTCCTTCCCTGTAATACTTAGTCTCACACACCAAGCTAGGTGAAAACATTTTCTTGCAAGTTTTTGGAAAAGGAAGGTAATCATTAATAGAAAAGGGCAGAGATAAATTTCAATCGCATATATGTCATAAAGTTTCTCTGATCATTAAGAAATGTATATCCACATGATTCAGGTGCAGTGTATATACGCAATAAACACAATGACAACAGGAAAATCATACTTACATAAACCTGGGGATGTATAATATTTGTTCTGCTGCTTGGGCTGCCAATCTGAAAAAGATTTCAAAAGTTAGAGTCAGCACAGACTTAAGATAATTAGCAACGTTAAATTCAATGACAACATAATTTTCTTCAAAGGGTCGTGTTTGTAAATACTTTCAAGTAAAGTATAGTCTACTATGAAGATAAAACATCTCCTCTTAAAGATATGGAAAAAACAATATTCATTTTATAACCATTCAACGTATGCCAAATTTCTCCCCAACACATCAATGCAGTAAGAAAGGTACCTATGAGGGAACTGGTCCTGTCATTACTAGACATAAACTTAGGCTGAAAAGTAATCCTGAAAAGGTTTTGTTTTTGTTTTTGTTTTTGTTTTTTTGTAAGAAACTTGGGGCACAAGAGCAACAGTAAAAATGGACAGTTGTGCAACAGTGTTTTCTAAGAATATTTTTCATGAAGAAAGCTGCAATATCTCTGCACGTCTGCATTTCCACCTCACTACTGGCTACCCAAAAATAAGTGCAAGTGTTCCATGAAGTATGAAGGAGGATGGGGCAAGAGGACCCATGGCAGCTCTGTCAGCCAGGATGTCAGCCTCCACCTGCATGTACAAGTCAGGGATGCCACCTGCATCATTTCCTGGGCTGTCCCTCCAACCACTGGGACTACAGGCAGGAAGGGTATGTGAGAGCATGTGTGATCAGAAAATAAACGACAGTGGACATCTCTCTTTGTGCCACAGAGAAAGATTTGGAGACACAGAGTAAAAGGATCAAGGTGCTGCATTATAAGAAATATTAAAAACACAGTGTATATGGACAGCATAACAATATGTGAAATAAAAACAAGACTCAGGTTCAGCAGACTAGTAAACTGCCAGTCAGGCCAGCTAGCATGAAATGGATCTACAGAGGTGAGGAAATGTGTTACTGCTGATTTTAAATCTTGTTTTTCTACTGAAACTAACCATTGGCTGGCTTATCTACATATTGATTACCAATGCCTATGACTGACCCAGTCAGTCCTAGAATTAGGGGAAAGAAAGAACAAGAAAGTTTCATTAGAGTAAGCTTATTACAGGCTTAACCATCTGACTTCCTGACAGTCGCTTAACCATCTGACTTCCTGAATGTCACACACCGTAGAGGAAGATGAATTTTTATCTGGTGCTGCATATCGAAAAAAGGTCCCGACTTTGTCCACAGACACTGGGCTCACTTGCTCCCAGCCATTTACTCTCACTTGCAGTTGATGAATCCGGAGGTCATGGGTGTGTCTGTCAGGCAGAACAAAGAAAAAGATATTAGGCACAATCTCCAGAAGGGATGAAAAGTAGAAGCAAAGACACAAATCTGATTTAGTACATATGATGTAAAAACCCAGTTGGCTAAACCTTTTGGAGATTACCTAATGCAAGGGAAATCAGGAGCACAGTTTAACTGGGTTTTACACTTACAACACAAACTGCAAGATCTGTAAAGCTTGACTGAGTAAGAGTGGCATTTATCCTCCATTGTACAAACCACGCAAAACCTAAACACGAGCCAAGGTCTTTCCCCCACCAACCCTCACCCCAACCTATATAATGATGTCACTGGGGTGGTAAAAATGCAGTAGCGATTTAATCATATAACCATACTCTTGGAAATGCATAAAAAATTATTCTTGGTTCCTTTGTTGAAATCCTAATTCGCTCAGAACCACATGCAGTTGTTTGGCTCCAGCCCTACGTGACTACAGACAGGGCAGGAGAGGCACAGCGCTCATTTCAGGGCTCCTGTGCTCGACTGAAACTGGAGCAGAAGGCAGTGGGCAGAACAGGAGGAACAGGAGGAAACTGCACATTTAATTCTATTTTAGATTTTGCCTAATTCAAGCCAGAAGTGAAATGGGGAACTAGATTTGAGGCTGACAGGAAGCGGGGAGGGAGGCAAGGAGTGGGGTGCAGTGTGCCAAAAGGGGAAAAAGCCAGAAAAGGCATTTATTTTGAAGAATTCAAGCAGAATAGTGGGACCTGAAATGGATTATGAAATACGGAAACAAAAACAGAAATGACAAAGAGGTCAAACCCTTTCTGATATGACAGAGGATGGGCTTATCCAGAAATGTTCCCAACAGTTCTGTAGTTAGCTTCTCCAAGAACTGTGGGGACCAACAGGAAAATGCTCACTGCTCTTACCTGGAAGCTAAAGTGGCTTCCAAGCACATGTGTGCCCAGCATAGTGATTTTTTTTTTCCCTATAAAATCCCTGGAGACCCACACGTTCAGAACTCTTGCTTCTTGGGAATAATGTGTGTGGGTACCAAAGCTATGCAAAAGGAAACCTGCTTGACTTGGGAGCAAGTTTACACTCAGGAACTGAAAGCACCACAAAAAGCACATGATTACAGAAAGCTAAAGCCAATCTCTTCAATTTCAGCTCAGCTTGAAAACAAATATGAGGCTCAAATACTAAATCTTAACCTATTCAAATGCTGTCTTAACCTATTCATATCCACTGGATAGCCTGTGCATAGAAAAATACTTGTAAATAATACAACACTTTATTGGATATTTTATGATCTCTCAGTAATCAGATAGAACATTTTCTCACATTCATTCCAGTTTTGAGTATGGGTACTTCAGGAATGCATCAGCTAGCAGTCTCCCCAGATCAGTTCTTTTTAGAATCAGAATTTGTCTTCTTATTAGCTTTGAGTCCTGAAACTAGCTGCTTGTTAAAAGTACTACGTGGCATATATGTAAATTAAAATTGAAATCAACATGCTTTGAGAATCTTTTAAGAATACCATATCACCAATCCATCATGAAAATCAGGCCAAGATGCAATAAACTTGAGGGTTATGATATGTCTATGTTTCCACCAAATTCTGTGAAACACACAGGTTATCACCTCATATGTCAAATAAATGGATAGTTAATGAAAAGACATGTATTTCCAAGATGGCAGCAAAGTCTTTATTTTTTAAAAGGAGGCTGGGTGCAGTGGCTCACGCCTGTAATCCCAGCACTTTGGGAGGCCGAGGTGAGAGAACTGCTTGAGCCCAGGAGTTTGAGACCAGCCTGGGCAACACAGTGAGACCTCATCTCTACAAAAATAAAATAAAATAAAATAATAAAAGGAAACACTGATTTACGAAATATCTTTTAAAAAGAAGACATTAAAATCATTAATAAGGGGCCAGGTGTGGTGGCTCACACCTGTAATCCCAGCACTTTGGGAAGCCGAAGCGGATCACTTGAGGTCAGGATTTTGAGACCAGCCTGGCCAACATGATGAAACCCCATCTCTACTAAAAATAAAAAATTAGCCAGGTGTGGTGGAGCATCCCTGTAATCCCAGCTACTCAGGAGGCTGAAGCAGGAGAGTTGCTTGATCCCAGGAGGCAGAGGCTGCAGTGAGCTGAGATCGTGCCACTGCACTCCAGCCTGGGCAACAGAGCAAGAAGACCCTGTCTCAAAAATAAAATAAAATAAGATAAGATAAAATAAAATAAAATAAAATCATTTATAAGGAAAGTAAAAAGACAAAACACTAGGGACCCTCACTTACATCCACTTTCTTTTTTTTAAAGAAAAGAATAAACCATACTTTACCTGTGTCTTAACTTTCCTCTTGCTTCAAATTCAAAGGGAATCTCTTCACCTGTAAGGACTTCTCGCCATTCACTAACATTGTGAGTATCATCGAGAAATGTTCCGTTCCCTTCTGGAACTACCCCTGGACTCCCACTGTGAGAGAGTGCAGCTCTGGAACCAAATCAGATGACATCAGCCTGTCCCTGTTTCTTCCCAGCTCCCTCTCACAGGAGCCCCGTGCAGAAGAGCAGAACCTTCTCACAACTCAATTCCCAGCAATAAAAGGCTGCATGACCTAGCTACAAAGAATGACCTTGAGGGTCGCTAACTATAGCTATCTTCGTGCTGAATCACAACTTATTTGACATTTTAGAAACAGCTGAAAGCTGTCACTCTGTAGCCACTTACCTCAGGCAGTAGAATCTGGTACATGTGAATTAAGGCATGACTTTTTCAAGTGGCATTTAAGTGATTAGTTGGAATTTAACAGACCTACACTGTTAAAACAAAAAAGCTTCTCTTCTAGAGCAGTCTCATACTTGGGGGAGGTCGGAGAAATGTGATTTCAAATCAATGGATTCTGTTACTCATGCCATGCACTTCATGACCTCAGCTGGAACGACCACCATGTACTTGGAAGGCTGAGCCAAGATCTAAACAGGCAGAAAGTTGTTAGAAAAGGTTCTCGCCTGGCTTAGGTAAAGTCTCCTTTGTTCTCCAAACTCCACCCAATTCCATCTGGGTTGAAGTGCGTTTTAGGTATGAAAGAATTCTTTAGGGATAGAGGGAGAATGGGGATGTTTTCAAAGCAATCTTGGAATAAAATGGCAAAACATTTGGTGTGATAACCACACATAGCTCTTTAAAATGGGAAAGAAGGTAGAGATCGAGGAGAAAAGATGGAATGGCTTTTTCATACTTCCTGCTCACATCCTTAATTTGCTTGGCTTTTAAACATAAGGTATACCAAAAACAAGATCATAATTAGACTCAGGACCTGCTTCTCTGACTATAGATTCTCTACAAAACCAGAACCTCCATCATAAATCTCAGCAAGACAGCAAGTTATTCATTCAAATATCATCCCAAGAGCCTCAAGAGGGGGCCCACCTTGCTCTACTGGGCTGGCACAAGAAGGCTTTGGTGGCAGAGATGACTCGGGGTAATATAAACTGACTGCTTACCTGGTGGGTGTGGTGGTCAGGGTGGCAAACCACAAAGTGCACCCCGTGTGGTTCCTCAGAGCAAAGGGGACAAATGGCTGCCGGCGCTTGGGGGTTTTCACCTCTGCTACGACAAACAGAAGAAGGCTATGAGCAGACGCCCCTATCTGCATGGCAGAGACCCTCCCCCAACCTGGAGACAGTGCCCAAATTTGTCTCTTGTGCAAAGGGGCTGAAGGTGGAAGCAAGAAAGAAGGAACAGGACAAATGGAAGCTCCACGTATTTGCTGGCTGCTATGGGAGAATTTGGTCCCTGCCTGACTATTCCCAGCCCCCAATTCTTCCACAACTCTTACAGGCCTTATCTCTCAGAAGAAGGCATCAGGACCTAACTTGGTGGGAATCACGAAAGAAATAAAAATGGACCTCCCCAGTGCTGCCAAGAACTATATTCTAAGTGGGTAACCTAAAATGTAGCAAGATATATCATATGTACTTATTTAAACTTTGTCCAAAAAGCCTTTACCTTAAGGAAGTCTCCCTTTACATAAGTTACCCTACAGTCATAGTATGCATTTTGTAACAAAATAAAATAAAAACATTCTTTCCTATTCTTTTATACTAATAGTTGTTTTTGTCTCCCTGGAAAGGCAGAAGTAGACCATCTCAAAGCTTTTCAAACAAAATTGTTAGCCCATTTTTTAAACATAGATACCACCACCATCTATTATAAGGTGGGTACCATGGAAGCCATAAAAGGAACATAAAATATGGCTTCATTGCACAAAAAGCTTCTAATCAGGGAATGTGGAAAGAAACAACAATCAATACAAAACTGTAAGTAACCAAATTCTAAAGAGCGGTGACCTGACTATAAACATTGTAAGAAACCCAAAGCAGGCTTTCTGGTGCCCCAGCTGCTTTGGCAGACAGATCCCTCTGCAGGTACCACTGCCCATGCTATGTGGTTCCACATGGAACACAGAGTACTGAAAGGAAGGGCAGCAGCTCCTCTAACCAAGGACCTGTCTCCTCCACTGGCCACACAAATAGGGAGGCAGCAGCAGCAAACCAGTGTGAGAAAGCCTCCTGGTTGACATGTTCACAACACACGTACACAACCAACAAAAAAAAGGGAGGTGTGGCTCAATCTTCTTATGTGTCTAGCATTAAAGTAGGAAGACAGCGTGAGAAAGACCATGACCCACATGCTCTGCAGCTGGGAGAAAATGACATCTACAGGAAGCTGCAAATGCTAACTGCAGAGAACACTAAGGCAAAACTGAATTCATCCTACAGGACATCTTCTGTCAACAAAATCGAGAAGACAAACTGCAACATGTCCTGCCTTCTGCAACCTCCAGACTGAGGCTGGGACTGTATCATAACAGTCGGTAATTGTCACTGCCTTTTAAAAAGCAATCACTCCCTTTTTTCTCTTACCTCTTTTAAAGTTTTGAAAGGTTAGTACTGTAAACAATGCAAACCAAGCAATTTTGGGTCAAGGCAAGTTCTATTTTGATAACAACGATGGTTCAGGGGAGTCTAAGATATAGTAATCTGCTAAACAAATGAGCAGTCTCCAGGGTATTCCCACAATTTTGTGGTCAGTCATTTAGAGATACCCCAAATACATCTAAAGATAATCTCCACTAGGAATATGCCCATTTCTCACCCCAATGGCCTTACTTAGCTCCCAAAGTTTGCTTTAAAAAAAAAAATTAGTGCTCATCAAGTAGAAAATTAAGGAGTAGCTGTAAGGCTGCTGACAAGAGCAGAGGGGGAGTAAAAAATTTAAGAGCTGTCTGCAGGGTAAACGGTATTTACTGTGGCACTTTGAAAGGCACCTCCCTCTTCTATGAGTGCAATGAGAGAGCTGCTTTTATTACAGTAGATAAAGGGCCCAGGAGAAAAAGAAGCCAGATGTGCTTTCATATCCCACTGTGAGCCAGACTGTAAGTTTCCATTTGCAAATTAGATTTAAAAAGAACAGGTGGCAGATGGCTTTGATCAGTTTGTTATACAGAATAAAGTGCTGCGAATCCATACAAATATATTCACAAGTATACTGCTTTGGAGTTAAATAGCATGGGTAGGCACAATGCTTAGGTCTCCAAGCTTCTTGCATTGATGAGACATAATGGCACAGGCTTCAATAACCCATTTCTCTGAGGATAAAAATACACAGCATGCACGCAAATCCAAGCCCAACATCAGGCAACAAATCTGACATCTTCTGCACCAGGGTCCAAATAAACTATGTACTTGCCTTTGGCACAGCACCAGAGACAAAAGTTCCCAAGTCCATCAAAGAGAACATTATTCCCTAATGGCCTCAGAAAATCTGCCCCTAGTGACCAAACCCAATTTCTTCATGGGCTGAGAGAGAGTCTAAAGCTACCCGTATCCAAGTTCAGCTTCAAACAGCTCCAGCTAAGGAAATTTCTACCCCTTCGGACTTGTTTCACACAGTAATTTTGCCATTATAAACAGTGTAGGTTGTCATGCTATGTAAGCAGCTCAGTCCATCAGAAAGGACCTGGTTTGTAAATCATAAGAAGCAGATTAAAATACTAGGTTTGCTACTAGGAGGTCAAGTGAATAAAGGCAAATCACCTAGTGTCTCTGAACCTCACTGTCCTTATCAGCTAAATAGGAATAATGCTTGGCTAAGCCTGAAAGATTAAGTAACATATAGAAAGCTTAGAAGCAGGAATACACAAATAAATTAAGATTCAGCTCTGGGCTTTCTTTGTGAGCCCTCCCTCAAACATCCACCCTGGTAAAATTGTCCAGAAAAAAAAAACCCAGGGCAATGTACCCTGAGTATTAACATCCCTGTTCTATATTCCTGGTAGAGGGAGTTCCTGTGGTCTCTTTCTATTTAAAAAAATCATGACGAATAATCTGGAATTTGCCATGTACACACATAAATCATTCAGATTAAACTGCACTCCCTAAAACAAAAACTGAACATCTTGGGACTCCAATTCCTCAATGATTATGGTGTTTTCTACCACATTCACTTACCAGTGAATTTCTCAAGAAACTTTCAAAGATCAGAGATAGAAATAAAGAAAATTTTCTTTTTTATCTCCTAAACACAAAAACTGACATCCAAAGAAATTAAGGTTTGTGTCTAAGCAATTATTTACTGAGAATTTTTTTTCCGCTATCCCTATTATTATAGTGCCTGTTGCAGAGCCCCATGCCTTCCCATGAGAATTTTCAGTGGGTATTTTATAAACTTAAGACTTGTGGCACCACTGCTTGATGAAGCATGGTGCTCCTCAATCCACTTGCTCTTCAATATGAGAAATCACCTCTAACTGACATTGTATTAACATATTTCTGCATCATACACTGTGGAGTTTATTCCATTTCCACCAAAGTTAAGGGAGATGGAAGGGAAACAATATAAGAATCAGCTGATAATATGCACCACTCTGTTCATCAGTTGGAAATGTTCTTTCCTATTACTAAAGTACTCACGACATGGAATACCCCCAATTCAACTCCCACTCATTAAAAAAAAAATTGATGTACAAGGAAGTTCTTAAAACAGGAAAATAAAGCAAGCCCTCGCTTGGCTATACTGTACCTCTAGCATAGATCTGGTGCTCTAGGTTAGTCAGACTGGCTGTACTCCTAGTTCTAAGGTAGACAAGGGGGAGGCCTGGTAGACAGGAGAGACAAAGTTAGAGGCTAAGAATAAATACAGTGAAATAAGAAGACTTGCTTCCAAACGATAAGCACAAATAGAGAACATTACAAAAATAGCAAGCATCATGCAAGTACAGAGTCATTCCCATCAGTGATTACTAAGCACTACGAATGTACTTGACAAAGTGAACACATTTTTATGCTAGTTTTTATTGTGGAGGCTGGATCAAAGTAACATGCTTTTTTTTTTTTTTTCCTGAATTAGAAGAATATGTATTGAACCTTCTCTTGAACAGAATGACGAGCCTTTTGAAGATTTTTAATTTAAAGGTGTTATGTTCTTAAATGGCATTAAAAAGTTACAAAAATCCATCAGTACAGATTTTAGTGAAGGTTGCTCCATTCCAACTGGTAAAACACAGAAGTAAAATGCCAGTCTCAGGGGATCTCAAAAATTCAGGGGAAGAGTCAGTATGTGTTCCAAATTTAAACAATCTCTACCAAGGAGTTGTCTCATAGTGTTTATTTAAATTCTAAATCAAGCATGGAAGTTTTCAGAATATTTGATATTTTCATAAAATGTCCTTGGAATACAAAACTAATAAATTCAATGAAGTGCCACACCGCCCAGGTTTACCTGCAAAATCTCAGCCCTGACTGAACAAAGCCAACAATTTTGTCAAAAGGAGGCTGGTATTTTCTTTCCCCTGATAAAGAAACAGTGAGAAAGCAGCAGGTCCCTTAGGCTAAATTTCATGTTAAGGGCTATTCCCAAGAGCTTGTTTTAAGGCCAGTCTGAATAAAAAGCATAACTTTTGTAGGAATATGACTTACTATTCTTGAATAAGACCTGAAAGTTTATGATTAGTTCAACAAGGTTGAACCCTACTCACTTTCAAAATAAATTCCCAATGATCATTTTAGTAGGCCTGCTAAAAGAATACAATCCTGGAATGTACTGTACTACCATCCAGGAATTTCCAATAAGAAAAGAGGTTTGGAAATTTATGCATATTCAAGTTATGTCTTATTAAAAAGATAGATTACACTTTTATAAGCCTAAGTAATCATAAAAATCTTTAAATAAATAAAAATCAAGCTTTAACTCAGCACCAGCATTTAATATAGATGAGGAAGCCTTTTAACTATAGAGAAAGAGAGAGGGACAAAAATTTTAAAAAGGAAGGAAGAAAGGGAGGCAGGGAGGGAAGAAGGAAAGAAGAAAGAGAGGGACAAGAAAATCTTTCATCAGAATCTTGCAGACCAGGCCTTGCTAGAGTTTGACTCTGAATTGAAGATGCCCCTGCATGAATAATGTTTTAGAAACACACTCTCTTGGACATATTACAAAGATTATTTAGAGTCTTCTGGGTAGACTATGTTACATTTTCTTGACACACAAATTGGGAAGGTTGGAGGAGGAGCTAAAATCAAAGCTGACAATATCTGAAAAGCCCTGGCTCCTAAGTAATGACCTTGAGACTCAGAAGCAACAGCCTGGGAAAACAGAGAACAAGCACAGCTGACATTTCTTTGTGTCTCTTTCTAGAAGTACAAGGCAGACAGAAAGTCCACTTATTCACCCTGAGGAGAGATGAACCAGTACAATTACTTCACACACTAAGAACACCCAATCTTCCCATGACACGTTTGCAGACCAGATGGAATATTTAAGTATTCATGAGCTATGTGAAGTCCAGCCAAGACTCCCCAAAGAAACCACATTGTAAGAGTTGGAGCTGAGTTGAATTTGGATGACAATGGCTTGTGGAACAACTAAGACCATGCAGTTGTCCATCACCATCTCCCCAGCTCTGAGGAAAACAGAGCTGGCGAGGCATTAAATAAGGAAAGAAAGCATCATCAATAGAGAGCAAGCTGACTCCTCTTTCTTCAAGAGGCAGGGCATTCAATTCTTTTATACTCTATGAACAGCACAGGGCTCCCTTTTTAACAACTTTTTCCACATGGGCTCCTGCTCGCCCTCTTTTCAAGAATATGTCCAAACCCTCTATCTCTAGATTTAGAAGACCATTTTAGATGCTTTTAAAAATCTGGCCAAAAAAATCCGATCAATTAGAAAACCAATGTTTTGCAGAGTAAAACACAAACCACAGCTGATCCTGATGCATTCTCAGGTGCACCAGTTCATATGCATTATTACCAGGATTTAGGAATTACGTGTTGCAGATCTTTTCTCCCCCGCAAAGGTGGAATTACAGCCCACATTTATAAGTTCAGTAGTTCATGCCAGAAAACTGTCTCCTGCAAAGACTAAAACAGAACTACAGAAGATAGTCAGAATTTCCTGTAGGTTTTTCCACGCAGAATGATGGTTCCATTTGAATTTCTCAGTGAAGCATTGCTTTGTAGGTCAAAAGTGATTTAGTTAAACACATGTAGTGAAAACTCTTACTTTGTCCAAAACATGGAGGATCCACCGAAGAGCCCATCCAGTCTTCTGATTTAGCTGACTCTATGTCCTTGTCATCTTTACAGTAATCTGCCATCCACGATTCCTTGGTACTTACATACTGGTCTAGAAAGAATCCCCCAGAGATATTAAGAGAACTAAAAAAGATGGAGGGTTCGAGTCAAATAATTTCAATTCAGCAAAACAAGCTTTTATTGAGTGTCTCATTACATGCCTGGCCTGTGCTAGATTCCGAGAAAGTCTATGCCCTGGAGAGCCTCACGCTCCACTGAAAGAGATTACCATGAATAGACAACCATCGCCACAAAACTCTATCATAATGTGAAAGACATTAAAGATGTGGATTCTCTTCAAACCAATCTATAGATTCAATAAAATCCCCATCAAAATACCCATAGGGCATTTTGTGGAATTTTAAAAGCTGAATCTAAAATTTATATGGAGGCCGGACGCGGTGGCTCACGCCTGTAATCTCAGCACTTCGGGAGGCTCAGGCAGGCGGATCACTTGAGTCCAGGAGTTTGAGGCCAGCCTGGCCCACATAGCAAAACCCCATCTCTACTAAAAATACAAAACTTATGTAGGCGTGGTGGCGTGCACCTGTAGTCCCAGCTACTCAGTAGGCTGAGGCAGGACAATCGCTTGAACCTAGGAGGTGGAGGTTGCAGTGAGCCGAGATCATGCCACTGCACTCCAGAGGCTGAAATTCAGCAGACAATTCTCCACAAGTAGTTTTACTTCTGTGAGAGAATTACAATGGGGATAGCAGGTTAACAAAAACAATTACAGTGCACCACACCTAGATGAAGATCTTTTATACTAATTAAGATGTTATACTTTTTGGAAGAAGAATTATTGGTTTCTGGTTTTCAATTAGAACACTTGGCTACAGAAGTAATATTTATTTAAACACAAGAGGTCATAGCTACGTTTCTGGGTTTCAGTATAGTATTCGGAACAAGGAATTGAAGGTGAAAAAAACAAAACAAATTTTACCACTGACGAGAATGCCTTTTGGAAGATTTTTTGTTTGGTTGGTTTCTTAGAGACAGGGTCTTGCTCTGTCTCCAAGGCTGGAGTACACGGGCACAATCATAGCTCACTGTAACTTTGAACTCCTGCACTCAAGTAATCCTTCCACCTCAGCCTCCTGAGTAGCTGGGACTACAGGCACACGCCACTATGCCCAGCTAATTGTTTATTTTTGTAGAGACAAGGTCTCACAATTTTGCCTAGGCTGGTCTGGAACTTCTGGCCTCAAATGAGCTTCCCATCTTGGCTTCTCGAAGAACTGGGTTAACAGGCATGAGCCAATGTGCACGGCCAGAAGATATTCTTAAAGAGACATATACTGTACTCATCAGAAACACCAATAAGAACCTTTAGGTAAGCTCTTGTTTACTGCAGCTTTTCAAAAGACTACCACAAACTTTCTCTAACCTTCTAGAGTAAGAGATGTTGTGAGTAAGAGATGTTGTGAGAAACAATGTAGGAGTCAAAACAATACAGTTTAGAGAAATCACAGGGTCAACTTACTATTATCTAGGTGATATTAACAACTAGGCAAATTAGTGGATGAAATCTGATCATATAAACAGTGGTTTTAAATTTGGGGGGTCAACAAACTTATGGTCTCATTTCACAATACATTCTTTCCATCCAACTCTGACATGCGTAAGGAAGTGGATATTCTAACAGCCTCAATCCAACATACACACCAAAGGAAGTTCACAATTTGCAATAGTATGTGTTATCGCTCAAAGATAAAGTATAGTAATTCCAAAATCAGATCAAGTAGATCAATAAATCAAACAATGAATGTGAGTTTTCACAGTGAAGGTACACACTACTTGATTGTATGATTATATTGCTTTCCTTTTAGATGGCAGAACTGTAACAATAGAGCAGTTTTTATTCATGACATTGAATCCAGAGATGTACATTTCAGTGTTGCCAAAGATACTTTTAGATAACACACCACTAACCTGGCAACCCTTAAGCAAGTCATTTTCAGAGTTAGGTCAAAATGATAATGGGAAACAACAAAGGCAACTTATTCTACTATAAAGATATGGTCAAAATCACACCTTTTAAGAATTAGTCCGTGAATAGCTTGAGCAAAGTTAATCTAAACTCACTTCCAGGACATTTAATAAACTCTAGTGACCAAGCATTATGAGGAGAAAGTCCATCACGGCCATTTACGTTTCCTAAGTAATCTAAGTTCTTGCTTAACCACTGATAGCATCATTATGGGATGCCAACGGTGGAGAAACAGGTTGAGAATCAAGAGGCTATTAGGGTTGATCAGGAAAGCAGTCAGGATGAAGAAGTGATGCCTGGTACAGGCCCAGGTATTTGCTAAACCAGGATTAATAGTCTTCCAGACTCAGAACTTAGGTACGGAAAGGTATCAGTCTATGAAAGACAACTTTCTACTCACCAATTAGCACAGAAGTGATATTGATATCCAAACGAGGTTTGGCCTTGGCTTCTAGCTTCAGTCGAGGAGGATGGAGACGACTAGCTGCCTGCTGTTGCCAGGATACAGAGCATGGCCAAGGCTCAATAAATGGCTCCCAGCCTAAAAGAACACAGGAAATAAGACATCTGTTCAGCAGATATCAAGAGTTTATAGGGGAACACTGCTCGCAAATGTTCAGCAAGGACAAACTCGAGCTTAATAGCTTTCTACTTCCAATTCAATTTCACAACAAAAGCACCAACCACCTTTAGCTACAGGTCACCCTACAGATGTCTGCGTTGTCCAGAAGACACAAGTGGAAAGGCATATATGTACCCCCACGATGGTCTTCCAGAGGTGGCAGGAAGGAGGGCAGGCAGTGTATGTGCCCTCTTCCACTAAAGAACAGGTGGGATGTGTTGAGACACTCAAGATGGAAAAAGGAGTCTCAGACTAAGATTGGAAAAATAATAAAGTGTCTTAAATAGCTATTAAATTTGATTCTCCTGGTTACAGGACCAATACATTGGTTGAATAAATAGGTACATATGAAGGCTCACTTTTTCTTTTTCTTAAAATATGCACAAAAACTATATAAACAACATATAAAATAATACCACTAACACTCGTGTACTCACTATTCAACTTAAGAAATAGAAAATTACAAGTTCCCAAGGGCCATTCCCTACCATCTCATTCCCCTCCTTCCCACCAACCCTCTCCCACCCAACTCCAGGTGACCATTCACTTGAATTTTTAGTTAATCATTTCCTTGCTCTTCTTTATAATTTTACCAAGCATATATACCTTTCTTAAGAACATTTAGACTGTCCTGCTTGTGATCTTTACATAAATGGAATCCCCATGCGCATTCTTTTTCAAGTTTCTATTCTTGTTCACCAATATGTCTTTGAGCATACTGTTGAGCATACTGCTACATCACATTGACGCAGGTCACCGTGGTACATTGTTTTCACTACTGAATATTAACATGCATTATAATGAATATACAATTTATTTATCCATTCTACTTCTGAAAGACATTCACTTGATTCCAGTTTTATTGCTATTGGAATACTATACTATAAGCAGCCTTATATACATCTGTAGTTCACACAGGCAAGACAGTCTCTACGGTACAGACCTAGAAGCAACACATTGCGGGGTTGTTGAGTATGCTTACACTCAAATTTACCAGGTCATGCCAAATTGTTTTACACAGTAGTGGTAGTAATGTATAGTTCTAATAGCAAGTACTATGGCTTATATGTTCCAATAATTAGTAGTGTCCCACTTAATTTTTGCTAATCTCTTGGGTGTGAAAAATGGTACATCACTGTGACTTAAAAGACTCAACTTTTCAAAGCCAATTAATTTTTAACAGATCTTTAAATAGACTCACACAATCAGCCACTGAACAAATCCAAATCAGTATGTAACACACAGTAGATACATTAGACTCCTTACACCATTTGACATTTAGTGACCTGAATGTGTTCATACAACTTTAAAAGTAAGCAATATTTGGCCTAAGAAAACAAATGATTCTCAGAAAAATAGCTCCCACATGCAAGAGTTTCTCTCAACTAGAAAGACTTGGGCCATTATTCTTTTTTTTTTTTTTTTTTTTTTTTAAGACAGAGTCTCGCTCTGTCGCCTAGGCTGGAGTGCAGTGGCACGATCTTGGCTCACTGTAATCTCCACCTCCTGGGTTCACACCGTTCTCCTGCCTCAGCCTCCCGAGTAGCTGGGACTACAGGTGCCCACCACCACGCCCGGCTAATTTTTTGTATTTTTTTTTTAGTAGAGATGGGGTTTCATCATGTTAGCCAGCATGATCTCAATCTCCTGACCTGATGATCCGCCCACCTCGGCCTCCCAAAGCGCTGGGATTACATTCTAAAGTGAAACATTTTGAACAATGAAGAAATAAGGGTGTTAGCTTTAAGTGAGTCTGGTACACAGGGAAAATGTTAACTAACATAAAATTAAATGTGATAAATACTCTAGAACACTCAGCAGCAGCACAACAAATCGAGGTTTAATTTCTTACTGAAATTAAAGGGAGCAGGCCGTCGGAGGTTTACACCTTGGACTGCCCAGCACTACTCTGATTATTCTGTCCATGCCTACTACCAATTCCGATGAGACCTTCTTTCAGCTCTCTTAAGGCAAAGTTCACTGCTCAAACCACTTGGCCCTAATATATTATGGCTTCTGAATTTCAACCTGTATGTATAGGCTCTTACCTTGGTCTTTCAAATGGGAAGAAAGAAACCTGAAAATGCTTGCGATATTATTGAGGTTTACGTCTCCCAAAAAATAGCCTGCTCTGATCAGCAGTGGTTTTTCGTTTGTTTGTTTTTGTTTTTTCTAGGGAGCAGGTAGGGCAGAATATATAGTGTCACTGACTCAGTAGATTCTAATAAAACAAACAAACCCAGTGGGGAGTGAAGGGACTTGAGGTTTAAAATGCTTGGCTGGGCGCAGTGGCTCACGCCTGTAATCCCACCACTTTGGGAGGCTGAGGCAGGTGGATCACCTGAGGTCAGGAGTTCGAGACCAGCCTGGCCAGTCTGGTGAAACCCCATCTCTACTAAAAATACAAAAAATTAGCTGGGCATGGTGGCAAGCGCCTGTAATCCCAGCTACTCGGGAGGCTGAGGCAGGGGAATCACTTGAACTTGGAGGCAGAAGTTGCAGTGAGCCGAGATCGTGCCACTGCACTCCAGCCTGGGTGACAGAGTGAGACTCGGTCTCAAAAAACAAACAAAAAAATGCTTGTGGGCATAAATCTCCCTTGAAATTTAGCTACTCTCAGGGCGAAATAAATGATCCTTCACTATTGAGCAATGGCATATTCTAGAATGAGCCAAACTGCAGGATCCAAAAAAAATTAACTATAAAAACATCACTTTTTAAATTTTTTTTGAGACAGAGCCTTGCTCTGTCATGCAGGCTGGAGTGCAGTGGTGTGATCTCAGCTCACTGCAACCTCCGCCTGCCGGGTTCAAGTGATTCTCCTGCCTCAGCCTCCCAAGTAGCTGGGACTACAGGCGCCCACCACCATGCCCAGCTAGTTTTGTATTTTTAGTAGAGACAGGGTTTCGCCACATTGGCCAGGCTGGTCTCGAACTCCTGACCTCAGGGTGATCCGCCCTCCTCAGCCTCCCAAAGTGCTGGGATTACAGGCGTGAGCCACCACGTCCAGCCAAAAACATCTTTTTAGTTGCAACATATCAGATATGTTTTTAGCACAACAGAAAATCCTTATTTTCTGTGTTTATGCAGTCTACTTGCTTTTCATCTTTCCCCGTCCCACCCCACCCCTGCCCTTTCCTTCATGTAAAATTTACGTAGCAATAGGTCCAGGCAAACATTTAAATTTATTTTTTAAATCCCATGATAACATATGCTTTATACTGACCTGAAAGAGCACGGTTATAATAATCTCCAGAAAGGGTGAAGTGGGCATAGCCTTCAGGGCTAGTTCTTACACGCTGAAGAAAATTCAGACCTGCAATGAAAGCAAACCTTACTGCAGCGGCAGGGCAGGAGCAACCAAAACTGCCTTTTGCTGATGACATTAAAGAAACATTAGAGCTAATACTCGCAAAGGAGAGCACACAACATTCTGATACTTTGTTCATCATGTACTTTTTTGCATCAATTTTTAAAAATATGGCACTGAGATATTATTTATCTCCATGACTGAGTTTTCTGGCACCCTCTTAAACTCTGTGCCTGAGGCAAGTACCTCATTTGCCTTCCCACAGTGCCAGCCCTGGCACCCAGGTGTACCTGAAGCCTGTGGGAACATAAAAGATATTTCTGGCCAGGTACGGTGGCTCATGCCTGTAAATCCCAGCACTTTGAGAGGCCAAGGTGGGTGGATCATGAGGTCAGGAGATTGAGACCATCCTGGCCAACATGGTGAAACCCCATTTCTACTACAAATACAAAAACTGGCTGGGCGTGGTAGCGGGCGCCTGTAATCCCAGTTATTTGGGAGGCTGAGGCAGGAGAATTGCTTGGACCCGGGAGGCGGAGGTTGCAGTGAGCCAAGATAGCGCCACTGCACTCCAGCCCGGCAACAAAGCAAGACTCTTGTCTCAAAAAATAAAGATAAAAAATAAAAAAAAGATATTTCTACCTGAAAAATGATAAGAGGGCAGACTGATTAGAGAAGTCATGTTCTGATAAATATTAGCTCAAAATGTTAAGATTGACATAGAAAAATAAGAAATCAACTAATTAGTCTCTGCAGAAAAGATATTCATCAAAACAGTCAAAATTCCAGTTGTCACTTTTAACCAAGTAGCCCTGGTGGTGCCCTAGATAGAAGCTCAGGGAAAGGGCAAGCTCTGTAATGTGCAAGAGGCCAGATTCAAGCCCCAGAAGCAAACTTTACCTGAAGGAAGAAGAGGCTGGCAAGATCGAAACAATGGAAAGTTAAAACTAAACAGAGTAGGGAGATTTTCATTTACTCTCCTCAAAACCTCAACCTCGCCAGGCGCGGTGGCTCATGCCTGTAATCCCAGCACTTTGGGAGGCTGAGGCGGGCAGATCCCTGAGGTCAGGAGGTCGAGACAGGCCTGACCAACATGGAGAAACCCTGTCTCTACTAAAAATACAAAATTAGCCAGGCATGGTGGCACATGCCTGTAATCCCGGCTACTCGGGGGACTGAAGCAGAAGAATCGCTTGAACCCAGGAGGCAGAGATTGTGGTGAGCCGAGATTGCACCACTGCACTCCAGCCTGGGCAACAAGAGCGAAACTCCGTCTCATAAAAAAAAAAGACCTCAACTTCACACTGCTTGCAGTGAGGCACTTAAGGATCAAGTACTCCCACCAGAAGTGATGGTGGGCCACTTTAATCCTAGCCACTCGGGAAGCAGGAGAACTGCTTGAGCCCATGCGTTTGAGACCAACCTTGGGCAACAAAACAAGACCTCACCTTTGAGGTAAAAAAAAAAAAAAAAAAGGATAGAGTACTCCTACTTTGGTCCCCACTCTAGCAAAGGACAGCTCACATATAAACAGTGTTTTACCCCTTACAAGGCCCTGTGGTGGAGACTCAGAAGTGCACTTTCTAGTAAGATTCTTGTTTTTGATTTTCAAGAGATAATACAACAGAACCATTATTGTCTGAGCTTATCTGTTAAATGCCTAGCAGTATTCACTACAATCTTTAGATACATAAAAAGATAAGAAAAATGAAGAGATCAGGAATTATTTAGCTAGAGATGTTAATACAATGGAAATTTTATCAAAGACCATTCCTATTCCCAAGCTATAGGCTGAAGGCCACATATGGCAAATAAAAGTTTCTTTAAAACATACATAATGAAAAACATATGTAAAACTATTATCTAAATTTCACCCAAATGACTAAATAGAGTATGAATGACAAAAAAAAAAAGGCCCCAAATAATTCAGCAATGACTGGAAATATTCAAGATGAATCTGAAAACCAGTACAACACTCACGGGAAAAGGTGAGTTCAGCGAGAGGAACATCACAATCCATGCAGTCATCGATGAAACAGATGCACACACTCTCAGCTTTGATCTCCACGCCAGAGATCAATGGCGCTGCCACAGCCCCTGGGCTATCTCGGCTGGTGGAGGCCAAGGAAAGAGACTTCAGAGGTTCCGCATTCTTAAACAACCAACTTGCTGCCTTTTTCAATTGGCCTTCAAAGAAATTAAGAAGTGATCAGTTCTACCAGCTTCCACAGCTACCCTAGCCACTCACAGAGGAAACAGAGAAATAAAATTCTCTAGAGACCTACTGGGAAGCCAAGAGAGCCTTGATCCCAGAAGTATTCTTGGACTTAATAAAAAAGGAGGGTGGGGGTGGTGGGGGTGGGGGGTGGGAGGGAATCTCAGCATAATAATCATCCTGCTTTTAAGCAAACATTTTGTTGCACACCTTCCACTCAAATTTACCACACCTTTCACGATCTGGCCCAAAATGCCTCCAGGAAGCCATCCCTCTCTACCATGCCATCTGTTGAAGGAGAGGAGAGAAGAGGACAGGAGAGGATCCAGACACGGCGCCACTTGGTACCTAAGTCACCAGAGGCCAGTACCAGGGACAGTGTAAATGATCGAGGGCATGGGCTCCAGAGCAAGATGGCCTGGCTTCAGGTCCTGTTCTGCCCTTACCAGCTGCTGGCTCTTGGGCAAGTTATTTGATCTCTTTGTGCCCGACAGCACCCACTTAAAAGGACTGACAGGAAGAGGGAAGAATGAGTACATGGAAAGTTCTCAGAGTGAAGCCTGGAGTGTAATAAACATTATTTGCTATTATCTACATTACAGATACACATCAGTTGCTATTATCATATTAATTACTGATGGAATTAAGTTTTATCTACTGAAGAAATAAAAATTACTGGTCGGGTGCAGTGGCTCACACCTGTAATCCCAGCACTTTGGGAGGCCAAGGCGGACAGATCATGAGGTCAGGAGATCGAGACCATCCTGACCAACATGGTGAAACCCCGCCTCTACTAAAAATAACAAAAATTAGCTGGGCGTGGTGGCATGTGCCTGTAATCCCAGATACTTGGGAGGCTGAGACAGGAGAATCGCTTGCACCTGGGAGGCGGAGGTTGCAGGGAGCCAAGATTGCACCACTGCACTCCAGCTTGGGCAACAAGAGCAAAACTCTGCCTCAAAAAAAAAAAAAATTACCAAACAGAGGCCGAGCACAGTGGCTAATGCTTATAAGCCCAATGCTTTGGGAGGTTTAGGCAAGGGATCACTTTAGGTCAGGAATTTGAGACCAGCCTGGGCAACATAGCAAGACCTGTCTCTACAAAAAATTTAAAAATTAGCCACGTATGGTGGTGCATCCTGTAGTCCCAGCTACTCAGGAGGCTTAGGTGGGAGGATCATTTGAGCCTAGGAGTTTGAGGCTAGAGTGAGCCATGATCATTGTGCCACCACTACACTCCAGCCTGGGTAACAGAGCAAAACCCAGTATCTAAAATTAAAAAAAAAAAAAAAAAAAAATCCAAAAGGTTCTCAGAACTTTAATTAAAAAAAAAAAAAAAGGTGCTCGAATTGTTAAAGAAAGAGTAAAAAGCATAGGAAAAGTAAACATTAAGGGGTATAAAATTAATTAAACCAAAAACTAATGACTGGGTAAAACAAAACCAAGAACACATGAGAACTAGGTCTACCTTCATTTTTTTCAGAATCCAAAAGGTAAGTTAATGTAAACCAGTATGTCATGAAACAAGCCTTTTCACACATAAATTGGCTGGAATAACCCAGATACAATTTTTTTAGAAAAAGATTTGTCGATTCAAGAGCCCCAAAAAAAATTTTAAAAAAGAAAAATTAAAAAAAAAAAAAGAAATCAAGTAAAGAGCCTGAAAAATATATCTATACCCTTTGGTCTGGTATTTAAAATATAGATCACTCTACCAAGGATATACTTAAAAGACATAGACAAAAGTTCACACCAAAAAATGTTTACTACATAGAAGTGTGTATAATATTGAATAACAAGTAAAGAATGATTAAGTAAATTATAATATATCCTTAGAGTCAATGTAAAAAGATCAGTATTGATAAATAATTTCAATGACATGGGAAGATGCTGCTGATATATTAAGTATATCATAACAGAATTACAATCATAATTCAATAAAATATTTTTAAAAGACTATAAAATTGTATTGGCAACAGAATCTACCAGTACATTAAAAATGTAATGTGTGCATGTGTGTGTGTTGGATATACTGTCCACAGTAGGTAGAGAAGTAGAAAGAGGCCGGGTACAGTGGCTCACGCCTGTAATCTCAGCACTTTGGGAGGCCAAGGCAGGTGGATCACGAGGTCAGGAGTTCAATACCAGCCTGTACAAAAAAGGGAAACCCTGTCTCTACTAAAAATACAAAAATTAGCTGGGCATGGTGGCGGGCACCTGTAATCCCAGCTACTCAGAAGGCTGAGGCAGGAGTATCACTTGAACCTGGGAGGCGGAGGTTGCAGTGGGCCAAGATCGCGCCACTGCACTCCAGCCTGGGCAAGAGAGCGAGACTCTGTCTCAAAGAAAAAAAAAAAGAGAAGTAGAAAGAGAGAAAGTGCACACAAGTGTAAAGACTGGAAAGGAGGCTGAGGCAGGAGGATTGCTTGAGCCCAGGAGTTGGAGGCTGCAGTGAGCTATGATTGCGCCACAGCTATGATTGCATTCCAGCCTGGGCAACAGAGTGACACCCTGTCTTTTAAAAAAGGGGGAAAAAAAAGATGGAAGGAAATGCAGCCTGTGCTGTACTTCTCTTTTTGAAGAGAAAGGGAAACATGGAGATGGAAAGGAAGTGAGATGGAGTAGAAAGAACACAGATTTAGGAGGCAGGTAGACCTGGCTTTAAGTCCATCGTAGGGGACTAAGATGTGACCTCCACCAAGTTTACTTAAGAAGTTTTACCTAACCAATCTGAGCTGGTTTCCTCATTTCAAGTGGGAATAATAATGTCTGCCTCCAAGGGCTGTGAAGAGGATGCAAAAAGAAAACACAAAGATAGGCATACAGGACTTCAATAAATGGTCATAATTATCAATATCACCGCCATTAGCACAACCACTAGTAACAGTGGTTAACATTTATAGAGCACTTGCTGTGTGCTAGCACTTTCTTAGTGCTTTGCATATAGTCATTTACTTACATCAAATCTCTGAGGGAGACAGCCTCTTATCTTCTTTCTACAGATAAGGAAGCACTGGTTCACAGAGGTTAAAGCCACTTCCCAAAGTCATTAATAGGTAGTGGCAGACAGTAAGGATCTGAACCCAGTCAGCCAGCTCCAGAGCCCCTTTTTTTTTGAGACAGAGTCTCGCTCTGTTGCCTAGGCTGTAGTGCAGGGGCATGATCTTGGCTCACTGCAACCTCCGCCTCCCAGGTTCAATCGATTCTCCTGCCTCAGCCTCCTGAGTAGCTGGATTACAGGCATGAGCCACCACGCCAGCTAATTTTGTATTTTTAGTAGAGATGCGGTTTCGCCATGTTGGTCAGGCTGGTCTTGAACTCCTGACCTCAGGCGATCCATCTGCCTCTGCTCCCAGAGTGTTGGGATTATAGGCATGAGCCACCGCACCTGGCCTCAGAACCCAAATTCTTATCCACTACTAAAGACTGCTGCCTGTCATCCCGGCATTTTGGGAGGCCAAAGCGGGCAGATCACTTGAAGTCAGGAGTTCGAGACCAGTCTGGCCAACATGGTGAAACCCCACCTCTACTAAAAATACAAAAATTACCTAGGTGTGGTGACGCATGCCTATAAACCCAGGTACTCAGGAGGCTGAGGCAGAAGAATGGCTTGAACTGGGGAGGTGGAGGTTGCAGTGAGCTGAGGTGGCGCCACTGCACTCCAGCCTGGGTGACGTTATTATTACTGACCTAAGATGATATGCAGTCCAGAGAAGACACATAAAGCGTCCTCCAAACACACTCAGCTCTCTAAGTCACCTTGTGGAAGTAAGAGAGGAAATGGGAAGGAAGCATATCATCAAGATAAACAACGGGTAACAGAACCCTGTTCAAATTACCTTGACACGCCAAAAGAGCTTTGCGACAATCATCCATGCTGAATCCCAGCTCCTGCAGCCTAGCCAGCTGTAACTCTAGGAAACAAATAGCATAAAATTTTCATAAATAATTTTATGTAAATTAATCTACAAACTAATTTTAGAAAAAAAGAAAAGAAATTTAAAAACCCGTGACTAAAACATTTCATTTCTCTAAGCAAAACTGGACTCCTAATTGGAGAATTCTATCAAGTGTACCCTGAAATCTTTGAGTCTCTTCCTCATATTGACTGTGTTTTTAAAGTGGTGTCCTGGCCAGGAATTGGGGTGGGGGGGGAAGGTCTATTTCGCATCTGGCCCCTTCATTCCACCATCTGGCCCCTACATTTTCCCCTGACTGTGTTTGAAACAGCTTAAAATTAGAGGTGGGCACAGTAGTGGCTCACACCAGTAATCCCAATACTTTGGGAGGCTAAGGCAGGGGGACTACTCGAGACCAGGAACTCAAGACCAGCCTGGGCAAAATAGCAAGACCCCGTCTCTAAAAAAAAAAGGTAAAAATTAGTGAGGCATGATGGCACACACCTATAGTCCCTCCCAGCTACTCAGGAGGCTGAGGAGTGAAGATAGCTTGGGCCCAGGAGTTTGAGGCTGCAATAAGCTATGATCACACCACTGCTCTCCAACCTGGGTGACAGAGCAAGACCCTGTCTAAAAATAAACCAATAAATTAATAATAAAAGCTTAAAAATAAAACTTAGTGTTACTCATATAATTTCAGAGGAGAACTCTCAAAGCTTAAAACTCAACTTTGGCATTATCCAGGTAACTCTGGAAAAAACTGAAAGAGGAAAAATAGTGGAGTAGTTGGTTAGGGATGTTTTGTTTGTTTTTAAATTTTAAAAAATGAGAGAGTCATACTTAGGACTTACAGTTATACTTAATGACATACAATTAAACTGTGTACAATTTAGTTGTGCAAAAGAAAATTTTAAGAGTCAAAAAGAAGAAGCGTTATTAGCAAGACTGAGTGGGTTTTATAGTTAAACACCTACCCAAGACAGGATCTAAGGTGTGTCTTGTCCCTTCTCTGATTTCCTCTCCAACGCGAGATGCACCTGGAAGGTAAGTGCCAACGGAGTCTGACTCCAGGGCCACTGAGTCTGGCACTGCAGCATTAGCTTGCTCTGGGATGGATTTTGCAATGGCAAGAAACAGCTGAACATCATTATAGGAGAGTCTGATATCCAGGGCTTGTAACTGAATCTAACAAAATGTAAAAAAGGTAGCAATTTTTTAAAGCTGCATTGGTTTTACATCCATATCTCTTACAGATGTAATTCCTATTTCAACTTCTAAAAGTCCAACAGATACTGCACCAAATTTCTCATTTAAAAGATTGCAAAGATCTTGAAAGTAAGCACTAATAACCGTAAGGTAAGATGTCTCAACTATGAGGTCAAATGGTCACAAAACTGCACCATGTAGCGGGCGGATCACGAGGTGAGGAGATCGAGACCATCCTGGCTAACACGGTAAAACCCTGTCTCTACTAAAAAATACAAAAAATTAGCCGGGCACGGTGGCAGGCCCCTGTAGTCCCAGCTACTCAGGAGGCTGAGGCAGGAGAATGACGTGAACCCAGGAGGTGGAGCTTGCAGTGAGCCGAGATCGCACCACTGCACTCCAGCCTGGGCGACAGAGCAAGACTCCATCTCAAAAAACAAAACAAAACAAAACAAAAAAAGAGGTTGTTGGGCTCAGAGCAAATAAGAGTGCCTGCATAGGACAGTGTTTGAGAGCATATCAACGTATTGCACAGATTTTGCATCATTACCTCCAGGACAGGTGGGAAATCTTCACTATTGAATGCATCCATCAATCCTGAACTATTTTGATAAGAAGAATTCCCCACCAACTCCATTTGAATTTGTACGGGATCCACAATTGAAAGAGCTGTATCATGCTCATTCCCTAGTCGGCATGAAAACACCTACAGAATGAAATGCAATATGGCGAGAATTAATGTCTGATTTAGGAAGGGTCCAACTACCAGCACAAAGAGGCTATCTCAGAAGCAGTCAGCCATGTGTTATCATAAGACCCATAACAACTGCTGAAATAAATACTGTGAAGAGTGAAGCCCCCCACCGCTGCCGAGAGCACACGCAGTGGTTCACCCAGAGGAAAAGGCAGTTTAGCAATACACCCCGAAAGCCTTACAAATCTCACACCCTTTGATCCAGTAATCCTACTTCTCTCTAGGAACTAGCCAAAAAAGAAAAAAATTCACTAAACCATTATTTAATAGTTAAAAAAAATTAAGAGCAGCCAAGGTTATATCACATCTACTCAATGGAATATTTGCAGCCATTTAAAAATGACAAAAAAGACCATATGGATTTTAAGAAGACAGTTACAACACAAAGTGAAAACACAACCCAAAATAATGTTACTCCCCAACTTTAAGGAAAGAAACACACCAAAATAACCTATCAGAAATCATATATGATTATTTTCCCTCCTCACAATATCTTCATAATTAAAAATAAACATATTATTAAAACTGGGTGATAGGTATATATGGAGTTCATTATATTATTCTGTTTACTTTGTATATGTTTGAAATGTTCTATAATAAAAGGTTAAAAAATAAATACATTCATTGGGAGAGAGAAAGAAGGGAGAGAGAGAGAAAGGACTCCAGTTCTAGGACCAAATTATTTTGCATGCTCAGGAAGAGCACAGCGGAAAGAAAAGACCAATCATTTGGGTCCTTCTTACCCTCTTCACCCCCTCCACCACCTTTTTGGGACCTATCCTAGTGCTGTGAAAAACATGTGACAGCAAGGTCCTTTGCCATATTCAAAATTCATACTTTATAAATTCTCCCCTGATGATTTATCAAGCTGGTCTTAAAATTCAGATCCAATTGTGCTGCCTCAAAGGCAGGACTGAAAGGAGTTTCCAGCGATCTCAAATATTTTGCCATGTAGTTGTCCTAAGACTTCAGAGCAGAACAGTTTCATTTTCCTTTTTCCTTCAGGGGTTTCTGCTACACAAAACCCAATTGTACCTGACAGTTCATTAATCAATCAGCAAGATTCTCCATTCAAAGCTAGTATTGTGGTGGCTTGGAAGGCAGATGAATTGCAATTTCATGATCAACTCACATCACACCAGCATGCAAATCCTTCCTCTCAAACGGAGGTTTCTTTACAAGACAGAAACAAGTGGTCAAGAAGTAGAGTCCCTACAGGCTTTATTCCACTATGTTTGTCTCAAAACCATAAACCATATACTCCTAACAGTGAAAATAAGTTTTATTCCTTCAAACTTTGAGCAATACCACTGGAAAGAAAGGGGCATGAAAAGGCCGATCGTAAAGCAAAAGGAACCCCGACCAAATATCCTAACAGTGTGGCATGGGGAATGTGAGCTGAGATGAGTCAAGTACAAACATCTGATAGAAACAAGAACCTGCCACGATTCCCCTTCTGTCTCCACACCCCATGGCTTAACAAGAGACAAAGCACTTTTGGCCTAATATTGCATAATGACATTTCCGAGCTACAAAGGCCACTCCAACACAAATTATCTTCTTCATGAGATGACATGAGAGCCTAAAGCACCACTATTATCCATGCGCTCCTTTCAGCCAGGCAGGACTCTGCAGAGCTGCCCTTTTATGGATCAGGTATTCCTGAAAGGATAACATATAAGATCCTTAGCACTCTGTATAAATAGGTTTCCCTTCCCAAAGCCCTAGCTCTTCACAGGGCTGCACTCCAGGTGAGGAGAGGGATGCAGGGGAAATGAGACCCACGGCCTCACCTTCATGGACGAGGTCTGCAGAACGAGAGGGCACAACAAGGTGCCTGACAGGGCAGTGGGGACTGGAAAAGTCTCCTTGAACTTCTTGAGGAAGAAAGGGTGTAAGAGAAAGAGGCAAATGTCCTCTGCATATTTATA
The DNA here is from genome assembly GCF_000001405.40 of Homo sapiens. Classification (NCBI taxonomy): domain Eukaryota; kingdom Metazoa; phylum Chordata; class Mammalia; order Primates; family Hominidae; genus Homo; species Homo sapiens. Next base: position 12,319,829 of record NC_000001.11, on the reverse strand, counting down.
GACTAACACTGGGAGACTGAATCCATGCATTAGAATAGCCAGGTAGATTTGGGGAGAAAACAAAGAGGAAAAGAGGGCAAGGGTCTTCCAATTTCATTAATTCCTTCCCCTCATGAAAGTTTAAGAGGGAAAATTCTCTTCCAGATGCTTTGCTCGTGAGCCAACACGCAGTGCTGTGATCAACACATAGACTTCTTACCTCAATGCCAAACAAACTTCCTGAAAAGGGGCGATCAACAAACCGGGGCTTATAGGTGAGCACTGTGGTGCCTTTCAGAATAATGGCATTGGTGTCGAAGCAGGACACATCTTCAATGACCACAAACTCCGTACCTGGAAAGGACAACGTCGTCAATCAAGCCAGAGCTGGGAAGCTGGAAAACACCAGGCTGTTGCAAACAAGGCAGCGAGCGCATTTCCACCAGGCAACAACATGAACCAGTAAGATTTTTCTCCAAAATGTCTGCTGACATTTACTAACAGTGTCATCCTGAACCAATACTCTGCATCTGGCCACATGCAGCTGAACCAACAGAGCTCTGCAGCAGCAGGAAAGACTGGGATGTGATTTCTCTCTTTAGAATATTTCTAAACTAGACAGAGAAACTGCACCCCAGTTCTCCTGGGAGGCCTAGGAGATATTCAGAAGTTCACAAAATCATCCTTTCTCTAAGTGATGACCTGACTGAAAATTCCAGGGAGAAGACTCAGCTACTAATGCTGGTCAGGCACTATGCATCTAAGTAGCTATTTACAAGGTTGTTTACAAAGAACAGACCAATTTAATATCGAGATTTTTGAAATCAGTAAGTTTTCAACTTATGTGTATATATTTAATAGTAAATTCACTCTGCTTTAAACTGTGTTTTTATCAAAAACCATATACAGATCAAGCTTGTAACTGAACTCATGTAAAACGCATTGTGCTAGCCAGCTTCATCAAAATCACTGAGAAGCAGGTACAGGTATCAGAAACATAACAATAAATACACAAATACATACAGATGCACTAGATGAGTTCGCTAGTCAACAAATGCCATAGTAAATTCATCTATACAAAGAAAAATATTCTTTTTGTAATGAAAATAAAAATCTCCTCACTTACTTATCTTCAAAACTGAGGTTTTCACATACGAAACTTGCCTAAACTCCATAAACCACATCTGTTAGGGCCCTAAAGATCAAACGGCAAATTACAGACAGACTGTACACTGGAAAAAAAAAGACCACTGCCCAGGCGGGTGCTCGGGCCAGACACAAGCACTAGGCAGGCAGGGGACAGGGACAAGCGACCCCGCAGTCTTCAGTGGGCCAGACAGCTCCCACCTGAAAATGGAGGCCAAGACCTCTGATGCTTGCAGGTCTGTAAAAGAGGCAAATGTGTAAGTGCTCACGTGAAAAATGGGAGGCAAAAGAGCAATCATCCTGTAAGGCAGATATTGAGCCTAACATCCAAACTAAGCACCAATGAATCACACCCACATATAATCACCTGTTACATTGACCTTGACCTCCAGGTGCCTTTCATTGGACACAGGAAGGGAAGACCGCTTGGTAACTACTCCACTCTTCACAGTTTTGGGAACTATAGCAGATTCGCTGCTAGAGTTACGGTGGCGAGAAGGAGTAACATGATTTTGTTTCTTAATATCACTGGGAGTGTGGAGAAAATCATGGACTAACAGTAGCCAGTCAAATATGAGAAACACACGGAGATTGTTGAGAACTACTGTAAAGCAGGAGGAATCCTTGGTAGATCTATAAAAAGAAGACAGGAGAAAATAAATAGGAAAAAAGAAACATGGTTATTTCAATAACCTGCAAATGTACTGCTCAGTTTTGGCAGGTGGTATTCCGGTATTTTCCAAACTGCCTGCTTTGAGTATCAGTAAACTTTGAACACTGGTTGAATAACACATTCAGTGTATTACTGGTTTAATAACACATTCAGTATAATAAGTTAATCATATTTTTAAACAACAAGGAACATTTTATAAGAAAGCAGCATAGGTAGTATAGCTCAGTGGTTCTCAATCAGATGGTTTTGCTCCCCTGAAGACATTATTTCTTTTCTTTTTTTTTTAAGAGACAGGGTCACACTCTGTTGCCCAGACTGGAATGCAGTGGCACGATCACAGCTCACTGTAACTTCAAACTCCTGGGATCAAGTGATCCTCCCGCCTCAGCCTCCCAAAGTGCTAGGATTACAGATGTGGGCCACTGCACCTGGCCCTTGGAGACATTTTTTATTCACATTTCAATTGCAATTGCAACTAGAGGGGGTTGCTATTGCTATCTAGTATAGGTAGAGGCCAGGGATGCTGTTAACTAACCCACGATGTACAGGACAGCCCCATAATAAGGAATTATCTGACCCAAAACGTTGATAGTGCTAAGGTCAAGAAATTCTGGTATGATAAAGAGCACAGGCTTTGAAGTCAGAGACGCAGACTTAAATACTGCCATTTACGAGCTGTGTTATCTTACGAAAGCCACCTACCTTCTCTCAGCCTGTTTCCCTACTTATAAAATGAAGAATATTAATATGATAAGAAATAAAGCACCAGGCACAAAGCAGTCATTTGATAAATGTCACTTTCTTTCCCTATGGGCTATTTCAAGAAGATCAATGAGGCACTCCTTCTTTGACGTCTAGGATCATTTCTTTATAAATAATACCAAGTTTACACACACTAGTACTAGATTGTTTCTCTAATTGAAACTGACCTGACAGCCCAGATCTTTTGGCCCGAGGAGAACAAGTAAGATGACATTTACCAGGGATAAATGTCCCCTAAGTAACCTAGAGGTAGAGTTGGGGTGGGGGTGGGGGGACAAGTTGCCATTGCTCCGAAGTCTACATTTGACGTGAAAACCCAGCGAGGACTCTCAGGCCTGACTTCAAACCATGATGCAGTCAGGGGCTTCATCCAGGCCCTATTAGTACATCAGCAGGCCCAGCCTACTAATGGATAAGGCCTCAGATGAGTAGGACAAGAGAAACAGGGGCTGGAGCACTTGAATGCGGTTTTCTGGGTTGAACTTGGTTCCGTAAGCCCAAAAGCGACTCTGGGGTTGTAGCTACTACATGTACCTGGTTCCCTGACATAAAAGGTATTCCTATGTGGGAAAAGCTAACTTGGAAATATTTCTGAGGCTGGTTTCTCTGCTCCTCATTTCCCCTAAACCTGGCTCACTGCCTCTAGTAAAAGGGCAGCATGATGCATGGCTCCTTCTTACAGACACAGCATTTTTCACAGAAACACTCTACTCTTGTGTAATGGAGAAAAAATGTTGCCCTCAGTAAAATTTTTCCACCCCATTTTGAACATAGATTGTCAGAGTTCTGTATTTAACTGGAAAGTCACAGTGTGTTGGATCCCTTTTCTGGAAAATATTTCAAGCCTTTAAACACTGTGAAGTGATTTATATTTGACACACAAGATCCCAACAGAAGAGTAATTCTTCTTCAGACACGAAAGGCGTTCAAAAATTCCCATCTAAAGAACATTTCACTCCTCTTGCTAACAATAGTATTTCTGTTAGCAAGAGCCAAGGTAAGGCTTTATTATTTGACTCCAATTATACACCTATAATACACAAATATTTCCAGGCTCCCTGTATATTAAAAATATGATAAGAAGGAGACAACTACCTGACAGTCTAAGAAGCCAGATCAATAATAATAAAGTAAACTCAAAAAGAAATGTTTCTCGGCCGGGCACGGTGGCTCACACCTGTAATCCCAGCACTTTGGGAGGCTGAGGCGGGCAGATCACAAGGTCAGGAGTTTGAGACCAGCCTGGCCAATATGGTGAAACCCCGTTTCTACTAAAAATACAAAAATTAGCCAGCCATGGTGGCAGGAGCCTGTAGTCCCAGCTACTCAGGAGGCTGAGACAGGAGAATCACTTGAACCCGGGAGGCGGAGGTTGCAGTGAGCTGAGATCGTGCCACTGCACTCCAGCCTAGGCGACAGAGTGAGACTACGTCTCAAAAAAAAAAAAGAAATGTTTCTCCAGATGGAACAAACAGATGCCAGCCTCTTGTTCAAAGGAAACATCTTCAACCAAATGAACTGCAAAATGGGGCCATCTTATCACATGACTGCAATCAGCCCAATGACGAGACACCTGATAGGTCCAAAGACTGTTGGAAACATCATGGGCTTTAACATCACATACCCAGGTTTGAGCTCTGATTTCTTGACCTACGAGCTGTGTGACCTTAGAAGAGTGAACTAACCCTTATCCAAGTTTCTAACTTGGAAACTGCAAAATGAGGAAGAAGTCATCCCCTCTGCAGACTTGTCAGGATTATACTGAGCGTAGCTAAAGTGCCTGGCTCATGGCAGGGCCCAATAAGAGGCAATTAGGATTCCTACTCCTGAACTTTTAAAGTTCATAAAAAAATGTAAATGTCTACTCTGCTAGATTTCCTAAAGGCATATGAAGAAATCATGACCTCTCTCGAAAAACAAAACAAAACCTAAACCCTGGGGAATTCTGAACAGCACATTGAAATGTCAGGCATACAGAAACATGTAAGAATAATCCTGATGACTTTTTGTTCTGTTTTTTGCTTAAACACAAAGTTTTTCACAATCTTTTTACTTAGTGGTTTATACTTACAACATGTCTGATGACATGAAGCACTAACAGAAGGGAGGGTCTCCTTTTTGGGTTTTCACTGAAAGACTTCTTTAGACCAGGCCTAATTTTTCAGTTTTAAGGTCTATGTTCAGCCATAACATCAGCAAATGGTATATCATAAAACAACATGTTATATCAGCATAACAATGACAGCTGCCAACTGTGCCAAGCAATATGCCAGAATTACTTTAATTATTACCTCTACCCCATGAGGTGGGTATAGGTAATTTTCTATTTTATATAAGAGGAAGTTGAGGCTCAAAGGGGCTAAACAACTTGTCTAAGGACACATAGCTAGATAATAGGAGAGCAAGGTTTTCAGCCCAGATCTGTCTGATTCCAAAATATATGTTCTTTCTATATAGAACACTGCCTCCCATAATACCAGAAAGAAAAATATAACCTAATTCAAAAAGGTAAAAACTATGTATACATGGATAATGAGTCAGTAAGACTTGAATGGGTAATTCAAGTCAAACCCACCTTCCCTTCCATTATTTGTAAAGACCAAAAGTCTTTTTACTTTTTTCCTTAAACCAGCATAATTTCTTCCTTCTCCAAGCCACTTTACAAATTAAAACAGTCTACAGCTTACAAGGAGATTGATTTTAAGGCTCAATTCTTAACTACTTTATTTTTAAAGGCAACAGAGACATCTTTTGGCCAATAAATGAAACTGCAAGATTATAGGAATAATGCATTAATATACAGTACACTGCACTGATTAAGCCATTATCTATTTATCTGTCTAGTGATTCCTTGGTTTTTTGATGTTCTAAAGCCAACAAAGACGTGACCCAAAAGGGAATGTCTCCACAAAGAAAGGCAGAGAAGGGTCTGGACCTGCTACCTGAAATGTAGTTCAATCTGAATGGACCCTTGGGTGGTGCTGCTGTTCTTAGCGGGCTGAAAGATACAGCTGAACACATTCGTCATGCCAGGGCTGGTCTTCTGCCCAGCATAACGGGTGTCAAAAGCCATCATGGAATGGGAAACCAAGTTAATGGACTTGGTTTGGTTGGAAAAACTTTCATAGAGCAGTTTGCATTTCTTGAAGTCAAATCTAAAAGAGAGAAAAGAAAGCAAGCAAGATGTGAAACACAACTCTTCCATTTTACAAAAGTATATAAGTTCGAGATAACGAGCAAAATCAAAAATATATCTAAGTCCCATAAGGAGAATAACTTTCATTCTGAGTTTTCTTGTTGATTCTGTTAATAGACTCCTCAAAATGGAGTTAGTGTCACTGTGCCTTGGATCTTACTTTTCCAGTTCCAAAGAGATGATCTTGTTCATAGGAACGGCATGAGAAGTAACAATACCACATGTTTAACATATTCTGAATCCGTTATCATTCCCATGACCCATCAGAAGTCTAAGAAGGCTGTATATCCCCAAAGGATGTCAAGGGTCCCTCTGGGCCTTCATCTGTCAGCTTCTAGCTTGCCTGGATGTTTCACTCTCCAGGGTCTGTCCAACTGTTTATGTGAAACTGCTGTAGTGTACTGGGAACAAATAATACTCTTCACATGGAGAATAATTCAACTAATCTACCAACAGGAAATGCATTTGGAACCATCGTTTTTTCATAACCGAGAAAGCTGCAATGAGGAATTCATAATTACTCGGTACCATTATGACAATACATACAGAATTATTCCATATTGAGAAAAACTAAGGGCACAGCCAATCATCACAGAAAATCGCTGGGTGACGTGGCTCATGCCTGTAGTCCCAGCTACTCGGTGGGGCTGAGGTGGGAGGATCACTTGAGCCAGGGATGTGGAGGTTGCAGTGAGCCGAGATGGCACCACTGCAGTCCCGCCTGGGCAACAGAGAGAGATTCTGTCTTAAAAAAAAAAAAAAAAAAAAAAAAAAGGAAAGAATAAAATTGCTAGCTCACAAGACCACCAATGTGGGACCACAGTTTCAGTATGCAACGCTCTCACCAGCTGAGTTAGGTACAGACCGTGGCGGACTTTCAACAGAAAGACTAACTAGAAGACAGAGTGCTTCAGCAGGGAATCACTGGCCTTGAAGTCCTGTTTTCAAATGCCAAACCACTTTCCCAGTCATACGACCTTAAGCTAGTCAGAAACTCTATCTGGAAAAGAGTGATGTACGCCCAGCTTACAGGACTGATAAGAGATCAACATGAAAAGGTTATTAAGTGTGAAATGCACTTTTTAAAGTTCCACACCAGTAATCACGAATTCATACATTTACACTGACTAAGGAAGTGACAGAAATAAGCGAAGGACTAGGTAAGCATATGCCCCATTTCAAGGGAGCAATTGCTACTCCGCTTCCAGATGCTTCCAAGTGAGAACATGGACCTAGTATTGCCAAAGCTTCCAGTTTTTCAAAAGAAGCTAAATACAAACCTTTTATATAAAATCCTGCAACTTTTTGGGGCGGGAGGGACCAGGTTTCAGCTGTCACCTAGGCTGGAGTGCAGTGGTGTGATCATGGCTCACTGCAGCCTCAATCTCCTGGTTCAAGTGATTCTCTCACCTTAACGCCTTGAGTAGCTGGGACTACAGGCATGCACCACCATGCGCAGCTAGTTTTTTAATTTTTTGTAGAGACAGGGTCTCTCACTATGTTGCCCAGGCCAGTCTGGAATTCCTGGCCTCAAGCAATCCTCCTTCCTTGGCTTCCTAAAGTGCTGGGACTACAGGCCTGAGCCACTGCGCCTAGCCCCTAACTTTGAAAATGTTGGCCAGCAAGGCATCAATGCTGCACATCAAGTGGTTCTGCATCTCCCACCCCGTAACTACTCAGACACACAGCAAGACAGGACTTTCTGACTCCATCACCCTGTGTGGGACCATATTTTAGTTCCACAAAGTCTGCCAGAGCATTTAGTTGCCATTCAACACCATTCAGAGCTCATTTTTCCCGCTGGCACATCAAAACACTAGCTGCTCTGTCACCCTAAGCGACTACAACAAGCAGAGCAGCCCAGACCCACAATGGTCACAGAGTATGAGGGAGAAAAAGATCTTCACTGTTTTAAGTCACTGATACTTTGGGGTTGTCTGTTACTACAGCATAACCTAACCTATGTTGACTGATAGAGCATGAATCTAAACTTTTCAAAAGCACTGTGTAGATCAACCAAAAGACACTCTGCAGACAACATTCCATCTGTGGGCCACCACTCTGCAACCTCTGCTCTGTGTCAATGCAAAACATGTGTATTATTTGGATACTGTTACTAACAGTATAATAATATAATCAAAGGCATACCTGGCTAGGGACCCAGCACCTTCTTTTCTTTTTGGATCTTTAAGCTCCAGACTTACATTCACCATATCAATGAGGAAGCACATACAGGTGTACACTTCTCCACTCAGGACAGTCTACAAAAGGAAAATGCTCGTCAATCCACAGCTGATGATGCCATCCTAAAAACAGGCTCATACGCCAAGAAATCTAATTTGCTTGTTGCTCCACCTTCTTTCTCCAAGTGAGTTTGAGGAATAGATACACAGGGTGACCGTCAGCTGAGACTATGAGAGTGACAGAAGAACATAAGGTCTCACTCACATGAATTCTTGGATCTTGTAAATCATAAGGCCGCATAAATTCCTCTATGGGTTCTCCCAGGTTGTTCTCTAATAAGCCGCGGATCAGCTTGTATTTATACAGATCCAGAGAGCAGTGGACTGAGGAGAGATTGCCATGGATAGATATGTCTGGCACAGTATGACTTATTTCTCTATGAAAAAGAAAAAAGATCACTTACACAGACAAGTCACTAACTTAACACTGACATAGCTCACGCCCAAACAACGGGGCTAAAATGTACTCACCTACATTATCAAGTAGGTAATTCCTACTTCCAATGACAAAAATTTCATGTAGCTCCAAATGAAGCAAGTTAATATGACTGTCATGCTTCAACTACAAAAAGCCCCTTTTCTCCCAAAATTTACATTTAGAAAATCCTCAAACCAGGCCAGGTGTGGTGGCTCACACCTATAATCCCAGCACTTTGGGAGGCTGAGGTGGGAGGATCACTTGAGCCCAGGAGTTCGAGACCAGCCTGGACAACATAGTGAAACCCCATCTCTACAAAAAATGCAAAAATTAACTGGGCATGGTGGTGTGCACTTGTGGTCCCAGCTACTCAGGAGGCTGAGGTGGGGGTTCACTTGAGCCCAGGAAGTCAAGGGTGCAGTAAGCTGTGATCGTGCCACTGTATTCCAGCCTGTGTGACAGAGTGAGACCCTGTGGGAGGGAGAGAGGGAGAGAGGGAGGGAAGGAGGGAAGGAGGGAAGGAGGGAAGGAGGGAAGGAGGGAAGGAGGGAAGGAAGGAAGGAGGGAAGGAGGGAAGGAAGGAAGGAGGGAAGGAGGGAGGGAGGGAGGGAGGGAGGGAAGGAAGGAAGGAAGGAAGGAAGGAGCAAGAAATGGAGGGAGGGAAATCCTTAAACCTAGTATGAGGTAACTAATCTATTAATAAGGAAAACCTCATGAGACTCACAAAGAGCTTAAATATTACACTTGGGAAAGCAATAAAGAAAAGATGCCAAGATCTTTATTTAACTCTTTGGATTTAGTGGTAACTAAAGGCAAACACCAGTGTTTCATACTGAGCCCAGATGGGACATGAGGATAAACTCTGAATAGGTTCGTCATCTCAGCTGGGATGGACAGAAGTAAAGTTGAAGAGGGGGAGGGGCACACATCTGTACCTCATCTCAATACTAAAAAGCTTTCTCTAACCTCCCATGGGTGAACTGGGCATTGTGAATCCTACAGACACTATGCTCTAAGTATAGAGAGGGCTAGTGTTTGAAATGGCAGAGGTATATAAGAAAAGTTATTTTGTCTGCAGAGAAAAGCCGACATACAACAGAGTTTTAAAAGACAATGATGCAATAACAAAGAAAAACAGAGACGGCTGACCAAGTGCCATCTCGGGTTGCTGTGTGTGCAGTGTGAGACTGACAGGACACCTTGCATTCAGCATCACCTTCTATCAGGCCTAACAGAATACAATTATCTGCACAGAAACACTGATGGGAGTGGGGAAAGTTTAGATAAGCTGAATAGGAAAGCTTTTTTTTTGTTTTTTGGAAAGCATTGCTTGAAAAGAAAACAAAGTGTTCAATTTCTAAATAACGAAGCTCCTCTTAAGACTGCTTAGCCAGTAAAACCAAATATAGCCCATGCCAACCATAACTGAACACCAGCCAGGGAGCACTTGAATAACACGTAAGACTGAAACACAAACATCCCAGTGAGAACAGCTAAGTTGTATCATTAATCCAGAAAGAAACTAAAAAAGTGACATTAAATGACTTGCCCAAACCAAGAACTGTGAAGGGAGTGGCCAAAAAGAGATTCAAATCATGCTCTATACAAATAATAAACCTGTTTTTCTTTCTTTCTTTTTTTTTTTTTTTTTGAGACTGAGTCTTGCTCTGTCACCCAGGCTGAAGTGCAGCGGCTCAATCTAGGCTCACTGCAACCTCCACCTCCCTGGTATAATCAATTCTCCTGCCTCAGCCTTCCCGGTAGCTGGGATTACAGGCACACGCCACCATGCCTGGCTAATTTTTGTATTTTTTTTTTAGTAGAGACGGGGTTTCACCATGTTGGCCAGGCTGGTCTTGAACTCCTGAACTTGTGATCTGCCGCCTCGACCTCCCAAAGTGCTGGGATTACAGGCATGAGCCACCATGTCCATATGCCAAGGCGGGCATGCCAAGGCAGGTGGATCACGAGGTCAAGAGATCGAGACCATCCTGGCCAACATGGTGAAACCCCATCTCTACTAAAAACACAAAAATTAGCTGGGTGTGGTGGCATGCGCCTGTAATCTCAGCTACTTGGGAGGCTGAGGAAGGAGAATCGCTTGAACCCGGGAGGTGGAGGTTGCAGTGAGCTGAGATCTCGCCACTATACTCCAGCCTGGTGACAGAGTGAGACTCCATCTCAAAAAAAAAAAAAAAAAGAAAAAAAAGATCAAATCAAACATTAAATTAGAATCATGTGCTTAACTACCTGTATCCCTCAACAAAACATAAGTTCCTTCAAAGGAATTAGTTTTCTCTTTCATCACAGTAGCCCTCATGTTCAGCACATAGTAGGGACTCAATAAACATTTGTTAAATAGACGAAGAAATAAGTGAATAACTAGTTCTTCCAAACTTATCTTAATAGCACTGATTTCCACGTTAAGATTCTACTTATCATAGACAGTTATTCAGATATAAAACATTGGCTGGGCATGGTGGCTCACGCCTGTAATCCCAGCACTTTGGGAGGCTGAGGCAGGCAGAACACCTGAGGTCAGGAGTTCAAGACCACAACATGGTAAAACCCCATCTCTACTAAAAATACAAAAATTAGCCGGGCATGGTAGCATGTGCCTGTAATCCCAGCTACTTGGGAGGCTGAGGCTGAGGAGAATCACTTGAACCTCAGAGGTGGAGGTTGCAGTGAGCCAAGATTGCGCCACTGCACTCCACCCTGCCTGGTGAACAGAGCGAGACTCCATCTCAAAAAAAAAAAAAAACACTCACTTGTCCAAATTCCTTTCCACCTGCAATTTCAGCCTACAAGGCTCGGTTAAGAGGCTTCCTCCTGTCTGTCGCACAAAATAGGAAGGGAAGATCAGATCTCCACTACTATCCTCTGGTGCCTTCGAGTATTCTCTCGGATGTCTCTCTGCAGCAAAGATGTCCATGTCCTGGAGATCCACGACAACGCAATCCAGCAGGCAGACATGGTCTTCTACAAGGACCCAAGGAAAGAGAGGTAATGAAGAAAAGGGGACCCAAAAAGGGGTTGCACTAAACAAATAAAAAATGCAAAGCTCATTCTGTCTTTGAAAATGTTTACAGCTGCCTGCTTCCCCACACTGTCCACTACTCAGAAAACTGGCTGTCCAGGAGTCTCCACTATGGCAGCCAGACCTCCTTATGCAAAGCTCCATGTGCTCGACACACCCTGCCCACCCGCCTCCACTCCAAGCACAGACCGCGTCACAGTTCTACGGTGTCTCATGCCCATGCTGTGACAACAACTGAGGCTGGGGGATTGATGACGAAATCTGACTCCATAGGCAATCCCTCCCCACGCACAATGCTACCAAAAGGTTTACAAACTTTCTCCAGCACTAAAATTATTTTTTCAAACAAATACTGCCACATGTAACCACGTCCATTTCCACTGACCAGATCCAAACCACCTTCATTCTTGCCTAGACCAAAAAGAACTCTCCTCCATTAGGCCTACATAATTCCATTCTAGCCCTCACAAAACCACTCTCCCCACCAAATACCTGAGTAATCCTTAAAAAAATAAACAGTCCATAACATTCACTTATTTTATACACTTACTGGCTACGGTTAATCCAAAATTCTTTCTGTAAGCCGGGAGCGGTGGCTCACACCTGTAATCCCAGCACTTTGGGAGGCTGAGGCAGGTGGATCACCTGAGGTCAGGAGTTCAAGACCAGCCTGGCCAACATGGTGAAACCAGTCTCTACTAAAAATATAAAAATTAGCCAGGGGTGGTGTTGGGCGCCCAAATCCAAGCTACTCAGGAGGCTGAGGCAGGAGAATGGCTTGAACTCGGGAGGCAGAGGTTGCAGTGAGCCAAGATCACGCCACTGCACTCCAGCCTGGGCAGAACAAGACTCCATCTCAAAACAAAAAAGAAACAAAATTATTTCTGTAAAACTCCCCCAAATCCCTACAAGGCCCTGCACAAGCCCACTGCCTTCTTTCCCAAGCTCATTTCAAGCCATTCTCTCTCCTGCTCACTAGGCCTCAGGCTTACTGTCCTTTGTTACCCCCAAAATGCCAAGCTCTTTGCTGCCTCAACAGCCTTACAGGTGGCATGGCCCGCCCCTCTCATCTAAATTCAGTCTTCTCTCTTCTTCTGTCTTTTCCATGATAACATTTATTATAATCTATCAATATTTAAATGCTCAATGTCTTTTTCATTAGTCTATAAGTAGCACTGTAGGAGGAGCCATGTCTAACAGCATGTTAATATACTAGGGAATAAAATATCATAACACCTGGCATTACGTGGGCACTGAAAAAATTAGTTTTTTATTAGTTACTTACATTGATAAATACATGGAATAGATAAAAGTAGAGCTGATCTGCTAGAAGGGGGTAAGGAAAGTGAATGAAGCAGGCTTTGGAGATTCTCCAGGGCAGGGGTCCCAAATCCCCAGGCCACAGACAGGTACTCACAGTAGGAGGTCAGCGAGCATTACCACCTGAGCTCTGCCTACTGTCAGATCAGCGGTGGGATTAGATTTTCATTGGGGTGCAAACCCTATTGGGAATTGCCTAAGAGAAGGATCTAGATTGTGTGCTCCTTATGAGAATCTAATGCCTGATGATCTGCGGTGGAACAGTTTCATCCTGAAACCATCCCCAACCCTGTCTGTGGAAAAATTGTCTTCCATGAAACTGGTCCCTGATGCCAAAAAGGTTGGGGACTGCTGCTCTAGGGTACTGCTATGGAATCCTAGGATTACATGGAAACAGTGTGAAAACCACTGTCTTAATCCAAGACAATGTATCATTAATAGTGAAATTTCAGAAACAAATAGCAAATCAGTAGGAGATATACTGTTAAAAAAGAGACATTCTTTCTATAAAACATCCCAAATCACTTCTTAAAGGCATCCACCAATACATATGTAAGACTGGCCTTGTTCCTAATCATCACAGACGTCATAACATCAGTGGCGGCAAGCACCATATGCCGAGTGGCCCTCAGGTGCAGCCCCCTCTGTGTTCTAGATGTGCATGCAGACAGACTGGCAAGCAGTATCATGTTCAGTTACAATTCGGTTCTGGAGTCAGACTGCCAAAATTCGTAGTCCAACTCTTCCATTACTACCTCATAACCTTGGGCAGGTCAGGTTACCCAATCTCTGCAAGCCTTTGCCTCTTCATCTGTGAAATCGGGGCGGATCACGAGGTCAGGAGATCGAGACCATCCTGGCTAACACGGTGAAACCCCATCTCTACTAAAAAATACAAAAAATTAGCCAGGCGTGGTGGCGGGCGCCTGTAGTCCCAGCTACTCGGGAGGCTGAGGCAGGAGAATGGCGTGAACCCGGGAGGCGGAGCTTGCAGTGAGCCAAGATCGCATCACTGCACTCCAGCCTGGGCAACAGAGTGAGACTCCATCTCAAAAAAATAAAAATAAAAATAAAAATAAAAATAGAAAAATAAAAACCCTGCAGGAGTGTAATGTGAACAAAATAATTAATGTAAATAATGCACCACAATGTTTGGCACATAGTGTTTCACAACTACTACTACGGGGATGAAAATTATCTTGTTAAATGATCAACACAATTAAAACCACTTTCCTGTCACCTCTAGGACTATAAGGTACCAGAGAGAGCTAACAATTCCTCGGATCTATGTAACAAGACACTCAGCAGCCTCTCTCAGCTAGTGTCCTGCATCTTGCAAAGTCTCATCACACTGGACTGATCTTTGCAGCTCATCATATTCTGCCTCCGTCTCTAGCAGCTCAGAGCAGCTCCCACTTATCGGGCACATGACTCATCCAGAACACATTTAACAACAGAAAAGAGGCCAGGCCCGGGGGCTCATGCCTGTAACCCCAGCACTTCGGGAGGCTGAGGCAGGAGGATCACTTGAGCTCGGGAGTTTAAGACCCAGCCTGAGCAACATAGCAAAACCCCATCTCTACAAAACACACAAACACACACACACAAAAATTAGCTGAGCGTGATGACACATGCCTGTAGTCCCAGCTACTCAGGAGGCTGAGGTGGGAGGATCGAGTGAGCTCAGGAGGTCAGTGCTGCAGTAAGCCATCATCACAACACTGCACTCTAGCCTGGGAGACAGTGAGAGACCCTGTCTTGAGGGGAAAAAAAAAATACATAAAACCAGAAAAGCCTCCAAAATAATGTTCTCATTTGGAATGACTAATTCTTATATTGGAGAGAAGAACACCAATAACCAGATGGTTCATGTCTTTTAAACTCTGTGCTACAGCATTTCTGTTGTTGCCTAATTTACGCTAATATTTTTTAATGTGTTCTTTTATATTTTTTAGACTTAGTGGTTTGCAAGGACAGTGTCTGGGTAGTGGCTTGCAGAATGCAGGACTCTTTCTACTTATACTATCACTATCTGGTGGCAACTATTTTCACCTATAAGAAAAAAGTCCTAATAGGCTATCTAAAAATCTCTTTAATTACACTATATCGTGCTAATTTAACCCTACTTTACAAGTCATCCAATGATAAATCTACACCCAAAACTCTTAAACCTTGTAAAGCAAAATCAGAATCTCATCATCGTTAAAGAAATGCTATCTCTTCGTTAACATTTGCTTGAACACAATGCCCACCCCCCTCAGTTTCCTCAACAGTCCTGTGAATTTCCCCACCTTCAGTATTATGTTGCTTTTCTCCTCTTTTACCTGGACTACTGGACTCTTGGCCAACAGACAGTGTGGGTTGCGGCCCTTGCTGCTTGGTGGAGGTACTGGGCACAAACTCACTCTTCAGGCTTCCTAGGCTCATTCCAGCAAGAGGCATCGTGAACTGCCCCTGGGAATGGGTTCCCCTGGGCTCCTCCGTGCTTGTCGTTTTCCTCAGACTGTGTTTGGGAATACCCGTTGGGGAAGCTGAAGGCACAGATTCCTGGGAAGGAACAAAATAAAACTAGAATGCAGGAAATGGGAAGGGGGCAGCACTGGTGGTGGGACTCTATCTTTAATATCTCCAAAGTCCTATCCCAGTCCCTAGGGTCTTCAAAGACTCTATAATACTTATACTTCCCTCAGCCTCCCAGATCCCATAAACAAGAGGCTACCAGGATCACGACATTTACTGCCACAAAAAATTATCAGCAGAGATGTTACATATAGTTCAATACTTGCTGAAAACTTCTGCAGGAAGATACCATCTTTTGGCTCAAGAGCAAATGTGAAGATGCCAATTGCTTCAAGTGGTTTAATCAAGGTCAAATGCGGCAAAAGCAAGTCTCTCAGCTATATGACAGTTTGTTGCTTTGCTTTTGGGGAGGGGCATATTGTTTTAAGAAAAGACATCTAATGGCAACATGGCTCCAATGTGTTTGTACCTTCTAGATGTCTCCCCTCATGGGTTTACATTTCCCATCTAAGTAACTGTAGAAATGAAAACAAAAGAGGCCAGCCATTCCTATGATGTTTCTGCTCAAGGACATACAAATTAAGAAGGGCTAACAGAGAATAAAATGATTCAGTAATTCTATTGAAAATACTACTCTTTTCTTACACACTTAGTACCTTCATTCGGTTAACTGCTAACAGAGGAAAATCTATTTCACCAGAACAATTCAATAATTGACTTTTAAGCTTCCCAGGGCTTCTTCATGGAGGCCTCGGAGCTACATGTCTGCACAGCTCCCGTAGCATCATGGTTCCCATCTTGCCATTCTCAACCGAATCTGGGAAGAGAGGAAGGATGGCTCTCCCTCTAGGGCTGCCTTTATGTTGACTCCTCTCAGCTTTGGAAAAGAATACAAAAACACTGCTCCCTTTCACAGTTCTCTCAAGTAGTAATTACAAGTAAAAGAAACTAGTTCTTGCTTTCTGCAATTTTTTTATTTTTTTGCAAGGCAGATTACTAGGTAAATGTCATTATTTAAGTATTTCAACATTAAAACCTTTCCCTCTCACTTAGTTTATTTAAACTCTGTAAAGTGTTTGTTGCCCTTTCATTTGATTCATCTCTACATCCTCTCTGTAGTTGGTTTAAATAAATCAGTGGCTTGAGAAGATTAACCCAAAGCTTTTCAAAGATTTTGACTTAGAAATTGTGGTTTAAGCATAAGCTATGGTTGAGAAAAGTGAAATAAAAGCATATGCAAAAAAACTCAATCTTGTACTCATTAAGACATGGATTTATGTAAAACAATTCCAAACACACAGGAGTCCTGGAACTCAAGGGCAAATAACCCGTCTCCAAGCTTTGATTTCAGGATTATTTCCTGTTCTTTAACCACTGGAATGCATATTAGACAAACCTCACACATGCAAATGTATTCAAAGGCAAATGCAAATACAAAATGATGGCTGGTGAAGAAGGTAATTATTCATTTCATATAGACTGTAATCAATTATATTTAACTGTATGCATGGGGAGGTGAACTTCACAGATGTGTTTATCTGCTTACAAATACTTGAACAAGCAACACACTCCAAACAGCCCTTATGGAATTCTACAGAACAATCACTGGTACCCAGTAAGATAGTTTTTCTAAGATTTAAGGATATAAAATAAGATCACCAAGAACGTACTAGTGAAGGCTAAAAAAAAAAAAAAAAAAAGGAATTCTTTTCAATGGGCCTTAAGAACAACATCTTTACATAGTATGAAAGTAATTCAAACACTTAAAAAAAAAAGTTAATAAGCAGGCTTTCTCAAGTAATGAGATATTTTAAAGGGTTGGTTTTAATTTTCTTTTTAAAGCATGTGAATGTGGATTGACTGCTGAATCCCATAAGGTTTTTCAGAATAGTCAGGTTGCAAAAAAAGCACATTATACCTTGAAGAAAAAGCGCTCCTTGTATGCACTGCCACTTAAAATCAAATCCTCAAAAACAAATACAGGGAAATTTTTTTCATTAAAACACTACAAACTCTGTGCTATTATTTGACTTAAAAAATAGGAACCCTTTTGCAAAAATGTCTTCAGTATCTTGGCAATTCTTCTGCCGAGGCTAACTTCAGGGCCTGCTGGTAAACCCATACATAGATATATCTGATAAGGAAACTCTGGCCAGTACCTTTTTAGGAAGGATAGAGAAACAAAAATGGTCCTGGTGAACTTGGTCACACAATCTGGCTAGAACTGATTTCCTCCTAAAAATTTTAGTATGGCCTCAAAGTAAAGATTTACCACAAATAAATACAGTTGTGCACCGCATAATGCCATTTCAGTCAACCACAGACCACATATACTATGATGCTCCCGTAAGATTATAATGCAGCATTTTTATTGTATCTTTTCTATATTTAGATATGTTCAGATACACAAATACTTAACCATGGTGTTACAACTGCCTACAGTATTCAACACAGTACTGTGCTGTACAGGCTTGTATTCTAGGAGCAACAGGCTATAGCACAGAGCCTAGGTGTGCAGTAAGCTAAGCCATTTCGGTTTTGTAAGGACACTCTATGATGATCACAGAGCAAGGAAATCACCTAAGGATGCATCATTCTTCCAAGTATCTCCCTGTAGCTAAGGGACCATAACTGTATTTGGTCTTAGTCCCTGACACAAGAGTTTCCAAGACCCTTGGAATCTCCAGAGTGATAAAATGTCCTTGTGTATGTTAACGAGATAACTGGTGGCTAAAAACCCTTAAATAGCTTTAGAACGGGGGTTGCTGGAAGTACAGGCAACCGTGTGATTAGAGGGTTGGAACTTTCAGTTTCAGTGCCCAGGCCTCCAGGGAGAGCAGCGGGGCTAGAGATTGAGTCTAATCACAAATGGCCAATGATTTAATTAATTATGCCCATGTAATGGGGACTCCATTAAAAGCCTAAACAATGGGGTCCAGAGAGATATCAGGTTGGTGAATACATCCGCAGTCCAGGAGATGGAGCACCCCAATTCCATGGCACAAAAGCTTCTGTGTTCGGGACGCTGCGGGGTCTCGCCCTATGCACCTCTTCATCTGGCTGTATCCTTTATTACAGCCTTTATGCTCAACCAGTAAATGTGCTCCCCTGAGTTCTATGAGCCACTATAGCAAATTACTGAACCTCAGGAGGCATTGTGGGAACCCCAAGCTTATAGCTAGTCTGTCAGACATACAGGAGACCTGTACTTGTGACTGGTGTCTGAGTGGGGAGCAGTCTTTAGGGACCTGTGGGGTCTTAAGCTAACTCCAAGTGGTTAATGTCATAATTAAATTATAGACAAGTTGGTATCTGCACAGTCGGAAAATGGTTAGTATGGGGGAAAACCCAACACATCTGGTGTCAGAAGCATTGGGAGCTGTTTCCTTTTATATGTAAAGAGCACAGCACTGGCTGATGTATAATAAGCATTCAGCAAATGGCAGCTATGTATTGCTATTTTCGGCAGTTTTTAAATCTTACAATCAAATCTTACATACATCTCAAAGGCCATCTCTCTCCCTACGTTATTAGCTATTATACTAAAAATAGGCATAAGTAGCTGGGAATTTCAGTAAGTGCTTTTCTGACACACTAAAACGAGTTTGCAAGGAATAAGCAAATAGACTGAAGAGCTGCTGTGGAAACCAGCAAGGAATGATGAAAACACACACCAAGAATGACAAGGCCTCATTTCTGGTTCCAGAAATGTCACTCAGTCTCCTCAAATGCAAAAATGGATGAAGGGGGACTAATCGGACCATCTAAAAGGTCCTCTCAGCTTTAAGGGTCTGTGAATTACTAGGTGTTTCCATTTTTACTGTTTATTCTCAAAGAATCCTAGTTTCCCCAATGTAAAACACAAATAACAACAGTCCTCATCCTAATTACCTCCAAACACTGTTATGAGAAATGGATAAGTCACAGCCATAAAAAAGAATGAAATCATGTCCTTTGCAGCAACATGGATGGAGCTGGAAGCCATAATCCTAAGCGAATTAATGCAGGAACAGAAAAGCAAATGTGGCCGGGCATGGTGGCTCATGCCTGTAATCTCAGCACTTTGGGAGGCCAAGGCGGGTGGATAACCTGAGGTCAGGAGTTCAAGACCAACCTGGCCAACATGGTGAAACCTCGTCTCTACTAAAAACATAAAAACTCGCTGGGTGTGGTGGTTGGTACCTGTAATCTCAGCTAATCGGGAGGCTGAGGCGGGAGAATTGCTTAAACCCAGGAGACGGAGGTCACAGTGAGCCAACACAGTGCCACTGCACTCCAGCCTTGGCAACAGAGTGAGACTCTGTTTCAAAAAAAAAAAAAAAAAAGCAAAGCAAATGCCACACATTCTCATTTGTAAGTGGGAGCTAAACATTGAGTATCCATGGATGGTCATAAATATGAGAACAACAGATACCCTCCTAAGGTTCTATAATTTGCTAAGAGAGCTCACAAAACTCAGGGAAACACGTTTACTTGTTTAACATCAACTACTAGAGCGGAGTCGGGGGGTTGGGGGGAATGGGTCGGAAAACTACCTATTGGGTACTATGCTATCTGGGTGCAATATACCCATCTAAGAAACCTGCACATGTACCCCCTGTATCTAAAACAAAAGTTGAAAAAAAAAAAAAGGTGCCACAGTAATTTAAAACTGTAAAGCAATATACTGTACAGATGTTATTATTAAGACATTTTTAAATGGCTTCAAGTAAACCACGGGCCAATCACGTCCTCTGAAAAAAGCCACAGAGTCTAAAACGTTTATATTATAGAAGGAATGCTTTTATATAAAGAAAGCATTATAAAAAGATGGAAGGTTGATTCCATTGGTTTGTTTGCTAAAACAAGTTACTACCTACATTTACTAAGAGTTATAATTTACACTACCTCAATTCATAAGGTTAATTGAAATATCAATAAAATGTCAAAAAAAATTCTACTACCTACATTTACTAAGAGTTATAATTTACACTACCTCAATTCATAAGGTTAACTGAAATATCAATAAAATGCCAAAAAAAATTCTTCAAGCCACATACCCTACAAAAGTAATAGCAATTATGGATCATCTTACAGCAGCATACAAATTTTTCAATTAGT
Organism: Homo sapiens; assembly: GCF_000001405.40. Taxonomy (NCBI): domain Eukaryota; kingdom Metazoa; phylum Chordata; class Mammalia; order Primates; family Hominidae; genus Homo; species Homo sapiens. Next base: position 12,299,432 of record NC_000001.11, on the reverse strand, counting down.
GATCAAATACTAGCTGAACGGAAAAGGAAATGGATACTGATTGCTCACCTTATCTTGTAGGGAAAAGGTGCCAGGAAAACCAGCAAACAGAAACTTATTTTTGACTTTCAACTTCCCCAAATTTGCTACAATCAGATTATTTGATCTGGAACTTTCTGGGATCAAGAGAACGGGAGCACCAGCCTCAATATCCAGGAGAACCCGTGAACAGCGCTGGGCTTGATCTCTCACCTGAAAGAGGAAGGAAAACTGACTCAGAGGATAATTAATTCCCTAATTTTACCACCAAATAACCTCAGGTTCCCAAAAGTTTCGTGAGTTTATAAAACAATTAAAATCATACAGAGCATATTCTATGACCACCATGGAGTTAAACTGGAAGTCAGTAACAAGAAGATAATGGAAAATCCCCAAATATTTGGAAAGTAAACTACACACTTCTAAATAACCCCTAGGTCAGAAGAAATCACAAGGGAAACAGAAAAATATTTTCACTAAAATGATAAGGAAGACATAATACATTAAAATTTGTGGGATACACTTAAAACTATGCTTAGAGAGAAATTTACACCACGACTTTAGAAAGCAATAAAGACTTAAAAATCAGTAATTGAAAGCTTCCACCTTAAGAAGCTGGAAAAAGAAAAGTAAATTAAATCTGAAGTAGAAGGAAGAAAATAAAAAGCATAAGTCAATGATATAGGAAACCGACAATCAGAGAAAAATCAATTAAACATTTATAGAATATGACTGCACCCAAAAACCACAGAACATACTTTTTTTTTTTTTTTGAGACAGAGTCTTGCTGTGTTGCCCAGGCTGGAGTACAGTGGCACAATTTCAGCTCACTACAAACTCCACCTCCTGGCCTCAAGTGAGATTCTCATGCCTCAGCCTCCCGAGTAGCTGGGATTACGGGCACGTGCCACAACGCCCAGCTATTTTTTGTATTTTTAGGAGAGATGGGGTTTCACCATGTTGGCCAGACTGGTCTCAAACTCCCGGCCTCATGTGATCCACCCGTCTTGGCCTCCCAAAGTGCTGGGATTACAGGTGTGAGCGTGCCCAGCCCAGAACATATCCTCTTTATAAGAACAGGTGGTCTATTGGCTGAGAGTATGCCTCGGCCATAATACAGGCCTGAATAAGTTGGTTATTTTAAAAGATAAAACTAATAAACCCCTGGCCACTTAGTAGCTTGGTTATCTTGGTTAAGTCGTTAAAGTCTCTGTGCCTCCGTTTCCTTATCTATAAAATGGGAATAATAATAAGCCATAAGCCCTACCTCAAAGAGGTATAGGGATTAAATGAGACAATACACCCAGAAACTGAGGTGAAAATGTAACAGCTATTATTATTACCACATCAACACCATATCTTTTCAGTCTTTTTTTCCTGTACACACAGCTATGTATTTATATATATACAGGCATCCTGACTAGCACTTACATCTTGAACATGCGTTCAGTTATATGTTAATGGAAAAAACACTGAATCATGAGCCAGACAACCAGGGCTAAGAGTTAACAATGTTTCCTCACTTATAAAATGAAAGTAACACATCTGCCGACCACCGCCTCATTAGGTATTATCATAACTAATTATCTTTTTTTCCTTGATTATATCCTCCCACTGAAATATAAACTCCATGAAGGCAATGACCTTGTCTTTCTTGTTTTCCACTCTGTTCCTAGCACCTGGCAAGCTGCATGACACACTCATTCCTAAATTACTGAAGAAATGAACAAACAGGGTTGTTATAAGGATCAAATGAGATAATGTGTAGGAAAGCACTTTGAAAACTCCAAAGCATCATTAATATAAATAATTATTGCCAAAAGTACAGGCTACTTAATTCTGCTATCTCCGTATTCCTACTATAACTGAGTCAAGGGAAGAATAGTAAGAAAAATAACTCCCTGATGGTCACATAGCTAATGGAAGCAAAACCCACTCAAGATATTTGTCCCAAGATTTCTAACGCACAGCATTACTTTACTATACCAGTTGCTAGGTGAATGAAGAAGTGTAACAAATATAAGAGGTTACATGTAAAGTGGAAGGCATAGAAAAACTGCATCATACTTCTGGGGTAAAATATATGGGAAATAATTTATATTTGGCCAAACACATCTGGTATAACTGATACTCTTAAAATTTCAAACATTAAGAATACAAAGAAATTCAAAGTTCCACTGAATCATTATTTACAGACCTCAGAAAATGTAGGAATAAAAACCCAGCTACATGTCAAAAACACGTGTCACCAATACAAGGTGAAAGAAATTTAAATTTCAAACAAAATAGCCTCTTAATCTTATCGACAAATAAAAGTAGATCTTAGCTCTATATAAACCTAATTCAAACAGCTAGAATTAAAGATTCTTGAGAAGATCAGCTTCTCTTCAAAGCCTACATATTGAACAATGTTCAAAATAGAAAGACATTCCTTTAACCTCCTACTTGTCTTATATAATTTGATAAAGCAAAACTTGAGACTTATTGTTCAACTCTGCTTAACCCAGGAAGTTAAACCCAATTACTCAGTAATATACAAGTATCTCGTTTCCTAACCCAAATGATTCACCACCATAAGACTTACCACTGTTTCAACCACACATGTAAAAATAACTGTTTTAAATGCACACAACAATTCTAACAGAAAACATTTAGCAGAGTCATACTGAAAGTCACAAAAATGTTCATAACTTTGATAAAACAGTACCATTTGTAGGAATCAATACTGTAAACATAATTCAAAAAGTGAAAAAAAAACTTCACTTCTGTAAAGATATTCATGGAAGCATTAGTCATAAGAATGAAAAGCTGAAAGCAATTTAAATGTTAAAAATAGGAAAATGGTTAAACTAATAGATTATATAGTTGCTACATAGGATATCTATGAAAAATGCAAAGCAAGATGGAAAAAGATTCTAAAAAAGGCTAGGAAAAATAGCTGGATTCTAAAAGTGCATGTATAAAATTACAGTGTTTTACATACTTGATACACTGTATGCTATTTCTCAATCTAAATTATTTTATAAAAGCATATGCAGACCATAAATGTAATATCATTTTATATCAAATAAAAAGTCTGACAATAAGAGTGTTGGCAAAGATATGAATTAAAAGAAATTATTATACACTGCTGATGGGAGACTATCATTGAGACAGCTGTTTTGGAAAACGATCTGGCTTTATCTAGTGAAGAGAAATGTGCGCACACCCTATGGCTCAGTAATTCCACTGCCAGGTATCTCAGAGATCAGAGAAAGTCTCAAGTATGTGCATCAGGACTCACAGTACATAAGAGCTAAACACTGTAAACAGCCCAAGTGTTCCAAAGGAAAATGGATAAATCATTTATACACAGAATGAAATGCAATGGTAAAAATAAATGCTATCGTATGTAACAATATGAATGAATCTTATCAACACACTAAATGGGGGGAAAAGCAAGTCAAGGAACATTAAATACGGTTTAATACCATTTTTATAAAGATCACAAGCAAAGCAAAAGATACCGTTTAGAAATTTTTTCTTTTTAATTTTAAAGGATCTTATAGACCCAAAAATCACCAGAGTGGTTCCACGAGGAGTTGACAGGGGAACGGAATAGGGAAGGAACACAGCATATGCAGGCAGCTGTCTTCCTGATGCTTTAATTTTTAGTTAGAGGTGGGTTCACAGATGTTCATCTTATTATGATACTCTGTGACATATATACATGCTACAGATAATCTTTTATAGGTGTAAAACGCTAAATTTTTTTTGAGTTGTTAAAGAAAGAAAAAAAGGTTATATATTCCATGAGCAAATTCAGAGAAAAATGTATAGAAAACAACAGAAACAAATTAAAACATGCTATAGTGCAGAGATACTAGTATGATTCTTTTTTCCAGATTTTCTATCATTTGATTATGCTACTTGTATATTTTTTAAAAATACATTCTCTGGAAGATACACAGGAAACCGACAGCACTCGTTGCTTCCAGAGAGAGAAACTAGACAGTTGGAGAAAAATAATTGAGGAGACTTTTCTCCAAATGCCCTTTTTCACTTTGCTACTGTACCAAATCAATATCTACCAAGTCAAACATTTTTTATTTAAATTAAAATGTAATTTTTAAAAATGCTGCCACTATAAAGTATCTATTTATTAAATTATAATCTTTTACCTAATAAAGTTTTGTTTTTTTTTTTTTTTTTTGAGTCATGGTGGCTCTGTCACCAAGGCTGAAGTGCAGGTGGCATGATCTCAGCTCACTGCAACCTCCACCTCCTGGGCTCAAGCCATCCTCCCACCTCAGCCTCCCAAGTACCTGGGACTACAGACACATGCCTCACCACACCCGGCTAATTTCTGTATTTCTTGTAGAGACAGAATTCCACCATGTTGCCCAGGCTGGTCACGAATTCCTGAGCTCAAGTGATTTGCCCGCCTCGCCCCCCAAAGTGCTGGGATTACAGGTGTGAGCCACCACGCCTGGCCATAAAGTTTTTTTAAAAAAGGAAAAATAACACGTTGTTACAAAAGTACATTGTTATTTTCTATGGTTCCCAAACTGCACTGAGACACCACAGGGTGGCAAAGGCTTGCAGCTGTCAGGACTTTTTTTTTTGAGACGGAGTCTCGCTCTGTCGCCAGACTGGAGTGCAGTGGCGCCACCTCGGCTCACTCCAACCTCCGCCTCCCAGGTTCAAGCGATTCTCCTGCCTTAGCCTCCCGAATAGCTGGGACTACAGGCACGTGCCACCATGCCCAGCTAATTTTTGTATTTTAGTAAAGACGGGGTTTCGTCATGTTGGCCAGGATGGTCTCGATCTCTGGACCTCGTGATCTGCCCGCCTCGGCCTCCCAAAGTGCTAGGATTTACAGGCGTGAGCCACCACACCCGGCTGCCAGGACATTTTAAATTTTTGAAGGAAAAACAACATCTGCCAGACACTGCACTAACTAGTAGCTTGTGGTAGTTGGCATTCAATAATAGATCATTCTATACTCCTTTCAGTAAGGTATTATCTTTGCGAAGCTGGGTCTTCAGCGGTTGCTGTGAGAAAAAGCAAGTACCATAAGAAGATAAATGTGGACAGGAAGTGAGGGTTGTAATGTCCAACCTGATTCCAAGTTTGAGAAGTTATGCAATACCTAACAGGCACATACCTCCTACCAGTCATTGTGGTTACTTAAGAATTAAATAAAATATTATTCTTTCCATTTATGTGTTATTATTTTTTCAAACACCTACTAAGTTGTTAGGACATATGTACTTGTTGTTTAGACTGACTTACTTTGTAAACGGAAATACCATTAGGTGTTTCCTTTGGCCTAGGATGTGCCATGAATAAACTACCAGGACCCCACGGGGGCCACGAACTCAGTTTAGAACTTCTGATCTACTGCATTTAGAAAAAACCTACCACTTTCCAAGAGAAACATCCCCACTGAAGTCCTAAAAGGGACCAGAAGTCTTAAGTGTTCTTTGTAAACCTCCCTTATCTTTTTTTACAGAAAGTGAAAGCTAAAGTTTGAAGGTAATTTAAGTGAGATACAATAAATAAGGAACAAAGCTCTTCAATTACACAAAGATGTCTGTAGCTAATCTACACGGAGAACATATTAGCAAGGATAACTTACCTTTACTCTTCCAGATTCATCTCTAGAGGCCTAAAAGTTCTACTGATCAGTCAAACTGGAAAAGCAGCTTGGAGGGCCCAGGCTACCTACCGTCTGCCCCTCAATAGCAGCTCGCTGGCGCCCTAAGACATCCTGCAGCTGAGTGAAATGCTGAATGAAGGCCACCACCTCTGCCTGGAAACGCTGAGTATGCACATACTGCACAGAGGCCATCCGGAGGCTCACGCGAATGTCGTGTTCTCTCCGGAGCAGAGGGTCAGGCCGTCCGTATCTAAAAATTAGGATAAAAGTGTGACTCAGATAACAGCAAGACACAAGTTAGTATTTCAAGAAAACTCAGGTTGGTTTAGGGGCTTCCCTAAAACCAGCTTTAATTATTAAATGGAAATCCAAAATTAGGCTTTACAAAGCAAACTCTAATAATTACTCCTTTTGTAAGCTTCTGTGATGGGATAAAGGTGTGATAGCCAGGAGTATAAACAGGTGGACAGCTCTAGCACTGAGGTCACTCAGAGGCCACCTGAGGCTCTGACCTTTCTCCCTGCCCTGAAAGGTAAGTATTCCTGCTCACCATGTTCCTGGCAAAGATTGTGAGGATGTGTGAAAAACAATAAAAATAAGTCCATGAATTAATGGGTAAAGAAAATTAGGCATCAGAATCAATGTTTCTAGGAAAAACTGTCTTCTAGAGGCAGAAAGACATCTTTTTACTTAGTCAAATGTAAGTCAAAGAGTTCTGGAATCTATAGTCGAAGATAAATTAGAAGACTTCTACAAATTGTTCTGAGTTTAATGGAGCATGGTGCCATAAAAATATTATTAAATAGGACACAGTCAACCAACATTGCTGAGTACTTATTTTGGGCTAGGCGGGAAATTGAGAATTTTACATTAATTATCGGACTTCATGACACCAAGGTATAGAACACAAACAAATCCATTCTCAGCAGGGTACCATATAACCCCCTAAAAATGAAAAAGCCCTCAGATATCTTCTTGAAACAGTTTTTCTCAACCTTGGTTGAACATCAGCATTTTAAAAAAAACACACACACTGGCCAGGCACGGTGGCTCACGCCTGTAATCCCAACACTTTGGGAGGCCGAGGCCGGTAGACTGCCTGAGTTCAGGAGTTTGAGACCAGCCTGGGCAACATGGTGAAACCCTATCTCCCAAAAATACAAAAAATTAGCCGGGTGTGATGGTGCATGCCTGTGGTCCCAGCTACACAGAAGGCTGAGGTGGAAGAATTGCTTGAGCCTGGGAGGTAGAGGTTGCAATGAGCTGAGATCACACTACTGCACTCCAGTCTGGGTGACAGAGCGAGACCTCGTCTCAAAAAAAAAAAAAAAAAAAAAAGAGACTGAGCATGGCCCTAGACCAATTAAATCAGAATATGTAGAGGCAGACCTGGACATCTATATTTTCTAATACCTCTTAGATTAAAAAAAAGAAAAAAAAAAGGGTTGAAAACCACCATTTTATACTCCCTATTTTCTGAGAAAAGCTTTTTTTTTTTTTTTTTTTTTTTTGAGATGGAGTTTCGCTCTTGTCACCCAGGCTGGAGTGGTGCAGTGGCACAATCCCGGCTCACTGCAACCTCCGTCCCCCAGGTTCAAGCTATTCTCCTGCCTCAGCCTCCCGACTAGCTGGGATTACAGGTACCTGCCACCACACCCCGCTAATTTTTATATTTTTGGTAGAGATGGGGTTTCATCATGTTGGCCAGGCTGGTCTCAAACTCCTGACCTCAGGTGATCTGCCTCCCTCAGCCTCCCAGAGTGCTGGGATTACAGGCGTGAGCCACCACGCCCAGCCCTGAGAAAATAATTCTTTAATAACCAGCCATGCCTGAAGATCCCTTTCTAAAATCTAACATAGAAACAATTCAATATAGATCATGTTTATAAACAAAAATGCATAATGAACTCATAACCTCAACAACCTTCTGAGGCTGAAATCATTCCAGAACTTTTAGAGCTACATGGAAGCTCAGAAATGTTCTAATGATTCAGTCCCCTTAATATATAGAAAAACTGATGCACGAAGACTGCATGACTTGTCTCAGGACATACACCAAGTTCGTGGAAAACCAGCAAGAGAGCCCAGGGCTTTTAATAATCAGAAATATTCAATCATACCCTATCTGGGGTGGGTGTGCGTGTGTGTGTTGAGACAAGGCCCCCCTCCATCACCCAGGCTGGAGTGCAGTAGCACAGTCATGGCTCACTGCAGCCTCCAACTCCTGGGATTAAGGGATCCTCCCACCTCAGCCTCTCAAGTAGCTAGAACTACAGTTGCATACCACCACACACAGACGGCTTTTTTCTTCTATAGAGACAGTGTCTATGTTGCCAAGGGTGGTCTCGAACTCCTGGCTTTAAGCAATCCATCTGCCTTGGCCTCCCAAAGAGCTTAGATTACAGGCATGACCCACCGCACCTAACTCATACCCCATCTGTTTATGAAGCTTTAAGTAGCCCACTTCAACACAGATCCATTTTAATGAAATTTAAAGTCAGGAAGAACTCCTCATAACCATAACTTCTCAATTTCACCTCTAAGAAGGTAAAAATTTTTAAAAGTTTTCTTTATTGTCTAGCCAACAAGAATCTGAAACAGCAAGTATTATGATAAAATATCAAGTCAGAAAAAGATTGACATTTTTACTTAAAAGTCTGGAAGATGAGTGCTTCTTCACCACTGGTAGTGAACCGTTCTCTGTAGAACTCTCCATGGCATGTGAGGTCACTTAGAGACAGACTCCCAATGCTGCCCTGTAAGGCCAGGTCTCCCTCTAGGGATGATAAAGTTAGAACACATTACTATGTATCCTTTTTTGTCACACAACTTAAATATGTCTGGAACAAAAGCTGGTATACACATGCCTCAGACTTTTCACTTTGTAATCAAACCTCAAAAGCAAATTTTCATATTCCAATATACCCCAAAAAATATTTTATGCAATATTTAAAACAAAGTCTCAATGCAAAAAAGGAAAAAAAAAGTCTCAATGCAGAAGTCCAAAGGGGACTGAAATAATACAGCAACATTACATTTTTTTTTTTTTTTTAGACAGAGTCTAGCTCTGTCGCCCAGGCTGGAGTACAGTGGCGCGATCTGGGGTCACTGCAAGTTCTGCCTCCCGGGTTCACGCCATTCTCCTGCCTCAGCCCCGCCGAGTAGCTGGGACTACAGGTGCCCACCACCATGCCTGACTAATTTTCTGTATTTTTAGTAGAGACGGGGTTTCACCGTGTTAGCCAGGATGGTCTCGATCTCCTGACCTCATGATCCGCCCGCCTTGGCCTCCCAAAATGCTAGGATTACAGGTGTGAGCCACCGCGCCCGGCAACATTACATATTTAAAGGATAAAACCTTTATAAATACAGACAGAAACTTGATGCTTTCTGAGATGAGACCACTAACTAGAAATAAACATCATTAGGTCTATTAATTATACTCTGGATAAAAGAATAAAGGAGGACGTGTCAGAAACATGTTAGGTATTCAAGCAACATTAAGCATGTTTTAGTATGATTTAATGAAAGACCAAAATTAATGAGGTAGATAGGCACTGGAGACACAGATTTGAAACTACTCTGATATATGAGTGAAGTTTCTGGAAGGTGGAAAGAAGAAAGAAGACGTGACTGAAACATGTACGACTAGAATGTGAATCTATAATGAGTCATTATTAACACTGTATGGATACTAAAAAGGAATATTCTGAACCGTTGCCTCTGTAAAACAAAATTTATTATCATAATTATCGTGATAAAACAATTACTAAGGTATATTTGGCATGCTAGTTCAGCTCCCAATGAATTGAAAACACAATTTTTTTTTTTATTTTTTGAGACAGGGTCTCACTCTGTCGCCCAGGCTACAGTGCAGTGGCACAATCATGGCTCACTGCAGCCTTGACCTTCCAGGCTCAAGCAATCCAACCACCTCAGCCTCCTGAGTCGCTGGGACTACAGGCACTGGCCATCACAACTGGTTAATTTTTACTATTTTTGTAGAGATGAGGTCTCACTATGTTGCCCAGGCTTGTCTCAAACTCCTGACCTCAGCCTCCCAAAGTGCTAGGATTACAGGCGTGAGCCACCGTGCCCAGCCACATACTTATTTTAGATACCTAATGTCTTCTAACAAAAATAACCAAGCTTTTACCAATCTTAAAGGCCATTAACAGGAATACGCTGTAAGAAGGAAAAAAAAAAAAAAGCCAATCTCCTCTAAGAAGCTTTTCTAAAATAATTGCACAAGGCATGAAACCTCAGCCTCAGTTCATTCCTTCCCCAAAAGACATTCTTGTTTTTACTACAGCATCAACATGAGCTTTGTAATCTTTGATAATTAGGAAAGGAAAAATGTTTTACTTCACATTTCATAAATCTCTACTAAAGGCTGGGTACGGTGGCTCACGCCTGTAATCCCAGCACTTTGGGAGGCCAAAGTGGATGGATGGTTTGAGTCCAGGAGTTTGAAACCAGTCTGGCCAACATGGCGAAACCCTGTCTCTATAGTTTAAAAAAATAAGTTAAAATATTATTTTTTTAAAATCCTACTATTTAGAACCTGATGTAGTTGATCACTTGTATTCAACTAAGAATTTTAACTTACAAAGTCCCATTAGAGAGAATGCTGGCCAGGTGCTGTGGCTCACACCTGTAATCCCAGCACTTTGGGAGGCAGAGGCAGGAGGATGACTTGAGGTCAGGAGTTCGAGAATAGCCTGGCCAACACAGTGAAACACTGTCTCTACCAAAAATACAAAAATTAGTTGGGCATGGTGGCATGCACCTGTAATTCCAGCTATCTGGAAGGCTGAGGCAAAAGAATCGCTTGAATCCAGGAGGCAGAGGCTGCAGTGAGCCAAGACTGCACCACTGCACTCTAGCCTGGGCAACCAAGCGAGATCCTGTCTCAAAAACACAGAATAAAGAATGCCAGCTTTGCTACAATGTCCTCCTGCATAACACCATGGCCTCTACTGGTAGCTCCCCCAATTTATGACTCTAGATGCAGTCATATCCTCTGGTTTCCCAGAGACAGCCCTGTTGTATGCCCGTTTTCTAGGGGTAATTATATTAATGATGTCCCCTTTAACTCTCAAAAATATCCCAATTTGAACCAAAAAAAAGTTATATGGGCACCCTAGATAGAGTCTGTTGAAAACACAGATAGACACCAGGGCTCCATCTCAACTTAATCAGATTCTTGGGAAGGAGATGAGAGACAGGAGGAGGGAAGAGGCTGTGCCAACACCTGCACTTTTAACAAGCTATCCAGATGATTCTGATCCATAAGCCAGCATTTGGGAACCACCACCATGAATCCTGGCCAGACTAATAACCACAATCAAGCCACTGCCACACCTTACTCAGCACGTGAGGACAATCAATTTGTGATCACAATGTTCAAATGCTGACCAGATTTTGCAAGTTTGCTTCCCTCCACCCCCCACCACTTACCAATCATTTCCAGGTGTGCTACTAATTTGGACACATTTGCTTTGGCAAGCTCACTGGTGGTCTTATTCAGCACTAGAGAAAGTGAATGAACCTAGGAACAGACAAGATAAAGCAAGGCCAATATTACTGGGGAGAAAAGGTATCTTTCAGGAAAACGGCAGAGCAATCAAGGAAAATGCAAAAAGGCTTGGGAAACTTGAAGGTAATGCTTTTAACAATGCCAATTTCACTTCAGCTTTCTTAAGCCAGAGAAACCACGACCTGAGGACAGGGCGGAGACTGGACAGTCTAAATTTCAGTTTCTGTGGTGCCTTCTCTATGCTTGCCTTGTCTATTTTCTGTTCATGAGATGCTTTACATTATAAAAATAATTTTTCTCATTTTGGCATTCATCATTAATATTATACAATTCTATAGTAACTCAAACAGATCCATTAAATCTCATTTTGATAAATTTTTCAAAACAAAATGATAAATATGATTTAGAATCCCATTTACTGCCTCTGAACAAATATTTAATAGAAGCCCACCATTAACCAACTGAGACTTCACCTAAAAGCCATAATCAAAGATTTTCTTTCCTAGGGACAACTACAAATAGAAGAAAAAATCCCCTGTCTTGGAAGTAGCATTCTTTGTAACAAATAAATTTCATAATGCAATATTGTAATTGTAACTATTAAAAAGATCTTATATGTCTAGGATTTGTTGAGTCAGTTCCCAACAACCTTTTTTGCTTTGAGTAACATCACAGGGGACAAAACACTGATGGAAGAGAAGGAAGGAGTGAGGAAAAGACTGAGAGCAGATTTAATCTTCAATTCACACCCTCCACTCCTTAACAGCAAGGACCATGCCTTCACCCCTTTGTCTTCAGTGCCTGCCACAAAGTAGGTACTCAAGAAATGTCTGGTGCATGAATAATCAGGAGGATAAAAAGATGGGAAAAGAAAAAAGGAATGTAATAGAAGGAAAGGAAGAAAAAAAATCATTTACAGAAGAAGACAGAGAAAAAGCAATGGGTTACTATAGCTGGAGCAATGACTTTGTGGGGGGAACTCCAGTTCCCTTGCAGTATGATTTCTGACACTGACCCAGGCACAGAAGGAATCTCAAGGCGAGATCATCATGGGGAAATTAAAAACCTCTAGTCAGCTGGATGCAGTGGCTCACACCTGTAATCCCAGCACTTTGGGAGGCAGAGGCAGGATGATCACTTGAGGTCAGGAGTTCAAGACCAGCCTGGCCAACATGATGAAACCCCGTCTCTACTAAAAACAGAAAAACTAGCTGGGCATGGTGGCAGGTGTCTGTAATTCCAGCTATTTGGAAGGCAGAAGCACAAGAATGGCTTGAACCCAGGAGGTAGAGGTTGCAGTGGGCCAAGATCGCACCACTGCACTACAGCCTGGGTGATAGGGCAAGACCCTGTCTCAAAAAGATAAAATAAAAATAATGAAAACCTCTAGTCATTTAATTTTACCAAAAGAACATGTACACTGGGTCTAAAAATGCTTTGTTTGGAGGAATCCAACCACCACCACCACCACTTGAACCAGCTCTTCCCACGAATCTTAGTGTCACTAACAGATGATGATCAGACGTTGTATGCCTCCTGCCTCAATGCAACAGGAAGCACTCAGCAGCCCCTCTGGCATGTTCTTACCAAGCTGAACTGAATCTGATGGGGTCTCTAGAGCTAACATCCACTTGTTAAAATAGAGGATAAAAGAAGTCAAACAGTCAAACAAGAAAACAGACAAACCTAAAATGTGGGACACTCTACAAGGCACTAATCCAGTTTCTGTAACAAGTCAATAGGCGGTGGGGTTGGAGGGGGGCAGATACACTATAATTAAAAGAGATTTAAAAGACATGACAGCAAATGTAACATGGAACCTTACCTGGATCCTGATTCAAAAATATTCATGCATCAGGCTGGGCACAGTGGCTCATGCCTGTAATCCCAGCACTTTGGGAGGCCAAGGCAGGCCGATCACTTGAGGCCAGGAGTTTGAGACCAGCCTGGGCAACATGGTGAAACCCCATCTCAACTAAAAACACAAAGATTAGCAGGGTGTGGTGGCACACATCTGTAGTCCCAGCTACTCGAGGGACTGAGGCAGGAGAATAGCTCGAACCCAGGAGGCAGAGGCTGCAGTGAGCCAAGATCATGCCATTGCACTCCAGCCTGGGCAACAGAGCAAGACTCCTTCGAAAAGAAGGAAAGAAAGGAAAGGAAGGAAAGGGAAGGAAAGGAAAGGAAGGGAAGGGAGGGGAGGGGAGAGGAGGAGAGGAGAGGAGAGGAGAGGAGAGGAGAGGAAAGGAAAGGAAAGGAAAGGAAAGGAAAGGAAAGGAAAGGAAAGGAAAGGAAAGGAAAGGAAGAAAGAAATTCATGCATCATTTTATTTAATTCTCCTTATTTTGTAAATGAGAAAACTTTGGCTTACAAAAGCACAGTATTCTACTGAATTATAGAGACCAACAGAATAGAAAGACAAGAAGTTTCTTAAACCATTCATTCCTCTACAATCCACCAATAAAAGGGCATTTTTGAGACAATCAGAGAATCTGATTATGGACTGGTGTTAGAAAATACCAAGGAATTCTTGTTAGTTGGACGTGACAATGCATTGTGGTATGTCCATTGTTTTTTTAGAAATAAATACTGACGTATGTAGAGTGAAATGATATATCTGGAATTTGCTTTAAAATACTTCAGCAGGCAACGCGCAGTGGCTCACTCCTGTAATCCCAGCACTTTGGGAGACTGAGGCAGGCAGACCACTTGAGGTCAGGAGTTTGAGACCAGCCTGACCAACATGATTAAACTCCATCTCTACTAAAACTACAAAATTAGATGGGCATGGCGGCGCGCACCTGTAATCCCAGCTACTCAGGAGACTGAGGCAGGAGAATTGCTTGAACCCAGGAGGCAGAGGTTGCAGTGAGCCAAGATCCCGCCACTGCACTCCAGCCTGGGCGACAGAGCGAGACTCCGTCTCAAAAAAAAAAAATAAATAAATAAATAAATAAATAAATAAATACATAAAATAAAATACTTCAGCAAAGAAGAAAAGGCATAAAGTAAATGTGATGAATTATAGGACTGGGCAAATGGGGGTTCATTATACTGTTTCTCTGTGATGTATCTGAATTTTTTCACAATAAAAATGTTTGTCAAAAATTCTTATTTTAAAAAATGCATTGTTGAGGAACACTTATCCAGTCCTATTCCCTTGTAGAACCAGCCACATCAATCAAGGCAAAGCCCTCTGGGAGCACTGCATATTCAACACCAAAGAGTTCCTGACGCAGATCATCACAGACACTGCAAGAATAAAGTTCCAGGTACAGACACATGAAGCCCAAAGGAATGGCTAACGCCTCTCCAGGTTCCATCCACCTTGCTAAACCAAAAGTACCAGAGGCCTCGGAGTACTGCAAAGTCATTCATTCACCAGACACTGAACAAGAAAGGTAAGCTGGTCCTTTCCCATCTCTACCCTGAGATGTCTTCCATTTCTAGAGGAATGAGGCCTACTATCAGCAAGGGAAATAAGAAAATGGCAACAGGATAAAATGTGATTCTCCTCCCTGACTTCTCCCCAGCAGGAAGTGCAAGTCCACACATGCTAAGACATGTGGATAAAGAACATCCTTGAGGCACACAAATGTTACCAGCCACGGCCGGGGTTCCAGGGCTCTGGACGAGTGCTAGTGACAGCAGGCCTATGTGCCCTCGAATGGGCTATTCAGGTTAACTGCTTTCACATCCTACTGGTCTATCACACAGAGCAGAATAGCCTTAAACTCAAATGCTGTCTTTTTTATGGTTTTTTTCTTAATACTTACAGTATGAGTATCAAGGACAAGTTATAAGTATGGTAATCCATGTAATATAAAAATAATAATGGCTACCATTCATTAAATCCTTATTGTGTGCCACACACTGTGTGGAGGGCCTTACAACAACCCTATGATGGGGGCACCACTGAACATCCTCAGTTTACTCATGAAAACATTAAGGGCAAAAGAGGCCAAGTGGTTTGCCCCAGGTCACATAGCTATATGGGTACAGTGAAAGTACCAGGACTCAAACTCACGGAGTCCAACTTTTGAGACCATTCTTAACAGTTACGCTGTTGCCCTCAATGCAAGCAAATAATGTTCTGAGAGAATGGGGAGACAGAAACAAAAGCCACACTTTAAAGTTGCTATTACAGATTACACACTTTGCTAGGTGCCTTCCACACATCACCTCATTTAGTCATCTTAGATGATGGAAGATGAGGAAACTACGGTTCAGAGAAGCAAAGTAACTCCACTGAATTATAGAGCTCAAAGGAAAGGTAAGATTCTTAAACCACTTATTTTCCCTGCCTCCAGATGGGATTTACAGTAAAACCTTTCCCAAAATATTCATGTCTACCTTTCGTAGCAAACACCTAGAAGACTAGATAGCTCCCCTGCCAACAAGAGATATTTTCCAAAGTAAATGTAAAGTGCTTGTATTTAAATCAACAAGCCCAAATCCATTTTTAGAGCTTAAGGGAGCCAAAGGGAACTGAGGATACCTTGAGATCCAGTTTGGTGTTCACTGGATCCTGAAGTCCAGACTCCATGGAGGCATGTGGCTCCAACTTCACGTTGTGCAGAATGCCCTCAGGAGGCAGCCTCATTGCGTGGTTGTCTGCAGTGGAGCCGATTCCAAAAAAGTCTAATATCACAACCCAGGTTTGCAGTGTGATCAGCACATCCAAGCAATTAAAATCAACATCAATGCTCCGGTTAACTCGATTGTAACTGGAAGAGAATTCTGGATGTTTCTTATCTACCAAGAATATGTTGATGTGGACTAAGGAATCATCAAATTTACTCTTTCCAACAAGTATCTTGGGCTCATCCACTGTTGGAGAAGGAGGTGGGGTCAAGGGATAGTCCTTGTCTTGGACTTCCTTTTGCTTTTTCCGGGACGCAGAGGTGGGCCTTTGATACAACTGGAAGACATTAGGAGCTTCTTCCATGTGGGAAGGGAGAGACCGAGGCATATCAGGATATTCCACATTGGACACTGAGGGGCAAGACTGAGAAAGGTATTCTTTTTGTGCTAAACTAGATGGCTTAGGGGCTCCTCGAGACACCATCAGGTTCTTATATTTAGAATCTGGATTCTTCTCCAATAAGTCCTCCATCAGCAGAGAATGCAGGGCAATCTGAATAGATAAAGTCTGGGGATGGTCTTTACTGAATTCCACCTCAAAGTCCTGAAACTTTAAGCTCACAAGACCTTGGGCCCCCAAAGTCAGATCTCCACTTAGCTGAACCTGAAGCTCTGATATACAAAAGGTGGCTTGAATCTGAGTAAAGGATTTGACTTCCTTCACTGACAATGACTTCTGAGAGGTGTTAGAAAGGCTGGAGTGGCTGAACAATCCATTCTCCTTCCTTTCAACAGAAGATTCTCCACAGGTACTGAGGGGAGGCAGAGGAGAATCAGGGCAAGGGGAGGAGGTAGCACTGGCTGGATACTTATTCAGATCTTCACTGTACACGAGATTGTCCAGGGTTTGTAAAACCTGCTCATATACATGCTTTGCTAACACCACCTGTATTGAAAAGAGAAAAATTCAGTTACTCTTATTATTAAATGCACGTAGATGTAATGCCCATAAATGTCTACAGTTGCCACATGATTCCTACATGAGGCTGTAAGTTACCTGATAGCAAAGACTATCTCTTTTCATTTATTTTGTCCTTACCTCTTTATGACCCACTTCTGTTCACAAGGCCCTCCCTCAGCACCCTACACAATAATCTACATACAATAAGAGTTCAATAAGTACTGCGGATTATGCCTGAATCAACAAAGTCACTTTTTCTGACCCCACAAAAATGAATGCAGAAACTGAAGAGTGTTGACAAAAGTCTGGCGTGGATACACCACAGGATTGAGAAACAAGGTTCATGGTTCTAAAACTGGCTGATCATCACCAGTTAGAGTAACAGCCAATGTTTAGTACTGGTAGTACTTTTTAGATAAAAATGATGATGATCCATGATTAGTTATGTTTCCTTTCTCCTTTGCTTCATTTTTAATTACAATTTCTTATTAAAAATATTTTCAGCCAGGCACAGTGGCTCACGTCTGTAATCCCAGCCCTTTGAGAGGCCGAGGCAGGCAGACTGTGTGAGCCCAGGAGTTCAAGACCAGCTTGGGCTACATGGTGAAACTCTTGTCTCTACAAAAAATACAAAATTAGCAGAGTGTGGTGGCACAGGCCTGTAGTCCCAGCTACTTGGGAGGCAGAGGTGGGAGGACCGCTTGAGCCCAGGAGGTGCAGGACACAGTGAGCTGAGATCATGCCACTGCACTCCAGCCTGGGCCACAGAGTGAGACCCTGTCTCAAAAAAAAAAAAAAAATTTTCAGGCAAGTTTTTTATTTAATGAAGGGCAATTTTTAACAGAAGAATTCCAACCAATAGATACAGAAATAATGATGGAATTAGAAAAAGTGACCATTTTGTAACCCCTAATTAAATAATGTGTGCCATCGAAGTTCATTAGTGGAATAAACCATTATGTGAATGACTGACAGGGAATTTTGCAATGGAGAAATCAAGGCTCTTGCCACCTAAATACAATTATCCACTTTAACATCAATAAGAGAGAAAAAAGACCTGATTATGTGCCTCCTGATATAAAGTAATATGAAGTATACAGCACCACCTACCTGAAGTCTACCTCCCAACTCCCCTGCCAAAAAAGAAACCCGAATCCAGTCAAACCTATAGAACTAAACCTGTTCTATAGATTTTACAGGAAATATGTGGGAGAACAAATTAAGTGGCACACGAACAGCCAAATCCAGAAAGTGGGACATTCCACAGGACAACTGACTTAGTTCCACAACAAAATACGACATGGGGGGACAAAAAAGAGAGGGAAACTAGATGAACAGAGACCTACACAATGTATCACCCAAATGCAATGCTTCCAATTGTCTGTATCCTGATTCCAACAAACCCAAAACAAAGACATTTTTGAAATGATCCAAAATATTTCTGAAATCTGAAAATCGACTAGATAGTATCAAAGAATGCTCATTAATTTTGTAAGGCATGAAATACCACTGTGGTTATGTAAGAAGAAGCACCTAGTTTTTGGAAATACACTCTAAATACATAGGGGTGATAATGGCATGACATCTGGGATTTACCTTAAAATATTTCACCAAAAAAAAAAAAAATAGATAAAACAAATGTGGCAAAATCTTCATAAGTGGAATCAGAGTGATGGGCACATAAAGCTCATTAGACTATTCCACTTTTGTATAGGCTTACATTCTTTCATAATCAACTTTTTAAAAAATTAAATTATTAAATTAATTACTAATCAATTATTAAAGAATTCAAATAATTATCTTAATTATTTTTAAAGAAAGAATTATCTACAATAACGTTTTTAAGATTTTCATCAAAACAACAGTTAAGTCAATGGTAACCATAAAAATAAGTCAACATAGGCCGGGCATGGTGGCACACACCTGTAATCCCAGCACTTTCGGGGGCCAAGGCAGGAGGATCACTTGAAGCAAGGAGTTCAAGACCAGCCTGGCCAATGTGGTGAAACCCCGTCTCTACTAAAAATACAAAAATTAGCCAGTGTGGTGGCGAATGCCTGTAATCACAGCTACCCAGGAGGCTGAAGCAGCAGAACTGCTTGAATCTGGGAGGCAGAGGTTGCAATGAGCCAAGATCACACCACTGGCACTGTAGCCTGAGACTCCGTCTCAAAAAAAAAAAAAAAAAAGTAAGTCAACATAATCCAATAGAATTTACATCACATGCTAGATTTAAGGTGAAAAATTTGTCCTGGTAGCTACCACTGATGGGGCAAAAGCTTAGTCTGAGAAGGGAAAGCTTTGGAGTAGTTCTCTCAGGGGTCCCAGAGACCCCTGGGAGGAACCACAAATGTCAAAAGGCAGGCCCACTCCATCAACAGCACTCCTGGGTTACTCCAGAACAGCTGCCAGACACAGACCAACTACTGTTGTGCCAGACACAGACCACAGACCGTCCTAAGAGCCTGCCTGTCACTGCTGTTTTATAATGTACTACTCTTTGCTCTCGTCCCTGTGAAATCAGGGAAAATGACACTTTTGAAGGAAAAAAAAGAAAAGGTGTATACATACATGCATGCCCATAAAAAAAGAAATCCCTATCCTGGCCCATTTCATTTCAGAGAGGGCAGGACTAATTCTCTGTTGAAAGGATCTGTCCACAGCTCAGATGATCACAATGTTTCACTGGCTGTGTTAAGTATGTCTAAGTGTGACAAGAATGATATCCTCCTGGGAAAGGAGACTCTGACTTTGTAAGCAATCATTTCCCCATTTCTGAATGTCAATGGAATTAAGAATCTGCCGTCTTCCTCTAGATAACCCACCCCTCCTCCATATGAAAAAGGCTGACAAGACGGATTCCCCATGACAAAAGGATTCCACAATTATTGGAACAAGGTTTCAACAATGGTATTATGCATGGGTGATATATCTTTGAAAATATATATTCCTTCCAACATGTAATATACATAAATATATATCATATTTATAGAGTACTAATATAAACATATGACTTCAACTGCCCTGACATGAATTTACCTGAACTGGATTGACAAATTTTCCTTCAATCTTCATGATGCTAGAAGTTCCCAGGTCATCTGGGCTAAGAGAAAAAGTCAATTCAGATTCTCTCTCTATAGGGATCTTCTCCAGTTTAAACTGAATGGTGGTGTTGTTCAGGATGTGAAAAGCTGGCATAAAAGAGATGAAATGATAGACCATAAACCTTAATATTTACTTCATTACTGCTGATTAAACGTAGAATATACAAAATACAGCCCATGAGTTACACTTAGACCAGGAGGGCAGGTTAGCCTGGCACCCGGGGTCTATGATTGAGAGCAAACCTTGACAGCTATCCTGAGGCCAAAACTCATAGCAAGCTGAGGTACAAGATACATTTACACAAAAAAAGAAACAATATTTTCATCACATGCTCCACTTGGTAGCTTCAAAGCACGATGTGGTGAACATTATTCCAGTCCAGAGACTACATTATGCTTCTCTGAGCCACCCAAGCTGGCATTTTCCAAACCGAATTATTCATCCTTACCTAGCTTTCAGATACAGATGTATCCCTCTTATTAGGCCTAAATCAGAATCTAGGACAATACAAGTTCTAAGTAAACAACTTTTATCCAAGCAGAGAAAGCTATCTTTTGATAAGTATAAAAACAAATCAGTGAATTAACATCTGATGACCACAGAAGGGTAAGTTCTCAAAGGCATTAATTTCATCACCAATAAATAAAGGCGTGCTCTAGGACTTACCTGATCTCTGCGTGCCAAGACCAACAGATTGGACTGTTTGGTTTTAGCTGATCAGATCCAGAATACAAACATAAGCTTTTATTCTTAGAACCTTGGACCAACCCATTATAGAAGAAGATGGCAGAATATTAAAGAAGATAATATCCACAAACTATTTACATCAACCCCTTGAGGCATCTTGGGCTAAAATGTTTAACTAGGAAGGATCGACAGCTTGGGAACAGAAAATCAGATATATTTGACCAAATTAAACAATACTTTAACAACATCCATCCACTGAAGCATCTCTGTAAATGAGCACTCATACAGTTTCAAGCTGGAACACTTCAAAAAAATAAATTCCTGCCTGGGCGCGGCTGGTCACACTTGTAATCCCAACACTTTGGGAGGCCGAGGCAGGCAGATCACCTGAGGTCACGAGTTCGAGACCAGCCTGGCCAACATGGTGAAACCCTGTCTCTACTAAAAATACAAAAATTAGCCGGGCGTGGTAGCGGGTGCCTGTAAGTAATCCCAGCTACTTGGGAGGCTGAGCCAGGAGAATCACTTGAACCTGGGAGGTAGAGGTTGCAGTGAGCTGAGACTGCATCATTGCACTCCAGCCTGGGCAACAAGAGCAAAACTCCGTCTCAAAAAACCAAAAAAATAAAAATAAAAGTAAGTAAATTCCTGTTTTGTCAAATATGACATTAAATGGAAAAGGGTGAAAACATGCCAACCTACTACAAGGCATTCTATTAAAACTCTTTGATTTCTTAAATATTAACTGAGGATTATTCTAAAAGAAAAGGATTTTATTGTTGCTGTTTTACGCAAAGGACTCCGTGAGCTGGGTTTTCAATCATTAAACAAAATAGAACAAAAGACTGATGCTCCTCACCTTGACCTCTATGCAAAGATTCAAAGAAATCATGTCGTGTGAAATGAGCTTCCTCCTGACTGTTGGCACTGCCAGACCCGGAAGGTGGGCAAAACATCCGGCTTCCTTCAGACCCAACAGCTTCTCTACCTGCCAACTGGGTGCAATTCAAAGAATACAGTTTAATGTCCTTGATTTCCACCTGCAGACGGTCACTTCTGGATTCATCATCTCCCGCCACAAAATTCTGGATGAATATCTGTCCCAAGTGTCCCACCAACAACTCAGGACTCCCCGGCTTCCGAGGGATAGAAACAACTGGTGATTCAATGTTTATGTTCAAGATTAGCTTTACAGTGTCCAAATGAGACGAAGCTAGGTCAAACCCATATATTTCATTTTCCTCTAAGATAAAGGGTTCCCGAGTCTTCCTTGGAGTTTCAAAGAGCGATACCATCTCGCTATACTCGGCAGTCTTGGTAGCTAGTACTGTGGTGACTTTGGTGGCTGCGCTTTTCAGCATACCTCGAAAATTTTCTTCCAGTTCATCCATGGATAACGTCAACTCCTTCAAAAACTTAGCAGAGTGGTTATAATGTAAAGAAGCCATCTTCAGGTTGAGAAAACACTCCTGTTTAGATCTCTCAACAAACGTGAAACTCAAAGCTTCAGTGAGGGCTGCATCTTCCATTCTGACAAACACAGATTCAAAGTAGCCAATATCACTGATGATATTTTCATAGCCTACAGAATTCCCAATGCTGACAACATACTGGTTTTTAACGTTATCTTGTGTCAAATCCATAAGCTGTAAACAGCCAAGAGAACCATTCATGTCAAACGTGCTACCCATTGAGACATTAACTTTGGTGCCACCTATACTTGCAGTTGCAATTTTTCTGCCATATTTCTCTCTATTTGCCATGCCCACTGTCCGAAGAAGCAGTAAGTTCAGCCTATGGATTTCCACTGCAACCTCAGTGTTTTGTTCATATGTAGACTGGTAAGTTCCTTGTTCTCTGAAGCTTCTTTCAAAATCAGTCATTAAAGGTTGAGGACTTAAATCATCTTTTTCCTTGGGAAAGGATTTTTGAAGAAAACCAATTAGCTCCACAATCGTCTCTGGATTGAGGATAATATCTAAATTATTCACCTGTAGGGAAATCACCTGAAGAGTACTGTCTAAATTCATCGATGGGCACTCTGAACTCACAAACTGATATTCCAACTTAATAAGGGACTCTTGCTCTTTGGTAAGAATTTTGTCAAGTGAAACACTAGTAGCTGATCGGTCGTTCAGTGTAGCTCCATCAGTTAAGTGGGCCACATTCGGTCCAGAGACAGGAGACTGGGCCCTGCTATCCCGAAGGCTTCCCGTTGGAATATCAAAGCTCAAGTTCTTATGTGAAGCCATCAAAAGGTCAAAATCAGCACCATATGTCTGCATGGTATCCACCAGGAGCAAACCATGAACAGTTAGGGAGACTTCAGCATCATAAGGCCTCTTCACAAAGTGAGCATTGGTACCAAACACCTTGAGCACAGAAATGTACCGGCCATTGCTCTCAACACCAAGCTGCATACAGTTCACTTTAAATTCCGCCAGGAGGAGCTGCGACTCCACCAGAACCTCGCGGGTATGCTGCTCCAACAACACAATGCTCTGGGTTAAATTCATTACGGAGTCTTGCAAACTTCCCCGCTGCTCCTCCTGGGGAAAAATCTTTTCTTTAATCTGAGTGTCAGAAGTTTTCATTTCTGGGGTGGTGAGGAGAGCAAAGCAATTCTTTAGTGCAGATATTTTATCTTCATTAATGTGGATTTTTAAGTCTGGTAAGTTGCCTGAGAGCACGGCTCCTGGATATTTGGGATCTGAAGTATAAATCAATCGACGCTCTAACTGTAGGTGAACGTTGAACTTCTCTACCACATGTGTTGGTCCCACGTCAATATCCTGGACATGCTTCCAATTGTCTTTCACTCGTCCAACCATGATCTGGAGGTCCATAAATGACAGCGAGTACCTCTCATACATCTTTGTGCTCATTAAATGTGCTTGAAGCTGTTCTTCACTGAACTCAACTCCAGAAAAGGGAGGTGTTTTCTCTCCGTTGCTGCTGCTTGACTCGGGAGGTGGGGTGTTAGGAGGTGTGGCCAGGGGGGTCTTATATTCATCATCACTAAACTGGGTCTCTTCAGATGCTGACCCATCCCTACTTTTCCTCCTGGAGTTATCTGAAGATAAAAAAAAGAAGATTCAAATATATGTCTGCTATTTCCCTCCTCTTTCCCTTAATGTAATAATTATGAAAGGTAGAGAATCAACCAACCCCAGTTTGTTTAAGAAAACTGAGGAAAACTCTTAAGCATAATATCTTTGTTTACCATTTTCTAAGTGTGAATTTACCTATAAATTTGGAAATCAAAACACAAATATAAAAAAGTATGGACACGAAAAAAGCTGGAGGCCCCCTGACATGAGCGCCACCTGCTGACCCAATGCTGCCTCCCCACTTCTCCCCTGCCTTGCCATGGGCGTGAGCTGCTTTCACCAACCCTTTCTTACGTCCCTCTCTAGAGTCTTTTATTTCTTTTCCTTTTTCTGTGTGTTCATTTGTTTCCCCCACTGGAATGTTCTTTTATTTCAGGTGAAGTCTCACTCTGTCACCCAGGCTGGAGTGCAATGGCACGATCTCAGTTCACTGCAACCTCTGCCTCTCAGGTTTAAGCGATTCTACTGTCTCGGCCTCCCAAGCAGCTGGGATTACAGGCATGTACCACCATGCCCGGCTAATTTTTTGTATTTTTTACATTTTTATTTATTTATTTTTATTTATTTTTGAGATGGAGTCTCATTCTGTCACCCAGGCTGGAGTGCAGTGGCATGATCTTGGCTCACTACAACCTCCACCTCCCAGGTTCAAGAGATTCTCCTGCCTCAGCCTCCCGGACAGCTGGGATTACATGTGCCTGCTACCATGACTGGCTAATTTTTGTACTTTTAGTAGACACAGGGTTTCACCATGTTGGCCAGACTGGTCTCGAACTCCTGACCTCAGGTGATCCACCCACCTCAGCCTCCCTAAGTGCTGGGATTACAGGCGTGAGCCACCGCACCTGGCCAATTTTTTGTATTTTAATAGAGACAGGGTTTCACCATGTTGGCCAGGCTGGCCTCGAACTCCTGACCTCATGTAATCCACCCACCTCAGCCTCCCAAAGTGCTGGGTATTACAGGCATGAGCCACCACGGCCCAGCATCCACTGGAATGTTCTGAGAGAAGAGAGGTCTCATCTTTCTTGGTCAACACAGTCTTCCTAGTGCCGAGGTAGTGCTTGGTGAGCGGTAACTGATCAATATGCAATTGTGTGGCCCCAGAGTCCACAATCAGCTCCTCTTTCTCCAGCTGAGCAGTGCGCCAAGACAACTATAAAAATACACCACTGGGGCTGGGCATCGTGGCTCACACCTGCAATCCCAGCACTTTGGGAGACTAAGACAGGCAGATTGCTTGAGGTTAGGAGTTCGAGACCTGCCTGGCCAACATGGCGAAACCCCATCTCTACTAAAAATACAAAAATTGGCCGGGCGTGGTGGCTCACACCTGTAATCCCAGCACTTTGGGTCGCCAAGACAGGTAGATCACTTTGAGGTTAGGAGTTCAAAACCAGCCTGGCCAACATGGCGAAACCCTGTCTCTACTAAAAATACAAAAAATTGGCCAGGTGCGGTGGCTCACGCCTATAATCCCAGCACTTTGGGAGGCCAAGGTGGGCGGATCACCTGAGGCCAGGAGTTGAGACCAGACTGGCCAACGTGGA
Source organism: Homo sapiens (assembly GCF_000001405.40). NCBI lineage: Eukaryota > Metazoa > Chordata > Mammalia > Primates > Hominidae > Homo > Homo sapiens. The sequence continues at coordinate 12,274,237 of NC_000001.11, read as the reverse complement.
GAAACCCCATCCCTACTAAAGATACAAAAATTAGCTGGGCATAGTGGTGGGCACCTGTAATTCCAGCTACTCAGGAGGCTGAGGCAGGAGAATTGCTTGAACCTGGGAGGCAGAGGTTGCAGTGACCTGAGATGGCGCCACCACACTCCAGCCTGGGCGACAGAGTGAGACTCCATCTCAAAAAAACAAACAAAAACAATTTGGTACTTCCTCAAAATATTAAAACATAGAGTTACCACATGGCTCAGCAACTCCACTTCTAGGTAAATAAAGAATTAAAAATATATGTCTACATTGCAGAAATGGGGGTCTATAAAAAAGAAAAAAAATTTAAAAGAAAAAGAAAATATATGTTTATACAAAAACCTGTACATGAATGCTCACAGCAGCAATATGCCTAATAGCAAAAGAGTGGAAGCAACTCAAATGGCCATGAACAAATGAAAGGATAAACAAAACGCGGAACAGCCACACGATGGACTATTATTCGGCTATACGAAGGAAGGAAGTATCGGTATATATTACAACACAGAATAACCTTGAAAATGTCATGCTAAACGAAAAAGCCAGACAAAAAAGGCCACATATGGCATTATTCCATCATATGAAATGTTCAGAACAGACAAATCCAGAGACAGAAAGATTAGTGGTTGCCAGGGGATGGGGAGCGAGAAGGGGAATTGGTGTTTAATGGGTACACACAGAGTTTCAGTCGGGGAAGATGCAAAAGTCCTCCCGATATTAAATAGCAGTGAGAACTGCACAATTCTATCCACATACCAAAAACAACCGCACTATACATTTAAAACTTAGAATTATCTCAATAAAGCTATTATTTTAAAAGTAACAAGTGAACCCTCAGGTCTTAAAATGTTATGTAAACATTTTATTAAGCTTTACTTAGATAATCATAGACAGGTCGATCTACCAAGATATGTTTTCATTATTTCATTATTTAAAAAGTTACAGATGAACCTTGAAGTTTAAAAATGTTACATATAAAAATGTTACATAAACATTTTATTAAGCTTTACTTAGATAATCATAGATAGATCATCCATCTACCAAGGCAGGTTTTCATTATTTCCCACTCACACTATACCTTGGGTGTTCGTCAAAAGCATTCTTCCTAGATCCACGACAACTAACACAGGATTCTTGAATTTGAAATCATCAGGAAATATCACCTGAGGGGCAGAAATATCCAGCCGCACGGTCCATCGTTTACTCTCCTCCTGTACAAATAAAACAGTCATTAACCATAACTGCCGAAACCCAACAGCTTTATCCATGGTGCTCAAGCATTTCTGGAAGCTGCAGCTAGGATTATGGAGTGACTCAGTGATCTAATGTATTACAGCAAAAAGTCTAAGACAAAAGTAGATGTAAATGCTTGAGGATCTGAGAAATTACCACAGACAAGTATCTGAACAGGGGAGAAAAAAAATAGCAAATAACTAAATAGGGGAGAGTCTGTACTTAAGAAAGATTTTGTTTCTAATTTACAGGGTTTAATACTTTAAAGGATTATAGAAATTATAGAATTCAAATAAACATAGAATTCTAAACATTTTTACTTATTCAGGGGCATTGGTAACCATGAACTTCCATGCCAAAATATCTTAGTGAGAAACATAAGCTTTGACATTTGAAATATAAATAACACACCAATTCATGATTTGTTCATTGTTCTTCCCTCCAACCAAAATCAGCCTCAACTGTATGTATGTGGCAAAAGCTAATTTACATTACCAAAAAGAAACCTCTTTTGTTTACAAGAATACTAATTGTCATACTTTATGTAGAAACACACACACACACACACACACACACACACACACACACCAAAACAAAAAACAGGACTAATTCTCCATCCCATACTACACACCACATTTTACTTGGATCATTTCTGCTTCTCTGACACCTATAACTTACTCTGCACTGTCCAAAAGAAGCCACACTTTTTCTCACTGTGCCACCTGCTGCTGTATTGTAGCAGTGCACCTCCATGTCACCTGAGAAACTGTGCTTTACTGGACTATTTTGATTTCTTGAGACAAGGTCTCACTCTGTCACCCAGGCTAGAGGGCAGATCATAGCTCACTGCACCCTCCAATTCCTGGGCTCAAGCAATCCTCCCGCCTCAGCCTCCTGAACAGCTGGGACTACAGGTATGTGCTACCAGGCCCAGCTAATTTTTTTATTTTTTGTAGAGACAAGGTCTCACTATGTTGCCCAGGCTGGTCTCGAACTCCTGAGCTCAAACGATCATCCCACCTCCGCTTCCCCCAGTGCCAGGATTATAGGCATGGGCCACCTTGCCCAGCCTACCTACTGGACTGTGAAGATGTCTCTTGGCCCTCCCTATCTATGGCATCCTCATGGCAGCTGGCCATTTGGCATCACAAAGTACCTAATCATCACACCCTAGAATAGAAGCTGGGGCATCATTCCAGTTGTCTCTTCTGGTAACAGTAAGCAAAAAAGAGAAACTCTCACATGAAACATGCACAAAGTATCAGGTCTGGAAAATGGAACAAACACGAGTCTTTTTTTTTTCTTCTTCTTTTTGAGACAGTCTCACTCTGTTGCCCAGGCTGGAGTGCAGTGGTGCAATCTCGACTCACTGCAACCTCCGCCTCCCAGGTTCAAGTGATTCTCCTGCCTCCGCCTCCTGAGCAGCTGGGATTACAGGGACCCACCACCATGCCCAGCTAATTCTTGTATTTTTAGTAGAGATGGGGTTTCACCATGTTGGCCAGGCTGGTCTCGAACTCCTGACCTCAAGTGATCTGCCCACCTCAGCCTCCCAAAGTGCTGGGATTACAGGTGTGAGCCATAGCACCCAGCACAAAGATGAGTCTTGAAAGTAACCTCATCCTGGTGCAAGGAGACACAGAATCTAGTCACAGTCATTCATTTTATTAGCTAAACCCTGACTATAAAAGACACAAGATTCTATTCTATGCTAGCTGATAAGGATTTAATATTTTCAGTTTACTCAGTCAGCATAATTGATATAAGTAAGCCTATCTACAGTAAGTAGTGACTTGACGGAAAGAATTCCTGCCCCTTCCCCAATCCCCAAAGAGTGTTTATGGATGCCCACTTACAATGAAATCACCCACTAGCAAACGATCAAGAGTTTGCCGGATTTCTGCCTTGGTCTGCATCTTCAGCTTGTTATATTGTCTTCGGGCAGCTTCAGCCACTCTCAGCTCAAGTTCAGACTGATAACCAAAACCTGCAAGGTTGGAAATACACAGCAGAGTCAGAATTTTCACACGGCTGGGTGAACAAAAGTGCTACATCAATTCTCACCAAGAATGTCCATCAAAGCTTAAAAAAAAAAAAATCAGGCTGGGCATGGTGGCTCACACTCGTAATCCCAGCACTTTGGGAGGCCAAGGCAGGAGGATGCCTGAGCCCAGGAGACTGAGGCTGCAGTGAGCCGTGATCACGCCACTGCACTCTAGCCTGGGGTGACAGAGCAAGACCCTGTCTCAAGGAAAAAAACAAATCAGTAACAACAGTTTCTTACTCCAGTATGACCTGGCATAATACAGGGTAACAGGAATGAGACAAAAAAGCGTAAGTGAATGGACAGCCATGGGGGGAGAGGAGGCAAGTGAGAGAAGTGTACCTAAGTTACTAGAATTTCTTAAGCCATTTTCTGAAAGATTCCAAACTACTATATTTCAAAATTCTTAAAAAGCACTGAAAGAGAAAATGGAATTTCAAAGGAAATGCCTTCTATATTCTTTTTTTTCTCTTCTTCTTCTTTTTTAAGACAAAGTCCCGCTCTGTCTCCTAGGCTGGAGTGCAGTGGCATGATCTTGGCTCACTGCAGCCTCCGCCTCCCAGGTTCAAGCGAGTCTCCTGCCTCCCGAGTAGCTGGGATTACAGGTGCACACCACCACACCCAGCTAATTTTTGTATTTTTAGTAGAGATAGGGTTTCACCATGTTGGCTAGGCTGGTCTTGAACTCCTGACCTCTAGTGATCCGCCTGCCTCAGCCTCCCAAAGTGCTGAGATTACAGGTGTGAATCACCACACCCAGCCTTTCTATATTCTTTCTTTTTAAGACAGGGTCTTGCTGTGTTGCCCAGGCTGGAGTGCAGTGGTGTAATCATAGCTCACTGCAGCCTCGAACTCCCAGCCTCAAGCAATCCTTCTGCCTCAGCCTCCCGAGTAGCTGGGGCTACAGGCACACAGCACCATGCCTGATTAATTTTATTTTATTTTTATTTTTAGTAGAGATGAGGTCTCACTATGTTGCCCAGGCTAGTCTCAAACTCCTGGGCTCAAGCAATCCCCCAGCCTCGACTCTCAAAGTTCTAGGATTACAGGTATGAACCATTGTGCCTGGCCACCTTCTATATTCTATCAGTGACAGAGCAATGAAGTCACGGCATTTATGGCTACTGTTTATATGAAGAGACTAAAAAACTAGTCCAAAAACTAAAACAGATTCATTGTAATAAAGGGGGAAGGGACATTTAGGAAAATACTATTGTTTTATAAATCTCCCTGTCCATAAAAGTATTTTTTCTGCACCTACTGTTTCAAATCTTCTTGGAGAACAAACGGAGGCATAAATAAATCAGTGATTACATTTACAACTTTGCAGTATTTAATGCTGCACAAAGGAGGTCAAAGAGACCACTGATCCTGTCATCTAGAAGGAAATTCTTGAACATTCCTCCTCAGTTCACTGGTCTAAAATATCCTGGGTAGCCAAGGAAACCACTGTCATAGTGAAATAAAAAGTATGGAGATCATTGCTTTTCAGTTCCAAGATGCAGATTTCCAGTTACAATTCTGGCTGAACATACAGCCATGGTTAAATCAATATCATGAAACTACTTTATGCCTGTAGTACTTTCATCTATTTTTATAAGAATGTTTTGCAATTGAGAAACCTAAAAAAGATGATGAACTCCCCCACCCCATACTATTTTATTGCCTTTCAATTACTCTTGGTAATATTTTAAGATAGGTACCGATTCAAAGGTAGTGGCTTTCAAAAAGTACAGCTGCTATTCTTTGGTGCCATTATTCAGAATGACAATATGAAATAAAAATGGGAAAAAAAACAGAAATGAAAAGTATGAAAAAATACACGCTAAATGGAGGCAAACAAAGAGAAAATATTTAAGGATATAGATTTCTCTTGGAAAAGACTGTCCACAAATATCTACCCTGGTTTAGTAACAGGACAGGGCAACCCTATTGACTTACTCTGCAGGCCTTTTTTGTCACTATCAGAGCATCTGAATAACCCTTGTCCAGAACACCAGAAATAACAATAAAGATGTTTTTCAAAAGGAACATAAGATCAAACAAACAAAAAAGTTAACCTGAGGTATGAACCTTTCCCTTGTAGAAAAAGTCTGCTACTTTTTTAATGGCCTGCGGATTGTATATGATGTTCAAGGGCCTTGTGCTGACATTGAGCCGCCTCTCAAAGTGGCTGTGCGCCGGATTTCTCTCATACAGCATCTCAAAAACGGGGCCATCTGGATCTGCAGCTAAAGGAAAGAACAGGAATAAGAACACGGAACAAGGCAAAAACTATAGCCTTATTAACAGACCTGTGAGGGATTCTGGAAAAACAGACATTTTCTAAATTATTTTTCAATTAGTTCACATTTATGCCTATCTTTAAAATAGAAAGCCTCATCAGGATTGACTGTTTAATTTTCCACAGGAATTGTGTAGACTGGCCTGTTGTATTAGCTCCCATATCATGGAAACCAAGGACCTGAAGACCCTGCAAGGTTGCCCAGTTAGCCCCAAGTTCGCAGCTCCACTGAGAGAGGACCAGGCTGTCTTCAAGTGAAACCCTGGTGTACACAGCAAACCACTGCGCACAAAACAGAAAACATTCCCTCTTTTACTACTGATCAAAGACTACTGATCTGGTTTTTGTTGGAAAGTCCCCCAAAAAGAATTTTTAAATTATTAAAAAAAAAAAAAAAAAAAAAGCTCAGGCATGGTGGCTCACACTTGTAATCCCAGCACTTTGGGAGGCCAAGGAGGGTGGGTGGCTTGAGCTCAGGAGTTCAAGACCAGCCTGGACAACAAAGCAAAACCCCATCTCTACTAAATATACTAAAATTACCCAGACATGGTGGCACACACCAGTAATCCTGGCAAGGGCATGAGAATCACTCGAACCCGGGAGGCAGAGGTTGCAGTGAGCCAAGATCACACCACTGCACTCCAGCCTGGGTGACAGAGCGAGGCCCTGTCTCAAAGAAAAATTAATTTAAAAAATTTAAAAATTTTAAAAAAACAACATAGGACAAATTACCTGGGTAATGATCACTTCTGTCTGCAGATGTAGTTTGTAGACCAAAAGATTGTGAGACTCTGCCAACTTCTTTTTGCTATTAAACAAACACACAAAAATGCGTAAACGTCAGCGTGAGAGGGGACAATTCACTAAACAAACCCATCTTACCCTTCAGCAACACACTCCCTTAGCACCATCAAATCAAAACTCACTTTACCTCAGATTGACTACTTGCAGAATTGTTTCGTTTTCTGCCCTTTTTCCAATCTAGTGAGACCACATCTTTTCCTTTGTACTGACAATATGCTACTTTGCACTCGGCACATTTAATGAACAGTTGCTAAATGAAAATTAAACATGTCTAACTTTTCAAACTTTAAGTCAGCCTTCCCACCCTCTCCATAACGTTCCCCCAACCAAAACAAAACTATGGACAGAATAAGGGGTTAACTACTCAGCCATTTAGACAGCTTGTTGCCAACTTAAGATCAAAGATCTTATCGTTAATAACGTATATTATATTTTAAAAATTACATATATATAGAAAACTTGAGATGTTTCTGTTTTGGGACCCTGGCGAGACGAGATTTCATGTCAGTAACTAAGGGTCAGAAGGCATGAAAATGACTGTCAGATACAGAGGAAACCCAAACATTGACCTTGAAATGCAGAAAATAGTGGTCTTATAGCATTTTCTTCCAAATCAGAGCAAAATATACCATGGTGGCTACAATACAGGAGTGCAAGAAGGCATAGCCATTAATGTCACCAACATTTGCTCTTTAACAATTTCAAGAAACTTTTCTAATCCCAGCCCATCAGTCTCAAGATGATCAAATGTCAGAATGAATCAGTTATCATTTGCCTAAAACAGACTACAATTTACCAACACCTTAGATACATTAACTATCCAACTGTTGTACATACTGGATTAGGGAAGACTAGAAGAGGAAACATAGTTCCTTCTGTAGCCAGGTCTCGAAGAAACAGTCCACCCAACCGGACTGAAAGCAACGAGGAATTTCTTCGAGGAAGAGACTCTGCTAGAAGTTTTACATCTATAAAAGATAAATAAAATAGTTGATACAATGCTTATGAGAGCCTAATGTGTTTTTGAAAATATTAGATATTCTATTTTACAGAAGATTATTATAGATGAACTATTTTTCCTTGAAATTAAACAAACAAACAAAAAAACCCTATCTATCTACAGGCACATATTGGAGATATTGCGGGTTTGGTTCCAGACCACTGCAATAAAGTGAGGATCACAATAAAGCAAGTCACACAAATGTTTTGGTTTCCCAGTGCATAGAAAAGTGATGTTGACACTATACAGTAGTGTACTGAGTGTGCAATAGCATTATGCCTGAAACTACAATATAGATACCTTAATTTTAAAATATTTTATTGCTAGAAAGTGCTAACAATCCTGTGAATCTTCAGCAAGTTGTAATCTTTTTGCTGATGGAAGGCCTTGCCTACATGATGATGCCTGCTGACTGATCAAGGCGTGGTTGCTGAAGTGTTGGGGTGACTGTGGTGATTTCTTAAAATAAGACAACAACGAAGTTTGCTACATCAACTGACTCTTCCTTTCACAGAAGATTTCTCTGTAGCAGGTGATGCTGTTTGATAAAGCATGTATTTAACCACAGTAGAATTTCTTTCAAAACCACAGTCAATCCTCTCAAACCCTGCCATTAGCAACTAAGTTGATTTAGTATCCTAAAAACTTTATTGTCATTTCCTTTTTTATTTTGTTTTCTTTTTTGAGACAAGGTCTTGCTTTGTCACCCAGGCTGGAGTGCAGTGGTGCAATCATAGCTCACTGTAACTTCAAAGTCCTGGGCTCAAGGGATCCTCCTACCTCTCAGTCTGCCACGTAGCTAGGACTACAGGAGCATGTCACCATGACCAACTAATTTTTTTTTTAATTTTTAGTAGAGATAGGGTCTTGCTATGTTGCCCAGGCTGGTTGTGAACTCCTGGCCTGAAATGATCCTCCTGCCTTGGCCTCCCGAAGTGCTGGGATTACAGGCGTGAGCCACCACGCCCAGCCTTGGGTTGTCATTTCAACAGTGTTCATAGTATCTTCACCAGGAGTAGATTCCATCTCAAGAAACTACCTTCTTTGCTCATCTGTAAGAAATAACTCTTTATCCATTCAAGTTTGATCATGAGATTCCAGCAATTCAGTCACATCTTCAGGTTCCACTTCTAATTCTAGTTCTCTTGCTATTTACCCCACATTTGCAGTTACTTCCTCCACTTAAGTCTTGAATCCCTCAAAGTCATCCAAGAGGGTTGATTTCTTCCAAACTCCTGTTAATGCTGATATTTTGACCTCCTTCCACGAATTACAAATGTTCTTCATGGCATCTAGAATGGTGAATCTTTTCCCGAAGCTTTTCTATATACTTTACCTAGGTCCATCAGAGGAATCACTATTTATGGCAGCTACAGCCTATGCAATGTATTTCTTGAATAATAAAAGTTGAGGCTGGGAGTGGTAACTCACACCTGCAATCCCAGCACTTTGGGGGCTGAAGCAGGAGGATCGTTTGAGGCCAGGAGTTTGAGACCACCCTGGCCAAAAAAGTGAGAGCTCATCTCTGAATAAATTAAGCAATTAATTAAAGAAACAAACAAACTTGAATGTTGAAATTACTCCTGGATCCATGGGCTGCAGAATGGATGTTGTGTTAGCAGGCATGAAAACAACACTAATTTCTTTATACTTCTCCCAGCAGAGCTCTTGAGTGACTGGATGCATTATCCACGAGCAGTAATATTTTGAAAGGAATCTTTTTTTCTGAGCAGTAGGTCTCAATAGTGGCCTTAAAATCTTCTGTAAACCATGCTGTAAACAGATGTACTGGCATCATCCAAGCTTTGTTGCTCCATTGATAGAACACAAGCAGAGGAGATTGAGCATAATTCTTAAGGGCCCTGGGATTTTCAGAAAGGTAAATCAGCAACTTAAAGTCACCAGCTGCACTGGCCCCTAACAAGAGAGTCAGCCTGTTCTTTGAAGCTTTGAAGCCAGGCATTGACTTCTCCTCTCTAGCTATGAAAAGTCCTAGATGGCATTTTCTTCCAATAGAAGGCCTTTTCATCTACAATGAAAATCTATCATTTAGCATAGCAAGGATCTTAGCTGGATCTTCTGGATAACTTGCTGCAGCTTCCCCATCAGCACTGGCTGCTTCACCTTGCACTTTTATGTTATGGAGATGGCTTCTTTCCTTCAAACTCATGAACCAGCCTCTGCTAGCTTCAAACTTTTCTTCTGCAGTTTCCTCACCTCTTCCAGCCATCCCAGAACTGAAATGAGTTAAGGCCTTGCTGTGCATTAGGCTTTGGCTTAAGGAAAGGCTGTGGCTGCTTTGATCTTCTATCCAGACCAAACTTTCTCCATTGCAGCAGTAAGGCTGCTTTGCTTTCTGATCATTCATGTGTTCGCTGAAGTAGCACTTTTACTAATAATTTCCTTCCAGAACTTTTCCTTTGCATTCACAACTTGGCTAACTGTTTGGCACAAGTGGCCTAGCTTTTGGCCTATCTCAGCTTTCGACGTCTTCCTCACTAAGCTTAATCACGTTTAGCTTTTGATTTAAAGTGAGAGACATGTGACTCTTCCTTTCACCTGAACATTTAGAAGCCATTGTAGGGTTATTAGCCCAATTTCAACATTGTGTCTCAGGTAATAGGGAGGCCCCAGGAGAGGAAAAGAGACAAGGAAATGGCCAGTCGGTGGAGCAGTTGGAACATACACAATATTGACTAAGTTACCATCTTCTATGGGCATGGTTCATAGCACTCCAAAACAAATACAATAATAACATTACAAATTGGTGATTACAGATCACCATAAGAGACAGAATAATAATGGAAAAGTTTGAAATACTGGGCAAATTACTAAAATGTGACACAGAGACACAAAGTGAGCACATGCTGTTGGAAAAATGGCACCTATAGACTTGCTCATTTTTAAACTGTCAATTTGTAAAAAATGTGGTGTCTATGAAGTGCAATAAGGCAAAGTGCAATAAAATCAAGTGTGCCTGTATCTATCCAGCTGTCTAAACACACAAACACCATTAGAAGTTTCCTAGCAGAAGGAATTTTAAATAGTGCCTTTTCAATTCAGTTCAAGTAATCTGCTAGTTAATACTAAGTTTATGACAGCTCAATTTTCTACATTATGAAGTCAAACAAACTGGCTTTTTAAAAAAAATCATTTGTCCTTCAGCCACTCAGGAATCTCAAATAAGCTGCTGTTTTATGGACCGAAATAAAAATATTTGTGAGATGTCCAAACATCTGCATATTTATTTATACACCTTTAATTCAAAGTCACAAAAACATCTGCATATTTATTTATACACCTTTAATTCAAAGTCACAAAAAGAAGGCAAATACTGTCAAGTCAATCCTCATTATTCACAGATTCCATATTTGCACATTTGTTTACTTGCTAAAATTTGTAACTCCAAAATTAATCCTCATGGCACTCTGTCATTCAGACACTCACAGAGCAGAAAAAAATTCAAGCCACCTGATATGCACATTCCCACCTGAGTTCAAACATGGCAACGCTCTGCCTCCTCATTTCAGCTCTCACACTGTGAACAAGCATCCCTCCCATGGTCTTCTATTTGGCGCCATGTTTTTCATGCTTCTGTGCTTTTTGTTTGTGGTTTCACTGTTTAAAACAAGCCCCTAGTGCTAAAACGCTGCCTAGTGGTCCTGAGTGCAAGAAGACTGTGATGTGCGTTACAAAAAAAATATGAGTATTAGAGAAACTTCATTCAGGCATGAGGTATAGTGCTATAGGCCATGAGTTCAATGTTAATAAATCAATAACACAATGCTCCTTGACTTAGGATGGAGTTATGATAAACCCACCATAAGTTGAAAATATCATAAATCAGCTGAGCGCAATGGCTCAGGCCTGTAATCCTGGCACTTTGGGAACCCGAGGAGGACAGATTGCTTGAGGTCAGGAGTTCAAAACCAGCCTGGCCAACGTAGCGATACCTTGTCTCCACTAAAAATACAAAAATTAGCTGGGCATGGTGGCGCGCGCCTGTAGTCACAGCTACTCAGGAGGCTGAGGCAGGAAAATCGCTTGAACCCAAGAGGCAGAGGTTGCAGTGAGCCAAGATCATGCCACTGCACTGCAGCCTAGGCGACAGAGCAAGACTCTGTCTCAAAAAAAAAAAAAAGAAAGAAAATACAGTAAGTCAAAAATGCATTTCATATACCTAACCTACTGGACATCACAGCTTGGCCTAGCCCACCTTAAAAGTGCTCAGAATACTTACATTAGCCTAAAGGTAGGCAAAATCATCTGGCCACACAGTCCACTGTAGACTATTAGCTGCTTACCTCATGACCGCATGGCTGACTGGGAGCTGTGGCTCACTGTTGCTGCCCAGCATCTTCAGAGAATATCATACTACCTATCTCTAGCCCAGGAAAAGATCAAAATTCAAAATCCGAAGTATGACTTCTACTGAATGTGTATAACTCTTGTGCCACTTGTAAAGTTGAAAAATCCAAAGTCAAACTATCCTAAGTCAAGGACTGTCTGTATATCTATATTAAATGTCTTTAAATACAGACACGCATTTTAAAAATTAAGGTTAGGTACTGATCAGTTGATGAATGTTATGACCAGAGGTTCACATGAACCTAACCCAGTATTTCCCCTAAGAGCAATGGTTCCACATTAGCTAATACAGTTTTCGCACTGACTTTCTAGACTATCCCCACAGCAAATAATGAGAATCGCCTGGACATTGGCCCACAGAGAGACAACAGTGGCAGGTAGTTTCTTGGGGGCAGTGTACCTGAAAACTCGAGCTGCATGAAAGCACTTTCATTCATTTGAGGAGTTCCTTGCTCCTTGTGTAACAGAGTCACTGTACCTCGCTGCAACTGCAAATTCAGTTTGGCAAAGACATGATCTCGCTTTGTATACGTGTTCATACACGAGGCATCTGCAGTGGGGTCAAAAAACTCCTCAGTGCCTAAATGGTAAGGGAGAAAAGACTGTAAGAAAAAACGTGGAAGAATAAAAAAGCACCAGCAAGCAGACTGATCACAGTTATGATGATGTTATTTAACTATTTTTCCCTTTGTTAAGAAAGAACTCCAAAGTCATGGGTGACTATTTTATAATATTTCCTAATGTAAAACAACCCTAATTGTTTTTTAAGGGATCTTATCAACTTATTATCAAACCAGGGAGGATAAGATTCATGATAAGGGATGGTATAAAGCAGTGCTGCCCAGCATGGTGAAATGGTCCGCATCTGCGATATCCAGTACAGTGGCCACTAACCACATGTGGCTACTGAGCACTGGGAGCACACGTGGCTAATGTGCTAGTGCAATTAAGAAACTAAATTTTTACTTGTATTCAATTCGAATTAAATTTTAGTTAGCCATTTGTGCCTATGGCTAGATATCGGACACTGCAGGTTTAAGAGAGGCTCTAGACTGGTATTCAAACTTCAGAGTTTAAAATTGTTGAACTTGCTCAAATTTAGTTCTTTTACACGCTCTGCCTCTCAGCTCTTTCTGAAACTGCATTAATACGCACATTTAGTCACAGAGTTACAAATGGAGTATCTCCCAAAATACTTCTTCTCTCAGCCTCTATGAACATAAACTGTTCTCCAAATATCTACTTTTGTTAAATTTGAAAAATACCACAAGCTGTTGCACAAATAACAGACGAATTTGTTTGAATCAAGTGAAGGCCAGCTCCCACCGTACCCAGGATCTCTTCAGGAATCCACTGCTCCTGTTGCTCTGCTGACAGTCCCTCAACCACATTCCCTTCTGGGGTCTGCTGCCCGTACCAGCCACCCCATCCAGGAAACCAGGACTGGAGATACTGCAGCATCCCACTGCCTCCACCGGGTTCTGGGGCTCCCGGACAGGCTCCTGGAGAATCAAACTGAGGCTCCCGCAGACTCTGTGTCAATCACAAAGGAGCAGAGATGAGTACTCAAAGATAAAAGCAAGCTGTGATATGCTGCTGTTTCCCCACAGGAGCACAAGCACATCAAAACTGTAGCACTCAGGGTGTGCTGGGTCTGAACAAATCCTCTTGTAGAGGATTTCTTACCTCTGCTAGTTCTTCCTGTTTGTGAAATCGATCATGAACCAGTTCACGCAAAATCTTCAATTCCTCAAAGCTCTGTTCCTCTTCAATCCGACACATTTCCTCCTGTTTGGGTGAAAACAAAAGCAAATAAACAAAAACACAAACGTTGTAGATCCAGAGACACTGGACACCCTCACAAGCCACTAAAAGTAAAGCACAGAAACCTCTCTGGTCCCCTGCATTTCCACTGAAGGCCAAGAAACAAGATAAATAGTTCCATGATTGCTGTTTCTGGCTTAAGTAGCTTTTCCATATAATCCAGTAGATGTTATTTGGTCTTAAAAACATCACCAACAATTCTCCAGAAATTGAGCTCTATGAAAGAAGGGGAAAAAAAAAATCACTAACAAGTTTCATGACACCTGAGATGAATGGTGAATGGAGAGGGAGCGAAGAACAGCAGTACTCAGTTTTAAGAGTCACTAAAGTGTGGCCAGGTGCGGTGGCTCACGCCTGTAATCCCAGCACTTTGGGAGGCCGAGATGGGCGGATCACGAGGTCAGGAGATTGAGACCATCCTGGCTAACATGGTGAAACCCCGTCTCTACTAAAAATACAAAAAATTAGCCAGGCGTGGTGGCAGGCGCCTGTAGTCCCAGCTACTCAGGAGGCTGAGGCAGGAGAATGGTGTGAACCCAGGAGGCGGAGCCTGCAGTGAGTGGAGATGGCGCCACTGCACTCCAGCCTGGGCAACAGAGCAAGACTCCATCTCAAAAAAAAAAAAAAAAAAAAAAAAAAAAGTCACTAAAGCATATGGACTATTGCAGCACCCACACTTTGGACAGCACTGACCCCGTTTACAAAGGGCTTCCACATGCCTTAGCTCAGATGAGGAGTAAGCAGCCTAGTTATCGCTCTTCCTGAAACCCAGGACCAAGTTTCCACAGGAAGTGTGCAGGCCCTAGCTCTTTTATACTTCATGTAGGAGATTAGCAAGAACGTGGTCATTTTCACTTGTTTCACTCTAGTTAGGAAAGAACCATGATACCCAGCTACATTTTTTAAAAGCGGAATTAGCTGTCCTGAACTGCTTCTTACACCATAACATTAAGAACAAAGGAGATTTTACGTCTTTACTTGCTCATCTCAGTTGTAAATAAGATTTTCTCTTCTTCTATGTCTTTGTGTGTGCCTTTAAGAAAATCATCCAAGGGCTGGGCGCAGTGGCTCAGGTCTGTAATCCCAGCACTTTGGGAGGCCAAAGCGGGCAAATTGCTTGAGCCCAGGAGTTCCAGATCAGCCTGGGCAACACAGCGAAACCCTGTCTCTATAAATGATACAAAAATTAGCCAGGCATGGTGACGTGCAGCTACTCAGGAGGCTGAGGTGGGAGGATCCCTTGAACCAAGGAGGCAGAGGTTGCAGTGAGCCAAGATTGCACCACTGCACTCCAGCGTGGATGACAGAAGGAGATCCTGTCTCAAAAAAAAAAAAAATAAAAAGAGTAGGCTGGGGGTGGTGAAGGCTGAGGCAGGTGAATCACTTGAGCTCATGAGTTCAACACCAGCCTGGGCAGAAGGATGAAACTCATCTCCATAAAAATTAAAAAATTAGACAGTTGTGATGCGGGCCTGTAGTCCCAGCTATTTGGAAGGCTGAGTTGGGAGAATGGCTTGAGCCCAGGGTGACGGAGGTTGCAGTGACCATGATCATGCCACTGTATTCCAGCCTAGGCAATAGAGCCAGACCTTGTCACACAAAAAAAAAAAAGAAGAAGAAGAAAAGAAAAGAAAATCATCCAAAATGTCTGGTTTATTTTATCCTTCTCATAAGGTTCCTGTGTCAGTAACCATGTCTGACACTGATGATAAAAGCATTAGCAAAGTGAATGGGCCACAGCCTCAGGGTGCCGGCAGGAGAGGCACTAACCACTAGGGCTTCAGCATTGCCCTCACTGACCACACAGCAGGTGCTGAAGGGAAAAGTATTCCTTTGTGCTTAGAAGAGTCTACTAAACAAGTGGTTAGTTAAGGGGCAGTACCTGAGCCAAAATCTCAGACACAGTCTAAGCTGCTACTGCAAAAATTGATGCTCACAAAACTGAAATAAAACAAGAAGCAAAGCAATCCCCAATACCTTCCCCCAAAAGAGAGCAGGCAGACAGCTAGAGAAGGGGTGGGGTCCCATGCCAGGGCTCCAGGAGGGGGCATTCTAAGGGCCTTTAGCCCTACTATTAACTAAAACATGAGCTTGCCTTCACCACGTACTTCACCCTTTTCTGCCTAGCCTCTACAACCTAAATATCCAAGGTCAATCAAGTCCACTGGGATTATAGAAAACGTAGGCCAAAGTTCACAGAGATTACAGACTTTGAAGTAAGAGAATTAGGACTGGGATCAGGCTTTGAAGAGAGGCGGGTGACTGTATGAAACAGTCTCTTGAGCTGGGGGGCAGGGGTGTGGGCGCAAAGGCATAGCAGGACCACGGTGTCTTTTCTTCCTCCTACCCCATGGCCCGGCTCTCCTCGGGCAGCAGAAGGTGGAGGATGCTCCTGGCTTAGTTCTCACTCTACTAAGACCAACTCTATCCTATAAAATTTAGCCCCTTTGGCATGGGACTTTATTACTTCACAGATCCCATTTTCTTTAGTCTTTGAGAGAACATTCTTATCTTCTGAATAAGACAAGAAACACAAGACCACAGTCCACTTACCTTGTCATCTGTGGACAGCAGGCCTCCTTTTAACTTGTTGAAATATTTGTCAGTGTAAGATACAGCATCACGAGCGCGGTGCAACATAAAGTCCCAGGTGCAACGTTTCCTCTGCTCTCTGATCTCATACAAGTTAGCATTCAAAGCAAAATACCACCATTCTCGGCAGCTGAAATAGTCCATAACGATGTAATCACTTCTTACAACAAAAGCAACGAAAAGGCTACCAATCCAGGACAATCCACATAACCCCACTCCTCTCCTGAGACATCTTTTCTCTTGTCAGCCACCAGTTTATATATTAAGTTCGTCTTAATATTAAACCACTAGGTGGAGAAGGCAAATCTGCCAAAGAACATCAAATAATAGATCCCCAATTTATATATCAATAACACAGTTCTCAATTGGTTTGAATTATAATATCCCTCCCCTCTACTGACAGAATATCGAAGGCTGACTGTAAGGTAAATACCATCTTAAGATAATTACCGAGGATTTGACTACTAAAGATTTTTAAGTGAATACTTCTAACTAAAGACATGGAAATACATAGGATCTTTAAAAAGCTTTATTATATCAGACTGGTCAAGTTTATCACTGCAACATGAAAACAGGATTTAGTTTTGCTATGGAGGCTGCAAAGAGTACTATGTAAATGTTGACCAAACAACCTGGGAGAAAAAACACAGGGAAGTAGGTTCAAAGAATATTTAAAGTATTTATAATACACACCAGATCCCACCAGAGCAACATCAGTCTACTTGCTAAATGAGACTGAGAGGATCCTCTGAATTTTACTACACTCAGTCTAAGAGTAAGCCAATGACACCAAATAAATATACAGAAAGAATATCAATGATGATAAACAATGGGAATGGCATTCCAAGGACCAGAAAAATCAACTGTACTTTTATCTCCAAACATGGGTAAAGGACAGTGAGGCATATTTCTGATCTATGTACATAGCAAGAACAGGCTCTAACATGAATTTCATGACCACACTGAGAAGCCCTTACTTCTTAGATATCGCCACCTTGGGTTTCCACCTTCGGAACTTCACCTGCCTCTCCTTTCGTTCCAGCTCCTTGAGGAATTCCATGATTTGCCGGTATTGCAGCTTTGTATTAGAGGTTAAGAGATACTAGGTTAGAATAGGTTTGTTTCTTTTACTCAGTTAAGACCTATATCTAACAAGAACAATTCACATTAGTTGATCCACTGAATTGAAACCCAGTGCAAACTGAAAGACCAAAATATCAGCATCAAGTGACATGTTTCTCTGAACCCTGACAGTTAAGCCTATACATTGCCGTATCTCTTGTATTTTTTGTTCAGCTCTTAAAAATACCAAAACAAAACTAGCCTCCTTTCCAATCCATACCACCAACTAATTAAAAAAAAAAAAAAAAAAAACTAACCTGAGATCAACCCAATTTAACTATGTAACAGACGGTGAGTTTTATACCTAACACAACTTTAGTCTGGAGGGAAATGGTCTCACATGAACTTTCTTTCCTGCTGAGGATACGTTAATATCAAGACTTTCACTGCAGTCACCAGTTTGACAGTAAGTAGATGCCACTGAGAAGAAAGGGCATACCTGAGAGAGTTTCAAGGGAATGGTCTCCAGCTGAATATCACAATCAATACGGGGACTGTGCCGAGACCGCAGGGGCTTCTTGGAGCAGTTTCTCTTCAAAAGAGCAGATGCAAACACAGGCTCCAGGACGTAGTGATGGCTGCGACTCTCCATGCTCCTGGCCATGGCCTCCTGTGTGTCACAAGAACACCTGCTCTGCTCCGAATGGCTTTCCTTCTGGTAGT
This sequence comes from Homo sapiens, assembly GCF_000001405.40. Lineage (NCBI taxonomy): Eukaryota > Metazoa > Chordata > Mammalia > Primates > Hominidae > Homo > Homo sapiens. The sequence goes on along the minus strand of NC_000001.11, from coordinate 12,256,279 downwards.
CACTCTTTTACAATGTTGGGGTTTTATGACAAACAGTGGAGCTCAGCCATAGGCTGTGTCACAGCGGCAAATATTTTTGTCTGTTTTGTTTTTATTCATTTTTATTCTTTTTATATAGGGACAGGATCTCACTATATTGCCCTGTCTGGTCTTGAACCCCAAGGCTCAAGTGATCCTCCCACCTCCCAAAGTGCTGAGATTACAGGCATGAGTCACTGTGCCTGGCCAACAGCAAATGTTTTTAGGATCAAGTTACATGTTGGTATGTTATCTAATCAATAGTGTATTATATCAAAATCCAAAAACACTATAAAACTGGGTTATAAAACTCTCTAGTATTTTTAATTTATTATTATTTATATTTCTTTTTTCTTTCTTTTTTTTTTTTTTTGAGACGAGTCTTGCTCTGTTGCCAGGCTGGAGTGCAGTGATGCAATCTCGGCTCACTGCAACCTCCGACTCCCCGGTTTAAGCAATTTTCCTACTTCTGCCTCTCGAGTAGCTGGGATTATAGGCATGCACCCCCATGCCCAGCTAATTTTTTTATTTTTAGTACAGATGGGGTTTCACCATGTTGGCCAGGATGGTCTCGATCTCCTGACCTTGTGATCCGCCCACCTCAGTCTCCCAAGTGCTGGGATTACAGGCGTGAGCCACCACGCCCAACCTTTATATTTCTTAATAGGTAATACACTCACATCGTTTAAAATTTTAAAGGAAAAAAAAAAGGTCAAATATCTCTTTCCTAGTCTCATCCCCCAGCCACCCACTTACCTCCTCAGAGGCAACCAACGACATCAGCTTCTTATGTCTCCCACCCAAGCCATTCTGTACATATGCAGATAAACCTGTAATTTTCTGTTTTCTTAAATAAATGCTATATATGCTGTTTTTACCTTAGTTTGTTTAACTTCATACTATATGTTAGAGACTGTTACATACTCATCATAAAGATCTTTACCTTTATTATTTATAGCTGCATATTGTTTTACTGTATGGATACAGGTTTATGTAATCGAATTAAAACAAAAACCTGCCGGGCATGGTGACTCACGCCTGTAATCCCAGCACTTTGTGAAGCCGAGGCAGGTGTATCACCTGAGGTCAGGAGTTCAAGACCAGCCTGGCCAACATGGCGAAACCTCGTCTCTACTAAAAATACAAAAATTAGCTGGGCGTGGTGGCATGCACCTGTAATCCCAGCTACTCAGGAGGCTGAGGCAGGAGAATCACTTGAACCCGGGAGGTGGAGGTTGCAGTGAGCCAAGATCGTGCCACTGCACTCCAGCCCGGGCAACCGAGCGAGATGCCGTCTCAAAAAAAAAAAAAGAAGAAAGCCATCATGTACAATAGTATCCAAGTGAAAGATAACCCTGGGTGGAGGAAAAAAATGAGTTATTTTCCCCCGTTTCACTTAAACCACCTACAAATTATTTACAGAAGGATTAAACTGGCCGGGTGTGGTAGCTCACACCTGTAATCCCAGCACTTTCGGAGGCCAAGGCGGGTGGATCACTTGAGGTCAGGAGTTCGAGACCAGCCGGCCTGGCCAATATGGCGAAACCCCATCTCTACTAAAAATACAAACATTAGCTGGGCATGTTGGTGGGCACCAGTAAACCCAGCTATTTGGGAGGCTGAGGCAGGAGAATTGCTTCCATCTGGGAGGCAAAGATCTCAGTGAGCCAAGATTACGCCACTGCACTCCAGCCTGGGTGACAGAGCGAGACTCCATCTCAAAAAAAAAAAAAAAAAAAAAAAAAAAAGATTGAGATTTTTTTAATCCTTCACAAACAATAATATATCTGATGATTTATGACTTTTTAAATATCACTTAAGGGAATGCCACCAAAGGTGAAGTTTAAACATAAATGTGGTAAGAAAGTTCCTCTTTAAGATTCAGTCCTGGTGCTCTGTTCATTTAAAATCTGGATGCCTAGGCCGGGTGTGGGGGCTCATGCCTATAATCCCAGCACTTTGGGAGGCCAAAGCAGGAGGATTGCTTGAGCACAAGAGTTTGAGACCAGCATGGACAACAGAGTGAGACCCCATCTCTACAAAAATAAATAAATAAATGATGGAAAACATCTCGATGTGTAAGTATGTTACGTGAACATGCAAACGGTGGAATACTATGCAGTGGTCAGAGCAATGAATTGGAAGTACAAACAGCAACATCTTAAAAACATAGCTTTCACTGAATAAAATAAACCAAAGAAAACTATAGTCTAGTATAAATTTAAAACATACATAAAACAAAGCACTATATATTGTTCGAAGTCACATACATAGCAAGTACCTCAAGCAAACACACTTGAGAGTGAATGGCTTTAGAGGAACAGTGGGTGGGAACTGGAATCAGAGAGGCAAGAGACAAAAGCCCCCGTGGCAGTGACCCTACGCCGCTTCCCTTCCATGCTGTCTTGCAACAAATCTCCCTGCCGAAATCGTACCTGTAACTCCATCTGAGGCAAATCCCCCAGTAAAGTGCAATCGACATCCCAATAGATGCTAAATTCTGCTACGTCTAATTGCTTTTTCCGCATTAGTTTCTGTACCTGAGGTAAAAAAGACAAAGAAGAAAATAGGATGACTGTCTTTATTCGTGAATGTCATTCATTCAACAAACCATTTGTAAAGAATCATGTGTCAGGTACTTTGCAAGGTGCTGTGGACATATAACTCAATTAAAACATGCTTCTGCTCTTACAGAGTTCAAAATCTAGCTAACTGGCGATACAAACAGGCAAATACATAATTTTAATGACACAGAGGGAAGCAGAAGAAGAATCTATACGATGCTATGAGCAAACAAGAAAACGTCACTGTGCAAATGAGTGTCGAAAGATATATAAGTTTCAGGCAAATGGTCGGGTAGGAGGAAAGGGCTGGGTCAACCATACAGTCCTCCCTCAGTATCAGCAGGGAGTTGGTTCCAGGAACCTCAAAGATACAAAAATCTGCAAATGCTCAAGTCTCTTAAAAAGGCATAGTATTTGCGTATAACCTACCCATATATCCTCCCTGTACACTTTAAATCATCTCTAGATTACTTATAATAACTAATACAACATAAATGCTATGTAAATCATTGTTATACAGAATTTTTTTTTTTTTTTTTGAGATGGAGTTTCGATCTTGTTGCCCAGGCTGGAGTACAACGGCACGATCTCGGCTCACCGCAACCCCCACCTCCCAGGTTCAAGTGATTCTCCTGCCTCAGCCTCCCGAATAGCTGGGATTACAGGCATGCATCACCATGCCCGGCTAACTTTGTATTTTTAGTAGAGACAGGGTTTTTCCATGTTGGCCAGGCTGGTCTTGAACTCCTGACCTCAGGTGATCCACCCGTCTCGGCCTCCCAAAGTGCTGGGATTACAGGCATGAGCCACCACGCCCAGTCCTGAATTTTTTTTTATATTATTTTTTGTTGTTATATTTTTCTTTTTATTGTTTGTTTTTTAGGGGGAGGGGGAATATTTTCTTCTCTTGTTTTTTTTTTTTTTTGGAGACAGAATCTCACTCTGTCACCCAGGCTGGAGTGCAGTGGCATGATCTCAGCTCACTGCAACCTTCACTTCCCAGGTTCAAGCGATTCTCCTGCCTCAGCCTCCCAAGTAGCTGGGACTACAGGTATATGCCACCATGCCTGGCTAATTTTTTTATTTTTAATAGAGATGGGGTTTCATCATGTTTCCCAGACTGGTCTTGAACTCCTGAACTCAGGCGATCTGCCCGCCTCGGCCTCCCAAAGTGCTGGGATTACAGGCGTGAGCCACTGCACCCAGCCAGTGGGGGAGTATTTTCCGATCCTCTGTTGGTGGAATCCATGGATATGGAACCTGAGGATATGGAAGGGTGACCGTACAAAAGGCCTGATATCTTCAGGGAACAGTGAGTCTGTCTGTACAACTGGAACACTGGATGTGTGCGGTGGGGGCAGTATTGGTACATGTGGATGAATACATATTTGGGATGAGGAGTTAGCTAAGAGTTGAGAAAAGTAGCTTGGAATGTTACTAGATACACTAGGTTGAATAGTGTCTTCCCTTCCCAAAACAAAGTCATAACCACACAGAAGCGTGTATGTAACCTTATTCGAAAATTAGGTCTTTGCAGATGTAATCAAATTAAGAGGTCATACTGGTTTAGTGGAGGCCCTAATCTAACGAGTATTGTCCTTACAAGAAGAAAAAGGACACAAGGAGAAGGCCACATGAAGACGGAGGCAGAGGCTGCGTGAAGCACCTGCAAGCTGAGCAATCTCAATGACCGTCAGCAGCCACTAGACAAGGAGAGACGCATGGGACGGTTTCTCCCTCAGAGCCTCCAGAAGGGACTGATCAGCCACAACCCCTTGACTTCAGACCTCTCGTCTAGAGAATAAATTTATGTTGCTTTAAGCCATCTGGTTTGTGGCAATGTGTTAGGGCTGCCCTGGTTATCAAATCCATTAGGAAAGGAAGTTTATGCCATGCTAAGGTGTTTGGACTTCAGGCCTTAGGTGATGCGGAGCTGCTGAACGTTTTGATGCAGGCAGATACCACAATCAGGTATGTTTCAGAAAAAGAAGTCTGGTGACAGTGTAAAGTAGGGCTTTCCCTTCAGTGTGCCAGGAAAAAAAAAGTTATGAGTGTCTCAAGTATGAGCCAGTGTATGGGATCAAGTTACATCTTAGAAACGTGGTTACTCTCAGCTGGCCGCTTCCAGCCCCAAGCAGCCACAGCCATTTGCCCCGGTGTACTGTACAAATACTATCTTTTTACTGTGTGGGTCCTGACATGGAAAACACTGGAAAGCATTGGTATAGGACAAATGGAAAGATCCTGGAGATCACAGAACAGGGAATTTCATTAGTCCAGGTAAAACCTGACAGCATCCTGCAAGGTGACGGTCATATGAGGATGGACAGGAAGAGCTATGTTTGAGATGCTTTGTCAGAAAAAGTAGCACGACACTGTGAATAACTAGATATGGAAACTGAAGCATAAGAAGTGAAAGGAGGAGCACACAGCTTCTAGAGATCAGTGTGGCAGGCAGGAGCACAGGGTGAGGAGCAGGGATGGCACGCTCTTCCATAAAGGGCCACAGAGTCAACAGCTTAGGCTCTGCAGGCCATGCAGTCTCTGCTGCAACTACACTACTCCACCGTGGACAACACTAATGAGCATGGCAGAGTCAACAGCTTAGGCTCTGCAGGCCATGCAGTCTCTGCTGCAACTACACTACTCCACCGTGGACAACACTAATGAGCATGGCAGAGTCAACAGCTTAGGCTCTGCAGGCCATGCAGTCTCTGCTGCAACTACACTACTCCACCGTGGACAACACTAATGAGCATGGCAGAGTCAACAGCTTAGGCTCTGCAGGCCATGCAGTCTCTGCTGCAACTACACTACTCCACCGTGGACAACACTAATGAGCATGGCTGGGATCTAATAAACCTTTATTTACAAAAACAGATGGGGAACCAGACTCGGCCACCGGCCAGTGTGCCAAGCCCTAACTTAGAGCTGGTCCACCCAGGTTCAAGACCTGGCTCCACTTTTCACTCCGCCTCTCGTGCCGTAGTGTCCTCAGTAGGGTTATTAGGATAACAGCAGTGGTGAAAATCAAGGAGAATTAAATGAGTTAAATCATGGAAAGTGCTAAGAACAGTGCCTGCCATATAAAAGGGCTCAAAACTGTTATTGTTGGTTTTTACATTCAGTAACGTTAGGGAATAAAGAAAAATACGTCATTTAGGGGACAAAATGGGCAGATGGAATACACAGGATCATTCTAGTTATGACAAGCTGTGGCATACATGAAATATATTTGGTCTTTTTCCCTGGTTCCTGGCACAGAATTCCTAAAACCCTTGGAAGTTCCTGACAGGAGTGTCATTGTTGTTCATAAAAAGCCTCATGATCACACCCCAGTATATGCTAATTAAGTGACTTTTGTTGGGGTCCCTAGACAGGCTCAAGATGGGGCTCATCACAGAAAGATCAAGTAATTAGAGGGTTGGGCCTTTCAGCACCACTCACTGACCTCTGGGTGATGGGGCTGGAGATTAAGCTGCATAAAAACTTTGAACCATGAGATCTGCTGAGCTTCCAGGTTGCTGAACACTGGAGGGGGGTGTGGCCCTCTTTATCTAGATATTCACCTGTATCCTCATAACACCGTTTATTATAAACCAGCAAATGTAAGTAAAGTGTTTCCCTGAGTTCTGTGAGCCATCCTAGCAAATTACCAAACCTGAGGAGGGGAACTGTGGGAACTCCAACTTCTAGTCAGAAGCACCGGTCACAACCTGGGCCTTGTGACTGGCATCTGAAGTGGGAGGCGGTCCTATGGGACTAAGCCCTTACCCAGCGGGGTCTGCAGTAACCCATTAGTGTCAGAATTGACTTGAACTATAGGACACTGAGTTGATATGTGGAGAACTGCTTGGCGTGTGGGGGAAAATCCTCACACGTCTGGTGTCAAAAGTGTTGTTTTTTGTGTAGAGTGTGAAGAAACAGAGTGTGTTTTGAGACAAGCAGTAGTTTTAAGAAAACCACGAATATGAAGGTCAAAGGGTGGAGAATGGAGTTCAAGATGTGGAAGCCATCATCAAATATTCCCAGGTGGTAGCTACAACTATGAAACACAGTGAGTTTACCCAGGGAGTGTACATAACACGAGAAAAAAATCAAAAATAAAATCCTTTCTGCCCCTCAGTTTCTTCATGTATAAAATGAAAGTGATATAACCAAAGGTCAGAGAAAATTACCTGTTTCCCTATTTCAGCAAATTTGATTTGTTGCAAATACACAAGAGACACCCATGCCTATCACAGAAGGCAATGGAAAAGAATGTGATTCATTTACATAACACAAAATGGCAAAAGGCAGAGCCCCAGATTCCTAGAGCATGGCTTTCTTCCTGCTTTGTCATCACATTTCATACTCACAGGCTCATTCACAGCATTTTGCATGGACACATTCTTAATGCAGATGCCAAAAGCAAAAGGATGGGAGGGATTGGTGACACCATCTTCAAAGCGTAAATGGACATCTTGAATTTTTAACTGCAAAGAGAAAAAAGAAAAAGCAGCTGATGCACCTGCAGAATAGTGTTCCAAAGAAAAGAAAAAAGAAAAAGCATTTAGATAACTGCTGTAGGTGAAATACTATAGTTAGGGGTCAAACTGCCCTTGAGCCACTAAAGGAAACCACACCAGGCACTTTATACAAACACAACACACACATATCCAGTGTCCTATAAGTTCCTAAGGGAGTTATAATAACTCTCTTGTTATGTTATGTTATAATATGTTATATTATGTTATGTTATATTATGTTATCATAACTCTCTTGAATGTTACTTTGTGATTAGTTTTACCAAAAGAGCTCCAATACTTTCATTAAATCATTTCAGAAGACACCTTAAAAAAAAGCAATTAAAGAAAGCAAAGCCATTGTATACAGACAATTGTTCCTCTTGCTCTGTTGATATCTTCATCTTGCCTCTATGTCCCCACATCTGGACCAAGGAAACCAGCAAGGCACATAAACTATGTATGTATATATGTATTTCCCCTAGCCCCTCCCTGTAAGTGGGCTACAGGAAAGGCACTCTGCTTCAATGAATTAAAAAATAATAACAGGTTGAGCACAGTGATTCATGCCTATAATCCCAGCACTCTGGGAAGCTGAGGCAGGAATATTACTTGAACCCAAGAGTTAGAGACCAGCCTAGGCAACATAGCAAGACCTCACTTCTACTAAAAATTTTTTTTAAATAGCCAGGTATGGTGGCACGAGCCTGCAGTCTCAGCTACTCAGGAGGCTGAGGCAGGAGGATTGTTTGAGCCCATGAGATGGAGGCTGCAGTAAGGTATGATGGTGCCACTGCACTCCAGCCTAGGCAACGGAGTGAGATTATGTCTTAATAATAACAATAATAATAATAATAATAATAATAACAGAAAGTAAAAAGACAATCCACAGAATGGGAGAAAGTACTTGCAAATCTGATAAGAATCTGGTATTCAGAATATATAGAGAGCTCTTATAACTCAACAATAAAAAGATAAACTGATTTGTAAAATAGGCAAAGGATGGCCAGGCACGGTGGATCATGCCTGTAATCCCAGCACTTTGGGAGGCCGAGGCAGTCGGATCACCTGAGGTCAGGAGTTAGAGACCAGACTGGCCAACATGGTGAAACCCCGTCTCTATTAAAAACACAAAAAATTAGCGGGGCGTGGTGGCAGGCACCTGTAGTCTCAGCTACTTGGGAGGCTGAGGCAGGAGAATGGCATGAACCCGGGAGGCGGAGTTTGCAGTGAGCCGGGATCACGCCACTGCACTGCACTCCAGCCTGGGCAACAGAGCAACACTGTCTCAAAAAAAAAAAAAAAATACAAAAATACAAAACTTAGCCAGGCATGATAGCGCAGGCCTGTAATCCCAGCTACTCGTGAGGCTGAGCCAGGAGAATCGCTTGAATCCGGGAGGCGGAGGTTGCAGTGAGCCGAGATCACGCCACCACATTCCAGCCTGAGCAACAGAGGGAGACTCCGTCTCAAAAAAAAAAAAAAAAAATTGTGGCAAAGGATTCAAATAGACATTTCTCCAAAAAAAAGATACACAAGTGGCCAGTAAATACACGGAAAAATATTCAGTATCCTTCGCCATTAAGAAAATGCAAATCGAAATCATAGCAAGATCATCATTTCACACCCACTAGTACACAATGAATAATAAATGTTTGCTTTTTGTTTTTGTTTTTTTTGGGTTTTTTTTGGGTTTTTTTTAATTTTTTTCTTTCTGTCCTGAATGGTGTTAGAGAGAATGCTATCTCACCATTTCTGCAGGCTTTTTTTTTTTTTGAGATGGAGTCTCGCTTTGTCGCCCAGGCTGGAGTGCAATGGTGTGATCTTGGCTCACTGCAACCTCCGTCTCCCGGGTTCAAGCGACTTTCCTGCCTCAGCCTCCCCACCAAGTAGCTGGGACGACACGCACATGCCACCATGTCTAGCTAATTTTGTATTTTTAGCAGAGACGGGGTTTCACCAGGCTGGTCTCGATCTCCTGACCTCAAGCAATCCGCCTGCCTTGGCCTCCCAAAGTGCTGGGATTACAGGCGTGCCCAGCCCCATAATCAATAATAAATGTTGATGAGGATATGGAGAAACAAAATGCTCATACATTGCTGGTGATATCGTAAAATAGTGCAGCCTCTTTGGAAAACAGTTTGGTAGTTCCTCAAAAAGTAAACAGAGTTACCCCATAATTCCTCAATTCTACTCCAAGATATCTATTTGAGACAACTGAAAACATGTTCACCCAAAACCCTATACACAAATGTTTACAGCAATATTATTCGTAATAGCAAAAAGGAGAACCAACCCAAATGTCCAGCAACTCATGAATGAATAAACAAAATGTCGTATGTCCTGAGAAACGCAAGGACTCTCAGCAAGAACATTCCATTCCAAAGAGACTTGACCAAACTTTAATATGGCTTCTGGCAGCCCGAGGCCATGTCCCTGGGGACAACACAGTCCTCTACTGAGTTCTTGCCTGGTAAAGCTCAGGACTATCAAAAGAACGTACCCTTTATTCCAGACAACACCTGACACAGGCCCCTGACCTTCCTTTCTTATAGCACGTTTACTGAAAAGGGTTTATAGGTTTGCAGAGCAATTCAACTGTGACATTTCTCTGAGAGATGTATATGTACAGGTCACGTATCCCTTATCTGAAAGGCTTGGGACAAGAAGTGTTCCGGATTTCATTTTTGGGGGGGATTTTGAAATATTTGCATTATACTTAACTGGCTGAGTATCCCAAATCCAAAAATCCAAACTCCAAAATGCTCCAATGAGCATTTCCTTTGAGTATCATGTGGGCACTCAAAAAGTTTCAAACTTTGGAGGATTTCAGATTTTCAGATTTGGGATACTCGACCTGTATCTCCTACAGCTCAGGAGTGTCTTTCTTAAGGACCTGAAAGCCACTCCTTTGAAATGTAATCATCAGGAAGGGTAAGGCTCAATCTCCCAGTCTGAGGGAGGATAGAATCCTAACTTTGATCACTGCCAGCGGACACAGTTAGCCTAATGACATTCACAGCGACCAACGCCTTGTAATTTTTCACTTGAGTACCCACTCACTCCACCTCCCTGCACCCTCAAGCTCTCTTTAAAAGGCCCAGCTACCTCCACACAAGTCAGCCTGGAGCTCAGCTCTTTCCTCTACTGTCAGTAGTTACAGAGTAAAATCTGTTTTCATTGCTCTGAGGTCCAGCTTTGTTTAATCTTTGACAATCCATACAATGGAATATATGATTCAGTCATAAAAAGGAATAAAGTGCTGACACATGCTACTACACAGATGACCCTTGAAAACATTATGTCAAGTGAAAATGGCCAGGCTATATATTACATGATTCCATTTAGATGAAATGTCTACAATAGGCAAATCTAGAAAGAAAGTAGATTAGTGATTGACAGGGGCTGAAGGCAGAGGGGAATTGGCAATGACTACTTTTTTAAATTATTATTTTTTTTTTAAGATACAGGGTTTTGGTCTGTTGCCCAGAATGGGGTGCAGGGGCACTATTATAGCTCACTACAGCCTTGCAGCCCAACTCCTCGGCTCAAGTCATCCTCTTGCCCCAGCCTCCCAAGTAGCTGGGATTACAGGTACATGCCACGAAGCCCAGCTTTGGCAGTGACTACCTGTTGGGATGATAAAAATGTTCTGGAATTATTTAGTGGTGACCAACGCACAACCTTGTAAATATACTAAAAAACATTAAATTGTACACTTTAAAAGACTGAACTTTCTGGCATAAGAACTATATCTCAATAAAACTACTTAAACTAAGATAAAATGAAAATAATGACTAATATTTTATAAATTTGTTTGTCAAAGGAAAGTTACGAAATCAAAAACCTCAGACTGTAATTTTTGGGAACATGACATACATTGAACACATTTGGCCTCTGTCACATTGGCACTGCAAGAAACTTCTAGAGGTAGTAAGTATGGACAAACTCTTAAAACATTCACGAAAATTAGTGGGACCCTGATCAAGTTTTTGAGGATGAAACAAAAGTATAATTGAAGTAGAAAACATGGGCAAGGTCAACAGCCCCAGTCCTGTAACTCGTCAAATTGCCACCAGATACACCAGCAAGAGGTTAGGTATCTTAGTGAGCTGTTCGCAATTTCACAACTCACTATGTAACCAACTAGAGACCAGGCATCCAACCTCTCTCTTTTACAGATGAAGAAACTGAGACCAGAGAGGTGAAGTGATTTACCCTGAAACCATACAGTCATCAAGGTCAAGTAACCTGGATTCTTAGGCCATAAATCCTTGAGCAAGTGGGATTCCAACATTCAAAAAGAAAGTGCGGGAAGTGAAATGGAAGAGATGTGAAAACTCCTCCTCATGCCAGCAGAAACAAGAAAACTCTGTGTCTGCCACAGAGCCTAGGACTTGCTTGTCAGGTTTTCCTCTTGGCACAGCCTACAAAAGGGCAGACCTGAGCAGCCAGCCCCATCTACACCCTAGATCAGCTGAGCCCACGAGAAATGAGAAACTAAGAGGAGAAACACGTTTAAACCTGAGAAATCCCTTTCACGTTGATACTTTTATAAAAGTCAGCAGGACTTACTTCAATATTCTCCACAATCCTTGTAACTACGGAGGCGGTAACTGAATACCAATAGGACTCCCCTTTCTGCTGGCGGTCATTCTACAAAGACAAGAGTCAGCATTAGCTCAATCTAGTGTTCTTGCTCATCTTACACGTGTCACCACAACTGCTCTTATGGCCCAGAAGATCTCTGCCTTGCCTTCCATTTCTCCTCCAGGGCTTGAAGTAGTGCTTTCTTACGTTCCCTTTCCAACAGCTTCTCCTTTTCATCATTGAAATCCTGTATTTTCTCTGGGGCTCCAATTAAGTGAAGGCTGGAGATGGAGATCACCCAAGGGTCCACATGGGGGCGATAAAAGGGAATCTGAAGGGTTACTTTCCCAATGAAGCCTGGAAGGAGAAGGAAAGTCTTGTTCACCATCTGTACACATTTTTAATTCTTTCCATTTTTTGGTATTTTTACAATTTTGTTTAAGGAGCATGGATTGCTGTTACTACTTTTTTTTATTTAAAACAACAGGCAGCAGGCTCTTGCACATGTGAAACAAGTGTTAGGAGGCTGACATCTGTAAGAATAAGGTATAATGACTTATATAAGCTGGAAAAAGTTCGCGAAGACTTTACCACATCAACAGTAACATCCCTCCTCTAGAAACTATCTCCTTTTCCAACTGGAGTACATCTTACACTTGCTCAGGGTGTCTTTCTTCCCCGGGTCCCGCACAAGCCCATGGACACTAAACTCATTTCTTGTTCATTAGTCATTGTCTGGTTGATAAGCACTAGTTGGAGTCATCAGACCTATGATATATTCAATCTTGAACATACCCACCACAAACTGAAACATAGGTAAATGGTGCTGGCCTTCTCTCAATAAAGAATTCTGATGCTTCATGAGAACCTGGGCTGATGAGAAAGCCAAACGGCTCGGTAGAATTGTGATATTTATTTCCCAAGTTCTTCCATTTCTAGCCAAGCCTCCTAGAATACAAGCTTTCTTTATGTTCAATTTATAAGAGTCAAGCAGTGTTGCCCAGGCTGGTCTTGAACTCCTGGCCTCAAGTGATCCTCCTGCCTCAGCCTCCCAAAGTGCTGGGATTCCAGGTGAAAGCCACCAAGTCCAGTCCAACAATGGTATTTTTAATGACAACATCAAATGATCAACCGTGTAATCCAGTAATAAATTCAGAAATTTAGCCAAGCTTGGTGGCACGCAGCTGTATTCAACTATTCCAACTAATAGCTGGGGAAGCTGAGGCAGGAGGATCTCTTTAGCCTGGAAGTTCAAAGCTGTAGTGAGCTATGATAGCATCCCTGTACTCCAGCCTGGGTGACAAAGCAAGACCCTGTCATAAATAAATAAATACATAAATAAAAAGGAGGCCAGGCATGGTGGCTCACGCCCGTAATCCCAGCACTTTGGGAGGCCGAGACAGGCAGATCACCTGAGGTCAGGAGTTCAAGACCAGCCTGGCCAACAAGGCGAAACCTCGTCTCTACTAAAAATACAAAAAAATTAGCCGGGCATGGTGGTGCACACCTGTAGTCCCAGCTACTCTAGAGGCTGAGGCAGAAGAATTGCTTCAACCCGAGAGGCAGAGGTTGCAGTGAGCCGAGATCGCACCACGGCACTCCAGCCTCGGTGACAGAGCGAGACTCCATCTGAAAAAAAAAAAAGAAAAGAAAAGAAAAAGAAAAAGGGAAAGGGGAAAGAAAAGGAAACCTTGAATGTAGAACAGAGGTTCTCACACTTGAGTAAACATAAGAATCACCTGGAGTGCTTATTAAACACTGTAGGTTCAATGACATTCCCTCAGAGATTCTGATTCAGTCGGTCCGGGTATCACCTGACCTCCCCACCACCATCACAAGGTCATCCTGATACGAGTGGCCCAAAGACCACACTTTAAGACTGGCCTAAACTCTAACATTTGCTATATCCTTCCTCTAACTGGCCAAATCAATACAAACTCCAGGGCTCTCAGTTTTCACCTCTCAAACAATTTAAGACTCAAATTTCTTCCCCCTCCTTTAGTTCCACATACCAGCTTTGACTTCAAATGGTAATTCCAATTCTTTCAAGGCATCTTTCTTTAATGGCAAGTTTTCTAATTCAACAGCACCTAAAAATAAAAACAGCATCATGAAATATCCATTTAACAAATACAGTAGGCCACCTACTGTGTGTAAAGCATTGAAGGTTAAAGGGAAAGTTTTACATATAGAATAGGCTACGTCATGTGAAGGTTAAAGGAAAGTTTTACATCTAGAACGGGCTACATCATGTGTAGGTTAAAGTTTTACACCTAGAACAGGCTATATCATGTGTAGGTTAAAGGGAAAGTTTTACATCTAGAACAGGCTTATCATGTGTAGTGCTACCACCAGCCCATACGCTTCATCTAAACGAATTTCCAGGCCGTCCGCTCTAACACGTACATGAGAGCTGAAGCTTAGGCGCTGATGAAGAGTTCAGACCAAGAGTTACATTTTCCATAACAGGACAGATAGTAAATATTTTAGGATTTATATGATGTCTGTTGCGTATTCTCCTTTTTTTTTTTATCAACCTTTAAAAATGCAAAAACCATTCTTAGTCTGCAGGCCAGATGTGGCCGGCGGGTCTCTTTGCTGACCCCTTGCTTAGGCTAATATTTACCAGAGGAACATCAAAATCTGACTCACCTAGGATGAAATGCAGGCTCCTGGGCCCCACCCGCAGACCAACTACCTCTGAATCTCTGGGATTGAAGCACAGAAATTTGCAGTTTCTAACAAGTTCCTTCCACCCCCAACCCCTCCCCAAAATGAGTATAGTGCAAACAGTATTCAAAAGTCTATGATCCAATTAAATGAAACTGGTCTTCAAAAGGAATTATACTCTTCTCTTCTGGGGAACTCCTTAGCACCTCTACTTACAAGTGTAATAACCGATCAGAAAGCAAAAGAAGGAACAGGACCGCCGCTGAAAATTGTTTTCAGACCCAACTTTTATGACTTAAACCCGAAAGTGAACTGACAAGAGGGCAGCTAGATCCATCACTCTCCCGGCTATGCAAGCCATTCACCCTCACATATATAGAGCCCTGCTCTGTGGGAGGCACTGTGATGGCCACTGAAAATGTAAAAAGAGAAGGCAGAGTCCCCATCCTTAAATCACTGCCATTGTTTTTACAAAATTGTTTGCGAGACACAAGGCAATTTTTGAGCAACCTAAATCTGTCTGAGATATACATTTTCAAGAACACGGAGTACAGACAACAACCATTAATTAGTAAGAAATGCAAGAGAGCCTTTTACTCCAAGTACAAAATAATGCAAAAAACATGATTATGTTTCCCTTTAAATGATTGTTCAGGACTTGTGGGTTACTGGCTTCTAAAGAAGAATTCAGGCCAGGTGCGGCAGCTCACCCCTGTAATCCCAGCACTTTGGGAGGCTGAGGCTGGGAAATCGCTTGAGCCCAGGAGTTCAAGACCAGCCTGGGCAATACGGCAAGACCCCAACTCTACAATAAATTTTTAAAAATTAGCCAGGCATGGTAGCACACATCTGTAGTCCCAGCTACTGGGGAGGCTGAGGCAGGAGGATCGCTTGAGCCCAGGAGGTCAAGGCTGCAGTGAGCTATACTCACACAACTGCACTCCCAGCCTTGGTGACAAAGCTAGACCCCATCTCTAAAAAGAAAAAGGGAAAAAAAAAGAAGAAAAAGAATTCAAATCTAGCAACTTGGCGGATCTGAACAAATACAATCAATTTATTTGTTGATTTTTGCAGGAACATTTGTCCACATGGGCCATGCCCCACCCCCCACCCCGCCCCACCACCATACCTTACGACTAACAGAAAGAAAAAGTTTGTAACCCCAGCGAAACAACCCCATTTCCACATTTGGGGAGAAAATGAACATAAGGGGAAAAAAAAATCATGAAACATTTTCCTTGGTTGAAACAGACTTAATGGGGGCAATTAAATAGTTTCTTCTTTTGAAGAGCATGATTTATGCTTCGAACTGCCTTTTTTTTTTTTTTTTTTTTTTTGAGATGGAATCTCGCTTTTGTCGCCCAGGCTGGAGGGCAATGGCGCGATCTCGGCTCACTGCAAACTCCGCCTCCTGGGTTCAAGCGATTCTCCAGTCTCAGCCTCCCGAGTAGCTGGGACTATAGGTGCCCGCCACCACACCCAGCTAATTTTTGTATTTTTAGTAGAGACAGGGTTTCACCATATTGATCAGGCTGGTCTTGAACTCCTGACCTCAAGTGATCCACCCACCTTGGCCTCCCAAAGTGCTAGAATTACAGGCGTGAGCCACCGCACCCAGCCCGAACCACCTTATTTTTCAATACCCAAATCTGTCACAAAGGCAGGTGAGCTCTGGGCTTCCCTGGCAGCTGTACAACCTTGGGAAAGTAAAGGGAATTGCAGGCAACTCGCACCACGAAAAATTAAAGCTGAAGCATAAGAGGGCAAAGGAGGAGATCTAGAAAGGAGAGAGAGAATGTAAAGGAAAAAATGAGAAGAAACAACAGCCTACACCAAGCCAAAAGCAAATGAATCTGGCAAAACAGCATGGCCGTAGTTTAAGACTGAAGGTTTCCTAGTCCCCACCCACTCAAATATGCACCCACTGGCCCTGCAGGGAAAGGTCCCTCCAAAGAGCCAAGCAGAAAAACACCCAAAGTACTGAGTGCTTTATAAATGATAATGCAGGTCACTCACTCCAGACAGACCCCAATGTACTGAGTGCTTTATAAATGATAATGCGGGTCACTCACTCCAGGCAGACATTACAGACTTACTCACGGATGTCTCATCCAAAAACTCCTCATCTCAGGCTAGCAAGAAATCTACTCACTAAACTGGGAGTAATTTAGAGGTAGGTCATTTCTCAGTAATTTCTAATGGCTACTGAACTCTCTTCCCGCTGCTCCAGGTTATTTAAAGAGTCAACCTAAGGTTCGGAGCTTATAAAAACAAAAAGGAGGGGAAATGGATGTTTTGGGTTACAAATATACGATAGGCCCCCAGGCTGAAGTTCAGATTCCTTGACATGGCACTGGCAGCCTCTACCTTCTGGCCCCAAACCATTTCAAAAACACCCTGCAAGTTTTCAGCCTCTGCTCACAGGGTGCATTCCACCTCGAATGTGGGGACCTGCCCAGTGCCACCTATGGAAATCCTGCTAAAATCCACTTAAGGCTGGGCGCAGTGGCTCACGCCTATAATCCCAGAACTTTGGGAGGCCAAGGCAGGAGGATTGCTTGAGCCCAAGAATTCAAGACCAGCCTTGGCAACATGGTAAAACCCCATCTCTACAAAAAATAAAACAAATAGCCGGACCTATGGTGGTACATGCCTGGAGTCCCAGCTACTCAGGAGGCTGAGATGGAAAGATTACTTGAGCCCAGAGAGGTTGAGGGTGCAGTGAACCTTGATGGTGCCATTGCACTCCTGGGGCAATAGAGCAAGACCCTGTCTCCAAAAAAAGAAAAAAGAAAAAAAGATCCACTCAAAAGCTACCTCCATAACCTTCCCAGAGTCCTACAGGCAAAATGGACAGCTCTCTTCCTTCACACCCCATCGCATGATGCCTGTATTTCCAGAATAATCATTTAATCTATACTGCCTTGTATTACCGTATAATTTGTCTCCCAAACAGGTTAACAGTCCTCTGAGATCAGGGACTATAGAGGTGGAATAACAAGACGGGCATGGTGGCTCATGCCCATAATCCCAGCACTTTAGGAGGCCAAGCAGGAGCATCATTTGAGCCCAGAGTTTCAGACCAGCCTAGGCAACATAGTGAAACCCTGTATCTACAAAAAATAAAAAATCACCCAGGTATGGTAGCATGCACCTGTAGTCCCAGCTACCCTGGAGGCTGAGGCAGGAGGATCGCTTCAGGATCGCCAAAAGTTCGAGGCTGCAGGGAGCTATGATCCTACTACTGCACTCTAGCCTGGGTGACAGAGTGAGACTTCCTCTCAAAAAAAAAAAAAAAAAGAATAGCAGCTACCATTTAGTGTGGTCCTACTGTGTCCAAGCACTTCATACACATTATCTCATTTAATCCTCACAACAATACAAATAAATAATATTAGTTTCTCAATTTTTGAGGTGGAGGAAAAAAAAAGGCTTAGAGAACAAGCAATTTGCTTTAAAATTTTTTTGTAATTTTATTATTATTACTATTTTTTAGAGATAGGGTCTCACTCTGTTGCCAAGGCTGCAGTGCAGTGGCACAATCACAGCTCACTGCAGCCTCAAACTCTTGGGACCAAGGGATCTTCCTGCCTCAGCCTCCTCAGTAGCCAGGACTACAGGCATGTGCCACCATGCCTGTATGTATACATATATATGTATGTATTTTGGGGGATTACAAGTATATATATATATTTTTTGGGGGGGATTTTTTGGGGATTATTTTATATATATATATTTTGGGGGGGAGATATATATACATATATTTCTTTTTTTTTTTTTTGAGACAGGGTCCCACTGTCACCCAGGTTGGAGTACAGTGGTGACATCGCAGCTCACTGCAGCCTCCACAGCACACTGCAAGTGATGCTCATGCCTCAGCCTCCCAAGCAGCTGGGACTACAGGCACACGCCACCACCCCCGCTAACTTTTATATTTTTAGTACAGACGGGGTTTCATCATGTTGCCCAGGCTGGTCTCGAACTCCTGGCTTCAAGTGATATGCCCGCCTTGGCCTCCCAAAGTGCTGGAATTACAGGCGTAAGCCACCATGCCCAGCCTCAATAAATGTTTTTAAATGACTGAACAATGAACTTTTTTTGTTTTTGAAACAGGGTCTTGCTCTGTTGCCCAGGCTACAGTGCAGTGACAAGAACATAGCTCAATGCAGCCTCGACCTCCTGGGCTCAAGCGATCCTCCCACCTGGGCCTCCCAAGTAGCTGGAACCACAGGCGTGCACCACAACACCCAGCTAATTTTATTTATTTATTTTTTTTTTTAGAGAAGGGATCTCACCATGTTGCCCAGGCTAGTCTTGAACTTCTGGCCTCAGGTGATCCTCTGGCCTTGGCCTCCCGAAGTGCTAGGATTACAGGCGTGAGGCACCACACCCGACCTCAATAAATGTTTTTGAATGACTGAACAAGTGAAAATTTTTGGGGGAAAAGCATCTTGCTCTGTTGCCCAGGCCAGAGTGCAGTGGAGGGAACACAACTCAATGCAACCTCAACCTCTCCAGCTCAAGTGATCCTCCCACCTCAGCCTCCCAAGTAGCTGGGACCACAGGCATGCGCCACCATACCCAGCTAATTTTTTTTTTTTTTTTTGTAGAAAAGGGATCTCACCATATTGCCCAGGCTAGTCTTGAACTCCTGGCTTCAGGTGATCCTCCCATGTTACTTTGTATTTTTTTTATTTGTCTTTAAATGCTATCTCCATTCTTAAACACTCATGTTACTTTGCATTTTGTTACTTTTCATATGTGGATGCAATCTACATATATATACACACACACATATATATACACACACAGATATATATATATACACACATACACACATATATATATACATACACAGATATATATATACACACACACACAATCTCTTTGAAGTCCACTCCATCAGCCAATCCAATCATACACTGATGATCATGAGGATGGATGATAACTAACATTGACTGAGAGCCTACAATATGCCAAGAACAGCTCTAAGCTCTCTGACCCACATTAATTTCTTAGTCCTCAGAACCTTACGAGATAGTTAATATTATCTCCAATTTACAAAAAGGGAGAGTGAAGCATGAAGAAACTGATAACCTACCCAGGTTACTGGTAAATGGAAGAACTGGGATTCAAACACATAGTTTAGCTAAAAAAATCAATACCCTTGACCACTATTTCAGTCCTCTTTGCATCTCCCAAAGCATCTAGAACAGTAAATATCAGTAGATGGATTGAAATGACATTCTCGGCCGGGTGCAGTGGAACATGCCTGTAATCCCAGCACTTTGGGAGGCCCAGGTGGGAGGATCACTTGAACTCAGGAGTTCAAGAGCTGCCTGAGCAACATGGCAAAACCCCATCTCTACCAAAAAAATATAAAAATTAGCCGGGCGTGGTGGTGCATGCCTGTGGTCCCAGCTGCTTGGGAGGCTGAGGCAGGAGGACTGCTTGAGCACAGAAGGTCAAGGTGGCATTGAGGTGAAATCACGCCACTGCACTCCAGCCTGGGTGACAGAAAGAAACCCTGTCTCAAAAAAAAAGAAAGAACATTCTCATTCCTATCTAGTACCCTCTCTATTCCCAAACACTGCTTAACTGTGTCAGAGACGAACAAGCAGCACCAACTTCTTTACGAAGCCATTCCCTCAGTACAATTCCATGCCCCCAAGATTGTTCTGGCCACGCTCTGTGATGTGCTTTGGATCCATAAGCATTGGGTACCATACTAACACCAGTTACAAAAGAAAAAGCATTGTTCTACCCTGCGGAGAAGCATTCTTCAAGTTCCACAGGTTCATTAAAAGCCATAAAGAATAATGTTTTTAGAAAGGAAATAAGGGCAGAAAAGCAGTTTAAAGTACCAGATAAACACAGTTGTTACAAGATACATTCTAAAACTGCTGAGAAATGTTAGTACGACTCTGTAACACATCAGATATCCATTTCTATTTACTCATTTCTTTGGCAAATGCTCTTGCCACATGATTCCTGACAGAACCAGCTCTTTGATTAGCAGGGTCGTGGTCTGCAGCTCTCTTTCTAGGCCCTGTTATCTATACGTCATACAACGTAGTTAGCTTCACAGTGGGTCTGAGAACTTCAATAAGAGACCAGAGAGGTGAACTTGACACTACTATTGCACTTTGAATGCATCCTCTTCCCTGACAGACTGCTCACTCGCACTTTCCACTTAGCTCCCGTTTCAGGACAAGAGGAAAACCAGGAGAATAGGAAAGGAAAGGAAGAGAGTGGGGAGGCGTGACCATGACGGCTCTGCCCATGGCCTAGCGCTGCCACAATCATTTGGTCAGAAAAACATGAAAAGCAACACTTTTTTTTTATTTTTTATTTTTTGCGATGGAGTTTCACTCTTGTTGCCCAGGCTGGAGTGCAGTGGTGTGACCTCGGCTCACTGCAACCTCCGCCTTCTGGTTTCAAGCGATTCTCCTGCCTCAGCCTCCCGAGTAGTGGGATTACAGGCACCCGCCACCACACCCAGCTAATTTTTGTATTTTTAGTAGAGACAGGTTTCACCATGTTGGCCAGGCTGGTCTCAAACTCCTGACCTCGTGATCCGCCTGCCTTAGCTTCCCAAAGTACTGGGATTACAGGCATGAGCCACCGCGCCTGGCCGGAAAGCAACACATTTAATGGAACATGTGAACCACCGGTACTCTATTCTCAGACTACGCAAACAGCTGTGTCACTGTTCTCTCTAACCTGCTCTGGTCCACTTACCAAAACTCACATCCACAAAGGTGAGGTTTCACTGTATTTGAAGTCTCCTTCCCATTTCCTATGATTTTACACACGTGGCAAACTGACTTTCTTCTCTTCCCTACGTATGTTAAAAAGCTCCATTTTGAGCTGAGCAAAGAGAATTTAAATTAAAACAAGGAAAGGGAGAAAATGCAGTTTTCGAATTCCCATGCCAAATCAGGGACTGCATTTACCAAGTCTAGGCCTGTAAAGGGTAAAATGTCTGAAGCTTCAGGTACTCTACTACTAAGCAAGTCAAAACCTCAGAAATTCTGTTGAACACCTCACAATAATCAATTTTAAAACTTTTATTGAGTGCTTACTATATGCCAGCAGGCTAGGGGCTTTAAATGTTATTCCAGTTGATCCTTAAAGCAACCCTCTGGAGGTATATTATCTCTGTCTAAGAAACTGAGGCTTGGAATTTCAATATGAGCTATTGTTCACATAGCTAATAAGTGACAAAACAGTATTTGAAGCCAAAGTCAATGCCACTGTCGGTACATTGTGGCTGCCTCCATAAAGCTTCATAAAGCTAAAAGTTAACTGGGACTAAGCACAGTCACCAGTAGTGTAGCTTATTTTGTTTTTGTTTTTTAATATTTAATAGTTCCTTAAAATCTACAACAATATAGCTATAAACTTAAGTTACTCTGGAAAAATCATCAGGATGATATGGGACCTTTTTACATACATTTAGTACAAAGCCATCTGGGCATTAGGTTTTATGATTCTCAGGACAACAAAAAAAATACAAAAATAGAAACGCCACCTATAAAGCTGTATCTCACCCAGAGAAATACTCACCTTTGAGAAGTGCAACTGAGAGCTGGTCAGTGTTCAGGTTATTGACATATTTTCCCAAATAGGTATTGAGAACCCAGGCTACAAGGCCTTCCAACATGACTATATCCTCAGGAAAAGGTGTTTAGAAATCATGGATCATTCTTTATTTCTCTCTTTCATGGTCACAGAAAAATCTATGAAAGGAAAATAATGAAAATCAACATAAAAACAGGATGATTTTCTAAGCCAATTTCCTCCTCTACCTGCCTGAAGGTAGATGAATGCAAAGCACAGATGTTTTGTTGGGTTTTGTTTGTTTGTGTTTTTGTTTTTGTTTTGAGACAGTTTCGCTCTCGTCACCCAGGCTGGGGTGCAGTGGCACAATCTCGGCTCACTGCAATCTCTGCCTCCCGGGTTCAAGCGATTCTCCTGCCTCAGCCTCCCAAGTAGCTGGGATGACAGCTGCCCACCACCACACCCAGCTGATTTTTTGTATTTTTAGTAGAGATGGGGTTTCACCATGTTGACCAGCCTGTCCCAAACTCCTGACCTCAGGTGATCCACCCGCCTCAGCCACCCAAAGTGCTGGGATTACAGGCATGAGCCACTGCGCCCGGCTGCAGATGTTTTAAAAGATGAGGCAAGAAGCTCTGTAAGATGTCCCCATCAGTAACTGGAGGGCCAAACCAAAACACCTACATTCTGATGCTGCTTCAGGGAATAGTCACTCTTAAATTTACCAAAAATTACCTACAATTCAAAGCTGTCTATCTTTTCAGTGTAACTGTCCATTGCTTGCTTATGTTGATTTACCTTGGGATTAGACTGCCGTGATCAGAGGTTCTCCTATGGGCATAATTTAGTAATCTCTGGAGGCATTTTTTATCATGACTTAGGGGCTGCTACTGGCATCTTGTGAATAAAGACCACGGAAGCTGCTAAACCTACAACACACAAGACAGCTCCCACAGCAAAGAATTATCCAACCCAAATGTCAACAGAGCCAATGTTAAGAAACCTTATCCTAGATTAAGACAGAAAATGCCGTAAGAGATTGTCTGAATGAAATTCATGAAAGAGGCCGGGGGTGGTGGCTCACGCCTGGAGTCCCAGCACTTTGGGAGGCCGAGGCAGGTGGATCACCTGAGGTCAGGAGTCCAAACCCAGCCTGGCCAACATGGTGAAACCCTGTCTCTACCAAAAATACAAAACTTAGCCAGGCATGGTGGCAGGCACCTGTAATCCCAGCTACTCGGGAGGCTGAGGCAGGAGAATCCCTTGAACCCGGGAGGCAGAGGTTGCAGTGAGCCAAGATCACACCACCGCACTCCAGCCTGGGTGACAGAGTGAGACTCCATCTCAAAAAAAAAAAGAAAAAGAAACTCATGAAACAAACCTGAATAAAGTTGGGGGTGGGGGGAGAATTCACATTCTTTAATGATCCTCATTTAGGCCGCCCAAATTAAATGTCTCAAATTTGTTCATGAGGATCACTTATAAAATAATATACATGGGAGAGAGGCGACAGTGCTTTATCACTGTTCTTAAATGTCCTGGAACTGCATTACTGGTACCTGGGCACCAGATGACGCTGATACAATGAACAATCTTAGTCGATTATTACAAACCCCAAACTCCAGAAATCCTCTGGCTCCAGCCACGGTATTTAGATTTTGTAGGTACTACTGCCTGTTATAATAACTGGTGTTTACCAGTATTACCAAAAAAAAAAAAAAAAAAAAAAAAAGACTAATTTTAGTATTACAAAAAGTCAACATGAGGGAAACTGAGACACAAAAGTTTAACTGGGTTCTGAGATTGCTCAACTAGAAGATCCCAGTGGAAACTGTGAGCCTCAAATCTTGTTCTGATCCACCATGTCAGTCATCAGCCACCCTGCCAGGCACTACAGACTTGCCATGGCACGCATCCCACTGGAGCCAGCCTACTTTCAGGATCCTCTCCAAGCACGCTGCCCCACCTCTAGTGATTCATCTTAGTGCCAGAAGATACACCTATCCCAACTGAGAGGCTGCCATCCAACAACTACCTGAAGCACAAGGCCTCCACAAGAATGAATTCAATCTCCTGGAAAAACTGGCTTTTGTTTGTCAACAATATCTTGTACTTCCAGAGAAGATTAACTTTTATTGGTCAACAGTGACAGCAAAAAGAAAAAAACAGCATTTGGTAAAATATTTGACCAATTTCTTTCCAAAGATTTTTTTTTCTGCAAATGGAATATAAAGATATTTTTTAAGGGTAGAGTTACATAAAACTAATTATTAGCTACATTTGTTTAAAGAAGATGTTATAAGAACAATTTTTTAAAAAAAATGCTCAACAGTCTGAATAAAAGAAACATTTCTCTATTGTAACTTTTTTTTCTGGAGACAGAGTGTTGCTCCCTCGCCCAGGCTGGAGTGCAGTGACGGGATCTCGGATCTCGGCTCACTGCAACCGCCATCTCCTGGGTTCAAGCGATTCTCCTACCTCTGCCTCCTGAGTAGCTGGGATTACAGGCACCTGCCACCATCCCCGGCTAAGTTTTGTATTTTTGGTAGAGACAGGGTTTCATCATGTTGGCCAGGCTGGTCTGAAATCCTGACCTTAAGCGATCTGCCCACTTTGGCCTCCCAAAGTGCTGGGATTACAGGCGTGAGCCACCGTGCCCGGCCACTATTATAACTTGAAAGGAGTAAATTTGTGAAAACCAAATGTGAAACTGACTAATCTTACTATGGGGACTCCAAACAAATTTGAGCAAGAAGCCAAGGTCAGAGTACTCTTTATTTTTGTAGTTATTGCCACTAATTTCGGCCCTAAATGCCAACTCTGAGTGCCAATTACCAATTATCTCCAAATCAAGGGAAACAACTGTCAGTTTGTAAACAAGTTCAGGCCCTACCCTACTTGCCCTAAACGGAAAAGAATGCAAAGCACAGATTTTAAAAGCATGAGTGATTAGCATTGTGAGGCAACCTGGTCAGTAACATTGAGGCCCAAACCAGAAAGCACCCATTATTTGCTCTGCTAAGCATCTAGACCGTGCTTGAGGCCACTTCAAGGATTCCCTGAAGGAATTCAGTGTCAGCAAGGGCCGCCAGACTGGCCAGAGTCCCAAAGTGTTTACACTCCGGTCCATCAGGACTTCTAGGCAGCTGCCTGGCACTGGCACTAACCCCCACCTGGGCTCCCCTACCCAGTGGGGCGGGTGACAGTAGGGATCAGTGCTGAGCCCACGGGCGGGCAGACAGCCGGGCATGACCTTGAGCCAGGCCCCTCCCCTGAGGAGCGGCCAGACCGGGAATAGGAAGGACTGGCAACCGGACCTGGGCGTCCCTCCCCGAGGCGGCCAGGGCTGAACGCTGCCGGCGCCAGGGAGCTCCAAAACCGGGGCGGGGACGGCTGTGCGACCGGTGGCCCCACAGGAACGGCACTGCCCGGAAGGCGACGCTCCCACAACCCTCCCGCCCCCAGCTCTCGGAACCCTCAGCCCCCTCCAGGGGACAGAGACCCCACCACCCAAGTAAAACCTGGAGGGAACGGCGCCGGGATCCCATACCTAGGAGGAGTGGCTGGGCCAGGGCGTGACCCTGGGGGGTAAAAGGTAAAGAGAGGTTTTAGGCCTGATGTCTGGCATCCCACACCTAGGAGGAGTGGCTGGGCCAGGGCGTGACCCTGGGGGGCAAAAGGTAAAGAGAGGTTTTAGGCCTGATGTCTCCACGCGAGAGTGTGACCTCGGGTGGCTGATTAAGGGAGGTGGCTAAGGCATTCTAGAGAACTGACACCCCACTCTTCGGCGTAATGTGGGGGGCTCGCACACTGGGGTCCTGCATTGAGACCAAGGCTCAGGCGGACAGGCGCGGACTGACACCCCCCAATTCCAGGGCGCCAGGCTGCTGGGACCCCGGAAAGTGTGCCGGGGTCCAGCGGGGGCTCGGGCTCCCCAGGACACGGACGTCGGGGTTCCCAGAGGTTCAGCCAGCCCCGAGCCTGTGCTTGGGGAGCTCGCGGGGACTCGGACGCAGGGGTCCCCGGAGGTGGCGGGCTTGGGGCCCGGGGGGAGCAGACGCCCAGGGTTACCCCGAGGGGCTCAGACCGAGGCCGGACGACGGGGCCCCCAGGCTCCTAGCATCGCTCTCCCCAGGGTGGGCCCGGGCCCCCATGTCCAGGCGGAGCCCTAGCGGCGGCCCGCGGGTCCGCGCCGGCCCTGCAGTTCCCGACCCTGGCCCCGCCCGGCACGGAGCCGCTCGGCCCCTACCTGTCGGTGTCCCGGGCCGCCCGCCCCAGCCCGGCGCTGCGCGGCGTTTCCTCCCCGCCGCTCCTCAATGGCGCAGGCCCGCGGCGCTCAGGCCGGCCCCGA
Source organism: Homo sapiens (assembly GCF_000001405.40). NCBI lineage: Eukaryota > Metazoa > Chordata > Mammalia > Primates > Hominidae > Homo > Homo sapiens. The sequence continues at coordinate 12,230,018 of NC_000001.11, read as the reverse complement.
CCCGACCAATCGAGCGGCCGACGCGCCGGTGCCTGGCCAGCCGAGCGCCGAGTTATCGAGGAGGCGCCCCCTGGCGCCGGCGGCCGCTCCTGCAGTGGTGCGGGCCCCTCCAGGGTTCGCGGACACTGGGGCTTATTTTATAGGTGGGGAAATTGAGTCCCAGGGGAGGGCAGGGCCACAAATGACTCTGGTTCAGACAGCATGGGAACCCAGGATTCTTCCCACCTACAACCACCCTGCCTTCCATCCAAGCGAAAGGTGCGATTGGCCGTCCGTCTGGCCCACTCACCCACAGTCCGTTCCCCACTTCGCAGCCACAGGGGCCTGTTAATTCAGACCCTGCCCTTCCCTGCTTAAAACGGCGTCCCCACCGTACTTCAGTTAAAACCCACCTCCTTACAGAGCTGCCACCAAGGTCCCACTGGATCTGGTCCCTTCCCATTTCAGCCACTTTTTCCCCGGCCGACTCTGCCTCAGCATCCTTCAGTTTCTGCCCCAGGAACTGTACCTTTGCCGTTGTCTCTACCTAGGACCCTTCTCCTCAGACCAATAGAAACACAATGCCAGCCACATAGGCAATCCACATTTACTAGCTAGTACATTTTTTTTAAACGAAAAAGAAGAAAATGAACTTCATTTTAATATATTTAATCCAATATGTTCAAAATATGATCATCTCAACATGTCGCCAAAAGAAAAAATTACTAATACAATATGTTAACTTTTTTATAGTAAGTTTTTGAAATTCGGGTATATTTTACATTTACTGCGCATCTCAGTACAAACTAGCCAGAATTCCAGTGCTCAATACCCTCTTGTGGCCAATCCAGAGCTACAGAATAGCTCTGGATATTCGTATAGCTGACTCCCTCTGGCTTCAAATATTCCACTCAGAGAGGACTTGTGCCTATCTACGGTTCCATTATGAGCTGGGCACAGTGGCTCATGCCTGTAATCCCAGCACTTCAGGAGGCTGAGGCGGGCGGATCACTGAAGTCAGGAGTTTGAGACCAGCCTGGCCAACATAGTGAAACCCCATCTCTACTAAAACTACAAAAATTAGCCGGGCGTGGTAGTGCACACCTGTAGTCCCAGCTACTGGGGAAGCTGAGGCAGGAGAATCACTTGAACCCGGGAGGCGGAGGTTGCAGTCAGCCGAGATCACCCCTCTGCACTCCAGACAGAGTGAGACTCCCTCTCAAAAATGAAAATAAAAATAAAGTTCCATTATCCATTACCCTGTTGTATTTTATTCATGGAACCTAATACTCCCTGAGATTATCTTGTTTGTTTATACATATGTTGTTCTTTCCCCAGTACCTTGAAAACAGAGATTTTATCCCTTTCACAGTGTTTCTTCAACACCTAGACATTGCCTAGCACAGAAAAGACTCAATGAGTGTGTATGAATGAACAGCTGAACACTTCCTCCTTGCATTATCACAAGAAGGGCAAGAGGGAGACCTCAGGCTCATATAAATTAGAAGATGCAGGAAGCAGAACGGCAAGGTTACAATCATGTATTTACCATAATAATTACCAACCCTCATGATGCTAAGCTAATGAGGGTGCATGTTGGGCTGACTCACTCCTGAGCAAGACTGGGGTTCCTGTATGGTGGGATCAACCTCTCAGAATCTGGATGCTGGGTCTCCTCTGGGGCTGAGGTTTGGGAGTAAAACCTGGAACTCCACAGACAGAAGGAGGAAGGAAGGCAGTCCTTCAGAGGTGAAGGACCTCGAAGTCCAGATCACCTAGCACAGACAATTGGCTGTACCTGGGAAGCTTGTTAGAAATGCACATGGCCCAGGCCAGGCGCGGTGGCTCATGCCTGTAATCTCAGCACTTTGGGAGGCAGATGTGGGTGGATCACCTGAGGTCAGGAGTTCAGGACCAGCCTGACCAACTTGGCAAAACCCCATCTCTACTAAAAATACAAAAATTAGCCGGGCATGGTCACAGGTGCCTGTAATCCCAGCTACTCTCCTGGCTAAGGCAGGAGAATTGCTTGAACCCAGGAGGCAGAGGTTGCAGTGAGCCGAGATCTCGCCATTGCACTCCAGCCTCGGCAACAGAGCAAGACTCCATCTCAAAAAAAATCCAAAAAAATACTGCACATGGCCTGGCACCGTGGCTCACACCAGTAATCCTAGCACTTTGGGAGGCCAAGGCAGTGGGGGGGATTTTTTGAGGCCAGGAATTCAAGACCAGCCTGTGCAACATAAGGAGACCCCAATCTCTACAAAAAATTATAAATGAAAAAATTAGCTGGGCACGGTGGCACATGCCTGTACTCCCAACTACTGGGAGGAGGATTGCTTGAGCCCATGAGTTCAAGGTTACAGTGAGCAATGATCATGCCTGTGCACTCCAACCTGCGCAACAGAGACCCTGTCTCAAAAATGCAAATTCCTGGGCACCATTGATTCGACCAGTATTACTGAAAGTCTTCGTGCCCCCAGTTTCCTATAAATGTTTAAATATACATTTACCATACAGCAATCCCACTGCTAGATATTAGCCAAGAGAAATTAAAACATATGCCCACACCAAGACTTATACATGAACACTCATAGCAGCTTTATTCATAAAAGCCAGAAACAAAAAAAAACAATCAAAATGTCCATCAACAGGAGAGTGGACAAACAAATTGCAACATAGTCATACAATGGAGCACTACTCACCAACAAAAAGGTGAGTAGGGCTGACGCAGGCACGATCTGGAGGAACCTCAAAAGTATTAGCTATGTGGAAAAAGACCACATACCGTAGTGATTTCATTTCTGTGAAATTCCAGAAAAGACAAAACTGTCAGAGGAACTACAGGCTACAGATGCACTACCACACCCAGCTGATTTGGGGGGTTTTGTTTGTTTGTTTGTTTGTTTGTTTGAGACAATCTTACTCTGTCGCCCAGGCTGGAGTGCAGTGGCACAATCTCGGCTCACTGCAGCCTCTGCCTCCCAGGTTCAAGTGATTCTCATGCCTCAGCCTCCCGAGTAGCTGGGATTCCCGACGTGCACCACCACGCCCGGCTAATTTTTGTATTTTTAGTAGAGATGGGGTTTTGCCATGTTGTCCAGGCTGGTCTTGAACCCCTGAGCTCAAGCATTCCTCCCACCTTGGCCTCCCGAAGTGCTGGGATTACAGGCAGGAGACACTGCTCACAGCTTTTTTCAAAAATTTAATTGACAAATAATTGTATATATTTATGGGCTACAGTGCACTGTTTTGATATCTATTTACAATGTGGAATGATTAATTCACACTAATGAACAAATCCATCAGCTAACATACTTTTTTGGATGAAAACTTTTTTTTTTTTTTTGAGACGGAGTCTCGCTCTTTCGCCCAGGCTGGACTGCAGTGGCGCTGTCTTGGCTCACTGCAAGCTCCGCCTCCCGGGTTCACGCCATTCTCCTGCCTCAGCCTCCCGGGTAGCTGGGACTACAGGCGCCCGCTACCATGCCCGGCTAATTTTTTTTGTATTTTTAGTAGAGACGGGGTTTCACCGTGTTAGCCAGGATGGTCTCGATCTCCTGACCTCGTGATCCGCCCGCCTCAGCCTCCCAAAGTGCTGGGATTACAGGCGTGAGCCACCGCGCCCGGCCAGATGAAAGCATTTAAAACCTACTCTTTTAGCAATTCTGAAATATGCAATGTATTATTTCTTATAGTCACCATTCTGAGCAATAGATCACTATAGCTTCTTTCTCTTGTTTAACTGAAACTTCGTACTCTTTGTTTTGTTTCTTTTTTTTTTTTTTGAGACGGAGTCTCTCTCTGTCACCCAGTTGCCCAGGCTGGAGTGCAGTGGCGCGATCTCAGCTCACTGCAACCTCTGCCTCCCAGGTTCAAGTGATTATCCTGCCTCAGCCTCCCCAGTAGTTGAGATTACAGATATGTACCACCACGCCTGGCAAATTTTTGTACTTTTAGTAGAGACGGTGTTTCATCATGTTGGCCAGGCTGGTCTCAAACTCCTAGCCTCAAGTAATCCACCCACCTCGGCCTCCCAAAGTGCTGGGATGACAGGCGTGACCACCATACCTGGCCCAAACTTTATACTCTTTGGTCAACATCCCCAAGTTCCCAACCCAAGAGTTCCTGGGACCACCAGGATCTCCAGAGAGATAAGAGTGTCTTTTCGTAGGTTCCTGAGACGACTGGTGGCTGAAAGTCCCTAGACAGCTTCAGAATGGGGCTGGTTTCCAGAGGGAGCAACCATGTTATTAGAGAGAGGGTGGGCCTATCTCACGCAAAAACACACACTCTTTGACCGCCTCCGACCTGCGGGGAGGATTGGAGATTGAGTTCAATCACCAATGGCCAATTATTCAGTCAATCATGCCCACGTAAAAACCCTAAAGGTGGTCGGGCACAGTGGCTCACGCCTGTAATCCCAGCACTTTGGGAGGCCGAGACAGGTGCATCACAAGGTCAGGAGATCAAGACCATCCTGGCCAACATGGTGAAACCCTGTCTCTACTAAAAATACAAAAAATTTAGCCGAGCATGGTAGCGGGCGCCTGTAGTCCCAGCTACTTGGGAGGCTGAGGCAGGAGAATGGTGTGAACCTGGGAGGCAGAGCTTGCAGTGAGCTGAGATCAGGCCACTGCACTCCCGCCTGGGCAACAGAGAGACTCCATCTCAAAAAAAAACAAAAAAACCCTAAAGGTTCAGTGTTTCCAAGCCCCACCCCATCTCTAACACCTTGGCCTGTGCATTTTTCCACTAGTTGCATCCTTTATAATAAATTGTAAATGAAAGTAAAGTGGCCAGGAGCAGTGGCTCACGCCTGTAATCCCAGCACTTTGGGAGGCCAAGGCAAGCGGATCACGAAGTCAGGAGTTCGAGACCAGCCTGACCAACATGGTGAAACCGCATCTCTACTAAAAATACAAAAATTAGCCAGGCATGGTGGCAGGTACCTGTAATCCCAGCCACTCAGGACGCCGAGGCAGGAGAATTGCTTGAACCCAGGAGGCAAAGGTTGCAGTGAGCTGGGATTGTGCCAATGCACTCCAGCCTGCAACAGAGCAAGACTCCATCTAAAAAAGAAAAAAGAAAAAGAAAGACAGTAAAGTGTTTCCCTAAGTTCTGTGTGCCATTATTGAAAATAATCAAACCTAAGGGAGGGGTCATGGGAACCCCCAATTTATAGCTGATCAGTCAGAAGTACAGAAGGCCTGGACTAGTGATTGGCATCTGAAGTGGGGCAGTCTTGTGGGGCTGAGCCCTTTACTTGTGGGATCTTCTGCTAATGCCAGGTAGGTAGTGTCAGAATTGAATTGAATCTCAGGACACACAACTGGTGTTCAGAGAATTAGAGAATTGCTTGGGATGTGGAAAACCCACAATTTGGAGTCAGAAGTGTTGTATGAATATAAGAAAAGCAGTTTAGGCTGCACATAGTGGCTCATGCCTGTAATCCTAGCACTTTGGGAGGCCAAGGCGGGAGGATCTCTTGAGCCCAGGAATTCAAGACCAGCCTGGGCAACATAGTAAGACCCTGATGTGGTTTGGCTGTGTCCCCACCCACGTCTCATCTTGAAATGTAGCTCCCATAATCCCCACATGTTGTGGGAGGGACCTGACGGGAGGTAATTGAATCATGGGGGCAGGTTTTTCCCATGCTGTTTTGCTGATAGTGAATAAATCTCATGAGATCTGATGGTTTTATAAAGGGGAGTTTCCCTGCACACGCTCTCTTGCCTGCTGCCATGTAAGATGTACCTTTGCTCTTCTTTTGCCTTCTGCCATGATTGTGAGGCCTCCCCAGCCATGTGGAACTGTGAGTCCATTAAACCTCTTTTCCTTTTTTTTTTTTTTTTAAGATGGAGTCTCGCTCTGTTGCCAGGCTGGAGTGCAGTGGCACAGTCTTGGCTCACTGAAACCTCCGACTCCCTGGTTCAAGCGCTTCTCCTGCTTCAGCCTCCCAAGTAGCTGGAACTACAGGCATGCACCATGCCCAGCTAATTTTTGTATTTTTAGTAGAGATGGGGTTTCACCATGTTGGCTAGGAGGGTCTTGATCTCCTGACCTTGTGATCCACCTGCCTCATCCTCCCAAAGTGCTGGGATTACAGACGTGAGCCACTGTGCCCAGCCTAAACATCTTTTTCTTTATAAGTTACCCAGTCTTGGATATTTCTTTATAGCAGTATGAAAATGGACCAATACAGTAAATTGGCACCAGTAGAGTGGGGTACTCCTATCAAGATACCAGAAAATGTGGAAGAGACTTTGGAACTGGGTAACAGGCAGAGCCTGGAACAGTTCGGAGGGCTCAGAAGAAGACAGGAAGATGTGGGAAAGTTCAGAGCTTCCTAGAGACTTGTTGAATGGTTTTGACCAAAATGCTTATAGTGATATGGACAATGAAGTGCAGGCTGAGGTGGTCTCAGATGGAGACAAAGAATTTATTGGAAACTGAAGCAAAGGTAATTCTTGGTATGCTTTAGCAAAGAGACTCACAGCATTTCACCCCTGGCCTAGAAATCTGTGGAACTTTGAACATGAGAGAGATGATTTAGGGTATCTGAGGGAAGAAATGTCTAAGTAGCAAAGCATTCAAGAGATGACTTGAGTGCTCTTAAAAGCATTCAGTTGGCTGGGTGTGGTGGCTCACGCCTGTAATCCCAGCACTTTGGGAGGCTGAGGCGGGCAGATCACAAAGGTCAGGAGATCAAGACCATCCTGGCTAACATGGTGAAACCCCGTCTCTACTAAAAATACAAAAAAAAAATTAGCCAGGCTTGGTGGCAGGTGCCTGTAGTCCCAGCTACTTGGGAAGCTGAGGCAGGAGAATGGCGTGAACCCAGGAGGCAGAGCTTGCAGTGACCCCAGATTGCACCACTGCACTCCAGCCTGGGCGACAGAGCAAGACTCCGTCTCAAAAAAAAAAAAAAAAAAAAAGCATAAAAGTTTGGAAAATTTGCAGACTGACAATGCGATAGAAAAAAAAAATTTATGGGGAGAAATTCAACCCAGTTGCAGAACTTTGCAGAAGTAATAAGAAGCCAAGCATTAATCACCATGACAATGGGGAAAATGTCTAGAGGGCATGTCAGAGGTCTTCATGGCAGTACCTCCCATCACAGACCTGGAGGCCTAGGAGGAAAAAATGGTTTTGTGGGCCAGGCCCAGGGCCTTGCTGCTTTGTGCAGTCTTGGGACTTGGTCCCTGTGTCCCAGCCATGGCTAAAAGGGGCCAACATACACCTCAGGCCATTGCTTCAGAGGGTGCAAGCCCTAAGCCTTGGCAGCTTACACATGCTGTTAGGTCTGCAGGTGCATGGAAGTCAGGAATTGAGGTTTGGGAACCTCTCTGCCTAGATTTCAGAGGATAATGGAAACACTAGGTAGAGGTGTGCTGCAAGGTGGAGCCCTCACAGAGAATTTCTGCTAGGGCAGTACAGAAAGGAAATGTGGGATGGGAGCCCCCACACAGAGTCCCCACTGGGGCACTGCCTAGTGGAGCTGTGAGAAGAGGGCCACCATCCTCCAGACCCTAGAATGGTAGGACATCTTGCACTGTGCACCTGGAAAAGCTGCAGACACTCAACCCCAGCCAATGAAAATAGCCAGGAGGGGGACTGTACCCTGCAAAGCCACAGGATGGAGAGCTGCCAAAGACCATAGGAACCCATCTCTTGACCTGGATGTGAGACATGGAATCAAAGGAGATCATTTTGGAGCTTTAAGATTTGACTGCCCCACTGGGTTTCAGACTTGCATGGGGCCTATAGCCCATTTGTTTTGGCCAATTTCTCCCATTTGGAACAAGTGTATTTACCCAATGCCCCATTGTATCTAAGAAGTAACTAACTTGCTTTTGATTTTACAAACTCATAGGTGGAAGTGACTTGCCTTGTCTCAGATGAGACTTTGGACTGTAGACTTTTGAGTTAATGCCAAAAGGAGTTAAGACTTTGGAGGACTGTTGAAAAGGCCTGATTGGTTTTGAAATGTAAGGACATGAGATTTTGGAGGGGCCAAGGACAAAATGATATTGTTTGGCTGTGTCCCCACCCAAATCTCATCTTTAATTATAGCTCCCATAATCTCCACATGTTGTGGGAGGGACCTGGTGAGAGGTAATTAAATCATGGAGGTGGGTTTTTTCCCATACTGTCCTCATGATAGTGAATAAGTCTCATGAGATCTGGTGGTTTTATAAAGCGCAGTTCCCCTGCATACACTCTCCAGCCTGCTACCACGTAAGATATGCCTTTGCTCCCCCTTTGCCTTTTGCCAAGAATGTGAGGCCTCCCTAGCCATGTGGAACTGTGAGTCCATTAAACCTCTTTTTCCTTATAAATTACCCAGTCTTGGGTATTTCTTCATAGCAGTATGAAAATGGACTAATACAGACCCTCTTTAAAAAAAAAAAAAAAATCACCTTGCTTTTTTTTAGTTGTAGACATACCAGAGGAAGGGCTGCAGGAGATGGGGGTCATTCCTTAATTACCACCCACTTAGATGCATGTTGGCCCAGAAGGAGTAAGTTTTCTGGGACAGGCAGATTTGCAGAGCCCAGCTCCACACTCTCCCCACATCAGGTTCCTCCCCACCTGTCCTCCTATATCAGTTTCTGGAATCATCTGGACCACAGGGGATGCAGACAGGTAGCCAAAACTCCTGCAGAAATGTTTCTGTTGGCACACACAATGCTTTAAGCTCATTTGAATTACTGAAAACAGAAAAATCTGGAGATTACACATGAAAATCTGTATTTAGGACATCTCTAGAAAAATTGAAGATTTGGCCACTCTGGAAACTGCTGAGGGCCCCATGTGTAATGGCTGCAAACAGCTTCCTTTGTTGTGTAGACAGCCTGAGTTTTTCTCTAAGGGACTATGGAGACAGCCCTTTCCAATGTCTTTGACCTTGGCATTGTCCCCAGTGTAGGCTTCAGACAGGCATGCAAGTTGCCTTTGGAAAGCCCCAGGGCACCGTGGCCAGGGTTCACATTGGCCAAGTCATCATGTTCATCCACACCAAGCTGCAGAACAAGGAGCATGTGATTGGGGCCCTACATAGGGTCACGTTTAAGTTCCCTGGCCACCAGAAGGTCCACATCTCAAAGAAGTGGGGCTTTACCAAGTTCAATGCAGATGAATTTGAATATGTGGTGGCTGAGAAACAGCTCAGCCCAGATGGCTGTGGGGTCAAATCCATCCCTAGTCATGGCCCCCTGGAGAAGTGGCAAGCCTTGTACTCATGAGGGCTTTCACTGTGCTGCCCCCAATAAATTATGCCCACCCATAAATATCCTACTTCCTGTCCGCCCAAAAAACAAAACAAAACAAAACAAAAAACTGAATGCTTCTTTGCCTACATTCATCCAATCATTCACTGTCAACTGAGCACCTACTATGTGCCTGGCACTGTTCTTTTGCAGTGAGAGGGCTGGACCTGGTCTCACTCTGTTGCCCAGACTGGAGTGCAGTGGCACAATCATGGCTCACTGCAGCCTCGATCTTCTGAGCTCAAGTGATCCTCCCACCTCAGCCTCCCAAGTAGCTAAGACTGCAGGTGTGCACACTCAACTAATTTTTTTTTTTTTTGAGACTCACTCTGTCACCCAGGCTGGAGTGCAGTGGCACAATCTCGGCTCACTGCAACCTCTGCCTCCAGGTTCAAGTGATTCTCCTGCCTCAGCCTCCCAAGTAGCTGGGACTACAGGCACGCACCACCATGCCTGGCTAATTTTTGTATTTTTAGTAGAGACGGGGTTTTGCCATGTTGGCCAGGCTGGTTGTGAACTCCTGGCTTCAAGTGATCCGCCCACCTCAGACTCCCAAAATGCTGGTATTATAGGCATGAGCCACCGTGCCCGGCCCTGGCTAATTTTTTGATTTTTTGTAGAGATGGGTGGGGGGCTCTCACTATGTTCAGTAGGCTGGTCTCGAACCCCTGGGCTCCAACAATCCACCCATCTCAGCCTCCCAAAGTGCTGGAATTATAGGAGTGAGCCACTGGCCACCGAGCCTGGCTGCCTGGGACTGTTCTAAGCCTATGACTAAGCAAAATAAAGCTTTGCCATCCTAGAGTTTATATTCTAGCAGGAGGTGTAGACAATAAGAAATAAATATAACAGATATGTAAATTATATAGTATTTGAGAAGGTGATAAGTACCATAAGAGCCCTGTGGGGGGTAGGAAGATCCCAGATGTGAGGAAGTTGCAATTTTAATTATGAATTAATTTAATTAGGTCTTGAAGGCTTTTAACTTTGTAAGGCAGTGCTGTCCAATAGAAATAGAATGCAAGCCATATGCATAAATTTCAAATTGTCTAGTAGCCAAATCACAGAGTGAAAAGAAACAGGTAAAATGAAGTTAATATTGTATTTAACCTAGTATATCCAAAATAAGACCATTTCAACATGTAAATCAATGTAAAAATACCAAGAACATATTGTATATAGTTTTTCATAGTAAGTCTTCTATATTTGGTATTTCGTATTGAGATGTATGTTACACATCTCAACCTGAACTAGCCATGTTTCAAGTACTCAGAAGCATCTGTTCCTGGTAGCTACTCTATTTGGAAGCACAGGTCCAGAATCTCTTGTGAAAGTGCAAGCAGCCCAGGGATAGATGGTACCATCACCCCATGGGGAAAAAAAGAGAAAAGGTGGCCGGGCGCGGTGGCTCATACCTGTAATCCCAGCACTTTGGGAGACTGAGGTGGATGGATCACGAGGTCAGGAGATGGAGATCATCCTGGCCAACATGTTGAAACCCTGTCTCTACTAAAAATACAAAAAATTAGCCAGGCATGGTGACTGGTGCCTGTAGTCCCAGCTACTCGGGAGGCTGAGGCAGGAGAATCACTTGAACCCGGGAGGTGGAGGTTGCAGTGAACTGAGATTGCACCACTGCACTCCAGCCTGGGTGACAGAGTGAGACTCTGTCTCAAAAAAAAAAAAAAAAAAAGAGAAAGAGAGAGAAAAGGCAAATAGACCACAGCTCAGAGGCCAGCCCCCTCATCTCACAGATGGTGATTCTGAGCTCCAGAGGGGGACAGAGGCTGCTCAAAGTTCACATGGCAAAATAGTGGTGGAACCAAGGCACAGTCACTCTTAGGATTCCCAGCCTTTAGATTCACCCAAAGCAGCTGCTCAGCCCAACCTCCTAGCTTTCAGGGTGCTGCTAGTTTCCCCAGAAAGATGTCTACCCCTTTAAATCCAGGTTTCCTTGACTTTCTTGTGAAATTCTAAGGAGCTGCTTATCAGGAACTTCCCACAGTAAACAGCCTGTCCAACACAATCCTAAGATAAGTGTCAAACCCAGCCCTGCCAGCCCTATGTCCTCCTCTGCAAAGCAGGGATAATGAGTACCTTGCCTATCTCGCAGGACAGTTACCGAGTTGAAATGATGCAACCTCACTTTCTCAACTGTGGTATTTTGGGGTTTTTTGGGGACAGGGTCTCGCTCTGTCACCCAGGCTGGAGTGCAGTGGCACCATCACAGCTCAAGCAATCTAGCTAATTTTTTGGTAGAGACGAGGTCTCCCTATGTTGCCCAGGATGGTATTAAGCTCCTGGCCTCAAGCCATCCTCCCACCTTGGGCCTCCCAAAGTGCTGGGATTACAGGTGTGAGCCACCATACCCAGTCTGCTTTCTCAGCATTAGCTCAGACAATGCTATGGAACTTCCCACACTCCCCAGCTCAGGCCCCTCCCATGACACTGAAGATAAAACCTAACGGCCCAGCATGGTGGCTCCCACCTGTAATCCCAGCACTTTGGGAGGCTGAGGCAGGCGGATCACCTGAAGTCAGGAGTTCAAGACTGGCCTGGCCAACATGGCAAAACCCTGTCTCTATTAAAAATACAAAAATTAGCCAGGTATGATGGCAGACAACTGTAATCCCAGCTGCCTGGGAGCCTGAGGCAGGAGAATCACTTGAACCCGGGTTGCAGTGAGCCAAGATCACACCACTGTACTCCAGCCTAGGAGACAGAGCAAGACTCTGTCTAAAAAAAAAAAAAAAAAAAAAAGCCAAAGTCCTTTCCATGGCTTCACACCACTCTCCCAACCCCATATCCCATCCCACCCCCCATAGTCCCATGGCTGTCCTGTCCTCCCCTCACCAAGGTGTCTGCTTAAACTCCAGCACCTCAGAGAAGCCTTCCTCAACCCACCTTGCAAACTGGCAGCAACCCTATCTGTCCCTTCACTTTGCTTTATTTTTCTTAGCACTTACCACTACAGGCATAGCCTACATGTCTGTCTTTACATAGTCCCTGCTAGTGTGTCAGCTCCAGGTGGACAGGGACCTTGCCTGTGCTGTTATCTGCAGCATTCTCAGCACCTATACATTAAAAAAAAAAAGCAATTAACATGTATGGAGCCCTGACAATGTGCCAGGCACAGTTCTAAGCATTTCAGACAGTAACTGATGTAATCCCACAATCTGAGGGAGGTACGATTTTAATCCCATCTTACAGATAAGGCGAGTAAGGCACAGAGACATCAGAGATATTCATTCACTTGATTGAGGTCACAGCAACAGGAAGTGTTGCATCCAGGATTCACACCTGGGCAGGTAGGCTTCCAGGACCTACAACTTTTCTTCTTTAAGACAGTGTCTCGGGGCTGGGCGTGGTGGCTCATGCCTGTAATCCCAGCACTTTGGGAGGCCGAGGTGGGCGGATCACGAGGTCAGGAGATCGAGACCATCCTGGCTAACACGGTGAAACCCCATCTCTACTAAAAATACAAAAAAGTTAACCGGGCGTGGTGGCGTGCGCCTGTGGTCCCAGCTATTTGGGAGGCTGAGGCAGGAGAATGGCGTGAACCTGGGAGGCGGAGCTTGCAGTGAGCTGAGATCAGGCCACTGCACTCCAGCCTGGGTGACAGAGCAAGACTCCGTCTCAAAAAAAAAAAAAAAAAGACAGGGTCTCACTCTGCCACCCAGGCTGGAGTACAGTGACTCGATCACGGTTCACTGCAGCCTCGACTTGATCACGGTTTATTGCAGCCTCAACTTCCTGGGCTCAAGCAATTCTCCCACCTCAGCCTCCCACAGTGCTGGGATTACAGGCTTGAGCCACCGCGCCAGGCTGGACCCACAATTTTGGGTTCTGTGCTTGTTCATCTATAATGATAATGAATGAATGAGAACAATAAAGAGAACTCAAAAAGACATTCCTTCTCTACCCAGGCTGGTCCTAGCTCCGCCAAACCACATGTTCTGTCCTGATTAAAGAAATGGGCAAGAGAAGCTGCAAGCCTGGCCCATGCTGACTGGTTGCTGTATCAGGCAGGTGGCTGCCCCTGGTTGCTCCAAATGGACCCCCTCAAACAGAATCATCTGGTGCCTCCTCTGTCTCCAGATAGGTGGTGAGCTCTGGGAAACAGCAGCGCTGGATCTGGTCCCTCGGGCTCAGCACCAGCCGATGTCCAATGCCTATGAGAGGAAGGAGCCAAAGCTGCCCTCCTCCCCCAGCACCAAGTCAATTCCCTGCTCTCAAAGGGGGTTTATTCCAGTTTCCATGATCCACACACTGGCTCAGCTCATGTTTCATACATTGACATCCCAACCAGGTTGGTGCTGTTACTATCCCCATTGTATATATAGATGGGGACTCAAGCTCAGTGCAGCCCCAGCCTCTGCAGAGTGGATGTTCAGTAAACGTGAACATCCACAGCAATGACACCATGAGTGAACACCAGAGCTGCTGGGGCTGCAATGGCCTCTGTGCAGGAAACACAGGGCACAGGCAAGTTGAAGGAAAACGCTTTTGCCAAGGAGAGGCAAGCATTAGAAGAACCCACAAGGAGAGGCACTAGCGGGAAGCTATGGGGCCACAGTGGTGGTGGCAGGGAGAATCTACCAGAAGGGGAAGGGGAGTAGGGAATACACACCTGGCCTCACTTTCTTCCCATCCTCCAGTCTCCTGATGAGTTGGGATCGTTCCCTTAGCCCCCTTCATAGGCAGGAATTGGAGTGGCTCATTTCATTCAGCCTGCCGCTGGCCACTCCTCGTGAAAGAAAGCATGTAAGCAAGTGAGTGCGAGGACCAGAGGGAATGAATGCCGGAACTGGCCAGTCGCTCCTTTCTGGTAGGAGCAGGCTCTGTACAGGCCCCACAGCAGCATCCAAGTCCCTGCCTTCTCAGCATGCAGATTCTTGTCTGGCATCCAGGAAGAATCAGGTCACACAGATGGATTGAAAGATGATGAATGCAGAAGACTTTATTGAGCAGTGAAAGGGGCTCTCAGCAGAAGGGGAGCTGAAAAGGGGATGATGCAGGAAGGTGATCTTTCCCTGAAGCCACGCCATCTGAAGTTAATCACGTCTATCCGTAGTCTCTGACGCTCAGTTGCTTCTCTGCTCAGATGCTTGTTATCTCCTCCAGTCAGCCGTTTGTGTCACTCTGCCAGCTGAAGTCTTTTTATGGGCACAGAATAGTGGCATGGCAGGCCAAAAAGGCAGCATTTGGGCAGAAAAATAGGGTCAGCTGTCTTCACTTAGGGCAGCAGTTCCAGGCTTAAGGGTGGGGCTTAGCCAGGAGCCTGGCCATTCTGTATCACTGCTACTGCTCTCCCATGGCCAAACCCTGCTGGGAGCCTCAGGGAAAGGGGTCCAGGAATGTGTGTGCAGGAGGCAGTCTCCCAGGGCACAAAGCAGGGCAGAGAGGGGAACCGGAGGGGTGGATGGAGACTAACCAGCACATTGCCGGTCTCTCCGCTTCTAATCCATCTCTCTCCAGCCATCCCCCGAGTATAGCCAAGGCAAGGGAGCTTCAGAAGGAGCCCCCTGCCTCCTGGTAAGCAGTCCCCACAACTGCACTTTCCAACCTCCTCTCTCCCCAGCACCTGGTGACATCATTCCAAAAGACAAATCTGGCCATATCCCCCCACCGGTGAAACCTCTTCAGCGAGTCCTTTGTCCCGTTGTCTGCCTTAGCAGGACAGTGGCCATCCTTTGGACCTGGCCACTCCTCAGCCTCATTTCCTGCCACTGTCCCAGGCCAAGGGCAGGCTTGGCTGATCCCTGGCTCCCTCAGGCCTCTGCTCCCAGGTTACCTCTCCCGGTCCCCTCCCTGATCCAAAAGGGCACTTCCATCCCTTGGTCCCCTGTGTCCAGCTTCATTTTCTTCATCCCTGTCTAATATTATGTTTCTTTTCTTCCTACCCATTACGTAAGCTTCATTTTAGCAGCCACTGAATCCCCGCAACTAGAGCACAATACATACTTGTTCCTTCAAGCGTCAGGAGGTATCAGGATGTATTTCAGGTATTTAAAGCTGGATGGGATCCACAACGAGGGAGTTGGAGAGGGAGAAGAGGTGCAAGGACTGAGCCCTGGGACCCCTCATCAGTCAGACGTTGATGAGATGAGGAGGAACCAGGCAGGAAGGCAGAAGGGGTCCCTGAGATGGCAGGAGAGTCATGGGGTGTGGACTCCTGACAGCCAGGCAAGGAAAGACTTCCAAGGAGTGGAGATTGATCACTCAGGTCAAATACCGCCTGCCTGTAGGAGAAGTGAGATGGGGACTGAAGCTGATCATTGAATTTAGCCGTATGGAGTTTCATAGAGACCTGGTCAAAAGACAGGTTGAGTAGAGTAGGGGGCACAAGTGGTGGGCACATGAGAAAATGGGAGAAGACAAATTGGAGACCTGAATATGCTGTTCTCCAGGTGTTTTTGCTGTAAGAGTAGCTGAGAAATCTGACAGCGCCTGGAAGAATTGTGAGCAAGGTTTCTGTTGTTAATTGTGGTGAAATACACATAACAATTTTTTTTTTTTGAGATGGAGTTTCACTCTTCTCTCCCAGGCTAGAGTGCAATGGTGCAATCTCGGCTCACTGCAACCTCTGCCTCCCAGGTTCAAACAATTCTCCTGCCTCAGCCTACTGAGTAGCTGGGATTACAGGCGCCTGCCACCACACCCGGCTAATTTTTGTATTTTTAGTAGAGACGAGGTTTCGCCATGTTGGCCAGGCTGGTCTCGAACTCCTGACCCCAGGTGATCACCCGCCTCGGCCTCCCACAAAATTTTATCATCTTTTTGTAGTTGTTGCTCTTTTTTGGTTTTTGTTTAAAAGTTCTCATCTTAACCATTATTAAGTGTATAGTTCAGTGGCATTAAGTAATTTCATATTGTTGTGCAACCATCACCACCATCCATCTGCAGAACTTTTTTTTTTTTTTTTTTTTTTAGGGTCTCGCCCTGTCACCCAGGCTGGAGTACAGTGGCACAGGTCATGGCTCCCTGCAGCCTCGACTTCCTGGGCTCGCACAATCTTCCCGCCTTAGCCTCCTGAGTAGCTGGGACCACAGGCGCATGCCACCATGCCCAGCTCATTTTCATAGAGACGGAGTCTTGCTATGTTGTCCAGGATGGTCTCGAACTTCTGAACTCAAGCGATCCACCCACCTCGGCTTCCCAAAGTTCTGGGATTACAGGCGTGAGCCATCATGCCTGGCCTAGAACTCTTCATTTCAAAAAACTGAAACTCTGCACCCATTAAACACTGACTCCCCATTCCCTCTTCTCCCAGCTTCTGGCAACCAACACCCTACTTTCCATCTCTATGAATCCTACTACTCCAGGTACCTCATGTACGGGAAACATACAGAATTTGTCCTTTTGTGACTGGCTTATTTCACTTAGTATAAGGGACAAGGGATCCTTGTCCTCAAGGCATCCGTGTTGCAGCACGTGTCAGAATTTCCTTCCTTTTTAAGGTTGAATATTCCATTGTACACCACTTTTTTTTTTTTTTTTTTTTTGAGATGAAGTCTCACTCTGTCACCCAGGCTGGAGTGCAGTGGCGCGACCTCGGCTCACTGCAACCTCCGCCTCCTGGGTTCAAGTGATTCTCCTGTCTCAGCCTCCTGAGTAGCTGGGACTACAGGCGTGTGTCACCACGCCAGGCTCATTTTTGTATTTTTAGTAGAGATGGGGTTTCACCATGTTGGCCAGGTTGGTCTCGAACTCCTGACCTCAGGTGATCCACCTGCCTCAGCCCTGCAAAGTGCTGGGATTACAGGTGTGAGCCACTGCACCCAGCCTGTAGATCACATTTTGTTTATCCATTCCACCTTTTGGACACCTAGGTTGTTTCCACCTTTTGGCTATTATGAACAGGGAGCACTGCTGTACAAATATCTGTTTGAGACTCTGTTTTCAGTTCTTTAGGGTACACACCCAGAAGCGGAGTTGCTGGATCAGATGGTAATTCTATGTTCCATGTTTTGAGTCGCTGTCACACTGTATCCCATAGCAGTTGGACCACTGTGCACTCTCCTCAGCGACGCACAAGGTTTTCCATCTCTCCACATTTTCACCAACACTTACTAATTTCTGGGTTTTTGATAGTAGTTGTCCTAATGGGTGTGAGGTTGTTTCACAAATGGGAGGAACCTCAGGGTGTCTATATGCAAACAGGAAAGATCCAGGAGCCAGAGAAATTGATGCTGAAGGAAAGAGACAGGAGACTCACTGAAGCAATGTCCTTGAGCCAGGAGAGATGCTAAGATCCCGTGCAGGGGAGGCGCTGTCCTCAGACCCAGTCACGGCAAAGGCCAGGGTTGTGGGCACAGATGCAGGGTGAGAGGGCAGATGTGGTGGGGCAAGCATGAAGCATTCTCTTGTGTTTTATTTTCTCGGTGAAATAGACAGCAAGGTAACCAACTGAAGGTAAGGGTGGGGTGAGGACAGAGGCTTGGGGATAAAGGAGAACACATGAAATAGTCCATCTAGAAGAGTGGGGTAAGGTGTGGTGGCTCATCCCTATAATCCCAGCACTTTGGGAAGCCAAGGTGGGAGGATCACTTGAGCCCAGGAGTTTCAGGCTGCATTGAGCTGTGATTGCGCTACTGCCCTCCAGCCTGGGTCACAGAGTGGTACTCAGTCTCAAACAAAAACCTCAATTAATCCTTTTATTTAAAAGATAAAATAGGCCAGGCGCAGTGGCTCACACCTGTAATCCCAACACTCTGGGAGGCTGAGGTGGGTGCATCACCTGTCAGGAGTTTAAGACCAGCCTGGCCAACATGGCGAAACCCCTTCTCTACCAAAAATACAAAAATTAGCTGGGCGTGGTGGTGTCACCTATAATCCCAGCTACTCGGGAGGCTGAGGCAGGAGAATCGCTTGAACCCGGGAGGCAGAGCTTGCAGTGAGCCGAGATCGCACCACTGCACTCCAGCCTGGGTGACAGAGCGAGACTCCATCTCAAAAAATAAATAAATAAATAAATAAAATTAAAAGATAAATAGAAAGAGTGGGAGACTGAGTGAATAGGAGCTGGTAGGCTGCATAACCAATGGTTGTCTTTGCCCCTGCAAAGACATTGATGTCTGAATTCCTGAAACCTGGCCAAGATGCTAAGACGAGGAGAGTGTCCTGGATTTTCTGGGTGGTCCGTTGTAATTACAGGTGTCCCTACACTTGGGAGGCAAAGGGAGATCTGACTTCTGAAGAGATTCCGTTGCTATCTCTGAAGATGGACGAAGGGGCCATAAGTCAAGGAATGCAGGTACCGCTGGAAGCTGAAGGCAAGGAATCAGATTCTCCCCTAAAGCCTCCAAGAACAAATTCCCCATTTGAGCCTAGCAGGCCTGGCAACACCTTGCTTTTATACTTCTGGCTCCCAGAGCTGTAGGAGAATGAAATTGTATTGTTTTAAGCCACTGAGTTTGTGTGGTTTGTTATAGCAACAACAGGAACTAATATATCGGGGAGGGGACCTGTTGTCACTGCTGGGCAGCACCAAGGACCCCCATAGAATTTATTCTTTTTTTCCATCCCCCAGGCTGGAGTGCAGTGGCAAGATCTCAGCTCACAACAACCTCCGCCTCCTGGGCTCAAGCAATCCTCCCACTTCAACCTCATGGGTAGCTGGGATTCCAGGTACGTGCCACCGCACCCAGCTAGTTTCTGTATTTTTCTGTGGAGATGAGGTTTCACCATGTTGCCCCAGGCTGGTCTTGAACTCCTGAGCTCAAGCAGTCTGCCCACCTCAGCCTCCCAAAGTGCTGGGATTACAGGCATAAGCCACTGTGCCCAGCCAAGTCTAATGATCATGAAATGAAAACGCGACCAGCCAGCATGGTGGAAGGCCATCATCCTGCCCCAGCCAGGTGCAGACGTGCAGGTGTGGCACAGGCAGAGAGCTGGGTTCAACCAGAGAGAGAACAACAAACCAGGAGAAAGTGCCGTGGGTGCGTACAAGGGAGAAAACGTAACCAACAGCTGCAGGTGCCACTGAGGGAGAAAGACAGGAGGAAGTAGGGGTGGGGGGAAGTGGGATGCTTGAAATTGAGATTAGCGTGCAGTTATCAGTAATGCCAGGCTCTAAGGCACTGGCATGGGCACACCCCGAAGGCCACATCCGCCTCCTGCCCATTCTTTCATGTCCTGTGCACAGCTGTTTTCACACTTCAACAGCACAGGTGAGTGGTTGTTGCAGAAACTGTAAGGCCTGCCAAGTGTAAAATATTGATTCTGGTCAGGCGCAATGGCTCACACCTGTAATCCCAGCAGTTCAGGAGGCCCAGGCCGGTGGATCACTTGAGCCCAGGAGTTCGAGACCAGCCTGGGCAACACAGGGAAACCCAAAAAATAAAAATAAAAAAATTTAAAATTTAGCTCGGCATAGTGGTCCATGCCTGTAGTCCTAGCTGCTCAAGAGGCTGCGACTGGAGGTCAGGGCTGCAGTGAGCCACGATCACATTTCAGCTTGGGTAACAGAGTGAGACCTTGTCTCAAAAAATTAAAATAAATTTGCTCCCTGGCTCTTTATGGAATAAGTGTGGGGAGCCTTGGTCAAGGGTTGAGTGACTGAGACAGGCTGGAGGACAGGACCATGGAGGAGAGGAGGGCGAGAAGCCAGGAGGCGGGGCGTTCCATCAATCACAGATCCTATAATCACCAAGAATGAAAATGGTCCCACTGAGGGAGTCACAGGAGCTGGAGTGACGATGGTGACCCAGGGGGTCAGTGGAACCAATACACAGGCCAAGGTCTCTCTCCCCTCCAAGGCTTTCTTCTAATTAATTGATTTTATTTATTTATTTTATTTGGAGACAGACTCTTACTCTGTCACCCAGGCTGGAGTGCAGTGGCCCGATCTCAGCTCACTGCAACCTCTGTTGCCTTGATTCAAGCAATTCTCGTGCCTCGGCCTCCTGACTAGCTGGGATTATAGGTGCATACCGTCATGCCCAGCTAATTTTTTGTATTTTTGGTAGAGATGGGGTTTCACCATGCTGGCCAGGCTAAGGCCTTTAAACTCAGAACTCCTTTTGCCTGACAGTTCCCTGCAATCCTTTGTTCTGGAAAACTGCTGCTCATCCCTCAGGAGGAGGTCAGAGGTCATCTCCAGAACCCTGTTCTAACCTCCTACCTGGGCCCAGGGATGTCCTCTGGGCCCCCAAAACCCTGTACTGGTCTGAGTATCCCAGGGGCAACCACTCTCCCCGAGTGGGGTCCCCAGGAGGGCAGAGCCTGGCTGCCTAGGCTGCTAGGGATCTGCAGAGACCCCATCCCGGTCCTGAGAGCAGGCCCAGGAGACCTGGAGGATGAAGGCATGAGACCAGGGCACACTTGGAACCCAGCCAGCTGTGTGGTCCCGAGCAGGAAGTTCTCTTATGGTTCACAGGCTTGAGGGGGCGGCTGTAACAGGGGTCCCTCTGTGGTCCAGTCACAACAGGGGCCAGCCAGACTCCAGGGACCGTGACGCCATCTCCCCTTACACAGGGGTGGCAGACAAGTAGGAGCATGGACAAACCCAAGCCCAGACCCCAGGCAGAGCCAGGGGTCGACGTGTAAAACAAACAGGTTTATTGATAAGCAGGAATGCCGTCCAGCATACAGTGCAAACTTTCATTGTCTTGGGATCAACACACACACACAAGGGAACCAAGGCCCCACAGAGTCTCCAAATTCATCGCTTCCCGGCTCTGCCCTGTGATGCCAAGGAAGCCTGAGGTTCTCCCAGGACTGTCCACCAGGGGGCAGGTGCGCTCCATCATGTCCTCATGTGGGTCCAATGTGGGCAGAAACCTGGCCAGTCCCAGCAGTCTGACTTTTTTTTTCTTTAAGAGACAGGGTCTCACTCTGTTGCTCAGGCTGGAGTGTAGTGGCGCGATCATAGCTCGCTGCAGCCTCAAACTCCTGGGCTCCAGTGATCCTCCCCTCAGCCTCCTGAGTACAGGTGCACGTCACTGCAGCCAGCCAGTCTGACATCTTGATTCCAGGGTGGAAAACCCTTCTTGTCTCCATGGTAATGGCTGGGCTCTCCCACCCTCCAATAGTTCAGCTGCCAAGCTCAAGTCCAGTGGAATTTATCAACAATTTATCACCCTGCCCCTGCTCTGCTAGACAATTTCATGCCTTCTCCTTTATCCCCATGCTCCTGAGACTGAGCCTTTCCAGGAGCCCCTCAACCTGCTTCCTCCCAGAATCCGGGCAAGGCTACACTGGTTTCCCCTCTGCAGGGCCCTGGCCCTGGGAGGGGGAAGGCTGACTCTAATGGGGAGGAATCCCAGCTTCAGTGGCTTCAAGGCAGGCCATTCAACTTACCGACCTTGGCTACACACACCCACGACACGCAACACAGACGCAGACACAAGACTGGCACTTGGGATCACACTGGCCATGTACCAAAGTGGCAGGGCAGCCCGTTTGGGGCCCAGGAATTGAAGGTGGGGAGTGGGGAAGAGGAACCCACCCCTCTGGGGGAGGAGGAGGGTCTAGGCTGAGGTAGGAGTAGAGAGATGGCTACGAGGACTCAGTCATCTCTAGTTCCTGAAATTCCCTGAAAGGAGATGGTGTGGCCTAGGACAGCAAGGAAGGAGGCGCGGGGCTGCAGGCACACCGGAGTGAAGGCGGAGGGTGCAAATGGCAGGTGGGGGGTTGGATGTGGCTGGCAGAGTTTGGCTTTGTCGTTGGCTTGTTGGCCTGAGTGGTACTTACTTTTTTAAAAAATTGGCAGATTTCTAGTTAGAAGTGCGTTATCTTGCCCAGGCCACAGCACTGAATATGGTGGCCTGCCTGGGCCCTCTGGGCATCTGACTTTCACACCATGGTACAAAAGGACAAGTTGGCATTTGGAGGCGGTGCTTTTTTTTTTCTTTTGAGACAGACTCTCGCTCTGTCGCCCAGGCTGGAGTGCAGTGGCGTGATCTCGGCTCCCTGCAACCTCCGCTTCCCGGGTTCAAACGATTTCCCAGCCTCAGGCTTCTGAGTAGCTGGGACTATAGGTGCCCGCCACCACGCCCGGCTAATTTCTGTATTTTTAGTAGAGATGGGGTTTTACCATGTTGGCCAGGCTGGTCTCGAACTCCTAACCTCAGGTGATCCACCCGCCTCAGCCTCCCAAAGTGCTGGGATCATAGGCGTGAGCCACTGCACCTGGCCTGAGGTGATGCTTTCCAAGCCTCCTGAGCTAACTTGAAGGACCCCGTTCCCTACAGGGCTGCCACCTCCTCCCTGCACAGAGCCCCAGGACCATCCCGCAGTCTCAGCCTCAGGCTGAAGCACTGTCCTGTCTTCATGGGTGACTCAGGCAGCATCCCTCCTCTCCAGAAAGCCCCTCTGCAGAAAAGGATGCTGGGGTTTTCTGGAAGCCAGAGCTGGGGCAGAGCCCAGGGGGAGAAACAAACAAACAAACAAACAAACAAACAAAAAACCCAAGGGCTCCAGAAGCCAGGCTGGCAGGTGCAGCTGGGCGGGGCAGGTCACAGAGAGTCAGGGACTTGCCCCAGCATGCCCCGAACGTCCATGCCCAGCCAGCCTTCCGAGAGGGACACGCCATGGCAGCAGAGGCTTTCCACAACTCGCTGCCTCTGCTCTTGGCCTGCAGGTCAGAGGGAGGCTGCGGCTGTGGAGGGCACTAGAGGAACTTGGCCCAGAAAGAGCCTCAGAGTCCTAGTGGTGGGGGCCTGGAAGGACCAGGGCCCCTTCGCAGGGTCATCCTGCCAGGGCTCAGCCCACCTTGGCTACGACACAGCCCACACCGGCCTGGTTAACTGGGCTTCATCCCAGCATCAGGCACTCCAAGGGGCAGGGGCTTCTCTTCGGTGCTCCCCAGCAGGGTCTCTGGCGTCTCCAGCTGTGACCGAAAGGCACATTCCTCCTTGGAGAAGGGGACCTGCTCGTCCTTCGGGGACTCCGAGGGGCTGGAATCTGTGTCTCCCATTGTGGAGCTGGCTTGGGAGGAGCACTGTGAGCTGTGGTCAGAGCTGCTACAGACGTTCACGATGCAGGTGACATTGACCTGGGTCCCATGGCCACCAGGGGAAGAATCTGCTAAGCACAAGATGGGGTGGGGGTCAGTCCGGGGGTCCAGGAGTGGGGCCCAGGGACCCCTGCCCAAGATGCAGATTCAGACACATGGGAAAGAGCACTGGGCCAGGAGCCGAGACCAAGATTCTAGCCCAGCTCTGCTGTGTGACCTTGAGCAAGTCACTTAACCTGCATGTGCCTCATTTTCCCCTCTGCCGAATAAGAATAGCATCACTACCTACCCAGCCCCAATCACCCCAGAGATGGGAGGAGCCAATTATATAAAACAGATGTCTACTTGGGAGGCCAAGTTTGTAGGATCGCTTGAGCCCAGGAGTTCAAGACCAGACTGGGCAACATAGTGAGACCCTGTCTCTTCTGTCTTTTTTTTTTTTTTTTTTGAGACAGGGTCTCAAAAGAGTGCTGTGTCACTCCCTCAACTCACTGTGACCTCTGCCTCCCGGCCTCAAGTGATCCTCCCACATCAGCCTCCTGAATAGCTGGGACTACAGGCCACCGCACCCTGCTAATTTTTTGTAGAGACAGGGTTTCGCCAGGTTGCCTGGGTTGGTCTCGAACACCTGACCTCAAAGAATCTGCCTACCTCAGCCTCGCAAAGCGCTGAGATTACAGGTGTGAGCCACCGTGCTCAGCCTCCAACTTAACTCTTGATTCTACTCCCATCTCGCATCCAAAACCTCTCCTGCTCATCACAGTTCCCATTGCTGCCATCCACCCAGCTGCTTGGGCCCAGAGCCTCGGACCCATCTTTCTCTCATATCACACACCCATCCATCATTCCTGCCTTGTCTCCCTTCAAAAGATGACTTCTGGACCAGGCAGGGTGGCTCACGCCTGTAATCCCAGCACTTTGGGAGGCCAAGGCAGGTGGATCGCCTGAGGTCAGGAGTTTGAGACCAGCCTGGCCAACATGGTGAAACTCTGTCTCTACTCAAAATACAAAAAAAAAAATTAGCCGGGTATGGTGGCAGGTGCCTATAATCCCAGCTACTCGGGAGGCTGAGGCAGGAGAATAGCTTGAACCCAGGCTACGGAGGTTGCAGTGAGCCGAAATCACGTCACTTCACTCCAGCCTGGGCGAAAGAGCCAAACTCCATCTCAAAAACAAACAAAAACAAAAGATGACTTCTGCAAGGGTCACCCTGCCCTGCTGCTGCATGGTGGGCTATGGAAGCCTCCCCTCACTCCCATCTGGATGGGTGTGAACAGCCTCCATCTGTCCTGGCTTCAACCCCACCCCTCTGAAATCTGTTTCCCATCAGCAGCCAGAGCTGGCCCTTGAACCTGGCAGATCACTTCCTTGGGGGCTCAAAAACCCACAGTCCTTGCTACAGCCTACCAGGCCCTGTCTGATCTGGAGCCTGCCTTCTCCCACCCCCTCTCCTGCCGCTCCAAGACCTTGATGGGGTTCCTTCCAGCCACATTCCCCACCCCCTGCTACAGCCCCTTGAGCCCTTCAGGTCCCCTGGGCCTTTGCACAGGCCGCTCCCTCAGCCTAGAGAGCTCTTCTCTAGTGCTCAGGCCTTAGCTCAAAGGCCACCTCCTCCACGAAGCGCCCTCCACCCCCTGGCCTCCCTCTCTAGAGACATTTACTTCCCATCCTATCCACCACTCTCTGGGTCCCTCCCCATTTCTGTGATCTCCTGATCTCCAGAGCCCCCAGCTCCTGGGGTCCCCAACCAGACTCTGAACCCAGGAGGGTAGGGACTTTTTTTTTTATTTTTTTAGTAGAGACGGGGGTCTTGCTATGTTGCCCAGGCTAGTCTCGAACTCCTGGGCTCAAGTGATCCTCCTGCCTTGGCCTCCTGAAGTACTGAGATTACAGGCATGAGCCACCTTGCCTGGCCAGACCAGGGACTTTTTGATTGTTCCCTGCTGTGTTCCTAGTGCCTGTAACAGGGACAAGTCTACGGGTTTTTTTGTTGGTGGTGGTGGTGGTGGTGGTGGTGATGTTTTTAAGTGAATTGATTACCAACATTTAAAATTCAGGCGTTTACATTTAAAAATCTGGATTTATGGCTTCCCTTGGGAGCCAGATGCAGGAGATCCGGCCAAGGACAGCCCAAGGTTTGCCTCACCTTCCTGCCCAGCCCCTGTGGGCAACTGAGTTTTCTAACTGGTTGGGGAGGCACTGGACGGTGGGTTTGCTGAGATGAATATGAAGGGACTGGCATACAGTAAGTAGCCCCCTCAGAAAATGAGAGTTGCTGCTGCTGTTGCTGCAGGGGCCTGCTGAGTGCCCTCACCCCAGCCTGGTTCTCCCTAACTCCAACTACTCGGATAGGGTAGCCGGGAGGTGGATGGAGCTGGCAACCTGCTGTGCTCAAAACAGCCCCAAGCATGTGGTGGGGGAGGAGGGTTGAAATCACAAGGCCGGAAGGAAATTTCCACCCTGAGCCTCCACAGCACCCAAATGTCACCCAAAGTCACCATGGCCTTTGTATATCGAGCATGAGACATTGCGGGGGTGGATGGGGGACCATGAAGGGGCACAACCCTGGGGTTTACAGGTTCCCACAGTGGAGGGAGGTGTTAGGGGTGGGAGGGAGAGAAA
The DNA here is from genome assembly GCF_000001405.40 of Homo sapiens. Taxonomy (NCBI): domain Eukaryota; kingdom Metazoa; phylum Chordata; class Mammalia; order Primates; family Hominidae; genus Homo; species Homo sapiens. The sequence goes on along the minus strand of NC_000001.11, from coordinate 12,204,185 downwards.
GAGAAGACAGAGGCCAGGGACACGGGCTGGGGGACTCGGGAGAAGGAGCACAGAGCAGAAGGGGCAGAGGGGAGAGGGGAGGGCAGACATGGTCAGGGCTCCACCCTGGCCCAAGGAGGGAGCCACACCAGGTGTAGCTAAGAAATCAGAAAGATGGGCTGCGCATGTTGGCTCACGCCTGTAATCCCAGCCCTTCGGGAGGCCGAGGCAGATGGATCACCTGAGGTCAGGATTTCGAGACCAGTCTGGCCAACATGGTGAAACTCCATCTCTACTAAAAGTACAAAAGTTAGCCAGGCGTGATGGCACATGCCTGTAATCCCGCCTACTCGGGAAGCTGAGGTGGGAGGATCACTTGAACCTGGGAGGCGGAGGCTGCGGTGAGCAGATAAGTCAGCCAAGACTGCGCCACTGCACTCCAGCCTAGGCGACGAGCGAGACCCCATTTAAAAAAAAAAAATCAGACGAATCCAAGAACTGGGCAAAGACTAAGAGTTTATAATTGGAGCGCACTCATTCATTCATTCATTCAACAGTGTGTAGGGCCCCTGATCTCTTCCAGGCACTGGCCCAGGCCCTCCCATAGGGAGTTCTCAGGATGGAGTGAGGGGCACTGATGAGACCTCCCACCGAGGAGGCTGGGGGCTATGATGGGGCAGACAGAAATGGCCACGTCAGCTCCTGTGGGCAGTTGGGGGCAGGTAGGAACAGGTGTGGCAGGCAGGGGTGGCATGAGTGCAGGCAAGAGGCAGGGGCGCAGTGAGCTGGGGAGCAGCTGGGGGTGAGTGAGCTGGAGGAGGGCTGCGTGGTGGGGGCTGCAGCCATCAGTCCCCACCTGGAGGCGGCCCAGAGGGAGCCTGGCCCTGGTCTGGTGCCCAGCTGGGCACAATGTCACCCATCTCTCACCAGCCCTGGCAAGGAGGCGCTATAGCTCACCTCTAGGTGAAAAAACCAAGGCTTGGCAGGGTTAAGCATCCCACCCAAATTCTTATGGCACCAGAGTGGCCAGGCAAGGATCTCAGACTGACCCAAGTTCATGGTCATTCCCTGAATTCTCACTGGCTGGCACTGCCAGGTAAGAGGGAGAGAGGCACAGGCCAGCAGACCCTGTACAGGGGCCCCTCCAGTGTGGGCCCTAGAGATGCCAACCAGGAGTGACATCTGTCATAGACCAGGTCCAGGGCACAATGCAGCCTGCATAAATGGGACACAATCCCCACAGTCCCAGTGCCTCAGACCTAAAGAGACCCAGCAACAAACTGCAGTGAGTGGAGCCCTGGAGCCACCATTTCTTCATTCATCTTCCAATCCCAGGGCTCTGGAGCCCGACAGCCTAGGGGTGAGTCTGGCTCTTCTGTTTACTAGCCATGTGCCCTTGAAGAAGCTGTTTAACCTCTCTGGGGCTCAGTTTCCTCATCTGTAAAATGGGATAACAACAGGAACTATCTCTTAGCATTGACATGCAGGTCAGTTTTATGCATGTAAAGTGCCCAGTACAGTGCCTGCTGTTCCGTAGCCTTCCATAAGTAGAAGCGATTGTTATGATTAATTATCAGTAGCTGGGCCGTGTTGGGCCTGCAGATACAGGGATGAATGAGATGATCCAGGCTCACCAGGTGTCCCACAGCCTGGCGTGGGAGACAGGAGAAGACAATGTCTGTACATGCAGTCTGACAGTCCTGTGAAAGGGAGGCCAGGGCATGGTGAGCCCGGAGGAGCAGCCAGGCCAGCTGGGGGTGGTAGCAGGGAGAAGGTTTCAGGAAAACTCCTCCCCCAGATACCAGGGACTTGGACAAGCTGGGGTTGTCCCACAGAAGGGAGGATTTTGAGGTGATAGGCCCAGCATGGGCAAAGGCGGGAGGGAACTTAGGTTCAGCGAACCGAAGGAAGTTCCCTGTGGCTCAGGCCTCGTCCCACCCTGCGGGGAGGCTCAGGAGGAGATGGCTAAGACAGAAACCAGGTGAGAAAGACCAAGGAGGCTTGGGAAGAAGCCAGGTGTGCTCCCACCTCTTACCTGAGCTCCCGGTGCTGGCCCGGGCCTCCCCGGCCCCACTGGCCTCCACGCCTGGTGCCTGTGGCTGGTTCCGAGTGGGCGCCCTTCTGTCCAACGCACTGGCCGAGCTCTCCAGGGAGCTGCTGCTGGAGCTCGGCGCTGTGATCAGCAGGTGCTGCTGCTCGGGGCCCTGTGTACCCCGGGCCTTATCGGCAGGCAAGTGAGGCTGGATGGGCAGGGGGTGGTAGGGGAGAGCAGTCAGCCCACCAGCCAGCTCTTTCTTCCCCTCTTCCTTCCCACTGCCATCCACACCTCCTGCCATCAGCACTTCTCAGTTTACGTGACGTTTCTGCCCACCCTTGCACGTTCTTTCCACACACGGCACTTTTTGGGAGGTGTGATTCTCCGTGGTTTCTGTGTTTCTGTTATTAGCACCCAGCTGCTCTACTAGAGTGTCCTATGAGGGCAGAGAATACCTGGCCCTGTTCACCAAATAGTCTTAGAGGTGGGGCAGGATTTTCATCCTTATTTTGCATAAGGGAGTAGAAGGAAAGCAGCTTTCCTTCACCCCATCTGCACAGGGAGACATGGCCCAGCCTAGCAACCAAGAGTGTGGACTCTAAACCCAGGCCACACAAGTGCAAATCATGACTCTACCACTCACTTGCTGTGTGACCTTGGACAAGTTACTTAACCTCTCTGTGCCTTTTTTTTTTTTTTTACTCTATAAAGGGAGAATAATAGCCTACCTCATAGGGTTGTTGTGAAGATTAGATGGCTGAATATTTGTAAAGTGCTTAAAACAATGCCTATTACATAGTAAACTCCATACAAGAGTTTGTTAAATCAGAACTAGGCAAATGATTGCCCAGAGGCCCAGTACAGCCTGCCACTAAGAATGGTTTTCACTTTTTTTTTTTTTTTTTTTTTTTGAGACAGGGTCTCACCCTGTTGCTCAGGCAGGAGTGGAGTGGCACAATCATAGCTGACTATAGCCCTCGATTTTCCAGGCTCAAGTGATCCTCCTGCCTCAACCTCCTGAGTAGCTGAGACCACAGGCACGTGTCACTGCTCCTGGCTAATTTTTTTGTTGTCGATTGTTTGTAGAGACAGGGTTGTGCTATGTTACCCAGGCTGGTCTTGTACTCCTGGGCTCAAGCCATCCTCCTACCCTGGCCTCCCAAAGTGCTGGGATACCAGGCGTGCACCACCACACCCCACTGGTTTTCATGTTTTAAATGGTTGAAAAAAAAATGTTTAAGAATAATTTGTGGCCAGGCTTGGTGGCTCATGCCTGTAATCCCAACACTTTGGGAGGCTGAGGCAGGCGGATCACCTGAGGAAGGGAGTTGGGGACCAGCCTGACCAACATGGCAAAACCCCGTCTCTACTAAAAATACAAAATTAGCTGGCGTGGTGGCTCATGCCTGTAATCCCAGCTACTCAGGAGGCTGAGGCAGGAGAATCGCTTGAACCTGGGAGGCAGAGGTTGTGGTGAGGCGAGATCGAGCCACTGCACTCCAGGCTGGGCAACAAGAGTGAAACTCCATCTCAAAAAAAAAGAATAATTTGCGGCACATGGAATGGTGGGAAGCTCAAGTTTGGGTGTCCAGTAGCACAATTAGATAGGAACACACCACTCTCAGTTGGGTGTGTGCTGTCTATGCATGTAGCTGCTTTCTTGCTACAGAGGCAGGTTTGAGTAGCTGTCACTGAGACCATACAGTCCACAAAGCCTGAAATTCCTACCATCTGGCCCTTTACAGAGAAAGCGTGCAGACCTTTGCGCTCAGTCAATCATTCCGGGGCAGAGAGCGCTCACGTCTGAGACCCTCTGCTGCACTGCCTCAGCCTCTTGTTCCAGAGTCCGCCCACAGGCTGCTCTGCAACTTCCCCTGATGTCTTCTTCCCGTAGAATAATAATAATATTATTAGCTGACATTTGAGTGCCACCCAATGCCATGCACTGTACCTACATCCCTCCAGACAATATCTATATTGATTCTTCCAACAACCCAGTGTTATCCTTGCTTTGTGGAAACTGAGGCACGGAGAGATTGAGTTACTTGCCCAAGGTCACGGTTAGGACATACTGTGGCTGGGCTAAATCCCAAAGGGCCTTTCCTGGGTGTCTGGGGTTTCAACTCTGGAGGCTCAAGGCAAGGTCCCCATTTCCAGACACGCACACTGAAGAGAGGCTGGAAATTCCTCTCCCAGGCTGTTGTCTGTTCCCACTGGCTGGCCAGGCGCTCACACCCTTGCCTTGGAATTCTAAGCGATTGTTTTCTGATCCCAGCAAAAAAGGAGATGGCACAGGCCACATTCCCAACAGCTGCCCTGGCCCCTGGCCTGCCCAGGATGAAAACAAGTGTCCCAGGCAGAAAGAAGGAGGGTAGAGATGAGTGAAGGGCTGATGGGGCTCGCCAGCACTGCAGCGGGAGGTGAGAGCAGGGGTGGAGCGAGCAGCGCAGGTGCCACCGCCCCCCAAGAAAGGCTGAGACCTCCTGCCTCCCTCCAGAGGGAGCTACAATTCCAGATGTGGTCTGAGAACAGATGCGAGTACCAGGGTCCTCTCTGTCCAATCCCTGCAGCCCCCGGCTCCCATGGCTTCTCGGACACCTGAGCGCCACCTGCACCCTTAATTCCCCAAGGCCACAGCCTCTCACTCAGGACTGGAGGGATCTCGTGCAAGCCATCCCCAAGAGGCCACGGAGGCCCAGAGAAAGTGCATCCTGTGCCCAGCATCACACAGCTGGTCCGTGGCAGGAGCAGAAGCCTAGACCAGCTTCCCCAGGAACCCCCACACCCTCCCTGGGCTGGGTCCCCCAGTTTTGGAGAGATGGAGGGCATTGCAAGTTCATGCTGAACCTCCGCCCAGGTGGTCTGACCCTGGTCACTGCCCACAACTGCCCCCCAGCCCTGCTCTGAGCCTGGAAGGGGAGGAGAAGCAGCCAATTGTCACTCCTCACAACCCCACAAAAGGGGTTTTTCTGGCCTGTGCCCCACCCCCTCTGCTGGTGGCTACAGCCAGGCAGAACAAAAACCCCCAAAGGTCACGGCCACCTCCCTCCTCCCAAGCCACAAGTCGCAAAGTTCAAGCAGCCCCAGGTGGCACAGAAGCAGGCTGAGTCCTATTCCTTGGGCTGGGACCCCAGTAGAGCCGAGTACTGAGGAGCCTCATTCAAAACACAGGATCCCAGGGCCGGGCGCAGTGGCTCACACCTGTAATCCCAGCACTTTGGGAGGCCGAGGTGGTCACCGAATCACGAGGTCAGGAGATTGAGACCATCCTGGCTAACAAGGTGAAACCCCGTCTCTACTAAAAATACAAAAAATTAGCTGGGCGAGCTGGTGGGTGCCTGTAGTCCCAGCTACTTGGGAGGCTGAGGCAGGAGAATGGTGTGAACCCGGGAGGCGGAGCTTGCAGTGAGCCAAGATTGTGCCACTGCACTCCAGCCTGGGCGACAAAGCAAGACTCTTTCTCAAAAAAAAAAAAAAAAACAGAATTCCAGCCAGCCAGCCAGCCAGCCAGCACCCTCAGCTCCCGGCCCCTCCTGGCCCAGCCCTGCTGGGCAGAAGCAGAGACCCAGCAGAGCCACGGGCCAGGTCCTCCAGGTTCCTGCTGTGTCCGTCTGTTTGTGTGTTCACAAGGCTCACACACCTGTGTCTACAGGCGTGAGGGTGTGAAGCGTGCACACGTGTGTCTATGTTGGGGGCATGTGTGCATATCTGTGAGTGACGTAGTGAGTGTGTGCGCTGGGGTGGCGAGGAGAGACACTCCTAGGTTCGTGTCCCAGGCCGTGATCATTAGCTGTGCCACACTGGGAAAGTTACTAACTTCTCTGGGCCCATGATTCTTGGGCCATATAATGGGGGACAAGAATCATACTGCCTGCGTGTGGCAGCATGGCTGTGAGAATAAAGAACGCTGGGCACAGTGCCTGGCATCCGTTCAACACCCGATAAATGTTCGCACCTGTTATCAGACGTGGGTCCGTGCATGAGTGTGTCCGTGTCCATGGGGGTGATTGTGGGTAAGCTCACATATTGGTTTTTTTTTTTTTTTTTTTTGAGATGGAGTCTCGCTCTATCGCCCAGGCTGGAGTGCAGTGGTGCGATCTCAGTACACTGCAAGCTCCACCTCCCGGGTTCACGCTATTCTGCCTCAGCCTCCGGAGTAGCTGGGACTACGGGCGCCCGCCACCACGCCCGGCTAATTTTTTTTATTTTTAGTAGAGATGGGGTTTCACTGTGTTAGCCAGGATGGTCTCGATCTCCTGACCTCGTGATCCGCCCCCCTCGGCCTCCCAAAGTGCTGGGATTACAGGCGTGAGCCATGGCGCCCGGCCACATGTTGGTGTTTTCTAAACAAAGGAACGCCACTGTCTCCCATGCCCTGGACGTTCTTTCTGTGGCAGGAGGAGCAGGTGGGTGCTGAGTCCACACTCTAAGCCCAGCAGCCCAGCTCAAGAGGACTCTCCACTGGCCTCTTATCAGGAGTAGCTGCTGGTTGAGGAGTAGCGTGGGACACAGGCATAAACCTGATTCAAACCTGGGCTATGCCACTCACCTAATGATCTAATCCTACAGGAAAAATGGAACCTCCCAGAGTCTCAGTTTCCTCCTCTGTAAAATGGGGGTGATGATGCTCCCTGCCCCACAGGGATGCGTGGGGACTCAGTCACAAAGAGCCTGGCAGGGCTCAGCCAGGGCTGTGCTGGGATAAGCTCAGGCCTGTGCAGATTTCCTCCCAACTCCATATTCAGGAAGGTCTTGGGAGTTGGAAACTGGCTACAGTGTGAGTGTTTATACCACAGAAATTAGCAAACACCACAAATCAGGGTTTGGGGGTTTTTTTCTGCACTAGACACACCACTGGGGCACTCAACAGATACTTGAGTCACTCACATTCAGTGAACACTGAGAGCAACAGTGAAAGGAAAGGGGCCAGGCGTGGTGGCTTATGCCTCTCATCCCAGTACTTTGGGAGACCGAGGTGGGCAGATCACTTGAGGTCAGGGGTTTGAGACCAGCCTGGCCAACATGGCAAAACCCCGTCTCTACTAAAAATATAAAAATTAGCCAGGCATGGTGGCGCATGCCCATAGTCCCATCTACTTGGGAGGCTGAGGTGGGATGACCACTCGAACCCGGGAGGCGGAGGCTGCAGTGAGCCAAGAGGGCGCCACTGCACTGCAGCCTGGGCGACATAGCTGTCTCAAAAAAAAAAAAAGAAAGAAAGAAAAAAAAAATGGAAAAGGGAAGCAGAGGCTGCTAGGCCACACCCAGGACATCTTCAGTGCACAGAGGATTGGGAAACGCTTGGTGGGGAAAGGGAAGGTGACAGCTGGGCTGCTGCGGAAGAGCTTGGGGGAGACACCTGCTCTACGCACGCCACCAGGCGGCAACCGTCAGTGTCACTGAATTGAAGCTGGAGAAAGGGAGCAGTGAAACTCGCTCGCCGGGGAATGAGAAAATTTCCTCCCCACTGAAATACTGTAGGGCAGGGCAAAGAGCACTGAGATGGGAGTCCAGAGACACACTGCGGTGCGACCTTGAGCAACTCAGTTTTCCTCCCTGCATCTCTTTTCTTGTCACCAAAATCAGGGGATGAAATCAATCTATCTGATTCCAAACACCTGGTGTAAGCTTCGGGTATTGGGCTGCCCAGGGCTGAGCTGTTCCCTCGAGCAGTGGTTCTCCACTAGGGGTGATTTTGCCCTCCAGGGGACACTTGGTGATGTCTGGAGAATTTTTGATTGTCACCACTGGAGTGGGAATGAGGCTGGCATGTAAGTAAATAAAGACCAAAGATGCTGCTGAATAGCACGGGACAGCCCCCACAACTAAGTAAGATATTTTATTTATTTATTTTATTTTATTTTTTCTTTTGAGATGGAGTCTTGCTCTATTGCCCAGGCTGGAGAGCAGTGGTGTGATCTCAGCTCATTGCAACCTCCACTGCCCGGGTTCAAGCGACTCTCCTGCCTCAGCCTCCCGAGTAGCTGAGACTACAGGCACGTGCCACCACGCCTGGCTAATTTTTCTGTTTTTAGTAGAGATGGGGTTTTACCATGATGGCCAGACTAGTCTTGAACTCCTGACCTCAAGTGATCCATCTACCTCGGCCTTCCAAAGTGCTGGGATTACAGGAGTGAGCCACCGTGCCCAGCCAAGATCCTTTTTAAAAATATTTATTTTATTTAATTTTGTTTAGGGATAGGGTCTCACTGTGTTTCCCAGGCTGGTCTTGAACTCCTAGACTCAAGCAATCCTCCCACCTTGGCCTCCCTTAAGTAAGATGTTGTCTCAAATATCCATGAGGTTGAGAAGTTCTTTCTCTACCTGCCCCTGAGGTCGAGAAAACTCATCAGACTCTGTTTTCTCATCTGTCAAATTGGGTAAAAAACCTGCCCTGCCTACCAGGTGCAAGGCTGTGACAGACGTATGTTCTGGCTCACCCCATACCCACTTCCAACCCCCCTCCCTTGTCCTCCTCCTCCATAGAGGCTGGAAAAGCAAAACACCCTCTTTCCCAGCTTCCCTCGCAGCTAGGGGTGGTCATGTGACACTGTCTGGTCAGTGAGATGAAAGAAGTCTACCCAGGGCTTCTGGGAAGGCATCCGATTTACTGATAAGGGCACCATGGCTGACCTGGCCACCTGCCCCTTCTTCCCACCTCAAACTTAGAGGTGACATATGAAGTGATGATTACCATCTTATGACATGAGGCCACAAACAAGAGAACAAAAGTCAACACACTAAAGATGACAGAGCCTGGGGTCCTGCTGGCACCATGCAAGGGGATAGTGGAGGCCATTCCAGCAGACACCAACCCCTTGACTTCTTACAATGCAAGAAAAATAAAGCCATTTTTTCTAAAGTCACCTGTAGGTTTGGGGTTACTTGCAGCCAAATGCCTTCCTGATGGAGAATGAATGAAATACTATGATATGACACACTGTTGGTCTGTCTCTAACAAAAAGCCTTCGCAGGCCCTACTTTATAAAACAGATCAAAGGTGAGTTGCTTTGGGAGGACCCAGGGCCCAGCCCCACAGCCTCTACCTCAAACCTGAGAGATGACCACTTCCCCCACGCCCAAGGGCCCTCTGTGGGACACTGGGCTATCCCAGAATTCAGTTTGAAAACCACTGCTCTCTGAGAAAGTGCTCTGTAAACACAATGGAGGCAAGGAGAAACATCATTGTCAGCTGACCGAATGGCACCACCCTGCAGGCTGGATCGAGCAGACACAACCCCCATCTCATGGTAAGGAAGTAGCCATAGAGCAATTTCACATCTGCCCAAGGTTGCGCTGTGGGTCCACGACCACGTGCCTGCCACGAACGCCACGAAGGCATCTGCTCTCTGCCGGAGCATTTCACACTCACAGCCTCTCTTAGCCCATGGAGGGCTGCCTGACTCCCCGGCCTTTCCTCCACCTCCCAGGGCTCTGCACACCTCCTGACACTGGACAGACCAATGACAGAATTCACTGCTTCCTCTGTGACAGCCCAGCACGCCGGGAAGGAGACCAGGGGAAGAGGGGGAGAGGGCAGTGGAGACACTCACCACCTTGGCTTCTCTCTGCAGGCACAAGGGCTTCTCTATAAAGAGGAGAGGGGACAAGTAAGAGATTGACTTCCTCAGGCACATCTGTCCTAAGTAGGAGGGCAGTATGGGGCCCCATAGAACCAGCAGAGAGGCCCAGCCCTGTGGGGACCAATCGCCTACCAGACAAGGTCCACAGAAGCCCCCACCCAACTCCACCTGCCACCATCCCAACCATTCTCCAGTCCCCCATCTATACCATCCGCGCCTCCACTGAGGATGCGTGTCCTTCCCTGCACAGACTCCACCCATCAAGATCTTACCCAGCTCAGAGACCACCTGCTGCAGGAAGCCCGAATCCCCCAGGCTTCCTGGATAGGAATCCTGAACTCCTCCTACCCTTTAGAAAACCCTGATCACCTCTTGCCTTTTAGTAATTAAGTTAGCAGAGGTACCTTCACCCCAGGCCTTAAGCTCCTACAGAACAAGGACCCCCATATCCAGCTCTGTCTGACCCCTAAGGCTGTGCCCAGTGCTGGACTCACAGGAGGCACCCCACAAAAGCTTCCTGAACAAGTGGATGAAGGAAGGAAGGATGGACTCTTACTTTTCACCTGGGTCATGATGACACAGTTCACCACTCCTATTATTAGTAGACCCAAGGCTGTCACACCCACAATCAGTCCTAGAAAGAAAAGAGAAGCTCAGACAGCTACAGAAAACAAACTCAAATGTACCAGGGGCCAGCCAGGCAAGCCAGGGACCCAAGGTGCTTCGGGTCATTGCAAATGAGGGGCGAGTCTAGGCCGGAGATTCTCAAATCCAATTACAAAGCAATCATGTCTGTGTGCCTCATTCAGCCTAAGGGCCACTAGTTTGAGACCTCTGGCCTGATGCAGTTCTACCCCAGAATGGAAGCCCCTGGAGGTGACCTGGCCCAGCCCGCTGTCTTCTTAGCCTAATGGGCTCATCAGAAACAGCAGCAAGGAGACCATCTGCATATTCAGGTGAATTGCTGACCCCACCTCTCCCCTATCCAGGGGTTTTGTTTGGTTTTGTTTTGTTTTTGAGATAGGACCTCACTCATTGCCCAGGCTGGAGTGCAGTGGCACGATCAGAGCTCAATGCAGCCTCAAATTCCTGGGCTCATGTGATCCTCCCACCTCAGCCTCCTGAGTAGCTGGGACAATAGGCACCATCCCACCCAAATAATTTTTTAATTTTTTTATAGAGATGGAGTCTCGCTGTGTTACCCAGACTGACCTCAAACTCTTAGCCTCAAGCAATCCTCCAGCCTCCTTGGCCTCCCAAAGCACTGGGATTACAGGCTTGAGCCACTGCATCCAGCCCACGCACTTAGGGATTTTGAATGATAGCACCAGGTGTGGGGAGAAAGCAGTCTCACTGCCACCTGTATCCCAGGACAGGGCACAGGGTCCAGCCCCCCGTGGGCTCTCAGTAAAACCATGGGAGAGGAAGAAAGAGAGACAGAAAGACAGGCAGACAGAAGGAGTGAATGAATGAGACTTCTTGCGACTTACCAACTGGAAGAGCGAAGTCGCCAGTGCTCCCTTCAGCTGGGGGGCTGGGGCCCATTGGGAGCAGGAAGGAGGTGCTTGGAGCAGTGCTGGGTTCTGGAGTTGGCTGCGTGTGTTGGGATCGTGTGGACACTGGCTGGGGTAAGTGTACTGCCCCTGGGGCCATACTCCGGGTGGGGGACGTGGACGTGCAGACTGCATCCATGCTTGCATTCCCAGGGATGGCCACCACGTTACAGCTGGAGGAGGAGGAGGCTTGGTCAGGAGGCAGCAGGGGACAGAGTGGCTGGGGTGGCTGGGCTCATTCACGGGCCCCAGCAGGCAGGATAGGAGAGTGACGATGTGTGCCCTCTCTGAGGACCACCCCCTCCTAGCCCTCCCCCACCTCCCCATGCACCCACCCAGTCCTGCCTTCCAGGGCAAGGTCCTGCCCACCATGCCATTTATCCTGGGAGCCACCCTCAGATAAAGCAGTCTGGACAATGGTGGTTGGTGAGCTGCTCTGTGTCCTGGACCCACAGTCACCCAGGGACAGCCCCTCCCTGCTCCTCCAGAACCAAAGGACTCAGCTACTCACATCTGGTGGGGCCTGCAAATATCCGTGGATGAAGTCGTGTTGGAGAACGTCCCCGGGGCACAGGGCTTGCACACCACGTCTGATGTTTCAGTTCCTTCAGGGAACAATCCGAACTTGTCAACCACTCAGACACTCTGCGGGACAGCTGGGCCTTGGCACTAGAGCCCTAGGAGAGGTCTGAGGGGCCCAAGGAGCTCTGTCTGCACCTCCACCCCTTACACACACACACACACACACACACACACACAGATGCCTGTACACACATGCACACACACAGATTCCTGTACACACATGCACGGGATTGGGCTGTAGAGTTATGTGAGTTCATCTTGCAGCATCACATAACTTTCCTAGCTTAGGGCTTGGTCTGATCCATCTCTGGGTCTCCTGGTTCCAGTACATAAGAGGTGCCTAATCGGGAGTGCTGGCAGGAAGAATGAACGGTGGACAGGTGGACAGACGGATGGGTAGCAGGCACCTGGCCACCACTAACAGTGCTCCCTGCTGGACTAATTAATGGGTTGATGCCCGTGACACTGCAAGGATGTCTACAAAGGAGAGGCCCATGGGCGTCCCCAAGGACCTGAGCCCCACCCCGTACCTGGTCTGGCCACGCCGAAGCCCGGGCGGCACTTGCGCAGCGGCGCGCACAGCCGGCACCCCTCCTGCTTGCTCAGCGCGCAGTACCAGCCGGGCCTGCAGGTGCAGATGCGGTTCTGTTCCCGAGTGCAGGCTTGAGTTTCCACCTGGTCTAGAGCAGCGAGAGGGCGGCAAACGGTCACGCCTGCCTCCGCCACACCCACGCTGCCCTCCCAGACAGCCCAGCACTCTCAGACAGCGGATCTCCAGGAGGCTGGCGGACCGCCTCAGCATGGGGCACACACAACACCGGCCAGAGTCCAGGGGCAGGACCGGCAGTCCTGCTACTCTCCGCAGTCCCGCTACTCTCCGCAGTCCCGCTACTCTCCGCAGTCCTGCTCGTCCCCCGCAGTCGCGCTCGTCCCCCGCAGTCCCGCTCCTCCCCGAAGTCCCGCTCCTCCCCACAGTCCCGCTCCTCCCTGCAGTCCTGCTCCTCCCCGCAGTGCCGCTCCTCCCCGAAGTCCCGCTCTTCCCCGCAGTCCCGCTCTTCCCAGCAGTTTCGCTCCTCCCCGCAGTCCTGCTCCTCGCAGCACGAGCATGCGCACCACTCTCCCACGCACCACCTCCTCAACCCTCACGTGGGCACAGTTCTCCCACCGCCTGCCCCGTGGGGCTGTGAAGAGGCTTTGGTGAGACAGAGGAGGAAAATGCCAGTGGTAGGGGTAAACAGCTGCACCTGTGCCACTTCCAACAACCAGCCTGGGGTAACTCCAGACAGCTGGAAGCCAAAGAGGCTGGAGTTGCCGGGGGAAGTTGGAGGCAGGGGTGTAAGGGCCCCCTTTTTCTCTGAACCTACTCACCAGAGCTACAGCGGGAGCCACAGCTCAAGCACTCGGGAACCCAGTTCCAGAGCTGGGTGTATGTGCTGTCCTCACAGGAGTCACACACGGTGTCCGAGGTCTTGGTACAGAAGACTTTTGCATGTTGGCCTGAGGAAACAAGGGCCAGAGGTCTCAGCTGGGCGAGCCTTCTGCCAGGACCCTGGGCTCATCCACTGTCCCCACAAAGTCCAGAGTTCTAAAGCCCAGCTGGGAAGGCTATTCTGTGGAGTTCCAATTCCTCAGAATCATCTCCCATCTAGTATTGTACCAGCTATCACGTCATTTCTGAACCCCTTCTGCTCAAAAATAGATTCCTCTCTGCTCTTTCCAGATGCTTGAACCTCCACCACTGGAGCCCTATTATCAGTCAATCACACTTTAGTAAGAACTAGCTTGCCAGTTTCTTCCTTCTTGATAGATGGCTAATATTCTCCAGCTAGGGGCATGAATGATAGGGGGAACAGGTAGTAAGAATGTAGTCCCTGGTATCCTATCAAGGACAAGGGCATGGGCCTGGAAAGCAGGCATTCCAGGGACAGAGAACACCAACGGAAACCTTAAAAAAAAGTTGACTCAGTAGCTGCTTTTTTTTTTTTTTTTTTTTTTGAGACAGAATCTCACTCTGTGGCCCAGGCTAGAGTGCAGTGGCACAATCTCGGCTCACTGCAACCTCTGCCTCTCAGGCTCAAGCAATTCTCCTGCCTCAGCCTCCCAAGTAGCTGGGATTACAGGTGCCTGCCATTATGCCCAGCTATTTTTTTGTATTCTTAGTAGAGACGGGTTCCACCATGTTGGCCAGGCTGGTCTCAAACTCCTGGCCTCCGGTGGTCCGCCCACCTCAGCCTCTCTAGTAACTTCTTAAAGAGACCCTTCCAGTTAATAAAAGAAAGAAGAGAGTCACTTTCCCTAGGATGTCTTAAAATGGCTAGGGACGGTGACAGGTACTCATATGCCCACCTACATCTCAAGGTAACGGCTCAAAGCCCTCCATTGGCTCCCAGACAGAATAAAATCTAAACTCCTTACCATGGTCCCTGCTCACTCCTTCCTCCTCCTCCCCTACCGTACTCGCCTTCGCTCATCCTGGGCCACACATGCTGGCCCTGCTGTTCCTCCAACTCACCAAACAGGCTCCGACTTCAAGGCCTTCGCACATGCTGTTGCTTCCTCCTGGCACACTGTTCCCTGTATACATGCATGACCTGCTCCCTCACCTCCTGCAGGGCTCTGCCCAAATGTCACCTCCTCAGAGAGACCTTCCCAGACCACCCTGTGTAAAACAGTATGTCCCGTTCTGTCTCCCCCGCCTTACCTGACCTTGTCTTTCTACAGCACTTACAGATAGACAGGACCACACATCTCCTAATGTATCTGTCTGCATCCACCGTTAAAATGCAGACTCCACGAGGGCAAGGGTTTTGTCTGCCCTGCTCTCTGTGTATTCCCAGCACTTAGAACACACAGCAGATACCTTATAATCATGACATGAATGAATACAGACACAAATGAATAGATGGAGGGCACCAGGAGTCAGGCTACCTAGCTCCACCAACTGTGGCTGGGCCTCAGGTCTACCATCTGTGAAATGGGTAAGCATTCACAGAGTCAGTCAAATATGCACTGAGCACCTACATGGCATTGCGCCACGTGCTGGGGATTCAGCAGAAAACAAGCCACAATCTCTGCCCTAGAGGAGCACACAGTGGAGGCAACAGGAAGCAGGACCGGGCTATAATCCCACAGCAAGGAAAGAGCTTCCATGGGAACATCAGAGGCCAGTGAGAGCTCAAAGGAGGCAGCACTTGTCTTTCAAGCTGAGTGCTGCCTCCTCCAGGCAGCCCTCCCTGACTCCCCCAGGAGCTAATTTAGGCTCCTCCTCCCCCTCCTCCACCGGCTGGGCAGTATGGGGCAGGCAGCCTTCCTGGAAGAGGGGACATCTTCAGCTGAGGTCTAAAGGGCAAGTTGGAGTTAATCAGGGAAAGGGAGTTGGGAAGTGTGCCAGGAAGAGGGAACAGCATGTTCACAGGCCCAGAAGCAGCAGGGAGCATGGGCCAGTGCATAGAACTAGGAGTTCAGTAAGAATCAAGGGCTATGCTCTTGCGCCCCAGCCCCTGTACACACACGCTCCTCCAGGGCATGGGCCCCGAGTGCCCCCGTGGCTGCCCTCACCCGGCGAGCATTTGCTGCAGCACATCTGAGCTGTCTGGTCATAGTATTCTCTGAGCCGGCATGTGCTCCCGGGCTCCGGGGCGTAGGGTGTAAATGCCACCTGGAAGGAAGAAGGGAAGACTGCCATCAACAGGGCCGCCCCTGGGTTCTGCCATGCCTGATGCCCAGGTCCCCGCCCTGCAAATGTTTGGCCCTCCCCCTGCCAGTCTGCACTGATGATGGCTGGGGAGGTTTCTCCCCCTGGAGCAGGGTACAGGAAGGAGAGCTCGTGCCTTCTTTTACCTCCCCTGCCTCCCCACCTCAGTGTACCCTAGTCATGTCTGCAGGCAGAAGCACTGACTCTGCTGGCCTTCTCCAGTGCTGGGTGACCCCTAACACTGCATGGGACAGATATCCAGAAGACAGTGGCCTTGGTCACAGAGAACGGGGGTTCTCAGCACAAAGCTGCCCTCTGCTGAGGAAGGAAGATACCTCTCCTTCCCTCCTGCACCTGAAACATCCCTTTGTCTTTCAAGATGAGTGCTGCCACCTCTGGGAAGCCCTCCCTGACTACCCAAGGCTAATTCAAGCTCCTCCTCCTCCTCCTCTCGGCTCTCTCTAAACGTGGGTTATGACCCCTCTAACAGTCATCTCATTGTTCTGGAATGGTTACTTGCTTGTCCTTCCACCCCCTGTGGGTATGTATGCACACACATGTGTACACACACACTCATGTGATGCAGACAGCAGAGGTGGCAGCCTTGTCATCTCTAGACCCTCAATCTCTCACATGGGACCCACCGTAGAGCCGGCACTCATCAGCTGAATGTTGGTTATGACCATGACAATCGTTGCCATTTTTGAAGCACTGCCTAGGTACCAGGCACTGTTCTAAGCGTTTCTGCTGCTCGAATTGGTGGGTGCTGTTGCACCCCACTCAGACCCCTGCTGCCAGCAGGGCACCGCTCCCCCAGCTGCTGTGGGTGTTGGCTGATAATGAATGCTCCACAGCCTCAAGGTGGGACCCACCCTGGTACAATTCATGGTCCAGAGCCACCCCCGTGGTGTTGGGCTGAAGCTGGTGAACAACGTCCCTGCTAAGCCCCCTCCCCTGACCTGCCCTGCCTGCTTCTCCTGGGAGCCCTCCCTAGCAAATCACTTTCACAAAGATCCCTGCCTCAGGCTCTGCTTCTGGAAGACCCTACCTGAGACAGGTGTGTGGTCTCAGCAAGACTTCCCAACCACCCAATGAAGATGGAGACGGTTTCCCTACTGCAGCCATTTTATAGAACAGGAAACCGAGGCCTGAGAGGGCAGGTCACCTGCCCAAGGTCCCAGACCTGGTAAGTGACAGAGAAGGGTTTGGACCTGGGTCCTGTCTGACTTCACAGCTCACAGTCTCAAAGACTGTGCTGGATGCCTCCGGGAAGAGATGAACAATGTGATGAATGAAAAGAGAGAGAGGGCCAGGTGTGGTGGCTCACACCTGTAATCCCAGCACTTTGGGAGGCCGAAGCAGGTGGATCACTTGAGGTCAAGAGTTCGAGACCAGCCTGGCCAACAAGGCAAAACCCTGTCTCTACTAAAAATACAAAATTATCCCGGCATAGTGGCGTGTGCCTGTAATCCCAGCTACTCTGGAGGCTGAGGCAGGAGAATCCCCTGAACCTGGGAGGAGGAGGTTGCAGTGAGCTGAGATCATGCCACTGCACTTCCAGCCTAATTGACAGAGCAAAACTCCATCTCGAAAAAAAAAAAAAAAGAGGGGAGAAAAGAGAAAAGCAAAGGCACCCAGAGAAGCTACAGCCCTGGACAGAGGAGCAGACGCAGAGCCCTCCTCTCTCGGGTCTCTGAGTGACCCTCCAGGAGTGCAGAGCTGCAGCACTGTCACCATTGTGCCTTCCCAGGACCCCCGGGAGCAAGCCCCTGAGTCCTGCCCTCTCTCCTGAAAGACTGGGGTTGGCAGTCCGGGCTTTCAGGGACAAGCATTAATTAGCCACCTCTACCAGGCTGAGAGCAAGCTCAGAATGGAGACATTCACATGTAGGCAAACATGGGTGTGAACACATCTGTACAAGCAAAGAGGGTGTACACACACACCCCAAGTCCTTCAGGGGCCCCCACAGATGCGTCACCTGGAAATGAACAAAGGGCAGTTCTAGGAGGTCAGAGCCAGGGCTGGCGCACTCCCCACTGTACTGCCAGCTGCAGTCATGTGGCCAGTACAAGATCGAGATCCATAACCTTTAGTGAACGAGTCATGGGGCCTCTCCATAGATAAGGATACAGGGAGTCAGAAAGAACTGGTTTCAAATCCTCACTCCACCACTTAGCGGCTGTGTGGCCTTAGGCAAGTGCCTTAACCTCTCTGGACTCCAGTACCTAACATATAGGAGCAGGGGAGATACTAAAAATATTTAACAAACCAGCACAACGTGGCCATGGACCTATCCTGGACTTCAGCTGTCAGCAAGCCAGTCAGAGCAGACACCAGTCACGACACCCAGCACCGCTGGGCCAGTGCAGACCTGGCCAAATTTCCACCAGCCAACGTAGCAGGTGGGTTCAGTGTGCCTCCTCCTCCCCTTCCTCACAGCACTGCCTGGGAGTCAGGACTGCCCAGAGTTTGGGCCTGCTGAGCGTTTGGCTGCACCTATAGCGAGTGACAAGCAGGGCTAGAAACCCAGCTGTCTCCCACCTCAGCCTGGCAGGCAGCACCACCCTGCCCTGGCTGCACCCCTCGGTGCCAACAGCTGGAATCCCTCAGCGGGAACGACCCAGAGGAGCTGGGGCTTCCTGCCATGGAGCAATCTGCCACTCTTCTGACCCCCAGGCCTTTGCACCCCAGCTGATTTCTATGCCTGGAATGGCCTGGTGCTTCCTGTAACAAATTCCACGTGTCCCTTAAGAGCCCTGCTCAGGCAGTACCCTCCCTCCTGAAGGCTCCCTGCCCGCACCCCACCCTGAAGGAGTCACTCAGGCCCAGAGTCCCCACCTTCCTCCCTCATGGCTCTCCTCATGGCCTCCCTGGGCCCCTCGCTAGATGGGAAGCCCCCCTGAGGCTGCAGGCTGGGGGTTACCCTTTGCTGTTGCCCCACAGCCTAGCAGGGCGTAGGTGCTCAGCAGCTGCTAGTCTCAACCACGGGCTGGGTTACAATGTCCTTTCCTGTAGGGATCTAACTCCAGCGCCAGGGCCGCAAAGCTCAAACACAGATGCACTTTCCACCCTGGCCTGCCCCGGAGGCCCACCCCAGGCCCATCAGCTATGGTGAATTCTGGGCACGGGCAGTGGGAACCATGCTGCATAACAGGGTCTGAAGAAGTAACCCCCGTCTGGAGCCTCAGTTTGCCTGGACACGGTGCTGCCACACACACTCGGTCCCAGTACCCCTCCCCTCCCCGGTTTGCTGCTGGAGCAGACTCCCAGGCACCCTAGACAAAAGGAGAAGCCTTCTCAGGGGTTCACACAGTGTGGGGGGAGCTCACTGCCTGTGTCCAAAGCACCCAGGGGTGCCTGTCATGAAGCCAACACCCACTCCCCAAACAAGTGCAGAATCTCAGGGGTGGGCCCAGGAAGCTGTACCATTAAAAAAAGAGAAAGAAAAAGAAAAAGGAAATCTCCCCAGTGATTCTCACGCTCCTTTGCAGAACACACTCTGATCATCCGGCCTCCTGGATTGAGCAAGGTGACCTGGGGGAGGGGTGGCGGAGGGGGCTCATGGCCGAGACCCGGCATCCAAAGGCTGTGGGAGCCCCTAACCCAGAGAAATGGCAGCTTCTGCAGCTCCCTCTGCACAAGCCATTCCATCGAATACTAACTGCGGCAGAGGGTCTTCCTGGCCCTCGGCAAACCCCCAAACTGCCTTCCCTGAAGGCTGCTGCTGGGCGCTTCCCCAAGGGCAGGGGCTGTGCCTATCCCCCTCCGACCGAACGGCCTCCCAGACACAGCTGCCTCTTCCCTCAGATCGCATCCCTGAGGCAGGCAGGGGCTGCACCTCTTCCCTGGCAGCCCCCCACCCCGCACAGTGGCCAGCACAGGTCTCGTGGGAATCCTGCATCCCGCGGGCTTCATCCCCACGAGTGCCCTTGGGGTAACCAGGGGAGCCCCTCACTCCTCCAGGGCCTGAGAACCACAGGGCCAGGGCGGCTCCAGGCGGCAGCAAGAAATCCCACCCTGGCTGGGGAAGGGTTTCCCATCAGGGCTCAAAGGGCCTGATGGGAAAGAGCCCTGCCGTGGCCAAGTTTGGGCTCTCAAGAGCCGCAATGGACGAGGGCTCCTGGCCACTAACGGCAGGCAGCTGGACTCCCATGGCCCCCAGGCCGGCTGAGTGGTGGCCTCCCACCTCCTCCCCTCCAGGTTCCTCTCTTGTCTGAGGCTTTGCTGTGAGTGACCGTCCCTGGACTTCCTCCCTGGCTCTGTGTGGCTCCAGCCCCCCCGGTAGCCGGCAGAGGGGGTAGGACTTCCTCCCTGGCTCTGTGAGCCTCCAGCCCCCAGTAGCTGGCAGAGGGGGTCGGCTCCCTTGAGCAATCTCAGGCCTGTTTATTCTCTTGGACAGAAAAAAAAAAAAAAATCCACAGCCTTGTCATGGCTAAACAATGAGGAACAGAAAGCCCCTTGGCAAAGCAGAACAAAAGGTCACTCCCTCCACAGCAGCAGTCCCCAGGAGCAGGGGGCTGGGCCCAAACCACAGCCCTGGGAGCCGGCCTCTGGTCAGTACAGGGGCCCCCCAGGAGGTCCCCAAAACATGGCAAGCATTCTCTAGGAAATGCAGGGCTACAGAAGCTTCCAGTTCCTGTGCCTTGGATTGGGGAGGCTCCAATTCACACCCCACTCACCCCACAGGGGATCTTTGACATGTTAAAATGAGGAAATAAGTTGGATAGTACTTGATTCAGTCAGCGTGTTCAGCAAACTACAATCTTCCAAAATATGGGGGCCTCAAGTGAAAAATTGAAAATCACTGTTGAGGGTTAACTGACCATTTATTTAACAGGCAGGGAATCTGAGACCCAGTGGTGAGGGAATCGGAGAGGATGGATAGATATGTAGGTAGGTAGGTAGGTAGATAGATAGATAGATAGATAGATAGGTAGATAGAATAGATAGATAGCTAGATAGATAGATAGGTAGGTAGATAGAATAGATAGCTAGCTAGCTAGCTAGCTAGATAGATAGATAGATAGATAGATAGATAGGTAGATAGAATAGATAGATAGATAGATAGATAGATAGATAGATAGATAGATAGATAGATAGATAAAATAGATAAAATAGCTAGATAGATAAAACAGACAGACAAACAGATAGATAGATAGATAAAATAGAAAGATAGCTAGATAGATGATAGATTAGATAAATAGATGATAGAGATAATAGAAAGTAGATACAAGATAAATAGATGGATGATAGAAAATATCAATAGATAGCTATACATATATACATAGAGAGAGAGAGAGAGAGAGAGAGAGAATAGATAAAAGGAAAGAAAAAAGAAAACTGCACCTAAATCTATATTCCAATTGGTGAGGCAGGTCTGATTGTGCCCATTTCACAGATGAGATAACAGAGATGGAAAAAGGCAAAGCCACCTCCCCTCGTCTCCCAGAGACTTTGGGCCATGCCAGGGCCAGGATGGCGGCAAGCGGATAGAGGACTATGGATAAGAAGCTCATCAGGGCCCACCCACAGTCTCTGAGCCGCCTCCCATCTGGGTCCACAGCTCCCATTTCCCCTCCTCCAGATTGGGCTCCCTCCTCTAAGACAGGTAGCACCTGCAGTTAGCGGTAGCTCATCGGTACCGAGCACCTGCTACCTCCCAGGGGCAACTGTGCGTGTTAGACCCACTGTCTGGTCTTCTCACTGACATTCGCAGGTGCTCAGGGAGACAAAGCAGTGTGCCCAAGGCTATCCCAGAAGAGCTGCAATCCTTGCCACCCCCAATCCTGCCTCCCTTCTCTTGGGGCCCAGAGAGCTTCCCTTCCCCCTCCACACAGACCCAGGACTCCAAGGGCCCCAAAGCTGAATGGCCCAACCTCAGCAGCTCCTCCCACCATGCAGCCTCCATCCCAGATGGGAGCTGTCTCTGTCACCCAGGGGTTAGACCCCCACCCTGTTGCTCCTCCAGGTCTTGGCTTTGGCCCTCTGGGGAGGAAGGAAAACAATGGGATATTTGCTAAGCAACTACTATGTGCCAGGCCAGATGGCAGGCACTGTATAAAATCCTAGTTCCACCCTAAAAAGCTGGTGTGAATGGCCCCATTTCACAGCTCAGGGAGATCAAGTCACTTGTCCGTGGTCCATGGAGAAAGTCAGGGGCAAAGGTGAAAGCAGTGATTCATTCATTCATTCATTCAACAGACGTGCTGAGCACCCAGTGTTGTAGGTGCTGGGTAAACAGTAGCATTGAACAAATCAAATCCCTGCCCCCGGGAAGTTGTCATCTTAGCTGGGGAGACACATGCACGTTCAATAGAGAATTCAAGGTGGTGGTAAGAGCTAAGGAAAAGGGTGACACAAGGTGCGGGGCCGGGGAGACAGGGAGATGCCCTTGGCACACTCAGTGCTTGGTCAGGAGGTCAGGGCAGTGGGCCCAGAGCGGGTGGGTGAGGGTGAGAACGAAAGCAGCAGTAGAGCATCTACTAGAAGCCTGCTTCATGCCAGTCATCACGAAGAGCTGTCCCAGCATCATAGCCTCTCTGAATCCTCCCCTGGTCCCCCTGAGGCCAGTCCTATTGTTATTCCCAAGTTACAGATGAAGAAACTAGCCTCAAAGAGGCCTCCTCACCTCCAGTCCTGTGTTTCCTCCCTGGCCAGGAAGACTGGGTCTCAACCCCAAGGCCCGCCCCTACCCCAAAGATCCTCTGTGTCCTCACTCAAGTGTCTCCTCTGCTGTGGGCAGTAACCAGGTTCTCTGTGCCTCAGTTTCTCTGCCTGTAAAATGAGAGTGTGGGCCTGGTTGATGCTCTAAGCAAAAGGACCAGCCCTGGGTTCTTAAGGATGGGTGTCGAAGGCTCAGTCCCTCACCAGACCTCAGGGGTGCTGGGTGGTGTGTGGCCCATCCACATGAGAGGTGGAGAAACAGCACGAGCTGGGAGGTGGGGGCTGGGATGTGGGGCAGAGTTGGGCTGGTCCTGGGCCTCTGGAGAGAGCAGAGGGTGGATTAGCAGGGGCTTCCATGCTCAGCTTCTGCCCCCATCCCCTTCCCCCCAGGGAGGGCAGCTCGAGCAGGCGACTTCTGAGAGGAAAGGGCCAGAAATGTCCCCTTTCCCAGGTGTGCTGGACACCGGCCTTGTAGAAGGGGCGCTGACTTAGGTTAGAGGGTCTATGTGCATATGGAGAGGTGCGTGGCATGCTCTGTGCACCGCCAGGAGGTCAGGGTAGTGGGTCCGGGGGATTTGGGGGTGTCATGGACTTTCTCTGAGCCTCGGCATTGTCACCTGTAAAATGGGAGTGGTACTCCTTGCCCTGTCTCCTCCAGGGGTTCTTGTGAGGAGCAAAGGCCCCTGGGGAGGTCCTCACTTGGGTTCATCATCTTCTCCCAGACTCCTGGGGGCTCCATGGGGGCGCTGCAAGGGGCCTGCAAAGGCCCTGGTCATAGACCCATGTTACAGAACATGGGAACTGGGCTCTTCCTGCCTTGGTTTTAGCCAAGAACTGGCAAGGCGAGAACACACCCCAGGGCAGCGAACTGCCCGGCTTTAGTGGGGTGTTAGATGGCCCGTGTGGGCCTTGCAAAGGAGGGGGCCTCCATCCTGCCTCCAGGGTAAGTGTGGGGAAGCTGACCTGTGACTCCTGGGGCTGGCAGTTCACCCCCAGGCTGGCACCAGGCCCGTTCCTCAGGAAGCCTTACATGGGGAGACCATGGCAGGCCCGCTGCTGTGACAGTGTGACAGAGGCTTCGGTGGGGCAAAGGAGAAGAGTGCAACAGGCCAGATGTGGTCCTCCTTGACAGGGACCTTGGGCTAACTCACAGGGACTTTGCTCAGAGGAACACTGGAAGGGTAATGTGACCCCAAAACAGAGTCTGGGTGAGTGGACAAAACCCAGGGGCCGGGGTCTGTGAGCAGCCCAGCCAGAGGACGATGCGGCTGTGAGAGCCTGCAAGAAGGTGAGCTTCTGAGAGCTGCCGAGGGCCGAGCTCCAGGAAGAAAAGACCCCGCTGGAAGAGTAAGGCTGACCCGGTCAGTCAGGTTCCACCCTCCCTGCACACCGTCCCCTCTCTTCTGACCCCACGCCCCCTCACCCTGGAGGACTCAGGAAGCACAGCTGGTGGACAGGGCTGCAGGTATAAGATTCGCTCAAGACTAGGACTCTGCTGGAGCCCTTAGCTGGTAAGGGGCAGGGCCAGGTGGCCAGGGCAGGTCTGATTCTGGAGTTTGCGTCAGCTCTTGGGGAATTGAGCAACCCCGGGTCAACTGACTTGCTGCTTGTCCTGTTCCCAGGCCAAGGCCCTGCAAGTACCCGAGGTGGGGGCCCTCAATGCCTTCTCTTATTTATAAATAGCGAGAGAGGAAGGAAAGAAGGGAGGCCTGGAGGAGAAGGAAAAAGCTGAAAGCACGGCATCTGTGGTGCCCTCTGCTCTTCCGGCCGCCATTAGCACAGCCTTCTTTGGGGATCTTCATGGCTTTATTATTATTTTTTCATTTATAGAAAGAGACCGGGTCTTGCTATGTTGTCCAGACTGGTCTTGAACTCCTGGCCTTAAGCGATCCTCCTCCCTCAGCCTCCCAAAGTGCTGGGATTACAGGCGTGAGCCGCTGTGCCCGGCCTTCATGGCTTTTCAATGTTCCGGAGATCCCTTTTAGATGCCGTACCCTTGGGAAGAGGTCATGCTCCCAGCCTTCCCCAGGGGGTCCCCCCTGGGCAGGGATCTACCCGCTGAGAACGGAAGATGATGCGGTGGGGAGGTGGCCACAGGGAGAAGCTTCAGGCTTTAGGGGTCGAGATCAAGCCTTTACACAGAGCTGGAAGAACAGAGACTGTTCAGATCCAGGAAAAGTACCTACTGTGTGCAGGCACAGTGCTGGGCACGTTCATATACCTTCTCTTTATTTTATCCTAGCACTAACGCAATGAGGTCAGGATGATCCATTTTACAGATGCAGACATTGAGGCTTGGGAGATTTCGTGCAAATTGTCCAAGGTCATGCAGCCAGTGAGCGGCACTCCAGGAGCTGATGGCAGCAACATCAGCCTCTGTGCCCTCTGACAGTTTTGTACCCTGTGATCTTGTCCTGCTCCCTCATTTTACAGACAAGGAGCCCACAGAGGGGAGTGACTCTTCTGTGAACACACTGTGAGCAGGGGCAGGTGGTTCAGTGACTCTCCCAGGCAAAAGGGTCTCCAGGGTCTTAGGGCAGGGGCCAAAGCTGTGGGGAGGGGCAGAGGTATCTGCCCAAGGACCCAGGGACCCCCACACAGAGGAAACCCTCTTCAAGCAATGCGGAAACCACGTCATTTGCATGGCGGGTCGCGGGGCCCCTAGGGCGTGGTGGGAGGCAGCAGAGGCATTTGGGTCTCAACCTTGGGGGTTCACAGGAGCCCCATGGACTGCAGGGTGCAGCTACATCAGGCCAGGTCGTCACAGCAACGCCAGGGCCAGTGACAGCGGAGGCCCGTCTGCCGTCACGGAGAGGAATGGCATCTGCGTTAGGAAGGACTGACCACATCACAGGCAGGCAACCCGGGGGTGACACATCCCACTCCCGACTCGCTGCCTGTGATGTTGCTTTAGAAATGAGCTGGGGGCAGACAGGAAGACTGGGCTGGTATCCGGTTCTTGGAGCCAGGCTTTGTGCTAAATGCCAGGGTACAAAGACGCCGGGCATGGTCCCTGCCTGCAAGGAACCCTGAGTCTAATGAGAGACGCCCCAGCCTCTCCCACCGTCACCCTCCAAGGGGCCTGCTGATGTCGCCTGCTCCATCTCCCACGACCCCTCCTCCTCGCTGCCCTCAGCATCTCCTGCCAGCTGCAGGCTCCTTGGTCTTGGTTCCCAGCCTTCTGTCCCTTTCAGATGGACCTAAGCCCCCTTCCTACAATCAAGCCTGACTCTCCTTAAAAGCTTCCAGCGGCTGCCACCACCTGCGCAACCTCCTTAGCCCCTGCCAGCATCTCCCACCTGTATTCATCACTCACCTGTTGCTGTCACAACACAAAGCAGCACCTGGCTCCTCCGCCCCCTTCTCCATGCCCGTACTGCTGCTGCCTCTGCCCAAACGTCCTGACCCGCCACCCCCGACCTGGCAGTGCTGACTTCTCAGCTTCTTTCAAGAGTTCCCTCTGCCATCATTTCAGGGAGGTCAGAGGTCCCTCCTAGGGGCTCCTGTGACAACCCGGGTGCATCTCTATACTGCCCACACCCGACCAGTTTTGGTTAATTATTGGTTCCCTCGTGCCTCCCCGCAACCTTGACACCCTTGTATGGGCGCTGAGCCAGACACAGACACGTGGGCTTTGATCCCAGTTCTGCCATTCCCCCACCTCCACTTTATCATCTATAAAATGGCGACAGAAACAGTGCCCCCTTCACAGGGCTTTATGATTCATGAAGTCAGTATACGTGGCGTGCTTGGCACCGTGCCCGGCAGTGGAAAGAGCTCAGTGTCACCCGTGCTTCTGCTACTCATCACCCTACACACAGCCAGCACACAGCCCACAGCTGGCGTCTCATCGATGCCGAATTGCTCAACAGAAGCAAAGTTTTAATTTTCAATTAGTTGAAATGAGCTGGAGCTAGCATGAGAAATGGGCAGGAAATGGACTTACAAAGAGAGGGGGCGGCGTCCTCAGAGCAGCAGACTGAGTGCACCAGTGTTCAGGTGACAGCGGCTCACGGTCTCCTCCACCACCACCTCATTGGAGGGTGAGGTAGGCATAGCGCTCAGGAGCCTGGCCACCTGGGGTGGAGTCTTGGCTCTGCCTCTAGTGAGCTGCAAAACCCTAAGTACGTCAGTTAATCTCTGTGCTTCAAAGGCCTCTTCTGTAAAATGGGGATGATGTTCCCCTGCCCCCAGGTAGCTGTGACAAGGAAGGGCACTCTGTGTAGTTAATGCATCGGTCTCTTGCGCATTGCACCCAAGAAGCACCCGCTAAATGTCAGCTCTTCTTTTTTTTTTTTTTTTGGAGACAGAATCTCACCCTGTCACCCAGGCTGGAGTGCAATGGCGCGATCTCGGTTCACTGCAAACTCCGCCTCCCAGGTTCAAGCGATTCTCCTGCCTCAGTCTCCTGAGTAGCCAGGCTAAATGTCAGCTCTTAGCCCTCGGCTCTCTGTGCCCTGCCAGCATCTGCCCGCCCCTAGGGGAAGTGACAGAGAGCAGCCCTTTTGTTTTCACCTCACAGTCAACGAAGCCAAAGGTCTGGGAGGAGCTCGAGGGGTCTGGAGGCACAGGGGTAGCAGCGCCAGGCAGGCCCTGGAATCCTGCTCCCCCACACTAGTGGGGGTGCAGCCAATTTCATACCTGAGATGAGCAACCAGCCCTGCCCAGACTCCTGCCCAACCCAGCCGGGGTAACCAGCCAGCGGTGACCAGGACCGGGCTGGCCCTGTGACCGACTGCAAAAGCTCCAGGGACAAATGGGGTTGACACTGACCAGAATCAGTCCACTGGGGCCGGGCACGGTGGCTCCCGCCTGTAATCCCAGCACTCTGGGAGGCCAAGGCAGGTGGATCACCTGAGGTCAGGAGTTCAAGACCAGCCGGGCCAACATGGCGAAACACCATCTCTACTAAAAAAAATACAAAAAATTAGCCAGGCGTGGTGGGGCACGCCTGTAGTCCCAGCTACTTGGGAGGCTGAGGTGGGAGAATCGCTTGAACTCAGAAGGCAGAGGTTGCAGTGAGCCAAGATCACACCACTGCACTCCAGCCTAGGCAACAAGAGCAAGACTCCATCTCAAAAAAAAAACAGAATCGGTCCATTGGGCTCAGGGCTCAGGGCTCAGGACAGGCAGAGCTAAGGCCAGAGAGGCCGCATGTTGCAAAAAGCAGGTGGAGAGAGCATGCTCCTCACCTCCTATGTTCCCACCCTATATCCACGGCCCAGTCCAAAGGCTTCCTCCTCCTCCCTCAAGCCTCTCGCCCCTTCCTTCCTGTTCTCTGCTTCTTCACCAACCCAGAGCTGTCACCTGAACCATGTTGACAGCCTCCTCATGGGCCTCCCTGCCTCCAGTCTCTCCATCTCATCTGTGCTTCACACTGAGGCCACAGTGATCTTTGCCCTGTCACTCTCTTGCTCAAAAACTATAATGGCTCCCCACTGCCCCAACTCCTGATAGGAGTGTGTGTGTGGTGGCTGAGAGCATGGACACTGGAATAAGGATGCTGGCTTGAATCCACACTCCTCCCCTCTTAGCAGGCAGCCTTGAGGGGGTTTTGTTTTGTTTTTAAATAAAGGAGTTCATAGACCTCAGTCTTTTCATCTGTAGAATGGGACTGATAAATGCACATACCTCCTGGGGCTGATGGGAAGATTAAATAACACATGTAAAGTATTTAGAAAATTCCTCCCAAATTATAGTTGCTACAGTTTTCTCAATGTAATTGGTACTACTCCTCCATAAACTGGCCCTAAACTTACAGCCTCGTGTGCTGCTGTCACTGTCCCCAACAAACCTTTGGCTCCAGCTAGGACAGCTGGGACAGTCCTAACATTGTCCTCTAATATTCGGTTTTTGTTTTGTTTTGTTTTGCTTTTTTGAGACAGGGTCTCGTTCTGTCACCCAGACTGGAGTGCAATGGTGCGATCTCAGCTCACGGCAACCTCCGCCTCTGGGGTTCAAGTGATTCTCATACCTCAGCCTCCCAAGTAGCTGGGACTACAGGTGCACACCACCACGCCTGGCTAATTTTTTTTTTTTTTTTCAGTAGAGACAGGGTTTCACCATGTTGGCCAGGGTGGTCTCCAACTCCTGACCTCAAGTGATCCGCCCGCCTTGGCCTCCCAAAGTGCTGGGATTACAGGCGTGAGCCACCGTGCCCGGCCTGTCCCCTAATATTCTTTCCTCCATATCTCTCTCCCCACACCATTCTCCTCCCTGTAGCCACTCATCCTAAACCCGCCTACCTTTCAGGGCTCAGCGGTTAGGAGGTTCCCCGTGTGGGCCTGGAGAAGGGCAGAATCAGGAAGGGGACAAGAAAAGACCAGGGCAATGACCAAAGGACCAAGCCACGACAGGAAGGAAATTGAGCCAAGGGGTGGGAGGGGTGATGTCCAGGGAGAATGGGATGCAGGAGTGGGGCTTGAGGGAGCTGGGGGCCAGGACAGGAAGGAGCAGGATTAGGGGCTTGCGAGGCTCAGGAAATGACAGCAGGAGCTGCTGGTGATGGGGCCACAGGAGCCTGGGGCCTCTGTGAGTTGCAGCCAGAAACTGGGGCTGGGGTCAGCGAGAGGAGGGGCCAGCAGGGGCACCCAGGGCACTGGTGGGGGTCCCGCTAACTGAGGCAAAGGACCAGAGCCCTTCCCCAGGAGTTCACAATCAAGTCCACAGCTGGACCACACCTGGGCCTTCTGAGCTGGGTGACGTGGCAGTGCAATCTGCACTCCACCCCCTGCCCAAAGCCACTCACTCCTGCTGGGACCAGGGAGGTCCTTGCTAATCTCAAGTGACAGCTGGGGCCACCAAGGTTCAGAAAGGAGAAGGGAATTGGCCAAGTTCTCCCGGAAGCAGAGGCCGGGCCAAGATGAGGCCTCAGACCCCTGACTCCCAGCCCCAGGCCCCGCCCACTCCCACGGCCTCTGGCCTTGCTCCTGAAAGACCTTCAAGAAGGCCTCCCGCTGACAGCTCGGAAGATGTCCTCCCCCCTCCCTGTCCACAGCCCGCCTGCCTCCAAATCCCCTCCCGCTCTGCTCTCCCACTCAGGCGCACTGATTCTCTGAACCTGTGGCCACATCAGTCTCACTAGTGCAGGGCCACGCTCAGACTGAAGCAGACGGTGGGCCACTGTCTGGACAGCAAAGGAAAACAAACAAATGCTCCTGGTGATTTCTGCGCTGTCTCCGGTCAGAGTGGCTGGGTCAAACCTGAGCCCCAGCTCCGAAAGGGACCCACAGAGTAGAGATCTGCTAGGCCTCTCAAGGAGCCAGTACATCTGAAAGAGATTCAGCCTGCAGCCCTCGAAGTCAGGTTACACTGTCTGTTTTCCCAGCAGAACATGCCCACTAGTGTCCAAAAGAGGGGGTAGGGAGGGCAGCTGGCCCTCCTGGGGCCTGAGAAGGGGCTCTGCAGCCCCCCTCCAAACACCCAATACTTGCTGTGAACTAGCCAGCTAACAGGTCTCCTGAATCCAGCAACAGAATCAATAATCTAGCAACCATGAACCTCCAGGGTGACAATTCCAACCCCTCCTACTTTTCAAAGAAGAAATGGAAGCTGGGCGCAGTGGCTCACGCCTGTAATTCCAGCACTTTGGGAGGCCAAGGCGGGCAGATCACTTGAGGTCAGGAGTTCGAGACCAGCCTGGCCAACATGGTGAAACCCCATCTCTACTAAAAATACAAAAACTAGCCGGGTGTGGTGGTGCATGCCTGTAATCCCAGTTACTTGGAAGGTTGAGGCTGGAGAATAGCTTGAACCTGGGAGGCAGAGGTTGCAGTGAGCCAAGATCACGCCACTGCACTCCAGCCTGGGCAACGGAGTCAGACTCCATCAGAAGAAGAAGGAGAAGGAGAAGGAGAAGGAGAAGGAGAAGGAGAAGGAGAAGGAGAAGGAGAAGGAGAAGGAGAAGGAGAAGGAGAAGGAGAAGGAGAAGGAGAAGAAGAAGAAGAAGAAGAAGAAGAAGAAGAAGAAGAAGAAATGGAGTCTCAGAGATGCAGAGTGGCTTGTCACAGCCCACAGGAAAGACAGGCTAGATGCAAGGGCAGAGCCAGAGCCCTGGGATGCGCCGCCAACAGCCCTCCCCCCGCACTCCCCCCTGCACACTTGGGGCTCACGCTTGGGGCAGAAGTCAATGATCTCTTCCAACCCCCCATCAGCGAACAGACACTTCCTCCTCCGGGGCTCACAGCCAAGTACCTCAAACCACAGTGACATCACTGCCACCTGTGACATCACTACACGCCACAGTGGAAAAAGACTGTGGGTCCCAGAGAGGTGGGTCCTGAGCATCAGAGCCCCAGCCCCGCAGTCAGCTACTCAGCAGAGGTGATCAAGGCCCAAAGCCCTAGGCCTGGAAGGGGGCAGGACTCAGAACCGGGTCAGAGCAGCCTGCACCCATTACCAGCGACAAAGGGCTTCTTCCAGGAAAACGCCCTTCCTGCTCAAGGCTTCCTTGAACCTGTGGGTTCCCAGACAGCAGGCTCTGCAGCGCCTGCCTACAGTAAGGACTTTCCTACAGTGTGGGGAAGGGGAAAGGATCTAGCTCCCGAACTTGAAAAGGTGCCACCTAGGTACCAAGGGGCAGAGAGGCAGGACATCCACAAACCCCAGTTCTGCCTAAGGAGCTCCACCATGTCCTTCATGAAGGCTGAAAGGCAGCCGTGAATTCTTGATGGCCCTGGAGCCTGAGTCAGGAAATCAATCCACCCAAAGCAAGTGAGATTGAGGTCAGCAAGAAGAAGAGAAGCTGGGGAACCAAGATATTGACAGTGGGGAGTCCTGGGCTCTCCTTCCTGTAGACTTTTATATACCCCACCCCCAATCTGTGGCCTTTGTCAAGTATACTCAAAGCCGACACTTCCCCAATATTCTAGGAAAGCATTGGAACCAGGGTTGTTAGGTTTCATAGATAGGGATGCTTAGGCCCAGAGAGGTTAAGTAACCCAAGCAAGGTAGCACAGCAAGCCAGTGACGGTGCTCAGATGGGAACTGTGATCTCCCAACACCCAAGTCAGTGCTCCTTCCTCAGAGCCATGCTGTCTTAGAAGTCACTTGGAGGCAGGAAAATGGACAGCATGATCTCAGAAGAGCCCCCATAGGGCATCCCCTTCTCAGGGTCACAAGTAAACAGAACCTTCAGCAGCACAGAGGTTGGAGATGGAAGAGGTTTTGGAGATGGCCTGGAATCTTCCCGTGCCCATCTTGCAAACTGAAGCCTTGTGCACTCTCTCTGTGCTTCACCAAATGTACCCTTCACTCATCCCCAAAACACACAGCACCTGTTACTCACTAAAAGGGGTGGCAAAGGGAGGGGAGGGGATATCCTGACCCCACAGCCTTTGCCACAATACAGTGTCCTAAGACCAGGCTGTCAAGCAGTGGGTTTGAGAGCCCAGCCAGGGGGCACTGGGGCAGAAGCACAGACAGGAAAAGGCAGGGAGGAAAGAAGTTGCTTTCTGAGATGATGGGCAACAAAGCCACTTAGACAGGAACTCTGGGCAACTGCAGGGCTGCCACCCAAGCTTCAGGGCCCTGGGGCTCAGAGCAGACAGTCTGACTCCACAGGGGTCCCCACCTAGGCCCGAGCACCACCCCATGGCCCAGAGAGTCGGGTCAGACCTGCAAAGCCACCAATGGCTCAAATAGCTGCCAATGCCAGGATTAGAAAGCACTTTTAATCCTGACAGCCAGCCCGTGAGGCTAGGATTACTCCCATTTTACAGATAAGAACACAGAGGCTCCGAGGGATAGAAAGACTTGCCCAGGTCACACAGCCAGTAAAACAGCAGAGCAGCGACTTGAGGTTTATCTGATTCAGAGGCCGGGGCCTTTCCCCAGAGTCATCAGTGCTGCTTCCCTGTGGCCAGACGAGGGTCCAGAACGGGGAGCCACAGCGCCTCTCCTTTGTTCCTGTTCATCCCCGGCACCCCAAACCCCAGCTTCCCTCCTTGCCCGCTTCTGGGTAAATCACATGCATTCTGGGGCCCTGAGTCACCGTCAGTGAGTGGCCCCATCCCTCACTACACGAGGGATGTCGAGGGGGTGAGCAATTTGGGGAGAGGACCCCTAACCTCAGCAGACACCACTCAATGGGAAGAGGAGCCCAGAAAAATACCCCAAGAGATGGAGGCAAACAGAACCCCACCCTGCCACCACTGACTTTTCAAACCCCCGTCTCATCTGTAAAACAGGGCCATTATCAAGGTCAAGGTCAGATGAATATTTTTTGAACACTTACTATGTGCCAGGCACTGTCCTAGGCCAGTGGTTCTCAATCAGGGGCAATCCCCCAACCCCAAAGGACACTTAGCAATATCTGGAGATATTTTTGTCACGAGGGAGGGTGGCGCTACTGCCATCCAATAAGTAGAGGCCAGGGATGTCGCTAAACATCCTACAGCTCACGGGACAGCCCCACAACAAAGAATTAAAGTCAGAGGCACTGACTGAAAAACCCTCTTCTAGGCTAGAGTCTACAGTGGTGAATGAGTCCCTGTCCTCACGGTACTTACAATCTTGTGGGAAGACATAATAAAAGTGAAATAAATAGAATAGGTCAAGAGCATTATACAGGAATACAAAGCAGGTCAGGGAGTGAGAGTGCCTGGCAGGGAGCACCTACAGGCAGGATTGTCTACTTCAGCAGAAGGAAGCGAGGGAAGGAGACCAAGAGACGTCAGCAGGAGGAGTATTGGAGGTGATGGGGAAAGCAAGTGCAAAGGCCCTGGAGCAGGTGTGTGTGCAGCACATCTGAGGACAGAAAAGCATGGCTTAAAAGTGAGAATGGGGCTGGGTGGGGTGGCTCACGCCTATAATCCCAGCACTTCGGGAGGCCGAGGCAGGTGGATCACTTGAGTTCAGGAGTTCGAGACCAGCCTGGCCAACATGGCAAAACCCGGTCTCTACTAAAAAAAAAAAAAAAAAGGAAAAATTAGCCGGGCATGGTGGCACACACCTGTAATCCCAGCTACTTGGGAGGCTGAGGTGGGAAAATTGCTTGAACCCAGGAGGTGGAGGTTGCAGTGAGCAGAGATTGGGCCACTGCACTCCAGCCTGGGTGACAGAGTAAGACTCTATCTCAATAAAAAAAAATTAAATAGAAAAAAAGAAGAAGAAGTGAGAACGGGCCAGGCACAGTGGCACATGCTTGTAATCCCAGCACTTTGGGAGGCTGAGGCGGGAGGATCACTTGAGGTCAGGGGTCCAAGACCATCCTGGGCAATATGGTGAAACCCCGACTCTACTAAAAATACAAAAAAAAAAAAAATTAGTTGGGCATGGTGGTGCATGCCTGTAGTCCCAGCTACTCTGGAGGCTGAGGCAGGAGAATCGTTTGAACCCAAGAGGCAGATGGAGACTGCAGTGAGCAGAGATGTCGCCACTGCACTCCAGCCTGAGCAACAGAGCAAGACTCCATCTCAGAAAAAAAGTAAGAAGTGAGTTGGTGTAGAGTCGGGTGTAACATACATGCCATGGCTCCGGCAAAACTCTTCCCCTTCCCACGCACAACCGTCCCTGCTACTCCTCCAGAAAACATTGCATAGTAAGGACCATAAAGCGTCACCCAGCCGTGGGGAGGGACAGTGCTACGGGGAGCCACTGTGCCAGGTGCCAGGATGGCAGGGTCACCTCTGACGTAAGAATGCCCGGCAGGTTCTCAGCCTTTCACACCCATGGCTCTGTGACAAAGGCCAGGCAGGGAATACTTTCCACAACCACAGATGAGAACATAGGCTTACTAGCTCAGCTAAGCTCATAAGGGCAGTTGGGACAGAGCCCAGGTCTGTGAGGTCTGTGACCTATTGGTAGTGTAGCTCCTAGAGGATTGGAGCTGGAGTCATCTTGAGGTCCCCAGAGCCAGGCACTGGGCTGGGCTTGGACTAGGTGTGTCCATGAACTTTGGGGAATGAATGAATGAATGAATGGCCCTGCCTCAGGGTGCCTGGCCACCTACCCATTGCCCTCTGAAGACGTGCCTGACCAACAGACCACACCCTCAGTCAACACACAGGGTCCCCACTGGGATTTCAGACAGAGGGCAAAGAGACAGAGACGTGGTGGAAGGAGGGAAGAGCCCCCAGGGCCAGCAGGTACCCCAGATCACCCAACTCCTCTTTGACATCCAGCCTGGGAGCCCCCAACCTCTCCCCTAACCCAAACTGGCCCCAGGCCCTGGGTGATGAGGAGGCAAATAGTGGCACCTCAGCACCAAGACTTCCAGGGGTAGGTGGGCCAGGCCCATCAGGCAGAGACCCCTCATCCTCCTCCCCAGACAGCCCAGACCCTGCTCATCCCCATCAGAGGGCACCAAGCACTCACCTACTGCCAGGTTTACTGGCATTTCTTTGTCAAATGAATAAATGGCTAAATGAATGAATGATGTTTTCCATACCAGCTGGCAAATAAGACTTTTAAACGGGGCAAAAGCCCTGCTGGCAGTGAGTCGGCTGCGTCCATGGCTAGCTCAGGTCTCCTGGGGGCTTCTTCTGCAGCTCAGTTGACTTCCATCCTGAGAACCCACTGTGTGTGAGGGCCTGGCTGGGAGCATGAGTGCAGATACGGGCACGGGGAGGGTGCAGTGAAAGGAGCTTGGGAATCAGGCAGACCTGCATTCAAATCCCACCCCCAGCTCCCCGGCCCCCAGCTCTGTGATCCTGGGAAACGCCTCAGTTTCCACATCTCTAAAGACAAACGGCACCACCCACCTCTTGGGAGTTGCTGTAAGGGAGGTTTCAGTGAAATTTTGTGACAAAGTACCTAGCCCAGTGCCTGGTGTTTAGTGGGTGTTCAGAAATCAGGAGCTATGGCGATGCTACTGATGAGAAGGAAGAGGAACCCACAGTTCTGGCCCTGAAGACACCTTCCATCCACTGAGGGGGATAAAACACAGCTAGATTAAAAAGCAGAATGCAATCTGTCCTCAAAGGGAACAAAAGGGCCTGGGAGTTCGAAGAGAAGATCAAATCCAACTGAGAATGCGGAAAGGCTTTCCTGGAGAGAATGGCATTTGCAGAAGGCCTTGAAGGATAGGGGTAAGAAGTGTCCCTTGGAGAGGGGATGGCACGGACAATGCTTTTTGCACAATGACACACACGATGACCATCATCAGTTCTACAGAGGCGGGGGAGCACATGTGCAGGGAGGCGCGAGGAAGAGTTCAGGTACCTTACTCTGGCCTGGGATCTCCAGGGGAGTTTCTGCCTCAACCATTGGGAGCCACAGGAGGCTCCCCAGGCAAACAGAGAGGTGCCTCATGCTTGAGAAGGGTCTCTCTGCCAAGGATCAGCGGGAGAGGGGGCAGGGCCGGGAGACCAGCTACAAGGCTGCGGCAATAGTCCGGGTGGGGTCGTGGGGAGCAGGGATGAGGGAGGAGGGAATATGAGCTGCCGCAGGAGCTGGTCAGGAAGGGAAGGAAGTGGGAGGGAACCTCCTCCAGCTACTCCAGGACTGCAGCCTGGTGTCCTGCTGAGCCCTGTGCCTGACACCCCTCTCCCATCCAGGGGCTCACATGACCCCAGAGTTCACCCAGGCAGGCCCAAGCTCAGCGGCAGGAAGACCCCCTCTGAGGCCAGAGTATATGGCATGACCCCAAAGTCAAGCTGGGGACCACGGTCGTCCCCATTCACACTCGGCCCTAGAGTGGGGACTCTCCTGACCCAAAGGCCACCCAGGACTTACTCTGGGGCAGTTCTCCAGGACCCACTCCTGACACCCACTGTCGGTGAGTCAATTCTAGTCTGACAGCCCCCATCTTCCACCCACAAGAACTGGACTCTCTGGCCTCAGATCAACAAGTCACCTTATGTCACCACAGAAGCCAGTGCCACCTCCCACCTTCCTCCTCGGTCAAGATGTCAGATGGGGGCAGATGGGCCATGTGTCCATCAGGGGCGGCTCTGAGGAAGGATGAACGCCCACCTTCCCCGCAGCCTCAGGGCACAGGGGCCGAAGGCAGGAGAGGCCCCCTTTGGAGGAAGAGTTCCCCCCAGACCCTTCCATGAAATACAAGTTCTCTGAGCCTCAGTTTTCCTTCTCTAAAAAATGGTTTATCTTATCTTACCAAACCATGGAGACAGTAAAACAAAAATGGGGTTATCCTATGTTACCAGACCAGGAGACAGTCAAAAACAGGCAAAGGGTGCACAGTCCCTTGTACGCCCGTTGCTACTGTGGGAGTGACGTTCATATTGAATAGGAGCCCTAGGGTTTCTGCTGTCTCCATTTTCCTGCGGCCCCCGGAGACTTCATTTGCCTTGCTCGATTACCAGCCCAGACCTCCCTCGCTTGCCCTGTCCCCAGAGGCCGCAGAAAACAGACTCTGCAGTAGCCCCCGGACGCATCGGAGGAAGCAGACAGGCAGCTCGCCCTCCAGCTGTGCCCTCAGTGGACCTGACACACACCTGGTCCTGCTCTTCAGACACAGGACCCTGGTATTTCTAAGAAATCGGAAAACCGTCGCCCAGAGGAAAAGGAAGTCTTTTGAAGAGGGTGCCCGGCGTGGGCAGTGGGGCAGCGCCCCGGCACAGCCCCTTCTCCACCGCGTGGGAGGGAAGGGCTGTCGCGGCAGTCGCCGGGGTGAGGGAAGAGGGGTCCCGGGTCTAGCGGGGGTCTGCCCAGGACCCGCTGCTCAGCCCCAAATGCCCCGGCCTGCGCTCGCGGAGGAACCAGGGTGCGCCCCTGTCACGACGCGGGTAAGAGGGGCTTCGGGGGCCAGAGTTGTGCCCCGAGCGCACGTGTGCCGGGCCCGGAGTCCCCAGCGGGTCCCCAGAGGCGCGCGTGTCTGATGCGGATGGGGGGCGGCGACTGGGACTCCCAGCCTCCCAGCCCGTGACAGCGCCCCGGGAGAGCGCGGCCCGGGCACCCGAAGGCTGCGCACCAGCCGGGTGGACATGCGGGGCGGCTGTCCCCCGTGGGCCGCGCGAGTCACCCACCTGGGCGGGCAAGGCGTGCGCCGCAGCCCAGAGCTCCAGTCCGACGGCCAGCGCGGCCCAGACGGCGACGGGCGCCATGGGTGCGGGCGGGGTCCGGTTGCCCCCTGCCCTCGCGCCCTCGCGCCCTCGCAGCCCAGCGCCTTCTCTCCAGGCTCCGCTGCGCTCGCTAGCCCTCGACTGAAAGCGAAAGCCCGCGCCCCAGCGGGCCAGAGGCCAGGCGGCGGGGCGGGGCGGGGCCAGCCGGCCTTGGACACGCCTCCCCCACGCCCCTCCCCAGACGCTGCTGGGCCTCCGACCCGACCACTCCAGCATCGCTGGGCCGATACCTCCAGCGTCACTCCCAGCACTCGGGTGACCCCTCAACCTCCTCCTATCGTCCCCTCCTCTTCGAATCACCATCTCCACCTGCCCGGCCTCCACCTGCCCGGCCTCCACCTGCCCTCCCAGCTCCCACAGGCTTCCCTGTCCCGTGAGGGTGAGGCACTAATTTGGAAAAACATCCCCCAAAGCTGACAGCTGCTTTAGGGGAACCAAGAGAATTCTAGATCATTCACTTATTTAGACTCTATTTTAAATATATTTAATTCTTATTTTTTAATTTTTTTTGAGACAAGGTCTCACTCTTTCACCCATAGCTCACTGCAGCCTCCAACTCCTGCGCTCAAGCGATCCTCCCACCTCAGCCTCCCGAGTAGCTGGGACTACAGGCTCGGGCCACCATGCTAGGCTGATTTCTTTATAGAGATGGGGTTTCGCCATGTTGTCCAGGCTGGTCTCGAACTCCTGAGCTCACGTGTTCTTCCCACCCTCAAGTGATCTTCCCGCCTCTGGCCTCCCAAGGTGCTGGGATTATAGGTGTGAGCCACTGCACTCGGCCTGTTTAGACTCTAGAGCCAGACCACCTGGGTCTGGATCTCTGAACTGACCTCATAGGACTATTCTAAAAATTTAAAGATATGTAATATACATAATGCAGTCTGTACTTTATATATACTTAAGTAAGTATCTACATATATAACAATAGGCATTTATAAATCTTGGCTGTTGTTACTACTCTTCGCGTGTTCATTTATCCTTAAACACGCATCCAGCCTTCTCACAGGGAGAAGACTCTGCACTTCCCTGCTCAAGTCTCCTGCCCAGGCAGGGGGCAGATGAACAGAGGCTGGGAGAGAATGTCACCAGGGAAGCTGCAGGGCCCTGAGGGGCTGCTGAGACCAGGCCCAGGAGAGCTGGCTTCCCCAGGATTTACATCATGACCGAGCACCCATTCCAGCTGCAATCTGTCCCCCCATCCCCACTTTGAGTGCCAGCCCTAATACAGGGCCAGCCCTGCGGGGCCAGAGCACATTCCTCCAGCCCTGGATTACGGGGGTCCTAGCCCCCAGCACATAGGGCATTTCTAAGGGTTGGGGTGGGCTGGGTGGCAGGAGGCTATTCTGTTCCCTGTTTCCTCACTGCAGGCTGCCTGAAGAGGTACAGAGACCCTTGCTCCCGGCCACCAGCCCCACAGTGGAGCCTGCAAGGATGGTGCTTCTAGGTGCTGAGTGCTGAGTGAGAAACTGGGAAGTGACTCCCTGGGGATGGAAAACCCCACCTCCTGACCAGGAGGCTGGGAAATCACCTGGTTTCCACATGTTTCTGTGACATGGACCACGCTGAGGGTGTGGCTGGTATGACCCACAGCCTTAACTCTGCAGAGCCGCTGGACAGACATGCAGAGCTCTTCTGGCCCTTATGAGAATGCCTAGGAGCAGCTCCAAGGACTCCTTGATCCCTAAAATAGAGCTGAAGGCAGGAGGGAGATGTCACCTCGTGGAAGCAGGGGACAATAGTTCTCTCTAGTTGTCCCCCACACACCTCAAGACCAATGGGACCAACAGACTGTCTGCACCCCCAACCCTCAACAACCGGCTCCTCCTGCCAGTTTCCCTATCCCAGTGAATGGCACCATCACCTCCTGAAGGTGGGGATCCTCCCAGGCTTAGGTCCCATCCTGGGAACGAATTCAAGCTTAATCTCTATGCAACATGGGGCTTCTCCCCTTCTCCAGGCCGACCCAGGCTTGAGAGCAGGCGACTTCTCTCTGAACTCTGCCAAGTGCAGTTCTTGACTCCAGGGTCAGGCCCAGGGGTGAGGGTTTGGGAAGGAAAGGGCACAGTGTTCCATGGCAGCCAAAGTTGTCACCCATCTGGCACTGGGGACTTTGGGGACAGTTTCCAGCTCATTCTCTCTGGGGCTCTAGTGCAGGTTTCTTGGAGACCTTCTTACTGACTCCACTGGCCACAGCTCCCCAGCACCTGAAATGCCTGCACCTCCTGCTGGCCACAATTCACCACCTCCCCTTCAGCTCCTACAGGATGGTGTCCTCCTGGCTTCTCCTGCTGAGGCCGCCTTACCTACTAGGAAGCACTTTGGGATGGAGATGGTCAGGCTGGCCTCCTCGCTGGGGTCCATGGTTGCCTGCCCTTTGCTGCGCACCAATAGCAGCCCAGCTAACTCTCCGTGCACCCTGGCTCACTCCAGCAATGCTGGCTCAGGTCCATCCAGCCACAGGCTCCTTTATTAAGCACCTACTGTGTGCCAGCCCTGGAGTGCTGGGGACTCAGCAGTGGACAAAATAGACAAGAATCTTCCACCTGTGTTATGGTCCTTAAACTCCTGGGATATGAAGCCCCCAGATGGCTCCCTCGTATCCCCTCCTGCTTGGCCCAAGGTAAGAGGAAGTGCCCTCTCCGCTCCAAAGGGCAGCAGGGGGCACTCAGCCCAATGGTGACTCCTTCCCCAAAATCCTCTCTCTTGGCTTCTCCAACCCCACATCTTATTTAGGCTGGAGGTGGCGATGGCCAGTTCTGGCTGAACCAGTTTGTCTCTCCACATGACCTGCACACGTGGTCCGGGACTTTTTCTTCAGTGTGGGTGGGGGGGGGATTGATCTTGACACTCACCATATTGTACCTGCCACTGGGGAATATGGTAAAACTCAGGGACAGCAGAGGCAGTGTGGAGGGCCTGGACTCTCTCCTTCTGCCCCACAGCCCAGCCCTGGCTCTATCTCCCACCCATGATGCTCTGGGCCTCCCGATGAGGCTCTGGCCTTCAGGCTCTGTCCCCGAATCTGCCTTTCCGTGGAGTGGTCAGGCCCAGCCCTGCAAAGCATTAGCCACTCATGCCACTCTCCTAGCCCAGGATTTCTCAACCCAGAGGTCATTTTACCCCCTCTCCCTCCCCAGCACATTTGGCAATGTCTGGAGACATTTTGGGTGGTCGCAGCTGCAGGGGGCAGGGAGAGGTGCTGCTGGCATCTCACAGGTAGAGGCCAGGATTCTGCCAAACATCCCACAACGCTCAGGACAGCCTCATCCACAGAGAATTATCCAGCCCAAAACGTCCAGAACGCCAAGGTTGAGAAGCAACCTAGCCCATGGCTCTCCATGGCCTTTAGAACTGATTTCAGCCTCCTCCACAAGACACTGGAGGCCTTCATGTCCTGGCCCAGCTGGCCCACCAGGCAGAGCCCCACCACGAACCCCAGCTCTACAGGCCAACTCCCTGGGCATTCGGAGCAACCCTGAGTTCCCACCTCCATGCTTTTGTCCATGCAGGTTCCTCTGCCTGAGGTGTGTTTTCCTCTTTGTTTGTTTGGTGATCACCTACTTGTCCTTCCAGTCACAGCTCCACTCGTGCTCTCCTGTGAAACCACCCTTGACCACACCCCAGCAAGCTGGGCAGGATAACATGGTACGTCTACAGACTATTAGCATAACACTTACTCCGGTATTAGTTGCTTACACGGCCCTCGCCTCTCTTAGTAATTGTGATACTAGCGGTTATGGAAAGATGACTTACACACTTTATCTTGCACCAGGTGGGGGGCAAGCTTTATGGTATGCTTATCCAGCTAATACGGGGTACAGCGGGTTCAAACCTGGTTTGGTGGCCTCTCCATAGCCAAGGGGCTCTTCTCAGCATGGAGCTCTCACACTGCTGAAC
The DNA here is from genome assembly GCF_000001405.40 of Homo sapiens. NCBI lineage: Eukaryota > Metazoa > Chordata > Mammalia > Primates > Hominidae > Homo > Homo sapiens. The sequence goes on along the minus strand of NC_000001.11, from coordinate 12,163,176 downwards.
TGTGTGATACCCGAGGGTAGGGGGACTTGCTCTTGGTTCCCTCTATTTCCCTTGATTGAGTCCCTTCTTGTGCATCTCCTGTATGTTCTGGCCCAGGAGATACCTAACGGGGGGCTTGATAAAGTTGAAGTGAATAAGGACCAAATACAGGATGAAGGGTACGCAGGAGGCGATGAAGGGATGAAGACTTGAGAGAATGAATGAATGAATGAATGAATGGGTACATGGATGTCCGGGTCAAGGCTCAGGAACCCAGTCCAGCCCAATCACTCCTAGGCCCTGTATACCCAACCCAGACTCCCAAGCCATGCATCTGGTAGACTCCCAGCCCCACAGCGCAGAAAAGTCCCCATTTGCTCCTTGTTGACAACACAGTCTTCAAGCAGAGATGGAACTGTGGCCCTCAGGTCCTCAACTCAGGGGCTGCATGTGCAGAATCTGAGCTCTTGGCCAGACACTCCCTGGAGCCTCTCCTCACTTCCCAGCTCAGTCTACAGCCCTCAGAGGTCCCCTGACATCTCCCACCCCAGTAGGTGGATGACTGCACTCCTGCAAGCGAGGGTGGAAGAAGGCAGGGCCACGGGCAGGCCACGTGTGCGAGGACAGCCGGTCTGTCCACTGACAGTTATTGAACACCTACTGTGTACCGGGCATTCTAGTGGATCTTTTGGAGGAGTGGCTTTCCAGCTTCAACCAGCATAAGAATCATCTGGAAGGCTTGTGAAACATGCAGAGTCCTGGGCCCCACGCCCATGTCTGTTGAGGGCCTAATATCTGGCTTTTTAATGGACTCCTCAGTGACTGAGGGGCACCTGCTGAGAAACCGTACAGAGGGTTGAGGTGCAGCAGGTGCTGTGTGTGGCTGAGGGCAGTTTGGAAGGCTGAGCTGTGGTTGTGCTGGGAGGGGCTCTTTCCACCATGGGGAGGTCTCCATGCAATATTCTTTTTGGAGTGAGCTTTCAGAGCCAGCCACAAAGCCAACTCCTTCTGACCTGGCCTCAGGGTCCCAGTGGGAATCTATCTTACAGGGTTGCTTGGACAGCGGGAACCCTACTCCTTCCCTGCTTAAGGCTGGCCCACAGCCAGGGCAAGTAACCTTTTCTTGTCCCTCAGTCCTGCTTATCTCAGCGCCCTGAATGTGCCGGGCCAGCCCCTTGATGACTCATGTCCTAAAATCACGAACAGGAAGCAGCATTTGGTGTTAGCCACAGCTCTACAACTGCCTGCTTCATCTGGCCCTCCTACCGGTCCTCCTCCCTTCCCTGGGGCCACATCTTGGGCTGAGCTGGCCATACCATGCTGTGGGCTGGGGGCACCGAGAAACACCAGCTCTTGTCCCCATCTCCTTCCAAAGAAGAGGAGGGCCTGGGGGTGCAGCACCCCCTCTCTCCCAGTACTCAAAGAGGACCACAGGCAATTTGGGGAAGGAAGCCAAGAGAGCCTCCAGGCCTCCTTCTCCCCTTGCTTCACTAAAACCTCCCTGTTCTGAGTGGCCTCTTCCCAGGACTCAACGCCAGAATCAGTCCCAGACCTTCTGGAGAAGACCCTTGGTTTCTAAACCCAGCAAGTGGGACTAGCTAAGTCTCAGGAATCCCCATTCTAGCCCCCTTCCTGTGTGACCTTGGGCTAGTGCCTACCCCTCTCTGGGCTTCAGCATCCTCATGTGTGACATGAGGAGTTGGATTTCAGGGGAAGCAGGCTGGTTTCCCCCCATATGCAGCTCCACTTGGTGATGGCTGCCTAGGGCTCTGTGTTGAGAAGGACTCTGAGCCTGGGCTCTGCAGGAAAGGATGCAGGATGGAGCAGCCCGGTGTGCCCTGGGCGGGAAGGGGTTGGCCTCAGCACAAACACCTGGCCTTTGCCATCTCTGGATTAGACCAAGTGCCCCTCTTGTCCTGAAGTTGTGTGGAGTGGGGTGCAGATGTGTGGGGTGGGTGCACCAGATGTGTGCGGTGGGGCACAGCAGGGCTAGGCTTGACTCCAAACCCCTGCCTTTATCGGCACAAGGCAGGTCTTGCCTGACCTGTGGGAATGATTGCCCAGGTAGAGGGGTGCACAGTTTGCCCTTTATGCAGAGCCTTTTCCTGACAGGAAATTCTCCTTTTCATCCTACTGCAAAGCACACTGCTGTATTTTACACACAGCAGTAACATTTTTTTTTTTTGAGACAGGGTCTCACTCTGCCACCCAGGTTGGAGTGCAGTGGCGCAATCACAGCTCGCTGCAGCCTCAACCTCCTGGTCTCAAGTGATCTTCCCACCTCAGCCTCCTGAGTAGGTGGGACCACAGGTGCATGCCACCATGCCTGGCTAATGTATTTTTTGTAGAGACGGGTTTTCGCCATGTTACCCAGGCTGTTTTCGAATTCCTAGGCTCAAATGATCCTCCCACTTCTGCCTTCCAAAGTACTAGGATTATAGGTGTTAGCCACCATGCCCAGCCTTTTTTGTTGTTGTTGTTGAGACAGAGTTTCGATCTGTCGCCCAGGCTGGAGTGAAATGGCTTGATCTTGGCTCACTGCAACCTCCGCCTCCCCCAGCTTCAAGCGATTCTCCTGCCTCAGCCTCCCAAGTAGCTGGGATTACAGGTGCCCACCACCATGCCTGGCTAATTTTTTGCATTTTCTTTAGCAGAGACGGGGTTTCGCCATGTTGGCCAGGCTGGTCTCAAACTCCTGAGCTCAAAAGTGATCCACCCACTTCAGTAGCCTCCCAAAGTGCTGGAATTACAGGCATGAGCCACCATGCCCAGCCTTTTTTTTTTTTTTTAAGTTTTCTTCTAGTTACACTTTATCTTATTATTTTTAATAGTAGAGAAGGGTTTCACTATGTTGCCCAGGCCAGTCTCAAACTTCTGAGCTCAAGTGATCCACCCACCTAGGCCTCCAAAAGTGCTGGGATTACAGGCCCCACTACACCCAGCCTCCCAGCAGTAACCTTTTTAACCCTACATTATCTTTGTTTAGATTTTTTTTTTTAGAAATTAAAAAAATTAAAGCATCATATAAAAAATCCATATTCCACTACCCAGAACTGACCAGTGGTAACAGCCAGGGTTGCCCTCACTCCTCCCTGAGCCCGCTGGCCCGGCCGCCCTTGCTGGAACACACAAAGCATTCTCCCACCTTGAGGCCTTCGCACTGGCAGTTCCCTCTGCCTGGATCACCTTTCCTCCAGATACCTGCATGACTCACTTCCCCTTATCAGTCTCTGCTCAAATGCCACATCCTCAGAGAGGCATCCCTGGCACCCCGCCCCCGCCCCCCCGCCCCCAACCAAAATAGCTACTTTACTTTTCTTAATAGCAGTTGTTATAATTTCTCTTTGGATCTGTTTATCATCTGTTTCTCCCATGAAGGCAGGGAACTTGTCTGTTTTGTTTTGCTCTCTGCTGGGTCCCCAGCAGCTAAGAAGCTGCACAGATATCAAATATATATATATAAAATGTGTGTGTATATATATACATAAATTTTTTTTTTTTTTTGAGATGGAGTCCCGCTCTGTTGCCCAGGCTGGAGTGCAGTGGTGTGATCTCAGCTCACTGCAACCTCTGCCTCCTGGGTTCAAGTGATTCTCATGCCTCAGCCTCCCAAGTAGCTGAGATTACAGGCATGTGTCACCATGCCTGGACAATTTTTTTTTTTTTTTTTTTGAGACGGAGTCTCTCTCTATTGCCCAGGCTGGAGAGCAATGGCGCGATCTTGGCTCACTGCAACCTCCGCCTGCCAGGTTCAAGCCATTCTCCTGCCTCAGCCTCCTGAGTAGCTGGGATTACAGGCATGTGCCACCACGCCTGGCTAATTTTTGTATTTTTAGGTAGAGACGGAGTTTCACCATGTTGGTCAGGCTGGTCTCGAACTCCTGACCTCGTGATCCGCCCGCCTCGGCCTCCCAAAGTGCTGGGATTACAGGCGTGAGCCACCTCGCCCGGCCTTCAATTAGATATTTAAAAAAAAATAGTAGGCTCTCAGTAAACATATGTTGATTATTTTTTGCTTCAAATACTTTTATAATTCAAATGGAAATCCTTGACACCCAGCCAAAGTTGTAGTCCCCTTGATTCAGCCCCCAAAAGAGCAATTCCTCTGGGTTTGTGGTGTTTCTCACCAGTCCGTTTTCTGCTTCCACACACCAATGTAGAGTGTTATTCTAGATACACGCGTCTACATCTACACAAACGATGAAACACCAGGTGCGCCGTCCTGCCCCTTGCTTTTTTCCCCTCGGCTGTGTTTCTGAGAACTTTCCATATTGATGAGTTCAGATCCGCTTATTGTTTCTACCTGCTGCTGCTGCTACTCGGTGCTGCGCCTGCCCGGTGCCTGTCTCACACCTTGCTGCCCCGCTCCCCTGGAATGGGCCTTTGGGGTGTTTGCACTTTGGCTCCACTGCACACACTGAGATGCGCGTTCCTGCATCTGTCTCCCAATGCCCAAGGTTGAATGTTTCTCAAGGTCTTAAACCTGGAAAGTAGAACTGCTGGGCAGTGGCAGGCCGTGGGTTTGCATGTTTTCATTTTCACGGGGCCCTGCCAAATTCCTCTCAGGGGGCTGCACCCTGGACACTCCTGCCAGCAGCGTGTGAGAGTCCCAATCCCCACATCTGCAGCGGGGCGGGGGGCGTTTGATCTTGTCAGTGGGTTTCCTTTTACAGCCCTTTGTATTTTCAAAGGGCTTTCAATTCTCCCTTTCAATTCTTTTCAATTCTTTCAGCCTCATCGTGGCCCTGCCAAGTGAGTGTTACCCTTTCCAGGATCCTGGTCTCTCCACTTCTAACTCCCAACCCGTAACCCCTCCAAACCCACTCTCTGTCCCCCTTCCCCAACCCCCACTTTCCAAAACCCACACCCCACCAAAACCTCCCCATTTCACTGGTCTCTCCAAGTAGCAGCTGGAGCCATCTGTGGACCACAATTTTCTAGACAAAGTCTCAAACATAAGCAACAGCTGCCTTTCCACCATATATCCTATGAACTCTGGCCTCAGTTTCCCCACTGGCCCTGAGTTCCCCTCTTTTCCTCTTTACAAACAAGGCCACTCTGGCCTGGGGAGGAACGTGATTCCCCTCATCTGGTCCCTCCTCCTCCCACCCCCTTCCTCTTTTTTGTCAATAAACCTTAGGTATTTCAAAATTTGGGGGCGGGTCTGAATGGAATCTTTTTTTTTTTTTTTTTTTTCGTAACTTCTCTCTCACTCTCATATTTTGGACCTCAGGTACAGAGAGTTGAGTGAATCATACTGCACAGATCTTGCTGTACAAGGTTCCTCTCTGGCCTGATTTTTTTCCTCAATCCCTGTTCTCATCCTCCTCTGCACCTCTCCAACAATCAGTGTGTCCTTATAAAACATGTGGTGGCGTTTGCAGGTGTTTGAATTTCTCTGGAGTAGGACTGCTGGATCGGGGAGTATTTGTTTACCTATTTCACTAACACTGCCAGAAATTTCTCCAGGACTGTGTTCTTGATGTAGAAGCTGGTTTTTAAAAAAGAAAAGAGAGAATTTCTCCAGGATGACCACCCCAGTGATGCCACCACTGTCAGGACTATAGGGTTTCTACCACTCTCTTGCCCCCACACTCGTGATTAGCCAATGTTCTGATTTGGGCCGATCTGATGGGTGTGAAGTGGAGCCCGGTGTCATTTCATTTGCATTTCTCTGAATATCCGTGGGTTTGAGCACCTCTTCATTACTTGTTAGTCATTTGGGTTTTCCCTTCTGTGAACTGCCTATTCACATCCTTTGACCATATTTCTATTATTTCCTGTCTTTTTCTTGTAGCTTTGCAATAATTCCTTGCATGCGCTAGATATCAATCCCTTGTCATTTTTAGATATCACAAATACTTCCTCCACTCTGTCGCCTATTTGGTATCCTTGCTGATGGTGTCCTTTATTGTTGGCAAAAAAATTCTTAATTTTAATGCAATGGAATCCATCAATGTTTCGCCATTTGAATTGCATTTGAATTCCCTACTTATGGGTAATGAAAGAAAATATAGAAAAGTATCATCATGACCTATAGGTAGAGCTACTCATAGGTTATGAAGATACTTTTTTATATTTTTCTTTCATTAGCTTTATAATTTTCCATCTCATGTCTAGGTCTTTAATACACTGAGACTGTATATGGAGTATAAAGTCTGGAGACTAACCTTTATTTCTGTCCATAGAGTGAGCCAGTTTTTCCTAAACCATCAGCCAAACAGTCCATCCCTTTATTCTTTATCATAAATACCTGGTTCTGTCACTGAACAGTCTATTCTTTTTTATTTTTATTTTTTTATTTTTGTTTTTTGAGACAGGATCTTACTCTGTCGCCCAGGCTGGAGTGCAGTGGCACGATCACAGCTCACTACAACCTCTGCCTCCCAGGCTCAAGCCATCCTCCCACCTCAGCCTCCCGAGTAGCTGGGACCACAGGTACACACCACCATGTCCAGCTAATTTTTGTATATTTTGTAGAGATGGGGTCTCGCCATGTTGCCCAGGCTGGTCTTGAACTCCTAGGCTCAAGCGATCTACCCACATCGGCTTCCCAAAATGCTGAAATTACAGGCGTGAGCCACCATGCATGGCCACTTTTCTATATTTTCTTTCACTAGCTTTATAATTTTCCATCTCACATCCAAGTCTTTAATAATCAGGATTGTATATGGGGTGTAAGGTTTAGGGAGCCACCTTTATTTCTCTCCATAGAATGAGCCAGTCTTTCCAACCCCATCAGCCCAAGAGTCCATCCCTTCATTCTTTATCGTAAGTACCTGGGTCTATCGCTGAACGATCTATTCTGTTCCACTGGCCTTTTGTTCCTGGGCTAGTTTCGTATGGTTTTTATTATTATAGCTTTAGAGAACATTTAGTATTTGGTAGAGTGAATTTCCCTTGTTTGCACTCTGTTTTCAAAATGGACTAAATTATATTTGGTTTTTATGCTCCCTCATACCTTTTTTTTTTTTTTTTTTTGAGACAGAGTCTCTCTCTTGTTGCCCAGGCTGGAGTGCAATGGCGCGATCTCAGCTCACCACAACCTCCACCTCCTAGGTTCAAGCAACTCTCCTGCCTCAGCCTCCTGAGTAGCTGAACTACAGGCGTGCGCCACCACACCCAGCTAATTTTTGTATTTTTAGTAGAGATGGGGTTTCACCATTTTGGCCAGGATGGTCTTGATCTCTTGACCTCGTGATCCACCCGCCTCAGCCTCCCAAAGTGCTTGGATTACAGGCATGAGCCACTGTGCCCGGCCTCTTCCACATACATGTTTAAATCCATTTGCACAACTCCAGCTGTGATTTAATTGAGATTTCACTGAGTTGATAGGTGAATTGGGAGAACTGACATCTGTGCAACATTAATTTATCCCATCCACGAACATGGCATACGCTTCATCTGTTCAGAGCTTCTTTGTGTCTTTTAATAGTTTTCACTTTTCTCTGGGTGTTCAGGTGTGGCAGGGATGAAAGGTGTCAGCGTCCCTCCCTAACCTGTCACCTCCCTACCTAGGCCCCCATTTGACATTCACACTAACTCCAGGCAAGCCCAGTGGCAGGGCCTGATCATTCTATTTTATAGACCACTTTAAGCAACTCCCCCCAGTCCACACAGCCAGCAGAGTGCAGACACAGAAAACAGGACACATCTCTCTACAGTAAATCTCATTATAATCTCAAACCTCTGTTTCATGAAGGATTTGCCAGGCCCCAAGGCAAGCACTGCTAGTGCAGTTGTGTCACTCAACACAAAGAGGTTCCACTTCACAGAGGGAGAACCTGGGGTTCTTCATGCGCTCTGAACACAAGCCTTTCTCCAGGGCTGGCCCTTGGAAAAGGGTGAATTATCAGGAGCCTCTAGCTCCATCCTCCATTGCTCCATCACCGGCAGTCTATGCTCACCCTGAGCCAGCCAGCCCTAGGTCTGCCGGCAGCCCAGCCAGGCTGCAAAGGCCTCACCTGTCCTATCTCCCTCTGGCCTCTCCTAAGGCAAACAGCTTTCCTGAGCCTGTCTTCACCTCACCTTCCCCAGATGCTTCCTCCAAAGCCCTCCCCAGAGGTCTCCCACCTAGACCCCCAGGCAGTTCAGATACAAACAATCCCCCACAATGAAACAGGACCCCTTCCCATTCCTGATGCTGAATTGTCGTCTTTAATGGCTCAGCTGCAACCCCACTGCCTCCTTAACGCCCTCCAGGATCTCTCCAGCCCACGGGGTTCTCTTGCCCTGGCTGCAGGTGGTCTGGCATTGGAGAAAAAGCACTGGAATGAGCTAAACCAAAGATTCTCAAAGACACTTCCAGCCATGAAACGCTTTCAAATGAAATCTTAGGCTGGAGAGGTAACAGCTTTCTCAGATTGCTGGTTCTCTGGATCTAGATCCCAGCTCTAGGGCAATAGATCAAGACCCTATCTCTAGAAAATTCAATAAATAGGGCCGGGCGCAGGTGGCTCACGCCTGTAATCCCAGCACTTTGGGAGGCCGAGGTGGGTGGATCATGAGGGCAGGAGATCGAGACCATCCTGGCTAACACGGTGAAACCCCATCTCTACTAAATATACAAAAAAAAAAAAAAAAATTAACCGGGCATGGTGGCGGGCGCCTGTAGTCCCAGCTACTCAGCAGGCTGAGGCAGGAGAATGGCGTGAACCCGGGAGGCGGAGCTTGCAGTGAGCCGAGATCACGCCACTGCACTCCAGCCTGGATGACAGAGCGAGACTCCGTCTCAAAAAAGAAAAAAAGAAAGAAAGAAAATACAATAAATAAATAAATGATTGAAGATAATTTTAAAAAACTACTCAGAAAGGAGGGAAGAAACCAAAATGTTTAAAGGAGTTTCATGGATGATGGGATTGTGTGCAATTTTTTTTTTTTTTAAGGAATACTGATTGTTTTACTTTTGTTGTTGTTGTTACAAGGTCTTGGTCTGGCTGCATCACCCAGGCTGGAGTGCAGTGGCGTGATCTCAGCTTGCTGCAAACTCCGCCTGCTGGGTTCAAGTGATTCTCGTGCCTCAGCCTCCCAAGTAGCTGGGACCACAGGCGCGCACCACCATGCCCAACTAATTTTTGTATTTTTAGTAGAGATGGGGTTTCACCATGTTGGCCAGGCTGGTCTTGAACTCCTGACCTTAAATGATCTGCCCATCTGGGCCTCCCAAAGTGTTAGGATTACTAGCATGAGCCACTGTGCCTCGCCAAGATTGTGTGTAATTTTTATTATATTTATCATATTCCTTATACTTCGTTTCTTCTTTTATTCATCTTTTCCATTTATAAAGTTTGTTTATTTTTATCTTTAAAGTACCAGCAAACTGGGTGCTTGTGCTGAGGGCCACGGATTCTCTGTGTGACCTCAGGCACATCTCTCGCCTTCTCAGGCCTCAGTTTCCCCATCTATACTCTCAGAGGGAGGGGCTGCATGAGGCTGTGAGCCCTGGGAGTCACATACCACTCGTGCACATCATCCTTGCCCCGTGCACTCGGTTTCCTCCAGGCCATGCTGCCCCCTGGGACCTACCAGCCCAGCCAGCCCACAGAGGCATAAACCAGCACATTTTTTTCTCATTAGTGAGATTTCAGCTCAGAGCAAGGGCAGTCAGGGTAGAGGCTTAGAGCAAGGACAGAGAAGGGAGTGACACAGTGAGATGGGCAGTTTCCTGCTAGACTGGACGAGACACAGCTCTGGGCCCATTTCCTTGACGCACTACCCAGCCCTCCCTAGGAAGGCAGCACGTGATACCGGCCCTCTGCTCATCAGTAAGGAGCATGAAATGCTCACCACGTCACTGACCTCATTTCCCCCGCAACATTTCCCCTCCCCAATTCAAAAGAGGAAGAAATAAGTAGTTTTTCCCTGGTGCAATTTCCCAGTCTTCACTTATTCAGACTTTTACGAGTATGTGTGCCTACTGCTGCCCCAGTGAGAGCTGGGCAGGGCTGGGCGTGGATGAGTCACAGTGGGCACACTCCCCGCAGGAGCTTGGGCAGGGTGGGCAGGCGACTTAGAAAAGGGACCAAGGCACCTTGGCTGGAGTGTCCTAGGGGCTTCTTGAAGTAGCTGGCAGTGATTCGGCCACCTCTCATTTGTCCTTCAGGTGAAGTTGGTCTTGAGGCTCTCACTCCCAAGAAACTGGACCTCCTTCCAACCCAGGCTTGTCCTGCCTGCCCCGCAGACTTACTGAGCACCTACTGTATGCCAGACGGAGCAGCTGCTGCCCCTCTGCCACCAGATCGAGATCCTGCTCCTAGACATGTGCCCCAAGGAGGAACCCAGGAACCTTTAGCTCCTAGGAATGAGTGGTAAATTTTCAAACACCAAGAAGCCTAGCAAAAAAAAGGGCTGCTTTAGACAGTTGGGGTATATCAAAAGGAGAAATAGCATCAACTTTGCCATCACCTAGACCTGGGTTCAAGTCTCTGTTCAGGCCATTGACTGGTACGCAACCATGACCTTGGACAAATCACTTTACCTCCCTGAGCCTCCATTTCTTCATCTGTAGAATGGGGATAAATAGCCTCTGCTTTACAGGGGTGCTGTAAGGATCTGAGATGGAGACTCTACAGTGCCTGGCATCTAGTAAGTGCTTAATGAGTGCAGACCCAAAACGTGATGGAGGTCATGTATTCTGCCTTTCCAGAATGGAGCCCAGGTCCCCTAGGGTACAGGAGAGGGTTTCCCTGAGAAGTTCCCAAAGTGCCCAGCCTTGCTTTTCCCCTTCACCCTGGAAGGAAACCCCCTTGGGCTCCAGTTCCCCTGCAGTCCTCCACCCGTCCTGAGGCTGTTGCAACCTCCCACCAAGTAGCCGGCTCAGCCCTGCCAGCCTACCTCCCCAGCTCCTGTAGAACAATTTCCGCCCATGAAATTCTCTCCATCACCTTGCCCCCTTTCTTCTGTAGAAACCTAGAGATGCAAATGCAAGGATGGGGCGATGTCTACCACAGACTCATGATCATAACTACTCACTTCCCCCTGCACACCCTGAATCGCTACATTCTCCCAGACCTTTGTACAGCAGGTGCTACATCCCCAAGCCCTGGCTACACACCTCACCACACTGAGGGCCTACACACCACTTTCTTTTTTTCTTTACAGCAATTACCACCAGCCAATGTTATCCCAAATACTCTTTCTTGTCACTCTGCAGAGGGCAGGGCTGTGTGTCCCCAGCACCCCAGCACGGAGTTTGAGCTTGACAAATATTTATTGAACAAATTAATGGATGAAATTAATCCTTACAACATCTCTTTGGGGTAGGTGCTCTTATTAAACCCATTCTACAGAGGGGAAAGCAGAGACCTGCCTCCATCTGGGCTAGGTGCCATCCACTAGGGTCATGAACCCCAAGCTGCTCTCCATCAAAGCAAATATCATGCTCTAGGCCATGACCAGACTCTAGGTTGGTCTCCCAGTTGGACTGTGACTCCCTGAGAGCAGTACTGTATATCCCCGCCACTGCCCCACTTCACTGTGTTCCCCAGCGCCAAGCACAGTGCCCAACACATAGTAGGTGTTACATACAGATCTGTTGCTTGAGTGACTAAATGAGTGGCTGTATGAATGAATGAATGCATTTCTTCAGAGATATTTTTTGCAAGACTTCTAGAACTTGGCCTCCAGTCCCCCTTCACAGTCAGTGCTGTGGGAGCTTGGAGGTCCTGGGCCTGGGTGTCCTGGAAGGGTTTTTGGAGGAGGAGGAGAAAGATGAGGTTGGAAATTCAGGGGTTGGAGCGCTGAGCAGAGATTTCATGATGAGGATATGCCCTCTGTATTTGGTGACTGAGCGGAAACAGTCGGGTCTCAGGAGAGGTTTAGATATGGGAGCTGTGGAGGTAGCAGCAAAGCTGGATTGGCAGACATTGGCATGTAGGCACTAGGGAGTCATAGAAGGTTCTGTGAGGGAGAGGCCTGGCCACAGCTGGGCTTTGGAAAGGAAAGGTGGGATAAAAACCAAGAGCAAATTCCATTCCCTGTGCATTCACTGAGCCCCATGGATGCCTGCACAGTGTTCTACAGGGTCTGGGACTCAGGGCTGGGGCCTCAGCACAGTGGTGACCTCGGCCTGAGCCACAATGGAGCAGCATGGCCAAGTGTGTGAGGACGCAGACTCCAGCCAGGTGGCCTGGGTTCAAAGCCTAGCTGCGCCACTTAGCAGCTGTGTGACCCTGGGGAACTGGCTTAGCCACTCTGCGTGTTGGTTTCCTCATCTGTAACATAGGGGTAATGTAATAACTACTTCCTAGTGCACTGTGAGGTTTAAGTGAGAGCACACGAAAGCCTCAAGTACAGCTCTTATCATCTTTCTTACTAACCTGTGACTCCATGCATGGCAGGAATAAAGCCTCTTCAACTCTATTGTCAAAGCCCAACCCAGATGGGCACAAAGAGCTTCTCAGGGAACTTTCGATGCATGAACTTGGCCCAGAGGACCCAGGGTCACCCAGCGAGTGCCCCGGTATTCACCAGGAGGTCTTCTGCACAGGGTGAGGAACCCTCCCTCAGTACGTGCAGAAGCTGTATTTCCTGAGTGAAGTGTAATTGCAGTGAAAAACAACATCCCTCCTGACAGCCTGTACTTGCATAATCTACCCACAACTCTATGTGACTTCCTGACATGGTTCTGTGCAACCCAAGTTGGGGGCCCCATCCTGCCCTGGAAGGTCCCAGACCCTGCCCTCTTCCTCAGGAGAGGCCTGGCAAGACCTCTCAGAGCCTTGATTTCCCTATCTAAAAACTAGATAGGGCCTAGTTTGTATGGGTACCAAGCTCAGATGTTCTCTAATCAGACAGATGTGAGCTTGCTTTCCAGTCCTGCCACATTCTGACTGTATGGGTCCCTGAATGCACAGGTCAGCTGCTCAGTCCAGAGCTCACACTCTGGAGACAGACCAGCTTGGATCCAAATTCCAGCCAGAGGAACTTGGGATTCCACCAGGTTATGTAGCTTCCTTGAGCCAACTCCAAGGACAATAATGGCAAAATTACCGAGAGGCTAAAATGAGACAGTATGTGAAGTGCTCCTGCTGACACATAAGATCTCGAGATTCTTTGACACTCCTCCTAATGAGGGGTGGGATCTGTGTCCCCTCCCCTTGAGTCTGGGCTCTGTGACTACCTGGAATGCAGCAAAGGGGATGCAGTGCCAGTTTCCGGGGTCAAATTTTATGACGCTGGCAGTTTCTACTTCCTGCCCCCGGAGTTGTTGGCTCCAGGAACCCAGCAGCCATGCTGTGAGGAAGCCCAAGAAGCTCCACAGAGAGAAACTGACAGCCAGTACCAATTTGCCAGCCCTCTTGGAGGTGGATTCTCCAGCTCATCTCATCACCCCCGCTGGTACTATGTGAGCCGAGATGCACCTCCCCTGCTAAGTCCAGGCCACATTGCAGATTTGTGAGCAAAATTAATGACCATTGTTTTAAGCTATTAAGTTTTGAGGTGATTTGTTATGTAGCAAGAGATGACTGGAACAGTTACATCAGTTACTGGTCATTTAACACTTCTTAAAAATGGGGACATGTGTGCTCATCTATAAGGTCCCTCTGAGGTCACATGACAATGGAGGTAAAATGCTTTGGCATTAAGTGAATTCTGAATTAACGATTTCCCTGCCCCCATGCAAGATCAGCTACATAATTTGTAGAACTCCATGAAAAATGAAAACACAGGGCCCCTTGCCAAAAATTATTCATCACTTTCAAGATGGCGACAGCAGAGCATTAAACCAAGCCCAGGGCCCTTCTGAACCTGGGGCCCTCTGACTGCACGGATCAGTAGCTTGTGAAGCTGCAGAAGCCCAGCTGATGGGATATTTTTGTCTACTCTGTTTACTCTTGCAAAGCTGCCTTGTAAGTAAGAACCCAACCCTCTCACCACAGTTACTTTTAACATCAATTTTTTCTTTAAAGGAAGAATGAAAATCAGCATGTCATCTTTACTGCTCCCTTGGACTAGACAGTGACTTTCCCCTACCCCAGCCCCAACTGACAGCTACAGTTAGAGCTATCTCCATCACACAGCACCAAGCTGGGACCCTGGGAAAACTGCTTTGCCTCTATGGGGCTCAGTTTTCCCATCTGTAAAATGGGAGGCTTGTTCTTGATCGTCTTCCTTCAGGGAGCCTCAGGTGGGGCAGTGAGCAGGATATGAGGTGTTACTGGGGATGGAAAGGGCAATTCCACTCTCAGGCAGTTCTCCCCCAGAGATTCCCTGGACTCAACCCAGCCCCGAGTCTCCCTGGACCTCAGAATCACACGCCTGTAATCCAGTACTTTGGGAAGCCAAGGTAGGAAGATTGCTTGAGCCCAGGAATTCAAGACCAGCCTGGGCAACATAGAGAGACCTGTCTCTACAAAGAAAGAAAAAAAAAAATTAGCCAGTCATGGTGGCACGTGCCTGTGATCCCAGCTACTCGGGAGGCTGAAGCAGGAGGATCACGTGAGCCCAGGAAGTTGAGGCTACAGTGAGCTGTATTTGTGCCACTGCATTCCAGCCTGGGTGACAGAGGAAGACCCTGTCTCAAAAAAAAAAAAAAAAAAGAAAGAAAGAAAGAAAGAAAAAAAAAATCACACACACCTTTGAGGAAAGCTGTGTCAAGGAAGGAGGCCCTGGCTGGGTTAGCTCTGTGTCCTTCCTGTCCGGTCAGAGCAGTCAGAAAGCCACACCCAGCCTGGAGTTTGACCTTGGGCAGGTTACCCTGCCTCTTGCAACTGTCCCTGCCTTCCCATAAAGGGAGGAATAAAATCAGCCTCTATTCTATCTCTCAGTTGTGGTGACTTGAAGATGAAAGGAAACTTATCTAGAAGGCATAGTGCCAGGGGATGACCACGATATGAACACAACCCCTGACCACAGAGGCAGCCAGGCCACCTGGGCATGGGGAGGGATTTAGAATCACAAAGTTGGGGGTTGAACTCCAGCTCTGGGACTTCCCAGCTGTGTGGCAGTGGGCCAGTTGCTTCGCTCCCCCCCACTCCCCGAGCCTCAGTTTGTAAAAGGGAGTGCTGCCACCCAGCCTATCTACTGTCCAGGGTTCTATTAGGAAGCCCAGATGTACAAAGAATGCGGCCTAGGCGAACTCTCAGCTCTTAAGATGCTGCTCTTGATGGCTGTCATTTACTGAACATGGCATACGTGCCCAGACTGGACTTCCACAGTCCCTCTCAGCCTTATAGTTCCTTTTCTTTTTTTTTTTGAAGACAGAGTCTCGTTCTGTCACCCAGGCTGGAGTGCAGTGGCACGATCTCGGCTCACTGCAACCTCCGCCTCCCAGGTTCAAGCAATTCTCCCACCTTAGCCTCCCAAGTAGCTGGGATCACAGGCATATGCCACCATGCCTGGCTACTTTTTGTATTTTTAGTCGAGACGGGGTTTTGCCATGTTGCCCGGGCTGGTCTCGAACTCCTGACCTCAAGTGACCCACTCACCTCGGCCTCCCAAAGTGCTGGGATTGCAGGCGTGAGCCACCGCATCTGGCCCCATTAGGTCCATTTTGCAGACCAGAAAACCCACATTGAACGCACATAAGGGCTTTGCTTGGGACCAAGCAGCTGGGAGCTTGTCGAGCCGGAAGCCACAGCTCCATGCCACCGTCATGAAATGGCCACTGCCTCCATGAGGGCTAAAGGGTAAAAAGCACAGGCCACCGCTGACCCTGTGATACTGAAATGATCCCTCTGCCTCATGACCGGGAAAACAATCACCACACCAAAACACAAACAAAGGCCTCCAGGCTTCCCAGGGTTTTTCAGTTTGGTTTTTACTCTCTGGAAGATACCCAGAGAAAGGGGGAAGCTAGACCGGCAGACTCCTAACCCTACCCATAGCTACAATCATCACCAGGAATGCTGTCTTAGTTCTTTCTGAGAAAACCCATCTAACTGCTTCCTGGCTGCCAGCAGCTGCTGCCTGTTTCCCCAACTTCCCTCCAAAATAGGTTAAAACAACCTTTGCCGCCCCTGGTTTGGCCTTTCTCACTGATTGCTGAAATAATACCAGGATGTTTATTGTTCTACTAGGAAGAAAACAGAAAGAAACATAGACCAGTACTTTTATGATAAAATCTAGGTGCCTAATCACAATGGCCCACCAGGCCCTCCTCCCCAGGCCTTCCCCCCTCACCTCCTTTTTTCCCTCGCCCACCGTGCCTCTTCCACCACTGTGTTCTTCCTGAAACTCGAGGCAGGAGTGTGCCCACTTCAGCTCCCTGCCTTCCAGACCTCGCTGGCTTGTGACATCACTCAGGCCAAGTTCAAAGGGCACCTTCTCAAAGAGGCTTGCCCTGACCACCTAGCTAGTGGTGGCCCTCCCCTCCCACTCTGCCACAGTACCTGGCTCAGACTCCTTGTGGTTCACAGCGTGATCTGACTCTGGAATGACCTTGTGTACTGATTTGATGACGCCACCGTCTGTCCCGTCCACCAGACACAGGACCCACGAGAGCAAGTCTGTGCCCCACTAGTCCTCAGCAGCTAGACCCTTTAATTGAGGAAAGCCCTCGAACAGTAATGTGGTGCAATCTGGAATGTGCTAGAACCACGAGTGAGATGTCCCTCCGGAGGGACCCGCAGCACTTCGCCGACATGCCCAGAGTTACAGACGTCGAATAATGAGCCAGTCCTATGACTGTGATCTGAAGGGTTCTTGGGGTAGCCCACAGAACAAGAAGAGGCCTGCCCACTGCGGGGCTTCCCACAGCAAGTTGGCCCCAAGGGTGGCTAGGTTCCCAGGCTGGCCTGAAAGCTCTGATTAACCTTGATGGGCTGAATTCTGCAGACATAGGAAGGGCTCGCTCTTGACAAGCGGCCACCAGGCTGGAATAAGGACAGAACCTGCCACTCAGCACAAGCCACACACCGAGTGGCATGTCAGGGAAGCCCCACAACCCCGTCAGGTAGAGACTGACACCCCCATTTCACAGACAAGAAAACTGAGTCTGAAAGAGATCATGGAACATAGCCAAGCTCATGCAACTGATAAATGGCAGAGCTGGGATTCGAGCCTGTGTGTGACCCCGCAGCGCCATCACCATCCGCACGCTGCTGTTGTGTCTGAGCTGCAGAGAATGGCAGGCAAGCCTCTCTGCCCTGTGCCTGGCTCACACCCATGGCCCCAACATTGAACACCTGCTCCCCTGGGTCAGCCAGGGGCAAGGGTTCCAGGGTGTTTGGCCAGCATGGGGTGCTGGCTTAGGAGGAGGTGCCTGGCAGAGGGGCCTGGTGGAGGGTGCAGGGGCCTGAGGTGTCCTCAGCAGCTTCTCCTTCAGCCCAAGGAGCCCCCCTTGAAGCTGAACAGTCTCGCCTTGACTAAGCTTTTCTCTTGGGCCGTGGCTGTGAATCTGATGTCCCCACATATTCTGGCCCAAGCAACCCCCACCCCACACTTGCCCCCCCACTGCAGAGGATCGAGGAAGTGGGGGGAAGAGAGAAGGCACCCGAGGAACTGTGGCTGGAGAGCCGCCTCTCATCCCCACACAGGTTTTCATTTCTACTTAGCCCAACCAATCAGTGCCCAGTGACCATGGGACAAAGATGACCAAGACCCAGCCTTGGGTCTTTTACACCTCACTGTTGGAGGGTGAGGTCGTGATGGAGCGAGAGACGCTCTAGGGAGGTCCCCTCGTTCCGTTTTAGGGACTGACCCGAGCCGTGGAGATTCTGTGAACTGTAGAATGGTTTTTACCACCTACAAAAGTGCCTTGGGAAACAATGGCTTTTCTTTGAAGGCAACAGCTTCCATCTGATACTTACCACTTGCTGTCCCTCTCTGATCGCAAATGTTTAGGAAGAGGTGTGTGGGGGTGTCGTCACAGCCTGAGAATTGCTACCTTGAGTAGCAGGGAGCTCTGTCCATCTGCCAACCTGGACGTGAGCACAGCCAGAGAATAGAAGGGGTCCGCTCATCGCTGGGCAGGATGGGGAAATCCACCCTGGCTCCTGGACTGAGTGCATGGCTGGTTCAATGGCTGGGCTGATGTGTGGGTGTGGGCTGGAGTCTTGGGGATGGGGTGGACAGGGTCTGTCTGTGGCTGTGGGTGTTCTCCACCTCGCACAGGAGACAGTCAGAGGAGGCCTCAGGCTGGCTGCCTGGGGTGGAGGCTGGCCCTAAAGTGCCACAAAGCTGTGCCCAGGGAGGCAGGCTGGGCTCCTCCCAGCTCAGACACTGAAGCCCAACACTCCCAGATACCTGTGGTCCTCACCCTGCCTCCCAGGGATCCCAGATACCTGTGGTCCTCCCCCTGCCTCCCAGGGCTTGGGCACTCACGCTGTTCCTTGGAGAATCCCTTCTCCAAAGCTATGGGGCTGCCCGGCCCAGCCCAGAGGGAGGAAGGCCATGGGGAGGCCCAGAAACCTTTCTTCGAATACCTAAAGGGAGCCTTGTGACAACAGTGGCATTTTTTTTTTTTTTTTTTTGAGACGGAGTCTCATTCTTGTCACCCAGGCTGGAGTGCAGTGGCACGATCTCGGCTCACTGCTGCAACCTCCACCTCCCAGGTTCAAGCGATTCTCCTGCCTCAGCCTCCTGAGTAGCTGGGATTACAGGTGCCCGCCACCACACCCGACTAATTTTTATATTTTTAGCAGAGACGGGGTTTTACCATGTTGGCCAGGCTAGTCTTGAACTCCTGACCTCAGGTGATCCACTCGCCTCGGCCTCCCAGTGTGCTGGGATTACAGGGGTGAGGCACCGCAACTGGCCGACAGTGGCTTTGAGTGTCCTCAAAGGGCAGCCTTTGGACCAGGGAGCGGCAATTACATGGAGAAAGAATTTGCCTCGAGTGATAAGGAAAATCTTCCAGCAACAAGAAGGACTGCCCCAGCAGGAAGTGGGCTCCCGGCCCCAGAAGTATCCAATCTACCAGAGACTGGCCACCTTAGTGCCTGGGGGTTCAGTGGGAATTCCTGCCCTGCTGGGAGACTCCCAAAGCCACTTCTGCTCAGGGGTTCTATTAATAACATACTCTCAATTTCGATGATCATGTCCTCAGCCTTACAGTTCTTTAAGGATTTTATGGATTTTTAGAGATTCAAAAGTTGTGTGAAGGGCCACTAGGTAAGGAAGTGCATTATTTTGTTGAAACATGTCAATCCCTCCCATCATGGGCGCCAGACTGCCCTGCCTGGCAGGCGTGTGCCTTCCAGCGTGCCTTACAGCTGCGGCTGTGGGTGATGCAGAGACACCCACTCCATCCTTGCACAAACACTGGGCAAACAGTGTCTGCCCACTTAAGCTTCTTCTGGCCAATGTCCAGGTTCTGGTGTAACCACCTCTCGCAAGGCCACGGCTTCTCCAACTTTCCCCAAAACATCTGAGCGGTTTCAGAAACTATCACTTCCTCCAGAGAGCACGTGGCTGCCCGATGAGTAAACAGCAGCCTTCCCGGGCCTGCCTCCAGGCGGTAAGTCCACGAGTCTCCAGGCTGCCCGCAACTCCAAGACTCATCCTTATCCATCACTCATTTGCATACACGTCTGAAGGCCCTAGGGAGTCAGCTGGCCAGCCGACCGGAAGTCAGGGCCACTACTCCTTAGCGTGAAATGTGAAAAACCCAAAATCCTGATGAAACCTCCAAACGGTCTTGTTTCCTATGGTCCAGAGTAAAGCAGATGCCTGGGTGAGGCCGTGGTGCCTCTCGACATCCACACCCCAAAGCGTGCAGAGCCGGAACCAGGTGGTGGGGTCGGTGCTAGTGGATTTGCAAGCAGGGCAGACCTAAGGAAGATGCTTCTTCATTTCCCAGGACAGAGTGGGTGGGGCCCACAGAGAGCGGTCAAGGACTCCAGGCAGGGCCCGAAGTTCCCCATGTTCACATGGGGAGGAAGTCCCTGGGCAAAGTAAAGCAGGTTCTCTGGGTTGGTGAGGGGCGGTCTGCAGCTGCTGAGGGCTGCAGACATCTGGGACCCGAGGCGCCTGCTGTGGCGGGGATTGGTGGGGACATTCTGAGATGAGTGACTTGATCCTGGGCCCTAGGCCCTGGGCCCACCGAGGGGGCTACAGGACAGGGAAGGTGGGCAGCACCAGGAGGGTCCCACAGTCCAGGCAGGGGCCCTCACACCAGTGCAGAGTACAGTGTGGCCGCTGCAGCAGAGACAGTGCCAGCTGACGACGCCCCATCCCTCGACTTCCCTTTTGACTCTGGAGAAACAACCACAGGCACTGGCTCCATGCCCACTGGGGGCCACATTTACAGTAACTGGGGGCATGCCGGAAGGGCCCAATGGGTGTCACCTCTGAGGTCCAGGGAGAGAGGAGAGTAGGGTTACAGGGGCCCCGGGAGCTGGCCTCACGACCTCTCCCTCGCTGGGCTGTGGGCCTGGTGGTTAAGGTCTGATGCCCAGGGCTCTGGGACCAATGCTGTTCTCGGCAGTGCCCATCCTGCCATCTGTTTGCTGCCTCAACCAACATCACTGCTGGGATCCAGTCCCCTTGGACTGTCTCTTCTGTACAAGCCCCGGATCCCCTAGGCTCTGGGTCAGGGGACAGCTAAGTTGGGGATGCAAGCAGAGACCACCAGACCCCTGCAGTGACCGGCCGGTCCACCACTAGATGCTGGAGCCTCAGTTCAGGCCAGATGGGCCTCTGCCCCCAACCTCGGTGCCAACAGTGCCATCCTGGCCTCCCAGAGGCCACCCTGCTGCCCTCCTAGCCCCAGCCCAGCCCAGGCCTCACTTTCCAGAGGCAGCTGTGGGCAAGGGGTCTTCTTTCCCTTCCTCTTCCACTGAGAGCATGACATCGCTGCAGCTGCCCAGAGGCGGTTCTGTCTCCTGCTCGGGGTAGTGGGGGGTATGGTCCGCCTCCAGCTCCTCCTCCAACTCGGGCTCTGCTGGCCCCGCCAGGCCCCGGCCCTCCGGCAGCTCAGCCTTCACGGTCCCCACGATCACGGTGTCAGCCTTCATGATGTAGATTTTCTCTGCAAGGCAAAAGGATGGGTGAGCGAGGGAGGCCAGAGCACCAGCCAGGATGGGAGCAAAGAGGCAGAGAAGGGCCGAGGCCCAGTGCTGGTACACCTGCCGGGTGGCTTCAGGCTGATGGCACAGCCTCTCTGATGTACCTTACAGGCATCCTGGGGGCTCAGAGGAAATAGAACAGCTAGGAGCTGGGCCTTGAGGAGTTAAGAACCAGCCCACTTGTACTTAGGATTTTCTCAGCACATCTCTGCGGATGGGTAGGGAAGAAGAGGACAGGGTGGGACAGAAAGCAAACTGTGGACAAAAACAGGCAAAGCCGTGGGTAACCAGAGCACGAGCAGAAACAGCAGAGCTGAGCAGTTTCCACACCCCCACTCCTGGGTCCCCAGCCCTCCTGCAAGGCGGACCCCATCAAGATTCCCATTTACAGGTAAGAATCTGAAGCCTGGAGAGGTTAAATGACCTGCCCAAGGTCGCCACGTAGTTAGGAGAAATCCCCCAAAAAAAAACCACCCACTCCGCCTGGTGGCCCTTTCTGCTCCTATCTGTGTGCCTGCAGCCAAAACCCGGGGTGACCAACTTGTCCAGCTTGCCCGGGAACATTCCTGGTTCTACTACTGCAAGTCCCGTGTCCTGGGAGTCCCCTCGGTCCGGGCAAACTCAGCCAGCCTGTCACATCCTGCAGAAAACCCGGCCCCCTCAATAGGTCTCGGCAGCCCATGATTGAGACAGCCTGGCTCAGGCCGTGAATTTCGGGGCTTACTGCTCACAGCCGGTCTCCTGCCTGCAGCGTGCATGGCTGTGCTGTGAGCACATGGTGGGAGCTTGGACGGAGGGCCGGTCCTCGCCACAGTCTGATGTGGGGGCTTCTGGTGTGGCCTTCTGATAGAGGGGACATGGGGGCTCAGGTTCAGTGGCCCGAGGAGCTGGGGAGTGGGGAAGCCTGGCCTCCGCCCAGCTGATGGTGTCTGGCTCAGGGTGGGCTGGCTCCCAGCTGTTCTGCGCTGGACTCTGGAGGCCAGAATGGGGAAGCTCAAGAGGGAACTTGAGAGCTGGGGTGGGGTGGGGGTGCAGGGACCCCTGCCTTTCTGGGTAATGCAGTTATACCCCTCGGATTCAGGAACCCCAAAAAGGTTCTCGAGTCCCCCACACCCTCAACCCTATTGCATGACGCTGGTTCTTCTATTCTGGTTTTGAACACCCCCAGGAAAGAGAGAAGTGCGCCAAACGGCAGCAAGAGGAGAAGGCCCAGAGTGCGGGACAGGCTATGGGCTGGGCGCCCCCACAGACCCCAAAACAGAGCAGGGCCTCAGCACTCCCCACACCTCCATCAGGCTTGTGGGCTCCCAGCCCTAGGAGCCCTATAGAGGGCTGGGCAAAAGATGGGGGCCGGGGGTGGTGAGAGAGGAGACCCCAGGAGGGGAGAGAAGGCCCAGAGGGGGATGGGCAGAGAAGATGAGAGGCGGGTGGGGTCAGGTGGGAGGGAAGTGAGGGTGGGGGTGCTGGATTAGGGAGAAGGAGCCACAGCTGGGGACAGGCTGGTCCCCTCACATTCCTCAGGGAAATGGGCAGGAGTCCCCAGGAAATCTGGAATTAACTGGATTCAAAGCGGTGGAATTGGCTGCTCTGGGTGAGGAAGCAGCTCCCACTGAGCTCGGAAGTGAAAGAGGGGTCTGGAAACTTCAGAGCCGGCCATGAGGGGTCTGCCCCGCTCTGGCTCTGCCCCCATCACAGGCTGCCTACTCCCCAGGCTGTGGGGGTGGCTTCCAAGGGCTGCATGGATTTCCTGCCCCCTCCCCAGAGCTCCAGAGTCCAGGGAATTCATCTTGGCTATGTGGGGAGGGCAGGTGAGGAAGTTGGGGGGAAAGGGGTTCTTCCCTTGCCTGGTTCCCAGGGGAAGAGGGACGATGTACAGACCCCAGTGTGACCCCTCTTGGGAACTGGATGGGAAGGGGGAACGCTACCCTGGGCTGGCATTAGGAGGACAAGGGGGTTGCCTGTGTCTTGGGTGCCCAAGAGAACCTCCAAGGCCTTCCCTTTCCACCATGGCGGAGGTGGCCCCCGATCCACTCACCAGCAAGGCCTGCAGGCCATGCCAGGGGAGGGCAGCCCACACCTGAGCCAGCTGCCTGGGAGCCTGGTACTTCCTTCTCCTCCCCATCAAACACCCTCTGAACCCCACCCCTGGGATTCCAGGCACTGTACTCAGTGTGGACTCAGAAGTTCCAGTTAGGACTTCTTAGGAATTCTGAAGAAGCCTTTGATGGTATTTCCCAAAATACATACTTTTCAAATAAAACTTACTAAAAGCTACCATTTCAAAAGCTTCAGTTTGTTACAAAAGACTGCCCAGGCTGGGCATGGTGGCTCATGCCTATAATCCCAGTACTTTGGGAGGCCAAGGCAGGCAGATCACCTTGAGGCCAGGAGTTCCAGACCAGCCTGGCCAACAGAGTGAAACCCCATCTCTACTAAAAATACAAAAAATTAGCCAGGCATGATGACACTCGCCCATAATCCCAGCTACTCAGGAGGCTGAAAAAATAAAAAGAGAAGATGACTGCCCTGAAGAGTTCTGGCCACCACTGTCTGCCATAGAAATGCACAGGACAATTACAAATGACTCTTCAGTATTATCCCAGTGCCAGTTACCCTTCCAGAAGCGACAGAGGTGGGGTCCACCAAGGCCCTGCCCACAGGGAGCACAAAGCCAGGTGGAGGTGGAGGAAGGCTATAAACACGCAGTCACACCACTGGGTGCTAGGACACCGGGTAGGGGAGGCCTGGGTTCTTAGGGAGCATAGCATGGTGGAGAGGGCACAGAAGGCTTCCTGGAGGAAGGGGCAAATAAGCAGGGTCCCCAGGATATCCAGAATTAACTGGATTCAAGGCAGTGGAGTTGGCTATTTCAGGCGAGGGGGTAGCTCCCATTGAGAAGCTCAGAAGTGACAGAGGGGTCTGTAAATTTGGGAGACTGCCATGAGGGGGAGGGACAGACTGTGGGGTCAGAAGGTAGGTGAGTCTGGTCGGGGAGCTACAACTTGCTGTCAGCCTTGAGTGCTGGAATAAGAATGCTGGAATTCATCCCATAGGGAATGGGAAGCTGCTGGAGGCTTCTCGGCAGGAGTGCAATAGGGTCAGGTATACATTTTGGGGAAAATGCCGTACCAAGGTGATGAGAAGCAAGAGAGGAGGCAGGGAGGCCCACAGGAGGCCAAAGCCAATGTCTGTCCAGGCTGGCAGCAGCTGCCGTTGGGAAGCTCTGAACATCTGGGCCCCATCTGTCCTCCTGCTTCTGCAGAGGGTGGGTGGTAACGTGGACAAACCACGGGCTTCAAGGCCCAGCAGATGCGGGACGAGTTCCAGCTGTGCCACTTAGTAGCCATGCAATGGGGAAAATCACTTCACCCTCTGAGCCACGGTCTCCCCAACTGTAAAATGGGGAGAAAGACACCATCCAAAGAAGGTGGTGAGACCATCAGAGATGAAGAGATGGCACCTACACAGTGCCCGGAATGCGCCAGACAAGTGGCAGGTCCTGTGACCACTGGCACGTCTTCCTCCTGTCCCCTCGGGTGCTCGGTGTTGGGGGCTGGGGTGGTGTTCGTTTTTTATGAGTAACAGCAGGCATCTCATGCACACTGGCTCATGAATCCGCACAATGGCCTACGAGGTAAGTACCCTCGCTGTCCCTACTTACAGAAACTTCAATTGGGGTGAAGAATCTATGCCTCTCCTTTCCTGGGCCTTTCAACTCCAGGGTCTCCAGGTCCCTTCCAGGGCCCAGGGCCCCGTATTCATCTCCCATCTGCCCCTGGGCTGCAGGGGACCTCCCAAAACAGGCTGACTCACCAATCTTGTTATTGGTGTGCTCCGTGGACACCCGGGGCTCAGGAAGGTCCCTGGGGGACGAGGGGCCCCCGGCCGGGCTGGCATCCTGCAGCGGCAGGCTCTCCAGGTAGGCTGCCCCCACGCTGTGGCAGGTCTCCATCAGTGGCTGGCTCATTAACCCTCGCTCTTCCGCGACGGGTTCTGTCACCGACGCACCACTCCTCAGCTGCTGTGGGACGGGAATGGGTGCTGCTGCAGGGTACCCCCAACCTCCCCACCAGTCTCTGAACTGGGAGGCCCCTTTTTTTTTTCATCTCTACAGACCCCAGTGAGTCCCCCTTTCTGCTTTAAAAGCTGCCATGAGCTGCCCCGGGCTTCTCAGCTTTCTGGGTGAAGTCTGTTGCTTTTAATTTGTACTAAATAGTAGGGGTAACAGTCAGCGACTCACAGGGTGCTCGCCACGTCCGTTGGCCCTGTCCTAAAGTCCTTGACATATGTTAATCCTCACAACCACTGTATGAGGTGGGTAACAGCCCACTCCCCATTTTACAGATGAGGAAACTGAGGCACAGAGGAGTCGAGTAATTGGCCCAGGGTTATACCATCAATAAGTATCTGAGCTAGGATTTGAACCCTGGCATCTGGTCCATAACCCACACTCATAAGCACCCAAGTCTGTAAGTACCAGCTCCAGGTCCCCCACCTCCTGGAGCAGCCCCTCCAGCTCCCCAGCCCCGACATCCTGGAAAGTAGTCTTTTATGATCACACTCAAGCATTCTAAAAACAGACTACTGTTAGTTCAAGTGACAAGCCCGGTGACCTCTATACTATATAATCTAAATTCATGTATATTATTAATAAATATTTTCTAAATGCTAAAAAAAAAACAAAAAAAAAACAAAAAAAAACAAAAAAACAGCTATGTCATGAGGAAAGTGTCAGTTTAGTTTTTGATTTTTACAGGTAAGGGCAAAGAAGTGGCCTCATGAAATGTCCTGATGCCTTCAAAATGGAGTGAGTGTGAGTAATTCAGAGGAGGCAGGGATGCCCGTGCTGACGCAATGATTCTCAAGGCACAGAGGGCGTATCTTTTAGATTGGTGCAAAAGTAATCACGTCTTTGCCATTATTATTATTATTATTTTTTACTTTTTAAATGGTTTTATTTTATGTACAAATAATGAACATATGTTATACCCATAAATTCTACTTTCCCAAAACAGGAGCTTTTTAAAACAAAACCACATAATAACTTTTAAAAGGCGCTGAGATTCCTCAGCTTCCAGATCACTGCTGAGCTAGAAAAATAAAGTTTGTTCTACCAGGAACCACAGCTTAGAACTGAGTATTCTTCACTCGCTAAGAGTCATCACCACTCCCTAATCTCAAGTACCCAGGGACACAAACACTGCGGAAGGCGGCAGGGCCCTCTGCCTAGGAAAACCAGAGACCTTTGTTCACATGTTTATCTGCTGACCTTCCCTCCACTATTGTCCTATGACCCTGCCAAATCCCCCTCTCTGAGAAACACCCAAGAATGATCAATAAATACTAAAAAAATTAAAAAAAAAAAAAAAAAAAAAAAAAGAACTGAGTATTTTTCAAAGTGGAAATTCTAGAGTGTGGTGTCACTCCAGACAAAGATTATTCTGTTCTCAACCCCAACATCCACAACTACCTATCAGAAGGGTTAAACCAGGTTTGCCATTACTTTTAATGGCAAATGGCACCAACCTTAATACATACTCTTGAATACTCTTTCATAATAATATGAAGGCTAAAAGACTGCCTTTTTTTTTTTTTTTTTTCAGATGGAGTCTCACTCTGTTACCCGGGCTGGGAGAGCAGTGGTGCAATCTCGGCTCCCTGCAACCTCTGTCCCCCAGGCTCAAGCGATTCTCCTGCCTCAGCCTCCTGAGTAGCTGGGACTACAGGCGTGTGCCACTACACCTGGATACTTTTTGTAGTTTTAGTAGAGACGGGGTTTCACTATGTTGGCAAGGCTGGTCTCGAACTCCTGACCTCAGGTGATCCGCCTGCCTCAGCCTCCCAAAATGCTGGGATTTTAAGTGTGAGCCATCATATCCGGCCAAAAGACTGCATTTTAAAACAAGTTACTATTAATGCATTGGCCTATGCAGCAAAAACATATTTGATTACCTTACAAATTGTTGAATACCTCTTTCATGAAATTTCTCAGTATTGTAACAGCCACTTGTCACATCCAAGCATATTCGAATGTGATCCCCCATAATTTGAAACTGAACTAGCATTATGGTTGTGTATATTATATTGAAAAATGAAAGGATAGAAACCCTTCTTAATGTATGAATGCTTGAATTAAAAGAAAGTAATGGAAGAACTGACAGATGGGGAAAAAAAAAAAAAGGAATGGACCATAGCCACCTGCTCTGTCATCCAGCTTGGAGGATGAGATTCATGGAAGAGTAAAGAAAAGGGGAAAATGAACACAGTCTTCCTCCTGACCAGACCTGGTACCCAAAAGTGGCCCAAACCAAATCCACTGTGTGCAGGCCCTTCTGGAAATTCCCGGCAGGCTGAGCCAGGAGCTGGAGGCTGCTATGAGGGTGGGGCTCTCCATCCTTAGCCAAGGCCTGGCTGAGGCCCCAGGCGAGGCCTCTGTGCACAGAGGTCCCTGTGGTGGGTCAGACTCAGCCTGAACTTGCAGGACGGGCCTGCACCCTGGGCACTGTGGGAGGGGAATGGCCAGTCCGTCCCCTCCCTCTCCCTTCCCCCAGCAGCTCTCAAAACTTCAGATCTGTTAGGGAAGGAGTCAGATTTAGGGGCACGAAGCTGAGGTGGGGGCAAGGGAGGGGTACTTACCGTTGAGCTCCTCCTGGGTCTGGAATCTGCAAAAAGCAAGAGCAGCAACTTCACCAAGGAGTCTGGCAGCCCCCGGCCCCACCCGCCCCAACTATTGGCAAATGGTCCTCCTGGATCACAGGTGGTGCTGAACTCAGCCCAGGGGTCAGGTCCTCAGTCTGGAGAGCCCTCGATGGGTTTCAGAGTCAGTGCCCACCCCAGCTCAAGGCAAGGAGGCTCACTTCTCCAGTGGCAGATGGAGGACAGGGGACCACCTCTATCCCCTGGCCACTCTCATTCCTTTTTTTTTTTTTTTTTTGAGATGGAGTCTCACTCTGTCACCCAGGCTAGAGTGCAGTGGCATGATCTCGGCTCAATGTAACCTCCGCCTCCTGGGTTCAAGTGATTCTCATGCCTCAGCCTCCCGAATAGCTGGGATTATAGGCTCGTGCCACCAACCCCAGCTAATTTTTTTGTATTTTCAGTAGAGACGGGGTTTCACCACGTTGGCCAGGCCGGTCTCAAACTCCTGACCTCCTGACCTGCCCGCCTTGGCCTTGCAAAGTGCTGGGATTACAGGCGTGAGCCACCACACCTGGCTGCCACTCTCATTCCTAATGACTAAACCAATGAACACACTGAACCACTCTCCCAACCCCCACCCCCGCGCACATGCAAGGATTGGTTCACGAGAAGCACAGGCCCAACCAGAGCCCAGGAGGCTTCCACTGGGTCAGAGGCTCGTCTGTGGCTGCTGCGCCCACCTTACTGTCTCCAGGGTGTGGAGAGCCCCGAATTCTCTGGAATACCAGGCAAAACCCACATGGAGGACCTCAAGGCAGGTCATGGAGACAGGATGATGGATCCTGCAGATGCCACCTGGACCCTGCCTGGGACACGCCCGAAGCCAGTCTGCTGTGGAGCCCTTCTGACTCCAGCTGGACTTCGATTTTCTCTTTCTTGTGCCTGAAAGCACCCAGGTGGCAGCCTTCGAGGAGGACAACTGCTCTCGGGCCATCTCATTTCCTTCAATCCCATCCTTTTGTAGGCTCAGGAGGTGCTGATACAATGATTCTCAACGCACAACCTCTATCTTCTCATCTCAAACCTCTACCCTCCACTCCCATTGTTCTCCCATATTAAACAGGGGCCAGGTCACGCCCAAGCACATATTGACATTTAACATTTAACCTTGGCTCACTGGCCATCTGAGAAAGGTGAGAGGGCATCCGGGCATCTAACTCATCCTGGAGCAAGTCAGTTCCCAGAGCAGACCATCCTCCAGGGATGCCCAGCTTTTAACCACTCCTGAGAACGCTACCTACGGAGATCTGGAATATGCTGTTGTCAGGCACACATCCCTGGCTAGACAAATCTGCCACCAAGATGCCCGTATGTCAGCCACGCCGCCTCCTGCACACATCTCTGACTTCAGCAGCTCTGGAGAGCCACCAGCCCTGAGTCCTCACAGATATGCTCACCAGTGCTCAGTCAACAAGTAGGATAAAGTATACGCAAGACTGACCATTTGAACACGCTGTGTGGACACTAGGTGAGTTTGGGAAACACTCTTAGGGGTAATTTTTTCTTTTTTTGAGACAGAGTCTCACTCTGTCACCCAGGCTGGAGTGCAGTGGCACGATCTTGGCTCACTGCAACCTCTGCCTCACAGGTTTAAGCAATTCTCACAAGTAGCTGGGATTACCGACATGTGCCACCACGCCCGGCTAATTTTTGTATTTTTAGTAGAAACAAGGTTTCACCATGTTGGCCAGGTTGGTCTCCAACTCCTGACCTCAGGTGATCTGCCCGCCTCGGCCTCTCGAAGTGCTGGGATTACAGGCATGAGCCACCTTGCCCGGCCAGGGGTAATTTTTTTTTTTTTTTTTTTTTTTTGAGATGGAGTCTAACTCTGTCGCCAGGGTGAAGTGCAGCAGCGCGATCTCGGCTCACTGCAACCTCCGCCTCCTGGGTTCAAGCGATTCTCCTGCCTCAGCCTCCCGAGTAGCTGGGATTACAGGCACGCACCACCATGCTCAGCTAATTTTTGTATTTTTAGTAGAGACGGGGTTTCACCATGTTGGCCAGGCTGGTCTCGATCTCTTGACCTCGTGATCCACCCGCCTCGGCCTCCCAAAGTGCTGGGATTACAGGCGTGAGCCACGGCACCCGGCCGAGGCACATTCTTTTCAATGACGTCAGTGAAACTAAATCATGGTCCCTCCAGAGTGATTTTGAGTTTTACAAGCAGCCAACTGTTCTTTGGTACCAAGTCACTGGGGGTGGCCAACAGAATAAAAAAAAAAAAGTGTGACAAAGTAACAAAACAAAATAAATAAAAATGACACAACTCGGCCTTGAAGGGGAAGTGGGTGAACGGGATCGCAGAGCTGCCCATACCCTGCAGGCTGGTTCCATTTTTCTAAAGAGCCATCTGGCAACAAAAACCTCACACTCTTTACCCAGTCATCCCTCTTGAGGGAACACACCCTCAGGAAATAACCCGAAAGAAAACAAAAAGGCCGAGCACAGCAGCGGGTTTATAATAACCCTCAAATTGAAAACCAGCCAAATGTCAAAAACAATGAGGCCGCTTAGCCACCCTGGAGCAGGGGCCTCCTTGGCGGTGAAACTCAGCACAATATTACTTCCCTTCTCCGAGCCTCTGTCCTCCCAGCTGGAAAATGGGATGAATCACATCAACTTTGGGGCTTGTTGAGAAGATTAAAAGAGATATCAAAAGTGAAGGTGCCCAGTGGTAAATCAGGTTGATTTTTTTTTTTTTTTTTTTTTTTTTGAGATGGAGTCTCGCTCTGTCACCGAGGCTGGAGTGTAGTGGCACGTTCTCAGCTCAATGCAACCTCTGCCTCTGGGGTTTAAGCGATCCTCCTGCCTCAGCCTCCCAAGTAGCTGGGACTACAGGTGCGTGTCATGACACCCGGCTAATTTTTGTATTTTCGGTAGAGACAGGGTTTCACCATGTTGGCCAGGCTGGTCTCAAACTCCTGACCTCAGGTGATCTGCCAGGCTTGGCCTCCCAAAGTGCTGGGATTACAGGCATGAGCTACTGCGCCCAGCCAAGATTTGATGTGATGAGCATGACGTTTCACCTCTGTGGTCTTCTTCCCCCAATGCATAACTCCAGTCTAATCATGGGGAAGACATCAGACAGATCCCAGGAGACAGGCGTCCCGCAAAACACCTGATCAATACTCAAAAACTGCCAAGGCCATCAGGGAAACTGGTCTTGAGAAACAAGATCTGAGAAACGGCCACAGGCCAGAGTAGCCTAAGGCGACATGATGACTGAATGTGACGTGGCTCCTGGATGGGATCCTGGAACCTTAGGCAATGCAAGGGAACCCTGAACACAGTGTGGGCTTTCGTTTGTAATCCTGTGTCAATAATGGTTCACATATTTTGACAAATGAACGATGCTGGCTTAAGATGCTAATCACAGAGGAAACTGGGTGTGGGGCATGTGGGAACTCCTGTGCTGTCTTCTCCAATTTTCTGTACATCTAAAACTATTTTTAAAAATGAGACTGGGCGTGGTGGCTCATGCCTGTAATCCCAGTATTTTGGGAGGCTGAGGTGGGCAAATCACGATGCCAGGAGTTCCAGACCAGCCTGGCCAACCTGGTGAAACCCCATCTCTACTAAAAATACAAAAATTAGCTGGGCATGGTGGCGCGCGCCTATAATCCCAGCTACTCGGGAGGCTGAGGCAGGAGAATTGCTGGAACCCGGGAAGCAGAGGTTGCAGTGAGCTGAGATTGCGCCATTGCACTCCAACCTGGGCAACAGAGCGAGACTCTGCCTCAAAAAAAAAATGAGGACTAGCTGGGCACAGTGGCTCTCGCCTATAATCCAAGCACTTTGGGAGGCCGAGGTGGGCAGATCACTTGAGCTCAGGAGTTAGAGACCAGCCTGCACAACAAAGGGAGACCTGGTCTCTACAAAAAATAGAAAAGTTAGCTGGGCGTGGTGGTGTGTATCTGTAGTCCCAGCTACTGGGGAGGCTGAGGGATCACTTGAACCCAGGAGGTCAAGGCTGCAGTGAGCCATGATTGTACCATGGCACTCCAGAGTGACACCCTGTCTCCAAAACAAAAAACAAAAAACAAAAAACTTAAAAATGAAGGCCACTTAGAATGTTTTTTTGTTTGTTTGTTTGTTTGTTTTGAGACGGAGGCTCGCTCTGTTGCTCAGCCTGGAGTGCAGTGGTGCAATCTCAGCTCACTGCAACCTCCACCTCCCAGGTTCAAGAAATTCTCCTGCCTCAGCCTCCCGAGTAGCTGGGATTACAGGTGTGTGCCACCATGCCTGGCTAATTTTTTTATTTTTAGTAGAGATGGGGTTTTGTCTTGTTGGCCAGGCTGGTCTTGAACTCTCGACCTCAGGTGATCCACCCACCTTGGCCTCCCAAAGTGCTGGGATTACAGGTGTGAGCCACTACACCTGGCCTACTTAGAATTTTTAAAAATTAAACTATTTTAAAAAGAAGGTGTCCAGGATGCTGTTGAGCACACAGCAGGTTCAGGAAAAGCCCAGGATGGTAAGTAACATGGCTCTGCACTCCGTCACACTGAATGGAAAGTCAGAGTTCAATACCGACTCTCCCAAACAAGTGTAAAATCACAGAGGTAAAAAGGCGGAATCTGGAAGGCTCTGACATTGACAAGAGCCGTGTTACAACCCATGAGGATTTTGATAAAGACCCAGAACAAATCTTGCCAAGTACAGAGGTCAGATTTCATAACTGCTCTTCCCCTAAAAATGTTGATTCTATCTGCTAGTCTTATTTGTTGGTTTCCTTGCCTTTTGGAATAACCACTGTCTTCTTGTAAGCCTGTCTGGTACCCCCAGGGACACAAGTCCAGGACCATGCTGGGCAGCAGCAGGCCCCCTTGCACAAGTGCACGGTGTCACAGGCTGCTCTGAAGCCCACGCTCACGGAGCACGTGCGTTCTCACATGCGATGTAAAGCTCTCGGTCCCTTCCATCCCTGTTATTCTCCACTTTTAGTCCCCTCCCCTCTCTGGCCTGTGATTCCCCAGTGCTGTGGGAAGCAGAACAGGCCCAAGGGGGGAATTTGGCACAGAGGTTCAGCTAGGCTTTGGCAACAGGTACCCCGAGATGCAAACCCCGGGCTCCTTGGAGAGGCAGCTGATTCCAGGGCCGGGGCAGGAGCACACAAGTTAAGC
Source organism: Homo sapiens (assembly GCF_000001405.40). Classification (NCBI taxonomy): domain Eukaryota; kingdom Metazoa; phylum Chordata; class Mammalia; order Primates; family Hominidae; genus Homo; species Homo sapiens. The sequence goes on along the minus strand of NC_000001.11, from coordinate 12,130,427 downwards.
TGGGAACATCTCAGAATAAGGGACGTGCTCAAAGCACAGGATGAGGATACACCAAAGCACACAAGAGCCAGCTTAAAGGGGCTCTCCCTGACCTCATCTGGGACCATTTGAGCACCAAAATAAAAAATGATGGTAAGAGATTACAACCCATTGAACAGAACAGGGCCCCATGAATCCATACAGATATAAATATGTAAGTGAAGAAAATTAAGTTCTGGGCTGGGCGCGGTGGCAGCTCACGCCTGTCATCCCTGAACTTTGGGAGGCCGAGGCGGGAGGACCACTTGAGGCCAGGAGTTCGAGACCAGCCTGGCCAACATGGTGAAACTCTGTCTCTACTGAAAATACAAAAAATGAGCCAGGCATTGTGTGGCACACGCCTGTAATCCCAGCCACTTGGGAGGCTGAAGCAGGAGAATTGCTTGAACCCAGGAGGCGGGGGTTGCAGTAAGCCGAGATCACACTACTGCACTCCAGCCTGGGTGACAGAGCCAGACCCTGTCTCAAAAAAATAAACAAATAAATAGAGAAAATGAAGGTCTGCTGAAGAATGGGCTATTGACATAGTCTCAAGTAACGCCCCTAAAGACTTAGTAATGACCGAGGAGCAAATGGAGACGTCACAGTGGAGAGGCCCGGCAGGACATCACCTCCGTCGAGCGCTCAAAGTACACAGCACCAGGAAAGGGAGACATCGAAACCTGGCAGGACGCCCTGAGAGAGAAGAGGCCAGCATCATTCCTGGGACCTTCCAGCCCAAGATGCATGACCTGAATCCACTCGGGAGAAAACACCAGACAAACCCAAAGCAAGGAGCATCCATGAAATCACCAGCCTGCGCTCTTCCCAGTAAGTGAAAGAAACGCCTGGGGAACGGATCCGGACAGAAGGAGACTCGAGAAACCAGACAAGCAAATGTAACACGTGGCCCTGAGCTGGAGTCCTCTGCTATAAAGGACATTATTGGGACAAATAAAGAAACTTCAACAGGGCCTGAGAATTCATTGTGGGTCATGTATCAGTGTGAATTCCAATTCTGACGATCCTTACCACATCGTGTAAAATACACCCTTGTCTGTCTGAAACACACACTGAAGTTTTCGGGGTGAGAGACATCCAGTCAGTCAGTTACTCTCAAATGGTTCAGGTCAAAATGAATTCTTCATACTTATACCATTTCTATAAGTTTGAAACTGTTTCAAAACAAAAAAAGAATTTCTTTCAACCTAAATCTCCCTGGAATAATAGAAAATGACTCAAGTGCTCATAAAAATGAAGGATTAAAAGAATTTTAAGGCCAGGCATGGTGGCTCATGCCTGCAAACCCAGCACTTTGGGAGGCCGAGGCAGGCGGATCATGAGGTCAGGAGTTTGAGACCAGCCTGGCCAACACGGTGAAACCCCGTCTCTACTAAAAATACCAAAATTAGCCAGGCATGGTGGCAGGAGCCTGTAATCCCAGCTACTCAGGAGGCTGAGGCAGGAGAATCACTTGAACCCGTGAGGCGGAGGTTGCAGTGAACCCAGATGGCACCAGTGCACTCCAGCCTGGGTGACAGAGCGAGACTCTGTCTCAAAAAAAAAAAAAAAAAAAGAATTTTAGACCAGTGGTTCTCAACCAGGAGGTTTTCCCCAGGGGCCACATGGCAATGTCTAGAGACATTTTTGGTTGTCCCAAGTAGGGAAGGTTACTGGCATCTAGAGGGGCTGTACAACGTCCTATAGGATAGCGCTCCACAGCAAAGAACCATCCATTCCCAAATGTCAATGGTGCCAAGGGTGAAAAATCTTTTTACAAACATCTCAACAACCACGATAAAATCCCCGTCCTACGGCTCACCCAGCACGTGGCCTTAAACGAATTACTTCACCATCCTGTGCCTTAGGCTGCTAATCTGTGCAACGGGGATAACAGTAAGTACCTCACAGGCCACCGGAGGAGTGGATGAGATCACGTGTGTGCTTTGCAAATGCCTGTCACCGAGGACACACACGGGAAGGTCGATCCACTCGAGGGCTGGTTGGTGGGCCTCTCATCGCACCTGCACGGACCACAGATCCCTGATGTGCTCACTGCTCAAAGGAACCAAGAGCACCCTCTGCCCCAGGTCTGGGATGTGGGAGGCCAAGGGGCGCACACTCCCCTCCCGTCTGCCTTTGGCCTCTGCGGGCAGTCGGAATTAGTCTAAAAGCTTGGAGGGAGCTAGAACAGCTTCTGGGCCCGGCACAGAGCCTGCAAGGAGGAAGTGCTCCGTGAAGACCATGTGAATAGATGAATGAACGAACCAATAAACCAGTGCCAATAAACCAGTGCTCCTTCCCTCCTTCACCACCCACGGCTCAGGAGGGAAAGGGGCATCCGGCCAGCTCGGTCCATTCTCACCCGGTGCTCTGTGAGCTTGCCTGTCTTGGCTTCACTTTCTGTCCATCTTGAGCCTCGGAACCCAGACCCCAAGGTCCCACCAGAAGCTAGAGGGTCAAAAACGACCTGAGATAAGATGTCCACCATTGAGTCTCAGGGCTCAGTTCTTTGTAGACCTGGCTTCTTAGGGGAAGGTGTTTTCTTTCTTTCTTTCTTTTTTTCTTCTGTAACAAAACTGCTCTCACAGAGGTTTGAAGAAAAAAAATAAACTGACGGCAATGGAAATTCTAATACTAGAAAAATGTCAAGAAAGCAAACGCCGGTTTCAATGAGACACTCAGCCTGACAGGTCATGGAAACAGGCTTGAAACTATCAAAACACAAAAACCCCCCTTGCACAGGGACCACAGTGCTTGCTTGTGAAACTCGTCAAATTCAAAACATGCCTCAGTGGACTGTGTTTTTGTGCCCAAGTCAACAGTCAGCCTATGCAAGGGCCTCTGCAAGGGTCCTGGGGAGATCAGGGGACGGGCCAGGGCCTGGCCTTAGGCTGAGCACGTGGCTCTTGGGTAGGCATTGCGATGGTGGACAGAGCTGGCAGGGGGAAGGAAGAGGGGACAGGGCTGAGCCCTTTACAAACCAAAACCCCTAGGACCAGTGCCTGAGGCTGGCTGTGCCACTGCCAGGCTGTGTGGCCCTGGGCCAGCCGTCCACCTTGCTGAGCCCTGCCTCCTCCTTGCAGAACAAAGGTCATCACTGGGGGAGTACAGGAAGCCTGTATGGGAGCCCACCTTGCAAATCAGAAACGAAGGCTCAGACGATTCCCCCATCAGAGCCCAGCACAGAGCAGGCACCCAATCCATGCCATGCAGTGCTGAGGAAGACCCTGGCCTGCCTTGAAGGGGCTGCCCAGGAGAGAGAAGGTGCTTGGCACAAGATAGCTGGGAGCCCCCTGCCCCAGGTGAGAGCTAGAAGACACACGCTGTATAGACGACCCTGCCTGGACAGGTGAGGAGGGTTCCAGCTCCCAAGGGCTGCCTGGAAGAGCTGGCCCAGAGGCTGGGCAGGGATCAGAGTGCAGGGACCAGGGAGGGGGTCAGAAGCACCCAGGACTCAGGAAGGCCTGAAGCTTCCAGGAAGGAAAAAGCCCCAGGCACAGGCCAGCCTGTCAATAGGCAGCAGCCACCGATTGCAGGCAGGTACTCCACGATGCGCTTAACAGCCCGACCTCGACGAATCCACAGGCCAAGCCTCTGAAGTAGATTCTACCATCTGCATTTTCCGGATGAGGAAACTGAGACACAGGACAATTCAGTAACTCACCCAGGGTCACACAGCTTGTAAGTGGCAGAACCAGGGTCCCTCTTGCCCCATGTGCTCCTTTCCCCTCCTGCCCCTGGGCTGACTTGCCAGGTGGTAGAAGAGGGGGAGAGAGGGGAAAGAGAAAGAGAAGGAGGGAGAGGGAGAAAGGGAGGGTAGAATGTAGAGAGGAAGGCAAGGCTGGCAGGAATGCCCCCTGGGGGTACTGGAGGAAAAAGTGACAGACAAGATAGACTTTTAAACGTTCATGCCAGCATCCATCCAGGTGCTGCTCTGGGCAAGCCACACAGTCGTCACACCCAGTACAGTCTTCACCTCATTGCATTCTCCACACGCATGAGTTTTCACCCACATTGCATCCCTACAGATGTACAGAATGCGACAGGAGCCACAGACAGGGAGCTTCGAGGCTGGGGTAGAAGTTCAGTCTCTGGAGCCCACGCCCCGGGCCCAGAGCTGCCCTGTGTTCCTCTGGCTCGGGCAGCCCCTTTGGACGGCTGGACACTCACCCACAAGCTCTAGCTTGGGCTGGGAGGTCTGGACCGGGTAGCACAGGTGGAGCTCTGAAACGACACCAGGAGGAAGGCTGGGGGTGGCGGCCTCAGAGAGCAGGAGCAGGCAGGGAAAGAACCCAGGCCAGGCTGGCAGAGAGCAACCTGTCCTCCCCAAGGCCCCAAGGACACAGCCACTTACTCTGCCGAATTCGCTTCCTGCAGGCCCTCCGGTGGCACAGGAGGAAGGCGCTGGAGCCGACCACCACAACCAACACCAGGATCACCCAGAAGAGCACTGGCCCTGGAACACAGAGACGCCCCACACTCTTTGCCTTGCTGCAACCACACAAGACAGCCCCAGCCCCAGACGACTTCCTCCTTCTCCTGGGACACAGCTTCCATCATGGCTAACAACAACAGGTCCTTTCCAAGCCAAGGCTCTTATCTCATCCAGCCCTCCCTCGCCTGGCTCCAGGAAGCTGATCAACTATTGAAGGCTGAGAGAAGGGCAAACTGTGTCTAGAGAGTGAGAAATTGAGGCGTCTAGGAGCCAGAACAAAGGAATTGAGGTCCAATAGACCAAAATTTGGGGACTGTGGACGAGGGCCCGGTGTGACCGGCATCTGGCAGCACTGCTGGTGTGGCCGGAGTCAGGGTGGGGAGGGCCAAGCAGTGAGGGGAAGGAAGAGGTTGAACCCAGTCCCCTCCCGGCCAACCCTCTAGACCTGCTTGATGAGGGCAGGCATGGAGTCCCCACTGCACATAAACACACCCCACAAGCGTTCCCTGAATGAATGATCCCCAACCCTATGCCCTAGGCACCGTCACTACCTTCAGTTTAAAAATGAGGGGAGCTGAGGCTCACGAAAGTTCGTTAAGTTGCCCAAGGTCACCCTGAGAGTAAGTGGCAGAGCCCCAGCCCAGGCCAGGCCAGGCCGGGGGGACTGCAGGGCCACGCTCTTAACCCCTATCTAGATCTACTTCTTCACACCTCGGTACTAAACTCGCTTCGTTTTTCCCTTTTGTCACTTACAGAGATCATAGAGCTAGTGATTGCACTTTATTGAAGTCCATGTTTAGATGTTTAAAAAGTAGTATATGCCAGTTAAGTGCTTCTCAAACGTTAATGTGCACATGAGTGCCCTGGAGATCTTGTTAAAGTGCAGTTTCTGATTCTCTAGGTCTGGGATGGGGCCCATAATTTGCTTTCCTAACAAGTTCCCAGCCGGTGCCAATGCTGCCAGACGGGACCGCACTTTCAGAAACTCTGGCCGGAGCACTACTGCCACCTCGTGTCAGCCACTAGAACTGCAAGTCCTAAAATGAGTAACCTGGCATCTTTCCCTAAGAGCTAACTCTTGGGGGTTTTGTTTGTTTTGTTTTGTTTTGTTTTGTTTTGTTTTGTTTTGTTTTGTTTTGTTTGAGACTGATTCTCATTCTGCTGCTCAGGCTGGAGTGCAGCGGTGCAATCTCGGCTCACTGCAACCTTGCAACCTCCGCCTCCCGGGTTCAAGCGATTCTCCTGCCTCAGCCTCCTGAGTAGCTGGGATTACAGGCGCGCGCCACCACGCCTGGCTAATTTTTGTATTTTTAGTAGAGATGTGGTTTCATCGTGTTGGCCAGGCTGGTCTCAAACTCCTGACCTCGTGATCCACCCACCTTGGCCTCCCAAAGTGCTGGGATTACAGGCGTGAGCCACCGCGTCCAGCCTAAGAGCTAACTCTGACAGAGGCCGTCTACAATGCTACACTGCTTATAACCCTGCACGGTCTCTGCCATTACCATTGTATAGATGAGACAACTGAGGCTCAAAGGCTCGAACAACTAGTCAAAGTCATGAAATCAATCAACAAAGACCTATTTTCTGAGTAGCAATTATAAGCCACGAGGATGAAGCTGTGAAAAAAATTCCTGCCTACAAGAATTAAAGAATAGTCACTAGCAGCCAGGCGCAGTGGTTCACACCTATAATCCTAGCACTTTGGGAGGCTGAAGCAGGTGGATCACCTGAGGTCAGGAGTTTGAGACCAACCTGGACAACATGGCAAAACCCCGTCTCTACTAAAAATTAAAAAAAAATTTAGCCAGGCGTGGTGGCAAGCGCCTGTAAACCCAGCTACTCGGGAGGCTGAGACAGGAGAATCTCTTGAACCTGGGAGGTGGAGGTTGCAGTGAGCCAAGATGGGTGCCACTGCCCTCCAGCCTGAGCAACAGAGTGAGACTGTTTCAAAAAGAAAAGAATAGTCACTAGCAAGTGCCAGAGCCACAGCACCAACTCAAGAAGCCAGAAACCTGGGGTCAACCTTAATCCCCCTTCTCAGACCATACCCACAAAGGAGAAGCTCCCTCCTGGCTCCCCCAATCCACACTTCCCCAGGAGGAAGCCCCTGCTGGGAGTAGGGGTGAGTGGGCTGGGACCATTACCTGCATCCAGAACGGGCTTCCCCGTGGAGGAGAGAGCGACGGGAGCGCTGGTTGGGATGGGCAGCGTCTTACTGGCCTGGGAGTCCACCAGCAAGCTCTGAGTGGGGCTGGTGCTGCGGGGAGAAGCCCAAGGCAGGAGTGATGAAGATGGGAAGAGGGAAGTGGGTCTTCAGGAATAATTCCCTTTCTCTGGAGACTGCGCAACCAGAGCCTGGGCCCCTAGATCCTCTGCCCCGAGTCTCTGCCAGGCATTTTGAGGGCAGGGACTGGGTTTCAAGGCCTTCTGGCTTTCCAATGGTGTCAGCAAAGAGATGGGCACACATTTAACAAAAGAGCAGCCCAGGCCCCACCTCCACCCCCAGCCCAGCTGCCTCCCAGGCATCCCCTGGGCATGGCAGGGACAGCTCCCTCCTGCAGCAGCCAAACAGAGAGAAGGGGTGGGGGAGTCACCTGGCAGGCGCCTCGCCATTCTCTGGGGTGGGGTTGCAGTCCGGCTGGGTCCCCAGGGGTGGCGCCTCAAAGGTGGTGTCCTTCTCAGCCATATCTGCAGAGGGGACGTAACATCTGAGAACCAGCGCCAAGGAGGCTGGTGTCTCCAGGAAAGAGTTAACCAGCAGGGACTGGTGGCTTCCAGCGAGGCAACACCGTGGGAGCTAAGACAGTCAGATTTGTGTTTCAAAAGATCAAAGTGGAAAAGCTGGCCAGGCACATTGGCTCACACCTGTAATCACAGCATTTTGGGAGGCTGAGGCAGGAGGACCACTTGAGGTCAGGAGTTCGAGACCAGCCTGACCAACACGGTGAAACCCCATCTCTACTAAAAACACAAAAATTAGCCAGGTGTGATGGCACACACCTGTAATCCTAGCTACTCAGGAGGCTGAGGCAGGAGAATCGTTTGAACCCGGGAGGTGGAGGCTGCAGTGAGCTGAGATCATGCCACTGCACTCCAGCCTGGGCGACAGAGAAAGACTCAAAATAAATAAAACAAAGTGGAGAAGTTGCTACTTGTCTCTAACAGCTGTGGTCACCCAGGAAGGTGAAACAGTGACGCTAGACCTTTTGCTTTTAAGAGAAAACTGAAATCGCCTAATGTTTAAATACAGCCTCAATTTTTAAAGTTTTTTTCTTTTAAATCAACTTTATTAAGGAATTATTTATTTATTTATGTTTAATTTTTTGAGATTGAGTCTTCCTCTGCTGCCCAGACTGGAGTGCAGTGGCACGATCTCAGCTCATTGCAACTTCTGCCTCCCGGATTCAAGTGATTCTCCTGCCTCAGCCTCCTGAGTAGCTGGGATTACAGGTGCCTGCCAACATGCCCAGCTAATTTTTGTATTTTTAGTAGAAACAGGGTTTCACCATGTTGACCAGGCTGGTCTCGAACTCCTGACCTCAAGTGATCCGCCCACCTCAGCCTCCCAAAGTGCTGGGATCGTAGGCGTGAGCCACCATGCCCAGCCTAAGGCAACATTTATATACAAGAAAGTATCCCCTGGCAGGGTAGGGTGGCTCCCGCCTGTAATCCCAGCACTTTGGGAGGCTGAAGCAGGCAGATCACTTGAGCTCAGGAGTTCGAAACCAGCCTAAGCAACATAGCAAGACCCTGTCTCTATTTTTAATAAGTAAAAATAAAAAAAGAAAATGTCCCTAAGTGTGTACAGCCTGATGAGTTCTGACAAAGGTAACTAACTCCAATCAAAATACAGAACATTCTCATCCCTCCAGAAGGTTCCCTAGTGCCCCTCCTCACTCACTCTGCCCCCACCTCCAGATCCAGGCAACCACCGATCTGCTTTATGTCACTATAGAGGAGTGTATCTGTTCCAGAATTTCATGTCGACAGAATCATGCAGTATGTACTCTTTGGGGTCTGGCTTCTTCCACTCTGCATAATGTTTTTGATATTCATTCAGCTTCATTCCTTTCTGTTGCCAAATGGCGTTCTGTTGTACAGATGAACCACTGTTTACATACCCGTTCGCTAGTTGATGGACATTTGGGTTGTTTCCAGTTTGAACTATGACGAACAAGGCAGCTGTGAGTATTCTTGTGCGTGCCTCTGTGTGAACGTATAATTTCATTCCTCTTGAGTGCCTAGGAAGGGTGGCTGGATTGCTATGCTGGCCAGACGGAATGTCTCTGAAGGCCAGTTCATAGCTGGCCACCACTGGTCTGACCCAGCTACCTTGTTTTACAGATGGAGAGAGCCGCAGGGCTGGAGCTACAGCCAGGAAACAGAGATGGCGAGTTCCAGCCCAGAGCACTCTCCTCTGGATGGCACTGCCTCCTGCCTGGGGACTGGGCACCTTCTTCAAAGCTTCCTGCTTTTCTGGGGCAGGATAATTTGGCCCACATTAGAAGTGGGTTATGCTCAGTCACTACACCTCTCCACCCCCAGAGCCCTGGTGGAGGCACCCCTTTTTGATGTGGTACAAAGCAACCCCACACACATACCCACATCTCCCCTCTACAAAGTGTTCGTGACGCCTCTCAGATTTTTCCTCAAATAGACAAAAAAGTAAAGCCAGGATTAATTTATTTCTTGCATTGTAGGGTTCTGAGGAACCCCCCTCTTTGGGGAAGGTCACTGGACTCTTACCTGAATTAGCTGGAGCCTGGAGACTATGGGGAAGATGATGCGATGTGTTATGATGGTTCCTACATGCTCGTTAATCAGTATTTGAATCAGTGTTTGAAAGGTCATTGGGTTTCAGTGAACACTTACTTTGAGTGGACTGGAGCTCTGATGCTCAAACCCATTAACTGTGGCTATTCCCAGTCAGCATCATGAGGAGAGAGCCCCCTGCCTGCTCTCCAAGGCAGCCTGATGTAACTAGACAGGCCCATGGTCTCAGCTGCTGCTGAAACACCTGCTGAAATCCAGCGACAGATCTGCTGTCCCTCCTGTATGTGCAGAAGGGGGGAACCTAGTATCCCTTGGGTGCCTCTCATCCCCTCTCTGAATATACTATACCTAACTTGTAACTTTCCTTCTTCCTCCCTGAGTCAGTGATCCTCCCCTTTTCCTCCTCTTTGGATTTGAAGGTGAGGAGAAGGCATTGTCTAGCCCCTAGTTGGTCTGCCTGTGTTCTCTGGTAATGGCCTACTGGAAGAGAAGAAAAGAACCTGCCTACTCAGCCTCCATTTAAGAACTAAAAAAAATATTATTTACCAGATGGATATACTTCTCTTTAAATCCAAACACCCAGTCCTTGGGCCATTTAAAGAATTGTCTCAGCATCAAGGCCAAACAGATTCTCTTTTTGTACATCCAGCAATCGCTTAAAATCAGGTGAAATTTCATCTTCATATTTGGACTGTATATTTCTTGTCATCTTTTTCTTTTCCCGGGAGTTTTCAATTGCCTTTCTTTTTCTTGTTGATAAAAGGACAGTGTGCCCTCACCATATCCTCAGGCTTTTCAACTCTACTAATCATGAAATTTACTACAATTCTCTCTTCTATTCCTGGGAACACTTCCTCGGAGCCTTCCTTCCATTTTCCTGCTCTGATCTGGCTCAACTGGTCTATACCACATCATTCTGGGACTTCCCTTCCTTGCTCTGCTAGGATGGAGTGCTGGTCTCTAGATTCCATGGCTTCCTGTTGTTTTTCTTTTTTGCCCCCTCACTTAGCTGAATTACATCTTCAAATATCTTCCTAGGAGAGGATATAGGAAGAAAAGCCTTCTGGACCTTTTATGTCTGAAAATGTTTTTATGCTGCCTTCAAACTTGATTGTAATTTAGCTGAAGTGACTGTAATTTAGCTGGGTAAATTCTAGGTTCAGAACTAAGAAGGAGGTGGGTGGGTGGTGTCTTCCAGTGGAAGTACTCTGGGCTGACCCTTGGGATCCCTGCATTCTGGTTCTAGCTTCGGCCCTGTGCTTCTCTCTGGGTGTAAAACGAAGGGGTTGTATCAGACCAGAGGTATCCAGCTTTGACTAGTCCTCAAAAACATTCTGACTATGTGACCAGCACAATGACCTAGCCACTCCTCCTAGGTATTTACCCATGAAAAATGAAAATATACATCCACCCAAAGACTTGTACAAGAATCGGCCAGTCATGGTGGCTCATGCCAGTAATCTCAGCACTGTGGGAGGCTGAGGTGGGAGGATCGCCCGAGCCCAGGAGTTCAATGCTGCAGTGAGCCAAGATCATGCCACTGCACTCCAGCCTGGAACACAGAGTGAGACCCTGTCTCTAAAAATAATAAAAATAATAATAAAAGATATAAGATAAATTCATACATGTTAAAAAAAAAAAAAGAATATTCACAGCTGTTTTCATTCATAATAGCCCTAAACTGGAAACAACCCAAATGCCATCAACCGGCAGGTAGATAAAATCATGGTGGTGCATCTATTACATGTAGCGTGGGTAATTTCCATTAATCCTGCTTTGCTCTTGGTAGGTCCTTTTGACCTGAAGTCTATGCTTCTGGTCAGGTGCACAGAGAAATTGAGGCTGCCACTGTGGGGGAGACGCCTGGAGCACTTTGGGGTGCCAAAGACCTGTGGCTGGTGGGGGATGCACAGAGGGAATCAGGGAGTCAGGACACTTTTGCAGACATGAGGCCTGGCACGTGCCAATGTCTGCATTGGGAGAGCCACATCAAGGTGGTCACCAGGCCAGGCAGCAGGAGCAAGAAGAAACAAATGGCCGGGCGCAGTGGCTCACGCCGGTAATCCCAGCACTTTTGCGAGGCCGAGGCAGGCGGATCACCAGGTCAGGAGTTCGAGACCAGCCTGACCATCATGGTGAAACCCTGTCTCTACTAAAAATACAAAAATTAGCCAGGCGTGGTGGCGCGTGCCTGTAATCCCAGCTACTCAGGAGGCTGAGGCAGGAAAACTGCTTGAACCCGGGAGGTGGAGGTTGTGGTGGGCCAAGATCGCGTCACTGCACTCCAGCCTGGGCGACAGAGTGAGACTCTGTCTCAAAAAAAGAAAAGAAACAAACAAACAAACAAAAAAACAAATGCAACCAGAAGCCTCCTTCCTCCTGCGATGGCCCTCTAGCGCCCTCTGCTGGCAAGGCTTAACTGCATGCTCCCTACAGAGGAGAAAGGCGGAGCCATCGTTGATGGCAGGGCAGGGATGGAAAGGTGAATGGAGAACCTAGAGATGATGGGCTGATCACAAGCACACTTTCTAAAAAGCCTTTTCTTGCCCTCTGATCCCATATTGTTCCTTTTCATAGCATTCTGTGCCCACCTTATGGATGTAACGACTTCGTGAATTTTTCTGCAGACACGAATTTAATGTTGCTAAGTACTCTTCTATTCCTGGATTTATCAAAGCTTCATGTGTGGTAAGAATTTCTGGTTTCGTATCTTTTTATTCTCCTTTGTAGGGCTGGTTTTTCTTACAAATCTTTGCTCATTCATATTTATTTTAAAAGGGTTATGCTTGGCCGGGTGCGGTGGCTCACGCCTGTAATCCCAGCACTTTGGGAGGCTGAGGCAGGCAGATCACCTGGGGTCAGGAGTTCGAGACCAGCCTGACCAATGTGGTGAAACCCCGTCTCTACTAAAAATACAAAAATTAGCCGGGTGTGGTGGTGCACGCCTGTAATCCCAGCTACTTGGGAGGCTGAGGCACAAGAATAGCTCAAACCCAGGAGGCAGAGGTTGCCGTGAGCCGAGACCATACCACTGCACTCCAGCCTGGGCAACAGAGCGAGACTTTGTCTCAAAAAGAAAAGGGTGGGGGGGGAGGGTTATGCTGCATCCACCAATAGATAAATGTGGCATCTATACACAATGGAATACTACTCAGCCATCATAAGGAAAGAAATCAAGTCTTTCGCAGCAACATGGATGGAACTGAAGGCCATATTCTTAAGTGCAGACATTCAGACACAGAAAGACAAATACTGCCTGTTCTCACTTCTAAGTGGGAGTGAAATACTGTGTCCACACGGAGCTGGAGAGTGGAATAAAAGGCAACAGAGACTTAGAAGGGTGAGGGGGTGGGAGGTATAGGTAGGTGGACCATGAGAAATTATTTAAGGGGTACAATGTATGCTATTTGGGTGAGGGATACCCTAAACGTCCTGAGTTCACCACCCAATCTAAGCATGTAATAAAATTACACTTGTACCCCATACATTTATGCAAACAAAATAAAATCCTAAGGACTCTACTGAATATTCCAGTCACTGAGCGGGGACAGTTTCTTCTGCTGTGTTAGTATGTCCTGTTCACAATGGGTCTCTTCCCTGAGTAGGAAGTTGGCCAGGGAACCCTGGGCCCATGGGCGGAGAGTGTGAGCTGGCAGCCTCCATTTCAGGGTGATGGGGTGTGGCTAGCCTGTTGACAGGTGCACTTCCAAATACCCAAGTAAAGAGGGCTTTACAAACAGAGTGACAGCACCCCACTAGTGGCCCGAACTTTCCCCGGATATTCCTTCAATGTTCTGACTCAAGAAGACAATTGTTGGCCAGGCACGGTGGCTCACACCTGTAATCCCAGCACTTTGGGAGGTGGAGGCGGGCAGATCACTTGAGGTCAGGAGTTCCAGACCAGCCTGGCCAACATGGCAAAACCCCGTCTCTACTAAAAATATGAAAATTAGCTGGGTGTGGTGGCGGGCACCTGTAATCCCAGCTACTCGGGAGGCTGAGGCAGGAGAATTGCCTGAACCCGGGAGACGGAGGTTGCAGTGAGCTGAGATTACACCACTGCACATCGGCCTGGGCAAGACAGCGAGACTCCATCTCTAAAAAAAGAGGAAAAAAAAAGACAATACTGGGGATTAAAAACTCAGGCATCATCTGTGCAAACTGGTCAGTGGCCATGCCATGCCATTGTAATACATTTTGAAGTTGTGTTTGAAGATTTAGTAGTCCCAGGCCACTACACCTCACACCTCTCAACTTCCCTCCCGCTCTTCATCTGCCTGCCTCTTCCAAGCCCAGAGCCTCTCTGGGGGTCCTAGAAGCAAGTCACCCCTCACTTCTCTGGCAGCCCTCACAGAGTCACATTGGGTGACCTTCCCTCCACTTGGTTTTTTTTCTTTTTTAGGCAGAGTTTCGCCCTGTTGCCCAGGCTGGAGTTCAGTGGTGCAATCTCGGCTCACTGCAACCTATGCCTCCCGGGTTCAAGCGATTCTCCTGCCTCAACCTCCTGAGTAGCTGGGACTACGGTGCCCACCACCACACCCAGCTAATTTGTGTATTTTTAGTAGAGACGGGGTTTTGCCATGTTGGTCAGGCTGGTCTTGAACTCCTGACCTCAAGTGATCCACCTGCCTCAGCCTCCCAAAGTGCTGGGATCACAGGCGTGAGCCACCACGCCTGGCCATTCCCCTTGGTTTTGTCACCACTCTTCCATCTGTTTTAAACCACCTGGAGATTTGTTAAAATCTCTCAAAGCCCTTAAAAAACAAAAAACAACAACAACAAAAAACTGTCAGGGTTTTAGTTTCCTGCACACTGGTAAAGCCAACCGTCCTGTTAGAAATCTCTTCAGAAACTTGATATTCATCTCTCTAAGTCAATAAAACAGCCTTGCAAACAGGTCAAGATTTTACCAGCCCGGGGCTGGGCATGGTGGCTCAGGCCTGTAATCCCAGCACTTTGAGAGGCCAAGGTGGGTGGATCACCTGAGGTCGGGAGTTCGAGACCAGCCTGACCAACATGGAGAAACCGCATCTCTTCTAAAAATACAACATTAGCCGGCTGTGGTGGCGAATGCTTGTAACCCCAGCTACTCAGAAGGCTGAGGCAGGAGAATTGCTTGAACCCAGGAGGTGCAGGTTGCGGTGAGCCGAGATTGAGCCATTGTACTCCAGCCTGGGCAACATGAGCGAAACTCCATCTCAAAAATATAAAGATTTTACCAGCCCAATAATTTCAGGAAGAATTTTTTTTTAATCAACAGAATCTCTTGCCAAAATGCTAAAACTGGATTTTATCATTCCATTCACTGAGTCTGACTACTCAAAGGATAACCAGAACCCAAACCTGACCTAATGAACAGCCGAGGGTGTAGGTCATTTGCCTCCACCCCTGGCTGTTGGTGGGGAGAGGCACAACAGTGGGGGCACAGACTCCACCCTGTGGTCGAGGCCTGGGGTGGGAACTGCTTACCCTGGGGCTTGGTGACCGTCTCTGCTGCACAGATTGGGTAGGGGACACAGCGGGCACAGGAGTTGGTGGCTGATGTGGCACAGATCATGCCAGGTCGACATTCGCAGGTGCGGGAGGAGTTCCATGCACATGGCGTCTTCTCCACAAGGTCATCTAAGGGACACAGATGAGGATCACGGAGAAAGATCAGTATGGCAAGGGCAGGGGGTCCAGAGAGCCCCCAGGAAGACAGAGAAGCAGTTGTCCAAGGGTCATCCAACAAGAAAATAAATGCTCGTCTGACTATGCCGTTGAGCAGCTCTCCCAGCATGCTCAAAATAATTCTGCAGGGTGAAAGAAGGCAGGCAAAAAGCGAGGGTATTCTGTATGTCGCATTTACATGCAAGCTATTGCATGGTGACCATAAGCAGGGGATGGGAAATGGTGACAAGCAACCCGAGGTAACTTTTAGAGGGGGATGGCTGGTTGCTCAGCTGCATGCATTTGTTAAAACTTATCAGATTGCATCCTTTAATCTATGCACTTTACCATATGCCCACTATCTCTCCCTAAAGCTGTTAAAAGAAAGTCCTCCAGGGGACGGGGTGAGCGGGCATGGGTGCAGAGGAGCCAAGACTGGCCATGACTCCATAACCGTTTAAAGCTGGGTGATAGTACGCAGCCATCTCTGACTCACTCTACATCTGAATATGTTTGAAATTTTTAATAATAAAAAGATTTTTTGGCCAGACACGGTGGCTCACGACTGTAATCCCGGCACTTTGGGAGGCCGAGGCAGGCAGATCACAAGGTCAGGAGTTCAAGTCCAGCCTGACCAACATGGTGAAACCCCGTCTCTACTAAAAATACAAAAATTAGCCATGCCTGGTGGCACGTGCCTGTAATCCCAGCTACTCAGGAGGCTGAGGCAGGAGAATCACTTGAACCTGGGAGGCAGAGGTTGCAGTGAGCCAAGATAGTGCCACTGCACTCCAGCCTGGGCGACAGAACAAGACTCTGTCTATTTAAAAAAAAAAAAAAAAAAAAAAAAAAAAAGATTTTTTTTCCTCCAAAAGCAAAAAAAAACCATGTTAGAGGTATTATTTTTAATAAGTGTAATAATGCATTTGTACGTATTCGGGAATATTTTGCAACGCTCCACTTAGAGGTAAATACAGAACGACTGCATCAGTAGATTAGGCAAATGGGACCTCTCCGCGAGGGTAGATCTCAATCAGCAGGATACTTAGAGACCCAGCATGATAATGATAAGGGCTGGACAGTCTCTTCTTACAACATCCAGAGCAAGGGAACTGGGCAGGATTTGGGGAATTTGTGCAAAGGGTGTGTGTGAGCTCAGCAATGAATGAAACCATTTGGGACAATGGCAGCTATTATCATTATTATTATAGCTCTTAAGATAACTGAGTATGTGTGAGACAGTAGTCTCAGCACTCTACCCAGATTAACCTACAATCATGTATTCAATTCTCACATGGTTCTCTGAGATAGATAATACTATGCCCATTTTGCAGCAGAGGAAACTGAGGCACAGAGAGGTTAGGAAACCTGCTTGAGGTTATAGGCTATCAAGTGGGAGAGGCGGGATCTGAACCCGGCACTCGGGTTCTAGAGCTCATGCCTTTAGCTACTAATACACCACTCCACTGCCTCGTGGGGTTTCAGTTAGGAGAGCTGAAGGAATTACTGGGCCCAGAGCCAACACCTCTTTCTCCATATGTCCACATGGTGGTTGTGGCAGACTGTATTTCCCCAAAACATGGCTGCAGTGATGTTCTGGCCCTTCCAGAGCCTTTGCCACCTACCTGTCAAGAAGTACAACTGTTTTCCTTCCCTTGGTCTCAAGTGACATTTGTGGTTGCCTCAACAAACAGAAAGTGGTAGAAGTTCTGTGTGACTTCCAAGGCCAGGTCATAAAAGGAGGGGTGGCTGCTGCCTCTGTCTGTCTCTCTCTCTCTCTTTCTGTCTCTCTCTCTCTCTTTCTCTGTCTTTCTCTCTGTCACACTCTATCTCTGTCTCTCTCTGTCTCTCAGTCTCTCTTTCTGTCTTTCTGTCTCTCTCTCTCTCGCTCACTCCGTCTCTTTCTCTTTCTGTCTCTCTCTCTCCCTCTTTCTGTCTCTCTCTCACTCTCTCTCTCCCTCTCATTCTGTCTCTTTCTCTCTGTCTCTCTCTTTCTCTCTCTCACTCTTTCTCTCCCTCTTTCTGTCTCTCTCTCACTCTCTCTTTCTGTCTGTCTCTCTCTCTCAAGACTTTTATGGCCGGGGGCAATGGCTCATGCTTGTAATTCCAACACTTTGGGAGGCCAAGGCCGGCGGATCACTTGAGGCCAGGAGTTTGGGACCAGCCTGGCCAACATGGTGAAACCCCGTCTCTACTAAAAATACAAAAAAAGAAAAAAAGAGAAAAAGACTTCGCCTTTAGAACCTAACCACCAGACCATGAGGAAGCCCCAGGTAAGACACGAAGAGGCCGACATGGAAGGGAACCAAGGCTGCAGCCAGGAGCCAACATCAACCCCAAGGCAGGTGAATGAATGAAGCTTCAGAAGTTCCTGATCTGCAGCTTTTGGGCTTTCCAGCTAAGACCTCAGACATTGTGGAGCAGAGACAAGCTGTCCCCGCAGTGCCCTGTCTGAATTCTGACTCACAGAATCTGTGAGTACAAAGAATGATTTGTTTTCACAATTAAGTTTTAAGAAAATTTGCTATGCAGCCTTAGTAACTAGGACAGAGACCTCCAATGACAACAAACAGTGTCTGTGGTTCTTTTTGGCCTCCCCTGACCCTTCACTCTGCTTTGCTGCCCAAAAGCAGCTCTGGACAAGGAGACAGACACACATTCCCAGTGGCCTCCGTGAATAGCCAGGGCCTCTAACAGTCACAGCAGCCTGTGGCCTGAGCAACACCCCCTGCCCACATGCCCCTCGGGGTGCTGCTGGCGCTGGGAGGTTGTGATGGGCTGGGCACAGGGAAGCCCCACACCTGCATCGTGCTGTGTCTGTGCACTCAGTAAGTGCTTGTCAAAACAGCTCGCAGGCCGGGCATGGTGGCTCATGCCTATAATCCCAGCAATTTAGGAAGCCAAGGTGGGAGGACCATTTGAGTCCAGGAGTTCGAGAGCAGCCTGGGCAACATAGTGAGACCCCCATCTGTATGAAAAAAAATTTTTTTTAATTAGCCAGGCATGGTAGTGTGCACCTATAGTCCCAGCCACTTGAAAGGCTGAGGCAAAAGGATCATGTGATCCTGGGAGGTCACAGCTGCAGGGAGCTATGATCCCACCACCGTACTGCAGCTTGGGTGAAGGAGTGAGACCCTGTCTGGGAAAAAAAAAAAAAGAATAAGTGGCTCATAGGGGCAGCGAGTGGAGTGGACGAGAACCTGGAACCTGGTGGCACCTGTCTGGGTTCAAACTCCAGCCCACAGCCCTTGGAAGTTCCCTGACTTCCCAAAGCCTCCGTTTCCTCCTCTGTAAAAGGGGAATGATCACAATGCTTGAATCACAGAGTAGTTACAAACATTGATGAGCCGAGTTTGGAACAGGTGGGTGATTCACAAACGCTTCCTGGAAGGAAATAATATGCCAATGGAAGCCCTCTGAAAAGAGGCGACCCCCATCAAAAACCCACAAACATAAGGGGGAGTAGTTACTGGAAGTTCACGGTTCAAAAATGCAGAGAGGTAAACTGAGGCCCGGGGAGGGACGAGGCCCTTACCTCGAGAACAGCTCACGCAGGCCGTGCAGCGGCCGGCCTCGTCCAGGTAGTAGTCGGGCTCACACTGCTTTCTGCAATCACCAGACCCCTCTGGGCATGGCTGTGTTGGGGACAGACCTGGGGAAAGAAGCAGAGAAGCTGCAGGCCAGGCCGCCTTGGCAAAGGCCTCACTCCCCACCCAACCCTGAAGCCCCCCATCCCTCACCGTGGCCAGCTCCCAAACTCCGCATGTCAGCTCAGTCCAGCCTTTCAGAGGGAGTCCTGAGGCTCAGAGAGGACAGGAATGCTGCGTGCATTCCACACGAGAGGAGGGTACTCATTGCCCCCCAACCAGCCCCTGCCCACTGTTCCTCCTGAGGCCACCATGCCACAGCTTCCCCCAACCCTGTCTCATGGCTCTGTCACTCCCCTGCTCAAAACTTTGGGAACAGCTTCCCTGAGAGCTCAGCACACTAGCGTAACTCCTGTTCAGAATGGTATTGGGCAGGGAGGGGCTGGGTGCCTCCTGCCTCCCTCTTTTAAAGACTGGTGTGGGCCGGGCGCGGTGGCTCACGTCTGTAATCCCAGCACTTTGGGAGGCTGAGGCGGGTGGATTACTTGAGGCCAGGAGTTTGTGACCAGCCTGGCCAACATGGTGAAACCCCGTCTCTACTAAAAAAAAGAAAAGTAGCCAAATGTGGTGGCAGGCGCCTGTAATCCCAGCTACTCGGGAGGCTGAGGCAGGAGAATTGCTTGAACCCAGGAGGCGGAGGTTGCAGTGAGCCGAGATCACGCCACTGCACTCCAGTCTGGGCGACAGAGCAAGACTCACCTCAAAAAAACAAACCACAAACAAACAAACAAAAGACATCATAGAGAGAATAAGCAAAGCCATGGAGCGGGAGAAGGTACAACTATAGGAAAAGAGCTCCAACCCAAAATTGTTAGAAGTCCCACAAATCCATTTTTTTTACAAAACCAACCCAAGAGAAAGGAAAGCACATACACGCAAAGATGTATTTTTCTTTCTTCATTATAGTCAAAAGGCAGAAACAACCCAAATATTCAAAAACTGGATAAACAGAGCTCGGCATATCTACGCCATGGAGGGCTATTCAGTAATAAAATGGGACTAGGTTGGGCGCGGTGGCTCACGCCTGTAATCCTCCCAGCACTTTGGGAGGCCGAGGTGGGCGGATCACCTGAGGTCGGGAGTTCGAGACCAGCCTGACCAACATGGTGAAATCCCATCTCTACTAAAAATACAAAGTTAGCCAGGCGTGGTGGTGGGCACCTGTAATCCCAGCTACTCAGGAGGCTGAGGCAGGAGAATCGCTTGAACCCAGGAGGTGGAGGTGGCAGTGAGCCGAGATTGCGCCACTGCACTCCAGCCTGGGCAACATGAGCGAAACTCCGTCTCAAAAAAAAGAAAAAGAAAAATGACTGAGGGTCGACCCTTCGCCATGGAGACCAGGAGGGCATCAGATGGACACGTGCAGAGGCTGGCCAGCTGAGTCGCAAGTGTCACAACAGCAGAGTGGGACCCATTTCCCTCTGACAAACCAACGTAGAGGGAAATAGAGGGAGAGATGGGGCACGGGTGTCCGGCACAAGGCAGGCCCTCTGCACTGCTGGCAAATGAATGAGCCCTCTGGTGTCTACCTCTGCCCCTCAATGCTTTCAGCCCTAGATCATACCTTACCACCGTCTTCTCTCCCCACCAGGAAAAGACCACAGATCACTGCCCGCCTGCTCCAAACACCCCCACTCATGGGCCATCCACCAATCGAGCACCCCAGGGAGACGACCCACAGCTTCATGGGGAAATTACCTGGATCTGAACTAGGCCTTCCCACAGAGGAGGGAGAGTCGGGAGCCCTCGTCAGTTTAGAAGCAGCTTCCTGGGCGAGGCGGGTGCCCCCTCTTACAGGCATGGTGCTGGCACTGGAGGTTGCTGGGGACACCGGGGTGGGCTTGGCCTGGGGGATGGTGCCACTGGGGAAGAAGCCAGAGATGGGACTGATAATTCTGCCAATGGGGCAAGGGAGGCCTGTGCTCACGAGTAACAGTTTCCACAGAGATGGGGTCCCAGGCCCTTGGCCCACTGCCTCTGGCGGGCCCACTGTAAGCTCCTGGGAGCAAGGCCTGTGTTTTCTAAGCCCTGTGGGTCTCCCATGTGCTCAGGGCAGGGCTGGGCACACCCTAGGGCCTCAAATGATCTGAGGGGCTTGGCAGAGAGGCACCCCAAAGTGCTGACACCATGGGCTGAATCCCGCTTACACCCCCAGCCCAGTTGTACCATGGGCGTCCTGTGGGGTGGGGCAGCCTCATCTGAAAGCCAGCTTGGGGGAAGAGGAGGAGGCAAAGCCAGGGAGTCACCTGGAGGGTTCCTTGCAGTTCTCTGGGCTGGCACAGGCAGGGCTGACCCCTGGGGAAGCCGGCTCACAGACCGTGTTCTTCTGCGCCGTGCCTGCAGGGGGGACAGCAGTGCCTTCAGAATCAGTGTTGGGGACCCAAAGTCTCCCGGAATACACCCTTCACTACCACAGGCCAGAGTCGGAGATGGGGCCCTTGGAAAACACAGCAGTCATCTGGAGGTGGCACCCGCCTGGCACCCGTTCCCCTTCAGAGTAAAGCAGCCTATCTTTCCCTGGGGAATTACTCTCCCTCTGATCTCAGCATCTGTGGTTAGGGGTTGGGACCGACTGAACCCCCTTTCCCGAGTGGCCATGAGACCAGGCTGGACCAATCAATCCGTTGCATTCCTCTGGCCACGATGAGCCAGTTCAGGGACGGACATGTGACCCAAGCCTGTGAGGTAGAATTTAAAGATTCTGGTTTGGGATTTAAAGGTTTTGGTTTTGGATATTAAAAATGTAAGAAAGGGAAGCTGTCTTCCCACTGGCGCTGGGCAGAGCTGCTTGTAAGTATCTTGCCGATGAACCAACAGAGAGGGAAATAGAGGTGAGAGATGGGGCAAGATGGAGCCCTGGATCCAGCCATGCCTGAAGCTTCTCAGAGCTATCCCCAGACTTTTAAGCTACATGTGCTAAAAAATTGGGGATTTTGCTACATGCAATCCAAGGAGTCCTGAAGAATGCTGGACAGAAGCAGAGTGGAGAAGAAAACACACACATCGTCTAGCCAGTGCCCCTCAGTTTGCCTGCTATGTCCTAACTGTGCCAGGAAAGTCCATTTTATTTACTTGTTTATTTATTTATTTGAGACAGAGTCTTACTCTGTCGCCCAGGCTGGAGTGCAGTGATGCAATCTCAGCTCACTGCAACCTCTGCCTCCCAGGTTCAAGCAATTCTCCTGCCTCAGCCTCCTGAGTAGCTGGGATTACAGGTGCCTGCAACCACGCCCGGCTAATTTTTAGTAGAGACAGGGTTTCGCCATGTTGGCCAGGCTGGTCTCGAACTCCTGACCTCAGGTGATCCACCCTCCTCAGCCTCCCAAAGTGCTGGGATTTCAGGCATAAGCTGCCGTGCCCAGCCCAGTCAAATGACTATAATCATACACTCTTCACCAGGCTGTCGTCAGGATAAACAGAAGAGTGCACGTGAGGTGCCCATCACATTGCATGACATATGGTAAATGCTATGTCCTTACACCCATCTGGACTCCCATCCCAACACTTAGAAGGTGACCCGTATGTCGCCAGGCACGGTGGCTCACACCTGTAATCCCAACACTTTGGGAGGCCGAGGTGGGCGGATCATGAGGTCAGGAGTTCGAGACCAGCCTGGACAACATAGTGAAACCCCATCTCTACTAAAATTACAAAAAATTAGCCGGGCATGGTGGCAGGTACCTGTAATCCCAGCTACTCAGGAGGCTGAGGCAGGAGAATCACTTGAATCCGGGAGGCAGAGGTTGCAGTGAGCTGAGATCACACCATTGCACTCTAGTCTGGGTGACAGATCGAGGCTCCATCACAAAAAAAAAAAAAATAAAAAAATGGTGGCCTGTATGTGTGGGACTTCGCTCTGAAGCTTTCCGTGGAGGTGAGCGCGAGCAATGCTGACCTCTCGTGTTCTGTGGCATGGTGGAGTGATGACACCTAAGCTTAGACATTTCCTGCTCTGTCTCCGCGGGCAATTTACCTCCCATCTCCGGACCTCGATTTCCACACCTGGAAAATGGGGCTAATACTGTCTGTCTTATGGAGACGTGAGAATTTCAGGAGAGACAGCCAGTGAAGGCTCTTAGCGTGGGGCTTGGCTGACTGGAGGCAGAAACTGCTTTCTATTTTACAGCTGGAAAAAAAACAACAACCCCGGAGAGCTGCCCCATGGGTGAGTCCACAGGGGACCCCAGAGATTAACCAGGGTTTGGCAGCTGAGATTAGAACACTTCTAAAACAGTGCTGTCCAACAGAGATATGCGAGTCACACAGGCCAGCTCAAATATTCTGGGAGCCACACTTTAAAAGGTAAAAAGAAATCAGTGCAATTAATTTTCATTATTTAACCCAGTATATCTAAAATATTACCATGTTTGCAGGCAATCAATATAAAAAATAATTAATTATATTCTTGTTTATACTAAGTTTTCGAAATCCAGTGCATATTGTACACACAGCACTTCTCAATGCAGACGTATCTGCATTTTTTTTATTTTTTATCGGATTTTTTTTTTGAAACAGAGTCTAACTCTGTCGCCCAGGTTGGAGTGCAGTGGCACAATCTCAGCTCACTACAACCTCCACCTCCCGGATTCAAGCAATTCTCATGCCTCAGCCTCCCAAGTAGTTGAGATTTCAAGCACCCGCCACCACACCTGGCCAACTTTTGTATTTTTAGTAGAGACGAGGTTTCACCACATTGGCCAGGCTGGTCTCAAACTCCTGACTTCAAGTGATCCGCCTGCCTCAGCCTCCCAAAATGCTGGAATTACAGGTGTGAGCCACCGCACCCGGCCCCTAGCTGCATTTTAAGTGCGTGGCCACGTGCCACGGGCCAGGGGCACTGCATTGGGCAGCTGGGGTCCAGGGGCAGCAAAGGGAGGCCTCTGGCGCCGCTGTGTGGCAGTCTCAGGAACACTGCCCAGACAGTCCCTCCAGCAGGAAGCCTTGGCTGGAACAACTGAACTCAAGATGTTTTTCACAAAGATGCAGAAGTTTCTGAGCTGGAAACTTTTGGGAAGTTTGGCCTTTTTGGAGAGGCCCCCAAGGCCTTCAGTTATACCTCCTCATTTGAGAGATGGGGAGACCGAGGTCCAGAGGCGGGTGGGAACATGCCCCACAGTTGCAAATCTTTGCAAAATCCTAGGTATCTGCTGCCCAGTCCACTCCAGCACTCTCCCCTGCTTATGGGTGGAGGCCTCCATCATTCCTTAGCAGAGCGCTCTCCCCCGACCCTGGAATTTGACCAGATTTGAACTCCACCCCCCCACCAGCTCGGAGCTCCCTGTCAGGTGTCCCCATATCTTAATTCAATGAATCTCTATGGGGAGCAGGTGCCATGCCTAGCATTTGATCAGGCAGTGGGGAGATGTTGATGGACACCAGGGGCATGGTCTTTGCCCTCAGGAAGCTTCCAGCCAGGGAGGGAGACAGACATTGATCAAGCCAAGAGACAGAGAGAGGTATGTATCCACATTTGCAAAGGACACAGTGCTACCAGCTTCCCTAGTGAGAGGCCAGGGAAGGCCTCTTGAGGAAGTGGGGTGGAGAGCTCAGGGCTGAGTAGGATTTGACTAAGTGAATGGGGAGGGAAGGGTGTCTCCGACAGAGAGAACAGCACGTGCAGAGGGCGGGTGGGACAGAGAAGCACACACGTCCTCCAACCTGGAAGAAGGGCAGCGCAGGTGGAGCCCAGAGAGTGAGGGCTTGGTGCTGAGAGCTGAAGCTGGGAGAAAGGAGGGGGCTGTGTTGGGATCACATCCTGAGACTCTGATTCTGGGAAGATGGCTTAGACACGTTTTCCCCTCATCCTCCCGCCAAGAACCGCTAAAAGCCCTGGACATTATGTACAAAATAAATGTAAGAAGGCTCTGAAACATGAAGAGAAGAAGGCAGGTCAACTGGGGGCCTTGGGACCTGAAGGACACCGTGGTGAGTCCCTGGAGTTTTCTTTTTTTTTTTTTTTTTTTGAGACGGAGTCTTGCTCTTGTCACCCAGGCTGGAGTGCAATGGCTCAATCTCAGCTCACTGCAACCACCGCCTCCCAGGTTCAAGTGGTTCTCCTGCCTCAGCCTCCTGAGTAAATGGAATTACAGGGCACCTGCTGCCAGGGCTGGCTAATTTTTGTATTTTTAGTAGAGATGAGGTTTCACCATGTTGGCCAGGCTGGTCTTGAACTCCTGACCTCAAGTGATCTGCCTGCCTTGGCCTCCCAAAGTGCTGGGATTACAGGCGTAAGCCACCACACCTGGCCTTGTGTCCTTATCTTTAGAGTAACAGGAAGATACTGAAGCATTTCAGGTATATATCCGTGTGTGTGTGTGTGTGTGTGTGTGAGACAGAGAGAGAGTGAGTGAGTGAGAGAGAGAGAGAGAGAGAGAGGATCAGATTCAGATTTGGTCTTGCAAGGGTCATTCTGGCTGTCTGCCATGGGGGCTGTATAAGAGAAGGTATTCGGGGTGAGAAGGTGGGGAAGATAATTGGAGGCCAAATCTACAGGACTCGAGGATGGGCTGGCTGTGAAGGATGAGGGAACGAGGGAAGGATAAAAGGGGCAGGCAGTGGTAGCGATGGGGGTGACTGCCAATCCCCAGGTTTGCACAACAGGGCATGGGACTCCAGAGAAGGACCTGGTTGGGGGAGGGACCACAGGCACTTTGTGGCACTTTTCTCCTCAGTGGACAGTGGACACAGGGCTGCCTCTGAGCCCATCTCCCCGGCTCCATACAGTCTGCAACTGCGGCAGCCACTCTGTGCTGTGCTCCAAAGCCCACCCACTCCTCATGCCTCCCTTCTGGAAGATGGTCCCAACTCCACCCAGACAGGTTCTGTGGCCCATACCCCTTCTCTGGTTAAAAGCAGCCCTGACACCTTGTACTATCAGAGAAGTAGAAGTCAGAGAGGTAAGAAACTTGTCTGAGGTCACACGATAAGTTGGAAAAGAAACCCAAGTTTCTCAAGTCTTGAGCCTGGGGCCAGATCTCTCAGCACCTCTAACTCCCAATGCCCTGAACCTGAAAGGGGGAAGCCAACCCCAATCTTCTAGGAAACTCCCAGGACAGAGACTTGAGGTTCCCTTCTTGTTTATGGGGCATCAGATAACTTCTGCCTTGAGCCTCAAACCAAAGCAAGACCTCCTCCAGCCAGGTCTATGCCAGGGGACAGCAGGGTCTCTCTGCACCTGGAACACAAGGTGGGGGAGGGCAGCAGAAGGGCTGGGTGCTGGGTACATCCCTGGCCCATCGCCAAAGGAGACATGATCTGTCCAACAGTCTCCGGGAAGCGGGAGGTCGGAAGTCAACAGTGCACTGGGGTGGGCGGAAGGTGCAGCAGCAACAGCATAGATCTCTGTCCTGAGTTAAGGGTGGGGACACTGACCTGGGAACTTGACAATCATCCCTGCCGGACAGACAGAATGGAAGAAGCAGCGGGCACAGGAGTTGACGGCAGACGTGGAACAGAACATGCCGGGTCGACATTCGCAGACACGGGAGGAGTTCCATGCACACGGCGTCTTCTCCACGAGGTCGTCTAAGGGACACAGACAGGGGTCACAGAGGGGAACAGAAGGAAGGCGTCTCTCCAGATAGCTCTTGAGATGAGGGGGAGAGGGCAGGTGCAGTCCGCAACGCAGCCTCCGCCTCCCAGCTCAACCCCCTGGTGACCACTAAAATTGGATTAAAAATTAAATTAATGTACCAATTTTTTAAAATGCAAAAAAATAAAAAAAAGACATGGAGGAAACTTAGATACATATTGCTAAATGAAAGACACCAGTCTGAAAAGGCCACACACTGTCATTCCAACTACATGACATTTCTGGAAAAGATGAAACTATCGAGACAGTAAAAAGATCAGTAGCTGCCAGAGGTTCAGGGGGAGGGAGAGGTGAACCAACGAGCTCAGGACACATTTAGGGCAGTGAAAATATTCTGGATGCCACGGTGATGGTGGGCACGTGGTCATCATCCGTTTGTCTAAAGCCCTAGAATGGGCAACACAAAGAGTGAACCCTGCTGTAAACTATGGACTTCAGTTAGTAATAATAATGCATCATTATCAGGTCATCAATGCTAACAATTGTGCCACACTAATGCAAGGTGTTCGTGACAGGGGAGGCTGGGTGCAGTGGCTCACGCCTTTAATCCCAGCACTTTGGGAGGCCGAGGCAGGAGGATCATTTGCCCTCATATGGCGACATAGTGAAATCCCATCTCTATAAAACATGGGCAACATGGTGAAATCCCGTCTCTACAAAAAAAAAATACAAAAATTAGCCAGGCATGGTAGCACATGCCTGTAGTCCCAGCTACTTGGGAGGCTGAGGCGGGAGGATCGCTTGAGCCCAGGAGGTTGAGGCTGTAGTGAGCTGTGATTGCACCACTGCACTCCAGCCTGGGCAAAAGAGTGATACCCTGTTTCAAACAAAAAATAGGGGAAACTGTGGGAGATTGGGAAGGGGGTTGAGGGTATATAGGAACTCTGTATTTTCTGTTCAATTTTCCTGTAAACCTAAAACTGCTCTAAGAAATAGTTTATTAATTTTTTTTTTTTTAAGACAGAGTCTCACTCTGTCACCCAGGTTGGAGTGCAATGGCGCAATCTCGGCTCACTGCAACCTGGGTTCAAGTGATTCTCCTGCCTCAGCCTCCTGAGTAGCTGGGATTACAGGCACACACCACCACGCCCAACTAATTTTTTGTATTTTTATAGAGACGGGGTTTCACCACGTTGGCCAGGATGGTCTCAAACTCCTGACCTCAGGTGATCCACCCGCCTCGGCCTCCCAAAGTGCTGAGATTACAGGCGTGAGCCACTGCACCCAGCCAGAAATAGTTTATTAATTTTTTTAATGGACAAAGGACTGGAATAGACATTTCTCTAAAGAAGATACACAGCTGGCCAATAAACACATGAAAAATGTCCCACACCGTTAGCCATTAGGGAAATGCAAGTCAAAATCACAGTGAGATACCACTTCACAACCACTAGAATGACTCGAATCAAAAAGACAGATAATAACAACTGCTGGCAGGAAAAGCAGGAAATCACAGGTTGGTTAACAGACATAAAAAGTACAGCTAGGCGGGGAGTGGTGGTTCACACTTGTAATCCCAGCACTTTGGGAGGCCGAGGTGGGCAGATCACCTGAGGTCAGGAGTTTGAGACCAGCCCGGCCAACATAGTGAAACCCTGTCTCTACTAAAAATACAAAAATTAGCCAGGTGTGGTGGTGCACACCTGTAATCCAAGCTACTGGGGAGGCTGAGACAGGAAAATCACTTGAACCCGAGAAGTGGAGGTTGCAGTGAGTTGAGATGGCCCCACTTCACTCCAGCCTGGGCAAAAGAGCGAGACTCCGTCTCAAACAAAACAAAACAAAACAAAAATAGCACTGGTAAAACTAATAATTAATGTGTAACAGGCCTGGAGACCAAGAAGGGGCAAGCTTGGCAGATCAGAAACGAAGACAACTCCCCGAAATACGGAAGGCAGAGGACAGATAAGATCAGAGTGAAGGAGACCACAGCCCAGAATGCAGCCAAGGGGGACTCTCTGAAGAAGGGGGAAAGGCTCTGGATAGCTCCTCATCACTCATGCCACAGAGCCAGAGGCCACGCGTCTTCCCGCAAAGAGACTGTTGCAGCCCCACCTGAGCCCCATTGCCCTCAGAGGTGGGTTTCAGAAGCCCCATTCGCAGACCACCGGCATCATGAGATATGATGTGCACAGAACTAGAAGTCGCCAAACATCAGAGGAAAACCAGCGCCAAGGAAGAGGAGCTCTGAATGCAAAGAGCACTAACACTCAAGGAGGCAGAAAAGAGGGAAAACAGAACAAAACATTAGAAATGATACCTTCACGCACCACAGAGCAACATTTCAGTCAACAATGGATGGCGTACATGATGATGGTCCCACAAGATCATAATGGAAGCCGGGCGCGGTGGCTCACGCCTGTAATCCCAGCACTTTGGGAGGCCGAGGAGGGCGGATAACCTGAGGTCAGGAGTTCAAAACCAGCCTGGCCAACATGGTGAAATCCCGCCTCTCCTAAAAAAAATACAAAAATTAGCCAGGCATGGTGGCGCATGCCTGTAATCCCAGCTACTTGAGAGGCTAAGACAGGAGAATCGCTTGAACCCAGGTTGCAGTGAGCCGAGATTGCGCCATTGCACTCCAGCCTGGGCAACAGAGCAGGACTCCATCTCAAACAAAAAAAACAATAAAAGAGATTATAATGGAGCTGAAAAATTCCTATTGCCTAGTGATGTCATAGCCACGGCAATGTCGTAGCACGTGCGTTACTCCCATGTTTGTGGAGATGTTGGTATAAACAAACCTACTGCCCTGCCAGTTGTATAAAAGTGCTGCATAGCACATGCAATTATGGATAGTATGTAATACTTGATAATGATCATAGAAAGCTATATTGCTGGTTTACGTACTTACTGTACTATACTTTTTATCATTTTTTTTTTTTGAAACAGGGTCTTGCTCTGTTGCCCAGGCTGGAGTGCAGTGGCATGATCACAGCTCACTGTAACCTCAACTTCCTGGGCTCAAGCCATCCTCCCACCTCAGCCTCCTGAGTAGCTGGGACTACAGGCGCATGCCACCACACCCAGCTAATGTATTTTATCTTGTGTAGAGATGGGGATCTCACTGTGTTGCCCAGGCTGGTCTCAAACTCCTGGCCTCAAGTGATTCTCCCAGCCTGGCCTCCCTAAGTGCTGAGACTGCAGGCATCAGCCACCAAGCCGGCCTTATCATTATTTTAGAGTGTACTCCTACTTATTAAAACAAAAGTTAACTGTAATACAGCCTCAGGTAGGTCCTTCTGCAGGTATCCAGAAGAAGGCATTGTTATCATAGGAGACGATACTCCATGCATGTTACCTTACCGCTCCTGAAGACCTTCCAATGGGACAGGATTCTTTTTTTTTTTTTTTTGAGACAGAGTCTCATTCTGTCACCCAGGCTGGAGTGCAGTAGCACAATCTCAGCTCACTGCAACCTCCGCCTCCCGGGTTCAAGCAATTCTCCTGCCTCAGCCACCTGAGTAGCTGGGATTACAGGCGCATGCCAACGTGCCCGGCTAATTTTTATATTTTTAGTAGAGATGGGGTTTCACCATGTTGGCCAAGCTGGTCTTGAACTCTTGACCTCAAGTGATCTGCCCACCTCGGCTTCCCAAAGTGCTGGGATTACAGGTGTGAGTCACTGCACGCTGCCAATGGGACAAGATTTGGAGGAGGAAGACGGTGATTCTGATGATCCTGACTCTGTGTAGGCCTCGGATAATGTAGGTGTTTGCGTCTCAGCTTTTAATTTAAAAATGTTAAAAATAATAAAATAATAAAATTTTAAAGTAGAAAAAAGTGTAATGAATAAGGCTATAAAGAAAATATTTTTGTACAGCTGTACGATGTGTTTGTGCTTTAAGCTAAGTGTTATTACAAAAGAGCCAAAAGTTTAAAAAGTTAAAGTTTATAAAGTGAAAAAGTTGTTTAATTTATTATTGAAGAAAGAAAAATGTGTCTTATAAATTTAGTATAGCCTAAGTGTACAGTGTTGATAAAGTCCACAGTAGTGCATAGTAATGCCCCAGGCCTTCGCACTCACCCACCACTTACTCATTGACTCACCCAGAACAACTTCGTGTCCTGCAAGCTCCATTCACGGTAAGTGCCCTGTACAAGTGTGCCATTTTTTTTATCTTTCATATCATATTTTTTTTTTAGATGGTGTCTCACTCTATCACCCAGGCTGGAGTGCAGTGGCATGATCTCGGCGCACTGCAACCTCCGCCTCCCAGGTTCAAGCAATTCTTCTGCTTCAGCCTCTTGAGTAGCTGGGACTACAGACACGTGCCACCACGCCCAGCTAATTTTTGTATTTTTAGTAGAGATGGGGTTTCGCCATGTTAGCCAGGCTGGTCTCGAACTCCTGACCTCAGGTAATCCACCCTCCTCGGCCTCCCAAAGTGCTGGCATTACAGGTGTGAGTCACTGTGCCCGGCCTATGTCGTATTTTTATTGCACCTTTTCTATGTTTAGATACACAAATACTCACATTGTGTCACAGCTGCCTACAGTATTCAGGACAGTCACATGCTGTGCAGAGTTGTAGCTTAGGAGCAAAAGGATCTGCCATAGAACCTAGGTGTGCAGTAGGCTACATCATGTAGGTGTGTGTAAGTACACTAATCTAGGATGCTTGCACAACGACAAAATTGCCTAATGACACGTTTGTCAGAATGTATTCCTGTCAATAAGCAATACATGACTATAATTTATATCCTCAGAGACACACAAAAAAATTGTAAGTTGGGTGCAGTAACATGCAAGTGCAGCCCCAGCTACTCGGGAGGCTGAGGCAGGAGGAACACTTAAGCCCTGGAGTTTAAGGCCAGCCTGGACAACAAAGTGAGACCCTGTCTTAAAATTTAAAGATAAGAAATTGGGCCGGGAATGGTGACTCACACCTGTAATCCCAACACTTTAGGAGGCCAAGGCGGCTGGATCACTTGAGGTCAGGAGTTTGAGACCAGCCTGGGCAACATGATGAAACCCCATCTCTTCTAAAAATACAAAAATTAGCCAGGCGTGGTGGTGCATCCCTGTAATCTCAGCTACTCAGGAGGCAGGAGAATCGCTCGAATCCAGGAGGTAGAGGTTGTAGTGAGCCGAGATTGCACCACTGCACTCCAGCCTGGGCGACAGAGTCAGACTCTGTCTCAAAAAGAAAAAAAAGAAAACAAAAATATAGGCAACAGACAAGCATCCTCAAACATGAAATAACAGAGAATATTGCAAAGACGAGCCCTTCTTGAAAAATCCACCTGACAGTGTAATCCAATCACTCAAATGATGAATCAAAGTGAAAAACTCAGGAACAGAGAAGCTGTGCCAAATAAACTCATCATGAATAATAAAAAATGTTAAGGCTAACATGCCAAGGGACTTATGGTTGCAGATGAGAATATAAACATTATAGATTATGACAAAGTAAAATTTGTGTAAGGAATAAAAGTCAGGAAGAGGATGAGGAGGTGGGAAAAATAATTACTTTGTTCTTCATTACAGGGAGTCAATCTATTCTCTACTGTCCAAAACTCAAACTAAGCAGATTTTGCCTTTACTGCAAGAGATAGTAGATTCTGAAATGATTATTAACCACTTACTGATTTTCATAACCTCCTTTCTTAATTTTAGAGGGTTTTTTTTTTTAAAGGAATTGCAGTATCTTTTGCTGAAGATACATTAATCTGACTGAGGTTTGGCATTCTTCTGTTTCACTTCGCTTTCTTTTTCTGATACTTTTGACTAAAATTAAATATTATCATTTTAATGCCATAAATATGTTGCCATTCTCTTAAAATTCCTTCTTTGTAAGTGTGTACAGGCTGTCTGGTTACTAACCTACCCATCTTTATACAGAGAGGTAGAGGCGTGTCAGCCATCTAATGATAATAGTAGTTATCTATAGATGGAGGGCTGGGGAGGGCAATGTTTGTTTTCTTCCTTACACTCTTTGTATTGCTTGAATTTTAAATAATAAATGTTTATAATTTTCATTTCATAAAATGCAGTCATTACTTTTAGAAATTCAAAGATACACCAGATAAATGCTAATAAAAAGAAAGAAGAAATGGCAATATTATTATTACTTTTCTTTCTTTTTAACCTTTGCTACTTCTTCCAGGAAGGAATAGCAATATTAATGCCAAACAAATGTGAAATTAAGGGAAAAGGCATTACAAGGAATGGAGAGGTATATTCATGTGGATAAAAAGCCCAACCCACCAAAAAAACATAACATTCATGAACATTTATGTACCTAATAACATAGCTTTGACATATATGAAGCAAAAATAGAAAGAACACAATGAAAATCTAATAGATGAACAAGTATACTGGGAGATAAGATTTTAACACATCTCTCAGAAATAAAGGTGATAAAAGTAAATAAGGGTACACATTATTTAAATAACACAATTAACAAGCTTAACTTAATAGATATGTAGAGAACTTTATACGCAACAAACAGAATACACATTTTAAAACACCCATACACTGAACACTCTGAAAATACATGATCATTTATTATTTATTAGACCACAAAAAGATCTCAACAAATTTCCCCCACCCTACCCCCCAAAAAAATCCACACAAAAATAAACACTAGATAGCACACAGACTGCATTCTCTAACCATAATAAGAGACTAACAATAAAAGGTCATACTGAAACAGTTTTCCTGGAAGTCCTGTGATCTTAGGAAAAGAACACAGCTCTTGGTGTCAGGCCACAACTCAAACTCCAGTTCTGCCACTTACCAGAGTTTTGTAACTTTGGAAAGGCCCTTAACCTCCCTATCCTCAAATTCCTCATTGTAAAGTAAGGATAAGCAAGAAATCCTCCCCTAGGGCTGTGGTGAGGATTAAACTCAAAAAAATGTGAGTCCTCTCCTTCAGGAAACATGTTAAGTCTCTGTGAAAGTATGGATGCAAAAGGTCATGGCTGATATCAAATCACAAATGCAGAGAGGTAAACTGAGGCACCAGGAGGACAATTCAGAGAACAGACATCAAATCATGATGCTCTCCACCTTCCAGATTCTTCACCTCTCCTCTGAGGACCCCTCATGCTCCCTAGAAGGAGGCCCTGGAGAGAGAACAAGGCCCTTACCTCGAGAACAAGTCACGCAGGCTGTACAGCGGTCGGCCTCATCCAGGTAGTAGTCAGGCTCACACTGCTTCCTGCAGTCAGTAGGCCTCTGTGGGCACTGCTGTGTCGGGAACAGCCCTGGGAAAAGAAACAGAGAAGCTCCAAGCCAGGCTGACTTAGCAAAGGCCTTATGACCCAATGCCCCACACCTCTCATCCCTGACGCCCCTCCCAGCTCCACCTCCAACCCCCGAAAACTGTCAGTCCAATTCTTGTGTTATGGATGGAAGCACTGACACCCAGGAGGGGCAACCCTCGCCTAAGGTCCCCTAGCAGGCAAGGAAAAGCAACATAGTTATAGAGAAGAGCTGGGCCTGGGATTCTAGGGCTGCCATTTGCCAATTGCGTGATAATGACCTTGTCAGCACTATTTGTGTGTGTGTGTGTGTGAGGGTACATAGTACGTGTATATATTTAGCACTATTAAGTTAGTAATAGGACCCACCTCCTAGTGTTCTTGAAAGGACTGAATGGACTGTGAAGATAAATATGTATAAAGTACTACAGCAGTCCCTGGCACCCAACAAGCACTATATGAGCACCGGTTGTCATCATTCTCTGCAGGGGTCTTATCTCACTGCAGGAATTAGGAGAGCCATAACTTTAGACCATGAAAGTCTAGACCAAGCTTGTCCAACCCACGACTAGCCGCATTCGGCCCAGGACAGCTCTGAATGAGGCCCAACGCAAACTCATAAACTTTCTTAAAACATTATGAGATTTGCGTGTGTGTGATTTTTTTTTTTTTTTTTTTTAGCTCATCAGCTATAAGCTAAAACACTATCCTTAGTGTTAGACTAAATTCACTTCTTCCACACTAACACTTCTTCTTCCAATGTGGCCCAGGGAAGCCGAAAGATTGGACACTCCTGCCACTAAGACCCTAATCCAGCCTGATTTCGAGATAAACAAGTCACCCAGCAATCGCTGCCTACCTTGCTTCCAGGATGAGCACATGACCCAAGCAGGCCAATCAGAATACTTCTTCCCATCAATATAATTGGCTCAGGATTGCCACATGACCCAAGCAGGCCAATCAGAGTACTCCATGTTCCTCACCACTGTGATTAGTTTAGTATGGGCACATGACCCAGGCATGCCAGCCAATAAGCCTCATCTCTGAGAGTTTCACAAAAGCAATCCAGAAAGATGTCCTCCGTTTATCTACTGGATTCCTGGCTGAAAGGGCTAGTTAAGCCCAGAGCTGCCCAGGTCATCACAGCCTGAGCGTGGGCATGGTGTGGGCAGGACTTGCCTAAGAAGGAGGTGACTCAGAAGCCAGCAGAAGCCAGAGTTGGAGAGAAATGGGCTCCTGAGGACATCGTTCAAACATCTGAATGTAGGGTGTCCATGGACTTCTCTGTTAGGGAGCCAATTATTTCTCTTTTGTCTTATTTGAGCCCTTCTGCCAGTTACAATGAAAATAGACCAGGGGGTTCCCAATATTTCTTGTGCCCCTAATCATTCTAAGGAAGCCTGTGGACACTGCACAGAATCATGAATTCATGAATAAAATATGCAGGAATGCAGAGGAATCCAACTACCTTGGAATATGGTTATCAAAGCATTAAACAAAATAACATATAGTAACAGGCCGGGTGCGGTGGCTCACGCCTGTAACCCCAACACTTTGGGAGGCCGAGGTGGGTGAATCACATAAGGTCAGGGGTTCAAGACCAGCCTGGCCAACGTGGTGAAACACCGTCTCTACTAAAAATACAAAAATTAGCTGGGTGTCGTGGCAGGCGCCTGTAATCCCAGCTACTGGGGAGGCTGAGGCAGGAGAATCACTTGAACCCGGGAGGCGGAGGTTGCAGTGAGCCGAGATCGTGCCATTGCACTCCAGCCTGGGCAACAGGAGCGAAACTCCATCTCAAAAAAAAAAAAAAAGATACAGTAACATGTGATTCTTTGTAAACTCATTAAATAATAGGGTAAAATAACTCCACAGTTTCAAAGCAATGATGAGCCCAGACAACATTTCACAACATCTGCAGCTACTGTAATATAATCTGAGAATATCTATGATTTCCGCTGAGGACAAAGCCGTGTACTACAATTACCACTGTGCTTTGTTGCCTTAATTCATAATGGGCGGAATTCATAAGTGAATTTTAGCTAGAAGCTAATTAAAATAATTGAATCCATTCAGGTTCATGAACCCTGTGAAATCTACCTTTGAGTCCATGGACCCCAGGGTAAGCACCTCTGCCCTAGAACAACACGCAAGAACCTCTCAAAAATACTAGCTTCGAGCCGGGTGCGGTGGGTCAAACCTGTAATCCCAGCACTTTCGGAGGCCGAGGCGCATGGATCATTTGAGGTCATAAGTTCAAGACCAGCCTGGCCAACATGGTGAAACCCCGTCTCTACTAAAAATACAAAAATTAGCCGGGCATGGTGGTACACTCCTGTAATCCCAGCTACTCAGGAGGCTGAGGCAGGAGAATTGCTTGAACCTGGTAGGCGGAGGTTGCAGTGAGCCGAGATCGCGTCACTGCACTCCAGCCTGGGCGATAGAGTGAGACTCCGTCTCAAAAAAAAAAAGCAAAAAAAAAAAAAAAAACTAGCTTCATGGCTGTCACTCTTTAACTCAGACACTTCAGTAGTTCCCCAGTAGTCTGAGAGGTAAATCTGACCCCTTCACTCCTTGCTGAAAACTTTCAAAGGCTTCTCATGGCTCCCAGGATGGGTCCTTACCATGGCTAGTGAGGTTCGGCTCACCTATGTCCCCCTTGCCCTCTGATCTCTAGCCACACTGGCATCTCCCTGTTCCCCAAAGGGGCAATGCTCCCTTCTGCCACCCCAGGGCCTTTGCACAAGCTGGTCCTCTGCCCCGAATGCTCCTCTCCCCTAGTAACTCCCACTCAGCCTTCACATCATGATCAAAGCATCACTGTCTCAGAGCCTTGGTCGTGATCCCCAATAAAAACAAAGACTCATTTCCTTGCCCTTCAACACCTAACTGTTGTAATCACACATTTATTTGTGAGCTCAATCTTCACAGTGTCTAAATTCCCCATAAGAATGTCAGCTCCATCGGGTGCGGTGGCTCACGCCTATAATCCCAGCACTTTGGGAGGCTGAGGTGGGCGGATTTTTTTTTTTTTTTTTTTTTTTTGAGACAAAGTCTTGCTCTGTTGCTCAGGCTGGAGTGCAGTGGCAGGATCTCAGCTCACTGCAACCTCCGCCTCCCAGGTTCAAGTGATTCTCCTGCCTCAGCTGAGATTACAGGCAATCACCACCATGACCGGTTAATTGTTTGTATTTTTAGTAGAGACGGGGTTTCACCGTGTTAGCCAAGATGCTCTCGATCTCCTGACCTCATGATCCGTCCCGCCTTGGCCTTCCAAAGTGCTGGGATTACAGGCGTGAGCCACCGCACCCAGCCCAGGCGGATCATTTGAGGTCAGGAGTTTGAGACCAGCCTGACCAACATGGTGAAACCTCATCTCTACTGAAAATGCAAAAATTAGCCAGGCGTGGTGGTGCACACCTGTAATACCAGCTACCTGGGAGGCTGAGGCAGGAGAATCACTTGAACCCAGGAGGCAGAGGTTGCAGTGAGCGGGCATAGCGCCACTGCACCCCAGCCTGGACAACGAAGCAAGACCCTGTCTCAAGGAAAAAAAAAAGTCAGCTCCTTGAGGATGAGTCTTTCTATGTCCACTCACCAATGCCTCCCCTATCATAGGGCCTCACACATATTTCATTAAAACATGTTCTGTCAACCTAGTTCATACGGCATTCCCCAGCCTGCACTCCCAGGCCTCACACTGTGTCTCCATCTTCCCAGTCTGGCATTCTAGTACATTGCTCACTTCATGCACTCTCTACTACAGCCAGTCTGGGTATCTTGATCTTTTCTCTAACACCCCTCATACATCCTGAATGTTGGTATGGATTAAATTGTGTCTCCCCAAAAAAATATATATGCTGGAGTCCTAACCCCCAGTACCTCAGGATGTGACTTTATTTGGAGGTAGGGGCTCTGAAGAGGCAATCCAGTTAAAATGAAGCCGCTAGGGTGGGCCTAATCTAATCTGACCGGTGTTCTCATGAAAAGGGGAAACTTGGCCGGTGCGGTGGCTCACGCTTGCAATCCCAGCATTTTGGGAGGCCGAGGCGGGCAGATCACCTGAGGTCAGGAGTTCAAGACCACCCTGGCCAACATAGCGAAACCCCGTCTCTACTAAAAATACAAAAATTAGCAGGGCATGGTGGCATGTGCCTGTAATCCCAGCTACTCGGGAGGCTGGGGCAGGAAAATCACTTGAACCTGGGAGGTGGAGGTTGCAGTGAGCTGAGATTACACCACTGCACTCCAGCCTGGGCAACAGAGGGAAACTCTGTCTCAAAAAAAATAAAAAGAGGTCGGGCGCGGTGGCTCACACCTATAATCCCAGCACTTTGGGAGGTCGAGGCAGGCGGATCACGAGGTCAGGAGATCGAGACCATCCTCGCTAACATGGTGAAACCCTGTCTCTCCTAAAAATACAAAAAAATTAGCCGGGTGTGGTGGCGGGCGCCTGTAGTCCCAGCTACTTGGGAGGCTGAGGCAGGAGAATGGCGTGAACCCGGGAGGCGGAGCTTGCAGTGAGCAGAGATCACGCCACTGCAATCCAGCCTGGGTTACAGAGTGAGACTCTGTCTCAAAAAAAAAAAAAAAAGACAAGAAAAATAAAAGAAAAGGGGAAAATTGGACATTTTCAGGCACGGTAACTCATGCCTGTAATCCCAACACTTTAGGAGGCTGAAATGGAAGGATCACTTGAGGCCAGGAGTTTGAGACTAGCCTGGGCAACAAGGCAAGACCCCATCTACAACAATAGAAAATTAGCCAGGTGTGATGTCACATTGTACTCCTAGCTACTCAGAAAGGCTGAGGTGGGAGGATCACTTCAGCCCAGGAGTTAGAGGTTGCAGTGGGCTATGATCATGCCACTGCACTCCAGCCTGGGTGACAGAGCAAAACCCTGTCTCTGAAACAATACAATACAGTACAGATGAAATAAAATAAATAAGAAAAGGGGAAATTTGGACACAGAGACAGATGTGCACACAGGGAGAATGCCATGTGAAGATTGGAGTTATGCTGCCACAAGCCAGGCGACCCCAGTCCCCAGCCGGGGACCAGTACCAGTCCATGGCCTGTTAGGAACGGGGCCACACAGCAGGAGGTGAGTGACGGTGAGCGAGCATTACCTCCTGAGCCCCACCTCCTATCAGATCAGTAACTGCATTAGATTCTCATAGGAGCGCAAACCCTATTGTGAACTGCACGTGCAAGGGATCTAGGTTGCATGCTCCTCATGAGACTCTAATGCCTGATGATCTGAGATGGAACAGTTTCATCTCAAAACCATCCCTGACCCCCCTTCATGGGAAGAATCATCTTCCACAAAACCAGTCCCTGGTGCCAAAAAGGTTGGGGACCACTGGTTTAAGCCACTCAGCCTGAGGTACTTTGTTACAGCAGCCCCAGCAAACTAACACAAATGTTCTTCCTGCAGGCTAAGTGGCTTCTCCATCTTCCACCCACTGGGAACCCTTCACACCCAGCCAGATCAGGCTGAAATACCATCTTCTCATGGAACTTTCCTGATCATCTGACCCCACCCAGATCCTCTCTCTGGGTCCCTTTAAAATCACCCTCTCAGAGCACCCAGAGCCTGCTCTGCCAGGGTGTGGCAGGCCAGACCTACCAAGATGTACCACCCCAGGAGCAGTTCCACCAATGTTTGATGGACATTGGCATATAAATACCCCAGCTCCCTCACCCTCAGCTGTTCTGCACTGGCTCCCAGAGGCCCCCAGAGGGATTAAGCCCCAGTTGCCCACAGCAGTAACTAGCTTTCTAACACAACTTTATAAGCTGCCTTCCCTTCCGTCTGCCACTTCCCTACTTCCAAATTGGTGTTTCCAGGCATCACCAACTGTACTCAGATCATTGCCTCAAAGTCTGTGCATCAGTCTGCTCAGGCTGCCATAACAAACTACGACAGACAGCAGGGTGGCTTAAACAACAGAAATTAATTGTCAGCTCTTGAAGCCAGAAGTCCAAAATCAAGGTATGGGCAGGGCTAGTTTCTTCTGAGCTCTTTCTCTCTGACTTACAGATGGACTGTGTTCCCCATGTCCTCCCACAGTCTTGTCTCTGTGTATATCTGTGTCCTAATTTCCTTTTATAAAGGCACCAGTCATATTGGATTTGGGCCTATCCTAGTGAACTTATTTTAACTCAATTGCCTTTTTAAAGACCCCATCTCCGAATAAGGTCACACTCTGAGATTCTGGGGTTAAGACTTCAACATAGGAATTGGTTGGGGGATACGGGCATGACTCAGCCCATAACAGTCTACTTCTGGGGGAATTCAAACTATGGCACCCCCTTTTCTTACAAGCAGGTAGAAAAGTCTCAAATTGGTATAATATTTGTCTTATTGAGATTGAGTTTGTGAGGGCAAGATGATAGCTGCCCCCCCATGGTTGAATCTCTAGGGTCTGATAGAATGCAAATACACAAAACATATTGGGTGAATCAATGAATGAATGAGTGGGTGGATGGGTGGGTAAATGGATGAGTGGGTGGGTGGGTGGATGGATGGATGAGTGAGTGCATAGGTGAATGGATAAACGAGTAGGTGGATGAGTGGGTGGGTGGATGGATGAGTGGGTGGGTGGATGGATGAGTGGGTACGTGGATGGATGAGTGGGTGGGTGGATGGATGGATGGATGGGGGAAGGGTGGATGGGTGGGTAGATGGGTAGATGGATGGATGGGTGGAGGAACAGTGGATGAGTGAGTAGATGGGTGGATGGGTAGACGGATGGGTGGATGGATGGATGGATGGATGGGGAAAGGTGGATGGGTGGATAGATGGATGGGTTAGGGAAGAGTGGATGAGTGGGTAGATGGTTGGATGGGTAGATAGATGGATGGGGAAAGGTGGATGGGTGGATAGATGGGTGGATAGATGGATGGGTTAGGGAAGAGTGGATGAGTGGGTAGATGGTTGGATGGGTAGATAGATGGATGGGGAAAGGTGGATGGGTGGATAGATGGGTGGATAGATGGATGGGTTAGGGAAGAGTGGATGAGTGGGTAGATGGATGGATGGGTAGATGGATGGGTAGATAGATGGATGGGGAAAGGTGGATGGGTGGGTAGATGGGTAGATAGATGAATGGGTTAGGGAACAGTAGGTGAGTGGGTAGATGGGTGGATGGGTAGATGGATGGATGGATGGATGGATGGGGAAGGGTGGATGGGCAGGTAGATAGGTGGATAGATGGATGGGTTAGGGAAGAGTGGATGAGTGGGTAGATGGGTGGATGGGTAGATGGATGTGTAGATGAACGGATGGATGGATGGGTGGATGCAGACCAGTGGTATAGGGGCTTTTCCTCACTGTAAGCTCCCATTCTTCCTCCTTTGAAACTATCTTAGCACAGATACCCTCTGGAGTATCAGATATATATAAGCATGTCACCTCCCCTACTAGTGGGTTGCTCCCAGGAGGCAGGACCTTGTCCTTCTCTCCCCCAAATAACCCTATATCCAACAGAGCTCAATAAATGCTTGCTGCATTGGGCCAGTCCTATTTCCTTCTACTGCCTTCCATTTCCTCCCTTCCACGCCCACATACTTCCTCCTATACAAAAGAACCCTGGTGGATTTTTCAGGCTTAAAGAAAAGACTAGGATGTACCTGCGAGTGGGATGGACAGGAGAGAGAGGCTGGTCTGACTTCAGCAGAGGGAGGTGCCAGGGGGACAATGGAAGCTTGGCCCTGTGAGGCAATGGCTGGCTGTCACAGAAGAGTATGCGGGGCAAGTTAGCCATATTCATTCATTCACCTATTCTTTCAAAAATTGAGACTCTACTATGTGCCAAGCCCTGGGGTCAGGGCTGGGGATCCTGCAGGAAGACGATAGACAAGTCATGACACATGGAAGGAGTGTTAGGAAAGTGGAACCATGGGAGGCACCAAGAGCCCAGAGCCAAGACCTCTGAGCTGGCTTGGGGTCAGGGAGGGCCATCCCTCCATCCATCCAACAAATGTTTATTTCTCTTTTTTTTCGAGATAGAATCTCGCTCTGTGGCCCAGGCTGGGGTCAGGGAGGGCCTACACTTAAGTGGACCCTGAGGAATGCAGAGGTGTGAGTCAAGCACACAGGGACAGTGGGGGGCCAGGAGGTGCTGTGAGGGGGCTCTGCTGGGACAGTGTCAGAGGGCACAGGGGAGCCCAGCACACTCAGCTGAAGCCCAGGATGAAGAGGGACTGGGCGGGGGAGGGGGAGGCGGCAGGGGCAGCAGCTGTCATGCCAAATGGGCGTGCCCATGCACAAAGCTGAGCTTTACCCAAGGGCAGCGGAAGCTGGGGGAACCCACAAACCCCCTCCTCCTCCTCCTTCCTGTTCACAGCCTTCGGAGGAACCCTCAGCTCCTGGGACAAGATGGGATACACCTGCCATGCTCCCTACCTAACACTTGGCCTGGCCTCACATCCTTCCCCTGAACCTGGGCAGGCCTCAAACATCTGCAGGAGAGACCCCTTCCTGTGGGGAGCGAGTCTGCACACAAAGAGAGGGTAGTCCAGGAAGATGGAGAACAGGAAGGGCTTTGTAGCCCCCGCATTAGCTCTTCACTCGTAAACTCTTCTGCCTCCCAAATTCGAGGCCTTGAGGGTCAGTATCAACTACAGTTGAAGAGCTCAGGAGACTGCACTCGGTGGTCATGTTCACGGCCCGGCTGAGCCACTGATACGCATGTGGCCTTGTGCAAATTCCTGAACCCCTCGGTGTCCAAGTTTCCTCTCTGGATTTCTTATCAGGATTGAAGGAACTTAAGGTCGGTAAAGGGCCCAGCACAGTGGCCAGCACATAGCGTGCTCCATCGGTATGAATCGTGGTCATTGTTATGAGTCAGTGAATGAGCTCCCCGTCACCAAGAGTATGTAAGCAAAGGGCTGGGGACCTGCTCTCAGGAATGCTGGAGAGGGCATCACAGGCCTGGGTGCAAGGAGGGATTCGATGACATCTACATTTTTCAATCTCAAAGGTCCCTCAGCTTCCTTCCTCCACCAACCCGCCCACAAGCAAACCCGGCCACACAGCTGAGTGCTGGCTGCACAGGGCAGGCAAAATGTCAAGAAATTTCCCCGAGAGATCAAAGAAGGGGTTTTTGTGGGTTTTTCTTTTTTCTTCTCTGGCTACACGGAAGCACAAGGTCAATAAAACACCAGTAAAATGCCCCACCCACCACACCAATATGGAGTATTCAGCCCCAGCCAGCACTGGGCCTTAGAGAGGGGAAGTGGGGAGGAGGGAGCCCCCTCTTCCTAAGTCACAGCTTTTAAGTGGAGGGAGCCTGGGACCTGAGATGTCATTTTTCTCTCCACCCACTCCCCATCAAGGCCCTTT
This sequence comes from Homo sapiens, assembly GCF_000001405.40. NCBI lineage: Eukaryota > Metazoa > Chordata > Mammalia > Primates > Hominidae > Homo > Homo sapiens. The sequence continues at coordinate 12,087,754 of NC_000001.11, read as the reverse complement.
CAGGCTGGAGTCAAAGGGGCCAGAAGAGGATGAGAAGGAAGTGTCTTTCTCCTTGTGGCTGGGATTGTGGGTCCCATGAAAAGTCATAGAACACTGTGGGCCACTCCATTCCAGAGGATAAAAACCACAGCAAGCGGGCCCTGAGAGAACTGAGTGGGAACCACCACCAACCATCAGGCTAGCAAGGGAAGGCCTCATGGAGGAAGGGGTTCCAGAATTGCAGCAGGTAGGGACGGAGGGGAGGGCATCCCACATGGGGACAGGCATGTCCAAAGGCCCAGAAACTAGGCCTGGCACAGTGGCTCATGCCTGTAATCCCAGCACTTTATGAGGCCAAGGCGGGCAGACCACTGGAGGTCAGGAGTTGAAGACCAGCCTGGCCAACACGGTGAAACCCCATCTCTACTAAAAATACAAAAACTAGCTGGGTGTGGTGGCACATGCCTGTAATCCCAGCTACTCAGGAGGCTGAGGCAAGAGAATTGCTTGAACCTAGGAGGCGGAGGTTCCAGTGAGCCAAGATCACACCACCGTACTCCAGCCTGGACTACAGAGACAGACTCTATCTCAAAAAAAAAAAAAAAAAAAAGAGAGAGAGAGAGAAATAAAAATTTGTTGGATGGATGATGGATGGATGGATGGATGGATGGATGGATGGATGGATGGATGGATGGATGGATAGAAAGGTAGATGAGAAAATGGCCAGGAGAGGGGTGGGTGTATGGATGGGGGCGGTGAATGGGAGGATAATTGGAGGGATATGGGAAGGCGATGGTGCTATGGACTGAATTGTGTCCCCCACAAAGTTCATATGTTAAATGTGTTGAAACCCTAACCCCAGTGTGACTGTATTTGGAGATAGGACTTTTAGGAGATAATTAAGGTTAAATGAGGTCATAAGGATGGGGCCCTAATCCAGGGGGATTGGTGGCATATATGAAGAGGGGGAAAGAGAGAGAAAGAGAGAGAGAGATCGATCTTCCCACCATGAGAAGACTGCCATCTGCAAGCCAAGAAGACAGCCCTCACCAGAAACCAAATCCTCCAAAAACCTTGATCTTGGACCTTCAAGCCTCCAGAACTGTAAGAAATAAATGTCTATTGTTTAGGTCACCCAGACTACAGTATTTTGTTATGGCAGCCCCAGCAAACTAATACAGATGGATGGATGGATAGTGGCTAGATGGGAAGAAAAATGGAAAGGGGATGGGAGGGGTGGGTTGGTGAGTGGTTAAAAAGATGGGTGGGTGGGCAGGTACTTGGATGGGTGGGTGGGTGAGGGGGGCAGGTACTTGGATGGGTGGGTGGATGGCCGACCAGTGAAGCACTGAAAAAACCAGGGGACCCACCTAATAGATCATTCAAAATCAACACTAAACCAAAAATAAAAGCAAGAAAGTCCAATAGCATCCAACCCACTACTTTTGCCCATACAATGAATACTTTGAATCATTGTTGGAAATACAAATCAAAATCAAATACAAAAACATCAAATTCTTTCCAAGAATGTTTCCCTCTGTCCTTTGGTGGCCTGAGCACGAGCCTGGTCTGCATCTCATGGGGGAGTTGAGGCCACAAGTCTAGGAACTGACTGACCTGGGTTCCCGCGCAGCTCCAGTGGAATAGCCCTGATGGCCATAACCTGTCACCACCCTCCAGACAGTACAGCTGGGTGGATGGGCCCCTCCGCCCCCACTGTCGGAAGCCCTCCAGACGATGCCCGCCCACTTGCAATGGCCTGCTGTCCTCAAAGCAAGAAGTGGCGATGATGAACCAGACACACACAGACTCCCTCCCACCCTTGCTGGCACAGCTAAAGGCTGATGTCCCCGTGACAATCTCTGTTCCTGGAGGTCAGAGACCACGAGGGCATCGTTATGTCCTGCCCCGCCCATCTAAGACCACTGGTGGTGCCTTGGGACTTTTGATAATAACCACAGGGGCAGAAATGCCTCATGACCCTATTCCAGCTGCTTATCTCCTCGGGCCTAAGCATCATCTACAAAATGGAAGGAACAACACTCACCCCAGCTCCAGAAGGATTTCCTGGTAATTGACTAGAAGTCAATCACGGTGCTGGGGGTGGGGGAACATTCCAGAAAGGGAGCTCTGGTCTGGGAGACTGGTCTCAGAGAAATCTATTGTCCAGGTTGTCCCAGGATAAACACCTGTCCTGAGCTGGGGCAGTCAAGAACGGCAAAGAGGCCAGGCATGGAGGCTCATGCCTGTAATCCCAGTGCTTTGGGAGGCTGAGGCAGGAGGACTAATTGAGCCCAGGAGCTCAAGACCAGCCTGTGCAATATAGCGAGACTTTGTCTCTATTTTAAATTAATATAAAAAAATTAGGCCGGGCACGTTGGTTCATGCCTGTAATCCCAGCACTTTGGGAGGCTGAGGCGGGTGGATCACCTGAGGTCAGGAGTTTGAGACCAGCCTGGCCAATATGGCGAAACCCTGTCTCTACTAAAAATACAAAATTAGCCAGGTGTGGTGGTGCATGCCGGTAATCCCAGCTACTTGGGAAGCTGAGTCAGGAGAATCGCTTGAACCCGGGAGGTGGAGGTTGCAGTGAGCCGAGATTGCACCATTGCACTCCAGCCTGGGCAACAAGAGCAAAACTCCATCTCAAAAAAAATAAAAATAAAAATAAGAGAGAAAAGAAAGAACTGCAAAGGACTTCTGGGCCCCAGAAATGAAGGGTGGTCAGAGGATGTTGACAGCCCAGGCTTTGAGGTCTCTGAGCCCTGGGCCCCAGCCCTGATCATTCCACCATTTCCCAACTGTGTGACCCTGGTCATCAAGGGAAGTAGCTGGAACTTAACCCTGCCAAGCCCCAGTAGCCTCATCTGCAAATTGAGTGTAATAAAGGATCATTGCAAGCACTTAATGAGATGATGCCGTGCATATAAAGGTCTCGGACTCATGGATAGTAAGTGTCCAATAAAGGGCAGCTCTACGTTAAAAATAAAAACTCATGGAGATGGACATTCTGGTGGCAGCAAGAAACACAGTCTCAATTCTACAGCCCTAGCCTTCCGAGAGAGTCCTTGGACTCCGCGACACTAGGAATGACCTGCAGAAAACTGTAGCCAATTATGACGATGACGGTTGGCTCCAATTTCCCCACTCATCAATCCCCCAAGAGGGTCATCAATTGAGGACAAATTTCCCCCCTTCTCCCCACCCCCAACGCCCCCACTCACCCATGGGGCAGCGGTAACAGCACCTCCTGACAGCCTTGTCATAGTAGTGGCTGGGGTTTCCATGACAGGTGTCCTCGAAGGGTCGATCCTGGCAGGTCAGAAAAGCTGGTGAGGCCAGGTGGATCCCAGATATCCATACTCCCTCTGTCCCCACCAGTCCCAGGAGGCCTGAGACGGAGCTTTGTAATATAGGAGAGAAATCAGGACGAGAACTCCTGATTCCACAAACCCACACCGCCCTTACGCTTCCCCCTGCTACTCCAGCTCAGGCCAGAAACTTTAGCGTCTCCCTTGACTCTCTCCTCTCAAACAACCTATCAGCAAATTCTCCTGGCCCTTTTCATACCATAATCATCACCACCTTCACCTGGGGCTAGTCACCATCCCCTTGCCCTGGGATTAACATAATTGCTTCCTACCTTGTCTCTGGGATGGGCCCAACAATACAAATTTCTGGTAAACGTATTTGTTGAAGTCTAACACACCCGTACAAAAAAGTGCACAGATCTCAAGTTACAGCCAACTGCATTTTTACAAGATGAACGCACCAGGCAATCAGCACCCAACTCATCAAATGGGACCTTGCCAGCCCCAGCTCCTCCGTCATCCCCCCTCCCACACACTCCTCCCAAAAGGCTGATTTCTATCGCTCTATTAGTGTTGACTGCTTTTGGATTTTACATAAAGTAGAATTACGCAGTCCATTCCCCTGCAATCGGCCTCTTTAATTCAGCATTATATTGTGAGAATCATTCGCACTGTTGCAAATAACAGTTGCTCATTTCTGTCCATTGCTTTGCAGTATAGCATCACACAAATATGCACAATTTATTTGTCTAGTCTACTCTCTTTTTTTTAATTTGTTGAGACAGAGTCTTGCTCTATTGCCCAGGTTGGAGTGCAGTGGTGCAATCTCAACTCACTGCAGCCTCCACCTCCTGGGCTTAAATGATTCTTGTGCCTCAGCCTGCCAAGTAACTGAGACTACAGGTGTGTGCCACCATGCCCAGCTAGTTTTTGTATTTTTAGCAGAGAGAGTTTCACCATGTTGGTCAGGCTGGTCTTGAATTCCTGACCTCAAATGATCCACCCGCCTTGGCCTCCCAAAGTGCTGGGATTACAGGTATGAGCCACCACTCCGGGCCTGCTCTCGATAGACATTCCACTTTTTGGTTATTATGATAGTGCTGCTGGGAACATTCCTGTACACACGTTTTAGTGTCCAAACGTACACGCTTTTGTTGGCTATATACCTAGGAGTGGAACTGCTGGGGCATAAGGCATGTTCAGTTCTGATAGATTCTCCATCCAGGCTTCTAAAGTAGTCGTACTAGTAGGCACTTCCCTGCAGTGTCTGAGGATTCCAATTGCTCCACATCCTTGTCAGCACTTGGTGGTATCAGTTTTTAAAAGTTTAGCCATCTTGTTGGATCTGTAGTGATACCTCATTGTGGTTTTTATTTGCATTTCTCTGATAAGTAATGTTGTTGGGCACCTTTTCCCACATTTATTAACCATTTAGGCATTCTTTTTTGTAAGATGCCTATTCAGGTCTTGTGGCCATTTTTTTTTAATTGGGTTGTCTGGCTTTTCTTATTGATGTGTAGGGTTCTTTACATATTCTAGATACACGGCTTTTGTTGATTATATGTACTGCAAGTATCTTCTCGCATCCTCTGGCTTGCCTTTTCACTTTCTTTTTGGAGGCTTTTGATGAACAGACATTCTTAGCTTTAATAAATTACATATACTAATCTTTTCTTTTATGGTTAATGCCTTTTTTTGTCCTGTTTAAGAAATATTTGCCCACTCAGTGTCACTTAGATATTCTCCTACATTAACTCCTAGATGAGATTGTTTAATCGTTCATATTCAAGTTTCATTCTTGTACATGGTGTGAAGTAGGGGTCGGAGAGGCTCACTCTTTTCAGGAAGGCGTGGTTTTTGTTTTGTGGGTTTTTGTGGGGGTTTTTTTTGTTTTGTTTTTGTTTTTTTTTTTTTTGAGACAGGGTCTCACTCTGTTGCCCAGGCTAGAGTGCAATGGTGCAATCATGGCTCACTGCAGCCTCAGCCTCCCAGGCTGAAATAGTCCTCTCTTTCGCCTCAGCCTCCCAAGTAGCTGGGGCCACAGGCATGCACCCCCACACCCATCTAATGTTTTATTTTTTTGTAGAGACTGGGTCTTGCTATGTTGCCCAAGTTGATCTCAAACTCCTGAGGTCAAGTAATCCTCCTGCCTCAGCCTCCCACAATGCTGGGATTACAGGCGTGAGCCACCTGGCCCGGCCTCAGGAAGATATGTTTTTACCAAGCCCCCCATGTGTTTCAAGGGTTCTTTGAAAGTGAAGCACCATCATAAGAAAGGATTCAAGAGAGGAAATTCTTTGTTGAGATTCCAGGGAAGGAGTTTTGTCTTTCCAGATGGAATGACAGGGGAACGCCATTGCACTTTTCTGGGGTGATCCAGGATGTGAAACTTCTAGGGTGGAGCAAAAGGGAAAAGAAGGGAAGCAGGAAGGGAGGCAAGAGAAGGGAAGCAGGAAGTGAGGCAAGAGAAGGGAAGCAGGAAGTGAGGCAAGAGAAGGGAAGCAGGAAGTGAGGCAAGAGGCAGGGAGGAAGCCTTGTAGCATTTCCATGTCTTCAGCATCCAAGATGGTGCCTGGCAGAAAGGAGGTGGCCCCTGGTGCGATGTGGGGCTTTCTTGGTTTAGGGAAGGAAGCAGAAGCCACTTTTCCCCAGGAGAGAGGCCTGGCTGGCCTAAAGGGCTGCCTGACTCTTCTCTCCACTCGAGGGAGCAGTGAAGCTTCCGGCATGTTCAGGAAGCAGCAGAAAGCAGCAGCGTGGCTGGAAGGTGGATAAATGGGGTGTTGGTTACATCATTCTTTTTTTTTTTTGCATGTCTGAAACATGTCACCATATTAATTTGAAATAATACATGAACGTGATATTTGCCCAATAGTCACATGGCGCTTGAGTTGTCTCCCTTCTTATTTAATCCAGAGCCCCGGGCCTTGAGGACACCCTCCTCCCTCCAGTAGGAGAGGAGAGTGTCCTCTCTTAAGTCACCCAGAGGGCTCCTGGGAGCCTCTCCAGGGGGGCAGGAACCTGCCAGGACACCCGAAGTGCTCCTAACCCACAGCATCTCACTGGGTGAGTTCAGTAGCCTGGGCCTGGGGCTGGCTGGAGGTGTGAGGGCTCACTGGCAAGGCCTGCTGAGTGTGGGAACATTCTGGGTCCTTGTCCTTGGTCTCCCCTCCCGGCCTGCCTGCTAATCTCACTGACAGCTACGGAGTCTATGGGGACCATGGGCCCAGGCCCTGCTCACTCTGCTGGGGCCTGGGGCACACCTGGGGGGCTCTGGCTGCTTATGCTTCCCTCCTGCCATCACACCTGGGTCAATGGAGGGGTAGGGGGTGCAGAGAATGGGGAGCCCATGGTATTGCACATTACTCCCCCGAGTCTGGCCTTGGGTGCCTGCTTTCACACAACTCCTCCTTTACACACTGCTAGCTCTTTGGGGCCAGATCACTACCCCATGTTACAGATGAGGAAACTGCAGCCCAGAGAGGTGTAGCCACTTGCCCAAGGTCACACAGCAACTAAGTGCAGAGAGGTTTGAGCTTCACCGTGTCCCCAATTCTCCCCCATCTCTGGGCCACAGGCTACCCATCTTTAAAATAAAAAAATCCCAGGGCCGGGCACGGTGGCTCACGCCTGTAGTCCCAGCACTTTGGGAGAATGAGACAGGAGGGTCAGCTGAGGCCAGGAGTTTGAGACCAGCCTGGCCAACATGGCGAAACCCCGTCTCTACTAAAAATACGAAAAAATTAGCCAGGAGTGGTGGTGGGTGCCTGTAATCCCAGCTACTCAGGAGGCTGAGGCATGAGAATCGCTTGAATCTGGGAGGTGGAGGCTGCAGTGAGCCAAGAACGCACCATTGCACTCCAGCCTAGGCAACAAGGGTGAAACTCCATCTCAAAAAAATAAATAAAAATAGGTATTAAAAGCCCAAATATCCTCGAAAGAGCGTTCCCAGGAGAAACAAGCTCGACCACTCTGCTATCAAGTTCCCACTGACCACAGAGTCTGCCATGAAGAAGATAGAAGACAACAACACACTTGTATTCACTGTGGATGTTAAAGCCAACAAGTACCAGAGCAAACAGGCTGTGACAAAGCTCTATGGCATGGATGTGGCCAAGGTCAGCACCCTGATTCGGCCGGATGGAGAGAAGAAGGCATATGTTCCACTGGCTCCTGATTACAATGCTTTGGATGTTGCCAACAAAACTGGGATCATCTTGGCTGGGCACGGTGGCTCATGCCTGTAATCTCAGCACTCTGGGAGGCTGAGGCCAGCAGATCACCTGAGGTCAGGAGTTCAAGACCAGCCTGGCCAACGTAGCAAAACCCCGTCTCTGCTAAAAATACAAAAATAAGCCGGGCATGGTGGTGCATGCCTGTAATCCCAACTACTCAGGAGGCTGAGGCGGGAGAATCCCTTGAACCCAGGAGGCGGAGGTTGCAGTGAGCCGAGATCACGCCATTGCACTCCAGCATGAGCAACAGAGTGAGACCCTGCCTCAAAAAAAAAAAAAAAAATAGAGAATTAAAAAATAAAGTAGTGATAAAAATAAAGTAGTGATAAGTATATGTAAAGAGAGTGAGAACACAGATGTACAAAGCCACATATGTAAATAGCATCTCAAGGACACGAAATGCTGGGAGGTGGTGGCTTCTTTTCAGCAATAATTCTCGGTAAATCCATAGCTTGCCACCGGAGGGCAGTCTTCTTGCTGTGCGGAGGGGCTGTGGGATCTCAACCTGGTGGGATGGCCAGCCTGTGCCTCTCAAATCCCCTTGGAAGGAGGAGCAGAGGACTTAGGGCCCCATTTTCCATGTGGAGCTGAGCGAGGAAGGGGCACCCCCTTCCCCTTACACAGGCCCTTCACCTGTCCCAGCTCCCGGTGGAGAAGGAGGCAAGGGCCGGGGCGTCTGCCGCTGCCCGGAGAAGTCTGGCCCTGTGAATTTCCAGGCCCACCCTGCCTGGCTCATCAGCTCCTGCTGCCCTGGGGAAGAGAGAGAGGGGAGCTGGGATGTGCTCGGGCCCTTGCCTGGGAGGGAAGGAGGGATCAGAAAGCGAAGAGTGGGAGGGGGAAGCCCAAGGACTGGAGGGGGGGCTTTTGGGTGGAGTTCCCCGCAGGTTCAAGGCAAAGTGAGGTGTCCACAAGGTAATGAGCTGTGCAACCGGAGGCCCTCCGCCCCACCTTAGTGGCATCAAGATAAAGAGAGGGTGGCCTAAAACCTTACCATTTTCAGGTCTGTCTATTTTCAGGTTGGTTTGGTTTTCCCTACAAGACCAGTTAAAGTTCACTTTCAAAAAGCCCCACCTGGTCTCAGCCGGACCATACCTGTGGGAGACGAGTCTAGAAGTTGTGGGGTGAGCGGGGAGTTAGATCAAATGCAAAATCCCCGAAGGGGCCAGAGCTGAGCAGGGCCAGCGAGGTAAGCACCCCTCCCCTCCCTGTCTCCTGGGGATCTCCACCGCTGTGCGCTCTGTTATTCAAGGTGAGGCCCCGGGCCAGCAGCAGGGGCACCACCTTGGAACTTTCTCAAAATGCAGAACCCCAGACCTCCCTAATTGGAATCTGCATTTTAACAAGAGCCCCAGGGAGTTTGAGATGCGCTGACCTAGCAGAAGCTGAGCAGAAAGAAGTGCAAATGCTGGAACGGTTTGCTTTCCATAGCGAAAGTAATTCTAATAGCCAACAACTGTCAGCCCATTTTACAGATGGGGGAGACTGAGACGTAAGGACGAGAAATCTGCCCAAAGTCACACAGCTGGTCAGTGTTAGGGCCAGGATTTGGCACGTGCTCTGATCCGCCAGCTTCTGCTGCCTGGGGTGGGGGGGTGCTGTAGTTCAGGGCTCTGAGATCCCTGCTCCCCACTCCCCATGAGACTGAGGGTTTTTTTGTTTTTGTTTTTTAAGACAGAGTACTCGCTCCGTCGCCCAAGCTGGAGTGCAGTGGTGCGATCTCGGCTCACTGCAACCTCTACCTCTCGCGTTCAAGCAATTCTCCTGCCTCAGCCTCCCAAGTAGCTGGGACTGCAGGCGCTTGGCACCACACCTGGCTAATTTTTATATTTTTAGTAGAGGCAGGGTTTCACCATGTTGACCAGGCTGGTCTCGAACTCCTGACCTCAAATGAGCCACCCACCTCAGCCTCCCAAAGTGCTGGGATTACAGGCATGAGCCACCATGCCTGGCCGAGACTGACTGCTTTTTGAAATGCTTGCTTCTCCCTGGCCCCCAACCTATCACTAGTTCTGTCTGTTTAACCTGCAGTTTTACCCCCACATCTACCAGCTCTTCCTCACCTTCCCGCCATCTGGACTTGACAGTGACCACCCGAGGGTCTCCTCTCGTCTACCCCATCCACCACGCCCAGCTCACAGTGCAGACACCAGACTGATCTTTTGAAAACACGATCTACTGTCTTCCCCTCCATCCTATTGAAGACCCTCAGATGGCTTCCAACCCAGCTATGAATAAAGCCCAAAGTCTTGTGTTCGCTTCGATAGCACATATACTAAAATTGGAGCAATACAGAAATTAGCATGGCCCCTGCATAAGGATGATACGGAAATTCATGAAACGGTCCATATTTAAAAAAAAAAAAAACCAAAGTCTTAACAGTGGCCCAAGAAGCCCTGCCCTCCTTGCCTGCCTGTGAAGCCCCTGGTACTCTCTCCTACCAGCCTCTTTTTGCCACTGGCACCCCACGGGCACCCCACTCCCTGCAGCAGCCTGTGCGTGCTGTTTCCCTGCCTGCACTGGTCCCTAAATCCAGTGTACCCCCATTCATCCTTGAGACCTCACTCATGAGTGCCACTTCCTCTGGGAAGCCCTCTCTGATCACCCCCATCCAGGTCATGTGCTGTGTGCCTAGCGGAAGCTTTAAGGGACTGTTGGTTTCCCTGCTCACTAAGGTTGTTGGCAGAATTCAGTTCCTTGTGGTTGTAGGACTGAGGTCTTGTTTCTTTGCTGACAGCCAACTAAGGGCTGTTCCCTGCTTCTAGGGACTGTGGCATCCTTTGGCTCATGGCCCCCTTACTCCATCTGCAAAGCCGGCAATGGTGGGCTGAGTCCTTCTCACATCACATCTCTCTCTTTGCCTCTATCATCTCTCTCTAACACAGCCAGGAAGGGTTCTCTGCTTTTAAGGACTCCTGTGATTAGATTGGGCCCGCCCTGATAATCCAGGATCATCTTCCTGTCTCAAGATCCATAGTATCAGGTTTCAAGGATTAGAATGTGTGGACATTTGGCCAGGCGAAGTGGCTCGCACTTATAATCCCAGCTCTTTGGGAGGCTGAGGCAGGAGGATCACTTGAGCTCAGGAGTTTGAGACCAGCCCGGGCAACACGGCAAAGGAGAAAAACCCGTCTCTACAAAAGATACAAAAATTAGCTGGTTGTGGTGGAATGCACCTGTAGTCCCAGCGACTCGGGAGGCTGAGATGGGAGAATCTCTTCAGCCGTGGTTGGGCCACTGCACTCCAGCCTGGGTGACAGGGTGAGACCCTGTCCCAAATTAACAATGTAGAATGTATGGACGTTTTAGGGGACTATGCGTCTACCGCCACACCCTCGCTCCTAAGCAACCACTAGACTATACCACCACACGCCGAACTCAGTAGTCACCTCCTAACTGTAGGACTCTGAACCCCTCTCTCCACACTCAGTGCTCACTTGAGCTCCAGACCAAGAGACTACCTGAAACTAAAGTCCTCCTCCTCCACCTCTTTAAACACACCCATCCCTGGCCACAGGCTCCATCCCTGGCCACAGGCAGCACCTCTCACAGTTGTCCCACTGCAAGCAGGTGCCGAGTTGAGTTTTCCCCAGTTCCTGCACAGCTGAGAAAGAGTGTGCAGGGCCCCATGCTGCCTGGCCCCAGGGTTGGAGATAAAACCCAAAGACAGTGGACACGGAAACAGCATAGAGGGTGGAGCCTGGAGTCCCTGGCTGGAAGGAACTCAGGGACAGGCAAGCACCTTGAAATGATTTTTGTGTAAGAGTTGAAGAAAGAAGAAAAAAATATGAAAAGCGGCTTACCAAAGACAGGTTTATTTTGGAGAATAAAACTGAGGCCGGGCACGGTAGCTCACGCTTGTAATCCCAGCACTTTGGGAGGCCAAGGCAAGTGGATCACCTGAGGTCGGGAGTTTGAGACCAGCCTGACCAACATGGTAAAACCCCATCTCTACTAAAAATACAAAATTAGCCGGGCATGGTGGCTTATGCCTGTAATTCCAGCTACTCGGGAGGCTGAGGCAGAAGAATCGCTTGAACCCGGGAGGCAGAGGTTGTGGTGAGCCGAGATCACGCCACTGCACTCCAGCCTGGGCAAGATGAGTGAAACCCCATCTCAAAAAAAAAAAAAAGAAAAAGAAAAAAAAAAGAATAAAACCAAGAAGGCCTTCTGGCCAATTTCGTTCAGCAGCATTGTTTTTATGGACTAAGGGTATTTAAGGGTTCTGGGATGGGAGCTTTTCGCAGGCTAGGAATGTTTCTGTGTGGAGGAGAGTTTTACTGTATGCTGGGAATGTCTCTGGTCAGAGGGGAGGTTATCTCAGGGCTGGCATGTCTCCAGTCGGATGGGGGTGTTGGAATGTTTCTGGTTGGAGGTGTCATTTGTGGTTTATGGTCATGCTGACGTTAGCCGTTAGGCTGATGTTTTGGGGCTGGATTTAGGCGGTTTTTAATCAAGGAGAATTTAAAACGGCGATGCTTGTCCAAGATGGTGACGCTCCTGCTCTGTCAGTTAGCAAGAATCATACCATCCTCACTGGGTCCCCAGGACCTAGGGTGATATATTCACATATGTGCTCATATACGTCTCCTTACATGGCAAAGGGGAATCAGGGTGGTAGATGGCATCGAGGTTGTGAACCCGCTGACTTTCAGATGGGAGATTCTTCTGGATTATCCAGGGGAGCCCAGTGCAATTTAAGGGAACTTAAAAATGCAAGAGGGAGGCAGAAGAGAGAGTCAGGGAGTCAGAAAAAGAGATGAGTATGGAAGCTCTTCACTGTCATTTCCCAAACAGCGTTTCATCAAATGCTGGGGCTACCGGATGGTAACAGATGATAGGCAGAACACGGACAGGCGCAGCGGTTCACACCCGTAATCCCAGCTCTTTGGGAAGCCAAGGTGGGAGGATTGCTTAAGCCCAGGAGTTCAAGACCAGCCTGGGCAACATAGCAAGACCCTGTCTCTTTAAAAAAAAAAAAAAATTTTTTTTTTGGCAGAGTCTCACTCTGTCGCCCAGGCTGGAGTGTAGTGGTGCAATCTCGGCTCACTATAACCTCTGCCTCCCAGGTTCAAGCGATTCTCCTGCCTCAGCCTCCCGAGTAGCTGGGATTACAGGCATGTGCCACCACACCTGGCTAAGCTTTGTATTTTTAGTAGAGATTGGGTTGCACCATGTCTCAAACTCGTAACCTCAAGTGATCCACCTGCCTCGGCCTCCCAAAGTGCTGGGATTACAGGCATGAGCCACTGTGCCCGGCCTAACAAAATTTTTTTTTAATTAGCTGGGCATGGTGGCATGTGCCTGTAGTCCCAGCTACTCAAGGAACTAAGGTGGGAGGATTGTTTGAGCCCAAGAATTCGAGGTTACAGTGAGCTATGATTGCAACACTGCACTCCAGCCTGGGCAACAGAGTGAGACCCTGTCTCATAAATAAATAAACAAACAAACAAACACAAATAATCACTGGAGTCCATTCGAGAGGTTTCCATTTTAGATCACGGGGCTTCTCAGAACCTTTGATGTGGTTACTTACTCTTTGATTCTCCAAGGAAGGGTATGGGAGCTAGTCAGAAAACTCTGCAATGTTTCTCAAACTTCGTTGGCCATAGAACCTTTTTTTCTCAGAACTGCCATTGCCAGAAAGTGAGTTTGAGGCCGGGCCTGGTGGCTCATGCCTGTAATCCCAGCACTTTGGGAGGCCGAGGCGGGCGGATCACTTGAGGTCAGGAGTTTGAAAACAGCCTGGCCAATACAGCGAAACCCCCTCTCTACTAAAACTACAAAAATTAGCCTAGCGTAGTGGTGCACGCCTGTAATCCCAGCTACTCAGGAGGCTGAGGTAGCAGAATCTCTTGAAGCCGGGAGGCGGAGGTTGCAGTGAGCCAAGATCACATCAGTGCACTCCAGCCTGGGTGACAGAGTGAGATTCTGTCTCAAAAAAAAAAAAAGAAAGAAAGAAGGTGACTTTGGGACATGTTGCCTTTGGCACTAGGGAAGCATTAAAGGGTTTCAGGGTCATTAATGTGGTGGGGAGGTGGACAGGATGGAGGAGAGCGAGTCCGTTTTAGCAAGATCACGCCTTGAGTCCGAATTTAGCAACTGGTCGATCCTCACTTCCCACCAAGAAATCCCTCCTGCCTCCCAGCAATCCCGTGCCGGCTCCATGAGCCAATTGTTGAGACTGCAGGGATCCTGAAGATTCCAGGGCCGAAGCAAGTGTTGGAGCTGCATCCTTAGCTACAACTCAGACAAGGTAAAACCCACCCAGCCCTGAAGTACGTTCCCGGGCAGCAACAGCCGCCACGGGACAATGGCAGCTACAAAGAAAAATGCAGTGGGCTGGGTGCGGTGGCTCCCACCTGAAGTCCCAGCACTTTGGGAGGCCGAGGCAGGCAGATTATTTGAGGTCAGGCGTTTGAGACCAGCTTGGCCAACATGGTGAAACCCCATCTCTAGTAAAAATACATAAAAATTAGCCAGGCGTGGTGGTGGGCGCCTGTAATCCCAGCTACTCGGGATCCTGAGGCAGGAGAATCGTTTGAACCCGGGAGGCAGAGGTTGCATTGAGCCACGATCTCACCACTGCACTCCAGCCTGGGCGACAGAGTGAGACTCTGTCAAGAAAATGAAAAAAAAAAAAGAAAAAGAAAAAGGGAAAGGGAAAAGGAAAGGGAAAGGGAAAACGAAAGGGAAAGGAACGGAAAGGGAGAAAGAAAGAAGAGAAGGAGGGAGGGAGGGAAGGAAGGAAGAAGAAAAGAAGAAGGAAGAAGAAAGGAAGGAAGGAAGGAAGAAAAGAGAGAGAGAGATGGATATAGTGGACCTGAAGGAAAAGGAAGCGGGGCCCAGCTCCCTGGGAGTATTCGACTTTCTGATCCTCTTGGAGGTGCCTTAGGTTCCTGCGCCAGCCTCAGGCCAGTTGCTCAGAAGGGGCTTGTGTATTTACTTTTTGTTTGTCTGTTTGTTTGTTTTTAAGACAGGGCCTTGCGGTCACCCTGGCTGGAGTGCAGTCCTGCGATCATGAACACGGCTCACTACAGCCTTGACCTCCTGGGCTCACGTGATCCTCTCACCTCAGCCTCCTGAGTAGCTGGGACCACAGGTGTGTACCACCATGCCCGGCTAATTTTTTGTTGCCCAGGCTGTTCTCAAACTCCTGGGCTCATGAGATCCTCCTGCCTTGGCCTCCCAGAATGCTGGGAATACAGGCGTGAGCCTTGGCGCCCAGCCTGGTGTGTTTCCTTGCCCACCTCCCTCTCCCAGACTATGTGTGGGGAAGGGGCAGGGCACATGCCCCCCAGACCGTTTGGAGAGAGAGGAAACTCTTGGCCTGGCCGCTGCGTCCTGGCCTCCCTCACCCGAATCAAGAGTGGGAAGGGTGCCTGCCCAGGCTGGGAAGGTGAAGGTGGGGTTTAGGAGTTTCCTGGTCTCAGCAGGTTGGAACCATTTCAGTAAACTGTGTGGAGGCCACATTATCTGTGCACGCACTCTCTGAGAGCAGGAACCGTACCTGGCAGGCAGCAATCCGTCAAGAAAGTTGATGGCTGAAATGAAGCTGTGGGCGACGCCTCTAGGAGTTCTTAGCCCCCTGGAGGACCCAAGAACCCAAGGGGAACCTGCTGGGTGGGGCTTCCAAAGCAGGCCCCAGGCTCGCCCCAACCACCAGCACTGATGTGCTGTTTAACCTCTGACCCCTTCTGCTGCCTCCAGAGCCCTGGGCAAAGCTGGCAAGGACAATGGCACCATCTGTGGTGCAGAGCCTCATCACTGCAAACTCTGGAGGCTCCTTCCCCTACTGACCCAGGCAGAAGTAAAGATGGGCTCCTCTGGACTCCCGCAGGCCCCAGACAGTCCCCTACGCAGTACTGGCCACCCTCTCTTCTGTATTCCCCTTCCCACACTGCCCCCCATCGAGGGCAAGGACTGGAACTGGTTCATCTCCATGGCTGTATCCATAATGCCCCACATACAACAGGCACCTAATAAGGCTCACCTTTATTTGCACAGCACTCACTGTGTCCAGAAGCTGCTCTCAGCACTTGACACATATTAACTCATGTCATCCTTACACCAGCCCTACAATACAAGGTAGCTACTGTTATTAGCCCATTTTATAGATGGGGAAACCGAGGCACACAGAGGTAACTTAACTTGCTCAAGTCACCATCTAGTGTCAGAAGCAAGGGATAACCTTGACAGGCTGACAAAAAAGTTCATACCTTTAACGAAATGCTCTACTGTCTCTCAAAGGTGGCTCATGCCTATAGTCCCAGCACTCTGGGAGGCCAAAATGGGTGGATCACTTGAGGTCAGGAGTTCGAAACCATCCTGGCCAACATGGTGAAACCCCATCTCTACTAAAAATACAAAAATTAGCTGGCATGGTGGCACGTGCTTGTAATCCCAGCACTTTGGGAGGCCAAGGCAGGTGGATCACTTGAGGCCAGGAGTTCGAGGCCAGCCTGGCCAACATGGTGAAACCTGTCTGTACTAAAAATACAAAAATTAGCCGGGCGTGGTGGCGGGTGCTTGTGGTCCCAGCTACTTGGGAGGCTGAGGCAGGAGAATCACTTGAACCCAGGAGGTGGAGGTTGCAGTGAGCCGAGAGATCGAGCTCAAAAAAAAAAGAGAGAGAGGAAATGTGAGGATGGAAGGAGAGTTCAGAGTGATGCAGGGCCAGGGACCAAGGAACACAGGCAGCTTCTAGAAACTGGAAAAAAGCAAGGAAACATTTTGCTACAGCATATCCAGAAGAAAAATAGCTCTGCTGCCTTATCATAGACTTTTTTCTTTTTTTGAGACAGAATCTTGCTCTGTCACCCAGGCTGGAGTGCAGTGCTGCGATCTCAGCTTGATGCAACCTCTGCCTCCCAGGTTCAAGCAATTCTCGTGCTTCAACCTCGCGAGTAGCTGGGACTACAGGCACACACCGCCACACCTGGCTAATTTTTGTATTTTTAGCAGAGACAGGGTTTCGCCATGTTGGCCAGGCTGGTCTCAAACTCCTGGCCCCAACTATCTGCCCACCTCAGCCTTCCAAAGTGCTGGGATTACAGACTTGTCATAGACTTTTGACCACCAGGGCTATAAGACAATACCTTCATGTTGTTCTAAGCCACCAAATGTGTGCTAATTTGCTATAGCAGCAAAAGAAAACTAGCATATACTGTAACCAGGCTGAATAAAAGAGCCTAGGCTTGGGTTGGAACGAATGAACAGATAATGTGGGGGCCAAAAAAAGGGGGTCTTGGGCTTGGTTAATAGAAGTAAGGTGAGTCTACTGGGGAGTGGTCTTTGGCCCAGGTGGCACCAGGACTTCTACAGTTGACTCTGGTACCCAGAGATTCATATCAGCAGCTTGAACTCTGTAGAGAGCTCCACATTTCAACACCCAACCCCCACTGGTACTTGAGCATGGGCAAAATAGAACTTTTCTCCAAAACCCCTGTTCTATCCTTTGCTTGTTTTTTCCCACATCCCAAAATGACACCTCCATGCAGCCAGATTCTGAGCTCCCAAATACGGACAGGATCCCTGATTTCCCTCCTGCCCTCTGCGCTCCCACCAGACCCATCCACAGGTCCTGTTGATTCTAGCTTGAAAGCACATTCCAGCTGGGCACAGTGGCTCATGCCTGTAATCCCAGCAATAGGAGGCGCAGGCAGGAGGATCACCTGAGCCCTGGGAGTTTGAGACCAAACTGGGCAACATAGTGAGACCCTGTCTCTACATAGGCGGGCAGATCACGAGGTCAGGAGATCAGACCATCCTGGCTGACACGGTGAAACCCTGTCTCTACTAAAAATACAAAAACAAAATTAGCCAGGCGTGGTGGCGGGCGCCTGTAGTCCCAGCTACTCGGGAGGCTAAGGCGAGAGAATGGCTTGAACCTGGGAGGCGAAGCTTGCAGTGAGCCGAGATCACACCACTGCACTCCAGCCTGGGCAACAGAGCAAGACTCCGTCTCAAAAAAAGAAAAGAAAAGAAGAAAAAGCACATTCCCACCTCTGCTCACCCCTCCCCTGGATCAATGCAATGACCTGGCTTCCTGCTCCCATCCTGCCTGCTCCCCCCAATCCCCCAGCCCCCCACAGCAGACAGAAGGAACTTTAAATCTATCATGCAGTATTGCTCCCCTGCCAAAAACCTCACCACAGTCCACAAAGGTCTGCACGATCTACCACCTTTCCTGCCACCTTCTCCTAACCACCCCTCTCCACTCACTTCCCTCCAGCCACCCCGGCCTCCTTCCTGTTCCTCTAGCCTCTTGGGGCTTTTACCCCCTGGGCCTGGATGCTTTTCTGCTAATCTCCCACTGGCTGCCTCCCTCTTTTCATTCCGTGTGTATGTTACCGTCTGCAAGTCCTGTTTTCCCCATCTTAGGGAGCCGCCCGTCTCTCTCACACTACAGGATTCTAATCCTCTCATTGCAACTAGCAGCAGTCTGTTGACTGTCACCCCTGTGGAATGTCAGTTCCGTGGGGCAGAGACCCTGCTATGCGGTGCATGGATGAACTCGCAGCACCCGGAGTGCTTCCTGGCATGCAGAAGGTGCTCAATAAGTGTTTGTGGAATGAATGAATTGAAGAGAACAGGCAGATGAGGAGCCTTGAGCTCACGCTACGTGAGGAATAAATGTTGGAGGACAGGTGTGTGACTGGCTGAGAGACTCCGGGGACCCAAAGTCACAGTCTTCACATTGCCAGAGGCGCTTCTGAAGAACAGGGAGGTGACTCATTTTCAAAACTAGATTTCAGGCCAGGCGTGGTGGCTCACCCCTGTATTCCCAGCACTTTGGGAGGCTGAGGCGGGGGGGCTCGTCTGAGGTCAGGAGTTTGAGACCAGCCCGGCTAACATGGTGAAATCCCGTCTCTAATAAAAATACAAAAATTAGCCAGGCGTGGTGGCACACACCTGTAATCCCAGCTACTTGGGAGGCTGAGGCAGGAGAATCACTTGAACCTGGGAAATGGAGGTTGCAGTGAGCTGAGACAGCGCCATTGCACTCCAGCCTGGGCAACAAGAGCGAAACTCCATCAAAAAAAAAAAAAAAAAAAAAAAAAAAGGCCGGGTGCAGTGGCTCATGCCTGTAATCCCAGCACTTTGAAAGGCCGAGGCGGGTGGATCACGAGGTCAGGAGTTAGAGACTAGCCTGGCCAGCATGGTGAAACCCCATCTCTACTAAAAATACAAAAAATTAGCCAGGCATGGTGGCATGCACCTGTAGTCCCAGCTACTTGGGAGGCTGAGGCAGGAGAATTGCTTGAACCCGGGAGGCGGAGGTTGCAGTGAGCCGAGATCGCACCACTACACTCCAGCCTGGGTGACAGAGAGAGACTCCATCTCAAAAAAAAAAAAAGAAAGAAAAAGAAACTAGATTTCAGCATATCATGAAGATCATCTAAATGCCAAAGCTAACCCAGGATGGTGTGAGCTGCCTCAGCAAGGAGCAAGCATCCTGTCACGGGGGGCATACAGGCAGAGGCTGAATGCAAGTCCCTGGAGCCATGCCTGACCCAGAACAGCTGCTCATTTCAGATCTGCTGGATGCATGCATGCATGAATACTTGCATGTCACCAAAAGACTTAGGCATTCAGGGAGTAACTAGACTGAGCCATGTATAAAAAGTCCCTCCCCACCAGCAAGGCCACGAGAATGCCCAGTGGTTTTCAACCATAGATACCGGAAGAAGGTCCCCCACCCCCACCCCAGTATCCCCTGGGTGGACCTGGGAGGGGAGAGAGAGAAGTGGAGAACTGGTATGGCCGAGAGCTGCCTTTTTTTGACATTCTGCGTGTCTAGTCTGTGGTGGGCTCTACCCCGACCAGTCCTGGAACTGTAGGCAAGACTCTCCCCTACCTCTGGGCCTCTGCACTGAATCCTTGTCTGTGAAATGAGGACTGTGATCCCAGATGGGCCACACCCAGGGTCAGTGCACCGGCTGGACAAGCTGGCCCAGGCTGGGCTGATCTACTGTCATTGCCAAGGACCCTCAAGCCTCCAGGACTCCCCCGGGCCAGACACAGTCATCCTTCAGCCCCATTTTCCTTCTGATGATTGTCCTGATGTGAAGAAGGGTGATGAGGGAGTATAAAAACCTTAGAATGAATCACAATCTGCTCAAGAAACGAGTCTAAGTCAGATATGAGTGGGAGCAGAAGCAGAAACTTACAGTAAACGCCCCTCCTTCCGGCACTCACTGCTCTCAAGCTGAGTAACACGACTCCCTGACCCCAGAGCACTAGTGCCGCCCTGGGAAGGGATGGCTTTAAGACAAGCCAGACCCTCCTTCCACTCCTTCAGGGTCCCCTCCTCTCCAGGTCCCCCCCCCGCCCCCCCGCCGTCCTTGCCTCCCTGCAGGATTTGAGCAGCCCTGGAAATGTCCCTTTTGCAAAACAAAACCAGAAAATCTCTCCTGCCCTCTTGCCACTCCCTGAAATTCCACGATTAGCACTACACTGTATGGAGTAACTAGCTAAGCTTTTAAAGTTAAATTGCTAGATGGAGGAGTCACACATAGAGCTTTTCTATCACCCCAGCTAAAATTCCTCTTTTTTTTTTTAAATACAGTCTCACTGCCACCCAGGCGGGAGTGCTGGCTCACTGCAACCTCCGCCTTCTGGTTTCAAGCGATTCTCCTGCCTCAGCCTCCTGAGTAGCTGGGATTACAGGCGCCTGCCACCATGCCCAGCTAATTTTTGTATTTTTAGTAGAGACAGGGTCTCACCACGTTGACCAGGCTGGTCTTGAACTCCTGGCCTCAAGTAATCTGCCTGTCTTGGCCTCCCAAAGTGCTGGGATTACAGGTGTGAGCCACAGCGCCCGGCCCCAGCTAAGATACTTTCATGAGAACCTTCCTGGTCCCAGCCTGCACACTAACCCAGAGCAAAGATGCTTACATCTGGCTGGAATTGGGGGTACATGGATGTGGGAGGAAGGCTTGTTTAGCCTTAGCACTGGCAAGGAACATGATGTTGGGGAATTTCTAAGTCTACAGAGTTCACAGGAAAGCTGGGGCTTCCCCCGCCCCGCAACCCCACCACATGGTGCCTGGATGAAAAGGATGGAGCTATGGGGGAATAAATTTTTCTCTGCAGATATGCACCAGTTAATCCTGGGTCATATTACAAAAAAACACAATTGGACAAGACAGTGATACGAAGCATCAGAGGCCAACTCTCAGATGGTGCCAGCTAGCAAGAAAGCATTCCTGCCTCAGAATACCAGGCGAAAAATGATGGCGTCTTGGGAAAAATCAAATAGAGATGAAAAAAGAACTTCAGGATGGGCACGGTGGCTCACGCCTGTAATCCCAGCACTTTGGGATGCCGAGGTGGGAGGATCACTTGAGGCCAGGAGCTCGAGACCAGCCTGACCAACATGACGAAACCCCATCTCTACTAAAAATACAAAAATTAGCTGGGTGAGGTGGCAGGCACCTATAATCCCAGCTATTCAGGAGGCTGAGGCAGGAGAATCACTTGAACCCAGGAGGCAGAGGTTGCAGTGAGCTGAGATTGCGCCACTGCACTCCAGCCTGGGAGACAAAGTGAGACTGTCCCAAAAAATAAAAAAAAATTTAGGCCGGGGGCGGTGGCTCACGCCTGTAATCCCAGCACTTTGGGATGCCGAGGTGGATGGATCTCCTGAGGTCAGGAGTTCAAGACCAGCCTGGCCAACATTATGAAACCCCATCTCTACTAAAATACAAAAATTAGCCAGGCATGATGGCAAGTGCCTGTAATCCAAGCTACTAGGGAGGCTGAGACGGTAGAATCACTTGAACCTGGGAGAGGGTGGTTGCAGTGAGCCAAGATCGTGCCACTGCACTCCAGCCTGGGCAGCTGAGGGAGACTTCATCTCAAAAAAAAAAAAAAAAATTTTAAACTCAAGGAAATTCAAGCCCTAATTTGGGATTTTTTTTTTAAAATAACGAGCTTCCCGAACCTTTACTGGAAAAAACAGAAGTGGGAGAAGGCTTGAGGGGCAAAAAGGAGTACTGTGTTGGGCAGGTAGTCCCTTCCCCAAGGACTCCCTGACTCCTGCCAAGAAATGACCTAGTGCCTGAGCCCAGAGAGATGCTCAGCTTCCCCGGTAGGCGAGAAATGCAAATTAAGGCAACAAGGATATAACCCTTTTCACTAATCACATTGAGAAAAATTAAAATGCTGATAAGATCAAATGTCGGTTAGGATGTGGGAAAGTTACTACTCTCTTGCACTGCTAGCGGGAGGGTAAATTGTCCAGCCACCCTGGAAGGCAGTTCGGTGGTGTCTTTTAATTTGAATGCATTTTCGCCCTGCAACCTCAGTATTCTCTTCTCAGTCTCTTGTCTAGGAAAGAATCACAGACATTTATTTCCAAAAGCATCCATATAGGGCTGTGCACTGTAGTAGAGAACAAAGAAAGAAAGAAAGAACAATGGTGGCAACCTTAGCACCCATCCATCCAGGACATAAATAAACTATGAAACATCCCATTTGGCAAAAGATCACATAGCATTTTAAAAGATAGGCAGAGGATCTGTAAGTTTCAGCATGGAAAGCTCACCAAGATGCCTCATAGACATTATAAAGCCAAATGAAGAACCATATGTACTGTAGGGTATAGTATATGGAAAACTATATATATGTCTATTAAAACAATATAAATATGGACATGCATTTATAAAGGTCTGCAAAGGAAACACACCAAATCAATTATGGTGGTTATATCTTTGAAGGGATCAGGATGAGGCGGTGTCAAAAGACTTGGCTTTATCTGTAGCGTTTACAGTTTTGCTTTGAGAATATATTTATATATTCCTTGTGCAATTAAATATATAGTATTTTTATTTTAAAAAGGGTATGGGAGGCTGGGTGTGGTGGCTCATGCCTGTAACCCTAGCACTTTGGGAGGCCGAGACGGAAGGATCACTTGAGGTCAGGAGTTCGAGACCAGACTGACCAACATGGTGAAACCTCATCTTTACTAAAAATACAAAAATTAGCCGGGTGTGGTGGCACATGCCTGTAATCCCAGCTACCTGGGAGGCTGAGGCAGGAGAATCACTTGAATCCGGGAGGCAGAGGTTGCAGTGAGCCGAGATCGAGCATTGCACTCCAGCATGGGCAACAAGAGTGAGACTCAGTCTCAAAAAAAAAAAAAAAAAAAAAAGGTTTGGTATGAGAGTTCAGGCTGTAGTGAGTTATGATCGCACTCCAGCCTGGACAACAGAGTGAGACCCTGTCTCTAACATTAAAAAAAGTGGAGGGGGCTTCACTCTACAGAAAGGAAGCACATGAGCTTCAGCTGCCAAACCAAACCAGCAAAGCCCCCCAAGCACCTCTCACATCTCTTCCTTCCCTTCATCTCCCCAAGACCTTGGCACTCCAAACTCTTACCTTCCCCCAGGTGAGGGCTTGCAGAGCTGGGACAGGGTGTCTCTAGCCAGGGCTTTGTCCCCTCTGCCCTCTTGGGGGGAAAGGGGGAATACCTCACATTGCCCATTGGAAATGGAAGAGGGCATAGTTCCTCCTTTGCTGCATAGTTCCTCCCTCCTGCCTAAAGCCCACTCTGCCACTCTCCTCCCACTGCCTAAGGTTCAGATGACTAGAATTGATCCATAGCATGGAGTCCTCTCTTCCTGTAGGATTAAAGGGGAACTGGGTCTTCCCTCTCCCCCACCGTGACCCACCGCTGGACTAACAGCCTGCTCCTTCCTTTCCCTCTGTATCATTCAGCAGGCATCCACTCGCACCTACTATGGTTCTATGCAGGGGTCCACCGGGGTCCTGGGTCAGCTGAGGGCCTCTCTCTCCAGCAGCCCCTGGGCTCCGTGAAACACGCCTGGTTACTTTGCATTCTCCCCACAGTGATTAATTTGGCGCTGGCCACTGGTAAGTGCTCAGTTTTCCTAAAGCAGTCCCCAAACTCAATTCTGAGGCAACCCACCATAGACTTCAGCCCCACCACTGACCTTCTTCCAGGGGCAAATGCCCACCACGTGCTCCAGCGAATTCAATCCACAGCGTTGCTTTGCCGGACGCGGATTGGGGAAGCTAATCCCGGTGGTCCTGCACCCTCACCCCACTCTCACCCACAGCCAACTCTCCCTCCTTTCCTTGACCCTCCAGCCAGTGGCCAGCTTAGGAAGGGGGCAAACGGGACCGCGCACACAACAGGGTAGAGCGCGGACGACCAACCTCCCATGGCTAAGGGAGGCCCCATCTGGCCTGCCCACTACTCCCACGGCCTCACCTGATCTGCCCAGGACCCCGACGGGCCCGCAGGTAGGCGGGCTAAAGAGCGCCTCCCGCGTATGGCAGTGCTCTCAGTCCAATTCACACTGAATGAATGAATCAGTCCCAGCCATCGCGGGGTGAGAAGGAGGCGCCCCCCACCACTAGCCCTTCAGCCAGCCTCCCACCTGTGGGTGCTAGCATATTCCGGTGTTCCTGCTTGTCACCCGCGCCCCCTCACTCCAGCTGGGCAGGGAACGGGGTGAGGAGTGTCCTCCCTTGCGTCCCACGCACCCCACACTGTCCGGGCTCTGGACCGCCGGCACCTCCCCAGGCGCCCGTCACCCGCTTACCTGTGGGAAGGCTCGTAGCGCCCCCAGGAACAGCAGTCCCAGCGCGGCGAGGAGGACGCGCATCCCCGGGGCCGGACGTGAGGTGGCCTGGCGGCCGGCGCCCACCTGGGAAGCGGGGGAAGCGCGCGGCGCCCACGTGCGGTCCCGGCGGTTCTCAGCCGCGCGCGTGGACTTCAGGCTCCAGCACACTCCCGCCGCGGCCACCTAGTCCGCACCCAACGCACGCCGCGAAGTCACTTCAAAAGTGGTTGTTCCTCCGAGGTTTCAGCCTTAGTTCTCCCGTATCAAATTGGTTCCAGGAACACTTAGCTACAAGCAGCGAAGAAAAAAGGGGGCAAACACGTGCAGAGATGACTCAGGAAAAGGCACACTAGGAGACGCCTCCCTTAGCTGTTTGAATGGCCCGCCCCGGATTTGACGGAACTAGTGGTCCTGGCTCTAGGGAGTGTGCTGCCCGCCGCACCTGGGCTGCGGGGAGCGGAGGCAGGCAGCTTCTGGCCCTGGAGGTGGGGACTCACAGGATATTAGGAGGCCCCAAGGGGGTTCCAATGCCCCCACCTCCACTCCTGCCCCAAGAAACGGTGAAATGTGAGTAGTTTCCTGTCCCTGACACGATCAGCCAGGACCTTCTCCCATGCCCTTGAGATTCTTTGGAAGGGACAACTGGCCTAGGGAGACTGCAGAAAAAGCAACCATCACCCACCCATCCCCATTCATAAGCATTTGCTGTAAAATGAATCAGTGAGTGGATGATAAATTGGTGGATGGATGGATGGATGGATGGATGCATAGGTGGATGGATGGATGGATGGATGGATGGATGGATGGATGGATGGATGCATAAGTGGATGGATGGATGGATGGATGGATGGATGGATGGATGGATGGATGCATAGGTGGATGGATGGATGGATGGATGGATGGATGGATGGATGGATGGATGCATAAGTGGATGGATGGATGGATGGATGGATGGATGCATAAGTGGATGGATGGATGGATGGATGGATGGGTGAGCAGCAGGTGAGTGGGTAAATGGGTGGGTGGATGGGTGGATGGATGGATGCATAGATGGATGGATGGATGGATGCATAGGTGGATGGATGGATGGATGGATGGATGGATGGATGCATAAGTGGATGGATGGATGGATGGATGGATGGATGGATGGATGGATGGATGGATGCATAGGTGGATGGATGGATGGATGGATGGATGGATGGATGGATGGATGCATAAGTGGATGGATGGATGCATAAGTGGATGGATGGATGGATGGATGGATGGATGGATGGATGGATGGGTGAGCAGCAGGTGAGTGGGTAAATGGGTGGGTGGATGGGTGGATGGATGGATGCATAGATGGATGGATGGATGGATGCATAGGTGGATGGATGGATGGATGGATGAGCAGCAGGTGAGTGGGTAAATGGGTGGGTGGATTGGTAGATGGATGGACTGAATGTTGGAGGAACTGATGGATGGTATAGATCATTTTATTTCCCTGAGGCCTGACCCTTTAGAGTTTTCTTCCTGGAGGAGGCGGCTGGCACTCTCTCCTAACAGAAATGATTCAAGCCTCCTCGTACTATGTTCTCATTTGCTGGTGAATGATTTTCCCTTCCAGTGCTTCCCCATCCCCTGGGTTTTCTCTTTGCTCCTTTTATTCCACATTCCGTGTGTCTGTGTTGAGCATCTGCTGGGTGGGCCACAGGTCAAGGGTTCTTTTGACTGATTTTGTTTGGTTTTCAGATGTGAAAGCCAAGGCTCAGAAATAGGCAGGCAGTCCTAGGTGCTCTAATTAAGGGTGGGCCAGTTATTTTCCCTGAGCCCAGAATAGCCTAAGGATACTCTGGCTTCTGTGTCTACCTTGATCTGTCCTGCGAGGTACCAGGCCTCCATCAGGTGAAGGCCCTATAGGGTAGGAGTGATAACCTCCCACCAGGAACTTCCCAGCAAGGTCTCCACAACTGACCACTCCATGCTCAACCCTCCTGGGGCTGCTGGACTCCACTTGGGAAAACTGCTCCATCATGCCCCTTCCCAAGAGACCCACTTCCAGACTCTCCTCTGGATGTACCAGGCCCAGTATCTTAGGCTGTTTGAGCTGGGACTATGTTAAACAATGAGGTAAGCAATTATGGAAGTGACCTGCCTGTGATAATGACAGAACCAGACAGGGACAGGAGGAACGCAAGACACCTGCTTCCCAGTCCAGAGCTTTCTACTACAAAAGTAGAAAAGCTGGCAGCTGGGTGACATGGCTCATATCTGTAATCCCAACACTTTGGGAGGCCGAGGTTGGAGGATCACTTGAGCCCAGTTTGAGACCAGCCCGGGTAACGTAGCAAGACCTCATCTCTATTTTTTGTTTAATTAAAAAAGAGAGAGAGAGAAGGGCTGGTGTTTTGAATAAATAAATGAACAACAGCATCAAAATAGCTTGCACAAGGAGAAATACAAATAAAAATCAATTACAAGTTTTATAAGTTTAACCTTTTTAGTAATTAAAGAAATGCAAATTCAAGCAACCTTTGATAACCTTTTAGATCTATACAATCATCATTTTTTTTTTTTTGCTTTATAAAAACAATTTTGGTAAATCCAACCCCAAAGTTGTGGTGAGACCAGAATACTCATTCATACTCTGCTGGTAAATGTTACAACCCTTTTCAGAAAGCAGTATGGCAATTTTTAGCAAAAGCCAAAAAAAAAAAAAAATGTGTACTACTTGTGAGTGGCTCAGTAATTTCACCTCAGTGAAGAAAAACTAAGGAAATAATTTAACTGGAAAACTAGAAAAAGAAAAAAGAAAACTATACAGTAACATTTCCTTATATATTATTTATAAATTTTTGAAATACTCTGAGATTCACAACAAGAAATGATTACGGAAATTGTGGTACATCCATTTAATGGAATATTGCACATCCATTAAAAAGGATAAATCTATAGATGTTGTGGAAACTTGTCTCTCCCTCATATCCTTCCCTCCATGGATTTCCAAAGAGACCTTTCTAGCACACACATCTCACCAAGACACTCCCCTGTAGAGAACCCTTGCGGAAGTATGGTGTGTGTTTTGGCAGAGGACCACGTAGAAAATTATATTATTCATTTAATGATAACAATAACAGCTACCTTTGAGTGCTTATTTTGTGCTAAGAGTTTTCAGGCATTGGTTTCTTGTATCCTCATGAAAACCCCATGAACAAGGTCCTACTTTTATGCCCATTCTGCAGGAAAGGAACCCCTGCAGTGGCTCCCCTGGGTCAGAGTCACCCAAATGCAAGGGTGCACAAGTCTGCTCACAGCCTGGCAGGGGCTGACTCCTCCCTTGTGCCTTTTTACTTCTCCTGGACCTATACTCCAGCCAAATGTGCAGCCTTCTCACCCCTGCCAGCCTTTGCCCACGCTGGCCTCCACCTGGGACGCACACAGACTCCTGATCATCTTCCTAACCTGTTCCAATGCCACCTCCTCCTTGTTGCTTTCCTGGCAGTGTCTCCTGTCCCCCAGCCCTCTTCCCAGTCAAAAAGTGGTTTCTGTCATTTTTTGTGCCGCAATTCTAGATCTGATCTCATCATGTCATAACCATAATGACTGGTTCATGCATCCCTCTGCCCCAGGAAACTGTGTACTCCTGAGAACCAGAATTCCCCCAGGGCGCCCAGGAAAGTAGCTGACACATGGCTTAAGTGGAGGGAAGGCACATTTTGTGGCCAGGGAGCCAGCTGGATCCCAGGGGGAGATGGGCTGGTAGCAACCAAGGAAAACAGCCATTCATGGGACTCTTAAAAGCAGGCAGTGGATAGAGCCCCCGGGTGCCCTCGGCAGGTTTCAGGTGGTATGAAAGTGCTGTGAAGAGTAGAAGGGGAAGTCCCTAGGCTCTGTGCAAGGCACAGCAGCAGTCCTTGTTGTGGGGTCGTGGGGCCCTCCAGAGCAAGCTGTGGAAGGAAGCCAAGCCCGAGGGGCTACAGGAGACTGGGGAGCGAGGAGCGCTTGCTCACACAGTCTCAGCTCGGTGGGCTTCTTGGAGGAAAGGTGAGGAAGGTGAATGCAGTAGGAAGCCATCCAAGGGGAATTGGGAATCTGTGTCCCCAAAGTGATGCTGAGCAAGACACAAGGTCCCAACTTGGTTCAGGAAATTCAGGGACTTCCTCCAACAGCTGGGAACCCGAGTCCCAAATGGCCCCAAAATACCCTTAGCAGATAAAGGGTTCTTTCTGGCCCAGGCAGCAGCTGGCAGGTAGGAGGCTGGAAATCAGAGAGGGGAGGCTGGGGCCTTTCTTCTTCAATAGGTCCAGGTGCACCTTTTCTTTCTTTCTTTTTTTTTTTTTTTGAGATGGAGTCTCACTCTGTTGCCCAGGCTGGAGAGCAGTGGTGCAATCTCGGCTCACTACAACCTCCCCCTCCCCAGGTTCAAGCGATTCTCATGCTTAGCCTCCCGAGTAGCTGGGATTACAGGCGAGCATCACTGCACTCAGCTGATTTTTGTATTTTTAGTAGAGACAGGGTTTCACCATGTTGGCCAGACTGGTCTTGAACTCCTGACCTCAAGTGATCTGCATGCCTTGGTCTCCCAAAGTGCTGGGATTACAGGCAAGAGCCACCGCGCCCAGCCGCAGGTGCACCTTTTCTGAGCAACTTTCTTGGGAGCCTTGGTAGCAGTAGGACTCTCCATTAGGCTTCTCTGGGTCACCCTTGGCCTCCACCAGTCCTAATCGGCAGGACCCATGTCAGGCTCCCTCCAACTCACATCCCCAGATCTCCCTGCCCTTTTGAGGCACCAACATTAGGGGTTCTCAGCTGCCTGGGTGAACCCCAGCAATGCACACCCACAAGCATGACACCCCTAGACCAAGCCTGGTTGGAAACTAAGCAAAGGGGCACTGGCTCTCCAGAACTAGGTTTGTTGTGCCCCTTCCCATGGGCAGGAGGGAAGGCTGTGAGGCCCTCGGGGATGCTCTTAAAGATTCTGCATAGTAACATTAACAGTGTCATTCATTGAGCTCCTGCTGTGTACCAGGCCCTTGGTCAGACATTTAATCCTGGCATCAAGATTTCAAGTCAGTATTGCTATCCCCACTTTATAAATGAACTGAGGCTCAGAGTAGTTAAGTCACTTGCCTGAGGTCACACAGCATGAGGGTGGCAGGGCTAGGATTTACTCCAACCCTGTCTGACTCTGAAGCCTCAGCTGCCTTCTTTTCCCTCCCCAGGCCTCTCTCACCCTTGCTTTCCCCAGGAGAAAGAGCACTGATGTATAAGTCCTGGTCTGGCCATGTGACTTTGGGAAGTCATTTCTCCTCTCTGAATGTATTATTATCTATTGCTATGTGCCTCAGAACCTAGTGGCTGAAAACAATAAACATTATATTGCGCTGTTTCTGTGAGTCAGCAATTTGGGAGAGACTTGACAGGGTGATGCTGGCTCAGGGATTGCCATCAAGATGTGGGCCAGGGCGGCAGTCATCTGAAGGCTTGAGTGGGGCTGGAGCATCTGCTTCCAGGATTAGCCACTCCCACGGCTGTGGGTAGGAGGCTTCAGTCCCATGGGGCTGCTTGAGTGTCCCCACAACATGGCGCTGGCTTCCTCCAGAGCAAGTGACCCCAAGTGAGCAAGACAGAAGTCACAATGCTTTTTATGAACTAGCTTCAGAAGTCACATTTTGTCATTTCCACAGTATTCTGTTGGTTATACAGGCTGGCTCTCCCCAGTGTGGGAGCGGACTGCACAAGGGCATGAATACCAGGGGCTGGGGAACACTGGGAGCATCAGTTTCCCCTTCTGCCAGATGTGTGTTGAAGCATGACTGGGCTGCCCTCTGAAGGTTGTAATGGGCCTTGAATAAAATATGGACATAGAAAGCTCTTGGAAATGCAAGAAAGACATGGAAAGGGCTCTACTTCCCTTTGCCCCCTCCCACTGCCTATCCAGGCCCCTGCTATGGCCCCAGACCTCCCATTCCAGAGCACAGCTAAAATGCTCATGGCTGGGGGTTCCCCTTTCTGAGAAACATGCTACCATGACATCCACTGTTCCAGCCAAGGGGTGACTCATGCAGGGCAGGCCCACAGGAGGGAACCTTGGGGGTCTGAGGCCTTTCCTGGCCCCTCAGGTGATGTCAGGTGGGTGACCACTTCCTACACCTCCATGGCCCAGCCTGCTGGTCACACAGTCTCTGTGGGAACACTTCCCCCAACCTCTGGCACCAGATTTGGGCTCAGTCTTGGCTCCAGCTTGATAGGTGTGGAAAGACTAGATGGAAAGTCAGGAGCCCCAGTGTGGCCCAGGTTGGCATTTAGCTGCATGACTTTCTCTTGGGGGTCCTCAGTGCCCTCATCTGTAAAATGGGGGGGCTAGGGTCAATGATCTGCTTAGAAGTCCTTTTGTTGCAAGGCCCCGGTGGGGAAGAGGGGAGGCCTGGATTCCTCTGGGCCTGGCGGCTCCTGCAGAGCATTTACAGCTCTGTTCCTCTGGCTGCCAGAGGTCCTAGAACCAGACAGCCCTGGTCAAATGCTATCTCTGCCATTTACTAGCTGTGTAAATCGGGCAAGTTGCTCACCCTCTCTGAGCCTCCATTTCTTCATCTATAATGGGAAAATGATAAGATCTACTGCAAAGGGCTGGTGAGGATTAAACAGGTTGATGTGACTAGCACCATGGGAAGGCCATGCTCTCTCAGTTGGAGCCTCTGGAGGGGGCCCCCATCCCCCAAGCCCTTCCCTTAGTGGCAGCCAGCCTCCCAGCTCAGGCACCTTTCACCTAACCTTGGCCTCATGGCTGTGAACCCTCATGAACTCCTGGGCCTAGCAGCTGGGCTTTCCGATTTCCAATATCTCCTTCCATCCCCCAGAGACACGAAGAAGGAAGCTGAGACCAGAGAGGGAAAGAGACTTGGCCAAGGCCCACAGCCTGGTGGGGATGACTCCGTGGGCTGAGAGTCCCTATCGAGGAGTCCCCGTCTTCCCCAGACCTTCTTGCTCAGCAGGGCCGTTGTAAATGGAGGTGAGTTGGAGGTGAGTCATTTAGACTCTCAGGAAACCAAGCCTAGTCCAATATTAATCATGGAACCAGAGACACTGAGTGCAAGAAGGAAATGGAACCAACCGATGGTGGCAGCAGCTTCATCGGAGGTGCAGGCGAGGAGAGCGCACCCATGGGTGCGTCCGTGCAGGGAGGTCTGAGAGTAAAAGTCCAAGAAAAGCCGAGTGCGGTGACTCACATCTGTAATCTCAGCACTTCGGGAAGCCAAGAGGGGCAGATTGCTTGAGCCCAGGAGTTTGAGACCCGCCTGAGCAAGATAGCAAAACCCCATCTCTACTAAAAATGCAAAAATTAGCCAAGTGTGGTGGTACTTACTGTAATTCCAGCTACTTGGTAGGCTGAGAAAGGAGGACTGCTTGAGCCCTAGAGGTCAAGACTGCAGTGAGACACGATTGCACCACTGTACTCCAGGCTGGGTGATAGAGCCAGACCCTGTCAAAAAAAAAAAAAATCCATGGGAAAACGGATGCTCAGAGAAGAAATTGGCCTAAGCCATCCAGTAAGTTCCAGATTCAAACCCAGGTTTGTGAGTCTAGAGTGAGCCTCTGCCCTGGTGGTCGCAGTTGCTAAAACTTGCATCCCCAAATCCCGTCGTCCTGATGGCCAAAGGATAGCCCACATTTCTTGGTGCCTGGGACCTGCTCTGTGCTCCCCCAGAGCCATCTGTTGTAAGGGAGTTTGCTCTAAGGGGATTGGCCTTGTGTTTCCCGTTACCCACCCTCCCTGTCTCCTCCACATGGGCCGAGTCTCTGACAATCAGGCAGGAAGAGCCTCCGAGCCCAGGACCAGCGCTGGAGGATTGGAAGGGGCCACAGGCACCCCTGTCTTCAAATAATGACTTGCAACTCAGAATTTTCAAGAAACCAGCACACCCGATCCCATGAAGGCTGAGAACATAGAGCCCTGAGGAAGAAACTGATCAAGGGTCCATCCAGGTCTTGAAGCTCCATCACTAGTCACTCCCTTGGGTCAAGGAATTGAAGGTCCCAGTTAAAATGTAAATCATTCCTGGAGAAACCCCTTGCTAAGTCCCTGGCAGATGTCGCAGGGGCTGGTTTCTCAGAAGAGCCTTGGTGGAGGGCAGGCCCTGGCATTCTGATGGCCCAGTGTGGCGAGAGGGTGTTGTGGAAGCACTTAGATTCAGACCTGAGCTCAGCACCTTGGCTGAGAAGGCCCCAGGTGGGGCACCGGCCACCCCGTCACACTCCCTAGTGGACTCCTTTCTCTCCTGATGCCACCAAGCTTGTCCCTGCCCCAGGGCCTTTGTGCTCGCTGGTCCCTCCGCCTGAAAACTTGTTCCCCCAGCTCTGCAAAGTGTTGTCCCTCTGAGAAAACTTCTGGGGTGACAGATATAGTGGTCATCTTGGTTGTGGAGAAGGATGTATATACATGCCAACACTTACAAAATGGTATACTTTAAGTTGGTCAAGATTACTGTGTGTCTATTATACCTCAATGAAGCTATTAACACACACACATTTTAAAACCGCAGCTCCTGCTCATCTTCAGGTGTTGGCTCAGATGAACCTCCTCAGAGAGGCTTTTCCTGACCACCCCAGCTGATGTTACCACTCTCTGCCACATCGCCCTGTTCATCAGGGACGTACCACAGTGTGGCATCGTTTATTTGCTCATTGCTAACTTTCCCCGCCTGGGGAGCAGGGATTGTGTCTGTCTGGTCCACTGACATAAGCAGGGCTTGGCTTCATGAATCTTTATTGAATGACTTGAATGACCAAGGACAGGGGTCCTAGCAGACATGGCGGACGTCAGACTCACCTTCTGGGGCTGGTCTAGGGGTGTTCCAAGAACACCAAGCAAGGCTGAGAAGGGCAGGTACTGCTCTGAAAGTGAAACCCGGAACACAGCCATGCTGCCAGCCCATCTGCGCCATCATCCATGCCGTGGGTGCCTGCAGAAAGTGCCAGCAGGGACCCTGTTCCTAGCAGGAGCTGCCCATCAGCATATGGCATTCATTCAGAAAATCCCTCTGGAATCTCCCTGGTCATTCCCTCCATGTGGCTGGGAGTGGGTCTGCCCCACTCCCAGAATCATCCCTCCCTCCAAACAGGAGGCAGGAGGCCTGAAGGCCCAGTCTGGCCTGGGGCTCACCAGACACAAAACCCTGGCAATGTGGAGAAACTAAGGCGTGGCCACAACTCAAGCCTCAGCTAGATCTGGAGACTCATGGGGACCTCCCCCTGAAGACTGGAACTGTGATCTGGCCTGAGAAAAACCCATCAGTTACCATCCATAACCCCCATCGACTCATGGTGATTTCACTGGGTTCTGGTTTGCATCAGACACTGGCCAGAGTGTGAGAGCTGAGGTGGGGGTCGCCACATCCAGCAACCGCTCCCCTACCCCAGTTACACCGACCCTGAGGCCAAAGTCCCACAGCCAGTCAGTGCAGGGACAGCCCCCAGGCCCCAGCCTCCTGAGCCCCCACCCGGCCCCTCTGCCCTCGCCCGGCTTTATTGTGTGTATTTGCTGCTTGCTATCATTTTCCTTTTCCAGGCCTGTCACCAGGGGAGCAAAGCCTTGACCCCAAGCTTTCAGACTCTGGCAAGGGAGGCAGATGGCAGGGGTCTCAAGGGTCTGCTTGGCTGTGACTGCAGAGGCTGATGGAACATCAGGGCTTTGGGAGCGGTCAGCGGCCTGTTTCAGTGCTGCACACACACACATACACATATGCACACACACATGCACACACACGTACACATAGGCACACACACATGCACACACACGTACACATCTGTGTGAGCACACACTTGCCTCCCAGACTCAGCATCCATCATCCCCAATGCCCGGCCAGCTTATCTACCTATTACCTGAAAACAATCCTGTTATCTGTCCAAGGAGATAGTGTGGAAATAAATGCTTAGCAAGAAATGGCCTGTGCTGTCTACCCCACATCCACCTCCTGGGGGGCCTGTGTGTTCTGGGGGTCACTCTTGCATTTCAAGTGACTCCAAACAACGTCCCCAAAGCAGCAGCCCACCTTGTGTTTCCTTGGGGCCTGAGCCCGGCCACTGGCTGGCGTCCCACTCTCATGCTTGGCAGTGGAAACAGCAGCCACTGCCTTGGCTTGCACTGACACTGCACAGGCGCCAGGGTTCTTTCTGAGCCAGGCCTTCCGGCTCTGCAGGGGCCATTGAACTGAGCCAAGGAAAGAACATATTGGTGGCGGCCGGGCGTCATGGCGCACACCTGCGGTCCAAGCTACTCAGGAGGCTGAGGTGGGAAGATTGCTTGAGCCCAGGAGTTCAAGGCTGTAGTGAGCCATGATTATGCCACTGCACTCCAGCCTGAATAACAGTCAGCCTGGCCCTGACTCTAAAAAAAAAGAAAAAGAAAAAAAAAAAGAACCTGTTGATAGCATCTACGGATATGGGTAGACACTGACCCCTGGGGTCCCTTCCTTGTACTCCAGGGACCAGCACTTGACCATCCAGGCCTGTGTGGTCTGTCAAGCAGACCTGGTGCCCAGCAAGACCTGGGGCTCTGCCAGGACCACTCCTATGAGACCTGCTCTTGCTGCAGTGTCTAATGTGCCTATAGGAGCAAGAACGCTTGGACGAAAGGAACACATCCCTGCTTAAGAGGCAACGCCATGGATTAATATTCATTTAAACAAACACTTCTACAGGCATATGGGTACCAGGCCCCAGGATAGGTGCTGGGGTTCATCAGTGAACAAGGCTTTTGCCCTCAGAGGGATGGGAGCCACTAGGAGTTTGGATCAGGGAGGGGCATGGCCTGACTTGGGTTGTCCGGGTCACTCCGGCTGTTGCGTGGGAAATAGATGGCCCAGGAAAAGAGGGGGAGGACGAGAGAGGGGAGAGCAGGCAGGGGCAACTGAAGCATCCAGGGTGGAGGGGGTGGAGGCTGGGGCCAGGAGGGAGCTGTGGGAGAGGGAAGGGGCCGGATTAGGGGTGAACTTTGGGGATGGGATTTACTGAAGGATTGGATGTGTGCGAGAATGAGGCAAAGGTTTGGCCTGGGAAACTGGAAGAGTGACGTTGCCTTCAGCTGGGGTGAGGAGGGACTACTGAGGGAGGGCAGGGGCTTTAGGAGCACCTGTCAGCGGCCACCTACCCAGACTGTGGTGGGGTGGATGCAGTGGTCAGTGAGGGCTTCCTGGCAGAGGTGAGGCTCAAGCTGAGACCTGAAAGAAGGAGCAGGCTGGGGAGAAAGGGGTGAGAACAGCAAAGAGTGGGACTGCTGGGAAGAGCTCGCTGAGGGTGGCTGGGGGAACTTTCAGTGGCCCCAGGGGGGCCCGAGGGTTACTGACAGGGAAAGGAGAGAGCTCCAGATGAGGCCAGAGGGGCAGGACGGGTCCAGGCTGCTTACTCAGCACCAACAGGGAGGGAGGCTTGGCCATGAGCAGCCCAATCAGACCGAGAAATGGAGACGGGTAATAAATAGCCACAGATGAGTCATCTCAAGCCCCAATTCTGAGCCTGCCTCGCTGCTCTCCTGGGCCCGCAGCCTTCCTGGGAGGGGCCCCTGATTTCAGAATGACCAGGTCAGGCAGAGCTCAACTACCAGGGCCCCTGTGCTCGGGGCTCAACCCTGCAAGGCCCCAGGTGGCAAGGCAGCTTCGCCTTGTGGCAGCTGGTCCCATCGCCTTCCTCAGAACTCAGGTCAAAATAAGCAGCACACAGAAAACATTTTTTATGTGATCATTGCTTCAAACTTTTTTTTTTAAATCCTAGTATTAATTAGCCAGGTATGTAGGACTAATACAGTGCTCACCTGCGGTCCCAGCTGCCTGGGAGGCTGAGGCGGGAGAATTGCTTAAACCCAGGAAATCGAGGCTGCAGTGAGCTAGGATTGCACCACTGCACTCCAGGCTGGGTGACAGAGTGAGACTCTGTTTAAAAACAAAAAAAAAAAAAAGCTGTATTAATAAAATGTAATTAGAGGTATCCAGGTGTTGGGGGAAAAAAGCATTTGGTAAAGTCAGAGAAAGCTGGGTTCAAATCCCACCTCTTACTGCAGCCACAGCTGAGCAACTTGGAGCCAGCTGGTTAACCACCCTGGGCCTTGCCTTTCTTATCCATCAAATGGAAATAACAATGGCACTGACATCACAGACTTATGCAAAGATCTGAGATGCTAAATGCTTGGCACAGGAAGCTCCAGGATACCCAGCTATAATACCACAAAGACAGGGATCTATTCTAAATTTGTGGCCATCTAGTCAGGGCCCGGCCACAGGACAAATGAGGCCACCATTTTGCCTCCAGGCCCCCAGGTCTCCTGGGCCTCAGATGCCGGAGCACAAAGCCTCACTGTATTTGCACCTGGTTCACGCAGCCCCCTGGAGGCTCTGGACTTGAGAAGGCAAGCTCCCTGAGGGCAGGGAGTTTCTCAATGCTAGTTTCTCAATGCTTTATTACCAGGGCTTGGCATAATAAATATTTATTGAATTAATAAATAGAGCAGGCCGGGCACAGTGGTTCACGCCTGTAATCCCAGCACTTTGGGAGGCCGAGGCGGGCTGATCACTTAAGGTCAGGAGTTCGAGACCAGCCTTGCCAACATGGTGAAACCCCGTCTCTACTAAAAATGCAAAAAAAAAAATTAGCTGGGAGTGGTGGTGGGTGCCTGTAATCCCAGCTAATCGGGAGGCTGAGGCAGGAGAATCGCTTGAACCCAGGAGGCAGAGGTTGCAGTGAGCTGAGATTGCGCCACTGCAGAGCGAGACTCCATCTCAAAAAAAAAAAAAAGAATATAACCATCTCAAATTAAAAATAATAATAGGCTGGGCACGGTGGCTTACCCCTGTAATCCTAGCACTTTGGGAGGCTGAGGCAGGTGGATTACTTAAGGTCAGGAGTTTGAAACCAGCCTGGCCAACATGGTGAAACGCCGTTTCTAATAAAAATATAAAAAAATTAGCTGGGTGTGGTGGTGGGCACCTGTATTCCCAGCTAATCAGGAGGCTGAGGCAGGAGAATTGCTTGAACCTGGGAGGCAGAGGTTGCAGTGAGCCGAGATTGTGCCACTGCACTCCGGCCTGGGCAATAGAGAGAGATTCAGTCTCAAAATAATAATAATTTTTCAAGCAATTAGTTCGGCTTGCCACATTCTGATAGATTCAGATGCTAAGGAGACAATGAGCCCAGCTAGATTTAAAGGGTTTACTACTGGCCGGGCAGGGTGGCTCATGCCTATAATCCCAGCAATTTGGGAGGCCAAGGTGGGCAGATCCCTTGAGCCCAGGAGCTGCCCATCCTGGGCAACAAAGTGAGACTCCTCATCTCTACAAAAAAAAAAAAAAAAAATTAGCCGGGTGTGGTGGCATACTCCTGTAGTCCCAGCTACTCGGGGGACTGAGGTGGGAGGACGGCCTGAGCCCAGGAGGTCGAGGCTGTAGTGAGCCATGATCGCACCACTGCCCTCCAGCCTGGGTGACACAGCAAGACCCTGTCTAGAAAAAATAAAATGAGGGTCTACTACCTGCAGCCCTGCACATAGCATGAGCACTGAATTTGCATTGCTTGCCCTTGCCCTTGCCCTTAACATCCCTTCACGTAGGGTGAGGAACCAGCCCAGGCTGGTGCTGAGCACACACCATGGGAGACCCCCAATCTCATTAGGGGCTGCTGGCAAACCTATTCAACCTCTGTCCTGAGAAGACATTGTCTTTATCACCCTGGAATAGCCATCTCCCTAGGGGACGGGAGGGAGTCCTTACTGTCCTGGAAAGTAAATACATTTGCTCGCTAGCCCAGTGGGAGATGCTACCTCCAGCTTCCAAGACTGTTTGCTATGCAAACAATAATCATGGCTATCATTGATCAGCAGCTCCTAGGTGCCTACCAGCCATTGCAATAGCAGTCCCTGTATTAGTCCACTAGGGCTGAGTATAACAGAACAACACACGTTGGAGGGCTTAAGCAACAGAAATTTATTTCCTTTTTTTTTTTTCTTTCGAGACAAAGTCTCACTCTTGTCACCCAGGCTGGAGTGCAATGGCACAATCTTTGCTCACTGCAGCTTCTGTCTCCCGGGTTCAAGCAATTATCCTGCCTCAGCCTCCCGAGTAGCTAGGATTACAGGCATGTGCCACCACACCTGGCTAATTTTTGTATTTTTAGTAGAGACGGGGTTTTACCATGTTGCCAGGCTGGTCTCAAACTCCTGACCTCAGGTGATCCACCCGCCTTGGCCTCCCAAAGTGCTGGGATTACAGGAGTGAGCCACCACGCCCAGCCCAGAAATTTATTTTCTTATCATTCTCAAGGCTGTGAATCTGAGAGTAAGGTGTCAGCAGATTTGCTTTTTCCTCAGGTCTCGCTCCTTGACTTGAGGACATCACCTTCTTGCTATGTCCTTGAGGGGCCTTTTCTCTGCGTGTGCATTCCTGGTGTCCTTTTCTCTTCTTAGGAGTGTGATAATCCCATTAGCTGAAAGCCCCACCCTTAGGACCTCGCTTAACCTTAATTACCTTTTTAAAGGTCCTGTCTTGGCCAGGCGCGGTGGCTCACGCCTGTAATCCCAACACTTTGGGAGGCCGAGGCGGGCGGATCACAAGGTCAGGAGTTTGAGACCACCCTGACCAACATGGTGAAACCCTGTCTCTACTAAAAATACAAACATTAGCCGGGCTTGTTGGCACGTGCCTATAATCCCAGCTTCTGGGGAGGTCAAGGCAGGAGAATCATTTGAACCCGGGAGGCGGAGGTTGCAGTGAGCCGAGATCATGCCACTGCACTCCAGCCTGGATGACAGAGAAAGACTTCGTCTTAAAAAAACAAAAACAAAAATGAAAACAAAAACCAAAAAGAGGCCCTGTCTCATTGGGGGTTAGGGCTTCAACCTATGAATTTGGGGGGCATGAACTTGGCAGGGAGAAGCAGGCACAGTTCAGTCCATAACGGCTCTTCTCCACATGAGTTCATTTATTTCCCATATCCACAAGGAGGCTTAGAAAGAGATGAAGTTGAGTTGTGAGGCAACTTGTCCAAAGTCACATAGAAAAAAGAAAAAAGCAACATGTCCTACTGTTTCAATGAATAACCGTGTCCTCTGTGCCTGGGCTCAACTCCAGAGAACTTGGAAGGAAGAAGGGAGTCATGGATTTGGATCTGAAAGGTTCCTAAGCAGGAAGAATCTGCTTCATCCCAGGAATTGTTCTAAGACTTTTTTTTTTCTTTGTCTTTTTCTTTCTTTCCTTTCTTTCTTTCTTTCTTTTTTTTCTTTCTCTTTTGAGACAGCTTCTGGCTCTGTTGCCCAGGCTGGAGTGAGGTGACATGATCTCAGCTCACTGCAGCCTCAACTTCCCTGGCTCAATTGATCCTCCCACCTCAGCCTCCTGAGTAGCTGAAACTACAGGCACGCACCACCATGCCCGGCTAATTTTTGTTATTTTCTGTAGAGATGGGGGTCTTCCTATGTTGCCCAGGCAGGCTGGTCTCCATCTCCTGGGCTCAAATGATCTGCCCACCTCAGCATCCCAAAGTGCTGGGATTACAGGTGTGAGCCACCATACCTGGCAATGCTCTAAGACTTTTCAAACCTTAGGACCTATCTAACAATCTGTGTACCTCTGGGTCACCCTCTTTTCCACGGGAGGGGACAGAGCACCTTGCTGAGTGACTCTGCTGACAATGGTGAAACAAGACTTGAACTCAGTCTGAAAGACTTCACACGGCTGCAGGCAGTGGGTATAAATGCCAGCTTGGAGCCCCCCAAACCTGATGGCTGGAAAAGGGGCAACACAGCTGGGGCTCCCAGGTGTCAGTGCCCCCGGGAGCCTCTGGGATCAGCTGTTGACCCCAACTTCCCCCGCAGGGGTTCCCAGCTGTCACGTCAGAATTCATCTGCCTAAGCACTAAAGAAACTCCAAGATGACGCATTGGTGCTCTGGGGGTGGCGGGAGAGGGTTGATGGGGGCCTGTCCACAACCCCAGCCCCTATGGTGACGTCACTTCTCACCCCCACAGTTCTTTCTCTCCACCTTCCATCTCACAAACTGCTGGGCAAGCGGCCGGGCTGACAAGCAGGGAAGCCCTGGGCTTCTCCCAGCCAGAACAGACCGATCGGAGAGGCAGGCGGTGGCCCTGGATGCTTGAGGTTTGAGCTGTAGCCGCTGGTGCTGTTAAAACCACAAGAGATTGAAAAAAACTCCTTGCCAGTCAAAATGAAAAGTGAGACTGAGAGAAACTGAGTGAGAAGATCTCGGTAAAGAAAAAGCCAAGTGTTGGCTTCCATGAAAGAAACACGGCCCAATGGGTCATTAAATGACTAAGTTCTGGGGCCACACTGACAATGACAGGGCTTCCTGCAGCACGTGTGTGTGTGCATGTGTGTGTGTGCATGTGTGTGTGTGCGTGTGTGTGTGCGTGTGTGTATGCATGTGCACACATGTGAGGGAGTGTGTGTAAGGGAGGGAGTGTGAGGGTGTGCAAGAGGGCTCGTGCCCTCAAAAGTAGGGACCTGTGGGCTCAAGGCTGTGTGTCCACAAGTGTATGAGAGTGGGGTGTGTGTGTGAGCTGGTGTACACACAAGTGTGTCTAGGGTGTGTGTGTAAGTGTATGAGTGTGTGAGAGCAGCGAGGGCTTGTGCCCCTGAGATTATGTGCGCATGCACGTGGTGTGTGTGCACAAGGATGTGTGTGTGAGGTTCTGCGTGCTTGAGGTTGTGTGTGCAAATGTGTGACGGTGTGTGGGTGTGGGTGTGTGCATGTGGGTGGGTAGGTGTGTGCTCAAGGCTGTGTGTGTAAGGGTGTGTGTGTATGCAAGTGTGCCAGGGTGTGTGATCAGCAAAGCATTATGATCCCCTTCCCCCAACTTCACAGCAAGTGGGGCAGCGACCCCACCTCTAACCCCTGTCAGCCAGGGAGGAAGGGAAGGAAGGCCCAGAGCTCAGTGTCAGGTTATGTAGTGCGGGGCCACATAGGGGCTCACTCAGCCCAATCCAGGCTTTGCCACTCCTCCTGGCTAAGCTGCCTCCCGAGGAAAATAGGAGTCCACCCAATGCCAGCAGAGGAGGAGAGAAATGTCAGCACAGATGTCTACCAAGGGGCATGTGATGCAGCTCAAAAGGACGGACTCTGGAGTTCAGGGTGGTCTGAGTTCGAATCCTGGCTTGGTCCCTTGATAGCTGTGTGGCCCGAGACAGGTCAGTTAACCTCTCTGTGCCTCAAATGCCCCATCTCTAAACTGGGGATAATAACCTTACCTTACAGGATGGTTTTGAGAACTCGAAGAGTAAGAGATATGGAGCTCTTAGAATAGTGCATGGTGGGGCCGGGCACAGTGGCTCATGCCTCTAATCACAGCACTTTGGGAGGCTGAGGTGGGCAGATCACATGGTCAGGAAATCAAGACCATCCTGGCTAATACGGTGAAACCCCGTCTCTACTAAAAATACAAAAAATCAGCCAGGTGTGGTGGCACGTGACTGTAGTCCCAGCTACTCAGGATGCTGAGGCAGGAGAATCACTTGAACCCAGGAGGCAGAGGTTGCAGTGAGCCGAGATCGCGCGATTGCACTCCAGACTAGGGGACAGAGCAAGACTCCATCTCAAAAAATAAAATAAATAAAATAAGAATAGTGCATGGCACATGATACGCACTATCTAAATCTTCCTCTTACTGGCCGGGCACAGTGGTTCACGCCTGTAATCCCTGCACTTTGGGAGGCAGAGGTGGGTGGATCACCTGAGGCCAGGAGTTTGAGAACAGCCTGGCCAATATGGTGAAATCCCGTCTCTACTAAAAGCATAAAAATTAGCCAGACGTGGTGGCACGTGCCTGTAATCCCAGCTACTTGAGAGGCTGAGGCACAAGAATCACGTGAGCCTGCGAGGTGGAGGCTGCAGTGAGCCGAGATCGCGCCACTGCAATCCAGCCTGCGTGACAGAGCAAGACTCCATCTCAAATAAAAAAAAAATAGAAAGAAAAATCTTCCTCTTACTACCATAAGTGATGCCTGCAAGCCATGAGCTCCCGAATTTAGTACACCTAGGACAGATGAACCCCCAGGATTATAAAACCCCAAGATACATCAGATGCCGGAGTGGCCAGACACCAAGGGCCATGAGGCTGTCTCAGCTTGTCGGTGACCAGGGCAGAGGGTTGGGGGTACTGCCTGCTGTCCACCCCTCCCATCTATGGGAGACCTCATCTCCCCAACGTGTCATCTTGAGAGGCTGCTTTGGCCGGTAAGACAAACCTGCATTTACAGCTTGGAGCACTGAGGTCAAGCAGCGGGGAGCTTTGGAGTTCAGGAATCTCAGGATGGAGGGCCAGGGATGAGTTTCCTTCCCCCCACTCCACCTCAAGCCCAACAAGGAATTTTCTGGCATGATGAGCGTGTTAGTCTGCTCAGGCTGCCATAAAGTCCCGCAAATGGGGTGGCTTAAGCCACAGAAATTAGCTTCCTCGCACTTCTGGAGGTGAAGGTTGAGGCGTCAGCAGGGCTGGGTTTTTTCAAGACCTCTCTCCTTGGCTCACGGGTGGCCATGTTGTCGCTGCGTTCTCACCTGGACTTTCCTCTG
Organism: Homo sapiens; assembly: GCF_000001405.40. Lineage (NCBI taxonomy): Eukaryota > Metazoa > Chordata > Mammalia > Primates > Hominidae > Homo > Homo sapiens. Next base: position 12,045,095 of record NC_000001.11, on the reverse strand, counting down.
TACGTGCACAGGTCTGTGGCCAAATTTCCCCTTTTTGTAAGGACACCAGTCGTATTGGATTAGGGTCCACCTGAAAGGCCTTGTTTTAACTTAATTGCCTCTTTAAAGACTATCTCAAAGGACTGTTGCATTCTGAAGTACTGGAGGTTAGGACTTCCAAATGTGAATTTGGGGAGGGACACAGTTCAGCCCAGGACACTGAGGTTTCTGCTTGCCCCAGAAAATTAATTCCCAACTGAAGCTAAGAGCTAAACTGTGGACTTGACCGTGAGCAAACAGCCGTCACGTGGCCACCCCAGCATCTCATTCATCATTCATCCAGGCAACTGTGAACTGTATTCATTTCTTTTTTTTTTTTTTGAGTCAGAGTCTCGCTCTGTCACCCAGGTTGGAGTGCAGTGGCGTGATCTCAGCTCACTGCAACCTCTGCCTCCCAGGTTCAAGCGACTCTCGTGCCCCAGCCTCCCGAGTAAGTGAGATTTCAGGTGCATGCCATTACACCGGCTAATTTTTGTATTTTCAGTAGAGACGGGGTTTCACCATGTTAGCCAGACTGGTCTCAAACTCCTGACCTCAAGTGATCCACCCACCTCGGCCTCCCAGAGTGCTAGGATTACAGGCATGAGGTACCACGCCCAGTCTGTGTTCATTTCTTAGGGCCACTGTAGTAACTGCTCACAAACGGTATGATTAAAACAATTGAAACTTCTAGCCTCTAGTTCTGGAGACCGGAAGTCCAAGATCAAGGTGTTGGCAGGGTTGCTTCCTTCTGGAAGCTCTGACAGAAAATCTGTCCCTCCTATGCCTCTCCCCTGGCTTCTAGCAGCTGCCTGCCATCCTTCATCAGTCCTCTCTGCCCCTGTCATCATGTTCCCTGCTTGCTTTTTTTTTTTTTTCAGTGAGATAGCGCCTTGCTCTGTTGCCCAGGCTGGAGTGCAGTGGCGTGATCTCGGCTCACTGCAACCTCTGCCACCCGGGTTCAAGTGATTCTCCTGCCTCAGCCTCCCGAGTAGCTGGGATTACAGGCACGCACCACCTGGCTAATTTTTTTTTTTTTTGTATTTTTAGTAGAGACGGGGTTTTACCATGTTGGCCAGGCTGGACTCAAACTCCTGACCTCAGGTGATCCGCCCACCTCAGCCTCCCAAAGTGCTGGGATTACAGGTGTGAGCCACCACTCCTGGCCCATGTTCCCTAATTCTTTGTGTCTCTGTGGTGTGTCCTTTTCTGTATCTTATAAGACACCTATTATTGGATTTAAAGCCCTCCCTAAACCAGGATGCTCTCATTTTGAGATCATTACCCTACCTTTTTTTTTTTTTTTTTTTTCCGATTTCTCAATCTTTTCCCCACCTTTCCCCCCTTTCCATTCCACAAAACCGCCATTGTCATCATGGCCCGTTCTCAATGAGCTGTTGGGTACACCTCCCAGACGGGGTGGTGGCCTGGCAGAGGGGCTCCTCACTTCCCAGTAGGGGCGGCCGGGCAGAGGCGCCCCTCACCTCCCGGACGGGGCGGCTGGCCGGGCGGGGGGCTGACCCCCCACCTCCCTCCCGGACGGGGCGGCTGGCCTGGCTGGGGGCTGACCCCCCCACCTCTCTCCCGGACGGGGTGGCTGCCGGGCGGAGAGGCTCCTCACTTCCCAGACGGGGTGGCTGCCGGGCGGAGGGGCTCCTCACTTCTCAGACGGGGCGGCTGCCGGGTGGAGGGTCTCCTCACTTCTCAGACGGAGCGGCCGGGCAGAGATGCTCCTCACCTCCCAGACGGGGTCGCAGCCGGGCAGAGGCGCTCCTCACATCCCAGCCGGGGCGGCAGGGCAGAGGCGCTCCCCACATCTCAGACGATGGGCGGCCGGGCAGAGACGCTCCTCACTTCCTAGATGGGATGGCGGCCGGGCAGAGACGCTCCTCACTTTCCAGACTGGGCAGCCAGGCAGAGGGGCTCCTCACATCCCAGACGATGGGCGGCCAGGCAGAGACGCTCCTCACTTCCCAGACGGGGTGGCGGCCGGGCAGAGGCTGCAATCTCGGCACTTTGGGAGGCCAAGGCAGGCGGCTGGGAGGTGGAGGTTTTAGCGAGCCGAGATCACGCCACTGCACTCCAGCCTGGGCACCATTGAGCACTGAGTGAACGAGACTCCGTCTGCAATCCCGGCACCTCGGGAGGCCGAGGCTGGCGGATCACTCGCGATTAGGAGCTGGAGACGGGCCCGGCCAACACAGCGAAACCCCGTCTCCACCAAAAAAATACGAAAACCAGTCAGGCGTGGCGGCGCGCGCCTGCAATCGCAGGCACTCGGCAGGCTGAGGCAGGAGAATCAGGCAGGGAGGTTGCAGTGAGCCGAGATGGCAGCAGTACAGTCCAGCTTCGGCTCGGCATCAGAGGGAGACCGTGGGGAGAGGGAGAGGGAGAGGGAGAGGGAGAGGGAGAGGGAGAGGGACTCGCGTCTTAAGAGCCCCATTACCCTACCTTAATTACATCTGCAGAAAGGCTGGGCATGGTGGCTCACGCCTGTAATCCCAGCACTTTGGGAGGCCAAGGCGGGTGGATCACTTAAGGTCAGGAGTTCAAGACTATCCTAGCCAACATGGTGAAACCCTGTCTCTACTGAAAATACAAAAAATTAGCCAGGTATGGTGGTGTGCGTCTGTAGTCCCAGTTGCTCGGGAGGCTGAGGCAGGAGAATCACTTGAACCCGGGAGGCGCAGGTTGCAGTGAGCCGAGAGCGTGCCACTGCGCTCCAGCTTGGGCAACCAAAAACAAACAAACAAAAAACAGAAAGAAAAAAAGAAAAGAAATTTATGTTGCTTAAGCCCTGCAGTCTGTGGTGTTCTGTTATACAGCCCTAGCGGGTGATAGGGTGAGACTATCTCAAAAAAAAAAAAAAAAAAAGAAAAAAATTATATCTGCATAGACCCTTATTCCAAATAAGGTCATATACTCTGAAGTTCTAGGTGGACATATCTTTGGGGGGCCACCTCTGAACCCACATCAGGGACCCAGAGAAGATGCCGGCTCTCCCAAATGTCAGTGTCCTCAGAGTCCTTTGGCAGCTGAGGCCCACAGGGAGGATCAGCACCTGGGAGACCCTTGTCCTTCAGAAGGGCCCAGCCCAGCAAGGCAAGAAGTCCCAAGGAACCCACCCATCCCGGTCAGGAGAACCACAGGAGGGTTTTACGGGGATGGGGAGTCCACGTGGCCAGGCAGGGAGACTGAGGAAAGGTTTGGGCAATCCGGCCTGAAGGCGGGACTTGAGCAGGTCTTACCCTGCAGGAGGAGTGGAATGGAGGTGTGGGTAACTGCCCCCATCCTGCTCTGTTCCCACACCGTGTCCTACAGAGTCCCTAGAGTTCCCAACCAAAGATTCCTGGAAGGGCCTGAGTGGTTTTCAGGCCTCTGACCCTCCCAGGCTTGGAGGCCCGCAGGGCCCTACTCCAGCACAGACACTGGGCCAGCGCCCTGTGTCCATCATTTCATGGAAGAATCACCTGAAACTTCCCCTGCTCCCACTCGGCTCATTCCTTACTGTGTATCTGGCCAGGTGGGGTGGACCCCTCTAGAGACAGGATCCTCATCTGCCAATATGCACACAGGCCCTGGTTTCAAATAATAATGTTGCACATTTATTAGGCCCAGTACTGCACTACGCATTTCATCTCCTGATCATCTAATTTCATCCTCTAAAAACCCCAACGCAGTAGGTAACATTCTTGGTTTTCTGGGTTTTTTTTTTTTGTTGTTGTTGTTTTGTTTTGTTTTGTTTTGTTTTTTGAGACAGGGTCTTGCTCTGTCACCCAGGCTGGAGTGCAGTAGCTCGACCGTGGCTCGCTGCAGCTTCCAACTCCTGGGCTCAAGTGATCCTCCTGCCTCAGCCTCCCAAGTGGCTGGAAACACAGGTTCGTGCCACCACACCTGGCTAATTTTTTAAATTCTTTTGTAGAGACAGGGGTCTCCCTATGTTGCCCAAGCCGGTCTCGAGCTCCTGGGCTCAAGCAATCCACCCACCTTGGCCTCCCAAAGTGTTGGCATTATAGGTGTGAGCCACGGTGCCTGGCCCAGTAGGTAGCATTCTAATCCCCATTCTACAGATGAGGAAACTGAGGCTCAGAGAAGCCCACTGACTTGTGCAGGAGCAGCAGCCAACACTGACCCCCAGGCTGAGGCTCCAGGTCCAGTGTTCTGCAACACACAGCTGGCACCTGGGGCTGCTTCCTCTCCTGGGTGAGCCTAAGTAGCAAATGTAAGAAGTTATGTTTGCTCATTTCTGCTTGAGTGGATTCACAAGCCGCTGGCTCTGTGACAATGGGCAGCTCTCTGGAGGGATGCTTTGAAGACAAAACAGAATAGAGCCCCATGTCTCTTGCGTGAGTCACTATATTCCTTGAAAGATAAATGGCCCCAGACTTGCTTTTTCCTACACATAAGATACCATCTGGTGGGGTTAGTGATTCTGCCTCCACAATCGATTCAGCAGATGTGCTTTAGTCATCTATAGCCAGATGTACTCTATACCCAAACCTCGATGTGATTTTGTACATATTACAGCTTCACCACCTGTACATAAACTGTGAACTGAAACTGCCAGAGCAGCTGATAGAACCCCTCCACAGGGCTGCTCTCAGGCAATAGGCTCGGTCTATAGTCCTGGTAAAACTTCTGAATAAAAAGAACTCTAAAGTTTTTGTTTTTTGTTTTTGAGACGGAGTTTCACTCTTGTTGCCCAGGCTGGAATGCAATGGTGTGATCTCAGCTCACTGCAACCTCTGCCTCCCGGGTTCAAGCGATTCTCCTCCCGCAGCCTCCCGAGTAGCTGACATTACAGGCATGTGCCACCACGCCCGGCTAATTTTGTATTTTTAGTAGAGACTGGGTTTCTCAATGTTGGTCAGACTGGTCTCGAACTCCTGACCTCAAGTGATCTGCCCACCTTGGCCTCCCAAAGTGCTGGGATTACAGGCTTGAGCCACCACGCCCGGCATTTTTATTTATTTATTTATTTTTAGACATGGTCTCACTCTGTTGCTCAGGCTGGAGTGCAGTGTTGTGATCACCACGCACTGCAGTCTCAGACTTCCCCGGGCTCAGGTGATCCTCCCACCTCAGCCTACCAAGTAGCTGGGAACCACAGATGTATGTCACCATGCCTGGCTAATTTTTTGTATTTTCAGTAGAGATGGGGTTTCATCTCTACATGTTGCCCAGGCTGCTCTTAAACTCCTGGGCTCGGGCAATCCACTGGCTTCAGCCTCCCAAATTACTGGGATTACAAGTGTGAGCTACCACACCCAGCCCGAACTCTAATTCTTCAGCTTTTTATTTTCTTTAGTTGACACCTGGCAAACTTCCACCATGGGAGTCAGGGGGTGTTTGTCAGAATTTGCTGGGAATGGGATGGGGGGCAGCTAGTTCTCCCTCGAGGCTGGGGTGTTCTGTAACCCTCAATCCTGGTGGACAGGAAGGGTTCCCCCACCAAATCTGAGGCCTGGGGAATTCTCAAAGCCCTCCCTCTCCCCTTCTCCACTGGCTGAGATGTCATGAGTCCTGGCTGGCCAAGAAAGGCTTCCTTGCCTCGGGAGCTGGAGGCCCAGGACACCTGGGTGCCTCTGGTATCCCATCAACAATGGTGGGGGATAGAGGAGGCAGGGCTGGGGGAAGCAGAGGGGTTTCTGCTGAGTTTCAGAGGCTGTGTTGCCAACTCTTAGCCACAGATAAAGAGGGCCAAAGAGAGTGTGGTCAGAGCTCAGCATGGTGATGGCATGACAGGGGATGTCCCCAAAGGCCACCCAAACCATCATCAGGCACTCTTATGCCACCCCAACTGATCACATCACGATCCTGTGGGCCCAGCTTCCTCTCAAAACTTCCTGCAAGGCTTCAGCCATCCACCCTCACAGCCTCAGCACTGGCCCCAGGGAGGGTCCTGCCCACCCACATCCCTCCTCCCTCCCTGTCCTCAGAGCCTCCATGCTAATGAAACTGGCAAGAAGGCTGCTGCCGGCATCTGCTCCCAGCAACAGCCCTTCCAGGAGCTGGGGGTGAAGGCCACTGGATCAAAGGACTCCATGCCCTGCTTCCATTCTCTCTTATCGTCCTGGGGAAGGCATGAGCTGGAGCAAACTCAGGGGGCAGGTTCCATTCCAGGCAACAGGATGGCATCAATCTTATGATGGAAGAGCTGATGACAGTCTTATCATTTCTCATAGCTCCCCTCCCCGTCAGACCACGTGCCCGGGTCTCTGCAGGTCGGATCTGGTTCACCTCTTCTTGGAGTTATCGCCCGTGTACAGATGACAAAACTGAGCTACATACAGAAAGGCTAAGTGACACGGCCGCCGTCACGCAGTCAGTGGGTGGCAATACCGAGGGCGGGTGTTCGGAGCTACACTCTATGTCCTCCCACAGATTGGGCTGAAAAGTTCAGCAAACCTACAGCCAAGTCTACATTGAGCCAGTGTGCATTCTCAGAACATCTGAATGCCACTTTCCAAAGGCAGAGGGGGGAAATCCAGCTGTGTGTGTGTTTCTGGGCCATGCACGCTTCACCTCATGATGAAGTGGGAGTGGAAGGGTCACCCAACCCCTCCAGGGAGAATTCCCCTTTGCAGCCTCCCTCTCAGAGGGTGGCAATCAGTAGCCAACAGGTCCTTGTCTTGCCTGGGAGGTTAAAAGTGGCCTGAGGGAGGGAAGGTGGGGTTATTTCCATACACTTCCATCTGCACGCCAAGGGACTGGGCCCTGCAGCTGCCAATGGATGGCGGACGTAGAGTTTCCCAGATGAAGATGTTTCAGCTGTCCCCAGCCGCTCCCTACCATCCACCCTAGGGTCCTAGACTCCCCTGGGAGACTGGTGCTGAGCCGAGACCCCACAATCTGCCTGAGGCCTAGGGCAACAGATGTGCAGAAACCAGCGCAAGCTAGAACAGCAGCAGCTCAGCCCCAGTGCTAGAATCCCAGGAAACAGGAACCTCGGGTCTCAGGGCTGCCAGGTCTACCTTCCCAAGACCTGGGAGCTCATTTACTCCCTCGTTCATTCAACATTTATTTATTGAACGTCTATCATATGCCGCATGCTGTACTAGGCCCTGGGGATAGCGCCAAGGACAGGACAGGCTTGGTTCCTGCTCTCAAGGAGCTTACAGTCAAGTGTCACAAAGTCTACAATGGGGATGCTGCAGAACCCAACTCCAGGAGCCTTGGCCAGTTCGGTCGGCTCAGGGAAGGGCTCTGAGGAATTGAAATAGAAGCTGAGGACTGAGTAGGAGTTCATTGGGTGGAAGAGAGCTTTGGGCAGAGGCAATGGAGTAGATAAAGACCCAGAGGCCAGGGGGAGCCTGCCGGTTTAAGACCCAGAAAAAAGCTTCAGCAGAGCTGGAGCCTCGCCTGGGAGGGGTGTGGGAGGTGTGAGACGTGGGTCAGGGAAGCGTGGTCGGGCTGCTCTGGTTTTCTTCCCAGCACTTCCCACCACCTGACACATTTTCTGTTTACTGGCTTATTTCAGACTGCAGCCCCCCCACCCAGCAGCAGGGAAGCTCCAGGGGGCAGGCTCCTGTGGCTGTGGGTGCTAGTGTTGTCTGCTTCACTGCCGCATCTGCAGAGCCTAGAACAGTGCCTAGCACACAGGAGGAGTCGAACACGTGGCTGGTGAATGAATGAGTGAGTGGGGGAATGGTGGAGGCATTACAGACCATATCAAGGAGTTGGGTTCCAGTTGGAGAGCATTCATCAGCTCTACACATTTTTTTTTTCTTTTTTTTTTTTCTGAGACAGAGTCTCACTCTGTCGCCCAGGCTGGAGTGCAGTGGTGCGATCTCGGCTCCCTGCAAGCTCCACCCCCCAGGTTCAAGCGATTCTCCTGCCTCAGCCTCCCGAATGGCTGGGACTACAGGCACACGCCACCACACCCAGCTAATTTTTGTATTTTTAGTAGAGACGAGGTTTCACCATGTTGGCCAGGATGGTCTCGATCTCATGACCTCGTGATCCGCCCACCTCAGCCTCCCAAAGTGCTGGAATTACAGGTGGGAGCCAGCGCACCCGGCCAGCTCCACACCTTTCTATTGAGGAATCCATCTCCCTGCCTTGTTAGGTGTGGTGGTGCTCGCCAGTTGTCTCACCTATTCAGGAGGCTGAGGCGGGAGGATCACTTGTGCCCAGTTCGGGGCTTTGGTGCCCTATGCTGATGGGGTGTCTGCACTAACTTGAGCATCAATATGGTGACCTCCTTGAAACCAGGTTGCCTAAGGAGGGTTAAACCAGCTCAGGTTGGAAATAGAGCAGGTCAAAACTCCAGTGCTGATCAGCAGTGGGGTAAATAGCCACTGTGCTCCAGCCTGGGCAAGGGCAAGAACCTGCCTCTAAAAAAGCTCTTATTTTAATTATTTTTATTTTTTGAGGCGGAGTCTCACTCTGTCACCCAGGCTGGAGTGCAATAGCGCGATCTTAGCTTGCTGCAACCTCCGCCTCCCAAGTTCAAGTGATTCTCATAGCTCAACCTCCTGAGTAGCTGGGATTATAGGTGCTTGCCAATATGCCCAGCTAATTTTTGTATTTTTCATAGAGACAGGGTTTCACCATGTTGGCCAGGCTGGTCTCAAACTCCTGACCTCAAGTGATCCACCCGCCTCAGCCTCTCAAAGTTCTGGGATTACAGATGTGAACCACCATGCCCAGCCTCTTTTTTCTTTTTCTGAGACGGAGTCTCGCTCTGTCGCCCAGGCTGGAGTGCAGTGGCGCGATCTTGGCTCACTGCAAGCTCCACTTCCCGGGTTCACACTATTCTCCTGCCACAGCCTCCGGAGAAGCTGGGACTACAGGTGCCCGCCACCATGCCCGGCTAATTCTTTTGTATTTTTTATTAGAGACGGGGTTTCACCATATTAGCCAGGATGGTCTCGATCTCCTGACCTCATGATCCGCCCGCCTTGGCCTCCCAAAGTGCTGGGATTACAGGCATGAGCCACTGTGCCCGGCCTTTTTTTTTTTTTTTTTTTTTTAAGAGAGATGGGGTCTTGCTATGTTGCCCAGGCTGGATTTGAGCTTCTGCCTTTTCTCACGTCCTCAGCTGACTGTCTCCAGCATGGTTAGGTCCAAGAAGACAAACTTCAGGCCGCTGCCTGGCCAGGGTCATGGTTCTAAGCCGTGGTGCAGGCAATGGAGGAGTCAGATCTTTGTTCTTATTTCTAAATGACCAACACAAGACACTAGTTTTGGGAGAAGTAGGTGATCTTGCCTTTTTCCTTTGGGATTTACAGTACATACTCAGAAGGCACAAAAAAAGAAAAGAATGCTATCAGTATGGGAGAGGGGGTGCATGTAAGGTGTATCAGGAGTGTGCCCAACCACCAGGGTCCTTTCATGCAGAGAAATGAAAGCATTTGTCCAGTAACCTTCACAAGGCAGGTAAGAAACCAGGCTAGAGGGAAAAGCCAAATTCTGGAACACAGTTCAGCCAGTACTTTTGAAAAAGTACAATACAAAACTATTTCAATGAAGAAAAACAATGCCATCTCTGTTTTCAGGAAGCTGCAATTCTCGCAGGGGAGAGAGCTTAGGCAATGCATCTCACCGTTAGTTACTTAATACTACTACTCAGGGGCCTTGGAGAAGAGCAGGAAGGCAGGCTGTGTGATGGCGGGGGCAGATCTGAGAACCCAGAGGTTCAGGGAGGACCTCTTGAAAGAAGAGACATCCAAGCTGAGACATGGATGGGGCAAGGGTGGGAGACAAGACGAGCATCCAGGGTGACCCCAAGTTGTAGGGGTGAAAGGCCCAGGAGAATTAAGAACAGCTTGCAAGTACCTGGGAGGGTAGTGGGGACATTCACGAAATGGAACTGTGTGGGTGCTGGAGAGCTGCAAGACATGGGCTCTGCTCTAGGGGCCTCCTGCCTGGAACCTTCATTCTTGGGGCCCCTTCAGCTTGAATAAGCCTGTATCCCATGCTGAAATCAGTCCTAAGAAGTGACTGGAGAGGCAGCCCCAGGCCCAGGGCTTTCTCAAGCACCTCCCTGCCGTTCTCCGGAGGCCAGGGGCAGTGGCTCATGCCTGTAATCCCAGCACTTTGGGAAGTCAAGGCAGGTGGATTACTTGAGGCCAGGAGTTTGAGACCAGCCTGGCCAACATGGAGAAACCCCTTCTCTATTAAAAATACAAAAATTAGCCGGGCATGGTGGCAGGCGCCTGTAATCCCAGCTACGCGGGAGGCTGAGGCATGAGAATCACTTGAATTTGCAAGGACGTTGCAGTGAGCCGAGATTGCACCACTGTACTCTAGCCTAAGCGACAGACCCTGTCTCAAAAATTAAAAAGAAAAAGAGTTCTCAAGCGACCAGCAGGAAGGATCTGGTTCAGGCTGTGGTCTTCCTACCCCCGCTGATGGCTCCAGATGGCCCCAAGGAGGCTGCCTTCTGAAGAGATAGCCAGGAACAGGCAGAGCAGAGGTCAGTACGTGGGAAGACAGGAGTTATTTGCCGCCACACAAAGAGGGTCTTTCAGGCTATGGCGCCACAGGTTTCATTCAGCGCAGTGTCTACAGACTTTGGGCTGTGGTTCTTGTGCATGGAACTTACTGGAAGCAAGCAAGCTGGAAGTCTTCCAAAGTTTCAAAAGAACTGTTTTTCCAGAGAAACCATGCACCCTGATGCATTATGGGCCCTGTGGCAGCATTCCAGCCTGTACGGTGATGGAAAAGAAGCATTTCTCTCTGGGTTAGGCTGTTGCTGTTTTGGACTTCTGTTATACACGGCTAAATCTGTAAGCTGATCTCAGCTTTGTAAATTTTGTAATTTTTTTTTTTTTGAGACAGAGTCTTGCTCTGTACCCCAAGCTGGAGTGCAATGGCACCATCTCGGCTCACTGCAACTTCCGCCTCCTGGGTTCAAGTGATTCTCATGCCTCTGCCTCCCAAGTAGCTGGGATTACAGGCATGTGCCACCATGTCTGGCTAGTTTTTAAATTTTTTACTAGAGATGGGGTTTTGCCATATTGGCCAGGCTGGTCTCAAACTCCTGACCTCAAGTGATCAGCCTGCCTTGGCCTCCCAAAGTACTGGGATTATATGGGTCAGTCACGGCACCTGGCCTAAATTTTGTAACTTTTTTTTCTTTTTCGAGACAGAGTATCACTGTCGCCCAGGTTGGAGTGCAGTGGCATGATCCGGCTCACTGCAACCTCTGCCTCCCAGGTTCAAGCCATTCTTCCGCCTCAGACTCCCGAGTAGCTGGGATTACAGGTGTGCATCACCATCCCCAGCTAATTTTTGTATTTTTAGTAGAGACGGGGTTTCGCCATGTTGGCCAGGCTGGTCACAAACTCCTGACCTCAAGTGATCCTCCTGCCTCGGCCTCCCAAAGTGCTGGGATTACAGGAGTGAGCCACCAAGCCCAGCCTGATTTTGTAACTTTTGTTTGACAGAAAGGCTTTGAATTATCTTCTCCCTGTGGCCAAAGAATTTCTAAAGAAACCACTGACTCCCACAGGTTCTCCGACTCAAAATTACACGTGGAACAACAAACCAAGCCCAACTGAAATATGGGACAAAGGACTTGACTTCTCCAAAGAAGATATACAAACAGGCTGGGTGCAGTGGCTTGTGCCTATAATCCCAGCATTTTGGGAGGCCCAGGTAGGAAAAGCCTGAGGCCTGGACAACATAGCAAGACCCTGTCTCTATTAAAAATAAACTAATAAACATGTACTCCTGAACTTAAGTTAAAAAAAAACTATTAATAAATATTTTTAAAATATACAAATGACCAATAAGCATATTAAAACATGCTCAACGTCACTAATCCTTAGGGAAATGCTAATAAAAACCACAATGAGATACACTTCACAGCCATTAGGATGGCTACTACCGAAAAACCAGAAAATAGCAAGTGCTGTTGACGATGAGGAAAAATTGGAACTCTTGTGCATCACTGGTCGGAAAGTAAAACAGTATAGCATTTCCTTGAAAAATTAAAAATAGAATTATTGGCCGGAGGTGGTAGCTCACGCCTGTAATCCCAGCACTTTGGGAGGCTAAGGTGGCAGATCCCTTGATCTCAGGAGTTCAAGACCAGCCTCAGTAACATAGTGAAACCCCTTCTCCACAAAAAGTACAAAAAAATTAGCCAGGAGTGGTAGCACGCGCCTATAGTCCCAGCTACCTAGGGGGCTAAGGCAAGAGAATCAATCACTTGAGCTTAAGAGGTCGAGGCTGCAGTGGGCGGAGATGGCCCCACTGCACTCCAGCCTGAGTGACAAAGTGAGATCCTGTCTCAAAAATAAAAAAACATAGAATCACCTTCTGATCCTGCAATTCCACTTCTGTATACCCAAAATAATGGAAAGCAGGGACTCAAACAGACTTTGTTTCTCCAGAGAGAGGGAAAGGTTTTTATAGCTTCATAAACTCCAGGAAAAAGCCCCAGGACAGCATAGCCCAGTTCCATCTCTAAGCCGAGAAACCTTAGAGAAAGTTCATGCCTCGTTTCCGCATTTATTCCACTTACAAAAACAAGAATTTCATATTATGCAACCAACACATACAAGAGGTGAGTGAAGGACAGGGCACTGCCTACTCTCCCAGACTGGACATCTGGGCTCTCTGCTAACCTTGCCTCCAACTCACCGCCCAGCCCTGTTTCCTCATCTGTCCCTGCTGGGGCTCTGAATGACCTGCGGCTCCCATGGCTGGGTGGAGGAGCCATGTGACCCCAGGGACTTCCAGAGAGCCCTTCTATCAATGGATCCCGGTTCTGGGACCAGGAAGGAGAGAGCTCAGTCACTCAACACGACTCACGGCTTCAGCGGAGGCCCTCGCTAAAATGACTTTTTAATAACCTTGGCCCAGCCTGCCCAGGGGCCCCCCCTCCCCCATCTGGTGGAGGCCACTACCCAGAGCTGGGGATCTGCGGAAGGAGCCACCCTCATGGTGACGGACACACACTGCCTAGTCCCAGTGGTTGCAGTATCTTCCTTCCACAGGTGCCAGGAGGGCAGGCTGAGAGGCCAGAGTGCCTTCTGGGCCTCAAGTGCATTAGCAGGATGGAACCAGCACACGTGGGACTTGAGCTGCAGAGCACTGAGCTTTATTTACAAACTTCCACAGAATCCCTCACCCTCCACCCCAGGGTCCTCCCTCTCTGGAACTCAGGCAGCAGACAAGCTTGGGTCCACCCACCTGCCCAACCTAGGACAGCTGGGCCTGAGCTGGGCGGGCAGGGGATTCCATCTCCTGGGTGCGCCTGCCAGAGGGGAGAGGCTGGAGGCGGCGGGAATGCTGTTCTCCCCCAGGAGTCAGTCCTCAGGGCTTCTGCCGTGGGACGTGGGGCCGAGGGACCTGGGGCACTGACCAGGTCGGGGTCGGGGGCAGCATCTGCATTGGTGAGGCCTGGATGGGGAATAGGGAAGTCTCAGGGGGGCCACTTGAAAGGGACAGGTCATCCCCAGTTCCAGCCACATTCCCTCCTGGATCTTGCAGTCAGGGTGGCCTTCCTGGGTGGAGCAGGGCAGGCGGCAGGGAGCAGAGGAGTTCCGAGGGATGGCTAGGGTCAGGGCTGGAGGGCTGGACCCTGCAGAGAGACACTCCCAGGCTCCATCCTCCCCACCTCAATCCTACCCCCCAGGAGGCTCTGCAGTCCCCAGGCCTGCTGCGAGGTCTCTGTCCCTCTAGGGGGCACCCCAGGCTAGGATGCGATCTGGACCGTACCGGGTGAAAAGGGCTGCTGGTGCCGGACAGCTTCTGGTGCTGGGCCTCAGCGGAGACAGAGGACCAGAGGTCCAGGTTCCTGGGGGCTGAGCTTTTCTCAGACTTCGGAGGAAAAATGTCCCAGCCCAGCAGGCAGTGCTGTGGAAGGCAAGGAGTTAAAAGTGCCTGACCTGGGACAAGCTCCCCGCTGACTGGGCACACCCCCATCAGGGAGGAACTGTGCCCCCCATTAGGAAGGAGGCCCCCACCAAGGCAGGGCCTGTGTCTACCCACAAGACTACCCCAGCTCTCCCCTTTCTTATCCTGGCAGATCCAGCCATCCCTGGGGCCCTGAGAGCTGAAATGGGAGGAGGATAGGACGGTGACAGTGACATTCACAGGGTACTTCCTGCTGTAGGCTCTCCAAGCACCTGCATGGATTGCTTCACTCAACAGCCCCACCTCACCACCAACATCCCTGAGGATGGCGCTGTTATGTCCATTTTACGGACCAGCAAACTGACTTTCCTCTGCATCCTTCTCCTCCTCTGACCCCAGCTGCCCTACTCTCAATTTAGGAGTCAGGGGGAGTTGCCACTGGCACCCCATCCCGACCTGGAGACACAGGAAAGGACATTTTTTTTTTTTTTGAGATGGAGTCTCACTCTGTCACCCAGGCTGCAGTGCAGTGGCGAGATCTCAGCTCACTGCAGCCTCTGCCTCCCAGGTTCAAGCGATCCTCCCACCTCAGCCTCCCAAGTAGCTGGGACTACAGTGGAGGCTGCAGTGAGCTGAGACCATGCCAATGCACTCCAGCCTGGGCAGTAAGAACAAAACTCGGTCTCAAAAAAAAAAAAAAAAAAAAAAAGCAGCAGCAGCAGCACAGAGACCTAGGTTCGAATCCCAGCTCCTCCACCAAGGCGCCTCCCCCTCTGCTTCGGTCTCCCCACCTGCAGGGTGGGGGTACAGCAGTGCCTACACTCCTGGCTGCTGTGGGGGCTCCATGAGATAAGCCCCCTAAGGACTGTGCCTGCAGTACACAAAAGCGCAATAAACAGGACCCATTCATGTCATGCCAGCCTGCAGGCAGATCACCCTGGAAGCACCGGGGTACGTGGAGCGGGGGTCCTACCTCCCTTAGGTACAGGTGTGGGTGATGGAAGAGGCCCAGGCTGTGCTCCAGAGACTTGGGCGCTCACCCTTGTCGAGCCCAGTCTCGCTCTGTGACCCTCCCTGGGGATCTGGGCCAGTCTGAGCCAGCCCCGCCCTCATCACCATCCAGCCCCACGTGGCTGCTCACCCGGGGCAGGGCCAGTGTGTCAGAGGCGTCAAAGCTCTTTCGCCGGTGGATGTGGTACCGGTGCGGGGGCTCCAGGATCGACAGCGGGATGCTCACCCTGCGCAGGGGGGCAGTGGGGGACCCCTGAGGAGCCTCCCAGCGGTTGGGGGCCCACGCCCAGGCCCATCTTTTCTTAAAACCAGTGGTTCAGGCTCTGTCCCCCAAGGTGTCCCAATACTCTGGTCACTCACCTGACGTGCGCTGGCTGCGCCAGGGTCCCAGGGCCCTGCTGGTCTCGCGGTGTCCTGCACAGGCGGCAGGGGGTACCGGGATCCACAGGCACCGGGAACAGGCGCCGGTTGACACGGTAACAGTACACGCCTGCGAGGCCCATGAGAAGCCACAGCTCTCCCTGAGCCAGGAACCCAGGTCCCCAGGCTCCGTGCTGCCCTCAGCGGCCCCCAACCACACAAGCTGCCAATCCCTCTGGGAAGCCCTTCGGCCCATTTCCTCCTAACCCCTTTCCTCCCAGAACCTGGGGCCCACGCCCTAAGGGGTGGGGAGGGACATCCTCCTGGGGCCCTCAGGAGCTGGGATGGAGTCCCACCAGCACAGGGGCACTGCTGGGGAGGGTGGGATGGTGCCACACAGGGCAGCCCCTAATTCGGTGGCCAGGCCTTAGCTCACTCCACCCCTACCAGGGCTTGGCCACCCTGTCCAGACTGCAGGCCTCCCTCCATGAGTCTCAACATCTCAGGGGCCTCCCCAGGCCCCAAACCTCAAATGGGACTGCTCTGGGGCAGGGGAGGCCAGGGCAGCGCGAGGCTGGACTACTCAGCGGCCTAGCCGAGGGCCCGCACTCACATTCATGGTCTTCCTCCACGCCGCTGCCACTGCTCTCACGCAGGCCTGGCAACTGGGGTCTGAGAGGGCGAGGGGGATGAGCAGGCCGGGGGATGGAGCCGCTCAGCCGCCCTCGCCCACCCTCGCCCGCCCCTGCTCACTCAGGATGGCTGCAGATACACTCCTCCTTGTTGGTTTCCCGAAACTCCTGCAGCTTGGAGAAGAAGGCCTCAGGCTGGCTGGTGATGGAAGAGCTGGTGTCCAGAGACCCTGGTGTGGGCAAAGCACCAGGCAGCTGACGGGAGAGGGGCTGGGGGCTGCTGTGTGGCCACCGGCCAAGGCTTGGAGAGACGATCAGCCCTGGCACCCCAGGCCACCTGCTTCATCCCTACTGTGCCTCAAACAGGCCAGGAGGGCCCCTCCAGTCACTGGGACTGTTGGTTGGTTTCAGTGTCTGTCTACCCTGATGCATAGCCAACCATCCATGGAAAAAATATCGACAGAGCCCTTATGACAGGGCTAGATGCTGTTTCATGTGCCAGGAACTAGACAGACAAAGCCCCTGGCCTTAATGAGGCTTACACTGTAAGGTGGCAAGAGATGAACTAGCCACCAAAAAAAAAAAAACCCGTGATACAAGACTGAATGCTGATACCTGCCAGAAAGCAAGAGAGCAGCGTCAGAGCCTAGTATGGCCGGGCAGCCATACCAGGGAAGGCCTCTCCGAGTGAGATGACCCTGAGCAGAGACATGGAGAAGCCACAGAGACCTCCCAGGAAGGACATCGCAGGGAGATGAAAGAGCAAGCGCAAAGGCCCCGGGGTGGGCATGTGCATGGTTCAGCTGAGGAACAGCCAGGAGGGGAAAGTGGCAGGAAGGCAGCGAGGGTGGAGGAGATGAGGTTAAGAAGCCCAGGGAGGGTCTGGGGAATGGGAGGGACACAACCACATCAGCCACATATTTTTACAGAACTCCTCCTCTGGCTGCTTCAAGTTGAGGGGAAGCAGAGGCATCGGTTAGGATTCAGCTGGGGAGAGGTAGGGGCAGCCCCCAACTTACCATGATTCGACTTAGGATGTTTCTTTTTTTATTTTTTGAGACAGAATCTCACCGTGTTGCCCAGGGTGCAGTGCAGTGGAGCGACCTCGGCTCACTGCAACCTCTGCCTCCCAGGTTCAAGCGATTCTCATGTCTCAGCCACCTACAGAGCTGGAATTACAGGCGTGCGCCACCACACCCAGCTAATTTTTGTATTTTTAGTAGAGACGGGGTTTCACCATCTTGGCCAGGCTGTTCTCAAACTCCTGGCCTGATCCACCTGCCTCGGCCTCCCAAAGTGCTGGGATTACAGGCGTGAGCCACCGCACCCGGCCTAAACAGTATTTTCAACTTATGTTGGGTGTATCAGGATGTAGCTGGATGGTAAATCCAGCAAGTTTATGGCCTGACCTATTTAGTATTTGGAGTTGCCATTTATGGAGACAGGAAAGACTGCAGGAGGAGCACAGCAGTGGAAATCAGGACCTTGATTTCGGACAGAAGGTTAATAACTTCATGGTGATGTGGAGAAGACAGTGGGATATACAAGTCTGGAATTCGGAGGAGAGGTGCGGGCTAGAGATACAAATGGAGAAGTAGAGAAAGTGTCCAAACACCTCAGCGTTTGGGAGATCATAGAGGGAAGATAGAGAGGAGGAGTCAGAAGACCGAGTCCCAGGCCTAGGGGTGTAGCAGTCAGAACAAGGACCTTTCCTTCCCCAGAAGCCTGGGAAGGAGCACCAACAGAGATGGGGGAGAACCGGGAAGCAAGTGGCTGGAAGTCCAGGGGAGAAAGTGCTTCAGGAGTGACCACTGTGTCCCCTGCTACTCAAAGGAAGATGTGGATGAGGGCTAAGCTGGGGAGTTGGCACCACGGAGGCCACTGATGACCCAACTGAGGGCCATGTTGATGAAATGCTGGGAGCTGAAGCCCGATTTAAGAAATAGTAGTGGAGGCTGGACACAGTGGCTCATGCCTATAATCCCAGCACTTTGGGAGGCCAAGGCGGGCAGATCACTTGACATCGGGAGTTCCAGACCAGACTGGCCAAGATGGCGAAACCCTGTCTCTGGCTAAAAATACAAAAATGAGCTGAGTGTAGTGGTGCATGCCTGTAATCCCAGCTACTTAGGTGGCTGAGACAGGAGAATCACTTGAACCTGGGAGGCGGAGGTTGCAGTGAGCTGAGATCACTGCTCCACTGCACTCCAGCCTGGGTGAAAGAACGAGACTCCATCTCAAAAAAAAAAAAAAAAAGAAAAAGAAAAGGAATAGTAGTGGAGAGAAATTGAAGGCAACGAGGCTAGACAGCCCTTTTGAAGAGGAAGTTTTGTTATCGAGAAAACAGGCAGTCACTGGAAGCAAATGTGGGCTAAAGGTAGGAATGTGGCATCGGGATGAGAAATAACAGACAGCGGCTTTACCCCGACTGGATGTGAGCTGCTGGTAAGATTCTGTCTCACCGGGCCTCAGCCTTCCCATCTGTGAATGGGCACCATGGTGGTGCCTACCTAATAAGCTTATCATGAAGGGCAAAGGAGTCAGCGGGAGGAACAGGAAGCACAGCTCGGAGCGGTGCCTGGTGCAGGGAGCATGAGATACAACCAGCTCCCAGAATGCTTCCTGCACGTTCATGCTCATGCTAAGGGGCAGGATGAGGATGCAGGACAGAGAGGGAGAGGATCACAGGAAGGAAACCCTGGAGGAGCCAGAAGCAGAGGGGCGGAGCACGCTGGAGCAGGGCCAGGGTCCAGGTGGCAGCATGGACAGTCACCTCGGCAAAGGCAGGGGAGCAGAGCGCATGGACCAAGAGCAGGTACTGGGACAGGCGCTTCCATTTTCCCAGAACCAGGAAGGAGGGCAGTGAGCTGAGAGTTCAAGAAGTACTCAAGGGCAGGGCCTGTGTCCCCGCCACCAGTTGCTCTCAGCAACTCCACAGTACACCTGTCTTTGTTTTTTGAGACAGAATCTCACTTTGTCGCCCGGGTTAGAGTGCAGTGGCTTGATCTCTGCTCACTGCAGCCTCCACTTCCTGGATTCAAATGATTCTCCTGCCTCAGCGTCCTGAGTAGCTGGGATTATAGGTGCCCGCCACCACACCTGGCTAATTTTTGTATTTTTAGTAGAGACAGAGTTTCACCACGATGCTCAGGCTGGTCTCGAACTCCTGACCTCAAGTGATTCGCCCACCTCGGCCTCCCAAATTGCTGGGATTACAGGCGTGAGCCACCATGCCTGGTCGTGGCCTCCTTTCTGGTCCTGCCATGCCTGTGGCCACCCCATTATGTGTGTAATCCCAGCACTTTGGGAGGCCAAGGCGGGCAGATCACCTGAGGTCAGGAGTTCGAGACCAGCCTGGCCAACATGGTGAAACCCCGTCTCTACTAAAAATACAAAAATAAGCCAAGCATGGTAGTGGACGTCTGTAATCCCAGCTACCTGGGAGGCTGAGGAAGAATTGCTTGAACCAAGGAAGCGGAGGTTGCAATGAGCAGAAATAACACCACTGGACTTGACTCTGGGCAACAGAGAAAACAAATAAAAATAAAAAAGGAGGAGGCCGCGAGGCTGGAAGAAAGACGGGAGGTCACATCATGGGGCCAGTAGAGGCCAGATCATGCCTCGTAAGTCTAGATAGGGATTTTGGATTTTACAGTAAGTGCTGGGAAAAGCCCATGGGGAGGTTTGAGTAGGGGAGTGACATGATCTGATTCCCATGTTTAAAAATTCCCTCTGGCTGCTATGTCAAAAGTGACAGTGCACAACCATGTCACCAGCAGCATTATTCCCAACAGTCAAGAGATGGAAAGCACCCAAGTGTCCATCCCTGAATGAACAGATAAACAACATGTGGCATCTACACACAACAGAATGTCACTCAGCCTTAAAAAGGAAGGGAATTCCAGCCAGGCACAGCGGCTCACACCTGTAATCCCAGCACTTTGGGAGGCCGAGGCAGGAGAATCACTTGAGTGCAGGAGTTCGAGACCAGCCTGGCCAACACAGTGAAACCCCATCTCTACTAAAAATGCAAAAATTAGCTGGGTGTGGTGGCGCACACCTGTAATACCTGCTACTCGGGAGGCTGAGGCACAAGAACCACTCGAACCCGGGAGGTGAAGGTTGCAGTGAGCCGAGATCACACCACTGCACTCCAGCCTGGGAGACACAGTGCGACTCTCTCTCAAAACAAACAAAAAAAACAACAACAAAAAACAAAAAACAAAAAAAAAAAGGAAGGGAATTCTGACACACAGTACAACATGAATAAATCTTGAGGCCGTTATGTTAAATAAAATAAGCCAGTACAAAAGAACAAAGGCTATATGATTTCACTTATATGAGGTCCCTAGAGGAGTCAAATTCATAGGGACAGAAAGTAGAATGGTGACTGTCCAGGGCTGGAGGGAGGGGGAATGGGAGTAATTATTTAATGGGGAGAGAAGTTTTTGGGAAGATGAAAAAGTTCTGGAGGTGGATGGTAGTAATGATAGCTCAACAGTGTAGACATAGTTGACGCCGCTTAACAGTCCACTTAAAAAACGCTACATGTGGCTGGGAGCAGTGGCTCACGCCTGTAATCCCAGCACTTTGGGAGGCTGAGGCGGGCGGATCGCCTGAGGTCAGTTCCAGACCAGCCTGGCCAACATGGTGAAACCCCTTCTCTACTAAAAATACAAAAATTAGCCGGGTGTGGTGGCAGGCACCTGTAATCCCAGCTACTCGGGACGCTGAGGCAGGTGAATCGCTTGAACCCAGGAGGCGGAGGTTGCAGTGAGCGGAGATCACGCCATTGCACTCTAGCCTGGATGACAAGAGTGAGACTTCATCTCAAAAAAAATGCTAAAGTGGTAAATTTTATGTTATGTATTTACACAAACACACATACACATGCAAAGGACAGCAATGGGACATAGGCCAGGGGGAAACCAGCCAGAAGGCAGCTGAGGTTAGGTTGCTGTCGGGGAGAGCTGGACAATAACGTGAAAAGAGCTGGCATTGGTATGAAGTTGTGCAGGGGCCTGGCACATAACAAATGTTCAAACATACGGCAGCTGGGACTCATTCATTCATTCAACAGATGCACCGTCTCAGTGCCTGAGGTTGAGAGAGCAGATACGGCTCAGAAGGTGCTCAGAGGCTGGCGTGAAGGTAGTGAGTTATCGCAATTGTATACTCACAGTCAGTGACAGACCAAACTCTTTGTTCTACTCTTTCCCCCTTCTTCTCACTGCTGCTCATCTGGTTTTTTTTGCTTGCTTATTTTTTGGAGACGGAGTCTCACTCTGTCACCCAGGCTGGAGTGCAGTGGTGCAATATCGGCTCACTGCAACCTCCGCCTCCCGGGTTCAAGCAATTCTCTTGCCTCAGCCTCCCAAGTAGCTGGGATTATAAGCCCGTGCCACCACACCCGGCTAATTATTGTATTTTTAGTAGATACGGGGTTTCACCATGTTGGTCAAGCTGGTCTCAAACTCCTGACCTCGTGATCCGCCCACCTCATCCTCCCAAAGTGCTGGGATTACAGGTGTGAGTCACCGTGCCCGGCCTGTCTTCTCTTAAAAAGCAAAGAAAAAAAAAAAAAAAGCCGGGCATGGTGGCTCATGCCTGTAATCCCAGCACTTTGGAAGGCTGAGGCGAGCTAACACGGTGAAATCCCGTCTCTACTAAAAAAAACAAAAATACAAACAAATTAGCCAGGCGTGGTGGCAGGCACCTGTAGTCCCAGCTACTCGGGAGGCTGAGGCAGGAGAATGGTATGAACCTGGGAGGCGGGGCTTGCAGTGAGCCGAGATTGCGCCACTTCACTCCAGCCTGGGCGACAGAGCGAGAGACTATCTCAAAAATAAATAAATAAATAAATAAATAAATAAATAAATAAGAAAACAAAGAAGGTGGCTGTGGGGGGCGGTGGCTCACTCCCGTAATCCTAGCACTTTGGGAGACCAAGGTAGGTGGATATCTTGAGCTCAGTAGCTTGAGACCAGCCTGGCCAATACAGGGAAACCCCATCTCTACTTAAAATACAAAAATTAGCCGGGCGTGGTGGTGCTCGCCTGTAATCCCAGCTACTCGGGAGGCCAAGGGATGAGAATCACTTGAACCTGGGAGGTGGAGGTTGCTGTGAGCCAACATCACACTACTGCACTCCAGCCTGGGGGACAGAGTGAGACTCCGTCTCAAAAAAAAAAAAAAAAAAAAAAGAGGGTGCTCCCCACGGAGGATGGCACGGTCAGAGAAACAAGCAACAGCACCGGGTGGAGGCTCAGACAGGAGCATGGAGGATCCCAGGCCTCCACCTCCCACTCCCAGGCAAAGTGTGTGCAGGGCAACAGCACGCCTTACCTGCAATCCAGTCATAGCCCAGGTATGGCCTGAGGCGCCAGCTCCTCTTAGGAACTGCAGACTCCTCAGAGAAGGTCACCCTGGGCTGAGGAAGGAAGCACAGAGGGACAAGGACTAAGCCAAGAGGCCTGGCCCAGAGGAAGCCGCAATTCGAGGGACAGAGAGACTGTGTCTTAACTTACACCCTGACTTGCAGCCCAGGGCTCAGCCAAGGGCACAAGAGCAAGAAGGGAAACGTTTGGCCCCACTTTATGTGTGGCTGTGAACAAATCCTGGCCTCTTCTCAAAGCACTGTATGAGATACTCACAGCTACCACCTAGCGAGCATTTAGGCTGAGCAAGACCCAACTCACAGTATCTCCCAGGAGCCTCTTATTCTGCAAGGGAGGCTACCCACAAGCACATGTGTCAGATAGGGAAACTGAGGCCCAAGGAAGCTCCTCCCATCAGCAGATGTCCCGCTCTCCCACGTTACCTTGGACAGCTTGCTCTGTTGAGCCAGGATGGACCTCGGGGTCTGTGCCTCCTGGGGTCCTGGATCACCCAGCCTCCCTGAGGGCTCTGGGTCCCTCAGGCTTGAGGTGCCCAGCGAGGGTGCTGAGTGGGGTCTCGGTCGGCCCAGGGACTCCTGGTGCTGGCATTTGGCAGGTGGGAGAGAGGCCACCCCCGATCTGGCCACATCACGGAGGTCCCCTCGACAGGCATCTGGTGGGCCCCACACGGAGGACCGGCCCCGTGGGCAGGAGGTGCTCAAGGAAGTTGAGGACGTCTCTGGGGTCGATGGAGTCTCTGAGTTGTAGCTGCTGCTGGATTCCAGGCTTGACTGGAGAGAGGGGCCGGGTCACCCAGGGAGTGGCTGCCAGAACCTACCCACCGGGCCTACGCCAGGCACCAAGGCAAGCATCCTCATCCTGCTCCGGCCTCAGCAGTGACCAAGGCCAGTCTCTTCCCTCCCCAGCCCTCAATGTCCCATCATCAGTAAAATGGGTGTATTGAACAAGATGAGCCCAGAAGCCTGGATGCTGGCCTGAAGGTCAGGTAGCCCCTTCCTCTGGGGTTCCCAAGGCGGGCACGCACCTCCGAGGCTGCCCTGGCCACTGACCGCCGCACAGCATCCTGCCCCACCCACAGCTGCCTCAGGAGCTCCAGATTGAGCAGCCGCAGCTGTGCCAGTTCCTCAGCCTCCACCATCCTGGGCCTCTCTCAGCAGGTGTCACTTGCCCCTGGGCCGCAGGATGTCCTCAGGGCTGGGTTCCAGGCCCAGCTCTTCTACCTGAAGTCAAGACAGCAGGACACGGGGCTCAGTAGGGTGCCCTGTGGTGCCAGAGACCCCCATTCGACACTCTTTAACTGTACTGCCTCAGGCAAGTTATTTAACTTCTCTGTGCCTCAGTTTCCTCATCTGCTGGACGACAACAGTATCTACCTCATACGATTGTTGTTAGAATTAAAGAAAGCATGTTAAGCCTGGACAACATTTGTAGAAACATTTTTTTTTGTTTTGTTTTTTTGTTTTTTTTTTTTGAGATGGAGTCTTGCTCTGTCGCCCAGGCTGGAGTGCAGTGGCGCAATCTCGGCTCACTGCAAGCTCCGCCTCCCGGGTTCACGCCATTCTCCTGCCTCAGCCTCCTGAGTAGCTGGGACTACAGGCGCCTGCCACCACGCCCAGCTAATTTTTTGTATTTTTAGTAGAGACGGGGTTTCACCGTGTTAGCCAGGATGGTCTCGATCTCATGACCTTGTGATCCGCCTGCCTCGGTCTCCCAAAGTGCTGGGATTACAGGCATGAGCTACAGTGCCTGGCCAAAAAAAAATTTAATTAGCTGGCCATGGTGGCACTTGTCTGTGGCCCCAGCTACTCAGGAGGATAGCTTTAGCCCAGGAGACCCAGGCTGCAGTGAGCCATGGTTGCATCACTGTAAAAAAAACAAAAAACAGGCCAAGTGGCTCACGTCTGTAATCCCAGCACTTTGGGAGGCTGAGGCAGGAGGATCACCTGAGGTCAGGAGTTTGAGATGAGCCTAGCCAACGTGGCGAGAGACCTCGTCGCTACTAAAAATGCAAAAATTAGCCGGGCGTGGTGGCACGCGCCTGTAATCCCAGCTACTCGGGAGGCTGAGGCAGGAGAATCACCTGAACCCGGGAGGCAGAGGTTGCGGTGAGCCGAGATCGCACCATTGCGCTCCAGCCTGGGCGACAGGGTGAGACTCCGTCTCAAAAACAGCAACAACAACAAACAATTAGCCGGGTGTGGTGGTGGGCGCCAGTAATCCCAGCTACTCAGGAGGCTGCTGAGGCAGGAGAATCGCTTGAACCTGGGAGGCGGAGGTTGTAGTGAGTGGAGATCACACTACTGCACTCCAGCCTGGGTGACAGAGCAAGACTGTCACACACACACACAAAATACAAAAAACAAAGCACTCAGTACAGTGCTTACTTAATACAGTGCTTACAGTGGTATACAGTAAGCATTCAATAAACGTCTATTATTACCAAAATGGCTGGGGCAAGGGCATGCTTCCTTTTTTTCTTGGCTCACTGCAACCTCCGCCTCCTGGGCAGTGGTTTGGACAAGCTTGCTTTATAACTGGTGAGTCCAACACAAATCAGGCTTCAAAAGGGATTCTTCCTCCTTTCCTGCCCTCCCTTCCTCCTTCACTTTCTTTTTACATATGAAGAAACCAAAGCTCAGGGAAGTTAAGCAACTTGCCCCAAGTCACACAGCTAGCAAGAGGCTAGATCTGAACCAAAATTTGACTCCAGGGTCCATGAGTTCAGGGTTCTTGGAAAGCCTTTCCCTGGAAGTGTGGGGGAGCCTGGGAAAACTCCGCCTCCTCCTCCCAGCCCTTGCCCCCCACCTCCAAGGATCCTCAGGATCGGGTGCAAGGTCTGGAGCACAGAGTAGCCGACTACCCCGGAACCTCCCCCACACACGTATATTACCCCGCAGGGCCGGGGGGCACGGAGATGCAGTCCAGAGGGGCCAACTGTTTGATCCGCAGGACAAAGATCCCGGCCCCCACCCCTAACTGGCCAAGTGGCTCTGGGCCACACCCCTATAGTCAGAGGGTCGCCGTTTTCGCACGGGGTCAAAGGGCACAGCAGGCCTTGCCCTCCCCTGGCCCCGGCCGCGCTTTGGAAAGGGAAAAGCTGAGCGGAGACACCGGGAAAGCGACGCTCCAGAAACACCGGGGCCGCAGAAGTAACAGAGGGCGAGCGGGCGGACGCCGAGGCGGGACCCCCGCAGAGGCAGATGCAGCCTACCCTTCTTTTCCACTGCGGCCCCCGAGCCCCTCGCGGGAATGCACGTGGGGCCTCCTGCCGAGCCCTTCCGCCCCACCCCAGTCCTGCCGCCCAGCACTCACCCGGCAGAATCCCCTAGCATGCGCCGCCGTAGCAGCCGCAGCCGCCTGAGCCGTTCCAGGGGCCTCGGCCGGCCGTCTTGATTGGTCAGGTGAGGGGCAGGGCCGGGACGTCTGGTGAGCGTTACTCGGCGATCCGAAGTGTCAGTTTCAGCGTGGGGGCGGGACTAAGAGCGGAGCTACACAACCGATTGGTCAATTTTCGAGGCCGGTGCGGAGGTCGATTCCTGGAATGGGGCGGGCCCCGGAAGGGCGAGCTCCGATTGGTCAGCTGCGGGACTGGATACGCTGAGTTCAGCAGCGGCAGTTTCAGTCAGGCTGGGCGGCCTAGGCTCGGCGCAGGCGGCAGTCCGGAGCGGCGGGGTAGGTGGGGCAGGCGGCTGGCTACTCATTGTACTCATCGTTTCATACTTTTCTTTTTTTTTTTTTTTTTGGAGACGGAGTCTCACTCTGTTGCCCAGGCTGGAGTGCAGTGGCGCGATCTCGGCTCACCACAATCTCTGCCTCCCGAGTTCAAGCGATTGATTCTCCTGCCTCAGCCTCCCGAGTAGCTGGGACTACAGGCGAGCGCCACCATGCCCGGCTTTTTTTTTTTTTTTTTTTTTTTTTTTTTTTTTTTTTGTATTTTTAGTAGAGACAGGGTTTCACTATGTTGGCCAGGCTGGTCTCGAACTCCTGACCTCGTGATCCGCCCGCCCCGGCCTCCCAAAATGCTGGGATTACAGGCATGAGCCACTGCGCCCGGCCTGCTTTATACTTTCATTCAGGTTTTTAGCGAGTGCCCGCTTTGCGCCAGAAGATAAGGACTACACAGTAAACAAGAAAGTGTAGTATTGGGGCCGGCCGCGGTTGCTCACGCCAGTAAACCTAAAAATACAAAAATTAGCCGGGCGAGGTGGCCGGCGCCTGTAATCCCAGCTACTAGGGAGGCTGAGGCAGGAGAATCGCTTGAACCCAGCTACTAGGGAGGCAGAGATTGCAGTGAACCGAGATCGCGCCACTGCACTCCAGCCTGGATGACAGAGCAAGACGCAAGACTCCATCTCAAAAAAGAAAAAAAAAAAAAAGATACCCAGCCTGGGCAACATGGCAAAACCCCGTCTCTACAAAAAATGAGCCAGGCACGTACCTGTAGTCCAGCTACTCGGGAGGCTGAGATGGGAGGATCACCTGAGTCCAAGAGGCTGAGGCTGTGGTGAGCTTTGATTGCACCACTGCACTCCACCCTGACTGAGAGACCCTGTCTCAATAAATAAATTAATTTAAAAAAGAAAGAAAGTGTGGTATTGGCGTCCAGGTAGACAAATGGATCAATGCAACAGAATAGAGTTCCGATATGTGAGCAATTAATTTTTGACAAAAATGAAAGTGCAATTCAGTGGAGAAAGGATAATGCCTTCGGCCCGGGGCGGTGGCTCACGCCTGTAATCCCAGCGCTTTGGGATGCCGAGGTGGGCAGATGGCTTGAGGTAAGGAGTTACAGCCCAGCGACACCCAGCACCCCCCCCAAAAAAATTTATTTTATCAATAATGTGTGTGGAAACTTGGGAAAACAAGAAGAGATGGTGTCTTCAACAAATGTTGTAGGTATAATTGGATATCCACACACTCATCCTAAAAAAAAAAAAAAGAAACCCATATGCAAAAATTAACCTAGAATGGATCATAGATCTAGTTGTGAAACCTAAACTATATAACTTAGAAAAACTGGGGCCGGGCGCAGTGGCCCACGCCTGTAATCCCAGCACTTTGGGAGGCCGAGGCGGGTGGATCACCTGAGGTCAGGAGTTCAAGATCAGCTTGGGCAACATGGCGAAACCCCGTCTCTACTAAAAATACAAAAATTGGCTGGGCGCGGTGGCTTACGTCTGTAATCCCAGCACTTTGGGAGGTCCAGGCAGGCGGATCACCTGAGGTCGGGAGTTCCAGACCAGCCTGACCAACATGGAGAAACCCCGTCTCTACTAAAAATACAAAATTAGCCGGGCATGGTGGCGCATACCTGTAATCCCAGCTGCTCGGGAGGCTGAGGCAGGAGAATCGCTTGAACCCGGGAGGCGGAGGTCGTGGTGAGCCAAAATCGCACCATTGCACTCCAGCCTGGGCAACAAGAGTGAAACTCTGTCTCAAATTAAAAAAAAAAAAAAAAAAGAATGAAAAGAAGATAGGTAGCCCCTCTACCTCCAGAAGAGCCGAGGGTGATAACACCAGGCACCGAGCTAGCAGGAAGCCCTCCGACTCAAGAAGATGGCTGATCCTTGGCAGGAATGCATGGATTATGCAGTAACTCTAGCAAGATGAGCTGGAGAGGTAGTTTGTGATGCTCTAAAAAATGAAATGAGGCCGGGCACGACGTCTCAGGCCTGTAATCCCAGCACTTTGGGAGGCCAAGGCGGGCGGATCAGTTGAGGTCAGGAATTTGAAACCAGCCTGGCTAACATGGTGAAACCCCGTCTCTATTAAAAATAGAAAAAAATTAGCCGGGTGTGGTGGTGGGCACCTGTAATCCCAGCTACTCGAGAGGCTGAGGCAGGAGAATGGCTTGAACCTGGGAGGCGGAGGTTGCAGTGAGCCGCGATTGTGCCACGGCACTCCAGCCTGGGTGACAGAGTAAGACTGTCTCAAAAAAAAAAAAAAAAAAAACTATATATATATATGAACCCACATTCACTACTGGTGGGGATATAAGACAGTATAACCACTTCACAAAATCTGTAGAAGTTAAACATAAATTTACCATATGGCCCAGCAAGTCCAGCCTGAGATATCTACCTACAAAAAATGAAAACATCTGCCTACACAGAGATTTGAACACTAATGTTCCTAGCAGAAATACGCATAATGTTGTCTAGAAGATCACCAGGGTGGCTAAATAGTAGAAAGGAGCACTTTATTGTTGATACTTGTTTGCAAACCAGGAAGAGATGGTTTGCAGCATGCACTGAAGGTGCTCTCTTCCAAGAGAGAAAGGACAGGTTGGGTTTTATGCCTCACAGGGCCCATATTCATACATATTTAGCAGGTTTGAGGGAAAAGCTGTATACATATTTATGAGAGGAGGTGAGCTCATGTGCATTGGCTAAACAGGTTGTTCACAGCTTCTGTAAGCTGGCTGAAACTGGCTTAAGTTCTGCAGTTGCTTATCAGAAAAGAATGTTTATTGGCTGGGTGTGATGGCTCATGCCTGTAGTTCCGGCACTCTGGGAGGCTGGGGCAGGAGGATCACTTGAGCTTGGGAATTAGAGGCCAGCCTGGGCAACACAGTAAGATCCCATCTATTTTTTTTTTTTTTTTTTGAGACGGGGTCTCATTCTGTTGCCTAGGTTGGAGTGCAGTGATGCAATCTCGGCTCACTGCAGCCTCCACCTCCTGGGTTCAAGTGATTCTCCTACCTCAGCCCCCGGAATAGCTGGGACTACCAGTGCACACCACCATGCTGGGCTAATTTTTGTATTTTTTGTAGAGACAGGGTTTTGCCAGATTGCCCAGGCTGGTCTCAAACTCATGAATTCAAGCGATCCTCTCACCTCAGCCTCCCAAAGTGCTGGGATTACAGGCATGAGGCACTGTGCCCAGCCAACATACATTCTCTATTTGAAAAATTAAATTAAAAAAAGAAAAAGAATATTTGTGTCCAGACATGGTGGCTCACACCTATAATCCCAGCACTTTGGGAGGCCAAGGTGTGAGGATCATTTGAGATCAGGAGTTCGAAACCAGCCTGAGTAACATAGTGAGATCCCTCGTCTCTACAAAAAAACAAAAAATTATCCGGGCATGGTGGCGCACACTTTTAATCCCAGCTATTCGGGAGGCTAAGGTGAGAGGATCACTTGAGTCTGGGAGGTCAAGTCTGCAGTGAGCCGTGATTGCGCCACTGCACTCCAGCCAACAAAAACCTACCTCAAAAAAAAAAAAAAAGTTTGTCAGACCGGTCCCCTGTGTAATCAGAGGCATAAGGGTTTGGTTTGTAAATCAAGACTTGAGATAATTTGCCTGATGGCTCCTGATGTTAGGGAGTTTAGCGAGTATGTTGTTTTTCTTTGTAACTGAAAAAGGTTACTAATCAGTGAGTGAGATTTTTGTTGTTGTTGTTGTTGTTTTGAGAGGGAGCCTCCCTCTGTTGCCAGGCTGGAGCGCAATGGCGTGATCTCGGCTCATTGCAACCCCCACCTCCCAGGTTTAAGCAATTCTCCTGCCTCAGCCACCCTAGTATCTGGGATTACAGGTGCACGCCACCAAGCCTGGCTAATTTTTGTATTTCTAGTAGAGATGGGGTTTCACCATGTTGGCCAGGCTGGTCTTGAACTCCTGACCTCGTGATCCGCCCACCTCCCAAAAGTGTTGGGATTACAGGCGTGAGCCATCGCGTCTGGCCCCAGGGGCAGATTTTTATCCACCTTAGTCACTGCTATATCTCCAGTGCTTAGAACCATGCTTAGCACATAGTAAGTGCACAAATATTTTGCTGAATTAATGAACTTCCTCATTTGAGGAAATTAGGGAAAATAGACCATTGGATTTTGAGATTAGGGCTCATGCGTATGAAATGTCTGACATACTAAACTCTCAAAGTTCGCTGTTCTTATCTCAAGCCTAAGAGTCCCACTTAGACACAGGAAACCATCCACTTGAGGACACGGTGAACAACTTAGCTGACATCTGCGAGGAGGGCCCTGCTTCTGAGGCCACATTATGAAGCCAGATGCTCTCCGAGAGAGCTGCCTGGGCTGTCACCCCAGTGCTTGGGACACAGTGGAACATTCCTGACTACCTACTTTTTGTGATTAAATAGGGACATTGTTACCAGAGGGCTAAAACTTCCAGCCTCTCAGATTCGCCAGTGGACAGATGAGGTAGTCAGAGAAAGCACAGGAATGAGGCTGGCCTTGACTGGGAATAACTAAGCAGCATTTGCATAAGGCAAGAAGGCCCTTTTTCAAACTATGGCTCATCACCCGGGATGATGCTGTCGTGAACAATTTAGTGGGTTGTACATAACATCTTGTTAATGACAGAAACTACTTGTTTTGTGGATTGCAAAAAAAAAAAAGGTAATGATTCATTTTTTTTTTGTTACCTGAGAAAGTCTTTGGCTGCTGCCTTGAAACAGCCACAAGATGGCGAGGATAGGCGGGGACAAGGCAGGAACAGGAACCTAGATCCGGGCTGATGGTTATGATGGAGGTGAGGAAACTGGGCAGGGTCAACAGACTTGGAAGACAGCAGGTGACAGATTTGGTGCAGCACGTGTGACCGTGGACTCGAGGGTGATGCCCCAAGTGTGTAGCCTGGGAATCTGGAAGGATGAGGTTGCTATCAGCTGAGCTGTGGCCTCTGTGGGCGAGCAGGGCGGACACTGGGCAGCACCAGAGCCAAGAGGACAGCTGTAGGGGCGGGGAAACTGACTGACTACCCCTGTATCTACTCCTGAGGACCCTTAAAAAAAAAAAGAAAAAAAAGCGGTGGCTCACACCTGTAATGCCAGCACTTTGGGAGACCGAGGCAGGTGGGTCACAAGGTCAGGAGTTTGAGACCAGTATGGCCAAGATGATGAAACCCTGTCTCTACTAAAATACCAAAATTAGCCAGGCCTGGTGGTCGGCGCCTGTAATCCCAGCTGCTTGGGAGGCTGAGGCAGAGAACTGCTTGAACCCGGGAGGCGGAGCTTGCAGCGAGCCGAGATCGTGCCACTGCACTCCAGCCTGGGCGACAGAGCGTGACTCCATCTCAAAAAAGAAAAAAAAAAAAAAGAATAGTGGCAACCAAATTCTCAGAAGGCAAAGCAGGATGGAACAGTGAGTCATTTACTTTTTAAGTGAAAAATGGTCTGGAGTTACAGAGAAATCTGTAAAGAAATCAGTCTCGATTTCCTGATCCTTAAAGATCAGTTAAACCATCTGTTCTTTTGAGAGTATCAAATTCCTTCCAAGAATAAGGAGCCAGATTATAGTGGGAACTTCCCCAAAGTTATGGTCACTTCAGAATACAGCTGGCCATGTCAAAGAGGAGTTTGTACAAGAACCCAAAAAGACAGATCTCACAAAGGATTTCCAACTAGGTTTTATTTTAGTTTCCAATATTATGAGCAATGATACAGGAGTAACTCAAGCAAATACATCACCTTAAATACATCAGAGAAAACTCACTGTGTCAGCACGTCTTGCGCTCCAGCAAATGAACATAAAAACAACAATGTCAGCAGCATTAAAGTGCTTTTGGCCATACTTCTTTCAGAAAGGGTCTCTCCCTCAGTGGTATAAATTTAATTTTACGTATTGAAGAAGCTCAAAATTTCATTCATTCCCCAGGGGCTACATTGAAAAAAAATTCATGTTTACGCTAAAGAATTTTTTTTTTTCAAAAAGAGCACAAAATCCATTGGAATTGTGTGACAGTGATTTTCCCTGACATGCTGTGAAGTGGCCCCTGTCCATTCAGGCCCGGCACACGCCGGGAACATCCACCCACAGCATGTCCACCTGGCAGAGTCCATCACTTCGCCCCACACAACAGGACAGACTGAGGGCTTTAAATACAAGCAGGTATGTGAACAGGACATCACCTGTGATGTGGCCACCAAACAGTGCACAGAGGCTACCAACTCATTTCCTCAAAGATGAGTGATGGCTGGGCTGCTGGGCCCCTGCCTTGTGGGCTGCTTTTTGGGAGAGGTGTTGCTTATTTCTAGGAAGCGATCCAACTTGTGCCACACAGGATTTGTCACCCAAACTGCTTTTCTCACACAGTCAACACCTTGGTGACAGGCATCTGCCCCCACTTCAACCAGTAACAATCCCAAAACTCAACATCAGCATAAAGACAAGGGGGTCAGTCGAAGGTTCTGGAGATCAGGGAGGGTGGAAAGATGGACACTGGGTTTTCCACATTGTCCCTTGGCCAACTGCAGTCACTGGCACAGGAAATTTAGTCCAGGGCACTTGGGACAAGGTTGGGGGTGGGGTGGAAACATGTCTCTTAAAGGGCACAACAGGGATGCAATCAAGCCTAGTGGGTGGGGGCTCTCAGACCCATGAGCCCCTCGCAGAACGAGGCCAAGTGGACGGCCCATTCTCCAGCTGTCCTGTGTGGGGCCCATGCACCTCAGCCAGCCACCAACGTCCCCACCTTCCACCATCCATCCTTCTACTACATCCTTCAACCACCTAGACCATGCCATCTTCCAAAACAGATCTACACAAAACAGGCCTGCACAAGTCCAGGACTGACACTAAAGCAAAGGACACAATAATGAGAAGAGAGGCAAGTCCCTCCTTGTCCCAGTGACTGCCACCTGCTCTGCCAGCTCCCCATACATCCAACAGCCCTCCCCTCTGAGCTACTCCCACTCCTCCAGCTGCCTCAGCAGCATCCTTTCTACCACCCCCAGCACAGGGCCCGCCTCAGCCTAAGCCCAGGGGTAACTGAGCCTCACCACCAAGACGTGTCTGAGGCTCTGCAAATGGGATGAAGCACTGAGCCAACAGGCGAGATGGACACACACAAGCCACAGTCCTTCTGGGACAGACTCTCTGGGAAGAAACTCCAATCGTCCCTTACACCTGCAGGTGTGCTGGGCTGCAAGGAGGGCAGGTGCGCACAGGCTGGAGGAAGGTGGGGGTGTCTGTGTGATACCCTCAAAGGCTTCCATGAGGCATTGTGCAATGCTGAGATCCTGAGGCCTTATCAAGCAATCAAATGAACCAGAGAAAGCTGGAAAAAGCCTCAACTTAACTCCTTGGTACCATGCTGTCCATAGCTGTCGCTGAAAGTGTCCTTTGGGGGTATGAGCCAGCTCTTCCAGCAACAGCAGGCAAAGGTGGGGGAAAATAAGTAGTGCTGGAGGGCTCAAAATGGTACGAGACTGGGTGCTTCATTCTCTTGGCAGTGGCCAGGGGGCAGGAGCCACACGTGCCCCTGGGGGAGCCCACATGGCACTTAGGGCTGGCAGCACCGCCCCTCTCCACGCAGACTCCGCCTCAGGTGCCCACTATCTGCTGGGCTGCAGGTACTGGTGTGTGAACATGTTGAGCTCACTGTCCAACCAACCGGCTTTATTCCTGCAAAGAAATGGTTCTTTTGTAACCATGATAGCTGATGATAGGCAGTATTAGGACTACCCGCCAGGCACCATCCTAAGGACGCTTGACACACACCCTTACATCATCCTCCAACAATCGTGTTTATCCCTGTCTCACAGATGGGGAAAAGGAGGCCCAGAGGGGTTAAATAACTTCCCAAGGCCACACGGCTAATAAGCCAGGGAGCTACAAGTTAGGCTTTTCTGATTCTCAAGCCCTGTGTTTCCTTCACCCAGGACCATGTGCAAGTCCCTGAGCTGTCGGGAACTCAGTTTCCCTGCTTGCCAAGCAAGGGGTTGAGGTGCTGACAGGAGACCCTTTCCAGGTTCAGCTGTGTCACTGTGGCTGACAAGCAGCAGTTCCCCCCATTCCCCCTTTCTGAGAGTCCCCAGAGGGCAAGCAGTGTGTCCCTAGGAAGCAGCTGTCCCCAGGTGGGGGTGCGGGGGGGGCACATCCGCAGTCGAGGGCAGGGAAAGCCCAGTGATCCGGTGAGGGTTGGAGCTGACACCCTCTGATCCATCTCCCCTCTGGCTCTGCCACCCTGCAGACTCTGACGTCAGGGGCGAGGGCAGGAAGTGCAGGGTCCCCGTGTGCTGATGCTATCATGGGCTAGGCAGGCCGAGGACTTCTGCAGGGTCCCCGTGTGCTGATGTTATCATGAGCTGGGCAGGCCGAGGACTTTTGCAGGGCACTTTTACATTCAGTCATGCAGCTGTGTCATGAAATCTTACTCCCATTTTACAGATGAAAATAATGAGACACAGGAGAGTTAAGAGCTTGGGCCAAACATGAGTGGCTGGAGAGAACCCAGGACTCCAGACTCCTCAGACTGATGTTCTTTCCAGCAAATTATTAATGAAAGCTCCACAGAGACCCCATGGAGATCTGAGTTCCAATCCCAGCTCTGCCAGTCCCCAGCCAAGTAACCAGCTTCTCTGTGGGTAAATGGGGGGCTATGCCCTCTTCATGGGTCCAAAGAGTGGCAGGTAAGGAGAATCAGAGTGCGGGGGCTGCTGGAGCCAAGTACACCTGGGCTCCCCTCCTAGCCTGGCCATTTTTTGAGATGCCAGACAAGTTCCCCAACATTTCTATGTAGAAAATGGAGAAATAGGGAAGACTGAGTGAAATAGCACATGTTAAGCGCTGTAGGCCCTGCGGTTCAGCACAGGGCGCTGTGAACTGCAGTCTCGCAGTACTGTGATGCCATCATGCCTTCAACTGCAAGTGCCTTGAAGGCAGCGACGCTGTGTCTTGTTGAGCCTCCAGCACCATCTGGCATCCATGAGGTACGTGGTACACATCCATTTTTTTTTTCTTTTTGAGACAGAGTTTTGCTCTTGTCGCCCAGGCTGGAGTGCAATGGCATAATCTCGGCTCACTGCAACCTCCGCCTTCTGGGTTCAAGCCATTCTCCTGCCTCAGCCTGTCGAGTGGCTGGGATTACAAGCACACACCACCACGACCAGCTAATCTTTGTATTTTTAGTAGAGACGGGGTTTCACCATGTTGGTCAGGCTAGTCTCAAACTCCTGACCTCAGGTGATCTACCTGCCTCAGCCTCCCAAAGTGCTGGGATTATAGGCGTCAGCCACCGTGCCCAGCCCATGGTACACATCTAACACGAATGAGCTAAATCCCCACCAGAAAAATTTGTGTCCACACCCAAGACGCAAGCCCAGCAGCTGAGCCCCAGTGTGCCTGGGCTGCACCCTGGAGCCCTAACCTTTGGCCACACGGGCCAGCCTCACCTGAGCAGCTTTGCTTTGCTCTGAAGTGAGTCAAGAACCTCAATTTTCTTGTTCATGGCGGCAATTTCCTGCTCCAGGTTCTCCCGGGTGACGTCAACTTGCTGACACAGATGAGCAAAGGTCCCAGACAGTTCCCTGGGGAGGAGAGAGAAGGGACCCAGTTGGGGTGTGTGGAGCAAGATGCCACTGGTGGCTTAGCCCACCCACAGTAGGGAGCAGCTGGGCCTGTCTATATCCCTGCCAGCAGCTCTGCCCTGAGCCAGGCCTGGTTTGGCAGAATCTCCTACACCCTGCTGAGACTGAATAATCATAACAACCAAACACACTCAGCATCACCACGGCCTGAGAAGCAACAGCACAGAGCTGTGCACCCTGGTTTGGGCACAAGAGATCCTGACTCTGCTGCTCATCAGCCGAGTAGCAGAGGACACGTCACTATTTTTCAAATCTCAGTTTCTTGATTTTGAAAAAGGAGATGGCCCTCTCCCTCTCCCGCTCCCTCTCCCTCTCCCCACGGTCTCCCTCTCCCTCTCTTTCCACGGTCTCCCTCTGATGCCGAGCCGAAGCTGGACTGTACTGCCGCCATCTCTGCTCACTGCAACCTCCCTGCCTGATTCTCCTGCCTCAACCTGCCCAGTGCCTGCGACTGCAGGCGCGCGCCGCCACGCCTGACTGGTTTTCGTATTTTTTTGGTGGAGATGGGGTTTCGCTGTGTTGGCCGCGCTGGTCTCCAGCTCCTAACCGGCAGTGATCTGCCAGCCTCGGCCTCCCGAGGTGCCGGGATTGCAGATGGAGTCTCGTTCACTCAGTGCTCAATGTTGCCCAGGCAGTGGCATGATCTCAGCTCGCTACAACCTCCACCTCCCAGCCGCCTGCCTTGGCCTCCCAAAGTGCCGAGATTGCAGCCTCTGCCCGGCCGCCACCCCGTCTGAGAAGTGAGGAGCGTCTCTGCCTGGCCGCCCATCGTCTGGGATGTGAGGAGCCCCTCTGCCCGGCTGCCCACTCTGGGAAGTGAGGAGCACCTCTTCCCGGCCGCCATCCCATCTAGGAAGTGGGGAGCGCCTCTGCCCCACCACCCCGTCTGGGATGTGAGGAGCGCCTCTGCCCAGCCACAACCCCGTCTAGGAGGTGAGGAGCGTCTCTGCCCGGCAGCCGCCCCGTCTGAGAAGTGAGGAGCCCCTCCGCCAGGCAGCCGCCCCCGTCTGGGAAGTAAGCGTCTCCGCCTAGCAGCCGCCCCGTCCGGGAGGTGGGGGGTCAGTCCCCGCCCGGCCAGCCGCCCCGTCCGGGAGGGAGGTGGGGGGGGTCAGCCCCCGCCCGGCCAGCCACCCCGTCCGGGAGGGAGGTGGGGGCGCCTCCGCCCGGCCGCCGCCCCATCCGGGAGGTGGGGGGCGCCTCTGCCCAACCACCCCTTCTGGGAAGTGAGGAGCCCCTCTGCCCGGCCACCACCCCGTCTGGGAGGTGTACCCAACAGCTCATTGAGAACGGGCCATGGTGACGATGGCGGTTTTGTCGAATAGAAAAGGGGGAAATGTGGGGAAAAGATAGAGAAATCAGATTGTTGCTGTGTCTGTGTAGAAAGAAGTAGACATAGGAGACTCCATTTTGTTCTGTACTAAGAAAAATTCTTCTGCCTTGGGATGCTGTTGATCTATGACCTTACCCCCAACCTGGTGCTCTCTGAAACATGTGCTGTGTCCACTCAGGGTTAAATGGATTAAGGGCGGTGCAAGGTGTGCTTTGTTAAACAGATGCTTGAAGGCAGCATGCTTGTCAAGAGTCATCACCACTCCCTAATCTCAAGTACCCAGGGACACAAACACTGCGGAAGGCCCCAGGGTCCTCTGCCTAGGAAAACCAGAGACCTTTGTTCACTTGTTTATCTGCTGACCTTCCCTCCACTATTGTCCTATGACCCTGCCAAAACACCCAAGAATGATCAATTAAAAAAAAAAGAAAGAAAGAAAAAGGAGATGGCTATAAGACAACATCTACCTCCAAGAGTCAGAGAAATAATTAGGTGCAAAATGTCTAGAGCAAAGGGTCTGCCACACACAATAAAAAAAAGGAAGCGAGGATATTCATCCCCACCACCCCAGATTAGGCAATAGATTCCCACCTGACCTAAGATGTGCACGAAGATCAGGCTGGGTTCAAAAACTTCAAAACTACATCCACAGCCCAAGCTCTTCAAGGCAACCTCTAAAACTCCTACTAGGAATATCTCTTGCCTTCCCATTTCTTCCTCACCAAGGGGCCCAGAGGCCTACCCCGTCCCAGCCCAAGACGCAAAGTGTCCCTGGGAGACCCCTCTCCCCATGACTGGCCTCAAAGCTGGCCCTGCACACCTGAAGGCCCAGGGTCTACGATGCTTAGGACCCAGTGGCTTCCAGGCCACGTGGGAAGAGAGATGGGGAAGGGAGATGGGGCTGACCCTGCCTAAAGGAAGTCCCCTGCTGGGGTCCGACAGGGCCACTCACTGCTGGACTTGGTGGCTGCAGTTGGAGCCAGTGTAGCTGATGACAAGCTGCAGCTTCTCGCTGGCATGCTCCACAAACTGGCGCTTGAAGGCCCTCTCCTTGGCCTTGGTGGTCCAGGTCAGACGCTCATAGACGTAGAGGAGGCCATAGAGCCCAAAGGAGAGGGCAATGAGCCGCCAGCCCACTGCCTTCCACACCTGCAGAGCACATGGTCAGCCTGGAGTGCAGCCTCTCTGTGGCCCACCCTCCTCTGGGGCCCATCACTACCAGGGCCATCTGAAGGGCCCCAGCCAAGGAGCCTTCATGTTTCTACTCTGAGTTCCTCTTTCAATGTCTCCTTTGATCCCACCGAGGCCAGAAGGTCTGGGACCATGTCCAGCAGGAAGTGAGGGAAACTTGGTGAGGGAGTAAGCGCTCCCCATGCAATCACAGAGGAGAAAGTATGCAGTGGACTGTGGAGTGTGGCCCAATGCAGGGGCCACAGCAGGAACCTAGCCCTCAGGCCCCGCCCACCTGCCCTCCGCCCCCACCTTCCCGAGCAGAACTGGTCACTGACCACTCCTCCAACAACAAGAATGCCCATGGAGGTCCTGGATGTCAAGGAGGCCAGGCCGGTAACCATGGAAACCATGAACTCCTCCTGGGTGAGCGAGCCCTGTGGCAGTGGGGGCATGCTGGGGTTGGCTGGCGTCAGAGGGATGGGACGCTGGACCTGAGGAGAGAAACATGAGAGGGGTGAGGGGGACGTATTGAGTCTCTCATTCACGTGAACCCTCAGTGTTGCCCTAGTCTGGGGAACAGGGACACAGAGTGGCTCTTCAATTTCCAAAAGGCAAAAAGGGGACAACTAGCTTCAGATGTAGCAGAGGAGACCCTCAGGTGAGCACCACGGGACGTGCAAAATGTGAGCAGGAGCCATCCTGACCCGCCTGGCAGCTTCCCCGAGTGTGGGATGTGTACAGAGGGCAGTACATGTGACAACTCAAGTGGTTTAGAGATGAATGTTTTTAAAATCTGAACTTTAAAATAGTCGTATGTAGGTGGTTATTTTTAAAGTCGTCTATTTTTAATAGTTACATACTTACTTTAATGTGTATTAGAGAAAAATACTAGCATCTGTCATTTCACAAATATCACTGCTTAGAACAAATCCAGGTCAATCAGTAGCAAAAATTCTGTCTGTGGTGTACTGTGTGGTGGGGCACACCACCACAGCTGCTGACCTTAGGGAACCCCCGTTTTAGAATGGTTCCCGTGTCTGGAGGCAGGGTACAGACTGACCCCCCACAATGCCCTTGAGGTGAGGAACTTTGCTTGCCTGGTCATTGTAGCCCATCAAGGCCCGACGGCTGTTCTTGGGGCCCAGGAACCTATTCACCAGCATGGTCCATCCGAGAGAGAAATGGAACTCAATGTCTTCCTGGAAGTCAGCACACAGCTTGTCACAGTTTAGGTCATAGTTGAGGGAGAAGCACTGGCGTGGGACCAGCATGTCTATCTGACTCCGCACAGACACAGGAAGGAGGGGTTTCAAGCCATCTGTCAGGAAGAGAAATGGAGGAAAAGCTTATCAGCTCAGCCCTGCACCACAGCGGCACCAAGCCTTGGAGACAGGGCTCTACCAGCTACTGCCAGGGATGCTGAACAGCTTTGCCTGGGAACCACACCCCAGTCAAGTTGGCCCGTGAGACTGAGCATGCCTCACTTGAGGCCAGCTCTCCCAGGCAAGTGTGGACTCAGATGCCATACTGCTAACACTTATGCCTCAC
This sequence comes from Homo sapiens, assembly GCF_000001405.40. Taxonomy (NCBI): domain Eukaryota; kingdom Metazoa; phylum Chordata; class Mammalia; order Primates; family Hominidae; genus Homo; species Homo sapiens. Next base: position 12,005,480 of record NC_000001.11, on the reverse strand, counting down.
GTGGACTTAAAGGAGCAGGCCCAATTCTCAGCCTAGGGTAGACCCATGTAGTAGAACAAGATGGGCTCCCCAACCCTGTGTACAGAATGAGTTCACAAGGCCAGGGCCGGTGGCTCATGCCTGTAATCCTAGCACTTTGGAAGGCCAAGGCAGATAGATCACTTGAGGTCAGGAGTTAGAGACCAGCCTGGCCAACGTGGCAAAACCCCATCTCTACTAAAAATACAAAAAAATTAGCCAGGTGTGGTGGTCACGCCTGTAGTCGCAGCTACTCGGGACGCTGGAGCAGAAGAATCGCTTGAACCTCGGTGGCAGAGGTTGCAGTGAGCCAAGATCATGCCACTGCACTCCAGCCTGGGTTACGGAGTGCGACTCTGTCTCAAAAAGCAAACAAGAATGAGTTCAGAACATGTACCCAGAACCTGAAGGTATCGAGTTGAATCATCATGAAAAGTGACAGATAAGGAAAGTCCTGATTTCTTTAGCTTGGCCTCCGCATCTGATCTTTGGGCAGCCCAGGGCCACAGCTGCCCAGTTCCCCATGGGCACTAACCTATCATGTCCTGCTGCATGGTCTGCAGGGAGTTGGTGATGGCCGTGGAGCAGCGGTCAGACATGTTTCGACCCAGTCCTTCCTCTATGTGGCGGTGCAGCTCCTGCCACCAGAAGAGGGAAGTTAAGAGAAGCATGTCCATCAAAATTCCCTTCAGGCCACATCCACCAGGTGACCCCAGAAGGCTGACGGAAGCCTGGGCCTTGTCTCTGTGGCTTCTACTGTCACTGCTGGGGGGCCCTGACCCAGACCAACAGGGGTTGAATCACTTTTGGGGGCCTCCTGCCAAGAGGACCTGTTGCTCCATGACTCACATTCTTATAAACCTTGAGGACTACTGGAGAAGGGTGGAAGTCCATCTGGTAATCGTCCACCAGTACAGAGAGGCGCCTGATCTCCTCGGCCATTGCAGTCGACACCTACAGCAAAAGGAAGCACACTGTTAAGTATCAAGGAAGACCAAAGTTCACTCCTGCAGCACCAGGAGAGATCCTAGCAGATGGCACATCCTTCCTCTCAAACCAGCAGCCTCCTCAGCTCCTCTATGGAATTAAAGCCTCTGAAGTGAGAGGGTCTGGGAAACTGGCTGATCAAACGCCCACATGATCTGTGGAGGTCCAGAGGAAAGGGAACATGCCCAGCATCACACAACCCGACAATGGAACCCAAACGGCAGCTCTGTATTCTTGAAACAGGGCCACAACTTTCTTCTGAAAGGCTGAGAAGTCCCTAAGAGGAGGAGGTCTGCTTTCTTCTGGACTCTACTCGGAGTCCAAATCTTCCCAGAATGCCTCCTCCTCATTTCTCACCTGCCTCTCCACTTCCTCCGTAATCTGCTTAATTCGCAGCTTATAGTCTTGAGCCAAGAGCTCCAGCTGTTTGTCAATAAATTTCAGTCGGTCTTGCCGCTCTTCACGCATTTCCTCGCAGTAAACCCTGAAAGCAGAGTACTGGTGAGAAATCCATGTTCCTGTCTGACTAAGCAGAGGAGCAAGAGGGGATGCCAGAAATCCCACGCCGCCCTGCCCGCTATCTTGCCTGGCAGGGCTGCACACACGCACCCAGGGGCATGGCCTTCCCCTTCCCAGGTAAGAAGAGGACCCTGCAGCCAACCATGCACTCTTCAGTCTTCGATGTGGGTCAGGTGGTGGGCACAAAACAGGGAGGGCGCTTTAAGGGGGTTTAAACAAATTCTGCCAATTAATATAGGGAAAAAAGCTCAACCTCACTAGTAATCACAGAAATGATTTTTTTTTTTTTTTTGAGATGGAGTTTCACTCTTGTTGCCCAGGCTGGAGTGCAATGGCACGATCTCCACTCACTGCAACCTCCACTTCCTGGGTTCAAGCGATTCTCCTGCTTCAGCCTCCCGAGTAGCTGGGATTACAGGCATGCGCCACCACACCCAGCTAATTTTGTATTTTTAGCAGAGACAGGGTTTCTCCGTGTTGGTCAGGCTGGTCTTGAACTCCTGACCTCAGGTGATCCATCCGCCTTGGCCTCCCAAAGTGTTGGGATTACAGGCGTGAGCCACCATGCCCAGTTGTAAATGAAATTTTTAAAGGCACTATTTTCTACCAAGGCCTGGCAAAAATGACCAGGTCTGAAGTTCTGGTGAGGGCTGATGAAATGGAAGGCCTATGGACAGTACTGGTCATGCAATGAATGGGTACGGCTGTTCTGAAGAGCATCAAGAAAACTGACTAAAACTGGAAACGCGTGTACCCTAAAACAGAATTGCCACACCCCTAGGAACTCACCCCAGGAAGACTCTTAAAAAGGTGCACAAGGGGACACATGAACAAATGTCCACTGCAGTAGGGTTTCCAATAGCAAAAAAAAAATCTAAAATTCCATCCATAGGAAAATGAGGCATATTCACAATGGAATATACTACAGCAGTTCCGATTCATAAACAAACTACACATACTAACAAGGATAGAGGGAAAAACGATGTTGAGAAAGCAAAGCCAGGTACAGTGACAGACAGTGTGATGCCACATCTGTACATCTGAAGCATGTAAAAACCTGACATATTCCTCAGCATTTATGTAAAAAGTACTGTTTGGGTGATAGAACAATGTAAATTCATGATTATGGTGCCTCAGGGCAGAGTGACACTGGGACAAGTGCAAAAGAATCAAAAGGGAACTGAACTTTTTAAAATTTTAACTTAACATAAACAACTGAGAAAGTCAATTCTGTGTGATAGAAGCAAGGTGTTTTCATATTATTCTTTAGTGACAGGGTCTCACTCTGTTGCCCAGGCTGGAGTGCAGTGGTGCGATCACAGCTCACTGGAACCCTGAACTCCTGGGCTCCAGTGATCCTCCTGCCTCAGCCTCCCAAGTAGCTGGAACTACAGGTGTGTGCCACCACACCCAGCTGATTTTTAAAATTCTTGTAGAGATGGGATCTCACTATGTTATCTGGGCTGGACTCCTGGCCTCAAGCAGTCCTCCTGCCTTGGTCTCCCAAAGTGTTGAGATCACAGGTGTGAGTCACTGCTCCTGGCTGGAATGTTGTTTTGAAAAATGTGTTCAGGCTCTGAGAATGGCTGCAGAGCTCAGCAGGGCATGGGCCAAGACCTCCAACACAGGGAATCGTGCTGCACAGACCAGGTGGGGTGATGAAGCACCCAGCCGCCCTCCTCACCAGGCTGTCTATGTGGTTCTAACATGGTCTGGTGGCCAGGGAAAGGGCTCTGGATGGGAGCCCAGAGACTCAGCCCTGCCATCAAGGCGTGTCCTAACTGCCCAAGGCAGGGGTGGAGCACCCTTGTCTCGGCAGCTCTCTCCACCTATCTGCAGTCTTGGACTCTTACTGCTGCTCCCGAGCCGCCATGTGCAGGGAGTCCATGATGAGTCGAACCGCCTCTGCAATCTGCTTGGCCCGGACCGTGTGCTGCTCAAACTTGGTCTTCACTGCAGACTGGGAGATGCACTCCTGGAACACACAGAGGCACGGAGGGAGGTGGGGGCCACCAGGGGCCTACAACCAAGGGCCAGACTCTGGTTTTCACTGCCAGGGACACAGCCAATGGGAGCTGGGGAGGCACAGAATCGCCAGATACCAGAATCAGAGGACTCACCTCAAATCTCCTCTCAAAATTCTGAAACTCAAACATCCTCACTTGAAAGCCTTCTGCGAGAGCGCCCCCTAGGAGGATTGTACTGCATTAGTCCAGAAACAACTTGGCAGCAGAGGAAAACGATGAAATCCCCAGAAACCAAGCCACTGGCTAAAGAGCAAGAGCCTCTCTGCTCTTCTCAGCATCCCCTTCTCAGAAGGATTTTCTACTGACAGACTCCTCAGCACGAGACAAAATGTCTCAAACATCAGAGAAAAGGAGGACATCTGTTCTCATCATTACCTCCTTCAGGCATGCCCTGGGCTTTCTGAATCCTGGCGTTGAGCACCTCCTTAGCAGACACAAAGAAGATGCGGTCCCCGGCCTGGGATCGATCCACCACGCCCAGCTCATCCACCAGGAAGCTGGTACAACGCTCCATGTGCTGCCGCCGCACCTGGAGCCCAAACAAATGTGTCCAGAGTGAGTGTAGGTGGCCCCACAGCCCCCACCTGCCTCTTTTATTAAAAGAATAGGTCATAAGAGGCTGGGCATGGTGGCTGACGCCTGTAATCCCAGCACTTTGGGAAGCCAAGGCAGGTGGATCACTTGAGGTCGGGAGTTCAAGACCAGCCTGGCCACCATGGTGAAACCCTGTCTCTACTAAAAATACAAAAAAATTAGCCAGGCATGGTGGCAGGCGCCTGTAATCCCAGCTACTCAGGAGGCTGAGGCAGGAGAATCACTTGAACCTGGAGGCGGAGGTTGCAGTGAGCCAAGATAGCACCACTGCACTCCAGCCTGGGCGACAGAGTGAGGGAAAAAAAAGAATAGGCAATATATTCACATGGCTCAACAGCCAAAGGCACAAACACATACACAGTGTAATGTCCCCCACTATTCTGCTCTCTCACCACCAAGTTTCCCAGACCAACGTGTGGGGGTTACTTGGCAGTGAGCGTGCCAAAGATATTTTATGCATATACAAGCAGAAATGCTTAAACGTGCCCTAGACTGCCTCTTGTTAAGCCTATATAGTGCCTCATTTTGGTGCCCTGGCAGGAAAGGAACCCTGAGGTCAAGAAACCTAAATCTGGGACCTATACTCTGACAAGCTGTGTCCTCCTGGGGCATTGTTTATAAAAGGAGTGGGCATCACTAGAACATCCCTCCTGGCTCTGACATCCTGGGGTTCTACCGATAAAATGTGACAATAGCTTCTTGTAGACACCTACCACGTGTCAGGTGTTTTTGACAGATTTCATCCTCTCAACAAGTCTATTTATCACACCATCACACTGGCCAGGAAATTGGATTACCAGAAGGGTCAAGGAAGCTAACAAAGTCACACTGCCTAGTGTCAGTCACAAGCGGGCACAGTGGCTCACGCCCGTAATCCCAGCACTTTGGGAGGCCGAGGCGGGCGGATCACTTAAGGTCAGGAGTTCAAGACCAGCCTGGCCAACATGGTGAAACCCCATCTCTATTAAAAATACAAAAATTAGCCAGGTGTGGTGGCGGGTGCCTGTAATCCCAGCTACTCGGGAGGCTGAGGCAGAATTGCTTGAACCCTGGAGGTGGAGGTTGCAGTGAGCCGAGATTGTGCCACTGCACTCCAGCCTGGGTGACAAGAGCAAAACTCCATCTCGAAAAAAATAAATAATTTGGACTCTGGCCTACTGACTGCAACTGCATGTTTTATCATCCCATATTGCCATATTATCAATCTTATTACCCTTTATTTGTTTAATTATTTTTTGTGAGACGGAATCTCACTCTCTTGCCCAGGCTGGAGTACAGTGGCACAATCTCAGCTCACTGCAAGCTCCACCTCCCGGGTTCACGCCGTTCTCCTGCCTTAGCCTCCCGCGTAGCTGGGACTACAGGCGCCTGCCACCATCACACCCGGCTAATTTTTTGTATTTTTAGTAGACACGGGGTTTCACCACGTTAGCCAGGATGGTCTCGATCTCCTGACCTCGTGATCCGCCCACATCGGCCTCCCAAAGTGCTGGGATTACAGGCGTGAGCCACCGCGCCCGGCCTACCCTTTATTTTTTTGGAGATGGCGTTTTGCTACGTCGCCCAAGGTGGTTTCAAATTCCTACTCTCAAGGGATCCTCTCTCAGCCTATAGGTGTGCACCACCATGCCGTTTGTTACCCTTTTGTCTTTCATTTCACATATTTAAAGAGTTGTGAGGCCAGGCGTGGTGGCTCATGCCTGTAATCCCAGCACTTTGGGAGGCTGAGGCAGGTGGATCACCTGAGCCCAGGAGTTCAAAACCAGCGTGGGCAACATGACAAAACCCCGTCTCTACCAAAAATACAAAAATTAGCCAGCCTCATAACCCAGTCTCTAAATAAATAAGTAAATAGCTAAGAGTTGTAAGTCACCAGTAAGAACCAGTTATTCTCCATTCCTCTTTCCAGCCTCTTTCCCAGAGGCCTCCCTAGAGCTGAGCCTGTTCTGTATTAATTCCTCAGAAACCAAACTGAGCACCGGCACTGAAGATGCACTAATGCAGCAGGGATCCTTTTTAGGCCTAGGGGAGAGTGGCTTGAAGAGGGGGTGCATCCAGCAAAGTGGATGGGAGAGGGGAAAGACCACCAGAAGATACCACAGAAGAGTATTTGGAGAATTCTTTGGCAATAAAATTAATTCAGGGAAGTCACTAGATCCAGGGGTGCAGGAAGTGGCCCCAGTGGCAGGCAGTGCTCCCTCGGGGTTGCATTCCCCAAACTGCCAAACAGAAGCACGAACCTCCTCCATGTACTCGGGCTCTGAGGCAGATGCATCCCAGCGGTTGTTCAGGATGAAGATGTTTGGCCGGGAGAGACGCTCACTCACCTTGTGGAAGAAGTGCTTTTCCTAGATAAAGGGTAAGACCTCGGTGGAGCAGGAGCTTGACAGCCAAGGCCCCATCAGCTGCCTGCCCAGGGGGTGCTGGGAGCTTGGGAGAAGGCAGAGGAGGAGTTACCGTCTGCATCAGGGTGGACTCTGAGTTGGCCACCAGCACAAACACATCAGCATCCAGACAAAACTTGTCAATCCAGCTGTCCAGCTCTGTGGTGACATCAATACCAGGGCTAAAGGTGACAGGGGTAAACCAAATCATCAGGCAGAGCAGGAGCCCTATTCTTCCTGCTGAGAACAGACCTGGGACTTGTGAGGCAGGCAGGTCATGGAGGAGAAAGCCAGGGACGGGAGAGAAATCAGGCCTGGCCCTCATTAACGGATTTTACTTCCCATTTCCTATCCTTCCAGATTGCCTGGAAATGAGTGTTTTGTTTTGTTTTGTTTTGTTTTTGGATATAGAGTCTTGCTCTGTCGCCCGGGCTGGAGTGCAATGGCACGATCTCGGCTCACTGCAACCTCCGCCTCCCAGGTTCAAGCGATCCTCCTGCCTCAGCCTCCCAAGTAGCTGGCACTACAGGCACGCACCACCATGCCCAGCTAATTTTTTTGTATTTTTAGTAGAGACAGGGTTTCACCATGTTGGTCAGGCTGGTCTCGATCTCTTGACCTCCTGATCTGCCCGCCTCAGCTTCCCAAAGTGCTAGGATTACAGGCATGAGCCACCGTGCCTGGCAGAAATGAGTGTTTTTAAACACATATATCTATTGCTTTTATAAAAACAGAATTACTTGTAATTCTACTTTAAAGATGATATACCAGGCGGGGCACAGTGGCTCATGCCCGTAATCCCAGCACTTTGGGAGGCTAAGGTGGGCGGATCATGAGGTCAGCAGTTCAAGACCAGCCTGGCCAACATGGTGAAACCCCGTCTCTACTAAAAATACAAAATTTAGCCAGGCATGGTGGCGGGCACCTGTAATCCCAGCTACTCCAGAGGCTGAGGCAGGAGAATCACTTGAACCCGGGAGGCGGAGGTTGCAGTGAGCCGAGACTGCACCACTGCACTCCAGCCTGGGTGACAGAGCAAGACTCTGTCTCAAAAAAAAAAAAAAAAAAAAAAGATGATATACAATTAAGGTGAAGTTGTGACTTGATGTGAGTCCAGATAAACACTACAATACTGTACATGTTGGTATAGTTATAACCAGTCCACCAAGCCAAGGCAAAGTGTTTCTTCAAGGGAAATAAAATACACCTCTGACTCCGCCACAACTCCCCACCCCCAGTACACATGCTGGCACTGGGCTGAGATTGAGAACCTCCCCCACCAACTTTTGAGCATCCCTCCTATCTTTTACAGACCATCCCTGGGACATCTGCAGGGTACTGATAAATAGGTATAGTAACCAGACTCCAGAGGAAAGCCAAGAGGCCAGAGGATTTGGTTGAGCCCATCTGAAAGGTAGTAATACTTAAGCAGAGCAAGGATGGGGCCCAGGGACCCTGGCCTAGATTATCCAGAAATGGAAACCTGGTGCCTTCCAGTTTGGACCTCCTAGGAGGGCACCTCCCTCTTACCTGTCCATCAAAACGAGGTCATCCTTCAGAAGTGGGCACTTAGAGTTGGGCCACATCACACTCACTAGGCTGCCGGCATGGAGCTGCTTGTCCTGGTGGAGGGCATGGGCCAGCTGGTTCACAGTCTGATGGCAGAGGAAGGAAAGAAAGAGGCTGAGGAGGAACCACCAGGCCAGGAGATTTCCTGTGCCGCTGCATCACAGCACAGTGGCTGGGAATGCTGCCCATCTGCTACCCTTTCTTCTTCCACATATAAAAAGTTAACAGCTGGGAGTTGTCAATAAGAACCCACTTTCTTCACTGCTCTTTTGAGCTTCTTTCCCGGATATCACCCTAAAGTCATCTGTTCTGCACTGATTGATTCTTTTTTTTTTTTTTTTTTTGAGACGGAGTCTCGCTCTGTCACCCAGGTTTGGAGTACAGTGGCGTGATCTCAGCTCACCACAACCTCCACCTCCTGGGTTCAAGCAGTCCTCCTGCCTCAGCCTCGCGACTAGCTGGGATTACAGGTGCCTACCACCACGCCCAGCTAATTTTTGTATTTTTAGTAGAGATGGGGTTTCACCATGTTGGCCAGGCTGGTCTTGAACTCCTGACCTCAAATGATCCATCCACCTCGGCCTCCCAAAGTGCTGGGATTACAGGCGTGAGCCACCGTGCCCGACCAATTGATTCTTTATGAAGCAAATTGAGCATCTGGCCCCAAACAAGAATGCAGCTGCCTCTCAGAAAACTCAGAGTGTCGGTCCCTGACTGATAGGTCAGAGACACACAGCAAATGCAGGAATTCCTCTCTGGCAATATCCCAAGGAAGAACACAGCACATACTGTCTTCCTTAATTAGTGAAGAGAGGTCAGTGGCCACTCAGAGCTGTATGAGGAACAGCAGGGTCCTCATTCTTGGTGATCCACGTTTCTGAAAACCACCTCCGCCAGCCCCCAAAAGCTCTTACATCCTTCAAAAAGTTCATCTAAAATAGGGTCTCCCATTCACCTCCACAGGGTGGTGCTGCCCCCTCCCTAGAGGTGAGGTCAGCCGTGTCACAACGGAGGACTTGCTCCCCCAGCAGGCACAGGGCTGACAGCCAGCCTGGCACCCTCACCTTGGCACTCCTCTTTTCCTCTGAGCCCTCGGTAAGGAGAAAGGCCTCATGGCCATCTGTGCCCTCTACCCGCAGGAAGCAATTGGTGGTGTGGCCAATCCCAGAGGGCAGAACTTTGTCCCAGAGCATGGCATTGATCACGGTGCTCTTCCCATTGCTCGTCCTAGAAGGAAGTAACAGCTGTCAGCAAAGCCACCAGTATCTGACCTGAATTACTTTCACAACGCAGATACCAGCCTGGAAGGCCAAAGCCCTATTCAGTGCAATGTTGCCAGTGCCCAGACAGTGCTGAGAGACAAAGAGTAGGCACTGTTTATTAAAATGAATAAACACCCCCAGGCCCAAACCTCTGACATGCCCCTGGTTCATCATTTCAGATCAATCTACAAGAGGCTCACTGCGTGCTGTCTGCCCCTTGAATCACACAGCCACCCTCAGCAACACTTATAGAGACTGTCTGTCTGTCTCCAAAGTTTAATTCAGGCCTACCTGAAACACCGACTAACCCCCAGAGTGTCTTCCTCAGTCTAAATGACCCCAGTGTTTCCTACACAGGGCATGTTTCGCTGCTTTTCTCCCATCACGCTCCTCCTTACACATGAAGCTCCACCTTGTGAGTCCCAGCTGACAACTGCCAGGCTAAAGGGAAGGTTACTTTCTCATTCTTTTTTTTTTTATTGTTATTTGAGACAGAGTCTCACTCTGTCGCCCAGGCTGGAGTGCAGTGGCACGATCTCAGCTCATCGCAACCTCTGCCTCCTGAGTTCAAGCAATTCTCCTGCCTCAGCCTCCCAAGTAGCTGGGACTACAGGCATGTGCCACCATGCCCGGCTAATTTTTGTATTTTGAGTAGAGACAGGGTTTCACCATGTTGGCCAGACTGGTCGCGAACTCCTGACCTCAGGTGATTTGCCTGCTTCAACCTCCCAAAGTGCTGGGATTACAGGCATGAGCCACCATGCCCAGCCTACTTTCTCATTCTTACCTATCACACCCCTTTCATGTATTCTGGTGGGGTTTTTTGTTGTTGTTGTTGTTGTTTGTTTTTTTTGATATGGGATTTTGCTTTCTCGCCCAAGCTGGAGTGCAGTAGCGTGTGGCATGAATATAGCTCACTGCAGCCTCGACCATCAGGGCTCAATGATCCTCCCACCTCAGCCTCCCAAGTAGCTTAGACTATAGGTACCACCTATATATAGACTATAGCTGCGACCACGCCCAGCTAATTTTTAAATTTTTGGTAGAGATGGGGTCTTGCCATGTTGCTCAGGCTGGTCTCAAACTCCTGGGCTCAAGCAATTCTCCTGCCTCAGCCTCCCAGTGCTGAGATTACAGGTGTGAACCACTGCACCCCACCATTTCTGCTTCTTGAGAATAGCTCTGCTCAGCAGACTCATCTGCTCTGAGTCTCAGAGCTTTCAACCTGTGCTAAACACAGTGTTTCTCATTCTGAGTTGAAGTTTCTCAGCCATATCACTAGAGCAGAACTACAATGACCTTACCTGCACCCAGTGAGACAGGAAGCCCACTAGCTCACCTAAGTAGGGGGTCATACCTCCCAGGTGAGGATGAAGAAATGATAGTTCAGAGGAGTAGAGGACCACACCTGAGGTTACAGTTCATCAGGGTCAAGACTCTAGGCACAGTGCCTATTCCCCAGGCTACCACTGTGTGCCTAGCATACAATCTGTCTAGATGCCTTTTTTCTTGTATTAGATTTTTTTTTTTTGAGACGGAGTCTCACTCCGTCACCTAGGCTGGAGTGCAGTGGCGCGATCTTGACTCACTGCAACCTCCACCTCCTGGGTTCATGCCATTCTCCTGCCTCAGCCTCCCAAGTAGCTGGGACTACAGGCGCCCGCCACCACACCCAGCTAATTTTTTTTGTATTTTTAGTAGAGATGGGGTTTCACCGTGTTAGCCAGGATGGTCTCAATCTCCTGACCTTGTGATCTGCCTGCCTTGGCCTCCCAAAGTGCTGGGATTACAGGCGTGAGCCACCGTGCCTGGTCATTATACAAGTTATAAATGTTTGGCCTAGTACTTTAGGTACATTGTGGCTTCACAAGGGCCAGTGTTAAAACTGCTTCCATGTCAAAGCAAAGAAAACTGCCTACATATTGGTTTGTCCTGGTGGGGAATAAAAAGGATCATTGGTTCCAGTCACAGGTATAGTAAATGTGGGTACTTTAAGGTTTGGAGCACTTACAAGGCTGTGGTAGAAACAGATACCCCATGGTTATCACATGTTAAACCATGTGTGTCTGTGGAATACTCAATCTCAATGTGCACACCTTTGACTACAGCTGTGGAAGTGTTCCTTTAAACAAAGTTGTGACCCATTTCAATCTGGATAAGGGCAGAAATGGTTCACACTCCATTATTTGTAAAGTTATCTGCTGTTAGCTTTCATTATTTTTGCTACACTCATTTTATTTGTATTTAAAATGTTTCAGGCAACCTAAGAACAAATGTAAAAGTAAAGATGCAGGAAAAATGAATACTTCATGTATATCAAGCTAGCAGTAAAACAAAACAAAAAAAACACGTATTTAACTTATTTTTAGATTTTTTTTTTTTTTTTTGAGATGGAGTCTCACTGTCGCCCAGGCTGGAGTGCAGTGGCCCGATCTCGGCTCACTGCAGGCTCCGCCCCCTGGGGTTCACACCATTCTCCTGCCCTAGCCTCCCAAGTAGCTGGGACTACAGGCGCCCGCCACCTCACCCGGCTAATTTTTTGTATTTTTAGTAGAGATGGGGTTTCACTGTGTTAGACAGGATGGTCTCGATCTCCTGACCTCGTGATCCACCTGCCTCGGCCTCCCAAAGTGCTGGGATTACAGGTGTGAGCCACCATGCCCGGCATATTTTTAGATTCTTTGCTTTTGTGATTTTTTTTTGATGCTTGCCTAACATGCATGCACTGTAAAAATAGTTAACAGGGAAATAACTTGAGATGATGGCTAGCTTTGTTTAATGTCTTACGAAATTTTCATGAACAATACAAGCACAATTGTTAAGAACACGTGTATTAAATTCATGTAAGTGGAATAAAAGTTTTATGAATGGAGAAAAAAAAACAAATACTGTATGATTCCACTTACGTGAGACATCTAGAATAGTCAAATTCATAGGGACAGAAAGTAGAATGGTGGTGGCCAGGGCAAGGGACATGTGGGACAGGGAGTTATTGTTTAATGGCTATAATACAAGCTTCAGTTCTGCAAGATGAAAAAGCTCTTGAGACTGGTTGCAAATATACCTACTAGTGAATTGTATGCTTAAAATGGTTAAGGTGGTAAATTTTATATTATATGCCTTTAACCTTAATTAGAAAATAAAAAAAAAAAAGTCAGGCTTGATGGCATGCACCTGCAGTCCCAGCTGCTCAGGAGGCTCAGGTGGGAGGATCACCTGAGCCCAGGGAGGTCGAGGCTGTAATGAGCTTCCAGCCTGGGTGACAGAGAACCCTGTCTCAAAAATCAAATAAATAAATAAAATATAAATTAAGAGGAAAGCAATGAATTCTGAAGCATGTCCCTGCCTGGAACGTTCTGTGACCTTGCACAAAGTGCCTCCCTCCCTCCTAGCCAGGAAGAAAGAAAGGGTGGGTGCCTCAAGGACTTACCGGCCAAAAAAAGCCACTTTCATGTGCCTCCGAGCCAGCACCTCACTGATGCCTCTCACTTTGGATAGGTAACCTTTGACGTCCAGAACCTGTTCTTCTGTGGTAACGGGGTCCAGTTCTGCATTCCTGTACGTGTCTGGAGGTGGGGATTGAAAATGGGTCACCACGTGGTCAGAGGAGTTCCACAGTCCCAAGTCTGGAAGGGCCAGAGCGCCGGCCCTGCTTACCCTAAACGAGTCCACCTCTGGCACCCTGCAGCCGACAGGCTGAGCTCCAGATCCTCTATGGTGGCCCCACGGTGTGGTGGTTAAGAAGATGGCTCAGGAGCAACACTGCCTGGTTCTGAAGCTGGTTCTTACCACTTTCTAGCTCTGTGGCCTCAAGCAAAAGAACCTTTCTGGGTCTTAGTTTCCTTAAGCACAAAACGGAGATAACTACATTATCTACTTCATGAGAACATCGTGAGGATCAAACGAATTGAAACACAAATGCTGTGAATGGCGGCTGGTAGAAGATGAATACTTAAATGTTAACTGCCTTCCTTGTTTATTTTTTCTTAACAAATATTTACGAAGTTCTTACCACATGCCAGGCACTGTTCCTTTCACTTTTCAAATTCATTCTCTCCTTTGGTCCTCTTTATTAACATGGCTCCGGAGTTAGTAAAAGGCAGAGCTATGATTTGAATTAGGCAGCCTGGCTCTGGAGTCCAGGCTCTTAACCACTCTATGTCACTTCTTTTTTTTTTTTTTTTTTTTTTTTTTTTTGAGACGGAGTCTCGCTCTGTCGCCCAGGCTGGAGTGCAGTGGCGGGATCTGGGCTCACTGCAAGCTCCGCCTCCCGGGTTCACGCCATTCTCCTGCCTCAGCCTCCCAAGTAGCTGGGACTACAGGCGCCCGCCACTACGCCCGGCTAATTTTTTGTATTTTTAGTAGAGACAGGGTTTCACCGTTTTAGCCGGGATGGTCTCGATCTCCTGACCTCGTGATCCGCCCGCCTCGGCCTCCCAAAGTGCTGGGATCACAGGCGTGAGCCACCGCGCCCGGCCTCTATGTCACTTCTTGAGGCCCTCCCTGCCCTGGCCCTGTTGGCCTCTTGCCACCCGCTGCCTCACGGTCTCCCTCACCATATCCCCAAACTCACCAGCTTCCTCGGCCCTCTGGCTCCATTCCCTGCTGCCCAAACCCCCTCCCCACTCTCTGAAGAACTGACACACTACACTGCCTTGGGGCAGCGTGGCTCATTCTCACTTGGCCTCCGGTCTAGCTTAGACAGCACTGCCCCCAGGAAGCCTTCTCTGACCACCCCTCTAACCTGAGTCAGGACCCCGGACCCCTTCTCTGTGTGCCCCAGCACCCTGCACTTCTCCCATCTCAGCTCTCACCTCACCATAAGGTAACTGTACAGCTCACCTGTCTGTGTCATCTGCCTCATGAGGGCCACACTATCTGACCCCAGCACCCAGCAGGTGCACAAATGTTTGCTACGTGAGCAGACCTTTGGATCACTGCACTGCTTTTTCCCAGTGCCCTTAACAGGCAGATGGCCAACAAATTACTCCATACAGGAGCAACTGAGTGAGATCCCACCACTGTCCTGTCTAGAACTCGCACCAGACAGGTGCTTCAGCTGGCTGGAACACAGACGGGTGTTTAGCCCCTCTGCACACTCCTGGGAACTATGAGGCTGACAGGCCCCAGCCCTGAGAACACTCCGAAAGCATCTGAAGCATGACAAGGGCCTGCCCAGTGAATTTCCCCCACAGCCAGCGCCATGAAAGGAAATGACCAAGTCAACAACACCCCCATCTCCCCTCCCGCTATGTCCACCGGTCACCTCTGCCCCAGATGCATCAATATTCCTCCCTTATATGGGCACCTGGGCATGGCCTTTGGAATGTCCCTCGGAGGAAGCTGGCTCTCAAGCATGTGACTACACTTAAAAGCGAGAGCCAGCAGGCCAACAAGCTCTTGTTACCTGCCCGTTAGAAACAGTGCCCAGGCAGGAACCATTCTTTCCCTGACCCAGCACAGCTCAGGATCACTCCAGCTCTTTCCCTTCCATTTAAACAACAGGGGAGGCCTCATATTTTCACACACAGAGAAATCAAAGCATGCATCACATAAACACCTGCATTACGCATGTGTTTGTCCACCACATCATCTGAGTAGGTGACTCAGAGCTTCCAAGAGGGTTAGTCTGGGCTCCCAGAGGGGAGCGGCCTGATCTACCCCATCTCTGCATGCCCAGCACCTGGCACACGGCTGGCACACCATAGCCACTGATAAACAGGCAATGAGTTGGGATTATTTCAACTACCAATCATACTACTTTAAAATTCAGATTTGTTTTAGTTCAACAAGTATTTAGGAAACACCTTCTGTGGCATCAAGCGCCACGCAAAGGGCAGGGCACAGATGAGGGCATGAAGTTGGACAGTCTCTTTCTTCAAAGGGAGCCTCGTGTAGCAGCCTGGCATGTAAAACAACGAGAAGCCAAGCTGCTCTATTTGAAAGCAGAATGGAAAGAAGGTGGCCCCCCTGAGCCAGGGGCCAACCCCCGAAGCACCACCACTGAACTTCTAGGGTTCTGCAGACTAGAATCTGAAACCACTGTTCACACCTGAGCCCCACTTTCACAAGTGAGGAAACCAAGGGCAGATAAGACTCAGTTACTGGGTCTCCACAGACAATCTCAGGACCTGGCGCCAAAGTGTCCTTCTAAAGAGGGAGCCTGAGGAAGCCAGTGCTGGAGTTGACACTCAGACGAGCGGGGCCCTGGGAACCAGTCCTTCTCTGCTGATAGACAAGGAACTAGAGGTTGGGCTCAAATTAGTAACTAGTAGAAAAGGCATAGGTGACGTGAGTTTCCTATAGTTCTGTCACCAATCTAAAAATATCAAAGAAAGGGCGCCCTGGTCAGGGATCACTGACACCCAAACAGTGCCTGGTATTAATGGCAGCCAGAACTAGGCAAAGGAAAACACGTGGGCTCCGGAGTTGGAGACACCTGGGTAAAACCCTGATCTATTACTTACAAGGTATCGGACAACTCTCAAACCTCAATTTGCTTGCCTTGTAGATGGGGATAAGATTCACCTATCTTTCATGATTAAATGAAACAAAACATGTGGACTTCTTAAAGTAATTACTAAATGGCAGTTCCCTTGTCTTCCTGGCCTCATCTCCCCAGACTCCAATTCCACATGATTTCAAGAGCAGAGCATTTCTAAGGCTATCTGGTTATGACTTCCCTGGGAGCAGAGATATACCTCCCCACCCGCAAATCCCACTAGCTAAATATCTAAACAGGTAAGAGCGGGCCTGGCTGAGCCGGTGCCCCCTTACCTTCAAGGAAGGTGGCGCTCTCCTGGATGTAGGCCCCCAGCTGCTCAAAAATGCCATTGATCTTCTTCTTGGCAGTGACAAAGTGCTTAAGTGGGGATGCATTCACCTCAGCCATGTGTCTCTTATTTTTCTTGACTGTGACGATAGAGTTGCATCGAGAGAAGAGCAGGGACATTGCGCTGCAAGAGAAGCTAACGTGAGCGAACCCAGCAACACCTACCTCGGGACATCCTGCTAGGGAGATGGCGGAATGCTTTGGGGAGAATCAAGAATATGGGGATCTCAGGTCACTGCAACCTCCAGGACTAGAACAAAGGACGGTGAGATAAGAACAGTGTCTCAGGCTGGGCGCGGTGGCTCACCCCTGTAATCTCAGAACTTTGGGAGGTTGAGGCAGGTGGATCACCTGAGGTCAGGAGTTCAAGACCAGCCTGGCCAACATGGTGAAACCCCCGTCTCTACTAAAAATACAGTAATTAGCCAGACCCAATGGCACACACCTGTAATCCCAGCTACTTGGGAGGCTGAGACAGGAGAATCACTTGAACCTGGGAGATGGAGGCTGCAATGAACCAAGATCATGCCATTGTACTCCAGCCTGGGTGACAGGGCGAGATTTTGTCTCAAAAAATAAAACAAAATTAGCATGACACAGTGGCATGCATCTGCAGTCCTAGCTACTTGGGAGTCTGAGGTGGGAGGGTCACTTGAGCCCAGGAGTTTCGGCTGCAGTGACCTATGATCAGTCCACTGCACTCTAGCCTGGGAGACAGAGCAAGACCACATAAAAACACTATTGGTTAGGGGCCAGGTTCAGTGGCTCATACCTATAATCCCAGCACTTTGAGAGGCCAAGGCAGGCAGATCACTTGAACTTTGGAGTTCGAGACAAGCCTAGGCAATGTAGGACCCCGTCTCTATTTAAAAAAAAAAAAAAAAACAGCCAGGCATGGTGGGTTATGCCTGTAATCCCAGCACTCTGGGAGGCTGAGGCAAGTGGATCACAAGGTCAGGAGTTCAAGACCAGCCTGGCCAACATGATGAAACCCCGTCTCTACTAAAAATACAAAAAAATATAGCCGGGTGTGGTGGTGGCCGCCTATAATCCCAGCTACTTGGGAGGCTGAGGCAGAGAATTGCTTGAACCTGGGAGGCGGAGGTTGCAGTGAGCCGAGATCGCACCACTGTACTCCAGCCTGGGTGACAGAGCCAGACCAAGTCTCAACAAAGAAAAACACACACACACACACACACACACAAAAACTATTGGTCTATTTTAGTATAGCACAGGTGTGCTACAGAAAATTTGGAAACTGAAGGGGAAAAAAACCCATAACCCCATCATTTTGTGATAAGCAATGTTAACATTTTATTTACTTATTTATTTTTTATTTTGAGACAAGATCTCGCTGTTACCTGGGCTGGAGTGCAGTGGCGCAATCACAGCTCACTGCAGCCTCAACCTCTTGGGTCCAAGCAATCCTCCCACCTCAGCCTCCTGAGTACATGAGACCACAGGCATGCACCACCACGCCCCACTAATTTTTTTAAAATTTTTTGTAGAGACAGGGTCTTCTTATGTTGCCCAGGCTGCTCCCAAACTCTTGGGCTCCAATGATCCTCTCACTTTGGATTCCCAAAGTGTTGGGATTAAAGTGCTGGGATTAAAGGCGTGAGCCACCATGCCCAGCCAACATTTTTTTTTTTTTTTTCTGAGACAGAGTCTTGCTCTATCGCTCAGGCTGGAGTGCTGTGGCATGATCTCGGCTCACTGCAACCACCACCTCCCGAGTTCAAGCTATTCTCCTGCCTCAGCCTCCCAAGCAACTGGGACTACAGGCACTCGCCACCATGCCCGGCTAATTTTTGTATTTTCAGTAGAGGTGGGGTTTCACCATGTTGGCCAGGTAGGTCTTGAACTCCTGACCTCAAATGATCCACCCACCTTGTCCTCCGAAAGTGCTGGGATTACAGGCATGAGCCACCACGCCCGGCCCAACATTTTGTTTATTATAATTTTTTTTTTTTTT
This sequence comes from Homo sapiens, assembly GCF_000001405.40. Classification (NCBI taxonomy): domain Eukaryota; kingdom Metazoa; phylum Chordata; class Mammalia; order Primates; family Hominidae; genus Homo; species Homo sapiens. The sequence goes on along the minus strand of NC_000001.11, from coordinate 11,987,313 downwards.
TTGAGACAGAGTCTCACTTTTGTCACCCAGGCTGGGTGCAGTGGTGCAATCTCAGCTCACTACAACCTCCACCTCCCAGGTTCAAGCGATCCTCCTGCCTCACTCAGCCTCCTGAGTAGCTTGGAGTACGGGCATGTACCACCACACCCAGCTAATTTTTTTATTTTTCGTAGACAGGGCTTCACCATGTTGGCCAGGCTGGTCTCAAACTCCTGACCTCAAGTGATCCATCTGCTTCGGCCTCCCGAAGTGCTGGGAATACAGGCGTGAGCCACCGTACCCAGCCATATTATCACAGTCTATTTTTGTGTGACTGTCTCTCTTGCTCTCACTCAATCCTACATATCTTTGTAGCTTATCTTTTCATATAACAACATTTTAGAGGTCATGAGACTTGACTCCAAAGTCCTAGAGGTCTTTGGTCAAAGGTCAAAAGAGGCTGGGCATGGTGGCTCACACCTATAATCCCTGCACTTTGGGAGGCCCAGGCGGGTGGATCACTTGAGACCAGCCTGGCCAACATGGTGAAACCCCTTCTCTGCTAAAAATACAAAAATTAGCCAGGCATGGTGGCAGGCACCTGTAATCCCAGCTACTCGGGAGGCTGAGGCACGAGAATTGCTTGAACCTGGGAGCTGGAAGTTGCAGTGAGCTAAGATCGCGCCATTGCACTCCAGCCTGAGCAATAGAGCAAGACTCCATCTCAAAAAAAAAAAAAAAAAGATCAAAAAGAGGCGTACACACCAGAAGGAGTGCCCAGGGTAAGACTGGGAATTCCGACCCCAAAAGTGGACCCCTGCCAGGTCCCTCAGAGTTCCCACCACGGCGAAAGCTACTTCTTGAGCAGAGCCCACCAATCCCAGGAAGTCAAAGGGCAAAGGCCCTCCTGGATGAGGGGGTGTGTGCACAGCTGACTGTGCCTGGGTCTGTCACTGCCTCCCCAGCCACCCTAATCTTACTGCTCAGTTCTCCACCCAGCAGTAAGCTCACTCTCTCTAGATTGGAAATGAGGTGTTGCTCCCCAGCAAGCACACGTGAAAAACTTCCAAATGGGGCCAAAGTATGTTGCACAAGGTCCTGAAAAGCAGAAAGAACACCCGGAAGAGGTACATGAAGACCAAATGCCAAAACGGACTTTTAGTAACTAACCATCCCAAAGAGTGGGCAGAAGACAGACCGACCCAAAGCGGGATAGGGACCCACATGTGTGCCCAAACCAACAAGTTCTTGTGCAATGTTAATGATTCCTCTGGAGACAAGGGAAGGAAGTGACCCCACTTCCGTTTCTACATTCCTCCTCAGCATGACGCCACAGCTATGAGAGATGTTTTCTCAGCATGGAAGCCATATGTCCAGGGCTTAAAGACAGTACAGCTCTGAGAAAGGAAACTGCAAAGAAAATGCTACTCTCACTCTTCCAAAGCAGCAAAGGAGAGTGCGCTGAAATGAGGCTTGCCATGGCCTGGCAGATCAGACTGTTCGAGAAAGAGGGGATGTGGCAGGCACAAGAGGAAAGCCATCCAAAAGGAATAGAAAAGGGATCAGGGGTCAGGCACGGTGGCTCATGCCTGTAATCCCAGCACTTTGGGAGGCCGAGGCAGGCAGCTCACCTGAGGTCAGGAGTTCAAGACCAGTCTAGCCAACATGGTGAAACCCCGTCTCTATGAAAAATACAAAAAATTAGCTGGGTGTGGTGGCGCATGCCTGTAGTCCCAGCTACTCCAGAGGCCAAGGCAGGAGAATCACTTGAACCTGGGAGGTAGAATTTGCAGTGAGCCAAGATCTCGCCACTGTACTCCAGCCTGGGTGACAGAGCGAAGTCTCTCTCTTTAAAAAAAAAAAAAAAAAAAAAAAAAAAGGGATCAAGGATGGGGCATGATATAGCACTACCTATGACAGGTTTTGTAATCAGGCAGAGCTGGGTTCAAATTGTGACTACATTATTTCTGGGCTGCTTAAACTTAAGCAAGTTATTTCATCACAGAACCTTGGTTTCTTCATGTGTACAACAAACAAGACACCTACTGGAGAGAGAAACTGTCTCAAATTATCTTTTTTCTCTACTCTCACACCATAATCATCAACACAAGAGACTTCTGTGACCAAATGTGAGGGGGTTTCTTCCCCACACACCAACCAGCGGACAGCAGCTGGGTATCCTCTCATTCAGTTCCCATGCTGTCTACCTGGAGAGAGTGTCAGATCCCACAGGTTGAGGGCTCAGTCCCCAGGACTGCCCCGCCTCTCCACCACCACCCCTCAAACATACCAGTTGCAAGTCTGGGCCTCCAGAATTTCTCACCGACTGGCTTCAGGCTGGGGTTCCCATGACCCCCTCTTTGAGTTCAATTAATTTGATGGAGCAGCCTACCTAGCCCAGGGAAACACTTACTTACGTTTACCAGGTTATTATGAGGGATATCGCAAAGGATACAGATAAGGAGACGCTTAGGGCGAGGTATGGGGGAAGAGGCGTGTAGTTTCTGTGCCCTCCCTGAGCAGGCCTCTCTCTAGGAACCTCCGTGTGTTCAGCTATCCACAAGCTCCCTGAACTCTGTCCTCTTGGATTTTTATGGAAGCTTCATGACATCAGCATTCCTTCCCCCAGGATACAGGGTCCACCCCTCTCAGGGGAGGGTTTTAAGGCCCACAATCAGGTGGGGAAAGATTAGGGTGGAAGGAGAGCAGAAGGTCAGAGGCCTGCCCCTGAGGCCTAACACATCTAACATTATATCAAAAAACCATAACAAGGGCTGTGGATAGGAGTTATGAGCCTGGATCCGTGGATGAAAACCAATATCCTAATACCACAATACCATCTAAACTGTGAGAAGACTAAAGTTGATGACGCAAGCAACATGCTTCACTACAGTAAGAGCTAAAGGCAGCTTTACATGTTATAAAACAATAACAACAAACTCTACCAGCAAGATCACAAGACTCTCTCCATGAACACCCAGCCTTCAGGGAGGGCAGAGGCAACTCCGCCAACTCACACCACACACACCACTCCCTTACCCGCTATCACGGAGATCAAATAAACAGGTCAGCTGGGGAAGGATCAGCGATACCCCACTCCAGAAGTGACTTGCTGCAGGAAGCAAGTTCCCTGCCATCAGAAGCAGGTGCTTTTAAGTTCTGGTCAATGTTTGCAAGCCCAGGAGATATAAAACCAAAAGCATTAGTGCTCACTAACTGCAAGACTCGACAGCGTGTACACCAGTAGAAGCTTGGGAGCTCCAGGTTACAAGGTCTGCTGGGAGTTCAGCCGGTCCAGGAGCCTCCCTGCTCTCACTAATACCCAGCCTGCAGCTGCATCCAAACCCCTGGCGTAAAACCTACTGTCAACCCCTCCAAACTCTGCCTGATTTATCTGGCTCTGCTAACTTGCAAGCTGAGATTCCACATCTGTGTTGCATGAGCTGCTTTCTGCCTGGAATCCTCCTTCCTTTTCCACCCATTTGGCATACTCCTACTGTCCTTCTAGACCCAACTCAAGTGTCACCCGCTCCATGAAGCCTCCTCTGATGCCTCATAGAGAACAAACAACATCACAGACTTCTGGTTTTTATCACATCCTGTGTTCCCCAATTATCTCAAGGCTTTGACTGCTGACTCCCTACTCCTCCAGGGTGATGCAGGGCAGCTGGGTTCCTCCTCTGCCTCTGGAAAGCCTTGATAATCTCTGCTTCACCACAGACCTTGCCACAGGCACGTGGGGACCATCCTGCAAGCATAGCCTGAGAGCCCAGCTCCAACATCAGTGACACACTAAGCGTCACACTTCAAGCTGTGACTGCCTCATAAGTGCTCTGGAGATTACTGTTTTGGATAGTTTCTGGCAGCACTTCCCAAAGCGTGGTCCACAGAACTCGACTTGCACCCAATATCCCATGTAAAGAAGGTTCAATAGTAGAATCAGTTTGTAAAACACCATATGCTAGGCCAGGCGCGGTGGCTCACGCCTGTAATCCCAGCACTCTGGGAGGCCGAGGTGGGTAGATCACAAGGTCAGGAGTTCGAGACCATCCTGGCTAACACGGTGAAACCCCATCTCTACTAAAACTACAAAAAATTAGCCAGGCATGGCAGCATGCACCTGTAGTACAGCTACTCGGGAGGCTGAGGCAGGAGGATAGTGTGAACCTGGGAGGCAGAGCTTGCAGTGAGCCAAGATCACGCCACTGCAAGATCGCGCCACTGCACTCCAGCCTGGGTGACAGAGCAAGACTCTGTCTCAAAAAAAACAAAAAACAAACAAACAAACAAAAAACACCATATGCTACCATTTTCCTCAGTGGAGCACGTGAGCACAGCAAAAGAGTTTGGGAAGGAAGCCTTGTTGTAAAGACACTAGTTTAACTGTGTTGAATTCAGCATTTCACAAATATAATCAATGAAAAAACCCTTCTGTGTAATAGCTTTTAAAATCCCGAGGATCACACTTTAGGGAAAAGCCCACTCTTTCTGGTACTCTCCTGCCCCTACCCCTAAAAAGTGCCAGGGCACAGTATTAATAAATATTAACCTAAGACCAGAAATGAACCCAGTTCTAAATGGAAACTGCTATTAGCCCTCCAAGGTGGTCAACAGCTTTGCCTCAACCTAGGCTATTCGTTGAGGAGTATTAGGTATCTTGGGTGTAGAGACAGCAGTAGCAAAATTCACTGCAAGGTGTGTTTGGATCCCAAGCACAGTCCCTGAATCCACACCACCTCCTTACCCAGTGTTATGTACAGCAACTCCTAGCAGGGAAAATAAAATGGATCCACGGATCGTCTGCTGGCACAACTGGAAAAGAGGAGAAGCTGAGAAATCGAAACAAAAAGAGTATACAGGGTAAAGGGGACAGAGCAGAGTCTTAAAAGAGCAGTGACAAGGAGCCAACCTGTGCTGGGCCGAGATGGGGAAGAGCCAGCACAGCAGAGACCAAATGAGGGAGACAGAGACTAACTCTTCAGGGAGCCCAAGAGATCCCAGCCACTTCTGAACTGTCAACTTTTAAACAGGCTCTCTAAGCAACCAGCGAAATCCTTCACGGAAGTAAAAGATACGGTAGTTTTTCAACACAAGTTAGAAAGCTGTGGCTCTATACAAAGAGGATGCCATTCAAGAGACTTGCCACCAGAGGTCCAGGAGAGCACACCCCTGTCCACTCAGCTCAAATCCAGGGTGCCAGAAGTCACAGCTACTACTTACTTTTTTGGATGGTGAGAGATCTTCACAGGGTAGGCATCATGGACATGGCTGAAGTCCAAAAGACAAAAAGATTCTGAGTTCTCTTCTGTCCTGTCTCAGGTTGAGGTTGGCTATTGATTGACTGTGTTGACTCCACCAGTCCTGACTTATTAGAAAAGAAAAGGGAGATGGATCCGGTGTCCAAAAAAAAAAAACACTGGTGTACAAAACATGTCTAATCAGGTTTCAAGCCAAACAAACTCATCCCTGAGGGAAGCTTACTCATTGAGGTATTGGGGAGTTGCGCTGGCATGTGAGGAAGTGCCCTGGGGAAAAAAACGCAGAGGTGTGGGACCAATCCTGACTGTGCACACGTATTCCGCCATGTGCGGGTTTGAGGCACCACGGAGGTCCCTGCAGGAGCCCTGGGAAAGGTACATCCAGAGAGGGGAGAAGAGGACAGAGCAAAACTAGGAACAAAACTGGGCTTGAGGACTGTGGAACAGCTGACTATTGAGGAACAGAAGAACTGACTGAAAGCCAATGTGTTCAGCTACTGTAAAGTATCTCACTTAATTCTCTATTCTGTGGGACAGAGGGCTGGAATACTTGAAGATTTGTCTAAGCTGGGATCTGAAATATTAGCTCCCTTTGACTCCAAAGCTCCTGGAGTGCAGCAGCGCGATCTCGGCTCAACCTCCGCCTCCCGGGTTCAAGCGATTCTCCTGCCTCAGCCTCCTGAGTAGATGGGATTACAGGCGTGTGCCAGCAAGCCCGGCTAGTTTTTGGTTTTAGCACAGACGGGGTTTCACCATGTTGGCCAGGCTGGTCTCCAACTCCTGACCTCAGGTGATCCGCCCGCCTCAGCCTCCCAAAGTGCTGGGATTACAGGTGTGATCCACTGCGACCGGCCTCCTTCCTTTTTTAACTACATTGAGCTGCCTTCCTCCCCCAAGCCCCAAACCTTGGGACACCAGAGGCGGATAACCAGAGCCCTTTTCTGGGTAGAAAAGAGATAACCAGAGCCCTTTTCTGGGTAGAAGAGAGAGAGATGATTGAGAATTTAAAGAGGGCAATGAAGGATTACGAGAGGGGGTAACGGGCAGTTCTGCCTTCGTGCGTCTTAACAGCTATTTATTCAACATTTTCTGTGTGCCTTCTCTGTGTGTGTCAGGCGCCACGTTAGAAATGGATAAGAAACAGTCCTGCCCTCCAGGGCCTTACAGTCCGGTGAGAAGTCATATAAGTAAACAGGGCTGAACGAGAAGGCAGTAACTGCCCAAAGTGGGGATGGCAGGGCGCTCCCGCGGTGAACGTGGACACCTATCAGGTGCTGAGTAAATGCTGGCAAAATGAAGACAGGATGAAAAATAGAGAAGGGGCAGGGGTAGAACATGGCCGTGAAGGGTGGAAAGGCGGGGGCGATGAGAAGCTACAGGGGACCCCACCGACCAGTCCCAGGTCCCGTGGCCCGCCCCCTCCTCTCAGGGCCGGGGAGGGCCCGGCGGCGAGGCCGGAGAGTGGGGACCCCGCTTGACTGCATCCCAGACCCCCGTGGCCCCAGAATCCCGTCGGCCCACGCCGAGCTGCTCAGGACTCGCCGGGCCGGGCCGGGCCAGTCCCCGCCACCCCGGCTTGCTCGCCCTCTCACCTTCACCTTCCCGGCCTCGCGGCGGCCATCACACTCACTACGTCACCAGCGAGCGCCACCCCAGGGGGAGGCGGGAGGAGGGAAGTGGATAAGCGCGTCACCAGTCGCCTCAGATTGCCCCTCGACCCGGGTGAGCTGGTGGACCCTGAGCCCAGCCGGCTCGCCCCGCCTACTCCTTACGCCTCTGCTGCCCCGCGACTCGGCGCTTCGAGCGGCGTCTCAGCGCGCCACTCCTCCGCGCGCCACTCCTCCGCCGGCGCGTCCCAAGCGGACGACGCAGAGGCTCGGACTCCCACTGCATCATGGGGGCTGTAGTTCCGGTGGGCGTCGGCCGGAGCTGGGGGGGCGGGGCAAAGCGGGGCGGAGCCTCAAGCTGTCAAGGGGCGAAAAACCAAGGGCGTGGAGTAGAGGTTCCCGCTTTTTCGCCGGTTGTCCTAGAGCCTGACCCTGGGGCCTCTGCCAGCTCTGGAATCCAGATTTGCATTCTGTAATCTTAGAGGAGTGTTCTCTAGAGGGCCAGGCCTAGGGTGAAGTGACTCATCGGGCAGACAGAAGCGAGCATGGGCCTGCTGCCCTTCAGTCGCCTTTGAGGAAAGAAGAGCAGCAACAACGGCGAATCAATGCCAGTGACTGAACTGCGTCTCTAACATCCACCGCTGTATTTAACGTCCACAGCAGTCCCAGGAGAGGGAGAGGAGAGGTTACCCAAGCTCACATGGTTACCCAGATCACCGGGCCCCAGTGATGCGGCAGACACTACTAGGAAACCGCAGCAAACAGATCCCTTGCAGGACTTGGCCTCCGCAGAGAAGGCTCCAAGCCTGAGCGCGCCAGAACAGTAGGCACTAGCCACGTGTGGCTCTCGAGTCCTGAGCCAGTGCAAACGGAGATGCGCTATAAGACTTAGGACAAAAAAGGCTGTTAAACTATCTCAATTTTTAGGAAAAAAAAATATCGACCGGGCGCGGTGGCTCAAGCCTGTAATTCCAGCATTTTAGGAGGGCGAGGCGGGTGCATCGGGAGTTCAAGACCAGCCTGGCCAACATGGTGAAACCCCGTCTGTACTAAAAATACAAAAATTAGCCAGGCATGATAGTGCACTCGGGAGGAAGAGGCAGGAGAATCGCTTGAACACGGGCGGTGGAGGTTGCAGTGAGCCGAGATCATGCCACTGCACTCCAGCCTGGGCAACAGAGACTCCGTCTCAAAAAAGAAAAAAAAAATCTATCTTTGAGCCAGAGTCTCACTCTCACTCAAGCTGGAGTGCAGTGGTGCAATCACGGCTCACTGCAGCCTCGAACTCCTGGGCTCAAGTAATCCTCCCACCTCACTCAGCCTCCCAAGTAGCTGACCACAGATGCTGCAGCCATGCCTAGTATTTATCTTTTGTAGACATGGGGAAGCATTTCACTTTGTTACCCAGGCTGGTGTCCTGAACTCCTGGACTCCTGGAGTCAAGCAATCTTCTCCTGCCTCGGCTTCCCAAAATGCCGGGTTACAGGTACCTGCCACAGTGCAGGGCTATTAGCCCATTACTATTTATATGCTGACTACATGTTGAAGTGATAATATTTTGGGTCATTTGGGTTAAATACATTACTAAGATTAATTGCACCTGTTTCTTTTTAAAAATGTCGCTACTAGAAAATTTAAAATTACATAAGTAGCTTGCATTTGTGGGTCAAACTGTAATTCTGTGGGATGGTGCTGCTCTATAACCATGGTAGAACAACCTCAATTTATTGCCACAAACAACCTCAAGAGGCAAATCAGTACTCTGATATAGAAGTGACTGGTTTATCAGTCTCATGACGATGGCCAAAGGGAGCTGTCCTGCCCACACTGCCCTCTGAGTAGCCTAGTGCCCCGCGGGTCTGACTGTGGACTGTGGGGCCACACGCAGACTCAGCCTCAGGGTGTAGACAGGGCCCTGTCTGGGATGTAGCGTGCCTTGGGGCCTCAGCTGCTAGCTGCCTGGTACTGGGTCGGATTGTTTCCTCCTCCACAATCTCTGGACTCCCTAAGGAGAGGAACTCTAAATTCCACTTCCATTCTCTGAGGGCAGGAACTATAAATTCCATTTCCTCTTTTTTTTTTTTTTTCTTTTTTTTTGAGAAAGAGTCTCGCTCTCACTCTGTTGCCCAGACTGGAGCTCAGTGGCACCATCTTGGCTCACCGCAACCTCCGCCTCAGGCAATTCTCCCGCCTCAGTCTCCCCACTAGCTGGGATTACAGGCGTGCACCACCATGCCTGGCTAATTTTTGTATTTTTAGTAGAGATGGGGTTTCACCATGTTGGCCAGGCTGGTCTCAAACTCCTGACCTCAGGTGATCCACCCGCCTCAGCCTCCCAAAGTGCTGGGATTACAGGTGTGAGCCACCACGCCCAGCCTTCCTTTTCCTTTTTAGCAGAATCTTGCCCGTCAGGTGAAAGCCTGGATGTTCTCTCTCCTAAACATCTCCCCTGCCCACTCCCTCCTCTTCCCTAAATTTCCCTGCAAGCATTGGTCTAGGTCCTGGTCACTTGCCTGGACTGCTGTAGGAACCTCTGAATCCATTCCCAGGCATTTAGTCTTGTACTCTGCCCAGCAGCTGGGCTTTATCTCTGAAACACATCTGCATACTTGCCCAGCAAGTAGAGGAAATCTCAGTTTGGAGATATGTTTCAACCCATTAACATGTGTTTCTCATTGAGATGGCTGAATCCTCGTTTCAACCCTCGGGATGACAAAACTCTCCTAGCAGTGCTGAGTGTTATTGGGAATGGGTGCAGAGCACACTGATGTACAACTCCAGGAGACCTTTCTTTCTTACGTTTTTGTTTTTTTTTTTAAGACAAGAGTCTTGCTCTCTCACCCAGGCTGGAGTGCAGTGGCACAATCTCAACTCACTACAACCTCTGCCTCCCGGGTTCAAGCGATTCTCGTGCTGCAGCCTCCTGAGTAGTTGGGTTTACAGGCATGTGCCATAAAGCCCACCTTATTTTTGTATTTTTAATAGAGACAGGGTTTTGCCATGTTGGCCATGCTGGTTGAGAATTCCTGGCCTCAAGTGATCCTACCACCTCAGCCTCCCAAAGCGCTGGGATTACAGGCATGAGCCACTGCACCCGGTCCATATTACTTTTTGTTGTTGTTGTTGTTGACAGGTTATTGCTCTGTCACCCACGCTGGAGTGTAGTGGTGCAATCTTGGCTCACTGCAACCTCCACCTCCCAGGTTCAAGTGATTCTCCCAGCTCAGCCTCCCAAGTAGCTGGGATTACAGGCACCTGCCACCACACCTGGCTAATTTTTGTATTTTTTTGTAGAGATGGGGGTTTTGCCATGTTGGCCAGGCTGGTCTCAAACTCTTGACCACAAGTGATCCACCCGCCTCAGCCTCCCAAAGTACTGGGATTACAGATGTGAGCCACAGCATCCGGCCCCCCATGTTACCTATTTTGTTTGACTTTTTCATGGTGAAGATGAGTTTGTAATCAGAAAAAAGTTAACAGTTAAAAACAACCCTATGCCGGGCACAGTGGCTCACACCTGTAATGCCAGCACTTTGGGAGGCCGAGGCAGGTGGATCATCTGAGGTCAGGAGTTGGAGACCACCGTGGCCAACATGGTGAAACCTCATATCTACTAAAAATACAAAAACTAGCTGGGCGTGGTGGCGGGTGCCTGTAATCCCAGCTACTCGGGAAGCTGAGGCACGAGAATTGCTTGAACCCGGGAGGCAGAGGTTGCAGTGAGCCGAGATCATGCCATTGCACTCCAGCCTGGGCGACAGAGTGAGACTCCATCTCAAAAACAAAAACAAAAATAACCCTAACATACACAAACACACACACAGGCTTGTGTCGGCACAAACCAGCTCAAGAACGTTCAAAAAACAGATTAGACATGGTGGCTTTCAGAGAGAGGAACTGAGCAGCTGGGGGGAAAGGATGACAGAAAGATTAAGATTTGTGCTGTTTGAATTTACAATGAGTCAATTTTGAAAATGAAAAGACTAAAAAATCTTTTTTTTTTTTTAATTGAGATGGAGTCTTGCTCTGTCACCCAGACTGGAGTGCAGTGGCCCAATCTTGGCTCATTGCAACCTCCACCACCTGGGTTCAAGCGATTCTCCTGCCTCAGCCTCCCGAGTAGCTGGGATTACAGGCGCATGCCAACACAACCGGCTGATTTTTTCATATTATTAGTAGAGACAGGGTTTCGCCACGTTGCCCAGGCTGGTCTCAAACTCCTGACCTCAGGTAATCCGCCTGCCTCAGCCTAAGTGCTGGGATTACAGGTGTGAGCCACTGTGCCTGGCCTCAAAAATCTTTTTTAAAAGACTTTCAGGCCTGGGATGGTGGCTCACGCCTGTAATCCAGTACTTTGGGAGGCCGAGGCGGATGGATCACCTGAGGTCAGGAGTTCGAGACCAGCCTGGCCAACACGGTGAAATGAAACCCCGTTTCTACAAAAAATACAAAAATGTGTCAGGCATGGATACCTATAATCCCAGCTACTCAGGGGTCGAGAGGCTAGCATGACCTTTCTTAAAGGCTCTAAAAAGAGGGCTCTTGGCCGGGCACGGTGGCTCATGCCTGTAATCCCAGCACTTTGGGAGGCCGAGGTGGGTGGATCATCTGAGGTCAGGAGTTCAAGACCAGCCAGACCAACCTGGTGAAACCCTTTCTTTAATAAAAAAACAAAAATTAGCCAGGCGTGGTGATGGGTGCCTGTAGCCCCAGCTGCTCGGAAGGCTGAGGCAGGAGAATTACTTGAACCCAGGAGGCGGGGGTTGCAGAAAGCGGGGATAGCGTCATTGCACTCCAGCCTGGAAGACAGAGTGAGACTCTGTCTCAAAAAAAGAAAAAAAAAAAAAAAGAGGGCTCTTAAAACCTCTCTCCCTGCAGACACTCACACCAAGACACACACACACCCACTCGCCCTGAGCATCTTCCCTTCAGTGGTTTAAATGACCTTTAATAGAAACTCTCCAGTTTCTGACGGTCTGTCCCTCTCTTCAGAGGCATCCAGGACAGGGTGACCCAGTGTGGTGTGTGGACCTGTCACTCCCCTCCCCACAGGCAAGTAGAAGATCGAGCTGTGCACAGATGCCTCTTCTGTCTCCCAAGAGGTTCTCTGGAGTCGCTGTCTCCAGGGGACTACGGTTTGCTCTCATGACCAGCCATGGAGGCAGAAGTCCCAGACTCAGGGCAGCCCTTGGAGTCTGATCCAGGTGTCTTTACCCCAAAACTTGAAGCAGAAGTCCCTGGTGCAACACCTGTGCCTGGGAGAAGCTCTGGCCATGGCTTCTCACCCAGACAGTCTTTCTGGGCAACTTGGGGAAGCCCCTGTTCTGCTCAAGTCTCACCCCATGGAAGAGGTGGGGGAAGGGGGCCTTGGTTTTTCAGGAAGACAGGTTGGAGAGCACGAGTCACTACAAAGCAGTAAAAGTGAATGGTGTCTCCAGGGGCTGGGTCCAGAACACCACGGAGAGCCCCAGCCATAAAGGTGTGTTCCGCCTCTGGCCTGCAGGAATCTCTTTGAATCTCTTTGATTGGTGGCTCCAAGAGCAATGGGAAGTCAACAGCCAGGAGGCTGGACTGGGTTCCCTGGGACCCCGAGGTCCCAGAGGCTGCTGGGCAGTGGTTGTCGGCAAAGAAGAAAGGTCCAAGAGGGTCAGGCCTGGCCAATTAGGGATCGACGAAGGAGACTGCGATGTAGCGGGTGCCCCTGGTGGTGGGGAGCCCCTCATGGTAATGCGTGAGTCGTCCAGGGTGCATGAGGGTCCAGCCCTTCCTTGGGGCTCGGATGGAACAGTTGTAGCGCAGGAACCGACAGCCCCCGCCCTGGGAGACAGAAAGCATCAGTGGCCTTTCCCCACCGCCCCCCTGCCCGTCTGTTCTCCCGTCATGATCTCCTGTCATGGCCAAGTGGCCCTCAGCACTGCCTGCCTGGGGATGCCTTCTGGAGTGACAGCCACAAGCGCTGCTAAGGAAGACACTAAATGAAGAGTAGTGGCCAGGAGTGGTGGCTCACGCCTGTAATCCCAGCACTTTGGCAGGCCAAGGCGGGTGGACCACCTGAGGTCAGGAGTTCAAGACCAGCATGGCCAACATGGTGAGACCCCATCTCTACTAAAAATACAAAAACCAGCTGGGTGTAGCAGCGCACGCCTGTAATCCCAGCTATTCGGGAAGCTGAGACAGAATCACTTGAACCCAGGAGGCAGTGAGCCGAGATCGCGCCACTGTACTCCAGCCTGGGCAACAGAATGAGACTGTCTCAAAAAAAAAAAAACCCAAAGAGTAAGTGATCAAGAGCTCTGTCCTTGGAGTCAGGCAGCCCTGGGCAGACATCACCTCCACTCTTTACTAACTGTGACCAACCTGAGCTTCAGTTTCCCCTTCTGTAAAATGAGGGTTAAACAGAACAGGATAGTGAGAATTAAATGAGATGTTACAATTGAGAGCTGAGGATCAAGCTTCCCAACCTCACCACTATAGACACTTTGCTGTGGAAGGCTGTCCCGGGCATCTCTGACTTCTACCCACTAGATGCCAGTAGCCCCTCATAGTTGTAAAAACCAATTATGTCTCCAGGTACTGCCAATGTCCCTTGCAGGCCACAGTTGCTCCTGGTTGAGAATCCTTGGATTAGGGATGCCTGATATGTTTGTTGTAAGCTCTCAAAAAATTATAGCTCCAGCCTGGGCAACATAGTGAAACCCCATCTCTAAAAGCAAGAAAAAAAATTAGCTGGCCATGGTGGCACACGCCTGTGGTCCCAACTACTTGGGGGGGCTGAGGTGGGAGGATTGCTTGGGCCCAGGAGGTTGAGGCTGCAGTGAACTGTGATCATGCCACTACACTCCAGCCTGGGTGACAGAGCAAGACCCTGTCTCGAAAAAGAAAAAAAAAAGGATTATAGCTGTTTTTATGAGTGTTCTCCACAGCACCCAGCCCAGGGCTAAGTTCAAAAAACCTCTTTTTGTTTTTTTTGGAGACAGAGTCTCGCTCTGTTGCCCAGGCTGGAGTGCAGTGGCATGATCTCAGCTCACTGCAACCTCCACCTCTTGGGTTCAAGAGATTCTCATGCCTCAGCCTTCTGGGTAGCTAAGATTACAGGTGTGTGCTACCACGCCCAGCTAATTTTTCTATTTTTAGTGGAAATGGGGTTTCGCCATGTTGGCCAGGCTGGTCTCAAACTCCTGGCCCCAAGTGATCTGCCTGCCTTGGCCTCCCAAACTGCTGGGATTGCAGGCATCAGCCACCATGCCGAGCCCAAAAATCTCTTAAAATAGTAGCTTAAGAGCCTGGCCCCTCCTCCTGCTAGACTGTGAACCCTTCCAGGAAGCCCTCCCACAGACCCACATCCTTTTTTTTCTGGTTCTCTGGCACTGGTTACCTGGGGCCCCTCTGCCTCAACCACCCTGAAGCCTCTCCTCAGCTAGCCCTCCTCATCCCCATTGCCGGCCCCTTGACCCCGGCTGGCTCCTGCTCACCTCGTAATCCACCCCGACTCGGTTCAGGGCGATGTTGATGGTGAAGGTGGAGGCATCATGGTGTGGCATCAGTGAGGGCTGCTCATCAGGCTTGTAGCGGACGACAAAGGCCAGGTCAAACTGGGCCTGTACCAAGGCAGGGGGACAAGAGAGCCCGTGTTAGTTAAGGAGGACACAAAGGCCAGGAGAGGAGGGTGCACACATGGGGCCTGGTCTGGCCTGCTGCAGGTCAGCTTACAGGGGCCAGGTCTACATGGGGCTCTATGCTCGAGTGCCTGCAACTACCTGGCACAGAAAAGGTTCTCAACAAAAATGTATGGACAGAGGGGAGAGAGGGAGGGAAGGAAGAGAACAGAGGGGAAGGAAGAAAGGAAGGGAGGGAGGGAGGAAGGGAGGAAAAGGGAAGAGAAGAAATGAAAGGGAAGAGAAGAAATGAAAGGGAAGGAGGCCGGACATGGTACTCACGCCTGTAATTCCAGCACTTTGGGAGGCCAAGGTGGGCGGATCACCTGAGGTCAGGAGTTTGAGACCAGCCTGGCCAACATGGTGAAACCCCATCTCTACTGAAATTACAAAAAATTAGCCAGACATGGTGGTGGGCGTCTGTAATCGCAGCTACTTGGGAGGCTGAGGCCGGAGAATCGCTTGAATCTGGGAGGCGGAGATTGTAGTGAGCCAAGATTGCGCCACTGCACTCCAGCCTGGGTGACAAGTGCGAAAGAAAAGAAAGAAAAAGAGACAGAGAAAGAGAAAGAGAGAGAGAAAGAAAGAGAGAGAGAGAGAGAGAGGAAGGAAGGAAGGAAGGGAAGAAAGGAACGAAGGAATGAATGAAAAGACAAAGACAAAGGGGGGCATCCAATCCTCACAACCCTTTCTGGCAACTATCCAGGCTGGATTCCCTGAGGCAGGACCCAGGCACGCCATGGGCAGGTATCTGGAGAAACCAGAGACCAAGGAAGGAACTGAGTCTTGGAGAAAGTACCTTGGAGAAAGCCAAGGTAGCAGTGGACAGACACATGAGTGATAGCACTGGAAAGAATTGTGAGAATTAACCGAGGCCAGCCAGGTAATTGTTTCCGGGGAACCACAGTAAGCATTCAAGGGATGAATGACAACTGTCAGTAACAGGAGTTCAGGGTTTTCCTCACTATTGGAAGAAGGCTGCTTCGGACGAAGCAGGGCCCAGGCGTGGGGCACAGGCTTGTGGCTAGGGAGGGAGTGGGCACGCTGGCCAGCTAAGGTGGGCAGGGGTGCTTTTTTGGTGGGCTGGTATAGGAGCCACTGAGGCAGGGTTAATGACAAGGAAGAAAGATTCAAAAGAGCTGAGGTCGGCCAGGCACGGTGGCTCATGCCTGTAATCCCAGCACTTTTGGAGGCAGAGGTGGGCGGATTACTTGAGGTCAGGAATTTGAGACCAGCCTGGCCAACATGGTGAAACCCTGTCTCTACAAAAAATACAAAAATTAGCCAGGCATGGTGGCAGGTGCCTGTAATCCCAGCTACTCATGAGGCTGAGTGAGACTCCAGCTCAGGCTAGAGGCCAACTAGCCGGCCCTAGAGTCCCAGCCCAGCACCCTGTCTTCCCACACGCTACTAGATGGAGGGGGTGTGTGCGGTGAGACCTCACTCCTGCCTGGGGACCAAATATCCAGGCCTCTCCCATAAGCTGGGATGTTCCTCCACCCGTACTCCAACCCAACCCCTTCCCCAGCCCCTCCCCTTGCCAGACTCTCCAGCCCCCACCCACCCCTGGCCCTTCCACCCAAGCCCCCCACTCCACCCTACCCCTCCCACCCCATCCCCCTGCCCCACACTGGCCTCGACCTCCCCACCAACTCCTGCCCCTTCCAGTCTCTCCACTCCCTCACCCCTGCCCCCCCGCCCCTCTAGGCTTTCCACTCCCACTCACCCCTGCCCCTCCCAGGCTCCCTACTCCTCTCCACCCCTCCCAGCTTCTCTACCACTTCCCACCCCACCCCTGCTCTTCCCAACCCCATCCCCACCCCTCAGTCCCTCTACCTCATGCCCCACCCTTGCCCCTCCCACGCTCCCCACACCCTCACTCCACCTCGGCCCCTCCCAGTTTCTCCACCTCCCACCCTACCCCCACCAGTCCCAGCCACTCCACTGACACCCCACCCAACTGTCCCCGCATCCTGGCTATGCCCCAGGCTTGCCCACCCTGGTGTAGTAGCCGGGGTAGAGCTTCTCCGTCATGGGCGCAATGTACTCCAGCAGGAATTTGTGCCACTCCCGCTCAAAGCCGATCTGGTTCATGTGGATGTCAATAGTCGGCACGTTCTCGTAGCCACCCTGGATGCGGTTGTCCTGGAGGTGACCGAGGTGAATGTTTAGGCAGAATTCTAGGATGGCCCCCAGGCTCTGTCTACTCCCCTCTCCTACACCCGGGAATGTGACCGGACCACATTACATGACAAAACTGAACAGGCTTTGCAGATACAATTAAGGCTCCTAATCAGTTGACTTTGGGTTAATCAAAAGGGAGATTATCCTGGGGGGGCCTGACCTACTAGGTGAGTCATCTGCAGAAAGACCTTATTTTTTGAGACAGGGTATCCCTCTGTTGCACAGGTAAGAGCGCAGTGGCGCAACTTCAGCTCACTGCAGCCTCAACCTTCCAGGCCTAAGTGATCCTCCCACCTCACCCTCCCGTGTAGCTGGGACTACAGGCACGCACCATCACGCCCAACTAATTTTATTTTTATTATTTTTATTTTTGTGTGTGTGTGACGGAGTCTCACTCTGTTGCCCAGGCTGGAGTGCAATGGCGTCATTTCAGCTCACTGCAACCTCCACCGCCTGAGTTCAAGTGATTCTCCTGCCTCAGCCTCCCGAGTAGCTGGGATTACAGGCGTGCGCCACCATGCCTGGCTAATTTTTTTTTTTTTTTGTATTTTTAGTAGAGATGGGGTTTCATCATGTTGGCCAGGCTGGTCTCGAACTCCTGACCTCAGGTGATCTGCCCACCTCGGCCTCCCAAAGTGCTGGGATTACAGGCGTGAGCCATGCACCCAGCCACTAATTTTATTCTTTGTAGAGATGAGGTCTCACTATGTTGCCCAGGCTGGTCTTAAACCCCTGGACTCAAGCGATCCTCCTGCCTCAGCCTCCCAAAGTGTTGGGATTATAGGCATGAACCACTGCGCCTGGCTAAAGGAGGATACTGAAGAGAGATTCTGTCTCTTGCTGGCCTTGAAGAAGCAAGTTAAGTTCTACAGCTGCAGGGGAATGAATTCTGCAACAACCAAGTGAGTTTGGAATGGAATCCTGGGCCTCAGATGAGACCCCAACCCCAGCTGACACCTCAATGACCCAGCTAAACTGGGCCCAGATTCCTGACCCACAGAAACCAGGAGATAACACACGGGTGTTATTCTGAGCCACAGTCATTTGTTACAGAGCACTGAAAACTTGTTCCAGGGCCAGAGTCAGCTGGGGTCCGAGGTCTGGCCCTGTCACTGGAGCACAAGCATCAGCCAGCCCCCAGAATGCACGGGCTAGTCCAGTTCCTGGCTTCTGGAGATCAGCTCAGCAACCAAAGCATGTGGATTAGGAAGATAACCAGAACTTCAGGTTAGTCCAGTTGCCAGGTCAGAGGTTGGCACACAGGTCCAGGGTCTCATGTGCCTTTAAAAACGGTGCCTTAAACTTGGGAACACACATTTCTGTTAAACAACTTAGAAAATGAGGCCAGGCACGGTGGCTCACGCCTGTAATCCCAGCACTTTGGGAGGCCAAGGTGGGTGGATCACCGGAGGTCAGGAGTTTCAGACCAGCCTCACAAACACGGTGAAACCCCTGTCTCTACTAAAAATACAAAAATTAGCCAGGCGTAGTGGTGGGTACCTGTAATCCTAGCTACTCAGGCGGAGGTTGCAGTGAGCTGAGATTGTGCCATTGCACTCCACCTGGGTGACGAGCAAAACTCCGTCTCAAAAAAAAAAAAAAAAAAAAAATTAGGCATGGTGGCCAGCACCTGTAATCCCAGCTACTTGTGAAGCTGAGGCAAGAGAATCACTTGAACTCAGGAGGCAGAGGTTTCAGTGAGCCGAGATCGCACCACTGCACCACTGCACCACTGCACCCCAGCCTGGGCGACAGAGCGAGGCTCCACTTCACCAAAAAAAAAAAAAAAAAGGACGTAGAAAATGAGAGGTGGGGTGCCCGGTGCGGTGGCTCATGCCTGTAATCCCACCACTTTGGGAGGCTGAGGCAGGTGGATCACAACATGAGGTCAGGAGTTCGAGACCAGCCTGACCAAAATGGTGAAACCCATCTCTACTAAATATACAAAAATTAGTCGGGCATGGTGGCAGGCGCCTGTAATCCCAGCTACTCGGGAGGCTGAGGCAAGAGAACTGCTTGAACCTGGGAGGCGGAGGTTGCAGTGAGCTGAGATGGCGCCACTGCACTCCAGCCTGGGCGACACAGCGAGACTCCATTCAAAAAAAAAAAAAAGAAAAAAGAAAATCAGAGGTGGGTTGGGGCTTGAAGTACATAGGAGATATGAATGTTGTAAAACTGTCAGGAGACGAAAAATTCCTTTCTGCAGTTTCTCTTCTGTGAAAGGGCTAAGGACAGAGTTTGCTTAGTAGGTAATGTTGCCTTTAAGTACAGTGGTGTATTTTTATTCAAGATTGTGCTCTTTTATCAAAATCCTATGGAAATAAATGTTCTGGGATCATTAAAATAAAAAAAATAAATAAAATAAAAAGGTGCCTTAGGCCAGACACGGTGGCTCACGCCTGTAATCCCAGCAATTTGGGAGGCCGAGGTGGGTAGCTTACCTGAGGCCAGGAGTTTGAGACCAGCCTGGCCAACATGGTGAAACCCAGTGTCTACTAAAAATACAAAAATTAGCCAGGGATGGTGGCACACGCCTGTAGTCCCAGCTACTGGAGAGGCTGAGGCAAGAAAACTGCTTGAACTTGGGAAAGGAAGGTTGCAGTGAGCTGAGATCATGCCACTGCACTCCAGCCTAGGTGACAGAACGAGACACTGCCTTAAAAAAAAAAAAAAAATTTACACACACACAATTAAATAAATAAAGAATACAAAGATTAGCTGGGCGTGGTGGCACACGTCTATAATCCCAGCTACTCGGCAAGCTGAGGCATGAGAATCTCTTGAACCTGGGAGGCAGAGGTTGCAATGAGCCAAGATTGCGCCACTGTACTCCAGCCTGGGCGACAGAGTGAGACTCGGTCTCTAAATTAATTAATTAATTAATTAATTAAAATAAATAAAATGAAATTGTGCCTGGTTCACAACCAGCCTGGGCAACACAGCCAGACCCCGTCTCTATTATTTAAAAAAAATATATATATATATATATAAATAAAATCTATATATATTTCTTTTTATATATATATATATATACACACACACACACATGAAAAGAAAAAAAAAAATGGTACCTGAACTTTCCAGGACAGGAACAGGTGTTGGGATTCTCACGGAGAGAACACAGGGCCTAGCACCCTCAGCAGGCCACCTGCTCCTGCTGTCTGATGAACTTGGACCCGACAGCCCTTCCTAATGCCCCTCATCCCACCTTGGCCCTTTCCTCCCCAGCTCCACCTGGGGGAAGTCTAGGGAACCAAGCTAAGCCATTCCAATAGCAAACCAGGAACTGAAAACCTAGTAGCTTACGGTCAAGGCAACTCAAAGCCACACGGTGGCAACAGCAGCTCAGGGACCAAACTCCATCTCAGGTTTCTCAATCCCTCTACTCCTACCTGCCTGCAGATACCCATGCCAGCACCCCTATGTCAAGAGTCCCAGAAAGGGTGGCCAGGCCAGCTTGCCAGAAGACCCCAGACAGTGAGCGGCACTGATGGAGAGGCAGCCTCCCTGCGGCCCCAGCCCAGGCATCAGGGTCCCACCTTGTTGTTGCCCAGAGACCACTGGCCAAAGTGCTCCATCTCCTCCACCAGCTCATCACAGGCCACCTCCGTGAAGATGGGGAACCAATAGACATCCGGGCAGGGCTGGGGAGGGCAGGGACTCAGTCAAGGGGGTCCACAGTGGCACCACAGAATCCTCCTTCCTCTTCAGGGCCACACACCCAAGCCAGGGAGCCCTCCCAGTGTCCCCGGGGAGCAGGGCCTTGTCAATCCTGGAGAGACTGAGTGGGGAGGAGGAGGCAGAGCCCAGAGACAGACTTTCCCAGCCGAGGTCACAGAGCTACCAGCGCCAAGGTCAGACAGAAACATGGGCATGGAGGGAGGGAGGGGGCAGAGGCCCCAGGCTCGGGGGAAGCAGACATTAGTGAGTGGAGAGAAGCAGCCACTCCCCGAAGTGGTCCAGGCATGGTGGGCCACAGTGGCCATCACATCCAGGATGTTTTCCTCCTTCCTGCCTGGGCCAGGTAGAGAGGCCCTGCAGACTCCCACAGCCTCCAGCAGGAAAGTGCCAACAGGTAGAGGGGCCATCCTGCCTCCCCCCACCCCCATCCCACCACCCCCCACTCCCATCCCGCCGCCCCCCCATTCCCATCCCGCCACCCCCAACTCCCATCCTGCCGCCCCCCAACTCCCATCCCTCCACCCCCAACTCCCATCCTGCTGTCCCCCACTCCCCAGGGCAAGCAGTTTCCCTTCTGTGCCCTGCCCCCTGCAGCAGGCAAGGCTGGTCCAAGAGGGTGTCCATGGCCCTTACCGTCTCCACCAGCTTCCCTGCCAGGGCTTTGGTGTAGTTCTGGTGGATGTACTTCTCCTTCCAGTCCTGTGGGAAGTGGGAAGCAGGCTAGGGTCCTCACCATTGGCTCAACTGCCAGGGATGCTCAGAGCAGACCCCTCAAAGTGGGAGTGAAGGTGTACGTGCTTGACAGAGGCAGGTGTTCACCTGCACCCACTGGGTGCGTGTGTGTTGTCTGGGTGCACAGGTGTGCCCATAGGAGGTGGTGTTTGCACATGTATGTACATGTGTGTGCTTGTGTGTATATGTCTGTGTGCAGGCATGTGCTTACACCCATCAGCTGTGAGCTCCCAACGTCTAGAAACAGTTACAACTGTCTCCCCTTCTGATCATCACAACACCCTCATGGGTAAGACAGGCTGGGACAGTATACCCATTTTGGAGCTAAGATAACTAAGGTCCCCAAAGCTGGAAGGCTCAACTAAGTCCCAGATGATGGCAGATCTAGGCCACAAACCCAGGCCTCTTGAGTCCTGGTCCCTCCTCCAATAGATGGTGTTGCCTCTCTGGACACCCTTCTCTCCCTACCCAAATCCTGCCCTATAGCCTCCTGGGGTGAAGGGAGGGTGGCAGGTGGCCTACAGGGGTCCTGGCTGTTGTAAGACTCTGAGAGGGAAGTCCCTCCGACTGCAGGATCACTGGGCCCCTTTGCTCCCAGCCCCTATGTGCCCACCCTGGCCTCACCTCGGGGTTGCTGAACACCTCCCAGAGGTCGTTGTGCAGGTGGGTGGTGCGGTAGCTGTCTAGGGAGAGCAGATGGCCAAGGGTGTGCCGGTTGGTCAGGAACATGAACACATCCTGGGGAGGACAGGCCCGGTGGAAGAGGCGCTCCCCCACCCCTCCCCTGCCCTCACCCCTCCCCTGCACGCTCCCAGACGGGCAACAGTGCAGCCTCCTCCACCCGCCGAACTGAAGTTCCCAATATCAGAGACCAAGTGCAGTCACCGCTATGTCCCCAGGGCCCAGCCCAGGCCTGAC
The DNA here is from genome assembly GCF_000001405.40 of Homo sapiens. Classification (NCBI taxonomy): domain Eukaryota; kingdom Metazoa; phylum Chordata; class Mammalia; order Primates; family Hominidae; genus Homo; species Homo sapiens. The sequence continues at coordinate 11,965,299 of NC_000001.11, read as the reverse complement.
ACTAAGAATGTGATCAGGGAAGTCTTCCCAGAGGACTGAACACAGAATGAAAGAAAAAATGCGTAAAAGAAAAGGAGCGTGTTCTGGTCCTGAAATGTTGGTCACAGGGGAAAACTTCATCTTGCTGCATGTTTAAAAAAAAAAAAAAAGTCACAAAAATATATGGGGTGGGGCGCAGAGACAGGGTGAGGTGTCTCTCGGGCACATCACTTGGAGTACCTTTAGGTGGAAAGTTCCGTTTTCTTTGGGCTATTCCAAAAATGTAAATAAAATAGATGGTATAAAAACCAGGTCAGCTAAAATGGTCCCTGCAGACCCCTGAGGACCAGCCCTCGTGCCCGACGGCCCCCATTCCTCCAGCAGGCCCTGGTGGCTTCCGAGATGCCCTGCTAGAATCTCTGGAGCTCCCAGGCCTACGGTGACAAGGCGGCCCACCATGAGGGTCAGAGCTGGAGGCCCACCTTCCCGCCTGCCCCATCCAGAGGGCGTCCTGTGCTGCCCGCTCCTGGCTGACCTGCTGCCGGATGTTGGCACAGAAGGCCATGTCGGGGTCCAGCTTGCTGTGGTGGAAGAGATCTGAGGACTGCAGCTCACCCCGCAGGGCACTGCCCTTGATCAAGTAGATGTTTGAAATATAGGGCACATTCCAGACACCACTGTGGGAGAGACAGAAAGCGGGTGGGGGTCAGAGGCTGGTGGTGGGGAAGATGGAGGGGGTCACAGGGTGGTGGTGGGGAGTCATAGCCTGGAGTCTGGGTGTGAGAAGGGAAGTCACAGGCTAGGGGGGCACAATTGTGCTGATTTGATTCCCCCGCCCTGGACACATGGGCCTATTTGTCAGGAAGTCCTTCTGTGTGTCTAACTGAAGTCTTCCTTGCTTCAGGTTCAACAGGAATTTGAGGGTAACAAGAACAGGAATAATAGGGAGGGAGCCCCACAAGCCCAGGCAGAAGCCAGATGAAGGTGTCCCCCACCCACCCCCACCCTGCAGGTACTCACACACGCCGCCCCTGCACAATGTCCACGTAGTCCTCGGAACGGGCATAGTAGCCATCTGCACTGAGAGCCCCCCAGAAGTTCGACCACAGCCTCCCATGCCGGGTCATCAGCGGGGCAATGACGTTCCTGAGGGAAGGGAGCACCTCAGTAGGAGGTCGCTGCCCACTGGGAGTAGGAGACAGCACTAACCAGGGATGGGGGGAGGTAGGTGCCCCTCAACCTGCACGCAGGGATCCCCAAGCACCTCACTGAGACAGGCAGTGCCTTGGCCGGGGTGTCGGGGGTTTGGCTCTTCTGGTACCTGCTCCCTCCCATGGGGCAGCCAGGAGCAGACAGGGCAGGACACCTTCTCTATCAGAACCTGGGGTATCAGGCTGGGGATCCACAGCTCTGGGTAATAGGTGAGGCCAAGGAGGAGGAGGAAGAGGAGGAGGAGAAAGAGGATGAGGAAGACGAGGAGGAGGAGGAAAAAGGAGGAAGAGGAGGAAGAGGAAGAGGAGGAGGAAGACAAGGAGGAAGACGAGGAGGAGAAAGAGGAGCAGGAGAAGGAAAAAGAGGAGGAAGAGGAGGTGGATGAGGAGGAGGAGGAGGAAGGCAAGGAGGGCTGCCACCCCAGGACCAGGCCAGTCCTGAGCAGTGCTGGGTGCAGACGGAGCAGCCTCACTTGTTCTGTTGGATCAGCAGCCGCAGGCTGTTGGGCTCGGTCAGGGCCACGTCAGCATCCACGCTGAAGTAGTAGGTGCAGCTGCGGTCCTGCCGGCACAGGTCTCTGCAAGGAGGAGGACACAGGGTCAGTGCACCTGATCCTGGAGCTACTGGTGGCTGCTCACATCTGTGACCACAGTCTGGCTTCACCACATATCAGCCAAGGGGCTTTAGAGAGGTCACACCAGCAGCCTCAAAGGTTCCTCCCGACTCTGAGTCCCAAACCCCTGGACTGCTGGGCTCTCTCACCCAAGGCCCAGAGGTTGGCAACTGGTATCAAGTGCCCTGAAAATCCTGGTACTGGGAAGAACACAGCCCACAGGTGCCTACATGGCCCAGGGTGGGGAGTAAGCTGGGGCTGCCTTTCTGAAATGCAATTTGGTAACTTGTACCAAAAGCCTTAAAAATCTGTGTTACTTTTGTTTATCTGGTACAGGACTCAGCAAACGAGGGTCTGTGAGTCAAACTCTGGCCCTGCCTGGTTTTGTACAGCTCATGGGCTAAGAACAGCTTTATGTTTTTCTTTTTTTTATTTTTATTTTATTTTATTTTTTTGAGAACGAGTCTCACTCTGTTGCCCAGGCTGGAATGCAATGGCACAATCTCAGCTCACTGCAACCTCCACCTCCCGGGTTCAAGCGATTCTCCTGCCTCTGCCTCCCAAGTAGCTGGGATTAGAGGCGTGCACCACCATGCCAGGCTAATTTTTGTATTTTTAGTAGAGACAGGGTTTTACCATGTTGGCCAGGCTGGTCTCGAACTCCTGACTTCAGGTGATCTGCCCGCCTCGGCCTCCCAAAGTGCTGGGATTACAGATGCGAGCCACTGCACCCGGCCTTTTTTCCTTTTTTAGAGATGGGGGTCTCACTGTGTCAGCCAAGCTGGAATGCACAATCATAGCTCACTGCAGCCTCAACTTCCCCAGCTCAAGCAATCCTTGGCCTCCCAAAGTGCTGGGATTACAGCCACTGCACTTGGCTGATTTTATGTTTTTAAGTTGTTTCAAGAAAAAAACAAATCGGCAGGGCGTGGTGGCTCACGCCTGTAATCCCAGCACTTTGGGAGGCTGAGGTGGATGGATCACGAGGTCAGGAGATCGAGACCATCCTGGCTAACACGGTGAAACCCCGTCTCTACTAAAAATACAAAAAATTAGCCGGGCATGGTGGTGGGCACCTGTAGTCACAGCTACTCGGGAGGCTAAGACAGGAGAATGGCGTGAACGTGGGAGGCAGAGCTTGCAGTGAGCCAATATTGCACCATTGCACTCCAGCCTGGGTGACAGAGCGAGACTCCATCTCAAAAAAAAAAAAAAAAAAAAGAAAACAAAAATCAAAAGAAGATGTAAAAATTATGTGAAGGTCATCACCAGGTGCAGTGGCTCATGCCTGTAATCCCAGCACTCTGGGAGGCTGAGACGGGAGGATAACTTCAAGCCAGGAGTTTGAGACCAGCCTGGGCAACATAGCAAGATCCTGTCTCTACAAAAAATAAAAATAAATAAATTAACCAGGCGCAGTGGCTCACACCTGTAATCCCAGCACTTAGGGAGGCCAAGGCGGGCGGATCACTTGAGTTCGGGAGCTTGAGACAGGCCTGGAAAACATGGTGAAACCTCGTCTCTACTAAAAATACAAAAATTAGCCAGGTGTGGTGGCAAGCACCTGTAATCCCATCTACTTGAGAGGCTGAGGCAAGAGAATGGCTTGAACCTGGGACGGGGAGGTTGCAGTGAGCCGAGATCGCGCCACTGCGCTCCAGCCTGAGTGACGGAGTGAGACTCAGTCTCTAAATAAATAAATAAATAAATATTTAAAAATTAACTGGATGTGATGGCACATGCCTGTAGTCCCAGCTTCTTGGGGGGCTGAGGCAGGAGGATCACTTGAACCCAGGGGTTTGAGGCTACAGTAAGCTATGATCCTGCCACTGCACTCCAGCCTGGATGACAAGAGTGACACCAAGTCTCAAAAAGAAAAAAAAATAAATGACATGAAAGTCAAATTTCAGTGTCCATAAATGAAATTTTGCTGGAATGCAGCCTCTGTGCTACTAGGGCAGAGCTGAGGGTTGTCACAGAGCCGGCAGAGCCAATTTGCAAAGATTTATGATCTAATCCTTAGCAGGAAGTTTGCCAACCTTTGATCTGGACTGTCTGACTCTTCTACAAGCAACACAAATTACTTCTTTCTTTGTTTTTGTTTTGCTTTATGAGACAAGGTCTCGCTCTGTTTCCCAGGCTGGAACACAGTGGTGCAATCATAGCTCATGCAACCTCGACTTCCCGGGCTCAAGAGGTCCTCCTGCCTCAGCTTCTTCAGTAGCTGGGACCCCAGGTTCAAGCCACCACACTTGGCTATTTTTTTTTAATTTTTGAAGAGATAGGGTCTCGCTATGTTGCCCAGGCTGCTCTTGAACTCCTGGCCTCAAGCAATCCTTCAACTTTGGCCTCTCAAAGTGCAGGGATTACAGGCATGAGCCACTGCTCTCGGCCTTTTTTTTTTATATATAATAAAGTAAAACATTCAAGGTTGGCTCCCTAATAGTCAGCCTTTGTCTACTTTTGCCCCCAGTCCTTCCTCTTTCTCTGATTTGCTTCCTGAACCCAAATAACATGGCTCAGCCCTGCCCAGGAGCCCCGGGGGTTGGCAGGACAGAGGCTATTTCCCCTTTTGACAGATGGAAACTCCAAGGCCCAGAAAGGGGCAGGAACTTGCTAGAGCACACACAGCCTTCTGAACTCCTGTCACTCAGCCTGCTGCTCCTTACCACAGCCACAGCTCCCCTGCCCCCACTGTCAGTGGAGAGTACTGTGGCCCACAACTCACGCGCCCATGTTCCTGGCATCTGCATTCGCCATCCGCACCTCAGGGCCCACCAGCTTCACAGACTGGTACTCGCTGCCATGCTGTGCCAGGAACTCTTCCACCTGAGCCTTGTGGTGCTGCTCCTGGGGTTGGGGATGGGGAAGGGGATGCGGGGGTGAGGAGGAGGACACAGCTTCCACCCAGGGACTGTAGCACCTCCTGTCACTGCCAGGCTGTGCCCCTTCATCTCTGGCACCCCGGCCATCTGCTTTCCTGTCTCCAGACCTTTGCCCATGCCAGCCCTGTGCCAGGAACACCCTTCCCTGGCCATCCTTTGCCCATTCTCCTCTGACCAGGTCAGGCCTCCTAAGAGCCTCTGTCATCAGGATAGAGCTCCGCCACCACGCTCAGGATCCCACATCCAGAGACATTGTTGATTCCTGGGTGTGGCCCAGAGATCCACTTTGTTACAAAATGTGCCAGGTGATCCTCAACTTCGCTTTGAAAAACAACAGTCCAGGCCAGGCACAGTGGCTCACGCCTGTATTCGCAGCACTTTGGGAGGCCGAGGCGGGTAGATCACCAGGTCAGGAGTTCAAGACTAGCCTGGCCAAGATGGTGAAACCACGTCTCTACTAAAAATACAAAAATTAGCCGGGCATGGTGGCAGGCACTTGTAATTCCAGGTACTCGGGAGGAGGCTGAGGCAGAGAACTGCTTGAACCCGGGAGGCGGAGGTTGCAGAGGCAGAGAACTGCTTGAACTTGGGAGGCGGAGGTTGCAGTGAGCCAAGATCGCACCATTGCACTCTAGCCTGGGAGACACAGCAAGACTCCATCTCAAAAAAAAAAAAAAAAGGAAAAACAACCATCCAGCTGGGTGCGGTGGCTCATGGCTGTAATCGCAGCACTTTGGCAGGCGGAGGCAGGCAGATCACGAGGTCAGGAGATCGAGACCATCCTGGCCAACATAGTGAAACCCTATCTCTACTAAAATACAAAAAATTAGCCAGGCACGGTGGCAGGCGCCTGTAATCCCAGCTACTCGGGAGGCTGAGGCAGGAGAATGGCTTGAACCTGGGAGGCAGAGGTTGCACTGAGCTGAGATCACGCCATTGCACTCCAGCCTGGGCAACAGAGCAAGACTCCGTCTCAAAAAAAAAAAAAAAAATACAAAAAATTAGCCAGTTGTGATGGCGCATGCCTGTAGTCTCAGTTACTTGGGAGGCTGAGGCAGGAGAATCGCTTGAACCCAAGAGGCAGAGGTTGCAGTGAGCCGAGATCGTGCCACTGCACTCCAGCCTGGGTGACACAGCGAGACTCTGTCTCAAAAAAAAAAAAAAAGAAAAGAAAACCAATTTGACTGCCACCAGGTACAATTAGGAAGGTAGGAAGGATTAACAGTGACAGGGATGGAAGTGAAGATGACAACAGTTAGAAGCAACTAGATGCGTCCTGTGCACCAGGCACCTTTTACGAACTTCGCATGTCAGCTTGCTTAGCCCTTGCAGCAATTCTGTGTGATTGCACAATTATTATCCCTATTTTATTTTATTTATTTATTTATTTATTTTTATTTTTTTTGAGACGGAGTTTTGCTCTTGTTGTCCAGGCTGGAGTGCAATGGCGCAATCTCGGCTCACTGCAACCTCTGCCTCCCAGGTTCAAGCGATTCTCCTGCCTCAGCCTCCTGAGTAGCTGGGATTACAGGCATCTGCCACCACACCCAGCTTAATTTTGTATTTTTAGTAGAGGCAGGGTTTCACCATGTTGGTCAGGCTAGTCTCGAACTCCCGACCTCAGATAATCTGCCCACCTGGGCCTCCCAAAGTGCTGGGATTACAGGCATGAGCCACCGCGCCCGACTTTTATGCCTATTTTATAGATGAGAAACTAAAGCACAGAGAGGTTGAGTAATGTGCCCAAGGTCACACAGCCAATAAAATAGCGGCGCTGGGATTCAAACTCACCCAGTCTGACTCCAAAGTTAACTCAGTGATTTGGGGACACAGTCCACTGGTGATTGTCATTTGGCCCAGATAAGCTAGATTCGGTGAGACCCTCAGAGGTCTCGGGCTACCTTGTGAAGCTGGGCCCTGGATCTAAGCCACATGACGACCCCACAGAGCGCCTGTTACTCACGTGGTTGTGGATGAAAAGTCGCATGTGTTTCTGGGGGTAGTGGAGCCGCAGGAGCCGCTGGAAGAACAGGGACACAAACGGCGTGGGCTGTTCGATGAACACGCCGACCAGGACCGTGGGCAGAGCTTCATCCTGCACCAGGGAGGGCGGCACAAGAGTCCAGCAGTGTCCAGTCACAGCACTGCCACTCCACCCCAGGGTGGCCCAAGGGAGTCAGAGCCAGAATCAGAAGCATGTAGACTTCCCAAGAAAGGTGCCCGGGCCGGGGAACTCCAGTCAGGGGGTACGGGGGGGCAGGGAAGCAGCAGGAGGGTGCCCCGGGGAGAGAGCAGCAGGAGCCCAGGCCTGGAACAAGGACTCGGTTGAGGGCCTGCTGTCAGGAGATCGTGGCTGGCGTGGTGTTCGAGGTGAGTCATAAATGAGGATGAGGTTCATGGGATGGGGAGGGGGCTGCAGGAGAGCCTGAAGGACCAGGCAGAAGAAACCAGAACCTGGACATCTCGGGGGAAGCTAGAGACATGCAATCTGAGAGGGCTTCCAGGAGGAGGCACTTGGGTGGCAACCGGGATAGAACCCCAGGCAGGGAGGTGACCCCTTCACTTTCCACCAAAGACAATGGAGTCTATTCCAGAATCACCCATCTCGCCATCTCAGGGGACTGAGCCCCCCGTGTCCCTCAGGCACAGGCCTGGGCGCAGCCTCACCCCAATGCCCTTGAGGCTGCGCAAGCCTTCGTCACACACGGTGCAGCCTGTTTCGAAGGTCCAGAAGCGCGGGATGTAGTTGCCCAGGTAGTTCAACTGCAGCTGTCGGGGAGACGTGGGGTCACAGAGAAGCCAGCCAGCCCCACCTGCCATAGCCCTGACTCACATCTCCCTGGGCCCCCAGTGGGTCAGCACCATCCAGCCCCCTCCCACTCCCTAAGAGGGTCTTGGAGATAATGCTCCATCCCCAGGAGATCACCAAGCCGCTCTGAGAGAGGGCAGGGGAGGGCTTGGCACTCTAGTGCTTCTCCCGAGAGCTTGTAAAATGCAGATTCCTGGGTCCCACCCCGCTCAGAGATTCCATCTGAACAGATCCTGGGTGAAATCAGCAAATTTGCATTTTAAACACATCACATCCTCCTTCCTCTCCCTCATTCCAGCGGTGAAGGACCACACTCAAATATGCTATGAGCTATGAGCCAGTTCCCCAGGGACCAGTGAGGTCCATTCTGTCCCTGGCCGCATCTGCACCCAGTCCCTTCTGTCACCATGAATGCAGGACATCCGTCCTGCTTATGACTATGTCTTACTGTCTGGTGCAAACATGAAATAAAGGTTTACTGAGTGAATAAGTGACTCTGCCCTGGGGTGACAGTGCAGATGGCTCTGGTAGCCCAGCCTAGGCCTGGAAGGGGATGGCAGCCTCCTACGTGTCCTGTGACCAGCAAGAACAGACAGAGTACCACTGACCACCACAGCAGGAAAAGAAGGCATCACGCTGAGCTCAGATGTGAGGACAGAGGCAGTGAGTTCATAGCAGGCCCCAGGAAGGTGGCCCTGGCCCCAGGGAGACACTGTGGGGTCACAGTGAGAATGAAATTAGGGCTCTGGCCCCCTCCCACACTCCCCAGGGGCTGGGGACCCCCTACCTTGGTTGGCCCGTTGCCATGGATCAGGACCGGGAGGGTGTCATAGGCCAGGTTCCTCGCTCTCACATGGCCCATTTCAAACTTGAGCACGACCTCATCTGGGGGTCAGAAAGCACAGTCCCACCCAGCATCAGACCCAGAGGTCAGGCTCAGGGTCCAACCAGCTGGGCTCAAATCCCAGCTGTGCAGTGAGTAGATTATGTCCTCGGGCAAGTCACTTCTCTCTAAGCCTCAGTTTCCTCATCTATAAAATAGGAATAATCCCTTCTTCATGGGGTGAGGGGGAGGATTTGTGTTGAACAAGCGTGGGGCACCAAGCCTGGCCCATCATGAGCACAGAATCCACGGCAACCCCTGTACTTGTTGTGGTTACTTACAGTCAGAAGCAGGGGCTGGGAGAAGAACGAAGACCTGGAACATCCCAGCTCCAGGCACCTCAGAGAAGCCCCAAGAGAAAGGGTCTGGGACGCGCCTTCTCTGAGTAGGCAGAGCAGCACTGAGAAAATGCCAGAGCCACATGCAGGGGAGGCCTGGGCATGATCAGGACAGATCTTGTCCCAGTGGAGGGAGCCCCTGCAGCAGGGTTCCAATACTCATGTTTTTTGTGTGTGTTTTTGTTTTTTGTTTTTTAGAAATGGAGTCTCATTCTATTGCCCAGTGTGGAGTGTAGTGGCATGATCTCGGCTCACTGCAACCTCCGCCTCCCAGGTTCAAGTGATTTTCCTGCCTCAGCCTCCTGAGTAGCTGGGATTACAGGCACATGCCACCACACCCAGCTAATTTTTGTATTTTTAGTAGAGACGGGGTTTCACCATGTTGGTCAGGCTGGTCTTGAACTCATGACCTCTGGTGATCCACCCGCCTTGGCCTCCCAAAGTGCTGGGATTACAGTGCCTGGCCCCCAATACCCATGTTTGACCCTATTAGTCTGCACATAGGAAAATGGGTATTTCAGCTGGGCACGCTGGCGCACACCTGTAATCCCAGCACTTTGGGAGGCCAAGGTGGGAGGATCACTTGAGCCCAGGAGTTTGAGACAAGCCTGCGCAACATAGTGAGACCCTGTCTCTATTTTAAAAATTAAAATAGGGCTGGGCACGATGGCTCACGTCTGTAATCTCAGCACTTTGGGAGGCCAAGGCAGGTGGATCACCTGAGGTCAGGAGTTCGAGACCAGCCTGGCCAACATGGTGAAACCCCATCTCTACTAAAAAAATACAAAAATTAGCCGGGCATGGTGGTGTGCGCCTGTAATCCCAGCTACTTGGGAGGCTGAGGCAGGAGAATCACTTGAACCTGGGAGGCGGAGGTTGCAGTGAGTCGAGAATTCGCCACTGCATTCCAGCCTGGGCGATGGAGCAAGACTCCATCTTAAAAAAGAAGAAAAAAAAAGGAAAACAGATAGCTCCTGACCTGCGTGGATCTGAACTCAGTGCTTCTTAACCCCCAGAAACCACAGGCAAAGGGCATTTTCTGCGTTTCTCTGGGAGCAGAGCCGTAGCTTTCATCAGATTCTCAAAAGGGCCCATTTATCCACAAAATCAGCAATCAGTGGATCCGGTTCACTTCCCTTTTGTAAAGATAAGAAAACTGAGTCCCCTGTGGGGAGGAGGTGTGACTTGCCTGAGGTCACTCAGGAAGACAGGAAGACCTGCGGCAAAGCAATGTCATCACCAGCCACAGACATGAGGCCAGGCCCAGGGATGTTTGCGGCATCAAGGGTCAAGTAGCCTTTTGCTTCCCAAGCTGCCTGTCCCACCAGCTGAGTTCCTGCCCCTAGCCCAGGACTCCTTCACCTGGAAGGTGGGAGGGCCGGGAAAGTGGGGAAAGAGGGCCCACCTGTAAGGACCTGGTATGCAGGGCAGGGGGTCCAGCACCTGCTGTGCGCATCCCCCAACTCCTCCCAGGCTGAATGCTCACTTGTCCCCCGCCCCCAAGAGAGACATGGCTCTGCGCCAGGATATCCAAGTGGCCCCTGGGGACCTGGGGATGAGGCCAGTGACCTCTCAGCACAATGGCCAGAAAGAAGCAGCCCATTTCTCCTCCCTGGGCTCGGGCCCTGCCTGGAATTCTTCCTATCACCCCTCTGAGGATCCACCCCTCCCCGTGGGGGCTGCTCACCCAAGGCTCCATCCAGGTTCTGGAAGATACGGCAGCGGTGGTCCAGGGTGATATTGATCTGCTCCTGCAGGAAAGAAGGTACCAGACTGCAGCAGGGACAGGCCCTGGGGGAGGCTGGGGCTACATCTCACCCAGTGTGGGGAATCTGTCCCCAAGTTCAGCCCTCATTCCCCACACCGACTCTGCCACGTCACATCAGGGCAGCTAGGTGCCCAGAGAAGGCCAGCAGCCAAGCTCCTGGGGTCTACAGTCTAGTGGCTCTACTCACAGAAAACCAGGGACTCTGAACTGGAAGGAATCTAAGAATGCAGCCGGCTCACCTACAACAATGACGGCCGTTAAGAGTAACCAGCACCTGCCAAGCACTCCACTACACGCACATAGCTACTCCAAATATTCTTTTTTTTGAGAAAGAGTTTCGCTCTTGTCACCCAGGCTGGAGTGCAATGGCACGACCTCGACTCACTGCAACCTCCGCCTCCTGGGTTCAAGCGATTCTCCTGCCTCAGACTCCTGAGTAGCTGGGACTACGGGCATGTGCCACCATACCCAGCTAATTTTTTTTTTTTTTTTTTTTTTTTTTGCTAGAGATGGGATTTCACCACATTGAGCAGGCTGGTCTCGAACTCCTGACCTCAGGTGATCCGCCCCCGCCCCCCGCCTCCCAAAGTGCTGGGATGACAGGTGTGAGCCACCGCACCTGGCCGCTACTCCAAATATTCTACACGAGTCGGGTGCGGTGGCTCACTCCTGTCATTCCAGCACTTTGGGAGGCTGAGGCAGAAGGATCACTTGAGCCCAGGAGTTTGAGACCAGCTTGGGCAACATAGCAAAACTTCATCTCTATAAAAAAATCTTAAAATTAGCCAGACATGGTGACGCAGGCCTATAGTCCCAGCTACTCAGGAGGCTGAGGTGGGAGGATCGCTTGAGTCCGGGAGGCTGAGGCTGCAGTGAGCTATGTTTCTGCCACTGCGCATCAGCCTGGGTGACAGTGAGACCCTGTCTCAAATAAATAAATAAACTATTCTACATATATTAATCAATTTAATCCTGACAACATCTCTGTGAGAAAGTATTATCATTATTGCTTTTTTTTTTGAGATGGAGTCTGGCTCTTGTCACCCAGGCTGCAGTGCAATGGCACAATCTCGGCTCACTGCAACCTCCGCCTCCCAGGTCCAAGCAATTCTCCTGCCTCAGCCTCCTGAGTAGCTGGGATTACAGGCACCCACCACCACGCACGGCTAATCTTTATATTTTTAGTAGAGACAGGGTTTCATCATGTTGGCCAGGCTGGTCTCAAACTCCTGACCTCAGGTGATCCACCCGCTTTGGCCTCCAAAGTGCTGGGATTACAGGCATGAGCCACTGGGTCTGGCCCATTATTGCATTTCATAACGGAAAAAACAAGGGACAGAGAAGTTGCCCAATGTCACACAGCTAGTAAATGGTGAGCTGGGATTGGAACCCAGGCAGCCTGGCCCTGAAGTCCTTATTCTGAACCAATGAACAATGCTGCCTCTTTAAGACCCGACAGCCGGGCACGGTGGCTCACGACTGTAATCCCAGCACTTTGAGAGGCCGAGGCGGGTAAATCACCTGAGGACAGGAGTTCGAGACCAGCCTGGCGAACGTAGTGAAACCCTGTCTCTACTAAAAATACAAAAATCAGCCAAACGTGGTGGTGCACGCCTGTAGTCCCCGCTACTCGAGACGCTGAGGCTCGAGAATCGCTTGAACCAGGGAGGTAGAGGCTGTAGTGAGCCGAGATCGCACCACTGTACTCTAGCCTGGGCAATACAGTGAGACTCCATCCCAAAAATAAAAAAATAGGATTAGTGTCCTTATCAATGAGGCCCCAGTGAGCTCCCTACCCCCTTCCACCATCTGAGGACACAGAGAGAAGTCAGCTGTGTCTGTACCAGTTAGAGGGCTCTGACCAGAACCCAACTGTGATCTCACCCTTCCGGCCTCCAGAACCATGAGAAATCCACATCCGTTGTTTGGGAGCCACCCAGCCTATGGCAGTTTGTCAGAGCAGCCTGCATAGACTAAGACACCAACCCAGGGGTTCAGGCCTGAGAGGAGCTGTTCCCGTGCAGCCTGGCCGGTGGATCCCCAGCCCCCTCTCCTTGGCCCGCCCACTGCCTCTTACCCTCTTCTCCGGGTCCAAGAAGATCTTGGTGTAAAACAGCTGATCGCTGTCGCTGTCCTGGCCCTCCCACTCGGCCACCAGTTTGCTGAGGTTGGGGGCATAACCGATGAAGCCTGAAGGTTGGTGGGTGGGGACACCAAGACGGACCCTTAGCTTCCAGCCTCTAAGTCAGGGGCCTCCTCCCACCCTTCCCTCTTATCCACCTCCACTCATATGCCCACAAACCCTGTCACCTCTCAGAAGTCCTCCTGAATTGACAGGAGGTGGGGCTGCAGGTTGGAAATGGGGCTGCCAGTGAATGTCACTTATTAATGAGTTCCTAATGACCCCAAGAATAAGACCAATGGTGCCCACTAAGCTGTACTGTTCAGTGCTGGGCACCATATAGGTGGTGAAGAAACGGATTGTACGAGGAGCCCCTGGAGAGCAGGGCTGGGAGGATACAGGCCTGGTGTCCCTTTTTACAGTTATCTGGGAAACCTGGCCCAGAGAAGGGAAAGGCTGGGCCAAGCTCACAGAGTGCCTTGGGGGCTGAGACCTGGCATAGTGGGGAAGCCCACATGGGCCCCTGGCTAGAGTACAGACTGGTGACAAGCAACCACAAGAGCAATGGGACATCCCTACTCCTGGGCCTGGGCCAGGGCAAGGCCATCTGGACTGTGCTTACTCTGGACCAGTGGAAAAAAGTGTCTGTTGAGGGCAGATGGCAGATCCCCATCTAAGGTTGAAAAGAGGCCTGTGGATTTTATTCTCCGTGCAGTGGAAAGTCATTAAGTGATGTGTGTGAATTTGCATCTTTATTTATTTATTTATTTTTAAGACAATGTCTCGCTCTGTCGCCCAGGCTGGAGTGCAGTGGCACGATCTCGGCTCACTGCAAGCTCCGCCTCCCGGGTTCATGCCATTCTCCTGCCTCAGCCTCCCGAGTAGCTGGGACTACAGGCGCCTGCCACCACACCTGGCTAATTTTTTGTATTTTTAGTGGAGACGGGGTTTCATCGTGTTAGCCAGGATGGTCTCGATCTCCTGACCTCGTGATCCGCCCACCTCGGCCTCCCAAAGTGCTGAGATTACAGGCATGAGCCACCAATATATATATTATATATATTATATAAATTATTATATATAATATATATAATATATTTTACATTATAAAAAAATATAGTATTATTTTTTATTTAAAAAAATTATTTATTTTTTTGAGTGCAGTGGCACCATCTCAGCTCACTGCAACCTCTACCTCCTGGGTTCAAGAGATTCTCCTGCCTCAGCTTCCCAAGTAGCTGGGATTACAGGCGTGTACCACCACGCCCGGCTACCTTTTATATTTTTAGTAGAGATGGGGTTTCGCCATGTTGGCCAGGCTGGTCTTGAACTCCTGGCCTCAAGTGATCCTCCCACCTCGGCTTCCCAAAGTGCTGACATTACAGGCGTGAGCCACCGCGCCTGGCCTTGGATTTGCATCGTTTAAAGACACCTCTGGCTGCTGGATGGAGAATGGCCTGGAAGGGCATGAGGGTAGGGAATGGCAGAGCAGTAAGGAGGCTCCTACCAACGGCCAGGAGCCCAGTGAGAATGGTGGCAGTGAACTGTGGGCCAGAGAGAGCAGATTCCAGAGATCTTTAGGAAGTAGGAGGCAGGTGGCCAGGTGTGGTGACTCATGCCTATAATCCCAGCACTTTGGGAGGCCGAGGCAGGTGGATCACTTAAGGCCAGGAGTTCGAGACCCACCTGGCCAACATGGCGATACCCCATCTCTACTAAATATACAAAAATTAGCCGGGCATAGTGGTGCATGCCTGTAATCCCAGTGACTTGGATGGCTGAGGCAGGAGGATTGCTTGAGCCCAAGAGGCGGAGGCTGCAGTGAGCTGAGATCCCACCACTGCACTCCAGCCTGGGCAACAGACTGAGATGCCGTCTCAAAATTTAAAAAGTAGTAGACAGGTGACTGGCATTGGACGTAGGTGGAGGAGGGCAAGGGAGGAGTCAGGAGTGACTCCTGGGTTCTGTCTATGGGGCTGCGTGTCTGTTGAATGAGATCAGAACTGCAGGGGAGCACATTTGGGGTTGAAAAGTCAGGAGCTCTATTCAGGACATTCTGCACTGGAGACCTGTGAGACACCCAGATTGCACGTCAAACAAGGGGGGTCCCCACAAAGGCAGTAGATGGACCCCTCTGCTGGGCCAAGCGCCCTGCACCCAGGCCTCTCACCTCCAGAGCCCAGGAACCTCTTGCCATCGGACACCACCGGATACTTGGTCTCCAGCCTGCGGTCTGGGTAGATGAGCTCCTCAGCAGAGAAGACCACCTGGCTCCTGGCCTGCCGGAACTTCTTCAGGAGCTCCCGGGGCCCCGATGCAAACAGCACGTCATAGCTGTGGCCAGAGCAGCGAGAAGACGGAGCAGGGCAAGGGTGAGCAGGGGCCCAGTGAGGGCACAGACAGGAGGGACCAGGGATCAAGTGCTCCACAAATGGCCCTCTGCCCACGCCAGCCTGGGCCACCATCTGGGAAATGGACCTGTCTCTGTCTGCAGCCCTGCCTGCCATGTTCCCACCCGCACCCTGGGCAAAGAGATGGTCCCCACAACATGTCATTCTTCTCTTACTTAAAGGGGGCCCATCACACTCATGGGTCACCTCCTCTTTATCTTTTCACCAAGCCTGGGAATGGGCTTTACTAAGACCGGGAATGGACACCCTAAAACTAGGCAACCTTAGCTAGAGTGGTCCCCCTTCTTCCCCGATGTTCTGGGAGGGCCTCATTTTAGAATATTCTTCTATCTTCCGCGGAGGGGCCCAGGCTAGGAAGCCCTGACCCACCTACCTGTCTGCGAAGAGAATGACCAGATCCTCCTTGTCTGCGTGCTTCTCCAGAGCTTTCTTCAGCAGCCGGACCTTCTGCCCTCCACCTGCCGACGTCCCCTTCTCCACATTCCAGTCCTCCCCTAGGCCAAGCGCCTGGAGAGAAACACCCCTTAACACGGGCTTTTGGTAAAGAAATATTTTTCCAGGGCTGGCCGTGGTGGCTCATGCTGGTAATCCCAGCACTTTGGGAGGCCGAGACGTGTGGACCACCTGAGGTCAGGAATTCAAGACCAGACTGGCCAACATGGCGAAACCCTGTCTCTACTAAAAACACAAAAATTAGCGGCGTGTGGTGGCACATGCCTCTAATTCCAGCTACTCGGGAGGCTAAAGTAGGAGAATTGCTTGAACCCGGGAGGTGGGGGTTCCAGTGAGCCGAAATCGCTCCATTGCACTTCAGCCTGGGAGACAGAGCAACACTCCGTCTCAAAAAAAGAGAAAAAGAAATAATTTTTTTGCTCCTGTGGGTCCAGCAACTCTGACCCTCCCCTGTAAGGAAACCATTCTCCACCTGTATGAGGATTAGCCGGTTCCTGGTGGTCATGTGACCATGCCTGTCCAATCAGAATGTCCCACCCTTCCTGCCCCTCCCACATCCGGAGATTTGAGCATGTGACCCCAGCATGGCCTATCAGCGCCTTCCCTGGGACTGTTCTGTGAAAAACAGAACAGTCTGCAGGCCTTTCCTAAAAAGGAAAGCCTGTCTCCTTCTGCTGAAGTTGAGAAACTGGGGCACATGAATCTGTGGCTGGTGGTCATCTTGCCACCACGATTAAAACAAACAGGGCCTAGAGATGGAAACACAAGGCCCTCACTTTGCTGCTTGAATCCCTGGATCCAGCCATGCCTGAAGCAACCCTCTGCTGCAACCCTCATTCATGTGAGCTGATACACTTGCTTGCTGACTTAATGCCACTAGATTGCAAGCTCTGTGTAAGCAATGACATGTTCTGTATTGTCCATCACCCTATTGCCAGTGCCCAACCTTGTGCCTGACATAAGGAAGCACTCAGGATACTCGTCTCCCTGCAGGGCTCAGCCCCATGGACTGCACACAGATGACACCAAGCCCATGCCAGTGGTCGATCGGGCATTAGCTCATGTTTCTTTTTTCTTTTATTTTCTTTTTTTTTTTTGAGACAGAGTTTCACTCTATTGCCCAGGCTGGAGTGCAGTGACGCCACCTCGGCTCACTGCAACCTCCGCCTCCCAGGTTCAAGTGATTCTCCCGCCTCAGCCTCCTAAGCAGCTGGGATTACAGGTGCGTGCCATCATGCCCAGCTAATTTTTTTATATTTTTAGTAGAGATGGGGTTTCGCCATGTTGGCCAGGCTGGTCTCGAACTCCTGACCTCAGTGGATCATCAGACTCCCAAAGTGCTGGGAATACAGGCGTGAGCCCCTGTGCGGGACCACTCATGTTTCTTTAGAGCAGTGTTTATAATACCGGGAAGATGTCTAGACCGTGCCCATCCCCAAATTACGGGGTGGTACTTGTGGAAATGCTGATCCCGAGGCCCTGTCCTCTAAACTAGCCTCTCAGCTGAGGCTCCTGCACACTAACATCTGAGCATTTCTTTAGCCAACTCTTTCCCTCTCCATCACCCCCTAGACTCATGCTGTGTCCTCTGCTGTGTCTTCCCATTCCCGACTAACTCATTTTCATCCTTCAGGCTTCCAGAAGCCTCCCCTGTGGCCCCAAGTCTATCTTAAGAGACGTGGTAGTTTGGAAAGGACACTAGCTCCTAGATCCTCCTGCCACCCCTCACTGTCTCTGCCTCACCCAGGAAACCCCTTACCTGGATCTTGTAGTTGAAGAACTGAGCTGAGCGCTTGAAGCGACGGAATCCCTCGGTCTCCTTAGTGGCCACCGTGAGGACTAAAAGGTTGTCTGCAGACAGAGGAGGGTATGGTGAATGGGAATGGAGGATGAGGGAGGTGACAGGGAGGAGGTCTTTGTTCCCAGTGACCTGTCAAATTCTGGCAGGAAGTGTCTTCATGTCAACCCATTACAGAACAGGGCCCAGGGAAGAAAGGATGATAGAGCAGGAAATAACCCAGGTCTCCTGAGTCTCCTCCAGGGCTCCCTCCACCCAGTAACTGACCGATATAGTTGGATATTTGTCCCCTCCAAATTGCACATTGAAATGTGATCCCCACTGTTGGAGGTGGGGCCCAGTGGGAGGTGTTTGGGTCACAGAGGTAGATCCCTCATGAATGGCTTGGTGCCATCTCCTTGGTAATGAGTGAGTTCTTGCTCTGAGTTCATGTGAGAGCTGGTTGGTTTTTATTTTTTTGAGACAGAGTCTCACTCTGTCACCCAGGCTGGAGTGCAGTGGCATGATCTCAGCTCACTGCAACCTCCACCTCCTGGGTTCAAGCTATTCTCCTGCCTCAGCCTCCCAAGTAGCTGGGACTACAGGCGGGTGCCACCACACCTGGCTAATTTTTATGTTTTTAGTAGACACGGGGCTTTGCCACGTTGGCCAGGCTGGTCTTGAACAGCTGACCTCTGGTGATCTGCTTCAGCCTCCGAAAGTGCTGGGATTACAAGCATGAGTCATCATGCCCGACCAAGAGAGCTGGGTTGTTTTTTTTGTTTGTTTGTTTGTTTTTGTTTTTTTTTTTTTGAGACAGCATCTCACTCTGTCACCGAAGCTGGAGTGCAGTGGCACAATCTCAACTCACTGCAACCTCCGCCTCCTGAGTAGCTGGGACTACAGGCACTCGCCACCATGCCCAGCTAATTTTTGTATTTTTAATAGAGGCGGGGTTTCATCATGTTGGCCAGGCTGGTCTCAAACTCCTGACCGCAAATGATCCACACGCCTTGGCCTCCCAAAGTGCCAGGATTACAGGCATGAGCCACCGTGCCCAGCAGAGAGCTGGTTGTTTAAAAGAGCCTTGCACTTCCTCCTCTCTCTTGCTCCAGCTCTCACCATGTGACATGCCTGCCATGAGTCAAAGCTTCCTGAGGCCTCACTGGAAGCAGAACAGATGCTGGTGGTATGCTTGTACAGCCTGCAGAACTGTGAGCCAAATAAACCTCTTGAGAAATCACCCAGCCACGGGTACTTCTTTACAGCAACATAAAACAGACAAATACACTGACCAACATGTCATGAAGCATGTGCTGTAGACAGGAGAGGTGTCTACACCCTACATTATAGGACTGAGTTTCTGGCTTTAGAGGGTGTGGAAGGAAGATTACTCTGAATGCTGACCACCAGGAAGATCTCTCTGGCCAATGATAGACAATTAGCCCAGGGACAGCAAATACATGGCTCACAGGTCCCTGCTCTCCATACCTAACCCAGGACAGACATTGCTAATCTATCTCACAGTCTTTCTTGCTGAGTATCACATGGCTCTAGATTCTCCCAACACCATGCTTGAGGCTCTTAGAACCAATGAGTCGGCCCAGAGTGGAAACTGACTTGAAATCTACTGGTCCACTGCTGACCTTTGGCCAGGGCAGCCATTCCTACAATTTTAACAAGGAACCTCTCCCAGGCTCTGTAGTGTGGCCTGCCTCTGCAACAGAATCTTCTGGAAATAACTCCCCAGAGAGCATCTCAGGGAGCCCTGGGGAAGCCCCTCTCAGAGCACACTTTGAAGCTGTGTTCTCTGAGAAGCGAGGAGTCTGGAGCTAGCCTGCCTGGTTAGAATCCTAGCTCTGCTCCTTAATAGCCATGTGACCTGGGGCAAGTCCCTAGCCCTTCTGAGACTCAGTTTCCCCCTTGGAAAGCAGGGATAATAATAGTACCTACTTCTCAGGGCTGCTGGAGTAATTAAATGAGATCAGGCATGTAAAATCTTTATTGGGATGCTCGGCACACATGAAGAGGTATTACTGAAGGCTGGTCACAGTGGCTCACACCGGTAATCCCAGCACTTTGGGAGGCTGAGGCAGGCAGATCACTTGAGATCAGGAGTTCGAGAACAGCCTGGCCAACATGGTGAAACCCCGTCTCTACTAAAAATACAAAAATTAGCTGGGCGTGGTGGCATGTGCCTGTAGTCCTAGCTACTTGGGAGGCTGAGACAGGAGAATTGCTTGAACCCAGAAGGTAGAGGTTGCAGTGAGCCAAGATCGCACCACTGCACTCCAGCCTGGGTGACAGAGCAAGACTCCACCTCAAAAATAAAAATAAAAATAAATAAAAATAAAGAGGTATTACTGGTGCTGATTAATGAGAAGCAAATGCCTTGGCCTGGCATTCAAGGCCCTCTCTGATCTGGCGGGTGATATACTCATCCCTCTCCATCATGCAGGCCCTCCTCCAACTGGAGGGGGTCTCTCCTTGCTGGGTTCCTCCCATGCAAGGGATCATGCAAGGGACCATGCAAGGGACCTCCCATGCAAGGGACCTCCCATGCAAGGGACCATGGCTCCCTCTGTGTCCCCTTTCTTGTTTTTGTTTTTTGGGTTTTTTTTTTTGAGACCCAATCTCACTCCCGTTGCCCAGGCTGGAGTGCAGAGGCACAATCATGGCTCATGGCTCACTGCAACCTTGACTTCCTGCACTCAGGTGATCCTCCCACCTTAGCCTCCCAGGTAGCTGGGAGGGACTGCAGGTGCACCCCACCAAGCCCAGCTAAATTTTTTAGTGGAGATGAGGTTTCACCATGTTACTCAGGCTGGTCTGGAACTCCCAGCCTCAACCAATCTGCGCACCTTGGCCTCCCAAAGTGCTGGGATTACAGGCGTGAGCCACCACACCCGGCCTGTGTCTCCTTTCTCTAACCTTCCTCCAGGTCCCAGGGCCAGTGACAATGACGTCCCTTCCACCTCTATGAAGCCTTCTCGGATTTCTCCTGCCCTCTCTGGCCTCCAAGCCACAGAGGCAAGACCCACACTGCAGTGCTCATCATTGTTTCCCTGGGTGAGTCTTAGCTCCCTGAGGGTCTGCAGCTTACACTTCTCACCTGGTGGCCAGATTGACAGCAGGCAGGTAAGGCCCTCCCCTCCCACCACCTCAGGAAGTCAGGAGGAACCTAGACTGTAGGAACAAAGGGGCCTGGCTTGCCAGAGCTGGCGGGGCAGGGGTAGCTGGGGCAGGGGTAGCCGGGGCAGGGAGCTGGCCCCAGGGCAGAGGGCTGGCGCCAGGCGGCCCAGCAGGGATTGGCAGGGATTAGCTGCGGTGCTGGGGGAGGAGGGGGTGGATACACCAGGCAGGTGTGGGAAGGAGAGGCCTCACTACCTGAACCTGGGATCCAGAAACGAGGGATGCTGCTCACACTTGGGGAAGGGCTCCCCCGAGCTCCTGCCAGGACGGTGAAGTCTCTCCCCAGGTGAAGAGAACCAGAGCCACCAGCTCTGAGGCCCTCTTGGCAACAGGGGGCTGCTGGGGACAGGAAGAGTGTCACATTTCATGGATGGAAAAAGCCAGCGTGAGAGCATGTGAGTGAGTGTGTGTGTGTGTGTGTGTGTGTGTGTGTGTACGCGTGCATGCGCAATTCAGGATTCTTGATGGAACAGGCTCTTGAACTCCAGCAGCAGGGGTGGGGGAAGGGGATGGGGTGGCGTGGCTCAAAGCCCCTTTCTCAGGTTCCTGCTTCTCAATAACAGCAACAATAATGGCTTACCTTCATCGAGCATTTTCTGTGTGCCAGACACAATTTTTTTTTTTTGAGACAGAGTCTCGCTCTGTCACCCAGGCTGGAGTGCAGTGGCTAGATCTTGTCTCACTACAACCTCTATCTCCTGGGTTCAAGCGATTCTCATGCCTCAGCCTCCTAAATAGTTGGGATTACAGGTGCCGGCCACCACGCCCAGCTAATTTTTTGTATTTTTAGTAGAGATGGGGTTTCACCATGTTGGCCAGGCTGGTCGCAAACTCATGACCTCAGGTGATCTGCCTGCCTCAGCTTCCCAAAGTGCTGGATTACAGGCATGAGCCACCGTGCCCAGCCAATGCTGTTCCAAGCACTTCACACATACTAACCCCCGACTTTCCAGTTAGGAAACCAAGGGTACAGCTGGCGAGTAATGTGCCCAAGGGAGCTAGGAAGCAGCAGCACCAGGACTTGGACACAAGCCTGAACCCAGAGTCTCCTCTCTTAACCTAAATGCATGCACTGCCCAGCCAGGGACGGTGGCCAGGCCATCTGTTGAGAGGGCCCTGTCTCTCTATCTATGTAAGGGAGCTGTCTAGCTGTGCCCTCCCCACATGCCCACTTTCCTCCCTATAACCTGTCTATTCCCTGTTTTCCAGGGAAACAGTGCTGCTGAGAGCCCACACTGGGACCTTAACCCCCAGGTTCCGTGGCCAGGCGTGGTGACTCACGCCTGTAATCGCAGCACTTTGAGAGGCTGAGGCAGGTGGATCACCTGAGGTCAGGAGTTTGAGAGCAGCCTGGTCAACATGGTGAAACCCTGTCTCTACTAAGAATACAAAAATTAGCCGGGCGTGGTGGCACATGCCTGTAATCCCAACTACTCGTGAGGCTCAGGCAAGAGAATCGCTTGAACCCGGGAGGTGGCGGCTGCAGTGAGCAGAGACTGTGCCATTGCAGTCCGGCCTGGGCGACAAGAACAAAACTCTGTCTCAAAAAAAAAAAAAGAAAGAAAAAAAAAGCCGGGCACGGTGGCTCATGCCTATAATCCTAGCACTTTGGGAGGCCAAGGCAGGTGGATCATGAGATCAGGAGTTCAAGACCAGCCTGGCCAACATGGTGAAACCCCATCTTTACTAAAAATACAAAAATTAGCTAGGCATGGTGGTGGGCGGGAGCCTGTAATCCCAGCTACTCGGGAGGTGGAGGCAGAGAACTGCTTGAACCCAGGGGGCAGAGATTGCAGTGAGCCGAGATAATGCCACTGCACTCTAGCCTGGGTGACAGAGCAAGTCTCCATCTCAAAAACAAAAACAAAAAACAAAAAACCAAACAAACAAAAAAAACTCCCGGGTTCCTTGGGCCACGCAGAGCCTGCCTCTCTGGTTGAGGATCCCACGTGATTGTCCAGTTCAGAGGGTCCCAAACCTGCCCACACATCAGCATCACAAGAGAGGTTGTGGAATCCAGGCTCCTAGGCCCCAGGGCTAGGGGTCTGAGGTGGGCCCAGGAGTCTGGATTTTTCCTACCTTTCCCAGGTGATTTCTGATGTCAGCCACATTTGGGAATCACTGGTCCAATCCATCCCCTTGGTCCGCTGACACTGGGCTGCAATGCAGGGGTCTGGGAGGCGGTTCACAACAAGAGAACTGAAGGCAAGCCCTCCAACAAGAGACCCTGGCATGACCTCCTAACATCCCCAAGGAAACAGCCTCAGTAAACCCAGCCTGCACCCCATTCCCTTGACCTGTCTGCAACACACATTCCTTCCCCTAAAGAGGCCTCCAGTCTACCTCCTCCAGGAAGCCCTCCTTAATCTCATCCCATGTGGTCACTCCTTTGCACGTGCAGTCTTGGTTTGCCCAGTAGTTGACGTATTGGTACAAACCTGCTCCTTCTCCCTCTGCCAGGCCAGGGCCACATCTTTATTTCCTTGGTCTCCCTCTCCCTCACCATGGCTGGGACTGGGCATGACCAAGACACACTGTACATTCTGGCCTTAAGCAGCTACGTGAGGCCTGACACAGTGGCTCACACCTGTAATCCCAGCACTTTGGGAAGTGAGGGGAAGCTGAGGCAGGCAGATCAGTTGAGATCAGAAATTTGAGACCAGCCTGGCCAACATGGTGAAACCCCGTCTCTACTAAAAATACAAAAATTAGCTAGACGTGGTGGCAAGAGCCTGTAGTCCCAGCTACTCAGAAGGCTGAGGCACGAGAATTGCTTGAACCCAGGAGGCAGAGGTTGCAGTGAGCCAGGGTTGTGCCACTGTACTCCAGCCTGGGCAACAGGGTGAAACTCTGTCTCAAAAAAAAAAAAAAAGGCCGGGCACAGTGGCTCACACACCTGTAATCCCAGCACTTTGGGAGGCCAAGGTGGACAGATCACCTGAGGTCAGGAATTCAAGTCCCACCTGGCCAACATGGCAAAACCCCGTCTCTACTAAAAATACAAAAATTAGCCAGGCAGTGGTGCATATTACATACTGCAAGTTATACGGTGGTGCATGTAATCCCAGCTACTAGTCCGGGCGCGGTGGCTCACGCCTGTTATCCTAGCACTTTGAGAGGCCTAGGCGGGCGGATCACCTGAGGTCAGGAGTTTGAGACCAGCCTAACCAATGTGATGAAACCCCGTCTCTACTAAAAATACAAAAAAAATTTAGCTGGGCATGGTGGCAGGCGCCTATAATCCCTGCTATTCAGGAGGCTGAGATAGGAGAATTGCTTGACCCAGGAGGCAGAGGTTGCAATGAGCCCAGATTGTGCCATTGCACTCTAGCCTGGGCAACAAAAGTGAAACTCCATCTCAAAAATAATAATAATAATAATAATAATAATCCCAGCTACTTAGGAGACTAAGGCAGGAGAATCACTTGAAACCAGGAGGCAGAGGTTGCAGTGAGCCAAGATTGTGCCACTGCACCCCAGCCCGGGTGACAGAGTGAAACTCTGTCTCAAAAAAAAAAGCAGCAACATGGAAGGTACTTTTGTACTTTTGTGGTGCCACTGCACTCTAGCCTGGGTGACAGAGCAAGTCTCCCTCTCAAAAACAAAAAACAAAAAACAAAACAAACAAACAAAGTACTTTTAGGAACAGCTACCACCACTGAACCCGGTGAGATACCGTGTGCTGTATGAGGCATGTTACATTCATTATCTTATTTCACGGTCAACACTCTACGAGGAAGGTGATATTTTTATCACTGCTTCTTCGGGTGAGGAAACCGAGGCACAGAGAGGCTAAATACCTGACCCAAAGTCACAGAACCTTTAGGTGAAATGGGAATGAGTTGGAATTCTAAATGCCCATGCTCTTGTCTTCATTTCCCTGTCCAAGAGCCCAACATCCTAAGATGCCAGACTCCTGGCTGCAGACAAAAGCCAGCGCTTCCAGTGCCTTCTCTCTGGCCTCTGCAGCACAAGCACCCAACTGCAGTCACGTGGTGAGGTCTTTTCCCAGCTCACTGTTAGGCCAGGCCAGAGAAACCCTTAAGGCATGGATGTGGAAGATTCATTTTCGAGTACCAAGGCCCCTCCCATCTGCTTTCTGTCTGGTCCAGCCAGCTGCCTTGGGCTAAGGCCAAGGCCTGGCACCCAGAGCTCTCAGCCCTCCCCACCTACTGCCCAAAGTCCAGCAATGACTTCCCCAGATGAACCCGTGATCCAGGATCAGCAGAAATCAATGAGATACAACAGAGAGGGTGCTAAAGACAGATTGCTGGGCAGGGAATTTAGCCTCTCCGTGCCTCAGTTTTCTCATCTGTAAAATGGGAATAATACAGATGATAGTACCTCCCTCCAGAGACTTTCATGAGGATTCAATGAGCCAATGCCGTAAAGCGCTTGGCACAGTGCCTGCCTTGGTAGCTGCGGGGGGGTTCTGGCGACAGGGTGCCTCCCCTAAAGGGGAGCTGTGTCTTGGTAGATGCTGCCCTGGGGGTCAGGAATAAAGGGGAGCTGCCTTCCTGAGAGCAAGAATGATGCAGAGGGTGGGGTGGCTCACACCTGTAATGTCAACACTTAGGGAGACCAAGGCAGGAGGCTTATTTGAGGCCCTGAGTTCAAGACCAACCTGTGCAACAAAGTGAGACCCTGTCTCTACAAAAAATTAAAAAATTAGCCAGACATGGTGGCACGCACCTCTAGGCCCAGCTACTCAGGAAGCTGAGGCAGGAGGATTGCTTGAGCCCAGGAGGTGAAGGCTGCAGTGAGCTATAGTCATGCTACTGGGCCACAGGAATTAGCCAGGTGCAGTGGCTCACACCTGTAATCCCGGTCTTTGGGGGGCCAAGGTGGGGATGATCACTTGAGCCTGAGGGTTCAAGACCAGCCGGGGCAACACAGTGAGACCCTGTCTGTACAAAAAAATAAAATTTAGAAAAACTTTTAAGAGAAGAATGATGTGTGCGGTGGCTCACACCTGTAATCCTAGCACTTTGGGAGGCCAAGGCGGGTGGATCACATGAGGTCAGGAGCTCGAGACCAGCCTGGCCAACATGGCGAAACCCCATCTCTACTAAAAATACAAAAATTAGCTGGGCATGATGGTGGGCGCCTGTAATCCCAGCTACTCGGGAGACTGAGGCAGGAGAACTGCTTGAACCCAGGGGGCAGAGGTTGCAGTGAGCTGAGATCATGCCATTTCACTCCAGACTAGGTGAGCGAGACTCCATCTCAAAAAAAGAAAAAGAAAAAGAATGATGTGGAGAGACTGACGGTGAGGGCTTGGTTGGGGTGTGCGTATGTGATGAGCTCCTGGAAGAATGGGACCTCTGGGCACCCCTGGTTTGACTGTGCCACCGGATGCCCCCTCCTCCCCAAGCAGTCCCAGCCCAAGGCGTGGGTGGTCACTGTGTGGCCTGAGTCAAGGCACAGTCATGACACACCCAGTCTGCTCCCTGGGGAGGCGGGAATGAATGAAGCCCTTCCGCCCTCTCCCCTCCCCCATCCTTCATCCCCACCCCAGGCTTGAACTGAAGCCAGGAACAGGGTCTGGCAGGAGCTTGGGATGCCCTGCACGTGGGAGCCAACCTTAGCCTCCCCGGGGCCAGCTGCCCACTTAGGTCTCCCCAGACCCGGCCCCACCCCCACACCATCCAGTGCAGCCTGACTGACTCCTGGGACCCTTCTGTTCTCTAGTAGGGAACAGCATGACCTGAACGGCCAGCTGAGCCTCTGATCTCTGCAGCTGTCCTTCTCTCACCACGGCCAAATCAAGGCCCACAGGGAAAGGCAGGAGCTGGAGATCTGCTAGAAGTTTCTACAAACGGGAGGAAGGGCTGTGGGACATCTGACCTCGGCTCTAGGGATATCTGCCTGTTTGGATGTTGCCTTTTATTCTCCCAGTTCCCTGTGATGGAAGATATTGCTTTGTTGAAGCCTTCTTGTGTCTCCCATCTTGTTCTGGAAGCCCCCCCAGGATGGCGCAACATCTCTTCCCTCAGACGTGGGGTGTCTACTGAAGTGAGGTGCTCTGTACCCCCCTCTCATTGGGAGCCCCCAAAAGTGAAAACGGTCCATGTTTCTCTCCATGCACCAAGGCCATGCGTTTTGGGTGAGGGGACAGACAAGCTGCTGACAGCACCCCACCCATCTCACTCCCCGAGACTCCACAGCAAATCCCCTTCCCTACTCCAGCTGAATCCACCTCAGTAGCTGCCTCCTCCCATCCATCTGCCAGGGAAAGGGAAGAGCTGGCCTCTTTGGGGGCTGCTGGGGTACCCCCCACCAAACACACACACTAGTCAGTGGGATGCTCAGGCAAGACCTGCAGGGAAGATGAGCAACCCACTCTGTCCTCCTGTCCAGCTGGCTAAAGGTCACACCTCAGCTGGGTCTGGGGGAGCTGAGCAGGCTCCCCCAGGCAGCATTTCCAGGCAACAGCACCCCCTTCCCGTCCAGAGGTGCAGAAATGAACAGTAGGTCTGAGTTCCAGACAATGACCCCACCTCCAACCAGCTCTGGCAATGAGAGACCAGATGTTTAACCTACCAGGACCTCAGTCTTCCCATCTCCAAAATGGAGTTGATGATTTCTTACTTAGCAAAGGGATCCTGGCCGGGCGTGGTGGCTCAGGCCTGTAATCCCAGCACTTTGGGAAGCCAAGGTGGGCAAATCGCTTGAGGTCAGGATTGAGACCAGCCTGGCTAACATTGCAAAACCCCGTCTCTACTAAAAATACAAAAATTAGCCAGGCATGGTGGTGCATGCCTGTGATCCCAGCTACTTGGGAGGCTGAGACAGGAGAATCGCTTGAACCCTGGAGGTGGAGGCTGCAGTGCGCTGAGATCGTGCCACTGCACTCCAGCCTGGGCGACAAAGCGAGACTCTGTCTCAAAGAAAAAAAAAAAAAGAAAATGAAAACTTAAAAAAAAAAAAAAAAATGGAAAACAGGGAGGGATCCAAATGGAGAAGGGAAGCAAAGGGCCCAACTCAGACTGGCCTGACATTAGCCCCAGGCCTGGGGATCTGCTCTCTTGTGCATCAGTGAGCACAGATGTGCTTTCTACCTACCAGGTGCTCTACCTGGGTTACCTCAGTAGCACACTGATCCTGTCCTCCGCCCATAGCAGCACCCTCTGTGAAGGCTTCCTTGGATCTGCTCTGCCCTCCTCCTGTCACTTGCTGGGGATCAGGGTGCCTAACGCCCTGTCATCAGTCTGGTCCCTCTTCAATTCAACTCACCGGGCTTCATCATGGGCAGCTGCGGTTTCTCTCCTGGGATGGTCTGGGATGCAGGCACCCCATGTCAGCAGAAGCAGGGGGATCAAAGGCCCAGAAAACTAGGCCACAACAGGGCTCCTGGCCAGTGAGGGGACCCAGGCCGAGAGCCCTTTGCACAGCCCGGTGGTCAGCGTTTCCATCACTGGACTTTCTGAGCTGTCTTACTGCCCTGCTGTAAGCCAGCAGCCCTGGGACTGGGAGAGAAAATGCCCTTTGCCGAGGGCCTTTCATGGGCCAGGCATTGAGCTGAACTCTCCCCAACTTCATCCCCTGGAATTCTTGTTAGAGCTCCAGGCGTGAGGTAGTATCACCGGGTCTTGCAGGCTAGAACACCAAGCCTCACAGAGAGCAAGCACCGCCGGCTTTACCACTGGGAGACGTGGGGCCTTGGGCACAACCTGGTCCGAGGGAGGTACTCAAGAAATGGCAGTTCCTGGCCGGGCGCGGTGGCTCACGCCTGTAATCCCGGTACTTTGGGAGGCCGAGGTAGGCGGATCACCTGAGATCAAGAGTTTGAAACCAGCCTGACCAACATGGTGAAACCCCGTCTCTACTAAAAATACAAACATTAGCTGAGCGTTGTGGCATCCGCCTGTAATCCCAGCCACTAGGGAGATTGAGGCAGGAGAATCGCTTGAACCTGGGAGGCGGAGGTTGCAGTGAGCTGAGATCGCACCATTGGACTCCAGCCTGGGCAACGGGAGTGAAACTCTGCCTCAAAAAAAAAAAAAGAAAGAAAAGAAAAGAAATGGTGGTTCCTGGCTGGGTGCAGTGGCTCCCACCTGTAATCCCAGCACTTTGGGAGGCCGAGGCAGGAGGATCACTTGAGGTCAGGAGTTTGAAACCAGCCTGGCCAACATGGCGAAACCTCGTCTCTTCTAAAGATACAAAAATTAGCTGGGCGTGGTGGTGCAGGCCTGTAATCCCAGCTACTTGGGAGGCTGACGCACGAGAATTGCTTGAACCCAGGAGACAGAGGTTGCAGTGAGCCAAGGTCATGCTACTGCACTCCAGCCTGGGGGACACAGTGAAACACTGTCTCAAAAAAAAATTAAATAAATAAAATAAAATAAATGGTGGTTCCCATTCCTGACCCAAAGAACCCGGGATCCTTCTGGTGATACAGTTTCAGGTTCTCCAGGAGGGTAAGCTGAAGGAGGAGAATGCCATGGAAAGTACCGCCACTTCTGCTTGGCTTTGCTGGGACTGTCCGCAGTCTATGCCCTTCTCGGGACAGCCCTGGAGATGGCCCATGCCAGGGAGGGCTGGGGAGGAGGGAAGCACCCACTCAGGACAGTGGGGCACACACTGCAATCCAATCTGCCTTGAGGAAGTAGAAAGAGCGCTAGACTGGAGCCCAGCTGACCTCGGACCAACCACCTCTGTCTGGACCACCCTGGACAGTCACTTCACCTGTCTGGGCCTCAGTTTCCTCAAGTATAAACTGCAGAGAGGGCCAGGTGTGGTGGCTCACGCCTGTAATCCCAACACTTTGGGAGACCAAGGTGGGCTGATCACCTGAGGTCAAG
Source organism: Homo sapiens (assembly GCF_000001405.40). NCBI lineage: Eukaryota > Metazoa > Chordata > Mammalia > Primates > Hominidae > Homo > Homo sapiens. The sequence goes on along the minus strand of NC_000001.11, from coordinate 11,936,053 downwards.
AGTTCAAGACCAGCCTGGCCAACATGGTGAAACCCCATCTCCACCAAAAATACAAAAATTAGCTGGGCATGGTGGCACATGTCTGTGATCCCACCTACCTGGGAGGCTGAGGTACAGGAGTCGCTTGAACCGGCCGGGCGCGATGGCTCACGCCTGTAATCCAAACATTTTGGGAGGCTGAGGCCAGCGGATCAAGAGGTCAGAAGTTCAAGACCAGCCTGGCCAGCATGGTGAAACCCCATCTCAACTAAAAATACAAAAATTAGCTAGGCATGGTGGCACGTGCCTGTAATCCCAGCTACTTGGGAGGCCGAGGCAGGAGAAACACTTGAACCTGGGAGGTGGAGGTTGCAGTGAGCTGAGATTGTGCCACTGCATTCCAGCCTGGGCGACAGAGCGAGACTCCATCTCAAAAAAAAAAAAAAGAATTGCTTTTACCTGGGAGGCAGAGGTTGCAGTAAGCCGAGATCGCATACTGCGTTCCAGCCTGGGCGACAGAGCAAGACTCTGTCTCAAAAATAAATAAATAACTAAATAAATAATACATTAAGTAAAATAAAAAAAATAAACTGCAGAGAGGAAGACCACCCTGGCAGGGGCTAAGCAGACCACAGGGGACATGGATGAAAGCACAAACTTATCCACAAAGTGAGCCACACCTTCTACCCCCATTCCTCCCCTGTCCCCCTCAAGACCCCTCATTCCCATGGTCATGAGGCCTCCTGGCTCTGGAACCAGACACCTGGGTGGGTGGGGTAAATCCTGGTTCCAAGGCCCACAAGTTGTATGATCTTGGGCAAGTGAATGAACTCTGGAGCCTCAGTTTGCCCAGCTGGAAAACGGGGATAATAGAAGGAAACACTTACCAGGGTAGCAATCATGCCTAACTGATGCCTGGCCCATAGTGAGCACTGGGCAGAATAGCCATTGTCGGTTATTATTATGAAAACTATTATTATTTGAGCCTTTCTGTGCTGAATGGGACTCAGCTGTCACCCTTTCCTTCCCGAAGCAGGAACCGCAGCCCCAAGAGGGGAAGTGATTTGTTCAAGTCACCAGCGATTAAGTGGACAAGGAGCCGGAACCCAGACTCCCTCTCCAGCCCAGGCCTCCCATTCAGGTCGTTCCCAGGGAGGCAGCCCGACACCAGCCCTCCCGCCCGGATCCGCGCTCCCGCCCCCGGCCTTCGCTCCCTCACCCTCCGGCTTGGCGTCGCCCTTCGCTTCGGCCAGCAGCAGCCAGCCCAGCAGGGCCAGTAGCAGCAGGGGCCGCATGGCCGAGGTATGGGGGACGATCGGCCGACCCGGCGGCGCTCGCAGGGCTGGAAACTTCGCGACGGGGCCGCAGGTCCCGCTGCCACGCACTGGGCCCGCCCCGGGGGCGGCACCACCCCGCCCCTCCACGCCCTCCCCCGCGCCTGCCTAGTGGGGAAGGGTTTTTCTGCAGATATGCCCAAGTCCGGGCCTCTCCTTATTAGGGCAGCTCCCTCCGCCTCTCTGTGCAGCTCCCGGGGCTTCCGTCAGGCCCTGCCGTCTCCCTCCCTTCTCTGGGGGGTTCACTCCGACCAGAAAGAGGGCGGTGAGAGGAGAGAGAGGCCACGATTTCTAGACCCCAGGTTCTGGGCCAAGGCTCCATGGCATCGATAGCCACGAGCCCCTGTTTGCTCGCCTGAAAAGTGGGGCTTATGATAGCGTCTGTTCATTGGGTCTTGCACGGGTTAATGGCGTTACCTGTAGCGCACTTAGAGCAGCCCCAGGTCAAGCCCCAAGGAAGTCAGTTTTCATGATTTCATTAGTCCTTCCCAAAACCCAAGGGGTGAGGGTGGGCACGGATGCGTTCAGAGACACGGACACCCCTACGTGGCCCACCCAGGCACTGGAAATGCAGGAAGCCCGTCTCCACTCTCCCCAAAAGGCAATCACTTGATCTCCCTTTGTGTCCCTGGGAGGCAAACCTCTGAGCCAAGGAAAGTCTTGCTTCTGAGGTTTTTTTGTTTTTTGTTTTTTTTTTTTCATTTTTTTGAGACAAGGTTGCTTTCAGTTGCCCAGGCTGGAGTGCAGTGGCGTGATCACCGCTTGCTGCAGCCTCGACCTCCCGGGCTCAAGCGATCCTCCCATCTCAGCCTCCCAAGTAGGTGGGATCACAGGCCTGAGCCACCATCCCTGGCTAATTTTTCTACCTTTTTTTTGAGACAGAGTTTCACTCTTGTTGCCCAGGCTGGAGTGCAACGGCGAGATCTGGGGTCACGGCAACCTCCGCCTCCCGGGTTCAAGCAATTCTCCTGCCTCAGCCTCCCGAGTAGCTGGGATTACAGGCATGTGCCACCATGCCCAGCTAATTTTGTATTTTTAGTAGAGGTGGGGTTTCTCCATGTTGGTCAGGCTGGTCTTGAACTCCCACCCTCAGATGATCCACCCGCCTTGGCCTCCCAAAGTGCTGGGATTACAGGCTGAGCCACCACACCCTAGAGAGATTAATTGTTAAATGAGTAAACGAATCGATGAAAGTTTTTAGGGCCTCTTCACAGATACCCAAAGCCCAACAAACAACTCAACGGTCTCTAGAGTAAGGGCTCCTGGACCAGATGTCAGACAGGGGCAGCCACCTCTGAACAAAAATCCTTCCTTCCTTGGAAGAAACCTCAGACAGAGGCCGGGCACGGTGGCTCACACCTGTAATCCCAGCACTTTGGGAGGCTGAGGCGAGCGGATCACAAGGTCAGGAGTTCAAGACCAGCTTGACCAACATGGTGAAACTCTGTCTCTACTAAAATACAAAAATTAGCCAGGCGTGGTGGCGCGCGCCTGTAATCCCAGCTACTCAGGAGGCTGAGGCAGTAGAATCACTTGAACCCAGGAGACTGAGTTTGCAGTGAGCCAAGATTGAACCACTGCACTCCAGCCTAGGCGACAGAGCGAAACTCTGTCTCAAAAAAAAAAAAAAAGAAAAAAAAGACCTTAGACAGGGACCCAGGAGCCTTCTCCCAGCTGATTAGGCTCCAGAGGAGTGGGTGGCAGGTGTAACCCTAGGCTGGCAGGGGGTTCCCTGCAGGGGGCAAAGGGGTGGGAGAGAAGGAATGTCACGAATGTCAATGGACGACAAAGAGCAGGCTATGCGTCTGTGCTGGGAAAAGATATTAATAAATCAACAGCATTCAGATGAGCTGGGTGCGGTGGTTCATGCCTGTAATCCCAGTACTTTGGGAGGCCAAGACAGCCAGATTGCTTGAGCCCAGGAATTCAAGACCAGCCTGGGCAACATGGTGAAACCCCTTCTTTACTAAAAAAACAAAAATTAGCTGGGCATGGTGGCATGTGCCTGTAGTCCCAGCTATTCAGGAGGCTGACTGGGGAGGATCACTTGAGCCCGGGAGGTGGAGGTTGCAGTGAGCCATGATCACACCGCTGCACTCCAGCCTGGGCAAGAGAGTCAGAACCTGCCTCAAAAAAAACAAACAAACCAAAAAATAAAAATAAAAACAAAATAGCATTCAGATGCTGCAGCCAGAGAAATACACTACCCATATGATGTTAAGTGGAAAAGCAGAATATATAGTATGGTTCCACTCAGTAAAAATACCTTCTTTTTTTTTTTTTTTGAGATGGAGTCTCACTGTATAGCCCAGGTTGGAGTGCAGTGGCACAATCTCAGCTCACTGCAACCTCCGCCTCCCTGGTTCAAGCAATTCTTTGCCTCAGCCTTCCGAGTAGCTGGGATTACAGGTGCCTGCCACCATGCCTGGCTCATTTTTGTATTTTTAGTAGAGATGAGGTTTCACCATCTTGGCCAGGCTGGTCTTGAACTCCTGACCTCGTGATCCACCAGCCTCGGCCTCCCAAAGTGTTGGGATTATAGGCGTGAGCCATCGCGCCCAGCCAAAAATATATTCTTATCGATGTATACATGCATAGAGACAATGCTAGGAGAAAATTATGGCCAAATATTTACTGTGATTATTTCCAGGTTGTGGGATTATTTCATATTTATATAGACAATTTTTGATGTTTTATATTATTTCCAAGTATTTATTTTGTTATTTATATTTTTCTTTTTTTTTCAATAAATATATACTATTTGTAAAATTCAAACAAAATCGGCGGGGCATGGTGGCTTATGCCTGTAATACCAGCCCTTTGGGAGGTGGAGGCAGGCAGATCACCAGACGTCGGGATTTCAAGACCAGCCTGACCAACATGGAGAAACCCTGTCTCTACCAAAAATACAAAATTATCTGGGCATGGTGGCGCATTCCTGTAATCCCAGCTACTTGGGAGGCTGAGGCAGGAGAATTTCTTGAGCCTGGAAGGCGGAGATTGCAGTGAGCCGAGATCGCACCATTGCACTCTAGCCTGGGCAACAAGAGCAAAACTCCGTCTTGAAAAAATATATATATATATTCAAACAAAATCAATACATGCTATTTTTAGAATATAGGTCCAGGCCGGCACAGAGACTCATGCCTGTAATCCCAGCACTTCGGGAGGCCAAGGCAGGAGGACTGCTTGGGCCCAGGAGTTCCAGACCAGCCTGGACACTATAGCAAAACCCTTCCCCCATCTCTATTAAAAAAACAAAGATAGAGTCAGTCACTGGGAACCTTGGAAATCATCTCATTGTGTGGAAATCATCTCATTGTATGGAGATGTGCTCATTGCACAGATAGCACAAGTGATATCCATAGGCATGGGGCAGCAAGCTCAAGGTCCCAAGGCAAGTAAAAGGAAGAGGCCTGAGCAGAATCCAGGGCCCCTACCTCCCAGCTGGGATCCAGGGCTGGGAGTTTCAGCATCTGGAGACAGGACTTGGTGCCAGAATCCACCGGATGTTTTGGATTCAGGAGGATGCAGACTCAGACTCCAGACCCCTGGAGGAAGAGGAAATGCCAGGAGGAGCAGAGGGAGGAGAATGAGCATTTGTTGGCTGGTTCCATGTTCTCTTTTTTTTTGAGACAGGGTCTCACTTTGCTGCCCAGGCTGGAGTGCAGTGGTGTGATTACAGCCCACTGCAGCCTCAACTTCCTGGGCTCAGGTGATTCTCCCACCTCAGCCTCCTGAGTAGCTGGGACTACAGGCATGCACCTTGCCTGGCTAATTTTTTTTTTTTTTTTTTTTTTTGTAGAGACAGGGTTTCACAATGTCGGCCAGGCTGGTCTAAAACTCCTGAGCTCAAGACATCTGCCTTCCTCAGCCTCCCAAAGTGCTGGGATTACACGTGTGAGCCAATGCTCCCGGCCCCTGGTTCAGTTTTCAAAACTCTCCCTCATTCCCTGCTCGCAACAGCCTTGCTAATTAAACAGTATTGCCCCATTTGCAAAATGAGAAAACAGACCCAGAGAAGTGAAGCAATCTGCTCGACGCCACACAACTGATGCAGAACTACAGTAAGGGAGGCAGCATTGGAACCCAGCTCTAACCCTCCATTTGCTGTAGTCCAAGGAGAACCTCAATGGTGATGTACTATGAATAGAAAAAAAAAACAAAACCTTGAGGCCAGGTGCCATGACTCACGCCTGTAATCCCAACACTTTGGGAGGCTGAGGTGGGAGGATCCTTTGAGACCAGGAGTTCAAGACCAGCCTGGGCAACATAGACCCGTCCCTCCGCCCCCACCCACCTCCCGTCTCCACAAAAAAAATTAGGAGGGCATGGTGGTGTGCGCCTGTAATCTCAGCTTCTCAGGAGGCTGAAGTGGGAGGATCACTTGAGCCCAAGAGGTTGAGGCTGCAGTGAGCCGTAATTGTACCACTGTACTTCTGCCTGAGTTACAGAGTAAGACTCTGTCTCAAAAAAAAGGAAAAGAAAAAACCCCTTGGGCAGTGGGAGTCCCATGCCCAAAAGTCATTTTAAGTCAGGAGGGGGAATCAATCTTGGAGGCTGCTGGCCTCTCTGGGAGAAAGGATTCACTCTGGCAAAGCCTGCCCTCTCCTCCTTTGGTATCTGTTTCCTGTTCCCTTCACCAAATTGCTGAAACTTGAACCCTGCCCAAGCTTCATGGAGAAAGGGGGCCTGTCTCTTTAACCAGTGGTGGCTGCCGTCCAGATGTTACTTCTGGTACGTGCTGCACGTGCTGTGGACAGTTAAAGGCGCAGGACTCAGATTTCTAGGGAAGGTGTAGAAAGGATAGCTGGCCTGGAGGGCAGCTGCCCGGTGACATGAGGGGCTTTTCTCATTTTCATCCTTTTCTTTTATTCATTTCCTTTTTTGGCCCCAGGAAGAGCAAGGGCTTCGGTAGGATGGCCATATTCTGTGCTGCTAGATGGATGATCACCTCTCACTAGCACTTAAGCCTCCCTAATAATAATAATAGTAAAAATAAATCATAATAAAATGTCCTCTTTCTTTTTTTTTTTTTTTTGAGACAGAGTCTCACTCTGTCTCCCAGACTGGAGTGCAGTACCTTAAGGCTGGGCACGGTGGCTCACGCCTGTAATCCCAGCACTTTGGAAGGCTGAGGCAGGTGGATCATCTGAGGTCAGGAGTTCCAGACCAGCCTGACCAACATGGAGAACCCTGTCTCTACTAAAAATACAAAAAATTAGCCAGGCATGGTGGCACACGCCTGTAATCCCAGCTACTCGGGAGGCTGAGGCAGGAGAATTGCTTGAACCTGGGAGGTGGAGGTTGTGGTGAGCCAAGATCGTGCCATTTCACTCCAGCCTGGGCAACAAGAGCGAAACTCCATCTCAAAAAAAAAAAAGCCTAAACCTCAGCATCACACAATATCCCCTTGTAATAAACCTGCACATGTACTCCCTGAACCTAAAATAAAAATTGAAAAAAAAAAATAAAGAAGGTTAAGTGTGGTGGCTCACACCTGTAATCCCAGCACTCTGGGAGGCCAAGGTAGGAGGACTGCTTGAGTTCAGGAGCTCAAGACCAGCCTGGGCAATGTGGCAAAAACCTGCCTCTCCAAAAAATACCAAAAAAAAAAAAAAAATTAGCTGGGCATAATGGTGACGGCCTATAGTTCTAGCTACTTGGGAGGCTGAGTTGGGAGGATCACTTAAGCCTGGGAGATGGAGGTTGCAGTGAGCTGTGATCGTGCCACTGCACTCCAGCCTGGGCAACAGAGTGAGACCCTCTCTCTAAATAAATAAATAAATAAATAGGACTGGGGGTGGTGGCTCACACCTGTAATCCCAGAACTTTGGGAGGCCACGGTGGGCAGATCACAAGTAAGGAGTTCCAGACCAGCCTGGCCAACATGGTGAAACTCCATCTCTACTAAAAATACAAAAATTAGCCAGGTGTGGTGGCAGGTTCCTGTAATCCCAGCTACTCGGGAGGCTGAGGCAGGAGGACTGCTTGAACCCAGGAGGTGGAGGTTGTGGTGAGCCGAGATCGCGCCACTATACTCCAGCCTGGGCAACAAGAGTGAAACTCCGTCTCAATAAATAAATAAATAAATAAGGCAGGCGCAGTGGCTCACGCCTGTAATCCCAGCACTTTGGGAGGCTGAGGCAGTTGGATCATCTGAGGTCAGGAGTTTGAGACCATGCTGGCCAATGTTGTGAAACCTGGTCTCTACTAAAAACACAAAAATTAGCCAGGTGTGTTGGCTGTAATCCTAGCTTCTTGGGAGGCTGAGGCATGACAACTGCTTGAACCTAGGAGGCAGAGGTTGCAGTGAGCTGAGATTGCACCACTGCCCTTTAGCCTGGGGGACAAAGTGTGACTCTGTCTCAAAAAAATAAAAAATAAAAAAAAATAAAAAAAATAAAAAAAATAAAAATGGTAAGCAGACTGTAGGACCACCTGGACAGTTCCTTCTAAAGGGCACTGGCCTCAGCAAACATTTCTGTGTCTGCTCACAGCCCACCAGAGGCCACCTCAAATGACCGTTTAATTTCCAACAACTGGGAAGCACTGTCTGGCTTTGGAATGTACTGAAACCAAAGTGGAAACAATCACCCATTGTCTGCCTCTGTGCTTATATTGAATTTTTTTCCCAAAATACAAAGCAATATTTATCTTTTGCATCGATGATTCACAATTTAAAGCCATTTTCAAAGTATGAGACGTTAGTGTCTTATGTTATTTAATAAGTTAAAACTTAGGACTGACATCAAGAAGACGATTTGGTGTAGTGGAGACATTGATGGCCCTTGGCTGGATTTGTGTCCACGTGTGGTGTGCATGCAGCTAGACAGGTCTGTTAACAAAATATTTTTGGGGAAGTCTAGTTTCTGGTGGTTAGTTTTTATTTTATTTTTTATTTTTTTAGACGGAGTCTCGCTCTGTTGCCCAGGCTGGAGTGCAGTGGCGCGATCTCGGCTCACTGCAACCTCTGCCTCCCTGGTTCAAGCGATTCTCGTGCCTCAGTCTCTCAAGTAGCTGGGATTACAGGCGCCCACCACCACGCCCAGCTAATTTTTGCATTTTTATTTTTTTATTTTTATTTATTTATTTTTTTTTTTTTGAGACAGAGTCTCCCTCTGTCACCCAGGCTGGAGTGCAGTGGCGCGATCTTGGCTCACTGCAAGCACCGCCTCCCGGGTTCACGCCATTCTCCTGCCTCAGCCTCCCGAGTAGCTGGGACTACAGGCGCCTGCCACCACGCCTGGCTAATTTTTTATATTTTTAGTAGAGACAGGGTTTCACCGTGTTAGCCAGGATGGTCTCGATCTCCTGATCTCGTGATCTGGCGGCCTCGGCCTCCCAAAATGCTGGGATTACAGGCGTGAGCCACCGTGCCCAGCCTAATTTTTGTATTTTTAGTAGAGACAGGTTTTCACCATGTTGGTCAGGCTGGTTTCGAACTCCTGACCTCAAGTGATTTGCCCATCTCAGCCTCCTAAAGTGCTGGAATTACAGACGTGAGCCACCACTCCTGGCCTCTGGTGGTTCCCCTTCCCCTCCTCCTCCCTTTTCCTTTCTTCTTCTTTCTTCCTCTTCTTCTCTCTCCTTTTTTTTTCCTCCACTTTTTCGTATTGTTCCAAGTGTTTTTTTGCAGTGAGGATAGTCTTTTTTTTTTTTTTTTTTTTTGAGACAGAGTCTCACTCTGTCGCCCAGGCTGGAGTGCAGTGGCGTGATCTCGGCTCACTGCAAGCCTGCAACCTCCGCCTCACGGGTTCAAGCAGTTCTCCTACCTCAGCCTCCTGAGGAGCAGGGATTACAGGCATGCGCCACCACGCCCGGCTAGTTTTTGTATTTTTAGTAGAGATGGGGTTTCACCATGTTGGTCAGGCTGGTCTCAAACTGCTGACCTCGTGATCCGCCCGCCTTGGCCTCCCAAAGTGCTGGGATTACAGGCGTGAGCCACCGCGCGCGGCGAGAGGATGGTCATTTTTACAGAAACAAAGTTGTTGTGTGTGTGTGTGTGTATGTTTTTAAATTTTGGGGCTGTTGAATCCATCAGTAGCAAAGGGGCCCAACACGTGTTCGGTTTGGCTGGCTCGATGTTTTTTTCACGAGTGAATTGGATGCTTCCAGTCCTCCCCAGACCCCTGCACTTAACTCCACTGGACTTCACTCTTCCGGCCTGGGAACGAGTGGTCCCGCCCCCGGCAGCTTTTGTCCCGCCCTCGCCGTGGCTCCGCCCCCTTCTCTCCGGCCTGCTCTCTCTCCTCCCTCCGCCCTCCCGTTTTCCATCTGTCGTAAAAGACACGGCGACGCTTGACCGCCGGCGTCGTTTGACGGCTGGAGGCCACCGAGAAGAAGGAGGAAGCAGGGGTGGCGGCTGCTGCGGCGGTTGCGGCGGGGGCCGGGGTGGGCGCCGCGGTCCGGGCCGGGCAGTGAGGCGCGGGCGGCCGGGCCGGTGGGCTGGGCGGCGGGCCCGGCGGCCGCCCTCGCACCCTTGCCCGCGCCTGGCGGCCCGATGTGGCTGCAGCAGCGGCTCAAGGGGCTGCCGGGACTGCTGTCGAGCAGCTGGGCCCGCCGCCTCCTCTGCCTGCTTGGCCTCCTGCTGCTGCTTCTGTGGTTTGGGGGGTCCGGCGCGCGGCGGGCGGCGGGCGGCCTGCACCTGCTGCCCTGGTCCCGCGGTGAGCCGGGCGCCGCCGAGCCGTCTGCCTGCCTGGAGGCGGCCACCCGCGCCTGGCGCGGCCTGCGGGAGCGCGGTGAGGTGGTACCGCTGGGTCCTGGAGTGCCGGCCCTGGTGGCCAACGGCTTCCTGGCCCTGGACGTGGCTGCCAATCGGCTGTGGGTGACTCCCGGGGAGCGGGAGCCCGCCGTGGCGCCGGACTTTGTGCCCTTCGTGCAGCTGCGCCCGCTGAGCGCGCTGGCTGAAGCTGGAGAGGCGGTGCTGCTGCTGCGGGAGGGGCTTCTGCGCCGCGTGCGTTGCCTGCAGCTGGGGTCCCCAGGTCCTGGCCCCGTGGCCGCCGGCCCCGGGCCCGCCTCCGTCTCTGGCCTTGCCGCGGGGTCCGGCCGCGACTGCGTGCTGCTGCAAGAGGACTTTCTGGCGCACAGGGGCCGACCCCACGTCTACCTGCAGCGCATCCAGCTCAACAACCCCACGGAGCGCGTGGCCGCGCTGCAGACTGTGGGGCCCACTGCCGGCCCAGCCCCCAAGGCCTTCACCAGTACCCTGGAGAAGGTCGGAGACCATCAGTTCCTCCTCTACTCAGGCCGGTCCCCGCCTACGCCCACTGGGTTGGTGCACCTGGTGGTGGTGGCCGCCAAGAAGCTGGTGAACCGCCTCCAAGTGGCTCCCAAGACGCAGCTGGATGAGACGGTGCTGTGGGTGGTGCACGTCTCTGGCCCCATTAACCCCCAGGTGCTCAAAAGCAAAGCAGCCAAGGAGCTCAAGGCGCTGCAGGACTTGGCACGGAAGGAAATGCTGGAGCTCTTGGACATGCCAGCGGCGGAGCTGCTTCAAGACCACCAGCTCCTCTGGGCTCAGCTCTTCAGCCCAGGTGAGTCCTGGCCAGCGCTTGGTCCACCCTAGATATGTCCCTCCCAAGTCTGCAGAGGTGACACTGAAGGTGATGGTGGGGTGGTTGAAACTTGGGCTTGGCGTTTCACCAGTGGTTGAATCTGCTCAACTGCTTAGTGTCTGTGCGACCTTTGGATTCGTCGCCTAATCTCTCTGGGCCTGTATTTAATAACAATAACGCCTACCTCAGAAGGTTTTTATGAGACTGTAGTGGACAATTGAGTGTAAAGGTCAATTCTTTCTGTTACTTGTTTTGGTAGATGGGGCCTGATGTGAGCAGAGTGAAGTGTTTTAGAGTCAGTTTGCAGAGGTGAAACCAGCAGGTGGATCCCCTGATTCTTTGCTCAGCACCGCAGTCGGCCTGGTGACAGACGTGGGCTTCTTGACATAACCCCTGCTAGGCTGAGGTGCGTCCTGGCAGTTGTGGCTGCAACTGGTTCACAGGGAGGTTGGAGAATCCCTTTTAGCAGGTTGAGATGCTCCCGCCCGATGAAAACTCTCCTCTCGTTGACTGTTAAAGAAAAGAAAATCCTGTTCTGGATGAGAGAGGGGTTTTGGTTTCCAGGGTTCCAATTGTCTGAACCTTTGTGTTTGGTTGCTCAGAGAGTTGAGTTCATTCAGCAAGTATCTATTGAATGCTTCTGCCAGGGCTGTTCTATGCATGGGGGGGTGCAGATGGGAACCAGAGTTCCTGTTCTCATGGTGCTTGCTTAAATTCTGGTTGGGAGGAAGACAGACATTAGAAAAGTGAAAATTAAAATTAAAATAAGGCATCTTTTTAGGCTAGAATGTGCTGGCTGGGCGCGGTGGCTCACGCTGTAATCCCAGCACTTTGGGAGGCTGAGGCAGGTGGATCACCTGAGGTCAGGAGTTCAAGCCAACCTGGCCAACGTGGCGAAACCTTGTCTCTACTAAAAATACAAAACTTAACCTGACCTCATGATCCGTCCACCTTGGCCTCCCAAAGTGCTGGGATTACAGGCGTGAGCCACCGCGCCCGGCGAGAGGATGGTCATCTTCACAGAAACAAAGTTGTGTGTGTGTATGTTTTTAAATCTTAGGGCTGTTGAATCCATCAGTAGCAAAGGGGCCCAGCACGTGTTTATTCAGCAAGTGTCTATTGAATGCTTCTGCCAGGGCTGTTTTAGGCATGGGTGGTGGCCTGCACCTGTAGTCCCAGCTACTCAAAGGCTGAGACGGGAGAATCACTTGAACCCGGGAGGCGGAGGCTGTAGTAACCTGAGATCGTTCCACTGCACTCAAGCCTGGGCAACACAGTGAGACTCTGTCTCAATAAACAAATAAATACATACATACATAAAGCTACAAGACTGGAGAGAGAAAGGACAGAGAGGAGAAGTGGCCTGAGACTGGCCTCAGCACTGGTGACTGATCTGGCGCAGGATGTCTGACCATAGGGTTGGTGCCAAGTCCTGGCTAAGTCTGTGTTCCTCTGGGCTCTGGCACCAGGCCCCGCTGCTTTTTAACAGGATTCTAGATTTCAGGCCCACAGGCTCAAGTTGGTCGTGTAAACAAGACAGGCTGACTTTCTTCTATACTTTAGGGAGATGGGCACCACTGTCTTTATCATTAAGGCACAACACCTCACTCTTCTGCTGCCCTTGGTCTTTATTTCGTATGCTCTGCCTCCCAGCTGTCCTTCCCCCTTAACATGCCGCTTTCATGGTGTTGCAGGAGTGGAAATGAAGAAGATCACTGACACCCACACGCCGTCTGGCCTCACCGTGAACCTGACGCTCTATTACATGCTCTCCTGCTCGCCAGCCCCACTGCTCAGCCCCTCCCTGAGCCACAGGGAGCGAGACCAGATGGAGTCGACGCTCAACTATGAAGATCACTGCTTCAGCGGGCACGCCACCATGCACGCCGAGAACCTGTGGCCGGGGCGGCTGTCCTCCGTCCAGCAGATCCTGCAGCTCTCTGACCTGTGGAGGCTGACCCTCCAGAAGCGTGGCTGCAAGGGGCTGGTGAAGGTGGGTGCCCCAGGCATCCTGCAGGGGATGGTGCTCAGCTTTGGGGGGCTGCAGTTCACAGAGAACCACCTCCAGTTCCAGGCCGACCCCGACGTGCTGCACAACAGCTATGCATTGCATGGCATCCGCTACAAGAACGACCATATCAACCTGGCCGTGCTGGCGGATGCCGAGGGCAAGCCCTACCTACACGTGTCCGTGGAGTCCCGTGGCCAGCCTGTCAAGATCTATGCCTGCAAGGCAGGCTGCCTGGACGAGCCAGTGGAGCTGACCTCGGCGCCCACGGGCCACACCTTCTCGGTCATGGTGACACAGCCCATCACGCCACTGCTCTACATCTCCACCGACCTCACACACCTGCAGGACCTGCGGCACACGCTGCACCTCAAGGCCATCCTGGCCCATGATGAGCACATGGCCCAGCAGGACCCCGGGCTGCCCTTCCTCTTCTGGTTCAGCGTGGCCTCCCTAATCACCCTCTTCCACCTCTTCCTCTTCAAGCTCATCTACAACGAGTACTGTGGGCCTGGAGCCAAGCCCCTCTTCAGGAGTAAGGTAGGAAGCCGCCATCTGGTCGAAACCCGAGGCCTTGGCCTTGCTCTCAGCCCTGTGTCTCGGAAGGGGCTAGCCTGGCGAGGGGGGGTGAGGCCTGGGCAGGAATGGGTGTCCTGATGCCCTCAGCCCTTGACACCAGAGAGCGCGCACAAGTGTTTTGAGAGGAGACGACGAGGAAGGGAAAGCTGGAAATCCAGGTGTGAATTGATGGTCTTCTGGCTTTCCAGGGCAGCCCTCCCCTCCTCCCGCATCATAAATCTCAGCATTTAAAAATAACTGCAAGCTGGGTGTGGTGGCTTGTGCCTGTAGTCCCAGCTACTTGGGAGGCTGAGATGGGAGAATCCCTTGAGCCCAGGAGTTTGAGGCTGCAGTGAACTATGATTGTGTCATTGCACTCTAGCTGGGGCAACAGAGCAAGACCCTGTCTCAAAAAAGCAAAAAACAAAAAAGCAAATAAAAGTAAAAAAAAAAAAAAAAAAAAAATTAGAGGCAGGGCCTGGTGGCTCATGCCTATAATCTCAACACTTTGGGAGGCCGAGGTGGGAGGATCCTTCGAGCCCAGTAGTTTGAGACCAGCCTGGGCAGGATAACGAGGACTTGTCTCTACAAAAAATTTAAAAATCAGCCAGGCGTGATGGTGCACGCTTGTAGTCCCAGCTACTTAGGAGGCTGAGGTGGGAGGATCACTTGAGCCCAGGAGTTTGAGACTGCAGTGAGCTGTGATTACACCATTGCACTCCATCCCAGGTGACAGAGTGAGACCCTGTCTAAAAATAATAATAATGAGGCTGGGTGCAGTGGCTCATGCCTATAATCCCAGTACTTTGGGAGGCTGAGGCGGGCAGATCACCTGAGGTCAGGAGTTCAAGACCAGCCTGGCCAACACGGTGAAACCCCATCTGTACTAAAAATACAAAAATTAGCTGGGCATGGTGGTGCATGCCTGTAATTCCAGCTACTCGGGAGGCTGAGGCAGGAGAATTGCTTGAACCCGGGAGACGGAGGTTGCAGTGACCCGAGATCATGCCAGTGCACTCCAGCCTGGGTGACAGAGTGAGACTCTGTCTCAAAAAAATAAAAAATAAATAATAAATAATAATAATAATAAAATAAAAATAACTGCAACAAGCCCCTAGATTGACTTGAAGCCTCTGTCTGAACTGCTGGCGGGATCCCCAGCTTCCCCCCATGTGCCTGTTCATGGCATGCAGAGGTCAGCCCCTTGCTCCAGGCCTCGGACCAGAGTGGCCATCTCGTTAGCATAGGACACAGGACAGAAGCATTGCCCTCAAGTTTCCTGAGACATGTTTGCCCCTGGAAGCGGTGATTTTGGCCATCATTGCTGCAAGACTGTCATCGGGGCAGCATCTTAGCATCAGCATTGCTGTCGCGGGGTGAGGCTGCCTACTGTGCCCTGCCGCCCGGCCTTCTGTGCTTCCTCAGGAGAAAGACCAGCAGGGATTCCAGGGGGAGGCCTTTGTTAGCAGTTGTAGAAGAAAATGTTTCCCAAAGAGCTGAGCTGTTTCCCTTTCTCTTCTCTCCTCCTGTATCCCGTCTCCTCCCCTCTACTCTTCCTCCCCTCCCCTCCCTTCTCTTCTTTTCTCCTTTATCTTCTCTTTTTAAACTGTAGTGACAGTAGAGAGGTATATTAGGCTCTGCGTCTGTGCCCCCAAGTAGTCAGAGAGCCCAGATCCCACCCTGGAGAAATGGGAAGTGTCCCATCACATCCACAGGGATGCCTGCGGCTTCTAGTTTCTGGCCCAAGACCAGGACTTGGAAAAGGAAGCAGAACTTGACCTGAAAGAGCAGAAGAGTGGGAGACAGGGCTGAGTTCCTCAAGTTCGAAGAAAAATCAAAAGTCAGATCAAAAAGGACTGCACAGAGGCCTTCCTTGTGAGCCGCCTCTGAACTAGCTGCACTAGGACAGGTGCCAAATGTGCATCGTGTGGGTTTTGCCGTCTGTTTGGCAGGCGGCTGCTTTTCCCTGCTGCTTGGTGGCTTCTCTGCCCTCGCTCTTGAGTGCACCTTCGGTTCCTCCCACAGTTGGGCAAATGAGCCAAACTACCTTCATGGGGTACTGACCGATCTCTCCTTGACTTAGGCTCAAGCTGGGCCATGCCAGAGTGGAGCCAGTGAACACTCAGCTCCAGAAGGGCCCAGGCCACTGAGTCCGTGGTAATTCTGCAAGGCTGGGTCAGAGCCAGGGTGTGGTGCCACTAGGGTTGTCTCCGTAGCCTATTTCTATAGCTGGCCACTGGGGTTGGCAGTGAACAGTAATCACACTTGTTTTGTGAATTGAACAGGAAGATCCCAGTGTCTGAGTGAACTAACAGTCCTGCTTTCAGCCACCATTTGCACAAGACACCCAGCACTGAAAGTCCCGCTGCCAGGAGCAAGGGATCCTTTGGAAGCACCCGCCCTTTGTGCCTTGTTGGGGGAAACCGGTGACGCAGAAGTGAGTGTGGATACACCAGAGTTTGCATTGGAAGGAATGAGTGTCACGTGGGGAGGGAAGGGGCCAGTGGACCTTTTGTAAGCTTTCCACTCAATAAAATGAACCTGTATGGCAAATACTTGAAATGGAACTCACTCCTTCCACTTTCCCCCTTTCTTCTGTCCCAGGAAATAGATCATCTTTTGAAAAGACTCTTGTCTAGGAAAAGTTGTGTCCTTTTCCTAATTTAACGTGTTCTTTCTTAATGAAGTTTTAATTTATTTTTGTTGAGATTTTGCTAGATGGCTTTTGCATCCCCTGTAGATGGTGAGTGTTGGCGGTGATGTCCATCTCGGCGTTCGGAGGCCCCACGGTCCCGAGGCTGGGCCGGGGCCCCCCAGGGTGGCTGTGCTGCTGCCTGTAGGAGGGTGCGGGTTGTGCTGTCATCCTCGGGTTTGCACGCCCTTTTTTAGGAGCCTGTGGACATCTGTGGTTTTGTACTTTGGGGCTTCAGGGGAGGTGTTTAACTTTCTAGTGATTGATGATTGTCAGGTTTTGAAATACCAAAGCTTTTTTGTTCTGTTTTTAAATAAATATCTTTCAAACTTTCACGACCGGTTTGTGTGTGGTTGAAACCTGGAGACATGCACCACGTCTGCCCTCAGCACTAGATCTGTCAGAAGCAGGACACCCACCCGGCCCTGCTGTCACAATGCTATTCCTTTCTGGTATGTTCTACCTCTCTTCAAAGGAGTCTGCCCAGAAGATGTGTTGTTTGCCACCTTTCTGCTCGCCAGGGGGTTGCTGAGTGGCCCTGCTGAGTGGGTTGCTTCTGGCATTACCCTAGCTCCTTCCCTGCTAAGATGCCCTCTCCCCCACCTGCCCTAAAGAGCCAGGGTTCTCCTGCCCTGGGTTTTGCTGGCTATAGGACGTCAGCAAGACAAACCCTGAGTGGTTCTTCTCCAGGTTGTCTGCTGAAGCCACCATCAGATGCCTCCCCTCTGTGGGGAGGAGAAGGGTCCACTCTGGGGACCAAAAAGGGGCCGAGCCGGGCATGGCAGTCCACCTGCGGGGCTGTCCTCAGCGTCTTGGCGTTTAGACTTTCTCTGCGTTCCCAGACAGCATTTTAAGCAGCATGACTCACCGGGAAGCCTGGTCTGCCTGCAAAGCAGCCAAATGTCTGGCCCACAGCCGATGGTTATGAGAGTAAACTCAAGCTCTGCTTTTAGTGGCACTGGTCACCCACTTACTTCTGTCCATGCAGCACCTTCTCCCCTGGCTCATGCAGAGCTCTGACATGTGATCTTCCAGCCGTGGGCCACGGGCTGGTTCACCTATTACAGAGTGGGAACCTCCTGGGGTGCAATTGGTGTCATTTACAGTGTGACATTAAACGGAAAGCTGTTAGACCACAACAACTGCAGCTCCCATTCCTTCTTGAACTTGGAACTGGGCATGTTGTAGGCTCCCATAAATGTAAAACAAGACCGGGCGTGGTGGCTCACGCCTGTAATCCCAACACTTTGGGAGGCTGAGGTGAGCAGATCACCAGAGGGCGGGAGTTCAAGACCAGCCTGACCAAGATGGAGAAACCCCATCTCCACTAAAAATACAAAATTATCCAGGCGTGGTGGTGCATGCCTGTAATCCCAGCTACTCGGGAGGGTGAGGCAGGAGAATCACTTGAACCTGGAAGGCGGAGGTTGTGGTGAGCCGAGATCGCGCCATTGCACTCCAGCCTGGGCAACAAGAGCGAAACTCCATCTCAAAAAAACAAACCTTTGTATGTGGTGCCTGAGAAATACCTATCGAATGATTAGAATGTCAATAAACTGAGGTTTGTAAAGTACAGCTCTCATTAAGTGCTCACCATACGTGTTAGATATTTCACATCAACATGGCCTTTTGGGATGAAGAGGTTGCTGGGGGTTAAGATCCCAGTTTGAGAGATGTGGAACCTGGACCTCACACAGTGAATCATTTGTCCAAGGCCACGCGACCATGGAGTGACTGGAGTGCAAACTCTGCCTCGATGCCGGTGCAGGCTTGCTTGGATCCCCACACTGCCATTTCTCCCCATGGTGTGCGTCTGATGGCTTCTGTGGCATGGCTCAGTGTCCACAGGGCTTCCAGCTGGCCACCATGGTAGAGAGGAGATGCTGGTGGTCCATGGTGGAGCGGGCCAAGCAGTAACCCTGGTGGGTCCCATCTGCACGGTCCAGTGGAGGCTGTGGCTGCACAGAGAGCCTTTTTCTTTTTTTTCTTTTTGAGACAGGGTCTCGCTGTCACCCAGGCTGGAGTGAAGTGGCACGATCTCGGCTCACTGCAAGCTCCACCTCCCAGGTTCATGCCATTCGCCTGCCTCAGCCTCCTGAGTAGCTGGGACTGCAGGCGCCCGCCACCACGCCTGGCTAATTTTCTGTATTTTTAGTAGAGACGGGGTTTCACCATGTTAGCCAGGATGGTCTTGATCTCCTGACCTCGTGATCTGCCCGCCTCGGCCTCCCAAAGTGCTGGGATTACAGGAGTGAGCCACCGCGCCCGGCCACAGAGAGCCTTTTTCAAATTGCTTTTTCAGGGCCTGAAATCTGGTGTGGAAAATTTAATTGCATACTATCTGAAGCTTCCCAACAGCCGAGACATTGGTTTGGAAATGTGTTCACTCCCTGAAAATCCACCTGCACCTCATACCTCTGTCCCATCTCACATCCTCTCAACCACCTCTTTTTTTTTTTTTTTTTTTTTTTTTTTTTTTTGAGACGGGGTCTCATTCTGTTGTCCAGGCTGGAGGGCCGTATGGCAGTCTCAGCTCACTGCAACCTCCTCCTCCCAGGTTCAAGCGATTCTCCTGCTTCACTCAGCCTCCTGAGCAGCTGGGATTACAGGCGTGTGCCACCACACCTGGCTAATTTTTGTATTTTTGGAAGAGACGGGGTTTTACCATGTTGGCCAGGCTGGTCTTGAACTCCTGACCTCAGGTGATCCACCCACCTCTGCCTCCCAAAGTGCTGGGATTACAGACTTGAGCCATCGCACCCGGCCTCTCTCAGCCACCTTGACTCCTGCCATTGTGGCGACAGCCAGCTCTGCATGGGTCTGAGTGTCCTGGCAGCACCCAACATCAGCCTCTGTCATCTTTAGGAAGCTGCGAGGCACTCAGGCATATGTAGCCTTGAAGCATGTGAATGACAACACCGTTTGGGGCCACCCTTCACCCGTGGGACATGGAGCCAGTAGACACAAGCTCTCCTCTTCTGTCACTGGCGTGGACAATTCGGAGGCACATTTTATTCGGCTCCTCAGAAGGTGCTACGGTTTGGATATGGTTTGTTGACATTTGGCCCTCAGTGTGGCAGTGTTGGGAGGTGGGGCTTTGTGGGAGGTGTTTGGGTCACGAGAGTGGATCCCTCATGGATGGCTTGGTGCCTTCTCTCAGGAGTGAGTGAGTTCTTCCTCTTGTGGGAATGGATTAGTTCCCGAGAGAGCAGGTTGTTATAAAACCAGGAAGCCCCTTGGGTTTTGCTTCTTTACACGTGTCTGCTTCCCCTTCAACCTTCTCCACCATGCTACGAGGCCAGGCAGATGCTGGCACCATGCCCTCGAACTTCTCAGCATGCAGAGCCGTAAGGTAAATAAACCTCTTTTCTTGACTGGGCATGGTGGTTCACGCCTGTAATCCCAGCACTTTGGGAGGCCAAGGCGGGTGGATCACGAGGTCAGGAGATCGAGACCACCCTGGCCAACATGGTGAAACCCTGTCTCTACTAAAAATACAAAAATTGGCCGGGCGTGGTAGCTCATGCCTGTAATCCCAGTACTTTGGGAGGCCAAGGCGGGCGGATCATGAGGTCAGGAGATCGAGACCATCCTGGCTAACACAGTGAAACCACATCTCTACTAAAAATACAAAAAAATTAGCCGGGCATGGTGGTGGGCACCTGTAGTCCCAGCTACTCGGGAGGCTGAGGCAGGAGAATGGCGTGAACCCGGGAGGCGGAGCTTGCAGTGAGCCAAGATTGCGCCACTGCACTCCAGCCTGGGCAACAGAGCAAGACTCCGTCTCAAAACAAAACAAAACAAAGCAAAAAAAACACACAAACATTAGCTGAGTATGGTGGCACATGCCCGTATCCCAGCTACACAGGAGACTGAGGCAGAAGAATCGCTTGAACCAAGGAGTCAAAGGTTGCAGTGAGCCAAGATCATGCCACTGCACTCCAGCCTGGCGACAGAGCGACACTCCGCCTCAAAAAAAAAAAAAAAAAAAAAACCTCTTTTCTTTATAAATTACCCAGCCCCAGGTATTCTGTTATAGCAACATGACATGGACTGAAACAGAAGGTCCCCACAAGATCAAGCCCCGGGTAGGAGACCCAGGCTAAGGCACTAACCAAGAGGCCTGTGGCTCCTCTGGACGATTTTTCCAGGAGGAAGTGGGATTCTCCGTGGCCACTGACATGGGCTGAATTGTGTCCCCTCCTCAAATTTCTACGTTGAAATTTTTTTTTTTTTTTTTTTTTTGAGAACTGTGGAGTGCACCCAGGCTGGAGTGCAGTGACGTGAACATGGCTCACCACAGCCTCAACCTCCTGGGCCCAGGCAATCCTCCTATCTCGGCTCCCCAAGTAGCTGGGACTGCAGGTGTGCACTACCACACCTGGCCAGTTTTTGTATTTTTTGTAGAGATGGGGCTTTGCCATGTTGCCCAGGCTGGTTTCAAGCTCCTGAGCTCAAGTATTCCACCTGCCTCAGCCTCCCAGAGTGCTGGGATGACACGTGTGAGCCATCATACCAGGCCCCTGTGTTGATGTCCTAACTTCCAATGTGATAGGATTAGGAGGTGGGGCTTTTAGGGGGGTTCTTAGGTCATGAGGGTAGAGTCCTCATGAATGGGATTAGGGCCCTTCTAAGGGGGCCCCACAGAGCTGCCTCACCCTCTTTCCGCCATATGAGAATGCAATGAGAAGACAGCAGTCTGCAACCGGAAAGAGGGGCCCCACTAGAACCCAACCATGCTGGCACTGTGATTTCGAACTTCAGTCTCTGGAACTGGGAGAAATCAATTTCTGCTGTTTTGAAGCTGCCCGGTCTACGGTATATTGTTAGAGCAGCCGGAACACACCAATACGGGCATATCCTTCCAGCGGAGAAATGGAACTCTTCTCTGGTGATAACAAACCAAGAATACAGAGAGTCATAGGACCGTGGATGCTTCTTTTTTTTTTTTTTAGACAAGGTCTCGCTCTGTCGCCCAGGCTGGAGTGCAGTGGTGCAATCACAGCTCACTGCGGCCTCAGCCTTATGGGCTCAAGCAACCCTCCCACCTCAGCCTCCTGAGTAGCTGGGACTACTCAGCCTGGCTAATTTTTTTTGTATATCTTGTAGAGACGGGGTTTCACCATGTTGCCCAGGCTGGTCTCAAACTCCTGAGCTCAATCGATCCGCCCACCTCAGCCTCCTAAACTGCTGGGATTATAGGCGTGAGCCACCGTGCCTGGCCAAATAAATCTTAGGGTATTTCTGGTGCAGGAGTAACCAGATTCTGACTGAGCACAGTGGCTCACACCTGTAATCCCAGCACTTTGGGAGGCTGAGACAGGAGGATCTCTTGAGCCCAAGACTTCGAGACCAGCCTGAGTGATATAGTGAGACCTTGTCTCTACAGAAAATTTTAAAAGTTAGCTGAGCATGGTGGTGGCGTGCACCTGTGATTCCAGTTACTTGGGAGGCTAAGGTGGGAGGATCGCTTGAGCCCAGGAGGTGGAGGTTGCAGTGAGCCAAGATCATACCACTGTACTCCAGCCTATGTGACAGAGTAAGATCCTATATCAAAACAAAACAAAAACAAACAAAAAAACCCACAAAACCAAAAACTGGTTAAACAAAAGGAAGAGTATTGGTTCACATAACAGTGTAGCTTAGTAGGAGCTTCAGGAACGGTTTGATCCAGGACTCAAGTGATTTAGGGATGCATTAGTATCTCTTAGCTCTGTTTCCTGTAGATTGGCTTCCATCCTCAGACTGGCTACCCTTATGGTAACAAAAATGGCCACAGTTATCACAAGCTTGATGCCCTCCTAGCATTAAACCCACTGGAATCCAAGTCCTGGTGTTCCTACCCAAAAAGCTGAGGCTCACCTCTGCACAGCCCAGCCCTAAGTCAATCACTGTGGCCAGGGTGAAAGGGATATGCTAATTAGGATAGGCTGGCCAGGCCGTCTCAGAGCTGGGGTAGGGTCAACCTCCAACCACTGAACAGACACTAATCAGAGAGGAGCAGCTTCCCAGAGGAAATTGTGGGTACTCTTGTCACGGATGAGGGCGAATAGATGTTGGCAGCGCAGTACAGACCTCCAGTATTCCTGCAAGGTGAGTGTCAGTCCTGTTTTACAGATGAGGAAAGTGAGGCTCCCAGATGATAAGTCATTAAGCCAAAGTCACATAATTTGTGGAGTCAGGGATGCGTTCCCAAGCCTGTCCAGCTCCAAAACTAGATGCTCCCACTACTAGCTCAAGTGATGGCAGACACATTTTGGAAACAACCACCCGCCCTACGTTTCCAGAAGCAGCATCAATTTCTGCCAGGCAGGGACGTTTTTCCTTTTCATCCCGGAATCTCTCTGGGCAGGGAAGGCTTGAGGAGCCTCTGAAGAGCAGGCAGGACATTGGTGGACGGCACTTACTTCCAGGCTCATGAACCTGGTGGGAGGAGCTTAGCCCTGGCGTGAGAGCGAATTCTCTCTAGGAATCTTTTTTGACTGGAACTCAAAGGGGAACAACACAGACACACCTCAGCGAATGCAGCCTGCAGGAGAGACAGACGAGTGTGGACGGAGGATTACCCAGGTGCCGAGGCAAGAGACTGAAGGCACAAACTGTTTCAGTATAATAAACAAAATAGTTAGAATGAGAATAGTTATAATACAAATTAGATATAGAGATGATCATGGACATTATAAATCATTAGTATAAACATTATTAATCATTAACTTTTAATATTACTCTTTGTTGTATAACCAAGGAATAACCGGCGGGTATAGGGACAGGGGCTGAAGGGACATTGTGAGAAGTGACCAAGAAGGCAAGAGGTGAGCCCTCTGTCACACCTGCATCAGGGCCGCTTGAGGGCTCCTTGGTCAAGTGGTAATGCCAGTGCCTGGGAAGGCACCCGTTACTTAGCAAACCGTGAAAGGGAGTCTCCGTTTCCTTGGAGGAGTCAGGGAACACTCTGCTCCACCAGCTTCTTGTGGGAGGCTGGATATTATCCAGGCCTGCCCGCAGTCATCCGGAGGCCTAAACCCCTCCCTGTGGTGCTGTGCTTCCATGGTCACGCTCCTTGTCCACTTTCATGCTCTTCCCGTACTCCTGGTTCCTCTTTGAAGTTCTTAGAAGATAGCGGTAGAAGAAATAGTGAAAATCTTAAAGTCTTTGATCGAATTTCTGATAAGTGCACAGAAGAAAACGCTGACGTATGCTGCCTTCCCTCTCTGCTTCAGCTACCTAAAAGGAAAGGGACCCCTGTCCTATGATCACGTGACTTGCTTGACCTTATCAATCACTTGGACGACCCACCTTCCTTACCCTGCCTGCCCCCCTTGTCTTGTATACAATAAATATCAGCGCGCCCAGCCATTCGGGGCCACTACCGGTCTTCGTGTTTTGGTGGTAGTGGTCCCCCAGGCCCAGCTGTTTTCTATTTATCTCTTTGTCTTGTGTCTTTATTTCTTACTATGTCTGTCTCCGCACATGGGGAGAACACCCGCCAAACCCCGTAGGGCTGGACCCTATAGACGAGAAAGTGGATGATGATACTGCAGTCAGGGCTGCGGGACTATGGGGCAGGGACATCTAACCTCCCCTTGAAAGTCAGGGAGGTCTTCCTGGAGGAAGGTGAAACCTCCAATCTGGAAACCGAAAGATGATGGGAGTCAGCCAAGCTAAGCAGTGGAGAGCCTGAGTGAACGAATGAATGCACAGAGGTGGGTGGGTGTAGGGAAGCCAGGGAGCCTTTATTTTGAAACAGGGTCTCCCAGGCTGCAGTGCAGTGGTACAATCATGGCTCACTGCAGCCTCGAGCTCTTGGGCTCAAGTGATCCTCCCACCTCAGCCTCCTGAGTAGCTGGGACCACAAGTGCATGCTACCACACCCGGCTAATTTTTTAAAAATGTTCTGTAGAGATGGGGCCTCGCCATGTTGCCCGGGCTGGCCTCAAACTCCTGGGCTCAAGCGATCCTTCCGCCTCGGCCTCCCAAAGTGTTGGATTACAGGTGTGAGCCACTGCACCCACCCAAGAATTGGATTTCTTCATTGGCATCACTGACCTCTAGGGACAAAGGGTGGGCTCTGGCCCTAATTCACGGCAACAGTGACATTAGAGATCATCATTCCTCCCATGGACGTATCCCTTCTTCTCTCCTTATTACTGTCATAATTTTAGCCAATCTACAGCTTCCCTGAAAACCAAAGAACGGTTTTATCACCATGTTTTACAAAGTGCAAATTGAGACCCGGTGAAAAACAGTGACTTGCTAAAGGTCAAAGGTCACTCATGGAGTTGGGTGGTGGCACCCTTGCAGGATGTACCCCCAGCCAATGGTGTGTTAATCATTACCTCTGCTAACAGCTTGTGATGGTTAATGGTAAGCGTCAGGAGTTCGAGACCAGCCTGGCCAACATGGTGAAACCCCATCTCTGCTAAAAATACAAAACATTAGCCGAGTGTGGTGGCGGGTGCCTGTAATCCCAGCTACTTGGGAGGCTGAGGCAAGAGAATCGCTTGAACCTAGGAGACAGAGGTTGCAGTGACCCGAGATCGTGCCATTGCACTCCAGCCTGGGTGACAGAGAGAAACTTCATCTCAAAAAAAAAAAAAAAAAAAAAAACCAAAAAAACAGTGTCAACTTGATTGCATCAAAGGATGCAAAGTATTGTTTCTGGGTGTATCTGGATGTTTCTGGGCGTGGCCAGAATAGATTAACACTTGAGTCAGTGGACTGGGACAGGAAGACCCACTCACAGTGTCGGGGGCACCATCCAGTCGGCTGCCAGCACAGCTAGAAAAAGCAGGCAGAAGAAGGTGGAAAAAGCCGACTTGCCGGGTCCTCCGGGCTTCATCTTTCTCCCGTGCTGGAGGCTTCCTGCCCTTGAACATCAGACTCCAAGTTCTTCAGCTTTTGGACTCTTGGACTTACACCAGTGGTTTGCTGGGGGCTCTCAGGCCTTCAGCCACAGATTGAAGGCTGCACTGTCAGCTTGCCTACTTTTGAGGTTTTGGGACCTGGACTGAGCCACTGCTGGCTTCCTTGATCCTCAACTTGCAGGCGGCTTATCATGGGACTTGACCTTGTGATCGTGTGAGTCAATTCTCCTTAATAAAGTCCCTCTCATATATACGTAGATCCTATTGGTCCTGTCCCTCTAGAGAACCCTAACACACACGTGGAGGAGAGCTCTGAAAACCCGGGCCAGGGACCAGTGTGACTGCTCTGTGGCTGTCCTGGGAGACGGCAACACTGGGCAAGTGAGCTCGTGAGAAAGGCTGGGGCTCCTCTCAGAATAAAACCTTGGGAAGAGACAACTACACAGCATTCGCAGGGGCCGGGCGCAGTAGCTCACGCCTGTAATCCCAGCACTTTGGGAGGCCGAGGCAGGCGGATCACCTTAGGTCAGGAGTTCGAGACCAGCCTGGCCAACATGGTGAAACCCCATCTCTACTAAAAATACAAAAATTAGCCGGGCATGGTGGCTCACACCTGTAATCCCAGCTACTCGGGAAGCTGAGGCAGGAGAATCGCTTGAACCCAGGAGGCGGAGGTTGCAGTGAGCTGAGATCGCACCACAGCACTCCAGCCTGGGTGACAAGAGCAAGACTCCATCTCAAACAAACAAAACCTTTCTCTTGTCATGTAACCCATACATACACATGCTATGTACCCACAAACATTAAAAATCAGAAATTTAAGACAAAACAAAAGCAACAGAAAACCTTTTTTTGAGGAGTCCCTAAGGCTTCACCAGTTTGTCAAAATTGGAGCTTGATTGCTGAGACTTTATTTGCATACCCACAATGCATTGTGCACCAAATAATTTTCGTCTTTAAAATTACTAGTCCCCTTTTTCCTTCAATCTATCTTTCCTGAAACTGAGATTGCTGTTCCAGAATTGTCTGAAGAAAAAGGCAGAAGTCAATAGCTCTTTTGGGCAGAAAGAAATTTACCATTAGCCTGTTGGGAGTAGCCATTACCTGAGAACTGAGTGCCACTCATCGAAGTTCTTACTCTAGTTTCTCTTCATATCGCATAAATCTTTCGCCTTTTACTAAAGATTTCCGTGGAGAGGAATAATTCTGAGTTTTAAACCAATTTTTTAGAGGTCTTGCATTTTTTAGCAAGGCTTATTTGAGCGTTTTAAAAGTAGATGCCCTTAGCCATTACGACGGTTCGTATTTACTCTGAAACAAGAAACACACTCAAAACTCAGAGAAAACATTGTTCCCTAGTATTTGAGTCTGAAGGACCAGAGCTGGCTTCTGGAGGAGCAGCTGGCCTTGGGGGAAAAGGACAATTTACCCTCCTACGTAGCTTGAATGGGGCTTTGAGTCGCATGGCGGGGCACGGCGGGGCACGGCGGGGCACGGCGGGGCACGGCGGGGCTGGGCTGTGGGCGGCTGCTTCAGGGCCTGAGCCCGGGGTAGATTTTTTTTTTTTTTTTTTTTTTTTTTTGAGACAGAGTCTCGCTCTGTCGCTCAGGATCGAGTGCAGTGGCGCGATCTCGGTTCACTGCAACCTCCGCCTTCCAGGTTCAAGCGATTCTCCTGCCTCAGCCTCCCGAGTGGCTGTGATTACAGGCATGCGCCCTCCTGCCCGGCTAATTTTTGTATTTTTAGTAGAGACGGGGTTTCTCCATGTTGGCCAGGCCAGTCTCGAACTCCTGACCTCAGGTGATCCGCAGGTGATCCGCCCGCCTCGGCCTCCCAAAGTGCTGGGATTACAGGCGTGAGCCACCGCGCCCGGCCTGGGGGTCAGGATTTTTTGCGATGGATTTCCTCCCTCCTTTACTGGGACAGACCCTGCTAGTTTTTCCTCCCCAGTACTCAACCTCTCTCTAGAATCTCCTATCGCTAGCAGGGCTCACGGCTACCTGAAGGCATGACTGCACTTCCCAGCCTCCCTTGCGGCTGAGACGAATTCTGGCCAATGGGAGTGGCTGGAAA
The DNA here is from genome assembly GCF_000001405.40 of Homo sapiens. Classification (NCBI taxonomy): domain Eukaryota; kingdom Metazoa; phylum Chordata; class Mammalia; order Primates; family Hominidae; genus Homo; species Homo sapiens. Next base: position 11,908,988 of record NC_000001.11, on the reverse strand, counting down.
ATTCACTTTCTCTTGCGTTTCATCAAACCGGTTGGGTCGGGGGAGGACTAGCTGCGCGCCTGGCACGCTCCTCAGGCGGGGATACGGGGCAGAAGAGCCCTTGGGACTGCCTTCTTCGATTCTACACGGAGAAGCCGGCGGGAGCAGCGGGGGAGCTCGCCCCGAGTCCCTGCTTCATTTGATCGGATAGTCCAGCGGTCCCCAACCTTTCTGGCACAAGGGACCCAGTTCATGGAAGGCAGTTTTTCCAAGGGCGGGGGAAGGTGGGTAGGGGGTGTGGACAGTTCCAGGTTGAAACTGTGCCCCTCGTCATCAGCCATTAGATTCTTAAAAGGAGCACGCACCTAGATACCTCGTATACGCAGTTCACAATAGGGTTCCCGCTCCTAGGAGAATCTGATGCCTTGCTGCCCTGACAGCAGGCGGACCTCAGGCGTTAATGCTCGCTTGTGAGTCGGTAACCCTCCATCACTCAGTGGCTGGGGTTAAAAACCACTGGTGTAATCAACCAACAAACCCTACTTCTTGGTCAAAAGCAGTAAGCCACCCCAACATCTTAATATTATAACTGCTCAGAAATGCAATACAATTGATATCACATACCTTAACAAAGCGAAAAGCTGAAAAACCGTAACTCGCATTTGTTCTATAATACACTTTACATAGCTCCACACGCGATTTAACGGAATCGCATCTGTTTTTAAAACACTTAAAATAAGCCCTGCTAAGAAACGCAAGGCCTCAAAAAATTGGTTTCAGACTCACACTCGTTTCTCTCCACGGAAATCTTTAGTAAAAGGCGAAAGATTTATACGATTTGAAGAGAAACCAGAGTATAACATCAGTCGTCGACACTACAGTTCTCAGGTAACGGCTACTCCTAAACGGGTAATGGTAACTTTCCTTCGGCCCAAAAGAGCTATTGACTTCAGCCTTTTTCTTCAGACAATTCTGGGACAGCAATCTCGGTTCCGAGAAAGATATGTTGAAGGAAAAAGGGGAAATAATTTTAAAGACGAACATTATTTAGTGCGCAATGCATTGTGGGTATGCAAATAAAGTCTCACCAATCACGCTCCAGTTTCAGGAAATACCTTAAATGGTTCATGCGTTTTAGCGCTGCGCCTGAGGCCACCACCGCGGGGCAGAGCAGAGTCTGGTCCCAGAAGAAAAAGGCTGACTTTACCTGCTTTACTTACAGTGGGCGAGCTATTAGATCGGTGCAAAAGTAATTGCGGTTTTTGCAATTTTTTTTTTTTTTTAATTGCACAATTAGCCTAATAAGTAAAGAATTTTTTTGAACTTAAAAAAAAAAGTAAAAAAAAAATTATCTTGGCTGGACTCCGTGGCTCACCCTTGTAATCCCAGCACTTTGGGTGGCTGAGGCAGGCTGATCGCCTGAACTAGGGGTTCAAGACCAGCCTGGGCAACATAACGAGAGCGTGTCTCCAAAAAAAAATTCTTACACTTCTAGCCACTCCAGACCTACTGCAGGCCTGGGGATTGGGCCCAGCCCCCTGAGTCTGAACTCATCCTCCGTGTGATTCTGATGGAGGCCACATTGAGAACCTCTGTTGGCAACTGTTGTGCCTGAAATATGGAGAGTGAGGAGTTTGGGAGACAGATTACTGGCTGAGCAGGGGAAGGCCTGGGAAAGGCTGTGAAATGAGGAGAGAAAAGGCCAAGGAAGGTCCCTGGGGGATGGTGGCATAAAAGGAGGGGACAGTGCAGGAGCCTATGAAAGAGATTAGAGAAATTGAGGGAGGCAGGAGGAAAACCTGGACTGGGAGCCTCACAGAAACCGAGGGCAGAGAGGAGGTTTCCTGGCCGGGCGCGGTGGCTCACGCCTGTAATCCCAACACTTTGGGAGAGAGGAAGGAAACAGTAGGTGAGGAGGGGCAGGAGATGGGGAGGGGGCGGTAGCTGGCTCCTGGTTGCAGATGGGAAGGAGAAGCGGTGCAGGTGCCTCCCCGCAGTGATCGTGGTCCATGGAGCCTGGGCCCCCCCACTACCCCTGTTCTCTCACTCCCCTGCAGCCCCTCCTTTGCTGGCCCCTCTTTCCTTCCGTCTTCTCACCTGGGAAGATCCCAGGGCCATCTTTCCAGCCTCTGCCCTGTAGCAGCTGAACTGCTGGAAAAATTCCACAGCAGGGGAACCTCCCATACAGGCCTCCACTTCACCTGTTTCTCTGATTGGCTCCATTTCCCACCTCAAGATGTCCTTTTTAGGCCGAGTGCGGTGGCTCACGCCTGTAATCCCAGCACTTTGGGAGGTGGAGGCAGGCGGATCACCTGAGGTCAGGAGTTCGAGACCAGCCTGGCCAACATGGGGAAACCCCGTCTCTACTAAAAATACAAAAATTATCTTGGTGTGTCGACGCGTGCCTGTAATCCCAGCTACTTGGGAGGCTGAGGCACGAGAACCACTTGAACCCAGGAGGCGGAGGTTGCAGTGAGCCGAGATCGCACCATTGCACTCAAGCCTGGGTGAAAGAGCAAAACTCCGTCTCAAAAAACAAACAAACACACAAACACCCCTTTTAATCCTTCTCTCCCTTCAGCTTCCCCCTCTGCAACTCACCGTGTCAGCCCACGACATCCCAGGGGCTTCCTTGAGAGGCCAGACGCCCTCATCTTCCCAGCCCGCCTGCAACCGCATCTGGCTCATCTTCTGCCTCCTCCCATGAACGGCCCTCCTCCTGGGCTTTGAACCCCAACTCCACAAAGATGGCTCCCCTCCCATGCAATCCCCCAGCAGCACCCTCCGTGTCCCTCCCGCTGTGGTCTGAATGTCGTGGCCACTCACACATCCACAGGCTGAAATGTAATCTCCAAGGTGATGGTATTGATAAGTGGGGCCTCTGGAAGGTGATTGGGTCATGGATGGGATCAGTGTCCTTATAAAAGGGTTTGAGGGAGCGAGTTTGTCCCTTTCACCCTCCCATCAAGTGGGGACACAGGGAAGGCGCCGTCTATGAGGAACAGGCCTTCACTAGACAGCAAATTTGCTGATGCCTTGATGTTGGACTTCCCAGCCTCCAGAACTGTGAGCAATAAATAACTTTCTGCTGTTTATAAATTATCCAGTTTAAGGTATTTTGTCATAGCACCTGAACTAGGACACCCCCCCTACTGGCTCATCTTCTAGACGGATGAGTAGGCTTCCTTACCTCCTAACCTGAGAGAGAGAGAGAGAGAGGAGTGAAGGAGGAAGTGGGGAAGGAAGAAAGACTTCCTAAACCTCATCACCATCAGCCACAACAAAGCAAAGCACTTTTACTTTGTATTTCTATTTTAGAAAAAAATCTGATGGAAATCTCTTTAGTAAAAAGAAACTTGGGGCCGGGCGCAGTGGCTCAGGCCTGTAATCCCAGCACTTTGGGAGGCCAAGGCGGGCGGATCCCCTGAGATCAGGAGTTCGAGACCAGCCTGGCCAACATGGTGAAACCCCGTCTCTACTAAAAACACAAAAATTAGCTGGGCATGGTAGGCCCCTATAGTCCCAGTTACTTGGGAGGCTGAGGCAAGAGAATCGCTTGAACCCAGGAGGCAGAGGTTGCAATGAGCCAAGATCGTGCCACTGCACTCCAGCCTGGGGGACAGAGCAAGACTCCGTCTCAAAAAAAAAAAAAAAAAGATTTCCAAACAGGGACTCAAACAGATGACTCTACATGAGCATTAATAGCAGCGTTGTTCATAACAGCCCAAAGATGACAACAATCCCAGTGTCTATCCGCTGATGAGTGGATAAACAAAATGTGGTTTACCCATACAATGGAATACTATTCAGCCATAAAAAGGAGAGAAATTCTGGTACACACTACATTGTAGATGAAATTTGAGGATGCATGCTACATGAAAGAAGCCAGCCACAAAAAGGCATAGATTGTGTGACTGTACTTAGGTAAAATATCTAGAAGAGGGGATAATAGGAGTTATTGGGTAACGTATAGAGTTTCTGTTTCGGGTGATGAAAAATTTTGGAAATGGATGGCAGTGATGGTATTACAACATTGTGAATGTTTTGAATTTATTTTTAATTTTTAGAGATGAGGTCTTGCTCTGTTGCCCAGTTAATTTTTAATTTTTAATTTTTTTTTTTATTTTTTGTAGAAACTAGGTCTCATTATATTGGCCAGGCTTAATTTGTTTATTTTTATTTTTTGTGAGCTGTAATCTTGCTATGTTGCTCAGGCTGGTCTCAAACTTTTGGCCTCAAGTGATCCTCCTGTCTCAGCCGCCCAAAGTGTTGGGATTACAGGTGTGAACCACCATGCCTGGCCCATTTCCCCTGATCAGGGAAAATGCGTTGTTATGTGTGATATTTGGTGTGAGTTTTTTTTTTTGTTTTTTTTTTTTTGGCGGAGTCTCGCTCTGTTGCCAGGCTGGAGTGCAGTGACGTGGTCTCAGCTCACTGCAACCTCCAACTCCCTGGTTCAAGTGATTCTCTTGTCTCAGCCTCCCAAGTAGTTGGGATTACAGGCACACGCCACCATGCTCAGCTAATTTTTGTGTTTTTAGTAGAGACAAGGTTTCACCATGTTGGCCACGATGGTCTCGATCTCCTGACATCATGATCTGCCTGCTTCAGCCTCCCAAAGTGCTGGGACTACAGGCATGAGTCACCGCGTCTGGCCTGGTGTAAGATTTTAACATACAGCCTGTATTAATTATGTTAGGGAAATTTCCTTCTATCATCAGGTTTCTCTGTGCTGAGTTTTTTTATCAAATGCTCTTCAGAATCTATTGAGATAGTTGTATAAATTTTCTCCTTTGAATTCAGCAATATGGTGAATTACATTGCTAGATTTTTTTTTTTTTTTTTGAGACAGAGTCTCACTCTGTTGCCCAGGCTGGAGTGCAGTGGCACGATCTCAGCTCACCGTAACCTCCGCCTCCAGGTTCAAGCGTTTCGTGTGCCTCAGCCTCCTGAGTAGCTGGGATTACAGGTGTGCACCACCATGCCTGGCTAGTTTTTCTATTTTTAGTAGAAATGGGGTTTTGTCCTGTTGGCCAGGCTGGTTGCAAACTCCTGACCTCAGGTGACCCACCCACCTTGGCCTTCCAAAGTGCTGGGATTACAGGTGTGAACCACTGCTCCTGGGCCATTGCTAGATTTTTGGATGTTAATTATTTGCATTCCTGAGATAAGGCCCATTTAAGTCATAATACATTTTTCTTTATAATTTGATTTTTCCTTTTTCTTTTTTTTGAGACAGAGTCTTGTTCCGTCACCAAGGCTGGAGTGCAGTGGCACAATCTCAGCTCACGGCAGCCTCAACCTCCCAGGCTCAAGCAATCCTTCCACCTCAGCCCCCTAAGTAGCTGGGACTACAGGCATGCAGCACCACACCCGGCTAAGATTTTTCCTTTTTGAAAATGAAAAATGCAAGACTCAAAGATCAAAACTATGTAAAAACATATATTCAGAGAAGTCCCACTCCTGTCCCTAGCCCCTTCGCCCAGTTTCCACTCATCCCCATTTTCAATAGTTTCTTTATTTAAAGAAAATTTGTTTACATTTTGTTATTTGTAATAGAGATGGGGTCTCACTATGTTGCCCAGGCTGGTCTCTAACTCCTGGGCTTAAGTGATCCTCCCAACTCCCAAAGTGCTGGGATTTCAGGTGTGAGCCACTGCACCCAACACATTTTCAATAGTTTCTAGTTTAAATTTTCTGTGTGTGTGTGTGTGTGTGTGTGTGTGTTTTGTAACAATAACCACACACATATAGTTTATTTCTTCTTCCTTTTTTTTTTTTCTTTTTTTGAGACAGGGTCTTACTCTGTCACCCAGGCAGGAGTATAGTGGTGTGATCTTGGCTCACCGCAACCTCCGCCTCCTGGATTCAAACATTTCTCCTGCCTCAGCCTCCTGAGTAGCTGGGATTATAGGTGCCCGCCACCACACGTGGCTAATTTTTGTATTTTTAGTAGAGGCGGGGTTTCACCATGTTGGCCAGACTGGTCTCGAGATCCTGACCTCAGGTGATCCACCTGCCTGGGCCTCCCAGAGTGCTGGGATTACAGGCATGAGCCACCACGCCTGGCACACACTTTTTTTTTTTTCTTTTGAGACGGAGTCTCGCTCTGTTCCCCAGGCTGTAGTGCATTGGCAAGATCTTGGCTTACTGCAACCTTCAACCCGCTGGGTTCAAGCAATTCTCCTGCCTCAGCCTCCTGAGTAGCTGGGATTACAGATGTGTGCCATCATGCCTGGGGAATTTTTGTATTTTTAGTAGAGACAGGGTTTCACCATGTTGGCCAGGCTGGTCTCAAACTCCTGACCGCAAGTGATCTGCCCGCCTCAGCCTCCCAAAGTGCTCGGTTTACAGGCATGAGCCACCATGCCTGGCCTGAAACTTCTACTTTTAAAAGTAGAGCTTCAAATCCAGCTCCATAGAGCATGGAATTGCGGAATCAGGGTACTTGAATAAAGTCTGAATCTCAGCCAAAGCCAGGGAGATTTGAAACCCAAGAGAAAATGCCAGGAAGCCCCGCTAGCTCTGATGAGGTCAGACGAGTGAAAGCTGTTCCTGCGGGTACCAAAGCTCAGAATGTTGGCAAAGCAGCATGGATTGTGGGAGGCTTGCCTTGGGTCCCATCTGTGGGTCACCAAAATGTCAACCTAAAATCATCAAAAGGGTTAGAATCTAATTTAAAGAGTGTTTATTCAAGCACAAAGTGTGAGGATGGACAATTCGGAAACACCAACTCCAAAGGAATGGTCAGCGTTCTAAAGTAGACAGAGACAGGGGAGTTTTTAGCAGGATTATAGCATTTTTCTTTTTCTTTTCTTTTCTTTTTTCTTTCTTTCTTTCTTTTTTTTTTTTTTTTTGAGACGGAGTCTCGCTCTGTCACCCAGGCTGGAGTACAGTGGTGTGATCTCGGCTCACTGCAACCTCCACCTCTCGGGTTCAAGTGATTCTCCTGCCTCAGCCTCCCAAGTAGCTGGGATTACAGGCACCCGCCACCACGCCCGGCTAATTTTTGAATTTTTAGTAGAGACGGGGTTTCACCATGTTGGTCAGGCTGGTCTCAAACTCCTGACCTCGTGATCCACCCACCTCGGCCTCCCAAAGTGCTGAGATTACAGGTGTGAAGCACTGCACCTGGCCATTCTTTTTTTTTTTTTTTTTTTGGCAGAGTCTCACTCTGTCACCCAGGTTGGAGTGCAGTGGTGTGATCTCGGCTCACTGCAACCTGCATCTCCTGAGTTCAAGAGATTCTCCTGCCTCAGCCTCTTGAGTAGCCACCACGCCCGGCTCATTTTTGTGTTTTTAGTAGAGATGGGGTTTCACCATGTTGGCCAGGCTGGTGTCGAATTCCTGACCTCAGGTGATCCTCCCGCCTCGGCCTTCCAGCACAGCTATAGGCGTGAGTCACTGTGCCCAGCCTCTTTTTTTTTTTTGAGATGGAGTTCGCTCTGTCACCCAGGCTGGAGTGCAGTGGTGTGATCATAGCTCACTGGAGCCTCAACTTCGCTGGCTCAGGTGATTCTCCCACCACAGCCTCCTGAGTAGCTGGGACTAGAGGCACTCATGCCACCATACTGGCTAATTTTTTGTATTTTTTGCAGAGACGGGGTTTTTCCATGTTGCCCAGGCTGGTCTTGAACCCCTGGGCTCAAGCCATCCGCTAGCCTCGGCCTCCTGAAGTGCTGGGATTACAGGTGTGAGCCACCATGCCGAGCCTTTAAAAAGTTACCGTAAATATATTTGACATTTTGAAATTCTGTGTGTCAAAAATAATCAAGCAAAAAGGTGAGCCTCCCACCAGAATCATACTTGCAATACACCAAAGGGTTAACAATTGTACTATATCAAAAAGCCTTACAAATTAATGAGATAAAGCTGGGTGCGGTGGCTCACGCTTGTAATCCCAGACCTTTGGGAGTCTGAAGAGGGCAGATGGCTTCAGCCCAGGAGTTCAAGACCAACCTGGGCAATGTGGTGAAACCCTGTATCTAAGAAAAAAAAAAAAAGAAAAATTAATGGGATCAATACTAAACTGCAATAGAAAATCATTGATAGTAGAGAGAAAAATTTTCCAGAAGAAATGTACATGTCTAATAAATATGTGAAAACCTGTTTGGTCTTACTAGTAATCAGAGGACTCCAAATACAAGCAACTCTGTATGTCACGTCCCATCTATTACATTAGCAAATACTTTTAAAATATAAAATTCAGAGGCAGCCATGTTACAGTGAAACAGGAACGCAGATGCCACAGGTAGAAATAGGAACTGGCCCAATCTTACTAAAATGTCACTTGATGATATGTATCAAGAGCCCTAAAAAAAGTGTTTTTTGAGACACAGTTTCTCTCTGTTGCCCAGGTGGGAGTGCAGTGGTGCGATCTTGGCTCACTGCAGCTTCTGCCTCCAAGGTTCAAGCAGTTCTCGTGCCTCCGTCTCCTGAGTAGCTGAGACTGCAGGTGTGTGCCACCATGCCTGGCTAATTTTTGTATTTTTAGTAGAGACAGGGTTTCACCATGTTGCTCAGACTGGTCTTGAACTCCTGGCCCCAAGTGATCCACCCACCTCAGCCTCCCAAAGTACTAGGATTACAGGTGTGAGCCACCGCGCCCAGCCTAACAAAAGTATTTTAACAGTTAATATATGTCAAGCCAATAATTTCACATGTGGGAATACATCCTAAGGAAACAGAAATGTACAAAAATGTGTGCAAAGAAACACACTTTTTTTTTTTTTTGAGACAGAGTCTCATTCTGTCGCTCAGGATGGAGTACAGTAGTACAATCTCAGCTCAACCTCCACCTCCTGGGTTCAAGTGATTCTCCTGCCTCAGCCTCCTGAGTAGCTGGGATTACAGGCATTCGCCACCACGCCCGGTGAAATTTTTTTTTTTTTGAGACAGAGTCTTGCTCTGTTGTCCAGGCTAGAGTGCAGTGGCACTATCTCGGCTCACTGCAACCTCCACCTCCCAGGTTCAAGCGATTCTCCTGCCTCAGTCTCCTGAGTAGCTAGGATTACAGGCACCAGCCACCATGCCCGGCTCATTTTTTTGTATTTTTAGTAGAGACAGGGTTTCACCGTGTTAGCCAGGATGGTCTTGATCTCCTGACCCCGTGATCCACCCACCTCAGCCTCCCAAAGTGCTGGAATTACAGGCGTGAGCCACAGGGCCTGGCCAACAGTAATTTTTATAATCAGAAGAATAAAAGAACAATGATATTGAAAAGAGAGGGAAAGAGAGAGAGGGAAGGGGAGAGATGCAGAGCTTACAAACAAGGGCATCTGACTGGGGAGGGGTCAGGAGCTGAGAGGGGAAGATAAGGGCCCAGAAGTGGAAGGGGGTCTTGCTAAGGCCCATTACATGATGTCACCTGGGCCCTTGGGGGCTGCAGTTTGCAGTAGCTCAGGAGGGCATGCCTCAGCCCTGGGGCCCCACCCCTATTCTCCCGGCTCTCTTCTCTCTTGCACCATCTCTCCCCATTTCCAAGGAAGGTGGCTGCCCCTGCCAGATGCAGACGCATTGCACCGACCTCATTGTCTAGCTTTAACTAACTTGAAAGCAAGGGATAGGAGGGAGGAAAGGAACAGAGTCCCCTAGGAATGTTAGAGGCAGGGGGATGGGAAATTCTGCAGCCCAGCTGAGAGTGGGAGCCCGTTGGTTTGGAGGGGATAAAGCATAAGACCAAAGTACAAATAATGATCCGATGGGCCAGCCTGTGATGCCTGCTCAGAGGCACTAGAGTGGTCCCAGAGAAAGCGCTAGAGACAATTTTAGGAGACAGAAAGCAGGATTTGATCACCCAAGGACAGAATCTGAGGCAAGGAAGAGCTGGGGGGCTCTGTGCCGGTCTGAGCCCTTGAAACAAATCCTACATAGGGGATTGCTACGGGGCTAGCGGTCTCAGGGACTCCAGGGCTGAGTCCTGGCCGTGAACCCCGCGGGCGCCCGCATTTCAGCACCGGGGACAGGGGCCGACCTCGGATCCAGGTGGGTCCTCAGATCCACTGGCGGCTCCGTAGCTCCACTAGTTCCTGGCCCCCTCCCTGGCCAATCTCAGCCCGGGCAGTTCCCTTGGAGACCTCCGTGGCCCCTCCATCCTGGACCCCCCTGGTGCCCGTGCTGCGGCTCCCGAGCACTTGGCAGGTGATGCGACCCGCGGAGCCAACCTGGAGCGCCCTCGGGTCCCGGCAGCCAAGATGGGCTCTGCGATCTGGGGTAGGGGCAGGAGAAGACCTAGTCTCCCCACCGCCCCCCACGTTTGTCTCAGCTTGGACAGAGTCTTGCCCTCCGGGGATGGCGCAAAAAGGAAAACCCCGAGGTGAGAGCAGGGAGGCAGCCAGAGGCACTCTAAGGAGAAGCCGGGGCCAGCACAGGTGCGGGACGTTGTCCCTGCCCGCCCAAGCGCATGGCCCTTCCAGAGACACCCCCTTTCTCAAGCGCAGCCCCGACCAGCCGCTCCCCGCCCCTCCCCACGCCCTGACCCCGCCAGCTTCCATCGCCCCAGGGCACTGGGAGCCAGAACATGGACCAGGGCAACCCAGATCCCCGAGTCAGCCCTCCCATGGCCCAGCGGCTCCAGAAATTCGATACAGCCCCCCCCACCCACCCCAGGCGACTTCTAAATCGCCGGCAGAATTCAAGTCTCTGGCCTGAACTGTGCCCGGCTGGGCCTCGGCCCTCCCACCGCTCCATGGGGGCTTTTGCGGTGCTCCGTCTAGCGCTTTGCCTCTGCCAGGCTTAGGCGTCTGGGCATCCCGGAGAAGGCGGCTTCCTATCCCGCCTCTGCGTCCCCACTCCCTGTCCCCAGGCCATCTCCCACCCACTAGCCCGGTTAGTGCTCTGCCATCCAGGTGGATAGAGCGGGCCAAACACAGGCCTCGGGAATTTACATCATTTCACCTTGGCTTGGGAGTGCACGATGTGACTCCGCAATAGATTTACTTTCCTTTTTTTTCTTTTCTTTTCTTTCTTTTTTTTTTTTTTTGAGACGGAGCCTCGCTCTGTCGCCCAGGCTGGAGTGCCGTGGCGCGATCTCAGCTCACTGTAACCTCTGCTTCCCGGGTTCACGCCATTCTCCTGCCTCAGCCTCCCGAGTAGCTGGGACTACTGGCGCCCACCACCACGCCCGGCTAATTTTTTTGTATTTTTAGTAGAGACGGGGTTTCACCGTGTTAGCCAGGATGGTCTCGATCTCCTGACCTCGTGATCCACCCGCCTCGGCCTCCCAAAGTGCTGGGATTACAGGCATGAGCCACCGCGCCCGGCCTTGAGACAATTTTTTTTTTTTTTTTAAGGCTAGTGAAGGAAAGCAGGGAATGGAGAGGGAACAAAGAAATCTGCAACTGCTTGTGATTGAAAGAAAAGCTCTTGCTGTTTTTGGTCTAAAATCATCTATTTTACCTATATTTAAAGGAAATTTTAGCTGGATATGGAATTCTGCATTCACAGGGTTTTTATTCTTTTGGCAGTTTAAAGTAAGTGGATATATTCAATTATCTTCTTGTCTCTGTTATTTCTGATAAAGTTAGACATCAGTCTATATTCAAATTTCCCTACTTGTTTATGAAACGACCTGTTAGAATTGATTAATTCAAATCAGCGTCCTAAAACGATCCTCACAGTGCATTTGGTAATTATATCATTTCAGCCTTCTTTAATCTGAACGACTCTTATTCCCCATCACCTTGTGTGTGTGTGTGTCGGGGGGAGGGGGGGCACTGAAGACTTTTGAAGGACTGGATCAGTTACCTATCCTATGGAATATCCCTCATCCTGAATTTGATCTGATTTGCAGAATTTCTTCCTGCAAATTTAATTTCTTCCTATGCCCTCTGAACTTCCTTTAAACTAGATGTCAGATCGGCAACCCTGATTAGATTCCATTTGTCATTTTTTAATTTTATTTGTTTGACATTAAATATCTCAAACAACAGCCCTTCATCTACCTTATAGGGCTAGCAAAGCATTAGATGATCATGAAGCATTTCTCAGCACCTGGCTTTTTTTTTTTTTTTTTTTTTTTTTTTTTTTTTTTTGAGATGGAGTCTTGCTCTGTCACCCAGGCTGGAATGCAGTGGCACGATCTTGGCTCACTGCAAGCTCCACCTCCGGGTTCATGCCATTCTCCTGCCTCAGCCTTCCAAGTAGCTGGGACTACAAGCTCCCGCCACGACACCCAGCTAATTTTGTGTATTTTTAGTAGAGATGGGGTTTCACTGTGTTAGCCAGGATGGTCTCGATCTCCTGACCTCATGATCTACCCGCCTCAGCCTCCCGAAGTGCTGGGATTACAGGTGTTAGCCACCGTACCTGGCCTAGCACCTTGCTTTTTTTTCTTGAGATAGGGTTGCACTATGTTGCCCAGGTTGGCCTCAAACTCTCGAACTCCTGGGCTCAAGCGATCCTCCCTCCTCAGCCTCCTGAGTAGCTGGGACCGCAGGCATGTGCCACCACGCCCGGCATTGCTACTGTCACTTGGTCAGTTATGCCAGTGGTGACAGATTGGCAGCCTGCTGGTTGAATCCAGACTGCAGATGTGTCTGATCTTGTTTTTAATTAATAAAATGAAACCCTTAAAAAGCTGGAGGGTTTGTAAATTTCTTTTTTTTTTTTTTTTTTTTTTTTTTTTTTTTTTTGAGACGGAGTCTTGCTCTGTCGCCCAGGCTGGAGTGCAGTGGCGGGATCTCGGCTCACTGCAACCTCTGCCTCCCAGGTTCAAGCAATTCCTCTGCCTCACCCTTCCAAGTAGCTGGATTACAGGCATGCACCACCATACCTGGCTAATTTTATATTTTTAGTAGAGATGTTGGTCAGGCTGGTTTCGAACCCCTGACCTCAGGTGATCCTCCTGTCTCCGTCTTCCAAAGTGCTGGAATTACAGGCGTGAGCCACTGTGCCCGGATGCTCTTTTTCTTTCTCTTTTTTTCTTTTATTTCTTTTTGTTTGTTTGTTTGTTTCGAGATGGAGTCTCACTCTGTTGCCAGGCTGGAGTTCAGTGGCACGATTTCAGCTCACTGCAACCTCTGCCTCCCGGGTTCAAGTGATTCTCTTGCCTCAGCCTCCTGAGTAGCTGGGATTACAGGCACGCACCACTACGCCCGGCTAATTTTTGTATTTTTAGTAGAGATGGGGTTTTACCATGTTGGTCAGGCTGGTCTTGAACTCCTGACCTCATGATCTGCCCGCCTCGGCCTCCCAAAGTTCTGAAATTACAGGCATGAGCCACCGTGCCCGGCTTAAAATTTTTTTTTAGAGATTACGTCTTGGGTTTTGCTGTGTTGCCCAGGCTGCTCTCCACCTCCTGTCCTCAAGCAAGCCTCTGGCCTCAGCCTCCCAAAGTGCTAGGATTACAGGCATGAGCCACTGCACAGGGCCTGAAATTTTTAATTTTATATAAATTTTTAATTTTATATTTTTAATTTTCAATTATATATATTATATATATATTTTTTAGTGTAATAAGCATATGTCCCAGCCACCAATCAGAATTAACACATGCTGTTATTCTGCCTGTGCCCGGGGGAAACTGAGGCTCAGAGAAGGTGAGTAACTTGCTCGAGATCACACTGCTGATCAGTGATCACCAGATAAGGCAGTCTGGCTCTGGAAGTGGCTTGCTTCATCCGTCCCTGATGCTTCTCCCTTCGTGGCCTACACAGGAGAAGGTGTCAGCAGGACTGGGTCCTGGGGACTTCTATGCAGACAGAGGACTGGGGGACACTGATGCCTCACTCTGGGTATAAACTTCCCTCCCTTCCTCCCTCATAGGTCACGGCCAGGGTCAATGAGACCATGCCTTCAGTGTGCTGGGCAGAGGATTTGACACATAGCACACACTTGATCTATGTGAGCTGTGGGGACAGCCCTGGATTGCCTCTTTTCCTCCCCAGAGATGAACTGCCTGCCCCTGCCAGGTTCCTGGGGTCAGGGTGAGCCCTGTCCCTGTCTCCCCATCACTGGAGGCTGTGCCAGCAGCAAGGCTGGGAGAAGGAAGATGGGGAGGTTTATAGTTGCAACGCTTGCTAATGATAATGATTGGTATGAAAATTTCAGGCTGATGGAAAATAGGGATGACATGAGGCCCCAGATGGCTCCTCTGTTCTTCCTCTCTGAATTCAAACAGCCAGGACATTGTGCAGAAAACTGCCTTGTTTCCATGCACAGAAACTAGCTAGCCTTTCTCCTGGTCTGGCCCTTGGCAGAAGACATGACTTTATCCATGCTTTCATCCAGCCATCCATTCATCCGCTCACCCACCCATTCATCCATCCACCTACCCACCCATCCATCCATCCATCCATCCACCCACCCATCCACCCATCCATCCATCCATTCATCCACCCACCCACCCATTCATCCATCCACCTACCCACCCATCCAACCACCCATCCACCCATCCATCCATCCACCCACCCATCCACCCATCCATCCATCCACCCATCCATCCATTCATCCTCTCACCCACCCATTCATCCATCCACCTACCCACCCATCCACCCACCCATCCATCCACCCATCCACCCATCCATCCACCCACCCATCCATCCACCCACCCACCCATCCATCCATCCATCCATCCATCCATCCATCCATCCATTCATCCATCCATCCATCCACTCACCCACCCATTCATCCATCCACCCACCCACCCACCCATCCACCCATCCATCCTTGCAAGATCAGTTCCCTGCTTTGAGCCTTCCAGCTGCAACTTTCTGAGGTTCTAGAAGGAGGAATACTCACCCCTGTTCATGGGGTCAAGTATAGGAGATAATTGCCTGCGAGACGCACTGACCCCCTCCCTTTCCCCCATTATATCTCACCCCACTCTCCCCAGACACTCTGGGGATGCAGGGTCCCCTGGAGGGCGCTGCTACTGCATCTCCAGCAGGTGGCGCTGGAGGCTCTCTCCTTACCTGGGCGACACTGCATGCTTGATTTGGGAAGGAGCAGGCTGACCAGGTGTGGGAAGACAGGGTGGTGGCCCAGCCCAAGGCCAGGCTGGGTTCTTCCCCACTCCACACCCCAGGTGGTAGGTGAGACACAGAACTCTCAGATGAGATCTTGGTCCTTGGGTGGGTGCTCCTGGCTGTGCAGGAGGCCTGTCCCCCATTTGGTCTGGGACCAGTACGCGGTGGTTTGAGTCAACTCACTCCATCTCTCCTGAGATTTTTGCCCAGGCATAGACTTTGCAAATACACAGACCTCAGTTCAAATCTCAGCTCTGCCTCTTAAAGGCTGTGTGATCTTGGCCAAGTTGCTCTGTCTCTCTGGGCCTCAGGTTGCTTACCAGTAAAATGTGGTAATAATGCCTATTGTCAGGTCAACATAAGGGTTAAACGGGTCGGCACCAAATCATGATAGGTGGTCAGTGAGTGCAGGTTCCCTCCACCATCCACGGGCCTCATGTTGGTGGTCCTGTCAGCTGTCAGAGCCCAGCATGGGGCTGTATTCATGGCTACACTGTTCCTGAACAAGGACAGAATTGGGCTTCTAATAAGACAGGACTGAAGGGTGGGGTGAGGAAAGTTCCAGAAACTGCTTCTCAAGCCCACAGACAGCTGCACTAATAGCTGCCCCCTCCTTCTGGGGACTTGGGCAATCACTCCAACTTTCCAGTAACTTCTGCTTCTTTCACAATAGGCTGGAGGGATAATTCTACCTAAAAAATAATTGCTTTGCTAGGAAAAGCCTGGCAGGTAAAACCTCATCATGTTACCATGCATCAGGGATTAAAAAAACAAAACAACAAAGCCAGGCACAGTGACACACATCTGTAAGCTTAGCTACTTGGGAGGCTGAGGCTGGAGGATTGCTTGAGCCCAGGAGTTTGACAGCAGCCTGGGCAACACAGTGAGACCCCTATTAAAAAAAGCTAAAGAAAAGAAAAGAACAAAACTTAGTCCTGGCCGGGCGCAGTGGCTCACACCTGTAATCCCAGCACTTTGGGAGACTGAGGCGGGTGGATCACCCGAGGTCAGGAGTTCGAGACCAGCCTGGCCAACATGGTGAAACCCTGTCTCTAATAAAAATACAAAAATTAGCTGGTACAGTGGCAGGTGCCTGTAATGCCAGACACTTGGGAGGCTGAGGCAGGAGAATTGCTTGAACCAGAAGGTGGAGGTTGCAGTGAGCGGAGAGAGTGCCATTGCACTCCAGCCTGGGTGACAGAGTGAGACTTCATCTTAAAAAAACAACAAGAACTCAGTCCTACAGGTGGGCGATTTCTGTTTACTTCCCTTGGAAAGGCTGAGTCTGTCCCCACAAACTGGTGCTTAGAGCACCTGTATCTGGGCAGTGAGTGATTAAGCCCCGGAGTGGGTTGGCGGTAAAGCTGGGAGTCCTGTGCCAGGGGAGACACTAAACAGGTGTTTCCAATGTGTGTTTGTGTCCTGGGTGTTCAGAAGCTGGAGATGAGCTGGGGAGGTTTGTCTTTGGTCCCAAATAGCTTCTCCTAGGCTTCTTTTAGGGGACCAGGAATGCCAGGTGGTCTCGAAGGCAGGGTCCACAGCAAACTGGTTTGCTCCTGTCCTGTGGATGGGATGGGTAGGATGGGAGGCACCTGGGCTGTGCTTCCCCCACTGGAGGTTTGAGATCTCAGAGCTATGGGACTCCAAGAAGCAGGCAAGCTCCAGGGACATGAGGACCCTTTGCAGGGTGAGGAATCAGATTGAGTGAGACACAGGAAGCCCATGGATGGGGAAGGGGGCCTCTGAGGTGGGGCAGGTCTCAGTCTGGAGCTCCTGGGAGTGACACTGGAATCCGTTCATCACCGACGCCCGGTGGACTCTCCTTTTCTGCATTCCACTGGCCAGCCCCAGAGAGGTGGGGGCCATCTTTGGACCTACAGAAATCTTCATGTCACATGCTCCACCAGCACCTCAGCAACTTTATCTCCACCATTTGCTTTTCTCTAGATGCTGAGAGTTCAGGTGACAGGGCTTGGGTCAGCTCTCCTGGTGAAAAGTGCAGAGAGTGGCTCCCAGTCCCACGAGCTGCCCACCCCTTCCCTCACTCACTACACAGCCTTGACATAGCAGAGCAGAAAGGGCAACCTTTGGAATCAGAGACACCTGAGTTTATTTATTTATTTTTCTTTTTTTTTTTTTGAGACAGGGTCTTGTTCCGTTGCCCAGGCTGGAAGTGCAGTGGCTCAATTATAGCTTGCTGCAGCCTCCATCTCCTGGGCTCAAGCGATCCTCCCACCTCAGCCTCTCCAACAGCTGGGACTACAGTTACACACCACCATAGCTTGGCAAATTTTTTCTTATTTTTTTACAGATGGGATCTTGCTATGTTGCCCAAGCTGGTTTTGAATTCCTGGCCTCAAGCAATCCTCCCACCTTGGCCTTGCTGGGATTACAGGCATGAGCCCCCCTGTCTGGCAGCACTGAGTTTAAATCCATGCTCTGCCACTGCTGTGTGACACCTGCAAAGTGCTTCACTCATCTGGGTCTCAGTTTTCCTAATCTATCAGATGGGCACGGCCGACCTGCCCAGTCTGCCTCACAGAGTTAGAGTGACAATTATACAAGACGCTGTGTTTTGCAAACAAGAAAAGCATCATCTCACAGCACATGCTACCTCTCCATCTCTCTCCACAGCTGAATACAGGTTGCAGACACATTTTATTTGAAACTCTCAACAGTAAAAAAAATTCTAAAATTTTTGCCAACATTAAAAAAACAGATACTTACCTAAGATTTTAAAGATATCCCTCTGTCTCTGACAGTACAGGTGCATTCCCACAAGGCAGTACTCAAGCGCACTGAGCTGCTCCCTTCTCCAGTTCCCATAGCCTCCCAAATGCCCAGTATGTCCTCAACACCTAGGCCAAGGGTCAGGTGTTATTTGTTGAAGGGGGCCAGCCCCTCCACACCTGTGGGTATTTCTCGCAAGGTGGAGGCGAGAGACTGAGAAAAGAAATAAGACACAGAGACAAAGTATAGAGGAAGAAAAGTGGGCCCAGGGGACCGGTGCTCAGTAAGTGAGGACCTGCACCGGCCCCGGTCTCTGAGTTCCCTCAGTATTTATTGATCACTATCTTTACCATCTTGGCAGGGGGAATGTGGTGTGACTATAGGGTGATGGTGGGGAGAGGGTCAGTAGGAAAATGTGTGTGCAAAGGAATCTGTGTCATAAATAAGTCTAAGGAAAGGTGCTGTGCCTGGATGTGCACATAGGCTAGATTTATGTTTAACTTTACATAAACATCTCAGTGCAGTAAAGAGTAACAGAGCAGTATTGCTGCCATCATGTCTCGCCTCCAGCCATATGGCAGTTTTCTCCTATCTCAGAATAGAATATATGGTCGGTTTTTTTTTTTTTTTTTTTTTTTGAGACAGAGTCTCGCTCTGTTGCCCAGGCTGGAGTGCAGTGGAGCAATCTCAGCTCACTGCAAGCCCCGCCTCCTGGGTTCACACCATTTTCCTGCCTCAGCTTCCCGAGTAACTGGGACTACAGGCACCCGCCACTACGCCCGGTGTGTGAGACGGGGTTTCACCGTGTTAGCCAGGATGGTCTCGATCTCCTGACCTCGTGATCTGCCCGCCTCAGCCTCCCAAAGTGCTGGGATGACAGGCGTGAGCCACGGCACCCGGCCATGTATGGTCGGTTTTACACTGAGCCATTCCATTCCCAGGGACGTGCAGGAGACAGATGCCTTCCTCTTATCCCAACAACACAGAGGCCTTCCTCTTTCACTAATCCTCCTCAGGCAGACCCTATGTGGGTGTCAGGCTGGGGGGCTGTAAGGTCTTTCCCTTCCCACGAGGCCACATCTCAGGCTGTCTCA
The DNA here is from genome assembly GCF_000001405.40 of Homo sapiens. Lineage (NCBI taxonomy): Eukaryota > Metazoa > Chordata > Mammalia > Primates > Hominidae > Homo > Homo sapiens. The sequence continues at coordinate 11,890,219 of NC_000001.11, read as the reverse complement.
GTGGGGGGAATCCTGGACAATACCTGGGCTTTCTTGGGCAGGGGTCCCTGCGGCCTTCCGCAGTGCATTGTATCTCTGGTTAATCGAGAATGGAGAATGGCGATGACTTTTACTAAGCATACTGCCTACAAAAACATTTCTAACAAAACACATCCTGCACAGCCCTAAATCCCTTAAACCTTGAGTCCATACAGCACATGTTTTTGTGAGCATAGGGTTGGGACAAGAGTTACAGATTAACAGCATCTCAAAGCAGAACAATTTTTCTTAGTACAGATCAAAATGGAGTTTCTTATGTCTTCCTGTCTCTGCATAGACACACTAACAATATGATCTCTCTTTCTTTTCCCCACAATTTGTCACCTGGCTGGCTTCATTCATTATTTCATTACACCAACCACCCGGCCCCTGTAGGTGTTTGGGTTGGCAACCCCAGCTTTCTTTCTTTCTTTCTTTCTTTCTTTATTTATTTATTTTTCTTTGAGACAGAGTCTAGCTCTGTCACCCAGGCTGGAGTGCAATGACATGATCTCGGCTCATTGCAACCTCCGTCCCCTGGGTTCAAGCGATTCTCATGCCTCAGCCTTCCGTGTAGCTGGGATTACAGTCGTGTGCCACCATACCCGGCTAATTTTCGTTTTTTTTTTTTTTAGTAGAGATAGGGTTTCACCATGTTGGCCAGGCTGGTCTTGGACTCCTGACCTCAAGTGATCTGCCCACTTCAGCCTCCCAAAGTGCTGGGATTACAGGTGTGAACCGCTGTGCCCGGCCCTCGGCATAATTTAAGTGGGAAGCCCAGTGTTATGATGACTGTCTCCGGTCATTCCAAGGCTGGGCACCTGCTTCTGGCTGAGTCTTGACCCCTCTCTTCTTCTTGGTGCGCCCTCTGGCCCTGCATGTGTACCCACCCACCTGGCACTTTCAGAAGAGTGGCTGTGACTCACTTAGACAAAAACTGCATTTTCCTGTCCTGATAGTCGAAAACTGCTTGGATGAGCCTAGACAATTTAGGGATTTGAAGGAGTTTCCCAAGCCCCTAATGTGTTCTTCCCTGGCTGAGTGGAGTGAGCCAGCCCCATGGGGCCCAGTGCCCTGGTCTCCCCACCATCACCTGCACCAGCCGGTCTCTGTCTTCCCCCTCCCCACCCCATCGTGATCAATGGGACAGGCCCTCAGGTTGCAGGGCATGAACCTGAGGGAGGAGCCAGACCTCGGGCCCTGAAGGGAGCTCTGGCCACTCACAGTCCCTCCAGGGAGCCCCTGGGTGTGGGGTTTGGGCTCTGACTGCAGCAGGAGGAGGCCCAGGAAGGACCCACCCTGGCTTTTCTCCTTTCCAGTGTGTCTCTTTCCCAGAAAAATATGGGTCCTAGTGGCCAGTGTCCCTGGGAGCTGTCGAATCAAGCTTCCTGGATACCTGCCACTCGGCCAGCTGGTGGCACCTTTAGAGGGCTTTTCCTGCCGCTGAGAACACGAATCTGTTGGGGAAAAGACTGCTAGATGAGCCCTGCCAGGTCCCGACACACTGCCTGGCTGTTGCCTGGGACCACAGTCTTTGCTCACCTCTTGGCTAAGCTTTAGCCTCCTTCCAGGAATGCTTCCTGGATCTCAGCCCTCTGGAGTTGTGTGTCTTCATCTGCCCCTAGTTTGCTGTGTGACTTCAGGCAAGCGGCACAACCTCTCTGCTCTACTCGCTTAGGATGCCTAGAAGAATCTGAGCAGAGCACTCTGGAAGGGACTGTGACAGAGGCAGTGGAGAAAGGGCTGGTGCAAGGAGAATGTTTATGTGGCAGCACCATGAGTAGCATGAGGCCGAGGGCTGGGAGCCCGATTTCCTGTGTTCGACTTCCAGTTCTAGGCTGGGCACGGTGGCTCACACCTGTAATCCCAGTACTTTGGTAGGCCGAGGCGGATGGATCACCTGAGGTCAGGAGTTTGAGACCAACCTGGCCAACGCGGTGAAACTCCATCTCTACTGAAAATATAAAAATTAGCCAGGTGTGTTGGTGCATGCCTGTAATCCCAGCTACTTGGGAGGCTGAGGCAGGAGAATCAATCTCTTGAACCCGGGAGGCGGAGGTTGCAGTGAGCAGAGATCGTGCCACTGTACTGCATCCTGGGTGACAGAGCAAGACCCCATCTCAAAAAACAAACAAACAAAAACAAAAAACCCACCAAATTCCGGTTCCATCGCTTGGCAGCTCCATGACCTTGGGGACAATTATAGCACCTACTGCATAGGATGGCTGAGAGGATTAAACAAAATTATGCAAGAGATGCACTTGGCACCATTGAAATGTTCAGGAAAGGCCATTGTTAGGATTGGTACCTGAACAGCATGGAACCTGCCAAAGGAAGAGAGGAGCTCCCGGGGCGCAGGTGTCAGCTCACCCACGATTCCTACAGGTGGAGCTGCGGCTATGAAGCCTTGATTTCCAGGGGTTGGGGACCTGGATTTGAGTCACTTTCGTTTGTGCCACGCCTGAGCATGGCAGACCCCCAGGGAGGAGTTGGGAGTGGGCTCTCGCAGGACCCCTGCCATGGTGGGTGCTGTGAGCTGCCCTCCCAGAGGTGAGTTCTCTGGGTCCTGCCACACAAAACACATGGCAGGGGCGTGGATCCCTACACCCAAACCCATACAAGGCCTTGGACCTGTGCTCACCAACTCAGATCACGGGGATGCAGGGGGTTCACCTTCTCCAAGGAAGGGCCAGGGACACAAGAGAAAACAGGGAGCTATTTTGAGAAGGTGTCAAGGCTGGGACACTAAAATTAGAGGCTTGGTTCCTAAAAAGACATTGGCGCCAACCGAGGCCTTGAAGAGGGGCTCTTCAGCACGGAATGTGACCCCAGGAAGCACGCTCACAATTCTGGACAATGAGGTCAGCCTGCAGGGCGCATGGGACCGCCCAATGGCCGGTGGGCATGGGCACCTCTCCCCCCGCCAGCCCCACCTGCAGAATGCTGGAACTGGCTCCAACCGCTTCCCGTCTGCACTGAGCCAGCGCAAGGGCGAGCGGACAGAGCCTCATGTTCCCGGTGCTGCTGCCCTTCCAGGCTGCCTTCCTTTTTTGACTGTCCTTTTGGCTTCTTATGCTTTTGGCTCCATTCTGGATGTGCGTCATGGGGTGGGATGCAGAAGCAGCAGCCAGCTTGGAGGCTGGTGTTCCCGGAGGCTGAGGGCGGGATGGGGGGAAATATGAACCAGGAAAGGGCCTGGTATCCCCAGCCCAGATGGGCCTAGGCTGCTGTCCCCCAGGGACAGAGAAGCTCAAGACTTTCTTTTTTTCTTTTTTTTTAGGCAGAGTCTTGCTGTGTCTCCCAGGCTGGAGTGCAGTGGCACGATCTCAGCTCACTGTAACCCCCATCTCCCAGGTTCAAGCGATTCTCTGCCTCAGCCTCCTGAGTAGTTGGTATTATAGGCATGCGCCACCACACCCCACTAATTTTTTGGATTTTTTAGTAGAGATGGGGTTTCGCCATGTTGGCCAGACTGGTCTCGAACTCCTGACCCCAAGTGATCTGCCTGCCTTGGCCTCCCAAAGTACTGGGATTACAGGTGTGAGCCACTGTGCCCAGCCCAAGACTTTCTTTCTTTGTCTCCTCCTCTGGCCTCAGAGGAAGCTGGGGAAGTCCTTACAGAGCCGACTTCCTGGGGTGAGGCGCCAAAGGGCTCTTAGTCCCGCTGCTCGGAGATGGAGGCGACCCCTCTCCCTCCTCTCAGGGCCCCGGCCTGGAGTCCAAGGCTTCATCATTTGCCTTTCCTCTTAGCCCAAGGTGTTTTCCCTGGAGAGGGAGGGTGGCAAATTTGATCCTGTCCCCACACTCCTGTTTAAATTCCCTTAGCGACTGCTCATGGCCCTGGGATGGGGTCTGAATTTATCACCGTCCAGAAGGCCCCACAAATTCCAGCCCTGCCCAGCTCTCACTCCAAGCCCTAGACCCGTGACCATCTCTCCTGTTTTCCAACACACCAAGTTCACACCCTCTCCTCCTCGCCCAGCTGAGTCCCACTTACTCAATGTAATGTGAGACAATGGAAATGTCCCTTCCCTAGAGAGGCCTGCCCAGGCCAGGACATTAGGCTCAGGCTTATTGCCATCTGTTCTTGTAGGACCGTTTTTGCTGTGTGCTGGTGCTCCCCATCAGAACATCAGCTCCATGGAATCTGCCTGCTGTTGTAACTCCAGTGCTTGGCACAAAGCCGGGGCTCAGAGATACACGTTGCCCTCGTTGAGGTGGAAACCAAGAGGGAAGTGCCCTGGTCACTCTTGGACAATGGGGGCCTAGAAATGCAGGGAGGTGGCTGTCACAGACAGGCTACCTGGGCAAAGGAGACTTGGTCTACCAAAGGAGGCCAGAAGGATGACACCATGGGAGGGTGCACTGCTGGAATGGGGCTTGGGGACAATGTCCACCGGTCTCACCCACAGGGCTGTCCGTGGCTCAGCGGTCAGCCCCAGCAGGTCCCCTGTCCTGCCCTGCTCTTTAGCCTGACTCCGTGGCACCTCTCCGAGACCAAAGCCGACAAGCAGATGGGCCTTGAATCAGGCTCGGAGGGTGAGCTGGGGTTTCCGTAGCAAAGGTAGAGGGAAGTGCTCAGGAAAATGATGAACATGTTTCCCCAAAAACTGGCATAGTTGTTCCCCTCAGAACCCCCATACTGTCTCCTGGATATGAGTAGAGATGGCTCAGTGCCTGTGGGGGCTCAGAGCCTGACCCTCCCTACCCCAGGTCCCACTGTCACATGCTTAGGCTTGTTAAACACTCAGACGGGTGCGGTGGCTCATGCCTGTAATCCCAGCACTTTGGGAGGCCGAGGCGGGAGGATCGCTTGAGTCCAGGAGTTTGAGATCAGCCTGGGCAGCATGGCAAGACTCCGTTTCTATTTTTTTAAATTAAAAAATTAAAAATTAAAAATAAAAATAAAACACACCCAGAAAAGCTGTGTTGAGTTGAATGGGGCTGCATCAGCTTTGCTTGGCTGGCTCTCTCCCAGCTCCTGCTAAGACACATTTGTCTGGGGCAGTTCTGGTTTACATCCATCCATTGGGGGGCTTTTTAACACAACCCATGTCATACCAACGCATCCTGGTTTGGAATTTATGTTACATGGTTATGCTATTAGGTCTAAATATGTTCATATGGAATTATCTCTAAGACAATTTAGTAATTAAATAACTTAATAATTTAAGTAGTACAAATATGCAAAAAAATTGCATGTGCTTGTGCTGTAGAGGAAAATTCATGAAGGAGGCATAAGAAATTGATCAGCGATGCCTGGGAGGGGAGTAGGTGGGAGCTGAGGGACTGGGAGTTCGATGGGAGGGAGTTACCTTTAATTGTGCGTCCTCTTCTATATATACAGGATATATAGAATCATATGTATATACATATATGGGTGTGTTTTTCTTGTTTTTTGTTTTTTGTTTTTGTTTTTTTTTTTTTTGAGACAGAGTCTCACTCTGTCACCCAGACTGGAATGCAGTGGCATGATCTCAGCTCACTACAACATCTGCCTCCCGGTTTAAGCGATTCTCATGCCTCAGTCTCCTAATAGCTGGGACCACAAGTGCACACCACCATGTCCGGCTAATTTTTTGTCTTTTTATTAGAGATGGGGTTTCACTATGTTGCTCAGGCTGGTCTCAAACTCCTGGCCTCACGCGATCCTCTGGCCTCAGTTTCCCAAAGTGCTGGGATTACAGGTGTGAGCCGCCATGCCTGGCATGATTTCTACTACTTTTTGAGAAAAGTAAACTTGAGTTACTTTTTCTCAAAAAAAATAAAATAAAATAAAGGGCCCGGCGCAGTGGCTCACGCCTGTAATCCCAGTGCTTTGGGAGGCTGAGGCAGGTGGATCACAAGGTCAGGAGATCGAGACCATCCTGGCTAACACGGTGAAACCCCGTCTCTACTAAAAATACGAAAAATTAGCCGGGCGTGGTGGTGGGCGCCTGTAGTCCCAGCTACTCGGGAGGCTGAGGCAGGAGAGTGGTGTGAACCCAGGAGGCAGAGCTTGCAGTGAGCCAAGATGGCGCCACTGCACTCCAGCCTGGGTGACAGAGCAAGACTCCGTCTCAAACAACAAAAAAGCAAAAACAAACAAAAAAACCTCCACTGCACGCCCCTCACCCCTCTAGCCTGAACCCCCAGGTTTATATTATATGGCTTGGGGCTTCTTACTTTGTTATTTTTCTACCACTGATTTCTGAGGTTTGGTGGGAAACTTGGTGACATCTGGGCTTTGTAATTAATAAAATACAAAGCAAAAAACCCGACAAAACATGTTTGGTCTTTCTCTGTTTTGACTACACATTCCTCGAGGGCAGGGACATTTGGGGGTCGCCTTCGTCCAACAGTGGTGAGTTCATGGTAGGTGTGAACAGGTGTTTGCTAAACTAAGCCCAGGACGGTGAGAAGGGCGAGCGGGTCCCTCACCAGCAAGAGCCCTGGAGGATCTCTTAGGGGTGCCTGTCCCTGGCTGCCTGCCCACCTTTTCCAAGAGGCCTTTCTAACTCTCCTACCAGAGCCGGCAGACTGGGTCCATCCTGGAGCCCGCTTGGTGGGCTGTGGTGAGTGGAGGTTTTCCACACCACGGGAAGTAGCCCAGGCTTGATGAACGATGACTTCCCGGGCGAGGGATGGAGAACATTGTACCCACTCACGTGCGGGCACAGGTGATCCCGGCTGGAGCAAAGACTCTCATAGTTTGCTTCCTGCTTGGCCGTGACAATGACCCAGGCTCTCAGCCCCCATGCACTTGCACACTCCCCTCAGGGCCACATGGGGTGGGCTGGAGAATCCCAGGAATGTGTTGGAGCTGCTGACAGCACTTCATGCTCTGCGTGTGATCGGCCCATGTGACTTCCTCAGGGAACTGTGTGCCTGGTGGGCTCCAGCACCCCTATCCTGAATCTCCCAGGTCTTCTGATCCCCAGCGCTGGTGCTTAAGAGCGGGATGGGGTTGGGGGGATGCAGAGATGAAATGTAATGGGCAAATCTGCTTGCCCATGGCCACTCCACTTTGTTCTTCATCCAGGGAGGGGTGGCCTAGGCATGGTGGCCAGGGCTTGGCTGTGCACAGGGAACAGGAAGCCGTGAGTGGGAGTGGCCAGGGGAGGCGGGTGGCGCTCACTGCCTACAGCAGGTGTGGCCATGGTGCTGACAGGTCCAGCTTATCAGGGCTGGAGGCCCAGGCTCCAGACGTGCAGGCTGTGGGGCTTTATCAGCCTTTAGAGCGCCAGAGTTTGTGGCAATCCTGCCAGCCATGGGTGCTGACAGCCAGGAGCTAGGCGGAGTACAGCTTCCTCTCTTGGCCTCCCTGCTCCCAGCCTCAAGGCCGGGGTTCACACTGCAGGGACATTTGAGGAGAGGAGAGATGGCAGGGAGGAGAGGGAGGAGGAGATGGGCCCAGAAGCTTGTTTCTCCTCCAGAGATTTTATTTATTTTATTTTTAAAGGAAATGTCTCTGAGTTTTATATATATATATATTTGTCTTTTTGTTTGTTTTGTTTTGTTTTTAAAGACAGGGTCTTGCTCTGTTGCCTAGGCTGGAGTGCAGTAGTGCGATCACAGCTCACTGCAGCCTCGACCTTCCGCAAGGTTTTAAAACGTGTTCATACCTTCACAAAAACTGACACCTGCTTACTGCAACAAGTGAAATTATTTTAAAAGGGCTGAGGAGCTTTGAGGGGAGAAAGGAGGAGGTGAATGAGAGGGGGATGGAGAAGCACTAAGAACAAAATCCAGCCCCTTCCCCCTTTCCCCAGCTGCCTCCTAAGCTGTCTCAGAGCTCTCCTCGAGCTGCCCTCCATGTGAGTTTCCTAAACCGTCTCGAAGCTCTCCTCCTGCGTCTGTATGAGTTTCCTGCGGCTGCTGTGTCAAATTGCCAACAACTCGGTGGCGTAAAACAAGACAGATGTATTATCTTATAGCTCCGGAGGCCAGAAGTCTAAAATCAGTATCCCTGGGCTGAAGTCGAGGTGTGGCAGGGCCGCCCTCTCTGGAGGCTGTCAGGGGAATACTTCCTGGCCTCTGCCGGCCTCTGGTGGCTCCAGGTGTTCCTTGGCTTGTGGCCGCATCACCCCAGTCTCTGCCTCCGTGGTCACACTGCCTTCCCTGCTTCTGTGTGTGGTGGTGTCGCCCTCTGCCTCCCTCTTGTATAATAAGAACACTTGTGATCATATTTAGGGTCCATTGCATAATCCAGGATGGTCTTCCCATCTCCGGAGCCTTAATTTAGTCACCACTGCAAAAGTTTAGTCACCTCTGCAAAGTCTGTTTATTGCCATATAAGGTGAGATTCCCAGGTTGCAGGGATTAGGGAGTGGACGTCTTTGCGAGGGCATTAATTAGCCCACCTACCCTCCCTCTCCAGCCCCACCAGCCTGCCAGGGCTCCTCAAACCACTACATTCCTTCCACCCCTGCCTCCTCAAGCGCTGGCTTTGGCTCTGTCCTCTGCTGGGATGCTCTTCCCCGAACCCTGGCTCCTCCTTATTCCCCTGAGCTCAGTTTAAACATCACCTCCTTGATGACAACCTCTGACCCATTCCAAGAAAAGAGGTGTGCCCAGTTACCCTTTGTGCCTGGCACATAGTAGCTGCCCACTGCAAAAGTGTTGGTGACTGACAGGCATAGAAACCTGAGCACTCGACAGCCCTGAAGGGGAAGCCTGGCTTCCTGATGCCTGGAACGTTCCTTGAGCCTTTCCTTGCCTTTGTTCTCCCACACCTGGGCAGAGGCCATCCATGTTGGGCAGAGTTCGAGGTCTATGTCTGCACTGGCCTAGGCCTCAGGGGATGGGGCCCTGGTTTTTTTCCCACCAAAGCCCATAGAGTAGAATGGGGTGGGGAGGGGAGGGGAGCGGAGGGGAGGGGCAGCACACATGTCAGCTTCCGCTGTGGGCCCTGGACAGGAAAGGTCACTGAAGGGACAGCGTCTCAGGGCCCAGCTCTGCAACATCTGGCTCACGGCCTGCCTTCCCAGCATGTCCCAGAGGCCCTTGAGGACAGAGTGGCAGGTGACAGCACTGACATTAGTGCCAGACTTCCTGGGCCACTGCCACCCACAGGGAGGGGCTTTGGGGAAGGCATCTGGCCTTTCTGTGTCCAGTATAATAAAAATAAGAGCCAACTTTTATGGAACACTGACTCAGCTCCAGGCTGTGCTCATTCAGTCCTCGCAGTCACTGAGATAATGGACTTCAGTGTGTAGAACCATTCATGGCAGCTGATATGTGCCCAAGAAACTGAGTTATTTCCCGGGGGCTCTTTGAAGGCTCTTGGTGTTTATCTGAACACAGAAGATGGAAGGGGGGAAAGATGGAGGCGGGAGGGAGGGAGAGAGGGACCAGGCTGCAGGGTCAAATGTCCTGGAATAAGTGCTTCAGTTCCCTGGAGGTGATTTCTGGATGATTTGTCTTGCTCTGTATGATTTCTTTATGTATTTATTATTTTTTTTTGGCATTAGCTCTCTGTTTATATAGACTCTGGTTCTAGAAACAACTCGCCTGCAGCCGGCTGGCTGGACCAGCACACGCTGACAGGGCTGGGCTATTTACAGGCCCATTGCGGGCTGTACCTTGGTCACCTCCAGGGACAGTGCTCAGCTGTGACCCCAAAATAAGTTAGGGCCAGCTGGGTGGGGCGGGGCGGGATGGGGCAGGGGCTGTATGCACCATGTGCTGGGGGCTCAGGGCCTCAATATTGTTGAGGGCTGGGGCAGTAAAGATGGCTGGGGCAGCCCTGCCCACCCCTAGTGGTCAGTAACGACCGGAAGCAGAGCAGCTGGGCGGGGCCGGGAGGCTCAGGTGTCTGACAGGCAGCTCTGGATCCCGTCCACCCACTGCTGGGCCAAGGGCATATCCTGGGCACAGATGTTGTAAACGCAAAGTGTTGTCTTCACGTCAAAGAAAGCCTTCTCATCCATGGTCTTAGGGCGTGCCCCTGCCACAGCCTCCACCTCCGCCAGTCGATGACACCCTTGCACTCTGTGTCCACACAGTGGTTGCAGTAGCACAGCTGGTGCTGGTCTTGTCCAACATGAACCAGCGGGCCTTCCAAGGCTTCATGAAGGCCTCCTTCTTCTACAGAGTGCCCTCGTTGGACCCGTTCTCACTCTCAGCTCTCTGGAACTGGCTGCACAGGGTGCTGGTGCTGTGGCGGGCAGCCTGGCAGGAGCCAGAAGCGGTCGAGCCACTACTCTGGTCGCTGTCCAGGCTGAGGCTCAGGGTGGAGCCCACGGGCCCCTCCGGCAGTCACACACCCAGGAACGGTGGTGGTGGGGTGCAGTGGACACTAGAAGGGAGCTAGGGGTGCCACTTCCGTCTGGCCAGCCTTCCAGGCGCTGTGCAGCCTTCACCTGGTCCCAGGTGTCCTTCCATCACTGAGGGCATTAGCCCAGCTCTGTCTCCAGCCTCTGCAGCTCCTCCAGCAGAAGTGAGATAGCATCAGGCTGGGGTCAGGGGCAGCTGTCGTAGCAGGGCCACGCCACGCGGTGCCTGCACTGGGGAGCACCTCCGTCAGACCGTTCTTCCTCCAGGGGCCCAGGGGGCCCCTGGGCCAGTTCCCAGTCATAGGGAGGGCCCTTGGCCAGTATCTCCTCAGTGTAGAAATCCCACACCTTCAGGTTGGACACGTTGCTGTAGGGCTGCGGGAGCTCTGTGTCCTCGGGTGCATGCATGTAATTGTAGAACATGGGCGTCCTCTTGCTCAGCCGGTCCACACACTCCCACAAAGACCTGCACAGCAGCTGGCCCCTGCGTTCCCCCTTCTCCTCATACAGCAGCCCCAGCTCAATGCTCTCAGGGTCAGAGTCAAGTAGGAAGGTCCGGAACGGCGGGACATATGGTGGCAGCCGAGGAACCTGAGGTAGAACTGGCTGAACTCAAACTCCATGGAGAACTGCAGATGGACCTGGTGTTACACAGTCCAGGAACTACAGGAAGGCAGGTGTGAAGCCGCTGCTCTGCCCAGCCAGGGTGTGGGCTCCACGGTGGCTGAAGGGATGACTGAAGGACAACCACTTCTTCTCCACTGGCAGGCGGAAGCTCTCCAGCGTGCAATAGAAGGGGTCTGAGAGCAGCTGCACCAAGGATACCACCTGGGAGGTGATGTCCCAGCCATCCTCCAGGCCCACCAGCACAGAGGAGTCTGAATCCAGGGGCTCCACCACCAGCACTGGCACCTGCAGCAGCTTGTGGATTGGGGTCAGCCGCTCCGAGTCCTCCAGCAAGCACAGGAAGGAGGCTGGGCTGGGCTCAGCAGCGGGGCAGCCCGGGACACATGCCTTCAGCAGCTTCTTGAAGTTGGCCTTCACCTGCTGTTCCTCGAATACCTCAATGGGCACCAGCTCCCACTGCTGCAGGGAGTCTGGCCGCACACCCTTGAGCTGGGCTTTGTTCCCGAGGATGTAGAGGGCTACTCGCTGCAGCCGCAGGAAGCCCGGGTGGGCGAGGGGGCCCTGTTGCCTGGGGTGGGGCCAGCACGTCTCTGCCAACTAACCAGGAGCCCATATTGGCACCAAGCCCACTGCTGCGCCCGCTGGTCTGGACACTGCCCCACTTACTTCGGGGTGCAGTCCATCTGGAGGGCAAGGGCGCCATGGGGTTGGACAGTGTGATGACCCTGGCTCTGGGGCTGGGAATGTGACTGCCCATGTGGGCTGAGGAGAAGCCGGTAAGCATGTTGCGTCCCGACGCGTCGGCATAGTGGGGCATGGAACTGACCACAGCCTGCAGGTACTTCTCCTGCTCCAGGCTACTCGAGTCCACCTGGGACTGGCCTGGAGAAGGTGCGTTCTGGGCCTTGAAGAGGCCGAGGACACCTCTGCCCTGCAGGCCCCAGAGCGCAGCAGCACTGCCTTGGACCACCCGCTGCACCAGCAGATTACGGGGAAGCAGTTCTGGTAGTAGCAGTGGGACACCCACTGCAGGGCATTGTCCTGGACACCCTGGGGCACGATCAGCAGCCCCGGGTAGCTGCAGCAGTTGGTGGTCAACATGCGGTTGTCCAGAGAAATGCGGAAGAGCTTTGGCCCAGCTCAGGCTGCTGCTCAGGGTGCCCAGCCCGAGGTACTGCTAGTTGCGGCAGCAAGCCTCTTCCACCAGGCTGCTGATGGTCATGCCGTCTGAGGGCTTCAGAGCTGAGGCCGGGGTCAGCGTGCTGGGCTCCAGCTCCTCTGACACTGAGATCTCGTCCCCTTGGTCTTCAGGGGGCAGCTGGCCCCGGTGCTGCCAGCTTGGGGGGGTTGTACTTCTTAAGAGTGACATGCTGGTGCCTGATGGTCTTCTTGGAGTTTTTGACCAGGTTGTGGGACAGGGTTCTGAGGGAAGGACCCTTGTCCTTGGTGACTCGGGGTGGCCAGCCAAGTGTATAGGCAGAGCCCAGGGTGAACGCCAAGGTGGCTCTGACGTCCGGCGGTACCGCAGCTTATGCAGCTGCCTGCGGAAGTTGCTCTGGATGCTTTTTAAAGCTCCCTTTGGCCGGGTGCAGTGGCTCATGCCTGTTATCCCAGCACATTGGGAGGCTGAGGCAGGAGGATCCCTTGAGCCCGGGAGGTCAAGACCAGCCTGGGCAACATAGGGAGACCCCCACTTCTACAAAAAAAAAAAAAGTTAGCTGGGCTGTGGTGTTGCACGCCTGTAGTCCTGGCAACTCAGGAGGCTGAGGTGGGAGGATCACTTGAGCCCAGGAGTTTGAGGCTGCAGTGAGCTGTGATCATGCCACTGCCCTCTAGCCTGGGTGACAGAGCAAAATGCTGTCTCTGAAATAAATAAATAAATAAATAGTCCTCTTCATTCTTGTTTGTTCATTTGTTTGTTTTTGAGGCTGAGAACAGCGGACCTGTCTTGGTGACGGGGACCAGCCTGTGAGCATGAACTTAAAAACTCACCCAGACAGAAGGAACTGCTCGCTCTCAGAGCACAGCAGACAGCTCTGCTGGAACTGGGATCTAAGTCAAGCAGGGAGTCGCGTGGTTCTTGAATAAATGGCTTGAATATGACCCTCACCCCACAGTCAGAGACAAAAAAACAGACTGATGGCTGATGGGCTCCCGAGAACAGGAGTCATCTGTCACTTATGATGAACAATTTTATATATACACACACACACACACACACACACACACACACACATAATTACATGAACACACACACACATATATACATGAACACACACGCACATATATATGTGCATATATGTGTGTGTGTGTGTGTGTGTGTGTGTGTGTGTATTTGAGACAGAGTTTTGCTCTGTTGCCCAGGCTGGAGTGCAGTGGTGCGATTTCAGCTCACTGCAACCTCCGCCTCCTGGGTTCAAGCCATTCTCCTGCCTCAGCCTCCTGAGTAGCTGGGACTACAGGCGTGCGCCACCACACCTGGCTAATTTTTGTATTTTTAGTAGAGATGGGATTTCATCATGTTGGCCCGGCTGCTCTCGTACTCCTGATCTCAAGTGATCTACCTGCCTCGGCCTCCCAAGGTGCTGACATCATGGGCATGAGCCACTGCGCCCAGCCCAAATGGTATTTTCAAATGATCTCTCTAAGGTTTGGAGTTCTGCCCGAAGCTACTTCACATCATGCTAGAAAAGTGATCCCATTAAGATAAGCACAGTAGGTGCTGGGGAGCGAGGCAAAAGCTCTTGGTTGGCTTTATTCCCCAAGTGCTCACACCCTGGGACATTCCCGCCACTCTCCTCCCTCCTCAAAGCTTCCTCTGGGAGCCCAAGTGCCTGATGCTACCCCCAACAATAGGGTAACGTGGGGCAGAAAACACTGTCTGCCTTCTTCACCCCGGGAATGGAGCTGAACTTCCAACGGGAAGGGTTCAGTTCTCTCTCTCACCTCCACTGGAGGAAGAAGCTGGGGTGAGAGACAAGAATTCAACCTCAGAGGACTTTCTTTGTAGGGTGAGAAAGCCCTGGGCGTTAGGATCACAGAATTGAAGATTAGATTAGATTAGATTAAAGTTCAGCCATTACTAAGCCTGTCTGTATCTTGTGCTCCATAAATGAGGGGTCCTGTTTTCCTTGTTTCTGCTGTGATCCCAGTGCTCAGACAGTGCTTGGCATATAGCAAGCACTCAATAAATAGTTGAATGGATGAACGGATGCCTCACTTTCCTCATTTATACAACAGAAATCATGGTACTCCCCTGTATTCACTTTCTGTTGCTATGTAACAAATTAGCCCCAAATTACTTGGTGGCTTAAAACAACAATCATTTTATTCCCGCTCTTGATTTCCATGGATCAGGAATTTGGGATTTTTTTTTTTTTTTTAAAGACGGAGTTTTGTCCTATCACCCAGGCTGGAGTGCAGTGGCGCGATCTCGGGTCACTGCAACCTCTGCCTCCCCAGGATCAAACAATTCTCCTGCCTCAGCCTCCCCAGTAGCTGGGACTACAGGTGCCCACCACCATACTCGGCTAATTTTTTGTATTTTTAGTAGAGATGGGGTTTTGCCATGTTGACCAGGCTGGTCTCAAACTCCTGACCTCAAGTGATATGCCCGCTTGGCCTCCCAAAGTGCTGGGATTACAAGCGTGAGCTGCTGCGACTGGCCAGAATTTGGGATTTTGTGTGGCTCTGTCTCAGGGTCTTTCATGCTACTGCAGTCAGACAGTGGCTGGAGTCGGAACAGGAGGGGACTGGCCAGGCATTTCTCTTCATGGAGTCTCAGGGCTTCTCCAGCGGTGGCTTTGGGCTTCCTCACACCATGGTTGCCCCAGGGCTCCCAGGCAAGTGCTCTGGTGAGGAAAGTGGAAGCTACTTCAATGCTATAACCTAGTCTGAGAAGTCACAGAGCGTCACTTCTGCCACAGGCCCAGGCCTGTCCAGATTCAAGAGGAGGGAACGTGGACTCTGCTTCCGATGGGAGGAGTGTCGGTGTCCCATGGTGGGAGCACATGGGGTGGGGCAGCTCGTGGCCATCTTTGGAGATTCAATCTGCCGCCACTAGGAGGAGGCCGGACTGACATTCGAACCCAGGCAGGCCGAATGCAGGTCCTGACTTCTGCATCACCGCTGCATGGGGCTGCCCCAGGACAGGCCAAGTCTCCCAAAGACCTAAAGCAAAACTAAGGATGCAGTGAGGCCCACAGCAAACACCCTTTGCAAATACAAGATGCCTGGGTTCGTTTACTGTGGCTGTCCTAAGAAAGCACCGCAAAGTGGGTGGCTTCAAACAACAGAAATGGTCTCCTTACGGTTCCAGAGGCCAACAGGCTGTGACCGTGGACCGGGCCATGCCTTCTCTGAGGACTCTAGGGAGGGGCCGTCCTTGCCTCTCCCAGCCTCCAGGGTTGCTGGGAATCAGGGGTGTTCCTTGGCTTGTACATGCATCACTGCAGCCTCTGCCTCGGCTTTTACTCAGCCTCCCCCCTGCCTGTCTGTGTCTGCATCTCTCCTCTTCTTACAAGGACATCAGCCGTATTGGACCAGGACCTACCCTAATCCAGTATGATCTCATCCTAACAAATGACATCTGCACAGATCTCTTTTCCAAACAAGGTCACACACTGAGGTTCTGGGTGGACATGAATTTTGGGGACATGATTCAACTCACAATGGCCCTGTCTGATTTCCCAGTCATGGCCTGCCTATGTTCCCAGCCCCTCAAGCTCCGCACAGCCCTTTAAATGGAGGGACATGGCTCCTGGGTCATCAAGCACACCCAGGAGGATGCAGCCAGCCTCAGAGGGCCTAGAACGCAGAGCCCGAGTGGCAGTGGCCACCTTCACTGGGGAGTAAGGTCAGGGAGGAGAGGCAGCCAGAGGGCCTTTGGTAGCCTGCCAGCGCCTCCCTCATTTCCCACATGTCACAGGACTTCTTACGGTCCAGCCGGCTCTGTTCCTCGGTTGTCCCTCCCAAGCACAGTGCGTCCTCTCCTGGGACGGCTCTATTAATAACCCTCATGTGGATGTTCTGGGACGGCCATTCATGCTTCCTGTCCTCACGTGTGGCCCCCACTCTACGCCATTCATGAGAGTGACCCCCAGGCGTGGCTGGCTCCCTCCCTTTCTCCACTGCCAGCGTGTCTGCAGGATCCAAGGTGCCATGTGTTTGCTGTTCACAGTGACCCATGAGTGAGAGGCAGCGGCGTTCACACCATAGTTTAAGTTAACAATGCCCGGCTGGGACGTGCGCTGTGTGGCCCTCCTCGGGGACTGCAGTGTGGCAGAAAAAAACACCCTGAGCTTCCTCTCTTCTCTTTCTCCTGCTGATATTTTGCTGCCCCTAACAATCATTGGATCCAATATAAGCTATAAAAGGCAGCCTCACAAGTGCTGAGCAGGGGAGGGAAGGATGGAGAGGGGTCTGCAGGGGCGACTAAAGATTCCCAGCATGAAAGGCAACTGCTATCTATCAAGGATATTCATCCATCTAACGGGGGTAATAATTTATCCTAGAGCTGTTGCTAAGGCTGAGTTAATATAGCTGAAGTGTACTATCAAGGTTAATGGCACCCACCTGAGTTCAAATCTTTGCACACATCCTCACTTAAATGTAAAAACTCAACAAAGAATGCAAATGAAGCCATGACTCACTCCTTCAACATTACTAGGAGACAGAACCCAACAAACTTCAAATAATCTGCAGGTAGAAAAAAACCACCAAATACCAGCAGACCTCCACTGCCTCTATAGGTCATGAGCAGGGTCAACAGGTCAAGGGAGGCTTAAAGGACTCAGTACAGGCCAGGCACCGGGGCTCACGCCGGTAATCCCAACCCTTTGGGAGGCAAAGGTGGGAGGATTACTTGAGCTCAGGAGTTTGAGACCAGCCTGGGCAACATGGTGAAATCCCATCTCTACAAAAAAAAAAAAAAAAAAAAGAAACAAAAAAAAATCCCCCCCAGATTAGCCAGGTGTGGTGGTGTTTGCCTGTAGTCCCAGCTACTTGGGAGCCTGAGCGGGGAGGATCACTTGAGCCCAGGAGGTCAAGGCTGCAGTGAGCTGTGATCACGCCACTGCACTCCAGCCTGGGTGACAGAGCAAGACCCTGTCTCAAAAAACACAAAGCAAAAAAAACCTGTACATAGATTTTTAAAATATGGATTAAAACATGTAAATGCAAAATATGTAAACATAGTAAACATTGGCCAGGCAACACACCTTTGGTGAGGCTCCTTCCATATGTCCAGTCCTGCACCAGCCATTCCAAGTACATATCCTGTGCAGCTTCCATCCCAGAGGGGGAAACAGACAAGCCACCGAAGAATGTACTGAAAGGTGGCTTCCAAAAAGATATATTCATTTCCCAGCTCCTGGAACTTGTGAGTGTGATCTTATTTGGAACAAAGGTCATTGCAGACGTCATGAAATTAAAGATCTCGAGAAGAGATCATCCTAGATATAGGGTGGGTCCTAAGCCCAGTGACAGGGGTCCTTATAAAAGAAAGGGAGAGAGACATTTGAGACACAGAGATGCAGAGAAGGTCATGTGAGGACAGAGTCAGAGATGGGAGTGGTGCATGTATGAGCTGAGGAACGCCTGAAGCTGTCAGGAGCTAGAGGGGCCGGGAAAGATCTCCCCTATAGCCCCAGAAGCAGCTCGGCCTGGACAGCATCTTGATTTTGGATTTCTGACTTCCCGAATGATGAAAGATGCTTTTCTGTTGTTTGAAGCTGCCGAGTTGGTGGCCATTTGTTATAGCAGCCCTGGGAAACAAATGCAGGGAAGGCATTTTCCTTGCAACCAACTTCAAGATCATTGCTTGAGGCTGGCACAATGGCTCACACCTGTAATCCCAGCACTTTGGGAGGCTGGGGTGGGAGGATCATTTGAGGCCAGGAGTTTGAGACTAGCCTGAGCAATATAGTGAGACCCCATCTCTACCTGCCCCCAACCCCCCCACCAAAAAAAAAAAACAAAACGGAAATTAGCTAGACGTGGTGGCACCTACCTGTAGTCCCAGCTGCTAGGGAGGCTGAGGTGGGAGAATGGCATAAGCCCAGGGGTTTGAGGCTGCGGTGAGCCATGATCACGCCACTGCACTCCAGCCTGGGTGACAGAGGGAGACCTAGAGACAAAGTCTTATTCACAGTTGGATGTCTACCATTGAGAGTGCAGCCAGGGTCCACTTGGAGACAGGAACCATGCCAGTTATTCTAACAGAGAGAACTTAGTATATAAAAGTGTTAACTAGATATTGAAAACTTGAAAAGGCAAAGAGAAAACACTAAGTGTCACGGACAGAGAAACTGCAGGAAGTAGCTACCGTCCTTGGACAAGGGCAACGAAGGAAAGAGGCTGAAGTTGTTAAAACTTAGAAGCTTGGAGGAGGAGTCCCTTGGGGCTGGGACGCAGACCTCTGAAGGGGATGGAAAGAATCAGAAGAAGCCAGATATTGGGGCCAGCTCTCCAGACAGGCATGGCCACACTTAATCAAAGTCAGATCATATTTCTCCTTGGCTCAATACACTCCATGGCTGGTCGGGCACGGTGGCTCATGCTTATAATCCCAGGACTTTGCGGGGCTGAGGTGGGCAGATCATGAGGTCAGGAATTCAAGACCAGCCTGGCCGACACAATGAAACCCTGCCTCTACTAAAAATATAAAAATTAGTGGGGCGTGGTGGCAGGCACCTGTAATCTTAGCTACTTGGGAGGCTGAGGCAGGAGAATCGCTTGAACCCAGGAGGCGGAGGTTACAGTGAGCCGAGATCACACCACAGCACTCCAGCCTGGGTGACAGAGCGAGACTCCATCTCGAAAAAACAAACAAACAAACAAACAACAACAACACACTCCATGGCTCCCATCTGACTTGGAGGAAAGTGACTCCGAGTCATACCTGGAAGGCTGTGCTTTGTCGCACGCTGACGGCTTCTCTGAGCCATTTCCTACGTGTCTCTCCTCACTCACTTCACTCCCCAACACTGCCTTCTGGTTCTTGTATGTTTCAGACACACGCAGGGCCTTTGCACTGGCTGTTCCTCCTCCCTGGAACACTGTTCCATTAAATATCTTCTAAATTCTCTTTTATTTTTATAGACATAAGGGTCTCACTGCTATGTTACCCAGGCTGGGCTCAAGTGATCCTCCCGCCTTAGCTTCCCAAAGTGCTGGGATTACAGGCATGAGACACCGTGCCTGGCCTGTGTCCTTAAATATATATATATATATATATATATTTTTTTAGGCAGGGTTTCACTCTTGTCACCCAGGTTGGAGTGCAAGGGTGCAATCTTGGCTCACTGCTGCCACCTCTATCTCTCGGGCTCAAGCGATTTTTCTGTCTCAGCCTTCCAAGTAGCTGGGACTATAGGGCATGCCACCACCCCAGCTAAGTTTTATATTTTTTGTACAGATGGGGTTTCACCATGTTGCTCAGGCTGGCCTTGAGCTCCTGGGCTCAAGTGAACCACCAGCTTCGGGATCCCAAAGTGCTGGGATTACGGGCATGAGCCACCG
This sequence comes from Homo sapiens, assembly GCF_000001405.40. Classification (NCBI taxonomy): domain Eukaryota; kingdom Metazoa; phylum Chordata; class Mammalia; order Primates; family Hominidae; genus Homo; species Homo sapiens. The sequence goes on along the minus strand of NC_000001.11, from coordinate 11,870,798 downwards.
AGCCTGGCCTGTTCCCTTAAATATCTTTTAAGTCTTTGTTCCAACACACCTCCATAGTGAGCTCTTCCCTGACCTTCCTGCTAAAAGCCCAACTCCCAGCAGCCCCTCCCTTCACTCTGCTTCGTTTTCCTCCTTAGCAAGCATGGACACCTTCTCCTTTTTTTGTCTTACTCTGTCCCCCAGGCTGGAGTGCAGTGGTGCCATCTTGGCTCACTGCAACCTCCGCCTCCCAGGTTCAAGGATTCTCCTGCCTCAGCCTCCCTAGTAGCTGGGATTACAGGCACCCACCACCACGCCCAGCTAATTTTTGTATTTTTAGTAGAGACGGGGCTTTGCCATGTTGGCCAGGCTGGTCTCGAACTCCTGACTTTAGGTGACCCAACTGCCTCGGTCTCCCAAAGTGCTAGGATTACAGGTGTGAGCCACTGCACCTGGCCAGCATGGTCACCTTCTAAGACACAAAATACTCTAGTGATTTGGGTTATTGTTCATCTCCCCTCCACTAGAACAGAAGCTCCCCCAAGACAGGGATGTTATCTCTTTTGTTCGTTACTGTATCCTCAGTATCTAGAGCAGAGTAGGCATTCAGTAAATCTTGGTGGAATGAATGAGTGAATTAGGGCCTTTCCAAGGATAAATGCAGCGACTAGGGAAAGAGAGCTTGTTGGGTGCCACCTCTGAGTGGCCCTGCCTGCCCTCCCTTTCCCTGTCAGGACACAGGTCACAGGTGCTGTTCTGTCCTGGGGAGAACTGGAGGCTGGCCAGCTGCTCCCTGATCCATGGCCATCTAGAGCCATCTAGAGCCATCTAGAGCCTCTGAGCCCACTCCGGCCCCTCCAGCAGGAAGAAGATGTGAGCGCCTGATGGCCCAGCTCCAGTGCTGCAGGCCAGAGCAGCCAGGCTGGGAAGGAGAGCTCAGTGGAAAGGTATGTGTGAGGCACCCTCACTCCCCCAGACTGTATGTCCTGGGAGCCTTGTGGGAGATAGCGGCTGTGGGTGGTTGACAGGCCCCCAAGAGCTACCTTAAAATAAGTCCCTAGCAGAGCCATCCTGTTACCACCCTGGCTTCCTCCTGCCCCATTTTCAGGCCTGGGATGCTCCCTTCTCCCCAACCCAAAGAGAGGGCTTAGCTCAACCAGCCCTGCCCCGACAAACTATGAGAATTGTCCAAACGGCAGGCACAGCAGGTGTAACTGGGAGGAACAGCCACCAAGCTCAAGCTCGAAAACATGTGGTGGAGGTCATGTTGATGGCCATGATGATGGTGATGATGATAAAGGTATCAGTGAGGGTCCTAGCCGAAAACCAATAGCACACTCACATTAGGACAATTCAAGAAACGTTAATAAAGACTTTACAAAGATATAGGCATAGTGTATAAAGGCATTCAGAGGCCAGGTGAAGTAGCTCATGCCTGCTATCCTAGCACTTTGGGAGGCTGAGATGGGAGGATCCCTTGAGTCCGGGAGTTTGAGACCAGCCTGGGCAACACAGTGAGACCCCATCTCTAAAAAAAATAAAAAATCAGTGAGGTATGGTGGTGCATGCCTGTGGATTCAACTACTTGAGAGGCTGAGGCAGGAGGATCACCTGAGCCCAGGAAGTTGGAGGCTGCAATGAGCCATGATCACACCACTGCATTCCAAGCTGGGTGACAGAGTGAGACCCTGTCTAAAAAAATATGAAAAATAAAAATAAATAAATGCAGATAGATACAGAAACCACTAGAAATTGTGCCCAGGGAAAACAGCAGCAGCCAGATTGCCACCCTTAAGTCTGCAGGATCCTGACACAGAGAGAGCTGGGGAAGTGGTAGGTGCCAACGCTAGGTGGCACGGCAAGTCAGAGCTGGCAGAAAAAAACACCCTGGACTCCCTCTCTTCTCTTTCTCCTGCTGATATTCTGCCGCTCACCACCATTCATTGAATCCAACATAAGCCATAAAAGTCAGCCTCATGAGCGTTGAACAGGGGAGGGAAGGATGGAGAGGGGTCTGCACGGGCGACTAAAGATTCCCAGCACGAAAGGCAACCACCATCTATCAAGGATATTCATCCATTTAATGGGGGTAATAATTTATCCTAGGGATGCTTTGAAGGCTGAGCTAATACAGCTAAAGTGTACTAGCAAGGTTAATGGTGGCCATCTGAGTTAAAATCTTTGAATGCATCCTCACCTAAATGTATAAGGTCAACAAAGAATGCAAATGAAGCCATGACTCAATCCTTCAACATTACTAGGAGACAGAACACAATAAACTTCAGATAACCCGCAAGTAGAAAAAAGCCACCAAATTCCAGCAGACCTCCTGCTGCCACTGTAGGTATTGAGCAGGGTCAACAGGGCAAGGGAGGCTTAGAAGACTCAACGCAGGCCGGGTGTGGGGGCTTACGCCTGTAATCCCAGCAGTTTGGGAGGCTGAGATGGGAGGATCGCTTGAGTTCAGGAGTTCGAGACCAGCCTGGGCAACCTGGTGAAACCCTGTCACTACAAAAAATACCAAAAAATTAGCTGGGTGTGGTGGCACAGGCCTGTGGTCCCAGCTACTTGGGAGGCTGAGGTGGGAGAATCACTTGAGGCCAAGAAGTGGAGGCTGCAGTGTGCAGATGATTGATCCACTGCCCTCCAGCCTGGGGGACACAGCAAGACCCTGTGTCAAAAAAAAAAAAAAAAAAAAAAGAAAGAAAGAGAGAAAAAAAAAGGCACAGTATCAAGAGGAGGGAGAAGGGAGCAGAGTTAATAAACAAAGTACACACAGAGTCATCTTCAGAAAGAGAAAGGCCAGCACTGAGCGTCCAGATACCAAACACAGGTTTGGGACTCAGTGGCTCACAGCGCCAGCTACAAGAAAGAAGCTTGGAAGTGAATGGCTCAAAGCCAGCAGCCTCAATAACGCATTGCCTCTGGGAGAGAATCTGATTAATGGATGAGGTCGTTCATCTTCAGGATGGTGGCCACCAATTCTCTCCTTTCCTATAGATGCATGTAGTTCCCCACTGAGAGGCAGAATCCATTCCTCTACTCTCTTATGTATGGGTTTCCCTGTGACTATTTTTGTTTTGTTTTGTTATGGGATCTCACTCTGTCGCCCAGGCTGGAGTGCCGGTGATCCTCCCACCTCAGCCTTGCAAGTAGCTGGGATTACAGGCGCAGGTCACCATGACCAGCTAATATTTTTGTTTTTATTTTTAGTGGAGATCGTGTCTGGCTATGCTGGCCAGGGTGATCTCAAACTCCTGGGCTCAAGCAATCCTCCTGCCTTGGTTTCCCAAAGTGCTGGGACTATAGGTATGAGCCATGGTGCCCGGCCCCCGGGACTGTTTTTTTTTTTTTTTTGGTTTGGTTTGGTTTTTTTGAGATGGAGTTTTGCTCTTGTTGCCCAGGCTGGAGTGCAATGGTGCGATCTTGGCTCATCACAACCTCCGCCTCCCAGGTTCAAGCGATTCTCCTGCCTCAGCCTCCCAAGTAGCTGGGATTACAGTCATGCACCATCACGCCCAGCTAATTTTGTATTTTTAGTAGAGATGGGGTTTCTCTATGTTGTTCAGGCTGGTCTTGAACTCCCGACCTCAGGTGATCTGGCCATCTCAGCCTCCCAAAGTGCTGGGATTACAGGCATGAGCCACCGCGTCTGGCCACCTGTGACTGTTTTAACCAATAGAAAATGATGAAGGAGACACCGGGCCAGTTCCTAGAAGAGGACTGGCAGCTTCCACTTTGGACCACTTGCTGTGGGGAAGGCCATCACCACTGAGGAATTCAGGCTGGCCACACAAGGAGGCTGCATGGAGAGAGACACAATGGACCAGCCTCCATCTGTCCTCGCCATTGCAGCCCAGGTAAGAGGCATGGATGAAATCTTCAGGTGACTCCTGACTCAGCCGCCATCTGACTACAACCACATGAAAGACCCCAAGTGACAGTCATGCAGCTGAGCCTCATCCACCCCTAGGACCACGAGATACAATCAAGTGATTGTTCTTTTAAGCCACTAAGTTTGGGGCGGTTTGTTGGACATTGAAAATCATCAGAACAATAGAGAGTGGTGGTGGCCCTTGGAGATGTGGCAATGAACAGAAATGAGGGAGTAAGGGGGTGTAATGAACCAAACTGAACTGTGTCCCCCCAAATTCGTATGTTGAAATCTGGCTGGGTGTGGTGTCTCACGCCTGTAATTCTAGCACTTTGTGAGGCAGAGGCAAGAAGAACGATTGAGCCCAGGAGTTCGAGACCAGCCTGGGCAACATAGGGAGACCCTGTCTCTACAAAAAATCTAAAAATTGGCTGGACGTGGTGGTGTGTGCCTGTAGTCCAGCGGCTCAGGAGGCTGAGGTGGAAGGATTGCTTGAGCCTGGGAGGTCAAGGCTGCAGTGGACCATGATTGCACCACTGTCCTCCGGCCTGGGCAACAGAGTGAGATCCTATCTCAAAAAAAGTTAACCTCAGTATCTCAGAATGTGACTATATTTGAAGACAGGGCCTTTAAAGGGGTAATTATCAGGTTCGTTCAAAAATCATTGCAGTTTGCCATTACGTTTCATGGCCAAAACCACAATGACTTTTGCACCAACCTATACTTTGAAATGTGGTCATTAGGGTGGGCCCTAATCCAATATGACTGGTGTTCTTATAAGAAGAGGAGGCCAGGCACAGTGGCTCGTGCCTGTAATCCCAGCACTTTGGGAGGCCGAGGTGGGTGGATCACCTGAGGTCGGGAGTTTGAGACCAGCCTGACCAACATGGAGAAACCCTATCCCTACTAAAAATACAAAAATTAGCCGGGCGTAGTGGTGCACGCCTGTGATCTCAGCTACTCAGGAGGCTGAGGCAGGAGAATCGCTTGAACCCGGGAGGTGAAGGTTGCAGTGAGCCGAGATTGCGCCATTGCACTCCAGCCTGGGTGACAAGAGTGAAACTCTGTATCCAGAAAAAAAAAAAAAAAGAGGAGGTTAGGACACAGATATGTACAGAGGGAGACCATGGGAGGACACAGGAAGAGACGGCATCTGCAGCCAAAGAAAGAGGCCTCAGGAGAACCAGCCCCACCCACACCTTGATCTTGGACTCCCAGTCCTCAGAACTGATAGACAGTACACATCTGTTGTTCAAGCCCCCTGTCTGTGGTTCTTTGTTACTGCAGCCCTGGCAAACAACTACAGGAGGAAATTATGGATCCTGTAGAAACTAACGAGGAAGAAGATGCCCCCACCCCTTTCCTCCAATACTCCCCATCATCATCATTCATTTTAAGACCATGCTTTCAGCTGGGTGCAGTGGCTCACACCTGTAATCCCAGCACTTTGGGAGGCTGAGGCAGGCGGATCACTTGAGGCCGGGAGTTTGAGACCAGCCTCGCCAATATGGCAAAACCCTGTCTCTACTAAAAATACAAAAATTAGCTGGGTGTGGTGGCACACGCCTGTAATCCCAGCTACTCAGGAGGCTGAGGATGAGACTCTGTTGAACCCGGGAGGTGGAGGTTTGTTGCAGTGAGCCGAGATTGCACCACTGCACTCCAGCCTGGGTGATAGGGCGAGATTCTGGGACGGACCTCTTATCCTTTCTCCGGCAGCCTCACACCTGCTGAGCCATGCCCCTGCTGTTGAGAGACATGAAGAAAGCCAGGCTTCTGATTTTTCTCTCCAGCTCCTTAAGGTTGTTGAACACATTTTCTGCTTTTTGTCTGACCAAAGGGGACTAACTCACATTACAAAAGGAGAGAGTTAAATCAGACAATGTTCAGGACATTTGTCTGCAAAGACTCTGAGACTCCGGCTGTTATCGAGGGCTGAAATATCTTGTTTTCAAACATTTCTAAGAAAAAGGCAGGCAGTTTCTTTTGGAGACTGTCAGTTAAGAATCTTTAGAATGGAAGTGACAGAAATCTAATTAAGTTGCTTTGGGGAAAAAGAGGTCGAAGGGGCAGATTTATTGGCTCACATAACTGCAAAGTCCAAAGTAGATTGACATCAGGCATTGCTGGATCCAGGGACTTGAATGCTGTCACCAGAATGCCAGCGATGGGGAAAATATGGGTGAAGCACAGTTCTTTCTGGAGGTGGTAGGAAGGATAAGGTGACCCTTTCAGAGTCCCTTGTTCCTAAGCAAGGGGAGGGAGGGAGGGAGGAAGTGGGGGGCGGGGGAGACAGAGAGAGAGAGAGAGAATATTACCTGGCAACACACAGTAATTTCTATGCTCAGAAATTGCTGGTGAGGCTGGACATGGAGGGTTGGAAGTTTTTGGTTTTGTTATTGTTGTTATTGTTGTTATTGTTGAAGACAAGGTCTCACTCTGTCGCCCAGGCTGGAGTGTAGTGGGGTGATCCTGGGCTCCTGGGCTCAGGTGATCCTCCCGTTTCAGCCTTCCAAGTAGCTAGGACTATAGGTGACACCACCATACCCGGCTATTTTTTATTTTATTTAATTAATTTCTTTCTTTCTTTTTTTTTTTTTTGTAGAGGCAGGGTCTCACGATGTTGCCCAGGCTGGCTTTCAACTTCTGGGTTCAAGCAATCCTCCCACCTGGGCCTTCCAAAGTGCTGGGATTACAGGTGTGCACCACCACACCAGACTGAGTGGTGGGAATTAGTAATTATTTTCTTTCAAGCTGCCAAGCACAGCCCTCCCTCTGTTAACCATGTCTAGAGATTTACTTCAAGAGCAGAGAAGGTCTACAGACCCATGCTGGTTTCCAAAGCACCCCCTAACACACACACACACACACACACACACACACACACACACACTTGTGTGCACACCTGCATGTCTGCCACAGCTGTGAAGGGCCTGATGGCCCTATGCAGGTGGTTTCTGGCTTTTGGAGGAAGTCTAAGGGTCACAGAAGACAGAGGCACTACTGGGGAAGTGGGAGCTAGCAATCTCACCTATAAAATGGGGTAAGCTGGTAAGCTGGCCAGGCGTGGTGGCTCACAGCAGTAATCACAGCACTTTGGGAGGCCAAGGCAGGAGGATCACTTGAGCTTAGGAATTCAAGACCAGCCCAGGCAACATGGCGAAACCCTGTCTCTACAAAAAATATGAAAAATTTCTAAAAGTTAGCCAGGTGTGGTGGTGCATGCCTGTAGTCTCAGCTACTCAGGGGGCTGAGGCAGGAGAATTGCTTTAGCCTGGGGGAGTCAAGGCTGCAGTGAGCCAAGGTAGCCCCACTGCACTCCAGCCTGGGTGACAGAGTGAGACTCTGTCTCAAAAAAAAATGTGTATAGTATATATATAGGGTGAGTTGACTTATTACAACTAGGGCTTTTGTGCCTGGCAGAAACCTTAGTCTAATCCTTTCACTCTACACAAAGGGAAACCATCCTAGAACAGAGAAGCAAACCGAGCAGAATCTTCGGAACAGGCCGGGCACGGTGACTCACATCTGTAATCCCAGCAATTTGGGGGGCAGAGGCAGGCGGATCACCTGAGGTCAGGAGTTCGAGACCAGCCTGACCAACATGGTGAAACCCCATCTCTACTAAAAATAAAAAATTAGTTGGGTGTGGTGGCACGTGCCTCTAGTCCCAGCTACTCAGGAGGCTGAGACAGGAGAATCACTTGAACCCAGGAGGCGGAGGTTGCAGTGAGCTGAGATCGCACCACTGCATTCCAGCCTGGGTGAAAGAGGAAGACTGCATCTCAAAAAAATTAAAAAAAAAAAAAAAGAATCCCTGGAACAGAGCCACACCGTGAGTCAGCCACGGGCAGAGACGAGCCTGCCTCCTGCCTCCTGGGTCAGTGCTCCTCTGTTTCCTCCTTTGCTTCCCCCAGGTGCCCAGTGCTCTCATACCATCCACTTTGGCTGCCCAGGACTAGACTGGAGATTGAGGCCAGAGGGAAGCTACAGAAAAATCTTGCAGCTGGAGTCCTACTCTCTGACTAGTCAAACCTTGTATTCTGCACAGCTTCTTCCTTCTGCAGAGAGCATAGGGGTGGTAGCTGATCCATTAACCAGCCCTTCTAGCCTCTGCTTGTGCATCTGCTCTGCCCAGAGTGCCCTCCCCATCTTCCATCTTCCTTCTTGTGGCTAACTCATTCTTATCCTTCAAAGCCTTAGCCCAGCCCCACCTTCTCCAACAAACTCCCTTCTCGACTGCGCACTCCTGCTGTGCTCACAGAGCATCCAGGACTCACTGCCACTGTATCTGTCACTCACTGTGGCAGCCTGGGGAGCCTGTGATTGTGCCCACCTTTCCCCCTGCACTGTAAGCTTCTCAATGGCAGGGACTTTCTTGTCCGTTATGTATCCCCACCTTCCAGCAGAAATATTAGATTTTAACCTGCACAGTCTCATTTTATGCTCACAACAACCCTATGAGGTAGCCATGAGAAAACAAGGAGAGAGAGGAAGCAACTTGCCCAACACACAAAGGTAGCAAGAAGTTGATGTGAAATTGAGCCCAGACTGTGATTTCAGTCTTGGGTCTGGGCTACTGTGACCCCAGGGTCTCGGTGAAAGTTTGTTGAATGACTTAAGGGTCTTATTTCTTTCTGTGTGGCCAGATTAAGCACTTAGAGTTGGATGGTGGTGGGGAACCAATACTTCTACCATAACAACATTTGCTGAGGGCTTACTATGGGAGAGACACTATGCTTGGCATTTGACATATACTCTATTAATTTCCCATTGCTGCTGAAACAAAGTCTCACAAGCTTGTTGGCTTAAAAGAACATGATTTTATTTTCTTACAGTTCCAGACATCAGAAGTCTGAAATCTGTTTCACTGGGCTAAAACTAAGGTATTGGCAGGCCCATATTCCTTCTGGAAGCTCTAGGGAAAAATCCATTTCTTTGCCCTTTCCAACTTCTAGAGGCTGATTACATTCCTTGGCTCATGGCCCCTTCCTCTATCTTCAAAGCCAGCAGTGTAGTCTCTTCTCTCCTCTCTGACCTGTTCCCATCCTTACATTTTGTCCCTCTGACCTTGATCCTCTGGCTTCCCTCTTATAAGGACCCTTGTGATGACATTGAGCCTTCCTGAATAATCCAGGAGAATCTCTCCACCTTGAGGTCCTTAACTTAACCACACCTGCAAAGTCCTTTTTACCATGTAAAGTAGTATATTCGCAGATTCTGGGGATTAGAATATGGACATCTTTTGGGGACTATTATTCAGCTTACCACAGACATCATCAAATTTAATCCTTGTACATTAATGCTCCAACAGAGGTGTTATGATTAGCTTCATTAAATAGACTTGGAAAGCACATAGCATATGACAGGCCCTCGATAAATGTTGATGGGGCTGATCTGGTGTGAGAGTTAGTTGACAACATATCCTCCTCCCTGGACAGCAGGCCTTGGAGGATGTGTCTAGTTCTGTGTCTTCCTCAAGTCTTCTTCCACAGTCCCCTCCACTGGGGACAGATAGAAACTCTGTCAGAGTGTATGACACTTAGACACTTAATTGTCTCACTTGGGGTCACTTTGTCTCCCCAGTGAGATCACAATCTCCTTCAGTGTAAAGACCAACTCTCATGTACTACTAATTATTTGGCCCTTTATACAGTGCCACGGGCTTTTGCAGATATTATTTTTTTCCTTTTAGTCCTTGCAAGGACTGTCCATTTTGCCGAAGAGCAAAGTGAGGCTCTGGCGAGATGCAGAGTCAGTTTTTGATGGTGCTGGTTGATGAATCCTGCCTTGCTCTGAACCCTTTATCTCATGGTACTCAGCATGAGGGGCTTTCTGCACCCTCAGCAGCCTCTCGCCCACTGACTCCCCTCTGCACTTGGCTGAATTTTCTTACCTCTTTAGCTTCCTCTTAGCCTTTTGATACTCTTACTGTGGCATGCTCATGTGCACGCACACACACACACACACACACACACACACACACAAAACTACCCCAGCCCCCCAGAACATTTCCAGCACTGGTGTCTTTACACAGCCCTTACCCACCCACCTCCATTTATATTTCATCTGCAAAATGCTCATCTGAGCCACTTCCCATTCTTTCTCCTGCACACACAGTCACCACTAGAATTGCACATCCCCCACAGCACAGCTCCCAGAGCCTTCATAGATGACACGGGATTCACCTAAGCTTGCTTTTTGTAGAAACACCTTGTGATCACCCTGGCAGTGATTATGAGCTTCAGGTCTGGAATCAGACTGCTGGCTAGACTAATCAGACTGGTTAGAATCCAGGATTTATCATGTGTCAATTGTGTGACTTTTGGAAAGTAGATTAATTCATGAACACCATTTCCTCCTCTGAAGTGAGGAATAATAACCGTGCTTTTCTCACCTCAGGGGCAGATGCTATTTTTTAGGCAAGATCTGCTTAGAGGTCCCAGTTTCTTATTGCTGCCCTTCTCTGCTGTAACTCTTCTCCCCTCATAGACAGCTCCACTCCTCCAGCCTGCTGCTTGTTGACACCAATTCTCTGGAAGGGGAGTGACATCAGTCATATATGCTTTAGGGGGGTATTTAAGCTGCTATGACTCTTCTCAGGGGCATTTCTCTCCAAAGTCTCACTTCTAATCACCAGGCCACCTGCTAATGATAATTAGATCATGGGTGGTCAGATGAAGGAGGCACTGGGAGAGGGGAAATCCCCATATCTCTGGTATCCCAGCAAATAGATAACCATCATTCCAGCCATCCTTTTGTTTTCTTTCTTTCTTTCTTTCTTTCTTTCCTTCTTTCTTTCTTTCTTTTTTCGCTCTCTGTCAACCAGGCTGGAGTGCAGTGGCGTGATCTCAGCTCACTGCAACCTCCACCTCCTGGGTTCAAGTGATTCTCCTTCCTCAGCCTCCCGAGTAGCTGGGACTACAGGCGCCTGCCACCATGCCCAGCTAATTTTTGGTAATTTTAGTAGAGACGGGGTTTCACCGTGGTCTCGATCTCCTGACCTCGTGATCCGACCGCCTCGGCCTCTCAAAGTGCTGGGATTACAGGCGTGAACCACCATGCCCAGCCTATCCTTTTGTTTTCCATCCTGTGTTGGCTTGGTGGGGGAGAGGAGGTGTTGACACGTGGAGGACACACATATAAGGCATTCTTGGGTGACTTCGTCATCACTGGACCCTATCTCTCAAAATTCCAGCGAAATCTGCTCTTCCCTTTAAGGAGTGAAAGAAGGGTCAGCATTCCAGAAGTTCCTGGTCATACCCAGGCTTTTAATGAATTGCCACTGGGGAATCAGCATCCCGTTGCTGTAAGGACTATAAGATGGCGGATTGTGAGAGCATAGGGAAAGGTCTCGGAGGTCTCTTGTCCTTGCTCCACGCAGGTCTTTCTGGCCTGAAAATCCCGTTGAAGAGAGCAGCTCTTGAGAGTTTGCTCCAAGTTCCCTCGGGGTGATCAGCACCACGGACAGCGGCCAGGGCGCCCCCGAGGACCCGCAGGCAGGCAGGGTGCACAGCGGCGAGCAGGTGCTGCGCTACGTGCGGGCCAGGGAACTCGCGCGGGGAGGGGAGAGGCGCCGCGGGTGGCGGGGTCTTGGCCGGGGCTGTTTTCGCTGTGAGTCACCCCGTGCTCCCCGCGCTCACGTCGGTCCTCGGAAAGCCGGGGTCCTCCCTGCCTTTTCCAGCAACGGTGGGGTGGGGAGGCAGGAAGAAAGCGCCAACCTAGGACACCTGGACATTTGCAGGAAAGGAAGAAGCGGGAGACGGGGACTTGTCTGTGTCTCCAGCGCGTTCCTGCCCCCCGGCCCGACCCGGCCCATTTCTATACAAGGTCGGCTCTGCCCGGTCTCCACCTCCCACGTCGCAGGCGCGGAGGGGCTCATTCCCGGGCCCTGATCTCAGAGGCCCGGAATGTGGCTGATAAATCAGAGATAACCCTGCATGGCAGGGCAGGCCCGACACTCAGCTCCAGGATAAAAGGCCACGGTGTCCCGAGGAGCCAGGAGGAGCACCCCGCAGGCTGAGGGCAGGTGGGAAGCAAACCCGGACGCATCGCAGCAGCAGCAGCAGCAGCAGAAGCAGCAGCAGCAGCCTCCGCAGTCCCTCCAGAGACATGGATCCCCAGACAGCACCTTCCCGGGCGCTCCTGCTCCTGCTCTTCTTGCATCTGGCTTTCCTGGGAGGTCGTTCCCACCCGCTGGGCAGCCCCGGTTCAGCCTCGGACTTGGAAACGTCCGGGTTACAGGTGAGAGCGGAGGGCAGCTCAGGGGGATTGGACAGCAGCAATGAAAGGGTCCTCACCTGCTGTCCCAAGAGGCCCTCATCTTTCCTTTGGAATTAGTGATAAAGGAATCAGAAAATGGAGAGACTGGGTGCCCTGACCCTGTACCCAAGGCAGTCGGTTCACTTGGGTGCCATGAAGGGCTGGTGAGCCCAGGGGTGGGTCCCTGAGGCTTGGACGCCCCCATTCATTGCAGGAGCAGCGCAACCATTTGCAGGGCAAACTGTCGGAGCTGCAGGTGGAGCAGACATCCCTGGAGCCCCTCCAGGAGAGCCCCCGTCCCACAGGTGTCTGGAAGTCCCGGGAGGTAGCCACCGAGGGCATCCGTGGGCACCGCAAAATGGTCCTCTACACCCTGCGGGCACCACGAAGCCCCAAGATGGTGCAAGGGTCTGGCTGCTTTGGGAGGAAGATGGACCGGATCAGCTCCTCCAGTGGCCTGGGCTGCAAAGGTAAGCACCCCCTGCCACCCCGGCCGCCTTCCCCCATTCCAGTGTGTGACACTGTTAGAGTCACTTTGGGGTTTGTTGTCTCTGGGAACCACACTCTTTGAGAAAAGGTCACCTGGACATCGCTTCCTCTTGTTAACAGCCTTCAGGGCCAAGGGGTGCCTTTGTGGAATTAGTAAATGTGGGCTTATTTCATTACCATGCCCACAATACCTTCTCCCCACCTCCTACTTCTTATCAAAGGGGCAGAATCTCCTTTGGGGGTCTGTTTATCATTTGGCAGCCCCCCAGTGGTGCAGAAAGAGAACCAAACATTTCCTCCTGGTTTCCTCTAAACTGTCTATAGTCTCAAAGGCAGAGAGCAGGATCACCAGAGCAATGATAATCCCCAATTTACAGATGAGGAAACTGAGGCTCAGAGAGTTGCATTAAGCCTCAAACGTCTGATGACTAACAGGGTGGTGGGTGGCACACGATGAGGTAAGCTCAGCCCCTGCCTCCATCTCCCACCCTAACCATCATCACCCTCTCTCTTTCCCTGACAGTGCTGAGGCGGCATTAAGAGGAAGTCCTGGCTGCAGACACCTGCTTCTGATTCCACAAGGGGCTTTTTCCTCAACCCTGTGGCCGCCTTTGAAGTGACTCATTTTTTTAATGTATTTATGTATTTATTTGATTGTTTTATATAAGATGGTTTCTTACCTTTGAGCACAAAATTTCCACGGTGAAATAAAGTCAACATTATAAGCTTTATCTTTTGAAACTGATTTGTCTTGGCGCATTAAAAATAATCCCTCATTTCAAAGAAACCAACCCAACTAAAACCACAAAGCCCTGTGATCTCAAGGCATCTTCATGGTGGGATGAGGATGTGGCCTCAGAGGTAGCAGGCTTTCTTTTCTTTCAGAGTTTTTAATGCTCTGAAATGTTATTGAATATCTCAAGCACTTGAGGCACTTGGGAGAAACTGCTTTTCAAAGCAGGGCAGGATACGTGTGCAACCTGAGGGCACGTATCCAGCCGTTTTCTCCACTCGTCCTTGCTCTGCCTGGAATTCCACCATTAAAGCACTCTCCCTGGGGATTATTGCTTTCAGGTCTCAGCTAAAATGTCAACGACTGGGGGCAGTGTGTGTGGGTGTGGCTCATCTACATTCCCATACCGGGGTGAGCCCTCCATCCTGCCCCAAATATCAGCTTTGAAACTCCAATTCCTGGGGTCATCCTGCAAAGGAGCCTTCAAAACTCCAACCCACAAAGTGAGAGGGGTCTGGCAATCAGCCCAGCTTTCCAGGGTGCCCCTCCCCTGGGGCTGCATCATCTCTTCTCTTTGCCTTAACCAGTGGGGAGGCTGTCTCTCCTATGGGTCCCCTTCCCACACACCCTGCAATCCAGGCCTCCGCAGTGCTGAGTTCCTCTCCTTTCAGATTCCTGGGAAGGGCCTCATGTCATTCGCTTTCTCACAATGCCATTTATAATTCCAGCTCAGCTGAGGGGTAAGGCACCATGAGGTCCACTATTATTATGTCCATTTTCCAAATGGGAAAACTGAGACCCGGGAAAACTGAGACCCTGGAAAACCAAGCGTCCTATCCAAGAGCACACAGCGACTAAGCGCTGGTGTGGGAACTGAGCGGAGATCCAGGTGACTCTTGAGCCTGTGCTCTCTGACTCTTGAGCCCCACACTCCTGCCCTTGAACTTCACTCTCAAGTCTTTTCTGATGTTCTCATCAGATGTTTCTTTGAATGAGAGTGACCTAGAGGGTGGAACTTTGTGTTATTTATCATTTTCACCCAGTGTGCATCTGAGGATTTATGGATATCTAATGACATCAATTAAGATTGTTTAGACTGGGTGCGGTGGCTCACACCTGTAATCCCAGCACTTTGGAAGGCCGAGGCCAGAGGATCACCTGAGGTCAGGAGTTCGAGACCAGCCTGGCCAACATGGTGAAATCCCCTTTCTACTAAAAATACAAAAATTAGCCGGGCATGGTGGTGTGTGCCTGTAATTCCAGCTATTCAGGAGGCTGAGGCAGGGGAATCGCTTGAATCTGAGAGGTGGAGGTTGCAGTGAGCTAAGATTGCACCACTGCATTCCAGCCTGGGTAACAAGAGTGAAACTCCATAATCTCAAAAAAAAAAAATTGTTCAAAAACGAGGTTTTAGGCCAGGGACAGTGGCTCACACTGTAATCCCAGCACTTTGAAAGGCCGAGGCAGAAGGACGGCTTGAGCCCAGGAGTTCAAGACCAACCTGGGCAACATAATGGGACCCCCATATCTTCAAGAAATGAAAATGAAAAAAATTATCTGGGTGTAGTGGTGCATGCCTGTGGTCCCAGCTACTCAGGAGGCTGAGGTGGGAGGATCGCTTAAGCCTGGAAGCGGGGAGGCTGCAGTGAGCTGTGATTGTGCCACTGTACTCCAGCTTGGGTGACAGAGGGAGACCCCATCTCAAAAAACAAACGAACAAAAAAAGAGAATAAAAGAAATAAAAAAGAGGTTTTAGGGGCAGCTTATTTTTCCACCAACTGTGAGTCATGTCTAATGCTTCCAAACCGGGGAGAGCAATGAGTAATTAGAATAGTTAATATTCATAAAGGCCTCATTCATGTACCAGGCACAGTCATATAGACCTCACAACAATGAAGGAGTTAAATTTCTTTTTTTTTTTTTTTTTGAGACAGGTCTCACTCTGTCATCCAGGTTGAAGTGCAGCGGTGCAATCTCGGCTCACTGCAACCTCTGACTCCCGGGTTCAAGCGATTCTCTCGCCTCAACCTCCTGAGTAGCTGGGAGTACAGACATGCACCACCACCCTCAGCTAATTTTTGTATTTTTTGTAGAGATGGGGTTTCATCATGTTGGCCAGGCTGGTCTCGAACTCCTGGCCTCAAGTGATCCACCCGCCTCGGCCTCCCAAAGTGCTGGGATTACAGGCTTGAGCCACTGCTCCTGGCCTGGAGTTAAAACTCTTACATCCCTCTTTTTACAGATGGGGAAACCAAGGCACAGAGATATATAACTTGTCAATGTCATGTAGTTAGCAAGTGGCAGAGCCAAGATTCGAGGACCCGTACCCCTAACCACTGTCCCACCCAGCTTTTTCCAAGCCAGTGAATTAGGCTTGTGGGTGGGATGGAGGTCCCCCTCCTGGTGGCATCACTCAGTTCAACATCTGGGCCACTGCCTGCTGGTGGCCTTTCCCCTCTGCTCAGGTGATGAGGACACACCCCTCCCAAAATACTCCCCAAACCCAGCCAGCACTTTCAAATTCCTGCAGATGAGTCTGGCTCATCCATAAATGGGGCTCAGATGGTGGAGGCTGTACACACCATACATCCTGTTACTTGGGTCCTTTCCCTAAGCAAGGAAAGAGGACCCCAAAGTGACCTGCGAAGGAGCCAAATGTGACAGTTGGAGCTGGGTAGCGGTAGCGGGCCGCCTGCTGTACCCAGTGAGTGACATCTCATCAAGCTCTCCACGTGGTTGGTGTTTGCAGGCAGCTTTGTGGTACACACACCGCATGTAGATGCCCTTAAAACCAGCCCTCCCTAACCATTCCCCACGTAGCTGTAGCCATGGCCTTAACCTCCCTGACTCCCCGTTACCAACCTTGTCTCCCAAAGAAGCTGCCAAATGATTTATCTCCATAGACACTTTTTTTTTCTTTCTTTCTTTCTTTTTTTTTTTTTTTGAGACAGAGTTCTCTGTTGCTCAGGCTGGAGTGCAGTGGCATGAATACAGCTCACTGCAGCCTCAACCTCTCAGGCTCAAGCAATCCTCCCACCTCAGTCTTCCAAGTAGCTGGGACCACAGGCTCATGCACCACGCCTGGCTAATTTTTTTTTACTTTTAATTTTTTGTAGAGATGGGGTTTCACCAGGTTGCCCAGGCTGGTTTCAAGCTCCTGGGCTCAAGCAATCCTCACACCTTGGCCTCCCAAAGTGCTGGGATTACAGGTGTGAGCCACTGTGCCCAGCCTTACGCTTGTTATCTTATTTTTTATTTATTAATTATTTTTTGAGACAGAGTCTTGCTCTGCTGCCCAGGCTGGAGTGCAGTGGCACAACCTTGGCTCCCTGCAACCTCTGCCTCCCTGGTTCAAGCAATTGTCCTGCTTCAGCCTCCTGAGTAGCTGGGACTAGAGGCGTGTACCACCACACTTGGCTAATCTTTTTGTATTTTTAGTGGAGACGGGGTTTCACTGTGTTGGCCAGGCTGGTCTCGAACTCCTGACCTCAAATGATCTGCCTGCCTCGGCTTCCCAAAGTGCTGGGATTACAGGCGTGAGCCACCACACCCGGACTCTTGTTATTTTAATCTTTCCAGAAAGACGTGTTGGTGAAAACAGACTGAGGAGATTTAGTCCATGGCTTCAGAGCTGCAAGAAGCTTCAATAGAGAGTGAACTGGTTTTTTTCAGGTCTTCAGTGTTGAAGTCACAGAAGTCAGGACAACGTTGGGCCTGAAAGCTTCATCTCATGTCCGTGATTTTGCACCTGGGATAGTCTCAAGGAACACTGAGCCCCTCTCCCTCCCTCTTATGGCTGATTTGACCCTTCGTTGTTGTGTTTTGTTTTGTTTTGTTTTGTTTTTGAGATGGAGTCTCACTGTTGCCCAGGCTGGAGAGCAGTGGTGCGATCTCGGCTCACTGCGACCTCTGCCTCCCAGGTTCAAGCAATTCTCCTGCCTCAGCCTCCCGAGTAGCTGAGACTACAGGTGTGCGCCACCACGCCCGGCTAATTTTTTTGTATTTTTAGTAGAGACGGGGTTTCAGTGTGTTAGCCAGAATGGTCTCCATCTCCTGACCTCGTGATCCGCCCTCCTCGGCCTCCCAAAGTGCTGGGATTACAGGCATGAGCCACCGTGCCCCACCTGCTTTGGCCTTTCTGAGAATGATTTGTGGCAAGGAAAAAAAATGCATTTCTCTTCCTGCAGAGCTGGGTCTAAACCATGACATGAACTTGGCCATTTGTCTTTGTTCATGTTGTAGATCTCAGCCTCTCTCTAGGATTTTTCATCCACTGCCTTAGCTTAAATAATCAGTCTTATTCCACCAAGTGATCCATTTTTCCCTTGGGGTCTGGAGCCTGCCCCATACAGCTGCCTTAAGCGTTTCTAGAACCAAACTCAGTATCTGCCCTTGGACACTGGCTCCCACTCTCCTGCCTCTAGCTGTCCCGTTTCGGGCACGGCAGAGGCCCGTAGCCCCTGATCTTCAGCACACATCAATCCTTTCATCCAGCAGCACTGCACTTTTCTGCCTAAGAACTTTCTCTGGCAGCCGCAGCCCACTCAGCTCCTTGGGGCCGGCAGGAAGTGCTGGGGAATTGACATTGACCTGAGCAGTGCTCAACCAACATCTGACAGGAGCTGGCTTTTTTTTTTTTTTTTTTTTTAAATAGAGACAGAGTCTTGCTCTGTCACCAAGGCTGGAGTGCAGTGGCATGATCATAGCTCACTATAACCTCAAACTCTTGGGCTCAAGCGATCCTCCCACGTCAGCCTCCCAAGTAGCTGGGATTACAGGAGTATGCTGCCATGTCTGGCTAATTAAAATAATTTTTTTTTTCTGTAGAGATGGAGAGTCTCACTATGTTTGCAAGGCTGATTTTGAACTCACGGCCTCAAGCAATCCTCCTACCTTAGCCTCCCAAAGTGCTGGGATTACAGGTGTGAGCCACTGCACCTGGCCAGGAGTTGGCATTTAAAGACCCAGCTCACGCCTGGTGCAGCAGCTTACACTTGTAATCCCAGCACTTTGGGAGGCTGAGGTGGGAGGATAAATTGAGTTCAGATGTTCGAGACCGGCCTGGGCAACAAAGAGAGACCTCGTCTCTACTAAAAATAAAAGAAAAAAAATTAGCCGGGTATGGTGGTGAACATCTGTAGTCCAGCTACTCGGGAGGCTGAAATGGGAGGATCACTGAGCCGGGAAGTCAAGGCTGAAATTACCACTTCACTCCAGCCTGGGTGACAGAGCAAGACTCTGTTTCAAAAATAAAATAAAATAAAATAAAATAAAACAAACACCCAGCTCCCTTGAGTCATAGGTGGCATGTGTCTCTGTTCTCCAAACAGAGAACCTGTTTGGAGTTCTCTGTGGGAGGAGGATTAAGCACCTACTGCCAGAGGTGGTCACTGACTTCTACTTTTTCTGTATCACTTCCCCACTCTCCACTGACATTTCCTGGGTTTGTCTCCAAGATCAGCCACTAATACTGGAATATCTGTCTCCGGTTCAAGAGAACTTAAACTAAGACACTCCCAAATAAGTCAACCTTCCTGCAGAGCCCTGCCCTTCATGATTCTCCTGCCTCAGCCTCCCGAGTAGCTGGGACTACAGGTGCACACCACCATGCCTGGCTAATTTTTGTATTTTTAGTAGAGACGGGGTTTCACCATGTTGGTCAGGCTGGTCTCGAGCTCCTGACCTCAAGTGATCCACCCACCTCAGCCTCCCAAAGTGCTGGGATTACAGGCATGAGCCACTGCACTCAGCCAATGTCACCTTACATTTGCTTTCCTTCCTTCTCTATTTGTGTGGGCAGTGCTTTCAGAAGGCCCCCAGAGATCCCCAACCTCCTGGTCTTCATACCCTCTGTAACCCCCTCCCTTAGAGTGTGAGTGAGACCCAGAGACTCACTTCTAAGGGACACAGAACAGTACAACATGAAGAATGGGATGTCACTTCTGAGATTAGGTAACAAAGAGACTGTGGCTTCTTCCGTAACTTCTCTTTCTCGCCTGACCTAATAGAAGACAGTTGCGTCTCCATGGAGAGACCCACGTGGCAAGAAACTGATGTTTCCACCAGCCACCAGCCAGCGAGAACCTGTGGCTTCTGCCAACAGCTGCAGGAGTGAGCCTGAAAGCCTATCCTCCCCCAGCCAAGCCTTGAGATGACTGCAGCCGCAGCCAACGCCTTCATTGCCCAGGGGCCCCAGGCCAAGCAGGGCCAGATCCCTGATCCACAGAGCACAGAGGTGATGAGATAATAGATGTGCATTGTGTGAAGTTGCTAAGGTTTGGGGTGACTTGGTTTTTGTTTTGTTTTTTGTTTGTTTATTTATTAAAAACAGGGTTCCTTATGTTGCTCAGTCTTGTCTGGAACTCCTGAGCTCAAGAGATCTTCCTGCCTCAGCCTCCCAAAGGGCTAGTATTACAGGCGTGAGCCACCATGCCTGGCTTTTGTTCTTTTTGAGACAGGTTCTCACTCTGTCACCCAGGCTGGAGTGCAGTGGCTTGGTCATGGCTCACGGCAGCCTCAACTTCTTGGGCTGTGGTGATTCTCCCACCTCAGTGTCCAGGGTAGCTGGGATGACAGGCACGCACCACTGCACCCAGCTAATTTTTTGTATTTTTAGTACAAATGGGTTTTTGCCATGTTGCCCAGGGTGGTCTTGAACTCCTGGGTTCAAATGATCCTCCCAAAGTGTTGGAATGACAGGCGTGAGTCACCACGCCCAGTCTGGGGTGACTTGTTACCCGGCAGTAGTTAACTAAAACAGCCTCTCACTCCGCCTCACTCTTGCTTCCTTTGAATAGGAACCCCCACAAAACTTTAGCGAGTGACCTTTTGCCTTGGGCTTTGTTTTCTAGGGAAACTGTCCCCAGTCTTCAGCCCTTAGTGACCTCCATATTAAACCAAAGAAACAAAACATCATTTTCAAAGTCAGCAACGATCATCCCTAAGTATGAACCAATTTTTCCCAACTGGGGCTTCTGCTTTAGACCATCTGGGTCCCGCAGAATCATGCCACGAATGTGTTGGGGATTTCGTGCCAGCTCTGCACGCGGGTGACACTGCACACTCTGGGGCTCCCTGCAGCAGCCCAAGGCATACCCCCAGAGAATCGTGAAGCCAAACTCTGGGCTGGAATCTGGCAACACCCGGATTCTGGATTCTCCCACCCGTTTGCAGTGCTCCACCCGTTGTATGACTAAGATGACTTCTTTCCAGTGATAAGGAAATAAAAGGCTTTTGATTTTTCAGCCGTGGAAGAGGTGGGGATGGAGGTGGGCCTGGCTTTCTGTGCCTGTTACTTTTCTTCTCTCTCACTCCTACAGGCTGCTTCTAACCACCCCATGAAATATTAGATCCCCACCTACAGACAAACCCCAAGGCTTGCCAAAGAGGGTCCCTTTTATCTTATCTTAGAATAATATCACCCTGGATACCTCTTGTGACCTCTAGTCACTTGCTGCCCTGATTTCCAACCTTATGGCTGCACAACGTCCTGTTCACCTGGTCAGTCATGAGGTCAGCACACCTGGGGACAGATCTGGCCAGCCAGGACAGAGCTGGTCACTCAACACACATTTTCTGAGCTTCTAAGGAGTGGATTAAAACACATTCGGTGTAGAAATAGATCAGGAGAGCAGCCAACACACACAGACTTGGTAAGTGCACAAAAAAGCTACAGCCCCAGGGGCATGGGGAAGGTGAAGGAGCTCCCTTGGGGCATCTGAAAGATGGGGAATGGGGGTTTAATTGGGGAATGCAGCTAAGAGGTAAGGTGGCAGCTCTCTACGTGAAATAGGCTAGGATACAGACATCAGCGTCAGACCTGGGGATCCAGTCCTGGTTCCGCCACTTAGGCACCTAGTGGCCTTGGGCAAGTGGCATAGCCTCTCGGGCTCAGTTCTGTTCCCTTGTAAGCAAGGACAATGCTATCTACCACCTGGGGATGGTGATCAAAATAAAATCATTTCCATAAAGTTCTCAGCACAGTGCTAGGCATGCTACAAGCAACCAATAAAGACAACTATGATGGCCATCTTGCAGGGACTCAGCACTGCACACTTGTTATGTGTTGACACGTTCTCAGCTCACTTGGGCTCCACAACAATCCTGCAAGGTAGGCAGGGAAGATTTCTACTTTATTCATTCATTTATTTATTTATTTTTTGAGACCGAGTCCCACTCTGTTGCCCAGGCTAGAGTGCAGTGGTGCGATCTTGGTTCACTACAACCTCCGCCTCCCAAGGTCAAGCAATTCTTTTACCTCAGCCTCCCTAGTAGCGGGGATTACAGGCACATGCCACCACACCCAGCTAATTTTTATATTTTTAGTAGAGACAGAGTTTTGCCATGTTGGTAGGGCTGGTCTCAAACTCCTGGCCTCAGGTGATCCACCCACCTTAGCCTCCCAAAGTGCTGGGATTATACGTGTGAGCCACTGCACCCGGCCGGTTTTTAACATTCTTTCTCATTTTACACACAAGGAAAGTAAGGCTGCGAAGAGGTATGCAACTGGTTTGTTTTGGGCTACAGTACTGGTCTCTCAGCCCTTCAAATTTAGAGTTTTCCCCCAGTATACGTTGCATTGAATGGTAATGGCTAACACTGAGTTCAGTGCTTAGCAAACAGGCCATTCATTAAACATAGACAGACTTGCTGCCTGTTATTTCCCTTTTGGGGGCCAGGGAAATTGTGACCTTGGTGGCTCGGTCACTTGCCACTTGCCACGTCCTCAGGGAAGGATGTAGAAGGCATTGAGGGAAACTGACTATACCTCCTTCACCCCCACCTCCCTTCCTCCATCGGTCAAGTTGCCACGGGCACAAGCCCAGGAAGGGCAGGGGGATGTTAACAAACTTCAGACACGAAGAGTCTGAGCATCTATAAACAGCAACGGAAGAAATGAAATTGGCTGCGTCCTCTAAGCCTGTCCCCGCAGCATGCTGGAGGAGGGTCGCGGGGGACATGGAAGAGGAGGAGCTTTGGAGAGAGGATGCTTGTGCTCCCCCGCCTTTTCTTGCTATTTCTATTTGGGGGTTGGATTCCTGGGAGCTTCATCACATTTGGTTCTCAGCTGACTTTATATACTAAAAAATAACTTCCTTTCGCCTGACCATGGAGAGGGACTGCCAGGGGTGAAGGCAGCCCTGTCTGAGGCCAGAGGTCTGCCCACGTGGCGGATGAGGCAGGTGTGAGGCCAGCTTGAGCATCTGGATCCATTTGTCTCGGGCTGCTGGCTGCCTGCCATTTCCTCCTCTCCACCCTTATTTGGAGGCCCTGACAGCTGAGCCACAAACAAACCAGGGGAGCTGGGCACCAGCCAAGCGTCACCCTCTGTTTCCCCGCACGGGTACCAGCGTCGAGGAGAAAGAATCCTGAGGCACGGCGGTGAGATAACCAAGGACTCTTTTTTACTCTTCTCACACCTTTGAAGTGGGAGCCTCTTGAGTCAAATCAGTAAGAATGCGGCTCTTGCAGCTGAGGGTCTGGGGGGCTGTTGGGGCTGCCCAAGGCAGAGAGGGGCTGTGACAAGCCCTGCGGGATGATAACTTTAAAAGGGCATCTCCTGCTGGCTTCTCACTTGGCAGCTTTATCACTGCAAGTGACAGAATGGGGAGGGTTCTGTCTCTCCTGCGTGCTTGGAGAGCTGGGGGGCTATAAAAAGAGGCGGCACTGGGCAGCTGGGAGACAGGGACAGACGTAGGCCAAGAGAGGGGAACCAGAGAGGAACCAGAGGGGAGAGACAGAGCAGCAAGCAGTGGATTGCTCCTTGACGACGCCAGCATGAGCTCCTTCTCCACCACCACCGTGAGCTTCCTCCTTTTACTGGCATTCCAGCTCCTAGGTCAGACCAGAGCTAATCCCATGTACAATGCCGTGTCCAACGCAGACCTGATGGATTTCAAGGTAGGGCCAGGAAAGCGGGTGCAGTCTGGGGCCAGGGGGCTTTCTGATGCTGTGCTCACTCCTCTTGATTTCCTCCAAGTCAGTGAGGTTTATCCCTTTCCCTGTATTTTCCTTTTCTAAAGAATTTGCTGGACCATTTGGAAGAAAAGATGCCTTTAGAAGATGAGGTCGTGCCCCCACAAGTGCTCAGTGAGCCGAATGAAGAAGCGGGGGCTGCTCTCAGCCCCCTCCCTGAGGTGCCTCCCTGGACCGGGGAAGTCAGCCCAGCCCAGAGAGATGGAGGTGCCCTCGGGCGGGGCCCCTGGGACTCCTCTGATCGATCTGCCCTCCTAAAAAGCAAGCTGAGGGCGCTGCTCACTGCCCCTCGGAGCCTGCGGAGATCCAGCTGCTTCGGGGGCAGGATGGACAGGATTGGAGCCCAGAGCGGACTGGGCTGTAACAGCTTCCGGGTAAGAGGAACTGGGGATGGAAATGGGATGGGATGGACACTACTGGGAGACACCTTCAGCAGGAAAGGGACCAATGCAGAAGCTCATTCCCTCTCAAGTTTCTGCCCCAACACCCAGAGTGCCCCATGGGTGTCAGGACATGCCATCTATTGTCCTTAGCTAGTCTGCTGAGAAAATGCTTAAAAAAAAAAGGGGGGGGGGCTGGGCACAGTGGCTCACGCCTGTAATCCCAGCACTTTGGGAGGCCGAGGCAGGCGGATCATGAGGTCAAGAGATCAAGACTATCCTGGCCAACATGGTGAAACCCCAGCTCTACTAAAAATACAAAAATTAGCTGGGTGTGGTGGCGGGCACCTGTACTCTCAGCTACTTGGGAGGCTGAGGCAGGAGAATCACTTGAACCCAGGAGGCAGAGGTTGCAGTGAGCAGAGATCACGCCACTGCAGTCCAGCCTAGGTGATAGAGCGAGACTGTCTCAAAAAAAAAAAAAAAAGGCCAGGCACGGTGGCTCACGCCTGTAATCCCAGCGCTTTGGGAGGCCAAGGCGGGTGGATCACGAGGTCAGGAGATGGAGACCATCCTGGCTAACACGGTGAAACCCCGTCTCTACTAAAAATACAAAAAATTAGCCAGGCGTGGTGGCAGGCGCCTGTAAGTCCTAGCTACTCCGGAGGCTGAGGCAGGAGAATGGCGTGAACCCGGGAGGCGGAGCTTGCAGTGAGCAGAGATGGCACCACTGCACTCCAGCCTGGGCGACAGAGCAAGACTCCGTCTCAAAAAAAAAAAAAAAAAAAGCAACTGCCACTAGCACTGGGAAATTAAAATATTCATAGAGCCAAGTTATCTTTGCATGGCTGATTAGCAGTTCATATTCCTCCCCAGAATTGCAAGATCCTGAAGGGCTTAAGTGAAATTTACTCTGATGAGTAACTTGCTTATCAATTCATGAAGCTCAGAGGGTCATCAGGCTGGGGTGGGGGCCGGTGGGAAGCAGGTGGTCAGTAATCAAGTTCAGAGGATGGGCACACTCATACATGAAGCTGACTTTTCCAGGACAGCCAGGTCACCAAGCCAGATATGTCTGTGTTCTCTTTGCAGTACTGAAGATAACAGCCAGGGAGGACAAGCAGGGCTGGGCCTAGGGACAGACTGCAAGAGGCTCCTGTCCCCTGGGGTCTCTGCTGCATTTGTGTCATCTTGTTGCCATGGAGTTGTGATCATCCCATCTAAGCTGCAGCTTCCTGTCAACACTTCTCACATCTTATGCTAACTGTAGATAAAGTGGTTTGATGGTGACTTCCTCGCCTCTCCCACCCCATGCATTAAATTTTAAGGTAGAACCTCACCTGTTACTGAAAGTGGTTTGAAAGTGAATAAACTTCAGCACCATGGACAGAAGACAAATGCCTGCGTTGGTGTGCTTTCTTTCTTCTTGGGAAGAGAATTCAGGCCGATATTCCTTGTCGTTTTACTCTTTGTCAGAGGAAAGAATGCTGAGTTTTTCTTCTTCCTTTCATTTCACCCTCCTTTTTTGGTAGGTGGTTGGGGAGGCCTCAAATTCCACTCCTAGTGGGGTTTTTGTTGTTTTTAGGGGGGAACATTCAGAAAATGAGAGTATTAATTAGATTTTCTCTGGTACATTTCGAGAGAGTTAGGTTCTACAGCTAAGGTAATGGTACTTTTAGTTTTGAAAAGAGTAGGCAGAGTGTTGAATTTAAAAGCTGAGCAGGCCGGGTGTGGTGGCTCACTCCTGTAATCCCAGCATTTTGGGAGGCCAAGGTGGGCAAATCACTTGAGCCCAGGAGTTCAAGACCAGCCTGAGCAATAGAGTGAGACCCCATCTCTACAAAAAATTTAAAAATTAGCCAGGCATGATGATGTGCACCTGTAGTTCCAGCTATTCAGGAGGCCGAAGTGGGAGGATGGCTTGAGCCTGGGAGGTGGAGGCTGCAGTGAGCTGGTATTGTGCCACTGCATTCCAGCCTGGGTGACAGAATGAGACTTGTCTCAAAAAAATAAAAACTGAGCAAAGTGAAGAAAGGTTTGCCATGCAGACAAACTACAAGTTCATGTGCCTTTTGTGTACTAACAAGTATTTGGAAAACAGACATAGTCTTTGCCTAATCCGGGTCTGAAGGGCCTGGGCTTGTATTTTACTAAGAGCTGCTGGAGAAGATGCCGGCTTTTTGTATCTGCTCCTGAAGAGGGTATTTGCTCTGAGCACAAAACACCAGGCAATAAGTTCACCTTAAACAGAGTAAACTGTTTTCCCACCTGTTACCCCCATGGATCCCAACCTCATCAGATTCTATGACACTCCAACACCCCACACCCACACATGCCACTGTGCCTTTATTTCTGCTGTTCCTTCCACCTGGGGTGTCCTTCCTCTGGTCCTCCCGAGGACATTGTACTGATTTCTTAAGGCTCATATGAACACTACTTCTTTCCTGGTACCTCATGCCTAGTAACAATGAGTCCCTTCGTAGGCAGTGTTGCACATGTAACTGTTATAATAGCACACAACACGAGTTGCCTATGTGCAATTGCTTGTGTCTACGTCCCTAGACTGCAAGCTCTTTGAGGGCAAATGCCCCTTCAGCACTCTCAGAGTTGATGCCCCATAAATGTTGGTCAAATTGCCTTGGTCTTGTCCAGAAATTGGGAAAAGAGGAAATGAAGTAGTAACTTGCTCCTTGCGGAGGAAAGGGGGAGGCTCCCAGTGAACTAATGGCAGGGGGTTGAGGTGGGGGGAGAGCCTCACCTAACCACCTCCAGTCAAAATCTTCTCTACCTGGACTTTAAATACCAGGAAAACCAGGGGGTAGAGAATGACAAGGATGAAAGTAAGAGCGACAGGAGACAGCACTGGCCCAAACCTGGCTCCTGAGGTCTGGGATGGTGTTGCGGGTTGCTAGGAGGGGAAGTAGCCCATTCTCAAGGTGTCACCGTAACACAGGTAACACAGGGAGTTCTCATTGAATGAAACTGATTGAAAAATGACAAAAACACAAGGCAGAAAATGCCCCTGGGACTTACAGAACACTTGGGGATGGATGCAGGAGCTGAACTGGCTGCGACCACTGATGGAACAGCCACTTCTGTCACTGATGGAATGATGATTTGAAGCAGATCAGAGACAGAGGCCGCTCTTCTTGCAAAACCAAAAGCAAGCGAACAAAAAGCAATGGCCGATGGCAACAACAGAAGCTGGCCACGGGTCTTCACCTCTCCAGACCCAGCAGCAGTTTCACTTCTTCTGGTTGGACATCGGGGCAATCTGTGTGTGGGGCAACTTCCTAAACACCAGGAAGAAACAGAATGGATTCCCCATCCGCTGCTCCTCCAGGACGCGGCTGCTA
Source organism: Homo sapiens (assembly GCF_000001405.40). Classification (NCBI taxonomy): domain Eukaryota; kingdom Metazoa; phylum Chordata; class Mammalia; order Primates; family Hominidae; genus Homo; species Homo sapiens. The sequence continues at coordinate 11,843,750 of NC_000001.11, read as the reverse complement.
GCAGGAGGAGATGAATTCTAGAGGAGAGGATCAGGAAGAGTGTTCATCTGAAGGGAGAAACAGACAACGGTGACCTCTGCTAAGATCCACAGGATGAAATCTGTTCTTATTAAGGTCACTGTCTAATACAGAGAAGTGGACCCGCAAGAATGAAGAGCCCCACTGCCCAGCTGCATAGGGAGAGCTCTGAGACTCTAAAACTACGTCCTAGTGTAATTTCCACACATCAGAAAGAGGGGGAGTAAAATAAAAAGCAAGTATCCCTTGAAAGAAAGAGCAGCAGGGCCGGGCGTGGTGGCTCACGCCTGTAATCCCAGCACTTTGGGAGGCCGAGGCGGGTAGGATCACCAGGTCAGGAGATTGAGACCATCCTGGCTAACATGGTGAAACCCCATCTCTACCAAAAATACAAAAAATTAGCCAGGCATGGTGGTGGGCGCCTGTAGTCCCAGCCACTCGGGAGGCTGAGGCAGGAGAATGGCGTGAACCTGGGAGGCGGAGCTTGCAGTGAGCTGAGATGGCACCACTGCACTCCAGCCTGGGTGACAGCGAGACTCTGTCTCAAAAAAAGAAAGAAAGAAAGAAAGCAGCATGGAGACAAAAGGCTAAAGGAGACAGAGGAGACAGAAGACATTTTATTCTCACATGTTAGGGTTACAATGAGAACTCCCAAGTTCCAAAGGTTCAAATAAAAATAGCATTTTACAAATTAAAAAAAATACAATTTATATACACAGTGGAATTAGCTAACATCATACAAACAAACAGTGCAAACAGAAAAAAGGAAGCTGCGACTGCGGCAATGGCCAAGGTCCGCAGAGCTGTGGTGCAATACTGCACATCAATACTGCAGGGCTGGCGAGGCCACCTTGGGCCTCTCGAAAGGCTTTCCTGTCACCCAGGGTCATGTCAGTGCATAATTCTGCATCACAAATGCCATACAGTGGACTGGGTCCTGAAAGTGTCCCTTCCAGCTGGGAACTGTTAAGTTAATCAAGGTCAGGAGCAAATCATCCCTCAGCACAAGGTCCCAAAGCCAGGGCCGGGGGCCCATTGGCCCCACTCCCTGATCACCTCGCCTAGGGGCCATGGAACACCAAGCTGGAGATGAAACACAAAACACCACTTCTTACCACCCGTAGGCTCCCCATCCACAGATCTGCTTTACTGAGGCGACTGATCACTGGGTGATGGGGCTGCTAATGGGTGAGATGCTGAAAAGGCTGGTTTCTAATGGACAGAAATGGAAGGAGCGAGGGTCACAGTTGATTTGTCATGAGTGGAGAAGTTGCTGTCTTTGGGCTTATCTGGAAAGCGCAGATGCAGAGAGAGGAGAAAAGGAAACCACGTGCCTTTGCATGGGGCCTGGGTTTGGGGCCTCCTTGGCAGCCGTCCAGTCAGTTTAGGGGAGGGAGGTATTTGCATTCTACTGTCTATCTCTGGGCTAAACTGATGGGAACAAAATATCTGGTGACTTAAACACAACAGGATGTGCACGAGGGATGAATTCCAATAACATTCACCGGGGCAGCCTCAGGGCAGGCGGCTGCTGATCCAGCCCTCGAGAGGCCGGGGTCCTCCTGCAGGGCGTTAGCTCTGCCAGCTCCAGGAAGGGGCGGGGAGAGGGGACAAAGTGTCTGTGACAGGTGATCACACCATTCTCCTGACTTGGACAATTGGCTTCCTTCTTAATAAAAGGAAGAAATAACGTGATCAAGCTCTGAACACTGCCATAAAACACAGCAGCAGCTGGCCAAATAGTAACATTTAAATAAGAATTGCCTTTTTGGTCCTTGTGATGTCCTGCGCTATTTCCTGGGAGTATTATCCCCATTTCATAAGTCAGGTGCATTCTGGGAAGCAGAAACATTTAGAAGTCAAAGCAATTTTGGTCAGGGAGATAAGAAAATGGGGAAAATGGAGGGGCCACAATCAGCTAGAAAAGACCTTGAAGCAGCCCCATCTCTGGAGTGGAATTATTCCCTAGAGTGTGCTGAGCGCAAGATCTGGACCAGCAGAGCCAGGACTGATGCTCACCCCAGGGTGAAAGGCAGACTTGGCCAAGGAGGTCGCCCAGGGCTGGGCCTGAGAGCTGTGCTGCCAGGGCCAGGTGCCGAGGCCCGTGGGCAACCTCCACGGTTTTAAAAAAAACTAAACGTAAATGAAGGCCATCTTGAGCCAAAGCACGTCTGCCCCAGGGATGCCTGCTGGGACTAATACCATGTAGAAGGTGGGGGAAGATAAGCATGAATGCCCAATGCCCAGATGCTCACTTTGGGTGCCTAGTCAGAGGGGGCGGGCCAGCCTGGAGAAGAATGACGTCACTGAACGACAGGGTGCGCTTCCCATGCTTCATGTGAAACCTTCAGGCACGTGCTGGCAGGAAGCATCTTCCCCACGCACCCTCCCTGCGGCACAGGAGGCCCTCCTGAAGGGCCTCTGTATGTAAGCTTGGGACAGCTAGTGCAGGGGAGAGAGAGGTGTTTGTGAAGGGCAGACACCCTCTTCCTCAAATAGGCCATCTGCTTTATCATAGCACATACCTTTCAGTGGTCACTGGCTCAGAAGTGCTTCCTTTCTACTTTGGAAAAAAAATGGTAGCATTCCCCAGAGTTGAGTGAAGCTGCTTTATCCAGGAGTGCCCTGCTTTCAGCTAACTTTGGTGGGTGATGCCAAGATCCTCTGAGCTCTGCCTGCTTCATCAGGAAGACGGAGATCAAAACTTAAGGAAATGAAAAAGGATCTGGGTAGAAACGTGTTACTGGGAGACTGGGAATAATCTGCAGATGGAGAGAAAGCTGCAATGTTAAGAATTAGGGTAGACGTAAATCTGATCCTATTATCAGATTGACCATCCAGGGGTTATTAGTGTGATTTTAATCCTTTATGTTTCTGGTGGGCGGTGGTTCTAAGGAGAGTCAAACCACAGGGCAAGACCAGAGCCTCTGCTCACACCCAGGAGCAGAGTGTTTCCCTTAAAACCAACTAGCGAGGATACCGTGTTAAGAGTCCCAAATAAGGGAAGGACTCTCTGAAATATTGAGAATTTTCTCAGTGCCCAATTCCTAAACCTAGTCATGAACTGTATGTTGTCACTGGCATCTCCCCAGCTTTTGCCTTGGCCAAGTCCCTCTCACACATTTAAGGCAACAGCCGGGTTCTCTAGGAAAGTAGCAAAGATGGCCAGGAACACTGCTCGGAGTGCAGCCCGGGGCCCGCCTGATTCTACCTCTGCTTCTGGCTCTGGTGGAGCCAGGGGTGGGCCTGTGCCAACACTGGAGGGTGGGAACACAGGGAGCAGGAAGTGGGAAGATCCTTGCTGGGGAAGTCAGAAAAGTCCAAGCTCTGATGGTTCAAAACCACCCCCAGGACCTCTGACCAGCAAGGTGTCCGATGACTCCCGGCTTTCTGAGTGAGTGGGTGACTGGGAATCTTCCATGCCCCGGAACAGCCCCAGCCAGCTGTGCCCGCCGGAGTGAGCATGATTTGCCTCCCCAGGCAGCACCAGGAGAGGGTGGGCTGGGCTGTCAGATGGTCTGGTAGTGCTGCCTCAGCCGGGCCTGCAGAAATTCATAGGTGAGGTTGTGCCGTGTGATGATCCCCACGATCTAGGGCAAAGAGAAGGCCTGAGTCACCTTCAGGGTAAAACCCGCTGGCGAGAACAGGAGTGACAGGAGCCGGCCCTGTTAGTTTGTCACAGAATGTGGAGGCCTGGATAGTGCACAGCCAGACACAGCTTGATTGGGATAAACAGCTAACGAGGGCTCACACACTGGAGGCCAAGGGGACAAGGTTAGCTCCAAAAAGGGCTTGGGCCAGCTGGCATCTGAACTAAAATGTCCTTCCACAGGGCACATGCTCAGCGCTCAGCTCCCATCATGACCAGCCTGCTTCACAGATGTGCAAGCGGTGGGGCCCTTGAAGTCTCCTGAGATTATGACCCCTGCCATGCCTCATACTCACCACCTTGCAAAGTGACCTATGGGAGTCATTTGTTACAGGTCGTTACAGTGGTTCCCACGTGTCACTGTTGTTGGGAACTCCAAAGCCACGTCATAAACTATGTTAGGACTCTGTCAGTGTAGTTGGCAATTACATTTCAAGGGACATAAGTTAACCTACTGCAACAAAACCTGTGTAAGTACGCACTATGCATGCCAGGGTTGTGCCGCATAGAAGAAAAGACTGAGGCCGGGTGCAGTGGCTGACGCATGTAATCCCAGCACTTTGGGAGGCCGAGGCAGGTGAATCACTTGAGTTCAGGAGTTCAAGACCAGCCTGGGCAACATGGCGAAACCGTGTCTCTACCATAAATACAAAAACTAGCTGGGCATAGTGGCGCATGCCTGTGGTCCCAGCTACTCAGGAGGCTGAGGTGGGAGGACTGCTTGAGCCTGGAAGGTCGAGGCTGCAGTGAGCCGAGATCTTGCCACTGCACTCCAGCCTGGGTGACAGAGTGAGACCCTGTCTCAAAACAACAACAACAGCAACAACAACAAAAGACTGAGAGGGTGGCCTTGAAAAGTTACCAGGGCTACCGCGACAGGGTAGGGACGAGGGTTTGGTTTTTGCTTGTTTTTTGCTCATATGTGTTTTTGTATTTTCCTACAATGAAATCATATTTGTGTAATAAGAAAATATTTGTGTAATAAGAAAATAATGAAGTTCTAAAAAGAAGAAAAAAGGAAAGTCTGCAGCAATAATTACTAGGTGTTTTATATCTTTGTAAAACTCAAAGTATTTTGCTTGAAATTCTCTCATCTAATGCGCAAATCCCTACGCAGGTGGAGAACCAAGGAACACCAGTGGTACGGAGTGAAGAGCAACATTTCAGGAGGAAGACACAGCCTGGTAGAGGCGCGGCTCTGGCTGGAAAGGACGGCCAGTGGGACGCTGGTGCCATCTGCTGGCAGGCAGGGGAAAGGGTCCCGAGTGCACGGAAGCCGAGCAGGGTTCAAAGCTAGTGTTGGGCCACACTCTCCCCTCCTGGTGGGATGCCTACGTTTCTGGTGAGAAGCCTGGGTGCACAAACAGCACCTGGCTAGGGGATCCTCTCTCAAAGGTGGGGGCAGGGCCGGGGCCTCGCTCACCTCTCCCACAGCGTTCACCACGGGCAGGTGGCGCAGGCCCATCGTTCTGAACAGGTTGAAGACTTGGGAGACGTGGGTGTTGGGCGAGACGGTGAAAGGCGAAGGGTTCATGTATGGGGTGACATCCTGCAAAGAGACCACGTGTCACTGACTGCCTGAGACGCCAACGGCATGAAGAGGCAGCTCCGCATGGGACAGGCCGGGGCAGCCCTTCTCACCACGATCATGCGCGGGTTGAGCAGCGTCAGGTCCAGGTCGTGGATGTCGGGGTACCGCGGGTAGTCCTCGGCCATCTCGGCATAGGAGAGGCGCGGCTGGCTGGCGCTCTGCAATTCCAACCCAGACACTGTCCGTGCTCAGGCAGCAGTGGCCAGCAGGGTCACCTTAGAGCCCCTCCCCTTGATGCCTGAATATGCCCAGCTCCAGGCTGCTGAGGCAGGTGGTGCAGCAGCAGCAAGCGCTCCAGAGTGAGAGCTCTCCAGTCAAACCAAGTCCTTGGCCAAGTCCTAGCTGTGGCACCCTGGGCAAGTCCCCTGATCTGTCTGCACTCCCTTTCTTCCTGATTCATGAGATGCAAATGGCTTATTAGGAAGTTTAAGTGAGAAAGCACTAAGTAAAGTGGCTGGGGGGTGAATGTGTCCCCCCACCAAAAGATATGGCCAAGTCCTAAGCCCTAGTACCTATGAATGCGACCTTTCTGGAAACAAGGTCTCTACAGATGTGACCGAGTTCAGATGAACCCATGCTGGATTAGGGCGGGCCCCAAATCCGGTGACAAGCGTCCTTAGGGAAAGGAGAGAAGATACACAGGAGAACGCCGTGTGATGACAGTGGCGAGGATGGGGGCTGTGTTCACAGTCAGGAGCACCAAGGTCTGCAGGCAACTCCCATGAGCTAGGAAGGGGCAAGGACAGCACCAGAGCCAGGGAGCGCTGCCCTGGTGACACCCGGATTTTGTACTTCTGGCCTTGAACTATGAAGGAATAAACCGCTGTTGCTTCTCACCACCCGGCTGTGGCGACTCCTCCCCTAAGTCCACTCTGCACTTCTCGCCTTGCATTCAGCTTTCCCTATGGCACTGTTCACGGCCCGCCGGCAGCGCCCAACCCCTCGAGCTTCGTCAGGTCTGGCCTGGCTGATTTCTGCCTCGGAGAGACTTACCGACTGGCTTTCAGAGTAACAAACTCCTCGGACAAGCAGGGTGACAAGCTGCGACCGAAGGATCAGGCCGTGGAAGGTCAGAGGGCGGAACCGCTCCTCCATGGTCCAGTCTTCACTTGGGGACTGGTCAGGGTATAGGTTGGGGTAGGGAGTGTATCTGTTACACAAAAACCAGATGCTGCCTGGGATACCCTCAGCGGGAGCGCTTCTGATCCATGTTCCCAGCCCGCTCCCCATCCAACTTTCCCAGGAAACTCAGGAGCCACCTCACAACATCTGAGCCAAAGGCTCACCCCACCGCTGTGTAGCCCTGCGGGCAGTGGGGGCCCCGCCAGGCTCTCACCTCCTTTCCAGCATCTGCTGCAGGAGGTCCTCCTTCTCGGCTGGCTCCTCAGAGGCGATGTGCTCATCACACATGTTCCGTAGCTCGCTGGATGGGTAGGACTTCATGGACTGGCTCCGTTTGCGCTGCTCGCCAGCCCGGGTGAGGATGCTGGATTTCTGTGGGTGGGGAGGCCACAGGCTACTGCGCATGGGCAAACGAACACAGCAGTACTGATGGAGCTTAAGGATTTGGGTGACAGGGAGGGTCAGAAGCACATCCGGACGCAGGAACTTAATGGGGCTGAGGTTCAAAAGAGTGGCTCAGGCTGGTGGTTCAAATGAGCCTGAACCCTAGGACCTGGCTGCAGCTTCTGTGGTTTCCTTTAATCTGGGAAGAGCAGCTTGATTCTCCAGAGGGGAACAAGCCATCTCCTACATCCTGTCTTGATAGAATTTTCAATCAACGTGCCTGCCCCCAAAGCCAAGGAGTGGCACATGACCCAAGTGAGGCAACAGGATACCCCCTCTCCCTGGATTCTGAATCGGAATCAGGAGGAACCCAGGGCCAGTGCTCCTTCCTCCTGGTACCCAAGGGATGTCTGCTAGACCCTGCACTGCTCCCCACAGCACATGGTTCTGGTCCTTCAGCTTTCCCAGCTGTCCTGAGCTTTCCTGTGGATTTCTTTCTCTTTCTTAAGGAGGTCGAAGTCCATTTCTGTTGCTGGCATCTCTAGAACTCTCCCTGATACTCTCACATGGTAAACAAACCATGAAAGCTGCTGACTTGAAAAACAGATCTGTCCACATGCTCATTGCGGCAAGAACGCACACACATCTTCACGGCCTGATAAAGCTGCCCCTGCTGTCAAATCTACTCTCCCTGTCGCATGTGATGAGAACAGTGCCAACTTCCCCTGAGAGCCGGTAAGTCCACCCCAGCCAGGGGTGGGCAAAGCACTAAGCCGTGTGAGACGGGACCGCTTGTCTCTCACCTGCCTTTCCTCTCATGCCGTTTTCTTTACCTTGAACTTGATGTTGTTGCTGATGAGCTGGTTGCCCTTCATGAACTCCTTCTCGTTACCGCGGTTCTCTGTGACCACCGGGAAGGCATGGTGGACCGTGGTGCGCAGGATGCTCACCAGAGACTGGATGCGGGTGTGCGGGTAGACGTAGGTCAGGTTGGGCTCCATGATGTCGCTGGCTCTCAGCCTGGGGGAGGAGGGCAAGTCATCCAGCCTCATGACAGTGCCCGCAGGCCCCTGGGAGCAAGCTGTGCTGGCTCTCCAGCCCTGCTCAGACCACGGGCGGGGTGGGGGGCTCTTCTGAACTGCCCCAGCTCTCCCTCAAACCCGATGCATTCCTTTGTACTTCTATCCCCCGACACATGCTGTTCCCGCACCTGGAATGTCGTACCCTGCTGTACCAGGCTGATGGGCTCGGGCTCATCCCTCAGCTCAACAGCAACATCCCCTCACCAGGAAGCCCTGGCTGCTGGTCCAGGGGCTGGCCACGCCCTCCTCGGTGCCCTGCAGCACGCTCCACATACTACCCCTGAACTGCTAATTCTGCTACAGCATTTACCACAACTGGGTAAATGGGTGGGCTGGGTGCAGCGGCTCACGCATGTAATCCCAGCACTTTGGGAGGCCGAGGCCAGCAGATTGCTTGAGCCCAGGAGTTCAAAACCAGCCTGGGCAACACAGCAAAACCCCATTTCTATAAAAAAAATGTTAAAAATTAGCCAGGTGTGGTGGCACGCGCCTGTGATCCCAGCTACTCAGGAGGCTGAGGTGGAGGATCGCTTGAGCCTGGGAGGCATAGGTTGCAGTGAGCTATAATCATGCCACCCTACTCCAGCCTAGGCGACAGAGTGAGATCCTGTCCCAAAAAAGAAAAACAATAATAATAAAATAAACACAGCACTTGGGTCCCCCTTTAGATCAGGGCACAGCAAACTGTAGCCCACTGATCAAGTCCGTCACGCTTACTGCTTTCCTGCTGCAATGACAGAGTCGAGTAGTCGTGACAGAGACCATACAGCCCGGAAAGTTGAAAATAAACTCCTGTCTGGCCCTCCACAGAAACGGCTTGCTGGCCCCCGTGTTAGCCCGTAAGGGCCTTGCCTGCTATCTAGACACAGGAAGCCCAGGTACCTGTGGATTAGCAGGTGGGTTATGAGGTGATTATGCCCAGAACAATCCCGGCTGGCAGTAGGGCATTCTGGTGGGCACATGTGAAACAGGCTATTCTCACTCCTGGGGCTTGGCATACCCTTAAACATTCAATCACATCACGAACTTGATCCAGAGACCTCACCTCATATCTAACCAGAATGCCATGGGAGTCAAACCACCACGAAGAGGCCCTGCCCACTGCAGTCCCACAGTGCCCGTGTCCCCTGCCCTGCCCCCGCAGCCCCCAGCCCATGGGCTGCTCCACATTCTCACACATGCTCAGGAATGGGTGTGTTGCTTCTTTCAGCCCAAGAAAAGTGAGTTACTGTTTCCTACCCTAATAACAACATTCCTTAGGCCTCAGAGCTTATACATTCTGAAACTAGGACATGAGCAAAATCATGGCCTTACTTGTCCATTTCCACCTCTGTCTCCCATTCCAGAAGCGGCACGCCTCGCAGGCCCACGTGGATATCATAAATGCCCTTATTGAAAAAGTCCCCTGTCCATTTGGCCACCTGAAACACAAAGCAAAGACCTAAAAATAGGTCCTGTGGGGCGGACGTGGCCCTGAGCCTGACAGGGGCCTGGAGGGAGTGTGCTCACCATCAGTGTGACCATGATGGGGAGCCCGTAGGTGATCTCATTGGTGGACTCGATCAGGATGACCGTGAGGCTGATGGTCATGCGGACCACCCCGCCCAAGAAAGCCGCTGCACCAATCAGGGCAAAGGTCCCCGAATAGATGTGGCCCAATCCAATGTAGCTAGTGAAGGAAAACACCGAGAACATGGCTTTGAACCACACTGATAGGCTGTGGGGAGGACCTACAGCTCATACTCTTGTGCCTATGCACATATGTGCATGCATGGGCACAGACACATCAACGCACGCACACGCACACACATGCATACACACGCACACGTGCACACACATGCACATGCGCACACACACGCACACACACAGAGTACCTTTTTAGGACATTGGCAACTAAACGTCCAAAAGCAGCTCCACACAGCAGAGAAGGCACAAAAAGGCCACTTGGAACAGAAATGCCGTAAGTCCAACATGCAAGCAAGAAATAGAGAACGAAGAACAAGGCCAGAGTGACGGGGCTGAAAGTACCTGCAAGGGAAGAGCCAACCTGAGTCCCACTACCGGATGCCTGCCAAGGCCCAGTAGACCTACCGGGCCCGACCACACCCCATACCAGTTCCCCTTCCAACACAGGAGGCAGAAACCAATCTTTTGTCTGGGTGGGCGTTACAAAGAAGTCCTGGTCTTGCTTGGAATGAAGGGCAAGCCTGGCTGTGTCCGAGATGACACCAATCACCCACGATTGGGCTGCAGTGCAGACACTCACCATCCTGGTGGAAGAGCTGGAGGATGGCAGACTCCTGCGGGTTGAAGAAGAGTGTGGCCATGTCATTGTAGGTATCATTGGGACAAAAAAATGTCTTGATACTTGAATTCACATCTTCTGTGACCTGAGAAGAAGGAATCAGAAAATCAGTACAAGGACACCTGACTTTGAGTCTTCAAGTGGGATGTCTCCAGCCGGGTCCAAAACAGGTGGCTGCACAGCTTTCCCCATCAATCAAACAGGCCAAAAACTGACCTCTACCAACGGCAGCCACACGGGCAAGTGTATTCTTCACATTCTGAATGCACAGATGAAAGAATCGGGATGAGGGCCTTTTGTTCATCCACACTCATGATGAAAATGTCACTATGGCCGTGATTCACCGTGAATTTGGTTCTGCTTCCTCTCCCGGTGCTAACTTTCTAAGTGATGCTGCTAGAAGCCTGGCCTGAGAGCCCTAGGACTGGGGGAATATGAGGCAGGTGAGAGCAAGTGACTGGGAGTTGACAGGTATCTGGGGAGGAAAATCCAGGGCACCACTTGACCGAAAGCCCCAACTCTGGTTCCAAATAGAAAAAGCCTTTGATTTTGCTGCAATTTGCTACAAAAAAAAAAAAAGCACCTGAATTTGCTGCAAAAGAAAACCCACCTCCATAATGCCTGGAGAGCAGACCCAGTCCTCCAGGCTGCCTCTCCTTCTAGACCCCATCTGGGGAACAAAACCCAAACAGAAAAAGAGATTATTTCTTCTACTACTTCTACACATTTTAGACCTCATTTTCTTGCCATCATTCTGTGTGGGAAGATGGGATCTTTGCTAGAAGGCAAGGGTGTTTCAAGTGTGCTGTTTTATTTTCTAGTTGACAGTGTACAACGGTACAAGGTTGTACTTCACACCTATCACTGTGCATGCAAATAGGGAGTCTTATTACAAAGGTTAATCAAGGCTATGGGTTTCTTCTGGATGACACAGCTGTGGAGATGCCATTATGTGGACGTGCTAACAATACCAGGGGGTGGTTTGTGTGACCCCGCCAGGTGAAACGGGCTGGGCAATATAGACGTATGCAGGCTGCTGTGCAAACAGCACGGCACTGCTGACTGGCAGCACCTGGCACTGGTGAGCCATGTGCAGAGCCTCAGCGTTGTGGAGTGCACGGGGGATGAGCTCAGCTGATGGCTTCATAATAGACACATGCAGTGTTTCCCAAACTGTCTGGAGGAAGTTCAGTCCTGAAGGCTTTCCAGAGAGTCCTGTGGTCAACTGCACTGAGAAACATCCTAGCAATTCTTGGAAATCAGTGTGTCTGCTAAAAGCTGAGCACAGGCTCCAAAATCAGATGGCTTTGTCTCTAAACTCTGCCACTCTCTAGTGACGTTGAGAAGGATATTTCATTTTGTGAGTTTCCTCACCTATAAAATGGTAACAACACCTACCCTCTCACTATATATGACTAGCTGAAGGTTTTTGGTCAAGACCATACTGTGCCTCAGCTTCCTTAGCTGTAAAATGGGGGCACAGCTACTGGCCAGCAAGCACAGTGCTGATAAGGATTAAATGAAATCATATAAAGTACTCAGTGGAATATCTGGTACACAATAAAGACACCAAACATTTATAACACTTATGGGAATAAGGCCCTAGAAGTTCTGTACTAAAGGAACGTATTTAGGTTGGGTGCTATGGCTTGTGTCTATAATCCTAGCACTCCTAAAACAGGAGATCATTTTAGGCCAGAAGTTCGAGACCAGCCTGGGCAACATAGTGAGATCCTGTCTCTATAAAAATAAGCTGGATGTGGTGGCATGCACCTGTAGTCCCAGCTACTTGGGAGGCTGAGATGGGAGGATCGCTTGAGCCCAGGAGTTTGAGGTTACAATAAGCTATGATCACACCACCGTACTCCAGCCTGGGTGACAGAGTGAGATCCTGTCTCTAAAAAGATAAAGAAGCATATTTAATTCCTAGCCCATTTGACCACAGAATCGTTTTTTGTATGCTTTAAATCACACGCATCAAGGTATCTGTCTGGTAATGAGCTAGGCTTGGGAATAACTAGTAACAGGGGTCGGCAAACTTTTTCATAAAGAGCCAGACAGTAAATATTTTAGAAGTTGCCAGTGATGTACAGTCTCTGCGGCATATTCTTTTTTTTCTCTCAACCCTTTAAAAATATATAAACCAGCTGGACACGGTGGCTCACGCCTGCAATCCTAGCACTTTGGGAGGCCGAGGTGGGCGGATCACAAGGTCAGGAGTTCAAAACAAGCCCAGCCAAAATAGTGAAACTCCGTCTCTACTAGAAATACAAAAATTATCTGGGAATGGTGGTGCGTGCCTGAAGTCCCAGCTACTTGGGAGGCTGAGGCAGGAGAATCGCTTGAACCCAGGAGGTGGAGTTTGCAGTGAGCCGAGATCTTGCCACTCCACTCCAGCTTGGGCAACAGAGTGAGACTTTGCCAAAAACAAAAACAAAAACAAAAACAAAAACATATATATATAAACCAGGCTGGGCGTGGTGACACACCTGTAATCCTAGCAATTTGGGAGGCCGAGATGGGTGGATCACTTGAGGTCAGGAGTTCGAGACCAGCCTGGCCAACATGGTGAAACACCATCTCTACTAAAAATACAAAATTAGCTGGGCATGGTGGTGGGTGCCTGTAATCCCAGTTACTCGGGAGGCTGAGGCAGGAGAATCACTTGAACTTGGGAGGCGGAAGTTGCAGTGGGCCAAGATCGCGCCACTGCACTCCGGCCTGGGTAACAGAGTAAGACTCCGTCTTAAAAAAACAAAACAAACAGAAATATATAATGTGTGTTTGTGTGTGTGTGTGTGTGTGTGTGTGTGTGTATATATAGTGTGTGTGTGTATATATATATATATATATATATATATAATATATACATATAACTGGGGACACTGAAGAGGCTGTCCTCCAAGACAAGGGCCCCAATGGGGATCTGAGAGATTCAAGTGGTTACAGAGAAGCAACAAGGAAAGAGTACAGTTGTTCCTCAGTATTCACCAGGGATAGGGTCCAGGATCCCGATGGATACCAAAATCCAGGGATGCTCAAGTCCCAGATATAAAATGGTGTATATTTGCATATAACCTATGTAGGTCCTCCTATATACTTTTAAATCATCTCTAGATTATTTATAATACCCTAATACAATGTAAATGCTATGTAAATAATTGTTACACTGTACTGTTTTTTATTTGCATTATTTTTTACTGTTGTCTTGTTCTTTTTTATGTTTTGCATCCTGAATATATTTGCTCCACAGTTGGTTGACCCTACGTAATTCCATGGATGCAGGACCCACAAATGTGGATGGCCGACCGCACTTAGAGAATGCTCACCTGTCTGCAGCCAAGGGCTGGAATCACACATCTGGCTGACTCACTGAACCACAGGTGTAGCTCTCAGAGCCTCCGGGTTGGACCGAAAGAACACAGCGTGGAGTAGGCTCCACGGACTACCTCATGGGACCACTCCTCAGGGAAAGCCTCTGGAAAATATCGCGCCCCCCAAGAAGGGAAAAGGAGGAGTGCAGGAGGGTGGCGCACCCACAAAGGACCCAACGCCGGGAAGAGGCAGAGGATGCTGGGAAGAGAGAAGCCTCCTTGCCCTGACACAGATATTTCTTCCTCTCAAGAGTGACTGTCATAGTCACAGAGGCCATGAGGTGGGTGCTGAGCCTCTGGGCTGTGGCCCCTTCAGGCAAGGGGAGGTGGAAGAGTAACTGGGGCTCAGAAAGCACCTTGCTGTCAGCTTTCCAAGTGTCTGTTTCCCATGAGTGTTGTTCAACAGAGAGGAGTTGCCCTCTGTGATGCCAGGGTTGTTCCCAGGTTCCCCTCTGTGACGCCAGTGTCGTTCCCAGGTTCCCCTCTGTGACGCCAGGGTCGTTCCCAGGTTCCCCTCTGTGATGCCAGGGTTGTTCCCAGGTTCCCCTCTGTGACGCCAGGGTTGTTCCCAGGTTCCCCTCTGTGACGCCAGGGTTGTTCCCAGGTTCCCCTCTGTGACGCCAGGGTTGTTCCCAGGTTCCCCTCTGTGACGCCAGGGTTGTTCCCAGGTTCCCCTCTGTGACGCCAGGGTTGTTCACAGAAGTGGCAAAGACACAGGGCATGTGGTGTGCACTTTCTCTGAGGTAAAAAGACGACTACAGATTCCCATATCTCTCAACGCTCAGGTAATGGGTGTGGAAGGATGAACCCAACATATCTATTAGTTCTCAACAGAGGAAGGTCATACATTTCTGGATTCTTCCTCGTGGTATGGGATAAAGGTAGCAGGTGCACTGGGGTTACCTGGAGCTGGAATGAGTCATTACCGATTTGACTCGAAGAGGACATCTGTCGGCATTCTCCTAACACCATCGAGGCCACAAACACCACCACGGTGGTTACCAGAGACACAAGGAGGCTCTCTAAGACTCTAGGAGGCAAAGCACAGCTGTTACAACGCCACAGAAAGAAGCTCTGGTCTCAGAAATTCAAAACATAACCCTGCCTACCCCCAGCCCCGATTTCTCCAAACAGCATTCACAGCAGCCCCTGGTCAGTCAACATGTGTGCAGAATTGATCCGTGATTTGCTGTATTCCAGCAATTTGTTTGTAAAAAGTGGACAGTTAAAGTGGGCTGCTACGTCCACATCATCTCTCTCCAAGGAATGAATGGCTTTCCATTATAATAAGTCCTGGGGCGAGAAGCCTCCTGAGAGCAAGCTGCTCGGCAGGGCCACGGTGACCCTTCTAACCTTGTCATGTGTCCGAGTGGCCAAGTCAGGACAGGCAGGGAGTCAACCAGCAACTCTGACATCAATTAAGCTGGCTCAGCCCTTTGGCCTGTCAAGTAGGGAAGATGCATGGCCGTGTTTAGATTCTCAGTCTTAGATGAGAAATCAAAGCCGTGGAGGCAGGGTCCGCTCCTCGGGAGAGATGGCGCGGCCCACACCAAGCTCAGGGAGCCGCAGCAGGCTCGGGGGGGAGGCGACTGTGCAGATACCTGACGAGCTTAGGTTTCGGGTGCACGTTTCGCATACGGTACTTTGCAAGCCTCTTGTTCAGACAGTTGAATGTGGCTCCCAGGAGGCCCCCAATGACCCCCATCACGACGAAGAAACCCAAATCCATAGCTGTCCAGAGATGACATTTTTTATCAGAGTCAGAGCACTGAGAGAAGGGGAAAGGGAGAGGGAGAGAAAAACCATAGCAGCCATGAGAACCGGAAGAGACAGAAGAGAAGACAGAAGCAAGAGTGGGGCTGCTTTCCCGCACGGCAGAGGCTAATGGGTGAGATGTGTCCCTGGAAGTTGTACCTAGCCCTCTGCTCATTTCTCTCTGGTCCTTCACTTGAGAGGAAATTTTCATGGGTCAAATTAAAAATCCTTGGGGAAAGGACAAAACATACCTTAAACTCGCCAAAGTTCAGCAATCCAGGGAGCTGGAAGGAACCCCAGCTTCCAAACTGAATCCCAGAACGGAAGAAGTTGAGGGTGAAGGTGGCAGACATGGAACAAAAGAGCTAGGGGAGAGGTGACAAAAGACAAGAAGGTTCAGGAGTGGCATGTCCTACTCTCTCCCAACCCTTCCTCCTGGTACCCACTGCTCTACGCAGAGACCTCCGGAATCTACATCCGGGTACAGAGATCTAGTCACCCTTACAGTAGATACACCCCAGGTATGACCAACTCTAGATTGGGCTTTAAGAAGTTTCCGTTCCAGCAGCCTACTCTACTATGAGAGCCTATTTACAGCCTTTACAGACCAGACCTTGCACCAAAAGGAAGGATCAATGCAAAGGGAAGGACAGCCTGCTCTGAGGGAGAAGACCGGCTCCAGTCCAAGCCCCATCACTTCCTGCTTTATGACAACAGCCAGTTTCACATTTTCATGTCAGGTGGTTCATCAAGAAAGGATAACAAGGCCAGGCGTGGTGGCTCACGCCTGTAATCCCAACACTTTGGGAAGCCAAGGCGGGTGGATCACCTGATGTCAGAAGCCCCATCTCTACTAAAAATACAAAAATTAGCTGGATGCGGTGGCACGTGCCTATAATCCCAGCTACTCATAAGGCTGAGGCAGGAGAATCGCTTGAATCCAGGAGGCAGAGGCTGCAGTAAGCCGAGATCGCGTCACTGCCCTCCAGCCTGGGCAACAGAGCAAGACTCCATCTCAAAAAAAAAAAAAAAAAAAAAAAGTAACAGCGGTTTGATTTGGGGTTAGGGAGGGTATTGATATGAGAAGTACAGAAAGTCCAGTGTGGAGGTTATGGGCACAAGAGGAAAGCTGTTTCTGATCCAGTTGACCCCCCAGTCTCATCAAAACTACCATTCCATGTACCGAGTAAGGGACACCCAGTGTAATTCGGGGGGTGTGGTTAATGCTTTCACTGAAGGTCCTCCTCACCACTTTCCACGTGAGCCCTTGGTTCCAGAAGGACGAACCCTCCTCTAGACTGAACAAGGTACCCCCGATTGGCGCCCCGAAAGCTGCAGCAACTCCAGCAGCCGCTCCTGCTGATACAAAGTCTCTCTTGTCTCTGAGGAGAGGAGAGAGACGGGTTATCCAATAAAGAGCCCCCAGCCCCCAAAAGGTGGTTTCTGACTTCCTTATCATGAACATTTTCTCACACCTGTGAATGAATAGGCAGGGATCCTGGAAGGGCAGGTCACTGGTGAGGCAGCCTTTGCCGCGAGTGTGTCCACCCGAGAGCCACACACCTTAGCACCAGAGTCCCTTTCAGCATGGCGGCTACTCTGCCTGGGAACAGGAGCCCCTGACCTCTGTGTTTTCTGTGATCTCAGAATCTCAGCCCCCAGCTCAGGGGGCAGATCAAAGATCGGCACGATCACTGCTGCACCATGTTCCCACCGGATCTTCCTTCCAGAAAACCCCGGCATCAGTAAAAACATCAAGGTGCCTTCTGGGTATGTGCCGAACTTGCAGGAATACAAAAAGAAGGTGGTCCGTGACTCTAAACTGAGTCTCTGATTGAAAGAGCCTTACGAGGCCGGCAGGTCAGTAACACACACATCTGATACAGGGCTAAGAAGTCTACTAAGAGTACCTTCTGACCCAGGAGGGTGGCTGACCAAGTGAATCACTGGGGAATACAAAACGCCTTCCTAAGAATATGCCTGTCTGTGGCCTTTCTTGGTTGGGTTTTTAATCTGGGACCATCTTCATTTGCCTGAGATGCTTCTAGGCCTTACGGCATGACAAAATAAAAGTCACGATGCCAGCCTGGTGCTTTGGCTTCTTATTTCCAGAAGAAAAGTTCAAAGCCCGCCCCCTTCTCCCAGTCGGGTTTCCCCGCAGGGGATACTGCCAGGCTAGAGCAAGTGTCGAGTCTGACCCGCAGCGCATGAACATGTTGTTTCCAAAAAAGAAACCAATTTCTAACCTTTCCATACCTGTCGCTTCGGAAATAGGGGAAGTTAAACTGGATCTTCCGTAAGGAGATGCTCTGAAACTAAAGCAAGAGAAAAGAGAGCCACTAAAGAGCCTACTCATATAACCAAATACTACCTGTACCCCAGTAATTATGGAAAAAAAAAAAAGAACACAGGTCAGGGGCAGCCTAGGACTGAAACTATGGGAATCCACGGCATCAGGGGAGGCCCCTCTGCTTGAGCACACCTGGGTAAGTGTGCTGCAGGAAGGAAAGTCCAGAACAGCAACTTGGGAAAAAAGGAGGCTGGGCGTGGTAGCTCATGGCTCACGCCTGTAATCCCACCACTTTGGGAGGCCGAGGCGGACGGCTGATTACCTAAGGTCAGGAGTTGGAGACCAACCTGGCCAACGTGGCAAAACCCTGTCTCTACTAAAAATACAAAATTTAGCCAGGCGTGGTGACATATGCCTGTAATCCCAGCTACTCAGGAGGCTGAGCCAGGAGAATCGCTTGAACCCAGGAGGCGGAGGCTGTAGTGAGCAGAGATGGCACCATCGCACTCCAGCCTGGGCAACAGAGTGAGACTCCGTCTCAAAAAATGAAAATAAAAAAACTTGGGAAAAAAGGAGATTACCCCCCACCCTTGGGAGGAGCTTATTTTTCCTGCCCTCGTGTTTCTAGGACCTTCTGAAATCCCATTTTGTGCAGAGTCAACAAGTCTGAAAGAATAAAGGCAAATGGCTGAGCTGAGGGAAGGGGACGCGGAAGCTGTTGCAGAAGACCGAGTCTGCTCTGCTCAGCAGCGCCAGGAAGAGAAGGGCCCAGAGCCTGTCCTCTGTCTGCCCCACAAAGGTGCACACTGATGCCCACTCCACGCCTGGCCTTCCACCCCTTGGCTCACTTCTGCCAGATCTGGTGCTCAAGGCAGTAGCAGGAGAGAGACCAAAAGACGAGCTCTGGACGAAAGAATCTTCCCTCCTTCACCTCAGAGACTCCCAACCACAATAACTCCCTCTTCTCAGGACTGGAGAGGGAAATGACTAAGAGTGACAGTTCACAGGGAACTGAGACTTCTCCAACAGCAGCCAGGGATCTGGAGTAGCCCCCAAGAATGGGAGCTTTGAGGTCTCGAGCTAGTACCTCAACCTCTCTAAGCCTCAGTTTCCCCATCTGAGGATGGGGGTAATAATAACAACGAATCATTGAAGGTGGCTATAAGGAGAAAGCAGTTAGTATACATGGCGTCTGGCACACAGACCATAATTAGCAGCAGTTATTATGACTGTACCACGCCAACTAGAATCAGCACGGAACTGTGCCTAAAACCATGTCAGTCGATGCTTCGAGCCTCTTGGATCTGGCAGCACTGAGATGATCCACCCAGCCACCCTATATAGAGGCGCCTGGTGATGGCTATGGAAGCACCCAGTGACTTTCATCCGCCACGTCACAGTTTTTCTCTATGTCTCATTTTTGCTCCTAGGGCTCGGTAGGGCATCATTAAAACTTCCAAGTATAAGTTATGCCCTTTCCTGAGAGATAGACACATGGTTTACACGTGAAGCCAGAATGGCACCAGGTTCCAATGTGATGTCAGGGTGTCCCAATGGATTTGGCCCAGTGTAACCAGACCTCCCACTAGGCCTGCCCAGAGGCCCACACCCTCTCAGCCCATCTTACCTGAGGGAGGCCAGCTCCCACCACCGAACCACTGTGGATCATGGGGCCTTCCTTCTCCACGAAGAGCCCTGGGCAGGGTGAAAAAGGAAAGACCAACAGTCAGTGCAGAAACGCCCCTGGGTCAGGAGACCTTGGCTACAAAAACCTTCCTCGTGACAACTGAACAGAGATGATCCTAAGACTTTATAAGAGAAAGAGCCAAATTCCCACCAAATAAGCTCCATTTCAAGTCTTGCTAGAAGAGAAAACACTCTACATTCTAAATTGTGTGTCAGCAAATGAGAGCCTGTGAGCCCAGACCACCAGCTCCCTCCTGGTTTTACACGGCCTGAGAACTAAGACTGGCTTTTACGTTCTTAAATGCACACATGTAAATAGTTACATAAACATCTACATAAGAGCTTCCATTCTGATTCTTGGCCCACAAAGCCTTAAATATTTACTATCTGGCTGTTGACACAAAAAGCTTGCTAATTTTGACAAAAGCTAATTCCACAAGCTAAATTCCAAATCCCAAAACTGAAGAGTGTGTTTGTCAGGTATCTGAATGGTAACATACGAACAGTGTCTGCATTTAAAAACAGCCCATCAACAAAAAGTGCAGACATCAGCTGTTTGAGGCTGGGCCCTGCAGTCCAAATCTAATAACTGAAATACATCATGCTTCTTGTCGTCTCTGCCCTTTGAGTATTTGAAGGATACAAGTTGGACCCTTCTTACCTCCAGCCACACTGAACAGCACTCCAAGGACCTTGCAGAGCAGGGTCCGGAGACGGACGATTCCTGGCACCTTTACGCCATTCAGATAGCATTTGACCTCGGGTATCCCGGAACCTGCTGCCACCGGCTGATGGAGGAGAGCAGGCACACCCATAACTCGAAATCCATTGGTTCTCTGGCTTACCCTCAACAATCTGGGCGGCGGAAGAGGGAGAGCTGGCCACCTTCATTAGCAGCGTGAGCGTCACCTGGAGGGCTTGCAGAACCACAGCTGCTGGGCCCCACTCCAGAGGATCTGACTCAGGAGGTCTGAGGGGCAATGGGAGGACTTGCACTTTTTTTTCTTTTTTTTTTTTGAGGTAGAGTTTCACTCTTGTTGCCCAGGCTGGAGTGCAATGGCACAATCTCCACTCATTGCAACCTCCGCCTTCTGGGTTCCAGCAATTCCCCTGCCTCAGTCGCCCGAGTAGCTGGGATTACAGGCATGCGCCACCACGCCCGGCTAATTTTGTATTTTTACCGGCTAATTTTGTATTTTTACTAGAGACAGGGTTTCTCTACACTGGTCAGAATGGTCTCAAACTCCCGATCTTAGGTGATCTGCCCGCCTTGGCCTCCCAAAGTGGCCAGACTTGCACTTTTTAAAGAAAAATAATTTCCACTTTTATTTTAGGTTCAGGGATTGCATGTACAGGTATGTTACGAGGGTATATTGCATGATGCTGAGGTTTGGGACATGAATGATCCTGTCACCCAGGTAGTGCGCATGGCACCCAACAGTTTTGTTTTCAGCCCTTTCCCCCTTTTTTCCTCCCCCCAGAATCTGTACAAGTTCCCTGTGAATGAGCATCACCTGGGAGGCCTTTCTTCTTTAATCTCACCAGAGGTGAAACCTTTACCTTTAGTGAACAAGAGGCCACTTTCTGCAGGAATCTGCATTCTCAGTTTCCTGACATTCTGGAAGGAGGTGGGGAAAAGGAGTGCGGGACTCTAAAACCTCCTAAGCGAGCAGGTGAATCCAAACCACCTCACCTCAATGAGAACAAGGAGGCTTGCCAGGAAGACAAAGGTGAGGTTAAAACCCAGGAGTTCAAGGAGAGACAGAGCGAGGCAGCCTTTCTGGCTGCACTCCTCCACCGCTGCGGAAACTGGGTTAAGGAAACTTGTTCATCAGCCGAGGGGTGTCCCCGTCATCACTTGAGAGGGTGCAGCTGCTTCTCCTTTGGATCATGCTGGCTGCTGAGTGCACTTTTTCTCTATATATAAAAATTTTTTAAAAACTGCCTGAGATGACTGGGTGCAATGGCTCATGCCTGTAATCCCAACACTTTGGGAGGCTGAGGCAGGAGGATCACTTGAGCCTAAGAGTTGGAGGCCAGCCTGGGCAATGTAGTGAGACCATGTCGCTACAAAAAGTACAAAAGGTATATGCCTATGGTCCCAGCTACTCAAGAAGCTGAGGTGGGAGGATCGCTTGAGCCTGGGAGGCTGAGGCTGCAGTGAGCTGTCATTGCACCACTGCATTCCAGCCTAGGCAACAGTGTGAGGCCTCATCTCTTAAAAAAAAGAAAAAATTGTTTGAGATGCCTTTGACATTAGGAAATACTTCAAACATTACAAAAAGTAACGAATACCCATACCCTCACAACTGTAGCTTTAACAAATCTCAACAACATGCCATATATGCTCCAGGTATTTTTAAAAAAGAAAACATTCAGTACCATTTTAAGAAACAAAACAAAACAAAAAAAAAAACAGTTTTCCTTCCTCTCTCCCCTGGGAGAAACCACTAACCTGAAATTATTGTGTGTATTTCAAAAGTGTCCACACTGTTGTACACGGCACTTGTATATTCTGTAACTTGCTCTTTTTTTCTCAACATTAAGTCTTTGAGAATTAGCCATGTTGATACACACAACTCTGTGGTTCGTTCACTTTCACTTGTCTAAAATTTTTATTTTACAATCTACAGAAATGACATGATGTCTAAAATGATACCATATGAATGTACCATAATTTTTCCATTCTCCCATTTGGTGACTCCAGCTTTTTGCTATCATAAAGCTATAATTACCACCTTTGTACATGTCTACGGTTCAAATTTCTAAGAGGAATGTATGAGTCACAGGAATGTGCACCTTCCTTTTTCTAGAGGTTTACTGGCCAGTTTTTCTCTTTTGAGAATTCCAGTTCACATCCTTTGCTCGTTTTCCTTCCATTGGACCATCTGTTGTTTTTCTGATTGAGTTGCAGGAGTTCTTCCTGTATTATTTGTTCTGAATCAGAGTCTCATTCTGTCACCCAGGCTGGAGTACAGTGTTGCAATCTCGGCTCACTGCAACCTCCGCCTCCTGGGTTCAAGTGATTCTCCTGCCTCTGCCTCCCAAGTATCTGGACTAAAGGTGCACACCACCACACTCAGCTCAATTTGTATTTTTAGTAGAGACAGGGTTTCACCATGTTGGCCAGGCTGGTCTTGAACTCCTGACCTCAAGTGATCCGCCTGCCTCGGCCTCCCAAAGTGCTGGGATTACAGGCGTCAGCCACCGCGCCCAGCCTCTTCCTGTATTCTGGATACTAATTATCTGCCTCTTAAATGCATAGTAAATAACCTCTCTCAGGCTGTGGACTTGTTTTCACTTTATTTATGGTGTTTTATTGTTGTTATTTGGAGTTTTTGTCTTTATAAATACAATATGTACTTTGATGTGGTCAAATTTATTGATTTTGTTTGTTTTTTTTTTTTGTTGTTGTTTTTTGAGACAGTTTTGCTCTCATTGCCCAGGCTGGAGTGCAATGGCGCGATCTCGGCTCACTGCAGCCTCTGTCTCCCGGGTTCAAGCGATTCTCCCACCTCAGCCTTCCAAGTAGCTGGGATTACAGGCACCCGCCACCATGCCCAGCTAATTTTTTGTACTTTTAGTAGAGATGGGGTTTTGTCATGTTAGCCAGGCTGGCCTTGAACTCCTGACCTCAGGTGATCTGCCTGCCTCGGCCTCCCAAAGTCCTGAGATTACAGGCATGAGCCACTGCACCCAGCCATTGATGTTTTTGTTTGTTTGTTTTTGAGACGGAGTCTTGCTCTGTCACCCAGGCTGGAGTGCAGTGGCGTGATCTTGGCTTACTGCAAGCTCCGCCTCCCAGGTTCATGCCATTCTCCTGCCTCAGCCTCCCCAGCATCTGGGACTACAGGCGCACACCGCCACGCCCAGCTAATTTTTTTGTATTTTTAGTAGAGACGGGGTTTCACCGTGTTAGCCAGGATGGTCTCAATCTCCTGACCTTGTGATCCGCCTGCCTCTGCCTCCCAAAATGCTGGGATTACAGGCGTGAGCCACTGTGTCCGGCCCCATTGATGTTTTTTCTTATAGTCTGTGCCTTCTGGAGTTTTAAGAAATTATTCCCCACTCTTGACAACATATAGTCTCCCGAAGTTTTGTTCTGCATATTTACATCTTCATCTGGAATTTATCTTATTTATAGTATGAAATAGGAATATAACTATTTTTCCATATGGATCACCCATGTCCCAGCATCATTTTTTTTAAGACAGGGTCTTGCTATGCTGCCCAGGCACAGTCATGGTGCATTACAGCCTCAAACTCCTGGGCTCACCTCCTAAGTAGCTGGGACTACAGAGATGTGTATCTTTTATTTATTAAATAACACAGCGTCTTTTATTAAATCATTCATCACTCCCTCACTGATTTGTAATATTAACTGTCATTCACCAAAGTTCCATGTATGTGAGGACCAGCTTCTGCTTCTCTATCATTTTCCACTGTCTAGGTATTCCTGCACCAATATGACCAATTTCAATGACTGTATCTTAAATTTTATGACTTTTTTTTCCCTAACTCCCCAAACTTGTTAATTTTATAAGACTTGATATCTGACAGGGTCAAGTCCACCTTCTTGTCATTTAGAACTATACTGACTGCTTTTGGCCCTTTACTCTTCTACACAAATTTACAAAGAATTTCTGAGTTCCACAACAAATTCTATTGGAATTTTGATTGGAACTACATTAAATTTACAGATTAGGGAGTACAGGCATCTTTGCGGCATCTGTAATCTTATCAACCACAAACATAGGTATATGTCTTTGCTTATTAAAGTCCTTCTTTTGTGTCCTTCAGTGATCATTAGAAATATTAAAGCTGAATAGCTAATAAGCGGCCCTTCTAATACTATGCTTACTGTTAGACCCATTTCTATGTAAGAAAGAATCTTGGTGACCACTGAAGTCCACGAACACCAGGAACCGTGAAAAGGATACATGTCTGTACCACTCCGAACTTGAGTTGGGTGAAGAGTCGCACAAAAAAGTCCACAAAGAGACCCACCTGTGAAGAGCAAGAGATCTGTCACACAGCCTTATTTCCAAGTGTAGCACAAGTATAGTACAGGTGTGCTCCTCTTGAAGGCATCTCCTCCCCCACTGCACATACGGAGGCTGCTCACCAGCCAGCAGTACGTGAATGCACAGCAGAAAAGCGCAGAAGGAGGAGATCCCTTCTCCAGCCCAGTCCCACTGCCCCTCCAAAGAACAAAGGCAGAGAGTACAGCTAAGTTGAGTGAAGCAACGGAAAACAAAGAGGGAAGCAGGTGCAGAAAAAGATGTGAGACCAAGAAAGACTACTGACACAGGGGTGTCTACTCTTTTGGCTTCCCTGGACCACACTGGAAGAAGAATTGTCTTTGGCCACACATAAAATACACTAATGACAGCTGATGAGCTAAGAAAAGAAAAACTCAGAAAAATCTCATAAATGTTTTTAAAAGGTATATGAATCTGTGTTGGGCCATGGGTTGGACAAGCTTGCTTTAAAACACAACATTCATTTAGGTGTATGTGCTTTTTGCATGTTCCTTATTAGCAGGTTCTATTTTGTAAGTCATTATTTTGACTTGAAATCATCTTTTTTTGAGATGGGGTCTTGCTATATTGCCTAGGCTGGCCTTGAACTCCAGGGTTTAAGAGATCCTCCTGCCTCAGCCTCCCAGGTAGCTGGGATTACAGGCACACCCCACTGTGCCAGGCTTGACTTATAACCATCTTATAGTCCATAGTTACTCTGGGTAGAGAAAACAACCAAATTCCAGTATTCCACTCTCCAAAGTGCTCAGGGCTTAAAGGAGAACTAGAAAGACTTCTAATTTTATGGATTCAGGATCAAAGCTTCTTGCCTTTAACTCTGGCCTTCCCTCAAGCCAATGCCTGGAGGCTTTTTGATACTGAAGCCATAAAGTGGCCACACATCAATGGACAAGAGTTGGGAGTGCTATGTCATAAAGGCAGGTGTGCCTTCCTAAAATACAAAGGTAGGAGGTAAAGTTGCTTCAGCTTGAGTAACACTTATCTGAAATGCTTGGGACCAGAAGTGTTTTGGATTTCAGATTTTTTTTTCGAATATCTACATTATACTGATTAAACATCCCAAATCCAAAAATTTGAAATCCAAAATCTGAATGCGCCAATGAGTATTTCCTGAGAATCGTGTCAGCATTCAAAAAGTTTTGGATTTTGGAGCATTTTGGATTTTCTGATAAGGAACACTCAACCTGTAGTACTGACAAGTGGCAGCTCCAAAGAGTTT
Organism: Homo sapiens; assembly: GCF_000001405.40. Classification (NCBI taxonomy): domain Eukaryota; kingdom Metazoa; phylum Chordata; class Mammalia; order Primates; family Hominidae; genus Homo; species Homo sapiens. The sequence goes on along the minus strand of NC_000001.11, from coordinate 11,818,233 downwards.
GATATAAAAGTAGCACAAACACTAACAACTAGAGGCCTAAGGACTATGCTTATTATAGAGAAATCTGCAACCAGAAACATATATAGCAAAATAAATACCCTGAGATTTCTTTTTTTTAATTTTTTTTTTATTTTTAAGGAGACAGGGTCTCCCTACGTTGCCCAGGCTGGTCTCAAACTCCTGGGCTCAAGCAGTCCTCCTGTCTCGGCCTCTCAAAATGCTGGGATTACAGGTGTGAGCCACCGTCCCTGGCCCAACACCCTGAGATTTAAATAAAACAATAAATCAACCCAAGTTTCCCCAAAATGGTATCCATCAGAATATCACTGAAGAGGGCTTCTGAATGCCATCAGTCTTACCTAGTAAGATGTTCCTTTACTTGTGGATTTACTATAGTAAAAATTTGATGCATGCCATGAAAATAAAAATTGTGGTTGGCCCCTGTGGCTATATTATACCGAACACATGTGTACATTTTCTAGGCATATCATGTCAAATTAAGTAGGAGGCTTGTGGCCAGTTCAAGATAAAGGTGGTCAACAGGCTGTTACTGAGGACAGATACCCTATCCCAACACTGTACTGACCGGAATCAGATTTGACATGGATCTTTTTGACTGATGCTGATTTTTCCAGCTTCTCTTCCTCATATTTAACAATGTGAAGTCGGCAGTTTTGGTTCCAGACTTTTTGCTATCCTCATCTTTGGCCATGTTTCCAATCTTGCCTTGTCTTTGATTCACCTGTGAAGTTGCTGCCTCCACCAACTCTGTTCATACGGGCATATCCCTTCACTCACAGCTGCTGGCTCTATCTTCTAGATAACATTAACGACGTACGGGGAGGAGCCCAGGATAGCACCATAAACTCCCTGCATGAGATCAATAGCTATGGTGTGCCACCCTGTTCACTGGCACGCTGTGCTAAATGAAGGGCACGATGTTCACAGTTCCGTACCCACGACTTCGCTTTTTCCCTAAAGAGCGATCTCATGCCTGCCTAGAGTCCTAACCACTCGGGAGGCTGAGGTAGGAGGATCACCCAAGCCCAGAAGGTCGAGGCTGCAGTGAACTGTGATTACGCCACTGTGCTCCAGCCAGGGTGACAAAGCGAGACCCTGTCTCTATTTAAATTAAAAGAAAAAAAAAAGTAACTTTAACTTCCATTATTTACTCTACCCAATGCATTATCTACCCATTAGGGAGACATCTAGTTTACTAGGTAGATTAGAGATTATGATCCATAATCATATCATAAAAGATAAAGTCCTGCCCAAACCTTTGAGCGCTTCAAGAGCACCATTGTCATGTGTCTCGCTTTCATTTCACAAAGCAAAAGCAGGGGAAGTGTGAAAAACTGTGCCAGGATTATTCATTTAAAAAAAAAAAAGGGAAAAAAGAAAAGGCACTCTTGATTATAATGACAAGTGTTATTGCATTATAATGTTATAAATGTTATAATGACAAATGACAATGTTATTCACCAGGCCAGGGCTTTCCCTGTAAGCCCCTCCAGCCCTATGGCCCACCATCCCTCCAGGCCCTGCCTCCTCACCAGGCCAGTGCAGACTCCAATGGCAAACACCACCATCCACTTCACCGCCTCATATCTTCGACCTTTCTGTTCACACAGGAAAAGAATGATTCAGTTTACAGGGTTATGGTGGCAGAGGGGAAGAAATACATCTTGGCCAACCAGTTTTAAGCTAAATTCCACGTGGAGAGCAGGCACAGTAAAGATGATGTTGGGATTTCAGGTGCTTTACAGTGCAAAAATGATGGACTCTTAAGAGGCTGGGCAAGGTGCACTGACAGGGGGAACTCTGGTTGGCAGGATAAAGGCCTAGGGAATAAATGCCAACATAGGCCTACCTTGCAGATAGCATGGGTTTGGTTCTAGACCACCACAATAAAGCAAATATCACAATAAAGTGAGTCACACGAGTGTTTTGGTTACCCAGTGCATATAAAAGTGATGTTTACACTATACTGAGGTCTATAAAGTGTGTAATAGCATTATGCCTACAAAAATGTACCTACCTTAATTAAAAAATACTTTATGGCTAAAAAATGCAAACAAAATGCATGCTATTGGAAAAATGGCACCTTGCTCAACACAGGGTTGCCACCAACCTCCAGTTTGTAAAACCTGCAGTACCTGCGAGGTGAAATAAAGCAAAGCGCATAAAGTGAGGTCTGCCTGTATCGCATGAAAAGGTTCAAAAAACAAGGTGTAAAGATGTTTACTGGGGCCTTTAGAAGAGAAAAAAAATGCCATGTTAAGACTGATTTGATCCCCAGAGATGAAGAATTGTAAGACCCACCTTATTATCCATGGTCTCCAAAACTTCCAGGTAAGGGTCATTGATACAGCGATCATAATCCAAACTCTGAAAAGAGGCAAAGTTGAGTCAAAAGGTCATGTCAGGTGAGAAGACCTGCAAAGGGACAAACCTCTGGGTTCCTGCTACTCAACGTGTGGATGGGCAGAGCAGTGGTACCTGCAGCACCCAGGAGGAGCTGGTTCAAAATGCAGAATCTGGCTGGGTGCGGTGGCTCATGCCTATAATCCCAGCACTTTGGGAGGTCAAGGCAGGTGGATCACCTGAGGTCAGGAGTTCAAGACCAGTCTAGCCAACATGGTGAAACCCTGTCTCTACTAAAAATACAAAATTAGCCAGGCATGGTGGCGCGCACCTGTAGTCCCAGCTACTTTGGAGGCTGAGGCAGGAGAATCACTGGAACCTGGGAGGTGGAGGTTGTGGTGAGCCGAGATCGCACCACTGCACTCCAGCCTGGGTGACACAGCGAGACTCCGTTTCAAAAACAAACACAAAAACAAAATGCAGAATCTTAGACTCCTGCAGCCCTGCAGCCCCAGATGACTCAGATGCACATTAAAATTTGAGTGGTGTTGCTTTAGGTTCATACTTCATGCTTTAGGAGAAGTTTTAAATTACCTATTTTTAAACTTCCTGTTTTGGCAAAATATTTAAAGACCTTCAGCTATCATCAGCCTTATGAAACTTACTCCATTAGATATGAACAAAAGTTTCAGTTAGCCAGAACCAAATTAATTTAGAATGTCAATTAGTTATAATTATCTTTTGTAGTTAGTGTCTATGGAAATGAGGTTAGTCACAAGACAAACTAACATGGAAAGTATTTTTAAAAGCAACTTCCACTTTTTTTTTTTTTTTTTTGAGACGGAGTCTCGCTCTGTCGCCCAGGCTGGAGTGCAGTGGCGCAATCTCAGCTCACTGCAAGCTCCGCCTCCCGGGTTCACACCATTCTCCTGCCTCAGCCTCCTGAGTAGCTGGGACTACAGGCGCCTGCCAACACGCCCGGCTAATTTTTTTGTATTTTTAGTAGAGACGGGATTTCACCGTGTTAGCCAGGATGGTCTCGATCTCCTGACCTCGTGATCCGCCCTCCTCAGCCTCCCAAAGTGCTGGGATTACAGGCATGAGCCACTGCGCCTGGCCAACTTCCACTTTATGTTAGGAAGAGGCACAGATTCAGCTTGGCTCTCGGCTCCTAAAACTTCTACATCTGAAGCAGCATCCTTTACAACATGCATCACAAAACACAGAAATCCTGCAAGCAACTTGCAGGTATGCCACAGACATTTAGAGAAACAATTCAAAGGAAATCATTTTAGTTGTCTTGTTAGAGAAGCAGCAGTCTGGGCTGGGTGCAGTGGCTCACACCTGTAATCCCAGCACTTTGGGAGGCTGAGGCAGGAGGATCACTTGAGGCCAGAAGTTCGAGACCAGCCTAGGCAAGATGGTGAAACCCCATCTCTACTAAAAATACAAGTTAGCTGGGAGTGGTGGAGCACGCCTGTAATCCCAGCTACTCGGGAGGCTAGGGCAGGAGAGCTGCTTGAACCTAGGAGGCGGAGGTTGCAGTGAGCCAGCCAAGATCATGCCACTGCACTCCAGCCTGGGCAACAAAGTGAGACACTCTCAAAAAAAAAAAAAAAAAAGACGCAGCAGTTTGGCAACAAAGAAAAATAATGGTCGGCCATCAGCTCTCCTTCCCACAACCTGTTCCTACCCACATCAGCTGGACATTGGCTGGGTGGCAGCCACACTCCCAGACAATAGTTTCAAGTCAGCCAAACACATGTGATGAGTGACAATTTATTCTATCTATATGACTACCTAGAGTTAGTCCAAATTCTTTTTTTATGAGTCCTGGAGTACCAACAAGTGACTGAGTAAATCAATTATACATCCAAATATAGTAAACTATACACCAATAAAATGATTATAGTTAAGTCTATATAGAAAGATATGGAAAATCTCCAAAAATTATTCAGCAAAAGAGCAAGATGCAATTAAAAAATAAAAATAAAGCAGGATGGAGAATTAAAAGTATAATATCCCTTTTTGATTAAACAAAATTAGGATTATTTGTACGTCAGCATTCATAATGGGAAAACATCCGTGAGGTAGTGCTTAAGGAGATATTTGTTTCTGGGTGTTGTCTGAAATTCTCATAGCACAAATGGTGTGCTTTTTTATATTTTAAAAAATGATCGGCTGGGCGTGATGGCTCACGTCTGTAATTCCAGCAGTTTGGGAGGCCGAGATAGGTGGATCACTTGAGGCCAAGAGTTTGAGACCAGCCCGGCCAACATGGCGAAACCCCGTCTCTACCAAAAATACACAAATTAGGTGGGTGTGGTGGCACACACTTGTAATCCCAGCTACTAGGGTGGCTGAGGCAGGAGAATCGCTTGAACCCAGGAGGCAGAGGCTGCAGTGAGCCGAGATTGTGCTACTGCACTCCAGCCTAGGCGACAGAGTGAGACTCGGTCTCAAAAAAAAAAAAAAAATCTTTTTTACTGATCAGAAAAGAAACACAGTGATGAAAAAAGTACTTTTAGAAACTAGACTCATCCATAAGTGATTAAACATATATGCACCTACATATGTATTGTAGCGGCCAAGAGGAAAAGCTTCCCCTTTCACTCTCTAAAGGTCTGCTGAAAGTGAACCGACAAAAGGCAGATTAATGGGAGCAAAGGCATCCACTTATTTAACATGCATTGCACAGGGGAACTGCAGAATGATTACCCAATAATGCCAGCGAGGTACAGACGCTTCTATACTCTTCTTCACAGGGGAAGGGGAGATAGGGATGTGGGAGGAAATAATTCTTAGTGGGGAATGAATGGATCTGGGAAGCAGATATCATCTTGTGAATGATTCTCTTTGGAAATTGTATGGGACAGTGAACAAACAACGGTTGGGACAGTTTGTCCAGGCTCTAGGTATGTTGTTTGGTCTTCAGTCTCCTCTGTAAGATGAGTTTTAATGTTCCCTGGTTAATGACATTTCAGGAAAGGGATCAAAGACAACTGTGTTCCTCTCTGGTAGGTCCAGTTTCTAGGTAGATAAGGGAACGGCAGAGAAGAGCCTCATCCTGTGCTTTGGGAGAGACAAAGTGTGAGGGTGGAGAGTTCAGCATATCAAAGCACCATATTTCCAGGTATCATTTTCTGAGCCCCAACAATACACACACACACACACACACACACACACACACACACACACACACACAAACATACTTTGTCTTTTTTTTTTTTTGAGCCGTGGTATCTTTTGTTTGCTAATGAGATGAGTGGCGGCTGGGGGCCCTTAGATGGCTTCAGAAAAGGGGCTGGTCACCAGAAAGACCAAGGCAGGATTAGCGGGGTGGGACACCCATCCCTCCAGGGAGGAGACCGAAGCTGAAGGTTAAGCTGATCACCAAGGGCTGGTGATGTAATCAATCATGACTGCATAAAAAAGCTTCCATAAAACTCCAAAATGACAAGGTTCAGAGAGCTTCCAGACAGCTGAACCGTTTGGAGGTTCCTGGAGGGTAGCGTGCCTGGAGAGGGCATGAAAGCTCCGTGCCCCCTCCCACGTTCCTTGAATCTCTCCATCTGGCTGTTCTTCTGTATCCTTTATGATATCCTTTATTAATAAACTAGCAAATGTAAGTAGCATTTCTGTGTTTTCTGACCCGCTCTAGCAAGTTAACCAAACTCAAGGAGGGAGTCCTGTGAACCTTCAATTCACTGCCAGCTGCTGAGAAATGCAGGTGACAACCTACTACTTTTTTTTTTTGAGATGGGGTCTTTCTCTGTCACCCAGCATGGAGTGCAGTGGCATAATCTCGGTTCACTGCAACCTCCAACTCCTGGGCTTAAGCCATCCTCCCACCTCAGCCTCCTGAGTAGTGGGGAAACAACCTCCACATATCGGTGTTAGCAGTGTTCCGCGAGTGGTGCCTGAGAGCAGAGGAGAAACAATACCCTTGCCTTCATCCAAAATATGTATGGAAATTACTGGTCAAGTACTTCATTGATGGTTCCATCTAATAATGATATGGTTCCGTAAACATTTAGAAGGTTTTTAGATATCTAGAATAGGCAAATAGACAGAAAGGAGATCACTGGTTGCCTGGAGTCAGGGGCAAGGAGAACAGGCAGTGGCTGCTAATGAGTGCAGGGTTTCCTCTCAGGTGATGAAAATATTCTAAAATTGACTGTAGGAATTAGCTGGGCGCAGTGGCTCACGTCTGTAATCCCAGCACTTTGGGAGGCCAAGGCGGGCGGATCACCCGAGGCCAGGAGTTCAAGACCAGCCTGACCAACATGGAGAAGCCTCGTCTCTACTAAAAATACAAAATTAGCCGGGTGTGGTGGCAGACGCCTGTAATCCCAGCTACTTGGGAGGCTGAGGCAGGAGAATCACTTGAACCCGGGAGGCAGAGGTTGCAGTGAGCTGAGATCACAACATTGCACTCTTGCCTGGGCAACAAGAGCGAAACTCCGTCTCAAAAAAAAAAAAAAATTGACTGTAGGAATGGTTGTACAACTCTGTGAATATACTAATTTTTAAAACCCCATTGAATTGTACACTCTACATGGGTGAACTGAATAGTATGCCAATTATAGTGCAATAAAACTGCTAAGAAGGGCATTTAGAAACAACCGCAACGCTAGAACACCAGAATCCCTTTTTTTTTTGTCAGGGTCTCGCTCTGTCACCCAGGCTGGAGTGCAGTGGCGTGATCACAGCTCTCTGCAACCTCCGTCTCCTGGGCTCAAGCAATTCACCTGCTTCGATCTCCTGAGTAGGGGGGACCACAGGTTAGCCACCACACCTCGTTAATTTTTTCGTATTTGTTGTTGAGATGGAGTCTCGCCATGTTGCCCAGGCTGGTATGAAGTCCTGGGCTCAAGTGATCCACCTGCCTCAGCCTCCTAAAGTGTGGGGGTAACAGGTGTGGGCCACTGCACCCGGCCCCCTGCTAATTTTGAACAAATTTTTTTGTAGGAACAAAGTCTCACTTTATTGCCCAGGATGGTCTTGAACTCCTGGCTTTAAGCGATCCTCCTGCCTTGGCCTCCCAAAGTGCTGAGCATATAGGCGTGAGCCACTGTGCCACGCTTCTTTTTTTTTTAAATAAATTAGTTGAGTTTGGCCCTTTGTAAATATGTACCAATGGAATATATGAGCTATTATTAAAACCAGATACTGTTACTTCTCCTTTGCTATGACTAACTTTTTATTTCTGCAGTATATGTTGCTCTTTGGTTTAGGGGACTAACAACTTTTTAAAAAAATAAAATGTTATCTGTGTCTTGCAGGGCTGTTACAGGGGGTTACGAGCAAAATGGCACCTGGCCGGGAGGGAGGTGGGGGCTGAACCAGCCCCAATTCAACCAGGAAGGGGCATCTTAGTGTTCACACCAAAACCACCTTCAACTGGTTGTGAGCTAGGGGTGCTGCTATGGCCAGTGGGGGAGGCCTTTAATTCTAAGTCTTACGTTCTGAGTGTGCCTCTTTCTAATTCAAAGGTACAATATAAATAGACTGTGTGACCTGCATGAAAACATTCCTGTTTGCAATGGCACATCTCACAGAAAGTTACCATTTTTCAAACCACCTATAATGAGAATGGATGTCAAAATGGGATTCTAACATTTTGTAAGACCCTAAATTTATCAAATAAAGAGTCAAATATGTGCAATGAACTCTTCCTGAGACAGGAAGAAGGGGCACTTTTTAGAAAGATATTCAACAGAAGGGTTTTCTAGTTGACTGACTATCAAGGTAGAGAAAACCCTATAACTCCATTCATTAAAATATGACTATTAATACCTTACTAAATATCCTTCTACATCCTTACCCACGTTTTTATACACATGCTTTTAACACGTGTTTTAAATAACAAAAATGAGATTCCACTAAATCAACTATTTTAACCTGTCCCACTCACTCCCCTCTTTATTATACTTTTTGTGTCAAGTTGATTTATTTATTGAATAAATAAAATCCAGACTTTTCTGTTTAAGTGCCTGAATTTGTTCTTACACAAAGCAAGTGCTCTCAAGAAGCTCATTCTTGAAGATGGTTGAGAAATATCAATGACCAATATCAAAAGAACATTAACCCATGAAATGTACATGAATATGGCCACGCGTGGTGGCTCACGCTTGTAATCCCAGTACTTTGGGAGGCTGAGGTGGGTGGATCACCTGAGGTCAGGAGTTCAAGACCAGCCTGACCAACATGGTGAAACCCCATCTCTACTAAAAATACAAAACTTAGCCAGGCATGGTGGTGTATGCATGTAGTCCCAGCTACTTGGGAGGCTGAGGTAGGAGAACAGCTTGAACTCAGAGGCGGGGGTGGAGGTCGCAGTGATCCAAGACCGTACCACTGCATTCCAGCCTGGGCGACAGAGTGAGACTCTGTCTCAAACAATGACAAGAACAACAAAAATTTACATGAATATGCATATCAGCTGAAGGCAAGCACATTACAAATGTAAGTACAATTTAGTAGAAGGGGTGAGGGAGCCTGGGTGTCAATGGGGAAGCCTTGGTGAGCTCCTAGAAGTAGGATGAAGGCTGTGAGACAGTCTCAGTCCTGGTGATACAGTCAGGATGATGTAACAGGGTTCAGTGAGGGAGTGCAAGGTGACAGAACAATATGGAGTATCTTATACTAATTCCTGCAAACTTCTCAACTATGTACAAGAAAACAAATACTTACGAAACAGAAGAAAATGGCCAGGTATAGTGGCTCATACCTGTAATCCCAGCACTCTGGGAGACCGAAGCAGTATCACCTGAGGTCAGGAGTTCGAGACCAGCCTGGCCAACATGGTGAAACCCTATCTCTACTAAAAATACAAAAATTAGCCGGGCATGGTGGTGGGCGCCTGTAATCCCATCTACTCGGGAGGCTGGGGCAGAAGAACCGCTTGAACCTAGGGTGGGGTGGAGGTTGCAGTGAGCTGAGATCGAGCCATTGCACTCCAACCTGGGCACTAAGAGTGAGACTCCATCTCAAATTTAAAAAAAAGAAAAAAAAAGAAATAGAACAAAACACAGCAGTGGATACAGTGCTTTTTGGTTCATTCAAAGCAGTCCCATCAGAGTAGCATATTAAACTATACAAACGGCTCCAAATGGCAAAATCTAGACAGTAGAAAATCCCAGGTCCTAATTATGTTGTCAAATAACTTACAAAAAAAAAAAAAAGATGAAGGAAGAAGCTACAGATTAAAAGAGATTTAACAGATTTATCAAACAAATAAAAAAGGACTTTTGGAACCTAATTCAAATAAAGTTAAAATACATATGACATTTACAAGAAAACTGGAAAATCTGGACAGTAGATATTTGATATCAAGAAATTCCTAATTTTTTAGATGTGGTAATAGTATTGGGTTATGCTTTTTAAAAGTCCTTATCCATTAGAGATGCATATAGAATTATGGGTGAAATAATATGATGTACAGAATTTCTTTCAAAATAACATGGGAAGGGCGGCCAGGTATGGTAGATCATGACTGTAATCCCAGAACTTTGGGAGGCTGACATGGGAGGATCGCTGGTGTCAAGGAGTTCGAGAACAGCCTGGGCAACATAGGGAGACTGTCTTTACTTTAAAACACACACACACACACACACACACACACACACACACACACACAAACACACACACACATACAATAAAAAATAATAATATGAGAAAGGAGAAGTGGATAACGAAAGCACAGACAAAAGAAGACTGGGCTTGAGCTAAATCACTGTGGAAGCTGTGTGATGAGGACAAGGGGTTTCAACAGATTATTCTGTTTTTGCATATAGTTGAAATCCTTCATAATAAAAGTTAAACAAAAAAGTGCTACAAATCCTAACGCTGACACTAAATTCTACAGCATGAAGAATTTATGGAAGAGTGAGACTCTGTCAAAAAAAAGAAAAGGTTGTGGAAAATTACCTAATGATACAAAAAGTATAATAAAGGGGGTGAGTGGGACAGGTTAAAATAGATGATTTAGTGGAATCTCATTTTTGTTACTTAAAAAAAGCATGTATCATGTATATAAAAGCATGGGTAAGGATGTAGAAAGATACTTAGTAAGGTGTTAACAGTCATCTTTTAATGAATGGAGTTATAGGCTTTTCTCTACCTTCTTTATTACGTTTAAGAATTTAATGATAAAAAGTCACGCATGTTGTTTCACCCCAGCAGTGTTGGCTTTACTAAAAACACATACTCTAAGAATCCCATACATGAAAGGTGGAACTTAATCAAGAACATGTCAGAGAGAAGCTGCTTGAGCAAGAAAATATCTGAAAAGCAAGCTCTCCTAGAAGAGAAGCAAGGCCTCCTTAACAGTTTATAAGCACACACCTGTTAGGGGCACATACTGCCTGCCAGTGCCTTTCACTCTAAGTCTCTCTGTAAGCTGTAAAAGCAAACAGTTTAATGGCAAATACATACTCTATCCAGGTTAAGGTGCCACAGATTTATAAACGTGTAAAAACACCAGACCTTGTTTTGGGGTTAAGGTGAGAAAAGGGCTTGCTAAACAGTCTCTTTCCTAGAAGGAAGTTCTCTTACCCACTCACTCCCTGGGACAGAAGGTCAAAGAGCATCTCTGGTTGGAATCATAATGCTTCGGCCTGAAGTGACCAGGCCACTCACTACTTTAGTTGCCCAAGCAGTATCAAAGGAGCTCACCTCATAGTCTTTCCTTGGAAGAATCTCATCCTCCTCCTCCTGTGTTTCTCCAAGGATGGTCTAGAAAAACAGATCCGCAGAGGGAGCCTTTTTTAGTGGTTAGGAGTGGAAGGAGGCAGAAGTATTTACTGAAATCAGTGGCTAGCTTCTAAATCATCTGGAGCCATTATCAAATAGGAACCAGCCCTCAAAAAAAACCTTTCAGGGGTGAGGGACCATGTGGGTGAGGATCTACAGCCATCAGCTGAGCTCTTCATTTCCACTGATAGTCTCCAAATAACCACCCTCCTCTTCAGGACACCTCAAAGATGTCCAACGCCAGCTGAAAAGGGGGGTAAAAATGCAGGTTCCATTTGACAGTGTGACGTATCTGAAATCAGAAAGGACTTGTCAACTCTGGGAACACAACTCAAGTTTTCCCAGGATGCTTTGCAGGGGGAAGCTGGACTGTCAGTGACCCAGAAAGGGTGAGGGATAGAGTGAGAAAGGACTGGAGAAGCTAAAACAGCAGCATGATAAGCACAAAGTCCTGTGAGGAAGCTCATTCTGAAAACGCTTGTTTCATTCCAAACTCTTTTCAGATGGAAATAAAAGGAAACATGGGTGGGATTTACTGGAGCTGGCCTGGATTCTCCCTCAGATTCCAGGAGGGGTTATGAGAAAAGACCCCAGACTTAGGCACGTGAAGCAGGGTAGACGCTTCGAGAGCCCTGGCTGCGGTCCCCAGGCCCCACCCGCTGCCACCTGCGGGCCCAGATTGGCCCGGCCCCACCCCCGGCAACGCCTCTCTCAGTCCCTTAGCAACCGCCCCCTCCCCAGGCCGACTCCGCCGGCTTCTTACCAGCTCCTCGGGGGTGCGGGTCTCACGCTCACCGCAGCAGCAGCACCACCTGCAGCAGCAGCACAGAGACCCCCTGCACCCCGCCATCTTCCTCCTTTACTGCCACTCTGGACCCCTCTACCAACCCCCTCCCAGCCAGGATCTGCGCCTCACGTGACTGGCCCCGGGACGGTCACGTGGCCCTCTCGAGCTCTGGGACTGAGACCAGGAGTGGCTGCAGACGGGTGGGGCGAGGACTCGCGTCACATGACGATAAAGGCACGGCCTCCAACGAGACCTGTGGGCACGGCCATGTTGGGGGCGGGGCTTCCGGTCACCCGCGCCGGTGGTTTCCGCCCTGTAGGCCCGCCTCTCCAGCAACCTGACACCTGCGCCGCGCCCCTTCACTGCGTTCCCCGCCCCTGCAGCGGCCACAGTGGTGCGGCCGGCGGCCGAGCGTTCTGAGTCACCCGGGACTGGAGGGTGAGTGACGGCGAGGCCGGGGTCGCCGGGAGGGAGATCCTGGAGCCGGCAAACAACCTCCCGGGGGCAAGGACGTGCTTGTGGGCGGGGAGCGCTGGAGGCCGGCCTGCCTCTCTTCTTGGGGGGGGCTGCCGCCTCCCTTGCGCACCCTTCGCGGGATTAGTGTAACTCCCAATGGCTACCACTTCCAGCGACCGCCAACCCTCAAGCGAAGACTGACTTTGGCTCCCTGCCTGGACGGAGGGGCCCCTGAGCCAGGGGTGACGATCCCGCCCCTCTGACCGGCCCAGGCCCGTGTCCTCGCCCCCATCGGTGACTCAGTGACCTGGTGACTGGATTCTCGGCCACCTGGGCGCCGAGACGGCTTCCGGCTCCTGCCTTTTAAACCTGCCTCCCCGGCGATCACCTGGAGAAGAGCGCTGGGCCCGGGGCACTGCGGTCCCTGGCGCCCACTGCGTCCCGCTGCGCACGGGGGTCCGCCGGGACCTTTCTGGGAGTCGTAGGCTTAGTATCCCAGTGCTTGGCGCAGACTAGTTGTTCAGTAAGTGGCAGAGGCTTATTTTGAGAGAGTGGCAGCACCTGGCCCTTTGGCGCTCAGTGAATGTTGGCTATCACCGTGTGCCAAACTCTGGGGATACCCCAGGCAGGACACCGGTCCTGTCTCAGGGAACTGGGGAAAGAGAAAGGAGACAGGCCTTTTCACCCACAGTTACAACCCAGGGTGCTATGGGAGTCCAGCTGATAACGGATAAATCGTGGGAGTTGGCTTACAAATATGGCACATGCGTGGCATATACTAGGAATGCAATAAGTCTTTGAAAATCAGAGGGTTTACAGGTGGTTCAGCTTCCTCCTACTCTAGGTTCTGTTCCAGCAAGCAATTAACGAGGTGCGCCCTTAAACGCTGGAGGAAAGCCAACTGGCTGCTCTTGCTGTTACTCCTCCCCCCCGCCCCCGTTCCTCACTCCCCACAGCCATCCCCACTGAGAATCTGGAGTTTGAGGTCAGAATGAAAGAGAGCAGCCCTAGAGGGAGAAAGCTTTGGCCCAGGGTTCTTAGTCTGGAATCAACTCCTTGTCTTTGGATGTATCCCCGTGTAGTCTGTGCACCTGTGTGTGTATTTCAGGGGAAGGGAGCAGTGCATTTAATCAGATTGTCAAAAGAGTCTAAGACCCCAAATGGTTAGGTACACAGGGTTAGTGGTGGACAGTCTGAAAGAAATGAACCTCACCTGGGCTTTCCTCTGTTGTGCCATGTCACCACACACCCATTCACTACTGTGTGTTTGCCCATTGCTGTGCAAGTGTTTTGTTTGTTTTTAAGTGTTTGTCTTATTTTCTTAACCAGACTGCCAGATGACCCTATGCCCTCTGTTGGCCTGTCTGTGCCCTGGTGGCTCTGATTACTTGTTTCTGTTTTTTGTTTTTGTTTTTTTTTTTGAGATGGAGTTTTGCTTTTGTCGCCCAGGCTGGAGTGCTATGGCACAATCTTGGTTCACTGCAACCTCTGCCTTCCGGGTTCAAGCGATTCTCCTGCCTCAGCCTCCAGAGTAGCTGGGATTACAGGCGCCCGCCACCAAACCTGGCTAATTTTTATATTTTTAGTAGAGTCGGGATTTCACCATGTTGGCCAGGCTGGTCTCAAACTCCTGGCCTCAGGTGATCCACCCACCTCGGCCTCCCAAAGTGCTGGGATTACAGGTGTGTTTTTTGTTTTTTTAAGAGATGGAGTCTCGCTATGTTGCCCAGGCTGGCCTTGAACTCCTGGGCTCAGGCAATCCTTCTGCCTCAGCCTTCCCAGTAGCTGGGTCACTGTGATGATTTGAATTGAATTCTGTGATGTGTAAGAAGAGCAGCCTGCAAGGCAAGCACAGATGGGGCAGCTTTTGTTCTGAGAAATTCGTGCCCTTACTGAACTTGGGTCTGGCTATTTTTGGAACATGGCCAGCATCAAGTTCTAACCCACAACACGGTCTTTTTGGAGTAGCATGAATTCAGGAGAAATCTGGCTGCATAGTCAAGCCCTCACCCCTTCCATCCTGTGCACGAACTGTTTCAAGTAACAGATGTTCCAGGCAGAGCCAGCCAGAGTGAGCTGTTCCTTCTCTGGAGGGTGATCTGGTATCCCTGAACGCCTGTTGGCCTCATCTCCACCAACCCCTGCAGTCTCTGCCCCTGAGTCCCCCTCCTTCCATCCGCCTCCCCTTACTAGAGCCTCAGCCCTCCCTCCTCGCCTGGAAGCCTTGCCCCCGCCCCCTTGTGCTGGCTGGAGCTCAAGCCTCTTCCTTTGTCGCAGCTCCGCCCAGTTGAACACACCCGCTGGGGAAGGTGCCTCTGTTCCCTCCCCACGCACTCTGGGCCTGAGCTGACAGAGATGGACCATCGAAAAGCCAGGGTCCTCCCAGCTGGGCACTACTGCCCCTCGCTAGGAATATGGGCCTCGCAGGTCGGCAGCGTGAGGTCCTCTGTGCCACCTTCCATCAGGTAGCTGTCACCGAGGAGCATGTTGCAGTGCCGGGTGGGGGCTGCCTTGCATGCAAGGAGCCTGGCAGCAGCGGAGGGCAAGGCTTTGAGTGAGGCGGCCCGGACAGCCATAGCTGAGGAGCATGGAGCCACTGGGAGGGGGCAGTGTCACCTTTTTTGGCCTTCTTCCTGTGTGGAAATACAGCGCCTCCGGCTTGAACCTGCCACTCAGGTGTCTTGATGTGTCGGGGGTGTGGCTGCCTGCCCCCTGATGCTCCCTGCCCCACCCTGTGCAGTAGGAACCCAGCCATGGTGAACGAAGCCAGAGGAAACAGCAGCCTCAACCCCTGCTTGGAGGGCAGTGCCAGCAGTGGCAGTGAGAGCTCCAAAGATAGTTCGAGATGTTCCACCCCGGGCCTGGACCCCGAGCGGCATGAGAGACTCCGGGAGAAGATGAGGCGGCGATTGGAATCTGGTGACAAGTGGTTCTCCCTGGAATTCTTCCCTCCTCGAACTGCTGAGGGAGCTGTCAATCTCATCTCAAGGTAAACTCATGCAAGGTTAAGGTGGGAGGCGGGAGTGGTGGTGCCTGGGGAGCAAACTGTCAGCCCTGAGGCTGGGCTGCCCTTTAACCCGGCAGAAAAAAGCAGCCGGAGGGGGCAGGAAGGAGAAGGCAGAGTGGGTCATCTGATCTGCAACTTCTCTGTTGCCTGTAAAAGTCCCTCCACAGTGTCAAGGTATTTTAGACACACTCTTCAATGGGTTAAAAATGTTGATTCTCACACTGTATTCTTTGAGGGAACTTGGGGGCTGGATCACGAGTGCAGTTTAGGAAGTCACAAAGCAGTGAGATTGTTTTCAGCAAGTTAGAAATTTGGATTATGCTTCTTGAACTCTAGAAATGCCAACTGAATTACATTAGCACTTCATGAATTGCAGTTTTTTTTTTAAGTTTATGCCTTTTACTGTATGCACGTCTCACGTGTCACTCCCAAGTTTTTGAAGTTTAAATGCACAAGGATGTTTAAATACACCGTTGATAGCTTGTAACACAAGTACTCGTGCACATCCAGGCTTTTTTTTGAGTCTCGTTTCGGAACTTGGCCTTGGTCTGCATAACTGTAAGCTGCTGCACAGGGCTTGGGGGGTGGCATGAAAGAAAGTGAGTCTGCTGACCCTCTTTCTAACTGTTCCTACAGCGAGGCTGTGCTTGCCACAGTTAGGATTCCCCTAACTCTCAATCATGATGTCTTAACTCACCTGAGATAATAAACAGGCAAGCGCTGTGAAAAGTCTGAAGTGCTGCTCTCACACAAAATGATAGCGCTGTTGTTGTGTCTTACCTCTGTAATAGTGATTATAACGGCACCTCACATATACTGAGTATTCGGTTTGTACACCAGGCACTGTTCTAAGTTCTGTGGAACCAGCTGCCGTCATATTCTCCTAGTGTTATGGTTTTTTGTTGTTGTTGTTGCTTTTTTTTTTTTTTTTTTTTTTTTGAGACAGAGTCTCATTCTGTGGCCCAGGCTGGAGTGCAGTGGTGTGATCTTGGCTCATTGCAACCTCTGCCTCCTGGCTCAAGCAATTCTCCTGCCTCAGCCTCTCAAGTAGCTGGGATTACAGGTGCCCACCACCACACCCAGCTAATTTTTGTATTTTTAGTAGAGATGAGGTTTCACTATGTTGGCCAGGCGGTCTGGAACTCCTGACCTCAAGTGATCCACTCACTTCAGCCTCCTGAAGTGCTGGGATTACAGGCGTGAGCCACCACGCCCAGCATCCTAGTGTTATTATGAAGTGGGTACTACTATCTGCCGTGTCTTATAAATAAGGAAACAGAACTCACAGAGATTAAGTAATGTACCCAAGATCACACAGCTATAAGTAGCAAAGCCAGGATATGAACGCTGATTGGTCTGTCTCCAACCTTCATTGATGCTTCTCTAACTCCCGGGCCCCATGGGAAGGCAGTGACGGATGGTATTTCTCCTGGAACCTCTCTTCAGAAACAAACCCCCTACAGGTTTGACCGGATGGCAGCAGGTGGCCCCCTCTACATAGACGTGACCTGGCACCCAGCAGGTGACCCTGGCTCAGACAAGGAGACCTCCTCCATGATGATCGCCAGCACCGCCGTGAACTACTGTGGCCTGGAGACCATCCTGCACATGACCTGCTGCCGTCAGCGCCTGGAGGAGATCACGGGCCATCTGCACAAAGCTAAGCAGCTGGGCCTGAAGAACATCATGGCGCTGCGGGGAGGTGTGGAGCCAGCACTCCCCTACACTCTGGGTTCTGGCTTTCCCGGAGGCCACTTGGTAGCCTGAACTTGGTTCCTGAAATGGTCCTTTACTTCTTCCTGGGCCCCACGCTGAGGATCCGCAGGATCCCATCCCCGCCAGTAGTGTCAGTAGGCATTGTGGGTAGTGAGTCATCCTGGGCACCACACACAGGCAGCCACCTCTTCCACCTCTTGACCTCGACATAGGAGTTCCGTCAGGAATGCAGTCGCGGCCTGATAACCCTCTGCCTTGCCTACACCACTGCATCGATTGCTGGCTGCACCCAGCACTTGGCCCAATCACAGAGTAACAGAGTATCCAGGAGTGAGAATAGCCGGTCAGGCCTCTGGTGCCCGCTGTTGTCAGGCCACCTAAGAGTGGGAAGAGGGAGCCTGATGGGTGGGATCCTATGGCCTCGTGCTCCCTACCACAAGACCCCTTCACTTGAGATGAGTAGAAAATTCTCCCAGGAGGCAGGAGCCCCAAGGCCGTGGGATGGGAGAGGGTGGCAGGCATGCCCAGGTAGAAGTAGGGAAGGGCTCTCCAATCCTCCAGGCACGGTGAGAAGCAGCGGTGGTCTCCTATTCTCCACCGCCAGCACAGGGTCAGCATGCAGTGAATATTGAACTGGTGGGCTGCTTTTTTCCCTCCTGCTGTCTTACCAAGTGCTAGAAAGAGACGAACCAAACCTAAATAATATGAAGTTTCTGCCTTCCAGGGACTCGCAGTCCTGGGTGTCGGGGCTAGGTAGAGGGAACAGAAAGGGTCTCTGGAGGTTGGGTGAGACCCAGTGACTATGACCTCCACCAACCCTGCAGACCCAATAGGTGACCAGTGGGAAGAGGAGGAGGGAGGCTTCAACTACGCAGTGGACCTGGTGAAGCACATCCGAAGTGAGTTTGGTGACTACTTTGACATCTGTGTGGCAGGTGAGTGGCTGGATCATCCTGGTGGCGGGGATGGAGCTAGGGAGGCTGAGATGCCCAGAGAGCCTGTCGGTGTTCGGTTCAGGACACAGTGATCAGGGGCACTCATGGGTCCATGCTGGATGAAGGACATGCAGAGGTGAACTGCACCATGTCCTTGCTCCTTTTGTATCACCCACTCCCCTCCTGGGCCTGCCACCATCGACCCCTAGCTTTTTGTTCCTCTGCCTGGCTGTGCCCTTAGCCTGCTTGGCCTTATTCTTTTCTTTAAAACGAAAGAGGGGTCTGGGCGCGGTGGCTCACACCTGTAACCCCAACACTTTGGGAGGCCGAGGCAGGCAGATCACCTGAGGTCAGGAGTTTGAGACCTGCCTGGCCAACATAGCGAAACCCCGTCTCTACTAAAAATACAAAAATTAGCCAGGTGTGGTGGTGCACGGCTGTAGTCCCAGCTACTCAGGAGGCTGAGCCAGGAGAATCTCTTGGACCCAAGAGGCGGAGGTTGCAGTGAGCCGAGATGGTGCCGCTGCAGTCCAGCCTCAGTGGCAGAGCAAGACTCCATCTCAAAAAAAAAAAAAAAACAACACCCCACAAAAGAGGGATATTTACTAACAGGATTCCAGAGGGCAGGGAACCCAAGATCAGGAGATGGCCTCAGACCTCACAAGGCACTGGAAGAGGTCAAAAAGCAAGGCCCTCCCTCATTCCCTCTGGGGCCACAGGGTCCCCCATCTCCGCTTCCCACTGCACATCTGTGCTTCATCTGGGAGACCTGATACCCATGCTTTTCCACACACCTGGCCTGCTCCTGAGTGTGCAGAGTGTCAGTTCCAGCCAGTTCCCCAGGCTAATGGACAGGCCTCCGTTCCAAATTCCCAGGAAAGAGAATCACCATTGGCCACAGCCACAAGACCAGGTTCCCCCAACAGAAATGGGTGGGTTGGACTTCTCTCCCACCCTTGAAGCTGAAGGCTGGCATTGAGCCCTCAGCGTCTCAGACAGCGCTCAGGTATGGCAAGACAGTGTGCACCAGGGACAGGAAGTCCCGGGATTGGCACATTTTCTGGGATGACAGTTTTTTTGCCAATATTCTGGGAGAAATCCTACCATTTTTATATTAAACATGGCTATGTTATGGAGTAGCATCTAAAGTGATATGAACTAAAAAAAAAAGGCCAGGTGCGGTGGCTGAAGCCTATAATCCCAGCACTTTGGGAGGCCAAGGCGGGTGGATCATGAGATCAGGAGTTTGAGACCATCCTGTCCAACATAGTGAAACCCCGTCTCTACTAAAAATACAAAAATTAGCCGGGCATGGTGGCGCGTGCCTGTAGTCCCAGCTACTTGGTAGGCTGAGGCAGGAGAATCGCTTGAACCCAGGAGGCGGAGCTTGCAGTGAGCCGAGATCGCACCAATGCACTGTAGCCTGGGCAACAGAGCCAGACTCCGTCTCAAAAAAAACAAAACAAAAAACCCAAAAAACAAACCACGTGGCTTCAAGAAAATTACATGTTGTGAGTAACTTTGGCCTTGTCCCTAACCCCCGATGGACATGTCCATTCTGTCAACAGGGGTGTTTAGGTGCTAAGTCTGGGAAGCACTGATTAGGAGTCAGAGAACAGACATTTCCAACTGTTAAATTGTCATCGCTTGTATCAGCCATTATATAGTCAGTTACTGGGGGAATATGCACCCGTGATGGGCGTTAGGTGATAATGATTGGAAACTAGTGAAGCTGTGAGCTCACAGTTGCTGAATGGTTTCTTACTTTGCTTATCAAGTGGGTAATGAAGATGAGTGGATTAGAAAACACCAACCTGTTGGGCATGGTAGCTCATGCCTGTAATCCCAGAGCTTTGGGAGACTGAGGCAGGAGATCAAGACCAGCCTGGGCAACACAGTGAGACCGTGTCTCTACAAAAAATAAAAACATTTTAAAAAAGAAAGCCCTCAGCTGTTCATGATAGAAAAATAGAGTAAATAGCAAAATCTATACGTAATCAAATGCTAGATTTGTTCGGTGATATTTAGGTATTGTAGCTATACTTTTCAGCTATTAAAAAGCCTTGTTGTTTCTGAAATTCCTACTGGGAAAATAGCTTTGTTATTGCAAGTGTGAAGCCCCATTGCTTTATCCCCCACTCCCTTACCCCTTGAAACAATAGTTTTTATATTCATTTTTTGATGACTCTGGGTTTCTTAAGAACGGAACTGCCTTATCAGAGCAAAGCAGCTTGGCCTTCCGCCTGGCTCAGAGTCCTGCCCTGGGCTTGGGCTGATGAAACCAGCACTCCATGTAGTTTCATGAAGGCCTATGGTCATCCTGCTTGCCTGACCGAGCAAGGCGGCTAGTAAGTTTAGTCATTGAGGAAAGGGGTCAGAGAGTTCACAGAGCCAGTAAGGAGCCTATGGGACATCTGATCCCACCTCCTAAGCAATTCTGGAATCTTGTCTTCAGCATCCACTGCCCCTGTGTTTTCAGACTCCAGGAGCTCATTGTTTTGTGAGTGGCTTATAGTACTCTAGCCAGCTCTCTGAACCGGATGCTGGTTCTGCCATTAGAAACAACACAGAATATGACTAATAAAGAACTTCACTAGGGGGCTGGGTACAGTGGCTCATGCCTGTAATCTCAGCACTTTGGGAGGCCAAGGTGGGAGGATTGCTTGAGCCCAGAAGTTCCAGACAAACCTGGACAAGATAGCAAGACCCCATCTCTAAAAAATAAATAATTAATTAAAAAAATTTTTTTTAATTAGCCAGATGTGGTGGCTTGCATCTGTAGTCCAAGCTACTCAGGAGACTGAAGTGGGAGATCACTTGTGCCCGGGAGTTCAAGGCTACAGTGAGCCATGATTGTATCACTGCACTCTAGCCTGGGTGACAGAGCAAGACCCTGTCTCTGAAACAAAACAAAACAAACTCACCTATGGTGGATCCTTTTTCCCCAGGACAGACCTTTGGACATTTGAAAGGAGTTTCTGTATTCTTTTCATTCTTTTTTTTTTTTTTTTTTTTGAGACGGAGTTTCGCTCTCGTTGCCCAGGCTAGAGTGCAATGGTACGATCTCGGCTCACTGCAACCTCTGTCTCGTGGGTTCAAGCAATTTTCCTGACTCAGCCTCCTGAGTAGCTATTACAGGCATACACCACCACACCTGGCTAATTTTTGTATTTTTGGTAGAGACGGGGTTTTACCATGTTGGCCAGGCTGGTCTCGAACTCCTGACCTCAGGTCATCCTCCTGCCTTGGCCTCCCAAAGTGCTGGGATTACAGACATGAGCCACCGCACCCTGCCATCCATTATTTTCTTTGAAGAAAACATCACTTTCTTCAGTTCTTCCTTGTGTAACTTGGTTTTTAGCTTTTCACTATCTTGGACCCCTGAGTAATTTCAGTGTTACATTAAAAACAATGTTTAATCCGGTGCCTAGAGAAAAGTCAAGCTTACTACCCCAGATGCTGCCCAGCCAGTGCTAACTGTAGCATTTTCTCTTTTCTATGGCCACCAAGTGCAGGCCTGATTTGCTTGGCTGCTCAAGGCAGGACAGTGTGGGAGTTTGGAGCAATCCACCCCCACTCTTGGAACTGGGCTCTGAGCCACCTCCCCTGAGAGTCATCTCTGGGGTCAGAAGCATATCAGTCATGAGCCCAGCCACTCACTGTTTTAGTTCAGGCTGTGCTGTGCTGTTGGAAGGTGCAAGATCAGAGCCCCCAAAGCAGAGGACTCTCTCTGCCCAGTCCCTGTGGTCTCTTCATCCCTCGCCTTGAACAGGTGGAGGCCAGCCTCTCCTGACTGTCATCCCTATTGGCAGGTTACCCCAAAGGCCACCCCGAAGCAGGGAGCTTTGAGGCTGACCTGAAGCACTTGAAGGAGAAGGTGTCTGCGGGAGCCGATTTCATCATCACGCAGCTTTTCTTTGAGGCTGACACATTCTTCCGCTTTGTGAAGGCATGCACCGACATGGGCATCACTTGCCCCATCGTCCCCGGGATCTTTCCCATCCAGGTGAGGGGCCCAGGAGAGCCCATAAGCTCCCTCCACCCCACTCTCACCGCACCGTCCTCGCACAGGCTGGGGGCTCTGGGTGGAGTGCTGAGTTCGCTGAGTTCTTCCCAGATCTCCTCTCAGGTCCAGAACTTGCACAGCGTTGCTTGGCCACCCCATTTTGGTTACCTCTAATTTTCCCCCCAAAACCCAGCAACAGTGTCTGTTGAGGGGTTTGTTGTACTTTGGCCAACAAGCATCACCAAAAGGGATTCTAATTCTCATTACAAATCCTGCTTAAATCAGTGTTTCCCAAAGGTGGCTGTCATCAGAACCACTTGATAAGCTTTTTCAAAAAGTGGATCTCCAGGTCCCACCCCTGGAGGTTCTCACTCAGTAAATCTGAGGGAGGTCCTCGGAATGTGTGTTTTACTTCTTGAGCTTGGCAGGTGATTCGGATGATCAGTGCAGCATGGGAACAGCTGGGTTAGATGACACCATGTTACCAACAGACACATCTAGGGCTAAAAGGCTGGCTCAACCCAAGGCTGGAATGCTTAGGGCAGCTGCTCTACTCTGTAAAAAGTGGGAAAGCTGGGCATAGTGGCACGTGCCTGTAGTCCCGGCTACTTGAGAAGCTGAGGCAGGAGGATGGCTTGAGCCCTGGCGTTTGAGAGCAGTGAGACTCAGTCTCTAAAAACAGAAAAAAGAGGAGAAAACGGCAGGCCAAGCCCAGGTGTGCTCCTAGAATATGATCGGACTTTCGTGGGTCCCTCTGCCTGACACTGTGGTTGGCATGGATGATGGAAGGGGGAGAAGTATTTAGGGTGGGAGACGGGCTGGCCAGCAGCCGCCACAGCCCCTCATGTCTTGGACAGGGCTACCACTCCCTTCGGCAGCTTGTGAAGCTGTCCAAGCTGGAGGTGCCACAGGAGATCAAGGACGTGATTGAGCCAATCAAAGACAACGATGCTGCCATCCGCAACTATGGCATCGAGCTGGCCGTGAGCCTGTGCCAGGAGCTTCTGGCCAGTGGCTTGGTGCCAGGCCTCCACTTCTACACCCTCAACCGCGAGATGGCTACCACAGAGGTGCTGAAGCGCCTGGGGATGTGGACTGAGGACCCCAGGTGAGGGCAGTGGCCCAGAGATCCCCAGAGGAGGGTCCAAGAGCAGCCCCGGCTGCAGTGCTGGCTCCCCACGGTGGTACAGATGGATGTCTGTGCCATGGCTAGCTGGGCACATCGAAGGCTCCAGTCTCAGAGGGCATCAGATGGAAGAACTCAGCCTCAGGGGTGCTCCCCTGCTTCCGGCTCCCTCTAGCCAATCCCTTGTCTCAATTCTCTGTCCCCATCCTCACCCAGGCGTCCCCTACCCTGGGCTCTCAGCGCCCACCCCAAGCGCCGAGAGGAAGATGTACGTCCCATCTTCTGGGCCTCCAGACCAAAGAGTTACATCTACCGTACCCAGGAGTGGGACGAGTTCCCTAACGGCCGCTGGTGAGGGCCTGCAGACCTTCCTTGCAAATACATCTTTGTTCTTGGGAGCGGGAGGGCAGAAGAAGTTTGCATGCTTGTGGTTGACCTGGGAGGAGTCAGGGGCAGAATTTACAGGAATGGCCTCCTGGGCATGTGGTGGCACTGCCCTCTGTCAGGAGTGTGCCCTGACCTCTGGGCACCCCTCTGCCAGGGGCAATTCCTCTTCCCCTGCCTTTGGGGAGCTGAAGGACTACTACCTCTTCTACCTGAAGAGCAAGTCCCCCAAGGAGGAGCTGCTGAAGATGTGGGGGGAGGAGCTGACCAGTGAAGAAAGTGTCTTTGAAGTCTTCGTTCTTTACCTCTCGGGAGAACCAAACCGGAATGGTCACAAAGTGAGTGATGCTGGAGTGGGGACCCTGGTTCATCCCCTGCCCCTGGCCTGACCCCAGCTGCAGGCCAGGCTGCGGGGCTGTGACTTCCCCATCCTGTGCCCTCCCCTCCATGCTGTGGACATGGCAAAGGGAGAAGGGTAAGTTGGGAGACCTCCACCTGGAAGGGCTTAGGGAGGCAAAGACAGGCTGGGTCTTTGTTGGGGGCCGTGAGAGGGACTCAGGGTGCCAAACCTGATGGTCGCCCCAGCCAGCTCACCGTCTCTCCCAGGTGACTTGCCTGCCCTGGAACGATGAGCCCCTGGCGGCTGAGACCAGCCTGCTGAAGGAGGAGCTGCTGCGGGTGAACCGCCAGGGCATCCTCACCATCAACTCACAGCCCAACATCAACGGGAAGCCGTCCTCCGACCCCATCGTGGGCTGGGGCCCCAGCGGGGGCTATGTCTTCCAGAAGGTGTGGTAGGGAGGCACGGGGTGCCCCCCTCTCTTGACCGGCACCCGTGGGTTCCCCAGAGCTTAGGGCAGAGCAGCCTGCCTCTCCTGGGCTCTTAAATTTTGAATGAGCATGGATTGGAGCGGATGGGAGCTCATGCTTTAAGTCAGATAGACCTGGCTGGGCACGGAACCCGGCCAGCACTTTGGGAGGCCAAGGCGGGTGGATCACTTGAGCCCAGGAGTTCGAGACCAGCCTGGGCAACATGGTGAAACCCATTCTCTACAAAAAATACAAAAATGACCGAGGCATGGTGGTGTACACCTGTAGTCCCAGGTACTTAGGGGGCTGGGGTGAGAGGATCGCTTGAGTCCGAGAGGTTGAGCCTCCAGTAAGCCATATTTGTGCCTCTGCACTCCAGCCTGGCCCACAAAGTGAGACCCTGTCTCAAAAAAAAAAAAAAAAAAAAAAAAAAAAGATTGGCTGGGCTTGGTGGCTCATGCCTGTAATCCCAGCACTTTAGGAGGCCAAGGTGGGCAGATCACAAGGTCAGGAGTTCGAGACCAGCCTGACAAACATGATGAAACCCCATCTCTACTAAAAATACAACAATTAGCCGGGTGTGGTGGCGGGCACCTGTAGTTGCAGCTACTTGGGAGGCTGAGGCAGGAGAATCGCTTGAACCCGGGAGACGGAGGTTGCAGTGAGCTGAGATCATGCCACTGCACTCCAGCCTGGGCAACAGAGCAAGACTCCATCTCAAAAAAAAAAAAAAAAAGATAGAAATCAGACCTATGGAGGCAGGTCACTCGACCTCTCTGAGCCTGGTTTTCTCGTCTGTAAAATGGGATGTAGCTTGTGTTCTGGGCATGAAACCTAACAAAGCATGTAACGTGCTTGGCACATGGTAAGAGCAGGAAGCACTCCCTGAAAGGCAGCTGCTGTTACTATCCTGAGTTGACACCTTTCTCCCAGGGCTGCTGGAGTTAACATTATGTTCTGATCTAAGGCCCACAGGCCCTGGAGCAGAAAGACCTGAGTTTAAGGACCAGCTCTACTGTTTACTGTCAGAGTAGCCAACGTGCTCAACTTCCCTGAACCCACTTTCCTCACGTGGGGCTCACTGTGCCCAGCCTCCCGTATTATCAGCATTCTAGCAAATGAGTTTGAGTAAACCCAGCTTAATCCCTGATAGGCACTGGTTCTAGAGGAGATGTCAATGTCATTGTCAGCTTGCACTGGGGAGGATGGAATGTGTGGGGCCTCTCTCCCATGACTCGGCCTGTCAAACCAGTTGCTGCTGTTCAGAAATGGCTTCTTCGTGGAGTCTTCCCTGACTGATTGGGAGAGGGGTGGCTGATAGCCCTCAGACCTGTCCAGACTGAGAAACTCACGTCCCCACTCCCCTCACCCTTTGCTTATGGACGTGCCAACGCCACAGTTCATTATTCCGCCCACATGGCTGCCAGTAGTCCTGATACCTTAGGTGTCTGCGAAAGGGCGTCTGGCAGGGCTGGGGTTGGTGACAGGCACCTGTCTCTCCCACAGGCCTACTTAGAGTTTTTCACTTCCCGCGAGACAGCGGAAGCACTTCTGCAAGTGCTGAAGAAGTACGAGCTCCGGGTTAATTACCACCTTGTCAATGTGAAGGTAGGCCAGGCCCCAGGGTTCCCACAGAGTACCAGGCCCTTCGTTGAGCAAACACCCAGCACCTAGCCTGGGCTAGGCATTGTGCAAGACAGAGAGATACAGGCAGAACTGGGGCCCTGCTCTTAAGGAGCTCCCAGCCTAGAGTGAGGGAGGCAGATCAATGTGTGACCACCAGCCAGTGTAAGTGGGAAAATCAAGTTCAGGAGAGGATGCTGTCGGGTCCAGAGGAGGGATATCTCACCTGGGAGGCCAGGGAAGGCTTCTCAGAGGGTCATCTGTGGGAATCACTGAGGACAAAGAGGAGTTGGCCAACAGGAGAGAAGGGTATTCCTGGGACAGGGCAGAGGACAGGCAGAGGCAGTGAGCTGCACCATCTGGGGAAACGGGGAACATGAGCAGGAGGAGGCGGGAGTGTTAAGCAGGGGCCAGGCCCGCAGAGATCATGGTTGTCCTGCTGGAATTTGAGTTTTCCCTCAATGCAAGGGAAGCCTTTCTCCAGCAGTGGGGTGGCTTGGTTCCTGCTTTATTTTAGGCAAATCACAGTGGATAGTCATACGGATGAGAGAGATTGGGGACGGCTAGAGCCGGGGAGGCCAGTGAAGAGACCCCTGGAGTGACCCAAGCCAAACACACTCCTGGAGGTGGGCTAGACAAGAGGGAATGGATCAGAGAGTGAGCAGGGGGTGCTCAAGGAGGAGAGGGGAAGTGGCCAGGACGCCTCTAGGTTCAGGCTTGTGTGGGGAGAGATATCATTCACAGATGCAGGCAGAGGAGGCCAGGAGCGGAGGCACAGGGAGAGGGGAGTGGAGGCGCAGGGAGAGTGGAGGCCGGGAGTGGAGGCGCAGGCAGAGGGTATTGAGCCCAGACAGCCTCATTGAGTCAAGGCTGTCCAGGCAGTGGGACTCCAGTTGTTCTTGGCCCAGGTCTTACCCCCACCCCACATCCCCTCAGGGTGAAAACATCACCAATGCCCCTGAACTGCAGCCGAATGCTGTCACTTGGGGCATCTTCCCTGGGCGAGAGATCATCCAGCCCACCGTAGTGGATCCCGTCAGCTTCATGTTCTGGAAGGTAAAGGAGCCGGGGGCAAGCTTGCCCCGCCCACCTGGAAAACCGTGGGGAGGGATTGGGACCAAGTCCCAAGCGTGTGCTGAAGGCCACACTGGACCCAGCCTTCAGGGCACACCCAGCTCTGACTCACCCATGTCACTGCTGATGCAGGGTGTTTATTTCTGGGCAGGGGTGGGAAGTGATACTGGCAGTGGGCCTTGTTCTATTCCGGGAAATGTCCTGTTGAGCAGAGCCCTTGGAGAGCCCTGTTAATCTTGCCTCTGTGTGTGTGTGCATGTGTGCGTGTGTGCGGGGGTATGTGTGTGTAGGACGAGGCCTTTGCCCTGTGGATTGAGCGGTGGGGAAAGCTGTATGAGGAGGAGTCCCCGTCCCGCACCATCATCCAGTACATCCACGACAACTACTTCCTGGTCAACCTGGTGGACAATGACTTCCCACTGGACAACTGCCTCTGGCAGGTGGTGGAAGACACATTGGAGCTTCTCAACAGGCCCACCCAGAATGCGAGAGAAACGGA
Organism: Homo sapiens; assembly: GCF_000001405.40. NCBI lineage: Eukaryota > Metazoa > Chordata > Mammalia > Primates > Hominidae > Homo > Homo sapiens. The sequence goes on along the minus strand of NC_000001.11, from coordinate 11,790,689 downwards.
GGCTCCATGACCCTGCGTCCTGACGCCCTGCGTTGGAGCCACTCCTGTCCCGCCTTCCTCCTCCACAGTGCTGCTTCTCTTGGGAACTCCACTCTCCTTCGTGTCTCTCCCACCCCGGCCTCCACTCCCCCACCTGACAATGGCAGCTAGACTGGAGTGAGGCTTCCAGGCTCTTCCTGGACCTGAGTCGGCCCCACATGGGAACCTAGTACTCTCTGCTCTAGCCAGGAGTCTGTGCTCTTTTGGTGGGGAGCACTTGCGTCCTGCAGAGGACCACAGTGGGTGGCACCTCCTGAGAAGGCGAGGAGAGTGGTTGTTGCCAACTAAGCCCTCGAACCAAGGCAGCCTCCAGAGCCAGCCTGGGACTCCCAGTGAACTTACACTTGGAGCCCGTGCAGTACAGGCAAAACACGCAAGGGCATCAGGCACTGGTGGCATCGTAGAAGAGATGTGGCAAAGTGCTGTACCCTTCCACCTCCTAGAGGTGGGCAGCTGGGCCCCACCTACTTGTGACTGAAGGGGCACACCACTGCCCTGCCTGCCCACTTAGCCGTCCATGGCACCAGCCCCCTGGATGGGCATTGGGCTGACACCTACCATGCTGCTTTTTGGCACAGTTGTCTATTCTGAGCCTTGAGAGAAAAAGTGCCCCTTAAGGGTTGAAGGCAGTCTGAACCCTTGTGCTTGGTGGGGCTCGTGGCCTTCCCCTTTTGCCTGGCTGTGGAGGCCTGATGCTGCCCCGTTCCCTGTCAGAGGCTAAGATGAGATTTGCCAGCACAGGGGCCCCAGATCTGCCTGGGCCTGTGCAGCAGCCCAGCTTCCTGGTGTATTTTTCAGGTAGGCCCTTGTCCTGCCAGCTGCCTTCCTCATCCCCTCGTCCTGTCCCAGAGGTTATCTGCCTGGCCTGGCTCCCCACGAGTCACCTGCAAGCCCCAGGGCCTGGGGGCAGTGACTGGCAGGTGCAGATGGGCTGTTTCGTGTAGTGGAAGAGCAGCCTGATGGCCAAGGGGGTGGACGCAATTGTGGGATGTCCTCTTTACTCCCTTCCTGGCCTCACTGGCTGGGGCAGAGGGGCAGCCGCTAGGAGAGACTGAAAGCAGCAGCTAGGACTGAGGAGTGGGTTTTATTGTCCTTCAGAGCTCTTCAAGCTGTCCCCTCTGTCATCACTCCCTGGATGTGTGGGGCATGGTTCCTTCCCTGGGAAGGCTAAGTTCAGTTCTGTTTTTTATTCTATGAGAACAAGTCACAGCTGCAGCTGGGCCCCATGCTCTGCCCCAAGCCCCCAACCCCGCGGTGCTCTGGCGGCTTCCTGTCCACTCTCGGGGCCCTTGGGGCCTGGCTTGCTCCAGGGTCTTGGGCTACTGGCAGCTCCTCTCCTTGGGCTCCTGGCTGCCAGGCGTTGGTGCCACTTCTTAAAGGCCTGGAACCAGGGAGGAGAGGAAATGCTATTGTTGTGGGCTTTCTCCGGGGTCTGTGCTGTGCCTGCTAGAGCAACCCCTGTACCCAGCTCCTTTTGTCCCCAGGGCCCCTCCCTCTGCCCCAAGCAGCCAGCCAGTCTTGCCTAGGCCAAATGCACAAGCTCAGAATAGATCTGATGGTGAGCTGGGAAGCTGTACTCAGAGCAGAGCAAATGAGGGAGGGGGCGCTCAGGACCCAGGCCCTCCATGGGCTAGTGTGAGTGGCAGCCATGCCTCATGCCACACCTTCTTCGCAAACTGATGGACCGGGTGGGCCTGGCCTGAGCTGGGGCCACAAATCAAAGCAAGGGCTCCAGCATCCAGCCTGTGTGTTCTGTAATGGAACTGACCCCCTCCCCTGAAAACGAAGGGGCCCCGGGGCTGGCAAGCAGGGAAAGCTCCACGGTGCGTGGCTGTGGCACAGACTTCTGGAAGGCTGGCTGAGTGGAATGCAGGGAAGAGGGCAGTACCTGGGAAAGGACCCACCCATCTTCCTGCTGCTGTAACTGCTGAGCCACTCGCAGTCGCAGGATCCGCTGCCACCACGTCTGCCAGGCCCATCTCAGGTGCCACTCCCTGAGCTTTGGGGACAGTTGGCAGAGAAGGCCTCTTGTGCTCACGCTCCCCCGCAGTCCCCAGCCCTTCTGCCTTTCTCCCCCGACACTGCTGCACCAGAGTGAAAGGGCTATGGCAAGGGGGTGTCATCTGAGGAGTATTAAGAATGCAGATTCCTGGGCCTGTCCCCCAAGGTTTTGGAGTCAGTAGGTCCAAGGGCCATACTTTTGAGAGGGGTTTGGGTTAAGTATGAGGTGAAATGGGAGATGGTCAGTGTGGAGAGGGGTGCACCCACTCACCAGGGTCCGCACCAGCTGCTCTGCCCCTTGGGCATCCACCCAGTGCTGCCATGCCACTGCCAGGCACCTGGCCTGCTGGGAACCCCGCAGCCCGTGAAGCAGTGCCTCGAGGCACCGGCGCTGCAGGTACTTCCTCCTGATGGCCAAGAGCATCGTGACCCTTCAGGGCCAGAAGGAGGGCAGAGCCATGGGCCTGGGCCTGCTTTTCCAGGATCCTGCAGGAACGAGCACTGGCCAGAGAGGGCCCAGCTGTAGCCATGGCTCAGGCAAGCCCCTCAGCCCTTGCCCCCATCCCTCGGACCCACCAAACTGCACACACAGCTCCTCTTACCGTAGCCTCCGTTTATGGGCCTTGCTTTGGGCTTTGCAGGCTCTGGGCTCAGGGCTGGAGTGCGCTCTTGGTCCCTGGTCCCTCGTCCACAGGGGCAGGCCTGGGACCCAGCTACTCTGTCCAGGCCACTGTGGCCAGAGCTGGAAGGCAGGGCAGAGGGAATGTTCCCTGCACCCTGGAAAGGGGAGTTGAGTCACAAGAGGTTAAGGTGGGTCCAGGAAGGCAGCTGCTCTTAGTGCCCGCCTAGGAGTTGAGTACAGTGAGGAGGGTGGAGGAAGGTGCTGAGCTTAGCCTTGTGCCCTGCCCCCATCTCCCCAGGCCTCCAGCCTCTCCCGGCTGCCTGCCGCCCAAAGAGAAATCACAGGGGCGGGGCAGGAATGCAAAGTGTTTTCTCAGAACAGCTGAAACATTCCGAAGAGGGAATGGATGGGGAGAATGGTCAATACACATAAGACCGTGTCCCAAGGAGCTGATTTCCAGGCCCCTGAGGACTGGAGACCGCTTCACCCCTGCACTTCAGACACCGTTTGTCCCCCGGGGCAAGGTCTCCTTACTCTGAGCCCAGGCCGTTCCCCTTGGCTTCCTCCGTCCACCCAGGCTGCACTGCAGTGATGGCGCGGGAGGCACCAGCTCTGTGGCCTGTGTCCAGCAGCTGCGGGTCTGAAGGAATAGCCAGAGAGGAGCACCTGAACCCCATGGGCTTGGACTTCCTGGGGCCCCGCTGGGATTTCTTCGCTGCTCTAGCTGGCAGGACACATCCCGGCCTCTTCCACCCATTCCCCCATGTGGCTGAAGACATTCCAACAATGGGGTGGGCCCATAATAGTTAGCCCTCAGTCAGTTCCCGGAGCACAGCCCTGGGAGGGGGCTATTTCTCTCCCCACTGAAAACATTTCAAAGCTGAGTTACTTGTCTGAGGCCTCATCCCTCGGAAGCCGTCTGACTCCAGAGTCTGAGCCCCCGGCTAGTACCCTATAGAGAGGGGGCTCTCCAAAGGGGCTGCTGGGGCATGTGTGCCTGTGGCAGAAAAGAGGAGACCCTGGAATTCAGCACCCTGGGTGCCATTCCCAGCGTTTAGTTTCTAGAGGCCTCAGTTTCTCCATCAGCTTATGGGATCCTTGTCTTTACTGACAAGAATGGAATAGAAATGTAAAAGTACTCTGAAAAGCAATTGCCCTGTAACTTATCTAGAAAGAAAAGACCCTGAGACTCCAGAATCTGCTGTTGCCATAGCCCCATATGTGTGAATTCTGCAACTAGCCAAGGCTAGTTCCTTTCAATTCCATTTAAAAAACAAAAACCAGCAGGTGTGGTGGCTCATGGCGTAATGGGCCTGCCCAATGCTTTGGGAGGCCAAGGCAGGTAGATCGCTTGAGCCCAGGAGTTTGAGACAAGCCCTGGCAACATAGTGAGATCCCATTTCTACAAAAAAAAAAAAAAAAAAATTAGCCGGGTGTGGTGGCACACGCCTGTAGTCTCAGCTACTCAGGTGGCTGAGGTGGGAGGATCGTTTGAGCCCTGGAGGTTGAGGCTGCAGTGAGCTGTGATCGCACCACTGCACTCTGGCCTGGGCGACAGAGTGAGACACTGTCTGAGAACAAAAAACGACTGAAAAAAAAAATCACCTTAGCTTTTTCTCTTAGAATCTTCTCTAAAACGTATTCTTTGTGGCATTCTGAAATAGGATTCATGATGATGCCTGTTGATCTTAGGGACACTACCTCACCTGCCAGTATCTTTGGGGCTGTGTCCTTCAAGGACATGTCCCCAGACTGCTGTGCAGTGTCATTTTTTGTGTTTGGTTTGGTGGTGGCTTCTTCCCCCTTGCTAGGCTATCAACCTCTTATCACCACTTGTTGGTGTCAGAACTAACTGCTTCTGGTCTGGAGAGGGACTGACCGATGCCTTTGGGTAGAGAGAATTATGAAAGAAATTTTGGTATTTTTCTACTTTATATTTTCTGAGGTTTCTGTAATAAGCATATTTCACTTTTCCAATAAGAAAAAAAAAAACTTGGCCTGGCGCGGTGGCTCACACCTGTAATCCCAGCACTTTGGGAAGTCGAGGTGGGAGGATCACTTGAGTTCAGGAGTTCGAGACCAGCTTGGGCAATATGGTGAAACCCCGTCTCTACTAAAAATACAAAAATTAGCCAGGCGTGGTGGCGTGCACTTGTAGTCCCAGCTACTCAGGAAGCTGAGGCGGGAGAATCACTTGAACCCGGGAGGCAGAGGTTGCAGTGAGCTGAGATCACTCCTCTGCTTCAGCCTGGGCAATTGAGCCAGACTCTGTCTCAAAAATAAACAAAAAAACTTGACAAAAAAATGCTACTGTCCTCGTGTACCTATTCTGATCCTCAACTGCACCGTGAGAAAGCATGCATTTCAATGTCTCCCTAACAGGCTGTGACCCAACATGCTGGTCTTTGCGGCCGGACCTGCAGTGGCCTGGCACTCGAGAGGTGCCAGGTTCATCTTTGCTGATGGATTCAGAGTTGCTTGTCAGAGGCTGACTGAGAACTGGGGAGAGGTGGTGCATACGAGGTTGCTGGGCCCCTGGGGAGGCATCCAGCCATGCTGCCACCACCGGCTGAATCAAGCTGATTCTAAGGCCGGTGGTCCGAGGGTCATTTTTGGACCTCCCGCCCTGCCTAGGCTCCCTTCACCTGTTTCCAAGGGGCTGGGGCGTCCAGCAGCAGGCTCCCCCTGCTGGCCATCCGGGGCCAGAGCGTGAGGTCAGTCTGGGGCTTGGGGCGTACCTTGCCGGCCCCTGGCAGTCCCAGCCGCACCCTGAGCTGCACTGTCCGCAGGAAGCGCCTGAGCTCAGCCGGCCGGAGCTGGGTGAGGATGGCTCGCTGGACACCGCCGCGCACCGCCGACTGCACCGAGGCCTCTAGGACCCTGCGGGAGAGGAAGGAGTCTGCAGCCAGGGCCATAAAGGCCAGGACTCTCTGCAGGGAGCCCCCCCAGTGCCCTGCGGGAGGGGGCCTTCCGGGCCCAGCCCCAGGCTGGGGCCCACCCACCTCCCACACTCCCTTTTCTGGAGGGAGAATCTGGGTAAACAGGATGGAGAGCGACCTGGAAGGAGAAAATCACAGACGGGGACAAGCATCCTGTTTAGGGGCAGAGAGGGGACAGTCCTGCCAGTGCCACTTTGCCTCCCCTTCCCTGGCAAGAGCGCGTTTATGGCGCTTGCTGAGTGGCTGGCTGTGCTGGTGACTGCAAGGCATGACCATTAGAGACTTCCCCAAGGAGGGGACACACAGCAAGAGGCGGTGTCAGGATGTGGCCCAGGACTAGATGGCCAGGGCGGCCTCTCCCTGTCACCCCCAACCACCCTCTTGAGCCTTTGCCCTGCCACCCAGCCATGAATTACGCTCTACCCCTGCCAAAAACAGGCTTGAGGCCTGAGCTGGAAGCACAGAGTGGGGCTGCACTTAGACCACAGCACTCACCAGGCTCGCGGCTTCCAGGAAGCATGGGCTCGGCTGACCTGGCCCCGACAGGACTCATGCACCCACAGAGCCCAGCACCAAGTCCAGCACTGGGCTGCCTGGGCCCCAGCGCTCTCTCCTGCCTGCTGCTGGGCCTCATGGTGCATGCCCGGGGCCACTGGCCATGCTGGGAAGGCCTGTGGGGCCCGGGCCTTCTTCTGCTGCCCATCTTCCTGGCCTTGCTGCCCGCAGCTTCTCCAGCGGGCAAGGGAGGCCTGGGCCACACGCTGCTCCTGTGCCCCGGCTGCCACTTCCTGGGCTTCCCGCCATGTGGCAAACACGGCCCCCAGTGCTCTTCTCCTCAGGCCATCCTGAAAGGCTTGATGCTGGGCCCGGAGCACCCCCGTGTCTCTTACAACCTCACACCAGGCCTGGAAGTAGCTGCAAAACAGACACATTGGGCCAGGTGTGGTGGCTCATGCTTGTAATCCCAGCACTTTGGGAAGCCAAGGTGAGTGGATCACCTGAAGTCAGTTTGAGACCAGCCTGACCAACGTGGTGAAACCCCGTCTCTATTAAAAATACAAAAATTAGCCAGGCCTGGTAGTGGGCACCTGTAATCCCAGCTACTTGGGAGTCTGAGGCAGAAGAATTGCCTGAACCCAGGAGGCAGAGGTTGCAGTAAGCCGAGATCGCGCAAGTGCACTCCAGCCTGGGTGACAAGAGTGAAACTCCATCTCAAAAAAACAAAATGAAACAAAACAAAAACAGATGCATGGGAGGGCTTGTCTCGTTCTCAGAGTCAAAAGTCACATTTATTCAAAGTTACACCTGCAAATCTCCCACAAAACAGTAAACGACCAGTAACAGGTGAAAGCACTGGCTTTCCATCTTGCAACCTCAGCCTCAGAGGGCAGGGGCTGCCCTGCGAGGGGGATGGGAACCAGCAGTATGGGTTCAAGTCCCACATCAGCCATGCCCTGCCTCCCATCACATGCCCAGGTGGTTGGTGAGGGAGAGGAACACCATCTCTCACTCAGTGAGAAGCCAAGAAAAAAAACCATCTACGGCCAGGCACAGTGGCTCACACCTGTAATCCCAGCATTTTGGGAGGCAGAGGCGGGCGGATCACCTGAGGTCGGGAGTTCGAGACCAGCCTGACCAACATGGAGAAACCCCGTCTCTACTAAAAATACAAAATTAGCCAGGTGTGGTGCCACATGCCTGTAATCCCAGCTACTCGGGAGGCTGAGGCAGGAGAATCACTTGAACCCGGGAGGCGGAGGTTGTGGTAAGCCGAGATCGCGCCATTGCACTCCAACCTGGGCAACAAGAGCGAAACTCTGTCTCAAAAAACAAACAAACAAACAAAATAACCATCTACACCCTCAGATGCAAAAGCACAGACGTCAGCCATTCTGTAGCCAACAGTTCACTGCCCCACGGGGACACTGAACATTCGCAAATTTGTACTGAACTGTGGGAGGAGCCATTCTGTGTCCTCTGCTTGGTTTTACAATATGCATTCATGAACTGTATACATGTTCCACCAGAACATCTTTACTTAAATGAAGATTTCACTCTCTTCTCTTAGCGACAGTGTACAGCAGAATTCTCCTTGCTGTAACTCCTCACAATGGGCGTTATGGTAGATTTCCGAGGAGTGGATTTCTCCTCCTTTTTTTTTTTTTTTTTTGAGATGGAGTCTCGCACTGTCGCCCAGGCTGGAGTGCAGTGGTGCAATCTCGGCTCACTGCAACCTCCGCCTCCCGGATTCAAGTGATTCTCCTGCCTGAGCCCAAGTAGCTGGGACTACAGGCACCTGCCACCATGCCCGTCTAATTTTTCATATTTTTAGTAGAGATGGGGTTTCACCATGTTGGCCAGGCTGGTCTCGAACTCCTGATCTCAAGTGATCCACCTTCCTCGGCCTCCCAAAGTGCTGGGATTATAGGTATGATCCACTGTTCCCAGCTGATTTCTCCCATCTTAATCATATCCTCTAAAACCAAAGAACTGACCTGGCCAGGAGCTGGACTCCCGGGGCTTGTTGGGGCCACAGGTTAGGGGTGGGGTTTGCCACCACTCCCAAAATAGGTAATAAGGTGTCAGTGGTCATGGCCCTGTGTTTCCAGGCTAGGATCTCCCTTCATGCCCCTTTTTTCCCAGGCCACAGGCCTCCTATCTGGGCCACCGTCTGAGCTTCCCACCCCCTGGGTGCTCTCCTTGCTATTCCTTGCGTGGGGAGGACCAACACCCTCCCACCCCCAGGCCCACCCACCTCTGCAGTAGCAGCTGCTCTGGCCGGGTCACTGTGCATCTCTGATGAGCTGCTGCCTGCTGCCAGCTCCGGAACACCACCTTCTGCAGGCCCTGGAGGTGGACCTGCACCCATGTCTGGCACTTTTCATGCAGGAACTGCTGCCCTGGGGCCAGAGAGATGCTGAAGAGCCACTGGGTGCTCACCCCAGCCTCTCCCCATGGGCCTCTACGCAGCCAGCCCTTCGCCCCCTACCAGGTGGGAACAGAGGAGGCCACCCTGACTGTCTGGGTTAAAAAGCCTCTATTATGGGTGTCCTGCTGGTGACCAGGCCAGCCCAGCTCATAGAGTTGTTGGGTTTGTTTTTGTTTGTTAATTTTGCCACAGTATTTTCAAATCTGGAGAATTCAGGTAAAAATCTAATTTTCTATTTTTTTTTTTTTTTGAGACGGAGTCTTACTCCGTCACCCAGGCTGGAGTGCAGTGGCCCAATCTCAGCTCACTGCAACCTCTGCCTCCTGGATTCATGCCATTCTCCTGCCTCAGCCTCCCGAGTAGCTGGGACTACAGGCGCACACTACCACGCCTGGCTAATTTTGTGTATTTTTAGTAGAGACGGGGTTTCACCATGTTAGCCAAGATGGTCTCGATCTCCTGACCTCGTGATCCGCCAGTCCGGGCCTCCCAAATTGCTGGGATTACAGGCGTGAGCCACTGCGCCCGGCCCAAAAATCTAATTTTCAATTTTTCTGTAAAAACTAGAAGTTCTGGAAACACTGGCTCAGTGTTCCTGCCGGGGAATGATTGGGCTGCATAAGCAGCTGTCTCCAGCGGACAGGACATGACTTTCTAGAACCACCACAGCCCTGCCTGCCAGCTCATTAATGCGATATGTCGGTGTAGTGGGCAGCCTCCAAGACAGCATCCTGTGTTCGTGTCCTGGGCAATGCCCCGCCTTGAATACAGGCTGGGTTTACTAATTTGCTTTTAACAGACAGAATTTGGCAGAAGCAATGGGATGTCACTTCTGATATCAGGTTATAAAGAGACTGGTTGGGGCCGGGTGCGGTGGCTCACGCTTGTAATCCCAGCACTTTGGAAGGCCGAGGCGGGTTGATCACTTGAGGTCAGGAGTTCGAGACCAGCCTGGCCAACATGGTGAAACCCCATCTCCACTAAAAATACAAAAATTAGCCAGGTGTGGTGGCAGGCGCCTGTAATCCCAGCTACGAGGGGAGCTGAGGCAGGAGAATTGCTTGAACCCAGGGGGTGGAGGTTGCAGTGAGCCAAGATCGCACCACTGCATGCCTGGGCAACACAGCGAGATCGTCTCAAAAAAAAAAAAAAAAAAAAAAGACTGGTTGGGCCATGCAACAGCTCTTTTTGCCCAGAGGCCAAGACCCAGAGAGCAAGCCTGCCTTGGGACCATCCCTCCTCCCTTCACTGGCCACATTCCTCAGGGCTTCTAACACACTGCACCCTCAGCCAGCCTCTGCAAATCCAGTCCTTCCCACTGCCCTATTTTGCTGACCCCTTCCCACGCCTCAACCTCTCTCGCCACTGCTCTGCCCGCTGAGCCCTCCTCACCTCCTCCTGGGACCCTCCCTGACTAACTCTGCTGGCCCCTAAGGGCACCATGACTCTGCCCACTTCTCTCCCAACTCAGGGCTCCGACCAGTGACTCCTAGAGGCCAGGTGAGGATAAGGATGAAGATAAAGGTGATGACATAGGGACTACATTATCCCCATTTTACAGATGTGTAAGCTGAGACTCAGGGAGGTTAACTAGGTTGTTTAAGTTTCACACAGTCAGGGTATGGAAGAGCAGGGATTCAAACTCAAGACTACAGAGTCCAAGCCCCCAGGTTCTGCTCTGCCACCTGACTCCTGGGTGTGCCCTGTGGGGGTCTCATCACCAGAATTTGCTACGGGATGGGAGGGTATGGGGGGTGGTGAGGCACTCTGCAGAGTCACTGTCCCTCTTGGAAATTTCACAGCTGAGGTCTATTCATTTGCTCATTCATAGCACAATGTGTAAGAGTTGGTCAGCCTGTTTTCTTTGAACCCAGCTAGGTCAGTGTCACAGCTCAGCGGACCTCTCTGATCAACTGCATTTGTTAGCTATGGCTGTGTAACAAATTACCCAAGTACTTATTAGTTTTAAACCACAGATGTTTGTTATCTCACAGTTTCTATGGGTCAGGAGTCCAGATGTAGCTTAGCCTCTGCCTCAAGTTCTCCCATGCGGTTACAGTCAAGTTGTTGGCCAGGGCTGCAGTCTGGGTCTCAGACAGACCCTGGCCCTGCCCTCACCCGCAGTGCCCCCGACCAAGTCTCCACTCACCCTGCCAACAGGAGTGCCAGTGGCATAGGGCATCTCGTGCCAGCCGCCAGCCCCGCTCCTGGGCCCACCACTCCACCAGCCGTGACTGCAGCAGCCGCTGACGCCACAGGCCCAGCACAGCCCTGCAGGTCCGATCCCAGGCCCGGTGGGAAGCCAGCTCTCTCCAGGCCCATTGGGCTGTTGCCCAGCGGCTCCAGCTGAGGAAGATGCTGGGAAAGGGAGGGTCCACCCTGAGGATGGCCACTGTCCCCCAAATCCCAGGCCAGCCCTGCCCCACCCTCCTTTCTCTTCCTCTCCCCAGCAGCAGGAGGCTCTGGGTGACTCTTCTGTTTCCATTATGGGAGGGTGGGTTGCTGGGGACTGGAGGGGCCAAGCACCTCTCCCAGGGTCACGATGATGAGTGGTGGGGATAGGGTGGGATTCTAGACCCCCACTGCCAAGTCCTGTGCTCAACCACTAGCCATAAACATTGCTATGGACTGAGCACTCACAACGTGCCACACACGGCATTGGGGAATGTATGTGCCGTGCCTCGCCATTGCCCCACTGGAGCCAGTACTATTAACCCCATTTTACAGATAGGCAAATAGGGCACAGAGAAGTTATGCAACTTGCCCAAGATCACACAGCCAATGAGGGGCAAAGCTGGGATTAGAACCCAGGGAGACCAACTCTTATGCATTGTGCTATAAATGAATAAATGAAGGAACCTCAGCTGCAAAATCTCCAAGAGGAACAGTGACTCTGTAGAGTGCCTCACCACTCCCCGACACCCTCTCAGTAGGACGGGGCAGGAAGACAGGAGGAACTGAAGCCCCCTGAGGTGCAGACCCCAAGGGGCTGCTGCTGTGAAGGCCAAGGGTGGAAGGGAGAAGGGGCCGGGAAACAGTAAGTCCATAGAGTGGCGGGCGGATGGGGAGGGATCCCTACCGCCTCTGGCGGGTATGCTGGTACCACCTGGCTGTGCCCTGGAACTGCTGGGCCCGTGCCTGCCAGAGCAGAAGGCACTGCCCCTGCTGCCGCTGCCCAGCTGCCCACAGAAGGCTCCCCTGGAGAGTGTCCGGGAGGGTGGGGGCCCTGGGAACCTGGGGAAGGAGATGTGGAGTCCTTGGTCCCCTACCCTGTCCCCTTCCCACAATCTCCACCCATCCACCCCTACCTGCCCCAGCCCCTCCCCACCCTCCTACCTCTCACCTTCTCCAGAGAGTCTTGGAGTGTGCTGCTGCTCAGTGGCTCCAGAGCCGAGGGGGTCTTGGTGCAGCTTGATGTGGCATCTGGGCCCAGTGCCCTCAAGTGCCACCATCTCAGGCTGCGCTGCAGCATCCGCTGCTGCAGGCCCTGGAAGAAGGAGCTAGAGAAGGGGCAGGTGAGTGACCCACCCAGCCTCACCCTCAGGCTGTGCAGGGTGGCCAAGCAGGGGCTACCCTACCCTGGCCGCTGTGAAAGAGATGGGCTGAAAGGGTGCTCGCCACAGGCCAGACGCTGGGCTAGCGTTCCACGCTGCTGCCCCCCACAGCGGCTGCATGCTGGAATCACTGGGGGCTTCAAGAGGTACCGATGCCCACCAGGGTCCCACCCTAGATTCTGCTAGATTCTGACTTAATGGTCAGGGTACAGTCTGGGCTTCCAGACTTTTTCTGGGGTTCTCTGAGTGACCTCAGTGAGCAGCTGAGACTGGGCTGACTGGGCTGATGCTTTTTTTTTTTTTTTTTTTTTTTTGAGACAGGGTCTGGCTCTGTGACCCAGGCTGGAGTGCAGTGGGACAATCTTAGCTCACTGCAACCTCTGCCTCCTGGGTTCAAGTGATTCTCCCGCCTCAGCCTCCCGAGCAGCTGGGATTACAGGTGCGTGCCACCACGTCTGGCTAACCGAGCTAGTGCTCCACCTGCTTCACTGGCTGGCCTCATCATGCTCCCGGGGTGGCTGGGAGCCCAAGCAGCTGATCAGAGGTGGAGCTGGTCCCCAGGCTCAGGGATCCCAGACTCCAGAGGCCACCCCTACAACCACACCAGTACTTCTGCCTGCACTCACTTATAAAGATAAGAAAGCTGAGCCCAGGGGAAGATCATTTCCCCAAACTCCAAATAGCAGCAGACCTGGGACTCATCTAGGCCCAGGAGGGTGCCCCGGGAGAGCTGCCAGGAGATATGAACTGTGCCCTGAAGTCCAAAGGCCAGAGGATGGGCTGGAGAGGGAGGGCCTGGGGGTTGTGGGGCAGGCATGTGAGCAGTGCCCCCACATTCTGAAAGGTCACGGTGAATTGAATTCCCCTGAAGTTGCAGGGGTACACTGAAAGAGGCTGAGGGTCCATGTGGACCATGTGGGTGTGTGGCTTTCAAGGACAGAATTCCTTTTTTTTTTTTTTGAGATGGATTCTCGCTCTGTTGTCCAGGGTGCAGTGGCATGATCTTGGCTCACTGCAACCTCTGCCTCCTAGGTTCAAGCCATTCTTCTGCCTCAGCCTCTCAAGTAGCTGGGATTACAGGCGAGCACCACCACGCCTGGCTAACTTTTGTATTTTTAATAGAGATGGGGTTTCGCCATGTTGACCAGGCTGGTCTCAAACTCCTGACCTCAGGTGATCCACTGGCCTCGGCCTCTTAAAGTGCTGGGATTACAGGTGTGAGCCACCACGCCCAGCCAAGGACAGAATTCTTAACCCTGCAACTGCTCGCTTCCATTCCTCCTGACATCCCCTCCGGGAAGCTGGCTTCTCCTGATCGCCACCCTCCCCTCACCTACAGCCTTCTTCTGGGCTCCGAATTCCATCAGTGACCATCTTGTGTGGGGGCAGCACCCAGGTCTCAACACAGGACCTTCTTGCTCCTGACTCCCACTGGGATTTACAGCAAGCTGCTCCAGCCCTCTGAGCCTCAGTTTCTCTAGTTGTGTAATGAGGCCAATGGGAGAGGAGATAAAAGCTTGATCCCTGGCTCCTGCCCTTGTTCCTTTACAGTATTTATTCTGTGCCTGCAACATGCCAGGCACCTGCAGGGAGCTGGGAGCCAGCGGTGACGGCGAGACAGACATGGTTCCTGCCACCAGGGACTTACACTTGGCAGGGAGACGGGCATTCACTAGGGTTCCGGCCACCCCTGTAGAGCTCCATGTCTGTGTCTCTGGCAGCCCCCTGGCCCCCAGTGGCCCTCTGCTCAATCACTGTTCCAGTGTCCCTAGGCCACCTCCCAGGGCCTGACATTGGCTGGGCACCGCAGTGTGCCAGGCCCTGTGCAGGGCCACGGGGAGGAGTGGGATGCAGTTACTGCCCTATGGGATATTCCTCCCGCATTCCTCCTGGTGCTGAGCACTGCTCACGTGCCCACCCCACAGCCCCCAGGCCCAACCCCAGGTCACAAGCTCGAGGACACCTACTTGGCCCACTGGCGCTGGAAAAGCCGCATCTTCCACAGCAGCAGCGCCCAGCAGAGGGCCAGTGTCCAGCAGGCATCCTGCAGGGAGCCCCGGCCTTGCTCCTGCTGCCCCTGGGCCTGGCCCACTGCACCCAGGCCACAGGCTCCAGGGCCTGCGGTGTAGACAGCCTCACGTCCTGAGAAACCGTCAAGAGTCCAGTCAGCTGCCTCCCCACTGACCTCACTCTGCCCACAGCCATTGATAGCTGCTGCCTCAGGCCCCTCTTGGGAGCTCTCCCCTCTTGTCCCGTCCCACCGCTTCCAAGCCCTCCCCTCCAGGTCACCTCAAAGATCCCATCTTCCCCAGTTAAGTGTTTTTTTGTTTTTTGTTTTTTGTTTCTTTGAGACAGAATTTTGCCCTTGTCGCCCAGGCTGGAATGCAATGGCACGATCTCAGCTCACTGCAACCTCAGCCTCCTGGGTTCAAGCGATCCTTGTGCCTCAGCCTCCCGAGTAGCTGGAATTACAGGCATGCGCCACCACACCCGGCTAAGTTTTGTATTTTTAGTAGACACAGGGTTTCACCACGTTGGCCAGGCTGGTCTGGAACTCCTGACCTCAGGTGATCCACTCTCCTCGGCCTCCCAAAGTGTGGGATTACAGGCGTGAGCCACTACACCGGGCCCCCAGTTAAGTTTTGGGGTGGGGATTAGGGCTGTGTGTCCCCCATCACACCAGGAGCTTCCCAAGAGCAGGGCCCACATCCCTTCTGGGCAGGATCTAGGATACCAGCACTGAGAAAGCCTGCAGTGGGAGGAGCAGAACCAAGTCTGTCACCCACAGCAGCTCATAATGGGACATAGGGATGTGGCTCAGCTGGGGCCTGCCCACTCTGGGACCCCTCCTGCACCCTCCCAGGCCTACAGGCTGCCCTCCTAGAAAGCCCCAGTTCTATCACCTCCCACAAGAATTCACATATTCAACTGGGGACCACTGAAGAAGGGGCTTAAGTGACACGGTTTGCTGGGGCGGAAGCCAACACTAGCTCACCTGCTTTCTGCCGGCAGAGGGACAGCTGGGTCACCTTTGCCCCATCTGATTCCCGGAGCTGCTTCATCCGCACCCACTGTTCCAGGCATTTCCTCAGGGTCCCCGTCCGGCGGTCAGCCAGGTGGTCTCGGTACCGGGACCCTCTTTGCACGAACTGCTGCCACGCCCCGAAGCACCTGGGAGAACAGAGGGAAAGTACCCATGTCAATTGCAAGATCTGATGACTGCGGCTCCAGCTGCCTGCCATTGCCAGACACACTACCCAGGCCTTGGGCAAGCCACTTCATCTCTCTGAGCCTCCGTGTTTTGTTGTTGTTGTTTGTAGACGGAGTTTCACTCTTTTGCCCAGGCTGGAGTGCAATGGTGCGATCTCTGGTCACTGCAACCTCCACCTCCTAGGTTCAAGAGATTCTCCTGCATCAGCCTCCCAAGTAGCTGGGACTACAAGCATGCACCACCATGCCCGGCTAATTTTTTTTTGTATTTTTAGTAGAGATGGGGTTTCTCCATGTTGGCCAGGCTGGTCTTGAACTCCTGACCTCAAGTGATCCGGCCGTCTTGGCCTCCCAAAGTGCTGGAATTACAGGCTTGAGCCACCGCGTCTGGCCAAGCCTCCGTTTTCTCATCTGTAAAATGGGGCTGCTTTGAAGATGCATTGCATGTCACCTGCTCAGGCCATGACACTATCACCTCTGGCAGCGTGGTGGCCTCAGCAGCCTCTGACCTGGCCTCCCTGCATCCACTTTCGGCCTCCTCCAGTCATTTCCTATTCAGTAACCCAGTGGTGTTTTTCCAATCTCAAATCAAATCATCAGAGTCACCTGCTAATCCTCCAGCGGTAGCCTCCTTGCTCTACCATCAAATTTCAGCCCCTCCCCACAGCCAACCAGGTGCTGATCTGGTCCCCACAGATTTTTCCAATCTCATCTTCAACTACCCTCAGCCCCCCTACCCTGTACTAACAAGGGTCCAATTCGGCTCTGCTACGCCTCAGGATCTTACACTCCCGGCCAGAGGCCTCTGAACACTCTACCCTTTTCTGATCTTCCTCCACCAGGCAACTCTTCATCCTTCACATCACCACTGAACCTTGGTCTAGGTCAGCTTCCTGCACTAAAAATTCTCACAGAAAACTACACCAGGGGGATGTAGTCAGCAAAATGCAGACAGTGGGAAACTAGCAGGCAAGCAAGTTGATTTCTTCAACAAATAACGTGCAATCAAAAAAATGAAGGGGAGCCTATAGTTTACAAAGATTTTAACAGGCCGGGCGTGGTGGCTCACACCTGTAATCCCAGCACTCAGGGAAGCCGAGGTGGGAGGATTGCTTGAGCCCAGGCTGGAGTGCAGTGGTGCGATCATGGCTCACCAGTGGGACTCTGTCTCTACCAAAATTTTTTAAAATTCGCCAGGCATGGTAGCTCACACCTGTAATCTCAGCACTTTGGGAGGTCAAGGTGGGCGAATTGCTTGAGTCCAGGAGTTCGAGGCCAGCCTGAGCAACGTGGCAAAAAATTAAATCTCTACAAAAAATTTAAAAATTAGCCAGGTGTGGTGGTATGCACCTATAGTCCCAGCTACTTGGAGGCAGAGGTGAGAGGATCCCTTGAGCCTAGGAATTTGAGGCTACAGTGAGACATGATTGCACCACTGCACTCCAGCCTGGGTGACACAGTAAGACCCTGTCTCTATTTTTTTTTAATTAAAAATAAAAAGACTTGAATGACTTATCAACCAACTGCCATACATGGACCTCATTGCAAACTCTAATACAATATATACTTGCAAATGTGAATACTGGCCAGATATTCGTGAGTATTAAGGAACAGTTGTTTCATTATTTTTTAGTTGTGAGAGTGGTATTGTGGTTATGTTTTTATTATTTATTTATTTACTTATTTCTGAGATGGAGTCTCACTCTGTCGCCTAGGCTGGAGTGCAGTGGCACGATCTCGGCTCACTGCAACCTCTGCCTCCCGGGTTCAAGCAATTCTCATGCCTCAGCTTCCCGAGTAGCTGGGATTACAGGTGTTCACCATCATACTCGACAAATTTTTGTATTTTTAGTAGAGATGGGGTTTCACCATGTTGTCCAGGCTGGTCTCAAACTCCTGACCTCAAGTGATCCACCTGCCTCGGCCTCCCAAAGTGCTGGGATTACAGGCATGAGCCACCGCGCCCGGCCAGTGGTTATGTTTCTAAAGAGTCCTTATCTTTTAGAGAGGCATATAAAAATATTTATGGATGAAATGGTATAATGCATGGGATTTGCCTCAAAATAATTTGGAGCGGGGGATGTATTTGGAGTACACATGAAACAAGCTTCAAGAGAGGCTGATTTTGTTGAAGCTGGGTAATTGGTGCGCTGGGGTTTATTATCCTATCTGCTCTACTTTTGAGTAAGAAAAATGCCCCACAGGCCGGGTGCGGTGGCTCATGCCTGTAATCCCAGCACTTTGGGAGGCCGAGGTGGGTGGATCACCTGAGGTCAGGACCAGCCTGACCAATATGGTGAAACCCTGACTCTGCTAAAAATACAAAAAAAATTAGCCGGGCGTGGTGGCATGTGCCTGTAGTCCCAGGTACTTGGGAGGTGAGGCAGGAGAATCGCTTGAGCCCAGGAGGTGGAGGTTGCAGTGAGCCGAGATCGTGCCACTGCACTCTAGCCTGGGTGACAGAGCGAGACTCCGTCTCAAATAATAATAATAATAATAATGCCCCATAATAAAAAGTTAACCACCAGGGAGCAAAAAAAGAAACTCATAGATCTGTGTTCCTTCTCTTCACAACACTTAAGCCAGGTGGTATTCACATACACCCTTGGGACTGCTAGTTTCCTGTCTGTTCCCCCACCAGCCATGGGTTCCACTGTGATGATGGGCAGAGGTGGGAGGCCGGGACTAAGCTTTGCTTATATCCAAATCCCAGCCAGTGGGGCGGGCTAGCATGTTCTAGGCATGCTCAGTCGATGGCTGCTTTCATTTCCTATTTGCATCCTTGCCTCTCAATACTAGGAGTCAAGAGCTGACTTAAAGGGAAGTGGGGGCCAGGCATGCTGGCTCACGCCTGTAATCCCAGCACTTCTGGAGGCCAAGGTGGGCAGATCACTTGAGTTCAGGAGTTCGAGACCAGCCTGGGCAACATGGTGGAACCCTGTCTCTATCAAAAATACAAAAAAATTAGCTGTGCGTGGTGGCACATGCTTATGGTCCCAGCTACTCGAGAGGCTGAGGTGGGAGGATTGCTTGAGCCAGGGAGGTGGAGGGTGCAGTGAGCAAGATGGTGCCACTGTACTTCAGCCTAGGTGACAGAGTGAGACCTCATCTCAAAAAAAAGGGAAGGGCATCCTACCTGCACAGCCAAGCTCTCTGGTGCTGGGGGCTCAGTGGGGCCACCCAGGCTACACCTGCAGCAGTAGAGTGCCAGGCCTGGGGGAAGCTCCCTGTCCTCTGTGTGGCCCTGGTGGCCTTCCGCAGAGTCTCCCTCTCCTGTCTGGCCCGTTTCTTCTGTTGGCACCACAGGAAGAACACTAAGGAGAGAGGGAGGAGGGAGAGAAAAGAGAGAGTAAGCAGATGGGAGGATCTGAGCCAGGAGGGGCCCCTGACATGTGGGGTGCCTGTCGCAGGGCACCCCCCATCTCTGAGTAAGTGAAGTCTAGCTCCAATACTCCAGCCTCTGGTGTGGGCCTGCATCAGTGTATCAGCCCAGAAATGCAGGCCGTGCTCCTCTCATGCTGTGTGTCCTCAAACAAGTCACTTAACTTATCTGTGCCTCAGTTCCCCATCCGTAAAATGGGCACAGTTCCTCTTGGGGGTCACTGTGAGGCTCAAATGAGATTGTCTCTGGGAATGTGCCAAAGCAGATGCAAAATAAACATTCATTCGCCCAGGGTCCCCCGCCCCTGCCCAGTGTGGAGCTCAGGCCCTGCGTGGCCAGGCTCCATCTCCCCGCTTTCCCAGCACCCCACGTCTCACCAGCCAGTTGCAGGGCCTGCAGGATCTGGACTCTCTCGTGTCTGCTGTCTGTTCTCTGCCTAGGATGTGACAGAAGCCGCTGAGCAATCTCCTCCTCCCTCAGACTTCCTGGACTAAAAGCAAAGTTGCCCAGAGAGAAGCTGATGACCCGGGAGGAAGGGCACTCGGTCCCAACCTGTCCGCCCCACCCCAGGCAGGTGCGGTCTGCCCTTGGGAGCAGGGGGCGCTGAGTCCCCCTACCCTCTTCTGGACAGTTTATTTTATGTCGGATTTAAAAGCTATTGCTGGGGGGAGGTTCTGCTCTTGATTTATTCTCTTTAATACTATTTGGATTTTTTTAAACAACAAACATGTATTAAAATAAATATCATTTAAATAATTATTTAAATACATTTGTTCAATTTAAAAATAAGAACATGGCCAGGCATGGTGGCTCACACCTGTAATCCGAGGACTTTAGGAGGCTGAGACGGGCAGATCACTTGAAGCCAGGAGTTTGAGACCAGCCTGGCCGACATAGTGAAACTCCGTCTCTACTACAAAAAAAAAAAAAAAAAAAAAAAAAAATATATATATATATATATATACACACACACACACACACATACACACACACGCTGCCAGAGGTGATATATACACACACACACACACACACACACACACAAATTAGCCAGTGTGGTGGCACACACTTGTAGTCCCAGCTACTCGGGAGGCTGAGGCATGAGAATTGCTTGAGCCTGGGAAGCACAGGTGGCAGTGAGCAGAGATCACACTACTGTACTCCAGCCTGGGTGACAGAGCAAGGCTCTGTTTAAAAAAAAAAAAATACCCAACTGTAGTAGAAAATTGGGGAAATAAAGAAAAAAATAACCAGAGGCCGGGCGCAGTGGCTCACGTCTATAATCCCAGCACTGTGGTAGGTTGAGGCAGGCAGATACCTTGAGGCCAGGAGTTTGAGACCAGCCTGACCAACATGGCGAAACCCCATCTCTACTAAAAATACAAAAATACAAAAAAAAAAAAAAATCAGCCAGGCGTGGTGGTGTGTGCCTATAATCCCAGCTACTTGGGAGCCTGAGGCGGGAGAATCGCTTGAACCCAGGAGGCGGAGGTTGCAGTGAGCCAGATTGTTCCACACACTCCAGCCTGGGCAACAGAGCGATACTCTGACTCGAAAAAAAAAAAAAGAAAAATATAACCGACTTTAATCCCACTGTCCCAGAGATAAGCATAGTTTCCATTTTAGCATTTTTAAATGAAATATCTTTTACTCCTTAATTGTGGTAAAATACACATCAGAAAGTTTACCATTGTAACCATTTTTAAGTGTACAGTTCAGCAGTGTTAGGGATTTTCACATTGCACATTTTCAGGTTTTTTTTTTTCTTTCTGGTCCTTTTTCTATGCACCATGTGGTTTCTATGCAACTATGTGGTTGGGAAAAATATTTTGGATACATTTTTATGCTCCTTTAAGAAAAATTTAACATTGCCACACCATTTTCCCTTTTTTTTAAAAAATGCTATGCAAATATTCATAAAAATACTTCCAGGGAGGGGGCTATGAAAGGATGAAGCTTTCAAGTTAATTAATAGACTTCCAACTATTTGGAATATTTTTCAAATTGAGCATGCATTACTGCTATGATTGGAAACATAACCAGTAAAAAATCTTCCTGGCCAGGCGTGGTGGCTGGCTCATGCCTGTAATCCCAGCTCTTTGGGAGGCCGAGGCAGGTGGATCACTTGAGGTCCTGGCTAATACGGTGAAACCCCGTCTCTACTAAAAATACAAAAAATTAGCCGGGCATGGTGGTGGGCGCCTGTAGTCCCAGCTACTCGGGAGGCTGAGGCAGGAGAATGGCGTGAACCTGGGAGGCGGAGCTTGCAGTGAGCTGAGATTGTGCCACTGCACTCCAGCCTGGGCGACAGAGCGAGACTCCATCTCAAAAAAAAAAAAAAACTTCCTAAACATCATATTGGATGGTTGCTAATTGTTCATCACATGGTCAAACCATCATTTCCTCACTCACTGTTGAGCATTTAGGCTGCTTTTCAGCTTGTTTTTTTGAGACAGGGTCTTGACCTGTTGCCCAGGCTGGAGTGCAGTGGCATGATCATAGCTCACTGCAGCCTTGATTTCCTGGCCTCAAGTGATCCTCCTGCCTCAGTCTCTAGAGTAGCTGGGACTACAAGCATGCCCCCATGCCTGGCTAAATGTTTACATTTTTTTGCTAGAGACGGGGTCTCGCTATGTTGCCCAGGTTGGTGTCTAACTCCTGGCCGAGGCCTCCCAAAGTGTTGGGATTATAGGTGTGAGCCACCGTGCCTGGCTGTTTTGAAGTTTTTACAATTATAAATGATGCCATGATGGACATCTTTTTTGCATAAATCTTTGCCCACATCTGCTTATTTCATTCCCATTCTTTTGTGGGGATGAGGAAGTAGTGGGGGCAAGGCAGGAAGTTGGGGAAGAAAGGCCACCGGCTTCCCAGGCAACACTGACCAACCTGGTGTGTTCCAGCCTGCTTCTCTGGGCGGGGTCCACCACTGTGCTTCTTCCCAAGGAGAGGCCTTTGCCCTGGGCTCTCCTGGAGGGCGGGGACCCTGGCCCAGCCTGCATGTGGGGCTGTACTTGTTTCTGCTGTAAAGCCAGGTTTCTCCACTGGCTCAAGAGAGAAGGGGAAAGGAGATGTTGGCCTTGAATCTGCCTCCCAAGGGAACACCAGGCAGGGGCGGGGACAGGAGTAACACATGCCTATCAGATTCCACAGCCTGTGGTCTTAACCATTACTCTGCCTATTCATTCCTTCTTTGGGAATGAAGGAATGAATGAATGAACAAATATAGAGCGATGCATCCCAAGAGGCAACGCTTTCCTTAAAAGATGAAAGCTGCGACTGGACCCTCTCAGAGCACCCCTTTCCCAAGGAGGGAAGGACACAGATGCTCCCTCCCAGCCCTGGCTGGCAAACCTCTAATAAAAAATAGCAACCACTTATCTACTAGCTTGCTATATGCTAGGCAGAGTTCTGAGTCCCTTATTAATTTAATCTCACAACGACCCTGAGAGAGGTATGTTCTATTATCATCATCATCCCATTTTAGAGATAAAGAGACTGGGGCACAGAGAGGTTAGGTAACTTGCCCAAGGTCACGCAGCTAGAAAGTGGTAGAGGGGGCAGGATTTGAACTCAGGCAGAGCTGATTCAGGTGTGTGGACTCACAACTACACCCTTTACTGCTGATCATTCATGAGGTGCCACCTATGCCCAGTGGGTGTCCTCTCCGTAGACTGAGTCTCCTCCCCAGACACACCACTGCTTCACACGGCCCCCTGGCCCAACCTGGAGACCGCTGACCTCTCGGAAGCTCCGGACCAGCAGAACCTTTGTGTACTGCCCCCATGCTGCCTCCAGCTGAGCCTCCCGGAGCCACAAGGCCTGAAGGCACTTTCGCAACAGCTGCCAGCGGCCCAGTGCCACTGCCGCCGCCGCTGGCTCCCGCTGCCTCTTCACCAAGTGCCTCCAGGATCGAAAACATCTGGACAACAGCTGCCAGCTGGGGACAGACCAGGGCTGATCAGGGTGTGGACTGCCCTCCTATCCCCAGGGACAGCCCAGTGGCTGGATACCCTCTGAGATGCCTTTCCAGCAATCAGTAGGGTGATGACCCACGCCACAACAGGAGTATCACACTGCAGACTGGAAGAACTTCCCTCTTACTGATGGCTGGACTTGGAAACCCCACACAAGCAAGGCCCTGGGGGTGGGAGAATGCCCTCTTTATTTCTTTTATATATATATAATTTTGAGACAGAGTCTTGCTCTGTCACCCAGGCTGGAGTGCAGTGGCATGATAACGGTTCACTGCAGCCTCGACCTCCTGGGCTCAAGTGATCCTCCCACCTCAGCCTCCTGCGTAGCTGAGACTACAGACATGCACCACCCCACCCGGCTGATTTTTGTAATTTTTTTTGTAGAGACGGGGTTTTGCCATGTTGCTCAGGCTGGTCTTGAACCCCTGAGCTCAAGCAATCTGCCTGCCTCAGTCTCCCGAAGTGTTGAGATTACAGGCATGAGCCACCGCATCCAGCCAGAGATTGCCCTGTTTGCCGAAAACCCAGGGTGGCCTTGGAAGTTCAGGACACTCAGTGTCCCAAACCCATGAGCATCAGTCCCTTCGTTCTTGTCCCTGGGGCCCTGGAGGCTCCCTTCATCCCCCAGCAGGGACAGGTAGTAAGTTCCTCTTCCTTGAAACCCTGCCTCCTCTCCATCAGGCCCTCATCTCCATTTGGACAGGCAAATGGGAGCGGAGTCCTGAGCACGTGTCCCCCAACTCCAACCCCTGTCCCCACCCAGCCATGGCCTCACCAGATTGCCTCAGACTCTGGGGCTGTGATGTTTTGTGCCTTGTTCTGGGAAAGCAAGAGTACATAACACAGTTCTCAGGCCAAGCAGCAGGCAGGACAGGGCACCCCCTGCCAAGCCTCCCTGCCCTGGAGCAACACCTCCTACCCCCTACCCCACCTCCAGCCTCCCCGGGCCTCTACCTTCGACGCACTGCTCGCTGGGACTGTGTCTGACAGATGGAAAGCTGTCCTCTCCTCCTCCCTGTGGACCCGCTCCCTCGGGGCCCCCTCCTCTCCTTTCTGCTTGGGTGAGACTCCCCAGGCTGTGTTGGAGAAGGCTGAGGAACAGGGGTCGGTCCCCCTGCTTCCCACCCCTCGAGGGAGACTGGGGTCACCCCTCTGTGCCCTGCCATCTTGAGACCAGGGGGAGCAGCTGTCCCCTGACCCTAGGGGGTGGGCAGGAGGGAGCCCCTGCTCAGGATTAAGGGAATCCTTGGTCCGTGTCCCCAAAGTGGTCTCAGGTGACATTAGCTTGCTTTGTGCCCAAGAGTCTGAGAGACTAGCCGGGGTCTCCAAGAAAGCCGCAGTTTCCCTGTGGCCTCGAAGGCGTCTCCTCCTCCCATCCGAGGAAGCAAGGACAGGCTGGCTGGGCTGGGGGTGGGCGGAGAATGGCTGGCCGCCGCCGGTCCAGAGGTCCTGCTGCACAGCACCGGGGGGTTCCTGGGGAGCCTGGCACCTGAGTCGGGCTGCCTCCTGCGCCAGGCAATGTACAGAAGCCAGCAGCTGGTGGACGGCAGCACGGGATGGGGCCTGAGTCTGGTTCTGACTGGGGACAGCCAGGTCCTCCAGGGTGAGAGGTTCCCCCACCAGCCTGGACCTCCAGCTCCCCAGACCACCCCAGGATCTGAGGCCTGGCTGTGTATGCCCATCGAGAGGGGCAAAGGCTTCAGTGGGCCTGAAGTCCCCGCTAGGGGTGCCTGGGGCCGGCAGCCCGGACTGCCTCAGGCAGGAAGATGGGCGAGCCAGTGGCTCTTGGGATAGGAGAGGACCCCAGGGAAGCTTGTGGGGCCCAGAGCTTCCCCCAGGCTCTGGGCAGAGGTGGGGGCTGCTGGTCTCGTTGATGCTCAGGTTGCTCTGCTGGATGGCAAACTCTCGGGCCTTCCCTTGGCGCCTCCTGGCCAGGGACTGCAGGTTGCTCTGTTGCCAGAAGCTTGAATTGACCAGTTGGCCAGTCGTGTCCTTCAGAGCTAGGCCCAGGCGGGGACCAGGGCTGGCCAGGTTGGTCTGGACTCGGCAGGGCTCCTGGTCTAGCACTGCCCCTGGGGAGGGTGTGGCAGCAGGCCCTCCCCTCTCCACCTGGCACCCGGGCACCCACTGGTCATGTCTACCACTCAGGCCGATGCCCAGGCTCCTCCGGAATCTTCGTTGCTCTAAAGAGAGGAGAGACAGTCATGACTTGGGTGGCTGGCACTCAGGTGGGACAGGCGAAGCTCTCCAGGCCTCGGAGCCAGGGAGGGGACAGGGCCCCAGCAGCGGGAGGGAGCTAAGACTTCCAGGGTCTTCTGCCAGCTCTGTCTCCCTGGGTGAAGCCATGGGCAGCCCCGGGGGCTCTTGGAGTAGGGGGGTCTTGGAGCTGGACAGAGGGAAGCAGAGAGATATTTAGGAGGCTGTTGAGGGGGTCCCAGGAGAGAGATGACGGTGGTGGGATCGGGGTAGCAGGTGGGTAAAGAGAAGATTCAGATAAACTTCAGAGATGGAGCCAGCGGGCTTGGAAGAGTCAGGTAATAAAGGGAAAAAAAAAGAAAAGAATCAAGGGGGACTCCTTGATTTCTGGCTTGAGCAAAGAGGTGGTGGGGGCAGTGGGCTGGGGTGAAAGCAGGACCCCATAGAGCCACGGCTAAAGGTAAGCTGCTCTGGGAACATGGAGAGGGGCCTTGGAGCTCCTCCCCAGCCCCCAAGCCCACTCCACAGGCACAGAGTCCTTGTGGGGATGGATGAGGTACCGGGAGGCTCTGGGCGCAGGGCCTGGCAGGTAGAGTGGGCCATAAAAGTTACTGCCTTTGTGGATGGGAACTAAAGCTCAGAGAGGTCAAGCAACTTGCCTCATGGTCACACAGCTGGAACACGAAGAAACTGGGATGTGAATTCAAGAATCTACATTTGTTCTTGGGCTGCTCCCCTTCTTGGCTGGCCCAGCTCTGTGGCTTTCTTTTTTTTTTTTTTTTTTTTTTTTGAGACAGAGTCTTGCTCTGTGGCTCAGGCTAGAGCACAGTGGTGCCATCTCGGCTCACTACAACCTCCGCCTCCTGGGTACAAGTGATTCTCCTGCTGCAGCCTCCCGAGTAGCTGGGATTACAGGCACCCGCCATCATGCCTGGCTAATTTTTGTATTTTTGTAGAGACGCAGTTTCACCACATTGGCCAGGCTGGTCTTGAACTCTTGACCACAGGTGATCCACCCACCTTGGCCTCTCAAAGTTCTGGGATTACAAGCGTGAGCCACCACGCCCGGCCCTCTGTGGCTTTCTTAAAGCCTCAGCAGCCTGAGAAGGGATGTCCCCAGGACCGAGCTGTGGGGGCCCCATCTTAGCCAGGGGCACCAGCCAGGCCTCTTCCTGACCTCACTCTCCCAAGACCCCCCTCCTTAGGCCCCAGGCTGGGAAGACTCTGTCCTATGTCCAGCCGACCGTGGGTGGCTGATCTCTGGAATTAGCCAGGCCCTATAGGCTGGCCTGCCTGGGAGGGGGGCTCTGGGCCAATACCTAGAGAGGGCCCTGCTCCTGTAACTGCCCATCCAGGCCCACTAAGCCTCTTGCCTGGCTTCGGGAGCGCTGCAGGCTTTGGGGACACATTCTCCTTGTGGCTGGCATCAGACCTTAGCTCCATGGGCTCAGGGACAGGAGTATCCTTGGTCCACTCCACAGTGAGTGGCCTGGTCTGTTTAATCAGATGGGCCCTGCGGGGAGAGGACAGGTTGCCCTGGCTCTCATTCAACCCCACCCCATTCTGATCCCTACCTCCTCCCTTTAGCAGTACTCCTAGCTGCTCTTGGCCTGGTCCCAGCTGCCTGGGGCCTGCCCCTCACTGTTCTGGTCTCTCAGTGGCTCCTCTCCCTGCCCTACTTATCACCCCCCTTTCCATATTAAGTGTCCAGGTCAAATGCTGCCCCATCCTGCCCCCCAGACCTCTCGGCTGATCTGCATACAGGTCTGAACATGCAGGTCCAGCGACCTCCTCCACGCCTACCCGGATGTCTAACAGGCATCTCAGCATTAATATGTCCAAAACTGAACTCCAGCCGTCCTCGCAACCAGCTCTCTCCCATCTTGGTGCCCCCCTTTTCCACGGATGGCAGCTCCGGCCTTCTGGTGGCTCAAACAAAAATCCTGGAGCCACCCCGATTCCCCTTCTCCCTCACACCAGTGGCTGCTCTGACAGGCTCTGCCTCCCACACGCATCCAGGATCTGACCCCTGGAGCACTGGGCGGAGTGGCCCTCACCTGCCACCTCCCAACTGGTCACCCTTATTCTGCCTCGTCCTCACGCCCGACAGCCTCCTCTTCATGCGGCGGCAGGGTGATCCTGTAAACACTGAAATCAAATCATGCCCTGCCTCAACTCTAATGCCACAGAAGCTCTCCAGCCCCCTCAATGCCCCGTGAGCCTTCAAGGCTGTAGGCCAGAGGTTAGCAAATTACTGCCTGGGCCAGTGGTCTATTATGTGAATAAAGTTATATTGAAACAAAGCCCATTTGTTTACAGACTGTCTGCTTTCCAGCTGCAATAGCAGAGCTCAATAGCTGCAAGATACCTTAGGCTGCAAAACCTTTTTTTTTTTTTTTTTGAGCCGGAGTCTCACTTTGCCACCCAGGCTGGTACAATGGCGTGATCCCGGCTCACTGCAACCTCCGCCTGCCTCCCTGGGCTCAAGGGATCCTCCCACCTCAGCCTCTAACAAGCTGGAACCACAGGCACATGCCACCACGCCAGACTAATTTTTCTATTTTTTGGTAGAGACAGGGTTTCACCATGATGGCCAGGATGGTCTCGAACTCCTGACCTCAGGTGATTGGCCCGCCTCGGCCTCCCAAAGTGCTGGGATTACAGGCGTGAGCCACCACACCCAGCCCCGCAAAGTCTTTAAAATCTGGCTGCCAGTTATGGTCCTCCCCAATTCCTCTTCCCCTTGCCCACTGTCCTCCACACACACCAGCCCCCTGGCTGCTCCTCCAAATGGCACACACGACCTCACCTCAGCGCCTCTGTGCTGCTGTCCCCTCTGCCTTCAAGTCTTGCCTCCCACATCACAGTGAGCCCTCCCTGCCCACTGTCTCTCCAACTGCAGCAACCTGGCCTCTCCTCACTCTCTTTGCCCTGCACTTGCGGCCACCTAACATAGTGAAGAAATTAGTGTATTTCTCCCTCCAGTGGCCTAGGAGCCACACGAGGGCAGGCTGGTTTTTTTTGTTTGTTTGTTTCCCTGCTGGATTTGCAGCCCATAGAACAATGCCTGACCCCCAGCAGGGGCTTGTAAATGCACATTGAATAAATGACAACCGTGCTAGGCACCTTGCAGCCTTCAGCAGGCGTCCTGCCATTTAATCTGCACTGCAGCCCTGGGACTTAGGTTCCCTGTTTTAGAAATGAGGACAGGAGCTTAGAAGGGCCTGTCCCACCCAAGGCCTCAGAGGGAGCACCCCAGGGCTGGCTCCACAGCGCAGACTCCTAACCAAGAACACCCCACCATCCCCTCTTGCCCAAGTTGACTTGAGGCCGCTCAATCCACAGGAGACCTTCCTGCACCCCTGCCCCTCACGCCGGAGCTCTTCGGTCCATTTCTCCGCTCCTCGTCCGTCTCCCTCAGACTCCCCCCTCCCACTCCACCCCCACCCCTGTCCACTTAAGGGGGCTCACAGCCTCCCTCCTCTTGCCACCAAAAGAGTCTGAGGTCAGTTTCCTGCCCTCATGGATCTGCCCTCACGTGCGTGGGTCCTCCTCGGGTCCTCCTTCACCCAGTCGGATTTGAATCTAGACGGGGGCTGGGACCGCTAACGATCCCCGCAGGTCGGCAGGTCGCGGGCGGGAGGGGACGTCGGAGAGCAGAGCGTGCTGCCCCGCGCTTGGCCCCGCCCAGCCCTGAGCCGTGGGCGTGGCCACCGACGTCCTGGTACAGGTTTTGCCGGGTCCTCCGCAGGCAAGGCACGTGGTCCCAGGGCAACTTTTGCACGTGCAAGATGAGCGACATTCTCTTGGCCATCAGGTCCCCGGGAACCTCCTCCACCCTCTGCCCCGAATCCTGTGGCAGCATCACTGGGGTCTGGGCTTCCTCCACCAGGCGTGCCTCCTCTTGGCTCCTTCCCGCACCTAGAGCTGCCTCCTGGAGCCCCCGCACATCTGGGATACCCCCAGCCATGTCCCCACCACCTATGCCTCTTGGGGCTGCAGGACATGCCCCCGGCTCCCACTGGTAGGAACCCCAGGGGCAGGACATCCGGGTCATGGACACTCACATCCTCACCCGTTCCCAATAGGTGCGATGTCCCATCCAGGGATGTCTCAGATGCAGCTGGCAAACCATGGCCCTCATGGCTGAGGACACACCCGTGATGGGACCCCAGGATCTGGGGGGCAGCCACCACCCTGATCACCACCTGGAATGCCTCATCCTGGACCTCCTCCAATGAGCATGTCCCCCAAGGGGTCTCGGTCTGGATCTCCCATGGGTCACTCACGTCCTATGCCTCCATGGTATGTGTGGACCTCCTCCACCGATGCTGCCTCATGGATACACTGGCCCTCCCCAACACCCACCCTATGGCTTCCGGGGGGGACTCTCCCTCCACCCAGACCCACTCCGGGGCCTCCAGTTCCCCCTCAAGGCCCACTTTGGGGCCCTCTCCCTCAGTAAATTCACATTCTTCTTCCTCCTGTTATATCTTCCCAATATCTTTTTGATTCCTTGGACCAGAGATGCTGCAGCTCCTTGCAACTAAGGCACAAATCCCTTTCAGCCTTCCCATCTTCCTTTTTAATGCCATTTTTTTCCCCATAGAAGGTATTTCTTTTTCATGTTGGTCCTAAGTATTTTGCAAATGCAAAGGAAAATAAAACTATAACAAATTTCTTGTTAAAAGAAAGAAAGAAAGAAAGGCTAGGCACAGTGGCTCACACCTGTAATCCCAGCACTTTGGGAGGCTGAGGTGGACGGATCACAAGATCAGGAGTTCAAGACCAGCCTGGCCAACATGGTGAAACCCTGTCTCTACTAAAAATACAAAAATTAGCCGGGCATGGTGGCGGGCACCTGTAATCCCAGCTACTCAGGAGGCTGAGGCAGGAGAATCACTTGAACCTGGGAGGCAAGGGTTGCAGAGAGCCAAGATCCTGCCATTGCACTCCAGCCTGAGCAACAGACCAAGACTCTGTCTCAAAAAAAAAAAAAAAAAAAAAAGAAAAAAAGAAAAGAAAAGAAAAGGCTGGATGTGGTGGCTCATGCCTGTAATCCCAGCACTTTGGGAGGCCGAGGCAGCCGGATCACTTGAGGTCAGGAGTTCAAGACCAGCCTGGCCAACATGGCAAAATCCCATCTCTATTAAAAATACAAAAAGTAGCTGGTGTGATGGTGTGCACCTGTAATCCCAGCTATTCAGGAGGCTGAGGCAGGAGAATTGCTTGGACCTGGGAGGTGGAGGTTGCAGTGAGTGGTGATCATGCCACTACCCTCCAGCCTGGGTGACAGAGTGAGATTCTGTTTCAAAAAAGAAAAAAAGAAAGAAAAGAAAAGAAAAAAAAGAAAGAAAAACTCTCCCAGCCTTCAGGCACCTCAGAAACTGGCTGGACTCCACCTTAATACCCAAGCTTTGCCGTGCCGTCAGCCTAGCTCGATCACACTTCCTTCAAGGCTGCAAAGGTCCGTCCACTTTCCACCTCCCAAACCTTTGCCCACATTGTTCCCCACTGTGCCCAGCCATCCCACTCCTTCCTCTGTCCAGACTGTATGTTTTCTCCTTTCTAAGCACCTGCTGGGAGAGGAAAGAGCACTCAGTCAGAAAACCTGTGATGAACTCCTTCTGCTGGCCAGGCGCAGTGGCTCACACCTGCAATCCCAGCACTTGGGCAGGCTGAGGTGGGAGGCTCTCATAAGCCCAGGAATTCAAGACCAGCCTGGGCAACATTGCAAGACCTCATCACTACAAAAAAAAATACAAAAATCATCCGGCTGTGGTGGTGCACACCTGTGGTCCCACCTACTTGGGAGGCTGAGGCAGTAAGATTGCTTGAGCCCAGGAGTTCAAGGCTTCAGTGAGCTACGATCATGTCACTGCACTCCAGCCTGGGCAACAGAGTGAGACCCTGTCTCAAAAAAAAAAAAAATCCTTCTGCTGCTGTGTGATCTTAGGCAAGTCCCTAACCTCTCTAAACCTAAGGTTCCTCATATGTAAAAGGGGGATGGTTAGGCCCGATGCAATGGCTCACGCCTGTAATCCCAGTACTTTGGGAGGCCAAGGTGGGTGGATCACTTGAGGTCAGGAGTTCCAGACCAGCCTGGCCAACATGGCGAAACCCCGTCTCTACTAAAAATATAAAAATTAGCTTGGTAGTGGTGGTGCGTGCCTGTAGTCCCAGCTACTGGGGAGGCTGAGGTAGGAGAATCTCTTGAACCCGGGAGGCAGAGTTTGCAGTGAGCCAAGATTGCGCCACTGCACTCCAGCCTGGGTGACAAGAGTGAAACTGTCTCAAACAAAACGAAACAAAACAAAACAAAACAAAAGTGGTGGGGGTGGTAACACCTCCCTCCCCTACCTCTCTGCCTTGATGTGAGGGTCAGATGTTTAACAAATAAATGCCAAAGAACTTTTTAAATGCTAAAGCAATTCTTGAAGAAGGAGGGGGTGATTACTGCTCCCTTTATAGGTCTGTGTGTCTAATCTTTCCTCCTAAATCTGGTGGATGGAAGCTTTTGTTCTTTAGGTTTATTTATTTTATTTTATTTTATTGTTTGTTTATTTATTTATTTATTTGAGACGGAGTTTCGCTCTTGTTGCCCAGGCTCGAGTGCAATGGTGTGATCTTGGCTCACCGCAACCTCCACCTCCCAGGTTCAAGCGATTCTCCTGCCTCAACCTCCATAGTAGCTGGGATTACAGGCATGTGCCACCACGCCCGGCTAATTTTGTATTTTTAGTAGAGACGGGGTTTCTCCAGTTGGTCAGGCTGGTCTTGAACTCTCGACCTCAGGTGATTCGCCCACCTCGGCCTCCCAAAGTGCTGGGATTACAGGCATGAGCCACTGCGCCCAGCCTATTTATTTTTTGAGAAAGAGTTTCACTCTTGTTGCCCAGGCTGAAGTGCAGTGGTGCAACCTTGGCTCACTGGAACCTCCACTGGAACCTCCACCTCCTGGGTTCAAGTGATTCTCCTGCCTCAGTCTCCCAAGTAGCTGCGATTACAGGTGTGCACCACCATACCCAGCTAATTTTTTTTATTTTTCATAGAGACGGGGTTTCACCATGTTGGCCAGGCTGGTCTTGAACTCCTGACCCCAGGTGATCCACCTGCCTTGGCCTCCCAAAGTGCTGAGATTACAGGCGTGAGCCACCGCACCTGGCCTGTTCTTTAGGTTTTGACTCTCTTTAATCTGTAGTAATATTTTTTGCCTTAAAGTCAAATTTGTGGGATATTAATTTAGCACCACCAGTTCCACTTTGGTCCCTATTTGCCTGGTATAACTTTTTCGTCCTTCTACCTTCAGCCTTCCCATGTCCATAATTTTAGGTTTGTCATTTGTAAACACAATATAGCTGGAATTTTAAAAAATCTGATCTGACAATGTATCTTGAGTTTAATTCTTTACAAATGTATGATTTTGACATATTTATTCTATCTTATTTTTGTGCTTGCTAGTAGCCAGAGTTTTCATATTTCTCCTTTCTTGCATTTTTTTTTTTCTTTTTTGGAGATGGAGTCTCGCTCTGTCGCCCAGGCTGGAGTGCAGTGGCGCCATCTTGGCGCAAGCTCCGCCTCCCGGGTTCACGTCATTCTCCCACCTCAGCCTCCCGAGTAGCTGGGACTACAGGCGCCCGCCACCACACCCGGCTAATTTTTTTTGTATTTTTTAGTAGAGACGGGGTTTCACCGTGTTAGCCAGGATGGTCTCGATCTCCTGACCTCGTGATCCACCTGTCTCGGCCTCCCAAAGTCCTGGGATTACAGGCGTGAGCCACTGCACCTGGCCTCCTTTCTTGCATTTTTAAGAATTGATCAAGGTTTTCTTTTTCTTCAGGTCCCCCCTGCTCCTCACTGGCTTGGAAACTGCACATTTCATATCTATTCTTTCTGTGGTTATCCTACACACACACACACACACACACACACACACACACACACACACACGTATATTTAGAGACAGAGTCTTGCTCTATCCCCCAGGCTGGAGTGCAGTGGTGCGATCTTGGCTCACCGAAACTTCTGCCTCCTGGGTTCAAGCAATTCTCATGCCTCAGCCTCCCTAGTAGCTGGGATTACAGACACCTGCCACCATGCGTCTGTACATAATTTTTGTACTTTTAGTAGAAACCGGGCTTTGCCATGTTGGCCAGTCTGGTCTTGAACTCCTGACCTCAGGAGATCTGCCCACTTCGGTCTCCGAAAGTGCTGGGATTACAGGTGTGAGCCACTGTGCCTGGCTCCAAGATATTTTAATATGTATATTTAACAAAAACTAAAGTTAATTGCCAATATTTAATCTCCTTTTAGGTCAAAATTACTATTTCCTTTGTGCATCTCAGATCTTCCTTCTGAGAAAAATTCCATGTGCCATCAAAAGATTCTTCAGATGTTTCTATATCAAAGATCTATGGGTGATAAACTCAACTGTATTTTTCTCAGTATCTTTATTTTACCCTCATCCCTGAAGGATGACCACAGGTGCATAATTTTAGGTTGACAGTTATTTTTCTCACCACTTTGAAGGTATCATTCCACTGTCTTCCGACTTCTATTGTTGCTGTTGAGACATCAGCTGCCAGTAATTGTCAATCTTTTTGAGACAATACCTTTTCTATCTGGCTGCTTTTGGGAGCTTAATTTTTGTCTTTGGTGTTCTGTAGTTTTCATTCATTCATTCATTCTACAACTTTTACAAAGCATTAACTGGGTGCCATGGGTGCCAGCATTGTTCTAGGTGTTGAAGGTATAGAAGTGAATGAACCATGTTCTGTTAGAATGACTGTCATCCAGGCTGGCTGGGTTGCAGTGGTGCCATCACAGCTCACTGCAGTCTCGAACTCCCTGGGCTCAGGTGATCCTCCCACCTCAGCCTCCTGAGTAGCTGGGCCTACAGGCACTACTCCCGGCTAATTTTTGTGTCTTTTGTATTGATGGGGTTTCGGCATGTTGCCCAGGCTGGTCTCCAACTCCTGGGCTCAAGTGATCTACCCACCTTGGCCTCCCAAAGTGCTGGGATTACAGGTGTGAGCCACTGCGCCCGACCTCTTTTTATTTATCCCGTTTGGGAATTGTTTAGCTTCTTGAACCTGAGCTTTGCTGTCTTTCCATTTTGGAAAATATTCTGACATGATTTCTTTGAATGTTGCTTCTCTCTCATCATCTCCTTCAGGAACTCTGGCTATATTTATATTGCTCCTTCTCACTCTATCCTTTGTGTCTTCTTTTTTTCCCCCCCGAGATGGAATCTTGCTCTATCACCCAGGCTGGAGTGCAGTGGTGTGATCTCAGCTCACTGCAACCTCCACCTCCCGGGTTCAAGCAATTCTTCTGCCTCAGCCTCCCGAGTAGCTGGGATTACAGGCATCTGCCACCATGCCCAGCTAATTTCTGTATTTTTAGTAGAGACGGGGTTTCACCATTTTGGCCAGGCTGGTCTCGAACTTCTAACCTCGTGATCTGCTCACCTGGGCCTCCCAAAGTGCTGGGATTACAGGCATGAGCCACCATGCCCAACCTGTGTCTTAACTTCTTTTTTGTATTTTCTGTCTCTTTCTACTGCATTCTGGGTGATTTCTTCAAATCTATCTCCCAGGCTACCATTTCTCTCTTCAGATAAATCTATTCTATGAATTAACCTAGGCATTGAGTTTCTGATTTCAATCATGTGTTTTTCATTTATACTTCTGTTTCATTCTTTTAAAACTCCACTGGCAATCCTGATCTCTGCATTGCCACATTCCAGCTCTGAAATCAAGTCT
Organism: Homo sapiens; assembly: GCF_000001405.40. NCBI lineage: Eukaryota > Metazoa > Chordata > Mammalia > Primates > Hominidae > Homo > Homo sapiens. The sequence continues at coordinate 11,756,079 of NC_000001.11, read as the reverse complement.
CCGTGTGCCCTTGTCCAAGGCTGTCCCTTCTGGGCCTGTGTCTAGGAGATTTAGGAACTAGGAGATCAGCTTTCACGTTGTGCTCTGGGGATCCCTGGGTTCCCTGGTACTGATGAGAGGGTACTTGATCAGACCTGCTGCCTCTTATATATTGAATATTTCTTTTAAACAAGGGATTTGAAATAATTTTTTTTTGAGACAGTCTCACTCTGTCGCCCAGGCTGGAGTGCAGTGACGCAGTCTCAGCTCACTGCAACCTCTGCCTCTCATGTTCAAGTGATTCTCCCACCTCAGCCTCCCAAGTAGCTAGGACCACAGGCACGAGCCACCACGCCTGGCTAGTCTTTGTACTTTTAGTAAAGACGTGGTTTCGCCATGTTGACCAGGCTGTTCTCGAACTCCTGACCCCAGGTGATCCTCCCAACTCAGCCTCCCAAAGTGCTGGGATTACAGGCATGAGCCACTGCGCCTGGCCTTGAAATAAAATATTTTTAAAACCACTGGGCTAGGGGAGGTCTAAGTTTCCTTCAAGTTCAAATTTGTGATACTGAATTTTCATCTCAGATATGACAATGTTTTATGACAACCTGTTGACTCTGTAGTTTCTGACTTAGACGTGTGAACAAAAGCACCTGACCACCTGGAGAACTGGGTCCTGAGTTCTGTTGCTAGTGAGGAAAATCTGTTTTACTTCCTGAAAAATTTTCCAATCTTTTGAAAACTTGTAGAAAGCACTCAAGAAATGTTCATAGCATTGAGTCAAAGAGATGAATTGACTTGCCCGAGATCACACAGCTCAAAGCTGATGATGCTGGGATCCATGCCTAGGCAGCCCAGCCCAAAGCCAGGCTCCAGGCCACTGTGCCATGGCCTTCCCCATAGAAGCTGATCAGAGGGACACCAGCCCCAGGCCCACGCACTCCTCTCCATCTCCCCTCCCAGGCACAAGGGCACGACATTACTGTATCCAGACAGCCTCGGAGGCTGGGGCTGGGTCCAAGGCAGGGCCGTAGGGCCCCAAGTACCCCACACTCCTAACACCCATCCTCTCCTCTGTACATTCATCCTGGGACCCTGAACAAGTCCCAGGGGCTGCAGGCCTCAGCTTCCTTGTCTGTCCAATGGGAGAAACATTCTGGTGCCCCTCACCTGGGGACAGGTCTGGCAGCAATGAGGTCAGCCAGGGTGGGAGGCCCCAGGTCACTCCTGCCCTCGACCGGCTGGTACCAGTCACAGGCCACCTGGACTCCTTCCCTCTCTAAATGATTACACAGTCGTACAGATAATGAGATCTAACATTTATTAAACACTGATGTTGCACCATTTTCAGTCCTCACTAATACCCGAGTCAGGCACTATTATTGTCCCCATTTTCAGATGAGGAAGCTGAGGCACAGTGAGGTTAAGAGATAGTGTCTCTTAACACAGCCAGTTACAGAGTGCATAGGGGATTTAAACCAAGGCTCACTGACTCCAGAGCCCGTTTAGAGACACAGTGTGAGAGTTGGCATTTCCAGGCCATTCCGGAGACTCTGAGAACCGGCCTGAGGTGGGGCCCTGTAGGTACTGCAGCTCTGGTCCAGTTCTGGCCAACAGGAGAAGGCAGTGACCTCCTGTGGGGCAATTTCTCTGGCTTCCTCATGTGGAAGGCTCAGCTTTGTGAAAACAAGAAATAGATTTGCAAACTGGACAAGTGTGACTTCAGTCCTGATATGGTTTGGCTGTGTCCCCACCCAAAGCTCACCTTGAATTGTAATAATCCCCATGTGTCAAGACCGGGGCCAGGTAGAGATACTCGAATCATGGGGATGGTTCCCCATACTGTTCTGGTGATGGTGAATAAGTCTCATGAGATCTGATGGCTTTATAAATGGGAGTTCCTCTGCAAGGGCTCTATCTCTTGCCTGCCTCCATGTAAGACGTGATTTTGCCCCTCATTCACCTTCCACCATAATGGTGAGGCCTTCCCAGCCATGTGGAACTTTGAGTCCATTAAACCTCTTTCCTTTATAAATTACCCCGTCTTGTATGTCTTTATCAGCAGCATGAGAACAGACTGATACAAGCCCTCTCCAGCAGGAGACCAGAGGCAAGAGGAATTTGCTTCCTGTGGTTGACAGCCTCAAGAATGTCAGACACTATATAAACCTGCAGGGTGCCCTACTTCCAAGTCCCTACAGACATGGGCCTTTTAAAAGTTGCACAGTGGTGAGAATGTCCAGTTGGAAAGCCTCGTTAGCACAGTGCAGCCCGTCCATGGCTGAAGTCCTGGGCTTATCCTGGACCTGCCCTCATCCTGGACCTGCCCTCCCACGTCCTCCCTCCTGGCTAGCGGCAGCTCCAGCCTTCCAGTCAGGCCCACACCTCACAGTCCCGGGCTTGTCTCTGCATCCTCTATCCAGCCCATCACAGGTCCTGCTGCTTTGCCTTCAGAGAGTGTCCAAGAGTTGACCACTTGTCACCACCCCCACCACTGCCCCCATCCAAGCCACCAACATGGTCCTTTTAGAATGCAAGCCAGGTGCAGTGGCTTATGCCTGTAATCCCAGCACTTTGGGAAGCCAAGGTGGGCAGATCACTTGAGGCTAGGAGTCCAAGAGCAGCCTGGCCAACATGGTGAACCCCATCTCTACTAAAAATACAAAAATTAGCTGGGCATGTTGGTAGGCACCTGTTATCCCAGCTATTTGGAAGGCTGAGGCAGGAGAATCGCTTGAACCCAGCTGCAGTGAGCCAAGATTGCACCATTGCACGCCAGCCTGGGCAACAAGAGCGAAACTCTGTCTCAAAACAAAACAAAACAAAACAAAACGCCAGGCGCAGTGGCTCACGCCTGTAATCCCAGCACTTTGGGAGGCCGAGGCAGGTGGATCACAAGGTCAGGAGATCAAGACCATCCTGACCAACATGGAGAAACCCCATCTCTACTAAAAATACAAAATTAGCTGGGCGTGGTGGCGCATGCCTGTAATCCCAGCTACTCAGGAAGCTGAGGCAGGAGAATTGTTTGAACCTGGGAGGCAGAGGTTGTGGTGAGCTGAGATCGCGTCACTGCACTCCAGCCTGGGCGACAGAGGGAGACTCCGTCTCAAAAAAAAAAAGAATATAAGGCAGACCTTGCCCGGCTCTGACCAACACCCTCCAGGGGCTCCCATCTCATTCAGCCAGAACTGGAGTCCTCAGAATGACTTGCTAAGCCTGCACATCTGACCCCAGCCACCTTCTGACCTCATTGTCTTCTTCTCTCCCTCCCCCACCCTCTCTGCTCAGCCACTCTCTGCCTCAGGCCTTGTTAGCTGTCACCAAGAACCTCTCATGCTAAATGGAATGCCCCTGGGTGACTTTTCCCGCACCCTGGCATCCCCTGCCTCTGGAACACGGCCTCACTCACAGTGGGCTCTGGGGCGCTTGTTGTATGTTAGAAGCTCTCCCTGTTAAGGCCGCTGTGTGGAAGGGGCAGCCACATGGTTGCCTCCTCCACCGTTTCTGTCTGCCTCTGATGGCCCTCCGGCTCCCGACTGCCTGCACAGTCGGGGGGTGGCACAGTGCCTGCAAATCTAAGCCACCCTCTCCCACTCCCTGAGCAGCTCCTAGCCAATGACTGGAAAGCCTGGCACCCTTGCTTTCATCGCAGGCTCTGCTTCTGGGGTACACTCTGAGACAGGAGCTTTCCTCTGTCCTCTCCCGCAAAGAGCCGGTTCAACCTGGGGGTCTGGGACGATGAGGGACTGAGGTGTCTAGATACACTCCCCTGTGCGTGGCCCAGGCTGCATCATCTGCCCCCACTGCCTGGGCCAAGCCCCTGCCCTGGCTTTTCATTCCCTTTGGGAATCTGACACGTTCACGACGCAGGTACACAAGCCTTCCCGGGGCCAGGATGCTGTATACACAAGATAAACGGACTTGGGTCTTAGTCCCATTCCCCTCGGGTCACGCTCCTCCTCCACCCAGGGTGGCTACAGTCATGAACCTGACAGGTGTCCTTCTAGTCCATGCTTTTCTATTTTACCGCACATACACCCAGGAACAACATATGGCATTGCTGTGAGGTCTGAAAATTCATCCCAATGCCATTCTGCAATCTGCTTTGTTCACATTTGCGGGGGGCCAACGTTGGTGGAAATAGGTCTGGTTTAACAGCTGTAACTGCTGCACTGTGCTCCATACGATGAATGGACCGTGGCTTACTGGTCCGTACTCCCTATAATGAATGGACCGTGGCTTACTGGTCCATACTCCCTACAATGAATGGACTGTGGCTTCCTGGTCCATACTCCCTACAATGAATAGACTGTGGCTTCCTGGTCCATACTCCCTACAATGAATAGACTGTGGCTTCCTGGTCCATACTCCCTGTAATGAATGGACCGTGGCTTACTGGTCCGTCTCCCGACAGTGAGGCTGTTTCCAGTTTCTCACAACTGCAGCTGCTCAGCAGCCCTCTGCCCGGAGCACAGCCCCTTCCCCACAGCAGCCTTCCTCCCTGACCCAGAGGCCCATGTCCTCTTCTTTCGGGGCTCTTGCCTCTGTCTGTAATCCTCCAGGTGGGAAGACTCCTAGGTTGAGAGCAGGCTCCCAAGGTCACCACTGCAGCCCCAAGCCCGCTCGGCACCAGGCAGGTACTGAGCCTCTTTTGATTGACAGATGGACGCAAGAGAATAATGGGAGTTGTGCACTAGGCCTTGACCCTGTGCCAGGGACAAGCCAGGATGGCCTGGGAAAGCCCTGGCACTTGGTGCCCAGGGGGCAGAAGAGCAAGCTGTGAATAGCTAGACCTGTCCGTGGGGTGGGCCGAGGCCCTGGGGAACTTCTGGACGTGTCAGCCCAAGTCAGCTGTGACCAGACACAGGGGCTACCAGGAAGAGGTCGCCCCTGCCTCCTAACCTAGCATCGTCACTGGCCTGAGGAGCAGGTCCACTGCTAACAAGTTCACCATCACTTAGGGAGCCCTCCTCACGCCAGGCACTTCACACCTGGAGCAGGCACCAACCCTTTCTAGAAGACACTGAAGGCATGCAGCTAGTAAGTGGCAGAGCAGGATTCCAAAGAGTGCCTGGGTCATCTGGTTCAGAGAAACGGATGCCCACGCACCACACCCACCAGTGTCTCTCTCTCCTGTGGCCTCTGCTAGGCCAGAGCCAGGCTCAAGCCCAGCTCAGCCAACGCACATGCCTGTTTCCTCCTGCCATGACAGAATGGGGCAGCACAGCACAGGCTCCACCTGGGAACTGGCAGGAGACATCTTCCCAGGAACAAGGCCAGGCCCCAGCCCAGCCAGGAGATTGAAGGTGGTTCAAAACACAGCCCATCTACAGAATTCCCCAAACTTTAATGCTGTGCTCTGAAAAGGGAGGCTGGAGGTTGTGGTGGGACACAGTGTTGCTGACACCTCTGGCCTCCAGCCCTGCATCCCTAGGCACCATGTGACCAGGCAGTGAGAAGGACGGGGCCTCACTCCCATGCCAGACTGCTCCTCGGGCTGAGCAGGACCTGAAGCTCTCAGGGCTTCCACCAAAGCCCAGCAAACTTGGGGGAGGCCTGAGGGGGCATCAGCAGTCCTTAAAGGCCTGAGCTTGCAACACTCAGGCAGGACTCGGCTGAGGGCCTCTGTGGTGCCACCATGGGGTAGGAGGTAAAGAGAGACCCTGGTTCCAGCCTGGGAACCAGTGGGTGCCCTGAAGGGAGGGGAGGCCTCAGGGAGTTCGGGACAGGAGTGTGCATGGTACTGGGCGGCCCATGGGGGCTCCTGGCCTCTTGGTTCAGGCAATCCCTGAGCTGGGGACACATTCCATCTTAGGTCCAAGAGACGGAGGTCAGGAGCATCCCTAGAACGACCTCCCAGGCACGAGGAAGGCCCGGGGCAGGGCCGGGCGCAGCGTGGCTGGCTTCAGTACCCTCGGGCATCTTGACTCCTGCCCTCTGGGACTGCAAAGGGATCTGCGGGCGCCTCTGCTGAGTCAATCGTCTGGTAGGCACTACGGTCCTGAGAAGACCCAAGGAAACCTAGGTGACAGGGGACATGGTGGGAAAGAAAAATGAAGGGTGAGAACTCGGGATGTTCAGCTGAGTCCAACCCAAGATCCACCCCCGCCACCCTCGGGCTGGGCATCCTGACACCATGCACAGAGACAGAGGCAGCAGCCCCAGGCCCTAAACCTTTAGCGTGTATTATTCATTCAATCCTGCCGTATCCCTGTGCGACGGGTATTTTTATTGTCCCCACTTTACAGATGAGGAGACTGTGGGTCAAAGGGATGAAGTGACTTGCCCGAGATCACACAGCTCAAAGCTGATGATGCTGGGACCCACGCCTAGGCAGCCGAGTCCAAAGCCAGGCTCCTGGCCCCTGTGCCATGGGCTTCCCCAGGCAGCACGTGCTTAGGAACCTGGGCAGAGGGACATCAGCCCCGGGCCCACGCACTCCTCTCCAGCTCCCCTCCCAGGTACAAGGACACCACATTACCATATCCAGATGGCCTCGGAGGCTGGGGCTGGGTCCAAGGCAGGGCCGTAGGGCTCCGAGTACGCCACATGCCTCACTCCCATCCCCTACTCTGTACATTCATCCCGGGACCCTGAACAAGTCCCAAAGGATGTGGGCCTCAGTTTCCTCATCTGTCCAATGGGAGAAACATTCTGGCACCCCTCACCTGGGGGCAGGCCCAGGCAGTGCTGAGGTCAGCCACTGTGGGCAGCCCCAGGCCATTCCCACCCTCAACCAGCTGGTGGCAGTCACAGGCCACGTGGGGCATCTCATCTCAGGAGTGAAAGGCAGAAGGCCACACCCTACCACCTCCCTCCACTCCTCTCAAAGAGAGAGAGAAAGGAAGAGAGAGAGAGGTGTCAGAGAGCAGGCAAATGGCTCGGCCACCAGGAGAAGGAGTACAGGAGTTCAGAGAGGGCGTGGGAGAGGGCAGGTGTAAGGCTGGGTGAGTGGGGAGGGGCCGGTGGGCAGGGAAAGTGCCCCCTGTTCAGGGCTGTCTTCACTGAGGCTCCCACAGCCTACACTGGCACGGGCTCTGCCCTGGCCACCTAGCAGTCTCTGCAGCAGGAGAGGGAAGACCCCATGTGGCAGGAAATGGGGTTCCAGTGATGGGCCCCGGTGAGAACAGAGAGGAGACCTGTAGGTGCCCGTGGCCCTCAGGATGGAGACAGCCCAGGGCTGCCCCTGGGAACTAAATGGTACCCCCAGCTGTGCCTGTGTTCTGGGCTGAGAGAAGGGCCCAGCCTCAGCTTCACAGCAGAAGAAGGTCACGGCAGACCAGGACAACCAGGGGACCCCTGGGCTCCTGCAGCAGAGACTAGGAGCTTGGACCTGTCCAGCCTAGTACAGAGCGCCCATGCCACGCTCTCCCTGCACCTTGAGCCCTGGCCCCATGGGGCAAGGCTGGCTCACTGAGGGAGAGGCTGGAGGCCAGGCAAGGGAGAGAAGGGAGCGGTGAGGAGCTGGCTGGAGGTGGTGGCCTCACCAGTGTGGACCAGGAGCTCACCCCCGCGCTCCCGGTACATGTGGTAGACGAAGCAGCAGGAGAGCGGCTTGAGCAGCAAGCTGAGGATGGCCATGCCCACGCCAAAGCGGCCCGTGTCCGTGAGGCTGACCCGCGGGTAGAAGATGCTGATGTGCACGATGTCCAGGAAGATGGTGGCCAGCAAGCCACCCAGAAACTGCAAGACACACCACACTGATGAGCACAACACCCCCACCACGCTCCGTGGCTCCCCCGCCACACACCGGATGGGAAGCCGTTTCATGCCCTGCTGTGTCCTTGGGGCTTGCGGGAAAATGGATCAAGCAAGCAGGCAGGGCCCCGCTGGGGAGCCGCTGGCTGAGACTGCAGTCTGGGGGCAGGGATGCCGGGGGCCCAGGTCTCGGTTCCACCAGAGCCTCCCTCCCCACCCATTTCCCGTCATCTCCAAGGCCATGATGGGCACAAGACTTGGCTCTAGAACCTCCATAGAGGAAGGTTCCTTGGAGTTCACCCAGTCCTTCTCCAACACAAAGAAAATCTCTTCTCAGTCATCCTGAGGCCCTGGCCTCGGCTTGAAGAGCCCGTGCGGGAGTGCTCACTGCCCCACGGGGCTCCGTGGGTGCTGAGAAGCTCCCCCTGTGGGAGGTTTCGGTGGGGCAGGGTCACCTCTACTTCCTAAAGTAGTGAAATGCCCTCTTGGCCGGGTCTCCCAGCCATATCCCCTCCCCTAAAAGAGAGCCGCAGAGGGAGGTTACAGGGGATGTTCCACTGCTCTTGCGAAGTGGCTAATCCGAGGCACTGGTGGGACCCACCCCATGGCTTTCCTCAGGGAGATAATGGCAGACTTGGGGTTCTCTAAGCCAGACAAGAAGAGCAGCAGGCTGGGCTCCTGAACACAGGCATGGGCCGGAGCCCAGGAGGCTGATGAACAGGCTTTAGACAATGGGAAGTGGTGGCCCAAGGAAGAGGGGGAAGATTGGGATGGGACGGGGTAGCAGAGCCAGGCTATGTCTTGCCCTGTGCTGCGGCTCCCCGCCTTGCCGCCTCTCCCCCACCCTGGCTCACCATGCTTATGGCGTCGATGGAGTCCCGCTGAGCCACAGCCCACACGCCCAAGGCCAGGATGGTGAAGTTGGCCCAGGCATAGGAGCCTGAGAATACAATGCAGCCCCTGTAGGAAGAGGTAGCTCAGTCCCGTCAGGAGGCCACCACCCCGCAGGTCACCTCCCTCCTGCTCCGGCGTCTCAGGGCCTCCTCCCAGAACATGCCATAGTCTTCGAGGCCACCCGGCTGTGTGCCAGCAAATCCCATGGGCTCCGCCTCCCACCCAGACCCTGGATCTGGCTGTGTCCCTGTAGATCCAAAGCACCTCCCTCTCCTGGCAGATGACAGCCGCAGCCACCCTGTGCCAGCGTCCTGACTGCCACTCTGTTCTCTAAACAGCAACCGGTAACGTAGTCAGATGCTGTCACTCCTCTGCTAAAAATCCTCCAACAGTTTTCTGTCCCATTTGGAATAAAATGCAGACTCTTCACCAGGGCCTAAGGGGCCTGTGGGATCCCGGACACAGCCTCGCCCTACTGACCTCCCAGCCACTGCCCTGTGCGGCGGGCGCCCTCTACCCTGACACCTGGCCCTCCTTTTGTCATTCACCCTGAGACTCGAATGTTCACCCTGAGACTCCTTCCCTTGCCCACCGGTGCTAAGTACAAGTTCGTCACTTTCCTAACACAAGGCCCGCCCTATTCTATTTTTAGGGTACTGATACTGACATTGTTGACTTACTTGTCAATCCAATCAAAATCATAGTGAACACCGATCACTTGCTAGTACCTAGCATGGTTCTGTTTTAAATTAACTCATTCATGTACATTTATGTTAATAACCATAGGAAGGAAGTATTATTGTTACCCTCACTTTAGAGATGAGGAAACTGAGACACAATGAGGTTAAGTAACTCGCCCAAGGTCACACAGTTGCTGAGCAGTGGGGCTGGGATTTGGAGTCTGGCTGGAGAGGCCATGCTCTTGCTCACCCTGCTGTGCTGCAAGGAAGACTCAGGGGGACAGGGACTGAGTCTACCTCATTTATTACCAAACCCACTGGGCCTTGCCTTCCCCTGCATGCAGCGGGCGCTTCCTAGATTTATAGGACATTCACTAAAGTGTAACATGCAGAAGACATGTGCAAGGCAGGTGTGGAGTGCCATTCGGTTCAATAGGTCTTTGAATAAACCATCTTATCTTTTGCTTTTAAGAAAGCAGGTGCCTGGGTCCCAGCCCAGAATCACCAACTCAGAATCTTGGGGAAGTGTGACTAAGAAATCTGTATTTTGGCCCTGCTTCTCAAGGTCGTGAATCATGATGGTTACAGTTCACATTACTCACAGCTGTTGCCCTGTGCGCTGCACTTCGAAGTTTGCAAAGTGCACAGGTGAGCTCAATGGTTTCCAGTCTTGGTTTGGCAGAGAAATGTCTCCAGAAGCTCAACAGATTAAAAGAGATGGTAAAGGTGAAAATCAAGCTGCAGTGCTGAGGCCTCACTGTGGGGCAGGCCCTGGGGAGCTCTGATGAGCACTTCCACGTCTCCCTCCCAGCTCCTGCAGGGTGTGCAATCCTTATGCCTATTGTACAGACGGAAATCAAGACCCGGAGAGGCAGAGCTGTCTGGCCCAAAGTGACCTGGTTAAAACACGGCAGAACCAGGACCTGACCCGGCTGACACAGACCCTGAGACCGCAGGAGACACACAAGATACCCACAGAGTCACTTACCAGGTTGTCAGCAGCCAGTGACCTAGGAGAATCACCTGTGGCACAACAAGGGGGAGAGAAGAGGTCTGTGAACATGACCACCACAGGGGCAGGAAAGCGTCGGGTGCAGAAAACACAGGACGCCCCTGCGCCTGGCACCTCTGAGGGCCTCAGTAATGTCTGTTGAAAAGGCACACCAGCAACTGCAGGTGGCCCAGGAGTGAAGGAGGAGGAAGAAAGCAGGCCAGGCCAGGGAGGGGCCGCTTCATGCCTTCACCCCTCCCATGGGGCAGCTGACACCCACACCCCTTCCAAGCGTCAGAGGCGTATGAACCAGAGCAATTCCATCTTGAATAGGAGCTGGGTAAAATAAGGCTGAAACCTAGTGGGCTGCATTCCCAGATGGTTAAGGCATTCTAAGTCACAGGATGAGACAGGAGGTCAGCACAAGGTACAGGTCATAAAGACCTTGCTGACAAAACGGGTTACAGTAAAGAAGCCGGCTAAAACCCACCCAAATCAAGATGGCCACGAGAGTAACCTCTGGTTGTCCTCACTGCTACACTCCCACCAGCACTATGACAGTTTACAAATGCCATGGCAACGTCAGAAAGTTACCCTATATTGTCTAAAAAGGGGAGGCATGAATAATCCACCCCTTGGTTAGCATACTATCAAGAAATAACTATAAAAATGGGCAACCAGCCTGGGCGCGGTGGATCACACCTGTAATCCCAGCATTTTGGGAGGCCGAGGTGGGTGGATCACCTGAGGTCAGGAGTTCAGGACCAGCCTGGCCAACATGGTGAAACCCTGTCTCTACTAAAAATACAAAAATTAGCCGGGCATGGTGGTGTGTGCCTGTAATCCCAGCTACTCAGGAGGCTGAGACAGGAGAATTGCTTGAACCTGGGAGGTGGAGGTTGCAGGGAGCCGAGATTGTGCCATTGCACTCCAGCCTGGGCGACGAGAGAAACTCCATCTCAAAAATAAGTAAATTAATTAATTAATTAATTTTTTTAAAAAGGGCAACCAGCAGCCCTCAGGGATGCTCTGCCTATGGAGTAGCCATTCTTTTATTCCTTTACTTTCTTAATAAACTTGCTTTCACTTTACTCTATGGACTCGCCCTGAATTCTTCCTTGTGCGAGATCCAAGAACCCTCTCTTGGGGTCTGGATTGGGACCCCTTTCCTGTAACACAAGGGTGGGAGGCTCCTTTGTGGAATGCAGGGAATCTGCTCTGAAATCAGAAGAGGCCTCGATGGGAAGCGGAGCGGTGGGGACTCACGTGAGGGTGATTTCTTGGGACACTGGAGCTGGCGCACTGTGGGGGGCAGAGGGGAAAGCAGCTGTTGTGGCTGGAGAGAGCGGGCAAAGGGAGGGTAGCTGGGGACAGGTAGGGGGGCCTGAGGGCCTCGGGAAGGAGCGTGGGCTTCATGCCAAGTGCAACGAGGGACACCACTGAGACTTTTCTACAGGGAGATAGCTTGGTATGCCTTATGGTAAGGAAAAACAACAACAAAATCCCCCTGGCTATTTTTCTGGATTTCTGCAATATTCTACTTTTTTCTTTTTAAATTTGGAGACAGGGTCTTGCTCTGTGGGTCAGGCTGGAGTTCAGTGGCGCCATCACAGCTCACTGCAGCCTCAAACTCCTGGGCTTAAGTGATCCTCCTGCTTCAGCCTCCCCAGTAGCTGGGACTACAGGTGTGTACCACCACGCCCAGCTAATTTTTGTTTTTTTGTAGAGACAAGGTCTCCCTATGTTAACCAGGCTAGTCTCAAATTCCTGGGCTCAAGCAATCTACCCACCTTGGTCTCCCAAAGTGCTGGGATTACAGGCAGGAGCCACTGCACCCAGCTACAATATTTTACCCTTTTTAATGTCCTCTGTGTCCTTAAAATGACAGCCTCCTCTCCTGGAACTGGTCTCTACTCCGGGACATCAACAAGGCCCTGACTGGAAAGCACATAGAAAAAGGGCAGATGGAGGCTGGGCACAGTGGCTCACGCCTGTAATCCCAGAACTTTGGGAGGCTGAGGTGGGCAGATCACCTGAGGTCGGGAGTTCGAGATCAGCCTGACCAGCATGGAGAAACCCCGTTTCTACTAAAAATACAAAATTAGCCGGGCATGGTGGCACATGCCTGTAATCCCAGCCACTCAGAAGGCTGAGGCAGGAGAATCGCTTGAACCCAGGAGGCAGAGGTTGCAGTGGGCCGAGATCGCGCCATTGTACTCCAGCCTGGACAACAAGAACAAACCTCCGCCTCAAAAAAAAAAAAAAGGAAAGAAAGAAAAAGGGCAGATGGGCTGGGCGCGGTGGCTCACCCCTGTAATCCCAGCACTGTGGGAGGCCAAGGCAGGTGGATCACTTGAGGTCAGGAGTTCGAGACCAGCCTGGCTAACATGGCGAAACCCTGTCTCTACTAAAAAGACAAAAATTAGCTGGGCATGGTGGTGGGCACCTGTAATCCCAGCTACTCCGGAAGTTGAGGCACGAAAATTACTTGAACCTGGGAGGCAGAGGTTGCAGTGAGCCCAAAATGGGCCACAGCACTCCAGCTTGGGTGACAGAGTGAGACTCCATCTCAAAAAAAAAAAAAGAAAAGAAAAGACAGATGCCTTGGGAGGGCAGGCAGCTGCAGAAAGAGCTTCCAAAGGGAAGGGACCCAGGCTGAGCACAATGTATGAGCGGGGCTCGGCCAGGCAAAGTGGGGCCAAGCCCCAGGCCCTGCATGGGTGGCGGTGGGCATGGAGATAACTGAGGTCGGGGTGGGGTGGCACAGAGACTTTGGGAGGCCAGGAGCCCCAAATTGGGAGCTTCAACGGGCCTGGTGGTCAATGAGGGCCCTAGAAGTTTACTCAAGGGATTGAGGGGTCAGGCTGGAAGGGAGAGATGCCACATGCCTGGGGCAGAGGCAGTGTCCTGGCGCAGACATGGGCAAGGTTTGCGAAGAAGGCCGGGGTTTCTGGCCTGGGTGGAAGGGCAGAAGGAGCCCTCACCACCTGCAAAAAAGAACTGTGGGCCAGGTCTGGTGGCTCACGCCTGTAATCCCAACACTTTAGGAGGTGGAGGGAGAAGACTGCTTGAGCCCAGGAGTTCGAGAACAACCTGGCTAACAAAGTAAGATCCTATCTCTACAAAAAATCAAAAAATTAGCCAGGTATGGTGGAGTACATCTATAGCCCCAGCTACCTGGGAGGCTGAGGTGGGAGAATCACTTGAGCCAGTGAGGTCAAGTGTACAGTGAGCCAAGATCATGCCACTGCACTACAGCCTGGGGGACAGAGCAAGATCCTGCCAGAAAGAGAAAGTAAGGAAAGAAAGAAAAGAAAGAAAGAGAGAAAGAGAAGGAAGAAAGAAAGAAAAAGAAAGAAAAGGAAGGAAAGAAGGAAGGAAGGAAGGAAGGAACGAAGGAAGGGAAAGAAGGGAAAGAAAGGACAGAAAAGAAAGACAGACAAACTCACTCTGGCAGCAGAGGAAAAAGCATTTCTAGAAGAGTTACTCTTGACCACACACCAACTATGTGCCAGGCCCTATGCCAACCGTCTCACATGACCTTATCTGGACCTCACAGCAGCCTCTGGTACTATTATTCCCATTTCACAGATGAGAAAACCAGACTCAGAGATAAATTATGTTGATCAAGACTCCACAGGTAGCAAGTGGCAAAACTGGAATTAAATTTCAAACTCGCCTCCAAAACCAGTGCACCCAACCTCCCCGCTGGGGGCGCAGGCCTTCAGCTGGGAACTGTTTGGGCTTGTGAGAAAGGTCCACACATGGGGGCAGATGGAATCCAGAGCTGGTGGCTGAGATACTTCACCTTTACCTCCAGGGCCCAGGGCCAGAGTGAACCACAAGGGGCCTGGCTCTGTGGCCCAAAAGAAATTCCTTTCTCAGCTCCAAGAGACTAGGAAAATAATTCTGTAAGGACCGATGCACCCAACTTTAAGATCTCGAGACTCTGACCAGGCTGAGTAGTGTGTTACAGAAGTCTAGCTCTAGAAGGAATCTTCGCCATCACCTCACCTACCTTCGTCTACTATTGAGCGCTTCCTATGTGCTAGGTGCCATTCTAAGTGCTTTCTGTATATAAATGCACTAAATCCTTACAATCCTCTGAGGTCTTATTATCCCCATTTTACAGCTGAGAAAACTGAGGCTCAGAAGGAAGTAACTTGCCCAAGGTCACAGAGCAGGCCAGTGGCAGAGCCAGGACTCAAACCCAGGCTGTGCTGTCCAGCCATTAGGCCTCTCCCCATTACAAAGATGGGGAAACTGAGGCAAGAGAGGTGTAGTCTTCCATGGATTTCAATCCCCAGGGGCTTGAAGTGATAAACGGTGTTAAGTTTCTTAAACATTTAGTGTCACCCAGCATCACTGGCACCTGCTTTTCATTCACCCTGGGGAGTCAGAGGTGTGCAGAGCAGATTCGGAGCTGCGCTCTCAGTACTGACCTCGCTAACCAGGTACTCTGCCCTAGGAATGGAGGTGCAGTGAACCCTCATCCCGAAGGAAAGCACCTGATTGAAGGAAAGCATCCTGAAGGAAAGCAAGGGAAAGGGCACCTGATTGAACAGCAGGGAGGCTGGGAGGGTTGGGGTGGTCAGGGGCTTCTCTGAGGAAGGGATGGGGGAGGCTGAGGGGGAAGAAGAGCATTTTGAGCAGGAGGGGCGGCACTCACAAAGGCTCTGTGGCAGAAGGGGGGCGTGGAACTTTCTGGAAACTGAACAGAAGCCAGTGTGGCTGGAGTGGAAGGTGAGGGGAGTGGAGGAGGGAGGGACAGGAAGTTGGGGGCAGGCAGGGCTGGGCATGAGGACGATTCTGATCTTTATCTTCAGAGCTAACCACTGTCCCCTCCATCTGATAGTAAACCCTGGACCACAGACAGGAAGGAACTTGCTCAGGGCCACACCGCAGAGTCAGCCACAGTGGTCCCAACATCCAGCTTTTAAAGAAGACACCGAGGAAAGAGACAGAGGGAAGGTAGCTCCCATCACCCCTTTCCTCCCCAAAATCGACACCTAACTCTTCCCACTCTGGGCTTGTTTTGGAAATGATCTTCATTTTCAATGCTCTCGCTCCTATGCCTAGACTGTACACAGAGTAGGTCTTTAATAAATGGGCCCTGCAGAGCCCTGGATTATTCCGGAAAGAATGGCAGTTAGCATGAAAGGCTGAGTCCCAGGGGGGCCTCTGATCCGCAGGATACCCTAAGGGTCATGCTTACAACCTATGAGGTAAAGGCTTTTCCTAGCGCTGGAAGGGCCTGTAATACAGAGTGAGCACCCAGCTGGGCCCACACCTCTGCCATCTCTGTTAGGGAAGAAAACAACGTAACCTGGAAATACTGCAGATCCTTAGCACACACACAGTCTCCTCTGCGTGACGTCACTTTGGTTTGATAAATATGAACAAAGTTAGCACCAGTTGCTCCTCTTAAGCCCCTGGGAAAAGAAACGTCCAGAAGCCTAAGCCTCCCCTGCCTCAGTTTCTTCATCTGTGTAACAGGAGGACACCCAGAGAGGCCTTAATGTGCAGGAAGACTCCAGGGAGAAACTGAGCCAAACGGGCCCTGCACTTCCTGGCAGCCCAGGGAAAGAGGGGCCAGTAACTGTCAGGACAAAACCACTGTCTTTTGGCCCTGGGGGAGCTTCCTGGTAGCCAAAGAGACACAGGATTCTCAGGTATGGCCTGAAAGAGGAGCTGGAAGCAGGGAAGGAACCTGAGCTAAACGGGTGGCAGGGCCAGGACCTTTCCCAGCTGGGCAGGAAGGACGGACCTGAGCCCCTGGACTCTCACTACAGTGCTCAGCCCAGGGGAGGCCGCCCAGCTCTTTCCCAGACAGGGGTCAATGGACCAAGGCAGCAGAGGGTCCCAGGATGCTATGCTGGAACAGGAAACCTGGGTGCTGGTCCAGGCGCCAAGGCCTCAGGCTCCTTTCTGCGAAACGGAGGCAGTACCCATTTGTCCCACGGGGGTGCCTCAACTGCCAGAGACAAGCATCTATCTGGACGGTCACTGTAAGTATCCGTTTACTAACTGTTAAATACCTATGTGGGGCAGGGATCCTGCATCATCAACGACAGCAGCAACTCCTGCTACTGACAAGCACCAGCCTGCCATGCATCTACACTGCACTGCCCCTAACTCATGTCATCCGTGTAACTGTATGGGGTAGAACTGAGGCTCTGAGAGATTAAGTAAATTGGCCCAATTCATAAAGCTTACAAACAACAGAGCCCAGACACAAATGTCAGAATCAATCTATCCAGCCAGAGTTTTTGTTTGTTTTTTTGAGACAGAGTCTTGCTCTGTCGCCCAGGCTGGAGTGCAGTGGTGCGATCTCGGCTCACTGCAACCTCTGCCTCCCGTGTTCAAGTGATCCTCGGTGCCTCAACCTCCTGAATAGCTGGGACTACAGGCGAGCACCACCACACCCAGCTAATTTTTGTATTTTTAGTAGAGGTGGGGTTACATCATGTTGGCCAGGCTGGTCTCGAACTCCTGACCTCAAATGATCCACCTGCCTGGGTCTCCCAAAGTGCTAGGATTACAGGTGTGAGCCACCACGCCTGGCCCAGCCTGAATTTGTAACCCTAATTCTAGACTACGTCCTGGACCATGGATCCATCATCCTAGGAGGTAGGGACTGTATTTAACTTCTTTTTACAATGAAGAAATAGATACTGAGAGAGTTCAGAAACCTACTCAAGGTCACACAGAAACCTACTCAAGACCTTGAATGCAGACCTGCCTGCCCCCAAAGCCTGTGCTCTGTCCACTGTGCTACACCGTCAGGATCTCGAAGAGCCGTAGAGGGCAGATGGAAATGAGGAAGTCTAACCTGGAGAAGGAAAGGCTGAAGAGAAACCAGCAGGGCATGCAGACCAAGACTTAAACCCTTTGTTTGCCACTAGAGGACCCATGGCGGGGTAGGACTTCCCAGAAATGGAATAAACTCCTACCAGTCCTGTGCAAACACTTGGTGGCCTGTTACACGTGCTAGTGAGATCCCCCAGGGTGGCCGGGGCCCAGGGACACCAGTCAGGGCTGCCAAGGATGGGAGGCAGAGTTGTGCAGCGGTTAACTTCGTGGGTACTGGAGGCAAACAGGTGGATCTGATCCTGGCTCCATGACTTTAGAACCTAGTGACCTTAGGCAAGTCACCTGACCTCTCAGAACAGCTGTTGGCTCTTCTGCAAAGAAGGGCAATACTGCCTGATTCAGTGTTGTTGTGTGGATCCAGTGGTACAGGGAGGTGGAGAGGTGTGGGAAGCGCTCCACACAGTGCCTGTGAGGAATTCAGCCCTCCATCCCAGCAGTCCTCATTACTGAGTTTTTAACCCAAATGCTACACGACTACCTCCTAGACCACCAGATCCTCCTCCCAAGGTCTTCTTCCCACAAGACCTCTGTACCCTAGTCCAGTCCTTTCTAAGCTCATCACAATGTCATTCTTGCAGCTCAGGACCTGGCTTCAAGAGACATGGACAGGGCTTGGTCAGGAGCTGCCCTTTGTGCAAAGGGCCTGGGGCAGTTGTTTCTTCTCACCTGGCACCACTGCCCACTCTGGCTGAGCTGGGCAGAAGCAGGCACTCAGCCCTTGCCCAAGGAATATACAAAACGAGGGAGTGGGGAGGGAGTGCAGGCCACAGGGAGCAGTTCCCCACCTCCTGAAGGGCTCTGAACTCAGAACATCCCCTAAGTGCCTATAAGCAAGGAGTCAACAGCTGCCCTCCACAGGGTGGCCAGATCCAGCAAACAAAAATACAGAACACCCAGTTAATTTCCAATATCAGATCATGAATAATTTGTTAATATGTCCCACATATTGCCTGAGACTTACTCATACTAAAAAACTGTTCGTTGTTGATCTGAAATTCAAATTCACCTGGATCTCCTGTACACGACCTGACAACCCTGACCCCTCAGGGCCTTCCAGCACTTTGTTGTCTCTGACTGGTAGCGGCTAACACCCTTGGAGACTGGGGTCTCGTTTGCCAAGTCAAGGGGAGGACCAGCCTTTTCATCCTGGGTACCGAAAGCCAGCATAGCTCATACCTGTGGATGCTCTTAGCCTGTCAGGCCCAAAAAGTTGCTCAAAAAAAGCCCCAAAGAGACTAAGCCCTCCCAAAGGACAGAAACAGCCAACGTTAAAGTCAGCCCTAAGCTGGTACCCCAGAAAGGACCTGGCCCTGGAGTCTGATCCCTATGGGTTCAAATCCTGATATTGCCACTTACTCCCCGTGGGACCTTGGCAATTTACCCAGTCTAAGCTGAAGTTTGCTCATCTGTAAAAAGATGACCATATCAGCTTTCTCATAAGGCTGCCTTGATTAAATAACCTGGCACACCACAGAAGCCCATAAATTAGAGCTCTGTCCCTCCCACTGCCCTCACCTGATCCTCTGTCAGCAATTATTTTAAGCAAATCCCTCATCAGAGAAAAGGCAGTTGGTGTTAACCCCACATTGCCTGGAATAGAGTGCATATTGATACCAACAAGCCTCGGCTGCTGTCACGTAAATTTCTTCCCAGCTGAACGTTCCATCCAAGCCCATTCCCTTGCTCCAGCCATGTCTCCCCACCACCTTTGACTGGAAGCTTCAGGAAGGTTTGCTGAAGCAAGTATGATTAAGAAGGGAAACATGCCTATAGCAAGTCATAGCACAGATGTTGTGTAATAATAAAGTGTATTAAGCCATTGTTTTGTAACCATCTATTTCTCAGGTTCCTTTAGTCCCAGACACCAACAGGGAGCTAAATGCTCTGTCATTCATGAGTAAGAGGACATTCCTGGATATTGCCTCAAAGGAGGCTGCACTAAGACCCAAAATGGCCGGTTTGGTCCAAGGTCCACACCTTCCTGACCAAAACTACAGCCCCTAGCCCCTCTAATGCAAATGGAGCCCAGACACGTGGGCGGCGGGGCTGGGCGGGGAGAAAAAGAACAGCCGCTGGCACCCAGACCCGGACTGAGCTCACGGCTCGGGAAATGAAGACACCACAGGAAGCCCTGCAGTGTTTTCCCCAGTGCACAAAGTTGGGGTTTTCTGCTTTTAAGTAATTTCTGTTGGAGTTCGCGCTTCTTGATTATGAAATAAGGGCGCTGGATGTGTAAACTTTATAAAACCAACTGCTTGGGAACATCTGATTTCCTTAACCCGACTTAGCAAACAAGGAGGCTCCTGAAACGGTGCTGGGACCCGGGGGGCAAGCCCAGTCCCTGACCCCGCGCGGGGGAGGTGAGCCGCCTACAAGCCCCTCCCGCGCACCTTCCTCCTCCTCCAGGGGAATTCTGGGCGTGCAGGCAACAGCAATGCTGGGACCGGCGCTGCCCGCTGGGAGGGTCTGAGTCCGGGAGGGGGCGGCCCTTGCCCTCCGCTGCCACCTCCCACGGCCCCTCAGTGTCGCCCTGCTGGCCTGTGCCTGGATCACTCTCCCTGCTGTGGCCTGCCTGCCCATCTCCTTCTTGCGTGGGGTCTGTACCTTCCCTTCCTCCCTACCATCCCTCTTTCCCCAAAACTCCGGTCCTTCCTCCCACCTTCCGGGAAAATGCAAATGTCCCACTTCCTCCCGCAAAGGGGACCCTCCCCCCAGCCCGTCGCCACCTTCAGGTTCACAGCAGGCAGCTCCATCCCGACTCAGGCCGAGGGCACCTGCGCCGCAGCCGCGGGGGGCTCCTAGGCTCCGAACTCGGGGAACAAACTTGCCCGGCCCCGCCCCGCCCCGCCCGTTGCGGCCACTCCAACCCCAGCGCAGCTCAAGACCACGTGAAACGGGCTGGAGCGGGTCACGTGACCGCCGCTTGGTTGCTAGGAGACGGCGTCGGCAGCTCGCGCCTTCAGCCAAGCTCCAGACTCCCGCCACCGCCCAGGCAGTACTTGGGGGCCGCTGGCGAAAGTTGGAGTTTCTGTCGCCCAGGGCGTATCCTGCCTGGCTAATATTCCAGGAAGCGGACTGTTCGGACTGCCTGCAGCCAGGACAACTGGGGGACCGTCCAGGCGCAAAGTGCTGATGTGGCAACAGCTTGTGTCTCATCCTTGGGGGCACCCTCTCTCCTTCCCACTTCCCTGTGTAAATGGGCTATTTAGGCTACCTACCTCATATGATCCTTATGAGGATTAAATGAGCTAACTGCTGTTGTTAAAGAAAACGTTATTGGGACTGTTGTTAAACCAGTACTGTTCAAGACTTGCTGTAGGGTTATTGCCATGGAGTGAGAGTTTGGGCTCAACACCGAATACAACAAGGACCAAGGAGGGATTTATAGCCAGAGCAGAATGAGGGAGCAGGAATGGAAGATTCCTAGGAGGAGACATCAAGGATGGGGGAGTTCTTGCTAACTTAGCAGGACTCTTGCTGAAACTGGTTTATTATGCAGGCTCAGGCCCAGCAAGGACAGGAAGACACAGAGGTCCAAGGCCGAGGCCTAGTCAAGATGAGGACTCAGAGGAGTCTAACTACGGTTTGTTCTAGGAGAGAACAGTGCCCGGCACTTAGTAAATGGGCAGGACACACAAGCTATTGTTATTACCAACACAAGATGAGGCTGGGCGCAGTGGCTCACCCCTGTTATCCCAGCACTTTGGGAGGCCAAGGAGGGTGGATCACCTGAACTCAGTAGTTCGAGACCAGCCTGGCCAACATGGTGAAACCCCGTCTCTACTAAAAATACCAAAATTAGCAGGGCATGGTGGTGTGCACCTGCAGTCCCAGCTACTCAGGAGGCTGAGGCACGAGAATTGCTTGAACCGGGGAGGCTGCAGTGAGCCGAGATCACGCCACTACACTCCAGCCTGGACGACAGGGTGAGACCTTGTCTGGGAAAAACAAACAAACAAAAAGCAACACCTGAGGAGCCAAATTGGTGGGAGCCCACTTTAATCAGCATACCAAAAGTTTTAGAAAACTCTAGCTGAAAAACCATAAGAAATTCCTCCCCCAATTGTACATGAGGAAAGAAAGGGCTGTCTCCTGCCTCACCTGGCACCTCCCTTAAAGATTGTTGACCACCACATCCCCCCACCGCAACAAGAACATTAATCCGCTCTACCTCCAGGTCCCTTCCTAACATCAACTTTCCTTTAGAGAACACCAGCTTTTGTTTAGTGTCACCTAGGTATGGAAACCTTCAGGGTACACCTGAGCACTTGGTCTTATTCCTAGGGTGGGGGAAACCAGGTGGGAACCTACAAAACTGCCTGGGTGAGTCCTTAGATAATACCAAGACCCATAGTCTCTCCAGATGCAAAGAAAGGGTTTCTCTGGATGGATGAGGAGAGTTTTGCAGGGCTGCAGGGCCCATAGGCCTAACTTAATGCCCTCTTAGGAGGCACAGATCCCCCCAGTCTAGGGGTAAATTAGAGACCAGCCAAATGGCTACATCCAGTTTGATTTAGGACTGGTTGCTATTATTATTATTAGTTCATTATTGGTAATTAATTATTGTTATTAGTAAAGTACTTAGAAGAGAGTAATTTCTCAGTAAGCAGTCAATATTAGAATATTATGTTATTATTATCTTTTTTTTTTTTGAGATGGAGTCTGGCTCTGTCACCCAGGCTGGAGTGCAGTGGCGCGATCTCAGCTCACTGCAACCTCCGTCTCCCGGGTTTAAGTGATTCTCCTGCCTCAGCCTCCTGAGTGGCTGAGACTACAGGTGGGTGCCAACATGCCCGGCTGATTTTTGTATTTTTAGTAGCGATAGGGTTTTGCCACGTTGGCCAGGCTGGTCTCAAACTCCTGACCTCAGGTGATCTGCCCGCCTCGGCCTCCCAAAGTGCTGGGATTTCAGGCGTGAGCCACAGTGCGCAGCCTGATCAATTTCCTTCTAAAAAATATTTCCCATACACTCCAGATTCTAGAGGGATTTAATCCAAGCCTTTAGGTATATAATAAAGTTGTGATCACTTTGTAAGGAGAAAATGAAAAACAGGCCGGGCACGGTGGCTCAAGCCTGTAATCCTAACACTTTGGGAGGCTGAGGCCGGTGGATCACTTGAGGTCAGGAGTTCGAGATCATTTTGGCCAACATGATGAAACCCCGTCTCTACTAAAAATACAAAAATTAGCCAGGCATGGGGGTGTGCACCTGTGGTCCCAGCTACTTGGGAGGCTGAGGCAGGAGAATTGCTTGAACCTGGGAGGTGGAGGTTGGAGTGAGCCGAGATCCTGCCACTGCACTCTAGCCTGGGCAACAGAGTGAGATTCCATGTCAAAAAAAAAACAAAAAAACCGCAAAACAACTCCTAGGATTAGAGCTGACATTTACTAAACTGACATTTACAGGACCCTGTAGGGGCGGAAGGGTGTGATACCTTTCCTCACCCATCATAAAGGTCACAGCTGACACTCCTGTAAAAAAAGACTGCTTAACAAGAGAAAAGCATACCAAGTTTAGTTAAGCAAAGCTTCATGTGACATGGGAGGCTTCAGAGATGAAGACTCAAAGGCCCTGGGAAATCTGTCCATTTTTGTGCTTAGTTTCAAGGAAGAATGAACAGCCCTGTAGCAATGCAATTGGATAAAAAGAAAATGAACAAGTCTTGTCCAGATTCTTCTTGGGCTCTCCATGCAGCATTCCTTCCTCCTGGGTATGAGGTAGAACCCCTCTGTAATGAGGTCTTTAAAGAGAGAAGGGAGAGAGCCACCTTTCTAGGTTTTATGGCTACTTTGGAGACACGGGTTCTAGTTTCTGTGACCCACCTTGGAGAAGGAGGATTTTTTTTTTTTTTTTTCTTGAGACAAGGTCTTGCTCTGTTACCCAGGCTGGAGTGCAATGGTGTGATCATGGCTCACTGCAGCCTCAACCTCCTGGGCTCAGGTGATCCTCCCACTTCAGCCTCCTGAATAGCTGGGATTAGAAGCACCTACCACCATGACTGGCTAATTTTTGTATTTTTTTTTATAGAGACAGGGCTTGCCATGTTGCCCAGGCCGGTCTCAAACTCCTGGGCTCAAGCGATCCACCTGCCTCGGCCTCCCAAAGTGCTGGGATTACAGACTTGAGTCACCTCATCCCCTGCCAAAGGAGGAATTCTTGTTCTGTGACTGCCTCACGGGAGAAGGAGGGGCTGGAGACAGGAGGTCAGGAGGGCGTCACAGAGACCTTGCTTTTGAGGCCTCCAGTCTTCTGTAGTTCATAGTACTTAGCATGCCAAAGCACCAGATATTGGGGTGACATTTTCTGAGCCCCAACAGTAGTTGTCGTGTGGCAGACAGTGTGAAAGGGCTTCATAGTGGGCCAGGCACGGTGGCTCACATCTATAATCCCAGCACTTTGGGAGGCCAAGGCGGGTGGAACACCCGAGGTCAGGAGTTCGAGAACGGCCTGGCCAACATGGTGAAACCCTGTCTCTATTAAAAATACAAAAATTAGCCGGGCATGATGGCACATGCCTATAATCCCAGCTACTCGGGAGGCTGAGGCATGAGAATCGCTTGAACCCAGGAGGTAGAGATTGCAGTGAGCCGAGATCCTGCCATTGCACTCTAGCCTGAGAGACTGAGAGACGGAGCGAGACCCTGTCTCAAAAAAAAAAAAAAAAAAAAAGAAAGTTCTTCATAGTAAATGCTCACAACAGAACTATGGCACGCGCTGTTCTTATTCCTGTTTACACTTAGGCAACTGAAATCAACAGAAGTGAAGCCGCTTGCTGCAGGCACAGCACTAATTGCTGCTGGAACTGCGGTGGGACCCAGGAAGCCTGGCTCCAGGACCCTGACGTGTAACCACACAGCAGAAAAATCCGGCCAGGGCTGAAATGAGAAGGATAGAGTGAAGCAAGTAGGAGAAGACAAGGATCGGAAGGCAGCACAAGGCTGGGCCTGTGGAACGTCCCTGTGGCTCAGACACTGACACTGTATTCATCTCCACCAGCTGGGGCCAGAGGCGGAGGGAGGAGAGCACGAGAACACCCAGCTGGCTGGGCGGGCTTGGCAGGCTGGTGGGGTTGGGGGGATGCGGGGAGGTGGGAAGCACGGAGAAACAAAAGAAAGTGAAACTGTCGGTATCCTCAAAGGAACCGGAGTTCCTGCCACGACCTATTCTTGGCTATGGAAGGACATAATAGACCCCCACGTGGCATTCCACAAGGCTTGGGGTCATGTATTGAGTGAGTACAGACACTCCCCAACTTACAATGGTCTGACATGATTTGTCTACTTTCCAACAGTGCGAAAGCGATCTGCGTTCAGTAGAAACCATATTTCCAGTCCCCAGTATAACCGTTCTGTTTTTCACTTGCAGTATAGTGTTCAATAAATTCCATAGGGTTTTCAGCACTTTATTATGAAATAGGCTTGTTTTTCATGATTTTGCACAACTGTAGGCTAATGTAAGTGTTCTGAGCATGTTTAAAGTAGGCTAGACTAAGCTATGATGTTCAGTAGGTTAGGTGTATTAAATGCATTTTATTTTCTTTTTTTGAGACAGGGCCCTCTAGGTGCTCTGTCACCCAGACTGGAGTACAGTGGTGCAACCTTGGCTCACTGCAGCCTCCAACTCCTGGGCTCAAGTGATCCTCCCATCTCAGCCTCCCAAGTAGCTGGTATTACAGGCTCACACCACCATGCCCAGCTAATTTTGCTTTTTTTTTTTTTCTTGAGATGAACTCTCACACTGTCGCCCGGGCTAGTGTGCAGTGGGGCGATCTTGGCTCGCTGCAGCCTGCACCTGCCGGGTTCAAGCAATTCTCCTGCCTCAACCTCCCAAGTAGCTGGGACTACAGCCATGTGCCACCACACCCGGCTAATTTTTGTATTTTTAGTAGAGACGGGGTTTTACTGTGTTGGCCAGGCTGGTCTCAAACTCCTGACCTCATGATCCACCTGCCTTGGCCTCCCAAGGTGCTGGGATTACAAGCGTGAGCCACCGTGCCCGGCCAGAGGGGACATTTGTTTCTGTGACTACTTAAAACTAATGAGGGCTGACTCTGAACGATTTGTCCCGATGGCACAGAATTCAATCTTACAGCGGCATCCCTTGCTGACACTTATGGACTCCAGCCAGCCTCCATAAATACTCCTTGAGCTTTAAAACACAGGAAATCATGCCTGATGTTCCGGCTGCTCTGCCACCTCATCAGGGTCCTATGAAAATTACTGCCGGTTAAGAATGATCCCCGCCAGGCCTTCCCAGACATGTGGCAATAGTGCCCTGTCCCTCCAGAGACCCTTGTGCTCAGAGAACCCATCAGAATGCCCTATGGAACCTTTGGTGATTGTAGAAAAGGCAGAAAAGGAAATTGCCTGTGCCCTGTTGGAGTCCAGGAAGCTGTGGCTGTGTTAGAAACCACCCAGAACACAAGCGGAAGTAAGAGGCTATTGCCCAAGAGGAAGGAGAGGCACTTCAGCTACTCTCAAATTCTGACCTATGGTATTTCCTTCAACCCCTGCTGCATACAGCAGCAATCCTCTTATTTTATTGTGTGCGTGTGCACGCACATGTGCAGGTGTGTGTGTGTGTGCATGTGTGTAGGTGTGCATGGGCATGTGCATGGGTGTGCATGTGCGGTGGTGTGTGTGTGTGCATGTGTGTAGGTGTGCATGGGCATGTGCATGGGTGTGCATGTGTGTGGGTGTGGGTGTCTGCATGTGCGGGTGCGTGTGTGTGCGTGTGCATGTATGTGTGGGTGCGTGTGTGTGTGTGCATGTGCATGCTCACGTGCTTTCCTCAACTCTGAGCATCTTGTTCAGAGATCAACTCCAGCCCCTGGCCCAGGCCCTGCACGGAGCGAGTTTCAATGTGTGCTGCTTGCCTCCCGCCTCCCATGGCCTGTCCTGGTTGTGTCATAACTTCAGGCTGCTTCCTCCTCCTCTCTTCGTTCTCCCATTTTTCCACGTGGATGCTGCTGGAATTCCAAGGGAGGCGTTGGAGGGCTCTGGCTGAATCTGAGTGATGGCTCAGATACACACATGAGGCCTGTTGTGGTCACTGAGCCCGACGGCCCGAGACGCCTATCTGCCATGGGGTTTATCTTTGGTGTTTGCTTTCACTGCTTTCAGGCCTCACTGGCGGTGGCTTTCACGTCTGACTCTGCTGCAGGCTCTTCGAGGTCTCATCTTCCTTGCAGGGGGCCAGTGGCCACAGGGAGAGAGAAGAGAAGAACGAGGAAGTGGGTGGGGGAGGGGAGGGTGCTTCCACTGGCTCTCTGGAAGGAATCCAGCCCTCTTCCTCTCTGGGAAGCCGGCCTGAAGGTGAATCCAACTTCGGTCCTGGCAGCCCCCTGCCTGACAGCGGCCTCGATGGGTCCTAAATGAGTGGCACAGTGCCTGTGAGGTGGGAGTAGGGGTGAGATCAGTGATCAGCTCCTAGTAGGTGCTCAGTAAACTTCAGGTATTTGAGAGGCAACACGGGGTCATGGACATGATCAGGTTTTGGAGTCAGGCAGACCTGGGGGAGGCCTCTCCAGCACCACTTTGGGCAAGTGGCCTTAATTCCTTTGTGCTTCCATTTTCATGCTTGGCAAAAGAAGGTCTAACAGTTCCCAGTTACGCAAGAGGAGGGGCGCCTCACGCCGTCAATGGAGGCCAGGGCTGTGTCTGGAGGAAGGTGTTCCCTCTGTACACAGGTATTCTGCTCTGTGCCAGGCGCTGACACAGGTCAAGGTCGGGATGCACAGTGCCAGTTCAAGACCACAGCATATAGCGCCGTCCAATTGTGCCCTTGCCGCAGTGCCTAATCGCCAGCAGGGACAGAGCCCAGGCTCCTGACTGTGGTTCCCCAGTGCAAACGTGTGAGTTTCAGGATATGCCATCGTGTGTTGGGGGAGGTGTGATGAAGGGACAGGGGCAGCTCTGTTTTGTCATTTGCTGACCCAGTCAGGCATCCATTCATATCGCTCCTCACCCGATCCCTCCCCACCCCATCCCACCCCAAATTGCAATTTCATGTCCTAACACTGGGTAGACACTGGTCTGGGCCCACCACAGCATGTGTGTCCATGTTCATGACCAGGGTTGGCCACCGCTACACTGAGGCTCAAGCTGCCAAACAGAGTGAGGAAGCCCAGAGCTTCATGACCCGCCACGGTCAACTCTGTCGCACGTCCAGTCACCGGGATCTGAGCTGGGGAGCTGAGCTCCAGAAAGCTCCATGATGGTCAATTTCGTGTGTCAGCTTGGGCAAGTTCTAGTATCCAAGGTTTCAGTCAAAAAAGAATGTAGGTGTGTGTGAGGGCATCTGCAGTCAGTTGGCTTGAAGGAAAGGAGGGTACCCCTGAGAATGTGGTGGGCCTCATCCTATCAGTTGAAGGCCTTAAGAACAAAAACTGAGGTCTTGGGAGAAGAAATTCAGCCTCAAGACTGCAGCATTAACTCCTGCCTGAGTTTCTGGCTTGCCTGCCTGTCCTACTAATTACAGACTTGCCAGCCCCTACAATCATGGGAGCCAATTCCATAAAATAAATCTCTTTATATACAGTCATGCATTGCTTAACAGCAGGAATACATTCTGAGAAATGTGTCATTAGACAATTTCATTGATGGGCAAACATCATAGCATTACACACTGCAAACATCATAGTGTGTACTCACACAAACCTAGATGGTGAAGCCTCCCACACACCTAGGCTCTCTGAGATAGCCTGTTGCTCCTGGGCCACAGACTTGCACAGTATGTTACTGTACTGAATACTGCAGACAACTGTGACACAATGATGAGTATTTGTGTATCTAAACATATCTAGACATAGAAAAGGTACAGTAAAAGTATGGTATTAGAATCTTATGGCATGGTGGCTCATTACAGGCATGGTGGCTCATGCCTGTAATCCCAGCACTTTGGGAGACTGAGGCAGAGGATCACTGAGGCCAGGAGTTTGAGACCAGCCTGGGCAACATAGCGAGACCCCGTCTCTACAAAAAATACAATAATTAACCAGGCTAATTACTGTATTTATAATACAATAATTATTATTGCATTAATAATACAAAACTTCGGAGGCCGAGGCAGGAGGATCATTTGAGCCCAGGAGTTTGAGGCTGCAATGAACCATGATTGTGCCACTAGACATAGTGTCATGACTGTGCGCAACCTAGACGTAAAGCCAGATTCTGTCTCAAAAACAAAACAAAACAATCTTATGAGACCACTGTTGTATGTGTGGTCTGTCATTGACTGAAATGTTTATATGGTACATGACTGTGTGTATACACACACACACACACACACACATGAGATATATAAATACATAGATATTTTAAGATATATAAATAATATCCAATTGTTTCTGTTTCTCTGGAGAACCCTGACTGATCCACCCCAGTGCAGCCATCTGCCCTCCACCAAGGGCTGCACCCAGGCTGCTGGCACTGAGAGCTGACATCCTGTGGCCTTGGGCTTGACTGCCCTAACCCCTTATCTCAGCACTGTTCTGACCTTTATTAGTAGAAATGGGATCCAGTGGACATCCCAGGACAGAGGGGTTTGGCTTTTAGATGGCCAGCATGCCTTTCTGTAACCTTTGACCCAGGGGTCAGTAGTACAGACTGGGGTCAGCAAGCTACAGCTCCTGGACCAAATCTGGCCCGCTACCCTTTTGTGTAAATAAAGTTTTATTGGAACGCTGCTGTGCTCACTCATTTGCATGCATCTGTTTCTGTGTGATCCATGGCTGCTTTCATACGACGATGGCAGAGTTGAGTAGTGGGCAGAGAGGGTATGACTTGCAAAGTCTCTTGGAGGGGTACAGGCCTTCTGGGCTCAGCTCCTCAGAACCATCCCCCGTGGGAGCTCCTCCAGCCACCTGGGGCTGTGTGGGGAGGACTGTGAGTTCTCAGAAGATTTGGTGCAGCAGCTCTCAGACTTGAGTTTCAGTTGTGCAGATTCCCAAGCCCATGCCTGGAATTCTGAGTCAGAGGCCCAGGTGGGGCTCAGAAACCTGGGCTTGCCGTCCACAGGATTCTGATGCTGGGGGTCCGAGGACCCATGTTTTAGGAAACCCTGGATTTGGGAAGCCTGATTTTCCCTGTCCTGGCTAGGCAGAGACGTCTCTGCAGATACGGACACCAGGCTCTCAGGGCGCCCCATCTCTGTGGTCACCACGGCCCCCAGGGGTGTCTGGGCCCCACCTTGGCTTTAGGATCAAGGTCACTGGGAGACATAACAGCCTGCCCGAGGAAGCCCTGGTCAGCAGAGCTGGGCGGCACTGGCTGGAACTGCCACCACGATAAGAGATGTCCTTCCTGGTGCCAAGCCAGGCCACCCCCTCACCAGTTCATGCCCTTTCCCAAGATGGCAACTGACCCTGCCCCAGCCCTGGCTTCTGTTGAGCTGCCTTGTCCTTTCTTATCTTGCAGGAGTCCCGCTTCTGCTCTTCTCTGCACTCGGCCACCTTGGCTCGGAAGGAAGCTGCTGGGGACCGGCCTGCTGCAACCCACCTCAGAATCTCTTTCGGACCTCAGCTGCCCCAACCCTAAAATGGGTAGGGAGATAAAAATCTGGGACTCCGGCCAGGTGCGGTGGCTCATGCCTGTAATCCCAGCACTTTGGGAGGCCGAGGTGGGTGGATCACTTGAGGTCAGGAGTTTGAGACCAGCCTGGCCAACATGGTGAAATCCCGTCTGTACTAAAAATACAAAAAGTAGCCTGGCGTGGTGGCACACGTTTGTAATCCCAGCTACTCGGGAGGCTGAGGCAGGAGAATTGCTTGAACCTGGGGGGCAGAAGTTGCAGTGAGCCGAGACCGTGCCACTTTACTCCAGCATGGGTGACAGAGCAAGACTCTGTCTAAAAAAAAAAAAACAACAAAAAAATCTGAGACTCGCAGTCAAGAGGTCTGGCTGAGGGATTATGATGAGGACCAGGCGAGGGCAGGGGTCCTGTCTGCCTTGTTTGCTGCTTAGCTCAGGGCAAATGCTCAGTCCAGTGTGTTGAGAAGTC
This sequence comes from Homo sapiens, assembly GCF_000001405.40. Taxonomy (NCBI): domain Eukaryota; kingdom Metazoa; phylum Chordata; class Mammalia; order Primates; family Hominidae; genus Homo; species Homo sapiens. The sequence goes on along the minus strand of NC_000001.11, from coordinate 11,725,961 downwards.
ATAGGTGGAATACCAGGCTAAGGATCCCCTCCAAATGCCCCTGTAGAGCTCACTACCAGCACAGACAGACCGTCTCCTGGAGGAACAAAGAGAGACACCAGGTGGGCTTTTTAACCATCGTCTCTTTATTTACAGCTCAAGAGCACATGCAACATGACATCATGAAACTACAAGGGCGTGGCACTTCCCCCTCCCCCTGCCGCTCCCCAACTTTAAAAAGGAAGTACAGCACCCTAGGAAGTTGCCTAAGAGTCAGAAAACCCTACACTGAGGGTCCCAGGCCGAGGTGCTCCATTCATTGCCTCCAAAAATAAAGACCAGTTGCAGCCCAGGAGGCTTGGGCCTCAGAGCCTGGGAGTTTGTCATTGCTGGTAATTAGCTACGCAAAACAGGTCTCGGATTTGCCAGCTCACACCTGAATACAAATAGCCCGAATTATCCGAATGTCCCTGACCACCCCACATTTCTGTTTTCCCCGTCGTATCCTAGACCTGTGATTCTCAAATTTGATCGTGCCCAAGAATGACCTGGAGAACTTGTGAAAAGCCAAATGGCTGGGCCCCACCCCCAGAGATTCTGGCTCAGTAGGCGTGGGGTGGTGGGGCCCAAGAATCTACATTTCTTTTTGTTTTTTTTGTCTTTTTTTGAGACAAGGTCTCGCTGTATTGCCTAAGCTGGAGTGCAGTGGTGCGATCATGGCTCACTGCAGCCTCAACCTCTTGGGCTCAAGCGATCCTCCCACCTCAGCCTGGAGAATAGCTGGGACTACAGGTGTGCACCACCATGCCCGGCTAATTTTGTTATTTTTTGCAGAGATGAGGTCTCCCTATGTTGCCTAGGCTAAGATTCTGCATTTCTACCAAGCTCCCAGGTGCTGTTACTGGCCCGGGACCGTAATCTTGAGTGTCTAAGGTCTAGAAAGCCTCTTGCACCCAGAAGTGACCCAGCCATGGATCCTGTATCAGACTGCTTGTTCTGACTTAGAATTCAGAAAATACACTCCCTGCAATATAAACCCCTGGTTCTGCAAACTGCCCTTCCCAGGAAAGGCAACCGTCCCTGCTAACCTCCTCCCCAGGAAACACACACAGTCACCATTGCCTGTCAGAGTGAAGACTATCACAGAGGTGACAGGGCTCAGTCCAACCCCGTGAAACCCCCAGTGAGGAGCCACAGTGGTTTGCTTCTCTGGCCTCTCCACTGTCTCTCCTAGCACCATTTTCCTGGCTGTTCTGTTGTTTTATAAACCGGTTCCTTGCAGGTTTCAGGTATGCTGTCTCTCCAGCTGCAGAGTGAGCCCCACGGCAGGGGCCGTGTGCCCACCACCTCAATGTTAGGTTTTGTTGGGTGGGTTGAATATGGCTTGAAATAAGGACCCACCTCCAGCAGCTCAGTGGTAGAAGGGGTTGTGGCTTTAGGATTTACTTTGTGGCTTGGTCACTCCTCAAGGGGCTGTGAAGCTGTCATTTTCCCACAAGCCTTGGCCCTCATGTCATTGCATGCTCAGCCTATTCCCAGCAGGCATGGAAACCACTCTTGGTGTCTCCAGACAAACTACGGAAAGGCAGCCCTGTGGGAACAGCAGGTATTCCTGGGATCCGCGGTGAGACTCCAGCTGGAGGAGTGCAGGAGGGTTCAGGCCACGGGCCCAGCAGCTACTGGTTGCCACCTGGCCTCCTGCTCAGCTCCCCCACTCCACCCAGGGTATCATTTTAGACTCCAGCACCCATTTTATTGCAAAGCCACTTACTCCTCCAGCCCTGCCTCGGTGCCTGGAATCTGCACATGCTGCCAAGGGCTGAGGCCAGAACAGTTTTCCAAACCTCTCTGACCATGGAACCGTACCCTGACCCTTTCTAATAGAGCATCTCATGGTCCCAGTGTTCTATGGAACACACTTTGGGGAAGGAGCTTGAATGGTGACTTAGAAATGATCTCAGAGTATGTGATGGGTCATTGTCAAAGAACCGACATCTAAAATTCTCCTAGAATAACAAATTAGCTAACACTGGAGGTTTATTAGGTGCTAGGCACTGTTCTAAACACCTTATAAGAATTCTGCGTTCACAGGCCAGGCATGCTGGCTCATGCCTGTAATCCCAGCACTTTGGGAGGCTGAGACGGGGGGATCACCTGAGGTCAGGAGTTTGAGACCAGCCTGGCCAACATGGTGAAACCCCATCTCTACTAAAAATACAAACAGTAACCGGGCGTGGTGATGCTTGCCTATAATCCCAGGTACGCGAGAGGCTGAGGCGGGAGAATCACTTGTACCCAGGAGGCAGAGGTCGCAGTGAGCCGAGATCGTGCCACTGCACTCCAGCCTGGGCAACAAGAGTGAAACTCTGTCTCAAAAGAAAAAAAAAAAAAAAGAAGTATGCATTCACTACTCACAACAACCCTATGAAGGGAGAGTTATTATTCCCATTTTACAGATGAAAAAATCAAGGCACAGAGACCTTAAGAAACTTTCCTAAGGTTGCCAAAGCTGTGAGAGGTGGAATAGGTGGATTTAACACCAGCCACACTGCTACAGATGGAAGGGGAGAGCAGAGACTCTCCGCCCCAGCTGCACCTGAAGTTACCTGGGAGAAAAACTATGAAGCCCAGACCAAACAAAACAGAAGCTTTGTGGGTGGGCCCCAGGCCTGTGAATGTTCCTGGATTATTGCAACGTGCAGCCAGCGTTGAGAGTGAGCAGGCTTGAGCAGGGGTTGGCAAACCGTGACCCTCAGGCCAAATCTGCCCCACTGCCTGGTTTTGCGCAGTTGGCAAGCAAAGAGCAGTTTTTGCACTTTTAAATGGTTTTAGAAAATTAAACTAATAATATTTTATGGCCAGGTGCGGTGGCTCACACCTGTAATCCCAGCATTTTGGGAGGCTGAGGCGGGCGGATCACCTGAGGTCAGAAGTTTGAGACCAGCCTGGCCAACATGGTAAAACCTTATCTCTACTAAAAATACAAAAATTAACCAGGTGTGGTGGCACATGCCTGTAGTCACAGCTACTTGGGAGGCTGAGGCAGGAGAATTGCTTGAACCTGGGATGAAGAGGTTGCAGTGAGCTGAGACTGAGCCACTGCATTCCAGCCTGGGCAGCAGAGCAAAACTCCATCTCCAAAAAAAAAAAAAAGGAAAGAGAGAATAATATTTTGTGACATGTGAAAAGTATACAGAATTCACATGTGTGTCCAGAAATAGTTTTCCTGGAGCATAGCCATGAATTCATTTACACACTCTCTGTGGCTGCTTCGAGCTACGGCAGAGCTGAGTAGCTGGTGGAGATCAGATGGCTTGCAAATCCTAAAATGTTTATTTGGCTCCTCACAGTAAAAGTTTGCTAAACCCTGGATTAGAGGAAACTGGCTTCTGTATGAGCAAAATAAATTTAAGATAGACCTAAGGAAGAACTTCCTGGCAGAGAGGTTGGTTAGACACTTGAGAGGGCTTTGGGATTCCCAGCTCTGGAGTTAAGAGGTTCCATCCACCCATCCCTCTTTGGAAATGTCAAATAGAGATAGCTAGGGCAAAGAGACGGGCCTTGAATTTCCAACCATGGAACTACCCTGGCAACCAGTGGCAGTTCTATGGGCATTTTAGCTTTGTCCTGACCCTCTGTGTTCTCCATGGCTGATGTCCTAGGACCATCTAACAGCTGTCCCCCAGCCATAGTAATGCTGGGCTTTCTTCCGGCGGTACTCCTTAGGGTTCTAGCCCCACAGAGCCAGCACAGTCCCGAGTCACCACTTAATGTGAGGCACACACAGCATGTGTGGGTTGTCTGGTCTCAAGTACGAAGCTGCTGGCAGATCTGCCTTTTTACATTTTTAAGTGTTTTATATTTTTGGAGTCTCACTCTGTCGCCCAGGCTGGAGTGCAATGGCGTGATCTTGGCTCACCGCAACCTCCGCCTCCTGGGTTCAAGTGATTCTCCCGCCTGAGCCTCCTGAGTAGCTGGGATTACAGGCACCTGCCACCATGCCTGGCTAATTTTTGTATTTTTAGTAGAGATGGGGTTTCACCATGTTGGTCAGGCTGTTCTCGAACGCCTTACTTCAAGTGATCTGCCTACCTCGGCCTCCCAGAGTGCTGGGATGTCAGACATGAGCCCTCGTGCCCAGCCTTAATTTTTGTATATTTGGTAGAGACCGGGTTTTGCCATGTTGGCCAGGCTGGTCTCAAACTCCTGACCTGAGGTGGTCCGCCCACCTCAGCCTCCCAAAGTGCTGGGATTACAGGCATGAGCCATTGTGTCTAGCCATATCTGCCTTTCAGCTAGCCTGCTTTGATCTCCCAGTTCCCCTGCCCTCCCTGCTCCCTCCCCACAAGGTTCCCATGCCCATCAAACTTGGATAGGGAGAGAACAAGCATATTTAATTTCTTCTAGATCTGCCTGCTTTCCTTGGTGCCTGACCCCTGACCCCGACTGATTTTTCCAACGCAGTAAACATCTCTGGCATCTTATGGGCGTGATCCAGGCCAGTGAGGAATTTGGCCAGGAAAGTCTTTTGTCATTTGCAACCTGGTTCGCCCTGGAACAGAGGGTTGGCCAGGAGTGAGATGCCAAGTGGGGGGATTTAAATGGTTCTCCTGAAGTGACCCCTGAAGCCAGATCTGCTGGGACAGATGTCCTGGGTGGGCATTGTGAGTCTGGCCTGTTAGGGGCAGTTAGCTTCAGATAGCACCTCAATTTCAGGTGAGCCTCAACTTCCCAGTGGGCTCTGCTGCAAAAATGTGGGGTGGGGTTCCAGGGATGGTTTTGTGGTCCTGGAAATCACTAAACAGTATGCAAAGTGGGTAAACATGGGCAATATGTGTGGGGTTTTTTTGGATTCCATGCTTGCATCAGAACCCCTGGGGGGGAAGTGCTCCAGAAAACTGTAAAGTGCCTGTCCAGGACTGGATGATCAGGACCACAGGGACATAAAGGCCAACATGATTCTTTTCCCCAAACACTTCTTATCCCAGGATATCAGCTACTAGACCACAGGGATCAACCTGCCCAACTTATTCCTGCAAGCAAGTATGTGCTTAAGTTGTATTTTGTTTTGTTTTTAAACATGATACACCTTTATCCAGGGAAGGCAGAGAACAGTCAAGTTATTCCAGCCACAGAGGAAGGGAATACCAGGGTGTGAGCCTCTCTTGCCAAAAGCCTTAGAGAATCTGGAAGAAATTCTTGGCTGTGGAGCAGCAAGAACGTGGGCCTTGGAGCTGGACAGCCTTGGCCCAGGTTCATGTCCTTGCTCTGCCATGTACTTCCCAGGACCTCTCAGTGGGTCCCTGGGCCAGCAGCCTCGCGTTCCCTGGGAGCTTGTTAGAGCACAGAGCCCACTGAGTCAGATGTGCTTTTTTTTTTTTTTTTTTTTGAGATGGAGTTTCACTCTTGTCCCCCAGGCTGGAGTGCAGTGGCACGATCTCTGCTCACTGCAACCTCTGCCTCCCAAGTTCAAGCGATTCTGGTGCCTCAGCCTCCGAGTAGCTGGGATTACAGGTGTGCACCACCGCGCCTGGCCTAATTTTTGTATTTTTAATAGAGACGGGGTTTCCCCATGTTGGCCAGGCTGGTCTCGAACTCCTGACCTCAGGTGAGCCACCCGCCTTGGCCTCCCAAAGTGCTGGGATTACAAGCGTGAGCCGCCGCGCCCGGCCAGATGTACATTTTTAACTGGACCTCCAGGTGACTCTTAGCATGTTCAGGTTTGAGGAGCACTGACCTGGGACCCTGGGCAAGTCGAGTCAAATAACTCCAGCGTGCCTCACGGTCCTCAACCTGTCGCATGGTGATAATGCCTACTTGAAAAGGTCGTTGTGATAATTCAATGAGATAATGTATTCCAGCACTTAGCACAGTGCCTGGTACATAGGAGATGTTCCATATTCATCTCCTGATGGTGGACCTTCTTTCGGGAAGTTTAAATTTCTTTTCCACTCTCAAAAACGCCTCTTGGTTTTGAACTTGAAGCTGTTGCAGTGCTGGAGTCGGACAGTAGAGGGCACTCTCGGCATTGCCATCGCGGAGAGCAAGACACGCGGGATGGAGGCTGCGTGGGTCCGGACTTCGTGTGTGCAGGTGCTGCGGGCCGGCTCCTGGGCACCCACCCAGCTCATTCGCCGAGCGGCTCCCCTCCTGGGGTTGAGTGTCCTGGGCCTGAGTCTGCAGCCTCAGCCATCTGTTCCCCAACTTGATCTCCCACTGCTAGTTACAAACAAATCGCCCGGCTTGTGCAAACCTCCTGGGCTCAGTCCCCAGTCCCGCGGGGCCGCTAGACGTTGATGAAGGATCCCTGGTCGCCGTTGGCCGTCTCGGGCTCCACACAGCGCCCTTTCCTCCGTGTAACCCTGCGGTTCCGGTGGAATTTGGCATAGCAGCGCAGCCCTGGGCGAGTGGAGGCAAGGGGGGTCAGAGGCGCGAAGGGCCCGTGCCCTCCCCTTCCTTCCCCTGCACGCTCGGGGCCAGCCAGCTCCCTCCTGCCTTCATTATTCTGCCCTACAACCCAGCTTCCTCACGGCAGCCCCAATGAGCTTAAAAGACACGAACCCGGAAGAGGGGAGGAATGAACACGGAAGGAGAACAGAGAAGACTCAGGGCGGTCGGGGCGGTGAACATATTCTGTGTGACACGTAATGGTGGGACATGGCATGCATTTGTCAAAACCCACAGAATGCACCGCACAGTGAACTATAACTTACGTTGACTTCAGTTAGTAATAATAATACATCACTATTGGTTTGTCAAGCAACAAATGTACCAAGAGAGGCCGGGCACGGTGGCTCACGCCTATAATCCCAGCGCTTTGTAAGGCCGAGGCAGGTGGATCACTTGAGGTCAGGAGTTTGAGACCAGCCTGGCCAACATGGTGAAACCCCGTCTCTACTTAAAAAAATACAAAAACTACCCGGGCATGGTGGTGGGTGCCTGTAATCCCCGTTACTTGGGAGGCTGAGGCAGGAGAATCACATGAACCCGGGAGGTGGAGCTTGCAGTGAGCCAAGATCATGCCACTGCACTCCAGCTGGGGCGACAGAGCTAGACTCCCTCTCAGAAAACAAACAAACAAACAAACAAACAAACAAATCTACCACATGATTGCAAGATGTTATTAATAGGAGAAACTGCATGCAGGGGCAAAGCAGGTATATGAGAACCACATTCTGTGAAATTTTTCTAGAAAACTGCTCTAAAAATAAAGTCCACAGGGTACGGTGGCTCACACCCGTAATCCCAGCACTTTGAGAGGCTGAGGTGGGAGGATCGCTTGAGCCCAGTAGTTCCAGACCAGCCTAAGCAACATAGGGAGACCCTATCTCTACAAAAAATGTAAAAATTAGCCAGGCATTGTGGCATACACCTGTAGTCCCAACTATAGGAAGGAGGGGCTAACATGAGAGGATCCTTTGAGCCCAGGAGTTCCAGGCTGCAGTGCGCCTTGGTTGCACCACTGTAGTTCAGCCTGGGTAACAGAGTGAGACTCTGTCTCAAAAAAATTAAAAAATAAAATACACAGATAAATTCAATTAAAAAGTCTATAATCTTGAAAATTGGAAAGGAAAAAGGTTATTAAATTTTTTTTTAAGTGGCTCAAATTCTGCCCTTCCCTGTAAAACATCCTATGGAGAGCCATTGCTTTTTTTTTTTTTTTTTTTGAGATGGAGTTTTGCTCTTGTCACCCAGGCTGGAGTGCAGCGGCACCATCTTGGCTTATGAAACCTCTGCCTCCTGGGTTCAAGTGATTCTCCTGCCTCAGCCTCTCGAGTAGCTGGGATTACAGGCATGCGCCACCACACCCAGCTAATTTTGTATTTTTTTTTTTTTTTTTTAGCAGAGATGGGGTTTCACCATGTTGGCCAGGCTGGTCTTGAACTCCTGGCCTCAAGTGATCTGCCCACCTCCGCCTCCCAAAGTGATGGGATTACAGGCATGAGCCACCGTGCCGGGCCTCCCTTTTTTTTTTTTTTTTTGAGACAGGGTCTTGCTCTGTTGCCTGGACTGGAGTGCAGTGGCATGGCAAGATCTCGGCTCACTGCAATCTCTGCCTCCTGGGCTCAAGTGATCCTCCCCACTTCAGCCTCCCAAGTAGCTGGTACTATGGGTGTGCGCCACCACACCCGGCTAATTTTTTTTTTTTTTTTTGTATTTTTGGTAGAGACAGTGTCTCTCTACCTTGCCAAGGCTGGTCTCCAACTCCGGGCTCAAGGATCCACCTGCCTTGGCCTCCCAAAATGCTGGGATTACAGGCATGAACCACCCCGCCTGGCCTCCAATGCCCACTTCTGTCTACCCTTTCTTTTTTTTTTTTTGAGACGGAGTCTCTCTCTGTTGCCCAGGCTGGAGTGCAGAGGCACGATCTCAGCTCACTGCAACCTCCGCCTCCTGGTTTCAAGAGATTCTCCTGCCTCAGCCTCCTGAGTAGCTGGGATTACAGGTGCGCGTCACCACACCCGGCTAATTTTTGTATTTTTAGTAGAGATGGGATTTCACCATGTTGGTCAGGCTGGTCTCAAACTCCTGACCTCATGATCTGCCCGCCTTGGCCTCCCAAAGTGCTGAGATTACAGGCATGAACCACTCCCCTGGCCTCCAATGCCCACTTCTGTCTACCCTTTCTAAAACAACTGTAGGACTCATTATCATATTATTATCTTTATAGCCCTTATTACTTACTTTTTTTTTCTTTTTGAGACAGAGTCTCACTCAGTCACCCAGGCTGGAGTGCAATGGCAGGATCTCGGCTCACTGCAATCTCTGCCTCCCGGGTTCAAGCGATTCTCATGCCTCAGGCTCCCGAGTAGCTGGAATTACAGGCAAGTGCCACCATGCCCATCTAATTTTTGTATTTTTAGTAGAGACAGGGTTTCACCATGTTGGCCAGGCTGGTCTCACTCCTGACCTCAAGTGATCCTCCTGCCTCGGCCTCCCAAAGTGCTAGGATTACAGGCATGAGCCACCATGCTCGGCCATAGCCCTTATTATTTTCTAAAGACATACTATCTATGTATTTGATTGTTGTCTGCTCATATCACTAGAATGTAATTCATGGGCACAGAACTTGCTGGTTCTTTTCACTACTGAACCCCCCAGTGTCCAGAGCAATGTCTGATACGCAGTAGGTGCTCCCTAAATATTTAACTGATTAGATGAGTGAATAATCAGAACTACATAGCTTTATTGCCGAGGCGGGAGGATCCCTTGAGCCCGGGAGTTAAAGCTACAGAGAGCTGGGATTGCGCCACTGCACTCCAGCCTGGGTGACAGAGTGAAACCCTGTCTCAAAAAATAATTAAATTAAATTTAAAAGTCCACAATTTTAAAAATTGGGAAGAAAAAGATGTATTATCATCATTTTTAAGACAGGGTCTCGCTCCATCATCCAGGCCGGAGTGCAGTGGCACGATCATGGTAGATAACTCTCTGAGGCTAATATGAGCAAAACGGGGCATGTATCTCAGGTCCACAGAGGGGCTGAGCCCCAATTCCCCCATCCAGGAGATGTGTGAATGCTGATTTGATATTGGATGGAACTGATTAATTATCGTTCATGTTTGGCATTTTGTTTTTAAAAGAGTACTTGTCTTTCAGAGGTACACACTAAAATATTCACAGGTGAAATACCTGTAAGCTCCCAGGAGTTGCTTAGAAATCATGTCGGAATAAGGAAAGTGTGTGAGAGATGATAGACACAGATTGGCCGTGAGTTGGTATTGAAGCAGAGTGATGAGAAATGGGCGCTCATTAGACTATTCTAACTACTTTAGTATATATTTGAAACTTTGCAGAATACAAAATTGAAACTGGCTGGGTGTGGTGGCTCATGCCTGTAATCCCAGAACTTTGGGAGGCCAAGACAGGTGGATCGCTTGAGGTCAGGAGTTTGAAACCAGCCTAGGGAACATGGCAAAACTCTGCCTCTACCAGAAATACAAAAATTAGCTGGGCTGGTGGCATGCGCCTGTAGTCAGAGCTACCTGCAGGGCTGGGATGGGAGGATCACCTAAGCCTGGGAAGCAGAGGTTGCAGTGAGCCAAAACTGCACTGCTGCACTCCAGCCTGGGTGACAGAGTAAAACCTGTCAAAACAAAACAAAAACCTGAAACTATTCCCCCCACTTTCCTGGCTGTGTAAGTTTGGGCATCATTAAGCTTTCTGTGCCCCAGTTGGCTTATTTGTACAGTGCGGATCATCATAGCTCCTTTCTAGGGGTGGTCATGGGGATTTCAGTAGAAAAGTGCTCAGCACAGAGCCCAGCACACTTAGGCGAGGTGGGGGCACGGAGGAGTTGAAGAGGCAGCTGGGCAAGTGCATCCTTCCCTGGGACATGCTGGGAAACCCACCCCCACCCCATTATCACACTTCAATGCCTCCTCTGGGATAGAATTCTGGTGTGAAAGCGGCAGCCTTCTGAGGCTGGATCTAATTTAAAGAGATGTGCTCCTGTCTCCTCCCTTCTCCCTCTTCCAGATAGTGGGAGATTGTGCCAGCTTGTATTTCAAAAGTTGAGAAAAGCAAATCTCAGAAATGATGCCAAGAATCAGGACTAAATGAGTTCACAGATTGGGAAGGCACTGATAAAGCTGTTCTTGCTCACGTCTTCGGCTCCCGAGGGATTCTCCCACCTACACCCCCGCCGCAGGCCCATGATCCACCCTCTGCCAGGAAAGCTTGTTCCCCACTCGGTGCAGAAGCCGCTTCGAGAAAGGGAGGCTTTGTGGTTCTCAGAGCATGGGTAGCCCCCCGCAAAGGAGTCTGGACCCACCTTCCACACACATGCAGTCATCGAAGCATTTGTTGTTGAGGCCTCGGTTGTGGGGTGTGCAGAGATGCTCCCGCAGGTCGCAGCAAGTCCCTGCCAACACAGAGAGCACACGCAGTCAGCCAAGCTGAGCCGCCCCTCCCCGCAGCCCTGCACTCGGTCCCACTGGACAAGAGATCCATCATCTCTGTGGCAGGCCGCGCCCTGGCGGGGTGGGCCATCTGGTGTGCAAGGCTCCTGAGTGGAACCACAGGGAGATGTCATGGCCGAGGCCCCCAAGGGTCGGTGGCAGAGACCCCAGCTGCCTCAGATGGGGTACTGATTGACCATGGGAAGAGCGAAGGTGGTGTGAGGTCTCCTCCCAGACAGAGCCAGTAGAACAGCTGGGGGCTGCCAGGTGTGGAGTCAGCTCAGAGCTGGGAGGGGCCTCAGGATCCCCAAAACCAATGTCCTCTTTTGACAGATGGGGAAACTGAAGTCCTGGGCACCTGCCATGGAGCCGGCTCCCAGAGCGACTGTCCAGTCGGCCCAAATGCGGGCCTTTTCTTTGTGCCCAGGGTGAAAACAATGGTTTGGGAATGAAGCAGCCTGTCAGGGAGCTGGTGGTTTGCCTTATACAATGCTAATTGCTGGTTTGGTTGCTGTTTTGTAGAATATTCTGGTCACTGATCTAACAATCGTGGTGCCGTGGAGGTGTGCCGCTCCGATCTCTCTTGGGGAAAGCACTTGCTGGCGGCCTCCAGCTGGTACAGCTTCAGGGCCACCTTGGCCCATGGCAGGCTGTTCCCAGCAGCCCCTGCCAATGACGGGCATGGGGGTTCTGGGGCCCAGCCATTTCTGCTCAGCACGGGCCTCGTCTAACAGGCCACCTCTGTACTGGAGCGCCCATCCGGTGCATGATGTCTGAAGCTTCCTCCATGCTTCCTCCACCTTTCGTCATTCACAAGTGTTTCCCACCCCTAGCCCACCCCAAAATAAATCTGTTGTGCTTTTTGTTTTGTTTTGTTGAGACAGGGTCTTGCTCTGTCACCCAAGCTGGAGTACAGTGGTGCGATCATATCTCGCTGCAGCCTTGACCCCCGAGGCTCAGGTGATCCTCCTGCCTTAGCCTCCTGAATACCTGGAACCACAGGCGCACACCACCAAGCCTGGTTGGTTAATTTTTTATTTTCTTATTTTTTTTAATTTTGAGACAGAGTCTCGCTCTGTCAGAGTGCAGTCGTGCGATCTCGGGTCACTGCAACCTCCACCTCCCAGGTTCAAGCAATTCTTTGCCTCAGCCTCCTGAGTAGCTAGGATTACAGGCACCTGCCACCATGCCCGGCTAATTTTTGTATTTTTAGTAGAGATGGGGTTTCATGGCCAGGCTGGTCTTGAACTCCTGACCTTGTGATCCACCCATCTCGGCCTCCCAAAGGGCTGGGATTATAGGCGTGAGCCACCGCACCCAGCCAAGCCTGGTTATTTTTTTAAATTATTACTATTTTTGGAGATGGAGTCTTCCCGTGTTGCCCAGGCTGGTCCTGAACTCCTGGGCTCACGGGATCCTCCCGCCTCGGCCTCCCATAGTGCTGGGATTACAGGTGTGAGCCACTGCACCCGGTCTCACACTTCTAACTTACCTCAGTATCTGCTTCCTGGAAGGTCCGACGGACCCCCAAGGGCCCCCAGGGTTTAGGACATTAGTTACAACGTCCGGCTTCTTGTTTTTAGACTGTCTCCATGGAGACGGCTGCCGAACAGTGAGGATGTCACCAAAAGCATCTCCAGAATGCCTGGCAGTGTTGCGATGGGACAAGGACAGCATTAAGCCCTGCCTGGTGTCAGGAGGAAGAGGGCAAGAGAGGATCATCCCGATTTAAGGCAGCATGGGGCTGTGGTGAAGAGGCTTTCCAGCCAGGCCAGGTTGGAGCCACTTCTTAACCGTGTGACCTTGGGCAAGACAGCCTCTCTGGGGCTCAATCACCTGGCTTGAAAACTGCGTTGTTGTGAGTAATGTATTTTTTTTTTTTTGAGACGGAATTTCACTCTTATTGCCCAGGCTGGAGTGCAATGGCACGATCTCAGCTCACCACAACCTCCGCCTCCCGGGTTCAAGCAATGTTCCCGCCTCAGCCTCCCAAGTAGCTGAGATTACAGGCGCACACCACCATGCCCAGCTAATTTTTGTATTTTTAGTAGAGACGGGGTTTCACCATGTTGGTTAGGCTGGTCTCAAACTCCTGACCTCGTGATCCGCCTGCCTCGGCCTCCCAAAGTGCTGGGATTACAGGCATGAGCCACCATGCCCAGGGTATTTTTTTTTTTTGAGATGGAGTTTCCCTCTTGTCGCCCAGGCTGGAGTGCAGTTGCATGATCCCAGCTCACTGCAACCTCTGCCTTGCAGGTTCAAGCGATTGATTCTCCTGCCTCATCCTCCCGAGTAGCTGGGATTACAGGCATGTTCCACCATGCCCGGATAATTTTTATATTTTTAGTAGCGATGGGGTTTCGCCATGTTGGCCAGGATGCTCTCAAACTCCTGACCTCAGGTGTTCCACCCGCCTCAGCCTCCCATAGTGCTGGGATTACAGGTGTGAGCCACCGTGCCTGGCTGTGAATAATGTATGAAATGAATGGATGTCTGACAGCAACTCTCAGGAAAGTGGCAGCTGTTGTTATTATTTATCATCCATGAAGGGTCAAGGATTCTCAGGTCCTGCACATGTGGGAACCCCCACTCCCACCCAGGTTCCCTCCCAGTACCCAGCCTGGTGCCTTGAATGTGGGTGCTGGCTGGTACCTGGCAGGCAGTCTTGGTGATGGTCGCATGGTTCCCCTTCGGCTGGTGATGTTTCGTTACCATCACTGGAGAGTTTACCGCGGTGTTTCTCTGGGGATAAGAAGATCTGTCGTCAGAAGCTGGGGCCCAGCAGAGCAGAGGTTAAGCACAGGGACTCAGATGTTGGAGTGCCCATACCACCACTCTACAGCATGGCTTGGACAAGGCACTGTTGGACCTAACAGGTATTTTCCCTCAGGGTAACATGAGTGGAAACATGGAAGCGTGTGGCACGTGATAAGCATTTGACAGCATTCTCCGTTCCAAGTGGTGTTTCCAGGTTAGGCTCCATGCTCCCCCTCTCCCCACATCCCACCTTTGGACATCTGAAGATCAGACAGGGCTCACTGGGGCCCCCACCTCAACAGATGGTGCGGGAGGGCAGGGCACCCAGGCATGGAAGATAGTGGGGTAGGTGGGCATACCTTTCTTCTTTGCAGAGGGCCAACCATCAGGTTTTAAGTCTTCATAATCGGTCCAGTCGAACAAGGCCATGTCCAGCGTGGGCATCACCTCCCCGTCAGACCTGGGCTGTGCCTGCTGGAGACCGTGGAGAAGGGGGATGTTGGAACCTTCAAATCCATGGAAGCAGGAGTGTGGAGTCCCAAGGTCAGAGGACAAAAAAGAGGCTTCTCAGAGGCCACCTTATCCTCTGCTGGGCAGCCTGGAGTCTCAGCCCAAGGACATAAAGATGGCTGCCGGAGGCTCCTGTTCCAGTGGCCACTAGGTAATTTCCTTCCTGTGCAGCCATTACTCAAGAAGGACCATGCACACACACACAGGTGAGTTACCTACCAGGCCCTCTGAGGAGGGGCAGAGACCACCTGCAGGCTGGGAAGGCAACCTTGCTTGCCCAGGGTCTTTAAGCCCACGAGGAGGGTGTTGGAAGTAGCCCAGCCACTCACTGGACTTTCCCATCCCTTCCTCTCTCTGCAGAGGTTACCAGCAATCCGTGGCACCATTGAGGCCACAACCAGGGCTCAGTCCCACTCACAGCCTGGGCCAGTGGCCCCAGGAATGCAGAGGGCTAGAGGTCCTCAGCAATAGCTGGATCTACACACGGGCATGTGCGAGCACTAGGGCATGGGCAGGAACCGCACCTTCTAGGCTGGCCTGCAGGGGGCCTTGGATGATAAGACGGATAACCATGTATTCCTGGGAAATGGTCTGCAGCTTTTATCACAATCTCAAGGGGGTGCAAGACCCCAAAAAAGGATAAGAAAGATCTGCTGCTAAAAAAGCTTTATTTCTTTTGTATTTTTGTAGAGACGGGGTTTCACCATGTTGGCCAGGCTGGTCTCGAACTCCTGACCTCAGGTGATCTATTCGCATCGGTCTCCCAAAGTGCTGGGATTACAGGCGTGAGCCACCCACTGCACCTGGCCTATTTCTTTTTTATGTATTTTTTATACATATATATTATTGATCCTTTTAAATAATTTTAGTTTGAAAACCTTTTTTTTTTTTTTGAGATGGAGTCTCACTCTGTCGCCCAGGCTGGAGTGCAGTGGCGTGATCTTGGCTCACTGCAAGCTCTGCCTCCCGGGTTCAAGCAATTCTCTGCTTCAGCCGCCCAAGTAGCTGGAACTACATGTGCCTGCCACTATGCCCGGCTATTTTTTTTTTTTTTTTGTATTTTTAGTAGAGATGGGGTTTCACCATGTTAGCCAGGATGGTCTCGATTTCCTGACCTTGTGATCTGCCCGCCTTGGCCTCCCAAAGTGCTGGGATTACAGGCATGAGCCACCGCGCCCGGCCTGAAAACCTTTAAAAGCCACAGAAGAGGTGCAAGAACGATGCGGTCAGCTCCTATATACCCCTCTTCCAGAATCACCAGTGGGTAGTGTTTTTGCCACATTTGCCGCTTACTTTCTCTCCACATTTTTTTTTTCCCTTGAGACAGGGTCTCACTCTGTCGCCCAGGCTGGAGTGCAGTGGTGCAATCATGGCTCACTGCAGCCCTGACCTCCTGGGTTCAAGCGATCCTCCTGCCTCAGCCTCCCAAGTAGCTGGTACTACAGGCACATGCCCTCATGCCTGTCTAATTTTTTAAAAAAGTTTTGTAGACACAGGGTCTCACTATGTTGCCCAGGATAATCTCAAACTCCTGGGCTCAAGTGACCCTCGTGCCTTGGCCTTCTAAGGTGTTAGAATTACAGGCTTGAGCCAACGTGCCCGCCCCACATTTCTTTTTTTTTTTTTTTTTGAGACAAAGTCTCACACTGTCACCCGGGCTGGTGTGCAGTGGGGCGATCTTGACACGCTACAGCCTCCGCCTCCCAAGTTCAAGCGATTCTCCTGCCTCAGCCTCCCGAGTAGCTGGGACTACAGGCGTGCGCCACCACACTCAGCTAATTTTTGTATTTTTAGTAGAGATGGGGTTTCACTATGTTGGCCAGGCTGGTCTCGAACTCCTGACCTCGTGATCTGCCCACCTTGGCCTCCCTAAGTGCTGGGATTACAGGCATGAGCCACCGCGCCCAGCCCACATATCTTTTTTAAAGATCTGATGCAGATGGGTCCAAGTGTTAGCTAATGCTTATTAATTCTGGGTCTTGACGACACAGTTTTAAAAATCACCATTATTATGCTTCATGCTCCTCTGTACACAGAAAGCTCCTCCCCAGGCCTTGCTGCTCTCCATGCAGACACCAGCATGCTGAGCTACCGCTTGCCTCCTTGGCTGTCCCCAGAGTGGGCCCCCAGGAGCACTTTGCCCTGGACAGTGGCAGACCCTTGTCAGGATGGGGCACCCACCAGGGCTGGAGCTAGACTGGATGGGCAGCAGGAGATCTGGTTTCAATCTAAGTAAGCTCTGTGGCCTCCTGCCCCCGTGCCTCAGTCTCCCTACATGTATTAAGAGGGCTTTCCATGACATGGGCTCAAGGACCCTTCCAGATCCGAGGCTGTTTGGGGACCCCTTACCTGGGGCCGCAGGGAGGTGACGGGCAGGATCAGGGACTCTTCTGTGGCAGGTGCTGCCTCAAAGGTGGTGAGAAAGAACATGGTGGGCGCCAGGCTGGTGGAGGATTCCTCCATGGCTGCATCCAGCACCTGGGCTTCGGAGAGCTCTGCCTTCTTCATCAGGGAGCTGGGACCTCGGACCAAGGCTCGGCCTGAGACACAGGGTGGGGAGCACGGGGGCTATATCTGCTTGCCACCTCGTGGCAGTCTACAGTAGAACCCACGTTTTATGCTGCAAACTAGGAGGCAGCAGGCACTGTGTGACAAGCCCTTGGTTCAGCCCCCATTCCTGCTTCCTACCCTTCTTGGGAGGTTGGGGGATGGGAACTCGGAGGAAAATGTCTTGGAAGAACTTGCAGTGTCGCTGGGGAGACAGTCCAAGGATTCTCCCTGTAAAGCAACATTCCAGCAAGTCCAAGTCCAGATTGGCTGGGCGCAGCCAGATATGTAAGTATAACAAATAGGAACTAGTAGGATTAACCATGGAAGGCTTCCTGGAGGAGGTGAAGTTTGAGTAGGGAGAAATGTCATGAGGCTGAGAATCATTGCAGTGGCCTTTGAGGAAGCTGGGAGGTGGGAATCACTGCTTATCACACACAAGTGAGTGCATCCTGTGTGGTGACAATTAGTCATCACCCCATTAATGGAGCACCTGCTGTGTGCTGGGTCCCAGAGGAGCTGTGTCACAAGTGTTATTTCGTCTAACTACTGCAAGAGCTCTGGGAAGTGGGTGCTCCTTCAGTCTCATCTACAGGGAAGGAAACTGAAGCACAGAGAGGTTAGGTGACTCACGCAAGGATGCACAGCTCATGAGTAGCAGGGTCTGGATTCAGCTCCAGCAGGGCTGGAGTGCAGGGGCTCAATCTTGGCTCACTGCAACCTCTGCCTCCAGGGTTCAAGTGATTCTCCCACCTCAGCCTCCTGAGTAACTGGGATTACAGGCATGCGCCACCACACCTGGCTAATTTTTGTATTTTTGATAGAGATGGGGTTTCTCCATATTGCCCAGGTTGGTCTCCAACTCCTGATCTCAAGTGATCTGCCTGCCCAGCCTCCCAAAGTGCTGGGATTACAGGTGTGAGCCACCACGCCCAGCCTGGCCTGAGGTTTCACAGCCAGTCATTAGCAGAGCAGGGCCTAGCCCGCAAACCTTCTCCGTTCCCCACCTCCTCCTCACCATATCAACTCTCCCAGGAGGCCTGGCTGCAGCCCTGGAGCTGGCGGAGCCGGAGCCCAGCAGGACGGGTCCACACCCCACGCGTGCCCTCTAGCTGTCCTCAAAGGTCCCAGCATCCTCCCCTGAAAGCTGACACAGGTAACTCCAGGAGTGGGAGGCTGAAAGTCGAAGCCGGGGGACCCTGACTGACCTCTGCCCTCTTGGGGGGTTCTCAGGCCTCACAGGGAAGCCAGCCTCAGCTGTTTGCACGAGAAGGGGTGTTGAAGCTCCATTGCCTTCCTGCCAAAGAACCCTGCTGTCACCACTGCATTTGTGGCACTCGGCATGTCCCTAGAGGCAGTCGGGTCACATGGAGAGCTTAGAAGCCAAGTTCCCTGGCTTAGGGCCAGGCAAGGCTGGGAGGAGCCACCTGACTGGAGCTGAGGGGACATGTCTACTCCGAGACTGAATGGGCACGGGGAGGGGGAAGCCTGGGCCAGCAGGGGGCTAGCTAGCTCCCAGCGGATGTGGGGGAAACGTTAAGGAAGGTGGGAAGGGCTAGGGGAGCACTGAGACAAACAGGGCAGAGGCAGGAGCGGTAGGCAAGCGATGCCTCTCCTGGAGTCACCTGTGTCCAGGCTGGAGGACACTGAGTTGGCCTCAGCAGGTGGCTGAGATTAACCAGAACAATGACTGCTCATGGCCCTGCCAGCTGAGCTCCAAGCGCCCCACTAACCAAGTCTCTGCAACGACACTGAGGGTAGATGGGATGGGACCAGTCTCCTTGCTTTACAGAGGGGAAAACCGAGGCACAGAAAGAGAACTTGCCCAGGGCCACACCCTAGTGGTGGAGGCAGGACCTGATCTCAGGCAGACCTGGCTTCAGAGTCTAGGCTCTTAGCTCCTACCGGATGCGTCAGAGTCGAGTAAGAAATGTGCTTGGAGGGCGCTGAACTGTTCCATTTCTACTCAGAACTTAAAGTAGGAGAAATTTAGGTCAGATACAAGGTAGAACTTCCTGATTCAGGAGGATGATCTGTTGATAAGACAGATTATTATTATTATTTTTTGAGACGGAGTCTCGCTCTGTCACCCAGGCTGGAGTGCAGTGGCGCCATCTCAGCTCACTGCAAGCTCCGCCTCCTGGGTTCACACCATTCTCCTGCCTCAGCCTTCCAAGTAGCTGGGACTACAGGCGCCCACCATCGCGCCCGGCTAATTTTTTGTATTTTTAGTAGAGACGGGGTTTCACCGTGGTCTCGATCTCCTGATCTCATGATCCGCCCGCCTCGGCCTCCCAAAGTGCTGGGATTACAAGCGTGAGCCACGGCACCGGGCCGCGATAAGACAGATTGTATTGCAACACATCCCTCTCCTCTTCCCATGCCCCAACCCCAGGCCTCTCCCAGCCTCCTCCCCTTACCAGGTCCCTCTGGCTTCAGTGAGACCCCTCCTCTCCTCTGGACCTCATGCCCCTGACCCTTGCCTGCATCCTCTCCTGCTCCCCTCAGTCCATGGCAGGAATCACCCCCATCCCCACCCCTCGCAGCCCTCCAGCTACCTTGGTGCAGCCTCAACCTGTCCCTGCGTCTCTTGTGCTCCCTGCTGCGTTTCCTGGTCCTCTCCCAACCTGGAGGTCGGTTCTCCTTCTCGGGGTAGGGCAATGCCAGTCCCAGGAGCAGGTCCTTGTCCTGCAGCAGGCCTGCAGGACTCTGCTCAGGCAGCAGCCCCTCAGCCTCTGGCAGCCTGGAGGCCTGCCTGGTGGCGGTGACCACAGCCCCATCCTGGGCCTGGCTGGGCAGGCCTGGGCCCCACTCCTTCTTGCCCGGGCCCCGCCGGCGGTGGTGGCTGGCCTGAGGCGTCCACAGCGCTGGGCCTGGGAGGTCAATGTGATTCTCAGGGAGGTTCCGGGCAGGGGTCCCAGGTGCAAGGGCGCCTGCCAGGCTCAGCTCCAGGGGCAGCAGGAGGACGAGGAACAGCATGGGAGCGGTGTGGATGGCAGGCCCAGCCATTGGCTCCTCCCTGCAAGAAGAGCAACACCATGAATGCGCAGCCCCAGGCCTCTCTCTGCTGCCCCTCACTCAAATGATTAAAGCCCAGTTTTTCTCAACAGCCATAGAGGGACATTTTGCTCCCAGTGACATTTGGCAATGCCCGAAGACATATTTTAGTTGTCAAAACTGGGGAGTGCTACTGGCAGGTAGAGGTTGGAGCCCGTGGATGCTGCTAAACGCCCGACAATGCACAGGACAGCCCCCGAAACCAAGAATCATCCGGCCCAGAAAAACAACAGTACCGAGGCTGAGAACCCCCGGCTTAAATCATTTCAGCAGCATTCAAGTTCCAGATTAGTCCAGAATTCCTTTCTCTGCACAAACCTCTGCCCCTTACCAAGTCCCCTAGAGGGAACCGAGTCCCTCAGAGCTCAGAAATATGCCTCTGGCCCCTGAGACTTGACTCGGAGCCTAATTCCATACAAATGGAATAATAGCGTTTGAGCGCACGCTGTAGGCAGGACCCACGTTAAGTGCTTTGTGTGAATTCATGTCACTTCGCCCTTTCAAGAGCTCTCTGAAATGGCTCCTGTTATTTTCCCCATTTTTCTGAAGTGGCAATGAAGGCTCAGAGAGGTTAAGTCACACCTAGTAAGTGGCACTGTGTCATTCCTGTCCCTGAGCCCTGAACCCCGTGTGGCTGTCCCAGGATGGCCCAGCTCTGCCTTTCTCTTCTCCTCTCATGATGAGCTCTGAGGC
This sequence comes from Homo sapiens, assembly GCF_000001405.40. Taxonomy (NCBI): domain Eukaryota; kingdom Metazoa; phylum Chordata; class Mammalia; order Primates; family Hominidae; genus Homo; species Homo sapiens. The sequence continues at coordinate 11,705,517 of NC_000001.11, read as the reverse complement.
CCCAGAATGTTCTGACACTGTCCCTTCCCCTGGGGGAGGGGCTTTGGGAACAGCTTTGCAGACTTGGCTCTGACCCCTGCAGGGTAGACTGAGCCAACCCGACCTAGCCTCAGGATATCCCCCTCAGGGGACCCAGTGCCCTCCCTCCACACTGGAGGGAGAAGCTGCAGCTCAGGGGATGGTGGGGGCGTCTGTCAGACTCTGGAGACCTCCTGCCCCCGTGCACCACCCGCAGCTGCTCCCCCACGCACCCCTCTCCATTGCACCAACCTCACTGTATCCTGGAGCTAGGCACTAGGTTAGCCAGGCTAATTGAATTTTTATGGCCTCCCGAGTATTCCACTAGGCTGGCAAGGGTGCTTACGCCACCGTTTCTTTGTGATTTGTGGCCATATAATTGTCCCGGGCTGAGAAAAGGTTGGTGGGCCTGTGATGTTTCCCTGCTTCCCGGCGCCTCTCCCTGCGGCCCCCATGCTGGCTGGCCCACCCCAGTGTCACCTTAGCCCCGACCCCGAGGGAGGGTGGTAGGGCAGGGAAACTGCTGTGCCCTCGAAGCTCTGACCACGCACTCGTGGAGGGGAGGGGGGAAACACCTTCTCCAGCCTCGCAGGGTCTGTGGTGGCTTCACCCAGTTCTGCCTCCATCCCAGCCTGGCATGTCCTGGTCCCCTGGGATCCTGGGCCCTGGCCTCCACTGTCCACAGCTCAGCTCTTCCTAGAACTGTGGATGGAGACAAGGAGGTGGCCGTCACTTTCCATCTTGTCCCCTATCCCGGGGATCTGGCTGAAGATACTAGGTGAGCCTTGGTGACGTGCGTGGGACCCTGGGACAGGCTTGTTGTGACAACCCTGTCTCCCATCACACCTGCATCCATTCCTAAGGCCACAGACCCTGCACCACAGTCCCTGCTACTGTCCTGGTCACGTCACCAGCAACGGAAGGCTCTGTCCCACTGGCCTTGCCTCCAGCCCTTCCCTAACAAGTGCTCTTGAGGCCAGAGCTCAGCAAGCGGGACCTGTGTCCCTGGTTCCTGAGGCAGCCCAGGGGGAGGAGGGGCCCATTTTAAAGGCCTGTCACTCAAGCATTGTTCGGCGCAGAGGGAACCTCAATCCTGCTTCGGGGCCAGTGGAGCGGGGCTGCTCTCTGGGCTGGCATTTAGCCTGACCACTGCCAGACTTCACCCCCTGCTCTCCTTGTGACTGGAAAGGCCAAGCGCATATGGGATCCCGTCCATGTCCGAGACCCAGCCCTGCCTTTCTGTCCTGCAGGGACATGACAGCCTGGGAGAAGCCCGAAGAGCGTCCTAGGGACAGGGAAACCTCGGGACGTTGGCCAATGAAAGGAATCACCACCTCCTCCTTGTCCTGGGGGTTGAGGGGAATGAGGAAGAAAACCCAGACAGTGCGGGCAAGAGAGCAGAGGAGGCTCAGTAGAGAGGTGGGCAGCTTCTCAGCTAGTCTGCTGTCCCTGGGGACACACAAGGCTGTCAGTAAACCTCAGAGCCGCCTCTGAGCCTGGTGAGCAGCCTAGGTGCTGGTCTTGGAGGACAGCTCCTTCCCTGCAGAGCCAGGAGATGAACTCCCACTCCTGCCCCACTCCAACACCCCGAAGCAGCATGATCCCACCCAGACTGCCACCTTCCCAAGCTCCGTTGCCACGACCCTACTTGGCTGTGGGTCCATTCACAGTACCCATCCTGCTTCAGGGCCAGTGGAACCCCAGTCTGAATGCCATCTTTGTTCCCTCCCACCCTTCAAGAACCACATATCACCCACGCAGCCAGCCTGGGACAGAGGAAGTGGGATTTCAGTGCACAGTGCCAGAGCACCCATGGGGGTGCATCCAAGGGGGCTCCATCCTGTCCCCAGACCCAGCATATACTGGTGGTATGGCTACTCGGGTTGTGACCCTTATCTGCTCAAAACTGTCTATGGCTCCCTATTGCCTTCCCATGCAACCACAGACTCCTTACTTTGGCACTGAAGACCTTGTGTAATGTGGCCCCAACCAAGCTTTGCAGCTCCAACTTCTACTTTCTCCCCTTCACAGGCAACAGAGACTGCTCCCTGGGCCCCAAACACACCCCTGCTTTCTGGCTCTCTGTTCTCACTTTGCCTGTCCCCTCTGCATGGAACCTCTCCCCCTCTCCCTCATCTCTCTCCGTCCACGTCCTGCCCATCCTTTGGGACTCAACCCAAATGTCCCTTCCTCCAGGAAGCCTTGTTCAGTCCCCTGACTCCATGTGCTCTCCGCTTGGTGCTCCCACATGCCTTTGTCCTGCTCTTGAAGACCTCGTGTGTCATTTTGTGCTGGGACCGTCAGGTTTTTTAGAGCCCCTGGCTAGACTGGAAGCTCATAAAGGACTCTGCACATTCCCTTCTGCTCTGCGGCCCCTCCAGGGCCCTGCACATAATAGGCGCTGGTAGCCATGGATCAGAACAGAAGTGGATTGAGCACAATCCAATTTATGTATCAGGCCGGGCACAGTTGCTCATGCCTGTAATCCCAGCACTTTGGGAGGCCAAGGTGGGAGGATCACCTGAGGTCAGGAGTTCGAGGCCAGCCTGGCCAGCATGGTGAAGCCCCGCCTCTACTAAAAATACAAAAATTAGACGTGCATGATGGCATGCGCCTGTAATCCCAACTACTCAGGAGGCTGAGGCAGGAGAATTGCTTGAAACTTGGAGGCGGAAGTTGCAGTGAGCCAAGATTGTGCCTCTGCACTCCAACCTGGGCGACAGAGAGAGACTCAAAAGAAAAAAAAAAAAAAGAATTCATACCTCGGCAGAAGATCATAAATAAATCCCCAGGATGTGTGAGTGTGTGTGTGTGAGCATCTGGCATGTATGTGTGAGCATGACGTGTGTGTGGAGCATGTGTGAGCATGTGTGTGTGTGTACTATGATCATGTGTAAGCGTGAATATGTATGGGTGTGTAGGTGTGTAGTGAGTGTGTGGGAGTGTTAGCATGTGTGTGTGTGGAGCATGTGTGAGTGCATGTGTGTGTATACTATGATCATGTGAGAGCATGAATATGTGTGGGTGTGTAGGTATGTATGTGTGTTGTGAGTGTGTAGGAGTGTTAGCATGTGTGTGTGAACATGTGTGAGCGTGTGTGTGATGATGTGTAAGCGTGAATGTGTGGGTGTGTAGGTGTGTGTGTTGTCAGTGTATGTGTGGGAGTGTTAGCATGTGCGTGAGCGTGTGTGTGTGCTGTGAGCATGTGAGTGTGAATATGTATGGGTATGGGTGTGTATGTGCATGTGTGTGTGAGAGCGTGTATGTGTTGTGAGCATATGTATGGGTGTGTGTGAGCATGTGTGTATGTGTGAGCATGTGTGTTGTCAGCATGTGTGAGCGTGAATGTGTGTGGGCGTGTACGTATGAGTGTGAGCATGTGTGTGTGAACTCGCGTGTGTGAGAGCATGTGTGTTGTGAGCATGTGTGAGCGTATGTGTGTGCACAAGCATGTTTGTGAGCATGGGTGTGGACTGTGTGCAACAGTGTGTGTCAGCTGGAGGAGGGGCTGGGGGAAGACTACACGGGCCCCTCTCTCCAAGCCCAAGGATTTGTACACAGCTCTTGGCACAGCCCAGCAACTGAGATGCCAGCCTGGCAGGGAGCCCCCGAGGAAACGTGGGCTGCTACAGAAGTCGTGCCAAGGATCCACAGCGACCAAGGGCTCCAATCCATTTCTGTCACTCTGAAAGCCAGTTGGAGGCTGTGTCACAAAGCACCAGGCAACCAGGCAGAAGGAGGAGGCAGCCCCCTCCGCCTCCCCGCAGCCCGGGGCGGTTCTGCCCGGCCCGGGTTGCTCACAAAGCCTGCGCTTCTGGCCCAGGGTCTGCTCCTCCCAGCCGAGCACAGTCAGCAGCCCGGAGTAGCCCTGGACCAGAGTTGCTGAGGGATGGCAGGAACATCCACAACCCACAGCCGGCCCCTTTCACAACTGAGGTCTGATAGCGAATCATTAAAAACAAAACAAATTAAAACAAAAGCAATCGTAATTGTAGGAGCTGCTGTCCCCGAGCAGCTGTGAAGCCCAGGCCTTTCCGCGTTTCTTTCTTTCATTCACATCTCATTTTTCCTCTCAACTGCGCTGTACATCAGGGAGACTTTTCCATGGTTTTAAAATGACGAAACCGAGGCTCTGGGGGCGAGGGGGTTGTAAGCCACAAATCCAAGATGGCACAACTGGCAAGTGGCAAAGCCCATCTCAAGGCCGGGGTTCTCCTGGCACCCGGTGCACACAGGACATGGTTCTTGTCCCCATTGCCCGTGGGGCCACCTGCCTCCCTCACGCAGCCGCTCATCCTCGCGGTGAGAGGCATCTTCCTCCTTGAGTGCAGTCAGGGCCCAGGAGCCACCAGCAGCTGGGAAACAGACACTAACCAGGGAGGGGAAGGGGCTTATCTCAAGCCCCCATCTTGTCCCCCATCCTAGGGGAGAGTTGGAGAGCTGTCAGCATCGCCGTATGCAAACGAAGGCGATGAATCGAGCCTGGAGTCAGCTTTGATTCCTGAGCCCCTCCCCCCACAACAGCCTTGCATTTGGGGGCCAGGAGACTCGGGGGATCCTGCCCCGCCTGCCTGAGGGACAACTGTGGAGCTCGGCCACCAGGCTTCTCGGGACAGCTGTCGGACCAGCATTCCTGCGGCGCTGATCGGCCTTCCTGTTGCATAGTGGGTTGGGGGGAGCAAGTCATGGCTGGCCAAGGCGGGTCCCATGGGAATCCTGGGTCAGGGATATCAGTGCTGCTCAGATGGTGCGGAAGGATTATGATGTGAAGCAGGCAACCCCCCACGGGGAGAACCGGAGCCCATCAGCCTCCCTCCCTTACCCCGAATCTACTCATGTGCCAAAGCGACAAATTCGTGCGACTGTATTTGGCAGGAATGTTTCAGGGGTTCTGTAAGCATCTGATTCTAGCTTCACTTTAAAAATATATTTTTAAAATTATTTTGAAAACTGTAGTAAAAATAACAGACACTCTCGAATACATTCTCTACCCAATTTGAACATGGGCACGGCCCCATCATAACTTGGGCTTCTGGTTCACTGAAGAGTATTCCAGGGATATAAGGTGAGCAGTTTCAAAGACTCGCTGCCATTTGCAGCTACTTAATTGCATGCTCCAGGATTTTCTGAACGTGAATAATCAAAGCCAGTTAGAAGCGCAGCCTCACATCCATGAGTGTAACTGATATCCATTACATCATTTTCTATCATGGAGAACAGCTTCTTTTTTTCTCATTGGTTTACTTTATTTATATTTATTTATTTATTTTGAAACAGAGTCTCGCTGTGTCACCCAGGCTGGAGTGCAGTGGCACAATCTCGGCTCACTGCAACCTCCGTCTCCCGTGTTCAAGCAATTCTCCTGCCTCAGTCTCCTGAGGGATTACAGGCGCTGCCACCACGCCCAGCTAATTTTTGTGTTTTTAATAGAGACAGGATTTCACCATGTTGGTCAGGCTGGTCTTGAACTCCTGACCTCGTGATCCACCCACCTTGGCCTCCCAAAGTGCTGGGATTACAGGTGTGAGCTACTACACCTGGATTTACTTTATTTATTTATTTATTTATTTATTGAGAGTGAGTCTCGCTGTGTCACCCGGGCTGGAGTGCAGTGGCGCCATCTCGGCTCACTTCAATCTCCACCTTCTAGGTTCAAACGATTCTCCTGCCTTAGCCTCCCGAGTAGCTGGGATTACAGGCACGCACCACCACACCCAGCTAATTCTTGTATTTTTAGTAGAGACGGGGTTTCACTATGTTGGCCAGGCTGGTCTCGAACTCCTGACCTCAGGTGATCCACCCACCTTGACCTCCCAAAGTGCTGGGATTACAGGTGTGAGCACCATGCCTGGCTTGAGCCACTGCGCCCGGCGGTTTGCTTTAAAATAAGTAAATATTAGTCCTGGCTACTTGGGAGGCTGAGGCAGGAGGATCCCTTGAGCCCAGGAGTTTGAATTCAGTCTGGACAACATAGTAAGTCCCTGTCTCTAAAAAAAAATTTTTTTAACAAAAATTAAAATAAGTAATTATTATAAACTGGGGCAAAGCAGTGGTCGCACAGAATCTAGGTGGGAGAAGCCAAAGAGAGTTAGTCTGATCGCAAGTAGGGCTTAAAGGTGTGTTGTGTCTGCATAAAATAGAGACATTTTTGATTTGGGGAAAGGCATTCTTGGTGGTGGTGGAGTGCTACACTGCTTATAAAACACTGTTTTGTTGATTTTATGTATTGGGATTACGGATCGAATTTCATTTGGGAAAAGATTTGCACTACTCAAAACATTTCTTTTTGGCAGGGAGTAGGGGAGGAGGACCACTGGGCCATTGGATTAGGTGGTCCCAAAGGCCCTGTCTGCCAAGGGAGCCTGAGAATTTATGATCTATGACGATAAGACTCCTCCATCTGTCTGTCTGTTCAACTGTCAGACCCCTATGGGGAGGGGTGACAGACAATATCCAGTAGGGTGTGGACTGAGTCTCCAGGAGCTAGGGGCAAAATCTTCCCTTCCGGATACTCCCAACCTAGGAGCTCTGTGGGGAGGAATTGTATCCCCAGATTCAGGAGATTTTGTTGAATGCAGGAATCATCTCAGGTTTTATGTCTCTGTAGTTCCAGGAAGATTTTACGATTGCTTTTTTGTTTGTTTGTAGACAGAGTCTTGCTCTGCCCTACAGGCTGGAGTAGTTGTACCATCATAGCTCACTGTAGCCTCAACCTCTCCAGCTCAAGCAATCTTCCTGCCTCAGTCTCCTAAGTAGCTGGGACAACAGCCACAAACCATCATGCCAGGCTAATTTTTTCTTAGTTTTAGTTGAGATGAGGTCTCTCCCTATGTTGCCCAGGCTGGTCTTGAACTTCTGGCCTCAAGTGATCCTCCCACCTTGGCCTCCCAAAGTTCTGGAATTACAGGCGTGAGTCCCGGGCCCAGCAATTGCTTTAACTTGAGATTGATCTGCCCAACTTTTCCCTCTGGCTACTCCTCATCACTCACATGGACACTTCCTGAAACGGCAGGAATTGGAGATGGGCAGTGCAGTCCGGAAGCCCCATCTGCTCTTAGCAGAGTGTGGCCACTCTGCAGTCAGCCCCAGATCTAGTTAGGGCTTCCTGGAGCCCCGGCCCCCTAGGAGCAGACTTCTGTCTTGTTTAGGTGGAGCTGACACCCCTAGGGCTGGAAAGTGGGTAATTTTCTTGTTCAGTCAAAACAGTCATATCCTACATGAGAGTTGGGGAACAACTGTATGGATTCTAAATTAATTCCTGGGCTGAGCTCTTCCCAAGGTAATTTGAAACGAGAGTGTTCTAACCCCCCTCCTGATCCCTCCCAACATCTCCTCCCTTCATGAGTCTATTCCCTTGTCTGTGAAATGGGATTATTAGGCTGCCATGAGACTTGACTACTTAGGAAGTCAGTGCTTCTGTGTGGTTTGTGTGTGGGTGGGTGGTGGTGGTGTTCCGGGTATGGATGGAGCCCGGCAGTGCAGGTGGCATAGAGGATGGGGCGGGTGGGATTCACAGCAGCTGCCCTGCTGGGTGTTCACTGGCATACTGGTGCGTTGATCATCCTGGACTAGTCCCTACCCATCTCCCTGCCTCCCTGTGGCTCTGTATCGCCCAAAGTGTCACCTGACCAATAGGAAGGGGCCTCTCAGCAACCCCTAGGCCTCAGAGCAGCCAGAGCCCCACCTACCCCTCCACGGGTCTTTCTCAGGCACAGAGCTCTGCCTTTTGCTCTGCTGGGGACTGCTGCCTCCTTGCGATGGAGATCGCAGGGGAGAGTGAATCCCGGTGGTCAGCCACTAGCTGAGCCCCTCTGTGTGCAGAACCAGGATGCCAGACAAGGGCACCTGCTCCAGTCTGAAGGGAGAGACCTGGCTTCTGCTCCTGGAAACCACCAGTCTGAGGGCGGACACATAGTCCTGGCTCATTGGGATAGGAGGGAACCAGGTCATGCCTTAGAGGACTCTATGACTATTAGGGGACCTAGCCCATGGCTGCAGAGTGCTTTCAATCTAAGCCAGAAGCAGCCCCTGCCCTGGGGAAGCCTCCCATCTAGCAGGGTAGATACAGTTGCTGTCCTCAGGAATTTGCCAATCTGATAGGAGAGGCACAACTCTGGCCTTGGGAGGGTCCCAGAACATGGAGCTGCTGATCTGCCAGCAAAGACACAGTCCTTGCCTCCAGGTGTCCCCACTGATAAGGGAGACAGTCCGGGTGAGAGGCCACAGGTCTCATTAATGAGAGGTGGAGGCCCAGACATCACTACTACCGATTCCAGCTCACAGATGTCAGCCCAAACCCACTAAGCTGACCCATGGGAGGGCCCTCACTGAGCAAAGCAGAAGGAGCTAGACAACCTGGGCAAGTTTTTTAACCTCTCTGGGCCCCAGTTTCCTCTCTTGTAAAATGTTAGCTGTCATGAGGATTGGGGAGTAAAAGTTGTTTTTTTTTTTTTTTTTAATTATTAAGATGGAATCTCGTTCTGTTGCCCAGGCTGGAGTGCAATGGCACGATCTCGGCTCACTGCAACTTCTGCCTCACGGGCTCAAGTGATTCTTCTGCCTTAGCCTCCCAAGCAGCTGGGATTACAGGCATGCACCACCATGCCTGGCTATTTTGATTTGTTTTGTTTTTGTTTTTTGAGACAGAGTCTTGCTCTGTCACCAGGCTGGAGTGCAGTGGCGCGATCTTGGCTCACTGAAACCAGGAGGCTCATTGCCTCCTGGGTTCAAGCAATTCTTCTGCCTCAGCCTCCCGAGTAGCTGGGACTACAGGTGCACACCACCACGCCCGGCTAATTTTTGCATTTTTAGTACAGACAGAGTTTCACCGTGTTGATTAGGATGTTCTCGATCTCTTGACCTCGTGACCTGCTCGCTTTGGCCTCCCAAAGTGTTTTTTGTTTTGGTTTTTTTGAGACAGATTTTTGCTCTTGTTGCCCAGGCTGGAGTGCGATGGCACAATCTCAGCTAACTGCAACCTCCGCCTCCCAGGTTCAAGCGATTCTCCTGCCTCAGCCTTCCGAGTAACTGGGATTACAGGCTCCCACCACCATGCCCGGCTAATTTTTGTATTTTTAGTAGAGACGGGGTTTTACCACCTTGGCCAGGCTGGTCTCGAACTCCTGACCTCATGATCCGCCTGCCTCTGTCTCCCAAAGTGCTGGGATTACAGGCGTGAGCCACCGCACCCGGCTGGGGAGTAAATGTTTATAAAGTAAATGGGACACAGAAGGGTGAAATAAACAGTAGTTGTTACTATGGGAAGGGGAGACAGAGGGAGTAAGGTGGCAGGCATGGGTGTGGTGGGGGCCAGGGAGTTTCCTGGAAGCATTTGTGCATCTGTGCCTGGGTGTGCAAAGGGGCAGGCGCAGGTGGCTGCGTCCTCTGTCCTCAGTGGGGTGATCGATGGCAGGGCAGGACTGTCCTAGGCCAGCCTGGAGGGGACCATTGTCCTGGCAAATGAGGTTTGGCTTCCCTGCAGGGGCAGCTCCATCTGCTTTTATTGTTTCCGACAGCAGCCTTGGGATTTTCAACCCACCCCAGACCTCACACCTTAAAAACCTGTACAGGGGCTTTGCGGGAGTTCATCAGAGGCCCCACCCATTCAAAGGCCTCCAGCTTCCAGCATTCCCCGCTCACCTGCTGAACTCGAGTCCTACCTCCTGCTAGATTATAGGTACTTGTGGCCCCTCTTCCTCCTCTCCTAGGCAATTTGTGGGTGGGGGAAGCAACCCTCAGCCTCCATATTCCTCAAACTTCATTATCTTGGTACCTAGACCATTTAGCTCTGTGTTTGTTTGGGTATCATCTACTGTTCTAGGTTCTAGGCCCAGAGCTTTATAGGCATTATTTAACTTGACCCTTTGAAGTATATATATATATATATATTTTTTTTTTTGAGACAGAATCTCACTCTGTTGCCCAGGCTGGAGTGCAGTGGTGCAATCTCAGCTCACTGCAGCCTCTGCTCCCTGCAACCTGTGCCTCCTGGGTTCAAGTGATTCTACTACCTCAGCCTCCCAAGTAGCTGGGATTATAGGCGTGCACCACACTTCCCAGCTAATTTTTGTATCTTTTTTTTTTAGTAGAGATAGGGTTGCACCATGTTGGCCAGGCTGGTCTCGAACCCCTGGCCTCAAGTGAGCTAGCTGCCTCGGCCTCCCAAAGTGCTGGGATTATAGGCATAAGCCACTGCACCTGGCCTGAAGTGGATAATATTTTTCAGATGGTAATAGCAACAATGGCTGTGTAGGAACATTAAGACAATGACCAAGGGACTTGCCTAAGATAGCCTAGTAGAGCAAGTGATAGAGCTGGGATTCGAACCCACAGCCATCTGACTCCTCAGACTCATCATCCCTGCTCCATCACATTCCTGGCCGAGACTGCTCCTCATGCTGCCATCCAGTAACCAACACCAGTGCAGCTGCTGTGAGTCCCAGGGAAGGTGGCATGAGCTGGGGCCTGACCCAGAGCCTGGTACACCTGAAAACCATTAAGTCCTGCAATGAGCTCCTTCCAGTTGCTCTGGGTTCTAGCAGGAGCCTCATCCCTCATAACCACCCCTTCAACCCCATCCCATCAAGAGAAGTCTTGGTGTTGGGGCATGGGTGGGTCATGGTGTTGGGGCATGGGGCGTTGTCAAGCTGGAACCTGGGGTGGCAGAGCCTCTACTGGCAAGGATTCAGCCATCCTCCCACAACCTTCTTCTTCTTGGGGACCACTGGCCACAGCGACTCACCCCTGAGAAGGAAGGCTGGAGTAGGGCATGCAGAGAGGGCCAGCGGAGCAAGAGGGAGGCAGCTCCAACCCACTGGGCCAGAACAGGGGTGCTCCTATGACCTGCCCCCCAGGAACATGCTCATGCCTCTGAGGGAAGTTCGGGGAGGCTGGGATGCAAGTCCCTGCTCCATCACATTCCTGGCCGACACACGTGAAGGAACTCCCTCTGGGTCCCACAGCTGCTAAGTGATCAGCTGGGCTTCAAACCCAATCTGCACGGCTGGGGTGAGCCACTTCGTTCTCTGGTCTCAGTTTCTACCCCTATAACAGGCACAGAGACCACCCTCATTTTCCAGAGTGATACAGGGCCTCAGTATCACAGGGGTTTCCGGGCAGCTTGCTCCCCCTCCAACCTCCCCAGCCAGAGGGCCAGCTCCGCCCTGGCCCCACCAGCAGGACCCAGCAGAACTCAGCAAGACACTGGGGCTTGCAGTTTTCAGTTCATTCCTGTGCCTTTGACCAGGAATCACATTCAATATAACAGGTGTGCACAGAGCCCCTACTGCGTGCCAGGCACTGGGACCACAAGCAGAAGGAGACCCAGCCCCCACCCAGGGAGGAGCAGACCCCTCCCAGATAGGGATTATGCCGTGCAGTTCACAAGAGCTAGGGAGGCAAGGGAGTGCCGGGGTGCTTCCCACAGGAGAGGACATCAGACCTCCTTGGTCAGCAAAGACAGAGGGCTGAGATCAAACACAGGGCAGGGCAGAAAGAGCCCTAGCAAAAGCTCAGAGGAGGGCAGACTGTGGAGATGGTCAGTTCTCCATCGTGGCTGCAACCTGGGACGCAGAGGGGACAATGCTGGGAGGCAGGCAGGACAGGGCTAGGCTGGGCTGAGGTCTCTGTAGTTAACTGAGTGGCCACAGTGAGCCACTGAGGACTATGGACTGGGAGGGCGATGAATTGAATAGTGGGGAGGAAGGCAGCGGAGAGAGCAGAGAGGACCTGAGCAAGGTTCCCAAGCCTCTGAGCTGGCTTTGCTGCAGAAGGCAGGGGGTAGAGATGGTATGAAGGGCCGGGTTCACCAAAGTAGGGCCTGTCTGCCAGGTCGGATTTCGAGCAGGAGCCTGGATGGGGGATGTCGTGGGGATATCCAGCCGTTCTTGCCTCTAAAGAGAAAGGTTCCAGTTGCCAGCCCTGGCTGTGGCTGAAATAAGAACTCAGCCAGGGGAGCCTGGAACCTGCCAGCTGGGAGGTTTCCCTCTTCTGAAGTTGCCCTCATTAAGACACTCAGGCCACGTCACTGCCAGACTCCTGGAGTGGTGTGTCACATGTTATGACCACCTAGACAGTGGTCAGGGGGCTTGGGCAAGCACACAGCAGGTCCAGGAGCCAGCAAGACAATCCCCTCAGAGGAAAGGAAGTGGCCTGTGAGCTGGTGCCGCTATTAAAGGCATCAAGCCAAGACTGAGGTTCAGAATTGGGGGTGAGTCACCGGACGCCTTCTGATGGGTGATCAGTTGTTGGCAACACCAGCTCAGCCACACTGATCTCATTTTGAAAAAAAGTGACCCATTGGCCCTGATTGTTTTAGCTGATTTTAGGACAAGCAAAGAGGAGGAGAGAGAGAAAGAGAAGAGTGCTTGCAAGGGTGTGGACGCCTGTATGGGCACGAGGAGGTGAAGGTGACAGGAAGTGTGATGGGGGAAGAGGCTGTGGTGGTGGGGTTACTCTGAAGTGTCTCTAAGCCTTGACTTTGAGATCCATTTCTGTGGAGCCCCCTGTCCCCACCCCATCCCAGGTCTGTAGACTCCCCTCCCCTCCCCTCCCTTCCTCCACAGGGTGTGTGAACCAGCACCAAGCGGCACCCCACAATTTCCACACACATCCCTATAGGTAGGGACTAGCACCATCCCTGTTTTGTGACAGGAACACTGAGGCTCAGAGAGGTGCATTCCTTTGTCCGAGATCACTCCCAGAGCCCCAGTGTACCCGACTCCAGATGCATAGTACTGAACCGGTTCCAGACACCAGTGTGTCACTGGGCTGGGAGGTGGGCAGCGTGGAGGGAGCATATAGGGCAGGGGAGACCACCGGGCGGAGAGGATGGCCCAGGGAGCACCCAGCTGAGGAAAGCAAGAAAGACTTGGCGGGAAACCCCAGCCCTCTCTCATCTCATACCCCGGCCCCGAAGGCGGCTGAGACCCTTGACGAGCGGACGGAGAAAAGCCAAAAGCCGGCGGTGGGGAGCAGGAGGGACAGAGCGGGAGACCACAGGCGAAAGACCAGCGCCGTCGGGGGAGCCAGGCTGAGTACCTTCCTGGGCACAGATGGGACGGCGCGGGGCCACCGGCGGTGCTGGTTCCGGGCGCACTCAGCGACCCCGGCCACACACCCCAGCCTCCTGGGCGGCCTCGAAAGGGGCTGGAGGGCACGCCCGCCAGCTCTGCCCGGGGCTCAGGGAGTCTTCGAAGACTTCTTCCAACGGTGGCGGACTGGGGCCCCCTGCCTGAGAGACCACCCGGAGACTCAGAGACAGAGAGACAAAGGGAGACTGGGTCAGGGAGAGAGAAGGCTAGTGCCGAGGAGAGTAGGTGCGAGCCGGGACCCCAGAGGGCGGCGAGGGCGCGCGCGAGGCCGAGTGTCAGAGCGTGGAAAAGTGGGCGTCCAGCGGTAGGTGGACGGATGGGGAGCCCGGGAGCAGAGCCAGGGTCCGTGGGCAGACGCGGCGAGGAGAGGAGGCGGCGGAAGGACTGGCGGATAGACGGGTCCGAGGGCTGGGAAGGAGGCAGCATCCTCACTTCCAGCCTCGGGACCCCGCGCACCCCGCCCCTGGGCGCGCCAGGTAGCCCACCTTTGTCCGGGCTCGCAGCCAGGTGGGGCGGGAGGGGCGGAGCCAGGGGCGGGCCGAGGCCGTGCCTTACCTGTCCGGCCGGCGGGTAGGGGGAGGAGGGGCTCGGGGCCGAGCGCCCGCGGGAGCCGAGCGCAGCCGAGGGCGAGCCGCGGAACGGGGCCGGCGTGGAGAGGTGCGCGGGCAGCCGGAGGATGTGCCCGGGCTGAGCGGGACTGGAAGGAAGGGGGAGTGGGCGGGCAGGAGGGAAGGGGGCGGGAGCGCGGGGAGGGGACAGAGGAGGGGCGGCGGGTGGCGGGCTCGACTGCCCCCAGCCGAGGGGCAGCCCCGGGGCCGGGCCCGGCGCGCACCCGGCCAGCGCGCCCTCGCCAGCTGCGCTCTGAGTTCTGGGCCAGCTCCCCAGAGGCCTAGGCGCCGCCGCCGCGAGGGCGCGGGGCAGACAAAGGAGGCAGACAAAGGCGGGCGCAGCCCAGCAGCCGTGCGGGCACCGGGCGAGGCAGGCCCACTCCTCCCGGTGCGTAAGAGCCGCCTCGGCGCGGCCCAGGGCGCGTGGGACGGGAGGGGCTCCGGCAGTTGTGGCGCCTCTGGAGCGGCCCCGCGCAGGGCGGGCGACAAAGGGCCGCGGCGGGCGGTCCTCGGTGGACCCCAACAATGGAGCGAGGCTGCGCGCTCAGCTGCGGCCGCGTCTGTCAGGGCAGGGGCCCGGGGCCACAAAAGGATTATTCCGCCTAGACTGTCAAAAGGGACGGAAGAAATGCCCAGGGCGGGGGAGGCGGGACGGGGAACGGCGGGGCCTTTGTAGCCGCAGAAAGTGCGCAGAGTGGGCAGGCGGGGTTCTCCGAGAGGTCGCTCCTGGATGTAGGGGTACAAAGGGTCTTCAAAGTGCTACCAGCTCACCTGGGGCGCTGACGGCGCACCTGTGCCCTCTTTCCCGGTAGGGAAGGGAGAAAGACAACCGCCCCAATACACACACACACAAACACACACACACACACACTCACACGCGGCGCGGCTCTCGCCACGCCCCGTCCAAAGCCGGCCTGAAGCTTCTCAGACCGGCCCAACCCGGACAAAGCCAGCGCTGGGGCCGGCTCATCCATCACCGCGCGGGGCGCCGTGTCCTGACGACCCTGGGAGTCTGAGAATGCTGGGTTATGGGTCCCGTGCCTCCCATAACTCACGACGGGGTCGGTGGGGCCACGGACGCTGCAAAGATCAAAGAGCGATGGGGCCGGACTCCCATATGTGGGAAGCAGCGCTCCCACCTGGCGCCCTGAGCTCGCCAGGTGGCTTCCATTTCGACTGTTTTCTTTCTCCAGCGTGTGGCAAATTATGACTTTGAGGTTTTAGAACACAGTTCTGCCGTCAGGCTAAATGTCTGTGTTCCTCTTCTGATGCCGTCCCCTATGACCTCGAGCAAGTCGCCTGACCTCTGAGCTCATGATTATACCTAAATTTCAGTGTTCTAGGCGTGAATGCAGTGCCCTGTGTAAGGAGATAACGTTTCTAAGGTCTGGCCCATAGGAAATGCTCCTGTAAAATTAGCTGCCATTGTTACCGTGATATTATTAGCTTGGTGGGCACCAGGATGGATTGATGAGAACACTGAACTGTTTATTCACTGAAAGGTTTGAGTCATCCATCCCATAAATACCTATTGAACACCTACTATGTGCCGGCACCGGAGGTACAGTAGTAAACAACATGGACAAGAATCCCTGCCCCCATGGAGCTCAGATTCTAGTGAAGGAGACAGAAGATAAGTGAACAAATAAATATAAATGATGTCAGGTGGTGATTAGTGCTATGAAGAAAAGTAAAGCACATTACAGACAAAGCATGAAGGGACGAGGTGTTGTTTTACATAAAGTTATTAGGAAAGGCCTCTTTGCTGGGGCAGTTCTTTTGGCAAAGAAAAGGAGGTAATGAGCCACGTGGTTGTGGGGAGAAGACTTGCAAGCAGAAGAGCCACTGCAAAGGTCCTGGAGCGGGAGTGTGCTTGGTGTGTTTGGTGGAGAAGAGTCAGTCTGGAACAGAGTGAGGTGACATCAGACAGGGAGCTGGGATAGGACCATGTTGTTACAGGAAAGGGGTCCTGACCCAGACCTCAGGAGAGGGTTCTTGGATCTCGCACAAGAAATAATTCAGGGCGAGTCCATAGAGTAAAAAGTTTATTAAGACAGTAGAGGAATAAAAAGAATGACTACTCCATAGACAGCACAGCACCAAGGGTTGCTGGTTGCCCATTTTTATGGTTATTTCCTGATGATGTGCTAAACAAAGGGTGGATTATTCATGCTTCTCCCCTCCCCCCGCCTTTTGTTTTTCTTTTTGAGAGGGAGTCTTGCTCTCACCCAGGCTGGAGTGCAGTGGCACAATCTCAGCTCACTGCAACCTCCACCTCCCGGGTTCAAGCAATTCTCCTGCCTCAGCCTCCCGAGTAGCTGGGATTACAGGTGCACACCACCATGCCCGCTAACTTTGTGTTTTCAGTAGAGATGGGGTTTCACCATGTTGGCCAGGCCGGTCTTGAACTCCTGACCTCAGGTGATCCACCTGTCTCAGCCTCCCAAAGTGCTGGGATTACAGGCTCGAGCTACAGCACCCAGCCTTTTTTTTTTTTTTTTTTTTTTTGAGACAGAGTCTCACTTTGTTGCCCAGGCTTGTATAGTGGCACAGTCTCGGCTCACTGCAACTTCTGCCTCCCAGGTTCAAGCGATTCATGCCTCAGCCTCCCAGTTAGCTGGGGTTACAGGCACACACCGCCATGCTCAGCTAATTTTTTGTATTTTTAGTAGAGACAGGGTTTCGCCATGTTGCCCAGGCGGGTCTCGAACTCCTGACCCCAGGCAATCTGCCTGCCTTGGCCTCCCAAAGTGCTAGGGTTACAGGGGTAAGCCAGTGTGCCTGGCCTTTGCTTCCCCTTTTTAGACCATATAGGGTAACGTCCTGATGTTGCCATGGCATTTGTAAACTGCCATGGCACTGGTGGGAGTGGAGCAGTGAGGATGACCAGAGGTTGGTCTCGTGGCCATCTTGCTTTTGGTGGGTTTTGACAGGCTTCCTTACTGCAAACTGTTTTATCAGCAAGGTCTTTATGACCTGTATCTTGTGCTGATCTCCTGTCTCATACTGTGACTTAGAATGCCTTAGCCATCTGGGAATATGGCCCAGCAAGTCCCAACCCCATTTGACCCAGCCCCTACTCAAGATGGGGTTGCTCTGGTTCAGACACCTCTAACAATGTGAGCCTGCAAAGGCCACAGGGAGGACTTGAGCTTTTTAGAGGGACCATGAGCAGAGCAGAGACATGATCCGACTTAGGTTTTTAGCAGGTTTGCTGATTGCTTTTTCTTTTTTTTTTTTGAGATGCAGTCTTGCTCTGTTGTCCAGGCTGGAGTGCAGTGGCGCGATCTTGGCTCACTGCAACCTCTGCCTCCCAAGTTCAAGCGATTCGCCTGCCTCAGCTTCCTGAGTAGCTGTGACTACAGGCACCTGCCACCATGCCTGGCTAATTTTTTGTATTTTTAGTAGAGACAGAGTTTCCCCATGTTAGCCAGGATGGTCTCGATATCCTGACCTCAGGTGATTCGCCAGCCTCGGCCTCCCAAAGTTCTGGGATTACAGGCATGAGCCACCGTGCCCGGCCACGTGTGCTGATTCCTAAGGTTGGGAGTAGTCTGCAGTGGGACAAGGGTGAAAGCAAGAGACCAGCTAAGTACTGTGGCAGAGAAGAGATGATGGTCACCTGGGCCTGGGAGAGGGGGCAGTGTGCAGCCAGCATGATTTGCGTCGCCAAGGATAGAGCTGTGGGCCAGTATTCATGAGCCAGGAGAAAAACCTTGGAGTCTCTGGTTCAAATGCTGCTACTGTGGCTGTCCCCTGGCTGGGTGATCTTCCGATGTGCTTGGAGCTGGGGTGACACAATATGAAAAGGTGGATGTTAGGAGAGGCCTGGACTCCTATCCCATCCAGTTTATGATGACTTTAGGGCCTCAGTTTCCTTGTCTGTAAAATGAGGTACTTGAGGGGCCAAAGCAGGCTCCAATATTCATCAACTGATGACTGGATAAGCAGATGTGGTCTATCCATACACGGGAGTATTTTGGTTCTACGAAGGAATGAAGTATCAATATGTGATTCGACCTGGATGAATCTTGAAAACATTATGCTAAGTGGAACAAGCCAGACATAAAAGACCATATTTTGTACAATTACTTTTATATGGAATGTTCCGTATTGGCAAGTCCAGGTCAGGCGCAGTGGCTCATGCCTGTAATCCTAGCACTTTGAGAGGGTGAGGCAGGAGGACCTCTTGAAGCCAGGAGTTGGAGACCAGCCTGGCAACATAGTGAGACCCCTTCTCTACAGAAAATTTTAAAAATTAGTCTGGGCGTGGTGGCTCATGCCTGTCATCCCAACACTTTGGGAGGCCAAGGTAGGTGGGTCACCTGAGGTCAGGAGTTCGAGACCAGCCTGGCCAATATGGCAAAACCTCATGTCTACTAAAAATTTAAAAATTAGCCAAGCGTGATGGAGGTCGCCTGTAGTCCCAGCTACTCGGGAGGCTGAGGCAGGAGAATCGCTTGAATCGGGGAGGCAGAGATTTCATTGAGCCGAGATTGCACCACCGCCCTCCAGCCTGGGTGGCAGAGAGAGACTCCGTCTCAAAAAAGAAATAAATGAAATAAAAATTAGCTGGGTGTGATGGTGCACACCTGTAGCCCCAGCTATTGGGGAGGCTGAGGTGGGAGGATCGCTTGAGCCCAGGAGGTTGAGGCTTCAGTGAGCTGTGATTGCGTCACTGCACTCCAGCCTAGATGACAGAGTGAGACCCTGTCTCCAAAAAATAAAATAAAAAAATAAAAAAATTGGACAATCCATAGAACAGAAAGTAGATTAGTAGTTTTGGAACTGATGTACCTGGCAACACACTTTGGGCATGAACAACCCTTCTCAAGACATCAGGAGTGATGAAAATGTTCCGAATTAGAGAGTAGCGATGTACAACATTGTAACTATACTAAAAATCACTGAATTGTACCCAGGGAAAATGTGAACTTTATGGTTTGTGAATTATATCTCCACAGAGAAGTTTTTTTTTTTTTTTTTTTTTTTTAAAGTGGCAGTTGAGCTGGATCAAAAGTTCTTACCTTGTGGCCCAGGATGGCTTCTGAATATATCTGGACACTCCTGATGTTGTGTAAGGCATTTAGTGTCTCTGGGCCGGGCGCAGTGGCTCAAGCCTGTAATCCCAACACTTTGGCAGGTGGAGGCGGGCACATCACTTGGGGTCAGGAGTTCGAGGCCAGCCTGGCCAACATGGCGAAACCCCGTCTGTACTAAAAGTACAAAAAAATTAGCTAGGCGCGGTGGCTTATGCCAGTAATCCCAGAGCTTTGGGAGGCTGAAGCAGGAACTCTGGAGGCCAAATGTTCAAGACCAGCCTGGGTAACACAGCGAGACCCTGTCTCTATGAAAAAAGAGCAGATGATCAGTAAGGTCCCCCTGACCACTGAGGGGTCAGCAACACTGGGAATCAGTAGAACCCCACGGAGGGAATGGCAGGTGAGGGCTTTGCTCTGGCTGAAGTGTCGGAAGCCATCTCAGGTCAGCAGTGAACCCTGGGATCTGGGACAGCTGTCCAGGTCAGGCCTCACACCAGAAGGCAGATGAGAGCGGAGAGGAGCTGTCAGCAGGAAGTCCTTGTCTTTAGGCATCTTGTTCCGTGATGATGCGTGTCCTCCCTAGGGCACCTTGGG
This sequence comes from Homo sapiens, assembly GCF_000001405.40. NCBI lineage: Eukaryota > Metazoa > Chordata > Mammalia > Primates > Hominidae > Homo > Homo sapiens. The sequence continues at coordinate 11,686,164 of NC_000001.11, read as the reverse complement.
AGTTGCCTGCTGCCTTGGGAAATGGAAATGGAGCTATGGGGATGCCGCTAAGGATGGTTTGGATGGGGTTTTGAAAAGTGTGACAGCTTGTCCAGAGGGTTTGTTCTGGGGGCTTAAATAGTGTATATAGACCTTAATATCATTGTCATAACAGTCATTAATTGAGCATTTATGTGCCAGGCATTGTGCACTTTATTTATTTGTTTATTTTTTGAGACAGGGTCTCACTTTATAACCCAGGTTGGAGTGCAGTGGTACAAACATGGCTCACTGCAGCGTTGATTTCCTGGGCTCAAGTGATCCTCCCACCTCAGCCCCCTAAGTAGCTGGGAATACAGGTGCACGCCACCATGCTCAGCTAATTTTTATATTTTTTGTAGAGTTTTTGCCATGTTGCCCAGGCTGGTCTCGAAGTCCTGAGCTCAAGTGGTCCGTCCACCTTGGCCTCCCAAAAAGCTGGGATTATAGGCGTGAGCCACCATGCCTGGCATTGTGCACTTTATATTTTTTATAAACATGAACATGGACATAAACATTTGCTCTTTGCTCAATCCTATGAAATTAGAACTACCATTATGCCATTTTACAGATGAGCAAACTGAGGTTCAGAGAAAGAAGGGCCTCGCAGCTGGTTAAGGGGCAGTGTTGGGGAGAGAAGCAGCAGGTTGGACACATGAGCAGGCCCAGTGGGTGCTGGGGACACCATAGGGAACATGCCACAGCCCTTGCTTTTGTTTTTGAAAATAGCTTTTCTCTGCATAGTGCCACCCATAGCCCGGGCACTGAAGTCGACGTGTTTTGCTCCTCATCCAGACTCAGTTGGGATTCAAGTCAGGCAAGTGGTAATGAGCCACTGTCCACCATCACTTCATTCCTCTGCCATTCATTCTTTCATTCACTCATTTGACACACATTTGCTGAGAACCTGAATTCGGGCTGGGCATGGTGGCTCAAGCCTGTAATCTCAGCATTTTGCGAGGGTGAGAGGCAGGAGGATCACTTGAGCCCAGGAGTTCGAGACCAGCCTAGGCAACATGGGGAGACCCTGCCTCTGCAAAAAATTTGAAAAATCAGCCAGGTGTGGTGGTGCACACCTGTAATCCTAGCTACTCAAGAGGCTGAGGTAGGAGGATCCCTTGAGCCCAGGAGTTTCAGGCTGCAGTGAGCTATGATTGCCCCACTGCACTCTAGCCTGGGTGACAAGGAGAGACCCTGTCTCTGGGAAAAAAAAAAAAAGAGAGAGAGAGAGAGAACCTGAATTTGGCCAGGCACTATATTGAAATAATGAATGAGGGCTGGGTCCCTGCCCCGGAGCATTGCAACTGGATGGGCCCCTGAGCGTCAGGATATCAGGAGATTGTCACCAGGCTATGTGTGTCTCACTCTGTATGTCCCCCATACCCATGTGATTGGTGTCCTGGGAACCTTAGGCAGGGTGGGAGAGCTGATTCATTCTGCCATCAGCCTGGTGGGGATGGGAGGGGTCTTGGAATCATTTCTGGGGTCTGGAAACTTCATTGCCCGGTTCACTCACTGTGGGTTTGTTCCATAAACCCCAGCAGTCCTCCTCTGCCCGAGCAGGTCTTCCTCTTTGCTGGGCTGGTGCTCACAGCTCACCTTCTCAGTTTCCATTTCAGTGTCTCTTGGGAGTGATTTTCCCTCCGTCCCCATCAGAGATCCTCAGGGACCTGCTCTAGTTGGCAAATAAACTCTTGCTCCCCCTAAACACCCATCCTTCCTTCCCAGCCGCCCTCCTACATATTGTCATTATGGTGAAAAATATGCAAATAACTTTGAACAACAGTCTCCCAGCAGACGGATGTTCAAAAATGTAATAAATTAACCCCATAATGTAATCTGGATCCCACAACCATCCATCATGCTGATGCGATTAAGATATGCAAAACCAGATGCTGAAGAGCGCATGGATGGAGTGTTGGCAGAGCTCCCCGGATGGGCCCATGCTGACTCGGCCCCCTGCCCCTGCCCCCGCCCCCATGGAACCTGAGGCCATCAGAGGTTTAGGGAACATCTATCTGGCCTGTTCATTTCACTAATGAGACTGAAGCCTTTTAGGGGTTTGGGGTCAGATGGGTTTGAATCCCTCCCCATCTGCTTCCTAACCCACCTTCCTTCTGTTTGTGATTGGATCTGAACCCAAGGCCCCAAACCCAGACTTTTTTTGTTTTTTTGAGATGGAGTTCTCGCTCTTGTTGCCCAGGCTGGAGTGCAATGGTGCGATCTTGGCTCACCACAACCTCCGCCTCCCGGGTTCAAGTGACTGTCCTGCCTCAGCCTCCTGAGTAGCTGGGATTACAGGCATGCGCCACCACACCTGGCTAATTTTGTATTTTTAGTAGAGATGGGGTTTCTCCATGTTGGTCAGGTTGATCTCAAACTCCTGACCTCAGGTGATCCACCAGCCTCAGCCTCCCAAAGTGCTGGGATTACAGGCGTGAGCCACCCACCGTGCCCAGCTGACGTTTTTTTTTAATTGCAATAATTTTTGGTTACATGGGTAAGTTATTTAGTGGTGACTGCTGAGATTTTGGTGCATCCATCACCTCAGCAGTGTACACTGTACCCAGTATGTAGTCTTTTGTCCCTCACCTTCCCACCCTTCCCTCACCTTCCCACCCTTCCTTCCCCCCGAGTCCCCAAAGTCCAATATATCATTCCTATGCCTTTGCATCCTCATAGGTTAACTCCCACTTACAAGTGAGAACATATGATATTTGCAAACCCAGATATTTTTATCCACAGGTTTCTAGTTGACAGGGTGGGTACTCCAGTGTCAAGAGCTGTTGGGACCTCAGTTTCCCCAAGGAAAAATGACAGTTGAGTTTATGTCCTCCAAGGTTTTTCTGACGTTCTTAGCTCTGTGTGTCAGGAGTTCTACGGGTGGCTCGTATTGTGTTTTCTCAGGGCAGAGGGCTGGGGCTGGGAGCTCATGGAGGGAGGGCCTGACTTGAGCCCCAATGCCCCTCACACTGTGTCCTGAAGGCCATCCCACAGGAGTCACTTGGCTCTCAGTTTCCCCACCCCAGGCCCCAGTCTGAAGGGCTCCTTTGCAAGGAGTTGCCCCCTATGACTGCCACTGCCTGTCACCAATGCAAAAGCTGCTTAAGCAGCCTCCAGAGAGGGAAAGGAAAGACCCTTGCTTTTCCCAAGTTCTGCAATGAGTCAGTCTCAAGGAGCCACGGAACTCTGTGTATAAGCCAGTGAGTTGCTTGGCCAGCTCTGTGTGGAAATGGCATGATGTGTGCAGGATCCCCATATCTTGAGAATGGTTGCTGTGCCCAGAATGTGCTGCCAAGTGCACCAGTTCCTAAAACAAAATCATCCATCCCTTTGGATGGATGATTTTACATCACAATTTTACAAAATGCATCGCATTTTTACAAAATGAAGATATTCTCTGGGAACAGTCCAAACCTCTGTGGTGATTCCCACACTTTGCTGGGCATCCGGGCCCCTGGGGAGCTTGTTAAAGGGCCAGTGCCCTGCTGTGCACCCCACCTCGATCAGGTTGCTCTAGGCAGCAGGGCAGCTGTGATTAATGGGCTCCTGGGGGATTCTGATGCAGATTTCCTAGGACTGCATTTGAAGAAATGTTTTGCTGACATTCCTAGCTTAATGGGTTACTTACAGGTTACTTTTTCTCTCCCCATTAGAAGTCTGGAAATGCAGGTTTGAAGGCATCAGGGGGCGGGGGGAGGGATCCAGGTCTTCTATAATGAGCTGTAAACGATAAACAAGTCTGGCTAGATCTGTGTCCAAACAGACGGATGGGACTAACAAGCTCTTACGTCCCTGGAGGTCACAGACAAAGTCCTCTTGGCTTCTGGTCCTGACTTGTTGCCCACTAACTCCGTAGCTGCTTCTCAGATCTTAGTTTTCTCACTTGTAAAATAAGGGGGCTGTAAATAAGTGGAAGCCCTGGTGTCAGAAGAGGCATCAGAGCTGGGTTTGTATTCCCACTGTGTGATTTTGGCGAATTAGAGAACGTTTCTGGGCCTGTTTAACCATCTGTAAAGTGGGGCTATAAAATGGAGACTTAGCTGCTAGGGTTAATGAGAGAATTAACGGAATCAGTGTTTGACACATAAGAAGTGCTCGATGTTAGTCATTATTTTTTATTATTTTAGTAATATCATCTCTGAGGGCCCTTACAGGACTTCCAGACCGAGTCCACGCCCCTGGGGGACTTGGGAGCAGTAAAATGTAGTGGCAGGAGGCACCTCGGCCATCGCCCACCCCACCAGCTGGGAGACTCGGGCAGGTTATTCACCCTTCTGCACCTCGCTTGACTTATCTGTATAAAGAGAACAGTCACAGTAACTGCCTCATGGAGTTACTCCCAGGACTGAGATAATCCACGGACACACTTAGCCCAGTGCCCAGCACTCGGCTGGAGCTCCAAAAAGGTCAGCTATTGTTATGAAGCGTAGGGCGGGGAGGGTTCATCCTCTTGGGCGGTCAGGCCAGGCTGCATTTAGGTACCCGGTGGGGGCGGAGCAGGGGCGACGCCGGTGCACGCCCTCTTTTTTTTATTTTTAAAATTTCACCCGGGCCTTGACAACCGGTACAATCCTGTCCTCCCCTGTTCCCGCCCCCGAGCCAGAGGATTCGCTTTTGCGTGGGCAGCTGCAGGGATGGTGACTCGGGCTAGCTCAGATGTGGCTGCCGTTAGTCCCCAGCTGCGCGCTCCCCCGTCCCTCCCCAGCCCTCTTCCGGCGCCTGCTAAAGCGAGAGAAATGCCCTCGGGGGAAGATATGTAGCGATCCAATGGAACGTGGAGATCAACGTTGTGTTTTCTTCGCGCCCACCCGAAGTTGAAGGGAGGTGGCGCGGCGGGTCTCAGCCCCTCCCGGACGCCGAGGCCCGGCCCCCGCCCCTCGGAGACCCGCCCCCGCATGCGGAACCGCCCTCTGCGAGGCCCGGTTTGGGCCGTGCGGGAATGGGCGTGGCCTGGGCGGGGCGGGCGCTAGGACCCACCGGAGCGCCGTGAACGTCACCGAGCGGCGCCGAGGCCCCGGGTTGAGCGGGAGGCGCGATCGGTCCGGTCGGTGGCTCCCCGCGGCGGGGCCGGGCCCGATCTCGGGCGGGAACCGAGCGCAGAGCCGGTACTGGGGGAGGGGAGAGGGGGCGGGATTCCCGCCGGGAGGGATCCGGCGTAGCAGGGGGCGGAGTCTTATTCCAACCCCGCTTCGCTTTCCGCATGTCCCGCTTTGCGCTCCCGGCCCTGGGCATCCCGCTGTTTCCCTCTGCGTCCGCGGCCCTGCCCTTTTCGGGGGCACAGCTGTGGTCTTTCCACCCCGCGAGACAGCGGGGCGAGGGGGCGCGGGCGGCCAGTGGATAGAGGCTGATGCCCCCAAGCACGGACGCCAGCGTGGGGGTGGAGGTTCTTCCAGCTGCCCTGAGCCTGTGCGAAGCGGGAGGTCCTTCCCCAGTTCCCACAGACTGTGGGGAGGGAAGAGACGGTGGAAGCGAGCGGGTTCTGGGCTCCTGGGTCTCTGGAACTACCCTCTGCCCTTGCCCCAACACTCAGGTAGCGGGAAGGATGACCACGCTCACACGACAAGACCTCAACTTTGGCCAAGGTAGGGAGGCTGGACCTGCGGGCCCGGGGGCGGGGGCGTCTGGGCCGGCGGGCTTCCTCGAGCGCGCCACCGGCTTGTGCCCCCCTGCAGTGGTGGCCGATGTGCTCTGCGAGTTCCTGGAGGTGGCTGTGCATCTCATCCTCTACGTGCGCGAGGTCTACCCCGTGGGCATCTTCCAGAAACGCAAGAAGTACAACGTGCCGGTCCAGGTGAGGCACGTCCCAGAACCACAGAGTGGGTACAGGGTGGACTTTTAAAAATTCTTTGGTCGGGCGCCGTGGCTCACGCCTGTAATCCTAGCACTTTGGGAGGCCGAGGCGGGCGGATCACCTGAGGTCAGGAGTTCGAGACCAGCCTGACAAACATGGTGAAACCCCGTCTCTACTAAAAATACAAAAATTAGCCGGGCGTGGTGGCCAAGGCCTGTAATCCCAGCTACTCAGGAGGCTGAGGCAGGAGAATCCCTTGAACCCAGGAGGCGGAGGTTGCAGTGAGCCGAAATTGTGCCACTGCATTCCAGCCTGGGTGACAAGAGCGAAACTCCGTCTCAAAAAAAAAAAAAAAAAAAAAAAAAAACCTCTTCCACTTCGGGCCAAGCCACCTCATTCCGCAGGGCCCTGCCCATGCCTTCCAATGCCTTCCAGTTCCAAAGTGGTGATGCCTACCCACCCCTCAGAAGAGAGTTCCCCTTGCCAGAAGTTAGGGACCAGGCCTGATAAGAGTTACCCCGGGGGTGGCCGGGCATGGTGGCTCACACCTGTAATCCCAGCACTTTGGGAGGCTGAGGCGGGCGAATCACAAGGTCAGGAGTTCAAGAAACCAGCCTGACCAACATGATGAGATCCTGTCTCTACTAAAAATACAAAAATTAGCCTGGTGTGGTGGTACGCGCCTGTAATCCCAGTTACTAGGGAGGCTGAGGCAGGAGACTCGCTTGAACCCGGGATGCAGAGGTTGAAGTAAGCCCAGATCGTGCCACTGCACTCCAGCCTGGGCGACAGAGCAAGACTATGTCTCCAAAAAAAAAAGTTACCCTGGGGGCATGGTGGCACTTTGAAGGAGCTCGTGAAGCTGGTGAACCTTGGTGTGAGGAGGGTATTTCCAAAAACCTCCAAATCTTCTCCCTACCATTTATCCTAAACTCAATGGGTTAAGGCTAAAAGGCAGACAAAGCAGTGTGCATCGCACTGTAGCTCCAGTCCCTAGAAGTGCCTGTCTCTGGAAGGCACTCAGGAAACATGAGAATAAGTGGTAGAAGCTCAAAGGACATCCAGGTGGTCCCCGCTTCAAGTCCCCACACCACCATTGTTTTCTCACTTCCAGTATGGTATTCAAGACATTACTTGAGGTAGTCAGCACTTTATTTTTTATTTTATATTTTATTTTATTTTATTTTTTGAGACTGAGTCTCGCTCTGTCGCCCTGGCTGGAGTGCAGTGGCGTGATCTTGGCTCACTGCAACCTCCACCTCCTGGGTTCAAGTGATTCTCCTGCCTCAGCCTCCCGAGTAGCTGGGATTACAGGCGTGTGCCACCACATCTGGCTAATTTTTGTATTTTTAGTAGAGACAAGGTTTCGCCGTGTTGGCCAGGCTGGTCTCGATCTCCTGACCTCTGGTGATCCACCTGCCTTGGCCTCCCAAAGTGCTGGGATTACAGGCGTGAGCACTTTATTATGAAACAGGTTTTGTGTTAGATAATGTTGCCCAACTGTGGGCTAATGTGTTTTGAGTGTGTTTAGGTAGGCCTGGCTAAGCTATGATGTTCTGTATGTTATGTGTATTAACTGCATTTTCCGCTGGCGATATTTGATTGGTTTATCCAAACATAAACCCATAGTAAGTTGAAGGTCACCTTTAGAGGGGAAAGGAAAAAACAATTGACATTTACTCACTTCTTCTTTATGATGAAGTGATTGAAGCCCAGAGAAGTTAAGGAATTTGCCTGAGGCCACACAGTTCCTTAGTTCTTAACTTTTGACATCTGATTACATTTTCCTGGATCCTTTTTCTGGAAAAATGCCCAAGTGCACAAAGATACAACTTTAGGGATTTTTCAGACTCTGGAGGAGTCCATGGACCCCACATTAAGAACCCCTAATGGTATATTAAATGCTCATATTGGGATTGAGTTCTTATCTTTCTTTTCCTTTGAGATGGAGTCTTGCTTTGTTGCCCAAGCTGGAGTGCAGTGGCTTGATCTCAGCTCACTGCAACCTCCGCCTCCCAGGTTCAAGTGATTCTCCTGCCTCAGCCTCCCAAGTAGCTGGGATTACAGGTGCCACCTCACCTGGCTAATTTTTGTATTTTTAGTAGAGATGGGGTTTTGCCATTTTGGCCAGGCTGGTCTCAAACTCCTGACCTCAGGTGATCCACCCACCTCATCCTCTCAAAGTGCTGGGATTAGAGGAGTGAGCCACTGTGCCCAGCCTGAGTTCTTATCTTCTAACTTCTTTCTCTATGGATAAGTTCACAGTTCTTAGCCTCTGGTTTTTTTTTTTTTTTTTGAGATGGAGTCTCGCTCTGTTGCCCATGTTGCAGTGCAGTGGCGTGATCTCGGCTCACTGCAACCTCCGCCTCCCGGGTTCAAGCGATTCTTTTGCCTTAGCCTGCCAAGTAGCTGGGACTAAGGTGCCTGCCACCATGCCCGGCTAATTTTTGTATTTTTAGTAGAGATGGGGTTTCACCATATTGGCCAGGCTGGTCTCGAATACCTGACCTTGTGATCCACCTGCCTCGGCCTCCCAAAGTGCTGAGATTATAGGCGTGAGCCACCATGCCCGGCCAGTTCTTAGCCTCTTGAGGGAAAGTGGGGTCTCCTGGGTAGGGAGCCCTGGAGAGCTGCTGGGCCTCGGACCGAAGGCAGATGGGGCCTTAGGCTCCTGGTTGTGTTGGGTGGTTTCCCCATCTGTGCTTTGGGCCTCACGAGCCGCATGGTATTGTGTGCAGATGTCCTGCCACCCGGAGCTGAATCAGTATATCCAGGACACGCTGCACTGCGTCAAGCCACTCCTGGAGAAGGTGAGGGTGCACTGGGCTCCCCAGCCATCTCACCCCATGCTCACCCCCGTCCCTGTGTGCTCACAGTCCAACTCTGGGATGGGGTGAAGCTAGGACTCTGTGGGGTCTTCATGGCTCCAATACCCAGAAGCCTGTTCCCTGCACTCTGGAGACCATCCCAACCCAGGGGCAGGCCCCAAGGCATGCGGGCCATGTTCAGGGTGCCTTGGGCCTGGGAGCCCGGGTTGGAGCTGGCTCTAAGTAGGGGCTGCCCCAGAGGGTTCGGGGTTCTTCTCACATCCGTCCCCTGTTCTCCACGCTAAACGTTCTGTCTGAGCTGAGCCCCTCAGGGTTTCTTCCCCATCTAGTCCTGATCTCAGACTTCCTGGGACCTTCCCTATGGGGCCCGGGCATTCTCTCAGCCTACACCACTCATGCTGGAGGGTGCCGGCTTCTCAAACTCGCTATCTGGCCTCTTGGGGACCCCCAGCCTAGCAGCTGAGCAGGGCTGTGAGTGGGCCGTTTCTCCTCCTTCCTTGGGCAAGGGGGTGGAGGCAGGGTGGTGTAGTCGGGGTGGGGTGCCTGGCTCTGCAGTGGGGGTTCCTCTCTTTGCAGAATGATGTGGAGAAAGTGGTGGTGGTGATTTTGGATAAAGAGCACCGCCCAGTGGAGAAATTCGTCTTTGAGATCACCCAGCCTCCACTGCTGTCCATCAGGTGGGCTGCCCCTGCCCCTCGCCCACTAGCTGGCATCAGGTGTGTCTCTGGCAACACACCCACCCCTTTAAGGCGGCCCTTGAATACCTTGGTAAAGGCCTGGGAGGAGAAAGGGCAAGAAGCACCAGCATGACAAGGGGACAGCCTGTGAGCAGCTGAGATGGGTCCAGAGAGATGACATGAGCTACCCAGGGTCACCTGGGTGGGGGCAGAGCCCAGGACACAGAAGCAGTTTTCTGACTCCCCAGGCAAGTGTCCAGTCAACTCGAAGTTGACCTCTGGCACATGCGTTAGTTGGTCAACTGCATGCTTCCAATGGTGAGGTCAGGGCACTGGAATCTGGCACCAACCTGTCCCCACGGCCTGTGTGGCCTTAGGCAAGCCCTTTCCCCTCCTGGCTTGGTGTCCTGGTTCTGGGTCCTGGCTGCACATTAAAACCACCTAGGGAGGCCTCCTCAGGCTGCCCCTACCTCCCCTGTCCCCTACCCCCCGCCGAATTCTGACTTTATCTGGGGTGGGGCTGGGCATTTCTTTTAAACTCCCTTGCTGGTTTAATTGTGTGGACCGGATAGGGAGCTGGGTCCTAGGCATGCAGCACTCTCACAGGCACTGGAGGGGGTCTTGTACCCCAGGTCTGCATCCAGGCTTGATGCCTGTGGTGGAGGGGAGGGCGCCAGTGTGATGGGAAGACCTCCTCTCACTCCCAGCTCAGACTCGCTGTTGTCTCATGTGGAGCAGCTGCTCCGGGCCTTCATCCTGAAGATCAGCGTGTGCGATGCCGTCCTGGACCACAACCCCCCAGGTGTGTCCACTCCCCACCCTCTCTTCCCTTGGCATTTCCATGGTTATCTCGGGTTGGTCTGTGTTCCCAGGTCCATGTTTGGCTGTTCTGAGACTCATCTCTTCCTAACCCTGAGAGTCCACCTCCTCTGGGAAGCTTCCCTGATTGATTCTACCTGGCTTCCATCTCCCTATTGACTGGGGCTTTTCTTAGCACTTGCTTTGCCATCTGCTCTGGGGGTGCTGCTGAGCCAGCAAGGGAAGTGGGAAGAGGCTGGGCCCAGTGGCTGGCACCAGGGCGGTGGGGGAGCCTCCACCAACCTCTTGCCTCTCCAGGCTGTACCTTCACAGTCCTGGTGCACACGAGAGAAGCCGCCACTCGCAACATGGAGAAGATCCAGGTCATCAAGGTGAGATGAGATGGGTCTGGGTCTGGGCGCAGGCTCTAGAAACGTGATGTCGCAGTTCCAGGCGGGCAGGGGCACTGCCTGTGGCCAGCCACCCATTACATTGGTGTGGCAGCGCCTGGCACCCAGCAGGTCCTCAGGCCTGTCCACTGCTCCATCTGGGCACTTGGGGCAGTGAGGAGCCCAGGTGGAGCCACCTACTGGGGCCCCCAGCTCATCCTGGCTCTTCTGAAGTGGGGGCTCTCCAGGGAGGGGTCCTAGCCCACCAGGTTCAGCGTTGGTGCCTGGAGCCTGTTCGTCACTTGGGTTCTATGGACTTGGCCTCTGTGGGGGATGGGGGCGGTCCTGGGGTCTGCATCACCAACAGCTTCCTAGTGATTCTGAGGCTCAGGTTGGAGGCCCCTGGTCTGGAGTGGGAGGGACAGCAAAGTGAGGGCAGGCCAGGGCCCAGCCCCGTCACCCCCCTGACCTTTGTCTCCTCCCTAGGATTTCCCCTGGATCCTGGCGGATGAGCAGGATGTCCACATGCATGACCCCCGGCTGATACCACTAAAAACCATGACGTCGGACATTTTAAAGGTGAGCTTCGTGGGGACCCGGGAAGCTTTATTTAGGGGCTGCTTAACGAAGTGAGGCCCGGTGCTGAGGCCTTACTAGAGGGCTTGCGGGAGAGAACGGGGGAGTGCCTGGTGGAGGGCTCCTCCCATCTCTACTCTTCTCCACCATGGCTATGGCCACGAGGCCCCACCTGTGGTGGAGGTCTGCCCACCAGGGGCTTCTGTGTCCTCCAGCAGGGATGCCCTGGCTGTCTTGCTGACTGTGGCTGTTTGCTTGTGTCCGTCAGATGCAGCTTTACGTGGAAGAGCGCGCTCATAAAGGCAGCTGAGGGGGCACCTGCCACCCCACTGATGCCCAAACTGTCAGACTTTGGGGGATCCCCGCCTAGGGCAGTGCTGCATGGCTGCCCTGATTCCAAGTGCTCTTATCGCCTCTGTGTGTGGATCGCCCGCCCCAGCCCGGGGCCGCTCAGGTCTGCTTGGAGGATGCCTCCCCCAGGAGGGCAGTGAGGGATGCCGCAACCTCGACTTCTCAGCCTCCTGGGGTTCCGCCGGCCAACACTGTCTGTCTCAAATACTGTGCTGTGAGTTGTTTCAATAAAGGGGCCCCAAGGGCTGGGCTGAGCTGAGCCATCATTAACTGGAGTGGGAGGGACAGGTATGGCCAGGGTAACCTGGGAGAGGGGCTGCTTCTCCACCAAAATGCCAGGGACCCCCTCTCCCCACTCCTAAAACCAACCCCAGGCTGGTTTTACTGAAAACATTTATTTTTTATTTATTTATTATTATTATTATTTTATGAGCCAGAGTCTCGCTCTGTCACCCAGGCTGGAGTGCAGTGGCGTGATCTCGGCTCACTGCAAGCTCTGCCTTCCGGGTTCACGCCATTCTTCTGCATCAGCCTCCCGAGTAGCTGGGACTACAGGCGCCCGCCACCACGCCCGGCTAATTTTTTGTATTTTTAGTAGAGACAGGGTTTCACCGTGTTGGCCAGGATGGTCTCTATCTCCTGACCTCGTGATCCACCTGCCTCGGTCTCCCAAAGTGCTGGGATTACAGGCGTGAGCCACAGTGCCCGGCCTGAAAACATTTATTACAACAAAACGTCAGAGCTATGTGACAGTAAGTTACCACAAGCTGGTAGGGTTGAACCGGGGCAGGAGTCGCTGGTACAGGGACCTCACTGCCCACCCCATGCTCAGCTCCTGCCTGGAGGAACCTCTGGCTGACCCAGACACAGGATGGACAGCTGTCAGAAAATCTGGACAACAGCTCGGTAGGGCGATTGGGCAGCCTCCTCCTGTCCATGCTTCTGCCCAGGCTGAGCCTCGGAGGAGGCCTGGTTCCTGGTCATCTTGGGGCTGACGACAATGCTGCTGTTGGTGACTCGGGGCCCATACCAGCCTGCCCAGTACTGGGTGTCCCTGCCCCCATGCTGGAAGAGGATGTAGCGGACACCCCGGGGGTAGTCTGAGAAGGTGTAGGAGACCTGTTGGGAGGAAGGGAGAGGAAGTGACCACCGGGACGGGGGAGGGGAAGGCAGGAGCCAGGTCCTCTAAGAGAGCTGCCCAGGCTGGAAGGCAACAGCTCCAGGCCAGCAGGGGCACCCTGGGCCCTGAGGCTGCCCTTTGCTTCCTGCCATCCTGGCCCTGGGAGGAGTGGGTAGAGAGAGCAAGTGGGTGAGGCCTCACCTCTGTCCATGTGGCATTGTTCCACTGTTGGATGGTCACAGGTGGGGGCTCGAAGGAGGCCAACACGAAGTAGTCAGCCGAGGCCAGCTGCACTTTGAGTTGGTAGGTGCAGCCACAGTCGGCTCTGGCAGCAAACCTGGTGGAGGGGTTGAGAGCCCTGTGTCCAAGCCACCGAGGGCTGGCCCCAGGGGTGGGGGCAGGTGGGACCTATACATTGGAGCTCGGAGCTTCATCTCCCATCAGCTGACACTGCTCTGCCTGCAAGGCCCAGCTGGCTTCAGCGCTCCCTATGCCCCACTGTGGCCCGGGGATAAGCTGTCTGTCCATGCTGGCCTCTGTTACCCCATCTGAGAAGAGGGACCCTTTTGGGCATCCTACTAAAGATATGACCTCAAAAATCAAAAGACCCCTCCAGAGAGGCCTGGTCTGTCCAAGCCATGTCACCTGTACTTACAATGGACCAGGCTGTGGATTCAGTGGGAGAGTCAAGGGGGTGGCCTGTGTAATGGGGCTGGCACAAAGCTCACCCTCTGCTCAGCCCAGCCACCTCTCCCCCCTGCAGCTCTGCATACCCCTCCATCCTCACCGCTTTATCCTCAGAGTGGCAGCCCTGGGGCCTGCCTAGAACTGGGGTCCTGCTTCTGCCACCGGCCAAGCCAGAGCCTGGCACAGTTCTGTGCACAGAGTAGGAGCTCCAAAAAGAGTCATGGGATGAATAGGGAAAGGGGCAGGGGAGGCAGGTAGGTCAGGGGACCTGGGGGTTCCCACCCAGTCCAGAGAGGGCTGAGGTCCTCTGTTGCCCAAGTGCCTGTCAGTGCACAGTGGCTGGGCACAGTGGCTCACACCTGTAATCCCAGCACTTTGGGAGGCCGAGGTGGGTGGATCACTTGAGGTCAGGAGTTTGAAACCAGCCTGACCAGCATGGTAAGACGCTGTCTGTATTAAAAATATAAAAAAAAATAGCCGGGTGTAGTGGTGGGCACCTGTAATCCCAGCTACTCAGGATGCTGAGGCAGGAGAATCGCTTGAACATGGGAGGCGGAGGTTGCAGTGAGCCAAGATCACGCCACTGCACTCCAGCCTGGGTGACAGAGCGAGACTCCGTCTCAAAAAAAAAAAAAGTGCCTGTCCATGACAGTGCACCTGGGGGCCTCAGCCTCCTCACCTGCACACTGGGGCTACTGTGTCCTGTTGACTACGTCACAGGGTGGTGGGGAGGCCAGGAGGTGCCGCAGGGTGTGGGTGCAGAGCAGGGGCGGAGGCCGGGGCTACCTGGCTCCAGGGCACTGCTGTGCAGAGTGGGCACTTGCTATGGGTTGTCTCACGTACATGCAGCGCAGTAAGAGGAGCATGTAGAGTGTGGGGACACAGGCCATGGACCCTACTCACCAGTCCTTAACCACGATGTCCGGCCGGAATGTGTCTAGTAGCTCCTCCCAGTAGCCCTCGGCTACAAGGTCCACCAGCTGGGACTTGAGGCACATTCTGGGGAGCAGAGTTGGGGGCTTGCATACCTGGGTGTGCTCTGCATGGCCCCCCCCCTCACCCAGGCCTTGGCAGCCCCTGTGAGCCCAGGGAGGTGGTTTGGGGACCTAGGGTACCCCTTGGCCGCTGCGGGACAGGCACTGGCTGGGGCTGACTCTGGCTTTTCCTCCAGTGCAGGAGGGAGTTTGACCCACTTGTGCCTGGGCGGCATTTGATCCCAGTCCAAAGGCCCATTGTTCCAGGGCACTTTTGTAAACTCAAGTTCCTAGCTTACGGACAGATGCCTGTAGATAGCCCTGGCTTATCTTAACTGCCCAATGGACTCCTGGCCTGCTTCAGTGATCCCCACCCCCACTGTCCATTAACACAGCACTGAGTGATTTCAGGAAGCAGTGACTCTGGGCAAGTTTTGGGGCCACCTCCCTCGAGCTTCGCAGAGAGGACTTCCCTTAGGAAGACTTTGCCTGAGACTTGGCAAAGGTGTCCTGACCCTCTGTCCCCTCCACGCAAGCCTGGTAGGTTCAGTTTGCCTTACTCGTAGGATGTGACAAAATACTTCTTGACTTTGGGGTCAGGAAAATCTGTCCCGTGGGCTCCAGGGAGGCTCTCCACCTTCCAGCGGTCCCCACCATTGAAATCAATTTGCCATGCAAACATATCCTCTAGGAAGAACAGAAGCCAAGGTGAGACCCCCTGTGTAAATCCAAAGTCCAGCCCTCCCCACTTAGTCCCAGGAGGGCGGGAGGGAGGGTGGTTGGCGTTAGTGACCTTCTTGGGAGGCAGGACTTGCTCATGCTCAGGTCTCTGCGGCTGTGGACACCAAAGGGTTAACCAGCTTGTTCCTTCTCAAGGGCATTGTGTGGCCAAGGTACCCCACCAGCCCAAGTGTACCCCAACTGCACCTTGGAGCACCCCTACAAAGCACCCCTCCAACACATTCCCAACTGTCCTCACCATATCAGCTCTGATCTGACTCTGTCCCTCCCACTCAGTCCCAAACTGGCCTCACTCCTAACACGCAGCTGGAGAAAAGAATGCGTGTTACCAGAAATTCTAAACCAACCCCTTCCTCACTTCCATGTTGCGGTGGAACTCTGGGAAATACCCAAGTATCAGTTCTCAAAAAATTACGAGAGGCCTGTGAGAGTACTGTCCTCAAAGACTAATGTGAAGCCGGGCACGGTGGCTTGCGCCTGTAATCCCAGCACTTTGGGAGGCCAAGGCAGGTGGATTGCTTGAACCCAGGAGTTCAAGACCAGCCTGGGGAACATAGCGACACCCCCCCCCCCTTTTTTTTTTAATAAGTAAAATAATTTTTTAAAAAAGGCTAACGTGTTCATCCCAACACAGACTGCTTACTTGACCCAGATGGCATCCCAGATGTCCAGGAGGGAGAGGCCCTTGGTTAACTACATAACCCAGGTTGGAGGCCCTAGAGGATGGGTTTGTGGGTTTGTCGGTGGGTCATGGGAACCAAGATTCCCATAGGGCTCAGATGGCCTCTGCCCAGGGCAAGAGTGCCAAGTGGAAGAACAGGTACCCTTTGGGCTGGGCGCTGTGGTAACATTCATGGGTGGGCCTCCATTAGGTGGGCCTGGTGGGTGCAGGGGAGCAATCACCCTCTTCACACTGAACTTAGAGGACCTTAGAAGACAATGGCGCTTCTCTACTGGCGCTGCCCAGGCAATCACCAGGGCACTTTTTTTTTTTTTTTTGAGACGGAGTCTTGCTCTGTTGCCCAGGCTGGAGTGCAGTGGCGCAATCTTGGCTCACTGCAAGCTCCGCCTCCCAGGTTCACGCTATTCTCCTGCCTCAGCCTCCCAAGTAGCTGGGACTACAGGTGCCTGCCACCACGCCCAGCTAATTTTTTTACATTTTTAGTAGAGATGGGGTTTCACCTTGTTGGCCAGGATGGTCTCGATCTCCTGACCTCGTCATCCGCCCGCCTCAGCCTCCCAAAGTGTTGGGATTACAGGCGTGAGCCACCGCCCCCGGCGGTGTGGTGGCTCACGCCTGTAATCCCAGCACTTTGGGAGGCCGAGGCAGGCAGATCACCTGAGGTCAGGAATTCGAGACCAGCCTGGCCAACATGGCAAAACCTCATCTCTACTAAAAGTACAAAAATTAGCTGGGCATGGTGGTGGGCGCCTGTAATCCCAACTACTTGTGTGTGTGTGTGTGTGTGTGTGTATGTATATGTATATATGTATACACATATATGTATACATATGTATATATACGTATATATGTGTACATATATACATGTGTATATGTATACACGTGTATATATGTATACATGTGTATATACGTATATGTATACATATGTGTGTGTGTGTATATGTGAAGGTGTCACTGTGGATGCTATAGTGTGGCAAACAAGGTCCATTTGGCCCCTGGAGCTTGAAGTTTGTAGCAGAAAAAAATAAGGAAATTCTGAAAAAAAAATTTTTTTTTTTTTTTTGAGACTAAAAGTTTCACTCTTGTCACCCAGGCTGGAGTGCAATGGAGCCATCTCGGCTCACCGCAACCTCTGCCTCCCAGGTTCAAGTGATTCTCCTGCCTCAGCCTCCCAAGTAGCTGGGAATTGTAGGCGTGGGCCAGCATGCCCAACTTTGTGTGTTTTTAGTAGAGACAGGGCTTTGCCATTTTGACCAGGCTGGTCTCTAACTCCTGAGCTCAGGTGATCCGCCCATCTCGGCCTCCCAAAGTGCCGGGATTACAGGCGTGAGCCACCGCGCCTTGTGAAAAGTGTTACAGGGCATGAAATGGGGGTGCTATGCTAGAGGTGGAGAGGGCTGTTTTTAGATTGGGAGCACAGGGCAGGTCTCTGAACTGAGACCTGAAGAATGAGAAGGAACCAAGGAAGTGAGGTGGGTGTTTAGGGTTAGAGAATATTCCAGGTAGTGTGGGAATTGCAAGTGCCAAGGCCCAAGGATGAGAAGGAACGAGCCTGGTGGCAGCCTCCACCCTGCCCCCATGCCACCTTCAGCACACGGGTTGCGCAGGAGGTTCCTATGCAGGCTCCGTAGGAAGTAGAAGATTTTCCAGTCGGCCACGGGCTGGTCCCAGTCCTTGGTGATGAAGCCCTCTCGCAGGCACTTGCGTTTCCAGAGGGTCATGAGGTCGATGAGGTCCCGCCAGAGGCTGCAGACCAGGCGGCAGTTCAGCAGCAGCTGGCGGGCGGGCACGTGCGTGAACAGCTCCAGCAGGATGTTCTCGGGCAGCTCGTTAATGCTGTCCAGGGCTGCTTTGGAGTGGGGAGCATCCATGGCCTGTGGGGGCAACAGCAGTTATGAGCCTGACCAGGGAGGTGGGCCCTCAGGTCCCCAGGGAACCAGGCCAGGGACTCCTCTCCAACCCTGCATTAGCCAGGTGTGGTGGCACATGCCTGGAGTCCCAGGTACTTGGGAGGCTGAGGCAGAGGATCCCTTGAGCCTGGGAATTCAAGGCTACAGTGACCTATGATCGCGCCACTGCACCCCTGCCCGGGCAACCAAGCAAGACTCTGGCTAAAAAAAAAAAAAAACCCACAAAAGAGCATTTCTGAGGCTGAGGGTCCTTCCAGTAAACAGTAGCCCCTCAGTGGAAAGAGTAGTCATGGGACACACATTCAGAAGAGTGCAATACAAATAGTAAAGTCTTTAGAGACACATTTTTTAAAAGGCCCCTCCCCAATTTAAAAAAAATTGCTTAATTTTAAAGCCAGTGGGTTGTGTGGACTGTAAGATTTTGTGGAGGCCACACTTGTCTGCAAAGTTCTGTGAGGGTTTTGGTGATTGTTATTTTAATGCTCTGGATTCACTGTTAGAATATAAAATCTTTTTTTTTTTTTTTTTGAGACAGAGTCTTGCTCTGTCACCCAGGCTGGAGTGCAGTGGTGCAATCTCGGCTCACTGCAACCTCCGCCTCCTGGGTTCAAGCGATTCTCCTGCCTCAGCCTCCCGAGTAGTTGGGACTATAGGCGCATGCCACCATACCCAGCTAATTTTCTGTATTTTTAGTAGAGACGGGGTTTCATCGTGTTAGCCAGGATGGTCTCAATCTCCTGACCCCATGATCCGCCCACCTCGGCCTCCCAAAGTGCTGGGATTACAGGCGTGAGCCACCGTACCCGGCCAGAATATAAAATCAGTTTTACATCCCAGACTCATTAATGTTCATTTAGTGGTGAGCTAGCGCTGAGAAACCACCTTCCTATCTCCAGAAGCTTACTTTGGCCTGGAAGTCACATGTGATAAAACAACCCCATGGGAATCCCCCACGGCACCCGGCTGAGCTGTCTTTGGTGTCAGGCCAGAATCCACTTGGAGATGGCCGGAAAAAAAAAATCAGATGGAGGGTGGCTGAGAAGACTGCCTGGGTTTGAATCCTGGTCTGCAGTGACCAGTTGGGAAGCTGTGAAAAGGAGGGGGTAACTGTCCCGACCCTGGAAGGGCCAGGAGGACCAAGTGAAGCACAGAGCTTCAGTCAGCATTGCTGTCAGCACAAACCGGCTCTCAACACTGTCCTCCTTGTACCTCTGCACTGCGCACGGGTTCTGGAAAACTTCAAGCAGTGCCACAGCCCTGGCCTGAATCTGTTACCTGGGGGCACCTGGTTAGTCCTCTTAAGGGGATCCCAGGTACTTGCCCCAGGTAGGTGGGGGTTGGCCGGCAGCCAGGGCTCTGCACTGTCACTCAGGTGGGCCTCATCTGCTTACACATGAGGAGAGAATGTTCTCCACCTACAAGCAGGGAAACAGAACCTTGCTGGCCTCTTTTTTTTTTTCTTCCCCCCCACCCCGAGACAGTTTCACTCTTGTTGCCCAGGCTGGAGTGCAATGGCGTGATCTCGGCTCACTGCAATCTCCACCTCCTGGGTTCAAGCAATTCTCCAGCCTCAGCCTCTCAAGTAACTGTGATTACAGGTGCCCGCCACCACACCCAGCTAATTTTTGTATTTTTAGTAGAGACAGGGTTTCACCATGTTGGCCAGGCTGGTTTTGAACTCCTGACCTCAGGTGATCCACCCGCCTCAGCCTCCTGAAGTCTGGGATTACAGGTGTGAGCCACTGTACCCAGCCTTTTGCTGTGGCCTCTTCTGATTTTCCATAGAGGCTTGGCCAAAGCAGCAGTTCATGGTCTTCTGAAGGCTCCCATCTCAGAAAACAGGAGGGTGGGTGCATGCTCACTTCTGCCCAGGGAGGAACACTTTACATGGCAGAGAAAACAGGTGAGGTACTTGTGCCTCGTGAAAAATGCTTTGCAGGCCGGGTGCGGTGGCTCAAGCCTGTAACCCCAGCCCTTTGGGAGGCCGAGGGGTGCGGATCACAAGGTCAGAAGTTCGAGACCAGCCTGGCCAACACAGTGAAACCCCATCTCTACTAAAAATACAAAAAAATTAGCCAGGCGTGGTGGTGTGCACCTGTAATCTCAGCTACTCAGGAGGCTGAGGCAGGAGAATCGTGTGAACCTGGGAGGCGGAGGTTGTGGTGAGCCGAGATTGCACCACTGCACTCCAGCCTGGGTGACAGTACAAGGCACCGTCTCAAAAAAAAAAAAAAAGAAAAGAAAAAAGGCTTTGCAACCTTGGCAACACAGGGAGGCCCCGTCTCTATAAATAGTGAAAAAATTCGCCGGGCATAGTGGCGAGTGCCTATGGTCCTAGCTACTTGGGAGGTTATGGCGTCAGGATCTTCTGAGCCCAGGAGGTCAAGGCTGCAGTAGCTCACAGGTGTGAGCCACCGAACCCAGCCCCTCAGATTTTTCTACCTTACAGTCCATGAGGCCTGCCGAGGTCACACTCTAGGGAAAGAAGGAGCCTGCTGGAGCAGAGTGAGCCATGATTGCTCCATGGCACTCCAGCCTGGGCAACAGAGCAAAACTGTCTCAAAAAAAAAAAAAAAAAAAAAGAGAAAAGAAAAATGCTTTGATGGAAAAAAAAAATAACAAAAAAACCCAATGTGGCCAAGTCTTCTAAGTTCTGAGAAGCAACTGTAAGCATTTGAAAAAAAATGTAAAAGTTGTCAATTAAAAATGCTTGTAGTCTAGGCAACATAGTGAGACTCTGTCTCTAGAAAAAAAGAAATTAGGTCGGGTGCACAGACTCAGGCCTGTATTCCCAGCACTTCGGTAGGCCGAGGCGGGCGGATCACAAGATCAGGAGTTCGAGACCAGCCTGGCCAATATGGCGAAACCCCGTCTCTACTAAAAATACAAAAATTAGCTGGGCGTGGTGGCGGACGCCTGTAGTCCCAGCTACTCGGGAGGGTGAGGCAGGAGAATCACCTGAACCCGGGAAGCGGAGGTTGCAGTGAGCCGAGATCGTGCCACTGCACTCCAGCCTGGGCAACAGAGTGAGAATCTGTCTCAAAAAAAAAAAAAAAAAAAAAAAAGGCCGGGCGCGGTGGCTCACGCCTGTAATCCCAGCACTTTGGGAGGCCGAGGTGGGCGGATCACGAGGTTAGGAGATCGAGACCGTCCTGGCTAACACAGTGAAACTCCATCTCTACTAAAAATACAAAAAATTAGCCGGGCTTGGTTGCAGGTGCCTGTAGTCCCAGCTACTCGAGAAGCAGGTGCCTGTAGTCCCAGCTACTCGGGAGGCTGAGGCAGGAGGACGGCCTGAACCCGGGAGGCGGAGCTTGCAGTGAGCTGAGATCGCGCCACTGCACTCCAGCCTGGGCGACAGAGCGACACTCCGTCTCAAAAAAAAAAAAAAAAAAAAAAAAAAAGAAATTAGCTAGGCCTGGTGGCCCGTGCCTGTAGTCCCAGCTATGCAGGAGGCTGAGGCAGGAGGAACGCTTGAGCCCAGGAAGTCGAGGCTGCAGTGAGCCGTGATCATGCCACTGCACTCCAGCCTGGGTGACAGAGCAAGACTCTGCCATAAATAAATAAATAAATAAATGCTGGCAGCTTCTAAAGGCACTGTCTAGACTCTAGACGAAATAAAAGTCACTGGGCTCCAAGCTAGAGGCATCTAGGCACCAATAGCTTCCCACCGTGGTGACCGAAGTCTGGTCTCTGGCCCAGTCCGCATTTTCTTGCGCCCCTTCCCCCCCCCGGCCCTGGGCATTTTGTGGTGGGGAAGTCCATGCCAGCCCTAGGAAGCCCTCTCACACCGATCGGGGTCCCCAACTGCCCGGCCCGGCGTCTCGTGCTCGCCTTCTCCGCACCCACCCTCCCAGCAAGCTCTAGTGGCATTGTTACTTCACCGGTTTCTCGGAAACAGAAACTGTGGCTGGGGCAAGGCAAGCGCCGGATCTCGCAGGCGTGTGGGGGCCTGGAGGTCCCTTGACAGTTCTCCGAACCCGGCGCCGGCCTCGGGATGTGGCCGGGGTGGAGGCGGCCGCAGAGCCTCCGCCTGGGTGGCCCCGGGGCCAGGCCCCCAGTCGAAGTCCGGGCCCAGCCGCCCGCGCCCCCCACCCCTGGCCGCCCGGACCAGCGCCCGCAGGCTCCGTGAACGCCCAGGCGCCGGAGACCCCGGCTCCCCACTCGCCCGCCGCCCGTCCCCCCGGGGACGCGACCTGGGCGCAGCGGCGGAGCTCCAGGTCGGCCCGAGCCTACGGCCTCGGCTTCGTTGTCGCTGGGCCCCGCCGCCGCGTCACGCGCTGCGCTCGGTCCCCACCCCCGCCCCGGACCCCGCTGCCGTCCCTCTCGGCCCGGCCCCTAACCCTCGCCGCGGGAAGACGAACCTGGGATCCCCAGGGCCCGGGCCCTCGCTGCGGCCTGCGTGTCCTGAAGCTGTCTCCCCCTCCAGGCGGCGGGCGGCTCAGCACCCACACCTGCACCCGCCTCCTACGCAGGGCCGAAGCTCCCGAACGCGCGGCCGCTCCCCGGACCTCCGCACTAGTTCCTTCCTTATGCGGCCCAGGGCTCCACCCTTGACCCGCGGTCCCCTCCCTAGAGGCAGGACCTGACACCCAGTGGGCTCCTTCTTTCCCTAGGGCGTGACCTCCGCAGGCTTCATAGACTCAAAGGTAAAAAACCTGAGGTGCTAGGAGGTGGCTAACGCCTGTGATCCCAGCACTTTGGGAGGCCGAGGTGGGGAGGATCGCTTGAGGTCAGGAGTTCGAGACCAGCCTGGCCAACATGGCAAAAACCCTGTCTCTACTAAATATACAAAAATTAGCCGGGCGTGGTGGCACAGGTCTATAATCCCAGCTCCTCCGGAGGCTGAGGTGGGAGAATCGCTTGAACCTGGGAGGCTGCAGTGAGTGGAGACTGTACCACTGCACTGCAGCCTGGGCGACAGAGCCAGACCTTGTCTCAAAAAATAAAAAACCTCTGAGGTTTTTTATCAGGATTAAGTTCATGAATTTCTTCCATCAGTCAACAAATATTTAGCAAGCACCTTGTTCAGGCAACCACCAAGGGTTGTGCAGGCTGTGTACTGCACAAGGGGACTGGCCCAGGACACATTAATTGCAGTCAGGGCTACATGTTCTCCGTGGAAGGCCGTCCTTTTGCAGTTTGCCATGGGCTGGTGGGTGGTGATCCTGCCCTGGCCAAAGCCCTTATCTAGCTCACCCTTGACTGAGATAGCTAAATGTGAGGAGTACTTATTGAGCACTGGATTATAGTCCATGTTCACACTGCTATAAAGAAATACCCGAGACTGGGTGATTTATAAAAGGAAAGAGGTTTAATTGACTTATAGTTCCATATGGCTGGGGAAGCCTCAAGAAACAATCGCTGGGCGCGGTGGCTCACGCCTGTAATCTCAGCACTTTGGGAGGTCGAGGTGGGTGGATCACGAGGTCAGGAGATTGAGACCACCCTGGCCAACATGGTGAAACTCCATCTCTACTAAAAATACAAACAAAATTAGCCGGGCATGGTGGTGGGCGCCTGTAGTCTCAGCTACTCCAGAGGCTGAGGCAGGTGAATGGCGCGAACCTGGGAGGCAGAGCTTGCAGTGAGCTGAGATTGCGCCACTGCACTCCAGCCTGGGCGACAGAGCGAGACTCCATCTCAAAAAAAAAAAAAAAAAAAAGAAAAGAAAAGAAAAAAGGAACTTACAATCATGGTGGTGGAAGGTGAAGGGGAAGCAACGACCTTCTTCACATGGCGGCAGGAGGGAGCCGGGGAAACCGTCACTTGTAAAACCATCAGATCTCGTGAGAACTCACTCACTATCATGAGAACAGCATGGGGGAAAACCGCTCCCATAATCCAATCACTTCCCACCAGGTCTCTCCCTAAACACCCAGGATTACCATTCAAGATGAGATGTGGGTGGGGACACAAAGCTTAACCATATCACGCACCAACTGTGTGCCAGGCACCATTCTAAATGCTTCGGCTTCATCCAATGTCCGTAAAGCTGTTGGCAAAGAGTAACACCAGGAGGCAGAGCCTGGGTGGCACTGCTGATCTGGCACAAGGTGGACTCAAGAGCTGCCCAGAGATGTCCACACACCCCAACCCCAGCCTGTGGCTGGGCCTCCAGAGGAAGCCAGCAGTACTGGACGGCTGCCAGGTGAGATACCTGCAGCTCACTGAGGGGTCTGCCCATGAACCTGTTTCTGTGATGGCCTGGTTCCTGAAATGCCAACCCCTCTGTACCTTAGACAGAAGCCATGCCATTGTACCATCTGCAGGTCCAGGCAGGACCACCTAAAGTCTGCCTTTCCTTCCAGAAACCACAGGGCACAGGTTAGACTGGGCACACCTTTTATTTGGCTGCATGCAGTAGGGCGAAGTCAGGAGAACACTGCTATCTTTCCAGCAGGACAAGAGGCAAGTTCCAAGGGTGGTTGGCTGGGAGACAGAGGTCTTGGGAATGGCAGTTCTAGGGGTGGGGTGGGGGCTTGGAATGCTCTCCAAGCCAGAGGGGGCCGGGCCTGGATTTGGGAGGTGGACAGGGGATTCTTCAAACCCCCTACCATACTCATCCAGGGCTCATGTGTCCAGCTGTCAGAGCAGGTCCCAATCCTGCTCCCCATCTACCCTGGGACATCCTGTACAGGATTCCCTCAGTCCTCTGGGAACCTAACCCCACCTGGTACCCATCTAGCTTCTGGGGCTCCACTGACAGTGAGGACAGTCCACACCCGACCTGGACCCCACCCCACCCTGGGTCTGTCCATCTCAGTCCCGGCCTGAGCCTCTGGGCCAAAGCCACCTCTTCTGAGCAGGCAGGCAGAGCGAGAGACTGGGAGCAGCAGACAGGGGCAGAGCACGGCCCATGAGCCCACCCTCCACTTCCCAGATTGGTCAGAGTTACATGGTCACCTCCCTGCACCTGCACCATCAGGGCAGCTGCAAGCTTGCCAGTTGTCTTGCCTGTCCCTGCTCCGAGGGTCAAAGAACACAGGTAGAATGGTCCCAGGAGGGGAAGGGAGAGACAGATCCAGGCTGGCCTCCAAGCTCGACTTTCTGAGGGGCCCAGGGGAACATGCTGCACCTCCCACATCTCAGGTGCTCCGTCTCTGAAAGGGGCACACGCAGGCTTCCCCGGCCATCATTCAGGTCAAGACCTTTCGGGGAGAGCTGGCCCGACCCCAGCATGCGAGGGCTGCCCACACTGAGAGGCTCCACAAAGAAGAGGCTGCTAGGGGCAAGGGTTAGAGGTCTGGGGACACCTGGCCTCCACCTCCCCTTCCCAAGCCCAGCCCTTTTCTGACAGCAGTTGTTTACCAGTCAGGGTTCAGCAGATGGGGGCTCAGGGGGTGTCAGGGCAGCGGGGGCCCGATGGTGATGCTGCTGTTGGTGACCCTCGGGCCGTACCAGCCGGCCCAGTAATGAGTGTCCACGCCGCCGTGCTGAAACCAGATGTAGCGGACGCCGGGCGGGTAGTTGGAGAATGTGTGGGAGACCTGGCAGGGCAGGTAGAGGGGGGAGAAAGGTCAAGGGAGCTGACTCAGGCTGGGTGTGGCGGCTCACACCGGGAATCCCAGTACTTTGGGAGGCTGAGGTGGGAGGGTTGTTTGAGCCCAGGAGTTTGCAACTAGTCTTGTCGCAAACCAGAGAGTGAGATACCATCTCTACAAGAAAAAAAAAATTAGCCAGGCATGGTGGTGTGTGCCTGTAGTTCTAGGCAGGCTGAGGCAGGAGTACAGGCTAAAGTAGGAGTTCAAGACTGCAGTGAGCTGTGATCACGTCACTGCGCTCCAGCCTGGGCAACAGAGTGAGACCGTGTCTCTAAAAAACAAAAGAAATAAAAGATGAGCCTTAACAAAAAGGGTGGGAGCAGACTCTGAGTGTGGCACTGCCTGAGGGGGGCAGGGGAACAAGGAAGGGGCTGAGTTCTTGGTGCCAGCTAGAAATCAGTGGAGTTCTAGTTTGAACTCTGTGATTTGGGACAGACCAATTCCTTTCTCTGTGCTTCAGTTTCCTCATCTATAAAATGGAGCAAAATCCTGCTGGTCTACTCCACAGGATTATCATTCAGCCCAAAGGAATGGAAAGAAACTGCAAGCTGCCAAAGGATGTCCAATATACTCATCACGGGGCACATGTATTATTTAGGTTAAAATTAAGTAAAAGTGCCCGGCGCGGTGGCTCATGCCTGTAATCCCAGAACTTTGGGAGGCTGAGGCGGGTGGATCACCTGAGGTCGGGAGATGGAGACCAGCCTGACCAACATGGAGAAACCCCGTCTCTACTAAAAATACAAAATTAGCTGGCGTGGTGGCGCATGCCTGTAATCCCAGCTACTCAGGAGGCTGAGGCAGGAGAATCGTTTGAACCGGGAGGCAGAGGTTGTGGTGAGCTGAGATCGCGTCACTGCACTCCAACCTGGGTGACAGAGCGAGACTCCGTCTCAAAAAAGAAAAAAAAATTAAGTAAAATTAGATGAAATAAAAAATTCAGGTACTCAGTTGTACTAGGAACTGGCTCTTACTAACTGTTCAGTGGTCACATGTAGCTACTGGCTACCTTATGGATAGCATAGACACAGACCATTTCTATCACTACAGAAAGTTCTATTGGACAGGGCTGGGGTTGGCAAACGATGGCCTGCAGGCCCACTGCCTGTTTTTATAAATAAAGTTTTACTGGAACATAGCCATGTCCATTCGTTTACATATTGTCTAGAGCTGTTTTCACACAACAGCAGAGTTGGAGAGTTGAGTAATTGTGACAGAGACAATGTGACCTGCAAAGCCTAAAATATTCGTATCCGCCATTTTAAGAAAACATTTGCTAGGGCTGGGCACAGTGGCTCATGCCTGTAGTTCCAGCACTTTGGGAGGCTGAGGCAGAAGGATGACTTGAGGCCAGGAGTGCGAGACCAGCCTGGGCAACAAAGCAAAACTCCATCTCTACAAAAAAAAATTTTTTTTTTAATTAGTGGTGGTGCACACCTGTACTCCCAGCTACTCAGGATGCTGAGGCAGGAGGATGACTTGAGCCTAAGAGTTTGAGTCTGCAGTGAGCTATGAATGCGCCAGCCTGGGTGACAGAGACCCTGTCCCTAAAAATATGTTAAGTAAATTAAAACAAACAAACAAACAAACAAATATTTGCTGACCCCAGTCTAGAAAACAGTAGTAATCAATACTAGTAATTAGTAACAGTCAGTCAACCTTTTGGAATTTTTTTTCTTTTCTTTTCTTTTTTTGTTGAGATGGAGTTTCGCTCTTGTTGCCCAGGCTGGAGTGCAATGGCGCGATCTCGGCTCACGGCAACCTCCGCCTCCTGGATTCAAGCGATTCTTCTGCCTCAGCCTCCCAAGTAGCTGGCATGTGCCACCACGCCTGGGTAATTTTGTATTTTTAGTAAAGACGGGGTTTCTCCCTGTTGGTCAGGCTGGTCTCGAACTCCCAACCTCAGGTGATCTGCCTACCTGGGCCTCCCAAAGTGCTGGGATTACAGGTGTGAGCCACTACGCCCTGCCAACCTTTTGGAATATTTTTTGGCCCTGGCTTTGCCAGCATCATTTCACTGATTTCTTTCAGAGCTCTATGAGGGAAACACTATATACCCATTTTACAGAAACAGCGAGTGAAGCTCAGAGCATTGGAAGCACAGGTGAGAAGGTGCAGAGCTTGGATCTGAACCTAGGCCCCGTCTGACCACAGCCTCAGCCTTGGACGATCTGCCTCTGCCCCCGTCCCCCAGGCCCACGCACCTCCCTCCACTTGGCATCGCTCTTCTGCTGGATGGTCGCCGGGTCTGGCTGGAAGGTCCCCAGAGGCGCGTGCGCGGACGACAGGAGCTGAACGCACAGCTGGTACTTGGACCCGCAATCTGGCCTGGCTGCGAACCTGCAGGGAGAGGGAGGGCCCATCAGGGCCTCGGAGATTGGGGGCAGGGCGGGGGTGGGGCGCCTGATTGGCATGCCCCACCCCAGACCCTCGCCCCAGGCACTCACCAGTCCTTGACCTCGATGTCCGGCCGTGTGGTATCCATCAGCTCCTCCCAATACCCTTCGGCCTTGAGGTCCACCACCTGGGACTTGAGGCAGGTGCTGGGGGCAGGCAGAGGGGTGGGAGGGGCTGGGCTCACCACTAGGGCAGTGAGGGGCTAGGACTGCCCCTTCCAGGGTGGGAGAGACCCCAGGGTAAATTGATTTGGGCTTTCCCCTACCCCAAGTCCCCGGATCTTACTAATATGAAGTAACGAAGTATTTCTTGACCTGGTCATTGGGGAATTCCTTCCTCTGGTCTCGAGAGAGATCCTCCACCTTCCACTCATCGCCTCCATTCACATCCAGGCTCCAGAACTCGAACCCCTCTGATGGAAAAGCAGAGTTCACACTGAAGGGAAGCCCCTCAGTGGCCGCCTTCTCCCAAATGCCCCTTCCTCCCCACTCCTCTGCCTGCATCTTGGCGGCTGCCCTCAAGCCCTGTGCTGTGGGACGCTGCAGATCACAGTGCCCACCGCGTATTAGGTGCTTCCTGTGTTGCAGGCACAGGGAGGTGACTTCCCTGGGGGCCCTGAGACACATGGTGATGGAAATGACCAGACCTCTTCTGTGATGGAGAACGCTCTGATGTGGGCCAGACAGACCTGGGTCTAGTCCCAGCTCTACCAGTACTCGGTTGTCTGACCTTGGACCAGTTGCTTTTCCTCTCTGACCCTTGGTCGTCTCCTCTGTAAACTGGAGTAAGAATAGGGGCTGAGAAGCATTTTTGGCAAAGTGCCAAAATGTTTTAGGACTTGTGGCCCACATACTATCTCTATTGTATAGTTTTTTTGTTGTTGTTTCTTTTCCTATAACCCCTTAAAAACACAAATCTTTTTTTTTGTTTTTGTTTTTTGAGATAGGGTTTCGCTCGTCACCCAGGCTGGAGTGCAATGGCTCGATCTCAGCTCACTGTAACCTCTGCCTCCTGGGTTCCAGTGATTCTCCTGCTTCAGCCTCCCGAGTAGCTGGGATTACAGGTGCATGCCACCACACCTGGTTAATGTTTGTATTTTTTTGTAGAGATGGTGTTTCGCCATGTTGGCCAAGCTGGTCTCGATCTCCTGACCTCAGATGATCCACCCACCTTGGCCTCCCAAAGTGCTGGGATTACAGGTGTGAGCCACTGCACCCAGCCCAGCTGCCTTCTGTGATGGACAAAGCTCTGATGTGGGCCAGACAGACCTGGGTCTAGTCCCAGCTCTACCAGTACTCAGCTGTGTGACCTCAGGCCAGTTGCTTTTCCTCTCTGAGCCTCAGTTGTCTCCTCTGTAAACTGGAGTTAAGAATAGGGGCTGGGAAGCTTTTTTGGCAAAGTGCGAAAATATTGTAGGAATTGTGGGCCATAAACTATCTCTATTGTATAGTTTTTTGTTGTTTCTTCTTCTTCTTTTTATAACACTTTAAAAATGTAAAAACAATTATTAGAACAATTATTAATGCCTCAGCCAGATTTGGCTCATGCACAGCTTGGAGGAGTGGTTTTATTATCATTTTGCTCCAGAATTTGGTCATGTTGTGGAAAATGAGGTTCCCATGCCATCCCAGTGTCAACCCAACAACACAGCAAGCAAGGATCAGTGGAAGCCTTGCTTTACCTGTTGTTGTAACATACTGAGAAGACGACTGGATCTCCCATTCTTCCACAAGCAAAACCCCTTTGGCCTTCTGGGACCATGTCAGTAGGCCCAACCCTGGAGCCTAGAAACTAGGCCAACAAAATATGGCTCTGACTTCCTGGCCTTGTGTCTTGAGCAGAATTAGTCTCAGTTGGCCAACATTCCCTCGCCTAGGAAAGGTCACTGGGGAAATAATCTTAAGAGCAGAATAAGAGGCCGGGCGCGGTGGCTCATGCGTGTAATCCCAGCACTTTGGGAGGCCAAGGCGGGCAGATCACCTGAGGCCAGGAGTTTGAGACCAGCCTGGCCAACATGGTGAAACTGTGTCTCTATTAAAAATACAAAAAATTAGCTGGGCGTGGTGGCGGGCACCGGTAATCCCAGCTACTCGGGAGGCTGAGGCAGGAGAATCGCTTGAACCCAGGAGGTGGAGGTTGCAGTGAGCCGAGATCGCACCATTGCACTCCAGCTTGGGCAACAGAGCGAGACTCCATCTAAAAAAAAAAAAAAAATTAGCCAGGTGTGGTGGCACATGCCTGTAATCCCAGCTACTTGGGAGGCTGAACTTGGGAGGTGGAGGTTACAGTGAGCCAAGATTGTGTCACTGTACTCCAGCCTGGGTGACAGAGTGAAACTCCGTCTCAAAAAAAAAAAAAAAAAAAAAAGAGTATAGTAAGAATAAGAAACACCACTCTTGGCCTCAGTTTGCCCATCTGAAAAATGTGTGCACTAACAGTAGCTACCTCTTTGGGTTACTGTGAGAGAAGTAAAGGTGTTAAACCATCCAAAGTACCCGGCTCATACTAAGTGCTCAATACATGTTCCTGGTGTCATGACTGTGTACTGGAGGCATGCCAGACCCGGCCTGTACCCCACCTTCAGCGCACGGGTTGTGCAGGAGGTTCCTGTGCAGGCTCCGTAAGAAGTAGAAGATCTTCCAGTCGGCCACGGGCTGGTCCCAGTCCTCAGTGATGAAGCCCTCTCGCAGGCACTTGCGTTTCCAGAGGGTCACGAGGTCGATGAGGTCCCGCCAGAGGCTGCAGACCAGGCGGCAGTTCAGCAGCAGCTGGCGGGCGGGCACGTGCGTGAACAGCTCCAGCAGGATGTTCTCGGGCAGCTCGTTGATGTTCCCCACAGCCATGGCTTGTGGCTTCTGGACACCCTCCTGTAGCTGTTGAAAAGCTATGCTGCAGGCCTCATCCCTGCTCTGCCATTTATCTCGGGAGAGCATGGTGCCTCTCCCAGCCTGTTTCCTTCTCTGTAAATGGATGCCTTACCTCCAGGGGTCACTGGGGCGGTCCAAGGAGCTTGGGACACATCAGGTACTTTAATAAAAGGTGAGCTCTGATTTTTTTCTCTGGCCTCTCACAATAGAGGTGGAAGGCACTGCCCAAGGTCAAAAATAAGGGCAGAGGGGGAAGAAGCCCGGATCTTCTTTGATTCCAGGGCCAGCCTTTTTCAGTAGGCCAGTCTTTAATGGGGATATAATGCGCAGCCGGGCAGAGCACCCCAGGCCTCCGGTGCCGTCACCATCCTCTCTCCCATCCTCAGAACATGATGGGAGGAGGAGGCTAATTATCACTGCCTCCCGCGGAGGTCCAAAGGGCTCCAGCCACCTTCTCAAGATCTCAGAGGACATGATCTCCTGCCTAGGTGGGAGTGGCAAGAGGGTGGGCGACAGGGAAGGGCCCTTCCTATCTCCCCACCCCCACTCCCACCCCCAGCCCCGCGGCTGGGCTCCGCCAGCCCCAAGTCCGCCAGCGCGCCTGCAGCCTCCCCTTCCCACGCTGTGCCTTAAAATGCCCCCCAAAGTCTGGGCTCGGACCCCTGTACATCGATGGCGACCCCAGCCCCCGTTCGCAGCCGCGCAGCGCAGCCCGGGCAAGCTCGGCGGCCTGGGCCTGGTCGGTGCCAGGCCTCCCTCGGCAACTGCGGCGCGACCCGGAACCCAGGAGCCTTCCCGGCAGCCCCCGCCCAGCCGCGCCCCCTCCCCAGCGCCCCCCGCGCCCCCTCCTGCCGGTCACCTGCGCTCGGCCGCCGCGGCACGATCCGTTGGGCCGCCCAAGCTGCACCGCCTGGACCTGCGCTTGCCTGGAAAGCGAGGCCCCGCCCCGGCCCGCCAGGCCCCGCCCCCGCGCCCCGCGCCCCGCCCCGCGCAGCGCTGGGCCAGGGACGCACCCCCACCGCGTCGTAGGAAAATTACCTGGTGTGGGGGGTGGGGCGGAAGGCACCTCCTATACTCCGACTCCGCCTGGGCCACCCGCCCCTCACCCTCGGCCTGACCCAGCCTCTCCGTGCCTCCCCTAGCCGCCTCCTCCCAGCAGTCCCCCAGGAGCGAGCTGCGAGATGCCCCAAATCGGACCCCTCCCCAGTTGGAAAAAAAACGACTCCTGACCTTTCCCAGCCTCCTCGGTCCGCTGAGGAACCCGCAGCCCCGGGCCTCGAGCAGACTGCTGGGACTGCGGGGCGGCCGGGCGCGGGGCCAGAGGCGGGGCGGGGCGGGTCGGGTCGGGGGCCTTTAAGAGGCGCGGTCGCCGGGACCGACACAGACGCGGACAGCGCCGGGACTCGCCGCCCCGGGACTCGCGCAGCCCGCAGCGCTCCGGCTCCTCCTCTCGCGACCGCCCTCCGCAGCGATGGACGGAGACGGTGACCCAGGTAGCCGACGCCTGGACCGCTCGCTGCGGCGGGGAGGGGAGATGGGGTCGGCGGGCGAGCGCTGCACAGAGGGGCGTCAGAGAGCGAGGGGACCCGGAGACCTGGCGCGGCAAACTTTCACGCCAGCGAAGCCCTAGAGGCGGTCTCCAAAGAGCACGTCTCTCTGCTATCTTGGTCTGGCGGGAGGCCTTGAGAGGCGACTGGCAAGGAGAGAGAACTCCTGGGTCCCATTTAGCCAGGAAGTAGCACCAGAGGACCCCCACATTCCCGCCTCCCAGCTTCCTGAGGGTCTGTCTGGCGGGGGCCTGGGATGCGTCTGGGAGGGAGGCTGCGAGCCTTTTCTTTCATCAGCTCTTCCAGCTCTGGGCCTTGGGCCGTCTGAATCCCCGTGGGTTCCTTGGGGTCCCAGGCCTGGCCTCACCTATTCCTGCCTTCCTCCTGAGCTCCCTTGTCTGGAGGGGCTGCCCCTCCCCGGGGTGGTGAGATGCCCAGTGGGGACCCGACTAGCGGTGAGGGAGCGTTGGGGGCAGCTTTGGCTGGTGCTCAGGGCCTTCCCAGGCTGCCCAGTCATCCTCTCTGGCACCCAAGACCCCTCACCCCCATCCCTCCAACTCCCTGCGGGGCCTGCAGGGGTTGCCTGCTGAGTCAGGATGGAAACAAGACCTGCCTGCAGACAGCCCTCACTCTTTCCTCATCAGGTCCAGCTGGGGATGGGCATTGCTTGGGTTAGGCGGTGGCAAACAGACTGATGAAAGCTCAGGCCCCCCCTCACCCCCCATTCCCCCGCCTCCAGCCCTGAAAATTCCAGCTCTCGCAGCCCTTGCTCCCAATCCACGGCCTTCTGGCCACACCCTCTGTAGGGCTCCAGAACTGGCTCCTGCTTTTTCCCAGGGATCAGCTATACCCTGGACTCTGGGGCCCACTCCAGGTGAGTGAGTCAGCCTCGCAGGCAGGCAGCTTCCAGGGGCCAGATAACTTTCCGCCGGCAACAATGTGGGGAGTTGTGTGTGTAAGAGAGAGGGTGGGGGGAGCTGTAATTGGATCTGGGGCCTCGAGTGCCAGGCCCCGGGGCCAGAAGAGGGGACTGGGTGAGGTGCACCTTTCGGGGAGCATCAGGTGTCCGATGGGGCCAGGGCCGGAGGGAGGGCTGGAGAGGTGAGGACACTGGGCCTAGCTCCCCAGAGAGCTGTGGGCATCTGCCTGGGCAGGTGATGTGACTTCAGGGCCTGGCATTTTCCTCTGTCTTCCTGCCGTTCTGCGATGTGGTCTGGGAGAAGCTGTTAAGCCTTTTTTGGCCTCAGTTTCCTCTTTGCCAAAGGGGCCGGTGTAAATCCCCACATCATAAAGATGTGGCCAAAAAAATGTTAATAAGGAAGGAGAAGTGCTGTGTTCAATGAGGTTCACTCAGTAAGATTGACTGAGGACTCACTGTGTGCTCTGGGCTCTGTGAAAGCTCTCAAGGGCCTGACTGTGGGTTGGGCAGGGAGGAGAGGCTGCATATGAGGAGGTTAGGGGCTGGTGGGCCTGGAGACTTGGGTCTGGGTCCTGCCACCTGTCCCCTTCCCCAGTGCCTGGCCTGTTCCCACCACCGCCTTGGCTCTCCAGGGCCTAGCCCATGGGAACTCCCCATCCGTAGGTCTGAGAGCTGTAGTCTTCCTGATCACCCAGAGTGGCCCCGTCTCCTCCTCACTGGCTCTCCCTCGTCCAGGCATCTTGGGCACTCGGTGTCCACTTACTCAAGGCTGTGATGGCCCAGCTGAAGCCGACTGGGATGCAAGAGACAGTCCGGCTGCCGCGGTGACATCTGCCTGCCTCCTTACAATTCAGAATGCCCTTGTCCCCTTCCTCAGGGGATTTGGACGTCTGTCCTGTTTGTATGGCCTGGCACAATGATTACCCCCATTTTATAGATGAGAAAACTGAGGGCCACGGATGGGAAAAGGAGGTGGAGAAAGTTTCCTTCCCCAAGCCCCTATGTCATCTCCTTGCTTGATAGAGTTTCTTTTAATAAGTCCCTCCTCATCCCCAAGTCACACAATAGCTGGGGACAGCTGGGTCTCCAGGCTCTGTTCTCCAGCCCCTGAAGGCCCCAGGTCCCATGTCCCCTTCCCTAAATACTGGCAGTGTGTCCTTCAACAAGTCACTTCATCCCTGAGCCTGAGCATTTGCACCTGCAAAGTCAAAATCCTGGCCTGGGTGTAGTGGAGCATGACTGTAATCCCAGAACTTTAGGAGGCCGAGGCAGGAAGATTGCTTGAGTCCAGGAGTTGGAGGTCAGCCTGAGCAACAGAGTGAGACCCTATCTTTAAAAAGAAAAGTCAGCCGGGCGTGGTGGCTGACGCCTTTAATCCCAGCACTTTGGGAGGCTGAGGCGGGTGGATCACCTGAGGTCAGGAGTTTGAGACCAGCCATGCCAACATGGTGAAACCAGTCTCTACTAAAAATACAAAAATTAGCCAGGCGTGGTGGCACATGCCTGTCATCCCAGTACTTGGGAGGCTGAGGCAGAAGAATCGCTTCTCAGCTTCCAGCTACCCGGGAGGCAGAGGTTGCAGTGAGCTGAGATTGAGCAGTGACAGAGCAAGCGAGACTCCATATCAAAAAAAAAAAAAAAGTCAAAATCCTAACACTGCCTACTAATTCAGTGAATTATTCTGTGGAGGCTGTGGTGGTTTAAGATGGCTCTGGAGCCAGGCTGTCTGGGTTCAAATCCAGGCTCCAACCACTGATTAGCCGTGTGATCCTGGGCCGTTTCACCTCTCTGTGCCTCAGTTTCCTCATCAATGCAATAAGAACAGCAATAAGAGCAACCTCAAAGAAGTGGTATGAGGATTTAAAGAGTAAATGAAGTTGAAATGCTTTGGACGGTGCCTAACACTTGATGAGTGCCCCCAAAACATGAGTTCCTGACAACAGACCAGGAAAGTGCCAGATGCCAGGCACAGGGCATGAAGCTGTGTGTTTTCCAGACCATGTTCTGGCCCTTATAAGGCTCCGTATGGTCCAGAGACAGGCGTTTATCACAGGATCACACCCCAGGACAAAAGCTAGGAAGGGCTGTGAGAGGGTGTCATAGGGGGAAGTCCCGGAAGGCTTCCTGAGGAGGTGAGGGGAGCAGGAATCTCAGAGGGTGGTTGGGAGGAAGAAAGAAGTTCCTGTGTGAAGCACTGTGCAGTGCTATAGATGGATGCCATTAATAATAATAATATGATCCTTGTTGCCATCTGCCCAGGCGTGGGGTTTACTGGTCCAGCAGAGGAAATAGGCCTCTGAGGCACCTCTTTGGACTTAGGGGCTGATCCGGGGTTGGTCTGTGGCCTTGTGGCCCTCCTCCTTGGGCACCAGTATGGAGTCACAGAATCTCCGGCCCCAGCTGTGGATTGTCCCACGGTGGGTGGGGGAGGTTACGGGCACATTGCAGTCCTGGGGCCTGGAGGAGTACAGGGTGGAGGAATCACAGCCTCCCACCCATCCCTGCCTGCAGAGAGCGTGGGCCAGCCCGAGGAGGCAAGCCCGGAGGAGCAGCCAGAGGAGGCGAGTGCTGAGGAGGAGCGGCCGGAGGACCAGCAGGAGGAGGAGGCGGCGGCCGCCGCCGCGTACCTGGACGAGCTGCCCGAGCCGCTGCTGCTGCGCGTGCTGGCCGCACTGCCGGCCGCCGAGCTGGTGCAGGCCTGCCGCCTGGTGTGCCTGCGCTGGAAGGAGCTGGTGGACGGCGCCCCGCTGTGGCTGCTCAAGTGCCAGCAGGAGGGGCTGGTGCCCGAGGGCGGCGTGGAGGAGGAGCGCGACCACTGGCAGCAGTTCTACTTCCTGAGCAAGCGGCGCCGCAACCTTCTGCGTAACCCGTGTGGGGAAGGTGAGAGGCCCTCGCTGGGCGAGCTCAGCTTCCCCTGCTGCGAAATGGGCCGAAACGGCGCCGCCTGGCTTTGAGGGAGAAATGGGATTAAGCGCCTGGCTCAGTGCCAGCACTGGGTAGCCCCAAGGCTGTCTATTACTGTAGCTCTCTGGCCACCTGTGCCCTGGGGTCTCCCGGGTCCTCCCACCCTCAGCCAGCTGGGGCAGGGCGGGATGGGGGACATACCTCCCGGGAGGCAGATTTAGAAACTGCCCACTGGTCCACCCTCTCATTCATCATCTGCCCACCAAGACACCAAGTGCGACCTTTGCCCTGCCCCCCACCACATAGTGGCAAGAGCCAGCCTTAGCAGGGACTGAGTGACCAGGGTGGGGCTGTCGTGTCCCTACAGAGGACTTGGAAGGCTGGTGTGACGTGGAGCATGGTGGGGACGGCTGGAGGGTGGAGGAGCTGCCTGGAGACAGTGGGGTGGAGTTCACCCACGATGAGAGCGTCAAGAAGTACTTCGCCTCCTCCTTTGAGTAAGGAGAAGGGGGTGGAGGAGGTGGGAAGGGGGGAGCGTTCGCTCTGTCCTAACTCCAGTTCTCCCAGGTGGTGTCGCAAAGCACAGGTCATTGACCTGCAGGCTGAGGGCTACTGGGAGGAGCTGCTGGACACGACTCAGCCGGCCATCGTGGTGAAGGACTGGTGAGAGGGTCCTGGGGTGGCATGGGGCTGGGAGGAGCGGGGTAAGGCAGAGGGGAGAGCCAGCTGGGGAACCCCCCGCCTGGGGGTGCTGCCTCCCCACTGCAGGGGTTGAGGCCACGTGGGCCACGGGTCTGCAAAGGTTGACAACTTCCGTGTTTGCAGGAGAACCTGGAAACCCACCTCCCCTCCTGAGTTTTAAATGTTGGCAAATATATGCACATATATATGTTTGTATATATGTAATGTATATATTTCAAAATCAGTCTGCGGTCCAAACCAAAGGCCACTCTGTGGACTGGCTTTGGCCCCAAGCTGGGGTCTGGCCAACTTGGAATGTAGTCCTCGTGTTTCGCTCGTGGGCTGTCACTTTCTCTTGCTGGCCTCGTTTCCCTTATCTGTAAACTGGGAACACTGGCAGTGCTGGCTGACAGGGATGTTGGGCGCACAGGAGGACTTTTGTGGAAATCCCCATCCCCAGGACGTGTTCAGCAGGGCTGAGGCCATGCCCCCACCCCACCTCCCGCCCCCCACCTCGCTCCCTCCCTCTGAGCAGGTACTCGGGCCGCAGCGACGCTGGTTGCCTCTACGAGCTCACCGTTAAGCTACTGTCCGAGCACGAGAACGTGCTGGCTGAGTTCAGCAGCGGGCAGGTGGCAGTGCCCCAAGACAGTGACGGCGGGGGCTGGATGGAGGTGAGCCTGGGGGACCCAGGGCGGAGGGGTGGGGCACGGACATGAGGGGCGTGGCTCGAGGAGACCCCGCCCACAGCGCTCCTGGGCTGGGGTGGGCTGGGCTGGGCTGGGCTGAGATAGTCACCGGGTGGTGGAGAGAGTTCTGAATACCGCGGAGAAACCGAGTGGGGGAGCTGCAGGTCGGTCGGTGTACCGGGGTGGGGCGGCAGGAGAGGCCTCAGGACCTCCGAGGCTGACTCTTGTTACCTCCACCCCCAGATCTCCCACACCTTCACCGACTACGGGCCGGGCGTCCGCTTCGTCCGCTTCGAGCACGGGGGGCAGGACTCCGTCTACTGGAAGGGCTGGTTCGGGGCCCGGGTGACCAACAGCAGCGTGTGGGTAGAACCCTGAGCGACCCTGCCTCCACTCTCCCCCAGCTGCCTGGAGGGGCAAAGGTCGAGGGTAGATAGGCCTTAACTTAGTCCATAGCGTCCTCACCTTCCCCAAGCCACACATCCTCCTCCCATCCCTTGCTCCGATCCCAGCCCCTGAGCAGGGAGAGAGAAGTTTTGTTGGCATAGGTTTGCTTAGGTAGCCGGCTTCTAGAATGTAGATCCGTGAGGGCGTGAGCTTGGACTGGACCCACTGCTGATTCCCTGCACCTAGCACAGTGCTTGCCACAAAGTGGGCTCTCAATAAATATTATTTGTCCAAGGAAGGAATGAATGAAAAAATGGATAAACACTGCTCCCTTCCCATCCTTTTCTGTCTCCTGAGGGCCCCCGGCATAGCCTGGAAAAATACTTGGTAGGGCTCCAGCTGCTCTGGTTTCCAGCGGACCTTGGGCCAGTATGGAGTCAGCTGGGCCCGGCCTTGCCAGGGAGGACAAAGCTGGGATTGTGAGACCAAGGAAGGTTGAGCTGAGCCTGGCGCCTGACCGACACCCAAGCTGCCCAGAGGCCAGAATAGGGCATGTTGGCGGGGGGGCTGCCCTCCAGGCCTCTCTTGGTCCAGTGAGTATCCTAAGCCTTGCTATGACCCCCCATCCTTTACTAAAGGCAGAGTGGGGTTGGGGGTGTACCAGTTCTCAGGGCCCGGGTGACCAATAGCAGCATGTGGGTAGAGCCCTGAGCGGCCCTGCTTCCACCCTCCCCCAGCTGCTTGGAAGGGTAGAGGCTGGGAGTAGATAGGCCTTAACTTAGTCCATAGCGTCCTCACCTTCCCCAAACCTCCACAGCCCTTCATCAAGCTGGGCCCCTAGGGCAAGGTGTCAGTTCCTTTGTCTGATTGGCAACTGGGGTGGGTGTGGACTGTGCTAGGGTCTAGGGTACCAGTTCTCTTGGGCCCAGGGATGGAGGTGAGGGGCCTGGGGTAGGGGATGGGAGGTGGGGATGGGGAAGCACAAAAAGGATTGGTTTGGGGTTTCTCTTAGTTCGTGCCCACCCCCTGGAGTCATTAGCATCTGGTCTCATTGGCCCTTTTCCAAACCTGGCCCAGAGGTTGGCCCAGGCTTTGGCCTGGGGGAGGGGAGGTGGGGAGGGTCTTGTGCCAGACTCTGTGCTCCGGCACGCTCCTTCCGGCCGACCCAGCCCCTTCCAAAGACTGTCAGCTGCTGGTCCTAGGGGTGGGCATTTGAAGGGCCTGGAACCCTCTGCCCTCCTCTCCTGAAATGGAGACCAGTAAAATCACCGAGAGTCTCCAGCTTTGCCTCGGTTCTGAACCCTGATGCTACCTGCTGTTCTGGTGGGATTGCAGGGTTCAAGCTGGGGCCTGCCTGCAATTGTTTATTCATTCACTAGTTCATTTATTTACAATTCCCAGAGCCCCAACCCCAGGCCAGGTCATGTGTGGGGGCCCTGAAGTTACGGTGGGGAATAAGAGACTCCTTCCCAGGAAGAATCAGCAGCCTGGCCACATGAAGGGTGGGACCCAAGGGGAGGGGGAGCCAGTGTCCTGGGCCCTCCAGTGCAGTGGTGGAGATGCAGCCCCTGCTCTGGGGGCATCCTCAGTCTGACAAGGGAGACAAAACCTTGACTTCAGAAAACTCTCAGTTTCAAGGGAGAGGCATAACCTCTTCCATAAGGATGCCCTCCGTCCTGTCTGGGGGATTTCAGTCTGCTGGGGAAGGCACAGTCCATGTTCACCCGAGCTGCCAATCAGACAAAGGAACTGATGCCTTGCCCTCAGGGTCCAGCTTGATGAAGGGCTATGGAGGAACAGGCTCACCCCATGAGCTCCCATGCTTAGGGGTGGGAGACTAAGGGTGGGCATGTGGGGAGCCAGGTTAAGAGGAGATGGGGTGAGTGGAGAAAGGACCGGAGCCTGCACTGGGCTATGGGAGGAAACTGAAGATGGAGACAGGTCATGGGCATGAGGGGCCAGGAGGCCAGGTAGGGCCTGGCCCTTCAAGGACTGGAGGTCAGCATAGGAATGTGGGGGGTGTGGAATGTGCTGCAGGTGGAGGGGAGCGCCCCTGAGTTTCAGGTGCGCATGGGACGTTCGGGAAAGAGGCCCATAAAGAGTGTGGGGCCCTGGGCTGCCGATGCAGGTATAGGAGTTGCAGTGTCTGTGGCCAGCAACCAAAGCCAAGGGCGGGAACAGGTGCAGAGTGAGGCAGGAGAGGCCTCTGGGCTCACGACAGACCGGACTGACCGGGGACAGGGAAAGCAGGGCAGCCAGGAAGGCAGGGAGATGGGTGGGAGGAAGGTGCAAGACCAGAAGGCCACCTGCAGCCAAGAGCCTGAGGAAGGAGCCAGAAGCCCTGCCCAGAAGCCCAGAGGCTCTGAGCCTGCTGTGGTCTCTCCCCAGAGCATGGGGCCCTCAGAGGAGACCGGAGGGGCCTCAGGCTCACTCTTGCTGTCACTAGAGGGACATCGGGTACACCAGTGGTGTTTAGGTCAGGAAGATAAGACAACTGCTTCTCAGCCTTCAAAGGGCTGTGTGAGGTGGGCCAGAAGGCTCACTGGGCATAGGGCACGTCCTATCACACCACCCTACAGTCCAGTCAGGTGGGACAGGGGAGAGGGCATGGTCATCCCTTTTACGGTTTTCTGGCAAGTGACACAGAGTAACTGGAGAAGCAGAAGCTCCCATCCAGGCACATCTGGCTCTTAAGTGAGTGCTCTTAACTCCTCTCAGCATTACTGTCCCCTACCCTGGAGGACAGAGCTGGACCCACGTGTAAACGTTATAGGATGGCATATACCAGCTGCCTGTAAGGAAAAACCTGTGTGGCGTCCAGCAGGGGGCACCCCAGGGCTGTCTCTAGGACAGTGGGGACAGTTGAAGCGAGAGACAGCAGATAGGGCTTTCATGTCTCCTATGATCCTATTTTTTATTTAAAATTTAAAAAAAAAATTTTAGAGACACGGTCTCACTCTGTCACCCAGGCTGGAGTGCAGTGGTGTGATCATGGCTCACTGCAGCCTCAATTTTCTGGGCTCAAGCGATCCTTCCACCTCAGCCTCCTGAGTAGCTGGGATTGCAGGCACGTGCCACCACACCAGGCTAATTTTTATTTTTTATAGAGATAGGGTCTTGCCATGTTGGTCAGGCAGGTCACAAACTCCTGACCTCAAGCAATCCTCCTGCCTCGGCCTCCCAAAGTGCTGGGATTATAGACGTGAGCCACCGTGCCTGGCCAGTTCTTCCTAATCATTTGATATTTATTGAGCACCTACTATATGTAAGGTAGGGACAAAACAAAGTCTCTGGTCTCTTGGAATATACAGTCTAGATGGAGAAACATAACACAAGCAACTAAATGAGTGAACAAGATAATTACCCACATGAGATAGCCCTTCATCAATAAGCCAGGCACTACTCTAAAAGCTTTATCTATATTAATTTGTCATAATAACCTCACGAAGTGGAAACTGTGATTACTTCCATTTTTACAGATGAGAAAATTGGGCCAGGTGCAGTGGTTCACACCTGTAATCCCAGCACTTTGGGAGGCCAAGGTGGGTGGATCACCAGAGGTCAAGAGTTCGAGACCAGCCTGACCAACATGGTGAAACCCTGTCTCTACTAAAAATACACAAAAATTAGCCTGGGTAAGAAGAGCCAAACTCAGTCTCAAAAAAAAAAAAAAAAAAAAAAAAAGAAAGAAAAGAAAAATAAAATTGAAGCACAGAGAGATTAAGCAACT
Organism: Homo sapiens; assembly: GCF_000001405.40. Lineage (NCBI taxonomy): Eukaryota > Metazoa > Chordata > Mammalia > Primates > Hominidae > Homo > Homo sapiens. The sequence goes on along the minus strand of NC_000001.11, from coordinate 11,644,954 downwards.
TGCCTTAGGCCATACTGCTAAGAAGTGATGGAACTGGAATTCTTTTTTTTTTTTTTTTTTTTTTTTTTGGTACGGAGTCTTGCTTTGTCTCCCAGGCTGGAGTGCAGAGGCGTGATCTCAGCTCACTGCAACCTCTGCCTCCCGGGTTCAAGCAATTCTCCTGCCTCAGCCTCCCGAGTAGCTGGGATTACAGGCGCCCGCCACCACACCTGGCTAAGCTTTTTTTTGTATTTTTAATAGAGATGGGGTTTTACCATGTTGGTCAGACTGGTTTTGAACTCCTGACCTCAAGTGATCCACCTGACTTGGCCTCCCACAGCGCTAGGATTACAGGCATGAGCCATCACGCCAGGCGGGAACTGGAATTCTACTCAGCCACTTAGGCACTTGGCCTCTGTAGTGTAGAGAGTGAGGGCAGGAGTGCTACTTTGGTTGGGGTGATCAGGGAGGACCTGTCTGAAGAAGTGACTTTTTTTTTTTTTTTTTGAGATGGAGTCTCACTCTGTTGCCCAGGCTGGAGTGCAATGGTGCTATCTCAGCTTACTGCAAACTCCACTTTCCGCATTCAAGCGATTCTTGTGTCTCGGCCTCCCGAGTAGCTGGGATTACAGGCGTGCACCACCATGCCCAGCTAATTTTTTTTTTTTTTTAATAGAGACAGGGTCTCACCATGTTGGCCAGGCTGGTCTTGAACTCCTGGCCTCAAGTGATCCACCTGCCTTGGCCTCCCAAAGTGTTGGGATTGCAGGCATGAGCCACGGCGCCTGGCTGGAAGTGACACTTGAATCACATGATGACGAGAAACCAGCCATACGGCTCTGGGGAAAGAGCACTGCAGAGGCAGCCAAAGGCTCCGACATGGGAATGAACTTATTCACAGGTCAGAAAGGCAGCCAGCATGGCTGGAGCAGTGAGCAAGTGAGGAGGTGATCTGACGTGAGCTTGGAGATGTAGGAAGGTGACCCAGAGAGTTTCCTGAGGACCTACTATGTGCTCTGCCCTATAAGATATAAATGCTCTAGGAAGCAGATATGATATCGTTTCCATTAAGGAAAAACCTTTGCTCTGTTCAGCAGGAGCTAGGGATGGGGGTTTAGACATCAGCTGCTGACAATCTTGTTTGATGAAACCAAATTTCCCAAGAGTAGCAGGATGATCAGGATGATGATGATGGTGATGATGCTGATGGCAGCAATGATGGCGATGACAGGCATTTGCTGAGGACCTAGAGCGCCAGTTCATGAGCTCAGTGCACAGGCTCATTTAATCTGTGCAGTGGCCCCCTTAGATAAAAGAGCTAAGACTCAGAGATGCAGGGTAGCTTGCCAGGGTCATGCAATGAATAAGGAGTTGAAGCTGGCTTTCCAGCTTAAGTCTTTTTTTCTTTAAATTGACATTTTATATGTGTATATAGACTTTTAATTAACATTATTTTCACAGAGCCAAGCAAACATTTTCAGTCCGCAGGAGGGAAAGAGGGGAGTTGTGGGTTGTGTTGCTGTTTTTTTTTTTTTTTTTTTTTGAGATGGAGTCTCGCTCTGTCGTCCAGGCTGGAGTGCAATGGCGCAATCTCAGTTCACTGAAACCTCCGCCTCCCAGGTTCAAGTGATTCTCCTGCCTCACCAGCTTAAGTTTTAATGACTTTGCTGGGGTACAGAATCAGAAGGGGCCACATGCTGGGGGACAGAGCAAGGACAGAAGCTGGGGGCTCCCAGGTGAGGAAGAGCAGAAAGAGTTGGAGATGACGAGGACACTGGGCTCCAGAGTGTCTGTGCGTACCATTACCCCAGGCAGTAGGAGGGATGCTAGGTGTTTGGGGGCTATTTTGGCTAAGTGGTCAGGGAAGGTAAAATGAATTTCCTCTTAGATTTCTCAGTGGAAACATATGTTTAACAATTTGGTAATGGAAAAGTCCCTCTTCCCCTTTCTGATTTCTTTTTCTTTTTTTGAGACGGAGTCTCGCTCTGTTGCCAGGCTGGAGTGCAGTGGCGCGACCTCTGCTCACTGCATCTCTACCTCCCGGGTTCAAATGATTCTCCTGCCTTAGCCTCCCAAGTAGCTGGGACTACAGGCGTGCGCCACCACGCCCAGCTAATTTTTGTATTTTTAGTGGAGACGGGGTTTCACCGTGTTGGTCAGGCTGGTCTCGAACTCTTGACCTTGTGGTCCGCCCACTTCGGCCTCCCAGAGTGTTGGGATTACAGGCGTGAGCCACTGCACCTGGCCTCTGGTTTCTTTACCTTAAAAATCTGGATTTTTGTGTACGCGGTGTATTCAGTTGTGGACATGGTATATTCAATTGTGCACATAGAGGGAGGGAAGGGCCAGTTCCTCCAAGTACCACTAGGTGTCAGCATTGTCAAGGCTGTCCCCAAGCTGTGTCTGTCCTGCCCATTTCTCTGCGGAGGAAAAGTCGAATTTGAATCCAAGTCCTGGTCTCTTCCCATTGTTTGGGGCTGAGCCTGGCTCTTCAGGGGCTGGGATTTGGTGCTGCTCTGACCCCAGAGGCTGTATGAGAAACATTTAGGAGGCTAGGTCTCCAAGGCCTGGGAGGCCCCTGGGTCTCACCCCAGGCCACATAGCAAGGGCTTTGGATGGCTGGACTCCCCTCCAGAGCTGGGCCCCTCCCAACTAGGGAGGGCTGGTGGTATCCTGGGATCTAGCTCCAAGTAGGTCTGGGAGTCTAGAACCCCCCCAAGTCCATCTCCACCTCGGCAGAGCCCTGGGCCTTGCTTGATGGTGCCAGGCCTGCAGTGAACACAGAACACCCAGACAGATCCAATCCTGAGTTCCTGGTGCATAATGACTTTGCTATTTCCCACCACCGTAAATTAAACCTAATCTTGTGTTGACTCTGCTGAACAAGGAGAATAATGAAGAAGATTAAGATGAGATGGTATTCATTCTCCTCCAACAAAAGCCAATTAATTGTCAGTAGGATTACTGCCTGGAGCCAGGAGCTGCTTGCTAGGAGCTCTGCAGACAGGATGGAACAGGGCTGAGGGCCATTCGCTAGGGTTGCCACTGGGGTCTGCTGGTCATGCAGCAGGAAATATTGCAGGTAGATGTTAGGGAGAACTGCCAGAATGAAGGAGGGGGCTGGCACCAAGGAGGAGGGTGCAAAGAGCTTGGAATCACTCACAGAGGTGATGTTTCTAAGGCGTGGAGGGGAACGCTGTGGAAGTTCCCAGCCACCTGACCATGTCCATCCGAGGCCCCCTGGGACCTTCCCCTGACCATGTCCATCCGAGGCCCCCTGGGACCTTCCCCTGCCTTTCTGCGGTCACCTTTGATGAATGAAGCTGCATTCAGGGGTCTCTGGCTTCCTCCCCACTCTGCTTTTTTTCCTCCCTTCCTCTCCTAGGAATCAGGGAGGCCATTTGTCCAGTGTTAACAGCTTGGGTTTAGAGACAGAAACATGGCCAGGCGCGGTGGCTCACGCCTGTAATCCCAGCACTTTGGGAGGCTGAGGCGGGTGGATTGCTTGAGGTCAGGAGTTCCAGACCAGCCTGGGCAACATGGTGAAACCCCGTCTCTACCAAAAATACAAAACAATTAGCTGAGCCTGGTGGCACACGCCTGTAGTCCCAGCTACTTGGGAGGCTGAGGCATGAGAATCGCTTGAACCTGGGAGATGGAGGTTGCAGTGAGCAGAGATCGCACCACTGCACTCCAGCCTGGGTGGCAGTGAGATTTTCTCTAAAATAAAAATAAAAATAATTAGAGACAGAAACACTTGGGCTTCACCTGGCTTTGCCCCTTGTCCTCAACCACACAAATGGAACCTACGATCCTCACCTGCCAACCTGGTTTGATACTCCCAGGCACTAATGTGCCTCCAGTTCCTGCACCCACTAGATTCTTGGAACAAGACAGTGAAGCTGAATGGAGTGGCCTGACTGCTGTGGGCCGTTGCCAGAAGGTGAGGGAACCAACATTTGTTGGTCTACTGCTGCATTATCTCATCGACTGCCTACAGCAGCCTCCTCGGGAGGCTTTATTTTGTCATCACAAAATTTATTGAAGAGGAAACCGAGGCTCAGAGAGGTGGGGCCCTTGGTCGAGGTCACCAAGCTGTAGGCTGCAGAGTTGGCTGGGACGGGGCTTCTGTCGCCATGGCCCCCAAAGCTTGAGCCCTTTCCTCATCTGCACATTGCTTCGTGCACATGGAAGGCATTCAGTGTGTGCTGGCCGGATGAATGAAACGCTCATCAAATGCTATTTCTGGTCCAGTAAGTTCCGTTTCAGACTCTCCCACATCCTGATAACTCCCAGAAGTAAATGGATTGTGTGTGATTTGTGAAATTCTTCTTGGTAATTCTTGGCAACTCACCTACCTCACTACTACTGTGAAGAAAACTCTACCCTCCCATCCAGATCTAAGTTTGCTTCATTTACTCGGATTGATGAGGTTTTTTTTTTTAATTTTTTTTTATTTTTTTTTATTTTCTGAGCATGGCAAAAGTAGCCTCAAAGTCCAGTTTTACAATCTATGCTATCTCAGCACACGCTGAGCACTCACCATGTGATAGGTGTGTTCAAAACATCACCTGTGTATGGTTTTATTTAATCCTCCAAGCACATCTGTGTGCTATTATTCCCATTTCAGAGGCTGAGATGAAACTGAGGCCCAGAGACGTGCATTCTCGCCCCAGGTCACACAGCAAGGGCTTTGCATGGCTGGAATCCCCTCCAGAGCTGCCTCTCCTCGCCCCCTGTCACCACCTGCAGGCTTTCCTGGGTGAAGTGATTCTTGCGGAGGGATTCTAGTCCTCTGTGCAGACAGGAATTGTGGTGGAGGCCGTGGGCTTCCGGGTTCAGTTGGAATTGGTGGAGTTTTCTGTGTCCCACAAATCACACACTTAGACTCAGCCTCAGGAATTGATCTTTGGTTCATATGTGGAAGGATTTACCACTTAAGCTTTTTTTTTTTTTTTTTTTTTTTGAGACGAAATCTCACTCTGTTTCCCTGGCTGGAGTGCAGTGGCATGATCTTGGCTCACTGTAACCTCCACCTCCCAGATTCAGGTGATTCACCTGCCTCAGCCTCCAAGTAGCTGGGATTACAGGTGTGCACCACCACACCTGGCTGTTTTTTGTATTTTTAGTAGAGATGGGGTTTCACCATGTTGGTCAGGCTGGTCTCGAACTCCCGGCCTCAAGTGATCCGCCCGCCTCGACCTCCCAAAGTGTCGGGATTACAGGCGTGAGCCACTGTGCCCGGTCACTTAAGCATTTACTCAGCACCTTCTGCGTGTCAGCACCTTGTTATGCTTTGAGGATACAACAGTGAACCAATGAGGTCCTTGTCCTCTAGGAGCTCACAGACTAGAGGGAGAGAAGGATCTGGGTTCCCAGTTCTGACCCTCCCCAGGTGTGTGACCAGTTAGTGCCTCAGTTTCCACATCTGTAAAATGGGGATGATTTTGTTACTTACCTGATAGGATTGTTATGAGAATCAAATGAATTAATATAGGTAAGACACTTAGATCAAGGCCTGCACATAAAAGGTGCTACATACAAGTTTGTTAAATAAAATGGACAAGTCTGGCAACTATAGTCTAATAATAGTAAAAGGGTGGTGAGGGGAAGCCTACTGAATTTTAGAGGAGGGACATCTAACATAGACCTTGATCAGGAAGGTTTCCTGGAGGAGGCGGTCCATGGACTCTTGACCCAAGTGATGGTAGGAGGGTGAATTACTTCCCTAGCCAGCTTGTAGCTTCCTGGGCTGTCACTGGGAGCTGCAGTACTAACTGGCCTTTTCCTGGGGCTTATTGTCATAATTTTTCAATGTGCGAAGCACTGTAGTAGCATCTGGATTCGAATAGAAATCTCTGTGCTCAGGGACCTATGATTGAGAGGGTGGGAGGAAAACATCCTGAATATGTTCTAGGACAGAAAAACAGGCCCCCAGACGCTGTGGGCAGTGTGTGGGGAGGTCTCCAGTGGGGCAGGGTGTAGAGAGGCCCTCAAAGCTGCAGAAAGACAAAGATGTCCTCGAAAAAAAGAAAACTAAAAAAAAAAAAAAAAAAAAAAAAAGGAAGGGGGAAGCCGGCAGGGAAAATGATTTTCTCGGCTGGCATTTCTTGGGGAATTAAATCTTGTTTTTCGTCACCACCAAGTGGAATAATCCAATATATTAAAGCAGAAGTCCCCACTCCTATTTATTGCTGCGACTTTGACCTAACAGTCTCGGGTCTGCATTTGGAATCAGACTGTCCCGGGGAGGGAGAGCAGGAGGGAGGAGGCATCAACCCCTTGGATCAATTACTTTCCTCTCCGACACAGGAAAAATGAATTATTCCCCGAAAAGCAGGCACCTCATCCGATGAATTCTGCACTGCAGAGCTGGTGGAGTTCTACTAAATTGAATTTGGTCTTTGAGAGACATTTAAAACCAAGTGGAGTGTGTGTGCTGGTGGGGTGTGTCTGACAGCCACTGGGGCTTCTGTCAGTTGGGGTTGAGGAAGCCCCCCACTTACAGTTCTCTGGGTTCGGGGGCAAGAGGTAGCCATGCTTTCTGCCCCAGGGACCCCCAGCACTCTGCAGGGGCGAGATGTTTTTGTTCCCAGCCTGAGGCTCAGAGAAGTGAGGTTGCTTGTCTGAGGCCACACAGTGAGCTGGTAACCATAGCAACCTGTTACCTTTATGTCCCTGTCCTCTGGGTCCTGCTGAAAATGTCCCCCGCCCTCCCAGGGAACCCCAGGTTGAGCAAGTTGGAGTTGGGAGCTTTCCTGTCTGGAGCACTGGTTCTTCATGTCCATAGCTGTATGACCTGGGGCAAGTAGCTTCTCCTCTCTAGGCCTCCGTTTCCTGACTCAGAAAACAGCGTTAATCACAGTCCTTGTAGTGTTTGCTACTCTATCAGATACAAAGGGCAGAAATGCAATTCCAAGTGTTTTAATCCAAAAGCAAAGGTTCTGGCTCACATGGATGAGAAGCTCTGTGTGGATTTCTGGCAGTGTCCTTTCAGGTACAGCTGGATCCAGAGGCCCCAACAGTGTATTCAGAACTCAGCTTTTCTCTGTCTCTCAGCTCTGTGTGGCTTCATCCCAAGCAGGCTCACTCCAGAAGGGGTCGGCAGCCCCCCAGGCCTATGTCCTTCCACCATCAAGTTCAATGGGTTCACGCGCCCACCTCTGAGCTAGTTGCTGTGGCTAGCGGGCCGGTGCCCTGTTGGGCAAGGCTTGGGGTGGAGTCACCCAGTGAGAACCACGTGGCTGACAGAAGAGTGCAGAGGGTGCTGGGTCAAAAACCCAACACAGAGCCCCATTCCTCACAGGTCTCGACATGGAAGAATTCACCATGGTGCTTGCCACAGGGCAAGTGCTCAGCCAGCCACAGCTCTGCTGACAGTGACTCCTTCTGTTTCCACTAAGGGGGCTGCCACGTCCTCCTGGGCAGGGTGTGAGGGGCCCTCCCTGGACTTCCTCGGCCTCCCTCATGGCCTCTCACTGCCTCTACTCCCATCTCCAGGCCAGGTACCAGGCATCGGCCCTCTGCCTGGCCAAAAGTCCCCAGGGAAGGGGAGGCATTCCTCACCCCACACACCCTGGGAGCTGCAGAGACTGCAATTTCACTAATGATGTGGGGAAGAGAGGAAAAGGCTAGCCCAAGAGGGAGATATTTTAGCTGAAAAACCTCCCCCTGGATTTGGGCAGGTTTTTCAGGGCTAATGAGCTGGGGCCAAGGGAGTTTCCAGGGAGGGAGGTGGCTGTGTCTGGTCCAGGCTCTGGTTCTAGAGGGGCTGGAGGTCTGGCCAGTGAGAGAGGAGCTGGGGGCCGGGAAGGGTGCAATGGGGGGCCCTGTGCCCCAAGCTGAGAAGCGCTCACTGGCTCACCCCATAGATGCACTGCTCACTCTGTGTTACCCCCGTTCTCCTCATGTAGGAAAGATCCCCAATGGCCAAGTTGATCTTGCCAAGCTTTATTATCTCTATAGTCCCTACTGTGAGAACACTGCATATCTGTTTTATTTTCCCCTGATATAAAGTCATGTCATGATATTGCAATTGCCTTTTTTTTTCTTTTAGACAGAATCTTGCTCTGTCACCCAGGCTGGAGTGCAGTGGTGCTATCTCTGCTCACTGCAACCTCCGCGTCCCAGGTTCAAGCGATTCTCCTGCCTCAGCCTCCTGAGTAGCTGGGACTATAGGCGCGCGCCACTGCAAACTTACAGACTGGGAGATACTGTTTTCACCAGATTCTGGGCTGCAGTCTGACCCCATTCCTCAATTTCTAATGTCTTTGGGAGAACATTTACCCAGTCAGTTAGCTTTGAGGGTAGACTGGAGCTCTAGGCCTGACCTGACCCCTTGGGTGGATTGCTGGTTTTCTCTGGGCCTTGGTGAGCTAGACTATAATGTCGAGGTGATAATCCCTGTCTTCTCCCCCATCAGTGCTAATTCCACCTGAGAAAATGTTGGTCTGGCTGTGAAGGGACAGGCAGTCCATGCAAATACACACTACGCAGCCATATGAGGTTTCTCCAAAGCCAGCATCTCCCTCAAATACTGGAAGTCAGCACACACTGTGGCCAGAGAAGACAGCCCATCCATACCCTGTCCAGAACCCACAAGAAGAGCAGGGATCTACCTGGCACAACAGACACCGCAGACAAAACTTGCCAGAGTCCAGCAGCTGCACTTTTGCTTAGCTGAAGCCGGGTGTTTCCTGTGTCCACAGGGTCTGGCGGTTGGGGACCAGTGATGCTTTTCCTTTGAGTGACTTTGCACCCCAGCCCTGAGTTTTAGTCACTTTGGAATGTGGGGAGGCAGACCTTTAGGGAGAGATCTGGTCTTGTGCCATTCAGATCACCTGCAGCAGCTGCCTTAGGGTGGGGAGAATTTTCACAGCCTGCCAACCAGGCTGGAGGATGGAAGGGAAACCATGTGGAACCCGGACCTAGAGAGAGGCGCTTCAGCACTGCGGACAGCGCCCTGCCAGCCTCTGAGACCCAGAGACCTGAGCTGTGAGGAGTGTGGATCCTGAAGGAAGAGCCCCGGCCGGGCGCGGTGGCTCACGCCTGTAATCCCAGCACTTTGGGAGGCCGAGGCGGGCAGATCACGAGGTCGGGAGATCGAGACCATCCTGGCTAACACGGTGAAACCCTGTCTCTATTAAAAACACAAAAAAATTAGCCGGGCGTGGTGGCAGACGCCTGTAGTCCCAGCTACTCGGGAAGCTGAGGCAGGAGAATGCCGTGAACCCGGGAGGCGGAGCTTGCAGTGAGCCGAGATCGTTCCACTGCACTCCAGCCTGGGCGACAGAGCGAGACTCCGTCTCAAAAAAAAAAAAACAAAAAAAAAAACCCCAAAGTGGACAGGGCGACCCAGTCCCTGCCCTCAGGGAAGGAGAGAGGGGAGGCACAAGGATTATTAGCCCTTCTATCAGCCAGCACTGGTGATGGACACTTTAATACATTAGCTCAACTTGACCTCCTCTTTATTTTATTGCCCAGGCTGGAGTGCAGTGGTGCGATCTCGGCTCACTGCAAGCTCCGCCTCCCGGGTTCACGCCATTCTCCTGCCTCAGCCTCCCGAGTAGCTGGGACTGCAGGTGCCCGCCACCACGCCAGGCTAATTTTTTGTATTTTTAGTAGAGATGGGGTTTCACCGTGGTCTTGATCTCCTGACATCGTGATCCGCCCGCCTCAGCCTCCCAAAGTGCTGGGATTACAGATGGGAGCCCCAGCGCCCGGCCGGCCTCCTCTTTATTCTTATTTTACGAGGGAGAGAACGGAGGCTCAGCAAGGCTGAATAGGCTGCCCAGGTCACACAGCTAGTTAGCGGTAGAGCATGGACTTCTGTCCAAGTTCATCTGGCTCCAGGATCTCCATCTTACTGTCTCTCTAATCGGATGGGAGAGGCACAGCCTTCAAACACTTGTGGCAGCCATGGCCCCCAGGGCTGCTGGCATTTGTGGCTAGAAGGCTGCATTTGCATTTGTGTGTGGTTTTGTGAGTGCTTCTGGGTGTGCACGAGGGTGAATTCAGTGGAGTGTGACTGTTTACAGGAGGCTGTGTGAGACCCCATGGGAGCTGGAAGATGAGAGGTGGTGTCATATCTCAAAGACTCTCCCTCCTCCCTCCTCCTGGAGGGAGACCTAGAATTCACTGGCCTTTCTTTTTTAAGCACTTAAAGAACAGACCAGAACTGATAGCTAAATTAAACCTGCTGAGAGTGCCTGTTTAATTGAAAATGCCATCTGTAATTTAAATGTCAGAATCAGGATGGTTATTACAGGCGCTTTGAAGACTGGGGCTCATTTCACAGTTTCAAAACAGACCGGGAAAAGCAGCAAATGGACCATGGCCTGCAATGTCGTGAAGCGATTAATAACTTCTCTGGTCCTGCTGAGCTCCGGCTCCCACCACTGCCCTCACAGAGGGAGTATGGCTGGGAGCTGGGAGTTAGGGGCTTGGGCTCCGGGACTCCGCCTCCTGCCTCACCCCCTCCACGCCTCTGTGCCATCCTCCACTCAGCTTCAGGGCAACCATTCCAAAGGGTGAAGTTTATCCTGTCTCACTTCAGGGTCTCCCTGGCACTTCTGGAATGAAATCCTAATCTCTTAGTCTGGCATTCAAGGCCTTTGGAAGGCAAGGCCCTGCCTCCCTCTCCAGGTTTGGTGCCTGCCACTGGCAGCTGCAGACATCCTGAATGCCTCCAGGCCCTTGCACGAGCTGAGCCCTCTGCCTGGACAGCCATTGCTTTTCTTATCCACCCGGTGAGCACAGTGTATCATTCATGATTCAGCCGTCATGTCACCACTTCCAGGAAGCCTTCCTTGAGTACCCTATGCCTCCCCAAAGCACTGATCCAGGCCAGGTTAAGTTTCCTTTTCTCCCATGGCCCCTTGCTCACCTTCATAGCTGACTTAACATGGGGTTGTCTATTCGCCAGTCTCTGTATGCTGTGAGCCCCTTAAGGACAGTGATAGTGCCTTGTTCTGAGACCCAGTGCTCTGCCCTGAACAATGACAATAGCTAACATTTATTGAGCACCTGCTATGTAGCAGGCACTATCATTAGTCCCATCAAAATATTTTTTCATGAACCATACATGGGACTTAATATTAGTCCCCCCCTTTTTTTTTAAATGGAGTCTCGGCCGGGCATGGTGACTCATGCCTGTAATCTCAGCACTTTGGGAGGCCGAGGTGGATGGATCACTTGAGGTGGGAAGTTCGAGACCAGCCTGGTCAACATGGTGAAACCCCATCTCTACTAAAAATACAAAAATTAGCTTGGCTTGGTGACATGCGCCTGTAATCTCAGCTACTCGGGAGGCTGAGGCAGGAGGATCACTTGAACTCGGGAAGTGGAGGTTGCAGTGAGCCGGGATAGTGCCACTGCACTCCAGCCTGGGCAACAGAGTGAGACTCTGTCTCAAAAAGTAAAATAAACAGAGCAAGACTCTGTCTCAAAAAGTTAAAAAAAAAAAAAAAATGGAGTCTCACTCTGTCACCTAGGCTGGAGAGCAATGGTGCGATCTTGGCTCACTGCAATCTCCCCCTCCTGGGTTCAAGAGATTCTCCTGCCTCAGCCTCCCGAGTAGCTGGGATTACAGGTGTGCACCACGATGCCCGGTTGTAATTTTTGTATTTTTAGTAGAGATGGGGTTTCGCCGTGTTGGCCAGGCTGGTCTCGAACTCCTGACCTCAAGTGATCTGCCCGCCGCAGCCTCCCAAAGTGCTGGGATTACAAGCATGAGCCACCACAACCAGCCTAGTCCCATTTTTGAGATGAAGAAACTGAGGCATGGAGGGTGACTTGTCACAAGCCAAATGGCTACCAGTGGCAGAGCTGGGAGTGGACGGAGGTAGCCTGTCTCCAGATTCCAGCTTCTTAACCACTATGCTATAATGCCACATTCAGGGCCCTCTGCTTGGAGAATATTTGTTCATTGAACACATAAAGGGCTCATCGGGTGTGTTCTATCCCTACCCAGGGAGGAGATGCCATAACAAAGTGATCCAAAGGGAGCTAAGCTAACCCCCACCCAGATGAACTTCCCGTTCCTGGACCTCAGGCCCTGGTGCTTCTTTCATGCACTAGAGGCTTTCAAGAGGGGGGATCCTTTTGCCAAGACCCCCAGAGCTTAAAGGGGGGAGTCTTTATCCTCTCTCCCCCTCTCCACCATAGACAACTCCCTGCCGGCTCTCTGTGCTCTGTCTGTCTGTAATCCCCCAATTGCACTTAATGGGGCAGTGAGGTGCAGTTGGATACCATGGTTTGTGCCCCAGCTTTGCTACTTACAGCCTATGTAAATAGCAAACATTTCACCTCCTGCCCTCACTGTCTTCATCTCTGAAATGGGGTCCTAATCATACCTAACTCAGAGTGTTGAGGATTAAATGAGATCGTGGAGGTGCAGTGCTTAGTAGGGGCACACAGCAAAGGCCCAGCATAAGACAGCTGTAACTTCCTTTTCCTTCCTTCCTTCCTTCCTTCCTTCCTTCCTTCCTTCCTTCCTTCCTTCCTTCCTTCCTTCCTTCCTCCCTCCTTCCCACACTCCCTCCCTCCCTCGCTCCCTTCTGTTTTTGTTTTTGTTTGTTTTGTTTTGTTTTGTTTTGTTTGAGATGGAGTCTCCCTCTGTCACCAAGGCTGGAGTGCAATGAAGTGGTCTTGGCTCACTGCAACCTCTGCCTCCCAGGTTCAAGCGATTCTCCTGCCTCAGCCTCCTGAATGGCTGGGATTACAGGCTTGCACCACCACGCCCAGCTAATTTTTGATGAGGTTTTGCCATGTTGGCCAGGCTGGTTTTAAACTCCTGACCTAAGGTGATCCTCCCACCTCAGCCTCCCAAAGTGCTGGGATTACAGGTGTGAGCCACCACACTTGGCCTACTTTTTCTTTTTCCTTCCTTCCTTCCTTCCTTCCTTCCTTCCTTCCTTCCTTCCTTCCTTCCTTCCTTCCTTCTTCCCTCCCTCCCCTCCCTCTCCCCTTCCCTTCCCTTCCCCTTCCTCCCTTTCTCTTTCTTTCTTTTTCTCTTTCTTTCTTTCTTTCTTCCTTCTTTCTTTCTTTCTTTCTTTCTTTCTTTCTTTCTTTCTTTCTTCCTTCCTTCCTTCCTTCCTTCCTTCATTCCTTCCACTTTCTCTCTCTCTCTGAGCCCATGTCCTCAGTAACAGTCTGTGCCTACTCAGTGTTACTGGGCCCCCAACTTCCAGTGTTGGGGCATTTTTAACTGCTTGGTGGAAAGAGAGCTGCCAAGATCACATTTTTGCTCTGCATCTGATGCTGCACCCATCACGCTCTCAGCATGGCCCCAATCTCCCTGCCCCCTGCCCACAGCCCATCTTCGTGTTCTTTCCACTCTCTGTCCTGCTCCATCCTTTACCTGGTCTTCTCTGGGGTTGTCATGCAGCCATTTATTCCCTCAACCAAAAGAAAAACACAGAAACTCGCTCCTAATTAGATGCTTTCCGTCTCCCCAGGTCTTCACTTCTTGCATGTTCTCAACTTGTTAGAGGAAATCATATACTGACATTGGTATTGATTTGCATAATTCAGATATAATTAGGAGAAAGACTTGCCGGAGTGGCAGGCAGTGGGATTGGTGCTGCTGTATCCTGCTGACCTTGGGGAGAACTTAGAACTGGGCTCTTAACTCTTACCAAGTTCATGTTTACTTTCTCTGCAAAGCCCTGTAGGCACTAGTCCCCTGAGCTCACTCTTCCATGAGGTTTTAAGGCAACAGAGAAGGCTCCCTTCCCCCCGGAGTGTCCTCTTGCCCACCCCAGCATCTGGAATTCTGACCATGAGGGCTGTCGTATGGGGCCTGCTGGGGATGCAGAAAGACTTTCTACTGTCCTGGAGGTCAGCAGGCACAGGAGTCATCTTGCATGTGACGCCCACCATCTGGAGCTAGCAAGAGGATTTCAGGGTAGTGTCATCTTGACAGTTGGAGGAAGAAAAAGTCCCAAGCCCAAGCAGTGCTTGAAGCAAGAGAGTAGAAATTAGTGTGACCCAGTGAATTCTATTGCTGCCATGATGAAAAGTGCTGGTGCATTCTTGGAAAGATTAGGAACATAACGAGCCAGAGAAACAGATGAAAAATGCACGCCCGTGCCTGTTCTGTTTGTAACCGTTTCTTCATGCCTTTATTTATTCATCTATTCATTCAGCAAGTATTTATTGAGGGGCTAATATGTGCCAGGCACATAAAAGAATTAGGAGGCCGAGCATGGTGGCTCATGCCTGTAATCTTAGCACTTTGGGAGGCCAAGGCGGGATGATCACTTCATCATAGGAGTTTGAGACTAGCCTGGGGAACACGGTTCAACCCCTTCTCTACAAAAAAAAAAAAAAAAAAAAAAAAGGCTGAGCATGGAGGTACACGCCTGCGGTCCTAGCCACTTGGGAGGCTGAGGTGGGAGGATTGCTCGAGCCCAGGAGGTTGAGGCGGCAGTGAGCCAAGTTTGTGCTGCTGCACTCCAGCCTATGACATAGGGAGACCCTGTCTAAAGACAGACAGGCAAACAAAAGAATTAGGTGTTCACCTTGGGAATGGGGATGTGATCTCAGAAAACTGTTGTTGGTGAATTTGGTTCCCATCCACCCCAGCCTACATGGGTGGATTTGGGTCCAGGATTTAGGGCCTGGGAGGCAGGCTCTGGAGGACTCATGCCCAGAAGACCATACGATGCCCACTTTGAATTGTGCCTCTGTCTGTTTCACCTGCAAGCTGGCACTGTCCCAGGAAGGCCCCTGACAGCATAGGGCTGGGGTGGAAGCAAGGGACATTCCTATTCACAATGACCACCCTGGGGTGGGGTGAGGGGCACTCCCCATCAGGTGAGCTTCACGGGAAGCAGGACAAGGGGCAGGGAGTCTCTCTACACGCACCTCTGCCCCTACTTCTGCCCCAGTGTGACCCCTCCTCCTCCCATACAGCCCCTGTGAAGTGGCCATCACCAGAAGCCACAGCCAATTTCCCCAGGGAGCAATCTCCAGGGCACTGATTTACTTGTTAGCTGTCACCACGGGCCCTGAATAATCAGGTCTCTTCCCTCAGAAAGGATATTAGAGGCTGAGATGGGAAGGGCTAGGGCAGTGTGATATTTATTTCCCAGGCGTTTGCTGCCATGAATCACAGGGCTGTCTCTAACCTGCTCTCACACAGCACCGCAGGCCTGTCCGAAGGCCCGGAGAGACTTTCCAGGGTCCCAGGGGGCAGCTTGCCTGGCAATCCATTCCAGAGCCCAGCTCACGATTCAGGCTGCCTGTCAGGGTGCTGCGCTGGGGAAGCTGAGAGAGGGGAGGAGGCAGTCACCCTCTATTTGGGGAGAACTCCATGATTCATTCATTCCCTCATTCATCTGGGAAACATTTATTGAACATCTGCTGTTTCCTGCTGCGCACTGGGCTGGGGGCTGGGTATACAGGGGCGAACCAGCCAAGCCGGGTCCTGTCCTTGGGAGCATAAGTGGTGTTTCCTTTTCCATCTTTCTGCTCCCACCCAGGAGGCAAGACTGTTATGAGCTCTGGCTGGGGGCGGGAATAGATCTCTACATTCCCTGTCCTGCCCCCTCTCCCACTCCCGTCCCCACCCCATCCCACATTGGCCCAGATGGTTGAGCAAGATAACTCAGTCCCTTAATGCTGCAGTGATATTTCCCAACGTTGTCCCAGGACTCCTCTGCAAAAGCAGAGGAGTTTCCTTCTCCTGGGTGGGAGAAGGAAACTCTTACTTTTTCAACCCCAACTCTTGTCCGGCCCTTCACCAAGGCTACTTACGTTATCCCATTTAACCCCCATTGTACAGAGGAGGAGATGTGCCCAGGGTCACGCCACAAGCGGCGGTGTGCTGCAGTGGGCTATAGCCGTATGCCTCTCTTCCCAACTTGGCCTTCGATGACTTCAGGTTGGTGGTGTGAAATTGACTGCAGTGGGAGTATTTATACCATGGGAATGGGCAGGTGCTGTGAAATTGACCGCAGTGGGAGTATTTATACCATGGGAATGGGCAGGTGCTGTGAAATTGACTGCAGTGGGAGTATTTATACCATGGGAATGGGCAGGTGCTGTCAATCAGGGGGTTTCCTCTTTGCAGGGCTATCTCAGCATGGACCAGTGCACCACTGCACCCAGATGCTTTGACTGATGCTCTTCTCTGGAGCAGCAGCAGAGGATGGCTGTCACATTGGAGCAGCAAAAGATGTCTCTGCTGCTGGGAAGCGGTTGCTTGTTGTGGAAGAACTGAGGAATAGTAACATGAATTCCCATTGGAGAGTTAAGAGTTTTCAACCCCTGCGTGGCCACTTTTTAACATCACAGGTGGCTTTAACAGTCGGGTGTGGTGCCCTGCCACCCTTCCCTCCCATACCCAGGTTGATGGTGGAGCTAAGGCCTTGTTGCTAATTGAGGTCTCACTCAAGGTTAATAGGTGCTTTTATTGGTGTGAGTGATAGCTTTTCACTGGGCTCTGAGAACATGGCAGGAATCTGGTCAGGGGGCAGTGCACTGAACACCCCCCCCACAAGAGATAAACACATATGTGTCCTCTAGGATGCATTTTTTCTATGCTAGTGTCTTTTTTTTTCTTTGCTCATCCTTCTGATCTCAGCTTAAACATCGTGCCCTCAAGGAGACCCTGACCATCCTATCTTTTATTTATTTATTTATTTTTTGAGACGGAGTCTTGCTCTGTAGCCCAAGCTGGAGTGCAGTGGCGTGATCTCGGCTCACTGCAAACTCCGCCTCCCGGGTTCATGCCATTCTCCTGCCTCAGCCTCTGGAGTAGCTGGGACTACAGGTGCCCGCCACCACACCTGGCTAATTTTTTTGTATTTTTAATAGAGATGGGGTTTCACCTGTGTTAGCCAGGATGGTCTCGATCTCCTGACCTCGTGACTCACCCGCCTCGGCCTCCCAAAGTGCTGGGATTACAGGTGTGAGCCACCACGCCCGGTGACCCTGACCATCCTATCTATGGTATGTTTCTCTGCCCTACAGTTCTCTTTTAGTTTATTTTCTGTTGACGTACCTCTTTGTCTATTTCTTTCACTAGACTACAACGTCCATGAGTGGAAAACTGAGGCAAGAGAGGCTTAGTTCTTTTTTTTTTTGAGACGGAGTCTCGCTGTGTCACCCAGGCTGGTATGCAGTGGTGTGATCTCAGCTCACCACAACCTCCACCTTCTGGGTTCAAGTGATTCTTGTGCTTCAGCCTCCCGAGTAGCTGGGATTACAGGTGTGTGCCACCATGCCTGCCTAATTTTTGTATTTGTAGTAGAGATGTGGTTTTGTCATGTTGCCCAGGCTAGTCTCGAACTCCTGACCTCAGGTGATCCGCCTACTTTGGCCTCTCAAAGAGCTGGGATTACAGGCAATTTGCAACTTCTTATGCTTCCTGTTCATCCTCTCCTCCCTGTGGCTTTCTGGTGCTTGATCTGGGAAGACTTTACCCCTGGCTGATTTCTCCCTAATACACCCGCCTATCAGATGCCAGATGAGGGGGTTTGAGGCCAGGGTTAGGTCTCTGAACTTGGACTCAGAGCCCTGATTCTGCACGCTGGTTTTGGTGCTTACTGGCCATGGGGCCACAGGGAGAGGACAGAAAGGACAGCCTGGAACAGAAGCTGCAGAAGGAAATGGCATCCACTCCCCACTGGGCCCTACCCCAGCCCTCTGTAGCTCCTTTCTCCCAGGGACAATTTCACAGCCACTCTAAAGCTTTCCTGCCTTTAAAAAAACTTACTTTTCATGTTATAAAAATAATGCTTTCCGGCCGGGTAAGGTGGCTCACATCTGTAACCCCAGCACTTTGGGAGGCTGAGGTGGGTAGATCACCTGAGGTCAGGAGTTCAAGACCAGCCTGACCAACATAGCGAAACCCTGTCTCTCTTAAAAATACAAAAATTAGCCGGGCGTGGTGGCGAATGCCTGTAATCCCAGCTACTCATGAGGCTGAGGCAGGAGAAATCGCTTGAACCCGGGGAGTGGAGGTTGCAGTGAGCCGAGATCGCTCCATTTCACTGTAGCCTGGGCGTAAAAGCGACACTCTGTCTCAAAAGAAAAAAAAAAATGCTTTCCATTGCAGAAAATTTAGAAAATACAGAACAATAGTAAGGCAAAATAAAAGACATCTTTTAGACAAGGAAGAACCATGTTGACTTTCCTCCTTTCTTGTGCTGGATTAGCTCCGCCCACCTAAGCCCAAGACTCTGCCTCCTCTGGTAATTATAAGTAGCATTAAAACTGCCTCCGGGACCAAGTTATTACTTCCAAGAATAATAGTCTATGTTACTACAAGAAACTAATTAACAGCATGCAATGAGGGGGAAAAATTCAATTAATTAGTGGCTTAATAAGTGCTCACAATGACTCTGGGCTTGGCTTGGGCGTTGGGATGGGAGGGATGGAGACCCCCAGAGGGCTAGGCATGGGGGGCTGCAGAGGTGGGGCAGAGCACAGGGCTTGGGAATGGGCGGGGTCCTGTAGGAACCTGAGAAGCCCAGAGAGCCTAGTCAAAGAGGAAAGAAACCTGTTTGTTTCTGTTTCTGTCTGTTTTTTGCAGACCTCGTCCTGAGCTGAAGCTCTCAGCCTTACTGGTAACACTGGGTGGGGAGGGGTCCTTGGTCTGGTGTTGTCCCAACATGGTGGTTTGGCAGGTGCAGGGAAGTGAGGAAAGACTTGCTTTTTTCTGTCCTGCAGGCTGGAGGTGGGAAGGGGAGGTGAGCACACGGGTGCCCTCTTCTCTGTCACAGCCCCCGCCCACCCCACCCCTTGGGCTCTTCCCAACTCTCAGCCAGAGTCTTGGAGTCAGCTCTGACATTGCTCCTCCCCAAGCCCACCTCCCACCTGGCAGAAACTCTTGGGGCTGCTCCCTGCTAAGCGGTTCCCCTGCTTCCCTTCCTCACCCTCACCCCCATCCCACCATCTCCTCCACCACATCCTGAAGGGGAGACTCCTGCAGTGATCTGCCTGGCGCCCACCCCTTCTCCTCCAGCCCGTCCACCACCCGACAGCCACTGGGGACTGACGCCAGCACCACTGGGGAATAGGACGAGGTCAGGCCCCTACTTTGAGCCACGAAGCCCCAGCTGGACTGGCACCAGCTCCTCTTCCAGGCTCTCTGTGGCCCCAACACCACATCTGCTTTGAGTTATTTGAATGAGACTAATGCGGAGTTGCCAAACACCGATGGCTCTCAGGGCTTGGGGCCTTCTATTGCACAGATCCCTTCCGAGGCCCTGAGAGGGGCCTTAGCCTCATGTCCACACGCTTATGTGTGTTTGTAAAATTTGCAGATGTAGATGATGTGAACTGCAGTCCATGAAGACCGACCATACTATTGTCTCTGTCCACTCAGACTTCCCGCCTCCGCAAAGTGATCAGATGAAACGGGATTGATCAGAATGCCTGCATTTGGAGGTGCGTTCGTTTCTGACAGCCTCTGTAACAAACAATCACAAATGCAGTGGCTTCGGCAACACAAATGGACTAATTCACGGCTCTGCAGGTCAGAAGTCCAAAGTGGGTCTCCCTGGGCCAAAATCAAGGTGCATTCCCTTTCGGAGGCTTTAAAAGGAAATTCACGTCCATGCATTTTCCAGCTTCCAGAGGCTGCCCGCATTCCTTGGTGTGTGGCCCCGACCCTCATCTATGTTGAACTGGGTCCTTCTCACACTGCTCTGTCTCTGATTCTCCCTCTTATCTCTTCCGCCTTTTTTTTTGTTTTGTTTTTTTGAGACAGAGTCTTGCTCTGTTGCTCAGGCTGGAGTGCAGTGGCAGGATCTCGGCTCACTGTATCCTCCACCTCCCAGGTTCAAGCAATTCTTACGCCTCAGCCTCCTGAGTAGCTGGGATTACAGGTGTGAGCCACCATGCCCAGCTAATTTTTGTATTTTTAGTAGAGATGAGGTTTTGCTATATTGGCCAGCCTCAAACTCCTGGCCTCAAGTGATCCGCCTGCCTTGGCCTCCCAAAGTGCTGGGATTACAGGCATCAGCCACCGCACCCAGCCACCCTCTTCCACTTTTAAGGATCCTATGATGACTTTGGGCCCACCTGGCTCATCCAGGATAATCTCCCTATTTTAAAGTCAGCTGATGAGCAGCTTCAACTCCCTTTGCCATGTAACCTAATATAGTCACAGGGGATTGGGGCATAGACAGTTTTGGGGGGCTATTATTCTGCCAGCCACAGTAAGGCACAAACCTGTCGCAGCTCTACAGACAATAAATGTGTGTGTGTGTGTGTGAGTGTGTGTTAAGACACATGTTTTGTGCATCCTACATAACAAAATACATTTATTATATATGTATGTATATATACACATATGTGTCTGTGTATATGAATGTATGTATATATATATTTTCTTTTTTTGAGACAGGATCTTGCTTTGTTGCCCAGGCTGGAGTGCAGTGGCACAGTCATGGCTCACTGCAGCCTTGATCTCTCATGCCCAAATGATCTTCCCACCTCAGCCTCCCAAGTATAATATTAATAGCTGGGATCACAGGAGTGTGCCATCACACCTGGCTAATTTGTATGTGTATATTTCACTCAGCCATGCTGGAGGAATTATCTATCTTCTCTCTAGAAAATGATATTACAAAATCTTGACAGTTAAAGGGGGAATCCAAAAAGAACATGCAGCCAAAAATGAAAGAAAAAAATATGTGTGTTGAGCAGTTAATGAAAATATATTTTAAAATGTATTTTAAATGTAATTTGTAACACTTTTTCCTTCTAAATAAGCATGAACTTTCATGCCTAATTTTACATTCTTTTAAAAAAGTCCAGTGGGGTGTGGTGTCTCATGCCTATAATCTCAGCACTTTGAGAGGCCGAGGCAAGAGGGTCGCTTGAGCTCAGGAGCTCAAGACCAGCCTGGACAATATAGTGAGACCCCAATCTACAAAAAATTTTTAAAAAATGTAGCCAGGTGTAGCAGTGCACGCTTGTAGTCCCAGCTACTCAGGAGGCTGAGGTGGGAGGATCTCTTGAGACTGGGAGGTCAAGGCTGCAGTGAGCCGTGATCGTGCCACTGCACTTCAGCCTGGGTAGAGTGAGACCTCGTCTCAAAAAACCCGCAAACCACAACCTAGGATCCTCTGCTGCTCCCACCCCAGGGCCTTTGCACATGCTCTCATCTGTGTTGAGAGTGCTCCATGTCTCCTCCATTCTCTTCTCTTAGCTTAACCCTCAGACTTCAGCTCAAGCTTTAGTGCTCCACAAAAATCTTCTCTCTGGTCGGACACAGTGGTTCGCGCCTATAATCCCAGTACTTTGGGAGGCCAAGGTGGGCAGATCACATGAGGTCAGGAGTTTGGGACCAGCCTGGTCAACATGGTGAAACCCTGTCTCTACCAAAAATACAAAAATGAGCTGGGCACCTGTAATCCCAGCTACTCGGGAGGCTGAGGCAGGAGAATCGCTTGAACCCGGGAGGCAGAGGTTGCAGTGAGTTGAGATTGCGCCACTGCACTCCAGCCTGGGGGACAAGAGCGAAACTATGTCTCAAAAAAAAAAAAGAAATCTTCTCCTTTCATGTTCCCCCTTCCCCACAGTTGGTCTCCTGGACCTCTGATTTGTGGCCCCTCTGCAGTGATAACTCATGATTCGTGAACTTGCCTGCTGCTGTGTCCCCTGTTGGAATGCCAGCCCCGTGACCTTGCCTGTCTTGCTGCTGTTTTCCCCACTGATTGACACAGAGTCCAGCACACAGTAGGAACTCAATAAATTACAGGCAAAATGAGAGGATGAGTACAAGGGTGGGTAAAAGGTGTTCTCAGGGTGGGAGGGGGGAGTACACCTGAATGCACGTACCCATCCCAGGTCTCACTGCTCGCATGTGCTAGAGCTGGGATTCAAACTCAGAACCTTCCCATGTCAAATGCGTCCCTTCCACCACCCTGTACATTTGAGGCCAATGGCCATTTAATGGATGCCCAAATGATGGATGGCAGAGGCGTGTGTCAGTAAATCCTAAGGCAGGAAGTTGGTGAAGGGCTAAGCTGGATTAAATGGTGGGGTGATAGGGAGCCACAGTGGGTTCTGGAGCACCACCGGTGGTCATGGCCTGTCCTTGGGTGAGTCTGCTCTGGAGAAGGGTCCCTGACCTGGCCCCAGTCAGCTGGGACCAGCAGCTGAAACTGCAGCCTGCCTGTCTGCACTGACCTGTCTTCCCATGGCCCCTCCGTTATGCCTACCAAAGCCAGTTGCTGTGGGCTGGCCATTTCCAGAGGGAGGCCAAGAAGGCGTTTATTGAATTTATGATTTTAATTTATTACAATTCTAATCCCATTATGGGTTCCTTTTTGTCTGCAGCCTGCACAGCAGTGGAGTTTAATTATGGCCAAGCAAGATTTCCCCTACTCAGGGGACCTTTCCTGCCAGTCCTGGTGGCCTCCTGATTGCTTCAGAGGTGGTGGTGGGAGGGTTAGGAGGTGCAGAGTGGAGAAGGAGAAGCTCACTGGTGCCCGGGAGTGGCAGGCTGCTGCAACCCTTCCTGCATTTGGCAGCTGTACTGTGCAGGATGTGTGGGGATGCCTAGTGAGTGACAATTAGGACTGTAGTAAGTGGCTGTGCTGGGCGAGCAGTGTGCAACCTGCACAGCTGTACAGACAGTCTTGGGTTATCCAGAGATAGGCAGGTCCTGGAAGTAGGAGGGAGGGGACCCTAAGGGTCCTGCCAGGGTGTGTGTATCAAAGGTTCCACAAAAATGACTGTCTGGGGTGGGTCTAAGACTCTACTGCCCACTCAGAAAAAGGAATGTCTTCCAGATGGTCGGGGTCCCCAGAGGGAGGCCTGAGCAGAGAGAATGGGTCACAGAGTGGAGAGAAAAACATGGTAAGACAGGGGTTGGGGTCAGGTGCTGCTGCCAGCTTTGCCAGGAGTCCCTGTGTGACCTTAGGTCACATTTAGCCTCTCTGGGATGCTCTTTCTTCTGTTGGGAAATAAGCAGAATACAGGCTCCACCTACCCCTGGAAGGACAGTGTAGCTGGGCCAGATGTGAAATGCAGGAGGTGGAACGAAGGGCCAGAATATCAGACAAGGAGGCTTAGGTGCAGCACAAAGCTAGGGCTCCTTGAGGCCCTGTGCCCAGGCAAAGGTGAGGGGGCTCAGACCTGGTTCTAGAGCTCAGGGACTGATGGAAGCATCAGGAATACTGGGAGGGCCAAACAGCCTTGGCCCGTGGTCAGGGAGCCCTCGGAAGTGAGAGCAGCCTCAGACATTGCAAAGAGAGACCCAGCATCTTGCCTCAGTTCCTTCATCCATAAAATGGGCACGGGAACAACCCCAGCCCTACCTCCCCGACAGGTAGGAAGGGGCATGCTGACCTTGTTGGCGGACAGGGCTTGATCACCGTTAGGCGTAGGACCAGGCAGACAGCAGCATTCCTAGCTCTCTGGGCCTCAGTATCCTCATCTGTAACTGACGGGTTAGAACCAAATGACCTCAAATAATCCTTTCAGCTTAGACATTTGCAGCGTTGGTGATTAAGCAGGGAAGGCTTCCTGGAGGAGTCAGTCTGTAGGAAAGGGAAGGGTCGAGCTTTCTGCAGATTTAGGCCCCAAATCCTGATTCCTGAAGAAGGAGATGAGAGTGAAGGAAGTATGAGGGAGGAGGCAGCATAGTGTAGAGGTTGACAACTCAGACACCCATAGGTGCAGAGCAAGTGACTTAAATGGGTGAGACAGACAGGGTGTAATATAACAGGGACTGGTGGGGGCTGTGGCAAATTGGAACAGCGCGTCCCACCTAAAGGGGCAGCCATTTCTCTGCTCCACTGATCATTGCCATGTAAGGGTGTTGATCACGGGTTGTCAGATGGATTCAGTCTTTGCAAGTGTTCCCAACTGTAAAATGGGCACAGTATTAATAATTGTCTTAGTGACTTGGTGTTAGGACTAAATGAGCTAAGAAATGCAAAGTGCCTATTAACAGAACAATGGCTGGCATATAGTGAGTGGCAATAACTTTGTACTGACAATTACTACGATTGTTGTTATTCTCTATTTGTACAAAAGACCAGATGTCTTCCTTCCCCGGCCCCCAACACACTCCTGGCAGGAAGATGGGGAGCATCTAATCATTTCAGTGCAGTTGTTTGGGGTCTCCAGGGCCATGGGCTTCCTTGGCTGCCTGTGGCCTTGTCTTGAATGGCTCCAGCAGATGAGAAATGTTTGTGATCCAGAGAGAAAGCAGACGCCGGAAATGCTGCTGCCAACAGAACGCTTTGAGTCACCTGGACTCACTTCATGGGGGTTTTATTTTCTTTTGGTAGGTTATTCTGAGCCCGGGACATGCACGTTTGCAGGAAGGATTTGTCAGGCTTCGTTGGGCTGAGAAAGTGGCCACTGAAAAGCTTGGGGAGAGGCGGAGTCACGTGGTGAGGCGTGGAACCAATGCCAGTTGAAAGGGCCCAATTGTGAGCCTTAAAGAGATTCCCAGTTGTGTCCAAGGACGAGGTGGGAGAAACTAGGAGCGGGAGTGACAGGAAAATTGTCTAGCCGGTCCTCTACAGCACATGCATTCTTAATTCAGCCAGGGCTGGCAGAAAGAGACAGTGTGCATGGGTGTGTGTGCATACAGGGTGTGCATGTGTGTGGCGGGCGCCTGTCTACCTCCTCCAAGACACACTCCTTGGTTAACCCCAGCTGGCCTGGATTATACCTTCTTCTGTCTTGACTTCCAGTTCTGGATCTTTGGAAAACGAGCTGCAAGTCTTAGGGCAAGGCATTTAACCTTGCTGTGCCTCAGTTTACCCATCTGAGGAGTAGGATGATAATTCCAGTTCTACTTGCTCCAAAGGCAATCTAATGGTAGTGTTCTAGAAGGACTGTCTTTGGGTTTGAATGCACCCTCTCTCATCTGCAGAGCCCTCTGTAATTTCAAGGCTTTTACACAATCACGTCTGATTCCAGATATGGTGAGGTCAACAGATTAGCAGACAGCTGACATTGAAAAGACAGTCTGTGGCCAGGCACAGTGGCTCACGCCTGTAATCCCAGCACTTTGGGAGGCTGAGGCGGGCAGATCACGTGAGGTCAGGAGTTCAAGAGCAGCCTAGCCAACATGGTGAAACCCCGTCCCTACTAAAAATACAAAAATTAGCTGGGCATGGTGGCGGGCTCCTGTAATCCCAGCTACTTGGGAGGCTGGGGCAGGAGAATCGCTTGAACCTGGGAGGCGGAGGTTGCAGTGAGCCGAGATTGCGCCATTGCACTCCAGCCTGGGTGACAGGAGCAAAACTCCGCCTCAAAAAAAAAAAAAAAAAAAAAAAGACAGATTATTACACTCACAGATCCCAAGAGGAGCGGGCTTGTCCAGCCATGAGGGGGCACATAGGGGCAGTCAGGAGGTAGAGGGAGGGGGAAATCGTGGGCAAGAACATTTATTGTGGTATCCATGAGAAGGAACGAATGAGGCAGAGCAAGCCGGCTTAGGGTTGGCTAGTTTGAATAATTTCAGTGCATTCTGGGCCACAAGGGCTGCCCCTAGTTGTCTGGTAGATGACCCTGGAGTGATCAGG
Source organism: Homo sapiens (assembly GCF_000001405.40). Classification (NCBI taxonomy): domain Eukaryota; kingdom Metazoa; phylum Chordata; class Mammalia; order Primates; family Hominidae; genus Homo; species Homo sapiens. The sequence goes on along the minus strand of NC_000001.11, from coordinate 11,619,467 downwards.
GCAGGTGGATAGTGGTCCAAAGTGTGAGAGCCAATAAAGGAGGTAGTTGCTGGTATAGACTCTGGATTGGTTGGTTTGCATTTTCAAAGCAAATGGGCTCATGGGCAAGTTGGTTACTATCTCTAAGAATTTACCAGCTCTTAACCCTCCAGGGTCACAAAGCCCCAGATGTCAAAGTATCAGAACACAGAAAATAAAAGGCATGCTTGATAAAGGAGGGGTTGGTTGACTGGTCGAAGGTCACGCAGCTTGGGAGTGAAAGAGCCCAGGTGTTTTGACTCTCGGTCCAGGACATGCCCCTGTGATCTTCAGGTGGCTTCTCCCGAGATCCCATGCCTTCCTTATGGACAAGGGCCTCCCTAGACCGTCACAGGGGCTGAGGGCAATGAAATGTTCTGCTTCCCACTTTCTGCCCCCAAACAGGTGTGTCCCAGGACCCTAGTCAGCACTGTTTTGGTTGCAAGTGACAAAAACCCCACCTTAAACAAGCTTAAGTCAAAAAGTGAGTTTATTGGCTCACATAACTGGGTGCTCAGGGTTTCCCAGTTTCAGGAAAGGCTAGATCCAGGAGCCCAAATGCTATTGTCAGGACATCATCTGTTTTGCGTATCTGGAGTCTGCGTCCCTTCAGGTGTTCTCACAAAGCCTTTCTCCACGTGTTAGGGAAGAAGGCCAATGGTAGCCCCGAACCCCTATAACTCATTACCCAAAAGGAAGAGAGATCTTCCTTGCTGGGTTCAGGTGTCAAATCTCTGATTGATCTTCTTGGGTCAGGTGTTTTTTTTTTTTTTTTTGAAACAGAGTCTTGCTCTGTCGCCCAGGGTGGATTGCAGTGGTATGATCTTAGCTCACTGCAACCTCCGCCTCCCCGGGTTCAAGCGATTCTCCTGCCTCAGCCTCCTGAGCAGCTGGGATTACAGCCACGTGCTACCATGCCAAGCTAATTTTTGTATTTTTAGTAGAGACGGGGTTTCACCATATTGGCCAGGCTGGTCTCAAACTTCCGACCTCAGATGATCCATCTGTCTCGGCCTCCCAAAGTTCTGGGATTACAGGCGTGAGCCACCACACCCAACCCATGGTGTTCATTCTTGAGCCAATCAGTGTGATCAGGGGGATTAGAATTCTGGGCAGCCTGGCCTGATCTCACACCCACGAAGTGTGTGTGTGTGTATGTCTGTGTGTGTCTGTATGTGCATGAGTGTGTGTGTGTTCCCGTGACTATGTTTTGTAGAGCATTGTGACTAAGCCCTACCAGGACCTCATGGAATGGGGGAGAGACAGGCAGAAACAGGCAGTATCTGCCCCCAATTCAATGTTCTTCATTCCTATCCACCAATTTTCCACAAAGGTCTTGCTCTGTGCCAAGGACGACTTCCTGCCCTGAGCTGGAAGGACTTTCTTGCCATCTTCCCAAAATGTCTTAACAGAAGGGCAAGCTTCCTGGTCTAGGAGTTGGGACACTGGGGTTTGGGTCATAGCACTGTCACTGAGTCACTCTGTGACCCAGGACAAGCCCCCTAAGCCTCAGTGTTCCTGTCTGGACAATGGGTGGGCTAGACTAGAAGGTCTTTAAACTGCCTCCAAGTTTGACCCTCTGTGAGTGAAGTGCTTGCTCTGAGCAAAGAGAGGTTCCGAAGCCTGCTTGCCAGGATGATGTGGGTGGGAACAGGGCTGTTAAAATACAGATTCCTAGACCCTCCCCAGGACCAGTTGGATCACACTCTCTTCGGAGCAGGACCCTGGAAGCTATTATTTTTGAGGAGTGATTCCGTTGTAGCTGGTTCACAACCTGGTGCTTGGGAACTACGGCCTAAGAAATCTGGTCCCTTGAAAGGGACAATGAACGAACTGGCTCTTTGAGGCATCTGGGCTTGTTGGCTCTGCTAGCCTAAAGCTAACAGGGTGTGTCCTGCATACAGTTGGCAAGAGACAGTAGCTGCTGAGCCAGACTGGCCCAAGAGCCTCCTGGTGGTGACTGCCCTGTGTTCTCACGTAGCAGGTGGCCTCTATGGGGACCTGGCCCTGCCAGCTGGCAGAGCATCTCGGAGCTGAGAGCTCTTCCTGGGACACTGGCAGGAGGTCTCACTCCATGCTGTTGTTGGGGATGAGATTTGGGGAAGAGATGTGCGTGCTGGCTTGGGATGGGGACCGGAGGCTGTGGGGCAGGCTGCTTAAGTCTAGTGGGGAGGGGAGCAGGGTGTGGCCTTGGGCAAGTCAGGTCATCCTCTTTGGGGCATCTGTCCTCCCACCTGTCCAGTGGGTTTGTAGCTTGGACCTTCTGAGTCTGCTTTAGTCCGTCGAGAGGGCTCTGCGGGAGAGAGGGCCACACAGAGGGGTGCTGTGAGGGTGGGGGAGAAGGCAGCTTTGATGGAGGAGGGGCTCAGCTTGCAGGTGCCAGAGGGCAGGCCCCCAGCTGATCAGGCCAGATGAGTAGCAAACCAAGAGCTCAGGAAGGGAGGGGAGAATGGGGCAGAAACGCTTCTGCTGGACAGCTGGAGAGAACCACAGGATGCCCTGGGGCCCCCCCGTGCCACCGCGTGAGCAGAGGCGGCTCAAAGCATGGTCCCGGGGCTGCCCTTTCTGGATTCAAATCCCAGCTCTGCCCTCAATGGTGTGACCCTGGGCCAGCCACTCCCCTCTGTGCCCCAGTTTTCTCTCCTATCAAGTGGGGGATGCTAACAGCCCCTCCCTCAGGGGGTCCTCAGTGGGCACTTAGCAATTGTTGTTGCTGTTAGTATTAGTGAGGACTGTACCTGCTTGGGGTTATGGGCAGGCCGTGGAGGCTGAGCTGCTGACCAGCCATGTGACCTTGTTGCCTGACCTCCCTGTGCCTCAGTTTCCTCTCTTCTAAAAGGAGGAGAAAAGCATCTACTTCATTCCAGTGAGTCTGCTGAGTTACTCCAGGTGAAGGCTTAGCATGCTGCCCCGCCCATGGGAAGGACTCTACAAAGGACAGCTATTGTTGGTGTTATTATTTATAGAGTTGAACTGGGTTAGGCATGTCACACTTTCCAGGGTGGGTTGGAGGTAGGTTCTGAACCCTCCAGGCGGCTGTGGGTGACAGGGGATCCTTGGGGTCTGGCAGGGAACCGCTGGAGCAGGCGACCTGCAAATCCCCAGGCCCAGACACCTCCTCCTGGGGATCAGCAGAATTTGGTGTGCTTTCGGTGAACCATCAGCTTACCTGATATTTGTGCCCTAGAGTGAGGCAAGCTCTGGCCTTTGGTCTCAAGGTGTGTGTTCCAGTTTCAGTCCTTGGCCTTGGCCAGGACTTGCCTTTGGCTAGTCTGAGCCTCAGCTTCCAAATCTGTGGTGTGTGATTGTGATGTCTACTTCACCAGGATGCTGAGGGAGCAGAGGGCAGTGGGGAGAACGAGCACAGCAGAATCTGCCATGCAAACAAAAAGCGTTGGTGGCCGAGGTGCTCTGCCTGGCATGCAGTCAAAGAAACTTGAGTTTGCTTCCCAGCTCTGTCACCCACTGGCTGGGCAACCCCAGGGCAAGTTCATCAATCTCTCTGAGCACTATCTTCTCACTTTTACTAAAATATGGATGATGATGATGGTTATTATTATTATTGAGACGGGGGTCTCACTGTATTGCCCAGGCTGGAGTACAGTGGTGCAGTCTCAGCTCACTGTAACCTCTACCTCCCAGGTTCAAGCAGTCCTCCCTCCTCAGCCTCCCAAGTAGCTGGGACTACAAATTAGTCATGCACCATCATGCCTGACTAACTTTTTGTATTTTTAGTAGAGATGGAGTTTCGCCATGTTGCTCAGGCTGGTCTCGAACTCCTGGGCTCAAGCGATCCCCCGGCCTCGGCCTCCCAAAGTGTTGGGATGACAGGCGTGAGCCACTGTGCCTGGCTGAAATACAGATTATTTTGTGAGGCTTGCAGGTTATTACTGTGAGGCTAAAAATGAGATCCTATATGCCAAGTGTCTGGTGGCTAGAGTAGGGTGGGGCCAGGCTGGGCCACAGGGCTGGGCCATCAGCGTGGGAGAAAGCGCACCGTTCTTTCCTCTTTCTCCCCTCCTGCCTCAAATCCTCTCTCTTCCTCCCTGAGCCTCTAATCTCGCCTCTGCTTCTCCATTCACTATCTCTGCTCTCTCCCTTCCGGCTTCCCTTGTAGTTTAAGATTAGACGTTATCGCTTCTGTCTTGAGGACACGGATATGACACGCTGGCGTCTCTGCATATTCCTCCCCTGCCGGCCTCAGCCCTGACGTGATTGCGAGCGCTGGATTCCATGCACAGCTGCTGGGTCCTGCTCCTTGCGTGGCCGTTTGGACCTGCAGCTACATGGGGTGATGTTTTGCTTTTGATTTGTGCTTCTTGCCTTCTCATCCCTGGTGCTAGATATGGGCTCCCCTCTTTTCCTGTGATGTTCAAGATTCTAATTAAGTGGAAGAGACTTTTACTCCTTACAATTCTCCAGCTATGAATAATGATACTGGCTCATAAATGAAAATTGCTTTTCTATTTAAATTCTGCGCGGTTTTTTTGTTGTTGTTTAAAAAAAGAAGGTATGAAACCAGGGCTCTTGGGTCATTTACAAGTTATTAATTTCAAGCGGAGCTCTTAGCTAGCTTATTAACGGTGAGAGTATTATAGTCCGGTTAAATGGAGGGGATATTAATTACATTGCAGGCTTTTATGCATGGAGAAATGGCTTGTTTCCATGTTGGTGGGTGGTCTAGGTGGGGAAACACAACTCCCCTTCTGGGAGGCATGGGAGGAAGAGGGTCCTGGTGAGATGCTCTGTGGATAGACGCTGGGTCGCAAGAACTAGTGCCAGACCTTTTCCTGGGACTACAGGGTTCTGGGTCAAGGTGGCTGGGCACACCATGGTGCCTCAGTGTCTCAAAGCTAGTAAGGCACTTCTTCCCAACACATAAGACCCCCTCCACTGACGACAGGTCAAGTGGAATTGGGCACTGGGCTGACATGGTAGCAGGAGACATTTCCATCAGTCCAGCATTCCTAAAACTCTCAGTCATTTCATCTCTGTTTTGGCCATATCGACATACTGCCTGTTCTATTATTTACTTACTATTTTTATTTTCATTGACTCACTTTTAAAAAACTGAAATTTCATTTAAAGGGAAACTTTATATCACCACCATAAATAGGAAACCAGCATCCCCAGTCATAAATTCAGAGCAACATAAAAATGAATACATGACTATTAAAAAATGTCCACACGTGCACCACCTGAAAGCGACACCCACGTGGGCAGTGGTGCGTCGACACCGTGGAGAACCCGGATCAGGTCGAAGAAAGGGCTTCCTGCCCTGGTGGCCCTTGCAGTCTCAGGGCCAGCGTCAGGAGAGGGCAGGGGGCAGGTGATCCACCCAAAGAACCAGTGCCTTCTGGGGTCCTTCCAAACAGATGCAGCTGAAACCAGGAGGCCATAAGAAAAGAAGCAGAACTGGGGAATTTCTGTAGATTTTGAACTTTAGGGAACAACATGGAAATAGTATGCAAATTGCATGCCAACCTGAATTTGTTCTCTCAGGCCAATGACTCAGGCCTGTCGCCTGTGGCTCCTGTTCTGGTCTGTCTCCTCTGGTCCCTGGGTTTCCATGAGCCATACAGGAGAAAGGGGACTGTCCAGAGACCCCTGGCCTGGGAGTCAGGATGGAGGCAGTGAGGCTCTGCTGCTACATTGCCCTGTGACCTTGGACAGACCATTGGGCCTCTCTGGACCTCTGCTTCTTTATCTCTGCATGAGGAGGTCGAACAAGATGCATCTGGGGACCCAGTGATGGTTAATTTGATGTGTCAGCCTGACTGGGCCATGGTGCCCAGATATGTGGCCAAACCTTATTCTGGATCTTTTTGTGAGGTGTTCTTGGATGAGCTTAACATTCAAATCAGTGGACTTTGAGGAAAGCAGGTGGCCCGCCATAATGTGGGTGGGCCTCATCCAATCAGTTGAAGCCCTGAATAAGACAAAACCTGACCTCCCTTGAGGAAGGGGTAATTCTGCAGCAGAAACCTTGGGACTCGAGCTGCAGCATCGGCTCTTCTCTGGGTCTCCAACCTGCTGGCCCACTGTATTCGTCTGTTCTCACACTACTAATAAAAACATACCTGAGACTGGGTCATTTATAAAGAAAAAGAGGTTTAATGGACTGACAGTTCCACGAGGCTGGGGAGGCCTCACAATCACGGTGGAAGGCAAAGGAGCAAAGGCACGTCTTCCATGGCAGCAGGCAAGAGGGAGCTTGGGCAGGGAACTCCCTTTTATAAAACCATCAGATCTCCTGAGACTTATTCACTATCATGAGAACAGCATGGGAAAGACTCAGCCCCATGAGTCAATTACCTCCCATGGGGTCCCTCCCATGACATGTGGGAATTACAGGAGCTACAATTCAAGATGAGATTTGGTGGGGGGACACAGCCAAACCGTATCACCCACCCTGCAAATTTTGGACTTGCCAGCCTCTGTAATCACATGAGCCAATTTCTCGAACCTCTCTCTCTCCCCACTCTCTGTCTCCCTACCTACCTATACATGCATACACAACCTGTGTGTTCTGTTTCTCTGCAGGGCCTGACCAGTACAGGCCCCCTTTAGCCATTGTCTCCCTTTGGCATGAGGCAGAACAGATGTGCGCAGGGAGAGGACAGCAGCTGTTCTCCAGTTCCCTCAGCTTTTCCATTGCCCCTGCAAAAATGTAATAGAAAAACTCAGCTCAAAGTGGCTTCAGCCACACCAGGGCTTTATCAGCAGGTGTTACTGGGAGTACAGGGCTAAGGCAGTCTCCAGGGTTATTTGACTCAGCAGCTGGTATCAACAAGGCCCAATTATTTTCCTATCTCTCCAGTCTTTTCTATTTCTGATGTTAGTTTTGGTTAGAAGAGGGCTTCCCTCATGGTGGCAGAAAGGCTGCATAGTTCCAGCCGTACCTCCTAGTCCAAAAGGAGAGAGATGTCTGTGTCCTAGAATCCCAGCAAAAGTCCTCAGCCTGAAGGAGGGCTGACTGGCCCCCCTACTTCAGAGCCAAGATGTATGGCCAGAGGAATGACACAAACTGATCAGCTCACTATCTAAACCAATTGCTGTGGCGAGGGGCATGGGTTACCTCTTGGCAGGAGGGTTTGGGGCTATCGTGGGGTTGGCTTCACACAAACAGGGTGGTTGTTACACAGTGGATGTGTGTGTTTTGGGGGCCCATATAGATGCTTAGCTCAGAGGTTTAGCCCAGGTGGTCCAGGCCCTACCCCTTTCCCTTATTCCCCCTCTACTTCCTTCCCCTGTCTTCTTCTCTCTCCTCTGTGCTCACAGGCTGTGGCCCCACCCTGGCTAGCTGCCCAGGCCCTCTGCTGGGAACCCCTGATATAGCCATACCGTTTGTACCTGCCCAGTCTCATTTCTTCCCCTTCTGGTAACAGAACCCCGTCCCCTGGAGAGACATCCCCCCGTCACTCCATTTGGCTGTGGGGACGGTTGCATCCCTGCAGCCCTCCCTACTTACACAGCCATGAGATCCAGGCCGGGCCAATCAGACTTCTCTGGGATTTTGCTTCCCTCTTTCCTGTGAAGCCATTAGCTGGGTTGATGTGAGCTGGAGCTGTCTGTGGCCTCACCCCGCCCCTGCCACATGGAAGAAGCTGTGTGCAGAAGAGACAGAGACAGAGAGAGAGCACTAAGAGGTCAAAGGATAGGCTTTAGTCCCTGGATTCAGCTGTGTCTGAAGCCAGTGCTATCACACCTGGCCTTTTCCATTACCAGAGCTGCTAGATGCCCTTCCCCTTGAACTAGCTTGGTTGGGCTTTTGTGGCTCGTGACCAAAAGCCCCTGACTGGCATACCAGCATTCATTTCTTTATTCATTTAATTCAACAGTCAACACTTCCTTTGAGCCAGGTAATTCTGGAAGATAGGTACCGTTACTATGCTGATTTCATAAATGGGGAACTGAGGCATGGAGAATTTAAGCAACTTCCCCAAGGTCATTCAAGGTCATTTAATTAGTAATAGTGTCGCTGGGATTGAACCTGTCTCTGTCTGTTTCCAAACAGTCAGCTTCCTCCAGCCAGAAGCTGCTATGAAGTTATCCAGGCAGAGTCTGGCGAGAGGAGAGGCCAGCTTCTCCTAGGCTTTAATAATAGCAGCAGCAATAACAACAACATGCAACGAAGACTCATGATGTGCCAGGCAGTATTCCAAACACTTGACGTGGATTCTCCTCTTTAGGTGCTTATATGTATTTTTTAATCCCCATTTTTTAGATAGAAACACTGAGCTTCAGAAAGATGCAGTAATTTTCCCAGCATCTTGCAGCTAGGAAGTGATGGGTTGAGATTTTCTCTTGGCAACAATTTCCACTGGAGGGTCAGAGCCCAGGGCTAGGATTGGGTCTCTTCTGTTCCTCAGGAAGGCAGAGCCTCCCAGGCCATCCCTGTGCCAAGCACTGCTGTTAAATGCCCAATAACCGGCCAGGTGCCTCCTCCCTCCCTGGTCTTCAGAGCTGCTGGGTCAGGGACCTGGCTGATTTCCCAGTAGTAGAGCCTCAAGGGTGGGTCATGAGAGGGTATAAGTCACACACAGTATGATTCTCAAAGTGGCTTTGGCCTGTGTGTGACTGACTTCAAACAGCCATGGGAGGAGAGGGTGGGAGTGAGGAGGAGAGTGGGAGTGAGGGTTAGGAGTGGGAGTGCGGAGGGGCTGGTGCCTAGAACGCAGGTCTCCTTTGGGCTGGAGGCGCAGGCTTATGTTTGGTCTGTGGTGGCAACATGCCCCTCACAGTGGTGCCCGTCACCCCAGGTTCTTCAGGGTTCCGGTCTCTTGGGGGTGTTGGGGGGGCAGCTAATCTATTGCCTGCACACTCTCCCTCTTGGTAGGAAGTGTGCATCGTGACAGGGGCCTTCTAGAGCCAAGGTCTTACCCCAAAGATGAGGAGGCACAGGGGTGAAAACGCTAGAACAATGGATTCATCTTCCTGGGGGTCCCTGCAGGGACCAGGCTCACAAAAGACCCCAGGGAACCTGGGTAGCTCTTTCAAGGGTGTCCTGCTCCCTCCTGGGTCCCTCAGGTCCTCCCATCAGTGCCTTTGCCCTACGCTGCTGCGTTTCCTGTGCCCTGAAACACACAGGGCTACCTTCCTGAGCGCCCAGGCCTCCCTGCTGTTCACCCGCTTGGACTGGCTGTGTCCACAGCTGTCAACCCTCTGTGGCAGTGGATTATATTCAATTTAGCACTTGATTAAGCCCTGATATTTGCTTTTCCTTAAATTGCTTTAACTTTTCCAACTGATTTCAATCCCCTTTCCCCGAGTCTGCTCTGGTACCCCCCTGCTTGACTGCAGGCCACACTTTTTGGCCCTCTCCTATGTACCCACCCTGAGTTGCTCAGGCACAGAGGATCCAGGTTAAACACATGGATGTTGGCTCCAAGGATATCTCTCCCCTGCCTCAGCTCTGTACCAGATGCTGCCTTGGCCCCAGGATGAGGGAAGCCATGGGAGAAGCTGGTGGAGTGTCTCCGATGCTTCCTCTGAGGCAGGTTGGGGCAGGCCGGGCTGTGACAACAACTGTGTCCGCAACTGGTGGGTTTTTGGTCTCACTGACTTCAAGAATGAAGCCGCGGACCCTTGCGGTGAATGTTACAGCTCTTAAGGTGGCGCGTCTGGAGTTTGTTCCTTCTGATGTTCAGATGTGTTCGGAGTTTCTTCCTTCTGGTGGGTTCGTGGCCTCGCTGGTTCAGGAGTGAAGCTGCAGACCTTCACGGTGAGTGTTACAGCTCTTAAGGCAGCACGTCTGGAGTTGTTCGTTCCTCCCGGTGGGCTCGTGGTCTCGCTGGCTCAGGAGTGAACCTGCAGACCTTCGTGGTGAGTGTTACAGCTCATAAAACCAGTGTGGACCCAAAAAGTAAGCAGTAGCAAGATTTATTACAAAGAGCAAAAGAACAAAGCTTCCACAGTGTGGAAGGGGACCCGAGCGGGTTGCCACTGCTGGCTCGGGCAGCCTGCTTTTATTCTCTTATCTGGCCCCACCCACATCCTGCTGATTGGTAGAGCCGAGTGGTCTGTTTTGACAGGGCACTGATTGGTGCATTTACAATCCCTGAGCTAGACATAAAGGTTCTCCACGTCCCCACCAGATTAGCTAGATACAGAGTGTCCACACAAAGGTTCTCCAAGGCCCCACCAGAGTAGCTAGATACAGAGTGTCGATCGGTGCATTCACAAACCCTGAGCTAGACACAGGATGCTGATTGGTGTATTTACAATCCCTGAGCTAGACATAAAGGTTCTCCTCCTCCCCACCAGACTCAGGAGCCCAGCTGGCTACACCCAGTGGGTCCCACACCGGGGCTGCAGGTGGAGCTGCCTGCCAGTCCCGCACCATGCGCTCGCACTCCTCAGCCCTTGGGTGGTCGATGGGACTGGGCGCCATGGAGCAGGGGGCGGCGCTCGTGGGGGAGGCTCGGGCTGCACAGGAACCCACGGAGGTGGGGGAAGGCTCAGGCATGGAGGGCTGCAGGTCCCGAGCCCTGCCCCACGGTGGGCTGGCACTGCTGGGGGACCCAGTACACCCTCCACAGCCGCTGGCCCGGGTGCTAAGCCCCTCATTGCCCGGGGCCGGCAGGGCCGGCCTGCTGCTCCGAGTGCGGGGCCCGCCAAGCCCATGCCCACCCGGAACTCCAGCTGGCCCGCAAGCGCCACGCGCAGCCCGGGTTCTCGCTCGCGCCTCTCCTTCCACACCTCCCTGCAAGCTGAGGGAGCCGGCTCCGGCCTTGGCCAGCCCAGAAAGGGGCTCCCACAGTGCAGCGGTGGGCTGAAGGGCTCCTCAAGTGCCGCCAAAGTGGGAATCCAGGCAGAGGAGGCGCCGAGAGCAAGCGAGCGAGGGCTGTGAGGACTGCCAGCACGCTGTCACCTCTCACAACCACAACCACCTTGAGATTGCAGGGGCTCGCAACAACAAAGGCGTGTTCCTCACCTGCTGACAGCTGTCCTGAGCCACAGGGGGCTTTGCTTGTGTCTTCTCCATCCAGGACTCAGGCTGGTGGGGCAGCCACTACCTTGAATGTTGTTGGCCACCCTGGTGCGGCTAGTTCCAGCACCTCTGGGATCAGCAATCAAATACCTGCTCCACCCCGCTTGCACATCCCTCTAGCTTACAAGTGCCTGGAGGAGAACCGCCCTAATGACCACCCCAACACGTGGAATCTAACAAACGTGAAGCAGAAGCTGTTCCGGCCCAAGCCTAGTCTGCTCCCTCTTGACCAGTAGTGGCAACTTCCACCCACAGGCTCAGGCCTGGGGTCCTCCCTGTTCCTTCTTTCCCTCCTCTCCATGAAGCCCCGTGGGGGAGCTGACTGGGTGCTTCCCATCACTGCTGCTTGGTCTTTTGCACGGGTGCCCATGGCACTTTCTGCTGTGCTTCATGATTCCAGGCTCCTGGCTAGTTAGTTGCTGATTCCCCATGGAGCAGCCAAAAGGATCCTTTCCATGCATCCACTAAAAAAAACAAAAAAAAAAAAAGCTTGTTTTTTGTTTATTTTGTTTGTTTTGAGACGGAGTCTCACTCTTTCACCCAGGGTGGAGTGCAATGGCGTGATCTCAGCTCACTGCAACCTCCACTGCCCGGGTTCAAGCGATTCTCCTGCCTCCGCCTCCCGAGTAGCTAGGTGCCCACCACCATGCCAGTCTAATTTTTGTATTTTTAGTAGAGACGAGGTTTCATCATGTTGGCCAGGCTGGTCTTGAAGGCCTGACCTCAAGTGATCCACCCACCTCAGCCTCCCAAAGTACTGGGATTACAAGCGTGAGCCACTGCACCTGGCCTAAAAAAAAATGTTTTTATTGAAACATAGTTCCTATAACATAAAATTGACCTTTTTTTTTTTTTTTTGGAGATGGAGTCTTGCTCTGTCGCCCAGGCAGGAGTGCAGTAGCTCCATCTCAGCTCACTGCAACCTCCATCTCCCGGGTTCAAGCAATTCTGTCTCAGCCTCCTGAGTAGCTGGGACTACAGGCACATGCCACCACACCTGGCTAATTTTTGTATTTTTAGCAGAGACAAGGTTTCACCATGTTGGTCAGGCTGGTCTCAAACTCCTGACCTCAGGTGATCCACCCACTTTGGCTTCCCAAAGTGCTGGGATTACAGGCATGAGCCACCGTGCCCGGCTTAAAATTCACCATTTTAAAGGGAACCCTTCAGCCATTTTTAGTATAGTCACTATGTTGTACGATCATCACTGCTATCTAATTCCAGAACATTTCCATCCCCCCAGAAAGAAGCCCTGTACCATTAGCACTTGGTCCCATTCTCCCCTCTCCCAGCCCTTGGCAACCACTAAGCTGCTGTCTTCGTGGATTTGCCAATTCTGGGTATTTCATTTAAGTGGAGTCACGCACGATGTGGCCTTGAGTCACTGGCTGCTTTCATCTATCATGGTGCTTCCAGGGTTCGCCCATATTGCAACGTGCATCAGAACTTCATTTCTTTTGATGGCTGAGTACTATTTCATTGCATGGACATACCACATGCTGTTAATCAAAAGGTTCTTTTTTGTTTTGTTTTGAGACAGGGTCTTGCCCTGTCACCTAGGCTGGAGTGCAGTGGCACAATCATAGCTCACTCCAGCCTTGGACTCCTGGGCTCAAGTCATCCTCCTGCATAGCTGAAACTACAGGCATGCTCCACCGTGCCTGGCCAATTTTTAAAATTGTTATAGAGATGGGGTCTTGTTATGTAGCTCTGGCTGGTCTCAAATTCCTGGGCTCAAACGACCATCCCACCTCAACCTCCCAAAGTGCTGGGATTACAGGCATGAGCCACCGTGCCCAGCCAAAAGTCTCTTTTAAAGGCAGGATCAGGTTCTACCATGTCCCTTCCCACAATTCTGTAATGGCTCCTCTGGCAATGAGAGCAAACCCCATGCCCCTCTGCTGGCCCCAAGACTCTGCAAGGCAGGCCCCTCCTGTGTCTGAGCTCAGTCTGCTTTTCTCCCGGTCATCTCCTGGGTTTCAGCGGCTCTGGCCTGGCTTACCCTCGAGCTGGTCAGACTCACAGCAGCTTCAGGACCTTGGCAGTGGCCTCTGAAGCCTGTGTCTGGAACGCTCACTCCCATCCTATTTTGTTTGTTTTTACTTTTTATTATGGAAAACTTTCAGAGACAGTAGAAACACAATCGAATAATGAACCCCTCTCCCCAATGTATCGTGTTGAAGCAAAAACCAGACATCGTGTCATTTATTCTGTTGATATTTTAGCGTTATCTCTAAAAAAATGCTCTTCCTCAAAACATAATCGCGATGCTCTTATCAAACTTAAGAAATAAACCTTATTCTGTTAATATCATCCAAATCTAGTCAGTGTTCCAATTTTCCCCATTGGCCCATACATTTTTTAAATGCAAGGTTTCAATTTATTTTTATGGCACTTTTACTTGGAACGCTGTGGGTTTCTGCCCGTCTCCAGAATTAGGTGGCTTTTTAATGCAGGTAAGTGTTCTTTTATTTTATGCCTTTGCCTTGTTTGTTCTGTAAGTTAACCCTTCATATTTTTTTTTTCTCTCTCTCTCTCTCTGTCCTTGCAATTGACGTGGTGAAGAAACTGAGTTGCATATACTTTAGAGTTCCTGCTCTCTGGACTTTGCTGATCGTATCTTCAATGTGTCATTTAATATGTTCTCCTGTCCCTTTTGCTCCTGCAAAATGGCAGTTAGGTCTAGAGGCTTGATCACAGTCAGGTGAGATATTGAGCAAGAATACGCCAAAGGTAATGCAGTGTGCTTTCTTTTTTATTTTATTTATTTATTTATTTTTGAGACAGAGTCTTGCTCTGTCACCAGGCTGGAGTGCAGTGGCGCCATCTCGGCTCACTGCAAGCTCTGCCTCCCGGGTTCAAGCGATTCCCCTGGCTCAGCCTCCCGAGTAGCTGGGATTACAGGCGCGCAGCAATGCAGTGTGCTTTCTTTGGGAGGTTCACAATGACATGCTTTCTCTTTTTGTGAGTTTAACCAGCCACTGATGAGCATAGCATAGATGCTTTAACTCATAAGGGCATGTATAATGGTGGTATTGGATCCAGTGGTCCAGTGGGGGTGGTTTTGCCCCCAAGAGAGATTTGGCCATGACTGGAGACATTTTTGGACTGGGGAGATGCTACTGACATCTCATGGGCAGAGGCCAGAGTTGCTCCCAAACATCCTATGACACACAGGGTAGTCCCACACGCCCAGCAGTTGCCCAGCCCAGATGTCAATATCTCCAAGGCTGAGAACCCCTGAGAAACCCTGTCCTAATCCAGCACCCCTTCTTTGTGGTAGACTGAGTCCATTCTTCATTGATCTATGTAAACATCCACACAGGTTGGGGCCACCCAGTGAGCATAAAGTACATCCTTGTCCATTGACTTTGGGCTTGTTTGGGTCAGTGGGATGTTAGCAGGCCTGATGTGATCAAAGATTTGAACTGTGCCCTTCCTATGCTTACTTTTTAAAAATATAAGCACAGCTGGGTGTGGCGGCTCACACCTGTAATCCCAGCACTTTGGGAGGCTGATGGGAGGATAACTTGAGTCTAGGAATTTGAGAGCAGCCTGAGCAACAAAGTGAGACACTGTATCTACTGAAAACAAAAAAATTCTGGCCAGGCACAGTGGCTCACACCTGTAATCCCAGCACTTTGGGAGGCTGAGGCAGGTGGATCACCTGAGGTCAGGAGTTCAAGACCGGCCTGGCCAACATGGTGGAACTCCATCTTTACTAAAAATACACAAAAATTACCCAGGGGTGGTGGCACATGTCTGTAATTGCAGCTATTCGGGAGGCTGAGGCAGAAGAATTGCTTGAACCTGGGAGGCAGAGGTTGCAGTGAGCCGAGATTGCGCCATGGCACTCTAGCCTGGGCAACAAGAGTGAGACTCCATCTCAAAAAAGAAAAAGTCAACCAGACATGGTGGTGCACACGTGTAGTCCTAGCTACTTGGGAGGCTGTGGCCAGAGAATCACTTGAACCCAGGAGTTAGAGGTTGGTGCTATGATCGCACCACTGCGCTCCAGCCTGGGTGACAGAGTGAGACCCTATCCCTGCACAGCAGTTTACACAGATTCCCTCACTCCTGTCTACAGCTGCGTAGCTCTCCTCCTTCGTGGGCCTGTGCTATCACTTATTCAACCACTCCGATATTAATCATCCTTGGGTTGTTTCCAGTCTTGCTTTTACGGGTGGAGCTGCCGTGAATAAACTTGTGCAAACATCTTTTCATATTTTCGCCAGAGTATCTTTGTTACTGTAGAGATTTTCTTGACCGTCTTCTTATTCAGAATTCATCTTAAATAAATGTCACCTCCTCAGAATAGTCCTCCTTGATTGCACTGGCCAAAGCGGCCACTCTGCTCCCCAAGTCACCGTTGAATCTATCCTTTTCCCTGTGTTATTTTCTGTGCCTTACCCTGGGTATGTGTTTACCATCGTGTAAGCTCCTCGAGGGTGGGGACTTTGTCGTATTCTCTATACTCCCACCCCACCATAGCACCAAAGCGTAGCACGGTACCTTGCTAAGGAACTGAGGTGGTTCCCAGGATGTGAGACTTTCAGTTTTTTTTTTTTTTTGGAGACAGAGTCTCACTGTGTCACCCAGGCTGTAATGCAGTGGTGCATCTTGGCTCACTGTAACCTCCACCTCCCAGGTTCAAATGGTTCTGCTGCCTCAGGCTGCTGAGTAGCTGGGACCATAGGCACGTGCCACCACACCTGGCTAATTTTTTGTATTTTTAGTAGAGATGGAGTTTCACCATTTTGGCCAGGCTGGGCTCAAACTCCTGACCTCAGGTGATCCGCCCGCCTCGGCCTCCCAAAGTGCTAGGATTATAGGCATGAGCCACTGTGCCTGGCTGAGACTTTCAGTCTTAAAACTGGGACAGTCTTGGGTACATGGGGACTATTTGGTCACCCTACCTGTCACATAATAGGTGCTCATTAAATATTTATTGAATGAATTTATGCAGACTGGGGGTAAGTATGTCTTATTTGACCTACACAGCATCTAATTAAATGCATTTTCATTAGATAGCTTTTACAAACCAGAGTATTTCATATAAAAATCTGAATTCCTGCTTTCTGGAAAAATCAGCTGGTCTCATAACATGGGGGCCTGCATTTCCACGGGGCAGCCATCGACAGCAACTGGACTTTGGTTGTCTCTGCAGATGGCACCTGTGTGTGCCAGCTCCTGGTGGTGCCTACCACTCACAGTCCGCTCACCTCCTGACCTGCTTGACCTTGTTAGGCAGGCGTTTGGGTTTTTTGTGGCCTGATGGTCTGGTGGTTAACTGCATAAACTTTTGAACCAGGCAGATTTGGATGTAGGCCAGGGCAGGGATGCTTACTAGTTCTGCAACCCAACCGTGGCTGGTTCCCCAAGCTCTCTGGGCCTCAGTTTCCTCAACTTCACCTCTGACCCTTCTCCTAAAGTTTAAGGCACTGTCTCTAGACACCCCTCTTGAAATGTGAATGCCTTAGCAGGTCGGAGGATGTAGTAATCCATCATTTCTCCTTTCCTGATTCCCCTCCCTACCACCATCCTATGGGAGAGCTGGGCCCTGGAGGACCCGGAGTTCCCCCTTCCCCCATCACATGGTGGGGACACTGAGCTCAGGGCTGGACCGAGCCAAGAGTGGGAGTTGTTGTTTAAGACTCAGTGTTCCCCAGGCTAATCAGGGAAACAGGAGCCCCAGTGTGGGTCACCCCACAAGATGTGTGCCTGGGTCTGGGGCTGGAGACTAGAGGTGGGAATGGAGAGGGTGCCTGAGGCCGAGGCTGGCTGGGATGGAGAATGAGGAGCAGGGGCTGACACAGGGGGTGGATCTTTCTGTTCCAGGCTCAGATCCCTCTTAAAATGCAAATCCCCTGGGAGGGCCAGGCAGGGCTGTTTTCAGTTTCTCATGCTGCTCTGGAAAGTGGAAGATTTGAGGCCCTGGAAGCCTGAAATTGGGACTTAGACCGACTCCACGGGTGCCCCTCCCCATCCCCAGTGACTATGTGGGTGCTGCTGCTGCTGCTGTTGGAGGCAGGCCTCGGGGCTCTGACTCTGGTGGAGCTGAACGGACCATCCTGGCTCCAGGCTCCCTCTGGGAGTCCCCTCCTTGCTTCCCGGCTGAGCTGCCCCTCTTCCAGGAAGTCTTCCCTAAACATTCCACCTGGGGAGGCATCCCCGCTCTGAATTTCCCCCATCAGATCGTGGCTTAATCTCTTGTGACTGCTGTACTTGTCTGTTTCTCCAGGAGGGTTGTGAATTCCAGCGGCACGGGGCTGTTGTGTGCCTTGTTCACGGCCATCTCCCTTCCACCCAGTGTCTAGCCCAGTGTCTGTACACAGCAGATGCGAAGTGCGTGTGAATAAGTGGAGGAAGACACAATCCACTCCTGTGTAGTTCAGCCAGGCCTGCAGTGAAGGCCAGAGGGGCGGGAGCCATGGAGGCAGAGCTCAGAGAGGAAAAGAGATTCTTCCAGCTTGGACAGGTTCTTCCATGCCAAAGCCCATGCTCATGGTGGCCTTGCAAAGTCACCCCAGTTGATGCCTTTCTCGTCCCTGGCCAGTGTGGTTGGGAATGGGAATGTCTTCAGCTTGGGTGATGGTGGGCTCCCCAGCCGAGGTCTTCCTCCCCAGAGGGTGAGGCCTTGGGCTCCTCCCTGGAAGGTGGCCCAGCCTTTTTTATTTATTTATTTATTTTGAGACAGGGTCTCACTCTGTCACCCAGGCTGGAGTGCAGTGACACAAACACAGATGATTGCAGCTTTGACCTCTTGGGCTCAAGTGATCCTCCCACTTCTGCCTCCCAAAGTTCTAAGACCACAGGCATGGCCCATCATGCCTGGCTAATTTTTAAATTTTTATTTTGTAAAGATGGGGTCTCACCATGTTGCCCAGGTTGGTCTAGAATGCCTGGGCTGAAGCGATCCTCCAGCCTTGGCCTCTAAAAGTGCTAGGATTACAGGTATGAGCCACGATGCACAACCCGCCCAGCCTCTTAAATAGCCCAGGGAGCAGTACTGGGTTAGGGGAAGGAGCGGGAAGTGTGTTTGTGGCTGGAACCACTGGTTCCCCCTGCCATGGAAAATTCAGGACCCAACCCCTATGCCGCCTCATGGATAATCACATCTGCCACGGGTTTCCCCTCTTCTCCTCTTCCCATGAGTGTGTCCCTGTCTCTCTGGCCTTTTCTCCCAAACCTACTCATCTAGGTAGAGGGCCCTGGTCAGTTGTTAACCTCAGAGCCTGCCTGGCAGAGAAAGGCAGTCCCAGTCACCTTTACCCAGTCAAGATACCTGGAGGGGAGCGCACACCTGTCTGCTGAGGATTCTCCCCGAGCAAACCCAGAACACTTATGCTGCAGGTGCAAACGCTTTCCTGGCAGGCTTGTCCTTGACTGGGCTGTTGGGTCCACAGCTGTGCAGCACTGCCCTGCCCAGACCTGCAGCTGTCAGCTGCCGGCTGCGTGGGGGAAATATTGCAGCTTTTCCCCGTTTCTTTTCCCCATTCCTCTCTATTGAATTGAAGAAGGGAGGTCATAAATGTGGCAGGTTCATTAACTAGGAAATACACTCCAAACCACACAAATGAAATTCAACCGACTGGCAAAATAACATTTTTTATTGCTTTGCTCTTGATGGGTGAGAGGAAGGTTTTTGTTTCCGTCTTCGTGTGGTTCTGCGCTTCTCTCCATTGTGGGCATTGCTGGCAGCTCCTATTGGCCTTGGCCTTGGACTGACCAAGTGTGGTTCTAAAGAGTCCTTCGGGGGGCTGGAGAGCAGGACAGGGAAGCTGAGGCCCAGAGAAGTTCCTTATTCCAGGTCACTCTAGGACTTTGGGTGTATGAGCTTTTAAAGATCCTGCAAAAATATCTGAGACCTTAAAATATTTATTGGCTACCAAATGGGAAAAGAAAACTGTGAAATCGAAATTAATAAATGTTAAATGTCTACAAAATGTAATATTAGGTCAACTGCATTAATTACCACATTAGGTATTCATAAATGTGTCATTATGCGTGAAAGCAATTTGTCAGCTACATTTTCTCACTTGGTAAGAATTCCCAAGTAGACAAGAGAATGGATGAGAAAGCATAGCCAACTGCCAATTAAATCAGTGCCTGGTAGCCAGGCAATTCCAAAAGCAAAATCATAAAATCCCCTTTAAAAATTGTTGGCAAATATGTTCTATTGAGTGTGGGCTGTTACTGGACATTGTTTGCTTTGATACTGGGGAGGGCTTTAAAAGTCCTTTTGTGTTGGGCCTGGCCCAGGTCTAGGGCCTGCTGTTGGCTTCTGTGAAGTCTCAGTCAGAGCCTTTCTGACACCTTCACTGTCCCTGGCAGGAACCCCTCACCATGGCTGAGAGAGGGGCTCAGAGGAGGAGCCAGGAGGAAGCCGGGAAGGAGCCGGCGGCAGCCCCTCCTGCCCCTTTGATTCAGTCATCGTGGTCCCTCTGCCATCTCCTCATTAAAAAAAAAACAACTCCTTGGAACCAAGCTGCAAGCCCACAGCATAGACAATATTGGGATTAAAGCCATGGGGCTTGACTAGGGGAAAGTGAGGTCTTGGGAGAGTCTCAAAGGTTGGGTTTGGCCCAGCTCAGCTGGGCAGAGGTGTCTTGGAACTAGCCCATGAAAGGACACCTATGACTGGACTGGTGGGCCATCTCCAGTCCAGCGCCAGATCTTTGTCTGGTTCTTCCATGAAGAGCTGTGTGACCTTGGGTGAGACCCTGCCCTTCTCTGAGCCTCAATTCTTTCACGTGACATCTGAGAGGACTGGATCATCCCTTTGAAGTCTGAGAGCAAGAAAGGGCAGCTTGAAGATGGAAACCTCTTCATTTTACAGCTGAAAAGAATGAGGTCCAGAGAGGGGAAGGGATCTGTCCAAGGTCACACAGGGAGCTAGGATCAAAGCAAGGCCAGAACCCCATCCTGATCCCCTGGTTCCCACCATGTCATCTCACCTCCCCCATCTGTTTCCACTTCCCACTGCAGGGCCTTCCACTGGGGAGACCAAGGGACCCAGCCCCTGTGGTGGCCAAAAAGCAGGTGACCTCTAATCATTTCCCCAAGAGACTGTCTCTCCATCACTTCCCCTACCCCTGAGAGAGGTCTGGACTTGGAGGCAGAAACCTGGGCTTCAGACCCTTCCTTCCACATTTAATGAATGTGTGACCTTGGGCAAGGCATTCAACCTCTCTGAGTCTGTTTTCTTATCTGCAAAATGGAGCAGTGGTGCGCTGTACCCACCCTGAGGGGTGGCAGCAGCTCCCTGGCTTCCATTTCCTGAGACCTGGACCTTCTCTGCAGGAGGCACCCACCTGCCCATCCAGGAGAGATGCAATTACATCTGTGATTTGTCACACAGGAACCACTCCATCTGGAGAAACAGCAAACAAGAGCATGTAGCTCCTGGTGCAAGCCGTTACAAATACCACCCTCCAGGACCCCTCCCTCTCCCAGGGTCCTGGGAGTCCCCAGAAGCCCAGGCTTGCAGTGGCACCTGCTGCTGGTAACTGGCCCAGCTCTGGTTCCATGTCGCCCCCATGCCCACCCTCAGTCCCCTCCCGACTCTGATCAAAGAGTGGAGCCAGGGGACCCAGAGTCCCTGAATGTTGCCAGGAGTCTCCTGATTGGCTCCTTTGCTGGGTGAAGGCCCTGCTCCCTGGGGTGGAGTTGCCAAGGGGTGGGGCTTCCAGGGCAGGGGGCCCGGGCACCTGGGTGCCTGGCCATACCTTTTCTGGGTGAGAGGCTGCAGGGAGCAGCAATGTGTTTTCGCTTTGACCAGCTGATATCGAAGAACATTCTAGACAATGCTGAGCACAGTCTCCCCTGAGTCAGACAATCTGGAAGGAAATGAAATTGTATGGAGATTATTCACCAAGGAAACGTGTGGCCCTCTGCCTCATTCCTTTGCCTCATTTGAATTCAAAGATGAAATCAAATGAACACCGAGATTTCTTGAGCACTTACTAGGTGCCAGGCACTGTGCTGAGCATTTGACCTGCATTATCTTATTTAACCCTCCCCACAGCCCTCTGAGGATAGGTACTGTTATTGTCCCCATTTTATAGGTGAGGAAGCTGAGGCTCAGGCCACTGGCCTAAGGCCATGCAGCTTGAAAGTAGCAGAGCAGGGATCTGAAGGCAGGCCAGGGTCTCCAGGGCCCGAGCCCCCAACCACTAGGTGATGCTGCCCCTGCTGACACTTTGGCCTTCAACACTGTGGGACTCCAGAATCCTCCTGAGACTCCATCCTTGGAAGGCCACCTTCCCCTCTGGGCCCCCTGGTTCCCCAGAACTGGGCCTGATGCTGGCGGAGAGGGCTCAGCTGCCTCCCGCAAGGCTGTTTCCTGCAGGACTATCAGCCCCTGGAGGCCTCCATGCCCAGCCCTGACACCAGCCCAGTGTGCTCACCAGTTCCACTCTTGCAAGCAGGGAGCTGGGGACAAGGAGGGATGAAGAGTTAGAGGCCTGTGGGTGGAGATCACGTGGAGAGGCTCCGGGAGAGGCCCACTGGGTTAATGAAAATCTGTCCCTGCAATGTTGGCAGCAACAAGACTGTGATTATTTCTCCGCCTTAGACCCCTGGCCCTGCCCTATTGACAGGATTCAGTGTCATTGATTGTCAGGGGCTGTTGGAAGAGCCAGAGGGGCAGGCAGGTCGATGTTCCAGGGCTTGGCGGGGCTGTCCCTGCAGAGTGGTCAGGCAGAGACAGTGGCTTGGGCTTGGGCCCCAGCTGTGGTCCTGAGTGGCATTTCAGACCTGTCTGAAGAAGGGAAAGGGATGCGCTCCCAGGAGGCCGTGTGACGGGGGTCCTGTTTCTGTGGCTCCCTCCCCATCTCCCTCTGCAAGGACCATCTGGGTAGGTTCCCCAAGGCGCAGGGTCTGCTCCCCTTGGCCTATCTGACCCGCCCTTTCTCTCTCTCTCTCTCTTTTTTTTCTTTTTGAGATGAAGTCTCTCTTTGTTGCCCAAGCTGGTCTCGAACTCCTGGCCTCAAGCTATCCTCCTGCCTCAGCCACTGTGCCTGGCCACAGCCCTTCTCTTTAGGCCTCCCCACTGCTTGCTCAGAACCTGCTGAAGCTGCCAGCTCCTCTTGTGTGAATCTACTTCCTCTTCTCATTCTTCAGCCCCTTCTCCGGGAGTGCATTAAGATTCCCACATCTGGCTGGGCGTGATGGTTCATGCCTGTAATCCCAGCATTTTGGGAGGCAAGGCAGGCAGATCACTTGAGGTTGGGAATTTGAGACCAGCCTGGCCAACATGGCAAAACCCCATCTCTACTAAAAAATACAAAAATTAGTCTGGCGTGGTGGCACATGCCTGTAATCCCAGCTACTCAGGAGGCTGAGGCAGGAGAGTCGATTGAACCCAGCAGGTGGAGGTTGCAGTGAGCTGAGATCACACCACCGCACTCCAGCCTGGGCATCAGCATTGAGACTCCATCTCAAAAAAAAAAAAAAAAGAAAGAAAGAAAGAAAAAGAATAGATTCCCACATCCAACTCCCAACACCCTCCTGAGTCCCAAGTCCTTTGGGCATCCCCACCTGGCCAACCCCAGGGCCCTCAGACTCAACACAGCCCAGCAGGTCCCACTGTCTTCCTTCTACAGACCTCCCCACCACATGGCTTGCTCTGCCCTGAGTTTACCCCCCAGGTGAATGGCAGAGACACACACTTTCTAGACACACAGGTGAGCTGAGTGTCTCAGTGGTGTCCAGTTAGCATGATGTGGTCAGTATTGAGATGGAAGTGACTGGGAGTGGGGTGAGAGGGGTCCAGTGGTCAAGGGAGCCCTCTCTAAGAAAAGGGTATTTGTTCTGAGAGCTGAATGATGAGACAGAGCTGGCTTTTCAAGGAGCTGAAGGACGTTTTCTGAACAGGAGAACTAGCAAATGCAAAGGCCCCGAGGTAGAGGCAGCAAATCTGGCGTGTTTAGGAAGTGACAGGACAGCCGGTGTGAGGTGAGGGTGGTGGCTGAGGGACGATGCCTGGGGTGACGTCAGAGAAATCAGCAGGTGGAGCTCGAATTTTCTCCAGAATTCAGCGGGAGGTGTTGGAAGCAAAGGTAACATCATCTGATTTATATTTTAAAAGGATTCTGGCCAGTGTGGTGGCTCAGGCCTGTAATCCCAGCACTTTGGGAGGCCGAGGCAAGTGGATCACCTGAGGTCAGGAGTTTGAAACCAGCCTGGCCATCATGGAGAAACCCCGTCTCAACTAAAAATACAAAAAGTAGCCAGGCATGGTGATTACAGGCTGAGATACATGCCTGTAATCTCAGCTACTCGGGAGGCTGGGGCAGGAGAATCGCTTGAACCCGGGAGGCGGAGGTTGCAGTGAGTTGAGATCGCGGCACTGCACTCCAGCCTGGGCAACAGAGCAAGACAACATCTCAAAAATAAAATAAAATAAAATAAAATAAAATAAAATAAAATAAAATAAAAGGATCCTGGCCATGCACAGTGGCTAATCTCGGCACTTTGGGAGGTTGAGGCAGGAGCATAGCTTGAGCCCAGGAGTTTGAGACTAGCCTGGGCAACATAGCAAGACCCCATCTCTACGAAAAATTTTAAAATTAGCCAGATGCAGTGGCACACATCTGTAGTCGCTACTTGGGAGGCTGAGGTGGGAGGATCACTTGAGCCTGGGAGGTTGGGGCTGCAGTGAGCTGTGATTGAGCCACTGTACTCCAGCCTGGGTGGCAATATCAATATTTAATTTGTCAATAAATCAATAAATAACATAATAGAAGGATCCCTCTGGCTGCTGGTGGGCGGTAGAGCTGGAAGCATTTAGGGAGTTGACTTGGAGAAGGAATGGTGGGTCAAGGTGTTTTAGGAAACAGTGAGAACTGGGACGTATTTTGGAAATGGAGCCAATGGAATTTGCCAGTTGGACACAGAGGGTGGGACAAAGAGGATGATGCCTGAGCAGCTGAGACGGGGAACAGGAAGGGAGGGGTGGGTGCAGAAGGAAATTGAAATTCCTGTTTTGAATTCCCATTGTAGTGAGCATTTCAAGCAGGCATCTGCATATCTGAGCCTGGAGCTGAAGAGAGATGGCAAGGCTGGAGGCGTGAGTATCACTGGATACACAGAGCCTCACCTCCTGGTGTCGTGCTCATGCTCCCCTGCTCACTCCTGTGCTTCCCATTGGACTGTGAGCTCCCTGAGGGCAGGATGGGGGCTTATTATTGTTATACCCCCTGGGCTCTGGGGCAGAAGCCACTCAATAAATAGTTGAGGAATGAATAAAGGCATAAATATTGATTTTACTTGTCCATTTAAAAGTGTTTGCTGAGCACTTATTCTGTGCCTTGTTTTGTTCTAGCGGCTGGAAATACGGCCGTGAGTGAGGCAATGTTCCTGCAACTTAGATTTCAGTGGGTGAGGCAGGCCAGAACCAAGCCAACAAATACATAACCTAATGAAGAACAATGACAAGAACTAAGAACAAAAATTAAGCAAGATAAGGAGATAAAGAGGCCTAGGGATGCTCCTTAGAGGGAGGTTAGAGGAGCCTCCTTAAGAAGAGGACATTTGAATGGAGACTTGCGTGAGGGTCAGTGCTGTGGTTATCTTGGCAGCAGGAACAGCATGTGCAAAGGCCCTGGGGCTGGGACAAAGATGTCTATCCGTGTGGTGCTCAGGGCAGACACACTTGGGGGCTGATGGGAGTAGGTGAGGGGCTTCCTATTTTTCACTCTAAGGCGAAGTGCATTCCCTTGACTAAGCGGCTAGAGATGGAGGTTTGAAAATTCACTAGCAGGAGCATTTTTTCTTTTTCCATAATTTCTAGGTTCAAGAAGAGCCACTGAGTAAAGAGGTCAAGAGCCTCTTGTAGGGAAAGAGAACAGGAGCGGCAGGCAGGACTCTCAGCCTCCCCAGGGCCCGTCCTGTCATTGGGGGTGGGGCGCGAGTTAAGCTCAGAGACACAAAGTTCCTTGATGATGGCGCTGAGTAATAGCGTGCCGTCTTGATGGGGCTGTTATCCACAATCACGGGAGGCATCTCCGGCTACACTGCTTGAGTGCTGAAACGCCTCTACTCTGGAAAGCTTTTGCCCTGATTATGTTATTTTAGCTTCACGACATTCCTGCCTAGAGGGGGCAGGGCACAGGAGCAGCATCCTGAGTTTTGCAATGTCGACTTCAGAGAGTGGAGGCAGATCTAAAGTCAGAGGCTTCACACTCCCCACTCTTGGCTCCTCTCCCTTCCCCAGCAACCACTGAGGGGAATTTTGGGGAAACTGAGGCTGCCGTCGGCTCCGTGTCTCAGTGGAGAAGCCTGCAGGGCAGCGGGAGGGCCGAGGCAGAGACCTGGTTCCCTGCTCCCAGCCTGTTTTCCAAAGCTGGATTTGGCTGGAGGGATTTGGATCAGATGTTGGGCCAGAAGGGACACAGGGAGGGATGCTTGTGGAAGGGGTGGGGGACAAGGGCCTCCCAACTTCCCAGAAGAAACAGTTATTTTGTTTCCTGGTAACTGTGACCCTTTGAAAATGTTGTGCAGACTCATGTCTCCATTTCCTCCTGGCCACACCTGTCCAGGTGCCTCCGTCCTCTGGCTCTCCCTCTGCAGTTGGCCTCCCCTCCATCCTGCCCAGGCCAGAAATCCTGGGGGAAGCTGGACACAAGTCACTGCAGTTGCTGGCTTGGGAGAGACAGCCGTTCTGAGTGACGAGAGTCACAACCAGAGACAGAGCCACCTTCCCTTTAGAAGAATTATGCTAACAGCAGCAACGACAGCAGTAATAATAAAGCTGACACTTCTACCGTCTCGTGATGAACTGTTACTAACTCCATTTTACGGAGGTGGAAACTGAGGCTTGTAGAGGTTGGTGGCGTTCCCAAGGTCACACATTTAGGAAGAGTCAGAGGTGGGATTTGAACCCTCACCTGGCTGACCACCCTGCTTGTTCTGCCTGTGACTGAGCTCAGAGCCCTGTCACTCACCGGGGGGCCTTGACCACTGCCTCTCCTTGGGCCGCCTCTGCAGGTGGCTGTTGCTTTCAGGGCCCCCTGGCACTGGAAAACCTCTGACTCTCCTGCAAAACCCCTGCTCTGGAAGCCCAGAGCTGGCAAGGCTCGTTCTGCTTGCAGAAGTGTGGGGCAAGAAAAGGTTTTGGAATTTCAGATGCCTATGGGAGCCCAGGGAGCCCCCCATGGACTCTGCCTTCTGCCCGCCCCTTTCCTGTTCCTGTCACCACCTGCCCCTCCGTCTCGCCTCCTCAGACTCTTAAGTTGCTTAGCCTTAACCCAGGAGGCTAGGAGGCCAGGAGCAGAGCCTCCTGCTGCTGTGACTCTCCCCAGTTTGTAGTTCTCAGCACTTTCTCACACCCTGGGAGGGAGGCCGATGGTGACACTCACGACCCACCTGGGAAGGGTCTGAGGCTCAGACAGGTGAGGCACCCAGGATGGCACAGCCTGGAAGGGGAGAGCCAGGACTGGCAGCCTGGTCTTTGAATGATAGAAAGGAAGTGCTGGTAACAGATTCCACCTGTGGCTTCCGCCATGACCAGCTGATCCTGCCTGTGCTGAGACCACGTTCCCTTGGGAACAAATGGAACCTATCTAACATCTGTTGAGTAATTGCTAACAGGCCAATTCCAAGAGCCTTGCGGGTACTACGAATTCATTTCATTCCACCACAACCTGTGTGATAGGCACTGATCATCTCCATTGTACAGATGGGGAAACTGAGGCACAGGGAGGTTAACATCACACAGCTAGTGAGTAGCACGGACAGGATTCAAATGCAGCCTATCTCCAGAGAACTGCTAGGCTGGATGCTACAGTATTTGATACTGATTCATGGAAAATATTTTAAGTGTAAAATTAAATAAGTTTAAAATTTAAAATTGCCTGTATTAAAAAGAATGCAATGGTATGAAATTGGGAACGTCTCAGAGAATCCGCTCTGTTGTTGTTGTTGTTGTTGTTGTTGTTTTAACCTGTATTTGGTGTTAGGTGGGGCAGCTGCCAAGGAGCAGGCTCTGGAGTCAAGTCAGGAGGTCCTGGATTTAGGTCCTGGGTCCTCCCTCATCAACAGTGGGCAGATTACAGAACTTACAGTCTGTTTCCTCCTCTGTAAGGTGAGGATGATAATAGCTTCGACCTCATGGGGTTGTTGGGAGGATTAAGTCAGAAAATACACATAAAACACATGGCACAGTGTTTGACATATAGTAACAATTCAATAAATGATAACTTTTATTATTTTAAGAACTCTGCAACTTTTTGTGAGTATTTAGGTGGTGTGGTGGGGAGATCTCCAGGGCCTGTGTCCCCATTATATTGCTTGCATGACAGATCATCCCAAATCTCAGTGGCTTAAAACAACATCATTTATTTTATTCAATTTGGGTGCTCTGTGCGGCATTAGCAGGGCAGCCTGCATTGGGACTGGGGCACCCACTTTCAAAATGGGCTACTCACCTGCCTGGTATGTTGGTTCTGGCTCAGCTGAGAGCTTGGCTGAGGCCATGGGCCGAGGGCCTCGTCTTCTTTCCATGTCAGTTTCTCCATGGGCTGCTTGGGCTTCCTCACAGCATGGTGGCTGGATTCTAAGAGTGAGCATTCCAAGAGAAGTGAATAGAGGCCGTGTTCTTTGGAAGGGCCATATATGCAAAAAAAAAAAAAAAAAAAAAAGGCCCCCAAATGCAGAAGGAGCCAAGAAACCTAAGAATGAGGCAGACAAATCTAGTTTGCCAGTAAAGGGTGATTTATTGGGCAACTTATAGACAGTAGCATGATCTTGGGCAGGCACAAGACAGGTAGACCTCCGTGCTGTCACTCCTCAGATCTGAGGCTTATATACCACAGGGAAAGGGGGTATGTGCTCTAGCAAGACAATTAAAGGCAATCCGCCAGAACAGGTGAGAGTGCTATATGTATCACAGCTCACCATGTATGTGATAGCATCATGGTTGATTTGTTCTTACACTAGGGACAATAAACAAAGTAGGATCAGGAGGCATTCATGGGACTTGGGCTAATCAGAAGTCAACACGGCAGATTAGTAGTATCCAAGGTAGAGTCACTTTTGTCTCCACAGGCTGTCTCACCCTTTATGACCTAGATTTAGAAGCCACATAACATCATTTCTATTGAAGCAGTCACACAGTTTCTTCAGATTCAAGGGAGGAGACATAGAACCCTTACTCAATGAGAGTATCAGAACATGTAGCATGGGACGTATTTTTTTTGTGTGTGGCTTTTTTTTTCTTGAGACGGAGTCTCACTCTGTGGCCGAGGCTGGAGTGCAGTAGTGTGATCTTGGCTCACTGCAACCTCTGCCTACTGGGTTCCAGCGATTTTCCTGCCTCAGCCTCCTGAGTAGCTGGGATTATAGGCACGCGCCACCATGCCCAGCTAATTTTTGTATTTTTAGTAGAGATGGGGTTTCACCATGTTGGCCAGGCTGGTCTTGAACTCCTGACCTCAAGAGATCTGCCCACTGTGGCCTCCCAAAGTGCTGGGATTACAGATGTGAGTTACCGCACCTGGCCAGTATTGTTGACCATCTTTGGAAAATACACTTTCCCACACTCAGTCACCAGCCTATTTCATTAGTCAGCAGTGGCTTAACATGAGGGAGCTGTGTTTCTTACTCTAGCTGCAGTCTCATGTAGATTGGTCAATGCCAGTTGGCTGCCCTCTTCCAGGCAGGACGTACAGGATCCAGGCTTATCCTGCTGTGTGATGCTGCCCATCTGAAATTTGTGCCCTTGAAGTCAGTGTAAGAGAGGAAGAGAAAGTATAGATGAAATTATAGGGGTTTTATGGTCAGACCCAGAAGTGGTGCCCACTTCCACCTGCACCTCATTGGCTAGAATCCAGGTAGATGGCCCCACCCTGGCTGCAAGGGGAGCTGGGAAATGTAGTTTTCCGGCATGCCCAGGAGAAGGAGAGGGGAGGGGTGAGCCACACTCACCTTCTAAGGCCTTGCCTCTGGGAGATCAGGGCGTGAGGCTGTTTTGTTCACTGCTGTATTCCTAGTATCCATCACATTGCCTGGCACATATTAGGTGCTGTGTAAATATGCCTTCAATGAGTGAACCAACAGGGAGGTGGCCTCCTCATTGGCCCTGGTTTCTGAGCTTTAGGGGTCATATTCATGAGATTGAGTAAATCTTGCTGCTGATAAGTTTGGGGTGGTCTACATGGAAGATCTAGAGTTCAAGTTTTACCCCACCTTCATCAATCCACCAAAGAGTCCTTGCGGAAGCTGTGCCCGGGGTGAGGCTGGAGTGGCCACCATGTCAGGGGGTGCCCTTGCTTCCTGGAACATGGGGAGTGAATTGGAGGTATTTGCAGCCAGCAGCTTTGGTGTGTGGAGGTGAGTGCTGAGGGACATGGTGCAGGACCAAGAGCATCTGTCACTGGAGGAAGTCACAGAAGGTTGACTACGGAGGATCAGGAGGGCCTCAGAAAGGTCATACTCGTCTTCCAAGTGTAAGTTTCAAGGTGAAGACAGATTGGGTGTAAACACCCACTCACCCGAACCCCAGTGTAGACGTCCTGGAGATGCCCCAGCCGCCAACGGCACAGTGACCAATGCCCAATGCGTCCATCTGGCCGCCGCCTGTGGCAAAATGAGAAATGAAGTCTGGATTGACTTCCTAGTGAGAAATTAGCCTCCTGGATCTATCAGGAAGCTGACCCACCTCCAGCCTGGGGGATGTGGGTGCTGCCAGGGACCCTGAAGGGCTGTAGATACGAGATGTCCACCAGTCCTCCTTAGCTTGGAAGTTGACCCTTCCCATACTCCATTAACTCCCAGCCACATCCCTTCTCTCAGCTCCTTGTGTCCCCTAAGCCATGGGTGCTGGAGCCACTAGTGGAGCTAAGAAGACTGGAAGAAGCATCATTGGAAGAAAACTGAGAGGAGGAAAATTTGAGACATTACATTTCAAGGGCTTTGACAGCATCATTTGCACCAGCTCACAAAACAGGCAGCGAGAAGATTCGCAATAAAGATTCCATTAATTTGGAAAGAAATAGAAGAAGGTTTTAAAGCAGCTCCTCTTTCATTAATAATAATGCTAATAAAAGAAAAACAACAGCCTCCATTTATTTACTCATTTACGTATTTAGAGTTAGAGTCTTGTTCTGTCGTTCAGGCTGGAGTGCAGTGGCATGATCACAGCTCACTGCAGCCTTGAACTCCCTGGCTCAAGCAATCCTCCTGCCTCAGCCTCTTGAGTAGCTGGGACTACAGGTGCACACCACCATGCCAGTTAAGTTTTAAATTTTTTTTTAAACAGGGTTTTGCTATGTTGCCCAGGCTGGTCTAGAACTCCTGGCCTCAAGTGATTCTCTCACCTCAGCTTCCTGAGTCACTGGGATTACAAGCATGAGCCACTGTAAATAAACAAATGTCTAGCCACCATTTATTGGGCAGGATGCACCCCTACTTATGATGAGTAACTTATGAGCAGTTTTCTAATTTAATACTCTTTCCCCAAAGGGGCCTTAGATAAGGCACTCCAGGTGACTTCTTGTACATCACCTCCTTCCTGATAAGCAGGGCTGGGTGGATGTTTGTCTGTGGGGGGGTGGGGGGCAGTGGAGGGGGGCTGCACCACTTTTTCCTTCTCTGTAACTTGACCCTCAGGGTCACTAAGATTGGTGTCTGTTTCTCCTGTGGAACTGTCAGTCCCAGGAGAGCAAAATCAATTTCTGTTTCTCTCACAGCTTTGTCTTAACTGCTCACATGGCAGAACTTAATTCACATTTGTTGAATAAATAAACAAACCAGGCCGGGTGCAGTGGCTCATGCCTATAATCCCAGCACTTTGGGAGGCCGAGGCAGGCGGATCACCTGAGGTCAGGAGTTTGAGACCAGCCTGACCAACGTGGAGAAACCCCGTCTCTACTAAAAATACAAAAAAATTAGCTGGGTGTGGTGGTGTGTGCCTATAATCCCAGCTACTCAGGAGGCTGAGGCAGGAGAATCACTTGAATCTGGGAGGCAGAGGTTGCAGTGAGCTGAGATCGCACCATTGCACTCCAGCCTGGGCAACAAGGGTGAAACTCAATCTCAGAAAAATACATATAATAATAATAAAATAAACAAACCAAAGGGTTAGGTTCACCAGGACCTCTGACAGCCTCCCTTGGACCTTGGAGTGATGGTTCTCATGGAAGATCTAGAGTTCAAGTTTAACGAACATTTAACCTGGAAGGAGGGACCTGAGGACCCTGGTCTCCAGCTGCTGTAGCTTTCCTTCTTTAGAAAGTCAGTTATATTCTGATGACCAATTGCTGTGTAACAAACCAGCCCAAAACTCAGTAGTTTACAGCAACAATGTGTTATCGACTCTTACATTTCTGTGGGATGACTAGACTCAACTGGGTGGCTCTCTCTTGGGGTCTGTATTAGTCTGTTCTTGGATTACTATAAAGAAATACCTGAGACTGGTAATTTATAAAGAAAAGAGGTTTAATTGACACACGGTTCTGCTGGCTGTACAGAAAGCATGATGCTGGCATCTGCTCAGCTTCTGGGGAGGCCTCAGGAAACCTACAATCATGGTAGAAGGCGGAGGGGGGAGCAGGTATGTCTTACATGGCCAGAGCAGGAGGAAGAGAGAGAGACAGGGAAGGTGCTACACATTTTTTAAACAAGCATGTCTTACAAGAACTCACTATCATGAGAGTAGGACCCAGGGAAATGACGTTAAGCCATTCATGAGAACTCCACCCCTGTGATCTAATTACCCACCAGACCCCACCTCCAACACTGGGGATTACAATTCAACATGAGATTTGGTAGGGACATAGATCCAAACCATATCAGGATCTCTCATGTGCTTATAGCCAGATGGTGGCTGGGGCTTAACCATCCGAAAACTCAGCAGCGTGGAGGTCCAAGACAGCTTCGTTATGTGCATGTCTGGCTCCTCTTTTGAGATAACTAGAACAGCTGGGGGCCTCCCAGGAATCTCTGCTAGCTTGGGCTTCCTCACAGCATGGGGGATAGCTGGACATCTTACATGGAGACTGGCTTTCCCTAGAGCTAGGGTTCCAAGATTCCTAGGTGGAAATGATAAGGTTCCCTGTGCCCTAGCCTTGAAAGTCACACAGCATCACTTCCATCACATCCTGTTGGCCAAAAGCAAGTCGCAGGCTCCCCTGTCCTGATAAGGGGAGGGGACCACAAAAGGTGTGAATATCAGAGGTGTTGTTCATTGGGGGGTCATCTCTGGAGACCAGCTTGTCCAGGGCTAAAGAGAAGATGTGATTTAGCAGCCAGGTCTCTGTGTTGGGAGTCAGAAGACCTGGATCTCAGTCTTGGCTCTGATGGTCACCCTCAGGCAACTCTCTTGACCTTTCTGGCACTGAATTTCCCAATGTACAAAATAAGGAAAATCGACTAGATGATCTCGAGGGTTCTCCAGCACTGATAGACCTGGACTTGACTCTCCGAAGCACAAGGCTGTTCCTGCTCTCCAGCCTGAGCCTCTGGTGGGGTGGATGGGGCGGTTGCCCACCTCCGACCCCCGGAGTTCATGACCCCCATCAAGGCTCCTAAACTTGAGAAGTGAGAACAGCTGGGGCTCGAAGTCCCGTGCTTTGGGGAACAAACTAGTCCTCCCTGGCCATCCCAGGGCACATTATTCATGGGTTCATTACTGTTTAATTTAATCACCAAAAGTCATCCAAATACCATTTATTCTGCCTTCTCACTGGAGATTTATCTATTTATTTTACATTTCAAATGAATTGCTCATTATTCTGTCATTTGGGGCTTTATTTTGTAATTCATCTGGTGAGTTCCAACAAGTTAAAAATGATGCAGTATTAAGCACAGTAACTTCTGAGCCCCTCTCAGGAGTCCTTTCCTTAAAAGGACCTCCCCTGAGCCTCTCCCTTTAAGAGGCCACCCCAGGCTCTCCCCATCTTTCTCATGGGGGATGGAAAGAGGCACACAGACTAAATTCTGCTCTTCCCTCCAGTCCAAACCCTGCATCCATGTGACTCTCAAATGTGTACACCGATGGCCAAGGCAGGTAAATAAGAAGGCTCAGGGCAGGCTGTGCAGTGAACACACTTAGGTTCAAGCTCAACTTTGTTGCTTAGCTATCAGCCTGGGGCCTTAATTTCCTTGGGCAATTAACTCTCTGAGTCTCAGTTTCCTCAACTGTAAGATGGGATGGTAATAGATGTCGTCTACAGGGACGGCATGAAGATTAAATGGGATGGGGCTTGTCCACTGTCTCCCCAGCACTAGTCGCATCTTCAGTGCTCCCTAAATTCTCTGTAGACTCATTTCATCCTGAACTCAACGTAGGACATAGCAATCCAAATAAGTCCCTGCCAAGAAGCAGGGGATTAAAGGCCAGAGGTCATGAGGACTTGAAAGCAACAGGCAGTTCTGAGGCACCTGCAGTCTCTGGCAAGGTGGTCATGCACCCCGTTCTCTCAGCCTCAGCCCTGGTTGAGGGGCTCTCGGTTTCTCGGGATTGGATTTAATCCCAGCAACCCTCCCAGGCATTTCAGCTGCTGCCCAAGAACTGGCTGCTGAGCCAGCAACCCGGGAGGGGCCATCGAGCTAAGAGAATGAAGGACCCAAGGCCCACGTCTGTATTACAAAGCATTATTGTACTCCAGGCAGGTTGATGAAGCTCTGTGCCAGCTTCCCGAACGGGCTTCCTTCAAAGCCAATGGGGAGCCCCTACTCCAAGATTCAGATTCCATAAGCCTAGGGTGGGGTCTGGGGTGACCCCCGGGAACGCGGAACAATTGCTTTCTGTGTGCCCTTCTCCGATGCAGAAGCTTCCCGGGCCTCTTGGGGTCTTAAAAATTTTTATTTGTTTTCCTAATTACATGATCAATACCTGCGCAGTGAAGGAGAGCTGGAAGACAGACACAGAAAAACCCACACGGGGGAATATAGTAATCCTACCGCGCACAGACTGCTAATGCTTTTGGCAATTTATTCTCAGCCTTTTTCTAAGGGTATATTACAACACGTAACATATTGTCTTGCATTGTACTGTTTTAGACTGCTGTTTCAGTTAAGAGAATAATGCCCATAAATGTTCTTCCTCGGTAGGAATTTTAATGTCTGCCCCCATCTTCCATCCCCCATTTTGGGACTGGCTCAATATATTCTTCCTCTCAAATATATTTGCTCTCCCCTCTCTTGCGCTCAAATTTTCAGCCAGTATTCTTAGATTTCCTCATCTTGGATCCTCTCTCCTCTTCTAGGTATTTGTCCATGTTCTTTTATGAATTTACTGCCAATTTTCTGAAAAACAAAACAAAACAAAACAAAACAAAAACAAAAACAAAAACAAAAACAAAAACAAAAACAAAAAAAAAAAACTGCCTTCTCCATGCTCCCTCTCCACCCCATCTTTGTCTGCTTTTAAGATATTCATTCCCTGATCTTAAGCTGGGGCTCTTGTTCCTCCCCGGTCCCTGGGATGCTCTTGGGTAGCACAGATGGTAGAAATAGGATGTGAGCCACATATGGAATTTAACATTTTCTACTAGCCACGTTCAAAACTGGAAAAGGAACAGGTGAAATAAATTTTAATAACATATTTCATTTAACCCAATATAGCCAAACTATCATCATTTCAACATGTAACATGTAATCAACATAAACATTATTAATGAGATATTTCACTTTCTTTTTTTTGTACAAAGTCTTTAAAATCCGATGTGTATTTTGCATTTATAGCACATGTCTATACGAATTAGCCGCATTTTAAGCGCTCAGTAGCCACATGTGGCCAAGTGACCATGGTATGGGACAGCACATACCTGGAGGACTCACCAAGGACCCAACAGCCAAACCCAACCACCTCTTTTTCAGGGAGTGGATGCCTAGAATTTATTCTGTGGCTGGCACAGCTGTCCCTTGTCTCACCTTCACATGTTAAATCTTTACTTCAGAAACTTCTTTTGTGTATCAGCAATACATGACCATTTCTAAATATCAGAAAAACTCAGATATGGTGATCTGGGGGTCTCCCTATCTCACTATGTTGCCCAGGCTAGTCTCAAATTTCTCCTGCCCCAGCCTCCTAAGTAGCTTGGACTACAAGCTCAAGCCACCAGGCTGGTGTTCTAGATTTTTGAAATAGGATCTTTGTGACTTTGTCTGCACTCCCTCGCCAGACCCATCCCTCCTTGTAGCCAACCCATCCTGGTCAGGTAGAAGGCTCGCTTTGCAAGAGGGTTAATTATGGCTGGAGCCCAGAGACAGGAATAGTCACTGTTGGGATTTTTGAGGATGAAGAGGGAAGTCCCAAAGGAAGCTGGGTTTGAATTTTGTGCAATAAAAACAGAGCAGAGAGGAAGGGTGATCCCAACTCCACATCCCCTGTGCCGGGGAAACAAGACAAGGACACTAGGGCCAGTTTTAGAGCAGAGAAGGGCTATTTTGCAGAGTCTTCAGTGATCTACAGAATCACTGGGGGCTAAAGGCCCAAACTTCCACTTGAGCTTTGAGGATTGAGCCCTACAGTCACATGGCAGAACTGGCCACCAAAAGGGAGGTCGTCTCCTCTGTGGTCAGGAAGCCACTTGTGAAATCAGGAGGCTGCTCTTACAGCTACGGACTCCCAATCACACTGCCCTGAACGTGCTGCCAAATTAGGGTGCAGCTGCCACCATTTACACCAGCAAAATTGGGGCCCTGAACCCTGCCACTCAACTCCAGGTCACTGGAACCCCCTGTAAGTGGGGCTGTGAGCAACCAGACAGAAATAGCCAAAGTAGCCTAGCCCTGTGTAAAAGGAGGAGGTCATAGCATTTAGAAAAGAAGTTTACCTTTAAGCAGTGGAAGATAATCAGACATCAGAAGACTGGCTTGCCACATAAAACACAGACATGGTATTTATATTAGTTTACTTGGGCTACCATAGAGAGGGTGGTTTAAACAACAGACATTTATCTCTCACAATTCTGGAGGCTGGGAAGTCCAAGATCAAGGTGACTGCTGATTTTGTTCCTGGTGAGGGCTCCCTTCATGATTTGCAGACAGCCACCTTCTCCCTTTGTCTCTGGTGTCTCTTATTATAAGGGCACTAATCCCATCATGAGGGTCCCCCGATCATGGCCTTATC
The DNA here is from genome assembly GCF_000001405.40 of Homo sapiens. Classification (NCBI taxonomy): domain Eukaryota; kingdom Metazoa; phylum Chordata; class Mammalia; order Primates; family Hominidae; genus Homo; species Homo sapiens. The sequence continues at coordinate 11,583,378 of NC_000001.11, read as the reverse complement.
TAAACCTCCCAAAGGCCTCATTTCCTATAGCATCACACTGGGGGTTAGGGTTTTAATATGTGAATTTTGGGGGGGTAAAATTTAGTCCGTAGCAGTATTTTTAAACTTGCAAGATTACTGAGGCTACTGAGCTGCAAGGGAGCCTGGGAAATATAGTGTTTTTGCTCTGGGTTTCCCAATCTCTGCAATAGGGAAGGTGTGTTAGAAGAGAGTTGGGAGACGTTGACACAATTGGGGTGGGCATGATGTGAAGGCAGCACTAGGAACCTCTTGGAAGCTGATGCCCCACCCCACAGACACCCTCACTATCTATCACCAAGAAGATCCTCTTTGATACTGTGTTTTAGTTCTCATAGACTTTAATAAATATATATTAATGACTGGAAAGAAATTTGAGATCCTACTCAACCTATGATTACATGAGTTGCTTTTCTACTTGATATATCGTTGAATCTTTTCTCATGTCTACAAACATTCTCACCATCAATTTTAACACCTTCCTGATATTTCACAGTCTGGATTTTAAAAACCCATAATTTATTTAACCAACTGCTTATTGTTGGTATTTTTTAGAATGTATTAATATTTACATTATTCCCAATTTTCCCTGTTAGACACAAAATGACAAAAAAGAAGTGAAATCTAATGATAAATGACTGAGAGTAAAATTGCTCAGAAAGGGTGTACGTATTTTAAAGGCTTTGGATACACATTACTAAATTGCCTTCCAAAAAATTATGTCAAATTATACTCCCACCAGTCATGTTAGAAAGTGCTTATTTCAGCCGGGCACAGTGGCTCGTACCTGTAGTCCCAGCACTTTGGGAAGCCGAGGCGGGTGGATCACAAGGTCAGGAGTTTGAGACCAGCCTGGCCAATATGGTGAAATCCCGTCTCTACTAAAAATACAAAATTTAGCCAGGCGTGGTGGCATGTGCCTGTAGACCCAGCTACTCAAGAAGCTGAGGCAGAAGAATCGCTTGAACCTGGGAGGCAGAGGTTGCTGTGAGTCAAGATCACACCACTACACTCCAGCCTGGGTGACAGAGTGAGACTCTGTCTCAAAAAAAAAAAAAAAAAGGGCTTATTTCCTTACCTTATGTCTTCAACAACACTGTGAATTGTTATTAGAACTTTTTCCAATTTGATAGTGAAAAATTTCCCCAACCCATCTCCACCACTTTGATGTCCTCCTCCTTTGACTTCACTGGTAATCCTTCCACCCTGTTGGCTGGCACAGGTTTCCTCTTCCTCACTTGGCCTCCAAATGTCTGTGCCCCCAGCTGTCTGTCCAGCCGCCTTCCTTTCCTCCCCAACATTCCCTAGTACATTTGAGTGAAACTAACGTCTAAAATCTCCTTCTGCCAGACACCCATTTTAAAAGCCTTCATAATAATGCAGGCAAAGCCCCAAAGTGGAGCTTAGCCCATGAAGGTTCTTGGCTTTGTTCAGGAAAGAATTCAAGGGCAAGCCAGTGGTAGAAGAAAACAGCTTTATTGAAGAGGCAGTGTTACAGCTCTATGACTGCTCCCACAGAGCAGGGATGCCCCGTAGGCAGAGAGTAGCAACTCGGGGCAGTTTTGCAGTCATACTTATACCCACATCTAATTATATGCAGATTAAGGGGTGGTTTATGCAGAAAATTCTAGGGAAGGGCTAGTAATTTTTGGGTCATTGGGTCATTGCCATGGAAAAAGGTGGTAACGCCCAGGTGTTGCCATGGCAATGGTAAACTGACAGTGCACACGGGTGGGCGTGTCTTATGGAAAGCTGCTTCTACCTTGACCCTGTTTCAGCTAGTCCTCAATTTGGTCCAATGTTGGAGCTCTGCCTCCTACCTCAATAACTGTGTCTCTCCCGTCCTTGGCCCCAGATAAATATGTGATAAATAAACAAATGAGAAATAACACTTCTAGTTACGATTTGCAACGAGATGTGGAGGGGCCATCCTCAGAACTTGACCTTAAGGGAAAATTGTTCACATTCAGTACAGTCAAGATTTCACAATTGAGAACCAAAGAGAAAGCCCTGTCTTAAAGAATCAGCGTGAATTGTCTTCCTGCAGTTTCCTGGGAGCACAAGACAGACCTGGAACAGGGCAAGGCGGTACTTCTTAGGAAGCACATCCACCTGCAGATTGAGGAAAAGTTTACTACACATCTCGTTAGATAGATCTGCTGCAATACAATACCTTCAGGGGGTACTTTGGTTCACTCTAAAACAGGTTTTGTTTCCACTTCCAACAGGGTCTGGCCAACTCATTTCTGCTTCTAGAAATCTTTGGAAAACAAGAACCAAACAACAAAAAAAGTCTTTTATTGTCTCTGTAGGTAATCCTTAGTTGCCACCTTCACCTCTGGAGCGTTATTTTTATTTTTTAGAGATGGGGTCTCACTGTGTTGCCCAGGCTGGCCTCAGAGTCCTGGGCTCAAGTGATCCTCCCACCTCAGCCTCCTGAGTAGCTGGGACCATGGGGGTGCACCACGATGCCTGGCTTCTCTTGAACTTCGGACTGGACATAAACTAGATGCTCTGCTGGGAGCTCAGACTCAAGAGGCTACTGCATCATAAGTATTCCTATTTTTATTAATGGCTGACATTGAGCACTGTCTTAGGTTGTTTTCCTCAGGAGCAGGCCCGGAGATGCGACATGAGTGCAAATAGTTTACTTGGAAGGTGATACCAGGAACACTGGTTGGAAGAAACGAAGTTGGAGAGGGTGAGGGAAGGAAGCCAATACAGGGGATATTGATGGGCAGAATGACTGTTGTGGGCAACTGGGGTTCACTCTCCTGGGGACTGCTGGGATAATTGATAGAACAGACTTCATGTTGCCCAGGTGAGGAGCAAAGAGGCTGGGTATATATCCACCAACCCTTCTTTATTCCTACGAAAGTGCTGAAAGGCCTGTTGCAGTGAGGTCTCTGGCCAAGGACACACAGAGGCTTGAAGTGGGAAGCCATTGGCTGTGCAGGGAGGGTGAGTGATATGGTTAGGCTTTGTGTCCCAACCCAAATCTCATCTTGAATTGTAATCACCATAATCCCCATAATCTGCGCGTGTCAAGGGAGAGACCAGGTGGAGGTAACTGAATCACGGGGCTTGTTTCCCCCATGCTGTTCTCGTGATAGTGAGTGAGTTCTCACGAGATCTAATGGTTTCATAAGGGGCTCTTCCTGCTTCACTCGGCACTGCTCCTTCCCGCTGCCCTGTGAAGAGGGTGCCTCGCTTCCCATTCTCCTTCCGCCGTGAGTGTAAGTTTCCTGAGGCCTCCTCAGCCATGCAGAACTGTGAGTCAATTAAACCTCTTTTCCTGATAAATTACCCATTCTCGGCTATGTCTTTACAGCAGTGTGAAGACAGACTAATACAGTGAGTGTCAGTGGGCTCAGAGGGTGCATGTGGCATTCCCTGTGAGAGTGTCTTGCTGTGTGATTTGCACACTCCATCTCCTTCATCACCACCAGCAGCTCAGGAAGCAGAGACTCTGATGACCCCCATTTGCGGATGGGGAAACTGAGGCTTGAAGAGGTCAAAATATTGGCTCAGGGTCGCCTCCAGGAGGGGAGGAGGCTGGGCTTTGGACCCAGGGAACCTGACCCAGAGCCTGTGCTTCTACACTGTGCACCTCCTGCTTCCTGACACACGACTGTGCTCCTTCGAGGAGCCACCTGGGGAAGAAGTGGGAGGCAGAGAGAATCCAGGAGCTTACTTAGCTTCCGTGCTGTGCATTTCTTTAAATCACAGGATTCTTGCAATTTTCTGAGCTGTCGGTTCCCCACTTGGCGGGATTTTGGGCTCTGAGGTGGGAATTCTGCCTGGGAAGCCTGCAGAGGGGAAATGAACCGGGAGCAGCCCTGGGGGCTTGGTAATCACATTAGTTGGATTTTGATTAAAGCAAATATGTGTATGTGAGATTTCTTAGAATACTTTTCTGGGGGTTTTGGTTGGAAAACAACCATTTCTTGTGCTTTGAATGATATATTCTAAAGGCATTCCCTCCTCTGTCTATTGGGTTCAAAAATCTCAGTCAAGCACAGGAGAAGAAAAGTATTTTCATTCTTGATTTTCTTTACCTCTTCATTTGTTATTTCCTTCTATGGAATAATAGTAGCAGTAGTAATAGCGGTTATTGACAGAGGGCTTACTGTATATGCAAAATGATATATATGTAATATATAAATATATATTTATGTATATCTAAATATGTAAGTATAAATATATAAGTATTATATTACTTAATCTCCACAACAACACTGTGAGATGAGTACCTGACCATTTTGCAGAGGCTGAAACTGAGGCTCAAGAGATGAAGTTATTTGCCTAGGTTCACATAGCCAGGAAAGGGTGGGCATGAGGTCCACTCCCAGCTGCCTGGTGTCAAAGCCTTCGCTTCTAACCACTCCCCACTTTGCCTCCCTCTAACCCCACTCCCCAGTAGCCCTGCATACTCCATTCCATTTTCCAGATGGGACCTAAGTTGTTGTTTTTGTTGTTTTTTGAGACAGGGTCTCACTCTGTCTCCCAGGCTGGAATCCAATGGCGCGATCACGGCTCACTGCAACCTCCGCCTCCCAGATTCCAGCGATCGTCCCACCTCAGCCTCTGGAGTATCTGGGAGGCCTGCACCACCATGCCTGGCTAATTTTTGTAATTTTAGTAGAGACAGGATTTTACCATATTGGCCAGGCTTGTCTCGAACTCCTGACCTCAAGTGATCCGCCTACATCGGCCTCCCAAAGTGCTGAGATTACAGGTGTGAGCCACCGTACCAGGCAGGGACCTAAGCCGAAGTGGGCTCAGCTTCTATTCTGGCTCATCCGGTGGAGTCGGCAGTGAACCTGGGAACCCTGGGAGGGGCTCTGGAACCCCGTCCCTGTTCTGTGTCCCAGGAGCCTCTGACTGTGCCCTCTGCCGAAGGCCTCTAATCACAAGTAAAAGTGTCACAGCATGATTTGTTGAGAATCAGGACTGTGGGTGATTTTTTTTTAACCTTCCATTTCGATTACTCTGGCTGTGGTGTAGGGGCAATGAAAATGAGTTCCAAAGGCTTTATCTTCTTTTTCTGCTCTCTCTCCTGGCCGTCCTCTTTCATCCTGACTCTCTTTGGGCACGTGTTGGATGTGAACGGCCATTCACTAGTTCCAGCAGTGACACACAGCCATTCTCCACCCCTGAACATGGCTCTGTGTGGGGACTGGGCTCTCTCTCCACCGGAGAGAATCAACACAGGAAAATCAACACAGTCACTTAGCGACAGATGGAAAGGGCTCAGAAATGATGTTCTAAACAGCCACCAAATAAAAGACAGGGAGATCCAGATCCCATAGCCACTAACTGAGCTCCCACTGCGGGCAGCTGTGTGCATTACTGATGTTGTCCAGGGGGAGAGGAGGGGAGGGATTGAGTGCTGAACTCAGCTTCTCATTCTCTAAGCTCCACCAGGTCATTCTCTCATTCAATAAACATTCACTGAGCACCTGCTATGCTCCACGCCCAGTTTTAAGGCACTGGGAATATAGCAGGCAAGTATTCTTGCCTCCTGGGACTTAGATTCTAGTGGAAAAAAATCAAGTAGAACAAGATAAATAGGTAAATGGTTACTAATAACTATGGCTTGTGGGATGGTGATGAGGTAAAGTGGGGAGTGGGGCTGGTTGGGGGGATTTGTAATTTTAAACAGTGTGGTCCGTAAAGGCTCTCTGAGGAGGTGGCCTGTGAACAAAAAGACCAGCAGCAGGGGTGGGTGTGAGCCCTGTGGGTCTGTGGAGGGAGAGCATCTGAGGTAGACGCGATGGAGCAGGGCAGTGAGTTTGAGGAACTCGCTGGAGCAGGTGAGCGAGTGACCAGTGCCAGAGGATGCAGGACCTTGGGGTCAATGCCTTAAGTCAGAAGGGAGCCATTGGAAGGGTCTAAGCACAGCAGGGGTGCAGTCTTGTGTGTGGTATGTGTGTGTGTGTGTGTGTGTGTGTGTGTGTGGAGAGAGAGAGACAGAGACAGAGACAAGGTCTTGCTCTGTAACCCAGGCGGGAGTGCAGTGGCACAATCACGGCTCACAGCAGCCTCAGCCTCCCAGACTCAAGTGATCCTCCAGCTTCAGCCTCCTGAGTAGCTAGGACTATAAGCGCACACCACCATACCTGGCTAATTTTTCTATTTTTTGTAGAGATGGAGTCTCACTGTGTTTTGTTTTGTTTTGTTTTGTTTTGTTTTGTTTGAGATGAAGTTTCGCTCTTGTTGTCCGGGCCGGAGTGCAATGGCACGATCTCAGCTCACTGCAACCTCTGGCTCCCGGGTTCAAGTGATTCTCCTGCCCCAGCCTCCCAAGTAGCTGGGATTACAGGCGTCCCCACCATACCCGGCTAATTTTTTGTAATTTTAGTAAAGACAGGGTTTCGCCATGTTGGCCAGGCTGGTCTCGAACTCCTGACCTTCAGGTGATCCACCCGCCTTGGCCTCCCAGAGTGCTGGGATTACAGGCATGAGCCACTGCTCCCGGCTGGAGTCTCACTCTGTTACCCGGGTTGGTCTTGAACTCCCAGGCTCAAGTGATCCTCCCACCTTGGCCTTTCAAAGTGGCATGAGCCACTGCGCCCGGCCTGGGAGCACAATCTGATTTAGGATTTAACAGAATCCTCCAGCTGCTGCTTCTGGAGAAGAAGCTGCAGGGGCCGGAAGGGCAGCTGCTGGATCCTGGCAGGGAGACCCTGTGGCACTCCAGGCTTGGGCCAGCAGGTGCTGGGAGGAGACGAGGAACCACGGGTTCTGGATGTAGAAGGCGGCGCTGAGGGGACTTGCTGTTGGGCTGGTTGAGGGATGTGAAAGAGCAGTCAGGCTGACATAGGGGTTTGGACTGAGACGGGGCAGGCTGCGGGAGCTGTGGGTTGGGGACAGGTCGGGGCTGCTCCGGTGAAGCAGGGAATATGCAGGTGGCTGGTGAGACAGCCTAGGCCCCAATCGCTCGGCCACTTTCCTAAATGCATGTTTAACTCTCTGGGCCTAGCTCCACATCAGGAAAACAGACCACCAGCCTCTTCCCCACGTGTTGTCATGGGGATAATAATAACAGCCGACGTCTGTCACAGGCCACCTGTACCAGATATGCTGCTTAAGTGCTTTATGCACCTTAACTCATTTAATCTTCACGGCAGCCCTCTGGGCAGTGTGATGGTTAACACTGAGTGTCAACTTCATTGGATTGAAGGATACAAAGTATGGATCCTGGGTGTGTCTGTGAAGGTGTTGCCAAAGGAGATTAACATTTGAGTCAGTGGGCTGGGAAAGGCAGACCCACCCTTAATCTGGGTGGGCACCATCTAATCAGCTGCCAGCGAGGCTAAAATATAAGCAGGCAGAAAAACGTGAAAGGAGAGACTGGCCTAGCCTCCCAGCCTACATCTTCTCCTGTGCTGGATGCTTTCTGCCCTTGAACATCGGACTCCAAGTTCTTCAGTTTTGGAACTTGGACTGGTTCTCCTTGCTCCTCAGCCTGTAGACAGCCTATTGTGGGACTGCGTGATCGTGTGAGTTAATACTTAATAAACTCTCCTTTATATATATATCTATTCCATGAGTTCTGTCCCTCTAGAGAACCCTGACTAATATAGGCAGGTATGATGATTAGCCCCACTTTAAAGATGAGAAAACTGAGGCACAGAGAGGTTAAGTAGCTTTCCCAAGGTCACAGAGCACGTGAATACTGAGGCAGGACTCACACCCAGGCTATCCAGCTCCAGAAACCGCCCACTTTCCTGCTCTCCCTCCCCTTGGCCTCCGGTGAGATGATGGGTGAAGGACCCCTACCACATGGTGCAGGCCCCTTTTCTCTGCTTTCCTGAACCCCCCAATCCCCTTTCCACAGGTTCTGGGGTCTGAGATGGAAAAAGAACTTTTTTTTTTTTAAACCCACTTTTGGGAGGTGGAAGAAGAGGACTTTCTTTCCAAGGCAAGGGCTGTGGGAAGGGGGAAGGAGGGAGAAGAAGTGGCCTGTGCCCGGGCTGCCCACGATCTGAGGCTGAATCAGGAAGGCTGCTGTTTGGGTCCGTGGTCCTTGCATTGAATTAGTGTCGCGGGGCTGCCACAACAAATCACCCCAGACTATGCGGCTTCAACAGCAAAGATTCCCATCTCACAGTTCTGGAGGCCAGAAGTCCGAAGTCAAGGTGTCAGGGCCAGGTGTGGTGGCTCATGCTTGTAATCCCAGCACTTTGGGAGGCCGAGGCGGGAGGATCACTTGAGGCCAGGAGTTCACCAGCCTGGCCAACATGGCGAAACCCCGTCTCTACTAAAAATACAAAAATTAGCCAGGTGTGATGGTGCATGCCTAGAGTCCCAGCTACTCGGGAGGCTGAGGCGGGAGAATTGCTGAACCCGGGAGGTGGCGGTTGCAGTGAGCAGAGGTTACAGTGAGCCAAGATTATGCCACTGCACTCCAGCCTGGATGACAGAGCGAGATTTTATCTCAAAAAAAAAAAAAAAAAGGAAAGTAAAAGAAATCAAGGCATCAGAGGGAGGGTTCCTTCTGAGGGCTACGAGGGAGGGGTCTGTTTCAGGCCTCTCTCCTGCGCTTGCAGATGGCCATTTTCTTCCTGTGCCTCTTCCTATTGTCTTCCCTCTCTGTGTGTCTGTGTCTAAACCCCCCCATCTTTTTTTGAGACAGGGACTCACTCTGTCATCCAGGCTAGAGTGCAATGGTGTGGTCATGGCTCACTGCAACCTTGACCTCCCAGGCTCAATCCATCCTCCTACCTCAGGCTCCAGAGTAGCTGAGACTACAGGTGTGCACCACCATGCCCAGCTAATTTTTAAATTTTTTGTAGCGATGGGATCCCACTGTGTTGCCCAGGCTGGTCTCGAACTCCTGGGCTCAAGTGATCCTCCTACCATGGCCTCTCAAAGTGCTAGGATTACAGATGTGAGCCAATGTGCCTGGCTAAATTTCCCTTATTTATAAGGACACTCGTCATATTTGATTAGTGTCTACCTTAATTTAAGACCTCATTTTAACTTAGTTGCCTCTATAAAGACCTCATCTCCAAATAAGGACACACTCTGTAGGTACTGGGGGTTAGGACTTCAACATATAAATTTGGGGGACAGGGACATGATTCAACCTTGACAGTCAGAGAGGCCTGGAGGCTTGGGCCATGGCCTTCGGGCAGAAGTAGCCCCGCCTCTTCCTCAACCATGCGAAGAAAGAAACCAAAATGATGATCTTGGATGGGGCTTGGATGGTTCTGGGATCTACTAGGAGCCGTCTGAACTTGAAGTTGGCTTTTTATGGTTTCTGAGCTGAAAAGACATAGATAAACTTAGCTTTTGTCAATCAGCTTGCCCCCCGACTGCTGTGGGGTCAGTTGGGTGTCATTTGTTTCAGGACCTTTGCACTGGGCAGGTGTGTCCTGGCTTTGCTCCTGCCAAACGCCAGAATGGTGGTGGGCACCTTCTGGAATCTAGCTCCGGAGACATCAGTCGTCTGTCCTGCACACAGCAGGGCTCAGGATGGGAGAAGGACCAGTCCTGCCCAAGATGGAGCTGGCTTCTTTGTCTGTTTCTTCCTCTGTCCCCTTTGATGCACTGTCATCCTAAGGAGGTGAGGGGGTCCCCAGGACGCACCAGATCAGCTGACCAGTGCTTTGGGAAAGAGTCAATGGCAGAGCTGGCCACAGCTGCCTGACTTCCCAGCAAAGCATCTTTCCTTTAGAATTCACGTGCCTGCCTGGATCTTATGGTGGTTCATGTCCTGCATCACCTTGGCTAGGCCACAGCGCCCAGCTGTTTGGTCAAACACTCCTCTAGATGGATGCTGCGGTGGGGGTATTTTTTAGATGTGGTTCACATTTACAACCAGTTTACCTTGAGGAAAGCAGATGACCCTCCACAATGTGGGTGGGCCTCGTCTAATCAGTGGAAGGCCTCAAGAACAGAGACTGAAGTTTCCTGCAGAAGAAGCAATTCTGCCTCAGCTGCAACACAGAAACCCTGCCTGAGTTTCTGGCCTGCTGGCCTGCCCCACAGATTTCAAACTCCAGATGGCAACATCAACTGCTACCTGAATCTCCAGGCTGTGCTGGGAATTTCCGACTTGCCAGCCCCATAATTATGTGAGCCAATCCTTAAAATAAATCTCTCTTTCTCTCTCTATGTATATACACATATATGGTACACATATGTACAGATATATATATAGACACACACATATACAGAGATAGCTAGCTAGCTATAACTATGGGTTTATCTTACTGACTCTGTTTCTCTGGAGATCCCTAATTAATACAGATACCTACCAAGTGTTCTGGAGCCCTCTTTGATGAGGGAGGGTCTCAGATATCACAGCTCAGACCTGTGCATCAGCCATTAGATGTGTCGGATGGGACGACCCAGCATGTGTCTAAAGCAGTGATTCATCCCTTGAAAAGCCCAAAGAGCAGTCGTCACATTTTTGCAAGGCAGTGTGGAGTAGTGATCGGGGGCATGGACTCTGTAGCCAGACTCACTTCTTGGCTGTGTGACCCTGTGCAAATTGTTCAATCCCTCTGAGCCTCGGCTCTACCTGGACTGGGCCCACAGAGATTGGTTGTGAGGATTTCAAGGATTAATATTTGCAAAGTGCCTGGTGTGTGGTGAGGACTGTGTAAGTGTAACTTTAAACAAATGTTGGAAGTAGAGAAAAATGGAACCCCCTACCCTACACGGATAGCGCAATTGATTTGCTCTTTGCTTTTTACTTGGGAGACATGCCCAGCTGAACATGTAGAGCATCTCAGGTCTGAGTGGGTCCAGAGACCCCTGGTCCCTTGGTATAAGAAAGGGCTAAACTGGAGGTGACCAGGGCAAGCAAGGTCATACTTCCTGCCTTGGCCAGAGCTGCCGAATGTTCCCAGGGGAGGAGCTTTGCTGCAGTGCTTGCAGAAGAAAGCTGTTTCCTCCCCACTCTTGCCTACCTGCAGCCTCCTAATCTTTTCAAGCTTGTCATTTCCCTTCGCCTCCGCAGGAACCAAAGCCACCACATTAACCCACATGGCAGGGGGCGCTGTTTTTAAAAATCTTTTTGATTCTACATGGCCCTGGCTTAGCTCCTGGGCAAATATGGTGTCTGCTGTGGCCACCTGCATCCAGCTGAATGGAGCTTTCAGGAGCTGACCCTACAAGTGCCACTAGTGGTTCTGAAAACTTGGGTAGTAAATGCCAAGTCTATCCCGAGACATGGCCACGGCCTCCAGGCAGTTCTTCACTGTTTCTGAAGAGGAGGCTTTGGGCTTGTCAAGGGATGAATCACTGCTTTAGACACATGCTGGGTCGTCCCATCTGACACGTCTAATGGCTGATGCACAGGTCTGAGCTATGATATCTGAGACCGCCCCCCCTTTGTCAAAGAGGGCTCCAGAAAACTTGGTAGGTATCTGTATTAATTAGGAATCTCCAGAGAAACAGAATCAGTAAGATATATCTATAGTTATAGCTATCCATCTATCTATGTGTATGTGTGTGTTTGTGTGTGTATATATATATCTGTACATATGTGTACCATATATGTGTATATACATAGAGAAAGAAATTTAAGGATTGGCTCACACGATTGTGGGGCTGGCAAGGAAGAGGTTGAGTGTGTGTGTATGTGTGCAAGTGTGCATGTGTGTGTGCAGGTGTGCATGCGTTTGTATGGGAGAAAAGCAGGAGCTGATAGCCTAGAAATGCAACTAGCACTATACACATGAATTTAACCCTTATGAATTCACACTTACTGGAGACACACTATGTGTTTCTCTCCAAAAACCCCACCAGATAGGCACTTTTCATCATCTCTGTGCTACAAATGGGGAAACTGAGGCAGAAGGAGATACAGTAAATTGTCCAGGCTTCCATAGCTGATAAGTGGCGGAGCTGGGATTTGAACCCGCAGAGTCTGCTTCTGGAGCATGTGGGCTAAACCATTGCACTCTGCTGCCTAGAGAGTCAGCACTGGCCACTTCTCCAACTCTTGGGTCATTTTTGGTGGTGCCCATGGGCTGATTGCTTCTGCCTGGTGCCTCTGGGTCAGGGTAGCCAGTAGGGGACATGTATGTGGCAGACCCAGAAAATTGTGTGTGGCAGTCCTCCCCCAACCCCAGAATCCTCGCCAACATAGTGCTCCAGGCGGCTGCTACCAATCCTGGTGAGAAAACCCCACTCAATGTGGCTTACGCGGAAAAGGAAGCACATTGGTTCCTGCAGCGGAACTAGGGGTGCACCTGGCTTCCAGTGCCCAGTTCTCTCTGCACTGGCTGGCAGCTTCTGTGTTGGCTTCAAACAGGCTCTCCTCCTGGGGTGGCACCGTGCAGCTCAGCCTCCCGTCCTTCCAGGTCCGGGTCCGGTAGCTGCCACTGAAACCCACGGTCCACTGCAGTCAAGGGGCTGCAACGGCACTATGGGCCAGCTCGAGTCAGCTGTGACCTCCGGCTCAGGGTGGAGCCTTTTCCCAGCACGAGGGCGGAGCATGCAGGAGTGAGTGGTTTCGGGGTACCTTATCCCCTTTCTCTCTGCAGAGGTTCTGCTCCTTCCTGCTCCTCCCTCTCTCTTGGCTCCAAAGGCCCTGGCTCCCATTTTCTCAGATAGCATCTCTCCAGGGGGTTGAAGATTTCCCCAAAGTGTGAGGGCTTCTGTTTTCTCCCCCTGCAAACCACTCCCCACCCCAGGCAAGGGAAAATTAAGCCCAGCTACCTGGTGTGTGTGTGTGTGTTGTGTGCGTGTGTAAAGACCGCACATACACAGGTCAGTATCACAATAAATTATCCTGACACCTTGGTGATGGAGTGGTGAGTGAATCGTCTCCACCCCATCAGGAGTGGAAGCCCTGAAATCTCTCAGCCCTACCTGTGGCCCCTCAGGTTCCCTGCACAGGACAGCTGAGCTCTGTGCCTTACATCCATGATTTACTGGAACTTCATTTCCGCTCACCCTGGCCACCCACAAATTTGCTGCTGCTTCTGCCTCTGTCTGGACAGCACACTGACAGAAGAGGAAGGTGGCTGAGCAGATTGTCACGAGCCCTCCCAGGAGCCAGGCTCTGTGCTGTGCCCTGAATACAGATTTTCTTACTGGATTTTCACGGGATGCCTGCATGTGAGTTTCCTGAGGGCAGGGTCCTGCTGCCTGCTTCCAGAAGAAACTCCATTAATAAGTATTGAATGAATGAACGATCCTATGAGCTAGCTTCTCTTATTATGACATTTGCTAGGAAACAGAGGCTCAGAGAGGTTTAGTAACTTGCCCAGGGTCACACAGCTCAGAGATGGCAGAGATGGGATTCAAACACAGGCAACCTCTGCTCATAAGTACTACTCTGGCCTTGCCTGCTGCTCTGCTGGGAAGAGCCCAAAGCGACAGAAACCAAGGACAAGGCCAGGACAAGATGGGGCTGAGTCCTGGGGCCCTGCCCTGGTTCCTGCCAGGGGCAGCAGCTCAGCAAGCTCCTGGGCCCTCCCTGGTTCCGCTGATGCTCGCTGCGTGGCTGAGCCACCTGCTAAGCCACACTGGCTCCTGTGCTCATTCTCCCAGGTACAGTGTGTTCCGGGTCACCGGGTGCCTAAACACAAAGTGTACTTATCCATCGGCCGTGTTCCGGCACGCAGGCCGTTACCACTGAACGAGCCAGAATGTTCTGCCTTCTTCCTTTATTAGGTGTGACACAAAACCCCTGCTCCCGGGGAAGTCCAGGAGAAAGTACAGCCCGCTCCTCTGAGGAGGCGGACAACTAAGAAGTGAGTCAGCCAGGACCCTTCTTTAGAGAGAAGTCACCCATTCCCTCACTGCTGCCTGGCCTAGAACATCCCCCAATTCTGCCCTCTCTCCCTCCCGCCCCACCACCCAGCTGACTCCCACTCATGCCACTCCCAGAGTCCCCAGAGCACCCCCAGCTCCCTGTCCTCTCATCATCCCTCTTGTTATTGCCGCTCCTTCATCTTATTTTCTTACTAGACTATGAACTCCATGAGGACAGCGACTCCAGGTTTTGTGTTTGCAGCTCTTTCCTCAGAACCCAGTTCACGGTCCTCTGTGCAAATCCAAAAACGGAGCCTCTTCCTCAAAATATTCTATTGTCATCTGATAGTCATAGATAGTCATCCTAATTCATATACAAATCTATGAACACAAAGTGTGATCAGTGTCTTCTAGATTTGTGCAATGCACAGCCTACATAGCTGTATATGACAACCTCCATGCACCATATATTTATTAACTGACAATAGTTATAAACAAAATGTAATTCAAATGTTCAAATATGTAAATGAAGTAATTTAAATAAACTGAGCATCTGCTGGGGCTGAAGAGAGTCCAACCTTTGGTACACAGGGAAGAAAACTGGGTCGGTGATACATAGACAACCATCAAGAGGCTATTTACAATGGCAAGACCCAAAAATGGGTCAGGGCTTGATCCTGTGCAAATTAAGGACTGTTTATTTAGTGACTTTTCTCGAGTGTATGTGGCTGCATGTGGAGACTTAACTCATTCTGTGGTTGAGTTGCAATAACAAAATTCCTTTTTAAAAATATCTTTCTATTCTTAAAATGACGCCTTTTCCGGCCAGGTGCAGTGGCTCATGCCTGTAATCCTAGCTCTTCGGGAGGCTGCGGCAGGCGGATCACTTGAGGTCAGGAGTCCGAGGCCAGCCTGGCCAACATGGTAAAACCCCATCTCTACTAAAAATACAAAAATTAGCTGGGCGTGGTGGTGTGTGCCTGTAATCCCAGCTACTAGGGAGGCTGAGGCAGGAGAATCTCTTGAACCCGGGAGGTGGAGATTGCAGTGAGCCACGATCACACCACTGCTCTCCAGCGTGGGGGACAAGAGGGAAACTCCATCTCAAGGAAAAAAAAAAAAAAGTGAGGACTTTAGTGCTGAGGCCAGGACTCAACATAACTGGCCTGCTGGTGCAGGCAGAAGCAGGGACAGTAGAATCTCTTCTTTTGATTTCCTAACAGCTTGGAGTCCCTAAATCCAGATCAGCCTCTCCTGCTATGTGCCTTTGGTGCCCAGTGAATATGTTGTGATGGGGGCAGTGGCAGTCAAGGATGCGTGTGTATGGGAGCGGGAGATGAAGACAAGTGGGAAAAGAAAAGGTGTAACACCGGCCAGGCGTGGTGGCTCACGCCTGTAATCCCAGCACTTTGGGAGGCCGAGGCGGGCGGATCACGAGGTCAGGAGATCGAGACCATCCCGGCTAATATGGTGAAACCCCGTCTCTACTAAAAATACAAAAAAATTATCCAGGCTTGGTGGCAGGTGCCTGTAGTCCCAGCTACTCAGGCAGCTGAGGCAGGAGAATCACGTGAACCCGGGAGGTGGAGGTTGCAGTGAGCCAAGACCACTGCATTCCAGCCTGGGTGACAGAGCGAGACTCCATCCCAAAAGAAAAAGAAAAGGAAAAAAAAAGGCATAATGCTTGTTGAGGCTGGCTATGTTTGGGCGCTCACTGCACCTGTGTGCAAGTGATCTCATTTCATCTGCCCGACAGCCTCAAGAGCGAGCCTCGCCACTGCTGTCATTGAGCAGATGAGAAAACAAGGTTCAGGATCAAGGGTTAGCAGACTTTTTCTGTAAAGAGCCTAAAGTTAAACAGCTTAGGCTTGGCAGGCTGTATAGTCTCTGTTGCAACTACTCAACTCTGTCCTTGTCACATGAAAAGGTGCCATAGACAATGTGTAAACAAATGGACATGACCATGTTCCAATAAAACTTTATTTACAAAAACAGGCAGTGGGCCGGATTTGGTGCACAGATGCTCAGGATGATTAACTTGCCGTGTAGAGGTCTAATAGATGAAACGTCATGGTGGATAAGGACATGGGGGTTGGAGCTTGGATAAGGACATGGGGGATAAGGACATGGGGGTTGGATCCCATCTCCCCAGCTTACCAGCTGACCCTGCACAGATTTCATAACTGCTTTGTGCCTCAGTCTTCTCATCTGCAGAATGGGGATGAGCTCAGTACCTCCTGCATAGGTTTATGTGAGGACGGCCAGGCGAGCTAAGTGCCTGGTGCCATTAGTCAGTGCTCTACAAGCCTAGGGCAGTTTGAGCTCAAAGCCAGAGCTCTTTGTCTTGCAGAAGGGTAGGGTAGGGGTAATGTCCTTCCCTCAGCCCTCCCTGCCACCTCCCATCCACCTTGTTAAATATGCATGTGCTACAGTTGAACCCTCCAGCCCAGTGCTAGTCTCGCCAGGTGAGGATGGGGAATGGGGGATGTGAGGCTTGTTCTAAAGAGAATCTGAGGTCTCACCTTCTGGCTCGGAGTTCTTTTTCTTTCATGCTCCCCACTGTCCAGGTGCCCCCTGACCCCAGGAGGACAAGGCCTTAAGCTTTTTGAGAAGTGGGGTGACACCCAGTTGTGACCGTGTCACTGTGCCACAGGCAGGTGGCTGTGCCCAGGGCAACTGCAAGACAAGGATTTATGGGGTGAAGCGAGAGGCAACCTCGTTGGTGGATTAGCTTCACGCGGCACCATTTAAGGCACGGGGAGGAGAAAAAAACATAACGAATGAGATGCCGTCCCGGAGGGTCAGCTAGCACAGCCCATATATTTCTGCCTAAAAGAAATTTTATACAACTAGGCACTCGCTCAGCAGGGCCGCTGTGTGTTTACAGACAGGGTTTTTAAAGGAATATCTACTACTAGTCCATAAAGTCACAATTAGCCAAACCCTAATTTACAAGTCTAATTTGTGGTTGCTGTTAGAGCTGGTGCTGCCGTGGCCTGCTGGAAGCTGCAAGTGTCTGCACTGTGCTGGCGGAGGGAGGCTGGGCTCCTGTCTGCCATTGCAGGACTGCTTGAGAGCAGATGGGGTACAGAGGGTGTCCCTAATCTGGGGAGGCTCCCTGGTGCACAGCTTGACACGAGATCTCAAATCCTCAAGACAACCCCACTGGTAGTTTCTGATGTTCTCTCCGATTTGTAAGTGAAGGAACTGAGGCTTGGGAATGTTAAGTAACTTGTGTGGGGTCACGTGGTCCATAAGTGATGGAGCTAGAGCCTGAGTCCAGAGCTGGGGACCGTGAGTGTAAAACTCTTAGCGTGATCCCTGGCACCGCTAGTCGCTCTTAAGGATGGCAGACCTGGGTCCCAGGTGCAGCCTCATGATCACTGCTGTGTAGCCTTGGGAAAGTTACTTACCCTCTCTGGACCTCATTTTCGCTGTCTGTAAGATGGGGATGATGAAAGAGCCTATCTCATTAGACAAAGTGGTGCACAGGGCTTAGCTGTGGATTCCTTTCCCAGGGCTGCCGTAACAAATCACCACCAACCAGATGGGTGAGAACAGTGGAAATTTATTCTCTTACAGTTCTGGAGACCGGAAGTTGGAAATCAAGGTACCACCGTGTTGGCTTCTTATGGAGGCTGAGGGAGAATCTGATCCGTGCCTCTCCCGCAGCTTCTGGTGGCTGCCAGAACCGCTTGGTATTCCTTGACTTGTGAACACTTCACTCCCGTCTCCGCCTCCATCTTCATATCACTTTCACCTCTGTGTCTCTCTTCTGTCTCTTACAAGGACAGGTGTCATTGGATGTAGGAACCACCCAAGTAATCCAGGAGGATCTCATCTTGAGATCCTTAATTTAATTATGTTTGCAAAGACCATTTTCCCAAATAAATTTACAGCCACAGGCTCTGGGTGGCCACATCTTTTGGGGAGCCACGGTTCCACCCACTACAGCCCACAAAATGGGCCCAGTGATGTGGTTTTTGCTGTCATCATCAAGGACTTGCTGAAAACCTCTGTAGCAGCCTCCCTAGACACCCCAGTCCCCCCAGCCCAACTTCTGTTTTTGAAAACTCAGATCTGAGTTCTGTCTCTTGCTTTTTCATCTCTGGGTCTCAGGGCTGAGGGACAGATGCTCTGCCACCCTCCGTGATCCTCCGGCAGGCTCCGCTGCATTTGTGAACATGGGGTACTGGAGGCTCGTTCTTGGGTGTGAGGGGGTGGGCTGCGAGGGGCTGCCCAGCTCTCAGGAAGCTCCCCTTGCCTCCAAATTGTGGCTGGAGGGGTGAGTGTGGAAACTCCCTCGGATACCCCTGAAAGATCCGGGTGACTAATGGCTCAGACCCCCAGCTCAGGGCAGGAAATGTGGGCTTGGGCCTCAAGGAGGCCAGGTGGGGAAAGCTGGAACTGGTGAGCCCATGTTCTCACCCCAGGCCTGCCCTTGCCCTGTGGGTGCAGGAGGCAACCCTGTGGGTGCAGGAACTCAGATGATGAATAGACTTAAAGTCTATTTATTTTTAAAATAGACTTTGTTGCTGCTATTATAATAGCAGACGTGTTCAGTATGCAAAATTTGGGAACTGTAGAAAAGAAGAAAGTAGAGAAAGAGATCACTCTTGTTTCTACCACCCAGGGGCAACCATCAACATTTTGGGTTATCTTTCCTTCCAGGTGTTGTTGTTTTTTTTCTCTATGAGTTATTTTCATTTCACTGGGTTCAAACTGGTGTTTTTTTTTTTTTTTTTTTTTTTTTGATATGGGGTCTCACTCTGGTCACCCATGCTGGAGTGCAGTGGCACTGATGCAGGGCAGGCGAGCCCCAAAGTGGGGCTGAGTCCATGAGGGTTCTTGGCTTTTCCCAGGAAAGAAATCAAGGACAAGCCGGTGGTAGAGTAGAAGGAAACAGCTTTATTGAAATGGCAGTCCTACAGCTCTGTGACTGCTCCTGCAGAGCAGGGCTTCCCTGCAGGCAGAGAGTAGCAGCTCAGGGCAGTTTTGGAGTTATATTTATATTGATTTCTAATTACATGCAGATTAAGGGGAAGTTTATGCAAAAATTTCTAGGTAAGGGATAGTAACTTTTGGGTCACTAGGTCATTGCCATGGAAAGGGGCGGTAACTCCAGGTGTTTCCATAGCAACAGTAAACTGACATCGCACACTGGTGGCATGTCTTATGAAAAGTTGCTTTCCCCTGTCATCGTCCTGTTTTAGCCAATCCTCAATTTGGTCCAATGTCTGAGCCCCACCTCCAGAGTTGAGCCCTGCCTCCTACCGCAGTGCACCGCACAGCTCAGGGCAGCCTTGACTTTCTGGGCTCAAGCAATCCTCCTACCTCAGCCTCCTAAGTAGCTGGGACCACAGGCATGCACTGCCATGTCCAGCTAATTTTTTGACTTTTTTGTAGACAGAGCCTAGAACTCCTAGGCTCAAGCAATCCTCCCTCCTTGGGCTCCCAAAGTGCTAGGATTACAGACGTGAGCCACCGCACCTACCCTGATACTGTTGATATAATTTTGTGTCTTGCTTTTTTCCACTTTCTCCTATGGCATATAAGTATTTCCTCATGTAATGCCCAAGTCTTTATAAATAGCATCTTGAATGGCTGGGAAATACCCCACAGAGGGAGTGCCGGGCCGTTTCCCTAGCCAGTCCCCTCTTGCTGGACCTCGTGGTTGTTTCTGGGACATGAGTAGTCATCAGAGCTGGCAGCCAGCAGCAGGGAAACTGGTGGAGGCCCGGTGTGGGATCTCAGGCCGACTGGGCAGGCCTGGGGCAACGAGTCTGGAAGGCTGGCTGAGCTGCATTCACCGGCCACCTGCAAGGCCTGGCGCCCAGCTGTCGCCACTGTCAGACCTCCTCATCTGCAAGCAGCTTTATCTTCATTTCTGACGGATCTGCGGGGCCCCTGCCCTGACACTTCCTCTTTATGTCTCTCCCTCTCAGAGCCTCTCTGTCAAGTAGCTAATGAACTGTAAACAGACACTCCAGTGCCCCAGGGGGACCCTCCAAGGAGCTCGCAGAGCTGCCTCTCGACAGCAAAGAAACCTCAGGGAGGCAGATAATGGCCGGCCAGTATCAGCCCCGCTGGCTGGCGGGGACAGAGACTGTGAGTCCCTGCATGTGCTCTCCCTGCTGGGGACACAAAGGCCCAAGGGGCAGAGGGATGGCAGGGGCTCTCCTTAGACAGCCTGTGCCCTCAGATGCCATTGCTTATTGCTTTGGAAGCCTCAGTGGGTCCCTGCCCCACCTTCCTTGTCCCTGTCCCCCAGCCTCCCAGCTGTGTGTAAGCCTGGTTCATGGCTAGACTCAACAGAGGACCTTTTGGAAAATGCAGATTCCCAGGCTCCTGAGGCTAAAGATTGGGACTCAGTGGGTTGGGTGGGACTCCCATCTGATTAGATTGTCAAAATGCTTTGGGGACCACTGGTCTAGGCCGGGGACACACCCAAAGCTTGTTCAGAAGCCCTCTTTTCTGGGCAGCACCCCAGGATTGCCCCCTCCTCACTTGGAGCTTGGGGTTGCTGTGCTTTTAAGGAGCCCTGATGTCACTCCATTCAGGGTGGGATGGGCCCTTTACACTGCATCTCTCTGTTAGGCTTGGAGCCCTTTGAGGCCTGGCGCACAGTAGGTACTCGACCACATTTAAGGCGCACTTTGCCTTGGGCCAGGCGTTATCTTACATTCCCCCCTTTCATCCTCACAGCACTTTGTGACGTGGGGCCTTTTATTTCCACTCCCATTTTACAGATGAGAACACTGAGGCCCAGCAAGGTTGCATAACTTCCCCAGGTCACATGGCCTGTAGGAGGAGGATAGGATTCAAATCCTCTCCCCTCATTGCTACGCCATGGATACAAGTCTCTTATCAGATACATGATTCACAAATGTTTTCTCCCATGTTGCACATTGTCTTTTTACTTCCTTGACAGTGTTCTTAGAAGTTCAGAAGGTTTTTTTGTTTTTGTTTTTGTTTTTGTTTTTTGAGATGGAATCTCGCTCTGTTGCCCAGGCTGGAGTGCAATGGTGCCATCTCAGCTTACTGCAACCTCCGCCTCCCGGGTTCAAACGATTCTCCTGCCCCAACCTCCTGAGCAGCTGGGACTACAGGCGAGCGCCACCACGCCCAGCTAATTTGTGTAGAGATGAGGTTTCAGCATGTTGGCCAGGCGGGTGTCGAACTCTTGACCTCAGGTGATCCACCTGCCTCGCCTCCCAAAGTGCTGGGATTTCAGGCGTGAGCCACCACCCCCGGCCAGAAGTTCAGAAGTTTTTAATTTTGTTAAAGTCCAATTTATCTGTTTTGTTATTTTGTTACTTTTGCTTTTGGTGTTGTATCTGAGAAGGCTTTGCCTAACCCAAGGTCATGAAGATTTACTGCTATGTTTTCTTCTAATAGTTTTATAATTTTAGTTCTTACATTTAGGCCTATGAGTCATTTGGAGTTAATGTTTGTGTACAGTGTGAGGAAGGATCTCATGCCTTTATTTTTAAATTTTTTTTAGAGACAGAGTCTCAGTCTGTCACCTAGGCTGGAGTACAGTGTGGTATGATCATAGATCACTGCAAACTCTAACTCCTGGGCTCAAATGATCCTCCTGCCTCAGCTAGGACTGAAGGTGCACACCATCATGCTGGCTTTCTTTTCTTTTCTCCTTTCTTTTCTCCTTTCTTTCTCTCTCTCTCTTTCTCTCTCTCTCTCTTTCTCTCTTTCCTTCTTTCTCTCTTTCTCCCTTTCTTTCTCTTTCTCTCTTTCTTTCTTTCTCTCTCTCTCCTTTCTCTCTCTCTCTCTCCTTTCTCTGTAGAGACAGGGTCTTGCCATGTTGCCTGGGCTGGTCTTGAACTCATGGGCCCAAGCAATCCTCCTACCATGGCCCCCCAAGTGGTGGGATTACAGGAATAAGCCACCATGCCTGGCCTCTACTCTTTTGTTTTGCTCACAAGTATCCAACTGTCCCTGCATTGCTTGAAGAGGCTCTTCTTTCCCCATTTAGGGCTCACTTTTGAGGACAGGAGGGAGGCAGGTTTAGCAGTGTGTCTCCCCTGGCAAGTCCCATTACTCAAATCTCAGAGGTCCCAGAGAGGCCATGACAAGCCTCCAACTAGAGCCACCCCAAGCCCTGGATTTTCCATCTCAGGGTGACTCTCCGGGAACGCGGAGACACAGAGGGGAATCGGAGGGACACAGAGGTTGGCACAGCCTGTGAGGGAGGGCAGTCACCCCAAGGAAGATGACCCAGGCCATATACAACTTTCTAGGGAGGTGCTGGAGCTGACCTCTGCCTGCAGAGGGAATTTCGCAGGTCTGGGGACTCTAGAAGGAACACTGGGGAGGGGTTCTGCCAAGTGTTTGGGTGGGGGCAACAGGACAGTCTGAGTCAACAAGATTCTCCCAAAGCCAACTCCTTCAGCTCTCCCCATGCCCATCTGATGGCGACTCCTCAATCCCCAAGAGGGCTTCCCTGTGCCAGCTGGGGCCCTCCCGTGGCCTTCTCCCAGGACTCCTGTGTTCCTGCCTCCGGGTCTTTGCACCTCCTGCAGTCTGGGATGCTCTACTGAGTCTCTCCAGTGCTGCCTGCTGCTTGCTTCAAGGGCCGCCCAGAAGCCCACCCTGTTTCTCCCCACCTGCTCTGGAGCAGGACGTTGCCTGCTCTCACCTGGAAAATCCGGGGACAGCAGAGCCCTGAGACCGTCGAGGCCAGAGGTTTGCACACTGTTCCTCAGGGGTCTCTGCAGGGCCAATGGGCAGAACTTTGGATCCTCCCAGCCACCACCTTCCAGACCCATTTCACATACGGAACTTCCACTGAAGACTGTTTATACAGAGGGTCCCATGATTTGAGAAGTTTGAAAACTGACTGATCTAATCCAATTCCATCATATTACAGCTGCATGAATGAAAGCCAAGGAGAAGGGCCTTGTCTAAGTCTCCAGAGTAGAGCTGAAATAGAACATGGCCCCCCGATCCCCCTGTTCCCCCAGATCCTGTCCCTGTGTCCGAGAGCTTCATGGTCCCCTCCCATCCCCTGCTGCTGAAGCCCCAGTTGGGCTGTGTGCTCAGATAGAAGTAGGGTGAGCCCCCCACCCTCTGCCCCACCTGTCTCCCCACGGTTGAGTTTGCTGCCCTGGTTCCCCTGCCTATCTACAGCCAAGCTAATAAAATCCTGCAGTTTCCATAGATTGTAGGGTCCCGCCGAGCCCTCCGGCTGCTTTAGTTTCCAGTTGGTTTTGCAAGGAGGGGGAAAAGGCAAATGCCTATCACTCCACCTTTGGAAGGAGACGATGAATAGTAACTCCTTTATCTCTGAAGGAGATCTTTTCATGCTTGAAATTCCCTGATCTTGTCCCAGATCTGCCTGCAGGGATTCAAGATGGCATCCCCCACCCCATGCGGATTTGCTGACATCCTCAGATTTGTGTCAGGCACAAGGACCAGGTCCCTGGGGGAGGTGAGGATGCCCAAGCGGGAGGCATGAAAGAGCGGGGTCCCCGCCCTGGTGAGGGGGGTGAGTAGCTCTTCTGGTGCCACAGAGGGAGGGGAGGGTGGGGTCTTGGGCTCAGAGAGGGGTCTGAACTCATCATAGAATGCGGTTATGTGTGTTTGTGTGTGTGTGTGTGTGTGTGTGTGCGCGCGCGCGCACATGCACGTGCGTGCACATGCATGAACACTTTTGGGTGAAGGGACTGGCAGCTCAGAGCCTGCGTGTCCCCTCTGGTTTGGGGTCTTGTTTGAGGCAGAGAGGCGTCAAATGGGTCCACAGAAGGGAGCGGTGGCAGCTGAGGGAGCCCAGTGTCTGAAATGAAACATGGATGAGGCTTTAGCATCCTGGTAAATTGGTAGCTGGGGCTGTGGGCGGTGCTCCAGCTGGGGCTGGAGGCCCTGGCACTTGTCTAAACTGATAATGGCTGTTCTCAGTGACTCCCGCCTCCTCACCTCTGGTCTTCCCTCCTTGTTTGAGCTTATCGCTGCACCTCTGGGGTGGGGGTTGGGGGATTAGTGAAGAGATAGGATGGGGTGGGGTACAGTGGGGGGCCTGGAGAGAGCTGGTTCTCTAGGGAAGAAGCCCAGGGGGCTGGATGAGTTCCGTTCTGGGGAGGGGGGGCAAGGGATGTCCTGATTGTCAAACTGAGGCAGCTTCTTTCAACCCTACAGGGATAGGGACAGTTCATGCCCTATTCTCCTGCACCCCAGTGCCCAGTACAAGTCCTAACATGAAGGTTTAACTAGTATTACTAACTGGATGAATGAGTAATCTCTGCATCCTGTTCCTTCAAAAGCTTACTCTCTGCCAGGTGTCAGCTAGTAACATGGTCTGAACTAATCTACGTGCTTGCATCATGGCCACTAATCTATTCATTGACCGATATTTATTGAGCACCTACTATGTGCTAGACAAAGTCCCTGTGGTCAAGAAGCTCACAGTCAGTGCTAAAGGCTTGCAGCTCTCAGGGAACATTTCAGAGGCAATTTCTTAAACCAAAGGAGAAAGCTGAATGGTGGGCATGTTGGGAGCATGTACGTAGCAGGGAAGGAGATCTCTCGTTCGGGAAAGGAGAAGAGGGACTTCCGAATTACTACCTTGTTGGAGCCTCCCATGGATCTGAGCCAGACAGGGCAGGCAGGTGAGGAGGTGCAGGCTCCAAGGACTCATTCCAGTTTGCCCTGGGAGTTGGTAGTAGGGCTGGCAGCAAGACTGTGGATTGAGAGGGGAAGCATCTTTGGGCTGTTTTCCTGGTGCTGTGGATAGCCCAGGCTGGGAGGAGCAAAAAGCTTCTTTCTTCTGCACCAACTCCCCCAACTCTGTGACTGGCTGCAGCCCTGAGTGGGCTGGGGTTGGGCGATGTAAATGTCAAAGTGGAGATGCTGATGCTGCCAGGAAGAAAGGGGATGAAGGCCACCGAGTGTCCTTGTCACACTGATGAGGGTCTGACAGGACAAAAAGGATTCATCTGGGAGTGTCCCCAGCCTGTCCCTTCCCCTGCTTGCTAAAGAGAGCTCTGGCATGGCCTATTCAGTTCTTCCAGACCCCCCAGTCCCCCACCCACCTCCAGGGAGTGCCCTCCTGTTGAGATGAGTCTGGCTCTTTGGCTCTCTGCGATGTAGAATAGGGGGAGTAACAGGAAAATCTAGGGCTGAGATGAAGGCGGGGCTAGGGGGTTTTGGAGGAAGGAGGTACTAGAGGACTCTGCAAAGTGAGAGGGAGGCGGGTGGGAGAGGACGAGGCAATGGGGAAGTTCCTCCGACTATGCGCCTGCCTCCAAAGGTTTGAGAGATGCAGTGGGAGACTTTGAAATAATTTTCATTAACTTTTTGGTGGCTGGACCGTGTGTCTTCATGTGACACTGTGTGGACCCGGGTTTTAGTCAGGTTATGTGCCATAAGAACAAAGACAAAAACAATACCTAACAGGCACCGAATGTTATTATTCACTAGGTAGAAACAGAAATGATGAAACACCCCACATTTCACTCAGCAACTCTTCTGCCTTTTCCTCCTTTACATGCTAAGTTTTGGCCTTCTCAGACTGCCTTTTCCCCCCTCAGTGCTGACTAATAGAATTTCAATATTTGGTCTTAAAACCACGGATCCTTAAAAACTGCTGGAGAAAGAAATCTCAGCAAGATAAGAAAGTTAAAAAACATCTCCACTCTCCCTGCAGCTACAGGAAAACACATTCTGGTCTGCATCAAAAAATCCATCCTTGTAAATATTATTTTGAACAAGAGTTTTGGAGACTTCAGAACAGTTGCAATGATCAATGGTAAATACCTTTTACTCCTTAAAAAACTCCATAATTCTGTTTGATTGTCTTACTTAATAATTGATTACTCTGGTAATAGTATTTAAATGGACATTCCTGTTTTCTGAAAGGTATACATACTTGTGAGTAGTCTTTGTAAAACCAGAGGGGATGGGCACTGCCTTCTCTCTGCAGGAATGAGGTGGAAAAAAAAAAAAACCCAGGTCTCTATTAGAATTCTTATTTAAACAAGGAGTTTGAGAACCTTTGTCTCATTTGACTTAACACGATCGAAGTGCTGAGTTCTTTATCTGGGTTATCTCGTTTAATCCTAACAGCCTCACAAGGCAGCCTGTATGGTTATTTCTCTTTTACAGACAGGACAATGAGACAATAGGAGATTGGCAAAAGTGCTGAAGGACACACAGCTGGCAGGTGGCAAAGCTGGGAGTTTGAGCCAGGCGGTCTGACATGGACTGTCTTACCCGCAGTGCTGTGCCACTTGCCTAGGAGGATCTTCATTTCTTCCTGTTGGATTGATGATCTGGGAAAAGGAGGATGGAGAAACTGGATCCTTCTTGAGAACCTAAGCATTCGGAAAGGAGGAAAGACTTCAGAGGAAGGGCAGCTTTGGAGAGCCTGGAAGGAAGGAACAGCCTAGAAAAGAGGAGCAGAGTTCAGAGTATTCCTGGGTCAGGGTCCAGGAGGCTGCAGGGGAGCAGGGAGTGGAGAAGAGCCCAGGGAGGGGCCGCCAGAATGGCTGGGGTGGGTCTGGCAGGCAAAAGGCATGGGGACCTTAGGCCAATGCCATGGACATGGCACAGCTCAGCTCAAGGGGCACCACTTACCAGGAAGCCTAGGTGACAAGTGGCCCCTGGACTTGGGTAGAATGGAGACCTAACTTGGAGGAGCAGACAACTCACTGGATAAGAGAAGAAGAGGGCATATGCAGAAGAACCTGATAAATGCTCTAATGCTCTGGCAAGCCAACTGGGCAAGTGAGGCTCCGTACCTGGAACATACCTACTTCTGCATTGCCTGGATGGCACAATCACTCCTCCTAGTAATGAAAGTTGGTACATTTCAAAATAGCGGGCACCATAGGTTCTTCAGATGTAAGACCCAGTGCCTGTTTGCCTAGTGTGCTTCCCCATCCTCCTTTTGATTCTGCGGGAAACTATCCTTCAGGCACACACACACATACACACACACACACACACACTCTTCCAGTTATCTTCTGCTACATAACACGCTACCCAAAACCGAGTGGCTTAAAACAACCAATCCGTTATGCTCACAATTTCTGTGGCTCAGAAACTGGGAAAGGGCACAGCAGGGACAGCTTGTTTCTGCTTACATGATGACTGAGTCCTTATTCAGGAGGTTTTGGGGCAACTTTTGAGTGTCTCAAAAGGTAAAAAGTGAAAGCTGCAAGTTTCTGAGGCTGGGCCCAGAAATGAGGGGAATGTTACTTTTGCCATATTCTATTGGTTGAGGAAGACAAAAAGATCCACCCAATTTCAAGCAAAAAGGGCATAAATTTAACTATGAGATGGGAGGAGCATGTAAAGCAGGTTCCTTTTGCACTGGTTACCAACTTGTCGGAGTCTGGAGAGACAGAACTCCCCCACACACCACAAGGTATATGAAGCAGATTTATTACCCACAGACAGAAGACTGGGATCCATTGTGAGCTGGTTTCCCAAGGCTCAAGAAAGCTGCCCGAGGCAGATGTGCCTCAAGTGCACATGCCCTACCTACACCACAGCTGAGTGACTCCAAATGGCAGCCCACCCTGGGTTATTATATATATCAGGACAGTGAGACTCACTGGGCTAAAGCTTGGAAGGGCATCTTGCTTCCTGGGGAGAAAGGAACCAAGCATGGGCTGTCCCGGGCACTTCCTCCCTAACTCAAGATGTTACATTTCCTAGGAAGGACTGGAACAAGACCCAAGCTGTTTCAGGCAGTTCTATAGAGTAGCCTTATCTCAGGATATTGCATTCCCAACGGATTCTATAGTTATTCTACAAGGAAGGAGGGCTGGGTCGGTCCACAGCCACCCAGAGAACTGTCCTGCAATGCCAATGAAACAAGGAAGAAAAGCATGTGGGATGGGAAATATTGTGGGGTCCATCTTTGAAAAATACGTATACCTTTGGTGGTCTTGGCATGGTTGCCTATTATAGTGTTCCCTGTCCCCCTCCAGGAATGGTCACCTGGTCTACACTGGTTCATCAGATTACCCCATCCATCTGTCACAGTGAAATGTTCAGGTTTAGATATGTGACCCAAGCAGAACCATTTGAATTTTTCCTGGTGTTGGTCTATGGATTTGGGGAAGGAATTTTCTGGGAGGATACATGTCTGGGCCTGCTGGGGACCCTCTCGGCTGCCAGCTAGGGCGAGCCTGCCTATAGAATGATTCCAAGCAGACACACGCAGAGCTGGGAGTTAGAGAGAGACAGGCAGGGGTTGACCACATTGCTTGAGCCTCTGGGTAGCATCATGTCCCTAACGTGGTCCTGCCCAGGATTTTTATGTTTCTGGCATAAAAGAGAATTCTTACCAACAGACTAGGGGACAGGGGGATGATTAGACCAATTAGACCACAAAGGTAGTGAAAGAACCAAGATTTGGAGCCCCAAGACTCATTCTATGGAGGAGAAATTTCCTCCAGAGGGAAGGCAGAATATCTTCAGGGAAGAAATAGTGAGAGATGCTTTGGGGAGTCCCCACCCCCATGAAGCACGTGACCCCTATCTCTTCCTCTCCTCCCATGATGATCTTATTTGCCAAAGATTGCAAGAATCATGGAGATGATGTAGAAGTTGGGTAATTAAGGGTGTCTGCTTCCCATTCCTGTGATACTGAGCAAGCCACTTAAATCTCAGTGTTCTCATATAAAATATGTAGATTGGTGTTATTTGAGGATTGAATGAGGTGATGGATGTGAATCCCTGACAGCAGTGCTGAGGACACAGTGAACTCATGAGGACTGGAAGCTGTTCCACGAGCTCTTTGGGTGGCTAAGACTCCTTTGATGGTAGCACAAAGAGGTGTCGGCATCTCCAAAATAGCCTCAACTCTGCCCAGGCTTCTCAGTGTTGCCTGTGGAACAATCGGAAATGATAAGAGGGTGTGTTGTAGATTTATATGTGTGGGCAAATGGTAATTTCCTTAACAAACAGGCACACACAGCAGGACACAGATTCCTCCAAGGCCCAGGAGCTGCAAAGGGAACACCTACTAAATGAGGACTGGTGGATAAAGCCCAGAGCGTCCTCCCCACCTTCCTCATGTTAATGAGCGGACAGATTCCAATTACAAGCCCAGTGGAAGGACCTCAATGGTGAAGTTTGACAGTGGTCTTAAAACTAAAATAGCGATACATACGGAGAGTGTGTGTGGTGCACAGCCATCTTCATAGCCCCTCACACCTCTTGACAATAGCCAGAGTTCACAGGAAAGTAACAGAAGGGGGCTGGGAGGAATGGAAGGGAATATCTGGGGAGTGAAATGAGGAAGGCCCTGCAGAACGAGCTGTTGGTAGTCCCCTCTGGGAAAGGAAGGGTTTACCTGGTGGAGTTGTAATGGCATCTTTATTCTCGCTAGCTCAGGCAGTTTGTAAGTTTGTGAATAGTCCCATGTGACCTTGAGGTCTCATCCTGAGAAATGGGCACAACAATACAGGCTTTTCATACTTACTGGCAGTTTTAGGAGCACCAGTGGGGATACTCAGGTGTGGAAGCAAAAGCGATGTGGAAAGTACAGGTGCTAGG
Organism: Homo sapiens; assembly: GCF_000001405.40. Lineage (NCBI taxonomy): Eukaryota > Metazoa > Chordata > Mammalia > Primates > Hominidae > Homo > Homo sapiens. Next base: position 11,554,116 of record NC_000001.11, on the reverse strand, counting down.
GCCACTGACAGACTTCCGGACTGTTGGAGCTGAAGGATCATGGAATTCAAACCAACCCCCTGGTTTTACAATTGAGAAGAATAAGGCCCAGGGACAGGAAGGCCGTTGCCTGGTATCCTCGAATGAATTAGTGAGGGAGGAGGAGCCCTGACGCTAAGCCATGTGATCCTTGTTTTCCCTTCATTGTTCAGTTTGCTTCCTTCCTGGCAGTCATATCTGGTGCAGATCCCCAAGGCACCTGTGGCTGGTGATGAAGTAGAAGGCAGGACTCAACTCCAGAGGCCAGGCTTGGATTGAGGACTAGCTAAAACAGGGACAGGAGGGGAGCACCTCCCCATAAGACACACCCACCAGTGTGCCGTGTCAGTGTGCTGTTGCTATCGTGACGCCCAGAAGTTACCACCCCTTTCCATGGCAATGACTTGATGACCCAGAAGTTACCACACCTTTTCTAGAAATGTCTGCACAATCTGCCCCTTAATTTACATATAATAAAAAGTATGTGTAAATATGGCTGCAGAAGTACCTCTGAGCTTCTACTGTGGGCACACTGCCTCTGGGGTAGCCCTGCTCTGCAAGGAGCAGTGCCTCTGTTGCTGCTGGGCACTGCCACTTCAATAGAAGTTGCTGTCTAACAACACCAGCCTGCCCTTTAATTCTTTCCTGGGCAAAGCCAAGAACCCTCCTGGGCTAAGCCCCAATTTGGGAGCTCACCCGCCCTCCATCACTGAGTCTCATGGGCTTGCCCACCATGCACTGATGGTCTCTTTGGGTCCTCTGGGTGGTCTGGGAAGTGATACCCTTGTTTTATTAATACTTTAATTATCATGTATATTGATGCTTTTGTTCACTGCATAACTGATTGTGTATGGTCTCCCTGTTGGCCTCCCATCAGTGTGAGCCCAGACTTCCCTGGCTGTGGTGAGGTTTGTTTCTTAGATGATAAGAGTGGATTAAGCACTCTGCCAGCCCTCCCTCACCAACTGGTAGCCCATGAGTTAAAAGGGCTTGAGAAGAACCAGCATAGAAGTGGCAATATATTCTATTTCTAGATGAGCCAGGTGGTTCCAAAGCTACCACTCATTAATTCTTTCAACAATAAATAACTAAACCATCGTATGTGACCCTACTCAATTTCTCTCACCATATCTCACATCGCATTACATCTGGTGTCATGAGAGACACCAGAGGAAAGGAGCATGGTTGACTTGGGAAAGTGCATCGTTAATTTTGGAGAAAAAATTGCTCCTGATGGGAGACAAGGAGAGGTTATCATCACCATAATCTCAGTGGAGCGTTGTAACAGCCTAAACTGGTCTCCCAGCGTCCCCTCCTGCCTCCCTAGTCTCTTCTCCACAGAGCAGTTCTATTAGTCAGGGTTCTCTAGAGAAACGGAACCAATAGGACATATATACACATATCTTTGATTTATGGATATATATATATATATATAAATTTATTATAAGGAATTTATCTGTGTGATTATGGAGGCTGACTGGTCCCAAGATTTACAGTTAGCAAGCTGGAGATCCAGGAGAGCTGATGGTGTAGTTCCAGTTCAAGTCCAAAGATCTGAGAGCCAGGACAGCCAATGGTATAGTTCCAACCTGAGGGCTGGTAGGCTCGACACCTAGGAGGAGCCATTTCAGTTCAAGTCCAAAAGCAAGAAAGAACTTATGTTCCAGCTGAAAGGCAATCAGGCGGGAGGAACTTCCTCCTATTTGTGGGGAGGGCAGCCTTTTGTTCTATTCAGAACTTCGATTGGATGGGATCCATCCACATTAAGGAGGGCCATCTACTGTACCCAGTCTACTGATTCAAATGTTAATCTCATTCAGAAGCATCCAGACTAAGGTTTGACCAGATGCTTCGGCACCCCATGGCCCAGTCAAAGCTTTTTAAACTGCTGTGATGGTTACTTTTGTTTTAAACATAAATCAAATCATATCACCCCCATGCTTAAGACCCAAACACCTTATATAACCTACAAGGACCCCTCCCACTTCTCCAACTTTATTTCCCTTCCATCTTCCCTTCATTCACTACATTCCATCCATACTGGCCTCCTTCCCATCTTTTTTTTTTTTTGAGACAGGGTCTTGCTGTCTTGCCCAGGCTGGAGTACAGTGGCACAATCACAGCTCACTGCAGCCTCAACCTCCCAGGCTCAAGCAACTCTCCCACGTTAGCCTTCTGAGTAGCTGGAACTGCAGGTGAGCACCACCACACCCAGCTAATTTTATTTTTTTGTGTGAGGAGACGGAGTCTCCCTATATTGCCCAGGGTGATCTCAATCTCCTGGGCTCAAACACTTCTCCCACCTCGACCTCCCAAAGTGCTGGGATTACAGGTTTGAGCCACCATGCCTGGCCCTTCCCATCTTCTGATGCCACATTTCTTTCCATCTCAGTGCTACTGCAGTTGCTGCCCCTTTTGCAGGATGCATTTCTGCTAGATCTTCACAAATCTGGCTCCTCCTCATTGTTCAAGTCAACTCAAACATCGCCTCCTCAGAGAGGCCTTCCCTTACCATCCTAGCTAAAGTAATTCTCACTCAGTCACCATAGAGCCCATCACTCTGCTAATTTTCTTCACAGCACCTAGAACAAACTGAAATTATCCTAGTTACGGATGTTTATTGTTCATGGTCTTCCCCTCCCACTAGAATGTAAACTCCATGAGAGCAGAGGATTTATTTGGCTCATTCTTATAATTCCAGCTCCTTCTGCAGAGTAGGTTTTAAGCAAATAGCAGTTGAATGAATTAGTTAATTGATGGTGGCACAGATTTTAAAGGAGAGATTATAAAATAGCTTCTCTTCACCCTCTTAGAGAGGAAAGACTTTTTGTGTCTATGTTTCAGAAAATAAGGTGGGTCCCAGGGGTTCTGTTCTTCTACCCATGTGCTGGGCTGACAACTCTAACTATGAGAAACCCCATTTACCTGGGCATTCCTTGAAGTGTGGGTCCTTTGGGAAGCACCTGGATTGGAAGAAGGAGGTGGCAGTAGAAGGGAGGTAAATGTTGGGTGTTTTCCAAACCAATCTTCTCATCACACATACATTTTTAATGCTGTCAAAATTGAATTTGTTATACAAAGCTGGAAGCAGTAGCGTTGTGTGTAAATAGCAAATCGTGGGAAGACCGCTGTCCTCAAGTACTTTTTTTTTTTATCAACCCAGTCTATTTCCATAGCCATTTAATGTGTGAGTCCCTGTCCCTGGTGCTGAAACAATTGAATCGGCCGGACGCCTGGGCTTCGGGAGGGGGACACCTCTGTCCGAGGTGCTGGAACTCCCTCCCCTTCACCTTCTCCTCGCTCTCATGGAGCTGCCCAGAAGTGCGTGGTCACTGCGTCCTGCCATTGCTGGGTCAAGCTGCAATGATAGCTGCTGGAAATCACAAGGCTGGACTATAATTCCATCCTCATTTGGAATCTCTTGAAACTCATCGAGGTGCTACTGCTACAGCCGTTCTGTTCTGCTCTAGGGAGAGGGGCTATGGGATTCTAAGCCCTTTTGGCAGCTCCATGGGGTGTGTCCAGCCTCAGGTGTTGTGAACCCATCAGTAATGCCATGAGAAAGGGCAGAAAGTCCACAGATCTCGGTTCACCATCTCCTCTTAGTATGACACCTGCCAGTTCAGCCTTAGATTGCCTAGTCTGCAGTGGTACCTCTGCAGGAGTCCATGTGTCCAATGGGCAGCTATGTTTCCATTTACCTCAAGATGGAAGGAAGGAATAAGCTCTGTAAATCTTGTGGCCCACAAGAAGTAAGTGACAGATAATGACTTAGATTTTGTAGTGACAGGGTGACCATTTAAAAATATTTGTTGGCTGGGCACGGTGGCTCACGCCTGTAATCCCAGCACTTTGGGAGGCTGAGGCAGGTGAATCAGCTGAGGCCAGGAGTTCAAGACCAGCCTGGCCAACATGGTGAAACCCTGTCTCTAGTAAAATTACAAAAATAGCCGGGCCTGGTGGTGCGCACCTGCAGTCCCAGCTACTCGGAAGGCTGAGGCAGGAGAATCCCTTGAACCCAGGAGGTGGAGGCTGCAGTGAGCTGAGATTGCCACTGCACTCCAGCCTGGGTAACAGAGTGAGACTCCCTCTCATAAAATTTTTTAAAAATTTTGAGATATAACATAAAGTACACAAATCTTAAGTGCACAGCTTAAAGAATTTGTGGGCCGGGCACGGTGGCTCACGCCTGTTATCCCAGCACTTTGGGAGGCCGAGGCGGGCGGATCACAAGGTCAGGAGATCGAGACCATCCTGGCTAACACGGTGAAACCCCATCTCCACTAAAAATACAAAAAATTAGCCGGGCGTGGTGGCAGGTGCCTGTGGTCCCAGCTACTCGGGAGGCTGAGGCAGGAGAATGGCGTGAACCCGGGAGGCGGAGCTTTCAGTGAGCCGAGATCGTGCCACTGCACTCCAGCCTTGGTGACAGAGCGAGACTCTGTCTCAAAAAAAAAAGAAAAGAATTTGTGTGTATGCATGTGTGCGTGTAACCACTATCCAGATATAAACACATAACATTTCCAGCATGCCTCCTGCCTTGTGCTACCTAACAGGAAGCATTTTCCACCAAAGATAACTACTTTTCTTATATCTGTCACCATAGATTAGTTTTTCCTGTTCTCAAACTTCATGTAAATGGGATTACTCCATATGCAGTCTTCTAAGTTTGACTTCTTTCATTCAACATTATGTCTTCAGATTCATCCATGCTGCTGTGTATCAGCAGTTCATTCTTTTTCCTCTGCTGTTTAATATTCTTTTGTGTGAATAAATCACATTTTATCTATCCATTCTACTGTTGATGAATATTTGGGTTATTCCCAGTTTGAGTCTATGATGAATGAATTTTGAACACTTTTGTGCGTGTCTCTTGATGAACAGAGCACTTGTTTTTGTTGAATACATACCCAGGAGTGAAATTGCTGGGTCGTGGCATATACCTATGTTTTCAAAGTGGTTGTATCAGTCTACAGCCATTGCTTGAAAAAAATTAATTTCTCCTTTCTGATTTTAACTTTTCTGTCTTCTCTTGATCAGTGGAGATGTTCTAGGGGGAGGCTCTGTTTCAATAGTTGTGGCCTTAGAGTTTTCTAGGTCACTCTATTGATCAATATTGATTAGATGACTATTCCCTACTAATCCCTCCCTGGAAACTATTCTCCTCTCACATCTTTCTTCTCTTTGGCTATTACCATGACTGACTCCTGTAATGGAATCTGAGTGAGATGGTGCAGAGTTTAGAATAAATCACCTGCTTTTCTTCTTCCACACCTCAGGCTAGAATGTGCCTGAGAGAAGACTCCAGCCAAGGAGAGCCAGGAGTGTGGTCTTCATCCCCGCTACCCTAGATGAGTCCTAGAGCTCCGGATAGGCAAAGGACAATCAAAAATCTGCAAGGAGGCTGAGCGCAATGACTCACGCCTGTAATCCCAGCACTTTGGGAGGCTGGAGGATTGCTTGAGCCCAGGAGTTCAAGACCAGCCTGGGCAACATAGGGAGACCCCACGTCTACAATAAATTTTAAAAATTAGTTGGATATGGTGGCACATGCCTGTTGTCCCAGCTACTCAGGAGGCTGAGGTGGGAGGATCACTTGAACTGAGGAGGTCAAGACTGCAGTGAGCCAAGATCATGCCACTGCACTCCAGTCTGGGCAACAGAGTGAGACCCTGTCTCAAAAAAAAAAAAAAAATCGGCCAGGCGCGGTGGCTCATGCCTATAATCTCAGCACTTTGGGAGGCTGAGGTGGGCGGATCACAAGGTCAGGAGATCGAGACCATCCTGGCTAACACAGTGAAACTCTGTCTCTACTAAAAATAAAAAAAAATAAAAAAATTAGCTGGGCATGGTGGCGGGCACCTGTAGTCCCAGCTACTCGGGAGGCTGAGGCAGGAGAATGGCGTGAACCTGGGAGGCAGAGCTTGCAGTGAGCCGAGATCGTGCCACTGCACTCCAGCCTGGGTGACAGAGCCAGACTCCATCTCAAAAACAAACAAACAAACAAAACAAATCAATCTGCAAGGAGCTCTTTGCTCCAAGAAGAGGAGTGGGCAATTAGCAGGAAAAAGAGCAAACTCCTCCTTTGTTCTCCCTCCTCACATTTTCCTTAGATTCTGTGAGATTTGGGGCAACATATCTACTCCCAGTTTGTGTATAGTGTTTAGATAACTTTAGGCTCAAACTGTCAAACTGGGACTGTTTTATAGACAGCTCAACAATCCCAGGGGCACACATGGAGTACTTTATAGACTGTCCTAGACATTGATCCGTTCATTACAGCACCCAGTGCTGAGTTTGCCTCATCCTGCTGCTATCCTCTCTGATGCTGGGGTCACAAGATTTCTAATCACACACTGACTCCTCTGTAAAATCAATCTGTGTGTGTCTCTGCCTCTCTCTGTCTGTATCTCTGCCTGTCTGTTTCTAGCTCTCTGTCTCTCTGTCTGTGTCTCTCTCTCCCTCTCTCTCTCTCTCTCTCTGCCTCTGTCTTTATTTCTGTCTCTGTTTCTCTGTCTCTGTCTCTCTGCATGTTTCTGTCCCTTTGTCTCTGTCTCTCACTGTCCTTTTTCTTTTTTTAGATGGGATCTCGCTCTGTCACCCAGGCCAGAGTATAGGGATGCAATCATAGCTAACTGTAGCCTTGAATTCCTGGGCTCAAATGATCCTCCTGCTTCAGGCTCCCAAAGTGCTTGGATTACAGGTATGAGCCACCCTGCCCAGCCACTCTCTGTCTTTTGAACACCAGGTCTATCATCCTCCTTGCTCCTTATCCCTGGACCTCTCTTTATCCCTGTCATCTTCTCCTCCCACTTCCTCTTCTCTGCTATACTCTTTGGAGAAAAGAGCTCTCAATTCAGAACAGCCAAAGTAGCTGGTGTAGAATAAAATGAGGCTCCTGTGTCCTCCTCAGATGGAGCTAAAGGTTCTCGTAGCCCTTGTAGAGGCAGCAGTAAAGATGGGTAATGTTTTACGCTTTGAGAGATGGGAGCAATCAGGGCTATGCCAACAGGAGCATAGACCTTTCACCCTGCCTTTCTGAGTTGGGGTCAAGAGAGCTTTTGGCTGAGGGTTAAAGGATAAAGGACTCCAAACTTAGGATGAGGAGGGAGAGTACACATTTGTGGTGTACTTTGGCTTGGATTTCCTTGTCCTGGAGACTTAGAGGCCAGGCAGGCATGGTAAGCAAAGAGAAGGTACAGAGAGTTCATTCTGGGGCCCTAGGAATATTAGAGGATCACATAGATCTTTGACATGCTTTTAGGGCAGTTCTGAGTACAATCTGCAGGACTGGGAATCAGAGTTCTGCGTGTCTCAAGGTTATTTAGCTCCCCCGTTAGCCATCACAGCTACCTTCAGGTCATACAGGAAATGAGCTCAAAATGCAACACAACTGCAGGAGCCTCCCATGGCCCACCAGCCCCTCTGGCCTGATGATGGTCACTGTCAGCACTTTTCCTCTCTATGCAGATCAATAGGGCCCTTGGCTATGACCTCAGGTTCAATTACGGCTTCAATTATGGAATAAACAGGCTGCTACTGCACACCTACCTCTTATTAAAAACACTGCACTGGGGGCTGGCAGAGACTGGACTTGGGGGGAATCATTAGCCCGCTAATTTGAAATCAATTTAAAGTGCATTTGCTTAATGGCATGAGCATTGTGAATTATCTACAAATTGTTAATTTAGTTGAACGTGACACCAGATTTTCATTTTATAAATTGCATTTTTGGGTTGGCAAATGTGAGCGTGTGTGTCCTTCCTCTCCCCTCAACTCATGCCTTCTCCCTTTTTGTAAAAAAAAGGTTTGATCACCTGTCTTGTGGTCTGAGCTTGTGATCTTTAGCTACTCAAAAGTCTTTGGTGTTTGAAGTAATTAGGGCAGGAAGGATGCTGCAAAGAGCTTGCACACCTGTGACCCACCTATGCATCAGTGACAGCTCAGGGAGGAGGGTGGAGCAGAGGAGGGAGCCTGGAGGAGCCGACCTGTCTCCGAGCTGGCTCTGCTTGGCTCAGAGTGGGAGGTGGCTGTGCCCTCTTCTCTGTGGGTCACTTCCTCTGTCTGGACCAGGAGACAGGAACATGTGCCCCAGAGGCAGCTTCCCAGGATGAGTGAGCTCGGAGTGGCTAACAGGCCTGTATGTTCTTTGCAGCCACTGCCATGGGAACAAGGTTGTTGGCTTCAGCAGCAGCTTTGACGTGGTGGACTGGGCAGCTTCAGATATGAGGCGGCACTGGGTCGGCCCTTGCGGCATGCAGGGACTCTCGATACCAAACCGGCTCGAATTTGTAAGATTCTTCCTGAGCCTCTGTTCCATGCCAGGCATTGTAATAAAACTGGGGGTCAAACATGAGCAAGGACCCTGCCCTCAAAAATAGCTATGTTGCTAAATCTCATTTGCTTTTATGGAGCCTTTGCTCTGTGCCAAGTGCCTCCCAACCTTGCCATATTGAATCCTTACCGGAACACTGAGTTAGGTGCATCTTTGGTCCTTTCTGATGGATGAAGTAACGGTGAGTGGTTGATTGTTTGCACAAATTCCCCTTCCTGTGTCCCCACGCCTTTGTAATATCATTTCATATTTCCTCCCATTAAGAGGTAGCGCCTATTCCTCCACCATTTGAACTTGGGCTGACCCGGGACTCACCTTGACAGCCAAAGGCGGCAGAAGTGATGTTGTGCCAGCTCTGATGCCAGGCCTGGGGAGGGTGCTAGTTCCTGAAGGCTGCCATAACTCTGTAGCGTAACCAGGTGGCTTAAACAACAGAAATGTCTCATCTTACAGTCCCGGATGCTAGACTCTGAAACCAAGGTGCTGATAGTTTCCATGTCCCTCTGAAACCTGGTGGGGCGGGATTCCTTCCTTGCTTCTCCGTAGCCTCTGACGCTCTGCTGGCTGTCCCTGGCTTGTGGGTGCACCAACCTATTCTCCATCCTTACATGGCATTTTGTCCCAGTGTCTTCACCTCGTCTTCCTTCAGCTGTGTCTGTGCCCAAATTCCCTCTTTTTATCAGGATACCAGCTGTGTTAGTTTGCTGGGGCTGGCATAACACGTGCCACAGACTGGGGGCTTAAACAACCCAGAAAGGTTTTCTCCCACAGTTCTGGAGGCTGGAAGTCCAAGATCAAGGTGTGGGCAGCGTTGGTTTCTCCTGGGTCTCTCTCCTGGGCTTGCACACAGCCACCCTCTTGCCACCTGTGCACGTGGCTGTCAGTCCATGCTTACAGGCCACTAGTGTCTCTCTGGGTGTCCTAATCTTCTCTTCTCATAAGAACAGCAGTCAGACTGGATCGCAGCCCATCTCAATGGCCTTGTTTTAACTTCATCACCCCTTTAAGAACCTTATTCTAAATACAGTCATATCCTGATGTTCTGGGGATTAGGGCATCAAGATACAAATTTTGCAGTGGAGTGACACAATTCAGTGGATAATCCCAGTCATGCTGGGATGAAGGCCCATGCTAATGAGCTCATCTTAACTTGGTTCAATCTGTAAAAACCCTGTTTCCAAATAAGATCACATCCTGAGATACTGGGGTTAGAACTTCAACATGCTTTTTTTTTTTTTTATTTTTTCTTTCTTTTCTTTCTTTTTTTTTTTTTTTTTAGATGTAGTCTATCTCTGTCACCCAGGCTGGAGTACAATGGTGTGATCTTGGCTCACTGCAACCTCTGCCTCCCAGGTTCAAGTGATTCTCCTGCCTCAGCCTCCCGAGTAGCTGGGATTACCGGTGCCTGCCACCACGCCATTTTTATTTTTATTTTTATTTTTAGTAGAGACAGGGTTTCACTATGTTGGTCAGACTGGTCTTGAACTCCTGACCTCAAGCAATCCACCCGCCTCGGCCTCCCAAAATGCTGGGATTACAGGTGTGAGCCATCACGCCCGGCCCAACACACTTTTTTGGGGAAATAAAATTAAGCCCATAACGAAGGCCATGGGCCTTTCCAGTCATTCTCCAGGAACCCTGGCATTGCCCTGTGAACAAGCCCAAGCTAATTTGCTGGGTGGTGAGTGGCATATGACCCTGTGACCCCTGCCTCCAGCCTGACAGCCAGCTAAGTCCCCAAAGCAGAACCACCAGTGAACCTACAGCTGACTGCAGAACAGCTGACTGCGGACACACCAGGGAGCCCTGCCAGGGCCAGAACCTCCCAGATGAGCCCAGCTACTTTTGTGACAGAATCATGAGCTAAATACATGGCTGTCTTAAGCCACTAGTTGTTGAAGTGGTTTGTTAGGCAGCAAGAGATCATTGATACTCAGAGGCTCAGAGAGATCAGGAGGCTTGTACAGGTCACACAGCTATGGGTGGAATGTAGGGAGGCATGGTCTCATCACCACACCAGAGGGACAGGATATGTCCCAAGGTATCAGGTTCTGCCAAAGTGTCCCTGGGACAAGGGATCCCCTAGGTGGGACCTCTGGAATTCAGTGATCCAGGGGACGAGATGGGAAGAGTCTTGCCTCAGCTTCATCATTTGCTGTGAGCCCCTGGGAGAAGTCACTCCACCTTGCTAAGCCTCGGTTTTCTCATCTGTAGAATGGGGTGGTAACATGCCTGCCTCGCAAAGTTGTGAGGAGCTGGTGAGGTTCTGAACGAGCCAGCCTCTTGTGAGGTACATAGTCTCTCTTCTTATTGTAATAGTGTCACAGATGCCCTCTCTCTCCTCTGATGCTGCCTGCCTCACTGAGGCCCTCCGAGCCATTGCTCCCTGTGAGGCATTCATACGTAGTGCAAACTGTCCTTGAAGTCAGCTGGCCTGGGTTCCAATCCCACCACTCGATGAAGGTGGGTGGGTCACTTTCCTCTCTGAGAAATGGGGGTGCACCTTTTTCGCGGGGTGGGTATTGGGGAGGAAGTGAGCTTAGGTGGAGAGGAGGCCTGTGGAAGGGACTCAGTTACAGCTCAGCTTCCCTCCCTCCCACCCTCTTTCCCTGGTGCCCTGGCTTCTGCCTGTCCTCACCAACGAGGCAAGGCAGATCAACCCTGAAGGCGCTCGGGCAGGCAGAGTGGAGTGACTGGGGACAGCCCGGGAGGAAGCTCTTCTCTCCTCCCCATGCAAACCAGGTAAGTACAAGCAGCGTCCCGTCAGGTAGACCTGGGCATTCATCTTCTGCTGACAATCCGCATCTTCACCTGGAGTTCCTTGGAGAAGAGGCAGGAGGAGGATGGGAAGCAGGGATGGGTGGGCAGAGGCGGCTGGAGAGTGAAAGGTGTGGTGCTGGCTCCTCCCGCTGCAGCAAGGACAGGCCAGGACACTGCTCTGCCCCAGTTTTGATGAGATTGTTCCCATTTTACAGAAAGGCAGATTGAGGCTTGAAGGGATAGAAAATGTGTCCAGTTAATGGATATTTATGATGAATAGACTATACGCCAGGAACTGGGGATACCCAGTCTTTGTCTTCATGGAGACTTCATGACTTCTCCCCCTAGTGCGGGGACAGAGCCAATTACCAGGTCATGAACAACACAGGGCAGAGGAAGTACAGCGCTGTGTGTTCATATACCGGGACGACGAACCCAGACTTGGGCACCAATGAAGGCTTCCTGGAGGAAGCTGCGTCCTGAAGGAGAAGGGGAGGCTATGGAGGTGTAGCAGGTGCAGGAGGAGTGTTTAGGCAGCGATGGAGCCACAGCTCGGCACAACTGAGGAACTGAAAAGTTGGTTCTGCTGAGGCCTGAGGTGCAACGTGGAGGCAGTGACATGAGATAAAGACACAGAAGTCACTGAGACCCTAATGGACCTGGAAGGCTGGGTGAAGTAACTTCAATTTGATTCTGGAGGCAACAGGCAATGCTTCAGGCAATTATTGCTGCAGTAAAGCTGAGAAACAAACCCCTCACACTCCATGGCTTTGCATGACGGTTACTTGTTGGTGTCAGCTGGGAGTCAGTTGACCTATACAAGGACCAGCGCAACCTGGCTCCAGGCCACACGTTGGCTGAAGTGAGTTCCATGTGTCTCTCAACCTGCTGGAACCAGTGGGCTCGCTGGTGCTTGCTCTTCCCAGGGAGGCACAGAAGCACAGGGAGGTCCCCTTGGACAGGAACTACAAGCCTGCACTGGCCTCGCTCTTGACAAGATCCCCAGGGACAACAAAAATCACACGGCTGGGCCCCACGTCAATAGGACAAGAAAACATATACCACCAGCAGTTGGAGAGGGACCAGCCAGGGACAGAATAGTTCCTATTTATCGAAGTGCTTTGCAATTCCAAGTGCATAAATGCTGTCCTGAGTTGGGAGAAATCTGTTTCATAACAACGATGATGTCGGGATGATGGTTTTAGAGGTATCACTGTGGCCAAGCCCTTGGCAAACATCATCTTATTAAAACACGATCACGCACGATGGGTATCACTCTATTGAATGGATGGGCAAACAGGTTAAGATGGGGAATGTGACTTGCCTACATTCACACAGTTGACAGAGGCAGGGTGAGGAAGGGTTCCGTGACTGCACCGCAGGATGGCTGTATCCGAACTCCGGCCTCTTTCTGTTACCCTGTGTGGCCCCCTCCCAAGCACCCCCTCTGCTCAACTTCAAGGGTGGGCAAGGGAGCAGCATCAGGCAATGTCATGCTGCTCAATGCTCCAAAGCCTCTGACTGGGACTCTGGCTCTGGAGCAGGCCAGGGCAGTCCCGCTGCGTCCTTACTCAGGGAAGGCAGGGAGGGTGGCTGGCGCTGGTGCCAGCATCTCCTGGCGATGCCTCCAGGGCAGAGCAAGTCAGTTGACATTTGCCAATGCCTTCTGAAGAGGGTGAGCTCCTTCTCTCCTTCCTCCCTGCTCTCTCTGCCTCCCCTCCACCCTCAGCCCTGCAGCCAGAGGTTTCTAAGGAGCAAATGACAGCCACGTCTCTCCCCTGCTTACAAAATATCATCTAGATAATACATTTCTGTAGTAATATCTCTTGGCAATTTTTTTTCATGTTGTTACATAGAATGCTTCCTTGTTCTTAATACGGCTACAGAACGTTCCACCGCCCGTGCCAATGGATGTGGGGGGCTCACAGCCCTTTGCTGCACTGGACAAGCCTCTAGTGAATAACTTCTGCACTTGGCCAGCGTAGGAAGTTTAGCTGCAGGATAGACTCTCAGAAGCAGGATTGCTCAATCAAAAGAACTGTGAGATTGTAATTTTGATAGTGACTGCCAAATTACCCTCCACTCCAGTGGAATCTGTTACATGCCCACCAGCAACGCGTGGCAGCCCGTGTCCCCTTAGCCCGGCCAGCAGCGTGCTATCAACCTTGTAGATCCTTACCGAATGGATAAACGTAAAATGGTCTTCTGTTGTTAAAAACCTTTCATTGTAATTTCCATTCCCTCCAGGGTAAAGTCCAGCTTCCTTGGGTGGACATGGGAGTCGGCACAGCCTTGCCCTTCCTCAAGGCCCCTTGTCAGCTGGTGGGGTGGACCTGGGCACAGCTCATGTCTCTGGGCTTCAGTTGCTTAGCAGTGAAATAGGGCAAAAGCATTCCCTCTGACCAGTGCTCTAAAGATTCCCGAGAATGCACAGATTCTTGTCCAGGCAAGGCAGGCGCTCCATACACACAAGCACACATTGATACCTCTTGGTCTCCAAGAGGAAGGAGAGAGAAGCGGGGGCTCAGGGAACCTTGGCAGGGGGTAAGGGTCCCTCTCCTCTCACTCTCCTCATGCCCTTAGCCCCTCCTCTGTGCCATGCGCTGCCACCTTGGCACGCTAAATGTCTGCACATCCTCATAGACCTTGGGCTACCTGCTGTGCCTGAGCTAACAAAGCATCTCATTAACGCTCAGCAAAGCGCATTAAGACCATGAGCTGTGCCTCAGTGGCAAAGGAAGGTCAAGGTTCTTTTCGTGGGAGTTAGTGCCTCTGGGACCCTGTGGCGCCAGTATTCACAAACAAGATGAAGGGGGATCTATTTGGAGGTAAGTAGGCAACTGGTTGTGTGGCCCGAGTTCTCGGAAACTCCCAAACACTCACAGCCTTTCCCCAGCCTGGCCGTGGCCCCGCTCCTGGAGGAACTACCACCCACTGAGAGCTGGACAGATCAGGCATCAAACAGGGCCAGACGAGGGCCAGACAGGTCAGCTTTGATGAGACGCAGACCTGAAGTTGAGAATGCCATCCCCAGGGGTGACCCTGGCCAGAGGCCGGCGGGGAGGGAAGCTGCCTGGCAGCATGCTGGGTGTGTGCTCTTTCCCCTCTCTGGGCCTCTGAGTGCTCATCTGTGAAATGGGAACTCCACTCACAGGAGCATGAGGGTTACATCAGAGGTGTACATGTGCCACGGAGCCCTCGCCACCCTGGGGGAGATGACAGTGACATAGGGCCTGGCTCCTCCACCCTGGACCTGCCTGCCCCAAACCCCCACAACACGCTGAAAAGACAGAGGCCAGGGGAAGGAAGAAGAGCTGTACCACAAAAGGAGATGGGCGAGGTGAGGGTTTCTTTACAAATGGGCATTATTATTATTATTATTATTATAATTAATTAATTAATTTGAGACAGTCTCACTCTGTCTCCCAGGCCCAGTCTCGGCTCACTGCAATCTCCACCTTCCAGGTTCAAGTGATTCTTGGGCCTCAGTCTCCCAACTAGCTGGGATTACCAATGTGTTCCACCATGCCCGGCTAATTTTTGTTATTTTTAGTAGAGACGGGGATTTGCCACGTTGACCAGGTTGGTTTTGGACTCTTCACTTCGTGTGATCCACCTGCCTCGGCCTCCCAGAATGCTGGGATTATAGGCTCAAGCCACTGCGCCTGGCCAAATGGGCATTATTTGAACTGCATGCAAATGATATGCAAATGATTCTATCACCATATTAAAACTAAGCTTTTGGGAAGGTCTCAGGACAAGCACTTGGAGATGTAGATCCTTTTTCTAAGCACCTTCTGGGGCATCCTGTCAATTTGCCAGCCCCTCCCCTCCCCTCTGCTCCTACCGGGCCTCCTCCCACCAGCCTGCCCCATTTCCCCTGCATGGGTGGTCGCTCGGACGAGGACTGACCCTGCAGATGTGGCCTCCTGCACATCTGGGGACCGCCGCCAGTGGGCCCCAGGTCAGAGCCCAGCCTGTGCCCTGAACAGGCCCTTCAGGGCTGTGTGCTTCGGGCCATGGTCCTTCCCCTCAGCCACCGCGCTCTTGGCTGGGCCTCCAAGGGTCCAGGTTTTCCAGATGTTGGATGGGAAGATGCTCAGGTATGAAGCATTGTACAAACACAAGGGTTATCATTCCAGATTTTCTAAGAACAGGCCTCTTGATCTGACCACCAACCTCAGACAACCCTGTAACCACCATCAGCCTTTGTTAGACTGTATTGAGAGGCTGTGAATCTTAATGGCTGAGGAAACACCCTGGGGACAGGCTGGTGGGGCTCGGCACCTGGCTCCACCATTCAGTAGCTGCGTGATCCAAGCAAGTCAATCTCAGTTCCTTGGCTGCCCTGTGTGCAAAATGGGTGTGACAACACCTATTCCTTATGGTTCACAAGTGAGCTCACACATGGGAACCCTGCTGTGTCCCTGGAAAGATGTTGAAGTCCTAACTCCTGGATACCTGTGAATACGAGATTTGGAAACAGGCTCTTTGTAGATGATCAAGTTAAAATGAAGTCATTAAGGTGGGGCCTAATCCAGTATGCCTGGTACCCCTCTTAGAAAGAAGGTGACCTAAACAGAGAAACAGATAAGGAAGTCACGTGAGGACAGAGGCAGAAGCTGGAGTGACGCCTCTTGGAGACAAGGAACAGGAAGGCTGGTTTGCTACCAACCTGCAGAAGCCAGAAAAGCAGGAGACGGACTCCCTGAAAGCCTGCAGGAGGAACCAACGCTGCCAACACCTTGCTTTTGGACTTCCAGCCTCCGGAACTGTGAGAATAAACTTCTGTTGTGGAAGTCACACAGTGCGTGGAGCTTTTTCGTGGCAGCCCCGGGACACGGACACGAACTCTGAGGAGAGCCTCTGGCACAGTCAGTGCCGCCTGCTAGCCTCACTCATTGCTTGTTTGATGTCTGTCTTCACTTTGCACGGTGGGCCAAGGTCTGACAGTCCCTCAACAAACACTCGCTAAGTGGAGGACACAATGGTGTACATCTGTCTTGCATCCCCAGGCCCCCAGTTAATATTTACAGAAGGCCAGGAGGGCTGGCCTGGAAACCCCCTTTGATGTCTTTCCCACCCTCAGGGATTCATTCCAGCTCAATCTGAGTCCACACTCATGAAGCCTGGTGGCAATGTCTGTCTCCAGGGAAAGAGCTCAGTGCCCAGCACAATACTCAGCACACCAAAGGCATCCTCAAAATGCCCCCTCTGTGGAGCCAGTTGGACCCCTTAAAGAGAGAAGCATCTCTTGAACCCCACCTCCCCTAGGGTGCCCTGTGACCTGTTCCAGGAGGGTCGGTCACCCTCCAGCCCACTCACCTCTCCCTCTGGCACCAGCCCCAGCCTTTGCGCCACGTTCAGGCTGGGCAGCGCACAAGGTCACTTCAACTTGAGAAAAGCGGTAGAGACAGCAGTGCTTAAAATGCTCGTATTAACAGCAGCAGTCTGCAATCCTATGTCATTTTAATAGCAACCTTCTGCCGTGAGCAGGCGGCCGGCATGGCAGCTCCTCCCCACAGGGGCCATCCCCCAAAACATCCACTCAGAGTCAGGTGGGAAAGACAGGGGCTTAGATCCATGAGGAAAGCTGTGCTGAGCCCCAGAGCCCCCAGAGAGGGCCTTTGAGGGGCCCCTTGAGGCTGGGGTCAGGGGTAGGACATGCAGAAGCCCAAGCCGGGTCCTTCTGTCTTCTCTGGCCAAGACCAAAAGGCCCAGGGAGGGCCACAGGGCCATTCAGCACTGGCCGCCGTAAAGCTGAAGGGGAGGGTTGCGGGGGGGCGGGGTTAGGGGGTGAGAGGCCCCCACCCTGGATCCACTGTGCTCTTCCTGTATGATTCCCGAGGGCGGCATGGCGCTCGGAGGCAGCTCTGGCTCTGCTACTGATCCAGCGACAGGGCAGCCACTGTGTCCTGGCGCCTCAGTTTTCACATCGGTAGAATGGGGGCCACCCTGTAACATCCACACTGGAAGGTTGTGAGCACTGAGGCAGTGTGAGAGGGAGACCCCCTACAAAAATAACCTGACCCCCATGGTGACCGGGCATGGGAGGAGGGCTGGTCTCTTCTGCCACTGGGCAAAAAGCCGAGTGTGGCTGCCAGTAGCCCGGCCTGTGGGGTGGCGGCTGTCTCCAACTCCCAGCTCCACAAGGCAGCATGGTCCACACCATCTGTGTGGGTGTCAGCCTCCACGCTGGCCCGCAGGGCGCCCTGGGCCCAGGCCTGGGGACACAGCTAGCTGAAGTCGAGCTGGGAAGCAGCTCCTGTCCCCCACCCATGGGACCAAAGGTGCAAGTGTCCAGAGCCCGTCCCGGGCTATAGGGAGGCCCCTGCGGGCAGGGGAATCTTATAGCCGCTCTGCAGGAGCACGAGGCAGGCACCCAGCCCCAGGGCCCCTGCCAGCAGCACGGCACCCAGGGCCTTGAGGAAGGAAGTCCGGGTCCGAGTGAAAGAGCTGGGCGCCATGATGCCCAGCAGGGCGGTGCTGACGGTCAGCGTGTAGAGGATGGACACGCCCGTGTTGAGTGCCACAATCTTGCCGAACTTGGCAAATGGGGCGATGATGCAGAAGAAGAGGGGCACTGTGGCGATGACCGTGGTGAGGGCACTGGAGACGATGGCCACGCCCACGTGCCGCACGGCCTCCAGCGTACGCCACTGGCGCTGCGTTCGGGCGTCCTGGGGGCAAGAGGAGAGCTGGGAGCCCAGCCTGCCTGCGGGACCCCTCTGGCCAGCACCTGGGGAATCACGCACCCCCACCCCACGCCAGGTTCCTGCTCTGTTACTGGGATGAGAGCTGCAAGTGGCCTCCCAGGGTTGGGAGGGTAGGAACCAGGTAGGTGTTGCTATGGCAACAGGACGCGAGGGTCTGCACAGTAGGTCCTGTGTAACTGAGTTGATCTTTACACATTTGTGAATGTTTTCACACCAACGCAATTCCAAACTAAAGAAAAAAATCGTTACTAGGCCCAGAGCCGGTTTTGGCACTGAGTATGTGAACATGTCCTCACCAAGCCACCAGGGGCTGGAGCAGACTTGTGGCCTCTGGGTCGTGGCTGGAAGGAGAATGAGTCATGGACCTGGGGCAGTGTGAAGCAGGAGGGCCCCCTTGGAATCCTGCGTCTGTCCAACCCTCTCATTGTTCACTTGGGAAGACTGAGGCTGGGAGGTGTGGACCTTAGAACTTGAGTCCCTGGGGCTTGGGGATCAGCTTTGGGAAACCTTAGTTTCTAGAACACAGCCTGCATGGGGGTCCTGGTGCTGGGATGTTCAGCTGCCCTTGAGGGTCCCTCAGCTGCACCCAGGTGGGAGAAGACCCAATGTGGTGGGAAGTGGGTAAGGCGGGCAGGGTGCGCACCTCGGCCTGGTGGGGGGGCAGGTTCTCTCCAGCCAGCAGGTAGCCCTCGACCAGGTGGACGCAGTAATCCACGGAGGAGCCAACGAGGATGGACAGGGAGATGGCTTCCACAGCCCCCATCTCCCAGCCGCTCCAGTACATGATGGTCACCACCAGGCACACGATGCCTGCAAGGAGACAGCAGGGGGGGCAGCTCGGATCCCCCGCCCTGGAGGCCTCAGAGGAACAGGGAGGTCTGGAGTCCAGCCCCCACCCTCAGGTGACAGGAGAAACAAGGCACACCGAGGGGACCCCTGAGGGAGGGGACAGGTGCAGTAACACATCACTGAGCTGAGGGCTACTACCTGGGTACCCCGGCTCTGCTCAGGAGCACAGACATGCAGGAGAGACAGTCCTATGAGCCTCCGCTGAGATGTGACAGTGAAAGGTTCAGAGGCCTGGAGGCTACCTGGGGCCACCGGGGAGACTGTCTGTTCCCGTCCCTACCAGCAGGGTGCCTGCCAGCCCCTCGCCCACGTACCCAAGATGCTGAGGAGCACGGGCAGCAGGAGCAGGATGTGGGTGGTGAACACGGCCACCGCGGCCACGCAGATGAGCAGGGATAGCACCAGGCCGCACAGGGCGCTCTGCACCCCTGCAAGGGAGGACAGGGCCTCAGTGCGCTGCTGTGTGGGCGGTCGCAGCAAGCTGTGCTGCTGGGGTGAGCCCTTGACCTCTCTGAGACTCCGACTCCCAGTCTGTAAAATGGGGTCATAACAGGACCTACCCTACCGGCCTTGTTTGGAGTTGAAGAGAACACAGGTCAGGCCCTCAGCCCGGAGCCTAGGCACCTAGGAGGGGCTGGTAACTGGCAGCTGCCATCATGGTCATGACTGTTACTTTTTAGGTGGCCAAAGTCCAGATCAGAGAACGTGGCCAGATGCCCCCGACAGGAGAGGACCCAAACTCCAGCCTCTGATCAATGTCCCAGCCACCGTGCCACCCGGTTTCCTCAGGGCTCTTGGCCAGGATGGAGATTGTGACTCAGGCCGCTCTGTGCCCTCCCGGCCCCAGGTCCCTCTGCCTCCTGCCCACCCAGGATGGAGGGGCGAGGCTGCCGCTTGCCTACGATTTCCATGAATATCTGCTTCCAGTGCTCGCAGGTCTGGAAGCCCCGGCGCAGGACTGAGCCCTCGGGCAAGGCCTGCAGCTGCTGCTGGAGGAAGCTCTCCCAGCGCAGGTAGTCCGAGTAGGTCTGGAAGGAGGATTTGCCCTTGTACGTGGTCTGTGGGGAGAGATGTGAGCTAGTGAGACAGGCAGGGACTGTGGCCCACCCGCCCTTCCCAGGCATGGCTGGTCTGTTCTGCGGCCACCAATGGAGTGGTGCGTGTGTTGGGGAGGGTGTGAACAACGATTCAATCCAAAATGAGTCCCCACCAGCTTCTGGAGGCATCATGTGGTTGTGACAGCAGCACTGATCCACATGCAACCACAGTCCCTGCCCACCAGAACTCCCTTCAGCTCCTAGGGCTCCCCATGCTCTCCTGTCCACACAGAGTGCATGCTGTTCCCTCTGCCTGCTCAGCCAGTTCCTGCTCATCCTTCAGGGCTTTCTGGGGTTCCATCTCCTCCAGGAAGCCTTCCTTGATGCCCCAAGGTGGGCCTCCTTAGTGTCTCCAAACCCTCAGTGCTTCCCCTGCTCTTGTCACTGCCTGGCAACCTGCCTGGCCCTGGCAGGTGGGACTGTGAATTGCAAGGGCAGGAGCAGCCTGGCTGGCCCACAGTGCCCAGTCCCGAGAGGTGCTCATGGATGATGAATGAGAGAAATAGGCACTCACCCTGCTCTAAAAGATTCTTAAGGTATCTGCTCATCAATTCTGCTCTTGCTGAGCACAAGCCAGTTCATAGTAGGTCTGCGTGTGTGTGTGCATGCGTGTCTGAGTGCTGGTGGGGTCAGCTTGGAAGCGGGCACCTTGCCGTGTGGTGAGCCTGAGTGGGGACTTCTCTCCTCCCTGGAACTGCCTGGGGCTTCAGTCTGCAGAGGGAGGTGAGTTCTGACACTTGCTGCAACATGGTGAACCTTGCACTGAGTAAAATGAGCCAGTCACCGGCTGGGCGCAGTGGCTCACGCCTATAATCCCCGCACTTTGGGAGGCTGAGGCAGGCGGATCACCTGAGATCAGGAGTTCGAGACCAGCCTGGCCAACATGGTGAAACCCTGTCTCTACTGAAAATACAAAAAATTAGCCAGGTGTGGTGGCGCACACTTGTAATCCCAGCTACTTGGGAGGCTGAGGCAGGAGAATCACTTGAACCTGGGAGGCGGAGGTTGCAGGGAGCCAAGATTGCGCAACTGCACTCCAGCCTGGGTGACAGAGTGAAACTCCATTAAAAAAAAAAAAAAAAAAAAAAGAAACAGTCACCAAAGGACAAACACCATATGATTCCATTCACATGAGGCCCCCAGAGTTGTCAAATTCATGGAGAAAGTAGAATGGTGGGTGCCAGTGGCTGTGGGAGGGGGAGAGGGGGAGTTAGTGTTTACTAGGGACAGAGCTTCAGTTTGGAAAGACAAAGTTCTGCAAGTAGATGATGGTAATGGTTGCATAACAGTGTGAACATACTTAATGCCACAGAGTCGTATGCTTAAAAATGGTTCAGGCCAGATGCAGTGGCTCATGCCTGTAATCCCAGCACTTTGGGAGGCCGAGGTGGGTGGATCACCTGAGGTCAGGAGTTCGAGACCCGCCTGGCCAATATGGTGAAACCCCGTCTCTACCAAAAAATAAAAATTAAAAAAATTAGCTAGGTGTGATGGTGTGCACCTGTAGTCCCAGCTACTGGGGAGGCTGAGGTGGGAGAAGTGCTTGAACCCGGGAGGTGGAGGTTGCAGTGAGCCAAGATCGTGCCACTGCACTCCAGCCTGGGGGACAGAGACTCTGACTCAAAACAAACAAACAAACAAAAAAACCGGTTAAGATGGTCAATTTTACCTTATGTATATTTTACCACAGCAAAAAAAACATAACCTAAAAAGACCCATCTGGGGCTTTGAACTGGTGTCTGCATTTGCCTGGGGGCTCGCTGAGGGCTCTGAGGCCCTCCTGGTTCATGGCTGGTTTTGTTGGTTGTGCAATGAGTAACACAAATAAATAGTGGGAAGGAAGTCAGGGTGGGGGGCCAGAGGAGAATCACCTCCCCAGTTAAGCCGTCACATTGATTCTTAGTCCCCAGACTTTCCCATGTGTTCTTATCTCCACACCTGCCAGAGGGGCTCTTCTACAGATGAGGCCAGAGGGGACGAGTAACTTGCTCAGGGACACAGAGCACACCAGGATCCCAGCAACGATTGAGCCCAGGTCTCTGCACGGAGGCAGCAGGGACGGACTTGCCAAGCTTGGGAGAGCCATGTGCCAGGGCCGAGAGTCCCCACAGTGCCCAGGTCAGGAGTGTGTGCATGTGTGGGTATGTGCACACATGTGTGCCTATGCCTCCTTGGGCAGAGCCCAGCGAGCGTCCAGAGGTGACAGGCAGCAGGGAGGTACGGGGGATGGCCGGACTCCTGGCCACCCTAAGGGAGGCTGCCAGGGTCTGGGGCCCCAACCTGGCCTCCCACAGTGGCAGAGGGGGGCATCCTGGACTTCCACCGGCCCCTACAGACCAGAGACTAAAAAATACCGTGGACCCCCAGTTGGTGGAGAGGGAGGGAAGGGGAAAGGTGGGTGGAAGGGAACTGGCAGGCCGCCCATGGGGAAGAAAGGGCAGAGCTCTGCAGTTAGGCGGTCTGGTTTCACACTCGACACTGACACCCACTAACTATGTGACCTCAGGCAAGTCACTCCACCTCTCTGGGCCTCAGCATCTCCCCCCCGATCTGGGAAGAGGGCTGGGATCAGAGGTGGCACACCCCGGGCAAGTACGCAGCATGGCACCCAGTGAGGCTGCCTGGGCTCACCGACTCGAAAGCCATGGAGATCCACTGCACGCGGCCCTCCCTGACGCCCACTGCCCCGTGGGACAGCTGCCCCGGGAGCAGGTTGGGCTCGGGCAGCTCCTTGCACTCAGGGTGCAACATCTGCAGGAAGGAGGAGATGCTGTAGCCTGCGGGGAGAGGCAAGAAAGGGAGTGCGTGGTGGCCCTGGAAGAGCCTGTCCCCCTGCATCACACCTGTGCCCACGCACTCACATACCTCTGAGGCTTAGAGTGCTTGTAACCATTGGCAACGGCATTGGGAAACCTACAACATGCATTTGCCATCGGGGTGGAACATGACCTGTGGGCCCCTCCCAGGGACACCCCGGTGGTGACCTCATCCACATTGGCTGTGGGGCCAGCCCCTGGCCCCGCCCCCTAATTTTGGAAAAGCTACTCCCGCAGATGTGCCCCCATCCCACACACATGCACCTCTGCACCAGTCCTGTTCACACACAAGCCTGCTCACATCCAAAAACCCTCGACTGCCGGCACACACCCCACCCTGGTGTGGACATGCTCAGCACAGATACACATCTGCAAAAGACCCCCACATGCCAGACACTGTCCTTCGGGCTGTCTACCTTGGACCACGGCCTCTGTGCCTCCCCAGTCAGTCCATCCTCCCTCGGAGGAACCAGCTCCCCACACCCCACGCACCTGAAGGCAGGCACTGGGCCCCACCCGGCTTCACCAGCTCGGAGTTGGCTGCGATGGCCTTGCAGAGGTGACACAGGTGCCCAATTTCCTTGAAGAGGTCAAAGCTGCTGTCGTAGACAACACTACCCTTTCCCAAGGAGAAACAAGCCGGCCCGGGCCGCTCAGTGAGACGGGGACTCAGTCCTGGGTGCTCACCCCCAACCCTGGGGCAGAACCTCCAGCAGCTTCCTGCTACCTGTCACCCTCATGTTGGCAGCCTGCAACTGCTCACCCACTGCTCCACCCTAACCCTCTGCCCTGCCCCCGCCAGCAACATCTGCTCCCATCACTGCCCACCCCACACAGGACCCTCTGTTTCACCTCCTCCCCTTCCCTCACCACCTTCTCACCTGGACTTCTTGCTTTTCTCCCCACCCTCCCAGACAGCCACATCCTCACTGTCCTGCAGAACCTGCCTGGTCCCCCCACCCCTGCTCCGAGCGCCTGCAGACACCCAGTGTGGACTGAACACACAGATCTCCTCCGACTCCACCTTGCCCCCGACTTACTCCATGGCTGCCATTCCCGTGTACCCCGCTGGGCTGTGACTAATAAAGGCAAAGGACACCCACCTGTCCTTCCTCCTAGGAATCCTTAGCACCCACTACGTGCCCAGAACAGTCCCGGCTCAAGCAGTGCTT
Organism: Homo sapiens; assembly: GCF_000001405.40. Lineage (NCBI taxonomy): Eukaryota > Metazoa > Chordata > Mammalia > Primates > Hominidae > Homo > Homo sapiens. The sequence continues at coordinate 11,530,353 of NC_000001.11, read as the reverse complement.
TCAAAAACTGAAGAGCCCCACATTGGACAGGAGTGCATGTGAGGGAGGGAGGCCTCAGAGAGAAAGCCACGGCCGAGCTCAGAGGAAGGGGGAGGGCAAGGAGGAGGGCACGGAGGTGTCCACCTGGATTGCCCTCTCTCCATTCCAGTCCCTCACAGGCATCCAGCTTGGGCCCTAAACCCAGATTCCTGGGTGAATCTAAGAGGTCAACGCCATTGAGTCCTCAAGAAAAACCGGACCCCCAGGGGCCCATAGGGGTTCTGTCTGGGTTAGAGGAGCCATTGAGGAGCCAAGAGGGGGTGTGAGGAGCTGGACATGGTTCCCTGGACAGGTGCTTATTTGCAAGACTGTTGCAGCTGGGGCCCTCGGCATCTGCCCGACGCATGCCCCGTACCGGGTCTCCAATGACGTGGTTGTCCACCTGCCGAGTGCGGTTGACGCCAATAATGCCGAAGACCACAAAGACCATGGCCCCGGTATCCACTAGTGGCCGCACCGCCGGCTTCCCGCAGCCCGTGTTCACGCAGGGGTTGAAGCCGAAGGTGGCTGAGAGACGGGCCTTGGGCACTGCGAACAGGGAGTCACAGCTGTAAGGGAAGGCAGGGTCCAGCTCCTGAGCCCCGAGGTCTCAGCTCTTGAGGTCCCCACCTGTGTGCCCTTGCCGTACCTTTCTCACTAGGCACGAAGAAGAAGCCTTTGGTAGGCCCATCGGGGCTGGAGCTAAGCAGGCAGCCAGGGGGTGCCATGCATACGCGCCCGTGGAAGGGGGGCTTGTGGGACTGGGCGAAGTACAGCTTCCTGTGGAGGGAATGGAGGCTGGGCTGAGGCCGGAAAGGCTAGGAGGAGTCAGGGGAGGTGAGGCCAGCAGGCCAGGGTTGGGACTGGGGCTGGGGTGTCATGGGGTCTGGACTCGGGCTCTGCCCCGGCATGGGGATTTGTTCTCAGGTTGAGGGCTGGGGGATGTGCCCTGGGCTGGGGGTCTGGAGGCTGTTCTAGCCCTGCCCCTGCCAAGGCTGACTATGGGAACCTAGTAAAGGCCCTGCCCCTCTGGGTCTCAGTCTCCCCATAGGAGTCATGAAGGGTGGAGAAGACCAGCAGCTTTCAAACTGTCCCCCGGGGGTACGAGGGTTCAGGAGGGACCCCCAGGGCCAACCCTAGTGGTCCTCGCTCAGAAGCCCCCAGCCTTGCCTCAACCCCAACAGTTAGGGAGTCTCTAGATTCTATAGGAAGGAAGGGCTCCAGTGTCAACAGCTGGCTAACCACTAGACCCAGTGCAGCTCAAAGTTCTTTCTAGAATGTTTCCAGCTCATCCAGGCAGCCTGCCTGACCCCTGGCCCACTGATGTGTCTGTGCAGAGTGAGCCCAGCCTGGGGCTCAGGGGAGGACAGGCAGAGGGGCCCCCACCCCCGAGTCAGGGTCCCAGGCTGGAAGGGACCCAGTGGGTGGCTGTCCTGCCATTCCCTGGCCTCCAAGCTGCAGCCCTCAGCCCCATGCAGAGTTCAGGCTCCTGTGGGTGTTTGACACTCCAAAGCTAGCCCCGTCAGAGACCAGTCTCCATGTGTCACTGAGCCCCATCGGAGACCACAGTCCCCGTGCATCACCAAGTTCTGTCAGAGACCACAGTGCCTGTGTGTCACCGAGCCCCGTCAGAGACCACAGTCCCCGCGTATCACCGAGTTCTGTCAGAGACCACAGTCCCTGTGTGTCACCGAGCATGGCCTTGTACCACTGTTCTCCACAATGACAGTGGGGCTATTTCTTTCAGAGCACGTATCATAGTTTGTAATGATATCGCTGTTTACTTGTTAGTGGCCTGTCTCCCACTAGACAGCTCGAGGGCAGGAGTCACATCTGTCTTTGTCACTACCATATCCCTAGCACAGTGCCAGCACAGTTGAAGCCCACAGTTTGTTAAATCAGTGAACGGCAGAGAGAGGAGACCTTTGGCTAATATGGCCTCCACAGATAAATGGATGCAGGGCTGTGTTTACAACATGGGGAATGAAACCCCAGAAAAGGTGCCCCTGGATGGCGTGGAGATCCCGAGAGCACAGAATGCAGCCTCTGACTCGGCATGTAGTAGGGACCCGACTTCACACTGGGTGCTAGCAGGGACTGGGCCTGTGGCAAGTGAATACAACAGGGGCCCTCCCCTCGCTCTCCTTCCAGCAGAAGGGGCAGGGGCATTAAATAAACATTTTCTGAATTAATGATATATTTAGAGTGTGGGTGAGTGCCTTGTCAAGGAAGTGTGGAGTGTACTCATTCATTCATTCAGCAAGTACTTATTTGTACCTACTACGCCAGACACCCGTGACAGGTGCTGGGGAGGCGGCACCAAATGAGACGGCCAAGGTGCTACCACAGGATGCCTGTGTGCTCCTGTGGGAAGACAGGTAACACTGCAGGTCAGCATGGTGGCAGGTGGCAATGGGGCCAGGAGAGCAGTGGGTGACGTATGGAGAGAGGCTGGATGTGGCACTTGGAGAGGGACAGCCTCTCCCAAGAGGTGACTTTTGGACAGGGACTTGAATCTTGAGAAGTTGTCTCACACTTGAGGAGCTGGGAAAAGCATTCTAGGCACAGAGAGCAGTAAATGCAAAGGGCCTGAGATGGAAAGGGGCCTGGTATGCCAGAGGGACAGCCAGGTGGCCACTGCAACCCCTGAGGAGCTATCAAGGTGGGGAGCAGCTCCCGGGCCCGTCTCTTTGCCAATGTTCTCCACTCCCCAGCCCTGGGCAGAGACCCATCTGAGCAGGTAGGTGGAAATGGACAGCAGTTTCTTTTTCTCTTTTTTTTTTTTTTTGAGATGGAGTCTCGCTCTGTTGCCCAGGCTGGAGTGCAGAGGCGCGATCTCGGCTCACTGCAACCTCTGCCTCTGGGTTCAAGTGATTCTCCTGCCTCAGCCTCCTGAGTAGCTGGGATTACAGGTGCGTGCCACCATGCCTGGCTAATTTTTTGTATTTTTAGTAGAGAAGGAGTTTCACTGTGTTAGCCAGGATGGTCTCGATCGGCTGACCTCGTGATCCGCCCACCTCGGCCTCCCGAGGTGGGATTACAGGCATGAGCCACCGCACCTGGCCAGCAGTTTCTTAAAGGAGTCTGCTGGCATCCCTCAGGGCTGGGTGCAGTGGCTCACGCCTGTAATCCCAGCACTTTGGGAGGCCAAGGCAGGTGAATCACCTGAGCTCAGGAGTTTAAGACCAGCCTGGCCAACATGGCAAAACCCCATCTCTACTAAAAATACAAAAATTAAGCAGGTACCAGTGGTGGTGCATGTCTGTAATCCCAGCTACTCAGGAGGATGAGGCAGAAGAATCACTTGAACCTGGGAGGCAGAGGTTACAGTGAGCCAAGATTGTGCCACTGCACTCCAGCCTGGGCAACAGAGTAAGAAAAAAAAAAAAAAGTGAGGGGGCCTGCTGGCATCCCTCATGTGAAAAGAGAGAGAAAAGAGAGAAAAGGGCAAAGAAGCAGCCGGGCTGATGGGCACCGGCTTGTCTGCCAGGCTCTGTTACCGGGTGTGCTGCTGCTCCTTGGTGGCCACGTAGAAGCTGAAGTCAAACTTCCAGCCCCGCTTGGCATCACAGGCCAAGGTCGTCAGCATCCACTTGCGGGAGGGGCTCGCCGCCTGGAGCAGCCCTACTGTAGACATACAAGCGGTCAGCTTCTTGGTGAAGTTACCAAAAGGCGCTCTATACACCTAAGCAGTGGGTTGACAGAGACAAGACACATGACTCGGGGGGGCTGCCTCGGCCTGGGCCAGCCTCAGGCTCCGTCCCCTCCCTCCTCGGCATAGTTCACCCTGTCCCAGTCCTCGGAGTTGGGGACAGAGCCCTGGGCAGAGGCTTGGGAGGCCTGGGTTTGAGTTCAGCACTTGGGCAAATCCCTTCCTCCCTCTCTGAGCCTTGTTTCTTCCTTCAACAATCATTCACTGAGTGTCTGTCCCATGCCAGGCACTGTGCCAGGCTCTGAGGGGCACGGTCCCTGACCTCTTGGAGCTGGCAATGATGATGGCTTCCAAGAATAAGGAAGACAAGACAGGATAAATGGCAGGGAGAGGAGGGCAAGGCGAGAAAGGCGCCGGGGCAGGGCTCTGTGGGGACCAACAGGCATGTTGAGACCTGAACGAGCACCTAGGAGTCAGCCACGCACGAAGCTGAAGGAAAAGCTTTTCAGGCAGTGGGAACTGCACATGCGAGGCTTAGAGGCAGGAAAAGCCTCAGAGACCTCATCTTCCAAATGGAAATATAAATCCTGAACAAATGAATTGGCGCGTGTCCCTGTCACCATGGAGGGTGTGTACCACGTTAAAGAAACACAAATGAGCCTGGGCTACACAGAGAGACCCTGTCTCTACAAAAAATAAAAGATAAAATTAGCTGGCATGGTGGTGTGTGCCTGTGGTCACAGCTACTCAGGAGGCTGATGAGAGAGGATCGCTTGAGCCCAGGAGGTCGAGGCTGCAGTGAGCTATGATCATGCCACTGCACTCCAGCCTGGGTGACAGAGCAAGCCCCTGTCCTCCCCCCACCCCCAAGAAAAAGAAAAGAAACACAAATGACTCCCATGAAGGGGAAAACTCAAGTCTGGGCTCGGGGACTCCTTTCTGCAGCGCTGGAGCAGCTACCAAGGACAGCAAGATTCCTGGCCGCCACTGCCTGAGGAGGGACTGCACCCAGGCGTTCTGCACGGCACAGGCCTCACCTCACACCCCTCCAACAATGCTGGCTGGTGCTTGTTGCATCCCCATGTCACAGATGAGGAAACTGAGGCTCAGAGAGTAAGTAATCTGCCTAAAGACACACAGTTAATAAATGGCAGAGCCAGGATTTGAATCCAGGCCTGGCTGACTCAGAAGCCCACGCTGCTACCACTCGGCAGGTCCCTGTCACAGACATGGCTGGTTTAGGGGAGGGGGGTCTTCATCCTCAAAGCTGCTTCTCCCTCCCTATTGGCCAGGGCTGCCCACCAGTGTGGCCCTGAGAGCCCCCCACCACCCACAGTGGTGGCGGCTCACTTCACGACAGCCCAGGCTCACCTGGAAGGAGGGCACCTCTCCATCCCCAGGCGACACAGCCTGCCAAGGAGCAGGCAGGCTGGCATTGAGGGAGAGCCTGTAGACAGCGGGGTGGCCTTGACTCTTCACTTTAGAGATGTACACGGTGCCTGGGAAATCTACGGACAAATAAGGGATGAAAGAGGGGTGGACTTGACCTCGACTGGCTTCTCCTGACCCTGGAGCAGCCCACCCTCAGCTCTGTCGACTAACGAGCTCAGTCCTGGCCTTGGGCTCATCTCAAAATGCTGGCTGTGCCCCTCTCTACTGGACCAGGTCCATGGCAATAATAGTGGGGGAGGTGGTGGGCACAGGATGGGGTGGCAGGGATGGTGGGGGAGGTGGTGAGGGAGATAGTGGGCACAGAGATGGGGTGGCAGGGATGGTGGGGGAGATAGTGGGCACGGGGATGGGGTGGCAGAGATGGTGGGGGAGATAGGCACAGGGATGGGGTGGCAGGGATGATGGGGGAGATGGTAGGCACAGGGATGGGGTGGCAGGGATGATGGGGGAGATGGTAGGCACAGGGATGGGGTGGCAGGGATGGTGGGGGAGATGGTAGGCACAGGGATGGGGTGGCAGGGATGGTGGGGGAGGTGGTAGTCACTGGGATGGGGTGGCAGGGATGGTGGGCACAGGGATGGGGTAGGAGGGATGGTGGGGGAGGTCGTGGGCACTGGATGGGGTGGTAGGGATGGTGGGGGAGGTGGTAGTCACTGGGATGGGGTGGACTAGATAGCGGAGGTGACAGTGATGGAGGGCATCCTGCTGAAAATGTGCTAGTGTTGGTACAGGGCTGGTGCTGGGAGTGACAGTAGTAGGAGAGAGGTGGCAACAGTGCCATAGGGTGACAGGGACAGACACAGCTGCCTGATGGGGCATTCATTCCCCCAGTACACTTGACCCAGCACCCACCTCTGAGGGAGACTCCAGCAGGGACAAGCCAGTGTTCAGGGCCCAGGATGCCCACCTCTGCCCCTGGACACTCAGGGTGGCTTTGGTGCACAGGGAGGCTCTGGGGGCACCACAGACCAGGGTGTCGCGGGAGCCTACTGTCCTGGCGGGATGGGAGGTGAGGGCCCCAAATTCACCCCCCATCCCCAGCTCCTCTGCAGTGACCAGGAACACACAATCTCCTTCTTGAAGGAGAATCCAGAAGGAATTTTATCTGCTCTCCTTACAGGGCCTTCAACCCTAGCACCAGGGAGGATTTCCCCACCCTCCACCCCCAGTGCTCACCCTGCAGGGTGGCCTCAGGCCGGCTAGCCCAGGGGACCCCTGAGCCTCGCCTCTTCTTCTCCAGGGACGTCCGGATGTTGTTCTGCAGGCTGTGGGGCTTCTCCTGGAACAGACCTGCCCCCCAGCGCCATGTCAAGGACAGCAGGACAGCAGGACATCCTGGCCTGGGCCCGATGGGCAGAGGGAAGAGGCTGGGATCTGAGACAGTCTCAGGAACTGGGGCCCAGGGACTGGAGGGGGTGGGTGTCAGGGGTCAGAAAGAAACTAGAAAGAACTTTTAAAAAATCAAATACCAAATTTATAGGAATTTTAGGCCCAGAGAAAGGCACCATCAGCCTGCCCAGAGAAAAACACTGAAACGCTCCCTGCTCGCCCTCTCTGTGCCACTCTGCCCCCTGCTTGCTGTCTCTGTGCCACTCTGCCCCCTGCTCGCCGTCTCTGTGCCACTCTGCCCCCTGCTTGCCATCTCTGTGCCACTCTGCCCCCTGCTCGCCCTCTCTGTGCCACTCTGCCCCCTGCTCGCCCTCTCTGTGCCACTCTGCCCCCTGCTTGCTGTCTCTGTGCCACTCTGCCCCCGCTTGCCCTCTCTGTGCCACTCTGCCCCCGTGCTCACCCTCTCTGTGCCACTCTGCCGCCTCTGTCGGGTGGAGATGATGCCACACTTCCCTCGGGGGTGGGACATCACATCCTCTGCATCCAATTAACAGGAGTGACTGTTAGAGTGACCCAAGGTCATCAGCTGGCAGACATGGTGGGAGACATATATTCCTGTTTTGCCTCAAGCGTTGTGTGTTAGCCCTTCCTTTGGGTTTTTTAAATTAGAAATGAGAGAACTACACCTTCAAAGTTTTAATCCTCACAGCCATCCTGAGGCTGTTCCCATGAACCCCACTTGATGGAGTGGAAAGCAGAGGTGAAAGGACCTGCCCAGGGAGGGACTTGCAGCCCCGCTGGGTTCTGGCCTCGCCTGCCCTTTGTAAAGCCGAAGCACTCTGCTGTACTCTGAAGGGGTCCCTCCAAGAGGCAGTTCCCAGAGGAAGAGGCACAGGGAGTAGGGGCTGGGCTCTGGCTGGGCTCCGGCTGGGTCCTGGCTGGGTCCTGGTTGGGCTCTGGCTGGGTCCTGGCTGGGTCCTTGCTGGGTCCTGGCTGGGCTCTGGCTGGGTCCTGGCTGGGCTCTGGCTGGGCTCTGGCTGGGTCCTGGCTGGGCTCTGGCTGGGTCCTGGCTGGGCTCTGGCTGGGTCCTGGCTGGGTCCTGGCTGGGCTCTGGCTGGGCCCTGGCTGGGTCCTGGCTGGGTCCTGGCTGGGTCCTGGCTGGGCCCTGGCTGGGCCCTGGCTGGGCCCTGGCTGGGTCCTGGCTGGGCCCTGGCTGGGCTCTGGCTGGGTCCTGGCTGGGCTCTGGCTGGGCCCTGGCTGGGCTCTGGCTGGGCTCTGGCTGGGTCCTGGCTGGGCTCTGGCTGGGTCCTGGCTGGGTCTTGGCTGGGTCCTGGCTGGGCTCTGGCTGGGTCCTGGCTGGGCTCTGGCTGGGTCCTGGCCCCAGATGTTGTCAGGGAGCTTCGGGGTTTGTCCATCTGTGGGCAGGAGGCCTGTGGCGGCGGTGATGATGGGGAGCAATGCCACATCCTGGCAGTGGGGTAGAGGAGCTGGGGACGTGGCCAGGGCTGGCTCCGAAGTGTGAGGGGCTCTTCTGGTGCCTCTCGGAGCTGCAGTGGATTATCACGCATTTGGCTGCCATTACCAAGGGGAAGGCCAGGTTGATCTCAGCACCGCCCTAATTAAATAAAGGTAATGACAGCACCAGCAGATCTGCTCCTGTGAGCTGGAAGCACTCACCCAGGCGTCTTCTCATTTGGTTTCTAACTGCCCTGGCAAAGTCAGATGACCTTGGGTTGACTTCGCCTGCTCCCCCTCTGTAAAATGCGGCCTGGGCCAGCTACCTCAAAATCAAGGAGCCATCTCTGTCTTCCCTCCTGGCTCATTCCCGACTCCCACTCCGTCACCAAGTCCTATGGAAACCACCTCCTAAAAACCTCTTGACTCCACCATCGCTGCCATCAGCATGCTGGTCCCAGCACCACCAGCTCTCAGCCTCCCAGCTAGCTTCCACCCCAGTGCCCTAGTCCACCTCCACACAGCACCTGGGAGACTCCCTCACCCCGCTTCTCCACTTAAACCACGTGACTAGCTTCCAGTGACAATCAGAATAAAATCCAGACCCCTCACTTCAGCCCATCTGCCCTATCCCAGTCCACTGGGCCAGACTTAGTTCCTGCAGCTGCCTCTCTCAAATGTGGCATTGGTCTTTCCCACCTCTGGTGCTCTCCTCTGCCTAGACTCCTGCCTCCTCTCCCCTCCCAGCCTGGTTAACCTCTCCTCTTCTCTCCTCTCCCCTCCCAGCCTGGCTAACCCCTTCCCTCCTCTCCCCTCCCAGCCTGGCTAACCCCACCCCTTCCCTCTCTCCCCTCCTCAACTGGCTAACTCCTCCTCTTCCCTCCTCTCCCCTCCCCGCCTGGTTAACCTCTCCTCTTCTCTCCTCTCCCCTCCCAGCCTGGCTAACCCCACCCTTTCCCTCCTCTCCCCTCCTCACCTGGCTAACTCCTCCTTTTCCCTCCTCTCCCCTCCCAGCCTGGCTAACCCCTTCCCTCCTCTCCCCTCCCAGCCTGGCTAACCCCACCCCTTCTCTCCTCTCCCCTCCTCACCTGGCTAACCCCTCCTCTTCCCTCCTTTCTCCTCCCAGCCTGGTTAACCCCACCCCTTCCCTCCTTTCCCCTCCCCACCTGGTTGACCCCTCTTCTTTCCTCCTCTCCCCTCCCAGCCTGGCTAACTCCTCCCAATTCTTGTGAGTTGTGGCCTAGACGTTACTTCCTCCAGGAAGCCTTCCATGACGTGGGCCTCTAAGACACCCTATTCTTCCTCCGCCAAAGCTCAGATCTACTATTACAGTGACCGGGCCCTAGAGCTGGAATGTGAACTCCCTGAGCTTGGGAAGCCTATGCCTCCCGCCCACAGTACCTCCCCAGAGCCAGCACCCAGCAGGCACCCAGCAGGCATCTGTTGAATGAACTGTGGGAACATGGGGGCTCAGAGGGGAGTGGGATTTGCCTGAGGTCTGGCATTGATGGGGACCCTGGATCCTGCATCTCTCAGACCAACAGTCTTTGGGACCCGGACACCTGAGCGGGCCAGGGACAGCCTGGCTAGAAGCCTCACCTGAACAGGTGATGCAGGAGATGCCCTCGGCGCTCAGGTTGTACTTGAGGTCCAGCAGCACCTGGATGTTGGTATCAGGCCGGAAGAGTAGCGGGGCCCGGCTGGCGGGGCGGAGCCGGCTGGCGAACACCAGGGACAAGATGAGGATGGAGACGAACAGCCCTGTGAGGAAAGGGCGCTACACCAGGCGGGGCTGGGCCCAGCTGGTCTGTTCCCAGTGGGGCTCCAAAGTGCCGGGAGACAACTGCTCTGGTTGTTGGGGGGCGGGTGTCCTAAGGGTGCGGGGGAAGGCCCTGCATGCCAGCCCGTGGGCAAAGCTTGCTGGGGATGGTCCTACAGGGCCAGGGATCAGTTGCTTTGTGGTGTCCCATGGGGTTTGACTATAAGCTATAATCTAATACTCCTGGACAAGAGGCGGCCACCACCTCAGAGCACCTCATAGTTTATGACGAGCTGGTGCACTACTTGATCTCACACAACTCTGAAATAGTGTCGAAGATGACAATGATAATAGCACTTGACATTCACTGAGCACTTACCGCACGCCACGCGCTGGGCTGAGGTCTTTATACATACTCTCCACTGACAGCTGCCTTCCTAGCCACCGTTCTCATCCTCAATTACAGAATAGGAACTGAGTGCTAAACGGACTGGAATAGCCAAATTCACACAGCTAGGACGCGGCCAAACTGGGACTCAGACTCAAGTGGGTCTAACTCCAGGGCCCATGTGTGGCATGCTCTGTGCTACTGCCCAGTGTGAGTGGCTGGCACACAGCAGGGGCCAATGAGTAACAGCCGCCATGACCGGCTTCATTCTGCACAGGAAAGAGGGGGGGTCAGAGAGGGAGAGACCCCAGCCCAGGCCTCTGACCCTGGGGCATCTGCGAGAGGGGGTGGGCTCCCAGTTCCTGTGTGTTTTGGGGGTGGAGCTGTGAGACAGGGGGCAGGGCCGGAGGGCCCACTTACCCACAATCACCCAGCGGCTCTTGACGGCTGACCACAGGACCCAGTGGTGCAGCAGCTCCTGCAGCTGCACGATGAGATGGCCGCGGCTGCCCGTGTTGGAGGCTGGCTGCAGACCCTCGGGGGACACAGACACCAGGGACACGTCTCCCAGCTCCAGTGACACTGCCAGGGCAGAGCAGTGGCCCGTCAGAGCCTGAATCAAAGCCCACTGTGGTCCACGCTCGCTTCCAGGGAAGCCCAGATGCCTGGTGAGGAAGCCCACAGGCCATCTTGTCCGGCCCCCAGCCTCAGGACCAACTTGTCAAGTGTTACTCCCCTGGCAGAGGCAGCGCTGGGTCTCACTGGGGTCAGTAGGGCAGGCCTGTGCCAGCTCTCACCTGGCTCTTCCTCGACCTCCAGCAAGGGGATGTCATCATCCAGGTAGGGTATGGGGCCCTGGGCAGGGCTGCCTCCAACCTGCTCGGGAGCGGCAAACACGTCTCCGGGGAAGTGCAGGGAGGTCTTCCGGCTGCAATTCTGGTGGCAGCTGTGGAGAGAGTAGGGGACAGGGGTGAACCAGAGGGTCCTGGGTACCCAGGGAGGGTGGGGCAGGGCCCTGAGGATCAGATGAACCCAGGTATCACAGTGCTGCTGACGTCACACACAGGATGAGCACCCCAGACTTCTGGGAGCTGGTCACCTGGTTTCTTTCTAGTACCATCTACCCCAGGGCCCTCAGGTGCCAGTCTTCCTCCAGAGAGACAAATGGTGACAGCAAACATTACCCAGGAAGAGGGGATGACAACACACAGTGGCCCGGGCACTAAGGTGATCAAATCAGGGGACTCATTCCTCTGCTGCTGTGTGGCCCAGGGGCTCTGCCTCCAACTTAATACTCAGGGGAGCCAGGAGGAGGGAACAGGGCTGGGCTGAGGGTGTAGCTGCGTGGCCGAGGTCTCAGCTGGAGTGAACACATGAGAGACGCAGCTCAACCTAGGGACTGGGCACCAGAATAATCCTCACGGCTGATACGAGCGCTGTGTGTGTGGCTAATACCACTGCCACGTGCCAGCAGTGAGCTGGGAGCCCTGCGTGGATTATCTCACTTAATCCTCATGGGACTCACACACAGATGAACCCAGGTATCACAGTGCTGCTGACATCACAACCATTTCACAGAAAAGGAAACTGAGATGCAGAGGTGAAGTCACCTGTCCAGGGTTTCATGGCTGCCGAGGGAGGAGGCTGGGCTTGAAGCCCACATCTGACTGACTGGGAAGACGACTGTGCCCAATAGGACCACTGGGGAGACAGCCCCAGGCCGGGGGGCAGACGTGGGGCTTATTTTGCATCTCTGTAGAGATCAGAAAAGGCGCCCTTTCCCCATGACGCTGCTTCTATATCATGAAACTGTCACGGAAAACAGTCAAATCTGAGCACCCATGGTACACAGAGCAGTGCCTCCGCCGGGGCACCTGTGTGCAGTGCCAACCTGCACCACCACAGCGGGGTCCTGAAGGGTGAAGATGTGAGTGGGGAGAGCTGAGGAGTCCATCTCAGGCCCAAGTCTAAGCTCCTCGCTGGGCCCTTCTCTCCCTCCAGCCCCTCTGGGGCTCACCATGGGCGAGCGGACATTGTCATGGGTCCCTGAACACGACTGACCAAGGCCTTTATCACAATGAGTGGGCCCTGTTCCAAGCCCAGAGACCCTCCATCCTCCCAACCCCAGGCAGCCACCCAGGCCTGATTCAACTCCACCACCATCCACCTCCATCTTCCCAACCACCAGGCCCACAAGGTCTTTCCCCCTAAACCTCCAGCAGCAACTCTGAACTGACCCGTTCAACTCTGCACACGTCTCACTACATCTAAAGATGAGAACCTGAGGACACTTAACATGGTGGCTAAGAGCATGGGATCTGGAAGCAGAGTTCTTGGGTTTAAATCCAGGCTCTACTGCCTACTAAATAGGTGACCTTGAAAAAGCTGCCCAACCTCCCTGAGTCATTGTTTTCTATCTGTAAAATGGGCACAGCAAGAGAACCCAGCTCCCAGGGTTCTTTGGGAAGTGAATGGTGATGTCATAAGATCTTGGACACAAGTGCTTTGCTCACTTCCTGGTGACACTGGTGATCCCAAATTGCAGTTATTGGATGGAAGCATCTTCTCCTTCCCTGTTCCCTGCCTAGCAAAGGACTGGTCATACAGAAGGCTTTTGGAAGAGAGGTTGCTGCACTGAGTGGCTCATAGAGGCCTGTTGTGGATACCCTGCTGTGGGTGGAGGCCCTGCCCGACTTACCTGGTCTGGCAGGAGCTCTCCAGTGGTGCCAGGTAGAGGCTCCAGAGGCCCAGAGCTGCAGGCATGGTGACAAGCACGGCCAGCCAGCAACAGGACACGATGAGAGACATGAACAGGCCAAAGTCGTGGACGGCTGGGATCTGGTGATGGAAAGGAAGAGAGGGATGTGGGACAGGTTGGACCTGCAGTCAGGGGGCCTGGGTGCCCCCTGCAGCCAGAGACACTCAGGACCCCAGATCTGGCCCAGACTGAGGCAGTAGGAGGAGGCCCAGGCTGCCAGAATGCCAGGCACTAGCCTCACAGGACACCAGGAGCCAAGGGCTGGTGTCAGAGGACACAGCAGCACAGGAAGGGTCCCCACCTCAAGTGGAGGCTCTTGTCTATCTGCAGTCCACTGCCCAGAACAGTGCCTGGCACAGAGGCAGTGGTCAGTAGCTGTCATTACGCGAATGAATGGGGGACAGAGGAAGACACATCCCGCTAGACCAGGCCATGTGCTAGTGAGGGGGAGGGAGAGAATGCTGCCACATGACGGAGGCAGGGACCCTGGGGACTAGGAGCAATGGGTATGTTCCAGAAGTATGACAGGGACCACACAGGGAGGTGCTAGTTGGAAGGAAGCTGTAGCCACCAACAGAGCAGCCTACACTCTGTGAAACACTTTCACAATCATCCTCGCATCTCAGTCCCTGGATAATCCACACATGAGGAAAGCGAGGCTCAGAGAGGTCACACAGCCTGCCCAAGGTCACACTGCAGAAGCTGAACCCAGCTCTGCCTACCTTCTAGAAGTGATTCTCTAGAAGGACCTGGATAATCCTAAAGCATCTACTGGTTTCCAGAGGGGCTACTCAGCCCAGGTCGTAAAGTTTCTCAAAGACTTGGGCCAATTCACTGTCTTTCTGTACCAAGGACCCAGCCTGGGCTCAATGCCTTCTCCTAAGCCCCACTCAGAGGCAGCAAGAGGAAGTCAGCACAAGGGAGGAAAATGCAGCCAGAAGCAGGCAGAAGGGGAATCACTATGGACTTGGTCAGGCTTCTCACTTATCTGCTGTGTGATCCTGAGGAAGTCACTTTACCTCTCAGGGGCCAAGTTTCTTTTTTGGAAAATAGGATGGTAATTGTACCTTTGTCAATTACCGTGGTAATGAAGATTAAACGAGAAAGAGCTTTGGAAACTGCCAAATGTCCTCCAGGGTGGAGGCTGGATTACTACTACTGAGGATCCCTAATGCATGCTGTCTGGATTATTATAATATTCCCACTTGTTAAGTTTGGGTAATGGGTGATTCGTGACAAAAATGAACTCTAGAGCCAGGGCAAGTACCTTGAGGTGAAGGCTATATGGCCACTCAAGCGGTGGTGGGAAGGGCAGAGACCAGCGGCTAGGTATGCATGAGCGTGTGGGAGGCCAGGACAGGAATGGAGGACAGGTCCGCACCTGGGAGAAGACGTTAGCTGCGTAGGCGGCGGCTGTGGTCAGGGAGGTGAAGAAGGTGGCCTTGCCTGCAGTTTGGACGGTGTGGATCATGCGCAGCTGTGGGTCTTCCAGGTGGGTGGCCTGGCGGTAGGTGTTGATGAACACAAAGACATCGTCCACACCTGTGGGAGGGAGTCCCCAGCCAGGCTCAGGATTATTCTGCTGTCTCCAGGATTAGGCCCAACCTGGCCCTAGACCAAGTGTGAGTGGCCTCCTGGGAGGTCAGGCTGCAGGAGTCCTGCTTCTGAGCTTACAGTTTGGAGAGACCCCTCTGATTGGCTCCTCCCACCAAGAGTTCAAGCCCCACCCACCACACTCCTTGGCCCCAACCTCACCCAGAGCTAGGCGCCTTCCCCCACATCCTGACCTCCTTCCCACACTTCCTGGGCCTTTCCCACCATCCTCACCTCCATCCAGCAAACCTTCCTGCTCTCTCCACTCACCCTATGCCAAGGATCCGCCCACCACCCACATTCTAACCCTGCACTCCAAGGCTCTAGGCCTCAGCAGGCGCTGTGTAGAGCCCCCAGGGAAGCCAGGCTTTGTATCCAGGGAGAAAGGGGATGGGGCAGACTTCCCATGTGGGAGGCGCACTGCCATGACAACAGAGGCGACTCACCAATGCCCACGATCACGAAGGCGGCCACCCCATTCAGGATGCCCAAGTACTGGATACCAAAGACCACGTGGTACAGGAAGAGGGCCACCAGGCAGCTGAGACCAATGCTGGCAATCCCAAAGAAGGACAGGAACACTGGGCAGGGTAAGAGACACAGGGAGACGGTGGGGGGACCCTCATGGGACACAAACCCCACTAGAGTCCCTGACCTCAGCTGGGTCCTGTCTCTTCTCCCCAACCCTGGTCACCATTCACCACTCTGTTCCCAGCACAGGCACAGGGCCAATTCTGTTTTCCACACCCAAAAAGGGCACCGGGCAGGAGGCCCAAGTGGCAGACTGTCCTCCTCTTTGCAGACCTTACCTCAAGAGCCTTGTGAACATTACATATTACCTGGGGGTAGGAACTGTGTCTGGATCCCTGGCACCTTACAGCATCTGGCATATAGTTTGGTGCCCAGTAAATATCTGTTGTATGGACGAATGAATGTCTTTTCCATTTTGGAAAGTATTACCATTGTCTTGTCTGCTTGGGCAGTAGAGTGTGCCTACTGTATACAGACAGGAGTAAGCAGCAGCTAGTATCCAGGGGCACACGGAGGTGAAAAAGTGATCGGGGGGCAGATGGCAGTTGACTTGGGACTCCAAAATAGGCTACAAAGTAATCCACAAAGGAATACAATACCCCAGACTCCCCAGCACAAGGCTATCAATAGGAGAAAGATGGTCAACAGGCAAAAGGTCCAACTGTGCAGGGGCCCAGGGTAGAGGGTGTGACCCGGGCTGGTACAGCCCAACCTGCCTCCAGGCCTCAGTCTGCCTGTTTGGGGTTGGAAGATGATTTGTGTGCATATCCCTGTGTCCCCAGCTCTGACATGCTGGGCTCAAGAGTATTGCAGCATTCTTGAGAAGGCAGGCTCTGGGCAGACAGGAGCACCCTGGGAGGGGAGGAGGGGGCTGGCTTGAGAGAAGCCCTACCTGAGCAGGAGGTGAGGATGTAGACCAGGGCAGCAATGCAGCTGCTGCTGATGAAGGCCAGGAGCATGTCATTGTTGAACGTCCTGCGCACTTCATAGTCAAACAGGTCTGTCCCCCCATAGAGAACCTGGACTTTGCTGGGGGAAGGGAGGACGTGGAGAAAAGAATGACAGGAAGAGGATTAGAGATGGCTGTGAACATGTGAACATGTAGAGGAGTATCAGGAGCTGTCCACTTCACCTGTGACTCTACCTTGGTTGGATATCAAAATCACCTGGGGGCTTCCAATAATCCTGATGTCCAGGCCAGGCTCCAGACAAATTAGATCAGAACTGCTGGGGTGGGTCTGAATCATCAGTGCTCTTTAACTCTCTCAGGTGATTCAAATGTAGGGTCAAGGTTGAGAACCACTGCTCTACGCAGATTGTGATCAATTATAATCAGCTTCTATGTCATCTTCCAATTCTCCATATCTATGGCCAAGTTCTAAATTCAAACTGGCTGCTAGATATCCAGTTTTACACTGCTATTCAATGTGTCCTTAACACAAGTTATTTTTAATTAAAAAAAAAAAAAAACATAACCAGGCTGGTCAAACTGTGTCTTAAAATACAAACATAAGTGACATCTGCTTCTGGCCAAGATGGAGTAACAAGATGGAGTCCATATTTATCTTCTCACTGGAACTAACAAAAATGTATGAAACAAGGCAACCAAGGATGACGATCCCTGAGAGATGAGAAACAAAATGAGTCCTATGCTTATCCTGGCTTAGTGCTTTGAGAGTTTCCAGTCCTCAGTGCAGCCTAAAATATGAGATATTGGACTCCCCAAAGGAGGCTGAAAAATTTCCAAACTTGATGAAAACTATAAACCCACTGATACAGGAAGCTTCAGCAATGAAGCCCCAGCACAAAAAAACTGCAATGCACATCATAACCAAATTGCTCAAAAATAGTGACCAAAAGAAAATCTTAAAAAGCAGCCTGAGAAAAAGACACATAGGAACAAAGACAAGGCTGACAGCAGACTTCCCATTAAAAACAGGGTACGTGGGAAGGCAGGGGATCAACATCCTTTGCAGACAGTGGGGAAAACAGTCAGCCCAGGATTCTATACCCAGCAAAAATACATTTAAAAAACAAAGGCAAAATAGAAAACTTTTTTAGATAGACAAAAACTGAAATAATTCATATCCAGTATACTTGTACTAAAAGAGATTTTATTTATTTATTTATTTTTTGAGCCAGGGTCTCACTTTGTCACCCAGGCTTGACTGCAATGGCATGATCATAGCTCACTATGGCCTCTAACTCCTGGGCTCAAACAATCCTTCCACCTCAGCCTCCTGAGTAGCTAGACTACAGATGCATGCCACCATGCCTGGCCGATTTTTTTTATTTTTTAGTAGAGATGGTGATAGGCTTTGGCTGTGTCCCCACCCAAATCTCAACTTGACTTGTATCTCCCAGAATTCCCATGTGTTGTGGGAGGGACCCAGGGGGAGGTAATTGAATCATGGGGGCCGGTCTTTCCCGTGCTAGACTTATTCATGATAGTGAATAAGTCTCACGAGATCTGATGGGTTTATCTGGGGTTTCCGCTTTTGCTTTTTCCTCATTTTCTCCTGCCGTCCCCATGTAAGAAGTGCCTTTTGCCTCCTGCCATGATTCTGAGTCCTCCCCAGCCATGCGGAACTGTAAGTCTGATTAAACCTCTTTTTGTTCTCAGTTTCAGTTATGTCTTTATCAGCAGCATGAAAACGGACTAATACAGTAAATTGGTACCAGTAGAGTGGGGCTCTGCTGAAAAGATACCTGAAAATGTGGAAGCAACTTTGGAACTGGGTAACAGGCAGAGATTGGAACAGTTTGAAGGGCTCAAAAGAAGACAGGAAAATGTGGGAAAGTTTGGAACTTCCTAGAGACTTGTTGAATGGCTTTGTGCAAAATGCTGATAGTGATATGGACAATAAAATTCAGGCTGAGGTGGTCTCAGATGGAGATGAGGAATTTGTTGGGAACTGGAGCAAAGGTGACTCTTGTTATGTTTTAGCAAAGAGACTGGTGGCATTTTGCTACTGCCCTAGAGATCTGTGGAACTTTGAACTTGAGAGAGATGATTCAGGGTATCTGGCAGAAGAAATTTCTAAGCAGCAAAGCATTTGAGAGGTGACTTGGGTGCTGTTAAAGGCATTCAGTTTTATAAGGGAAGTAGAGCATAAAAGTTTGGAAAATTTGCAGCCTGACAATGCAATGGAAAAAAAAAACCCATTTTCTGGGGAGAAATTCAAGCCAGCTGCAGAAATTTGCATAAGTAGCAAGGAGCCTAATGTTAATCCCCAAGACCATGGGGATTAACATTCTCTGCAATGGAGAATTTCAGAGAATTTCATGGCAGCCCCTCCCATCAGAGGCCTGAAGGCCCAGGAGGAAGAATTGGTTTCATGGGTCAGGCCCAGGGTCCCCACGCTGTGTGCAGCCTAGGGACTTGGTGCCCTGTGTCCCAGCCGCTCCAGCTGTGGCTGAAATGGGTCAATGTACAGCTCAGGCTGTGGCTTCAGAGGGTGGAAGCCCCAAGCTTTGGCAGCTTCCACATGGTGTTGAGTCTGTGGATGCAAAGAAGTCAAGAATTGAGATTTGGGAACCTCCACCTACATTTCAGAAGATATATGGAAACGTCTGAATGCCCACACAAAAGTTTGCTGCAGGGGTGAAGCCCTGATGGAGAACCTCTGCTAGGGGAGTATGGAAGGGAAATGTGGGGTCAGAGTCCCCACACAGAGTCCCTACTGGGCCACTGCCTAGTGGAGCTGTGAGAAGAGGGTCATTGTCCTCCAGACTCCAGAATTGTAGATCCACTGACAGCTTGCACCATGTGCCTGGAAAAGCTGCAGACACTCAATGCCAGCCCATGAAAGCACCTAGGAAGGAGGCTGTACCCTGTAAAGCCACAGGGGCAAAGCTGCCCAAGACCATGGAAACCCACCTCTTGCATCCGTGTGACCTGGATGTGAGGATGTGAGACCTGGAGTCAATGGAGATGATTTTGGAGCTTTAAAATTTGACTGCCCTGCTGGATTTCAAACTTGCATGGGCCCTGTAACCCCTTTGTTTTGGCCAATTTCTCCCATTTGGAATGGTTGTATTTAACGAATACCAGTACCCCCATTGTATCTAGGAAGTAACTAGCTTGCTTCTGATTTTATAGGCTTATAGGCAGAAGGGACTTGCCTTGTCTCAGATGAGACTTTGGACTGTGGACTTTTGGGTTAATGCTGAAATGAGTTAAGACTTTGGAGGATGTTGGGAAGGCATGATTGGTTTTAAAATGTGAGGACATGAGAATTGGAGGGGCCAGGGTGGAATGATATGATTTGGCTGTGTCCTGACCTAAATCTCAACTTGAATTGCATCTCCCAGAATTCCCATGTGTTGTGGGAGGGACCCAAGAGGAGGTAATTGAATCATGGCGGCTGGTCTTTACCATGCTATTCTCATGGTAGTGAATAAGTCTCATGAGATATGATGGGTTTATCAGGTGTTTCTGCTTTTGCTTTTTCCTCATTTTCTCTTGCTGTCGCCATCTAAGAAGTGCCTTTTGCCTCCTGCCATGATTCTGAGTCCTCCCCAGCCATGTGGAACTGAAAGTCCAATTAAATCTCTTTTTTTTTCTCTCCGAGTTTCAGGTATGTCTTTATCAGCAGTGTGAAAAGGAACTAATACAGATGGGGTCTCATTATGTTGCCCAGGCTGGTCTTGAACTCCTGGCCTCAAGCAATCCTCCCACTTTGGCCTCCTAAAGTGGGATTACAGGTGTTAGCCACTGTGCTCGGCCTATAAGAGATGTTAAAGGAAGTCCTCAGGAAGAAGGAAAATGGTAACAGATGGAAATAGGGAAATATGGGTCTATACAAAAATGGTAATGACATAAATAAATACATACAATTTTCTTATTTATTTAAATCTCTTTAAAAGATAATTGACAGTTTAAACAAAAATAATGTAGGGTGGGGTTTATAATATACATTAAAATAAAATGCATAACCACAATAACATAAAGGCCAGGAGGGAAGAAATAGTAGTATATTATTGTAAAGCTCTTATACTACATATGAAATGATATACTATCATTTGAAGATACACTGTAATAATTTAAAGATGTATACTATAAACCCTAAAGCAACTACTAAAAGAGTTACAACATAAAAGCCAACAAAGGAGATAAAATAGAATCATAAAAAACATTCAATAGTTCAAAAGAGGCAAAATACAGGAAAGGGGAAACAAGAAGCATATGGGAGAAATAGAATAAAATATACTTAAGTCTAACCATATTAATAATTGCATTAACTGTAAATGGCTTAAAGACCCCAAGTAAAAGGCAGAAAGTATCAGAGACCTTTATTTATTTATTTATTTATTTTTTGAGACAGAGTCTCACTCTGTCACCCAGGCTGGAGTGCAGTGGCACGATCTCAGCTCACTGAAAGCTCCACCTCCCGGGTTCACGCCATTCTCCTCCCTCAGCCTCCCCAATAGCTTGGACTACAGGCACCCACCACCACGCCCAGCTAATTTTTTGTATTTTTTAGTAACATGGGTTTCACCATGTTAGCCATGTTGGTCTCGATTTCCTGACCTTGGGATCCACCTGCCTCGGCCTCCCAAAGTGCTAGGATTACAGGCGTGAGCCACCTGGAGACCTTTAAAAAAGTCAAGACCTAGCTGACTACAAGAAACCCACTTTAAATATAAGGACACGAATAGGATAAAAGCAAAGGGATAGAAAATGATATACCATGCTAACATGAACCAAAAAAGAAGCTGGATTGGTTATATTCATAAAAAATAAAGTAAATTTCAGAGGAAAGAATATAACTAGGGGCAAAGAAGATAATTTCAAAATGATCATCAAAACTACAATCCTAAATGTTTTTATAGCTAATAACAGAGTTTTAAAATACATGAAGTAAAAACTAACAGAACTGAAAAAAGAAATAGACAATGCCCCGATTGTAGATAGATATTTCAATATCTCTCTCTCTCAATATTGCTAGAAAAATTAGACAGAAAATCAGTAAGGATATAGAAGACCATGAACAACACAATCAATGAACTTGATCTAATTAAGACTTATAGAACATTTCATGCAAAAACAGAACTTTTTTTTTTCAAGTATACAGGGAACATTCAGCAAGAAAGACCACATACTGAACCATAAAACAAGACTCAATAAATTTAAAAGAACTTATATCACACAAAATATGTTCTCTAACCATCATGAAATTAAATTAAAAATTAGCAACAAAAAGCCTGAAAAATTCCCAAATATTCGAAAACTAAATAACACACTTTTAAGTTATACACGGGTCAAAGAAGAGATCAAAAGGAAAAATAGAAAGTATTTTGAACTGAATGAAAATGAAAACAACACATCAAAATTTTGAAATGTGCTAAAATAGTCATACTTAAGGGGAATTTTATAGCATTAAACACTTCTATTAGGAAAGAAAAGTTTCAAATCGATGGCCTTAGCTTCTACTTTAAGAAAGTAGTACAAGAGAAAATGAAATGTAGCATAAACCAAAGAAAGAAAATAATAAAGATCAGAGCAGAAATCAAGGAAATAGAAAACAGAAAAGCAATGGAGAAAATCATTGAAATGGGTAGCACAATAGGGTAACTACAGTCAATAATAAGTTAATTGTACATTTTAAAATAAGAGTGTAATTGGATTGTCTATAACTCAAAGGATAAATGCTTGAGGGGATGGAAAGCCCATTCCCCATTGATGTGCTTACCTCACATTGCAGGCCTCTATTGAAACATCTCATGTACCCCATAAATATATACACCTACTATGTGCTCATGAAAATTAAAAATAAAAATAAATAAATCTAATTCTTAAAAAAGAAAATCAATGAAACCAAAAGCTAGTTCTTTGACATCAATAAAACTGATAAGCTTCTAGCCAGACTGATCATGAAAAAAAAGAAGACACACGGAAGGTGACACCACTACAATTTCTACAAACATTAAAAAGATAATAGGGAAATATTATAAATTATTTTATACCAACAAATTTGACAATTCTTTTTTTTTTTTAAGAGACAGGGTCTTGCTCTGCCACCCAGGCTACAGTGCAGTAGCCCAATCATAGTTCACTGCAGCCTTGAACTCCTCAGCTCAAGGGATCCTCCAACCTCAGCCTCCAAAGTAGCAAGGACTACAGGCATGTGTCACCATGCCTGGCTAATTTTTGTGTGTTTTTACAGAGAGGGTCTTGCTGTTTCCCCGGCTGGTCTTAACCTCCTGGCCTCAAGGATCCTCCTGCCTCAGCCTTCCAAGTAGCTGGGATTATAGGCATGAACTACGGTACCCTGCTAGTGTTCACTGTCTTGATGGTGGTGAGGGTTTCCCAGTGTATACACACATGTCAAAACTAATCAAATTGTAAAGTATGTGAAGTTGGTTGTATGTCAACTATGCCTCAATAAAGTTGTTAAAAATGTAAACAGGACTTTAAAAAGCCAAGTTGAAAGGATCTCTGGATTATCTACTTTGTTGAATTAAATAGGTTAACTATCCTTTTGTTAGAGTAGAAAATCAATCATTTATTCATTCACACATTAATTTGAAAAGCATTTATAGAGTATCTTCTAGATTCTGGGTCCTGTACTAGATGCTGATTATAAAAAGACATAGGCCCATACTTTTACTCTCAAGTTGAAAGAAATAGCTCATGGAAGACCAGTATCCTTACCTAAAACTACTAAAATGTCTGCTAAAATTCAGAAACTATCTGTGATGACAGTAGAGAGCTGCTGAAGTAATCGAATTAGAGGGCTAAGACTCCAGAAAGGAAAGAACCTAGGAAAGGTAAGCTGCCCTTCTACAGCCATTTTTACCCTGGAGGCATTTGCTGATTCTAAACATGGGCAGAAGGCTGAAAAACTTGGCTGGGAGTCAGATAAGCTAGCAGAGCTTTGGGCAGACACTTGCAGATCAGCAGAACACATGGCCAGGTTTTCCCTCAGCACTTCTGCAGAAGTCTGGGGCTGTGTGGGGCCTGAAGCCAAAAAAACCTAAGCAGAAAGCCTCGGAAAAAGCAGAGTGGAATTTTTGTCTTTGTTGTGATTTTTTTTAGCAGCTTTTGAGAGATAAAAGATTAGAGTTTGGAACCTATCAGGGGAAAGGACTCTGTAGAATACACCAAGCTCTCAGTTGAAAATCCTAGAGAATCTAGGGCAAACTAGAGGTAGACTGAGACTTTCCAGGATTGCAAACCATCCTCAACTCTCAGTGTGGTCACTGCCCGTTTAAGGTAATCAGCCACGACTCTATGTGCCTTCTGAAGTGAAGGATAAATTTTCTCTGGAGGAAATAACATCGTCTGGACCTCTGTGTGTGTGTGTTTTTTTCACATAATGTTCATCACTGAATAAAAGTCACACTTTGAGAGGCCAAGGTGGGAGGACCACTTGAGGCCAGGAGTTTGAGACCAGTGTGGGCAACATAGTGAAACGCTGTCTCAAAACAAAAACAAAAACAAAAAACTAGCTGGGCATGGTGGCACATGCCTGTAGACCTAGCTACTCAGGAGGCTGAGATGGGAGGATTACCTGAGCCCAGGAGTTTCAGGCTGCAGTGAGCTATAACCATGCCACTGCACTTCAGCCTTAATGAGAGTGACACCTTGTCTCAAAAAGATAAAAATAAAAACATAAAAATTACCAGGTATACCCACAGGCAGGAACACAGGATCCCAAACCAAGTGAAAGAACAGACTACAGAAACAAATCTGCAGGTTATCCATATATTAAAAGTTGGTAAGAATTTTAAAACACTATAATTAATATGTTTAAGAACAGAGAGGAAAATGTGGACAAAATTAACTAAATGATGAATAAAATAATTGCACCAGTGATTTAGATCTATAAGAGATTCAAATGGAAATTCTCAAAAAGGAAAAACCGAACAATAACATTAAAACCTCAATAGACATTAAATGGCAGATTAGAGACAACAAATAGAAAGCAGGATCAGTGAATTAGAATATCTAAACCAAAGCATAGAAAAAAAAATAAAAAAATAAAACCCAGAAAAAAAGCATTGAAAACATATGGGGCTCAGTGAAAAGATCTAACATTTGTGTAATCAGAGTGCAAAAAAGAGGAAACAGAGACAAGATAGAAGCAAATCTGAAGAGATAATAGCTAGGACATTCTTAAAACTGATTATGGTCATCAACCTACAGCTTCAAGAAGCTCTGTGTCCCCAAACAGAACAAACACAAAGAAAACACACTAAGATACGTCACAGTAAGACTGGTGAAAACAAAGACAAAGAAATCTTAAAAGCAGAAAAAAGAGAATTTTTAATGGCACAACAAAAAAGATTTACAGCCTACTTTTCTACAGAAATGATGGAAGTCAGAAGACAATGGAGTGACATCTTCAGGTAAAGTATTAAAAGAAAATAAGTGCCAATTTATAATTCTATACCAGCAAAAATATGCTTCAAAAATGAAAGTAAAATAAAGATGTCTACTAGGCAAACAAAACAGAGAATTTATCACCAGCAAACCTGTACTGAAAGAAATGCTAAAGAATTCTTTAGACACAAGGAAAATGATCCCAGAGGGAAACATGAAATTATACAAAGTATTGAACACCAACAGAAACGGTAAATATGTGAATAAATATAAATGAACACAGACTCTGTAAAATAATGATGTCATGTCTTCTGGGGCTTAAATGTATTAAGAATTAAAATGCATGCAACATAAATGCAAAAAATTGAAGCTCAATAAATGCAGTGAGCACATTCTAAGATTCCAGTATTAAAAGCAATAAAAGTGATCATTTATATTATTCTGTTATAAGTCAAGGTACATGTTGCCATCTCTTGGGTAACCAATAACAGAGTAATTTTAAGAATTTTGTTCATCCAAAAGCGCTTAAGTCAAGTCTACAGGATTGTCACCACTGCTGTGACGCTCTAATGGGAGAAAACAGAAAAGAGTGGCTTTTTCCCTAAGGGCAAGGGATTTGTCTCAGCAGCTAAACATCTGGGCAGAGTTAATACTGGTACCTAAAACCGTGAAAGTCCTTCTATAGTCATCACCTCTCAGTTTCCCAACCCAGCCAAGTACCTTTCCTTGAGGCATCTCCATTCATTTATTCATTCACTCCCCTGACAAATCCTTACTAATGGGTAACTGGCCTTGTGCTGGGGCTTGGCCCATAGAAACTGAACCAGCAACAATCCCAGTCTTCAACAAACTCACATTCTGTAGAGACAGATAATTAAACCAGACTCTCTCAAACTTAAATGTGCAAACAAATCACCTGAAAATACTGCCAGGTCTGGGACAGAACTTGAGCTTCTGCATTTCTAACAAGCCCCTAGGTGATGCCGATGTTGTTGACTGGAGGAATGTACTGTGAGTTACAATTAAAAGACAGAGTGAGAAGCACTGTGATAAAACTGTAGCTCAGAGGGGTGAAAAAGCTCACTAAAACTCACAATAATTTGAATAACTGGGATCGGACCCAAGATATATCTGACTCCAAAGTCTGTGTATGCTCTTTCCTGCCTCCCTTAAGGAGAAGAAAGGGGACTGTGGAAACAGGTAGTGTCTCAGTCTGATTTATGTTGCTATAACAGAATACCTGAGACTGGGTAATTTATAAAGAAAAGAGGTTTATTTAGTTCATGGTTCTGCAGGCTGGGAAGTTCAACAGCATGGCATTGGCTTCTGGTGAAGGCTTTTGTGCTGCATCATAACACGAAGGAAGGTCAAAGGGGGAACAGGCAAAAGGGACCAAAAAAGAGGAGGAACCTCGCTTTATAACAACCTGCTCTCTCAGGAACTAATCCATTCCTGCAAGAGTGAGAACTAGCTCACTCCCACAAGATGGCATTAATCTATTTATGAAGGATCCACCCCCATGACCCAAACATCTTCCACTAGGCCCCACCTCTCAACACAGCTGCACTGAGTTTTGCGGGGGACAAAGCATATCCAAACCATAGCAGGTAGTGGGCATTTAGTCCAGCCTCTGGGCAATGCTGCCCAAGCTGGATCTTAATAGATGAATAGGAGCTTGCCTGACAAAGAAATAAGGCAGGGAGAAGGCTCCCAGTGCAATAACTGGCACAAAAACACAAAGGGTGAGGGTCTGGATTTGAATCTCATTCCACCACTGATGAGCTTTAAAATTGTGGACAACTTACCTAATTGCCATGTCTCAGTTTCCTCAACTATAAAATGGAGATAATCATAACAGCACTCACCTCATTGGGTTGGTGTGAGAATTAAATGAGCTGGTATGTATAAAGGGTTTCGAACAGTGTGTGGCACAGTGTAAGTGCTCAATAAACATTAGCTCTGATTATTCCAGCAGTTGCTCAATATAAAGGATAAGCAGTGGAAGGAATGAGGGTGTTTCAGGCAGATGATTCCTCCTGTGCCTGGGACTGGCCTATCAGGGTGGGGGACTGGGAAAGCACTACAGTTACTGCCCAGAAGGACTGCTGCTCTGTTCTGGTGGGGAGGGACCCAGTTGTACTCCTGGGCACACCATCCCCAAGCACCTTCCACCCCAAAGCACCGTCACATCTGTTAGCTCATCTCTTAGTGACTCCAGAGGGCAGCCAGAATCGTGTTCTCCATTTTAACGATAGGAACACTGACACCCAGAGAAGTGACGTGACTTGCCCATTACCTCCCTGGGTATTAGAGGCAGGAAGTGTGGTTAATTTTAGGTGTCAATGTGGTTGGATTAAGGAATATGGAGAGAACTCATAAAGCATTGCCTCTGGGTGTGTCTGTGTGGGTTTTCCCAGAGGAGACTGGCATCTCAGTGGCTGGGGTGGGCACTGTCCAACTGGATGGGGGCCAGGATAGAATGAAAGGGCAGAAAGGTGATTTCCTCTCTCTCTTTCCCCCCTGGAGCTGGGACACTCTTCTCCTGCCCCTGGACATCAAAACTCTACGCTCTCTGGCCTTCGGACTCCAGGACTTATGCCAGCAGTCCCTGGGGTTCCCAGGCCTTTGGTCTTGAACGAAGAATTACACCATTAGTTTCCCTAGTTCTGAGGCCTTCAAATTTGGACTGAGCTATACTACCAGCATCCAAAGGTCTTGCAGCATCTTGCAGATGGTATGTCATGAGACTTAGCCTTCATAATTGCATGAGCCAATTCCTCTAATAAATCTCCTCTCACATATCCCTCTCTCTATCTATCCTACTGGTTCCATCTCTCTTGAGAACCCTGACTAATACAGTGAGGAACTCCTTATTCCCTGGCCAATACTCTTTCCAGAAAGACCTCGAGCACCATCTCAGGAGAAAAATCAATACCCAAGACCTCCAGGGCAGAGTCTAGGATTTCCTACCTGGCCCAAAGCTGTCATGTTCACCAACTATTAGCACTGATCAAGCAAAGCGTACTTCCATTTGTCAGAGAGACTGCAAGGATGTACTTGGTTCTGCCCCAATTTGGAAAGAAAGACTTCCAAAGGAAAAGATTATAGGGAAAGGGATATGGGGTTTAAGAGTAAGAGGCAATTGGAAATCAAAAATGGGCATGCACACACAGGATGCAGCTGGACTTCCTACCTGGTAGACTGCTTGGCCAGCATGGCCACGTAGGTGACCACGAAGCTCTGAAACTTAGCCCGTTGTTCCTCCCAGCGGTCATCTACTGAGTAGTAGTTGGGCAGGGGTGCTCCAAACAGGATCTCACTGCGCAGGAGGGAGCTCTTCAGATTGTCTGCAGAGAGGCCCTCATCCACATACCAGTAGAACTCAGGGTGAGTCATGGCCAGCTCCAGGGAGCCTGCAAGGACAGGGGTGGGGGCCCCAAGAGTTCAGCTGGTCAGCTCCCACCAACCCTCCCTCAAGGTCATCCAGTCTCATTGCAGCCCTGCCTCCCAGGATTCCCCCTGTCCATATCCACCAAAACTCCACCCCAGGCCCCACAACCTCTCTCTGACCCTGCCCCACCCTTCCTCAAGCCCCATCCCTAATTTACCTAAAACGAACCCTATCTCAGTCTTCTTCAACCCCAATCATTTCTCCTGCCTTCCTATGGCCAGATTTCTGGTTCTGTATAACCACATCCTGGCCCTTTTCTTAACCAGCCTCACACCCGAGGCCCACCCCACGATTTCTCTACCTCTGACCACAGCAGAACCCCCCACCATCCTTCACCTGGGTCTGCGTCCAAGCTTCCCTCTTCAGTTCCCTCTTACGCTCATCTCACACCTGAGCCCAGCCCTTTTCACCTTGCCCTCCGGCCATGCCCAGGACTCAGTTCCAGACTGACTGGGCCTGGGCCTGGGCCTGGGCCTGGCCTGGGCCAAATCTCCATAAAGAGCTGTATGAAACCTGGACCTACGCCCCCTCCCAGCATCCCGGCGGCTCACCCCGGATGTCCGCCAGGTCCTGGCCCATGCCGTCATAGTAGATCTTGCCGCCCCTCTCGGTGGGAAAAAAGTAGGTCATGAGCGAGCTGGGGGGCGAGCAGTAGGAGTAGGAGCCCAGCGGCAGATCCTTGAGCACCTCGTGGGGCTTCCAGCAGAACTCCCGGAAGCCTGGGTGGTCCATGATCTTGCGCTCGATCTCATGGATCGTGACCAGGCGCTCACTGGTGAAAATGTTGCGCTCCGCGTCGCCGCGCGCCAGGAAGATGAGCTCGATGCGCCAGTGCGCGTGCGTCTGAGTGTTGGCACTCACATAGGCGCGCGAGTAGTCCCAGCGCGAGGCGCCTCGGCGGGCACGGCTCTGATTGGCCGCGACTGCCGCGTGGGGCGGGATGCTGGGCTGGTACCGCCCATTCTTGCTCAGCCGCTGGTTTCGCGGGTCTTCACTCTGGTTGGCTGCCAGATCCTCCAGGGGCGGGGTCTCACGCCGAAGTCGCCCGCTCCGATTGGCTGTGGGCTTTTGAGCCGCGGAAGTGTCCCGGTAAGGGCCTGGGCCACCGAGTGAGGCCGCGGGGATGACGCGGGGGGCTCGGGAGGCTTGCCGCGAGCGGTTGCCGAGATGCAGCTGCTGCAGCTGCTCTGAGATAAGGCGCTGAAGCGTCTCGGAGGTGAAGTCGGCCAAATCGCGCCGGTTCCGCCCCCAGGATCCAAACTGGGACTTAAGCGCCAGAGTGAGAGCGTCGAAACGCTGTGAGGCCTCGTGGTTGCGGATCTCAAAGGCGTTGTAGGAGATGTCAATGTCCAGCGGTGGGTAGTAAAGGAACATGAAGGCTGACAGGGCCATGGGGATGCTGCAGCCCAGGAAGAGCACCAGCCCAGCACAGCACGGATTGGTGAAGGCCCAGCCCAGGGTACTCCAGAAGCCCGAAGCTGGGGGTCGGGAAGCCAGGGGCCAGTGCCGCCAGCAACACTGTCCCCCTGCCCCAGGTTGGGGCCCTGGCTTCTGGGCCCCTAAAAAGGTTTCACCCGTTGCTTCTTCCTCCTCCTGCTCCTCCTCTAGCCACACATCCTGCAGCAAGGGGTCATCCTCCGTGTCCATAGTCTGCAGGAGAGGGAGAGGGTCAGCAGGCTAGAGAGACAGTGAGGGGAAGGTGCCCTGTGGTGCAGTTCGCCCAGCCCTAGGTACCAACCCTGTCCACTCATAACCAAATACTAATACTGCAATGGAATTGCATCAAGCATGCATCAACACAACTGAATTAAACCACCGGTAAAAAATACAGAGAAAATTCCTGTTATTTGCCCATCACTTCTCCCTTTTGGGTCTTGGCTTTTGAGGCCACAGAAAAAAGGAAAATCGCAGAACAATTGCAAACAGAAAAGATGTTTCTCCTGGGGTGAGGGATTTAAAAAAAAAATCTGACTACACAATTTTCTAATGCTTGCTGCATCCTCTGACTTTAGAACTCAAGGCCAATGTAAGATGTAACTCCACTGCAACCACTCTCATTTAATGAGCAGCTGTAAAGTACTTCTAGGAAGTATCAGGGTGCAAGGGAAAGAGCATGATCTTTGGAATCAGGCAGACCCTGATTTGGATCCTGGCAGTATGAGTATCAGCAAGGCAGTGAGCCTCCCTGAACTTCAGAGTCCTCATCTATAAAATAGAAGTGGCCATTGCTGCCTCGTACGACTGTGGAGTCAAAGGTGGAAGTACTCTGCAGTCTGTGTAGTATGTTAGTTATCAGTCACGTAAGCAGATTTCCCTGCTCCCGGCTGGGGACTGTAACATGCTCAGCCATTGCCCAGGAACTGTGCCAGGGCTAGGTGCCTGTCACGGCTCTCCTGGAGAACCCTCAGTAG
Organism: Homo sapiens; assembly: GCF_000001405.40. Classification (NCBI taxonomy): domain Eukaryota; kingdom Metazoa; phylum Chordata; class Mammalia; order Primates; family Hominidae; genus Homo; species Homo sapiens. The sequence continues at coordinate 11,500,228 of NC_000001.11, read as the reverse complement.
CTTCCCACCCCTTCTATGGGGTGCTGCAGCTGCAGCACTGTTTGTCAGGCTCGGGCCACTTAATATGCAGCTCCAGCAACATCAAACCTTTGGGCATGGGCAGGGGCCAGGCATCTGCCTCCCAGAGACTTGAGTGCAGCAGCAGGAGGGCCTGGCAGGAGAGGGCAGGGCTGGGCAGCCCGAGGACTCCAGCGGGGTGGCCCAAAGAGAGGAGGCTTTCCGGCATCCCCGGCATGGCCTATCCCCTTTGTCCTGCCTGCCCTCTGGACAGAGAGAGACTCATTATCCAGTTAGATGCTAGGCGGTAAGAGGAGGAAGCTAATTGTGCTAGCGCTAGCTAATTAATGCTGCCTTTCCTATTAACATTCTTTGGAGTGCTCCATTTCAATTAGATGATCTGTCCAGGAAGAGAGGCTGTCGTCAGTCCAGAGAAAGTAAGCAAGAGGAGGTGACGGAAGGAGGGAAACAGAGACAGAGACAGAGGAAAAGAGGAGAGAGACCGAAGGGAGAGTGGAATGGTGGGGGATGAGGGAGAGACTGAGATGCAAATAGGGAAACAAAAGAAGAAACAGAAAGGAAGAATGACTGAGGATGTGGGGGAGAGGAGGGGTGCGCAGCGGAAGACTTGCAGGAGAGAGGCCTGGAAGGGGTGGGAATTGCTCCTGTAATATGCAAGATTCGTATTAATGAAATAATTAAACTTCCCATTTGCAACGCCCTAACACGAGCCTGCCAGCTTGCCGAGGGGATGGTAACTGCTCTGAGTCCCGATTTGTATTCGCACTGGAGGCAGCTCAGACTCACCCCATCTCCAAAGGGAAAAACCAAGTCTGCATGTGGAGGTGAGTGTGGGAGCCTCTGCCCGATTCTTGGCCTTAGAAGAAGAAAGCTGATGGGAATAAGGTGGAGAGGGGAGGGGCCGTGTTTGCAGTTTTCTGGGAACTAAACCCATCCATCCTGCCCGTGCCTCAGCCTGCCTTGTGGGGAGTACAGTTTACAGTGTGTTGGTGTTGCAGGGGGTCAAAGGCCAGGATTCTGGGTCACAGCAACACTCCTTGGGTGATCTGAAGGCCCCTTGATCCCATTGCTATTCCACCAGGAATGCCATCCCCGTCCCCTAGGGGTCCACATTGAATTCATCATGCAAGTCCTTGCTCAAGCGTTACCTCTTCCAAGAAGCTTTCCCAGATCTGAACCCCCCAGCTTCCTGTCTAAGCTTCTCGCCATCCTCACTAGATTTTGCCTGGTAAAAATTACTGCGGGGAAGGGAGGGAGAGGCAGTGTAGCAGCGTGTTAAGAGCTACGGCTTTGGAGGCAGACAGACTTGGGTGCAAATCCCAATTGTAAGATTTAGGGCAGGCAGTGTAACTTTGATGAGCTTCAGTCTCCCCATCTGCAGAACGGGTATAACAGTACTCACCGCAGAAACTGTCAGAAGGATGGCGTACACAACAGACTGAGTACGGTGCCTGGTAGGTATAAGTGCTTGGGAAATGACAGCTACTATTCTTTCATATGCTACTTCCCTCCAAAGGCTGGAACCCCTAACAGATACATGTACCTGGCTGTGTTTTCCAAAGATGGCTGCAACAATATCTGCCATCTCACATGCTTATCTCATGATGTGACTTTGACACTCCTCCCATCAAGCAGGCAAGGCTGCCAAAATCACCAGCCCACCCAGATTCAAGGGGAAGGAATGCAGGCATTAGGAAATAAAGGAAGATGCAGCTTCCTTCTGGCTCTCTTCGGACGCTCATCCTTGGGATCAGCCACTGTGTTACGAGAATGTCCAAACTAGCCCATGCAGAGAGATCACTCGTAGGACTTCCTGCTGACAACCAACCTGACAGCCAGCATCAACCACCATGTGATGTGAGCATGTGAGCGACGCTGCTGCAGACAATTCCAGCCCCCGGTCATTGAGTAACCACTAGCCTTGAAGTCTTTCCAGCCGAGGCCCAGATACCACAGAGTAGAGCTCAGCCATCCTCTCCTGTGCCCTGTCCTGACCCGCGGAATGCACGATAGTTATTATACATCTCTGCACTCTGGGATGTTTTGTTACATAGCAATAGCAACTGCAACAATTGCAGTGAAGCCTTGTTCTGTATGTGTGGCTCCATACCCTGCAGACAGCATTTGCTGGATTTAAGTGACCAGAAAATTGGGCCCAGCCACTCCACCTCCCAGTGAGAGCCCCACAGGCGGGTAGATGTGAGCTTTAAGGGAGCAGGGACTTACTTGGCTGTCATATTCCCTGCTGGCTTCTCGTGGCCTAAAACACCCTTGGGGAGGGGGGGCAGTCAGATATTTGTTGAGACAAAGAAGGAAAAGGAGTCTCCGATGAACTTGGGTGAGGTATTCAATAGAACTTTCCCCTGGACAAATGAATTAACAGCATTCACAGCAACCTGGATGAGATTAGAGACTATTATTCTGAGTGAAGTAACTCAGAAATGGAAAACCAAGCATCGTATGTTCTCACTGATACGTGGGAGCTAAGCTATGAGGACGCAAAAGCATAAGAATGATACAATGGGCCGGGTGCGGTGGCTCATGCCTGTAATCCCGGCACTCTGGGAGGCCGAGGTGGGCGGATCACGAGGTCAGGAGATCGAGACCGTCCTGGCTGACACAGTGAAACCCCGTCTCTACTAAAAATACAAAAAATTAGCTGGGCGTGGTTGCAGGCGCCTGTAGTCCCAGCTACTCGGGGGGCTGAGGCAAGAGAATGGCCTGAACCTGGGAGGCGGAGCTTGCAGTGAGCCCAGATCGCACCACTGCACTCCAGCCTGGGCGACGACAGAGCAAGACTCCGTCTAAAAAAAAGAATGATACAATGGATTTTGGGGACTTGGGGGGAAGGGTGAGGGGGCAAGGGATAAAAGACTACAAATAGGGTGCAGTGTATACTGCTTGGGTGATGGGTACACCAAAATCTCACAAATCAGCACTAAAGAACTTATGTAACCAAGTACCACCTGTACCCCAATAACCTATGGAAAAATTTTTTAAAATTTTAATTTTTTTTAAAAAAAGAACTTTCCCCTGGACAGAAAGGGCAGTCAGATCCCAAGCCACATAAGCATAGGCAGGGGATATAGCTTCCTCCGGGTTGGGAAGGATCTGGAAGAGTGTGAAATGGACAAGGCAGGAAGTGGATTTGATGAGTTCTTGGTCTATCATGCACCCTCCCCACCCCGTGCCTGCCTTCTCAGTCTGCCCCCAACATGAAAAGTGCCACAAGGGCATCACACCAGACTGGTGGTCAACCCACGTGTCTCCAGGCCTGGCCCAGCCACCAGCTTTCTGGGTGGCCCTGGGTATGTCCTGCCCTTCTTGGGGCTCTGTCTCCCCTATCTCAGAGCGGGATGGTAAAAGCCCAGGTCCTTCCAGCTGTGCCACCCCTGGAGTCTCCAAGAAACCCCAGCTAGCCCTTCCCACCTCCCAGTCTGCAGCCCGAGTAGGGCAAGAGCCATCTGAGAGTCCCTCGCACCAAACTGAGGCTGGGCTGGTAAGGGTGGAACACGAATGCCTCAGCCAGCACCTCCCTCCGCAGGCCCCTCCACAGCTGGTAGGATGGGCAGCAAATTGTAAATTTGTTTTCCTTCCTCAAATGATGGGAATTGATTAGCTTAGCAAGGAGCTCCAGCTGCTCCGTGGAAAGGAACCAAGGTGGTTCCTGTAGTAGCTGTCATTGATTCAGACAAAGCCCGGAGTAGGACTAGGAGGACTGTGGCCATGGGGGTGGAGTGAGGTGGGGTAGAGTAGGGGCTGTGATCAGGCCTTTCTGGGCCCTGGGAATGTTCTTCTCAGTGACCAATGCCCTTTCTCTCTGCCTCTGTCTCTGTCTCTCTCTCACACATACAGGCACACTCAGAGGTAGTCAAAAATTAAACTCTGGGCCTTGCCGGGGCCCATGAATCAAGGTGGATGCATATCCACGAAACCAACCATCCTCCTCTTGGGAAAGGCAACCGAGGCAGCTGCTTAAAAGAGAACAGGCCCTAGGGAGCCTCATAAGGAAAGACTTCACCCACTTTCAAGCCCAGGCTTGTGGAAATCCAAAGCCATATCTGCAGTCAAATCCCAGCTTTATAACAGAAAAAAAAAACGCACATCTATATGCATTTAAAAACCCATTAATAGCAGTAACCTGTTTGGGAGGATTATGGGTGATTTTTATTTTCTCCTTTGTACTTGTCTGTTTCTAATTTTTCTGCAATGATCAGGTATATCCTTACTTTTAGAATCAGAAATAAATGTTATTTAAAAATAGAATATGTGTGTATGTGTGGGGAAGGGATTTTGCTAACAGCCTTCAACTCTTTGAAGAATTACTGTAATAGGCAGGGGAGGAGGGCTCTGCCCTCCGAGGAGAGAAACCAAGGAGAGTTGGCTTAGGTTGTAGCAGGACAGCGCCCAGTGAGAAAGCAGAAGGACCTTGGACAGGGGGAGCTGGCAAATGCCCTGTGGGTGAGTGTGGAATCACCTATTCCCCTGAGATGGGGAGAGGGATCGTTCAATGAGCAGGAAGTAGCTAATGGCCCACTGGACCCAGAAGAGACCTGAGTATACCTTGTCCAATGCCTTCATTTTACACATGGGGAAACTGAGACCCCAGGTCCAGTCAAGGAGAAGGGACTAACCCAAGATCATCTTATCAGTGGCAGGACCAGGATTCCTGGATGAAGTTTTCACTCTACTCCATCCCCAGATTCTGGGGGCAGTTTTTGGCAGCCCCAGGAAACAACCAGACCTGGGGTGAGATGGCTTCTGGACTCAAAATGCCAAAATAGGAGAGCTATTTTTGTTTTTGTTTTGTTTTGTTTTTTGAGACAGAGTCTCGCTCTGTCACCCAGGCTGGAGTGCAATGGTGCGATCTCAGCTCACTGCAACCTCCACCTCCCGGGTTCAAGCGATTCTCGTGCCTCAGCCTCCTGAGTAGCTGGGACTACAGGCATGCACCACCACGCCTGGCTAATTTTTGTATTTTTTAGTAGAGATAGGGTTTCACCATGTTGGCCAGGCTGGTCTCGAACTCCTGACAAGCGATCTGCCCGCCTTGGCCTCCCAAAGTGTTGAGATTACAGGTGTGAGCCGCCACACCCAGTTGGGAGAGCCATTTTTGAAGTTGAAGAGAAAAGCCAATCTTCAAGTCACAGGCCAGATGGACTTCCCCATTTGGACAGAATGGGGCTTTGGTGGGAGGTGGTGTTGCCTCAAAAACACCCCCAGGCCCCTGCCAGGCCTCACTCCTCTCCAGAGCAGATGGGGCTCCCAGGGATGTGAACCCATGCCAGAGCCTCCCTGTGGTCCTGTTTATAACTTCCCTCCTCTGGCAAAGGATGACAGAACCCTTCCTTCTCCACTCCCCCATACCAGCCAGACTATTAAAATGTAATAAAAAAATCACATTAGACATGGAGATTTGACTTAAACTACGTATATGTATATACAATTTAACGGCAATTAGGAGCTAATCAGCTTTTTCTTCCTGGCTCAGGATGTTTTGCCTTCCCTGGTTCAGCTCTGGTCCTTGAACATCTTGAGGTCTTTGATTCTCTTACCCTTGGGTCGAGAGTTTTGGGCAGAAGCTCAAAATGAGTTATTTTGAGTTGAACAGCTCCAGAGAAGGGAGGAAAGAAAAGAGGAGGCCTTGGTGCCTCCCAGGCATCACTGTCCTACGTCCTGATACTCCGTCTTCTGAGAATCCACCGCTCTCCGGATGTCCTGGCTATGTGCCAGTCATCAGAATCCCAAACCTTTCCCCGAGACCTGGACACTCCACCTAGGCCAGGAGGCTGGAGAGGCACTGGAGATGTGGTGGTGAAACGGGCAAAATCACACACATGGAGTGCAGTCAAAAGCCCAGCTAGTTCAGCCCAGCTAGTTCAATGCAGAAACTCTGACACCCATTAAGACCATCATAATAATTAACTCTGCATCTACCACGTGCCAGTACTCCTTATCCATCCTCTGTCATCCTCACATCAGCCCTGCAAGGACGCTAGGGAAGGCATTATGAGCATTCACTTTTTACAGAAGCAAAATCAGAATCAGAGAGGTTAAGTGACTCCCTGGTGGTCACACAGCTACTAAGGGGCAGAACTGGAGTTTGAACCCCAGGTCTATTGATCCTAAAGCCCAGGCTCTTTTGGCCATACCAGGTAGCCTATGAGCTCTTTGAGAGCTGATATGTCAGTACTTGTTGAAGAAACCCATTGCCTTTTAGCAAGTTTGCCCCATCCCCATAAGACCACAGATCACTCGGGGCCTGGCAATTCTGCTTTCAGCAGGTGGCAACTCAGGGCATGATGTAAAGGAAGTCTCCCACCAACCTCAGAAGCTTGGCTTTCCCTTCAATGGGTCATGGGTGTGATGGTTAATTCTATGTGTCAACTTGACTGGACTATGGGGTGCCCAGATATTTGGCCAAACATGATTCTGGGTGTGTGTGTGAGAGAGAGAGTGTGTTTCCAGATAAGATTTTTTTTTTTTTGAGATGGAGTCTTGCTCTGTTGCCCAGGCTTGAGTGTGGTGGCATGATCTCAGCTCACTGCAACCTCCACCTCTGAGGTTCAAATGATTCTCCTGTCTCAGCCTCCCAAGTAGCTGGGATTACAGGTGCATGCCACCATGCCTGGCTAATTTTTGTATTTTTAGTAGAGACGGGGTTTCGCCATGTTGGCCAGGCTGGTCTTGAACTCCTACCTCAAGTGATCCGCCCACCTCCGCCTCCCAAAGTGCTAGGATTACAGGAGTGAGCCACCAAGCCCAGCCTCCAGATAAGATCAGCATCAGTACACAGAGTAAAGCAGATGGTTCTCACTAATGAGGGTGGGCCTCAACGAATCAGTTGAAGATCTGAATAGAATGAAAAGGCTAAGAGGAAATTGTTTTTGTTGACTGCTAGAGCTTGGACATTGGTCTTTTCTGGCCTTTGGACTCAAGCTGAAATATCAGCTCTTCTTGGGTCTTCAGCCTGCCAGCTATCAGACTAGAACTTACACCATTGGCCCTCCTGGTTCTCAGGCCTTCAGTCTCAAACTGCAACTATACCATCAGCTCTCCTGGGTCTCCAGCTTGCTGCCTGCAGATCTTGGGGCTTCTCAGCCTCCATAATCACATAAGCCAATTCCTTCTAATAAATCTCTCTCTGATATATATATGCTATTGGTTATTTTCTTCTGGAGAACCCTAATACAATGGGGCCGTGAAGCATCCCAGAGAGAAAGTAGGAGTGAAGCAGGGAGCCCCATCCTAGCAGCTGGATCCTAGGGCCCTCCCAGAGTCTTCTCTGAAGATGTTCCAAGTCCTACCTAGAATCTCAAATGAACACGGCAACAGAGCCAGGGAATGCCTTCCAGATCCATAGAGGAAGGGGTATGGCTGAGTGACTTTCCACACTTGTCTGAGCTCTTTCCCCAGCAAGAAGATCCTGAATCTATCACCCCATATCTCCTGCCCCAGCCCCAGGGAAACCTGGCTTTGTGGCTGCAGCTGAAGCAAGCACCTACCTCTACTCCCCATCACCCCTGCTGCCCCCTAAGAAACACGATCTTTGTTGGCTCAATTTGCCAGCCGGAAATTCAGAGGGGGTACAAATGACCATTCCTCTCTGCAAAGAAAATCTGGGCTTATTATTAGAAGCCCAGGTGGGGGTGGGGAGAGGAATCGGGTGGGGGCTCTGTGGCGAGCCTGTCCAAGCCCCCCATTTCTCAGAGAAGGTCAGGCTGCACAGATGGAGTGGATGAAGGATGACTGGCCTCCTGGGGCTGACAGCTGGTGAGGAAACTATGGGCGCTGACTCGAAAAACCCAATGGCTCAATATTTATCAGGCAAACAAGCTTTGCCTGGGTCAATATATCACCTGAGGAAACGTCCCAGCCAACACCAGAGGGATCCAACGTTCATGGGCACAACAGCCACTATCACTTTTCCTGTTCTGGTGTCCCCTCTCTAGTGGGCTCAGTGGGACAGAACCCGACCCCCTAACACCAAGAGGGAAATCTGTAAAATGGGGATGGTGATACTGCTCCCCTGCTGAACCAGAGCAGCTAGTACGATTATTAACTTCTTTTTTTTTTTTTTTTTTTTTTTGAGACGGAGTCTCGCTCTGTCGCCCAGGCTGGAGTGCAGTGGCGGGATCTCGGCTCACTGCAAGCTCCGCCTCCCGGGTTCACGCCATTCTCCTGCCTCAGCCTCCCAAGTAGCTGGGACTACAGGCGCCCGCCACTACGCCCGGCTAATTTTTTGTATTTTTAGTAGAGACGGGGTTTCACCGTTTTAGCCGGGATGGTCTCGATCTCCTGACCTCGTGATCCGCCCGCCTCGGCCTCCCAAAGTGCTGGGATTACAGGCGTGAGCCACCGCGCCCGGCCAATTATTAACTTCTTAGCCAGCCAGAGCCCAGGACTGGCCCCTGCTGTAGGCAGGTCCCCAAGTCAACTGGAGCGGACTCCCTTATTCTCTGCCCCAAAGATCCTTGGACTTTTACGTGAATCGGAGTCACTAGGCATACTCGTTAAAGTGCAAACTCTAGGTCAGATTCCAGGTCAGAGGAGGTGGGGCCCAGGAATCCGGGTTTTGTTTTGTTTTGTTTGTTTGTTTTGAGATGGGATCTCACTCTGTCACCCAGGCTGGAGTGCAGTGACACTATGATGGTTCACTGCAGCCTCGACCTCCCGGGCTCGAGTGGTCCTCCCCGCTCAGCCTCCCAAGTAGCTGAGACTACAGGTGCATGCCACCACACCTGGCTGTTTTTGTTTTTTGTTTTTAATTTTTTGTAAAGATGGCGTTTTGCTAGGTTGCCCAGGCTGATCTCAAACTCAAGCAATCTTTCTGCCCCAGTCTCCCAAACTGTTGGAATTACAGTAGGTGTCAGCCACCATGCCCAACCTGGAATCTGTATTTAAACCACCTCCCCAGGTGATTCTGATACAGGCGGTCCAGAAGCATTCTTGGAAAACCCCTGCTGCCCTGGTCATCCTCCCCTGTTCCCAGTGGCTCCCTCCAGCAACTGATTTAGCCTTGGCCTCCCCACATCCCTCCACCGTGGCTCACATGTGTCCCTGGAGGTCCGGGGTATGGACTCAGGCTGCTGTATCTCTAGCCAAGGCTCACTCCTCAGGGTGTCTTTTCCTCCATCCATGGGGAGGGAAGAAATGATGGCATTTGGGCCAGCCAGACAGGGGGATACAAACAGCACACCCAGATCTGCCAAATAGCTCTTCTTGGTAGGGCCAGACAGTAAAAGGAACTAGAAGTCCAAGGGCTTACTATCTGCCAGGCCCCTTAAAAGGGGACTAGGTGGGGAGTTTACCATCCATTGAGCACTACTGTGTGTCTGGCACATGGGAGGTGCTTTATTTATTTATATCACGTCTGATCCAACCCCCACCCTACAAGGCTGCTTACAGAGCTGAGCTGGATTGGAGCCTCTGGAGGTAATGTCAGAGCCCATCCTTTTAGCCACCGTGCCCTGATGCCAAAAGGAATTCCACCCGACTAACCCTCTCTGGCCACCTCCTGCCCCTGCCTGCACAACTCAGGCCTCACCTCCAAGACCCATCAGCACTGGAGCCTGGAGCCCACAAAGCAGCCTTGGCATCAATGAGGAAAAGACAATGGAAGCTTAATAAAATCACCAACATGGCCGGTCACGGTGGCTCACGCCTGTAATCCCAGCACTTTGGGAGGCCAACGCGGGCAGATCACCCGAGGTCAGGAGTTTGATATCAGCCTGGCCAACATGATGAAACCCCGTTTCTACTAAAAATACAAAAAATTAGCCAGGCATGGTGGCGGGTGCCTGTAATCCCAGCTACTTGGGAGGCTGAGGCAGAAGAATTGCTTGTACCCAGGAGGCAGAGGTTGCAGTGAGCCAAGATCATGCCACTGCACTCTAGCCTGGGCAACAAGAGCGAAACATCATCCCAAAAACAAAAACAAAAACAAAAACAAAAAACCCCAGCAACACTTACAGAACCTGTGAAATATGACCAGGTTCCCAGATGCCCCTGGCCTGACGGGTCAGCAGGTTCCTGGAAACTCTCACTGCAGGCCTTGGCCAATCCGTCCAGACCACCCCCACCCCCGACATCTCTCCCACCCTCAGTCCCAAGTCCTGGGTGTATGAGGCTGGAGATCACAGCTGCCAAGTACAGAGGAACCTCTGGGCCCAGCAGCCAGTCCAGCACCCCAGCATCTAGACTGCTGGGTTAATAAAAGATAAAAAGATCCCAACGATATATGACCAATAACTACGGCCATGAAAGCCAAATTGGCTTTCTTCCTGGCTGATGAGCTCAGGGCCCTTTTCATTCTGAGACGTGATTAACAAATATGTAAAACAATTCTCTCAGCATCTCATCTTGGGATCTTGCTGCAAGTTCAAGCTTGGGGGCAAGGGAGGTGGAGGAAGCAGGGGATCTGTGCCTGGGGCAGCAGAAGTGGCCCCAAGGACTTGGGGTTGGAACCTGCCTGGCCACTCGCCTGTGTGACCTAGAACAAGTCACTTAACATCTCTGGATAGGTAGTTTCTCCGTCTGCCAGATGGGGAGCGGGAAGAGATGCTCTCTAAATCTTCTGCCTCTGATTCTCAGTCAGAGAATCAGACTGAGGCAGAGCAAGGGGGGCTGGATGCTGGGAGAGGCTCCCCGTCACCTCTCTGCAGAATAACTGGAGGGGGCAGCATGCAGGGATCCTGCTGTCTTTGGAGGGGAGCACGCACAGGGGCCTGGCCAAGTGGCAAGAACAGCTGAATAGCCAATAGCCACGTACTGGGTGCCATCAGCTTTGCTGGGACACAGCAGGTGGTCACCTGCCAGTTCCTAGCTCTGCGGAAGGCTTGGGAGACTGCAATCCCTCCTACAGCCCCAGCCCGCCCAGACCACAATCTGTGGGTCCAGAGATGTTGCAAAACTCTTCTTTGCCCCATAGCGCCCAAAGAGAAGCTGGAGGATACATCAGAAGCTAAACGTGCTCAAACCTGCTGAGGGGCCGCCATGAGGCACTCGGGATGGAGCTCTGGGAGAGGGCTGTACCCGCAGCCTCACTGCCTGGGAAGGAACAGAGAACCTTAGGGCAAATCTCTTTCCCTCTGAGAACTTGGGGCTCCCCCGTCCCCTGCTGCCTGGGCCTGTGAAGGGCTGAGGAGACCAGCAGCAGATGAAAGGGGCACAGTGAGGAGATGGTGGAGGCTGCCCTTGTGTTCCTGAGCCAGAGCCCTTTCTCTTCCCATCCTCAATCCTCTCATCGCGGGGGAGGCGGTGGGACTGAATCATGTTGCATCCACGCAGCAAATTCCAGCTTCCAGGTCATTTTTGCGTAGGTTTTCTCCTCCTAGGAATTATTTCCAATTTGCAGACAAGAAAACTGAGGCTAAGGAAGTGAAGGGACTTATTTGAACCTGATTTCTGATGAGCTCAGTACCCTTCTCACTGTGGTAGATTTTATTTGAGTCTTACATGTTTGAAAATCTCAGGGTCCTAGAATCAGTCCTCCCAACCCCCACTTGGGTGTCTGTGCATGCATGCACGCACGTGTCTGCAAACACACACACACACACACACACACACACACAGAGCATCTGCCCTCAGCCGTTCTGGTCACAGCTTAGGTACAGCGCTGGCTGGACTGTGGGTCCCACGGAAGGGAGGAGGGTGGAGACATGAGAGACTGACCTTCAAGTTCCCCACCACGGGTGCCCAGGTGGAATCTCACCTTCGGTGCCCACCCAGGTCAGTGGCTCCAGGGAAGGCTTCCTGGCTCCCTTGGTGAGTGACAGCTCAGGCATGGATAGTGGGGAGCAGGTGTCCATCCAGGAGATGGGCTCAGTACCCCTCAGCCCCTGGGACCAGCACAGAGGCCCTTGCTGTGGGGTGGGGGGAGTCTGACACTGGTCTCAGCCTCAGCACCCCCTCCACAATGATGCAGCTGCCTACGGAGACAGGAGTCCGGGGCTGGTGCTCAGCCTCTAGGGCTGGGGATGGAAAGTGGCCCCTCAAGTACTGACCCCCTCCAACTCTGCTGCCTTTCTCATAAAATGCTTGGGAGGCTCAGGGCCCCAGGAACTAAGAACTGCTGCTCCCAGCCCCAAAGGCCAGGAGAGACCCAGCGAAGCTACCTGGGCTCAAAAATCTCAGACTGCTTCCCTCACACCCCCACCCTGCTCAATGGTGGAGTGTTATCCAAAGTTTAATGGGAACGCCCCTCCCCACGCACCAGTTATTCCATGATAACGGGGCTCCGTCTATTCCATGATAGAGGGCCAGGACACAGGAGTGTGACACAGGAGAGAGGATGGGGTAATTTAGGGCTGGGGAACCAGTTGAGAAGGTCAAAAGTGTTATAGGGTCCTTGGGGTCCTGAGGCAGCAGCTTCCATCCGCTTTCAGCCTCCTGGGTTCCAATCCATGCCACAGCCAGAAGCCAGAGACATCCCAAGACCAGAGGGTCCTGCAGAATGGGATGAGGGTGGGGCAGGCAGTGAGAGGGCAACGCTCAGGGAGTCAGTCTCTCTACTGAACCTGAGCCAAGGGTGTTCTGGGCCCCTCATTACTCCAGGACGGGGGAAGCAGCTGGAGGAGGTGAAGCCTGGGAATGCTCTGAGAGTAGGTCTGCAGAGGGAGAAATAAGCTACTTAAGCTACTTAGTCTTTTAGGCTGGTGACAGCGGGAATGATGCAAATTGATTTCTATTCAAGTGCTGTCCCAGGCAAGGTGGTGGCAGGGAAGGCAGAAGCCTCCTTTTCCCGAAGCAATCACCTCCAAGCGCACCTGCTGAGCCTCAGAGCAACTTCTGAGCAGGGGTAGCGGTGGCAGCCGCCCCATTACCCCAGAGCTGGGCTCAGCTGCCCATTCTCCATGTAGCTGCCCGTTCTCCATGTCCCCTCAGGAAGGGAGGACATCCATGACTCTCTCCAATCCAGAGCCAAAGCTCCCTCTCCCCCTCCCCAGGCTCCTCCGACTCAGGGCACTCTGCTGCCGACCAGGGTGGCTTCTCAGCTTTTCCTGGGGTGGGGGACATTCTTTCAAGACTGGGGGGATGAGGACAAGAGAAGGACCCTTCCCTTTGTCCATACTTGGGGTCAGGCCCTGCCAAATCAAAGCCCTGACTGTCAAAGTCCCTCAGCCCCATTCCCCAATTCATACATTTACCAATTCATTCACTCATTCTAACTTCATTCACTTATTGGTGCTTGCTATATAAAATGAGGACTTTCTGTTAAATCATCATAATCTGGCTGGGTGTGGTGGCTAACACCTGCCACCCCAGCACAGTGGGAGGCCAAGGCAGGCAGATCACTTGAGCCCAGGAGTTCAAGACCAGCCTGGGCAACATAGGGAGACCTTGTCTCTACTAAAAGTAAAAAACTTATCCGGCGCGTGGTCATGCGCACCCGTAGTCCCAATTACTCAGGAGGCTGACGGGGGAGGATTGCTTGAGCTCAGGCATTTGAGGCTGCAGTGAGCTGTGATTGCAGCACTGCACTCCAGCCTGGATGACAGAGAGCTTATCTTAAAAAAAAAAAAAATCTTAATCTTAACTTAGTGATGTCTTCAACTCCTTTCCTCCTGAAGGCTCCATGAACCTTTTCACCCCAGATCTATTCGCATGTTCATTAACTCCCAAGAACGCCAGTTGGCTGACATGTCCCTGTTCATTGCAGATTCCTGGCTCTGTTACTCTGGGATCATCTGCTGGAAGTCTCTGGAGCACCAGGTCAGAAAGTCAGAAACCCTTGGAGGGAACCCACAGCAGCTACTAGCTTGTAATGCACACTCTCAGCCAGCCTTTTCCCAGCTTCCCCGGCTAAAGAAGGGAAGGGGGCGGGGGTTCTCTTCCGGCTGCTGACACTTCTCCAAAGCCTGATTCCTCTCTAATGTCTCCCAGGCCTGGATTGCAGGGAGGAACAAAAACCAACATCCTGCCTTTGTGAAGTCACAAGATGATGCCTTAAAACCAACAAATACTTTTCAACCTGGGCGTCCCCACACACGATCATGTCCAGAGGGGTGCAAGTCTCAGCTGTGTCTACATGGAAGGAAAAGGGGGAAACATCTGGATGAAAGCCAGCAACGTCCTGCCACTCTGCCAGATGCTGCCCACATCTGGACATTCAAAAAGTGATCTGTTCGGTGGCTTAGCAGTCGAGAAGCAAATGGTCAGCCCACATCACCCTATCCATCAGAACACAGAGCCCGAGTCCCTATGCACAATTACCCAGATTACTGAAGGACTCATAAGGTACTTTGGCTTCAATCATACTCATCCTCAAAGGCCCAAATCAAGTGAAAGTAAAGGCCAGAGTGTGGGGCTCAGTCCTTGTGCGCATGGCAGCTGGGTCCCATCTCCACTGCTTATTAGTAAGCTGCTTAGACTCTCTGCACTTCACATTTCTCATCCTTAACATGGAGATAACAGTGCTATCCCCCTTGCTGAGCAGGTATGAGGATGAAATGAGATCATATCTGTAAAGTTCTAAGCCAGGGCCCGGCAGGTAGTAAACATTCAAAATATGTTGACTGTTATTATCATGATCATTATCATCAGGGTGATTGCCCTGCAGAGCTCCCCAACGAAGAACAGAGAGATCTCCCAGGACAGTGCAAAGGTCAATGCAGTTGCAGGGTGTGGGGGACACATACTTTTCCCAAACCTCCCAGGAACACCAATTTGCCACAACCTTCCCCACCCTGACCCCCGTTGAAGCTGCCTTCCCCAGAGACAAGATCACCACATCCTCCTTCACGACAGGAGTGGCTTCCAGCTGGCAGTCACGTCTCCTCTATTAACAAGGCTTGGCAAAGGACACATCATCCAGGTGCCAGTGTATGTGCTGGATGCCCCGAGCAGATGGCTGGGCGGAGTGAGCCTTCTCCACTGCACCCTCCTCCTACCAAGACATCAAGCTCATGGACAGTCTAGTTGCACTGGGGGCAACACCTACAGGAAACCTTCCTCCTGACCCTGGAGAGACCACTTGACTGGATCATGCCGTCTCAGCCCCAGGGGACAGCTGGGTCCCTCTTCTACTGTGGTGGGGGGCCTGGCTGAGACACCATTAATCATCTATCACCTCTGCTCCTTCAGCTAGAGGTCCTGGGGGGTGGGAATGGGGACTCTGATGAGCTCTACAGGGACAGAGACAGAGACCTTTCCATTAGGTTGGTGCAAAAGGAATTGGGGGTTTTGCCATTACTTTCAATGGCAAAAATCACAATTATACTTTTGCACCAACCTAACACTTCTACAAGCCCACACCTGGCACACAGTAGGACTACTCAGGCAGATGCTTGTGAGATGGGAAATAATGGAGAAGGCCTTTTCTGGCAAAGGAGGTTGAGGTCCCTGGACACTATCTCCCAGGACATCACTCTGTGGTTCCAAGAAGTGCCCCTGTAAATGGTACCTGCTAGAATCTAAATCCATGCCAATCCTTCCCACTGTCCTTACCACCCCCTTGTTCCCAGGTCAAGCTCACTGTATACAGAAACACCATAACCTGCCACCCAACAGCCTTTTCCAAACTGGCAGGTTCCCCATCTGGTTTGCTCAGAGGGAGGAACGGATGGGAGGAAGTAAATTGCCAAGATCAAGGGCATGCCGGGAGTTCTGCAGACGAGACCCTCTCCAGCATCTTCTCTCCCCTGAGTTCAGGGAGAAACATACCCAGACCTTACACTTCACTAATGCCCTCAGGGGATGGCCCCAGGATGCTGCACCGGGTTCTTCCTTCCAGGTTTTGGCAGACACACAGCCTCTGCTGGTACACATGCCAGCAAGCGTGACCAGCCTGGAGGTGTAATATAAATAGCCTGCCGCTGCCCATCAGCTCCTCCGCCCCCTTGGCATTAGTTCCAAACCTTCACCTTCTTCTCCCCCAGAGAGAACCAGCCAGCGGGGCTCTGCTGGGCTCCACCTGCCTCCTCACCAGCAGTGTGACCTTGAGCGGGTGACTTGACCTCTCTAGCCTCAGGCCTTTCCATTGTGAAATGGAATCAGAGCACCTCCCTCTTGAGTGGTTATGGGGATTACATCAGTTAAGGTCCAGGAAGCATTTAGCACACTGCCTGGCATTTGGCTAATGTCAGAGGGGGTGCAGCGGAGAGGACTGGAGCGATGACAGCAAGCAGCATTTCACCTCTGCACTTGGAAGGAAGTTGTTAGGTTTACTGGCTGCATCAGTTAGGTCCCCTTCCCTGGTGTGGTTTGGACAATTCCCACACACCCAAGGAAGCCAGTCCGGCTGCCTGGGAAGATCCCTGGCCTGGGATTCTGAGACTCAGGCTCTGCTACCAACATGCTGTGTGATGCTGGGCAACTCACTTGCCCTCTCTGAAGTAACTTCCCCATCTGCAGAGGCTTCTCATATCCTTGACCTCTTACAGAGTTAAGTTGTCTTTCACACTCCAAGGTTCACAGCTTGAGTCCCATTCCAGACTCTCACGGGGACTCAGCTCCGGCCCAGCCATGGCTCAGAAGCCTTGAGTACCCAGCCCAGGCCACTGACTGATGAACGCAGGTGAGGGTACCGCCCTTCACTTCTGGCCTGTCTGGCAGAGGAATTTACATTCTTTTGAAACCCATCATATAAACAGGTTTCTCGACAAGAAAATATTTATTGAATGACAGTAACCAAAACAATACAGGGTACTTGGCAAAATGGGGGTTTTTGCTTCATTCAGATCAAAATCTGATCCCAGCTTGGCCTCTTCTCGCTGTGTGACCTTGGGCAAGTCTCTTCACTTCTCTGAACTTTGTTTTTCCCACACATTAAGTGAGGATGACAATTCATGTGACATGAGATGGTGGCAAGGCTTAAGTGAGACAGTCCATGTAAATGCTTAGCACCTGGCACATAGTAGGTATTTAACACATGGCAGCTATGATTGGTTGGTATTGTTATCACCAGCCTCCCATCATAAGGCGGAGGACCTGAGGCCATCAGCCATGTCTGGTGCCCGTTTCCAAAGAGCTTTGACAACACACAGACACATATTCCTCTCAATCCTCCCGCCCGTGTACCTTCCAGCTGGTGCAGAGTGGAGTGCGGCTGTCTGGTCTCCCAGCGGCCAGGCAGAGAGTGAGCTCACTGGGGGAGGCTCTGCCGCCATCCCTGGACTGGTCCCGCAGCATCCATGCCTCCGGCCTTTGTTGGGCAGCTGCAGCGTGAGCCGCACTGTCTGCCCGTGAAATGCGACTTTTGGAAAACATACATATTTGTGAGTTGGAGCATGTTTCTATTTTGGGCCGACACTGCTCTCTTTATTTATTTTCCCTGGGCTTCGATGCTTTGGAATCTAGCTTGGAAGGGTGTTTTGACAGACTTTGACACCTCTCCCAGCTCCTTTGGCAAGACACCATGCTTGGGTAGGGGGAGGGCAGACAGAGAAGAAGACGATTTCAAACGACAAGCCCTCTTCCTTGGCTAGGACTGATGGACAATCCCACACCCCTGCCTCACTGTCCCAGCCCTCCGTTTCTCCACATTTGGGTGTGGGGAGGAGTATAAGAGGGGTTCAGGTGGGGAAACCATTTCAAAGAGGGGGAAGGGAACCAAAAAGGCTAATCACTGAGCTCTCGATTTTAACAATGCTAACATCATTATCAACACCTATAGTATTGTTATTGTCAACCATCACTACTACCACCCCACCATTTTGGGGTGCCTACTTTTATTGCTGGCAGTGGGCTGACTGATGGCCCTTAGGGACACCACCTCCTTGCTCAGCATCTCATTTGGCTCATCTGTGAAGGCTATTTTTGCCATCCCCAGCTCATAGGGCTATGAAAAGAGGCTGCTTAGCCACATGGTGGTGATGGCCATCTTCCCTCTTGGCATCAGAGCCTGGCCAGCAACCAACTGCCCATGGGCAGTCTACTTGCTTGGGTCCAAGGACATGAGGCTGATTGCAAAGCCCCTACTCACTGGGCAGGACCTCTAAAGCTGCTCTCAGCTGTTCCCTTCTCTGTGGCCATTTACAACCAGCCCAGTGTCTGCCACTTGGGAGGAAGGACCTTAACTCAGACAATTCCATCCACCGCCTTTGAGGACTAGGGGAATAGGGGATGGGGAGGATGGGGAGACGAGGGAAGTATGTCTATACTAGCAGAGAAAGGGGCTTAAACCATCCAAGGACCTGGCGATCATGAGATCCAGGTTTAAATCTTCTATTCATTCATTTGTCCATTCATTCATTCATTCACCACACATCTACCAGCAGAACCAGTGGTATATGCAGAGGATATATAGACAGTAGAAGTAATGCCTGCCCCAATGAAGATTGCACTTCAGCAGTATGACCTCAAGAAAATTACTTGACATCTCTGGTCCTATTAAGGAAATCATCTAAACATCCCTCACTCAGGGAACAGGATGACTTCACTAGTGGTGGGTGCTCTAAGGAAGGGGAAAGGTAGGGTAATCTTTGGGGTTAGAATCACAATTTTCAATCCCACCCACACTCAAGAGACTCACTAGAGAGTCAATGTTCCAGATTATTAGGGCCAGAAAGTGACCCTACAGGTCACCTCAGGCAGTCCTT
This sequence comes from Homo sapiens, assembly GCF_000001405.40. NCBI lineage: Eukaryota > Metazoa > Chordata > Mammalia > Primates > Hominidae > Homo > Homo sapiens. The sequence goes on along the minus strand of NC_000001.11, from coordinate 11,481,671 downwards.
TAACAGACGGGAAACCTGAAGCTCAGAGAAGGGAAGTAGTTTGCCCAAGGGCAAACTGGGAGTCTGTGGTTAAGCTCGGACTAGGATCCAGGTCCCCTCACTTCCAGTCCAGTGCTCCTTCCACCACACCATGCTGGGACTACTCTTCTTTCAACCCAGTTTCTGGATTTGAAGGACAACAGCAGGAGAGGTGTCAAAGGGCAAGCCAGGTCATGGCTACCAGATCTCATGGCTAGCCAGATCTCGAGGGGGGTTCCAGAATGCTTCACCCAAAGTTCTTGGCCCCTTGGAGAGATCACTGGGGCTCTGTGGCATCTGGCCCTAGAAAACTTCCTGGGGAGGGGAACAGAAGCTGCTGAGGCCACGGTGGAGGGTCGTCAGATTTCCAAAGAGAGAGTAACGGGGACATGGAACCTGCAGTGAAGAAGGCAAGTCTGAGAGAATGGAGTCAGCTCCCCCTAAGGGTCAGCTGTGCCCACATCCCAGCAAAGACTGGGTCAGACCCAGCCTAAGGAAAGTTGGGGAGAGAAGTGAAGACAGTGGGGAAGGATGACTGGAAAGACCAAAAAAAGAGGGTGCATGTGCGTGTGTGTGTGTGTATGTGTGTGAGAGAGAGAGAGAGAGAGAGAGAGAAACCTGGGGGAGGGAACAGAGCAGGGAAACAGAGGGTACAAGCAAAGAATGCGGACCCTGATTGTACATGTGTGTGTCTGGACTAAGGTTAGAGAAAGAGGAGTGAGTATTGAGGTAGAGAGCCAAGCAAAATGGACCCTGGGCTGAAAATGGAGATTCTGTAAGGCACCTGTCCAGGCTGGGCTTCTGCCTGGAGCTTCCACCGAGCCACAGCCTCCTCCCTCCCTCCAGAAGATCCCCTGGTCCCCTGGCAGGTGTAGTAGTAGGAGGTGGGGAGGGGGTGTTTGCTCTAAATCCCCATGCTTCGCCCATAGGAGCAGGACAGTGTGTGTGTGTGTGTGTGTGTGTGTGTGTGTGTGTGCACGCGCGCGCTGGGGGTGGAAGTGTGTCTGTGCTTGGGAGTCTGAGTGGCTTTGTGAGTCACTGGGCATCGGTGAGAACACCAGGTGGTGGGCTCTGGAATCTGGGGCTTAGTCAGTGAGTCCGGAGACAGCAACCTCGAGTGCAGAGCGGGGGCGAAGATGCTGCCCAGGTCCACGAACGTGTGTGCTTGTGAGATCTGTCCGCCCACGTGCGTGTGAACCGTGGGTCTGCGTGGATTGTGTGCGCCTGAGGATTGTGGGTGGGTGTGTACTTGCGCGAGTGTATGTGTGTGGACTGTTTTCCAGTGGTCTGTAGATATGTGTGTGCGCATGGATGGGTGTGAGTGTGCGCGTGGACTGTGGGTGTGCGCGGGCTTCTGAGTTTCTAGGGCGGCCGCGAGGCGCTGTCCGCGGTGCTGACCCGGGGAGTGGGCTGACGGAGACCTGCGCGCAGTCTCGCAGTGAGTGGGGGACAGCGGGAAGCTGGCGCCGGCCGTGGAGCAGAGGCCGAGAAGAGAAGCCCCCAAGGAGGCGCCTTCCCAGCCCTGCTGCCGGCCTCCCCAGGGAGTTGGGAAAAGTTCTCCCGGCGGTGGGGTTGGCTCCCGGGACTTGGCGCCCCTTGCGCTGGGAATCTTTCCCGACCCTCAGCGCCGCCACTGCCCGGCTGCCCACTCCACCTCCACCCTCGTTCGCGTTCTCGGCAGAGCCTGGGGACCCTCGCGCGCGCGGATCCATCGCTGGCCCGGCCCGCCCCAAGCCCCCACGCGCCCTCCCCGGCCGGACCTGCAGCCAGGTTAATCGGGGAAATGTCCCTCCGAGAGCACGAGTACGCTAGGTAGGGAGTGGGTGGAGGGGGTCATTAGCCTTACTCTGTCCCCTCCCTCCGCTCTAGCATGGGCGAGAGCCCGATCCAAGGGCGGCTTCAGACTGACGCTCAACTTTTATGGACCCAGATATCCCTCAGAGGGGACAAGCAGGGGCCAGAGGTCGGAAGCCTTGCCGTTCCTGGACATCCAACATCCAACTCCCCTTGGCCGACCAAGAATGCTGCAGTCCCGCGGGGAGATGGTGCGGAGCTGGGGCCCGGTCGTAGAGGGCAAGCTTGGGTTCTGTCCACCCCTGACCGTCTTTCCCGGGGGGCTCCGAGGCCCGCATCCCGGGCTGGCTGGAGAGCGAGAGAACTTCGCGCGCGGCGCCAAGCAGGTCGGGGTGCGGACGGCGCGGAGGACTTCCCCCTCCTCCTAGCAATGCATCCCCCAGCCCCGAGACCAAGCCCGGATGGCGCCCCGCGGCCGTGCACTCACCTCGGCCGGCCGAACGGGGCTAGGCTGAGCCGCCGGCGCGGGAGAGAGTGCGCAGAGGGTCGGGGGGCGGCGGCCACCACGCTGCGCAGACTCGTCTCCTCGCGGAAGTCGCAGGGGGAAGCTTCTCGGAGCCGCAGGAGGCTGGGGCTCCCCCTCCGCTCCAGGGCAAGCAGACCGCGGGAAGCTGCGCGCGAATCCCAGTCCTCAGCTCGCAACCCGAGCACTCCGCTCCGCCGCCGCCTTTTATTCGCCGCCCGCCTTTGTTTGGGTCCGGGCTCCTACCACGGGTCGCGGGGGTGTCCGAGCCAGGCTCCGGAGCCGCGCTGCCGCCCAATCCCTGGCGCCTCTCGGGCTCCGCGCCGCCGCGCCTTGAATCAGTGGCCGGCGAGACCCTGCGCCACGCCGCGCGCTGCGGTCTCTGGGACCCGCTGTCTGGCGCTGTCTTCGCCGCCGCTCCCCCTGCCGATCCGCGCGGTGGTTCAGCCCGGCCCTGGCGCCCGCGGGCGGGGGAAGCGCAAGGCGCAGCGACCCCTGGGGGTCGGTCCCCGCCCCTGCAGACGGTCCGGGCCAGGCACCACCCCCCAGCCCCGCCTCCGAGTTTCCTGATACCCAAGTCTCTCCCGGGCCCGCGCTCCCGCTCCTCTCCAGCCAGCCCGCCCAGCCTTGGCAGGTCACCAGCCTCCTGGACACTCGCGGGCATCCCCGGGCGCCCTCCGGAGGGAGCTGCCAAGCCCAGGCTCCTGGCGCCGTCCCTTCCTCGTTTGTTCTTCATTTACCCCTCTGGCACCAGAACCCGGAGCCATACCAGCCCCTGGGACCGGGCATCCCTCCAGCTCTAGCACATGACCTGCCTGACACCCCTAGCCAAAGGGCCACAAGGAGAAAGAGCCTGGGGGAGGGGGGCAGGCCAGTACCCTGGCCCATTTCTCTCCATCAGGGCTCAGAGAGCATTGGCATTGGTGTTGCCCAGGGAGAGTGAAGTGGGACCCCTCAAAAGGGGGCCAGCTGCCAGCCCCCAGCTGCAGGGTGGAGGGATGTCAGTGACGGAAGCCAGAAAGGAGGGAGGCCATTGCCATGCTGTGTGAGGGTGAGCCATGAGCTTGTCATTTGTCCTGGGTGTGTGCCGACCAAGGACCTGGGAAGATAGGGCAATGGTGAGACACAATCCTTGCCTTCAGGAGGTTTCCGGCTTATGGGAGAGAGAAGAATATGGGAGAGTTATGAATGAAATATAACAAACCCGGCCAGCCAACACACTGATGCTGAACCCACAGCAGCCCCTCCCCATCCCCAGCCCTTATTTTTAAAAGAGGAAAACTGGGTGAGACGCACCTCTAAATGTCAGGGTGCTGAGTGGATCTCCTGTGCTGTTCACCTGCTGCTCCTGCTCTGTCTCTCTGCTGTACAGTCCCTGGCTGGAAGCTGTACCCACTGACTGGCTGTCAACTAGACGCATTGGTATTTATGACTCTGGGTGCCCTGAGAGCTTATCTATGCAGAAGCAAATGGCCTGAGCCAGTGTCCCTGCCCTGGCACTCACTCCCCATGTGCTCAAGGTCTCAAGAGAGCCATTGCCAGGTTGGCCAAGTCTGTCAGAAGACTCCCAATGGCTCCATCTGGCCTTAAAGACATTAGAGTTGGGGGCAGTTCCTGGGGTGAAGGGTGCCACTGTGAGCTGTAAGGGGAGAAAGAGACAGGAGATCTCTCCCGAGAAGTAGAGGGTGTGAAAATTGCTGTCCCAGGACCAGAGGCCAAATCTGATATGAGTACAGAGGACCAGACTTGGCACCACCCTGCAAACTTCTAGTCCCATTTGCCATATCCTAGAGGGAGGGCAGAGAATGAGGAGCCATGTGAGAGGGTGGGAGGAGGGAGAACAAGGAAAAGATTTGTTTTTAAGGGAGCAATAGAGAGACACAAAGTGTGTTCCCAAGCCCAGCTGAGAGCAAAGGGTTTTCTTGGCTGGGAGAATGGCTTGATTATTTTCCGTTTGTTTTAAGGCTGCTTCTAGGAGCCTCCTCAAAGTTCTCCAAGGCTCCAGCACTGTTCCTCTCAGTCTGACAAATCCACCGGCCATCCCATTGGTGTGCCCCATGGTGCTGTGCCACCCTCAGTCCATGCCTGGGGATACAGCTGCCACTCTGCTGGGAAATAGATTTAGTGGGTTTGATATAGGTCCTTGATGAAATTCTCACCACCTTCAAAGGGGTCCTGCTTCATGTTGCCTAGCTGGCCATAGCTGTGGCCACCTTGGCCACACCCTCCTCAGAACCCTCTCTGGCCTCTGGAGACTTCCAGAGGATCTCCAGTGGGGCTGGGCTTGCTCTGCCCTTGGTGGGGGATTTTCTATGAAGGGAGGGTGCAGAGGCAGAGGCCTGTGGAGGGGGAGAGGAGGTGCACGGTGTGGTATCCAGGAACACTGGAAGGATGCAATTTTCCCAGGCCATCAGTGAGGTTTTAAAAATGCAAATGGAACCAGGCCTTTGAAATATGCCTGCCATAAAGGGGAACCGGTGGTGGCAGTGGAGCTGGTGCAGGTGTGGAAAGTCATGAGAATCCTCCTCCTGGGGTTCATCCCCAGGTTTCCTCCCCTTCCCCTGCCCGCGCCTGCTTGCAGGAAGCGTGTTTACTACAGGGGCCTGGGGATGCTGGCCTCACACATCCCTGCCCAGCCACAGGGTACTTCCCTGAAGCCTCCTGTACCTCCAGGTGAGTAGTAAAGATGACTCTGGTGGATAATGATCCACCCAGCTGAAAGGCTGCAGAGATTAAGATTCTGTGTCCCCTCTGGCTCCTTGTTCCAGTGCTGTCTGGTGGAAGTTCTTCCTGGGTCTGATTTAAATGCCTCATGGTGCCGATAAGCTGCTCCCCTTATACTCTGTCTTCACAACTAATTGAAAAGCCTTCTTTGCAAGGGATATGAGCTATAAAGGGCTGCTTTGTCCTCTCTTCCTATCCCTTTATTTCTACTTCTATTTTCTCTCCAACTAGGTCTGAAGCAGAGCCTCTGAGCTGAGCTTCTGATTCTACCTCTCCCAGTAAAGCCATATTTCTGTTCTGCCCCTTACCAGCTGCGTGACCTTGGGAAAGTCACTTCACCTTGCTGAGCCCCAGTTGTCTCATCTATAAAGTGGGGATGGTAAGAATATCTGTCTCATTGCAGTGGTTATAGTTATAAATGAGATCATCTCTGTGCAAAAATTGCATTTAGCACAGTTTGTGGCACACATTAAGCACTAAATACACATTAGCAGTTTCTTCATCATATTGTTACCGCTTACTTGGCAAGTGCTGACCATAACACATCTCACTTTTTGTGACACCCCTCCACACCGCCCCGTGAAGGGGGGTTGTATGCAAATCAAGTCCTCCCACCAGATGGGTGAGCAGCTGAGGGTTGAGCATATGGGGAGGGTTGGGAGTGTTTATCTTTTAAAATATGGTATTAAGGCACTGTCCCAGCACCAGGGAATAGAATAAATGGATTTATAAGTAATCCCCTCTTCAATCTGCTAAGGCATTGACTTTGGCGCTCTTGGCCCCCAGCCCCAATCTCACCTTCTCCAGGAAGCCACTGGGCAGAGTCAGGTAGGCTGGGGTATGCTGGAAAGAGCTCTAGATTTAGGAAACTGGGTTTGATTTTTATGTGTGTCTTTTATTAGTATGACCTTGGGCAAGTCACTGCATTTCTCTGAGACTTAGTTTCCTCATCTGCAAAGTGGGAGTCATAATGACCACTGCCAAAAATATTCCTGCTTAATAGTCTCTTCAGCTAAAGTAGAACACAGATTTATAGGTAGCCATTTGATAATTAGTTCTAGATATAGTTATAACTATATATAGGAAGTGATAATAGGATGATTAATCCCTGTTTCCATTATTTTCAGGGTTGATTGCACTTCATGTGACATAATAGACACAAAAAAACTCAAGGAGCTTGCCCAAGTTCCTGGTGAATGAATTTCTGACTCCAAGTCACATAGAAACTTAGTGGAAGAGCTTGGGTTGGACTCCAGTTCTCCCAGCTTCCAGAAACACCATCCTTCCTCTCCCCAGCGCCTTCCTCCCTGAAGCTCTGTTCAGGAGATGAGCATGAGCTTATGGTTGGGGAAAACATTAGAGGGTCTCATAATTAAAGAGAACAGAGAGAGCTCTGAAGAAGGGCCTGAGGAAGGCTGACAGGGCTAGGCTTAGGGCAGGGGTATTGCAGACACGGCCTGGGGGAGGCTGGACAGATGGCAGCTCTCCCCTCCTGCCTCCCCCAGAATTCTGCAAACAGCCAGGCCTAGCACTCCTTTCTCAGCCTTGCCTGCCTCCTCCAAGAGAGCAGGCATCCTGTGCCAGAGTGAGTACAATCCAAGTTATTAATTGCCTGCAACAATTAGCCCCAGCGCCTGGGCCTGCAGACACCCAGGCTCTGAGAGAGGGAGCCAATTACAGCTTCATCAATATTCACGCTGTCGCATAATCCTCTTCCAACAAGACGGCCCCCTTGTCCCCCATCCACATTTCTAGGGGTCTTTGCTCTGACCCCAACATCTGGAGAAGACTAAATATTGCTGAGTTCTTCAAGAGGAAAAGTCACTGGAGGGGTTAGACCCGAGGGGCTATTAGCATAGCAGAGCCAAGGCATTGGCAGGGAAGAGCAGGATCCTGCCAAAGATCTGGACAGTGTGACATTAGCCAAAGACAGTCCCATTGTTGGGGAGAGATTATAACCTCCAGGTTGAGGGTTTTACGTGGATACCCTGAGGGTTCTTATTGATAGAACCGGCCTGAAAGGAGGTCATAAATACCCAAAAAGTTCTAGTTTTAATCCCAGCTCAGTCACATACCAGCTTTGTGGTTTCTGGAGAAGCCCTTTGCATCTCTGAGCTCATGTCCTGACCTGTAAGCTGGGGGCAGTGGCCACCCCTTCCCATGGAGGAGGATTAAGGGACATGCTTTGCAGGGGCACATAGCAGTACAGTGAATGGTACAGAGTGGGCTGGAATAAATGGCTGTGCTTGTGTTTGATCCAGAAAAAGCTCCAGAAGGAGATCTCCTGACCCCCAGAGAAGTATAGGGTGATGGGGAACAAGGCAGATGGGCAGTTAGGAGGCCAGGATGCTGACCCTAGATTTGCTCTAACATGCTCTGTGGTCTTGGTGACCTTCCATCTTTGGCCTCTTGTTTCTATTTGACAGATGAGTACATGAGCTAGATGTGCTCCAGGGCCCCTCTGACTGTGATCTTCCAGGAGAATATGGGAAGACAGAATGAGTTCAGACTGGGTAGGAGGCCACAGGGAATATGCAATCCCCGATTTTCCAAGGAGGTAAACGGGAGCAGTGGTCAATGTGATGGAACCGCCAAAAGTGTGTGAAGGCAGGCACATAAATAGTTAAGCCACAGTCACACATTTGTTGGTTCTGCGGTGGTAAAAGAAACCACATATCTTTTATCAAAACAGAAAATAAAAGTCATCATCTTGTTCAGAACTCCTGGGAAAGGCTGAGTAGAAGTCCCAGCACAGGCCTTGTCCCTGGGGTGTTTCAGAACCATGGACAGTGGCTGCTGGCAGCTGGGGTGGAGATGAGGGCGAAGGGATGAGGGGCAAGAACTCAGCCACCGAGTTGAGTACTCGGAGGCAGTATGATGTTCAGGGTGAGTGATGTTGAGCAGGTCCAGGTTCAAGAATAGCAGTTACAACTGGCTTTTTTTTTTTATGAGGTCTCTCTCTGTCACCCAGGCTGGGGTGCAGTGGTGTGATCACGACTCACAGCAGCCTCGATCTTCCTGGGCTTAGGTAATTTTCTCAGCCTCCTGAGTAGCTAGGGCTACAGGCATGGGCCACCATGCCCAACTAATTTTTTCTTCCGTAGAGATGGGGTTTTGCCATGTTGCCCAGGCTGGTCTCAAACTCCTGGGCTCAAGCAATGTTCCACCTCGGCCTTCCAAAGATTGATGCCCAGACATAAGAAGTGCTCAGTAAATGTCAGCCATTATTATTATTATTATTATATTTTTAGAGACAGAGTTTTAGAGACCTTGGCCTCCCAAAGTGCTAGGAGTACAGTCATGAGCCACCACACCAGGACACACCTGACTTTTGAGTGCCCAGTGGGGTTGCTTAAACCTTCAGAGGGTAGGGGTCTTCCTCTGTGCCCCCTCCTAGGAATATCTAAGGTTCCTGGTGCACCTACCTGTGTACGGGCTCTTCGTGACTCAGCACAGAATCCCAGCCCCACCTCCCCACTCTGCCCTGCTCCTCTGTCTCTCTGGCTTTGGTTTCCCGGCACAAGTTGCCCAGTGCCTTTGACCACCCCAGTCAGCCTGGCTGGCCCACTGGTGCCAGGAGCCAGGTCAGCTTTAACCCTGGCCACCAAATCCCATCTGAGCCTCAGCAGTGACAGCAAGAAAGAGCTTTTCTGGCATCGTCCCAGTCAGGAATCTGTGCAGCTCTGATGGGCTGCCTCAGTGCCAGCTCCTATTCCGGCACTTTCAGTGTAGGCAGGGTGGAGCCTGTTCAGTGCCAGGACCCCTGAACTGACATGTAGGGCTGGTAGGCAGATCATCAGTGTCCTGGCAGTTAAAATACTTTTTTATGCAGCAAGGGATGCTACTAACAACATCAGCAACAATAATCATTAATGGCTGCCATTTCTTGATTGCCAGATCCTATGTATGTATTATTTCCTTCAAACTCACAACCACCCCATGAAGCAAGTCCTCTTATCATCCTCATTTCCAAATGAGGAAATTGAGGTACAGAGAGTAGTAAGTTGCTACAGCAGGTAGCAACCCAGTCAAACCCACCCAGGCAGTTTGACTATAGCCCAAGTTCTATATGACATTATTCTTCCCATTTTACAGTTGGAAAAACTGAGGGTCAGAGAGGTTGAAAGACATGGTGAGGGTCACAGTAATGGAGAGGATTTGAACCCAACGTTGCTGATGCGGTAGATACTGTTTATCTGCTCTACTCTTCTGCTCTCCATGGAACTAAGTCCCTGTTGGGTGCCCACTCTCAGCACTCCCTACTGTGGCACTGAGGTCTCACCCTAAGTCTAATCACAACTAAACTCATCTCCCTGTTCATCCTTAGGGAAGTCACAGCCTCTCTCTGAGCCCAATCTACCAAGGGAAACTTTCTAAGGCAGAGCTCACATTCCAACTTGAGAATGGCTTCATTTGATGAGATTCTTCCCTGGAAACCAGCAGAGTCATGCCATCCTGCAAACTGGCAGGGTAGTTTCCAGGACCCAGGAGGGCCGAGTCATGCCCATACTTCCAGGACAAGATGCAGGGGCCAGGGCCACTAGCTGTAAACACACCGTGGGATTGGCATCACCTGGCACAAAATGCCAAGTCATCGCCTAGCCTATCATTTCACAAATGGGGAGACTGAGGCCCAGGGCGGGTGAGCATGGTGGTGTGGTTTCCTCCTGACAGTACTGTCCTTTTGGCCACCCCTCCAAGCCTCTGCGCCCTTCCCAACATCCCTGCATTCTCATTTTGCAGCTGGGCACGACAAAGGACAGCTGTTCTTGCTGGCATCTAGGGCCACATCTGGCAGCAGGATGCAGAAGGAATGCATGAGTGGCCTAAATGGCCACATGGGGAGCAGCCCAGGCCAGGACAGCACAGCTGGCTGTGCTTGGAGAGCTGGGCTGGCAGCAAGTCCTCCTCCTCTACTCCTCCTCCTCCTTCTCTTTTTCCTCCTCCTCCACCTCTTTTTCCTCCTTCTCCACCCCTTCTCCTCTTCCTTCTCCTTGTCTTCTTTCCTGTCTCTCTCCCACACTCCCAAACTCCCTGCCTTCTTTCCTTTACAATCATTCCTTGCTTTGATAATGATGACAGTAAACATTTACTGAGTACTTACTGTGTGACAAGGCCTGTACCATCTTCTTTAATCTTCATAACAACCCTTGGAGAATAATCATCTCTCTTTCACAGATGAGGAAAATATAGGTCAGAGAGGTCAGGGTTTGTATAGCCCAGCTGACTTCGATCCCACACTCTCCTGCTCCTTTGCTCTTTGGGGGACAGTAGCACTTCATCACACATGGGGCAAAAAGACCAGAGATGGTGCCATCCATTCTCTTTTGATCTTGGATGTGTTGTTTGGCAGACGCCTTTTTTTCTTTTAATTTTTATTTAAAACTCTAAGCTGATTTCATCCCCACCCCTAGTGTGCTTCATTCTCTGTTCCTTCTCAACCTCTACTTCCCAATGTGTGTACACACAGCCAGGGGTCAGCTGATGGTCAACATTCCACTGACTCAGGAAAGTGGAACCAGACCATCACATGTGGGACCTAAGTTCAGAGGACTTCCCCTGTCCCCAAGGATGTTGTGGTTGTCATCATTTTCAATCCAATCAAAGGGGCGTGCAGAGCAGGTGGCTCAGAATATGGAGTTTGTGGACAGACATACTTCAGTCTATTCATAGCTGTGTCACTTACTGGCTGGGTGATGTTGGCCAAGTCGCCTCAACTCTCTGAGCCTGTTTCCTCACCTGTAAAATGGAGACAACACCTGCCTCAAAGAGCAGCTGTGAGGATCAAATAAGTCTGTGTGTATAGTGTGACCAGCACATAGCTGTCCCCAGGTAATGTGATTGCCCTACTCCATCTCATTGTGGATCTAAATAACTTGGAAAAACATATTCCTTCCAGCCCGTGGGGGCCCCTGAAGACTCATTTCCTAGGAGTTGTTTCCTCTGCCAAATATTTGGTAGGATTTAGATTACAAGGTAATAGCCAACATTTTTCTATGTGCCCTTTGTGTGATGTGCAAATTGCTCATATCATATATAGAGCATGTAGGTTCAGAGCACAAGCCCTGGAAACCAATGATCTGGGTTCAAATCCCAGCTCCGTCGCTTACTAGCTGTGTGACTTTGGACAGTCACCTAACCTTTCTGTGCATCAATTTCCTCATTGTAAAAGGGGCTAATAGAAGTGCCTACATCTCGATGCTGTGCTAAGAAGTTAGGGGGTGCCTGGAAAGTTGTGAGATCGATGCCCAGACATAAGAAGTGCTCAGTGAATGTCAGCCGTTATCATTATTATTATTATTATTATATTTTTAGAGACAGAGTCTTGTTCTTTGGTCCAGGCTGGAGTACAGTGGTGCCTTCATAGCTCACTGCAACCTCAAATTCCTGGGCTCAAGTAATCCTCCCACCTCAGCTTTCCAAAACATTGGGATTACAGGTATGAGACCACACCTGGCCTCAGCTGTATTATTATTATTATTATTATTTTATTATTTTGAGATGGAGTCTTACTCTGTCACTGAGGATGGAGTGCAATGGCACGATCTTGGCCTACTGCAACCCCCATCTTCTGGGTTCAACCAATTCTCCTGCCTCAGCCTCCCAAGTAGCTGGGATTACAGGTACCCGCCACCACACCTGGCTAATTTTTGTAATTCTAGTAGAGATGGGGTTTCGCCATGTTGGCCAGGCTGGTCTTGAACTCCTGACCTCAAGTGATCCACCTGCCTCGGCCTCCCAAAGTGCTGGGATTACAGGCATGAGCCACTGCACCCAGCCCAGCCATATTATTGTTTTGTCTCCACAATAATCTTGGAAAGTGAGGTTAAGTCATAAGTCCAAGGTCACACAGCTAGTAAATGGCAAAGCCCTTTGAACTGGGGTCTGACTGGTTCCCAGGCCTAAGGGTTTCCCGCTGCAGCCTCATGTCTCTAAGGTTCATGGGTCCCACCTGTGGCTCAGCCAGTCTCCTCCAATGCCACAACCCAGGTGAGCTCCTCTTCCCACTCTCATGCTTTCTCTTGTACCTGCCTCAGCTGGAAGCTTGCCCTTTCTTACTGAATTGTTTATTTCTAAAACACACTCCTCCTTAACTCCAGCTGAGTGCCTTGGGGCTTCCTACGCTTGAAACTTGCTCACTTTGCAGGGTTCCCACGGCATGGGTGCCTGTAGAAACCCCAAATTCAAGTCTTGCTCCCCACTGGGCTCATAGGAGACCTAAGACACTCCAGCCACTCCTGCCGGTCACTTGGGGAGTGTCTGTTGCTCCAAGCACTGCATGTCCCCCACCCCACTGCCTGAGGGACAGACACAGCCCTGACATTGAACATGGCACTCAAGGTCTGCTCCTCCTCAATGACGTCTCTCTGACCCCATTAATTGGCAGTCCCTGTCCACACCCCCAGCAGCCCCGACCCGCCTGGCTTGATTGTTGCTCAAACATGCCGGCTCCTTCCTGCCTCCCAGCCCTTCCCCACACCACTCCCTCTACCTGGAGTGCTCCTTCCCTTCTTCCCTACCAGTGGGAATATTACTCATCCTTAGGGCCCAGCACATCCTTTCCATGGGGAAGCCACCCCCACGCCCTACCCTACTCTTTCCCCCAGAGAGCCTTCAATTCTCTCTCCTCTTTGCTCCTGGAACAATTTCACACATCTATTTCTGCATTTATCATAGGCTGATGTGTTTTCTATATACAGTCTGTTGTCTAAGCGTGAGGGTGCATGATGACTCTCTAGGGGGGCCACTCCCCAGGCCAGGGCTGGGGTACGGGGGAGGCAGATCATAAGCAGCAGAGCCAGGCCCATCTACTCCAGGACCTGGCTCATAGGTCTGAAGCTGGGGTCAGACCATATTCTTCTCATTTTAGAGATGGGACAATGGAGGAACGACTCTCTCATGATCATATGGTGCTTCCTGGGGGATGGCTGAACCTAGGCTTCCAACTCCTAATCCTGCAGGGCTCCCAAAGTCCCAGTTTCAGGGCTGGGCTGATCCATACCAGAACCTCTAATCCTCCTCATCAGCTATTGCCACAACAGGCTGTGCTTCTGAATCTCAGCAGCATTTAACAATTAACACCAATAATTTGCTCACAGGTCTAGAAGCTAGCAGGGAGCTCTGCTTCAGGCTGTAGGTAGCTCAAGTCTGCTCCACTTGTCATATTAGGGGCCAAGGCTACCCTGGTCAAGTTCCTTTTCTGGCTACAGCAGGAGAATGAGAGGGCAAGCAGAACCACGCCAACACATCTCAAGGTTCTTCCCTCATTATACCTGCTACCATCTCATTGTCCAAAGCAAGACACCTGACCAAGCCCAGAGTCAAGTGGTGAGGAAGTAGACTAGGCTCACTGTGTGGCCTTGGCAAGGATGTGAACGTGAAATACTACTCCAGGAGAGTGAAGAATGGAGCCCGATAATTCAGTCTTCTATGCTGCATTTATGCTTCCACTTTCTTTCTTACAGATTCAGGTTGACAGCTGGCTGTCCCCCAAAGCCACTAGACAAAGCCCCCCAGTTCCCTTCCCTGCAGCCACTACTTGCAGAGACTGTGGCTCACTCCCCACCATCCCCATCTGAAACTAGCCATGCTGACTGCAAGATGACAACAGAGAAGGAAGGTAAAGAGGACACTCGGGCTCCAAGAGTTGGGTATAAAGGAAGAGTGAAGGACACGTGGTCTGTTTAACTCTGGAAGGGCAGTGAAGGAGATCTCCCTTCATCCCCAGCTTCCAACACTGTCCATTGTCCCAAATCTGAGAGATTAACTTTAGGAATCCCTCAGAGCTTTGAGTCAAGTTCTCATAGGATCACTGCTCTCTGTAGCCTCAGAATGTCAGGATGCAGTTTTTATGTTTTCCTTCCTGCATCTGTTCACCTTTCTTCTAACAGCAGCCCCTCAATTTCCAAAGAACTACCCTCCTGCTTCAGGCCATGTGATTTGGGTGGGGTGCATGCACACGTGACTCAGGCCTAAGCCAATCAGAGTATCCCATCATCCCCTTGACCGCAGTGATGGGTTCAGGGATAGACTCATGGCAAATCCAGGCCAATGAGAACTCAGTTGTGAACTTTTTGTGAAATTGCTGGGGAAGAGACCATTTTTCCTGCAGGACTTGAACCTGAGAGGGTATAGGCTTTGTGTTACCAGCAGCCATCATGCCACAACATCAATGCCAAGAATAAAATAACCATGAACTGAAGGACAGGGAGGCATGACTTGAACTCCTGGATCAAGCTATACCTGAAGTCCTAGTTCTACTTTTGGACTTTTCTATGACTATGAGACCAGGCAGAACATATTTTCTGTTTCTTACAACTAAACTTAGAATCCTTTAATAATAAAATTTTAGATTCCTAGAGCCAAGGATGCTTAGAATCATAAATGTGTTGACTCTCAGAGTTGGAATTTCTTAGAGATTAAGCCTGACTCAGGGAACAAGCGGAGGGGCCCAAAGCTATGAATGTGGAAGAACCACATGCCTTTATGTACCCCCACTAGTGCCGGCACATTTGTCCTGGACCAGAAAGTCCAGCAGGGCCAGGCCCTTGTCTGCAGATCAGCCTAGATGAGCCGGATACAGTGAGATTCGTAATCCCAGCTCATTGTCTGGGCCATGGCACCTACTTGCAGCCCTCCATGGTTGTGTTCCTAGATGCCACCCTCTCATCCAAGGAGGAGATGTGGTCTAAGCTGGTCTGGGACACTGGCCAATGTTGGTAGGAGAGACTCCTTCAAGCAGGGGACTGGGAAGCACAAGGGCAGCTCTGAGAGAGAAGTGGGCAGTGAGGTCGCCCCTCCACAGGGTTGCATTTGGCCTGCAGGGAAGGCTGCCCCAAACCAGACTCCTCTGAGCCAAGCACTGGTCCCAGCAAGCCAACCTCCAGCTTGGCATCATCACCGGCTCCTGCTGGCTGACTTTTCTGAGCAGATATTCCAGGAAAGAGAATGAAGGCTCCTACCTTGCTCTGGTTTTTCCACCTGCACAGACAATCTTTGAAGGTGCCAATGACTGACCTGGCTCCTGGACCACTTTCCTCTGCCAGGGCCGGGGCTGCCACTGGCTCTGTTTCCAACCAGCCCACAGAGCTTCCTGCTTGGCTTCAGCTCCCAGACCCAGCAGTACTGCTGACCTAGCCACTCTGCCTCAGAAGGCAAAGGACTTTTTTGCCTTCAATGGAGGTTCCTGAATGTAATAGACGTGGGTTCTAATTCCACTTTCTCTGATGACTTGCTACTTGCGTAACTTGGAGCCCTCTCCAATAATGGTATGCCTCACTAAACACATGAAATAGGCCTTTGCTCTACTCCCTATTCTACAAGCAAAGAAACCAAATCTCTTTAAGCTCATGACTTCCTTCAACAGCATTTATTTAGCAAATATTGTTGAGCACTCACTAATTTTCCAGCCACTGTGCTGGATACCAAGGTGATTAAACAAGGTCCCGACCCACATGCTGCCCAGTTGGGGTGAGTAACAGACTTGCTCACAGTCACAGAGCACACTGTCATCCCCCTTGCACATAGTAGATGCTCAATGAATGTGTGAATTGGCTGAAATAACTTGGGGGGGGGGCACTGACAAGGAGGAATCATGGGCAAAAAGACAGGGTGATGCAAAGGATGCATCAGGAGAAAAGGAGACGTCAATTTCCAGCCTTGAGGCTGGGTTTGCAAACAAACAAAAAAAATCTATCATATCTGACGCTATTTGCTAAAGATCAGAATGGAGATGAGGGAAATGAGCAGTGGCGGATGGTGTGCTTGGCTCCTGTCTGACAAGCAGCTTGGGGCCTGCAGGGGCTGCGCTTGTACAGTGAACTTCAGAGTGGTCCCCAGGTCCCCCAGTCAGGGCTGGGAAAGGGTGGGAATACTGCAGTCAGCGAAGCATGTTGGGAACACTGGGAACAGGAAGGAGGGTTTGCAATATGAGAATGAACACTTAATGCCTAGTTGAAGCATCTTGAGCTGGGCACAGGGCAGCAGGGCGGGGGCGGGTGGATTTGCCTGTAATCTCAGCTATTTGGAGATGGGAGAATCGCTTGAGCCCGGGAGTTCAAGTCCAGCCTGGGCAAAGTAGCAAGACCCCAATTCTTTAAAAAAAAAAAAATCTCGAAATGTGCCGAGTACTGACAATGATACCAGCAGCTTCTTTCTCTCCTCTGGGACCTTGCTTCTCAAAGCATGGTCCATGGACCAGCAGAATTGGCCCATACACATTTGTCAAAAATGCAGGTTCCAGGGCCCCTCCCAGACCTGCTGAATGTGAATCTGCATTCTTTTCTTTTCTTTCTTTCCTTCTTTCTTTCTCTTTCTTTCTTTCTGTCCTTCTTTCTTTCTCTTTCTTTCTTTCTGTCTTTCTTTCTCTCTCTCTCTCTCTCTCTCTCTCTCTCTCTCTCTCTCTCTCTCTCTCTCTCTCTTTCTTTCTTTCTTTCTTTCTTTCTTTCTTTCTTTCTTTCTTTCTTTCTTTCTTGTTGAGATGGAGTTTCCCTCTTGTTGCCCAGGCTGGAGTGCAATGGCGCAATCTCAGCTCACCACAACCTCCACCTCCCAGGTTCAATTGATTCTCCTGCTTCAGCCTCCTGAGTAGCTGGGATTACAGGCATGCACCACCATACCCGGCTAATTTTTGTATTTTTAGTAGAGACAGCGTTTCTCCATGTTGGTCAGGCCGGTCTCGAACTTCCGACCTCAGGTGATCCACCTGCCTCAGCCTCCCAAAGTTCTGGGATTACAGGCATGAGCCACTGCGCCCGGCTGAATCTGCATTTTTAACATGATCCTCCACTGTTTCTCAAGTTGGGCTGCATGTTAGAATCACCCTGGGCAGTTTAGAAAACACTGAAGCCTAGATGTACCCCCAGAGATTCTGGTTTAATTGGTCTGAACTACCGCCTGAGCATCAGGATTTTAAAGTCAAGCAGGTATGAGCCAAGGTGAGGACCACTGCTTTAACTTCACAGAGTATATTCCCAAACTTTGCCTCATAAGCCCTTATACACCCCTAGGAGCTCAGGAGGGTAAATGGTTATCCCCATTTTTCAGAAAAGAAAATTGAGGCCCTCTACTCCCAGCAGGTTGATGTACAGCAGCAGTTCTCAAAGTGAGGTCCCCAGACCATCAGCAGCAGCATCACCTCGGAGCTTAATAGAAATGCAGACTTCTAGGCTAGGCATGTGGCTCACAACTGTAATCCCAACACTTTAGGAGACTGAGGTGGAAGGATCACTTGAGGCCAGGAGTTTGAGACCAGCAACATGGCAAAACCCCCATCCATACAAAAAAAAAAAAAATTAACTGGCTGTGGTGACATGCACCTGTGTTCCCAGCTACTTGGGAGGCTGAGGTGGGAAAATCACTTGAGCCCAGGAGGTTGAGGCTGCAGTGAGCTGCGTTTGTGCCACTGCACTCTAGACTGGGTGACAGAGCAAGACCCTATATCAAAAGAAAAACCCAAAAGAAAGAAATGCAGGTTTCTGAATCAGCGCCTCTGAATCAGACATGGGACCCAGTGTCTGTGTTTTAACAGGTCCTGTGGGTGATTCTGATGCATGCTCAGATTTGAGAACCTCTGGTATCATAGAAAGAGCCCTGGGTTGGGAAAGGAGATCTGGCTTCTCTCCCTCACTCTGTGTGTCCTTGGGCAAATGATTCACCCTCTCTGGGCTTTCTCCATGTGTAAAATGAGGGGGACATGGGCAACCAGATCGGGGTGCCTCCCTCCCAGGGTGCTCCCATGGCAGACATGGCTAATCCATCACAGCACCGCTTCCCACTGCTCCCTGGATTGACCCAAGAGCCTCTCTCAGTACACTTTCTCACTACTTGATGTCCTCTTCTTCACCTCCTCCTCTGGAGTAATCTTCAGCAGCCACCAAGCCCCAACTCAAATATTACCTTCTCCTGAAGCCCCGCCGATGACTCCAGGCAGGGACATCGGAGCTTCCTTGGAGACAGAAGCACTTCCTACCTGCGTTGTGACATCTCTGTTGTAATCCACCTCCCCCAGGGTACTGTGGCTCCTGGAGATCAGGGACCTCAGGATCCCTAGCACCAAGCTCTGAGTGTGGCAGAGGTAGTGCTCAAGACAAATGAGATTGGATGAAGCACCCAGACTCCTAGTGGTGGGGAGGGCGTGAGGTGTCCTCATGGGCTCCAGCACCCTCCGGGTCATGGTGCCTCCTGTGCTTCCTTTGAAAGGCATATTGGCTGACTTCCCACTTGCCAATCCTCCATCACACAGAGTCCAGCCCTGGTCCTGGCACAGACTGAGAAATGTGGAGCCTGGAAGCTGCCAGGGTGCCCTGCACAGCCTGTCTGGCCTGGTTGCTTCCCAGGAAAGTGGCGGGGAGGGAGAGAGAGGCAGGTGGTGGCTGCATACCTGCGATCACCAGCAAGGAGCCCACAAGCAGGTTAGCCAGGCAGTGACTGCAGTCAGAGTATTGACCCCATCATGCCTGTAATCCCAGCACTTTGTGAGGCCAAGGCAGGTGGATCACCTGAGATCAGGAGTTTCAGACCAGCCTGGCCAACATGGCGAAACCCTGTCTCTACTAAAAATACAAAAATTGGCTGAGCGTGGTGCCGGGCACCTATAACCCCAACTACTCGGGAGGCTGAGGCAGGAGAATCGCTTGAACGCAGGAGGCAGATGTTACAGTGAGCAGAGATCACGCCACTGCACTCCAGCCTCGGCTGGACAGAGTGAGACTTTGTCTCAAAACAAAACAAAACAAATGATCCCAGAGGGCTGGGGAAGGGGCGCCGGGACTGTGACTGTGTTCACACATCGGGTCCAGTTCACGGATGTGGAGCAGCTGTCCTCTCTCCGCGTGCCTACATGGTCTTCATTCGCTGTGCTCACCCCAGCTGGGAAGGAGGAGGGCCCGTTCAGTCTGTATGAACTGTACACGTGCTGTGCATTCAGCCACAAGTGCAGTGCAGTGGGGCATCCAGGAAAGACGCAGTCTCTGCTCTCAGAGGGGAATGAGCAGGGGAAGGATGCTGGTATGTATTGAACATAACTATGTATCGAGCCCTGCGAGAGGGGAACATGCATCCAGCACCGACGGCGTGCCAATCCTTGAGCGAAAGGAAGTGCATAGAGCACCTACTGTGTGCTGAGCCCTGTGAGGGGGTGTGTATCGCATACCCCCTGCACTGGCCCTGAGAGAGGAGAATCCAGTTTCTCCACCTGAGCATGTACTACTATGTGCTGAGCCCTGTTTGGGGAAGGGATGTGTATTTCATACTCCTGGCACTGGGCCCTGAGAAAGGAGAATCCACTTTCTCCACTTGAGCACCTACTGTGTGCTGAGCCCTGTGGGGCTGAGTACATTGCATATCCACAAAGCACCTGGCCCTGAGAGAGGAGAGCATGGGTTGAACGCCTGTTGTATACAAAGTCCTGTGGGAGAAACCTTATACCAGTCCTTCCAGGGAGCTTAGAAAATGGGTTTCTGTGCCTTTGTCTCCCTCCTCTACAGGAATCCCGTTCCTCCTCGACAAAGGCCCAGCTTGGGAGACTAAGAGACTTTCCTGAAGCCACGTAGCCAGCAGGTGACAAAGCTGGAGCTTGACCCTAAGCCCAGCTCTTCCCAAGGCCATCGGGTGAATGACACAGCCCAATTCCAGGCCCTGGAACATGGCTGGCCCCAGAGGACAACAAGATATTTTAACAGCAGAAAACCAAAACCTTCTTCCCAACGTGGCTGCCCTCACCCCATCCCCACTAGCCGCTGACTTGGCAGGCAGGAACCCCTCCCCTGGAGCACAGCAAAACTCGATACGTTATATTTCCAAACTGGGACACACACTGACATTTCTGGGGAGAGAAGCAATCTGGAGGAGCTGCATTTTCACCCTCCCAGGGGAATCTGCACACCATACTTAGTGTGGTGCTCTCCCTCCCACTTCACAAAATAATTGTTGAACAGATTGTGTTGGAAAGAGAATTCCTGGATTATGGAGTCATGATTCTAAATGGCTGTTTAACTGTGTTTTCCTTCATTTCTTTAAAAAAAAGTTAAAATTTAAGTAAGTGAGTTACATGCAAAGGAAATGAGGAGCACTGCGCCCATCATCCCATGGAGGACAGTATTGAGCACCATGGGAGGAAGAGGCCAGGAGGTATCGTGGCTACTAGCGACTGCCTGCTGGCTTTTTGGACTTGCTCCCCACTTGTCTGGCATAGTATCCTTCATTGTCTGCCCCATCTTATACATGAGAAAAAGAGAGCCCAGAGAGTTCTGGGCCAAGGTCACACAGCATTGGAACTCAAAGACCAGTTGGTCCAACCCCAAAGCCGAGCTTTCCTCCTTCCCGTGCTGAGTTAGAGCATTTTTAGGCTGTCTCCTCTTGAGCCCCACTGATGGCTACTCTAGAGTGACAGAGAAGAACCCAGAGGTCCAGAGAGAAGTGACTCCTAGATCACACAGCTTGCAGCAGAACCAGGATTAGGATTCCTACCTGGAGATGCCAGGCTCTGCCTACTATGGGCAGGGCTCTGCCAGAACTGGGTGGGGAGATAGATGCAGGAGGAATCATGGTCCTCCCCTGCCCCCAGGGAGGTTACAGTCTCAGGGATAAGATGAAGGGCCCCAGCATGGTGACATGCAAGACCACGCCATCTCCTTAGTCCAGGACCACATCTCTAGACCCTGGCTTCCCACAGCACCGACGCTCTGAGCCTCACTTTGGGCCCTGGAGCATGGATCCGGGACACTAGGGAAGCTCTCTCTGCCCCTCAGTGCGTGGCCCTTTGAGGAATCCTTCACGCTGCCAGATTCAAATCACAGCCTCTACAGTTTATCAATCACTAGACCTTGAACAAGTTGCTTAACCACTCCGAGCTTGGTTTGTTCATCTGTAAAATGGAATTAACAATGGCACCCACTTGATAGGATTAATATTGGGATTAAATGAGTTAAGGCAGGTAAAGGGTTTAGAACAGTGGCTGGCATGGGGACACAGGAAGTGCTCAATTATTCTTCATCCGAGAATTCGTTTACTGGGCAAGTATGTGCATCCCATGCTGGGGAGGCAGAGGGGAGCCATGGACCCTGCCTGCCTGGAGCTCGTGTGCTTAGGGCCTGGGGAGGCATGGGAAATGGGTAAAGACCCTTGTGCAGGTGTGAGCTGCAGTGCAGGTGAGCACCGGGCATTTAGGGGCCTGGAGGCCAGGGGTCAGTGACGGCTCCCAGGAGAGACGGCAAAGCTTAATCTTTTTTTTTCTTTTTTTTGAGATAGAATCTCGCTCTGTTGCCCAGGCTGGAGTGCAGTGGTGTGATCTCGGCTCACTGCAACCTCCCCGTCCCGGGTTCAAGCAATTCTCATGCCTCAGCCACCTGAGTAGCTGGGATTACAGGCACCTGCCACCACGCCTGGCTAATTTTTGTATTTTTAGTAGAGATAGGGTTTCGCCATGTTGGCCAGACTGGTCTCTAACTCCTGACCTCAGGTGACCCACCGCCTCAGCCTCACAAAGTACTGGGATCACAGGCATGAGCCACCGCGCCCAGCCAGCAAAGCTTAATCTTGATAGATGAGGGGTCGTATACCAACTGGACAATGGTAGGGTCAGGCATCCAGGGAGGATGACAGCACAGACGGAGGCCCAGAGACCAGGAAGAGCCAGTCACAACTAGGAAGCTGCAGGTGCCCAGGATGGCTGGATGGCTGAGGTGTGACAGGCGGTGATGAGAGATGCCACCAGGAGCCTCAGCAGCTGGGATGCATTGCATTCTGTCCCCAAAAAGAAATGTATTGAACTCCTGACCCCCAGTACCTGTGAATGTGACCTTTATTTGGAAATGGGATCGTTGCAGATGTCATTAGTTAAGATTAGGTCTTACTTAACATTGGTTAAGATTAGGTCCTAATACGACTGGAGTCCTTACAAGAAGGGGAGGGACGCAGGGAAGAGAAGGCTGTGTGAAGACAGAGGCGGAGGCTGGAGCCACACAGGCATGGAATGCCAAGGGTGGCCGCTGCCACCAGGAGCTGGAAGAGGCCAGAGGGAGCTTTCCCTTGGGCCTTCAGAGACAGAATGGCCCTGCTGACACCTTGAGCTTGGACTTTTGGCTTCCGGACCTGCGAGAGAATACATATCTGTTGCTCTAAGCCGCCTGGTGTGTGACACTTTGTTACAGCAGCCTCAGGAAGCTATGTCCATGTAGGAAGGGTGGGCACAGCTGTGCCCAGATAGGGAGGGTCTGGCCATGGTGGCTTCTCTGAGTTCCCCTCAGTGCCCAGTGCTCAGCGGCACTTCACAGAGACCCGGCACCCTGCTCCCTGCTGGCGCCCCCACATCAGCCCTGTCTCTGCCCACAGTGCCCCTTCCTCACGCCTGTGTCCATGGCCCAGATCCTCACTGCAGCCAGCTCGGGGCTCATTGCTGAGAAATACGGCTGGCCTTGAGCTGGTGACGGGGCCCGGCTGGACTGGCATGAATCGTGTTTATCGCAAACAGGAAACAAAGGGAAAAAGGAAACAAAGCCTGGGATGAGGGGAGGGGGGCAGGCGGGAGTGAGGGGGAAGTGGGGGCCAGGCCAGGCGCTGCCCACAGAAAGGCCTATTAATTTCCTGATGTTTGCTCCAGGACCGAACAGCCCAGCGCCTGTTGAGGTTTATCTGTGTGGCTCAGCTGTGGAGCGTGCTGCCTGCCAGCTTCTGGGTGCTTCAGAGATTTGCCAGGCCCAGGAGGGGGCAGGAGGCGCCCGGAGCAGCTTCTGGCCCATCCATGACACCAGCCAGGGCTGCTTTTCAGTGCCAGTCATGGGTGAAATCGAGGTACATTCTGCCTGGTAATGAGGTGCCGCAGGCCTCAGCCAGGGCACAGGAATTGCTCTGCCTGCCTGGCCCAGCAGGTGCCCCCCAGCCCAGACTGACCTGGCCTGAGAAGCCAGTGGGGAGGGGAGTGGGGGTGGAGGATAGTGAAGGCAGAGGGTCAGCAATGAGGGAGTGGAGCTTATTGGGCACCACTGTATACCCAGAACCGCGCTCGCTTTGCTGCGTTGAAATAACAGTGTATTCGTTTCTTAGGGCTGCTGGAACAAGTTAACACAAACAGTAGACAACAGAAATTTATTCTATTACTGTTCTGTAAGCTACAAGTCCAAAGTCAAGGTATGGACAGGGTTGCCTCCTTCTGGAGGCCCTGAGGGAAATTCCGTTCCAGGAGTGTCTCCAGCTTCTGGTGGTGGCAATCGTGGGGTCCCCGGCTTGTAGATGCGTCGCCCCAAGCTCTGTCACATCATCATGTGCTGTTCTCCGTCTGTCTACGTCTGTGTCCAGATTTCTCTCTTATGAAGACAACAGTCATTGGATTCATCCAATGGAGACTGGAGTGCAGTGGCGCGATCTCGGCTCACTGCGATCTCTGCCTCCCAGGTTCAAGTGATTCTCCTGCCTCAGCCTCCTAAGTAGTAGCTGGGATTACAGACATGCACCACCACACCTGGCTAATTTTTGTAATTTTAGTAGAGACAGGGTTTCACCATGTTGGCCAGGCTGGTATTGAACCCTGATCTTAAGTGATCCACCCGTCTCGGCCTCCCAAAGTGCTGGAATTACAGGCGTGAGCCACCGATCCTGGCCCAAAGACCCTGTTTCTAAGTAAGGTCACATTCTCAGGTCCTGGGAAGTTAGGACACCAGCATATCTTTTTGGGGGACACAATTTGACTCTTAAGAAACTATTAACATTTCCTGACGGCTTATTTGCTGCCCAGCACTCTGCTATTCATGAGCTCTCTGATTGGATCGTCATAACAGAAATATGAGGTAGGCACTGTTACTTCCCCATTTTATTGATGAGAAAATTGAGGCTCAGAGACAAGTAGCTAAAATGTGGGCAGGTCCCAAATCGAGATCCAGACCTAGGAAGATATTACACAGAGTCACGCTGTGAGGTGAGGGATATAGAGTATGGCAGTCCGGAGCACTAAGAGCATTTAGTAAAGGCATGCAATGCGGTTGGAGAGGCCATGGTGGCTTCCTGGAGGAGGTGATGCGGAGGCAGAGGCTAGGGGGTCTTCCTGGAGGAGATGCTGCCGTAACAGAGATTTGGAGTGTGAGTAGGAGATTGTCATTTTACAGACAGGGAGACAGAGGCCCAGAGGACGGGAGGACAAGTCCAAGGTCACAGTGTTGAGGGCTGAGTGTGGCGGCTCCAGTCTCTGCATCTTGGGGCAAAACAAGACAGGAGCCCTGGCCCCCACTCTCCCTTCTTCCATCCCTTCCCCATCAAAGGGGTCCTGGTCCAACCCTGTTCCCTAGAGAGTGCCCTGGTGGTCTTGGCCATCCCCCAAAGGTGCTGGGGACATGACAGCAGGGCTGGGGCCCAGCTCTGCCACTTCCTAGCTATGCATCCTCGGGTACCTCTTCACCTCTCTGAGCTGCTTACTGCAACAGCAACTGAACAGGATCAAATAAGATGACAGATGTGAAGGTGGTTTGGAACCTAACACCCAGGAAATGTTGCCACTTCTAAAACACTTGAGATCCAATCACAACCACACCTCTCCCCCGACTCTCGCTGGCACACCCAGCTGCACCCACCACCCACTGTCCTGTGCCATGCTCTCCCTCCCCTCTGGGACTTCGCACAGGCTGTGCCCTGCCAGGAATGTCTTCTCCCTGTTCCTGTCTTCTTTGCAAACTCTCAGCTTTACAACATGCTGGCTGGGTGACCCTGGAGGAGTGATGATGTCTCTAGACCTCCGTTTCCACAAAATGGAGATAACTCACGTGCCTACTTCCTAGGCTGCGGTGCGAATGAGATGAGGTTATGTTCTTAAAGCCTTGAGGGCAGTAGCTGGTATTAGTCTGAGAAAATGGTGGTTTCCAATTGAGTGGCTGGGAAAATGGCAGTGGCCCCACTTACACAAACAGGGAGGACAAAATGCAGGGACAGGCAGGGGCAAGGGACAGATAGGAGAGCCAAGAACTTTGGAGCTGACTTCAGAGGCAGGATCTGAGAATAGAACCCAAGGGTCCCTGCCTCCTGAAGACACCAACCATTCCTCTTCCCAGCAGCACCCCTAGGATGGCCTGTCCTGCTTCCTCCAGATAGCCAGTCTTTTGCAGGGAGCTTGTTTCACTCATGCTCCAAAACTCATCTTGGTCACTCTTTTATGAGGACAGTCCCGATCTCTATCTCCTCTACCCCAGCCTTTGCCCAAGACTCTATGCCCCTCCTCTCGCTGGCCAATTTCCAGGACACAGCTCCTGCAAGGCAGCTGTGGACTTTATTTCCGATCCCTAGGCTAGCACGAGACTGAATGTTTCTCAATGAAGCAATGAATGAAATGAGTTCACGAATGACCACGTGGGAGACAGAGCCAATGACAGAGTCAGCAGCCCCGGCAGCCCCCACATGACCGGCATCCCCGCCACTCCTGCCTCTGCCTTCCCTCCATATGCAGGCCAGTCCACACCCTACAAGGGAGGGAGCCCTGGGAGACGGGGGGAGGCTCCATCACTGCTCAGCCCATCACCCCCAGCAGAGAGGCCCTGGCCAGCATGCAGCTCCGTTGGGCACTGAGTCACTGGAATCCTGCCATCTGCACCCTACCTCTTGTTACACCCTCAACAGTGGGGAGACCTGACAGTTTGCAGGGCTACTTGGTAGGTCCTGGGGAGAGGTAGGCCTCACCAAGGGAAGGGTAGCAGCGTCCCAGCCATCCTCGGCACCCCAGGTGCACCGTGTCCTCACCCACTGGGCAGGCTCTTCAGCTTCCAGGGCCCCTGATATTTAAGGAAATTAAGGTCAGGCCTGGCTGCTAAATATTTGTCTAAGCAGAACAGAAAATGGTGCCAGAAAAGAAGGCCTTCAATTCTATGAGCAAATAAATCGTATGAGGGCAAATGGGCTAGGGAGAGGGTGGCGGGGTGGGGTGCACAACTATTTAGAGCAGATAGTATCTCCCCACCTCTGCGGGCTGTCCAATTTCCCCCCTTTATAAAAGCATGGCTCCTTCACCTTGCTCCTTGGGGCGAGGCAGGGGACAGACCTCTTGCAAGCTGTCATCCGTCTTCCCTGGATCCACAGCAGGTGATTCGGGCTGCCCCTCCCCGATGGCTGCACATGGGGACACCCCTGCCCCACCACCGCCCGGTGCAGCCGAGCAGAGGAGCTTGGTCTCTGAGCTGAACTGGGCCTGAGTCTGACTCCAAGCTCCACCACTGGCTTCAGCAAGCCTAGACCTCCCTGGGCCTCAGTTTCCCCCTCTATATAATGGAGTAAGCTAGTACTGATTTCCTTGAGTTGTTGTGAGTGGGAAGTGAGATGCCTGCTCCCGTGCATGATCCATGGGAATGCTCCCGGGGCCAGCAGAATAACGGCCCCCCAAAGACGTCCATGTTCAAACCTCCAGAACCTGTGAATATGGCGCCTTGCGTGGGAAGGGGGGGATCCAGGTTGCGGATGGAATGAAGGTTGCTGATCCAGTGACCGGCCTTGAAATGGAGAGATTATCTGGGTGGCCTAGTGTCATCACAAGGGGAATGTAAGTGGAAGAGGGAGGCAGGAGAGTCCATGTCAGAATGATGTGGTGTGAGCAACCCGACTGGTGTTGCTGGCTTTGAACATGGAAGGGGACTGTGGCTGAAGAATGTGGCAGCCTCTAGAGACTGGGAAAGGCACAGAGATCAATTGTCCCCTGGAGCCTGCAGGAAGGAACACGGCCCTGCTCACACCTTGACTTCAGTTGGAGTGAGACCCATTTCACACTTCTCACCCCCAGAACTGTAGGGTAGTAAATGTGTGTTGTTTTAAAACACCAAGCTTGTGGTCATTGTTAGAGCAATGGTAAGACGATGGACAATCACCACTATCGCCTCTAAATAGTCACTCAAGGAAAACATGTTGATTACATGGATAAAAATAACTGGCCTGGGCATCAGGAGTCTTGGAGTCTAGTTTCAACCTTGTTCCCAACAGGCTGTGCTACTGAGGCATCCCCTCTGCTCTCTGGACTCAGTTTGCCCATCTGGAAACTAAAGAGTTTGGATTACAAATGCTCTTCAGGGTCCCTGCCTCCCAACTCTAAACGTTTTCTTCTTATAATTGTCCCTCATAAGGGCTTCATGCCCCACCCCCAACTCCCCTCCTCTTCTTTCCACCTGCAATCTGCTTCCTGCTCGAGGGCAGGGTCCAGGCTGGGACTGGCGGAGCCGGCAGCTCCCGGAGGAGATAGTTAATAAAGGCGGGAGGAGGAGAATCAATGTGCGCTGACAACCCTATGACAGATTGGTGAGAGCGACAGATTTAATATCCTGCCGTTTTCCTTCCCCAGCCTGGGGACCAGAATTGATTAAATAAATTAAAGCTCTGCAGCCTGCGAGGCTCTGGGTAAGGTCGTCTGGTCCTCCTGCTGTCACCATCCAGCTGCACGGCTCAGCCTGCCGAGGATGGAGTCCTGAGAAGCACGGTGCCTCGTCTTCTCTGCTGGGACCACACGAGGGTGCAGATGAGCCCTGGGCCAGGTGGGAAGCGCGTGATGGGACGGGGAAGTGGGGAGGAGAGGGGGAAGACAAGAGGCAAAGAGAGGATGGGACTTTACGGAGCACCAGGTATAGGGGTTGCAGCCGTGAGCTAGGCGGCATGGAGCCTGCTATACGCAGGCTCGGTCAGGGTACGTGCCCAGGCTGGACAGAGCAGACAGAGAGAGCCCTTGGCATAGACCCAGGACAGCAGAGAGGGGAAGGGACTTGCCCAGTGAAATTTGAGGCCGAACGGGAGCTGAGCCCCATATTCCTCCCTTTAGGTCCACTGAGCCCCTCCCCGGTACACCAGGTGGGCCTGCATTGACCTCCCTAGCCTGTTCCTGTTCCAATTTCTCCCATGACTGGTTCATGGAAGGCAGGCTCCTGAGCCTGTAGCATTTGGAGTAACTCCGGTGTTAAAAATGACAGCAGAATGCATCCTAAGGCTCAGCTGAAATGATGGGCTGTCCAGGCATGGTCTGCATCCCAGCTCCCCTCCTTGTGTGCAGAGCTGAGAGCTACTTGTAAGGCGGAGGAATATCCATGGGTCCCTCTCCCCTCCCATCACCCACAGCCTTGGCTTTGAGTCTCTCAGCCATTGACAGTGGCTGGTGGTGTCTTTCAGTCATTTTCCTTCCATAGTGCTCACTGCTATCATCCCACTTGAGTAGAGGGCAGATCCCCACTTCCCAGATGAGAAGACTGAGGCCATAAAAGGGGAGCAGCTTGCACAATGTCATGGTTGCAGCCTGAACTGGAGCCTGGGGTGACTGGCAGTCTCCCAGATCAAAGCTTGTTCCACATCAGGGGAAGTACAGAGGCTGGCTGGGGGCTGGGCTGGGGCAGAGGCGACGGTGGAGCAGGGGCAGGTTGGGGATACAGTGATGAATTTGGCTCTGGCTCAGGGACCACCCTACCCTTTGTATTCTGCCAAAGACATCACCAGCTGTCTTCAGCCTCTGGAGTCAGATGAACCAGGGTTCAAGTTCCAGCTTTCCCACTGATGTGGCCCTTTGGACAAGCCATCAGCTCCTCAGAGCCTCAGTTTCCCTGGCTGGAAATGAGGCTGGTGATGATGAGGCCACCAACTCCCTGCAGAATGACCTGTCCTGGGCCTTGCTACAGGTGACAGAGCGGAGACTGGAACTCAGGCTTGCCCATTGCTTGCCTGAGCCTGTGATGCCTTCATGTTCAGGGAGGATAATTCCTCCGCATCAAGTCCCGCAGGGGCCAGGCACGCAGCAAGCGCTCAGCAAGCGTCAGCTATGCTCAGATTTGCAGGCAATGTCACACCTACCAGTGTGACATTTTGCACCCGAGCCCTCAACCATTTTCTGGGATTCAGTTTAATTCATGAGTTCATTCAATACAGAGTCTGAGATGTTAGTGGAGTTCACCGTGTAACCCTTCCCTTTTTCATGAGGATTTGGTCAGCAGCACCCAAGACACATGTCCCAATCACTGAAAATCTCATCGTTGCAGAGAAATGACAAGAGGTGCTCAGGACTCACGGTTTGAGCCACCTGGATAGGGCTCGCTTCTCCTCCGTCAGCCCACGATGCACTTGCTTTGCTCATGGGGCTTGGGCTGACTGTGGTTCTTCATTCCCCGTCGAGCCAGGTCCCCTGTCTTTCTGGGCCTCGATTTTCTCTCTGTTGCAATTGAGTTGGAACATGTGGAGGTGAAAGGCAGCCAGGTGCTTGGTGAATCCCAAGCACAGTGTCCACACTCAGCCATCAGCTTGTCCCGAAGCCAGCTCCTCCCTGAGCCCATGGGGCAGCATTTCTCCCTTGCAATTAATTCTTGCTCCAATTTAAACCCTTCCCAGGGAATGCTGAGCAGGTGCCCTAGGAATGAATGAGTCCCAGGAAGGAAGGGAGCAAATCGGGGCGAGGTGATGGCAGGGTTGGGGGAGGGGGGCAGCTGGGAAGACCAACGGTGGGCACTCCAGGAGGGTGGGGTTCCTGTGTCCCATTTTTTTAGCTCCTGCTCTTGAGTCCAGAGCCAAATTCATCATCCTCCTCCCAGCCTGCTTCTGCTCTACAGTTACCCCTGCCCAGCCCCAGCCCCAGTACAGCCAACTCTTCGCTTCTGTGCTCCCTTTTTCTCCAAATGCGCCTCCCAAAAACAATCTTCCAGGTGTTCAAGATGGAAACACCCATTGTCAAGGTTAACAACAGCAGTAGTAATAACAGCTCCCCTCCCCAAGCACGCACAGGCCGAAGGGTGAACAGGCACGGTGCCAGGTGTTTTGGACAATCATGTCCTTTCATTCTCACACCGCTGAACTGGTAGATGTGACTTTGCTGCCAGTTTGCAGAGAAGGAAATTGAGGCTCAGAGAAGAGCCTCCCTGTGAGGCAGAGCTGGGGATTTGCACCCAGGCCCACCTGGCTCCAGAGCTGGCTCCCCATCACCTAGGGGGGCCCTTCTCACAGCACCTACAACTCCCGGCCTTCTTCTCTCACCTGGTGATGAGTCTTTTTTTTGTTGTTTTATTTGTATTTATTTTATTATTTTGAGATGGAGTCTCGCTCTTTTGTCCAGACTGGAGTGCAGTGGCATGATCTCAGCTCACTGCAACCTCATCTCCCAGGTTCAAGCGATCCTCCTGCCTCAGCCTCCTGAGTAGCTGGGATTACAGGCACCCGCCACCACATCTGGCTAATTTTTGTATTTTTAGTACAGATGGGGTTTCACCATGTTGGCCAGGCTGGTCTCGAACTCCTGACCTCTGGTGATCCGCCCGCCTCAGCCTCCCAAAGTACTGGGATTATAGGCGTGAGCCACTGTGCCTGGCCGTGTCTTTTAGATCTTTCCTCCCCTACACCACCCTCCCGCTTCCCCAGCCCCAGCCCCAGCCCAGGCTCTCGGACTCTCCTGGGACAGTGCCATGGTCTGCCCTGGTCCCCTAGCCTCTTTGCTCTACCCACTCAGTCACTGTCCAGCAGAGGCTTGTCCTGGCTGGGAGGGTGCAGAGCCCAGTCTCTGCTCATCATTGCTCCAGAGCTGGGCCACATAGGACAAATGGCTTCACTCCCAGGGCTCCAGTCACCCCATCTATACAATGGAGGAAACTCGTCCCCCCGCAACACCAGGTCCATGGAATTCACCTGCTCCTACTTTGCTCAAAGGTGCCACATATGCTGGTAATAGCCTTGACCAGCCCTGAGGAGCCCCCGCGAGGCTAACAGTGAAAGTTGCCACTTTGGAAAGCAGAGAGACTCACTTCCAGCACAGCCTCTGATGTAGGGGATGGGGGCAGGTGAGGGTGGCAGGAGCTGGGGCGTGCTCAGAGGGCAGGAGCGGCCAGCTTGCCGGGAGCAGGCACTGGCAGAGGCTGCACCAGATGGCTCTGGCTGTCCCCGCTCCTCATTAAAGCAGCCGCCCGAGGGCTGCTGCCCACCTGAAATGCAGAGGTAGCTCACCCAGCCCTGCTGAGGGTACTGTGCCCAGCCAAGCTGCTGTCCTTAGATACTTGGCCTGCTCAGCTGTGCCCTGGAGGCCCCTAACTGAGGTCTGAAAGCCAGAGGCCAGTGAGGGCAGGACTGGATACAGCCTCCTCTCTGCATGGATGGGATGTTGACTGAAACCCAGAGAAGACCAGAGACACCGTAGCTCTCCCTCGACTCACACAGCAAATGTCTTGAGACCCGGAAACAGCAGCGCCATGCCAAACCCACCCCTGGAACACTGACCTGTCTGCATCTTCCAGCACCCCAAACCTGGGTGAGGTGTGTGGGGGCAGAAGAGGGGTCTCCGTGATGTAACTATGCCCTTTGTAATAGATGTATATGATTTTTTAAAACTCAAGCAGTGTAAAAGAAAGCAGATAAGTGATCTTCCCGCGAACCCTGTCCCTGTCTCCTTCTTCTTTTTACTGTGGTAAATTAGATGTAACATAAAATTTACTGCTTTAACCATTTTTAAGCATACAGTTCAGTGGCATTGAGAACATTCACACCATCGGGCAACCTTCGCTGTCATCCACCACCAGAATTTTCTCATCTTTCCAAACTGAAACCCTCTCCCCATTGAACACTCACTCTCTATTCTCTCTCCCAGCCCCTGGCACCCACTGTCTCTGTCTGTCTCTGTGAACTTGACTCCTCTAGGGACCTCATAAGAATGGAATCAGACAGTATCTGTCCTTCTGCAATACTGCCTCCGCTCTGCCCGGGTCCCCGTGTGCCCTTCAGTCCCCCTTGTCTCTTTCCCGTCGCAGAGGATCAGGGTGATTCTTCCCTCCTGCACAAGTGAGGCCGCCTCACTCCTTCAACCTCATTTCCCTGCGGCGTGACAGTCCCTGTCCACGGGCATCATGTCATCTCCAGTCCCCCTGCTCTTGTGAGAGCTGCTATGCTCAGGCACGTGGCTCTCTGAGCACGGGTGAGGGTCTCTGCAGGGCGGGCTTCTTGGAGAGGACGTGCTGGATCAAAGGGAGTGTGTGCCTTTTTAGTCCCAAGAGGTACATCGAATCACCCTCCAATGAGGTTGCTGCGGACGCACACCTCCCCCGTGGTGCTTTGGGGGCAGGTAACAGCTTTGGGGAGAGGGCAGAGGGACTAAGGAGCTGAGCCAGGCTTCGCTTCCCCCAGCTTCTCCCTGGGTTTGAGGGGAGCAAGCAGGTGACACCGCATCTGCTGTCCTCAGTGACATGGATCCTTGAAAGCTCTCTGACTCTTGTCCCCAAGCTAGAAGACCAGGCTGGGAAGAGGCTCAGGCCCCTCACCCGTTAGCCCTCAGGTTTCTCAGCCCCCCAGCCACCCCAACACCGCAGGCCTGCAGCCCAGGGATCCTCCATCTGCCACGGAGGCCCTGGCTGAGTTATGGCCTCATTCGTTCCTCTAGCGGATTCGTCCAAGGGTATTTATCTTGGGCCTTTCTTTCCCTGAGATAAACTGAGAAAATTCACAGCCTGCCATTCTCCAAGGCAAGGCGGGAGCGGCGGGCATTGCAGGTCTGGAAGTAAGGCCTAGGGAGGGAGAGTCCTGCGGAGACGGTCAGGACATTGTGGGTTGAGACCTGGGACAGGGTGGCTGATAGGGCTCTGTGCTGTGATGGGGATGGGCCCCGTCCACCTGCTCTGCTCCCAGGCAGATGTCCTCGGCAGACTGTGAGCCCCTCGGAGAGCCAACTGGCAATGAAATAAACTTAGCAGCCACCACCTGCCGAGCTCTCGCGGTGTGCCAGACTCTATATTTACATGTTCTCGCTTCAGCCTCCCTCAAGCCCTGCACCCCCGAAATGATCCCCTTTTACAGAGGAAGAAACGACGTCTGGCAAGGCTGACTCACCAAGGCCACACGGGTGATAAAGGGCAGAGGTGGGATTTGAACCCAGGCCTCCCTGGCTCTAAACCTCAGCTCCCAGCCCCTTTTCTACAAGGGAGCGAAAACCAGAAACCTGAATTCTGCTTCTAGGGTTATTTAGTTTTTCCTTCCCCCCACCCAGACCACTTTCTCAAGGCCAAACCCAACTGCAGATGGGGATGGAAGTTTCTGGATGGTTTTTCGTGGGTCTCCTTGCTTATCACAGCCACACAGCTGTGAGCCTCAGCTGTGGGGCCGGGCACAATCACAGTGAGCAAGGCAGAAGCCTCGTCAGTCCAACGTAATCCACCGATTACGTAATCCAGCAGAAGCCGGGGAAGCTTCTAGAACTAGTCTCTGAGAAGCCCGCTTCAGTCCCCTCTGCACACCACACACCAGCCCTTTTTGCTCCACCCCACAACCCCAACACAACCCTTTTTGTTTTCCAGGACAAGCACAGAAGCACAGACTGCCAATTTCCCTCTTGAGATCTCTCCTGAATTGGGAGGATCTCTCATGAGGTTGGGTCAAGGGATCAAAGATCAGAGACTGTTGTGAATTTCCTGCCGATGAGGCATGGATGCCTCAGTCCTCATGGGGCACGTCTTAGGAGCAAAATCCCTAATTCTGGGGACGGTTGGGAGGCACAGCAAACCATTGGCTGTCTCTGTGGCCTCTCAGATGGCCCAAGTTGACCAGGGGGCGTGGCCCCCAGCCCTCAGGCCGCCCTGTGTCCAGGCCCCATATGCCACTGGCCCCAGGGATCTGCCTACCTCCTCCTCCCTGGCCTTAATCCTGCAGTCTTACAGGATTCATTGCTGACAATAATTAGGTCTCACAAGGATAAAACCCAACCGAGTCCGAAGCCTTCGGGGCCAGTATTAGCACGCTAACTCGTTTGTAGTTTAAATATTAATGTCAGAGTGTAATTACTACCCCTTCTGTCGAAGGCAGTGGTTTGGAAACAGTTTTAGCCCAGCAAATGGGATCCATCCATCCTCAATGGTGATGTGCAGCAGGAGAGTTTAGCATTCCGGAGAGTTCTGGAGCACTTAGAACTCGGGGCATTTAGAACAATGATTACAAATGGGCAGCCTGTGGCCCCAACCTGGCCCACATACCTGTTTTGAAATATTGGTCTGGCAGGGCGTAGTGGCTCATGTCTGCAATCCCAGCACTTTGGGAGGCTGAGGCAGGCGGATCACTTGAGGCCAGGAGTTCGAGACCAGCCTGGCCAACGTGGTGAAACCCCATCTCTACTAAAAATACAAAAATTAGCCAGATGTTGTGGTGGGCGCCTGTAATCCCGGCTACTCGGGAGGCTGAGGCAGGAGAATCACTTGAATCCGGGAGGTGGAGATTGCAGTGAGCCAAGATCACACCTTTGCACTCCAGCCTAGGCTACAAGAACAAAACTTCGCCAAAATAAATAAATAAATAAATAATAAATAAATAAAAATTAAAAAGTTGGCCTGCGAGCCATTTAAAAAACAACAAAAAATAGATGTGTATAAACCTAGATTTATAATTTCTCTTGAACAACAGGGACCTGAAGCCATGCTGGGCCACAGTCCCACAGGGTATCAGTGGGCTGTCCTGAGTAGCAGCTATCCCCTGGAGACAGGCATCCACCTCCAGCTTACCACAGTCCTCACCACTCCCTATTGTACCACACCCAGCCCACTTTGCCCATTTGCTGCAGCTGTCTGGGCCCCAAAGGCAGTGGAAGGTGCAGCTCCTGGTTCGGAATTTGGAAAGATTAGAAATAAAGAAGGTTGGAACTGCAGAGCTAAGAACTAGGACCCAGGAACCCCAGAAGGACACTAGCTCTTGATCTAGGAGAAGGGGCATGCCTGGGGGAGGAGTGGCACCTATATTCCCCTGTCCTGCCCATTACTAACCTCCTTGGCATGGATCTTGGCCAACACCAAAAAGGCTCCAGAAATGGAGCCTCCCCACCAGAGGCCACCTGGAGAGAGGGGCGGGGTGAGGAGTCTTGAGTCTTGCGGGCATTTTCAAGGGTTATTCTGCCCCTAACTTGCTACCACCACTGCCATCATGCCAAAGCCTCCCTACCTCCATGAAGTGTGAGAGCCATGGCCCTTGGATGGGGGCAGCTGTTGGGTGACCCTGGAAAGGTCCTGTGGCTGCCTAAACTGCTCATCTGGACAAATGCATCTGCTTGACCACTTCACCCAGGGCTGAGGCCACTCAGATGGAAGGTCACCCAACACTCTCCTAAGAAAGGGGCTCTGTGGGGTCCAACACAATGTGCCATCTATGGAAGGGGTTTGAGTGCAGCAGAGAAAAGCTCTGGAGTTAGAGTGAGAACAGGAAGCAAATCTCTGCTTCTCCTTTTGCCAGCTGTATGAGCTCAGGCAAGTTAACTTTTCTGAGCCTGTTTTCCTAATCTGTAAGTGACAGAAATGGTGCCAGCATCACAGAGGTGCTGGAAGGAATGAATTAAACCCCAGGCCCAGCATTCAGCATGGTGCAGGTGCTCAGCACATGCCGGACAGGATCTGCTTAGCTCAAGTCAGAAGAATAAAGGCGTCGTGCGAACCCAAGAAATACCAGGGTAGCGGAGGAGAGGCTGAGCTGGGGTGGGGGTGACAGAGAGAGTGTGAGAGGTGGTGGAGAGAGGAGCTCGGGACAAGAGGACAGGAGGGGTCCCAGGAGCAGGGGCTGTGCTGCGTGCCCCATACAGGCTCAAAGGAATCAGGTTCACAGCAAGATACCTGTGGTTGCCAGGGACAGAAACCCACCTGTGCCCACCTGTGCAAAAGGAGAATTTATTAGGCAGTTTTAAAGGTGCCTCATGGGACCAAGGGCAGGAGTGGAGGTAGGGGGTGGGGGCTGAACGGCAGAACAGCAGGACGAACCCACCCACCCCTTGTCCCCAGTTCTGTAGTTCTGCCTTTTATGTGAATCTCTCTGTGCTGTCAGCCTGTCTCTCCCGGTCCCCGTCACTGGGCCCTCATGCTCCTTCTGTCTGTCAGTCTCTATGTCTCTCTCTGTCTCTGCCTCTCTGACTCTCTGTCTCTCTGTCTCTCTCTGACTCTGTCTCTCTGTCTCTGACTCTCTGTCTCTCTGTCTCTGTCTCTCTGTCTGTCTCTATCTCTGACTCTGTCTCTCTGACCCTCTGTCTCTTATCTCTGTCCCCCTGACTCTCTGTCTCTGTCTCTCTGACTCTCTGTCTCTCTGACTCCGTGTCTATCTCTGACTCTCTGTCTCTCTGTCTCTGACTCTCTCTCTGTCTCTGACTCTCTGTCTCTCTGTCTCTGTCTCTCTGACTCTCTATCTCTGACTCTTTGACTCTCTCTCTGTCTCTGACTCTCTGTCTCTGTCTGTCTCTCTGACTCTCTGTCTCCCTCCCTCTCTGTCTTGTGCTCTCCTGCCCCTCAGCTCGCAGAGCATCCCTCTCCTCTGACCCCTTGCCCACTCGGTTTTGTGCCTTCTCTCCACCCACTAGCCTGCCCTTTGTCCCAAGCTGAGAGTCAGATGAGGTCACCAAAGTCTCAGCTTTGCACTGCACCCCAGTTCACCCCAGTCTGCCCTTCAGAGACAGAGCAGAACCTCCCGGGGCCTGACTGCCCACCTCTGTAAGGAGGCTGTGGGGCCTGCCTGGACTGGTACACACACTCCTGATCTGGCTCACCTCCGAGGCCGGGCAAAGCACACCCTCCTGAGGGACTTAGCACTCAGGTGACGGCACAGTTCGCAGAGAGGACGGGCTGGGCTGGGCCAACCCCCAGATGTATCTACTCCAAGGGCTTGAGAGGCTGTGGTTGGGGGCCAGCGCTAGCCCCTGACTGGTGGTTAGCATTGGAGGCCAGGATTTGGCTGGCAGTGACCCTGGCATACCTAGGGTACCCTAGGGCCAGCTGTCCAGCCATGACTATCAGAGTTGACATAGGGATGCGGCACTCAGAGCTAGAGAGAGTGTCACCCCCACCTTCCAGGGGAGTCAGTGGGGCATATGGGGGCTCCTGGAGACATCAGCACCCTCATGGCCTGACGTGGGCCCAGGCAGCCCTCTGCCCAGGCAGGTGGGATGGCAAAGGGGATGGCAGGGACCCTGATGTGTGGCTCAGTGAATGTTTGCTGAGTGGTTCCATGAGTGAGTGGGAGAGTGCGGGGCAGAGTCACGGATTTTAACCGATCCAGGAGGGAGGGAGCATGAGGAAAAGAAGATTGAGCAGAGGAGAGGGAGCGGGGGCCGAGGGACTGGCTGGGAGTACCAAGGAGGCAGAGAGAGGAAGGGAAGGAAGACAGCAGAGAGGAGAAGGAGAGACTGTAATTCATTCCACTTCATCTCTGTTCATTTTGGACAAATAGAGCAGAAACTGCAGACCAAGGAAGGAGGAAACAGGGCATGAAATTGCACTGTGCCTTGTAATAGCTCTGCCAGCCAGGCAGCCTGGGGCTAATAACCCACAGGGTCAGCCCCCACCCGTCCAAGAGCTGTGGGGTGGGCACTATAACCCCCAAACCGGGCAGCCATGGCTGCCTGGTTCCTACCCCAGGGAAGCTTCTCTCCAGTCACCGACCTTCCTTGGCCTGAGTGGCTGCAGAGCCAGGAGGATGCTGGGAAGCCTCAGAGGAAGACGCCCAAGGAGCCGGGGAAGGGACCTCCTTTAGACATCAGAGAAAATCTCTGGGAATTTAAGGGATTTGTTGAATTAATACAACCTGGATTTAGATGATCAAAAGCATTTCTTGAGGCAGCTAGATGGGAGCCACTGGAGGCTTCTGGCTGGATATGGGCTGCAGGAAACCTTCCTTTCCTTCTGCAGGAGCCTGATGGGATATGGGGTGGAAGAGGGTTGGGCCAGCTGGGGTCTCAGAGAGGGAAGAAAGATCTACAGACTTGAGCGGGGCTGCTCCCCGCTGCCCTGCCCAGGCTGGTTGGCTGGGGCTGTGCCCATCAGCAAAATGTTTAGATACAAGGGAGAGGTTTAGATATGAGAATGAGTTCCTGGCTGACAAACGCCGGATGCCCAGCTTCCCAAGGAGGCCCACCAGGAGGGGTGGGATGATGGGAGAGCCTCCAGGTATCCATCTCCCCGCTACCAGATTTGGGCCCAGACAAATGGCCTGGTGGGCCCCCAGCCCAGGCATCTGATCCTTCTGCTTAACCTTTTTAAAGTTCCCTATGGCTTAACTTTCTCCAGCTCAGCTTCAGCCCCAGTGCTCCCCTCCCTAATGGGCCCCACCAGCTTTGAAATAAATCACATCAAGCTACACAGCAAGTGCGACTGTAGAGTGAGTACTCGCTACCTCCCAGATGCTGTGCCTGGGATGCTGTGCGTTGGCCCAAGATGCCATCAGCTCCTTACAATAACTCACATATGATCATCACCCTCATTTCAAAGACAACAACTCTGAGACACAGAAATGTTAAGAAAGTTGCCTAAGACTCCACAGCAGAAAGTGACAGAGTCAAGAATTGAACCCCAGCCATCTACCCCGGAGTTCATGCTCTTCCCCTGGGCTGGTGGGTTGGGTGGTGGGTGGAAGAGCTGGCTCATGCTGGTGAGGTGAGCTGGTGGGTTGATGACAGATGTGGGGTTGGGTTAGGCTGGTGGCTTGGATGGGTGGGTTGGGTGGTATGTGGGAAGGTGGTTGGGTAAAGGGGTTGGTGTGTTGGTTTGGGTAGATTAGGACTGGATAGCTGGGTGGTTGGATAGGATGAATGGATGTGGGACTCATTGGCCCTAGAGCACAGCATGAATTCCCTAACCTCCAAATCTTGCCTTTGCCATTCTTCCCACTGAGAGCCCCCTCCCTCCACCTCTCCCTTTTTCTCACTCCCCACTCAGGGCTCAGCCAAACTCTTGTACCACCTTATGCAACCAGAGCAAAAAGCAAGTTCATCCCTCCAGCAGCCTAGGCCATTCCTGTGGGCACCACTCAGCTCACACCTATCATCTGCTGTCCCCGGCCACTGTTACTTCTGCTTAACAAATGAGACTGGAAGCTCCTGAGGGCAGGCAGCATGCCATATCCATCGCAGTATAGGCAATGGTGCTTCTTTGTGCAAGGTTTGTGGGGAGCAGAAGCAGTGGCAAATCTCTGGCCAGGAGAAGGAAATGTCGGGGCTCCTGTCCACGGCCTCCCTGCCATTTGTCCAGGACCTTTCAGAGGGTCCCCAAGACATAGTAGTGTGAGGACCCTTAGGCCATGGCTCAGAACTGCCACGTGTCTCATTCCAGATTCCTCCTCCATGGGGCATCATCAGCTACGTGCCTCCAAGCTGCAGAAAGTGAGCTCGGCTACAAAAGCCACACAGGTTGGCATGCAGCAGGGACATGGCCTGGGACAGAGACAAGAAGCTCCAGGGGCTCCTATCAGCCCCAGAGACCAGCGTGGAAGGCAGAGCCTGGGACAGGGGACTTCTAGGCCAGAGTTTCTGGCAGCCTTCCATAAGGCCAGCAGTCACCCGACCCTGGCTAGGTGGGGCCCCTGGCTCTTCATTCTCCTCTGCTGGTGACATTCACTGTGGCCCCCTTCCTCCATGCTGCCACGATGCCCCTTCTGTTTGTTTACTCTCTTGTGGGGACAGTAGGGGGGCATTGGAAGGAGAACCAGCCTCCCCATATCAAGGCAAATACATTCCCAGTTAATTGGTATTTGCATGGCAAATCCCGAGTAAAGACGTGATCATTTGCATGTTCTCAGAGTAATGATATTTGGTGTTGTCAACTTATTACAACCTTAATCACCACTCAATTTCCTGCTTTCCAAGCTCCCAATCACGCTGCCACCCAAAATAACCACCTCTTTGAAACTCATGCAGAGCCCCACAGGGAGGGAGCCATGTGGGGATCCCCAAGCTGAGGGGGCTGCGTGACATCTCAGCTCTTCTATGGCGTTTCCTCTTCTCCCTTCCCCACTCCTCCTTCCCTCTCCTCCTCCCTCATTTTCCTCCTCCTCCCTCATCTTCCTCCTCCTCTCTCCTCCTGTCTCCTCTCTTCCTCTTTCTCTTCCTCTGCCTCTTTCTTCCCTCTTTCTCCTCTCCTCCCTTCTCCTCATCTCCTTCCTTCTTCTCCTCCTCTCCTTCCCCCTTCCCTCCTCCTCCTTGCTCACCCACCTCTCCTGCCCAGTGCGGAGAGCCCTCACTTTATTAAATCCACTTGTTGTCAGTGGGAAGCTGAACCAAGAAGCCACTCTCTATTCCAAGAACAGGAAAATAAACTCCCACACAATGGGACAAGCCTCTAATTGGTCGATTTGCTTCCAGGAGCAAGAGGGGAACTTCTCTGCAAGGCTGCACTGGCATCTCACCCAGTCCCTTTACACAAAAGAGAATTACTGAAAAGGATTAATAAAGAGTAACTAATATTTACCAGCACTCCTTGTGCCAGGCGCTGCACGCAGCACTTCACCTAGGCTCGTCGCCTCAGTTCCACTCAGAGTAAAGCCAAGGTCCTTACAAAGACCCCTGATGTTCCCTGGTTTGCTTATTTCATGGGATGCTCTCACGCTCTCTGCTCCAGCCACGCTGACCTCAAACACCCGGGGCATGCTCCTTCAGGCTTTGCACTGGCTGTTCCCTCTGGCTGGGCCACTCTTTCCACGGATGTCTGCTTGACCCACTGGGCTGGCTCTCTCCTTCTCCCTGTGGCCTGACCTCCCTGCTTTGATTCTGGGACATGGCTGCTCCATCCCCAGTGAACAGGACAAGCACACGCCCGCGTGTGCGTGCGCACACACACACACACACATGACCCTGCCCTGCCTCCAGCATTCGGAATCCTAGTTCTGCCCTCTTCTGCTCTCCCTTTTAACCCATCTCATCGTCCACTTACTTAATATGCATGTTGTTCACCTCCCACCACCAGGCCAAGGCAGGGATCCTTCTAGAACATATTGGGCACTTGCTGAATATGTATTGCCTGAGTAAAGGAATCTTCATGGTGACCTTAGGCGGTGAGCCCTGGCGGTATCTTTGACAGTGGAGGAAACTGAGGCAGAAAGCAGTTTAGTAACTGGCACAGGGCCACACGGCTGTTGTTAGGTGTCGGGCCCAGGATCTGAACCCAATCTGCCTGATCCCGGAACTGTGCCCTTACCCAGCCTGATGCTGCCCAGAATGACAAGCTTGCGTCCCACCCTGTGTGGCTGGTGTTGGCATGAAGCTGCCCTGCCAGGTCTGATGAAGCAATCCTTGTTAGCAGCCCTGCGTGGGGTCAGACAGACGTGGGTGCCAATCCAGGCTTGCCTCCCTATCCTGAGTGGCTGAGCAGTTACAAAGTCTCAACCTGCCTGAGTTCACTCAGCCACCAAGTGGCACCTGCCTCCCAGGGTTGGGCAAGGACTCAGTGAGCTAATGACTGTCACCCGCTGTGCACAGCAACTACATATGCTAAGTGCCCAGTGGATACTGGTTCCTCTTGCTACCTTTTCTAAGATTCTCATGAATACCTTCCAAGGTTTTGGGTGTGGCAGGGCCACCGACCGGGTTTTCTGCTTGGTGGGATGACCAGGCCAGTGGGTAGATGGAATGTACTGACTGAGGAGTCCATGTGGTGGGACCATGGAGCTCCCCCAACTGATTCAGTGGGTCCCAACCCCAGGGTTGAGGCCCCTGTTTTGTCCCCATCCATGGTGAGGTATGCCCCTGGTGGTCTGCCCATGGTAACCCTAAACTTAGGGTTAGGGTTAGGGTTAGGGTTGTTGGGGTTAGGGTTAGGGTTAGGGTTGTTAGGGTTAGAGTTGCATGGGATTTGCTTCTGGTTATAAAGTTGGTTGACATTACGGTGTCACTACTGTACACATTCCACAATGGGCGGTAGAGAAAGAGGAATTGGACATAATCCTGGGACATACCCATGGAAGGCATAGTTCAAGGGAACACCATGAATTGGGGGTAGGGGTGTCCAAGGAGGATCAAAAGGTGGGAAGGGCTGAACGTGGCTCCTATGGACCGGGTCTCTCCCCATCCTCAAGTTTACGCAGCAGAGCTCACATAGGCAGTAGAAAATGGGCTCACGTGTCCCAGTCTTGACAGGGTTTCTGCACACCCAGCCACCCAACTCAAACTGGATCTTTCAAGAGCTCACGAAGTTGAGGTGGGGATGGGAACCCCAGCGTGTGTACAGGTGTGCAGACAAACCCAGTGTGGTCTGCAAGCTCCCACAGAAAGTGATCACCCCTTCACTGGCCCCATGCGACCCTGCTGGAGATGAGCCCACAGCTTGGCCCAGGGTAACAGGGCCCTTCTATTCTGCTGGCCACAGCTGTGAGAGGATGGAGGTTCCCTCCCAGAGATGCCCTCATGCCGGCAGCACCCGCCCCACACACACACACACCTTGGAGAGCCACAGCCTCTAATCAGAATCGTTGGTAATCAATGGCCTCATTTTTTGCCTCTAAGTGGCCAAGGAAGATGATCGTTAAATACTCATGTAGTAATTTGACAAATCACAGCCTTTTAAACTATCTCAAGGAGGGGAACCTGGGCTTGCACCCAGCCTTGCTTGTTCCTTATAGATTTCTTGAGCTGAATAACAAATCATTTTCAGCTAGCTGAGGAGGAGCGTGGCGGGAGAGGCAGCTTGGCAGCTCTGCGGAAAAGCAGGGAAACAGCCCTCGTGCTGGGAGGGTTTCCCATGAAAGCACTTTGAAGGAAGGAGGTGTTGGGGGGAGTTTGGGGGAGCAGCTCGGAACCAATGAATTAAACATTCACTGATCTCTTTTGAAGCAGCTGCTACCAAAGAGGGGAAATGCTTTAATTAATAAAGCACTGTCGGGGAGAGAGAGCTGTTTTCCAACACACCCCAGGGCTCCGGGAGCAAGATCAAAAAAGCAGATGCCCACCACCCCGGCTGGGGCCGTGCTGGGAGGGGCAGGTGCTCTCTGTCTCAGGGTCTGGGGAGAGATGGCTGGCCAGGTGACTACCGAGCCCCAAGGAGGTGGGGGATGTCCTTTCTTGGCCCCAAAGCCCAGCCCACAGCTGAGGCCACCTGCCCTGGGTGAGACCCCGGAGATGTGGTAGAAAGAGCACTAAGCTGGGAGTCTGGAAAAGCCACTCAATTTTCAGTTCTAGTTGCAGTGTGACCTTGGGTTAGTCATTTCCCCGCTCTGGATCTTGGTTTCCTCATCCGTGGTTCTCAGACTGGGCTCTGGGAAGCCATCAGGTTCCTTGAAGGTATCTCAGAGATGGCTTTGTTTGGGCAGGGGTGGAGCAAGCAGGCAGGGCTCTGGGCCCCAAACCCAGCTTCAGCCAGAGTAGCTTTGCTTTCATCTGCTAATATCTTGAGCTTCATGTAAAATGTCCTTTGAAGAAAGAACACTGCAGGTTTTTTTAAAAATTGAAAACCACTGGCTTAGATGTTTTCTCCTGTCTCTTCAGGAGCCCAGGCCTCAAAGTTGAGTAAGTCTCAGTTGGCCAATCAGCCAGCCTCAGTCATGGCCAAGCACCTAGCTCATGCCCGCTGCTAGGGTGCCACAAAGAAGAATAAGAAGGCTGTACTTTCTTTCCAGGGGGCTTCCAGTCTAATCCTGATGTGTCAGATATGTGGCACATGTGCCATTGTTCCTGACTGTATGCCCATGGCAGGCATTACTAATTGATCACAGTCCTCTCTCTCACAGAGGCCAACTGTGACCTCAAACCCTTTTTCAGCCTAGTGCTCTAGGCAGCCCCTACCAATCAAGTGGCCCCAGCACTTGAAATGACACCTCTCCCTCCCATCTATGTCTGTTCCAACAAACAAGTTTCCCAAAGCACAATGGGCTGCCTCACATGTTTATCCATTCATTCCACAGGTATTTATTCAGCACCTACTATATTCTGGACACTGTGCTATGGCTCCAGCAGTTCTTGTGGATCTTATAGTAGAGAAAGAGATGTATGATCAATGTGTAAACAAGTTAAAAACCAAATGGTTTTTAATAAATAGTGGCACAGACAGTGAAAGTAGAGTGAGCTGAGAAGAAAGGACAGGCTGGCTGCTCTACCATGGTGGACAGGACCGGCCTAAACACAAGGAAGTGGCGTATAAGGAGGTATCCCAAAAATGAGAAGGAAGTGGTCACCCAGAGGTCTAGGGAAAGAGCATTCTTTTTTTGAAGGGGAAGAATCTTTCTCTGTCACACAGGCAGGAGTGCAGTGGCGCGATTTCAGCTCACTGCAACCTCTGCCTTCCAGGCTCAAGCAATTCTTGTGCCTCAGCCTCCTGAGTAGCTGGGATTACAGGCACGCACCACTGCACCCAGTTAATTTTTGTATTTTTAGTAGAGATGGGGCTTCACCATGTTGGCCAGGCTGGTATTGAACATCTGACCTCAAGTGATCCACCCGCCTAGGCCTCCCAAATTGCTGTGATTACAGGAGTAAGCCACCATGCCTGGCCAGAAAGAGTGTTCTTGACAGAGGTTTGAACAGCTGGTGCAATGGGCCTGGGGCAGGACAGGGCTCAGGGTTCGAGGGTTTGAGGGACAGCAAAGAGGTCCCTGGGGCTGGGATATAGGGGAGGAGAAGAGATACAGAGTAAGGTGGAAGAGGCAGGCAGGGGCCGAATCTGTTGGGTCCCATGAACTGTCATTAGGAGTTTATTTGAGTCTAGGAGCAATGGAAGCCATTGGAGGGGAGTGGTGGGGTCTGATTTGTTCTAGAAAGATCTTCAGCAGCAGCTGGATCACTCTCTGCTGTGGGCCTGACAGAGGAGACTTCTTTCCCTAGGGAGGAGTTAAGGAGTTTCTGAGCCCAGCGTGGAGATTCTATATTCTTGCTGGCTACTGGTCAAACCCTGAAAAAGGCTGGATCTCAGTGTCTTCCCACCTCCACTTCTGGAAATTTCTACCTGGGGATTCTCCTCCTTCCATTTCGAAGGCTGTCCTCTGGCCCCCCCTGTAGTGCCCCACCTAGCCGACCCTCCTAGGTCCTCCATGCCCACAGCCTTTTCAACTCTCTCACCCACCAAACTGCCCTGTCTTGCGTCTCCCTCCCTGACTGTCCAGCCAGCTGTCTATGCTGATGTTGAAGGGAGTGGATCACCAGGAGTTGGTTAGTAGGTTACCTGCCCCAGGTCATTCCTGGAGTGGAGAGGAAGGGGGCTGGGAGAGAGGTCC
Source organism: Homo sapiens (assembly GCF_000001405.40). Classification (NCBI taxonomy): domain Eukaryota; kingdom Metazoa; phylum Chordata; class Mammalia; order Primates; family Hominidae; genus Homo; species Homo sapiens. The sequence goes on along the minus strand of NC_000001.11, from coordinate 11,436,736 downwards.
AGAAACACCACCTTCCCCCAAGGAACTCAGACTAGGAGAAGAGGGAATTTGGAAGCAAATAACAGCAAACCACAAATCGCGTTTCAAGTGAACCCATCTATATGTGGGCCACTCTGCAGGTCCAAGCCCATCCCTTCCCAAACCCCACCACACACACTGGGCACTTTCTCCAGCTCCTCTCAACCCAGGGTGTCCACGGAGCCCAAGAGGTGACCAACTGATTACAAGGGGTCTACTACACACACAGTCACGATTGCCTACAGATGAAATAAATAATGTGCCTCGCTCATCTACATAAGAGCATTTTCAAGGGCATTAAGATGCTGTTGTGATTCACGAAGGGAAAGTTGATGTATGCATGTTGGCTGGATTCATAGTCGCTGCCATCATATTGAATGTTCTCAATCAATGAATGAGAAAGCACAGCTAATGTCATGTGGGGCCCCATGGACCAGATGGACGCCGAATGGAGGAGGCTTCACAGACGATGCTCATCATCGTGTTAGGCGGTGGGCAGGAGCAGCTCACAAAGAAACAGGTATAGCAAAGCCCGTGTTTGTAAAGATATAGGAAGAAAGCCCAGGAAAACCACAGCCCACAATAGTGAAAAGGTTTATAGCAATTTTAATTTTTTTCCTTTGTGCTCATACCTTTTCTCAATATTCCACCATGGGCCGGGCACAGTGGCTCACACCTGTAATCCCAGCACTTTGGGAAGCCGAGACAGGCAGATCCCTGAAGGTCAGGAGTTCAAGACTAGCCTGGCCAATATGGCAAAACCCCATGTCTACTAAAAATACAAAAATTAGCCAGGTGTGGTGGCAGGCACCTGTAATCTCAGCTACTCAGGAGGCTAAGGCAGGAGAATCACTTGAACCTGGGAAGCGGAGTTTGCAGTGAGCCGAGATTGTGCCACTGCACTCCGGCCTGGGCTACAGAGCGAGACTCCATCTCAAAAAAAAATAATAATAATAATTCCACCATGAACCTGCATCACCTAAACCAAATTATATAAAAGGAGAGGGGCCCTCAAGGTGGAAAAGATGGGGAACTACAGGGCGCAGTAGGGAATCCATTCATCTTCCCTCGTACCCTACTAGGGGAAGCAGAAGTGAAGCCCCTGGACCTGCCTGGCCCAGCCCCTAGTTCTGGAGCTGGGTGGGTGGAGATGATCACAGGAAATGGTGCAGCAGGGAAGCTGGGGACCAGAGGGCTCCGGGCTTCGGGTAGCTCTGAGGGTGCTCTCAGAGGCAGGCAAAGAGGGCAGGAAACCCTCCGGCCACCATGGGGGCCCTGGGCAGACAGACACCCCCCACACCCACAAGGCTTCCGTGGTGGCTGGCTGTTCCACCATTAATCTCCCTCACACCCAAACTGGCCTTCTTCGGGCATAAAAGCATTGGCTCAAATGACCAGAAAAAAAAGTCCCTGTGTTCTGGTTCCACCCCAGGGAAAGAAAGTGTATATAAAACAGCTTCTTATCGGCGGCTCCGATGCTTTATGCCTTCAAGACTCTTTATTTCACTCCACTGGCAAATTTCTCCCGACAATTACTGCCTTTGACAAGCCTGCCAGGCTGCAGCGGGCAGGCGGGCAGCTTGTCCTTCACATCCTGCCTGTGGGAGACACGGAGCCTGGCCTCCCTTGGGTAGGACAGACGATGGGAGACAGTGGCGGGGAAGCTGCCTGTGAGGCCCGGGCCCTACCTGCTGCTAAGAAGCCAGATGCGGATGTCAGCTTTCTTTCCCCAGACAGACTCCAAGCCTGAGGGTGTGTGAGAGCAAATAGCTGACTGGGATCCCCTGCCCAGTTGTCCCCCAGGAGTGGGAGCCTGGCCTGGCTCTAGATCTCTGGTCCCAGGTGCTGCAGGTGAATGGGCCTGTGTCACTCTTCGTGGGCACTGATGTCAGGCATGGGCCTGGAAGAGGACAGAGAAAGTGTGTTCTGCAAGCAGCCTTGGGAACACCATGGCCAGGCCCCAGCCACCTGCTCTCTTCTCCCTTACAGGCTGGAACAGGCTCCGAGCAGCCTCTATGAGCTGCTGAAGACAGCCCCTGGGGAGCTGGGTGCAGCTGGCAGCCAGCAGCAGGGCCAGGTTGGAACTGCAGGTGGCAGAGGGGACAACAGATGAGGCAGTGATTTGTGATTTCCTGGGTGAGAGGTTCAGCCCTTAATGGGTGACATGCCCTTCAGTCCGTTGTTCTAGGCTCAGCATCCCGGTGATCATGAGCGGAGAATTGCTCCCTCCACCGGAGAGTTCTAAGGCCTCCCTCAGGGGGAGGCCCACCGCCAGCCAGAGGGCCCCTCCACAGCAGCCTGGGATACTGGCCCAGGGGTCCGCAAAGCCAAGGGGGCAACATCAGCTGGTGGAACAGCTGCTTCTCAGGAGGGTTTGCTGCTGAGACACATTGATGGTGTCCCTGTGTGTCACCTCGTACCTAGGCGAGGGACCCCTTTGTGCAGCACACTCTTGTTACAGACCGAGGACTTCAATTCTGGGCCAGTACTGGGCACTTACCTTGATTTATCCCATGCATCGTCTCATATTTAGGGCAGAAGTGACTCATTCATTCAAGACATCTCTGCTGAGCACCTAAGATGCACTGGGTGCTAGGGCTACAATGAGGAGCAAGGCAGACAGGACAGTGGCCCTCCTGGGTCCCATCTCATTTACCTGCTGGCTTCCGGCCTGGCACACAGGAGGTGCTCCCAATAGTTCTTGCTCAAGATGACGGAAACTCATCTCCCTGGCCTCGGCCAATGCATGGCCTTCTCCATTGATCATCTCCTCTGAAGGAGAGGACAGCAAGGCAGACATCGAGATTCCAACTGCCTCCCAACCAGGTAAGTTCTGAGGGTGCAGGGGGTGCATTCAGTTGGCCACTGCTCTATTCCCAGCATAGCACAGTGCTTTGCCCATTTACTCGTGTAGTCAGCAAGTGGATTTTGAGCACCTACTGTATTAGGCACAATTTTAGACGCAGGGGATAATAGACCAATGAACAAAACAAAGTCCCTGCCTGCATGGAGGTTCATTTTTGGTGGGCAATGATAAACACATAAGTAAAATGGGCTGAGCACAATGGTTCACGCTTATAAGTCCCAGCACTTTGGGAAGCTGAGGTGGGCAGATAGCTTGAGCTCAGGAGTTTGAGACCATCCTGGGCAACATGGAAAGACTCTGTCTCTACAAAAAAGTACAAAAACTAGCCAAGCATGGCGGTGTGCACCTACTACTCCTAAATCCCAGCTACTTAGGAGGCTGAGGTGAGAAAATCGCTTGAGCCCGGGATGTCGAGGCTGCAGTGAGCCGAGATCCGCGCCACTGCGCTCCAGCCTGGGTGACAGAGTGAGACCCTGTCTCAAAAAAAGACATAAATAAAAAGCAATAAGTAAAATGATAGATGTTAAAGGCAGTAGATGCTGTGGAGAAAAATAAAGCAGGAAAGGAAGAGGAGTTGCAATCGGGTGTTCCATGGAGTTCAGTAGGGTGGCTAAGAAGTCCTCACTGGACAGGTGATATAGGAGCAAATACTCGAAAGAAATAAGGACATGGGCTATGGGTTTATCTGAAGGCACCCTGAGGTGGTATTGTTTAGGGAACTGCATGGAGACTACTTTGGCTGGAGCGCACAAGGGGGAGAAAGGAGGTGGGAAGGGGCGGAACTTCTACCAGGCTGTAGTGGGCTGAACAGTGGCTCCCAAATGATATGTCCAGGTCCTCATCCTCAGAACCAATTACTGTGACCTTATTGGGAAAAAGAGTCTTTGCAAGTGTGATTAAATTAAGGATTCTAAGATGAGATCATCCTGGATGACCTGAGTGGGCCCTAAGCCCAATGACAAAGGTCCTTAACAGAGAGAGGCAGAGGGAGATCAGAGGTAGAATAAAGAGAAGGCACAGGCGCACCGAGGGGACAGCCATGTGAGCACAGAGAGCATGATGCAGCCACAAGCCCAGGAGCACAACAGCTACCAGGAGTGGGAGGAGGCCAGGAAGGATCCTCCCCTATGGAGAGGGTGCAGCCCTGCTGATGCCAAGGGCCCATTCAGGCTCCTGACTTCATTTGAGAGCAAGTCCAAAATAAAAGTAGGCAGTGGCTCATGCCTGTAATCCCAGCACTTTGAGAGGCCGAGGCAGGCAGATTGCTTGGGCCCAGGAGTTCGAGACCAGCCTGGGCAACATGGCAAAACCCTGTCTCTACAAAAAATACAAAAATTAGCTGGGTGCGGGGGTGCATGAATGTAGTCCCAGCAACTAGGGAGGCTGAGGTGGGAGGATCACTTGACGTCACGCCATGATCACACCTCATGCCACTGCACTCCAGCCTGGGTGACAGAACGAGACCCCGTCTCAAAAAAAAAAAAAAAAAAAGAAAAGAAAAGAAAAAAGGAAAAGAGAAGAAAGTAAGTGGGAAAAGTTTATTGTAAAGTGAAAGTGCACTCAGAGCTGGGTGAGAGTGGGCTGCTGGGGAGCAAGACAGCCCTGGTGACACTGGAGAAAGTCCTTTTATGGGAGTCTTACGTGATTATTCCTGAAGCAGCGGGAACGGGCTTTGCTGTTAGGCACGTTCTGGGTGACCCCTGGAGGCGCATGCCCTACTGATATGCATGCTAGCACATACACGGCATGTCTCATTCACATCTTAAATCTCCATCCAGGGCCGGGCACAGTGACTCACGCCTGTAATCTCAGCACTTTGGGAGGCCGAGGCGGGCGGATCACCTGAGGGCAGGAGTTCAAGACCAGCCTGGATAATGTGGTGAAACCCTGTCTCTATTAAAAATACAAAAATTAGCCAGGTGTGGTGGCGGGCATCTGTAATCCCAGCTACTCAGGAGGCTGAGGTAGCAGAATTGCTTGAACCCAGGAGGTGGAGGTTGCAGCAGTGAGCCGAGATTGCACCATTGCACTCTAGCCTGGGCCACAGAGGGAGAATCCATCTCAAAAAAAAAGAAAGAAAGAAAGAAAGAAAGAAAGAAAGAAAGAAAGAAAGAAAGAAAGAAAGAAAGAAAGAAAGAAAGAAAACAACTCCATCCAGCGGTGTGCTTTTTGCTATTAAAATGAGCACAGGGGCCAGGCGCGGTGGTTCATGCCTGTAATCTCAGCACTTTGGGAGGCTGAGGTGGGTGGATCACCTGAGGGCAGGAGTTTGAGACCAGCCTGGCTAATGTGATGAAACCCCGTCTCTATTAAAAATACAAAAATTAGCCAGGCGTGGTGGTGGGCACCTGTAATCCCAGCTACTCAGGAGGCTGAGGTAGCAGAATTGCTTGAACCCAGGAGGTGGAGGTTGCAGCAGTGAACCGAGATTGCACCATTGCACTCTAGCCTGGGCCACAGAGGGAAAATCCATCTCAAAAAAAAAAAAAAAAAGAAAGAAAGAAAACAACTCCATCCAGGTGTGTGCTTTTTGCTATTAAAATGAGCATAGGGGCCAGGCGCGGCAGCTCACGCCTGTAATCTCAGCACTTTGGGAGGCTGAGGTGGGTGGATCACTTGAATCCAGGAGTTCGAGACCAGCGTGGCCAACATGGTGAAACCCCATTTCTACTAAATATACAAAAATTAGCTGGCGAGGTGGCAGGTGCCTGTAGTCCCAGCTACTTGGGAGACTGAGGCAGGAGAATCACTTGAACCCGGGAGGCAGAGTTTGCAGTGAGCCGAGATCGCGCCACTGCACTCTAGCCTGGGTGACAGAGTGAAACTCTGTCTCAAAAAAAAAAAAAAAAAAAAAAAAAAAAACATGAGCACAGGTCAGCCCAAGGACACTAATCATGGGTTTCTGGGCTTGTGTGAATGTGAGGATTTCCCCCGCTGCTCCTCTCCTTCCTTGCCTCAGGATGTCCTAACCACGAGCCCAGGATACAGCTGATGCACTGTTGGGCAGTTTGTTCTCTCCATCTCTTTGGCAAGTTTGTTCCCCTCTAACGGGGGCTGTGACCACACTACCTATCTAACCTACCTCACTGACACCTTGATTTTGGACCTCTGGGCTCCAAAACTGGGAGAGGATACATTCTGTTGTTTGAAGCCACCACGTCTCCTACAGAGGCCATAGCACGGCTGGAACTTTCACTCGGAGATGGGAATGCGCAGGAGGTTTCGAGCAGAGGGAAGTCGTGAGCCGATGTGTGTTTTACCAAGAGGTCCCCGGCTGCTGTGTCCTGTCCAGCTGCGGGGAGGAAGGTCGGAGGAGCAGGAGAAGGGTCGGGAGGCAACTTCAGGAATCCAGACAAGCATCTGATGAGTCGGTATCGAGTGTTGAAGCAGAGCATGGGGTAGGCACTGTGGGGGACACAAAATGCCCCCAGGACCTGGTCCCTGCCTTCCACAGCTCATTGCCCAGGGCAGAGCATGGAGCAGGAACTGCAAGCTACCAGGTTGTTTGCATGAAGGGACTGACAAGTGGTCAGGTGGCTACTCACAACATAGAGCGCAGGGATTGTTTACAACGTTCCAGGAACATGCATGGCCCCAGCACCTTGCTAAGCGCTTTCTATGCATTTTTCCCTTTTCATCCTCATTAGAATGATAGACGGTAGATAGTGTTATCCCCATTTTGCAGATGGAGAAACTGAGGCTTGCTCAAAATCGTAGCGCTGGTGAGGAGAAATGCTAGAATTTGAATCAGTGCTGAGCCAGACGTGGTGGCTCACACCTGTAATCCCACCACAGGCTGAGGTTGGCAGATCACTTGAGGTCAGGAGTTCGAGACCAGCCTGGCCAACGTGGAAAAACCCAGTCTCTACTAAAAAAGAAATACCAAAATTAGCCGGGTATAGTGGTGCATGCCTATAGTCCCAGCTACTTGGGAGGCTGAGGCAGGAGAATCACTTGAACCCGGCAGGCGGAGGTTGCAGTGAGCCAAGATCACGCCACTGCACTCCAGCCTGGGTGACAGAGCGAGACTCTGTCTCAGGAAAAAAAAAAAAAAACGTTGAACCAGTTCCATCTAAGGCCAAAGCTGTGACTCTCCTGTGGCTGCAGTAGAGGGAGGGTGGTGGAAAAGGAAGGAGAGAAACTCAGCCTAGGTCACCCAGCAATAGGAGGCAGGGCTAGGACCCCAACCCAGGACCTCTGTGGTTCACAAAGCACAAATTCACACTTGTAATTTACATGTCCTGTAAGTTACCTCCTGGAGCAGAAGAAAGCCTGCATGGCTGTTCCAAAGCAGAGGAGCTGGCCAAGGGTGGGTAGAGGGGTGTCTACTCCAAGCACTTGGGACTCAAGTCCCAAGTAGCCTGGGGGTATGGGCATGTGGCCTCAGACAGAGCAGGTGAGGCCCAGCCCACCTTGCAAACCGATTCCCAGGACTGTGGCTGCTGGCCCAAACCATCTCTACCGCCACCAGGCCCAGGCCAGTGAGAAGCCGGGGATAAAGACCCGCAGCCAAGCCAGGAGCCACCTGGGCCTCGATCATTCACATGCGCCCTATCCTGCCACCTTCTCCCCTTTCTCCTGATTAATGTTATCAAAGTGGCCTGAGCAAACTTAGCCACATGTTGGCAGCTCATTTTTAATTGTTTCCAAATACGCATCCTAATGATTATGCAGTCCTAAATAAGAAGCGATGGCAGGAGCGGAGAGTTTGCTCCAGTGACACAAGGAATGAGGCTTTACACGTTCTGGGCAGCTGCCTCAGGGACCCTCGCCCTCCGCCTTCTTGCCTGTGTTTTGTCTCTTCTTGTAGCTGTTCCTAATAACCACATCAGGCCAGAGACTGGAGCAGGGAGCTGACACCTTCCATAAAACAACCGTGGAGATCGGGCCGTGGGGAGGCCCAGCTGATGGGCAGAAGAGAAATGGAACATGGCATAAAAGCGGGCGGTGAGTCCAGCCTTCTGCATGGGGGAGCACACGCGTGGGCCCAGCTGGGTCTTGAGATGACCATGGCTACTGCTGGGGGGCAGAGCACATCAGGTGGGAATGTCACGGGGCAGGGCATAAAAATGGAGATCGTGGACACCGCCCCAACTCCTTCATCCCAGCTTGTTCTTAACGTACACACACACACGCACATGCACACACAGACACACACACCCTCACTAAGCTCACCTGCAGCTCCATCCTCATAATGAACCATCTCATTAATTTCATAAACAGCAGTGAGCCATCGTTTTGAAAGCTTTAGGCCTCCTTTTTTTCTGAGACAGAGTCTTGTTCTTTCACCCAGGTTGGAGTGCAGTGGTGTGATCTCAGCTCAAGAGATTCTCCTGCCTCAGCCTCCAGAGTAGCTGGGACTACAGGTGCGCACCACCATGCCCAGTTAATTTTTTGTGTTTTTAGTAAAGACAGGGTTTCACTATGTTGGCCGGGCTGGCCTTAAACTCCTGACCACAGGTGATCCAAACCAGCCTCGCCCTCCCAAAATGCTGGCATTACAGGTGTGAGCAACCGCACCCGGCCAAGACCCTTTTGATAATCTGATAAAAACTCTAGATTCTCTCCCCTGAAAAATGCACATATACACAAGTCCGGGTGGTTCATAGCCCCCCGAAGCCTATCAGGATCCCCAGGTGAGATTTGAATATGATGCAGTGGTGAAGAGGGTGGATTTGAGGTGATTCATCTGGGCTGGAATCTTGACTCCATCATTTACTGACAGGGAAGGATCTTCGGGCACATTCTGTCACTTATCCAGGCCCCAGGTAGTGCATTTATCAGTGGAGATGGGATGATAGTATTAGTGCCTTCCTTGAGGGGTTGGAGACAAGCTAGATGGGTTCATCTGTCTTAAGTAATTAATACGGGGCCAGACGCATTAAAGAAAAAAAAAAAAGCTCAGGACATGTGGGGTATTATGATAATTAGGGGAAAGGACTTGGCAGAGAAGCATTCTAGTCCTGGTTCTGCACTAAACTGCTGTGTGGCCTCTGGCAAGTTACTGCCCCTCTCTGACCTTCAGTTTTTCCCTCTGTCAGGGGCATTCTTTGATTCTCTAATTTGTCGAAATCAGAGACATAGGGCTACATGCTTCTGGGGTAAAGAGACTCTGCCCCCACCCTCAAGGAGCCCATCTGTCTCTGCCCCATTGCTCAGCTGTGTGATAGGGACAACAGGAAGAGGTGGGGTGAGCTGGGCCAGTCAGGGAGGGCTTCCTGAGGAGGTGTTGCCAGAGCTAGGATTTGTAAAGCAGGAAGAGATGCAGGGAGAGACATGGAAAACAGTATCCTGGGGTAAGTCCTAATGCCCCAGCTTCACTTTCTGCTTGGGATCAGTGCTTTGCCGGCCACAACTTCCTCAACACCCTGCACCCTCCCTGCACATAGCAGGTGCTCATGAAATGCTTGCAGACAGGCAGGAAAGGCACACCTGTGTTCCCAGGTCCTGGTTCCTGCCTCCCTGAGTCTGCTGGTCCAGGCTCTGCACCCTGGGTCTCTCCCACAGCAGAGAAGACCACATTTCCCTGTGGGTATAAATGGTTGCAGAAAGTTATAACTTAATTAATTTAATTAAATTTTCTGTGTTGTATTCACAATGAAAGCTTCAGGTCTGGGGGACAGGACCCTGGAAGATGAACTTAAAACACACACACACACACACACACACACACACACACACACACACACACACACAAACACTTGCTCCACTGCCTGTACCTTGTCTGTAGCCACCTCCCAGGGCTGGGGCCCTGGGGACTGGGTCAGGAAGGCCAAAGGTTTGAGGCCAGGTCGTGGGCCATGGCACCAGGAATGGGGGACCAAACCCTTGGATAAACCATTTCCTTTGTTTTCGCTGGAGGGTAAACCCAGACAAGACCTGAGTCACCCATACAATGCGATGGGGATGGGGTGGGGTGGGTGTGAGGGATAGCCTCTGAACTTGAGCTCCACACCGAATGCATAGCACCTAGATGCATGGCCTTGGTCAAGTCACTCCTTACCCTCTCGGAGCCTCAGTCTTCCCATCTGTAAAATGGAAATGAGTCATGATAAGGACCACAGATCATATTCACAGCTTGGCACAGAGTAGCTGTGTACTAGTCCATTCTTGCACTGCTATGAATGAAGAAATATCTGAATCTGGGTAATTTATAAAGAGGCTGAATTGGCTTATGGTTCTGCAGGCTGTATAGGAAGCATAGCAGCTTCTGCTTCTAGGGAGGCCTCAGGGAACTTACAATCATAGTGGAAGGCAAAAGGAGGTAGGCACATCTTACAGGGCAGAAACAAGAGGAAGAGAGAGAAAGAAATGTGTTAAAAGCTACACACTTTCAAACAACCAGATCTCGTGAGAAATCACTATACAGTACCCAGGATGGTACTAAAACATTCATGAGAACTCCGCCCCCATGATCCAATCACCTCCCACCAGAAACCACCTCCAACATTGGGGATTACAATTCACCATGAGATTTGGGTGGGAACACTGATCCAAACCATATCAAGCTGCTATTATTCTTGCCCCTCAGGTGGAGGGTCTGAAGACAAGCAGCAATTTACTCTTCAGTCCCACTGGAAGGGTGGGGGTGGTGAAGGTAGTGAGAGTTGGGGGAGGGGACTCCTGCTATTTAAGCCTCACAACAACCCTAAGAAGGCCCACTGATATGGTTTGGCTGTGTCCCCACTCAAATCTCATTGTGAATTGTAGCTCCCATAATTCTTATGTGCTGTGGGAGAGACCCAGTGGGAGATAATTGAATCATGGGGGCAGTTTCCCCCATACTGTTCTCATGGTAGTGAATAAGTCTCATGAGATCTGATGGTTTTATAAGGGGTTTCCCCTTTCACTTGATTCTCATTTTCTCTATTATCTGCTGCCGTGTAAGACGTGCCTTTTCACCTTCTGCCATGATTGTGAGGCCTCCCCAGCCATGTGGAACTGTGAGTCCATTAATCCTTTTTTTCTTTATAAATTACCCAGTCTTGGGTATGTCTTTATCAGCAGTGTGAAAACGGACTAATACACCCACGTAGGACGAGGCTTATAGCACAGGTCCTAGACCTTTCTAGGTTCTACCAACCTGAAACATTGGTATTATTCTACTATTGGCAGTAATAGCAACAGCATATACAGGTTACATCCTATCATGAGGACAAATATCTTTGTGAGGGACAACAGTAATCACAAACCTATGATCAGCTCCCCATGCACTGGTACTAACTTGGTGGAATGAATCTGGGACAGATTTTCAGTTGACAAACCCCCCTTCCATGATTCATCACCTTCCACTTCATTTTCCCTTTTATCATCGCTGCCCTAGTAGCTGTTCACCTTCTATTTCTCCATGAAACAGGATCCAACAAACCCTCAGGAATCTCATCAGATTCTGCAAAATCGCATTTCATCCATAGTACACAAGCAAAGATGTCTGAGGCTTAACTCTCCTTCTACTGTGATTACTCCTCCGAGTCCTGTTTTCACCCTGACCTATCAGGAGACCCAGACAGCTACACCCCCAGCAAATCCCCTTAACACACCACCCAACATTTAACCAACGTTAAACCAGAATGATATTTTCTATTTTCCTATGCGATCCCATGCTTTATTTCTTTCTTTCTTTTTTTTTTTTTTTTGGTGGGGTGGGGGACGGTGTCTCACTCTGTCGCCCAGGCTGGAGTACAGTGACATAATCTCGGCTCACTGCAACCTCCTTCTCCTGGGTTCAGGTGATCCTCCCACCTTAGCCTCCCAAGTAGCTGGGACTATGGGCGTGCACCACCATGCCTGGCTAATTTTTGTATTTTTAGTAGAGACGGGGTTTCACCATGTTGGCGAGACTGGTATCAAATTCCTGACTTCAAGTGATCTGCCCGCCTCAGCCTCCCAAAGTGCTGGGATTATAGGCATGAGCCACTGCACCTGACTCCCATGCTTTATTTATAATAAACTAGGAGGGGTTTGAGCCCTTGGCCTGGCTATAGGGTTGTGAAATTAAATATATATATGAATTTTAAAAAGGAGGGTTTATTTTCTATAAGGAGTAACAGCCTGCAAGGTGGTCATCCCAAAGGCTGGGAAGGTGCCTCCAATAAAGGCCATTGATAGTCACTTTGAAAGAGAGGGTGCATTAGGCCATTCTTACATTGTTATAATGAAATACCTGAAACGGGGTAATTTATAAAGAAACAAGCAAGGTTTCATTGGTCCATGGTTCTGCAGGCTGTACAAGCATAGCGCTGACATCACTCAGCTTCTCGGGAGGCCTTAAGGAGCTTTGACTCATGGTGGAAGGTGAAGCGGGAGCAAGCATGTCCCATGGTGAAAGCAGGAGCAGGGGAGTGGGGCATGCACTTTTAAATGACCAGATCATGTGTGAACTCAGAGCAAGAGCTCACTCATCACCGAGGGGATGGCCCAAGCCATTCATGAAGGATTCAACCCCATGATCCAAACACCTCCCACCAGGCCCCCGCTCCAATGCTGGAGATTACATTTCAACACAAGATTGGAGCAGGGACAAATATCCAAACTCCATCAGAGGGGTTCCGGTGGAAGCTTTATGCTGAAGGGGTTGGCGAAACATGCATATTTAACAGGTTACAGGAAGAGCTATGAGTATTTATGAAGGTGGTCCCGACACATGTATATTGAATAAACATGTATGTTACGTATGACCCATGTTCACTTTGGGGTAGAGACTTAACATTTAAATGTATTATAATTAGGCCCTATATGTTGAAAGGTCTTTTTAGGACATGAAGGCTCTCAAGTGTGCAGCCTCTGTAAACCAGCCAGAACCGGTCCGTGGAGGGTGGTCTTTCTATCAGGAGAAAGTTATTGTAATCAGTCTCTTGTCCTTTGAAAGCTGCAGTTATGGCTGGAGGAATAGGGGCTTAGTTAGTGTCTGTGAGCTGGGTGAGTTGTAATTGTCTTAATAGTATTTATCTTGAGGCCAGTGCTTGTTTAGCTGTAAAAAAAAAAAAAAAAAAAAAAAAACAAACCTTGTGGCAGTCAGAATACAGTTTTTTGTTTATTTGTTTTTGTTTGTTTTTGAGAAGGAGTTTTGCTCTTGTTGACCACGCTGGAGTGCAATGGTGCGAACTCAGCTCACTGGAACCTCCGCCTCCCGGGTTCAAGTGATTCTCCTGTCTCAGCCTCCCAAGTAGCTGGGATTACAGGTGCCTGCCACCACGCCCAGCTAATTTTTGTATTTTTGGTAGAGACAGAGTTTCACCACATTGGCCAGGCTGGTCTTGAACTCCTGAGCTCAGGTGATCCACCCACTTTGGCCTCCCAAAGTGCTGGGATTACAGGCGTGAGCCACCGCACCCGGCCCTATAGTTTATTTTTTAAGTGCAGGGGTACACGATTTAACCCCTGCCTGGCATGGCTTTAGGTCTTATTTATAATTTAGCATCTTATTGCCACAAAGAGTCTGTCCTGTCAGTCTTATCATTTCCATTTTAGCCTTAATGCTGGTCAGTATCTAAACCACATAAGGGAAGGAGGTATAATGAGGCATGACCAACCTCCTGTTCCATCATGGCCAATAACTCAGTTTTAAGGTTTTTCTGGGGTTCCCTTGGCCAAGAGGGGGTCTGTTCAGTCAGTGGGGGACCTTGGGATTTTATTTTTGGTTTACAGGGTTATATTAGGGTCCTAACAAAGCCTCTCTTTTTGGAGTCCTTTGTCGATTATGTAGCTTAGACCACGTAACACTGTGTAGGAAAACACATTAGCCTCAATCAAAGCTAACTTGAGACCTTCTGGAGTTCCCTGGTGGATCAGCTTATAAAATGCGGGAAGGAATATCGACCCAAGTATATTCACTGTTCCTGGGTGCGTGGCCTCAGAACTGCAAGGACGTGGCTGGGAACAAGCCCGCTATGGACAGAAGGATGAACTTGGGTTTTCTCGGGACTGAAAGTCCCAGTACTCCCCTCAGTCCCGGGCAAGCCAGGACAGATGGTCACCCTATTTACAGAGCACCGTGCCAGCAGTGTGTGTCTCAACTGAGGCGAGTGTCACACATACCCAGTGGATGAATAGAAAACATAACTTTCTTATTCTGAAATGGACAGGAAGCTGTAACTTGGGTTGAAATTCCCAGTGACAGCAACACACAGGACTCAAAAGGCACTGAGTCTCAGATCCCTAGAAACAGGGGTCTACTGACTCCCAAGATCCAGTGGGGAAGGCCCCAGAAAGGGGTTTGAGCAAAATAATTTCATGAAATGCATTAAATGGAAAAATTCATGTTTCTAAATTAGCACACCTTATTTTAGATATATGGTATTTAATAGACACACAATTAAACTAATACATAACCATGTTTTCCAGTGGCACAGGAAAATAGACATTTGAGTTCTCCCTGGGAAAATGGAGAATCCCTTTCCATTCAGGGCCCACTTGCTGTCTTGGGGGGCTCTTCAGCACCTCGCCTCCCACCCCTGGGTGGCATGGATGCTGTAGATAACTTGGATCTCTTCATGCTGGACAGGAGAAGGGATTCATTTACTCATTCATTCAACAAATATTTGCTGAACATTGTGCACCGTGGACTTGGGACACAGCGATGAAAAAAAAGCTCGCAGTCCCCACTCTCATGCGCTGACATTCCAGTGGGATTCTCAGAAAATAAATTCACGAATAAATGAAACGTGTATTGAGTTAGTGAAACGTGCGAGACAGAACAAAACACAGCATGGCAGAGGGGTGGGAGGCAGGAGTGAGGAAGGCAGGGGACTCTTTTTTTTTTTGAGACAGAATCTCACTCTGTCACCCAGGCTGGAGTGCAGTGGTGGGATCTCGGCTCACCGCAACCTCCACCTCCCGGGTTCAAGTGATTCTCCTGCCTCAGCCTCCCGAGTAGCTGGGATTACAGGCGTGTGCCACCGTACCCAGGTAATTTTTATATTTTTAGTAGAGACAGGGTTTCACTATATTGATGAGGCTGGTCTCGAACTCCTGACCTCAAGTGATCTGCCAACCTCGGCCTCCCAAAGTGCTGAGATTACAGGTGTGAGCCACCACGCCTGGTCTGGGGTTGACATTTTAGAAGGAGGCAAGGAAAGGCTTCACTGAAGAGGGACATTTGAGTAAAGATCTGAGAAAGGGAGGGAACTGGGGCTGAATAGATTTCTGGGCAAACAGAATAGCTCAGGCAGGCGGAGCAGCAAGTGCCAAGGCCCTGGGGCAGGGGCATGCCTAGGGCGTCGGAGGAGTGGCAAGGAAGCAGGCGCGGAGCAAATAAGGAAAGTGGAAGGCCGCACAGTCAGAGACAAAGGGAGAGGCTAGATCATATGAAACCTCACAGGTGGTAATAAAACTCTGGCTTTTATTTTAAGAGAGATGAGAAGCCGTTTGAGGGTTTTTAGGAGAGAAGTCACATGATTTGATTTATGTTTTATAGGATTCCTCTGGCTGTTGGATGGAAAATACAGTGAAGGAGCCAGGGCAGAAGCAGAGAGACCAGTTAGGCAGTGATTGCCTTCAGAGGGTCAGAGGGTTGTAAACCTGGAGGTGGAAAGAACTGACCAGATCCTGGATATATTTTGAAAGTAGAGGCCAGGCAGGGTGGCTCACGCCTAGAATCCCAGCACTTTGGGAGGCCGAGGCGGGTGGATCACCTGAGGTCAGGAGTTCGAGGCCAGCCTGGCCAACAGGGTGAAACCCTGTCTCTACTAAAAATAGAAAAATTAGCCGGGTATGGTGGCACGCGCCTGTAGTCCCAGCTACTTGGAAAGCTGAGGCAGGAGAATTGTTTGAACCCAGGAGGCGGAGTTTTCAGTGAGCCAAGATCGTACCACTGCACTCCAGCCTGGGGGACAGAGCGAGACTCCATCTCAAAAAAAAAAAAGAAAGAAAGAAAGTAGAGCAGACAGGATGTGCTGGTGGATCGGATGCAGAGGATGATGTACTGAGGGGGGTCAAGAACGACTTTTGGCCTGGGCGACTGGAAGCATGCAGTTGCCATACCCAGGTGGGAGAAGAAGAGGTTGGAGAGGGTTTGGGGGAAAGCTCAGAAGCTCAGTTTTGTGTATGCCAGGTTTGAGATGTCTTTAATCCACCAAGCGGAGATGTGGTGTAGGCAGCTGTAGGTGTAAGTCTGGAGTTCAGGAGGCACACTGGGACTGTAAGCAGGCATTCAGGGATTATCAGCATTTGGATGGTGTTTGAAGCTATGAGCTTGGCTGAGATTATTTAGGGAGTGAGTGTAGATAGAGAACAGAAGGTCCAAGCACTGAGCCTAGGGCACGAAACACTTAGAAGTCAGGTTGTTAACCATCTGATCTTTGACAAACCTGACAAAAACAAGAAATGAGGAAAGGATTCCCTGTTTAATAAATGGTGCTGGGAAAACTGGTTAGCCGTATGTAGAAAGCTGAAACTGGATCCCTTTCTTACACCTTATACAAAAATTAATTCAAGATGGATTAAAGACTTAAATATTAGACCTAAAACCATAAAAACCCTAGAAGAAAACCTAGGCATTACCATTCAGGACATAGGCATGGACAAGGACTTCACGTCTAAAACACCAAAAGCAATGGCAACAAAAGCCAAAATAGACAAAGGGGATCCAATTAAACTAAAGAGCTTCTGCACGGCAAAAGAAACTATCAGAGTGAACGGGCAACATACAGAATGGGAGAAAATTTTTGCAATCTACTCATCTGACAAAGGGCTAATATCCAGAATCTATAAAGAACTCAAACAAATTTACAAGAAAAAACAACCCCATCAAAAAGTGGGCAAAGGATATGAACAGACACTTCTCAAAAGAAGACATTTATGCAGCCAAAAGACACATGAAAAAATGCTCATCACTGGTCATCAGAGAAATGCAAATCAAAACCACAATGAGATACTATCTCATGCCAGTTAGAATGGCGATCATTAAAAAGTCAGGAAACAACAGATGCTGGAGAGGATGTGGAGAAATAGGAACGCTTTTACACTGTTGGTGGGAGTGTAAATTAGTTCAACCATTGTGGAAGACAGTGTGGCGATTCCTCAAGGATCTAGAACTAGGAATACCATTTGATCCAGCAATCCCATTACTGGGTATATTCCCAAAGGATTGTAAGTCATGCTACTATAAAGACACATGCACACGTATGTTTATTGCGGCACTATTCACAATAGCAGAGACTTGGAAGCAACTCAAATGTCCATCAATGATAAAAGGATTAAGAATATGTGGCACATACACACCATGGAATACTATGCAGCCATAAAAAGGATGAGTTCATGTCCTTTGCTGGGACATGGATGAAGCTGGAAACCATCATTCTCAGCAAACTATCACAAGGACAGAAAACCAAACACCACATGTTCTCACTTATAGGTGGGAATTGAGCAATGAGAACACTTGGACATAGGGCAGGGAACATCACACACCGGGGCCTGTTGGGGGGTCGGGGGCTAGGGGAGGGATAGCATTAGGAGATATACCTAATGTAAATGACGAGTTAATGGGTGCAGCACACCAACATGGCACATGTATACGTATGTATCAAATCTGCACATTGTACACATGTACCCTAGAATTTAAAGTATAATAAAGAAAAGAAAAAAGAAAAAAAAAGTCAGATTGTTGTGCAGGGGGGCGGAGAGGGAGCAACCAGAGAGAGACAGGAGGAGAAGCCAGAAGCCAGTGTCCTAGAAGCCTCAGGAAGAACAGGTTCAAGGAGGAGACAATTACGAGAGTCAAAGGCAGCCGATGGGAAAAGGACAAAGAGGACCAAGGGTCCAGCATGGAACAGAGTGATGAAGAGGGCATCAATGACCTTGACAAGGGCAGTTTTGATGGAGCAATGCAGGTAAAGCCTGATTGGGTGGATTCAGGAGAGACTGGGCGGAAAGGAATTGGAGACAGCAAGTCAGAACTCTTCCCTGTAAAGGGAAAGAGAAATGGTGTAGCACAGAGGAGAGGAGCATGGTTGAGAGAAGGTTATTTTCTTAAGATGGGGAAAAATCATAGCATGCTTATGGCATTGGAAATGACCCAGGAGAGAGGGAAAATTGATGATGCCAGAGAGTGCAAGAGGAAAGAATCACTGTCCTCTAGTAGGGAGAGGATGGGACAAGGACATAGGCGGATAGCAACCTGGCTCTGGGGGAGCAGGAGCCCTGGGGTCCCAGGTCTGGCTCCCAGGACCTGTCTTTTGATGCTCCTGAGCACCCAGCACAGGACCAACTCACAGATAGTGGGTCAATGGGCAAATGTGAGGCAACTCAGTGTACGTCTTGCAAGAATTTTTAAAAGCAAGCTCTGGACTCAGATAAACTGAGGTGCAAATCCTTATTCTGCCACCCAGCAGCTGGGTGACCTTGAGCACATTTCTTGACTTCTCTGAGCTTCAATTTTCTTCTCTAAAATGAGGAAAATAATGGAACCTACTTCATGGGCTCATAAAAAGATTAAGACAATCATCATGCACATAGAGCTCTGAAAATGGTACCTGCAACGGGCGAAAGTGCTCTGGAGGGGTTAACTATCCTCATTATAAGCAGTTCAATAATTCCCCCATCCAGGCTCATCCAGAGTTTAATAAAATCCAACATGTAAAAGGAAATGAGTGTAGCTATAAAATTGCAATGCACACACCCCATGATCACTCACAATTGCCCTGACTGCTAATGACCCTCAGGCTGCTGCGGCAGTGAGACAGCCCTGGAGGCCACACTGTTCCCAGATATAATGCCCCCCGGCCTCTTCCCTACAAGGAAGCATGTGGGATGAGTGACAGTGACCTTATTAGACAGAGAACATTAAATCTACTCTACTTGATTTTTTTTTATTTCTTTTTTTTTTTTTTTTTTTTTTTTGAGACAGAGTCTTGCTCTGTGGCCCAGGCTGGAATGCAGTGATGCCCTCTCGGCTCACTGCAACCTCCACCTCCCGGGTTCAAGCGATTCTCCTGCCTCAACCTCCCGAGTAGCTGGGATTACATGTATGCGCCACCACGCCCACCTAATTTGTTTGTGTTTTTAGTAGAGACAGGGTTTCGCCATGTTTGCTAGGCTGGTCTCAAACTCCTGGCCTCAAGTGATCCACCTGCCTCAGCCTCCCAAAGTGCTAGAATTACAGGCATGAGCCACCGCACTCGGCTGTATATTTTTTAAGCAAATTACTCACAACGGTTGGTACATCAATGATTATCAGTGGCACATTACTTGAGCGTACTTGCAACTGAACTGCATACGAGGGTGGCAAGTAGACTGCAGTGCTAGTTAGGAGAAACAAGCCAAACACTGGGTGAGCAGAGGGGGCTTATGTCACTTCTGGGAGCTCCAGTCCAGCCTCCTTCCAGGGCACTAGCAGGCCCTGCAGTCCTGAGTCTTGGCAGTCTGGGAGAGGGGGACGGGCCTCCTCCTGAGAAGAGGAGCCTGACCCCACCAGGCCTAAAGAAAACAATTACATTTGCATTTCATTTGAAGTTGAGACAACTGCTGCTGTGGGCTAATGACGAGCCAATTGATTACCAGAAACATATGTGTGGAAGAGGAATCATTCATTAGGCAGGAGTTGCAGCTCAGATGTCAAGCAGCTGTCGGCAGTTCCTGGCCTTTTGGAGTCTGGGGAGCTGCCAGGATGTCTTTGCTCGGGAAATGAGTCCCCAGGATGGGCCTCAGTGTCCCAGGTCTCACTACCTTCTCAACTTCCTCTGTAAATAGGGATAATAGGGGCCAGCTGAGTTCACAGTCAGTCAACAAACACTTAGTGAGTCCCCACTCTTGGCAAGATGCTGTGTCTTAAGATACAGAAAGGAATAAGACACAGCTCCAATCTCAGAGCACTCTGTAGACCTTGGTGAGAGCTGCAAAGCAGTGGGCCCAGGGAGCCATGGAGGCTCAGCGGAGAGGATCCTCCTGGAGACTGGGATGGGATGAGGAAGTTGGGGAAGGCTTCCAGGAAGAGGTGACATTTGAGCTGAGTCCTAAAGAGTGAGGAGGAGTTGGCCAGGAGATGAAGGGCATTTCAAACAGCAGGACCAGCATGGGCAAAGGCTTGGAGGCCGAGAAAGTCTGGGACATTTGGGAAATTGAAAGTGACTTGTTTAGGCTGGAGCACAGGGAGCATGTGAGTTGCTGCGGCTGACGGGCCAGCAGGGGCCAGATCATAAAAGGTGCTATGGACCAAGGGGAGGAGCTGGAGCTTTGTCCCCTGGGCTGCTGCAGATGAGTGACTGGGGAGGCTTCCAGGAGACACACCTGAAGGGTAGCGAGCACAGCAGTACTGCCAGAGGGAAACTGATCCGAGATCACTGCAGGACTGGCCAGAGGGAGAAGCCGATCCTCAATCGTTGCCCCTAAGATCTGAGCTCATCCCGTGAAGGGCTCTGGACCTGGACTGGTCACTACAGAGGTCCCAAATAGAGGCAAGGGAACAGACGTTTGTATAGTTACATCTGTCATTGTCAGGGGGCCTGCAGGGAGGGGTGGGGTAGGGTGTGACATTGATCAAGACAGGTCTATAGGCCAAAGGCAATGCTCTGTGAGGGGCACAGTTTTGAGCTATCAGCAGCTTCTAATTCCAGCAGCTAGGGGTGGGTGCATGCCCTGGAAGAGGGAACCTGGGTGGAGACTGCAGTACCCGTTACACCTTGTGTGACTTGGAAAAGCCTCTTCTCCTCTCTGGATCTCAGGATCCACAACTGGAAAAAAAAAAAAGTTTGGGACCTGTGGTAGGCAGAACAATGTCCCAAAAGATGTCCACATCTTATTCCTGGAATGTGTGACTAGATGACCTTCCATGGAAAGAGTTTTTGCAGATTTGAGCGAATTAAGGACTGAGATGGGGAGATTATTCTGGATGGCCTGGGCGGATCCAGTCTAATCATCCAAGTTCTTAAAAAGGAGAACTTCTTTCTTCTGTGGAGATAGATATGGTCTTCCCGGCTTTGAAGATGGACAAAGAGGAATGATTCCAGGGATTCCAGTGGCCTCTAGAAGCTGGAGAAGGGAAGGAAACAGATTTTCCCCTAGAGCCTCCAGAAAGGTGTGCAGCTGTGCCAACACCTTGATTTTAGCCCAGTGAAATCCATGTCAGGCTTCTGACCTTCAAAACCATTAGGAAATACATTTGTGTTGCTTTAAGCCACTAAGTTTGGGGTGATTTGTTATAGCAGCCATAGGAAACTAATACTTAATCGAAGTCTAGGGGCAGCTCATGAGATCTGATGGATTGCAGACATGCACTACAGACCCTAGACCTGCATCGTCTGTCGAATTTTCTTTAATGATGATTCTGTTCTATGTCTGTGTTGTCCAATACACCAGCCACAGGCCACGTGTGGCTCTTGAGCACTTGAAACGTGGCTAATGCAGCCGAGCAACTGAATTTTTAATTTTCTTTGATATTAACTTAAATTGAAATAGTCACATATGGCCGGTGGCTACTACACTGGACAGAAAGTTCCATTAGACAGCGCAGCTTAGAGGCTGAGGACTGAAGTTCA
The DNA here is from genome assembly GCF_000001405.40 of Homo sapiens. NCBI lineage: Eukaryota > Metazoa > Chordata > Mammalia > Primates > Hominidae > Homo > Homo sapiens. The sequence goes on along the minus strand of NC_000001.11, from coordinate 11,415,382 downwards.
GGGAAGAAACCGCCCGCAGCAAGAGGTCGGAGGTCCTCATCCTCTATTCACTTTGAAGAGTCCAGATATCTGCAGAACAGCTTTCTTTCCTCCACTCCCTCCAGTGGTCTGGCTAATTGGATAAGGACTTCCCCATATCTTTGTGGCCCCTGAAGTCCCTTACAGAGCCCCACTCTCCTCTGCTGTGCAGACGCGGGCAACTTGCCACCTTCGAGAGAAAGCTAAGTGTTGTCTGCAACAAGGCTGTGCCGGTCAGTGGCGCTGTTGGCGGCAGACATCTCAGAGAAGACGAGGCTCGGGCACAGCTGCCCTGGCCCAGGGCTGTCGTCTGTGGTTTGGAGAAAAGCGAGGCAGTTTCTCTTGGAGCTGGGCCGCAGATGGCACCCAGCTCCCAGCAGGGGCTCTGGATTTCTTGGAGCTAAAAGAATGTCCAACATTACTAAGAAGCAGCCTCGTATTCTCACAGTTATCTGCGACCCCTAGGAGGTCAGAGCAGCTGGAAAGGACCTCAGGATGTAACACCCTGAAAGCAAGGTGACACCCTCAGAATATCATTTTTCTGGGGGCGTCAATAGTTTAAACAGACTTTTTTTTTTGAAACGGAGTCTTGCTCTGTCACCCAGGTTGGAATGCAGTGGTGCCATCTCGGCTCACTGCAACCTCTGCCTCCTGGGTTCAAGCGATTCTCCTGCCTCAGCCTCCTGAGTAGCTGGGATTACAGGTGTGTGCCACTACACCCGGCTAATTTTTGTATTTTTAATAGAGACAGGGTTTCACCATGTTGGCCAGGCTGGTCTTGAACTCCCAACCTCAAATAACCAGTACTCGGCCTCCTAAAGTGCTGGGATTACAGGTGTGAACCACTGTGTCTGGCCTCAACAGGTTTTTAAAGGGGTCTGGGACCCCCCTAAAAAGTTAAGAAACACTCTGCCTCCTCATAGCCTTGTAGACTCCTCCCCTCTGCCCTCCAATCCCTCATCCCCCAGCTCTGCCTCCTAGAAATAGCTCCCCAGGCCTATTCCCCTGGGACCATTTTTCTCTCCCTCCCCTCCCCCACCTGCTCCAGCTGGGCCTCGCTCTCCTCCCTGCTCCTGACAAGGCTCGTCAATTCTGGAGGAAAAAGCCAGGCATCCTTTGTACTTCTTGGGGCAGACAAAGCAGGGTGAGGAGGGGAGCGCGTGTACAAACAGACTGATCTCCAGAAGAAAGGAATTACGCGAATTACAATTGATTTTCCACTGTTAATGAAGCATGAACCCGTGTGATTGCATCTTGAAAAGATTTATAATTATTCATTGAATCTTGGAAGATAATTAAACTTCATTAAACACAGACATGACAAGCTTTCAGAGCAAGCTGAGACCTCCATGCAAGGCTCCGCATTGGAGCAAGAGATACAAGGCTGGGCTCCAGTTGAGGAGGAGAAGGAGGAGGAGGGGGAGGAGGAGAAGGGGGAGAAGGAGGGAGGAGGAAAGAGGGAGGAGGGAGGAGGAAAGAGGGAGGAGGGAGGAGGAAAGAGGGAGGAGGAAAGAGGGAGGAGGAAAGAGGGAGGAGGAAAGAGGGAGGAGGGAGGAGGGAGAGCTATCACGAAAGAGTCTCAGCTAGAAATGCAGCCAATCTTGGGTCTTCCAATTTCTCTCCCTACCCTTTAGGGACACCTCCTGGGGAACCTCCACCTACTGCCACCCTCCCCTATCCATGCCCATGTCCCTCCCTCTCAGCAGAGGAGGAATACTGGGAAGGGTGAGGACAGCCTCTGCTGTCCTGCTGTGAATCCCTGCTGAGTCCAGCACCAGGGCCACGGCAGTGGCGGAGGGGGCTGGGGGAGGGAGGAAATGGAGGAGGGGAAAATAAAGGAAGGGTGGTGGGTCCCAAAGCGTGTGTGTGTGTGTGTGTGTGTGTGTGTGTGTGTGTGTGTGTGTTGCCCGCTTCGTGAGATTACAGATTCATGCCTTCTGGAAACCCTGCGGAAGGAGGAGGCTGCCAAACTGCTAACAGTGTTTACCTTGGTGGGGAGCAGAGAAAGCGGTGGGATAAAGGAGGGAGAGAATTTCACTTTTTCTCCATAATACGCTACTTTGGTGTTTAATCGCACAGTGGGTCGACCTAGATTCAGATACAACACGTGGTCGGCCATGTGCTTCACACCAATGTGTTGGCCCACGACGGCCACATAGATGACGGTGGTCCCGTAGGACGATAATACAATATATTTACTGTGCCTTTCTTATGTTCACATATGTTGTGATACACGAATACTACGGTGTTAGCAGCTGCCGAGAGCATTTGGGACACACACACTGTGCAGGTTTGCAGCCTAGGAGCAACGGGCTCTACCATAGAGCCTAGGTGTGGAATAGGCTACGCCATCTAGGTGTGTGTAAATACACGCTATGACGTTCACACAAGGACGAAATCACCTAATGATGCATTTATCAGCCTCTGACGCTGTCATTAGCAAAGCATGACTATAATTTAAAAAATTTTAAAATACATAAACCAGGATCTGTTCAGCACATATTCATGATTGAGGGCCAGGCTCTGAGCTAAGTGTGCTGGGGACAAAGACATGGCTCAGACCGCACTGGACCCTCCTCAGGGAGTGCACAGCAGTGTGCATGTGTGTGTGCGTGTATGTGTGCGTGTGCACTTATATGACACATGACTGGTCGGGCTGGTTGTAAAGACTATCGTAGGGAGGTGGCCTTGCTTCTGCCTTCCTGGGTAGGGGGCACCCAGGCTCCTCACCCTTTATCTATTCCAGGCCATCCCTCCCCATCCTTTGGGGTTCCCTTCTGAAGATGCCTCCCATCCCTCCACCCATCCTGATCCCTCTGCCAGGATTAAACCCACCCTCATGAATGATGCCATAAGACGTCTCCTCTTGTCAGGTATACAGCCCCACACTCACTGCCCCCTCCCCCTTCCCCGCCTCTCCAGGATCTCACTGTTTCCTGCCAAAATGACAGAAGGAAGGAATATTAATGGGGCTGCCCTCACCATGTCCTCTTCATTGAGCTGCTTTTTGGCAGGGAGTATGTCTTTCTAAGGACAGGCTGGGAGCCATGCCCCAGCATGGGGCTGGCCCAGATTTCATGGCAGGGCTAGGAGGTCACTGATGGGCCAGGTGGTTGAGGGGGAGTTAAAGATCGGGCAGGGCTGGGGGGAGTTGTATTCAAGGCAGGAGGGTGGAAAGGATGGTGGGGGTGGGGGGGCAATCCCTTAGCAAAGAGGCCAAGATCCCAGTCCTAAGCCAGATGGCCTACTTTCCAATTATGGTTCTGCCATCTTGCAACTATGCATCCTAGGGTAGGTTATTAACTTCTCCATGCCTCAGTTTCTTCATTGTGGGTTAATACTACTGCCCCTTCATGGGGTTGGCGAGAGCAGTCAATAAGATGATACATGCAGAGTACTGGGCACAGTGCCTGGCACAGCAGAGAACCTCAGTAAATGGCAGCAGTTGTTGTGTTTGTGTACAGACACACCTTGGAGATATTGTGGGTTCAGTTCCAGACGACTGCAACCAAGCAAGTATTGCAATAAAGCAAGTCATATAAATTTCTTGGTTTCCCAGTGCATGTACAAGTTACATTTACACTATACTGTAGTCTCTTAAGTGTGCAACAGAATTATGTCCAAAAAAACAATGTACAGACTTTAACTTTAAAATATTTTATTGCTAAAAAGTGCTACCAATCATCTGAGCCTTCACTGAGTCATCATCTTTTTGCTGGTGAAGGGTCTTGCCTGGATGTTGACAGCTGTTGACCAATCAGGGTGGCGGTTGCTGAAGGTTGGGATGTCTGTGGCAATTCCTTAAAATAAGACAACAATGAAGTTTGCACATTGATTGACTCTTCTTTTCATGAAAGATTTTCTCTGTAACATGTGATACTGTTTGATGATAGCATTTTTCCCATAGAACTTCTTTCAACATTGAAAACACTGCTGCTGCTTTATTAACTAAGTTTATGTAATATTCTAAATCCTTTGTTGTCATTTCAGCAATGTTCACAGTTCACAGTTCAATGTTCGCAGCATCTTCACCAGGAGTAGATTCAGTCTCAAGAAAATACTTTCTTTGCTCAGCCATAAGAAGCAACTCCTCATCTGTTCAAGTTTGATCATAAGATTGCAGCAATTCAGTCACATCTTCAGGCTCTGCTTCTAATTCTAGTTCCCTTGCTATTTCCACCACATCGGCAGTTCTTTCCTCCACTGAAGTCTTGAACCCCTCAAAGTCATCCATGAGGGTTGGAATCAACTTCTTCCAAACTCCTGTTAATGTGGATTTTTTACCTCCTCCCATTAATCACAAATGTTCTTGATAGAAAGGAGCATGGTGAATCCTTTCCAGAAGGTTTTCAATTTACTTTGCCCAGATCCATCAGAGGAATCACAATCTATGGCAGCTTTAGTGTTACAAAGTGCATTTCTTAAATGATAAGACTTGAAAGTGAAAATTCCTCCTTGATGCTAGTTTGCTGCAGAATGGATGCTGTGTTCGCAGGCATGAAAACATTAATCTCCTTGCACAACTCCGTCAGACCTCTTGGGTGACCAGGTGCCTCGTCCATCAGTGGTAATATTTTGAAAGGAATCTTTTTTTCTGAGCAGTAGGTCTTAAAAATGGGCTTAAAATATGCAGTAAACCATGCTGTAAACAGATGTGCTACCATCCAGACTTTGTTGTTCCATTTATAGTGCACAAGCAGAGTAGATTTAGCATAATTCTTTTTTTTTTTTTCCTTAAGATGGAGTTTTGCTCATGTTACCCAGCCCAGAGTGCAATGGCATGATCTTGGCTCACTGCAACCTCCGCCTCCCGGGTTCAAGCAATCCTCTTGCCTCAGCCTCCCAAGTAGCTGGGATTACAGGCACGCACCACCTTACCTGTCTAATTTTGTATTTTTAGTAGAGACAGGGTTTCTCCTTGTTGGTCAGGCTGGTCTCGAATTCCCAACCTCAGGTGATCTGCCCACTTTGGGCTCCCAAAGTGCTGGGATTACAGGCATGAGGCACTGCACCCGGCCTACTTAGCATAATTCTTAAGAGCTCTAGGATTCTCAGAATGGTAAATAAACATTGGCTTCTATTAAAGCCATCAGCTGCATTGGCCCCTAAAAATAGAGCCAGCCTTGAAGCCAGGCATTGACCTCCTCTCTAGCTAGGAAAAATTCCTAGATGCCATCTTTCTTCCAATAGAAGGCTGTTTCATCTGCACTGAAAATCTGTTGTTTAGTGTAGCCAAGGATCATCAAGTTTAGAGTCATCAAGGATCTTAACTGGAAGCCCAGCCCAGATTCAAGAAAAGGGTGTGAAATAGAGGTGCACTTAATTGGTGGGCGACTAGTCTAACAGCCAGTCACAACCAGTGCCATGTAAAACCAAGGATATCAGCATAAGCAGAAGTTGCTAGTGATCTTGGGAAGCTGAAGCTGCTTACAGTAGCTGGGACAGCTGAAAGTCAGACTGAGAAATGGAGAGGGCTTTCAAGAAGCTTCCTGAACAATTTCTGCCAGCTCTGAGTCTATTTTTGGAATTAGCACTTGGGGAAACTGATCGCGTGAGAAAGCATGTGTTTAGGGACACAGAGCTTTTGAGAGCAGCACCACCCCACTGGGGCACCCACAGACTGTGGGAAATGCGGACACTTTCTTAATGCCACCGGTTTTTAATCAGGCCACAGTGAGAAGGAACAGCCCTAACAGGCCTCCGGCCAGGTATAAATAACTCATTTTTTGTTTTAGCCAACCGGTATGATTTGCTAATGTCCTACTAAAGTGCCGTCTCCAAAGACATCCCTCTTTGCCTCATATGTGGAATCATCATTCAGTGCAGATATTTCAATGAAAATATCATTGGTTGACTTTTGTAATGGTAATAAAATGCTATGGCATCTTTGCCGTGAAAAAAAAAAAGAATCTTAGCTGGATCTCCTGCATAACTTGCTGCAGCTTCCCCATCAGCACTCGCTGCTTCGCCTTGCACTTTTGTTATGGAGAGGTCTTCTTTCCTTAAACCTCATGAACCAACCTCTGATAGCTTCCAACTTTTCTTCTGCAGCTTCCTCACCTCTCTCAGCCTTCATAGAATTGAAGGGAGTTATGTCCCGGCTCTGGATTAGGCTTTGGCTTAAGGGAAGGCTGTGGCTGGTTTGATCTTCTATCCAGACCATGAGCACTTTCTCTGTATCAGCAATAAGGCTGTTTTGCTTTCTTATGATTTGTGTGTTCACTAGAGTATTACTTTTAATTTTTTTCAAGAACTTTTCCTTTGCACTCACATCCTGGCTGACTGTTTGGGGCAAGAGGTCTAACTTTTGGCCTCTCTTGGCTTTCAATATGCCTTCCTCACTAAGCTTAATCATTTCTAGCTTTTGATGTAAAGTGGGAGACGTGTGACTCTTCCTTTCACTTGAATACTTAGAGGCCACTGTAGGACTATTAATTGGCCTAATTGCAATATTATTGTGTCTCTGAGAATCAGGAGGCCTGAAGAGAGAGAGAAGGGGGCACTGGGAACACACACAACATTTATTAAGTTTGCCATCTTCTATGGGCACAGTTTGTGGCACCCCAAAACAATTACAATAGTAATGTCAAAGATCGCAGATCACCATAACAGAGATAATAATAATGAAAAAGTTTCAAAGATTGTGAAGATTATGGAGAGACGTGAACTGAGCTCATGCTGTTGGAAAAAATGGCGCCAATAGACTTGCTCAATGCAGGGTTGCCAGAAGCCCTCAATTTGTTAAAAAAATAAAATAAAAATAAAAGGCAATATCCGCAAAACCCAAGAAAGCTAAGTGCAATAAAACGAGGTGTGCCTATAATTTGAATTATTTCTGCCAACACCATCGAGTCACATTTTAAGGGCCTTCGTGCTGAGCTCCCCAAGGGGGACCGTGTCTTAATGGATCTCTACATCCTCTTTGGCTAACCCAGGACTTGGCCCCTAGTAGGTACTCAAGGAAGTGTTTGTGACATGAATAAGTGAATGAATGAAGGATAAATAAAACTGGGCCCTATGGCTAAGTTCTGGAGATACTTTCCCAATACAGGACCTCTGAAATTGCTGGATGAAGCATTTAAAATGCTTTTTAATGCATGGATAGGTTTGTGGGAAAGTAAAGAAAACCTTCAAAGTTGCAAGAATGCAACTCCAGAGAAGTGAGTGAGCTGGCACTGAAGCCAGCACTTCCACGGGGGCATCTGGTCAGCCGAAAGCCTGGCCTTTGATGCTCTGTGTTATAACAGCAAGAAACAAAGCCGGTCTGGGCAAGGTGGGAGATGAAATTTGCCAACTGTATTAGTCCGTTTTCATGCTGCTGACAAAGACATGCCTGAGACTGGGCAATTTACAAAAGAAAGAGGTTTATCAGACTTACAGTTCCACATGGCTGGGAGGCCTTACAATCATGGCGGAAGGAGGAGCAAGTCACATTTTTCGTGGATGGCAGCAGGCAAAAGGAGAGCTTGTGCAGGGAAACTCCCGTTTTTAAAAACCGTCAGATCTCGTGAGACCCATTCACTATCACCAGAACAGCACGGGAAAGACACGCCCCCTGATTCAATCATCTCCCGCTGGCTCCCTCCCACAACTTGTGGGGATTATGGGAGCTACAGGATAAGATTTGGGTGGGGACACAGAGCCAAACCATATCACCAACCACACATAAAGCAAGGTCTTCCGAACATGAACTAGAAAAGCCTGCCTTGGCTCTGGTGGGAAGGGAAAAATAAAAACCAGAAAAAAAAAAAGAAAAAGTCTTCCTTCCTGAGAATCTTAACCACCAGCTTGCCCTTATGTGGGCGTGGGGCCAGAATTCATTCTACTTATGCGGCCTAAAAAACCACAAGCAGAAAATCAGCCCACCGTTAACAGCAGCACCTGGCAGAAATATACACCAATCTTCTCTGAAGAAACAGCCCTAAGGCCAGGCCTCCACGAATTCCTGTAGAAAACAAGTTCCAAGAAAGTGCACAGTAGAGAAAAAGTCAAAACACACAGGAAACAAGCTACTGTGAGCAGGGGCCACCAAAAACAGCAACTGCAAACCAGACATGCACAGGTGGCCAATGTTGAATTATCAGACATTGCATATAAAATAAACATGCAAGGATTTTAAAACGTAAAAGTGGATAGCAAAAGTATGACAAAGGAAAATGAGATTATGAAAAATTACCAGATTGATTTGAAAAAGAGTCCAATAAAATATCTAGAGATGAGAAGTTTAATAATTGAAAGTAGAAACTTCATGAATGAAACAGAAGATGAGACAGCTGAGGAGAGAATTAGTGAACTGGAAAAGACATAAAAATACATTTCTTGCCTGGCACAGTGGCTCACGCCTGTAATTCCAGCCCTGTGGGAGGTCGAGGTGGGTGGATCACTTGAGGCCAGGAGTTCAAAACCAGCCTGGCCACATGGCAAAACCACACTCCCCAGGCCCCTGTCTCTATGAAAATTACGAAAAAAGTAGCTGTGCGTGGTGGCACACGCCTGTAGTCCTAGCTACTCAGGAGGCTGAGGCAGAAGAATCACTTGAACCCAAGAGACGGAGGTTGCAGTGAGCCGAGATCATGCCACTGCACTTCAGCCTGGGCAACAGAGCAAAACTCTGTCTCAAAAAATAAAAAATAAATACATTTCTCAGAAGGTAGCAGAGGGAGACAAACAAATGGAAGATATAAAAGAGAGATTAAGAGAGGTGGGGATGAAATGAGAAGATCGAGTATGTGTCTAATCAGAGTTCCAGAAGGAGATATCAGAGGTAACAGTGGAGAGTCAAATTCAAAGAGAAGATAGCTGAGAATTTTCCAGAACTATTACTCTAAACTTCAGAAAGCTCAATGAATCTCAAGCAGGATAAATTAAAAGAGATCTCCACCTAAAAACACCATAGCAAAACCATGGAACATCATAGACAAAGAGAAAACCTTCAAAGCAGCCAAAGATAAAAGAGAGATTACCTAAAAAGGAACATCAAATAGACGGATAGCAGAGTTCTCAGAGAAACTCTGGGAGCCAGGAGACAGTAGAGAGAAAATAACTGTCACCTGGGAATTCTATCTCTTCTGAAATTTTTTCAAGCATGAGAGCAAAATAAAGATATTATTAGACAAACAAAAACTGTCAGAGTTTACAACCAAGACCCTCCCTAAAGGAACTTTTAAAGAATAAACTTCAGGAAAAAGGAAGATGCAAGAAAGAATAGTGAACAAAAAAAATGGTAGGTAGTCCGGGTGTGGTGGCTTATGCCTGTTGTAATCCCAGCACTTTGGGAGGCCAAGGCGGGAGGATTGCTTGAGCCCAGGAGTTTGAGACCAGCCTGGGCAACCTAGGAAGACCCTGTCTCTCCAAAATTACAAAAACTTTGTCGTAGTGGTGTGCGCCTGTAGTCCTAGCTACTCAGAAGGCTGAGGTGGGAGGATCACTTGAGCCCAATAGATCAAGGCTGCAGTAAGCCATGACTGCACCACTGTACTCCAGCCTGGGTGATAAAGCGAGACTCTGTCTCAAAAAAAAAAAAAAAAAAAAAAGGGTAAATGTAGGTAAGAACAGTGTTAAACGTAGGTAAACTTAAACAAATATGGACTATATAAAATGTTTAATTTGGCTGGGCGCAGTGGCTCATGCCTGTAATCCCAGCACTTTGGAAGGCCGAGGCGAGAGGATCACCTGAGGTCAGGAGTTCGAGACCAGCCTGACCAACATGAAGAAACCCCGTCTCTACTAAAAAAAATACAAAATTAGCAGGGCATGGTGGCGCATGTCTGCAATCCCAGCTACTCGGGAGGCTGAGGCAGGAGAATCGCTTGAACCCAGGAGGCAGAGGTTGCGGTGAGCCAAGATTGCACCATTGCACTCCAGCCTGGGCAACAAGAGCAAAACTCCATCTCAAAAAAAAAAAAAAAAAAAGGAAAAAGTTTAATTTATGAGGTTAAAGCAAACGACAAGTGAGAAGAAAAATACAGGGCAATGGTGGCAAGAGTTGGAAGGGACGTGACCAGAAAGAAAGCATTTTAAGGTCCTGGAATTGTGTGGGAGGAGAGTAAAGACAGAAATCATAGATGTCAATTATAACCTAAATATGCATGTTAAATTTTCTAGGGTAATTACAAGAGAATAGAAATAGCATGTATTATCACTTCCAAATTAATAGGGAAAAAATAGAACAAGTGGGGGGAAAAAACCTTCAGTCAATGCAATTGAAAGAAGAAAGGAGGGGGAAGAAAGGAAGGGAAGGAGGGGGGAAATCAGGACCAGAGAGTGAACGGCACATCCAAGGTCACACAGCAAGTCAGAGGTGAAAAGGGGACTGGGGTCCAAGTTTCCTGACTTCCACTCCAGTACTCTTCCTCAAAACCATGCAGCCGGCTGGGTGTGGTGGCTCACGCCTGTAATCCCCGTACTTAGGGAGGTCAGAGCAGGTGGATCACTTGAGGCCAGGAGTTCAAGACCAGCCTGGCCAACATAGTGAAACCCTGTCTCTACTAAAAATACAAAAATTAGCCGGGCGTGGTGGCACACGCCTGTAATCCCAGCTACTGGGGAGGCTGAGGCAGTAGAATCGCTTGAACCTGGGATGCAGAGGTTGCAGTGAGCCGATATCGCACCACTGCACTCCAGCCCGGGTGACAGAGCAAGACTCTGTCCTAAAAAAAAGAAAGAAAGAAAGAAAGAAAGAAAGAAAGAAAGAAAGAAAGAAAGAAGGAAGGAAGGAAGGAAGGAAGGAAGGAAGGAAGGAAGGAAGGAGAGAGAGAGAAAGAAAGAAAGAAAAAGAAAGAAAGAAAGAAAGAAAGAAAGAAAGAAAGAAAGAAAGAAAGAAAGAAAGAAACAATGCAACCCCCTTCAATCTAAATGGGGATTATCAGAGCAGGAATCTAAACCCTGGCAGTTTTCCCAATGAAACAGCACTGCTTGGAAAGGTCTATGCAATAAATACTTTGATCAACAAACAAAAAGAGTAGTAATTGTCTCATGACAAAAATCACTAAAGTACGCACAGTGACCTACAATATAGGCAGCTCTGTTCTGAGCATGTTGTGTGTGATACTTCACTGGATGCTTACGATAACCCTGCGAGGTGGATGATGCTTGTTTTGCAGATAAGTGAGGTACCCAAGGCACAGGAAGGGAAAGGAAAGCTCCCAGGGTCACACAGCTGGGAAGTGGAAATGCAGGGATTAGAACCCAGACAGTGTGGTTCCCCAGCCCACCTTCTTCATGCTGCCCTGACTCGGTGCTCTTGGCTGGACACCGGGATGGGCCAACAAATATCTGTATGCAGGAACAGAACTGCGGAAGCGGGCAATGTCCTGGAATGATCCTAATTAGATTCTGGATCTAAAACAATAAATAAAGCAGCTATAAAGGACGTTTTTGGGTGCTTGGGGAAATTCGAATATGAACTCAATATTAGATGATATTATTGTAACACCATTAACTGTCTTGAATGCAATCATGGTGTTATGGTTACGTAGGAGGATGTCCTTAAGAGACAGATGCTAAAGTATGTAGGATAAAAATGTGATGATGCTGGCAAGTTTTAAATGTTTCAAGGAAAGAAATATAAAAAGAGCAATAAGGCAAATGAGGGAAAGACACGGTGGCTCATGCCTGTAATCCCAGCACTTTGGGAGGCCAAGGCGGGAGAATTGCTTGAGCCCAGGAATTTGAAACCATCCTGGGCAACATAGCGAGACCTTGTCTCTACAAAAAATACAAAAATTAGCCAGGCATGGTGGCTTGCACCTGTAGTCCCACCTACTCGGGAGGCTGAGGTGGGAGGATCACTTCACCCCAGGATGTCAAGGCTGTAGTGAGCCATGATTGCCCCCCACTGCACTCCAGCCTGGGCAACAAAGTACAACCCTGTCTCGAAAAATAATAATAATAAATAACAAAATAAAAATAAGGCAAATGTGGAAAAGTGTTAATACTAGGTAAAGAATAGATGTGTGTTTATTGTTGTAACAGTTGTTTTTTTTTATTTTTTGTTTTTTTGGTTGGTTTTCTTTTTTTTTTTTTTTGAGACAGAGTCTCGCTCTGTTGCCCAGGCTGGAGTGCAGTGGCACAATCTTGGCTAACTGCAACCTCCGTCTCCCGGGTTCAAGGGATTCTCCTGCTTCAGCCTCCTGAATAGCTGGGATTACAGGCATGAGCCACCACGCCCGGCTCATTTTTTGTATTTTTAGTAGAGATGGGGTTTCACAATGTTGGCCAGGCTGGTCTCGAACTCCTGACCTCAAGCGATCTGCCTGCCTCGGCCTCCCAAAGTACTGGGATCATCCCCAAGCTTAAAACAACAGCTTTTTATGATTTCTTGCAAGCCCCCTGGTTGCTGGCCAGGCAATTCCACCAACCTGGGCAGGGCTTGCTTAAGGGTCTGTCATCCACCAGTGGGTGCACTGGAGCCTGACTGGTCTAGGGATCCCATGGCTTGTATGATGAACCTCTCCTCCATAGATCTCTACATCCCTCAGGCAGGCGGGCCTGGGAGTGTCCTCATGGCAGTGGCAGAGATCCAAAAGAGGAAGAGGGAAAAGCAATGCACAACACACTTTATAAAGCTGCCACTTGCATCAGTTGAGTTGCTGTCCCATTGGTCAAAGCAAGTCACTTGACCAAGCCCGGAGTCAGTGTGGGAAGGCACTTCCAAAGGGGTGGATAAAAGGGAGGTAAAGTGGTGAAAGCAGGCAATTTACCATCATGGTATTACTGTCTTAACTTTTCAATAGGTTTGAAATAATTCAAAATAAAAAGCTAGAGCAATGAAACAAAAATGAGATTCTACTGCACACCTACTAGAATGGCCAAAATCCAGAACACTGACAACATCAAATGCTGGTGAGGATGTGGAGCAACAGGAACTCTCCTTCCTTGCTGGGTGGGAATGCACAATGGTACAGCCACCTTGGAGGCCAGTTTGGTGGTTTCTGACAAAACTCAACATACTCTTACCACATGATCCTTGGTATTCACCCAAATGAATTGAAAATTTATGACTGCATGAAAACCTGCACATGGATGTTTATAGCCGCTTTATTCATAATTGCCAAAACTTGGGAAGCAACCAAAATGTCCCTTCAGCGGGTGAATGGATGAATAAACCGTAGTACATCAGACAATGGAATATTATTCAGTGTTATATACAGGCCAGGCGTGGTGGCTCATGCCTGTAATCACAGCACTTTGGGAGGCTGAGGCGGGTGGATCGCCTGAGGTCAGGAGTTTGAGACCAGCCTGGCCAAATGGTGAAACCCCATCTCCACTAAAAATACAAAAATTAGCCAGGCATGGTGGTGCACGCCTGTCATCCCAGCTACTTGGGAGGCTGAAACAAGAGAATCGCTTGAACCCAGGAGGTAGAGGTTGCAGTGAGCCGAGATCACACCACTGCACTCCAGCCTGGGTGATGGAGTGAGACTCCATCTCAAAAATTAAAAAAAAAAAAAAAGAAAGAAAGAAAGAATTGAGCTATCAAGTCATGAAAATACATGGAGGAGCCTTAACTGTGTATAACTAAGTTGAAAGAAGCCAATCGGAAAGGGATGCACCCTGTATGACTCCAACTAGCTGACATTGTAGAAAAGGGAAAACTATGGAGACAAGAAGATCAGCAATTGCTAGGGATTTGGTGGGGAGAAATGAATAGGCGGAGCACAGAGGATCTGGGGGACAGTGAAACTACTCTGGGTGATGCTCTAATAGTAGATACAGGTCATTATACACTTGTCCAAACCCACAGAATGTACAACACCAAGAAGGAGCCCTACTGTAAACCATGGAATTTGGGTGAATATGATGAGTCCAGAGAGGCCCATCGATTGTAACAAATGCACCACTCTGATGGGGGTGTTGGTAATGGGGGAGGCTATGAATGCATAGGGGCAGAGGGTATATGGGAAGTCTCTGTACCTTCTTAACTTTTCTGTGAACCTAAAATCACTCAGAAAAAAATAAAGTTAAAGAAACAAAAGTTTTTTTTTAAATCCGATCTAGGCTGGGTGTGGCGACTCACTCCTGTAATCCCAGCACTTTGAAAGGCCAAGGCAGGCGGATCACTTGAGGTCAGGAGTTCAAGACCAGCCTGGCCAACATGGTAAAACCCTGTCTCTACTAAAAATACAAAACTTAGCTGGGCATGGTGGTGTGCACCTGTAGCTCCACCTACTTGGGAGGCTGAGGCACAAGAATTGCTTGAGCCCAGGAGGTGGAAGTTGCAGTGAGCCGAGATCATGCCATTGTACTCCAGCCTGGGCGACAGAGCAACTCTGTTTAAAAAAAAAAAAAAAAATCTGATCTAATATGTCCCTACTCTACTTAAAACTCTTCATTAGGTCCAGTGAAAGACACACAAGAACATTCTCTGTAGCTTTACTAGGCAAAGCCCCAAATCATAATGTCCATCAACAGCATTGAAGATCCAAAAATCGTGATATAACATGGAACAATAAGCAGCGATGAAAAACAGTGAACTGCTCCTGCTACACACAACAACGTGGGTGGACTTTGCTGATAGTGATGAGCAAGAGAAGGGAAAACTCAGAAGTGTGCTTAATGGATGACTCCAATTACATGAAGTTCAAGAAGCGAGAATGAGTCAACAGTGATTATTGTGGGGAGTATCTATAAGCAAGGGGCACGAGGGAACTTTCTGGAGTGCTATAAATGTTCTGTAGCTCACTGCGTGGTGGACATGGTGCCTCCATGTGAAAAAAATTATTAAACTAGACACTTAAGATGTGTGCACTTTATAAGTTATATTTCAAAAAATGTAAGCACACACACACACGCACACACACACAACCTTAAATCCTTAAATCTTGGTTTCTTGGTACCCTGGATAAGATCCAAATTCCTTAACACTCAATTCAATTTCATTTACCTGAACACATGTTTATTCATCTCTGTCCAACATGCCAGGAGCAGCAAGCAGAGTGGCCGTCCCACCTCTCCCTGTCCAGCACAGGTGCTTGATAAATGTGCATTGAAGCCACATGGAGGCCTTGCGGGTACCCAGGCATCAGATGGGGTGGCATCCCTGCCTCCTGGGCTCCTTCCAGGCCCACTTTGGTGACTGTCGACAGCCACCTTGCAGGCACTACCCCCTCCCCCTCCTCACCCAGGCTCCAGCAGCCACCCCACTCCTCACTGCTGCACACTTTACAATCATTGTGAAACATAATGATTCTTACCCTGGAGAGAAATTGGATTCCATTTTCTATTTTATTGCCTGAAAAAGGACATTTTTTACCTTCCCACGGTCTGCAGGCAGCAGGAACACGACGATAAATCTCAGCGCAGGCTTCCACCACTGAAATAGACAGTCCAGCAGGGAACCACTGTGGTCCAAACCGGAAAGGATAAGCAAGAAGTTGTTCCTGCTTTGCCACCCCACACCGGTGCCCTGTCTTCAACACCACCTGGGCAGCCTCAGGGCTGAAAGGCCTCAGCCTTTGAACTTGCCTCTCCTCCAGCCTTCCTGTCTTCATTCAGACAAAGACTTCTTGCCTCCAGAGAGAACATGGGCCGGGCATGCCTGTAATCCCAGTAGTTTGGGAAGCCAAGGGGGGCAGATCACCTGAGGTCAGGAGTTCAAGACCAGCCTGGCCAACACGGTGAAACCCCATCACTATTAAAAAAAAAATACAAAAATTAGCCAGGTGTGGTGGCATGAGCCTGTAATCTCAGCTACTCAGGAGGCTGAGGCAGAAGAATCACTTGAACCCGGGAGACAGATGTTGCAGTGAGCCAAGATCATGCCACTGGGTGACAGAGCAAGACTGTCTCAAAGGAAAAAAAAAAAGAGAGAGAACATAGTTGGTTTGTCAAGCACTTACTGGGAGCCTGCCATGCACTTTATCATGTTTTGTTTCAGCAGCCCTAGGATGGAGATGCTTGCATTAGCCCATTTTACAGATGAGAGGACTGAGGTTCATGGAGGTTAGGCATGCAGCTGGTAAGGAGCGAGCTGGAATGTGAACTGGGGCTTTCAGGAACCCAATCGATGCTTCTCGTCATGACTTCCCTCAATTCCTTTTGGCTGTTTGTTTGTTTGTTTGTTTGTTTTAAGATGCAGTCTCGCTCTGTTACTGAGGCTGGAGTGCAGTGGCGCCATCTCGGCTCACTGCAACCTCCGCCTCCCGGGTTCAAGCAATTCTCCTGCCTCAGCCTCCCAAGTAGCTGGGATTACAGCCACCATGCCCAGCTAATTTTTGTATTTTTAGTAGAGACAGAGTTTCCCCTGTTGTCCAGGCTGGTCTCAAACTCCTGACCTCAAGTGATCCACCCGCCTTGGCCTCCCAAAACTTCCCCTCAATTCTTAAAGACCTAGCCAGCTGGGCAGGGTGGCTCACACCTGTAATCCCAGCACTTTGGGAGGCTGAGGCGGGCAGATCACCTGAGTTCAGGAGTTGGAGACCAGTCTGGACAACATGGCAAAACTCCTACTCTACTAAAAATACAAAAATTAGCCAGGCAAGGTGGCAGGTGCCTGTAATTCCAGCTACTCGGGAAGCTGAGGCAGGAGAATCACTTGAACCTAGGAGGCAGAGGTTGCAGCGAGCCAAGTTCATGCCATTGCACTCCAACGTGGGCTACACAGTGAGACTCCGTCTCAAAAAAAAAAAAAAAAAAAATTCCTAGCCAGGGAGACCAGAGATACTTTGGGGTAGATGGCAGCAGAAGTCCCCAGGCTGCCTCCTGGTGCTCAGTTGCAGGCCTGCCCCAGGCATGCTGTTGTCAGTCTTATAGGAGAGTCCTAGCTGTAATCTCTTTCCATTAGTTGCTGGGCGGCTTGAACAAATGTATTAGTGTCCCCAGAGAGGTTGCTGTGCTCACTTGGTTGCATGGCTAAAGACAGAATCAGGACTAGAACCCGACGCCCCTGACTCCTGACCTACAGTCACTCTTCTTACCTCGCATCCTGCCCCACTGACTGTCTTCCAAATATTTACTATTATTCCTTTCTAATACATTTGAGAATGTATGGTTTAACCATTGCTTACTTATTTAGGTTGATGCAAACGTTCTTGCGGATTTGCCATTAAAAGCAATGGCCAAAACTGCAATAACTTTTGCTCCAACCAAATAATAACATCACGGAGTTGTAAAATGTAGCACTCAGGAAATAAACCAGTCACACAGTACCACTGATTGTGTGATTCCATTTATATGAAACATCCAGAACAGGACGTGGACTTAACAGACCGGAGGGGGCAAGTGTAGAGGCAGGAGACCAGTTAGGAGACCAGGGCATTGCTCCCGGTACAGTCAGCGGCATCTCTGACCAGGAAGAGGCAGCAGCGCGGGGAAGAAGTTGTTGGATTCTGATTATTTGAAGGTAGAGCCTCCAGGATTCCTTGAAAGACAGCGTGTGAGAGAGACAGGTGTCAAGGACAACCCCAGGGCTTTAGAGCTGAGCCCCTGGGCCATCGGGACACCCTTCACTGGGCCTGATGAGACGGGGTTGAGGGTGAAGACGCTTAGTCTGGATCTGTGACATTTGGGAAGCCAATTGGGAACCAGCCCTGGGAAGGAAGCCTCCAGAGTCCCTGATCCACACTCCCAGGACACTGGAAAGTGCAGGCCCTGGCCAGCGAAGGCACCCCCTGAGACACAAGACAGAGGATGCCGGTACATAGGGAACCATCTGTCCCTCCCCCGCCTGTCAGGAGGACACCACGTGGCTGTGTTGGGAAGGAAGGTTCCTGTTGCTGGGCAGGAGCCCTGGAAAAAGGTCTCATCACACCCGCCACAGCCGCTGGGCCTCTCCAGAAGCTTCTGAGAGGTTTCCCCAGAGGCTGTGCAGCTGGGACAGAGACCCCTCCGGGCAGTTTAACACAGACAAGCCTCAGAGGAGGGGGCACTGGAGCAGGGTTGGCTGCAAGAGGAAGGGGACAGGCACACACTTCCCGGGAAGCCCAGAGCTGGCTTCACACCCTCCAGGGCCAGGAAGGAGGATGCCAAGATGCTGCCCGCTGGGTCCAGGGCTGGCCTGGGGAAGAGGATACCAGCCAGTGTCCAGTGGGGCATGGCATCTGAGGCAGTGGAAGGTGGGTCCGTGGCAGGGGACATGGAGTGGCAGCCCCCGCCCGCTTCACCACCTGCTGCCCACCAGCTGTCCCAAGCTCAGGCTGGGAGGCCCCGCTCCCACGGTCCAAGGAGATGCTCAGGGACACACTTGGAGCACCCCAGACCCAAGCCCGCCCTCCCAGGGGCAGACACTGTTCATTCACGCGTGCATTCAATCCGCAAATATTTCGCTTTTTTTGAGACAGAGTTTCGCTCTGTCGCCCAGGCTGGAGTGCAATGGCATGATCTTGGCTCACTGTAACCTCCACCTCCCAGGTTCAAGCGATTCTCCTGCCTCAGCCTGCTGAGTAGCTGGGATTACAGGCACTTGCCACCACGCCTGGCTAATTTTTCTATTTTTAGTAGAGACGGGGTTTTGCCATGTTGGCCAGGCTGGTCTCGAACTCCTGACCTCAGGTGATCCGCTAGCCCCAGCCTCCCAAAGTGCTGGGATTACAGGTGTGAGCCGCTACACCCGGCCCCACAAATATTTCTTGAGGGCCCACGAAGCGGTCACCGCAGGCATGTGGGATCTGTCTATGAACAAAACCGACAAAATAATCCCAGTGTTGGGGTGGGGTGAGAGGAGACAGACAATAAAGAATCACATAATAAATGAGTAAATTATACGGTGGTTAGAAGAGGGCACAGACTATGTCAGCAAAAAGAAGACAAAGCAGGGGAGAGTTAGGACGGTGGAAGTGAGGTGCGAAGTTGTGATCTTGAATCAGGAGGGGAGGGGAGACCTCTTTGAGAAGGTGACATTTGCACAAAGACTTGAAGGAGCTGAGGAGTTAGGAGGTGAATTCCCGGTCCAGCGATGCCCAAGCTGTTTCACCTCTTGCCATCCCTGCCCTTCCCTAGGAGGCCCCATGCTCGCCCCCGCCCAGCTCCCTCTCCTCTTTCTCCTGCCCTCTCCCTTGACCCGCCTGAGTGGAATAACACCCCACTGGAAACTGGTCATCAGGCCTTGGGTCCCCTGAACTGGCCCCACAGAGTCAACCATAATGGCCATTTTGCCCACCAAGGGCTCTGCTGAAAGGGTGGGCAGCTCATACTTCCCCAAACGCTAGGTCCAGTCCCGGCCTGAGCAGAGTGGGCCCCAGAGGCTGGCTTTCCTGCAGCCTGAACGAATAAAGGGTGGAGCACGCATGTGCCCTGTAAGACCCACAAACCACCCAGTTCACACATACACAAACCACACATGGGCAACACACAATCCACCCCTCATACTACACACCCAGCAAACCCATGCCATGTGCACTATGCAACGTACATACACAAACACAACGTGCAACTCAAATACAAGATGCAGCCAGCCCCCCTGGACCTCCTGACCAGCACCAAACCCTGCTGGAGCCTTCTAGGGGAGTCGGGGAGCATGCCCCAGAGACCTGGAGGAAATGTTGTGCTCCACTGGAGGGATGCTCCACAGCGAGGGGCTGCCTGTGCTGGCCCCAGTGACTAAGCAGCCGGACCTCCTCATCAAAGGCATGGCCGACAGAGCCGAGAGAGCCGAGGGAGAGAGGCTGAGCTGAGTTACAGGGTGCCCAGGGAGTGGGCACATGGCCCCTACTGCTTCTTCCAGTGGGACAGGCTGCGGGGAGCTCTCAGATCGTTGGGTAGTTTCAAGGGCAAGCCAGGCCTGGGGCAAAGACTGGGCTGGAAGTCAGAGACCTGCTGAAGAATGGCTGTGGGGCTTTTGTCAGGCGCTCACCCTCTCTGGGCTGCTGGGGTCACATGGTAAGGAATTGTTTTCTTTTCCCAGCCTCCTTGAGCAAACCAAAAACACATGAAACTTTCAGAGGGGAGACGCCATTAGCATCTCAGGTAGATCAGCCCCATGGGTCTCGCCCACCCCTCCCCTCGTGGCATCCCGTTGCCCGCCTTTGACGCCACAGCCATACCCAGCTACCTGCAGCACTGCGAACATCCCATGCTCTGGCCTCCAGGCTCTCGTACTGTTTCTCCCTCTCCAGGTATCTCTCCCTTCCTCTCGGCACACTCCACCAATAGCTCCCACTCACCCTTCAGGTCTCAGCTGAAAAACTGCCTCTAGCTGGAAGGTTTCCACGCCACTCTTGTCCCAGGTTGGGGGAGCCGCCCTTCCTAAGCTCCCACAGACCGCTGGCCTCTTCCCTCTCACAGCACGTATGGCCCTGGGGTGTAACTGCCGTTTACCCATGGCTTCTTGAGCAAAGGAAATATCTCTTATTCGTTTCCTTATCTCCAATGCCTAGCAGAGTTCCTGGAATACAGTAATTGCCCCTTATCCACCTGTGGTTTCGCTTTCTGAGATTACAGTTACGTGTGATACAGTATAATAGGATATTCTGAGAGACAGAGAGCACATTCACATAACTTTTATTATGGTATATTGTTTAATTGTTCTATTTTTTATCAGTTGTTGTTAATCTCTTACTATGCCTAATTGATAAATTCAACTTTATCATAAGTACACAGGTCTAGGAAAAAACATATTGTGTGTGTATGTGTAACTGGCTCAGTGTTATCAGAGGTTTCAGGTGTCCACTGAGGTCTTGGAACGTGTCCTCCACAGATAAGGAGAGACTACTATAGATGGGTTTTGGGTAGACAAATGGATGGGTGGATGGGTAAAGTCCAATTTTTTTTTTTTTTTTGAAACAGAGTCTGGCTCTGTCACCCAGGCTGGAGTGCACTGGCGCAATCTCAGCTCACTATAGCCTCAACATCCCGGGCTCAAATGATCCTCTCACCTCAGCCTCCCAAGTACCTGGGACTACAGGTGTGCACCACAACGTCTGGCTAATTATTATTATTTTTTGTAGCGATAGGGGGTCTCCCTATGTTGCCCTGGCTGGTCTTGAACTCCCGGGCTCAAGCAATCCTCCTGCCTCAGCCTCCCAAAGTGCTAGGATTATAGGAGTCTGCCACTGTGCCCGGCCCTGAATTTTTGCAGTGTGGAAAAGTTCACCTTCACACTGATGGCATCCCTTCCAATGCCCATATAATTCCTGAGCTGACATTACATTACCAAAATATGACATTGAGCTTCACTTCTCACAAGTACCTGGGAAAACCAGAGCCAAAAAAGTGGAGGAAAGAATTGCAACTTTGGGGCTGGAGTTCTGTGATCACAACTCCATGACCTGAGCCAAGGGAAGAGCAGCCAGAGTCGAAAAAGGGAGCCAGGATAGGCTGGGTCTGCTGGGCAGAGGGCCCAAAAGGGAGCAGCCCATCTGCCCCACCATCCACAGGACCCAGGGTCTGGGGACAGGGCATGTCACCCTTCAACGTCAGCAGAATTGGCTGGCATATGAGAGCAGGCAGGTGCACCCTCTTTAGAGATGGTGGGTCACTGTTGTCGGAAAGAAAGGGGGCCAGGTGTGTCCTGCATCCGATCAGGAGGGCAGTGTGGCTCTCAGGCTGAGGGACACATCTGAAAGTGTCTCCATAGGGTTGGAGAGCCAAATCTAACCAGTGGTGCTATGCCCTGCCTGTTATACGTGGAGTGTTCGACCTGTGCTGACCTGGAGAGAAGGAGGGGCACTGGGTCTGCCAGCATGGGCATCAGGTTGTGGGTAGGGCTTGCACACCAGGCTCATCCCTGCCTGGAGTCAACACCTCCCAGAGCATGACCATGCCCGCTCCACACTCAGCCATGACCTCCGGTGAATCCTCAGTCCAGGTGTCCTAGGTGGTGAGTGAGTAGAAATCAGGGTCATTGGAAGAGCTTTTTTCTCACTGTAAATTGATCACTCGATGTATCATGCAGGATCACCTTCAGCAGAAAGCATCAGCTCCCTGTAAACTAGCAGCTCAACTACATAAGGATTGAGACTCTCAGACAAAAAAGTCCAGATCTAGGCAGTTCAGGGCTGGCGAGTTCTTTCCATGAAGTCATCAGGGACCCAGGACCTTTCTATGTCTGCTCCACCATCCTCAAGATCACCTCTTATTCAAGATGGCTGCTGGTGCTCCATCCATCACAACTACATTCTAAACAGCAGGAAGGAGGAAGGGAGAGAAGAGACAAAAGGGACAGCTCCTTTCTTTTAAAGACTCCTGGCCAGTCGCGGTGGCTCACACTTGTAATGCCAACACTTTGGGAGGCCAAGGCGGGTGGATCACCTGAGGTCAGGAGTTCAAGAACAGCCTGGCCAACATGGCGAAACCCCATCTCTAGTAAAAGTACAAAAATTAGCTGGGCGTGGTGGCGCATGCCTGTAGTCCCAGCTACTCAGGAGGCTGAGGCAGGAGAATCGCTTGAACCCGGGAGACGGAGGTTGCAATGAGCTGAGATCACACCACTGCATTCCAGCCTGGGCAACAGAGTGAGACTCCATCTCAAAAATTATAAATAAATAAATAAATAAATAAACAAACAAACTAACTCTCTAGAAGTTCAGTGTATCACTTACACTTAATTTTCACTGGCCAGAAATTAGCCACATGGATGCACTCCTCTGGGGACTTTTGTTGGTGTAAGTCCCCTTGAGAGCTTTGGGGACACTGAGAACATGAAGCGTCTAAACGTATAAGTCTCATAGCAGATCTTGGGCCCTGGAGAGGCCCCACCTCAGCCACCTGGGAGTCTCTATCTTTGCCAAAATCACCCCGCTAATAAGTGAAAGAGTCAGGATTTGAAACCGGCACCAGCCTGTCTTTGCAGCTCACACTCTTATATGTTATACCACACTGTTACCTTGAGTTCGAGTTCTGGCCTCACCCCTTACTATCCACGTGACCCTAGGAGCTTCAGTTTCTATACCTATAAAATGGGAATAATAATAACACCCGCCTCAAAAAGGTGTTGCAAGACAGATAATATATGCAAATAGATCAAGACAATGTAGGCAGCAGATCAAGAAACTACAGATCTGAATCTGTTTAACAGATTCAGTGGAATTCACAAGGAAGAAGCTGGGCCCCACTGCCACCTTGATGTTGTCATAGACCTTGCTGATGGAAGAGTACATTCTGCAGTAGGTGGCGGACACCAGAGTCCCTGGAAAAGTCATTCTGTAGTATGGTGAGGGAAGCAGTTGCTCAGACTTCTCATCTCCAAGATATTCACGGAGGGTCTGGTGAAGCCCGCTCCCCGTCTTGTGTCTCTGCCCCAAAGCCCCATTGCTGTCAGCTGGTTCAGAGAGGAGCAGAATGAAGAAGGAGATTGCCCATTGCCATGGAAACCAAGGCTAGAGCCCAGCACCCTGCAGCTCCTGGGCACAGAGCGGATATGTGCCTCCGGGTTCCAAGTACCCAGATGCCCCTCCCACCCAGTGTATGTGTGCCTGCATGTGCGCGCACACACACGCACACACACACACACTCCTAGCCACCAGTGGCTGAACTAGTGAACTAGCAGCCATTCAACTGAGCTCTCCCAGGGGTCCAAGTTTCTCCAGGTGGTAAAAGACCAGCTCTCCGGCCAGAGAAGCCAGTTCCTCTGTCAAGGACATCAAAAAGCAAGACTGATCAGAAGGGGCTAAGACAGGCCGTTGGAGACACTTGGCTGTCACATTCAGGAAACCACCTACCTGGGCCAGTGCATGGAGGAGCTTACATGGCCACGCATGTAAGCCACGTGCCAGCAGACGCTCTGGCCCTCCCAGAGGCAAATGAGTTTTGCAATTCCCGGTGTAACAAGTGATCCAGGCAAGGATCATCAATGGATGCAGTAATATGTTCACAAGTCTAACAATATCACCACAGATTACTTATTCATTACAAAAGGGAAAAGATACCTTCAAAGGAGAAATCTAGCAGACACCACGTGATCAAATGTAGGGTCACCAGAAATAGGACAAGCTGACATTACATGCCTCCTTGGGTAACGTAATGAGAAGTGCAAGACATCTTCTATTTAATATTCTCACCAAAAATGTAAGGACTGAATTGAATCATGAGGAAACAATCGACATTCAGGTTGCTGGGCGTTTTACAAGACATCTGATATGGACTCTTCAAAAATGTCAATTACAAGAAAGACCAAAAGACTAGATGAAAGGAGACTAAAGAGACATGACAATTAAATGCAATGCACGATCCTTAAGTGGCTCCTGAATGGGAGAAAACCAGCTATAACTGACATTTTTAGAACAATTGGGGAAATGTGAATATGAGCAGAACGTTAGATAACATTATTACATCCGTGTTAGGTCCTTGGGTATGATAATTATATCATTATGGTTATGGAGGAGAAGATCCTTGCTCATAGAAGACATGTGCTGATTATTTAGGGATGGAGAATCAGATGTCTGCAATTCACTTCCAGATAATCAGAAGAAAGGAAAGAAGGAGAGAAAGTAAAAGTGGCCAACGTTCACAATGGGTGCACCCACGTGCAGGATACACAGATGTTTGATGGACTGCTCTTTCAACTTTTCTGAGGTTTGAAATGTTCAAAATCTCAAAATAAAAGAGGAAAAGACTCTTTAAAAAAGGAGTCAAATGATTCAATATTCCTGGCAGTTTTGTGGGGGCATGTCAGTGGCAAAAGACGGGTGCCTCTTTCATTTTCTCTACGCACCTCGTTTTTTTCTGCTTTGCCCTGTTCTGCATGAGATTCCTCTCCTGGCTCTCGACAGGGGAAACTGAAAGCCCCCAGGGCACTTCATGGTGAGGAACAACTTCTCTGACGGTTTGGAGACGGAGGAGGCTGACATTGCAGAAAATGCAGCATTTGGCATCCTCTTCTTGAAAATACCTTGGTCTCATTTCTCACCCAGTTGTAGCCCACCACCACGTGGCTGGACTCTTCCTACTGGGCTCCCTCTGCCCTTCTTTCTCCTCTCTTCCCCTCCGCTTGTTCTTCTCCTCTGCCCTGGGATCTCACTAGCTCTTTGAAATCTCCTTCTGCCTGTGTTCCAAGGACCAGCACAACTGGCTAAACAAAGAAGGCACTTGCATAACTTTGGAACCCAAATTCCTCTTGGTGTAGCCACATTTTAGTCTTTTTTGTTTGGTTCGGTTTGGTTTTGAGACGGAGTCTTGCTCTGTCACCCAGGCTGGAGTGCAGTGGCATGATCTTGGCTCACTGCAACATTTGCCTCCCAAGTTCAAGTGATTCTCCTGCCTCAGCCTCCCGAGTAGCTGGGACTACAGGCATGCACCACCATGCCAGGCTAATTTTTGTATTTTTAGTAGAGATGGGGTTTCGCTGTGTTGGCCAGGCTGGTCTTGAACTCCTGGCCTCAAGTGATCTGCCCACCTTGGCCTCCCAAAGTGTTGGGATTACAGGCGTGAGCCACTGCACCCAGCCCACAGTCTTCCATACTCTAAACCTTACTCTTTAAGAAAACACAAGGCTGGGTGCAGTGGCTCACGCCTGTAATCCCAGCACTTTGGAAGGCCGAGGCGGGCAGATCACGAGGTCAGGAGATCAAGACCATCCTGGCGAACATGGTGAAACCCCCGTCTCTAATAAAAATACAAAAAATTAGCTGGGCATGGTGGCGGGTGCCTGTAGTCGCAGCTACTCGGGAGGCTGAGGCAGAAGAATGGTGTGAACCTGGGAGGCAGAGCTTGCAGTGAGCCTGAGATCACGCCACTGCAATCCAGCCTGGGCGACAGAGTGAGACTCCATCTCAAAAAAAAAAAAGGAAAGAAAAGAAAACACAAGGCGGCTGGGCATGATGGCTCACACCTGTAATCCCAGCACTTTGGGAGGCCAAGGAAGGTGGATCATCTGAGGTTAGGAGTTTGAGACCAACCTGGGCAACATTGCGAAACCCGGTCTCTACTAAAAATATAAAAATTAGCCTGGCTTGATGGTGCATGCCTGTAGTCCCAGCTACTCGAGAGGCTGAGGCAGGACAGTTGCCTGAACCTGGGAGGCGAAGGTTGCAGTGAGCCGAAATCACGCCACTGCACTCCAGCCTGGGCGAAAGAGCAAAACTCTGTCTCAAAAAAAAAAAAAAGAGAGAGAGAGAGAGAAGAGAAGAAAAGAAAACACAAGGACTCCATTCCACTATCAGTAATAATAATAGCTACTATTTGGGGGGTACTAACCCTGCACTTCGAATACATCATCTCTAACACTTATGAATGTGCCCCATCAGAGGGGCCCTAAGGAACGTGACATTCAGGATGGCTGATGAGCCAGCGCAAAGTCCACAGCCATGAAGCTGAAATGCTACAGAGTGGCAACACAGACACTGCAGACTCAGAGGGGGGAAGGGGACGTGGGGTAGGGATGAGAAATTACCTGTTGGGTACAGTGTACACTATTCAGGTGACAGATACACCAAAAGCCCAGACTTTACCACTCTCATCCATGTAACCAAAAACCATTTATACCCCTAAACCTATTGAAATAAAAATGATATTGTTTTTAAAGTGAAGATGCTGCCTGATCGGGGCCTTTTAAGATGCTTCCCAACTCTGACAAAGAGTGTTTCATGATCAGAGGCTGCCGGAGCTGCCAAAGGCTACCCAAGTACCCAGACAGACAGAGTGGGGGCTGGACCTGAGGACACGCCCTCAGGGCTGGGAGGAGACTAAGGAGATGGCGATGGGCCAGGCGCGGTGGCTCACGCCTGTAGTCCCAGCACTTTGGAAGGCCACGGCAGGTGGATCACCTGAGGTCAGGAGTTTGAGACCAGCCTAACCAACATGGTGAAACTCTGTCTCTACAAAAAATACAAGACAGCTGGGCGTGCTGGCACACACCTGTAATCCCAGCTACTTGGGAGGCTGAGGCAGGAGAATCGCTTGAACCTGGGAGGCAGAGGTTGCAGTGAGCCAAGATCACACCACCACACTCCAGCCTGGGTGACAGAGCAAGACTCCATCTCAAAAAAAAAAAAAAAAAAAAGAGACAGAGGTGGTGAAGCTGGGAGGGGGCTAAAGAGACAGCGATGGTGGGACTGGGAGGGGATTAAAGAGATGGCGATGGTAGGGGCTGGGCAGGAGTTGGAGCATGAACATCTGAGACAATGGCTTAGCTCAGCGCTCAGCGCCCCCCGCTCCAGAATATGAATATTGGACAGGACATCAGGAAGGTACTGGAGTGCCTCCTCCCAAAGTGGGAAGTGGGAATGGCCCCTCTCCCCCACCTCCTCCATCATCCCCCAACTCACCAGCCTTCCCCAGAGGTTCAAGCCACTTCTGCTCCCTCCTGGCTCCAAGCAAGTCAGAAGACCTAAGGGAAATAAACTTGAAAAGAGACTGGGAATGTAATCAAAAGTAGCAACGACGATGTGTGCTGGAAACCAGGAGGAAACTGGCAAACAGCAGCAGAGGGCTGAGGCCTGGGAGAGCCGGGGAGAGACGGAGAGGGCAGAGGTGAAGAGGAGGAAGGGAGAGAGGGTAGGGAGAGGCAGCTCAGCCACACAGCCAGGGCGCAGAGGCTGCCAGACAGGAGGACCCCAGGCTACGCTCCTGGGAAACTGGGAAGAGATGATATCTAGACCCAGAGTCTGGTGTTTCTTCTGAAATGTAAATAAAGCTCACTTCAGTCTGGGGACTTCTGAGGAAGGTGAGAGAAGCTGAGAACAGAGAGAAAGACAGAGGCGCGAGAGGAACACTCTGGAACGCTTTCATGTGTCCTCTAACTGAACACGTAATCTCTAGGGGAAGATGTTGTTACACCCATTTTGCAAGTGAAAACTGAGCTCAGAGAGGTTGCGTTCTCTGCCCAAAGTCACACTGTGAAAAAGCCGTTGACTCCAAACCCCTAGACTGGGCTGACGTGAGAGTCCATTTGGAAGTTATTATCAGAGTGGGAGCCCTTCAAGCTCTCAGCACCAAGACAGTGTCGTGAAGCAGGAGACGGGGGACTTCCTGAGGCCACATACTGAATCTAACAGCCAGGTCTGAGCAAGCGAGAGCATGGGAGGGGAACAGACCCAGAGACATGGGGCCAGAGGGAGGCAGGGGGACCAGGACCTCATCCAGAAATCTCCTTCATGGCCCTCTCACCAGCCCCACAGACTGGACTTCAGGCAGGAACAGCACATGACCAGAAGACAACGTAAAATAAATAAATCAGTAAGAGGAACACGGAACACCCACACTTTCTCTGTGGGGTCTCAAAACAGCAGGGCTCCTAAATGACCACGCGATTGCCTTTGGGTACAGCAGACTTGGGTCTGACACTCACTTCTGCAATTTCGTGTGTGACTGTGGTCCGTCGCTTAACCTCTCTGAGCCTCAGTTTCCCCTTGTGTAAGATGGAGATTATGATCACTCCATCCTCATAGAGTTCCCATGAGCATCATCAAGGGAATGGTGCCAGCAACCCCGGCCATCTACACACCCGTTCCTATTATTGTATTATTCAAATGTATATTAAATGAGCTAGAAGCCACCCTTGCAGATGAGTCCTAGGGTGAATCCTTTCACAACCGGCTTTCCTGATGTCGCTGCTTTGAAGGCCTGGATGCCTGTAATTGGGGTGTAAATGGATGCCCTGTGAATTGTCATCCCTCACTTCCCTGCCTGCCCACTTGAGCTGTAGTTTTCATCCTGGGCTCCTGTTCCTCCTCTCAACTCATCCCTCTAGAATTCTATGCTCATTTCTAAAATCCACAGGAGAGGACACACAGAAGGACAGCAGCCCCAGAGCTAACTGTTGGCCTCTCCGGGTCTGGCATCAAAAGGGGAGCAGAGGCCAGGTGCCGTGGCTCATGACGGTAATCCCAGACCTTTGGAAAGCCAAGGCAGGCAGATTGCCTGAGTTCAGGAGTTCAAGACCAGCCTGGACAATACGGTGAAACCTCGGTTCTACTAAAAATACAAAAATTAGCTGGGCATGGTGGCGCACACCTGTAATCCCAGCTACTCGGGAGGCTGAAGCATGAGAACTGCTTGAACCCGGGAGGTGGAGGTTGCAGTGAGCCAAGATCATGCCACTGCACTCCAGCCTGGGTTACAGAGCAAGAAAAAAAAGGAGCAGAGAGAGCCATCGCTATAAAGTTTAGCCCGTGTGGCTTCCCTTGCGCTAAACCACTGGGCAGATGTGATGCTTAATTTCATGCATCAACTTGATAGCTGATAGAACCTGACTTTGGGGTGTGTCTGTGAGGGTGTTTCCAGAAGAGATCAGCATTTGTTTTTGTTTCTGTTTTTGTCTTGAGACAGTCTTGCTCTGTCACCCAAGCTAGAGAGCAGTGGCGCAATCTCGGCTCACTGCAACCTCCACCTCCTGGGTTCAAGCATCCTCCTGCCTCAGCCTCCCAAGTAGCTGGAACTAAAGGCACCTGCCATCATGCCTGGCTAACTTTTTTTTTTTTTTTTTTTTAGTAGAGATGGAATTTCACCATGTTGGCCAGGTTGGTCTTGAACTCCTGGCCTCAGGTGATCCACCTGCCTCAGCCTCCCAAAGTGCTGGGATTACAGGCATAAGCCACTGCGCCCAGCCAAGATCAGCGTTTGAATCCATGGATGACTAAAAAAGACCACCCTCACCCATGTGGGTGGGCACTGGCCATTCCATTGAGGGCCCAGACAGAGCCAAAAGCTGGAGGAAGGGCCAGTTTGCTCTCTGCCAGAGCTGGGACATCCAGCTCTTCCTGCCCACTGATATCTACGCTCCTGGCTCTCGGACCTTCAGACTCAGACCAGGACTTTGGGTCTGGACTGGAACGACACCACTGGCTTGCCTGGACCTCCAGCTGGCAGACAGCAGATCATGGGACTCCTCAGCCTCCATAATCAGCCTCCACTGAGCCAATCCCTCACAGTGAACGTCTCTCTGTTTACCTGCATCTGTTGGTTCTGTTTCTCTGGAGAACCCTGACTAATACAGCCAGGAACAAAAACAACCCCTATGCCTCACCATCTTCAGTGACTTAGGTCAGCTTCCCCAGCAAACAAACTCTGAGGCACAGCTTTGCATACAGGAGGCTTACCGCGGAGAATTCATTCGCAGCAACGTTAGGGGGCTGGGGGGAAGCACGATTAGGCAGAGGGAGATGCTGGACTGTGATGCAGCTGCAGTGGAGGCCTCCGCCGATCCCGCAGGGAGATCTGGAGCTAGACCGACCCTATGAAGCTGTCCCAAATCAAGGTAAAGGAGTCAGAACTTTGTGCCCTTGCCTGGACCAGCCATTGGATCTGGGCTGCACTTGAGGAGGGGGCATAATCTTGGGTGAGAAAACTCCCTTTGGCAGAGGGCAATTCTGGAGGAGGGACTTCGCCGTGAGCCATCAGCAGCCAGCACTCCCAGTGGCAAGGGAATGAGCACCTTGGTCCTCAGTAGATTTGCGTGGGGCACCGCAGCATTCACTACGGCCACCCCTCGTTCCACTGAGATCCACCTGCTTCACAGAGTGAGTCTGTCCATCTACGGACCATTCTTTCAGGATTCTAGGTGGTCTCTTTCCCTGAAAAAAATCTAAAAGAAGATGGCTAGTTGGTTGCACTACAGTTTCTTTGCCACTACAGCTGGTCCTGAAGCTGCAACTGGTACCCACCCTCTCCCTCCTCTACTGTCCATCTTAGATTCCCCTCAGCCTCGGCGAGCATCTCTGCTGATCTAGAGTTCACCTCGTGGGATGACCCAGACCCTCATCCCTCACAGGTCTGGCCCCTCCCTGGTAACTGTGCCCTTCCCAGCTCATGGCTGCCACACTTACCCATTTACTGTCAAAAATGGGCAAGAGGATAACAAAAGACAGCCCAACAGATCACGTGGGTACCAAAACTGATCTTCCCTGCCTTCATTGTGTAACAGCAATCCTACCTTCTCCTGCCAGTTGCTCAGGGACAGTAATTCCTGCCAGTACAGTGACTCCTTCCCTCGTCCCATGGCCTTTTGGTCCAAGGAATCTGAAATGACCAGGTGGCAGATGTGGGTTAAAGTTTGGGGGAGCTCTTACTCTATACCCTGGTGAAGCGTTCCCCATCTGGAAACCAGAGCAGATCTTCAGACGCACAAAGCTTAAAGTTTCAGGGACAGGAAATGAATTTCCTAAATGAGTCACTGAGGATGACAGTGAGTGATGGCTCTGTTACTTTCACCCCTTAGCTTCCAGACCACGTGTTTTACCTACTGCAGACACAACACCATAGAATAGTATGGTCATTCATTTGGGGTGTGCTCTGTGTTCTGGGGGATGACTCTCCATGCTCACAGGGTGTCATGTCGAAGCTGTCTGTACCAGGCTGAGCAGACGCTCCACCGCTATCAAGACCCAGAAGCACACTAAAGCTATTTTTCGAATAATGCATGATTTTCCACTACAGATGGCATGGCCTTGTTCCAGAACTCTAGGGATCTATGTTGTTATTCTCCTATTGGGACTTGCCATAAACTCGTAGCGTCTTTTCTCACCACAGATATGTCTGTTATCAACGTCTGCTGGGTCACATGACTCCAGACGTGGGACTTGCTTGTACCACAGCCTGGAGCTGCTGCAGAACCCTCTCCTGCCTTGGGCCCCTCTCAGTGCTGGCAGCCATCCTTGGCACTTGGCAAAATGGGTTGCAGCAGTATTTGTCAAGTGTGGAATATATTGCTTAAAGAACCCAAAAAAGGCCTATAAGATGTTTTGTTTCCTTCTGATGTGTGGGAGGTGCAAGATGCAACAACTTGTGGTTTCCTTTGGAGGAGATGTCCTGGCGTGCCCCAAACCAAACCACTGTACTAAAAATTTCACTGATAGGGAGTCCCCACCTTCCGAAGCATGTCTGTCCTATCAAGGCTTCCAAATCACTTGCCACTTCTTGCCCATCCAGACTAATTAACGTGATGTCATTGATATAATGGGCCAATGTGTCTTATTGATATCACGGACCAGTGTGGACTGGGCGCAGTGGCTCATGCCTGTAATCCTAACACTTTGGGAGGCGAAGTGAAAGGATTGCTTGAGCCCAGGAGTTTGAGACCAGCCTGGACAACATAGCAAGACCCTGTCTCTACAAAAAATAAAAAATTAGCCCGGCATGATGGCACACGCCTATAGTCCCTCAGGAGGCTGAGGTGGGAGGATTGCTTGAGCCCAGAAGGTCAAGGCTGCACTGAGCTGTGTTCACACCACTGCACTCCAGCCTGGGTAAAAAAGAGAGCCTGTCTCAATAATAATAATAATAATGGATCAGTGTGATGTTCTGTGGAATGATGGGATGTTCTGGATCCCTGTAGTCTAAAGTTTCTCCACCTTGGCACTATTCACACTTTGGACCAGATAATTCTTTGTTGTAGGGGCTGTCCCATGCATTGGAAGATGTTTAGCAGTATCTCTGACCTCTACCCACTAGATGCCAATAGCATGTCCCCTCCCAGTTGTGTCAATCAGAAATGTCTCCAGACATTGCCAAATGGCCCAGTGGAGAACCAGTTTCATACTATATTATGACAGAGAGTGGCCAAGTTAGCACACACATGGGCAGAACTGTAGGTGAATGCTGTTCTCCATCCTACGGGATTGCAAACTGCTTCCAACTACCCCTCCTACTAGAAATGGAAGAAGAAGCCACTTGCCAGATCAACAGCCACACGCTGTGTCCCTAAGGCTGTGTTAATCTACCCTAGCAGAGACACTCTATGTAGCACCGCAGCTGCAGGTGAGACTACTGCTTGGTTGTACTAATGAAAGTCTACTCTCAGCCCGGCGCGGTGGCTCGCACCTGTAATCCCAGCACCTTGGGAGGCTGAGGTGGGCAGATCACTTGGGATCAGGAGTTCGAGACCAGCCTGGTCAACCCGGCAAAACCTTGTCTCTACTAAAAATACAAAAATTAGCTGGGCATGGTGGCACATGCTTGTAGTCCCAGCTACTCAGAAGGCTGAGGCAGGAGAATCACTTGAATCCTGGAGGCGGAGGTTGCAGTGAGCAGAAATGGTGCCACTGCATTCCAGCCTGGGTGACAAAGCGAGACTCTGTCTCAAAAGAAAAAAAAAAAAAAGAAAAAGAAAAGAAAAAAAGAAAGTCCACTCTCATCTGCTAGAATTCATCTGAATTTCTTTGTTGTTATGTTGTTGTAAGGACCAAGCTAGTGAATTGGATAAGGATGGGATGAGGATCACCACTCATGCATCTTGGGTCTTTAAAAGTGATGCTAATTTCTGCCATTTCCCCTAAACGGTAATGCTGGGTTTGTTTGTTTTGTTTGTTACTTGATCAGGATGGGGGATAGTTTCAGAGACTTCCATCTGGGCTTCACCACATAGCTTTTAGACCAAAGGGCAAGGAAGAGAGTATGAATTCTGCCAATCATGTGTGCCCATCCCAATTACAAATTCTGGAACTAGGGAACTGGGTGGGTTCATGGATTCAGTGTATCTACTGTGGTCAAAGCTCAGACCAGGATTCTATTGATATTCTGGGTCCCATCTGCTCCTACCCTAACAGGAGGCGATGATGACACTTCAGATCCCTACATATCAACACGTCATGTTGAACCCTTTTTGTTTTTTGTTTTTTGACACGGAGTCTCACTCTGTTGCCCAGGCTGGAGTGCAGTGGTGCGATCTTGGCTCACTGCAAGCTCCACCTCCCGGGTTCACACCATTCTCCTGCTTCAGCCTCCCGAGTAGCTGGGACTACAGGCGCCCACCACCATGCCCGGCTAATTTTTTGTATTTTTAGTAGAGACAGGGTTTCACCATGTTAGCCAGGATGGTCTCCATCTCCTGACCTCGTGATCTGTCTGCCTCGGCCTCCCAAAGTGCTGGGATTACAGGCATGAGCCACCACACCTGGCTAATTTTTTTGTATTTTTAGTAAAGATGGGGTTTCACCATGTTAGCCAGGATGGTCTCGATCTCCTGACCTCGTGATCCATCTGCCTCAGCCTCCCAAAGTGCTGGGATTACAGGCGTGAGCCACCGTGCCCGGCCCATCTTGAACCCTTGAATCTTGTAGCCAGTAATCTTAGAAATGTCTGGTTGTTCCTTTCACCAGGGTACAGTAACTCAAACAAATGGCTGCAGGTTCTTTTGAAGAGGAATGGGGTAACCACTACCATGTACATTTGCCGTGTGTTGCAGGCTGCTGCTTCTTGGGGATCAAGTCTCTCCTTCATTAAATGGGTTCTGGGCCTGAACTCTAGCTCAGTAAGGGATTGTGGGCTTTTGCTAGGGCAGCAGCTTCAGCCATCCTTGAATTCTTTTGGCTGTGTAAATTACATAATACTTGCCAGGCGCAGTGGCTCACGCCTGTAATCCCAGCACTTTCGGAGGCTGAGGCGGGTGGATCACCTGAGGTCGAGAGTTAGAGACTAGCCTGACCAACATGGAGAAACCCCATCTCTACTAAAAATATTTAATTAGCCGGGGGTGGTGGCACAAGCCTGTAATCCCAGCTGCTCAAGGGGCTGAGGCAGGAGAATTGCTTGAACTTGGGAGGTGGAGGTTGCGGTGAGCCAAGATGGCATCATTGCACTCCAGCCTGGGCAACAAGAGTGAAACTCCATCTCAAAAAAAAATTACTTAGTACTCTTTTTGGCTGCCTGTCTATCTTGTCCCTGGGAACACCGTGTTCTAGGAGCCATTTCTATAGCTCTCTGCAGGCTCCCTGCTTGCCACTCTGGCCTTGCTGCTCATTACGATAATTCTGCCCACCTTGCCTGTTATGTTTAAGTTCCACCACTGAGCCTCTATTCTTTCAGGATCCCATCTTCCTTATTGCTCTCAGGGAGCCCGGTCTGTCACAGCACCTCCTCCTGTCAGCCTTGGTTTACAGAGAACAGCACCCTTGAGCGCTACAACCATGTCCTCAGCCCTCTCCCCCGTGCATGGTAAATGGGCAGTCCTCTAGGCTTTCCCAAAGAACACAGTTAGCAAGTCACTTTTCTGGCTTTATGTAGTTATCCATCCTAGCACACCCACTTCCCTAAGGCTTTTTTTTTTTTTTAACAGAGGCTTGCTCTGTAGCCCAGGCTGGAGTGCGGTGGCGTGATATCACCTCACTGCACTCACTGCAACCTCCATCTCCAGGGCTCAAGCTATCCTCCCACTTCAGCCTCCCTAGTAGCTAGGACTACAGGTGCATGCTACAATGCACAACTAATTATTTTTTGTAGAGACGGGGGTCTCGCCATGTTGCCCAGGCTGGTCTCAAACTCCTGGGCTCAAGTGATTCTCCCACCTCTGCTTCCCAAAGTGCTGAGATTATAGGCATGAGCCACCTCGCCCAGCTTATCTGAGTCTTTTGATCCCGTCTTCCACCATCTGCCACAGAAGTTCTGGCACTTCTAGTTCACCTAGTATGAGCCCTTGCTTTTTCCAAGCCTCCAAGAGCCATCCTAACAGTGAGTTAGCACCATCTCCTGGGGTCTTTGCCAGGCGGTTAAATCCTGTATCCTTGGAGGTGGCTCCCACGTTGCTGAACTCTCCCTACCCGACTCCCTCCTCCATTGCCTTTGATCCCAGCACCCTCGTGATCCAGTCCCATCCATCCTCTTCTGATGTCTGCCAGTGAACGTTGGCTGGGTCCTGCAGCCTCTCTGTCATCCCTTTATTCTCGTGGTATAACTGAATTCTGTTGTAACTTGACTGAAGATACTGGTCTGGGGGACAGAAAAGGAGGCAGCACAGATAGTCTGGCAAGCCAGAGGACTCTGCATCAGCTTCAAGCAAGGGAGGGTTTTGCTTGCCTTTAACAAGGAGTGAACCACCCTGCAGGCCCAGAGGGTTTCAGAGAATTTAGGGATTCAAGATTTTCAAGTGCAACAACCCAGATGTCCCCATCCGTATGTCATAAATGAGCATCCCTCTTTCCAATCAAGGCTCTGACCTTGGACTAGCAGACTTGCCAGAGTCGAGAATTCAGCCTTCTCTGTAGCTCCACTTATAATTAAGTTGTGGGCCCGATCCTCAGGTTTTTCTGTCTGCGAGCTGCAGAAGATGAGAGTCTCTTGATATATGCTGCCAAGGAGGGCCTCTGGATCTCACACCTCACTTAAATCGGTGATTAATCACCCCAGCTTTACATGGTCTTCTTCCAATGCACTGAAGGCCCCCAGCAATCACTATCTGGTTTTTTTTTCCCTTTTTTACTTTTATTTTTTGAGACAGGGTCTTGCTCTGTCACTCAGGCTGGAGTGCAGTGGTATGCTCACCACCCACTGCAAACTTGACTTCTTGGGCTCAAGCGATCCTCTTTCCTCAGCCTCCCAAGTAGCTGGGACTACAGATGCACGCCACCACCTTGGCACTATTCACATTTTGGGCCACATAATTCTTTGTCGTAGGAGCTGTAGGATTTTTTTTTTTTTTTTTTTTTGAGACAGCGTTTCCCTCTGTCATCCAGGCTGGAGTGCAGTGGCACAGTCTTGGCTCACTGCAACCTCTGCTTCCCGGGTTCAAGTGATTCTCCCTGCCTCAGCCTCCTGAGTAGCTGGGATTACAGGCACCCGCCACCATGCCCAGCTAATTTTTGTATTTTTGGTAGAGATGGGGTTTCACCATGTTGGCCAGGCTGGTCTCCAACTCTTGACCTCAGGTGATCCACCCAGCTTGGTCTCCCAAAGTGCTGGGATGACAGGCACCCGCCACTATGCCCAGTTAATTTTTGTATTTTTAGTAGAGATGGGATTTAGCCATGTTGGCCAGGCTGGTCTCGAACTCCTGACCGCAGGTGATCTGCTTGCCTCGGCCTCCCAAAGTGTTGGGATTACAGGCGTGAGCCACCGCGCCCGGTCGCATCATAGGATTTTTAACAGCATCGCTGACCTCTACCTCCTGGGTACCAATAGCCATGCCATCCCCCTCCCCCACAATTATGACAACAGAAATGTCTTCAGGCATTCTTGGATGGTTTTTCGTTTGTTTAGTTGGTTTGGGTTGGGTTGCGTTTTTTTGTAGAGGCAGGATCTTGCTAGGTTGCCCAGGCTGGTCTTGAACTTCTGCCCTCAAATGATCCTCCCATCGTGGCCTCACAAAGTGCTGGAATTACAGAGGGGTGAGCCACTGTGCCTGGCCAGCAATCACTATCTGACTCCACAGTTTTTATAATGATTACTTCCCCCAAATCTCTCAAATGGCTGAGATATATCTGCCAATGCATTCCCTTCTGTGGATTTTCCATCCCAGTTCACCATGACTGAGAGTTTTAACAACTGCCCTGCTATAGCACAACAGACCCCTACCTCCCAGGGATGGGGGCCTCATTGCTGGACCCAGCAAGTAACGCAACTCAAAAATCCCATTGAAAAATCTGCTTCCCATGACCTCTTCCAATACTAACTGCCTTCCACCAGAACTCAGCGGTAGGGATTTCTGAAAAGGAGAAAAAGAGCAGAATTAGACAGAGGGAGAAATTGAACTGTGATGCGGTGGCTACAAAGGGCCCAGACAATACTGCAGGGAGCCCTGGGGCTCCGATGAACTTTCAGAGCTGTTTCAAATCAAAGAATCCTATTTGATTCTCAAAACAACTTTACAAGGATGGCACTATCATTATCCTCTATCTATAGACGAGGAAACTGAGCTCAGAGAGGTAAGTGACCTGCCCAGGATCACACAGCTTTGAGGGGTTGAGCTGGGATTTCCACCCAGGTCTTTCACTCTCTAAAGATTCCTTCTAGGCTGGGTGCGGTGGCTCACACCTGTCATCCCGGCACTCTGGAGGCTGAAGCAGCAGGATCCTTGAGGCCAGGATTGAGACCAGCCTGGGCAACATAGGGAGATGCTCACTCTACAGGGTATTTTTTAAATTAGCTAGATGTGGTGGCATGCACCTATAGTCCCAGCTACTCAAGAGGCTGAAGCCGGAGGATCACTTGAGCCCAGGAGTCGGAGGCTACAACGAACTGTAATTGTACCACTGCACTCCAGCCTGGGCAACAGTGCAGGACCCTGTCTTGAAATAATAATAATAATAATTTTAATAAAATAACAAATAAAGCTTCCTTCCAACTTGTCCTCCCCAGTCTCCTAGGGCCTCGGAGTTCTCTGTTGGATCCTCTTCATTCGGCTGGCAGAAAACAGGGCGGCAGACGGGATGTTGCGTAGGAGGTGTCACAGGCCAGGTGTGGGCACGCCAGTCATCACTTCTACCCACATTCCGCTGGCCAGAACTCAGCCAAGTGGCCCAAGGTCGCTGTCTACAAGGGAGGCTAGCAATGTAGTCTAGCTGTGTGCCCAGGAGCAAAGGAGAAATGATTTAGTCCAGTCTCAGCCCTGCCCTGAATATGGGAGTGCTGAGAGCCAGCAGAGCAGACAGAGCCCATCTGTTTCATTAATTTGCTGTTTGTTCTTGGGCTGGGGGTGGAGGAATGCCCACAGGAGCTAATTTAGTTGGCAGCAAAAGGGAGTGAGTTGGGAGGTACCCATGGGTTCTGGTTTATCAGCCCAGGCCCAGGGCACATAAGGAGCAGCCATCTCTGAGGAACACCGGGCCTGAAATCCAGGGGTTCAAGTGCACAGATGGACCTGGGAGGTGGAGGCTGCTATTACTCCGTGGAAGGGAGAAGTGAGGCCAGTTGGTGGGTTAGCGGGATTCACCTGCCCCGAGTGAGCCAGCGAGTCCTGAACAGCTCAGGAAAGAGGTCAGGGGTACCTGACAGCCTCCCTTCTTCTAGGAGTTCCTGTGAGGTGTGTGGAGCCAGGCCTCAGCTCACCCCACTGTAGGCTGCATCCAGATGAGGGGGGCCAGGGCTTCAAGAGCAAGCCAGCCATGCTCCCCTGCAGAACTGGGGTAGGAATGGAGTACTAATCTCCTCTCTGCCAGAGCCTCCAAGGCCTCCACCCTGGCATCCCATCTCTCTGTGCATGAAGAATCGTGATCCAATTTATTAAAGGCTCTGAAAAGTCATGCGGACAGGAATCTTGTTTCTCTTGGTTTAACCAGCATTTCCCAGCATTATTTCAAAATGTCAAAATTGGAAAATACTGGTAAGAGTCAAAAGAAGGCCAGGTGCAGTGGCTTACGCCTGTAATCCCAGCACTTTGGGAGGCCGAGGTGGGCAGATCACTTGAGGTCAGGAGTTCGAGACCAGGCTGGCCAACAAGGTGAAACCCCGTCTCTACTAAAAATACAAAAATTAGCCGGATGTGGTGGCACATGCCTGTAATCCTAGCTACTCGGGAGGCTGAGGCAGGATAATTCAACCCGGGAGGCAGAGGTTGCTGTGAGCTGAGATCGCGCCACTACACTCCAGCCTGGACAACAGAGTGAGACTCTGTCTCAAAAAAAAAAAAAAAAAAAAAAAAAAAGAATTAAAAGGAAAAAACCCAGATGTAAGCCTGAATGCCAACCTGAATGCTTGCAAGCTCTGTCCCCTTTGCCAATCTGAGCCTCCAGGAGATGGAGATAATAAAAGGAACTTGCTACCACATGGGACAAGCTTAGGGATTACACAGGATGATGTGTACGCACCTGCCACTTAGCTGGTGGTTTAGAAAATGCAACTCTTCTGCTTCCGCGCTAAGCTCATTCCCCAGGGAATACCCGGCCAACACACATCCATGTGATGTCATCAGAACTTTGCAAGCAGCCACCTTCCACGGATCAGGAGGTTCAATGCTACCAACAACAGGAAGGACCGAGATAGCTCAGAAGCGAGGCTGGAGCTTCTCTCCTCCTCATTATCTTGAAGTCAGAAGTGCAGCTGTCACTCGGCCCCAGCCCCAAGCCCTCTTAACCTGTTCCCATTTCCAGCCTCTTACCCACTTGTAAAGGTGCGGGCTGGAAGCTTGATTCCCTGGGCTCTCCTGGCTCAGGGCCCTGACCACGGCAGCCGCTGAAGATGGCCTGCTGACAGTTTGATTACCGGTGACCTTCAGAGCTGGCTTAGTTAGGAACATGATTTATAACCGAATTATAGGGAATTCTATTGCCGGAGGTCTGGGGGGCTGCAGCAGCCACCTTCCAAGGCAGTCTCCACGCCCCCAGCTGACTTCCCCCAGCAGGGAACAGGTGTATAAGGGGACCAAGAGAATCCAGACCAGCTAGGGGTAAATCAGAACTCTTGCTGTTACTGGCTGTGTGACTGGGCAAGGACCCCAGCTCCTCAGGCTCAGCTCCCTGATTTGCAAAATGGGCATGATCATATAGCCTGCCTCAAAGAGCCGGATGGGATCAAGTGAGATTATACCTAGAAAGTGCTGGCATGGGCCAAGTGCGGTGGCTCACGCCTGTAATCCCAGCACTTTGGAAGGCCAAGGTGGGCGGATCATGAGGTCAGGAGATCGAGACCATCCTGACCAACACGGTGAAACCCATCTCTATTAAAAATACAAAAATTAGCCGGGCATGGTGGTGCATGCCTGTAATCCGAGCTACTCAGGAGACTGAGGCAGGAGCATCACTTGAACCCAGGAGGTGGAGGTTGCAGTGAGTCAAGATCTCGCCACTGCACTCCAGCCTGGGCAACACAGCGGGACTCCATCTCAAAAAACAAAAAGAAAAAGAAAGTGCAGGCATGGATGGTACCTGGCATGGAGCAAAGTGGCGCCTGCATACTCAACCAGTGGGAGTCATTACTACCAGTAAAAGAAGCCGTGACAGGGACAGTCCATCTGCCCCAGAGCTCCTTGGATCAGCCCTGCTCCCTCCTTGTCCTCCCCAGATGGTGACTGATGGGCTTCTGGGAAAACAAACCAAAAAGGCCTTTGGTGGATTCCTCAAGCACAGAATCCATTCGGAGTGATCAGTACCTGGCCAAACTGCTTATGAGTTCTTTTGAATGTCACTCCTGTCCTGACCCGGGGGGACAATGAGTCAGTCCTGTGAACACTGCAGTTAGGTCAGGCAGAGGGAATTTGCACCCCTCGCCCCTCTGGGCAGTTCCAGAGTTCAAGCTTTTGTCTTAGGCCAAACGAAACAAGCCCAAGCAGGCGCTGAAACAGGCAGGTCACCGTGACCCCAATAATTGTCCTTGCCAGGGATAAAAAGTCTTTTGAACTAAGAGTAGCAGCAGCCCCAGGAGCTGAACAGGAAGGAGATTGCACCTGGCCAGAGAGCACTCCCACACACACCACACACCACACACCACACCACACACCACACACACCACACAACACACAAAACACCACACACACCCATCCACACACCACACACACCACACAACACACAACACACCACACCACATACCACTCACCACACCACACACACCCATCCACACAGCACACAACACACCACACAACACACCACACACACCCATCCACACACCACACAACACACAACACACCACACACATCACACACCACACACCACACCACACACCACTCACACCACACACACCCATCCACACAGCACACAACACACCACACAACACACCACACACACCACACACACACCACACACTACACCACACACATCACACACACCCATCCACACAGCACACAACACACCACACAACACACAACACACCACACACACCCAC
The DNA here is from genome assembly GCF_000001405.40 of Homo sapiens. NCBI lineage: Eukaryota > Metazoa > Chordata > Mammalia > Primates > Hominidae > Homo > Homo sapiens. Next base: position 11,374,033 of record NC_000001.11, on the reverse strand, counting down.
ACACCACACACACCACACAACACACAACACACCACACACACCCATCCACATAGCACACAACACACCACACAACACACAAGACAGCACACACACCCATCCACACAACACACACAACACACAACACACCACACACATCCATCCACACACCACACCCATCCACACACACCACACACACCCATCCATACATACACACCACACCCATCCACACGCACACACTACACACACACCACTCACTCTACACACACCACTCACTCTACACACACCACACTCATTCACACACACACCACACACACATTCACACACATCCATCCACATGCACACCAGACTCATACACACACCACACACACATACACACACACATCCATCCACACACACACCCATCCACACACCACACACACACATCCATACACACCACACCCATACACACACACCACACTCATTCATACACACCACACACACACATCCACACACATTTCATACACACACACACATCCACACACACACCACACACTCCACGCACCCATCCACACACACGCATGCACAGGGGAGGAGCTGCTTGGCAGAGGCTTTGCCCCCTGCACCCTCTTCTCCAGAATCCTCCCATAACCTTCCCTGCTTGGGCCTCCCTTGTGGGTCTTTGGAATCCCAGATCTGGCTTGAAGCTGAGGGACTCTGCTTCCTCTGAAAACCCCACAGAGAGTGAGCAGGATAACAGGGAGACAATTCCTCCGTCAGTGTGGCCAGGGCCCACCCGCAGGTTGCCGATGCTACCTTCCCTCACCCACCCTGGACTCGGCTATTCAGAGCCCTTTCACATTCAAGTCTGGCCTGATCCCTGCAGCAGCCCTGCCAGGGAGGTATCAGCATCCATTCACAACGAGCCTGTTGAGGATCAGAAAATGCAACCGCCTGTGTCAGGATCACCCAGCAGGCAGGCCTGGGGCTGCTACTCACATCTGCTCCACTGACTCCCCGTCCAGTGCTCCTTCCAATCCTGCACTGTACACAGGGGGGCCTGTGGAGACAGCTCCAGCGTAGGAGAAGTCGAGCTCTGGGGAGGAGCCCAGGGACCATCGCTTGTCCCAGCCTTCAGGCAGCCTTGCCTGCCACGTTATTTAAAATCTTTGGAGACAGAGAAGGAGCCAGTGGAGGCCAAGGATGAATGCCTGGTTGGCCCTTCCAGAAAGATGAAGATTTCCAAGGTCCTGAGTGGGTTCCAATTCCTCTCTGCTCTTCTTCCAGCATGGTGTCACTTTGCCTTCCAAGACTCCATTTTCTCATCTGTAAAAAGGGATAATATATAAAGAGTGACCAAAAAAAAAAAAAAGACAACCAACCCTATTCAGATTGGTGGGAAGTGTAATTGAGCTATCACCAGGTCAGCTGCAGAAGAGCTGCTCAAGAAATAAAAGCTGTTATTAAACACATTCACAAAAGAGGGTTATTGCATGCTACCTATTTACATTGATCTTTTCTCAACCCAAAATGTAAGCATTCATTAACTGATGCCAAACAAAAATTAGCTGGGCATGGTGGCACGTGCCTGTAATCCCAGCTACTCAGGAGGCTGAGGTAGGAGAATTGCTTGAACCCGGGAGTTGGAGGTTGCAGTGAGCCAAGATCGCACCATTGCACTCCGGCCTGGTGATGAGAGCGAGACTCTGTCTCAAAAATAAAAATAAAACAAACCTGTAAATTTCATGTGGAACCAGATAGGGTGTGTGTAAATAAAGCAGTATACACATTCGTTACCGTGTCAATTTCCCTTTGACATATGTTTTCTTGCTGGGCACGATGGCTCACACCTATAATCCCAGCACTTTGGGAGGCCAAGTCCGGCAGATCTCTTAGCCCAGGAGTTTGAGAACAGCCTGGGCAACAGGTTGAACCCCCATCTCTACCAAAAAAAAAAAAAAAAATTAGCCGGGCATGGTGGTGCACACCAGTAGTCCCAACTACTTGGGAGGCTGAGGTGGGAAGATCGCTTGAGCCTGGGAGGCAGAGGTTGCAGTGAGCCAAGAGCATGCCACTGCACTCCAGCCTGGGTGACAGAGCCAGACCCCATCTCAAAAAAAAAAAAAAGAAAAAGTGGCCAGGCTCAGTGGCTCACGCCTATAATCCCAGCACTTTGGGAGACCAAAGTGAGCAGATCACCTGAGGTCAGGAGTTCAAGACCAGCCTGGCCAACATGGTGAAACCCCATCTCTACTAAAAATACAAAAATTATCCAGTCATGGTGATACACACCTGTAATCCCAGCTACTCGGGAGACTGAGGCAGGAGAATCACTTGAACCCGGGAGGCAGAGGTTGCAATGAGCCGAGATCATGCCACTGCACTCCAGCCTGGAAGACAGAGAGAGACTCTGTGTCAAAAAAAGAAAAAGAAAAAGAAAAAAAAAAGAAAAGAAATACATTTTCTTTACCGTGAGTTCAATAATGACAGGCTAGCTTAGCAGTCCTTTTATTTCTCCTAATTTGACCCTGGCACACCCAGCTACATCTGTCCCAGCCTCCTGTCCAGTCCCCAGCCCGCCCTCACAGGCAGCTGGTGCCCTCCGTTCCTGCCACATGATTCCTGCTCCGGAGAGGTTGAGGCCACTGGCTGTCACCCTGGATTTTATGCTGGATCCCAACCTCATCTCATGAAATCACATTAACAGCCTGGTTTTGAGCATTCCTTTGTGTCAGCCTCTTCTTTTTCTCTTCTTCCCCCTTTTCCTAACCTTTCTCCCAATCCCAAAGAAGATGTTCTTCCTTCTCACCCCACTCTTCATCTGTTTCCTTTGCCAGCTCCTCTTTTGTCACCATTCCTCTCCCCCCACCCCCTCAGGCTGACTCGGCCCTCCACACGCACTCAACGTTTTTATCTTTCAGAGACATCATCCGTCCACCTAGCTTTTTCAGCCTAGCAAAATCAAAAGAAACCTCCATTTTAAAGTTATAAGGAAAGAACTAGCTTCTGAGAGTGGAAGTGACTTCACCAAACGCACACAGCAAATTGATGGCAAAACATAGTTACCCATCAATTCCACCCGGTAATGAGCGGTGATTGCTTAAGAGGAATGGAGTTTCTGTCTGGTGATGAAAAAGTTCTGGAACTGGATGGTGGTGATGGCTGCACGACAGTGTGTATGTATTAAACGCCACTGAATTGTACACTTAAGAATGGTTAAAATGGTAAATTTTATGCTATGTATATTTTGTCACAATAAAATAAAATAAGCCAGGTGCAGTGGCTCACGCCTGTAATCCCAGCACTTTGGGAGACCGAGGAGGGCAGATCACAAGGTCAGGAGATCGAGACCATCCTGGCTAACACGGTGAAACCCCGTCTCTTCTAAAAATACAAAAAATTAGCTGGGCATGGTGGCGTGCGCCTGTAGTCCCAGCTACTCGGGAGGCTGAGGCAGGAGAATGGTGTGAACCCGGGAGGCGGAGCTTGCAGTGAGCCGAGATTGAGCCACTGCACTCCAGCCTGGGCGACAGAGTGAGACTCCATCTCAAAATAAATAAATAAATAAATAAAATAAAATAAATAGCTAGATGACAGCGATGCGTCTACTGATCTTCCGGTAGTTAGACCCACGCCACCTCCTTCCCAGTCCAGAGCTCTGAAATGCACACTCCAGTCATTTGCTGTTGAATCCCGATCCTCATGTCCAGACCTCAGCAGCTACAGTCTTCCACTGAATCATCCACAACCCCAACAACAATGACCATGTATTGAGCAATTCCTCTGCCCTGGGCCAGATGCGGTGCTCGGGGCATTCCGGGCAACCTCTTGCTTAAATTTGGATGCCCCTCTGGCGCAGCCCTCTCTCCTTCGCACCTCCTACTTTTTCGGTAGGCTCATGTCGTCTTTCTTTTCAATATCTGCCCTACTGGCTTCTTCCCTTTGCTGCCAACGACCCCCGCCTCTGCCCCAGCTCACATAAATTCTGCTACAGCCACCCAGTTCCTTCTCCACTTCTGTCTGCCTCCTGCTCTGGGCACCCTACTCAGAGCAATCAGCAAGTCTCAGAGCTGGACAGGACTTTTGCCGGGCACCCTTTTCCGAAGTATAAATACTCTTTACACAACCTAAAAAAAGTGCCTGTGGTGTCAGCTCAGACACATCCAGGAACCTGCAACTGACCGCTCCCCATGCCCTGCAAGTAAAGGCCAAGCTCCTTAGCATGATGTTTGGGGATCAGATGCCTGTCCGCTCCTCCACCCGCCCTCCAGACAGATAACATGCCTTATTGCTGTGTTCCCAATATGTAGCCAGGGCTGGCATTTAACAACTAACTCTGTTTTATTCAACAAGCAGTTATGGACTGCTACTGATGGATATACTGTGGGAACAAAAACGATACAGTCCCTGCCCTCCTAGAGCATAAACTCTAACCAGAGGGCAGATCCACCAGCATAGAAATAGATTCCTAGACATGACAACCATTGATAAATGCTAAGAAGAAAAAGATGGGGATGTTATGAGAGAAATTAATGGGGGAAACTACTTCGTGTAAATGTTTGATGAACTAACAAGCCGAAGAATGAATTCATTAAATCACTGGATCAATGAATGGTGAAGAACTCTGCTCATACAAGAACCAGTTGTAAGCATGAACGCTGGAGCCAGACTGCCTGGGTTTGTGTCCTGGATATAGCACTCACCAGCTGTGTGACCTTGGGCAAGTCACTTAACCTCTCCATGCCTAAACTGCCTCGCTGATAAAGTGTGGGATAACAATAGTATCTCAACTCATAGATTATTAGTCAGTTTTTGGGTGTTTTTTTTTTTTTTTTGAGATGGAGTTTCGCTCTTGTTGCCCAGGCTGGAGTGCAATGGCGTGATCTCGGCTCACTGTAACCTCCACCTCCCAGGTTCAAGTGATTCTCCTGCCTCAGCCTCCTGAGTAGCTGGGATTACAGGTGCATGCCACCATGTCCGGATAATTTTTGTATTTTTAGTAGAGGTGGGGTTTCATCATATTGGTCAGGCTGGTGTCGAACTCCTGACCTCAGGTCATCTGCCCACCTCGGCCTCCCAAAGTGCTGGGATTACAGGTGTGAGCCACCGCGCCCGGCTTTCGGGTTTCTTTTTTTTAATCCATAACAAACAATCTCAAAATCTCAGTGGCTTATAACCTCTGTATTCATTTTCTTTCTCATGGATCTGTGGATCAGCTGTGCCTCTCCAGGGTCTGGCCAGGATCGGACTGGGCCTGGTCCAGTCTTGGCTCCAGGCCACAAGTTGGGTTCAAGGCCACAAGTTGGGTCTCTCTTTCTCACAGAGAATCACAGAATTCTCATAGGAGGGTGAGTCAAATCTACCAAGCACATTAAAATCTTTGCAAGCATCATGCCTCCTAACATATCATTGGCCAAAACAAGTTGCATGGTCAAACCCAATATCAGTAGGGGTGTGTATTAATCTACTTGGGCTGTCATGACAGAACACCACAGACTAGGTGGCTTAAATAACAGAAATTTATTTACAGTTCTGGAGGCTGGATGTCTGCAATCAAGGTGCTGTCAAAGTTGGTTTTCAGTGAGGGCTCTCTTCCTGGCTTGCAGACGGCCACCTTCTTTCTGTGCCTACATATGGCCTTTCCTCTGTGTACATCCACCCCTGGTGTCTCTTCCTTTTCTTAGAGGATTAGGCCCCCACCCTTATGACCTCATTTAATCTTAATTATGGACCCAATTTAGTCCATAGCAGGTGGGGAAATATACTCTCCCTACTCTAAAGGGAGCTCCTGCCAAGTCACATGGCAGAGGGTATAGGTATAGAATTCTATACCAGGGAGTAAAGAAATGGCAGCAGTAATCTCATCTGCCACAGGTTGTTATAAGGAATAAAAACATTCACTCTGTTTTTGTTGTTGTTGTTGTTGTTTGTTTTGTTTTGTTTTTGATAGAGTCTTACTTTGTTGCCCAGGCTGGAGTGCAGTGGCTCAACCTCGGCTGACTGCAACCTCCGCCTCCCGGCTTCAAACAATTCTCGTGCCTCAGTCTCCTGAGATCCCAGTCTCTCCTAGGATTATAGGCATGTGCCACCACGCCCAGCTAACTTTTTGTATTTTTAGCAGAGACGGGGTTTCAACACATTGCCCAGGCTGGTCTCAAACTCCCGACCACAGGTGATTCACGCACCTCATTCTCCCAAAGTGCTGGGATTACAGGTGTGAGCCACTGCATCTAGCCAAAAACATTCACTCGTGTAAAGTGTGTAGAACACTGCTTGGATTTAGTAAAGTCTACACAGGTTTGGCTATTTGTTATTTTGTAGCTTAGCTAAAATACATACCATGTGATGGTTTCACAGAAATATACACAGTCAAACATATCAAAATGTATACTTTATATGTGTGCAATTCAATGCATGTTGATGATACCTCAATAAAGTTGTTTTATAGACAGAAGAGAGATGTATTTATTTATTTAAAAATCAAGGCCTTGCTCCTATTTTATGAAACTGGGCAAAAAGAAAAAAAAAAATCAAGACCCCTAAATGCAATGTGGCAGCCTGGATTTGATCCCGCATCTGAAAAAGGACGTTAGTGGAAAACCTGTTGAAACATGAATAAAGTCTGAAGTTTTATTAATAGCACCGTAGGAACGCTAATTCCTTACTTTACTAAGATATTGCCATTAAAGGAAGCTGGATGAAGGGTGTACAGGAACTCTGTACTATCTTGGCAACTTTTCTGTAAATCGAAAATGATTCCCCTCAAAAACGTAAAAACGAAGAATCCCCCCACCCCTCCATGGTCCCCCCCACTGCCTCCCACAGGGTGAGGAGCTGTTGGCTTCTGGACCTTGCCTTCATGTCCTCCGGCCTGAGAGCTAACTGCCAAGCTCGGATGTCAGATCTAAAGTAATAAACACATGATACCATTCTAATGAAAATGAGAGGCTTGGCTGAAATGAAAAGGCCAAAATCACCCGGGCTTTTGCAGGCCTCAGGCTGCTTTCCTGATGGCCTAGAGTCACTGGTGGTCACCAAGCCTCCTGTGGCCACTGAGCACTTAAAATGTAGCTGGTCCCAACTGAGATATTCTATAAGAGCCAAGGTTTTGTACAAAAAATAGAATGTAAACTATCTCAGTAAGTTCTTATATTGATTATTGGATTAAATAAAATGTATCATTAAAATCAATTAGGCTGGGTATGGTGGCTCATACCTGTAATCCCAGCACTTTGGGAGGCTGAGGATAGACTGCTTGAGCCTAGGAGTTAGAGACCAGCCTGGGCAATATGGCGAAACCCTGTCTCTACTAAAACACAAAAATTAGCCAGGCATGGTGGCACATGCCTGTAAACACAGCTCCTCCGGAGGCTGAGTCATGAGAATCGCTTGAACCTGGGAGGTGGAGGTTGCAGTGGGTGGAGATGGCGCCATTGCACTCCAGCCTGGGCAACAGAGCAAGACCTGATTTCAAAATAAATAAGTTAATTAATTAAATTTCACTTGTTTCTCTTTGCATTTCTTAATGTGGATGCTAGAATTTTTTTAATTGCATATTACGTTGCTATTGGACAGCGCCAGGCTAGAGGAAGGGAGGTCCTGTGAAGGCCAGAGGAGCATCCTGCCTAGAAGTCTGGAGAGCAGGGTAGGGCCCAGCTCAGGCCCAAAGGAAGAGAGGGGTCCAGGGAGCCAGATGGCCAGTGTCACAACCAGGCCTAAACCTGTGACGTCAGAGGCGAGCAATAGTAACAGAGAAGAACTGGGATTGACACAAGCCACTTCATGCAAATCTAACCTTTCCACCTGCCAAGCAGTCAGACTTTGTTTATGACAGCCAGACTGCCTAAATTAGAACAGGCCACAATCACAACAGCATATTGAAAAGGCCAGACCGTCCTGGGCCTGCCATCAGCATCCTGGGAAGGAAGCTGCCCCAGCAGGGTCACCCCACAGAGAGCACCAGGAACTTGTTCCCCTTTTATCTTCTGTCTGGGCAGCCACGTGACTTGGGGAGACATGGTCATTGGCACTTCAGAATCACCCTTCCCATTCAAAGTCCAAAGGGAGAAGGTGGCTTCCGTTTTACCACGTTTTCATGTGTACAGTCCCAGGGAAGGATTCCAATTGGCCCAGCTTGGTCACGTGTCCTTCCCTGGGCCAATCACTGTGTGACTGTGGCTGAGGCACAGGGTTACAGGATAATGTGATTGGCAGCCCCTCTAGAAGAAGCAGATGGAGTGAGGAAGGCGTGAGGAAAGAGCAATTCTCCAAAAGAGGGCAAGGGTACATGATCCAATCTGGGTCGTGATTTGTCAGAATAAGGGAGAGAAGCAGGACACAAAACAAATATTGGGAGATCTCCTCTACCCATCTACAATCCTAACTCCGACTACGGTGGCATCTTCCCCACGCATCAAGGTAAACAGAGGATCAGCACTTTCAGAGATCACTATACCAGAGCCAGAGATGAAACCCAGGAGGCTAAGTCCCAGGGGCTTTCCTCCATGTGCATGCACCCCTGGTGTCTCTTCCTTTTCTTATGAGGACAGCCATCTTATTGGATTTGGACCCACTCTCATGAATTCCTTTATTCTTTTTTTTTTTTTTTTTTTTGTGGTAAGGGGGTAGGGCGGGGATGGACAGAGTCTCATTCTGTTGCCCAGGCTGGAATGCAGTGGCACTATCTTGGCTCACTGCAACCTCTGCCACCTGGGTTCAACTGATTCTCCTGCCTCAGCCTCCTGAGTAGCTGGGACTATAGGCACGTGCCACCATGCTCAGCTAATTTTTGTATTTTTAGTAGAAATGGGGTTTAGCCTTGTTGGTCAGGCTGGTCTCGAACTCCTGACTTCAGGTGATCTGCTTACCTCAGCCTCCCAAAGTGCTGGGATAACAGGCGTGAGCTACCGTGCCCAGCCTATTCTTAATCATGGATACAATGTAGTCTATAACCAATGCAAAAATACACTCCCTGTGTCAGGCTGTTCTTGCATTGCTATAAAGAAATACCTGAGACTGGGCAATTTATAAAGAAAAGAAGTTTAATTGGCTCATGGTTCTCTAAGCTGTACAAGAAGCATAGTGCCAGCATTAGCTTCTGGTGAAGGCCTCAGGAAGTTTACAATTGTGACTGAAGTGAAGGGGGAGCAGGCATCTCACATGGCAAGAGTGGGAGCAAGAGACATGGAGGGAGGTGCCACACTCTTTTAAACAAGATCTCGAGAGAGTTCACTCACTGTCTCAAGAACGGCACCAAGAGGATGGTGCTAAACCATTCATGAGAAATCCACCCCATGATCCAAACACCTCCCACCAGGCCCCACCGCCAGCATTGGGGATCACATTTCAACATGAGGTTTTTTTTTTTTTTTAATGGAGTCTCGCTCTGTTGCCCAGGCTGGAGTGCAGTGGCACGATCTCAGCTCACTGCAACCTCTGCTTCCTGGGTTCAAGCGATTCTCCTGCCTCAGCCTCCCAAGTAGCTGGGATTACAGGCATGCACCACCATGCCCAGCTAATTTTTTTAATATTTTTAGTACAGACAGGGTTTCACCATGTTGGGCAGGCTGGTCTCGAACTCCTGGCTTCAGGTGATCCGCCTGCCTCAGCCTCCCAAAGTGCTGGGATTACAGGCTTGAGCCAACGCGCCCAGCCTCAACGTGAGATTTACAGCTATATCACTACCCCTCCTCTAGAGGGAGCTCCTGCCAAGTCACATGGCAGGGAGCGTCTGGGCCAAATTCTACACCAGGGAGTGAGGCAGGAGGGAAACAATTCTGGGGCCAAGGAGCTGCACACGTCCTGACCCCTGCCCAGAGCAAGGACTTAGTCTTCTGCCCCTGACATTTGTGTCCTGAGCTTCTGCCACATGATGGGCTCTGGGCAGGACACTGGGAACCCAGAAATAGAGGAGGTAGGTTTCCTGTTCTCAGGCGGTCTCTAACTGTGGAAGTAGAACGGGGAGTGGAGAAAGATGTCAGTGGGACTGGCACCCATCGGGGGGTCCCCGGCTCCACCCCTCCAGGGCTGCCCTGCCCCTGCGTGGCACATGCTTCCGGTACCCCAGGGCCACCTCCCCAGAGCCCACCGGTGATGTCAGCTGAGGCAGCAGAGAACAGCAACCTCCTGCCTCCATGCGCTGTGGGTCAAGACCCCCTCAAGGCAAATGCAGCCCAGAACGCAGGGGAGTCAACACCCCCAAGAGACCCTCGGCCAATGGGGAAGGGAGCCATCACATACTTCCCGTCCGCTGGGAGCCACTCCGCCCTTCTCAGGAAGTCCCTGTGGAATCAGCACCTGTGGACCACGGCAGTAACCTCAGTATGGCAGCCTTGAATGTCTTCTCCTCCTTCCCTGGCCCTCCTCACCGCCCCCGACCCATACCCTCACCCAAGCCTGCTTCCCAATTTAACTACCTGTGCTCAAGCACTTGTCTCAGGCTCTAATTTGGGAGGGATGGACCCCAGCTAAGAATCCAAGCACGTGCTGGCACCACAGCGATGCCTAAGATGAAATGGTACCTCATTCCTTCTTTTGATAAAACCAAGTGTAGGCCTGGCGCAGTGGCTCATGCCTGTAATCCTAGCACTTTGGGAGGCTGAGGCGGGCGGATCACTTGAGGTCAGGAGTTTGAGACTAGTCTGGCCAACATGGTGAAACCCCGTCTCTACTAAAAATACAAAAATTTGCTGGGCGTGGTGGTGCACGCCTGTAATCCCAGCTACTCAGGAAGCCAAGGTGAGAGAATCTTTTGAACCTGGGAGGCGGAGGTTGCAGTGAGCTGTGATTGCACCACTGGACTCCAGCCTGGGCAACAGAGTGAGACTCCATCTCAAAAAAAAACAAAAAACAAAAAAAAGTGTACGTGCAGGACTCTGGGGCCAGCCCTCCTTGATTCATCCCAGGCCCTCGGTCCCCACTAGCTCTAGTGGATCCCTGGCCAAGGCTACACCTGCCTGGCGCCCAGCACAACCTGACTGAAGCCGCTGGGGAAGGGCGGTGATGCCAAACACACAGAGAAAGTAATTTCCCATTTTCCACTAATTGCTTTCTGCAGCCTGGCCCGTCCCTCCCGCTGCTCCTCCTCCTCCTCCTCCCCTTTTCCTTTCTCCACCTCCCAAGGACAAGGACACAGAGATACAGCCCCCCAGGGCCCAGCTTGTCTCTCTCAAAACGAGTTTTTGAAATGTAATTCCGGAGGTGACAGTTGGACTGTGGCTGACACGGCCCCCAGGGGAGGGATGCTCTGTGCAGCTACCGGGAACCTTGGGACTCGGCCCGTCCTGAGAGGCTCCCAGGCTGGGAAATGAGCCCTCGCACCCTCCGCTCACTCTTTCATTCATTCACCTCTCACCTCATTCACTTCTTCACTCAGATTGTCCTTTCACAGCCTCCGTCAGTCACCGTGGCAGAGATGTGTGTCCAGCGACCAAAGCCACCCCTCCTCCACGTTTTCCAGCACCCGCCTCAGGGCCATGTGACTTGTCTGGCCAAAAGGCTGCAAGTGAAAATAACAGGAGAAGACTGGGTGCGGTAGCTCACGCCTGTAATCCCAGCACTTTGGGAGGCTGAGGTGGGCAGATCGCCTGAGGTCAGGAGTTCAAGACCAGCCTGGCCAACATGGAGAAACCCTGTCTCTACTAAAAACACACACAAAAAAAACCTAGTTGGGCATGGTGGTGCATGCCTGCCATCCGAGCTACTCAGGGGGCTGTGGCAGGATAATCGCTTGAACCGGGGAGGTGGAGGTTGCAGTGAGCGAGATTGCGCCACTGCACTCCAGCCTGGGTGACAGAGTGAGACTCTGTCTCAAAAAAAAAAAAAAAAGTAACAGGAGTCACTTTCACTTCCAGCTGAAACACAAGGAAGCCAGTGTGTGGTCTTCCCTTCTCTCATCCCTGCTGCAGTGACCCTGGGAGTCTCATTTCCAGGTGCTGCAGCCACAGGATGATGGAGCCCCCAAGGGTCTGGGTCTTTGGCCTTTATGCTGGACAAAACAGCCCCATCCCCTCTAAACCACACTGAACATATAATGTGAGAGACAGGCCTTCGTGGGGTGAAGGCTAAAGTCTGGCAGCGGATTTATTAAGCAGCATAGCCCATAGTCATCCACTTCTTCACTCCCTCAAGCGTTCCCTGCCTCTCTCCTTCCCTTTCTTCCCTCCCCCTGCACACACTAGAGAGTGGGTCCCTGCTGGGTCTACGGAAGCCAAGAATCCTTCCTCTAGCAGAGCTGGTTGGCCACACTGGGCTGATCGATCGATGCTAATAGTGTCTGTAATAGCCACAATATACACAGAGACTGAGGGCAGTAGCTGAACGCACAAGATCAGGCTTCCTGTGGCTTGAAAAACTAACTAAAGAAATGCTTACTGGCCTGGCGCGGTGGCTTATGCCTGTAATCCCAGCACTTTGGGAGGCCGAGGCGGGCAGATCACCTGAGGTCAGGAGTTCCAGACCAGCCTGGTCAACATGGTGAAACCCTATCTCTACTAAAAATACAAAAATTAGCTGGGCCTGATGGTGCATGCCTGTAATTCCAGCTACTGGGGAGGCTGAAGCAGGAGAATCACTTGAACCCAGGAGGCCGAGATTGTAGTGAGCCGAGATCACGCCATTGCACTCCAGCCTGGGTGACAAGAGCAAAATTCCATCTCGAAAATAAATAAATAAATGCTTGCTGATCCAGTGGGTGTCCCCAAGTCACACCTTCCCACAATGGCACTGGTGGCCAACGAAAACCCAAGACAGGGCATTGCAGATGAGCTGACATCGTGAGAAGAAGGGTGGGGTAAGGAGGTACCTACAAAGTATCCCGCTTCAAAGAGCTGCCAAATGCCCCACCCCAGGCTCACAGATGAGGAAGCCTTGACCCAGAAAGGTTCTCAGGCTTACCCAAGCTTCCATGCTTAGGACCGAGGGCCCCAGATTCCCACTACAACCCCCTGGCTCCCGGGGCCAAGAGGACATTTTAGAGAAGTGTGAGTGCCCAGGCAGATTTTCTGGAAACCCCGACTAGATCCCTGTGTCTCAACCGAAGGCACCCTTCATTAAGCCCCTCCTATGTGCAGAGCCTGAATAAGCTGCTCTAGTAAAAATAGAAGAAATAGAAGCCCCAGGCCCCGCACAGGGCACTAACCAGCCACAGAAGGGAACTGATGAGAAGTGCTCCCAAGAAAGGGGCAAAAGTAAAATAGCCTGGCATTGTCCTGCAGGCACAAAGGGTCAAATCCAGCACAAAGTACGAGGTCTGTGCTTTGTGGTGGCAGCTTCCTTTCCTTCTCTCTTCCCAGTGTTGTCCCTTCCTGCTGAAGCCCAGGGAGGTTGCCCTCAGTTCACCTTTAGCTCCTACTGTCAGAGGCGTTTGAACCAGAGCAACTCCATCTTGAATAGGAGGTGAGTGAAATAAGGCTGACACCTACTGGGCTGCATTCCCAGATGGTTAAGGCATTCTAAGTCACAGGGTGAGATCAAAGGTCGGCACAAGACACAGGTCATAAAGACCTTGCTGATAAAACAGCTTGCAGTAAAGAAGCCTGTCAGTCAAAACCCACCAAAACCAAGATGGCAACGTGAGTGGCCTCTGGTCATCCTCACTGCTCCACTCCCAACAGCGCCATGACAGTTTGCAAATGCCATGGCAACGTCAGAAAGTTACACTATATGGTCTAAAAGGGAGGCATGAATAATCCACCCCTTTGCTTAGCATGTAATCAAGAAATAGTCATAAAAATGGGCAACCAGCAGCCCTCGGGGCTGCTCTGCCTATAGAATAGCCATTATTTTATTCCTTTACTTTCTTAATAAACCTGCTTTTACTTTATGGACTTGCCCTCAACTCTTTCTTGCATGAGATCCAAGAACTCTCTCTTGGGGTCTGGATTGGGACCCCTTTCCAGTAACACCCTCACATCCTTTATGCTGCACAGGGCTCCGGGCTCTCCCAGGCCATCCCCTGCTTCACCTCCATGTGCCTTCGGGAGAGTTTCCATGACACCCACACCAGGGAGCACCAGCTGAGAAAGCCATGGGCACATTACAGCACCTGTGCCAGGGGCCACCTTACATTGAAACCCCTCCTCTGTCACCCCAGCCCCTTTCGCTCAGCTGGCTCCTTCTCAAGCTTCAACATCCAGCTGAGGAGTCACCTCCTCCAGGAAGCCTTCCCTGTCCTCCCCTCTCCTCGAGGTTGGCCCTCAGCAAGTTTAGGCAGCCCTCGCCAGCGCCCCAGCACCCTGTAAATGGTGCTTCACTCCAAGCCTTGTTGGGTTTGTTCGACTATTTGTGAGTCTTCTTTCCCCAGCTGAGGGTGAGTTTTGTGACCACGAGCAGGAGCTGGGTTTTGTTCATTTTCAGGTCCTCCATGCCTAGCACGAGGCTTGGCATTCTGGAGGGCTCCATAAATTTGTTGGACATAGGCACAGAGGCATGACTATAGGAATAAACTCTAGACAAAGGAAGACTGTGAAACCCCAGGTATCAGGAACTGAGTGGGGAGTGGGGAGCATGTGTGTGGGGGCGGCGGTGGGTGTTGTTGCTGTTGCTGGGGGCCCATGTCATTCAATCCCTTCAACCATACCGCACAGGTATCCCCTCCCTCCCATCTGTTGCAATTTCATGGCAATCCTGGTATTCTGCTCTATTGCCAAAGTACGCACCAGACCAAGTGTTCGGGTTTGGGGTTCATAAACTCCAGTCCTCATGCTGGTAGGCAATTGAGCCTGCTCATGGCAGTGAACCAAAGCACTCAAAGCATTTCGGAGGGCAGGCCACAACGCAGGAGGTGGAGAGAGGAGGGCAGTCTTTTGGGGACCCCTGCCCCTCTTCATCAATCTTGAACTGAGAAGACGTTAAGAGACATCTGGTGCCTGCAGCACGCCCACTGAAGCTGGGCCAGGCCACATGGTACTGCAGTCTGTGAGCAGGAAAATTAGCTGCTGCCATCATTGACCATCCAGCTCATTATCCAAAGGGCTGCTTGGAACAGATGGAGGAGGGAGGCCAAGGAAGGAAGGTGAGCTCGGCCACACATTTCCCAGCTCAGAGGAAACTCCCATCCCTCACGTTTGGAGGATCAGCTCTGCAGCCCCTGACCCATCTGCAAGGAGAATCAGCCATCCCCACCCCTGCCACAGGCTCTGTTCAAACCTCTCTCACCATCCTTGCATATTTGATTATGTGTCTGTGTGTCTGTCTCTTTTACTAGTTTGCAAGCCTCTTCTTGCGAGGACTGTGCCTTCATCACCTGTGTACCAAGTACTTGGCAATCAAAGTTTGATGGTTAAATTAATTGATGGATGGATGGATGGAATGAGGTCTGCCCAGGAGATGCACCATGATAATATTTTTTTTTTTTTGAGACGGAGTCTCACTCTATCACCCAGGCTGGAATGCAATGGCGTGATCTCGGCTCACCACAACCTCCACCTCCCGGGTTCAAACGATCCTCCCAACTCAGCCTCCCGAGTAGATGGAACTACAGGTGCACGTCACAACGCCAGGCTAATTTTTGTATTTTTTGTAGAGATGGGATTTCACCATGTTGGCCAGGCTGGTCTCAAACTCCCGACCTCAAGTGATCTGCCTGCCTCGGCCTCCCAAAGTGCTGGGACTACAAGCATGAGCCACTGTGCCCGGCTGTATAGTTACCATTTTTGAGCTCTTATTATGTGCAAAGTGCCATGAAAAATGATGTACATTTTTTCATTTATTAATAACTCTTCCAGCAGCCCTCCCAGTAATCGTAACCAAGTTTATGATAAGAAGACAAGAAGACTGAAGTTGAGACTGTGTGCTCGATGTCACATGGCCGGGAAGTCTCTAGGCAGAAACTCAAAGCTAAGCAGAGTGAGTGCCTCTGGATTCCAAACTCTTAACCCCTCTGGCTTACAGCCTTCCAGTGGACATACTGGAAGGACATACTGCCTTTTCCCTGAGCCTCGATTTATCTATCCATAACATGGGGATGGTGGTACCCACCTTGCAGAGTACACACGTAAGGGTGCAGCAGGAACACGGTAGCTTCCAGGTTCCCAGGGACTGTGTGTCTTTCTGGGTTCTCTAGTTCACGCTCACAGAGCCCCCATCCTGGTTGCCCCCCTCCCACAGGGGCTCCTCCGCTCCGCCTGCATGCGCCCTGCTTTCCGCAGCGATGCAAATTATAACAGGTTTATTTTGTTTTCTTTTGCTGCTAGGTGCCACCCTGCACCCTCCCTGCCAGCTCCCAGGGACATAGCTTCCTTGTGTTTGCAGGTGATCAGTCAAACTACAATTTTGAGTCCTGCTCACTGGTCACCAAGCTTGCCGGGGACAGCTGGGGATCCCTTTTCAGCACCCCTTCCCTGGCTGCCTTTTCTCTCCTCTCCTGCCTGTCTCCCTTGAACTCAACAGGTCATAAATATGTAATGTATCAATCCCATTTCTCTACAAGCGGCAGGAGATCTCGCCGGCCACAGAGAAGGCCTGACAGCTCCACGAATCCCCTGAGCACCCACAGTGGCCGAGGTGCTGTCAGAATCTGTGAGAGCTCTAGGCTCAAGGCAGAAACCAAGGCCACTAGAACCGGAGCCCAAACCCCGCATTTCTATTTGCAGGGATAGGGGGTGGAGGCCTCCAGATTCTCCAGACAGCGAAAGGCTCAGGAGGCGGTTTCCTGGAAACGTGGCTGAATGGGGAGCAAGTAAACATTCTTAGCAGGCCTAGTCTGTTCTATCGAGCAAACTTCTTGAAAGAGGAAGAATTCAAACTGACGTTGAAATGAGGCGGGGGGCCTGGCGCGGTGGCTCATGCTTGTAATCCCAGCACTTAGGGAGGCTGAGGTGGGTGGTTCACTTGAGGTCAGGAGTTTGAGACCAGCCTGGCTAACATGGTGAAACCCCATCTCTACTAAAAATACAAAAATTAGCTGAGTGTGGTGGTACGTGCCTGTAATCCCAGCTACTCGGGAGGCTGAGGCAGGAGAATCACTTGAACCTGAGAGATGGAGGTTGCAGTGAGCTGAGATTGCACCACTGCACTCTAGCACTCCATCCTGGGCAACAGAGTAAGACTCTGTCTCAAAAAAAGAAAGAAAGAAAGAAAGAAATGAGGGTGGCGACAGTGAGGAAGTCTGGTTGGGAGCAGAGCAAAGAAAATGAAGTATTTTATTAGAAGCGAGAGAAGGAGGTGGTGAGGAAAGGAAGAGAGAACCCAGCGGTGTCTAGCCAGCTGAAGGAAAGACATGAGAAGCCACTGGGCGCAGTGGCTCATGCCTGTAATCCCAGCACTTTGGGAGACCGAGGCGGGGAGTCGGGGGGATCACTTGAGGTCAGGAGTTCAAGACCAGCCTGGACAACATGGTGAAGCCCCATCTCTACTAAAAATACAAAAATTAGCTGGGTGTGGTGGTGCATGCCTGTAATCCCAGCTACTCGGGAGGCTGAGGCAGGAGAATCACTTGAACCTGGGAGGCGGAGGTTGCGGTGAGCCGAGATCACGCCACTGCACTCCAGCCTGGTGAGCAACAAAGCGAGACTCCATCTCCAAAAAAAAAAAAGAAAAGAAAAAAAAAGAAAGAAAGAAAGAAATGAATGAGAAGGCTACAGAGGGGGGTTGGCAGGGAACACCGGCAGGGGTTTCCTGGCTGCTGGCGGCACACATCAGAAATCAAAGGCAAGGGTACCAGGGACCACAAGGGCAGGAGTGAGGGGGAGGGGCCTCAGAGGCCACCACAGTTGACTGAGGGGCCAGCCCCAACCCAGAGAATGGCTTCCCTCTCCAGAAAGAAACAGCCAAGACCTGGGAACAAATGGCCTTGCTAATTGGCCATTTTGTTTTTTATGTATTTTCATTAGCAAGATAAAACAACAACTAGTCATGTAACCGTCTCCTCGTTTGGGAAGTAAATGCTCGTTAACCACCTGAGTGTTCTCCGTTGCTGAATGAGCCACAGCTCCTCTGCAGGGGAACAGCCAGGCAGGGAGGGAGAAGGTCCCCGCTCCAGAACTCGTTGCCCAGGCCCGCTCCACTGAGCCCAGGACTTCCAGCAGGGGGTGGCTGAGAGGAGTTGCACTCAACACCCCAAACATCCCAAGAAGTGTCACTTCTTAAAGAGCCAGGATGCTCTTCCTCCGCCAGAGAGAGGGTCTTGGTCATTTGTCTCCTCGCCAGCAGACACCCTCGTTCCCAGGTCTCCTCCCGACCATCATCCTGTGACAGCTGCTCTGGAAAGGGGGCAGCGGGAGGGAAGCTGGGTCTCCATGGTGACCCCATCCTCTCACCCTCCCATCGCAAAGAGGGGGAGGGGCCGAGGAGGTTTGGTTGGCGGGGAAGTGGGGCAAGGGAGCCCGGTTACCCAGGCAACTCCCTTGAGGCCCTAGCCGAGGGCTCCACTCCCACAGATGGGGGCTGGGGTTGTCATGGAGACTCCCTGGCAGCACTGCCAAGGAGTAGGCCAGGTTCCCCTCCCAGCCCGGGGGGCACGGGGCCCAGAAGGAATCAGGTGGATGAAAGAGGGGGCAGAGTGGCAGGAAGAAAGTTCTAGAAGATAGTGTGCTCTCCCCTTTGATCTCCCACACCTCCACATCATCCCACTCTTGCTCTCGACCTGCCTCGAGAAATCTGCCGGCGCCTGGCTCTCACCCTGTGGCATGCAGTCCTGTCTCTCCACCTCTTGGCCCTTCTTTCCTAGTGATGCTGATCATTTTGGGCAGACAGCCTATCCCAGGGTCACCATGACGACCAAACAAGCCTTTGGTCTCCATGGTGATGAGCCCTCCACATTATTTTTATTTATTAATTGGGAATTTCAAAGGATTTTCCACTCCATTTCCCAGACCTGGCATCTGGGAGACTGGGGTAGGACCATCATTCTCCCCTTAGCCCAGAGAAGGGGACTAAGGTTGAGAATGTTGGATGACAGCTAAAATGTGCCTGAAAGACAGCCAATAAATACCTCCTTGAAGCTACAGAGAAAGAGGCCTTTCTCAGCTTTTCCCCAGCCTGCCAGATGCCTGGGGAGGCTCTTCGGAGCCACTTAGCAGTCACCGTCCTCAGGGAGGTTCTAAGTACAGCTTCAGGGGATGGATGGATGGATTCAGGCATATCCTGCTTCACTCTGAAGAATAACTGATGGAACTTACAGAAATAGGCAGAGCCCAACAGAATAAAAACAGATGGATGAGGAACTTGGAGCAAAGGAAAAATAAGATAATGTCAGGCTAAAGGGACAATACAAACTTACACACTATAAGGTACTAACAGTAAATGAGAGGTGCCACAAATTAACTCTGAGCTTCCTGATGGCCATAGCAAAGAAGGAAACAAGATTTATAGAGACCAAAAGAGCAAACAAACAGAAAAGATGTTTCAGGAGACATGAGGGATAAATAATGTGAGGTTACATTCCCAGGACACCTGAAGTCCTCCCCACTGTTATCTGACCCCATACCTTCCATTTGTTTTGCTTATTGACTCTGCCTTGTTAGTTTTCTGTTTCCCCAATAAAGCCTATTCCTTACCCCATGCCATATGACACTGTGTAATTTATTGCAAACCTAGTACATGATGGAAGCCCAATGGGACCCACCTGCCAAACTAAACAGAGACCTGGAAGGAACCCATCTTTCATGGCAACTTATCACTATCTAAAATCATATCCACTGTGTCAAGCTGGGCGTGGTGGCTCAAGCCTGTAATCCCAGCACTTTGGGAGGCCGAGGCAGGCGGATCACCTGAGGTAAGGAGTTTGAGACCAGCCTGGCCAACATGGTGAAGCCCTATCTCTACTAAAAATACAAAAATTAGCTGTGCGTGGTGGCAGACGTCTGTAATCCCAGCTACTCAGGAGGCTGAGGCAGCAGATTCACTTGAACCCGGGAGGTGGAGACTGCCTCATTTGCACTCCAGCCTAGGTGACACAGCAAGACTCCATCTCAAAAGTAAAATAAAATAAAATAAATAAATGAAATCATATCCACTGGGATATTTTTGGTTGCAAATAACAGCAGACCAGACTCAAAATGGCTTTGCCAAATAGGGGATTTCTCATTTCACAGAACAAGGCATTCTGAGGTGTGGGGCTCCAGGCTGGCAATCTGAGCCTCCCGGGCATCGTGTGGAGCACAGGTGCCTTCACCACACCATCCTTGGTGTGTCAGCTTCCTCAGTGCACTGGCCAAGGTTCCTGCCATTGCATGTGGCTGTGTGTCCAGTGGGGGAAGTGGATTCATCCTCTGCCTATTGTTTTAAGAAAACCATTCCCAAGCCAGTGTGGTGGCTCACACCTGTAATCCCAGCATTTTGGGAGTCTGAGGTGAGCAGATCGCTTGAGGTAGGGAGTTCAAGACCAGCCCAGCCAACATGGTGAAACCCTGTCTCTACTAAAAATACAAAACATTAGCCGGGCATGGTAGCACGTGCCTGTAACTCCAGCTACTCAGGAGCCTGAGGCATGAAAATTGCTTGAACCCGGGAGGCAGAGGTTGCAGTGAGCTGAGATCGTGTTACCGCTCTCTGGGCGACAGAACCAGACTCTGCCTTAAGGAAAAAAGAAAAGAAAAAGAAAACGATTCCCAGAAGCCGCCCCACAGATATCCCATCCTGTGTCCTTGGCCACATCTGAGTCACCTGTTCCCAGCTAATGCAATTCAGGGCAAATCGAGTGGGACCAGTCAGACCAACAGTACTCGTGCTGAGTCCTGTGGAGAGGAGAAAGAGCTGAGAACAAAACAGAGGCTCTGCCCACTGAGGAAGGAAGGGGTGGGTTTCAGATAAGTGTTGTAAGTGAGGCTCCCCAGAAGCAAACCCTGCTATGAGGATCTGTGTGCTGATGATTCAAGAAGGTGCTCCCAGAGGAGACTGATACGGGGGCAGGACAGAGAAGGGAGGAAGCTAACCAGGGGGGCAATTTCGAGCAAAGCCTCAGCCTTAGCCTGGCCCTATGGGAGGCCCTGAAGTAGAAATGACATCTTAAGGGATGTCCCAATTCAAGGCGAGGGAGCAGGACTTCCATTCTCCAACACTCATCAGTCCTGAGCTAAGGGCTGCCTCTGGGGAAACATGAACTCTCAGCACACTTCCTGTTCTCTGTATGCATTGGGCACACCAGCTCTCATAGCCCGGGGCAGTCCTCTAAAGAGAGTCACAGGTGCAGGCTGGCTCTCAGAAACAAATCACACAAGGCCGAGCGCGGTGGCTGACGCCTGTAATCCCAGAACTTTGGGAGGCCGAGGCAGGTGGGTCACCTGAGATCAGGAGTTTGGGACCAGCCTGGCCAACATGGTGAAACCCCGTCTCTACCAAAAATACAAAAATTAGCTGGGTGTGGTGGTGCACGCCTATAATCCCGGCTACTCAGGAGGCTGAGGCAGGAGAATCACTTGAACCCGGAAGGCAGAGGTTGCAGTGGGCCCAGATCGCGCCATTGCACTCCAGCCTGAGCAACAGAGCGAGACTCCATCTCAAAAAAGAAAAAAGCACACAGAAACTGAGGGACAAACTCACAGAAATGAGCAAAGGGATCCCGGGGCATTTGGTCAACCAACAGTGTCAACCACAAAAATGACCTGTTCTCCCACTGCCATGCAAGCACCGTGAGAATAGAAGCTGGTCTGTCCTGTTCATCTGCTGTGTCCTCAACCCCAGCGCAATGCCTGCGAGTGCCAGCACTCAATCAATATGTGTTGGATGAATGAATGAATGCCATGGGGGCTGCGGCTCAGGGGGAGCTGGGGGTGGGACTTGGGACCTCACCCACAGATGAGGCCTCTAGGTGAGCTCCACACTCACCATGCTCAGGCCACCCTCCAGCCCAAAGCCCCTCCTACCAGAAGGGGGCACTGCCCCCAGTCCACACTTGAGTTCTCCAGGGAAATTGCTATTTTCATAAAGCTGGAGCTGCCCCTTGGGGAGCCCCCAGCCAGCCAGGCCTACCAGGCTGAACCCTGATTCAGAAGCATAGTTGGCGGGGGCCAACCTCAGGAACTGAATGTCCCTGCGAGAAGCAACTTAGCGTTGTTATTCTAAAAACAAGTGTAAATGAATTCATAGCAAACCATGCCAATGACTCACCTTCCAAAGGCTTCGACAGACATTTCACGCATTTCTCACAACCACCCAATGAGTGGGTGCTACGGTCTCACCTTCATCACCCCCACGTGAAGGAGGAAGAAACTGAGGCTCGAAGACATGAGTTCACTTGCCCATGACCAAAAAGTTCCAAGATCAGGTCCCTTGAGGCCAGATCCCACATCGCCCTTCCTCCTGGGAGTTCCAGGAAGGCCTCTTTCCTGGAGCGGAGCCCCCTGGATCATCCTTTTCTGTGCATCTGTCTTT
The DNA here is from genome assembly GCF_000001405.40 of Homo sapiens. Taxonomy (NCBI): domain Eukaryota; kingdom Metazoa; phylum Chordata; class Mammalia; order Primates; family Hominidae; genus Homo; species Homo sapiens. Next base: position 11,351,767 of record NC_000001.11, on the reverse strand, counting down.
TCCATCTGCCCCTTGCACTAGACCATCAAGAAAAAAGACTAGGTCCCTTTCATTGTTACTTTCCAAGGCCTGACACATCCCCTGTGAAATAAGCATCGGGGCGTTCACAGATGTTCCTTTTTCTCCTCCTCCAGGGCATAAGGTCAGGTGGCACTTTCCTGCCCATTTGAAGTTAGGTGTGGCCATGAGACTTGCTTTCGCTCATGAAATGGAAACAGAAGCAACATGTGTCCTTTCTGAGTGTATGTTTTAAGAGGATATGCTTGTGGCAGCAACCATCAAGATAGTGGCTGCTCCACCAGCCGCTTCCCAGAGTGAGAACGACATAGACCTGTGTGATGAGTTGCCTGAGAAATATACCTTGTGCTCTTACACCTCTGAAATTAGGGGGACGCTTGTTACTGCAGCGTAAGGTGCCATATCCTGACTGATATGCACATATTAGTAGATAACAAATGTTTATAGAGGCCAGGCATGGTGGCCCACGCCTGTAATCCCAGCACTTTGGGAGGCCAAGGCGGGCAGACCACATGAGGCCTGGAGTTCAAGACGAGACTGGCCAATATGATGAAATCTCATCTTTACTAAAAATACACAAAATTAGTGGAGCATGGTGGTGCCTGTAATCCCAGCTACTGGGGAGCCTGTAATCCCAACTACTTGGGAGGCTGAGGCACAAGAATCACTTGAACCCAGGAGGCGGAGGTTGCAATGAGCTGAGATCGCCCCACTGCACTCCAAACTGGGTGACAGCGTGAGATTCTGTCTTAGGGGAAAGAAATGTTTATAGAAAGAAAGAAAGAAAGGAGAGGGAGGGAGGAAGGGAGGGGTTACCTGATGTGAACAAGGATCTGTGGTTTCCTCTGAGTATGCCAGTGGGAGGGATAGATACTCCAGGACCCCAGCAGTATTTTCCAGAAGCACGTTAGGTAAGTGAGTTCCTGCAGCTCAGACTCCTACCCCTACCCTCTTGCCCATGCTATCGGATTCTGAGGTCCAGAAGTTACCGAGGGGAACTTGGATCTCCCAGGCCCAGGATTACCTCCCCACCTACCAACAGGGCAGCCCGAAGCCAGGGAGTCGAGAGGCTATTTCCCCCTCCAATTGAAGACTTTTTTCAGCCAAATGAATAATTCATTGTAAATGACTTTGAGATGAGTCGAGTCTCCATGTTGCCACCCGATTATATGTGCCATAAAAAGCAATGACAGTAATTTATCTCCTCTCTCGCGCGGGGTGGGCCGAGGCGATGGGAAGGAAGTGCTCGGTGCCTGGCATGGGGTTATGAATCATTCCTCTTAGCAGTTAAGCGGCAAGCTGCTGACGCTTTTACTGATTTGCAATTAAATAATTCCAGCCTTGGTCTGGAAGCAGAGAGGGGGTCCGGCTTTCCTTCCGGAGGGAGAGCCGAGGGGAGTGAGAGAAGCAGGATGAGGGGCTATCAGTGAGGCAGGAGGAGGGCTGGGATGCAGGGAGGAAGTGGTGTGCGGTTTGGCCTCATTAGTTCGCCCTGAAGTTGTCCTTTCTCCCAGGGACCGATCCTGTGCCCTGAGCTGCAAGTGACAATGTCACATCTGGGCAATGTCAGCTGCATGGGCTGCTGAGGGAGACTTGCAGCAGGGACCAGCTGCCCTGAAGATGCTCCCAGCCCTTCCAACTCACGGGCAGGAACTGAGGCAGGAGCTCCTTCCCTGCCTTCAGATGAACCCAGGTGTCTGCACTGGAGGAATCCCAGGACCACAGCCACAGTTGCTTTCCTCTATCATAAATATCTACAGAAGTAAAATCAGCTCCCAGTTTGCAGATGGACAAACTGAGGCCCATCATGAGGCAAGAAATCAAGGGTACAAAGAGAAAGAGTTCAACACAAATCCTCCAAAACCCCAGACCAGAACTTTCTCCCCAAACACATACTGCCTTTTTTTTCTGTTTTTTTTTTTTTTTCCTTCTTTTTATTTTGGAGACAGTCTTGTTCTGCTGCCCAAGCTGGAGTGCAGTGGCACAATCTCAGCTCGCTGCAACCTCCACCTACCGGGTTCAAGCAATTCTCCTGCCTCAGCCTCCCAAGTAGCTGGGATTACAGGCGTGAGCCACCTTGCCTAGCTAATTTTGTATTTTTAGTAGAGATGGGGTTTCACCATATTGCCCAGGCTGGTCTCAAACTCCTGGCCTCAGGTGATCCACCCGCCTCAGCCTCTCAAATTGCTGGGATTACAGACGTGAGCCACCGCATCCAGCCACATATTGCCTTTTCTATTATAGACAAAGATGGAAGTAACCTCAGAGAACTCAAGCTGTCCATACAAGGCACTATCTTTGACTACATATATATCTTTGTTTTACACTTTAGGGGTGCGGTGAGGATAAAGTCTAAACTTTATTTACTCCCCAAGCTCTGCATTCATGCCTTACCCTGGTCAGTGACGGCACAAACTTTTATACATTTCCAGGGCTTACCCTCGACCCACTCTTGTTTGAGTCAGATCCTCCAGTCTGAGTGTTTTAAAAGCACCCCAGCAGCAGCTTTATTTGTAACAGTCAAAACTGAAAATGACCCAGTTATCCTTCAATGAGTTAAACTGTGTTGCACCCATACCGTAGAATACTACCCAACAATACAAAGGAACAAACTATTGATACACATTCCAATTAGGATGAATTTTAAGGGAACGATGCTGAGTGAGTGAAAAAAAAAAGCCAATCTTGAAAGGTTACATGCTGTATGACTCCGTTTATAGAACATTCTCAAAATGACAAAATTATAGAGAGAACAGATGAATGGTTGCCAAGGGTCAGGGATGGGGTTGGGGTAGAGAGGGGGAGGGGGAGTAGGTGGATATGGTTATAAAAGGGCAACATAAGAGGCCCTCATGCCAGTGGGTCTTCTCTGTATCTTGATACACAAACCTACACATGTAATCAAAATGCATAAACACACAAATTAGCATGATAGGAAACTGCTGATATCTGAATAAGATCAGTGGATTTTAGATACATAGATACATAGAGATAGATAGATAGCTAGACAGATACATACATACATACATACATACATACATACATAGAGAGTCTCACTCTGGCGTCCAAGCTGGAATGCAGTGATATGATCTCAGCTCACTGCAGAATTGACCTCCCAGGCTCAAGTGATCCTCCCACTTTAGCCTCCCTAGTAGCTGGGACTACAGCCACCACATCTGGCTAATTTTTATTATTTTTGTAGAGACGGGGCTTCACCATGTTGCCCAGTCTGGTCCAGAACTCCTGGCCTACAAGCAATCTGTCCGCCTTGGCCTCCCAAAGTGCTGGGACTACAGGCATGAGCCACTGCGCCCAGCATAGTGCATTATATTAACGTCTGCTTACTGGCATAATATTATACTACAGTTTTGCACACTGTTAACATTGGGAAAAGCTGGGTAAAGGGTACATGGGATCTGTCTGTATTATTTTCTACAATTGTATGTGTATCTATAATTATCTCAAAATAAAGTTTAATTCAAAACCATTTTTCAAAAAGCTCCCCTAGTGATTCAACCAGGGATAAGAACATTCGTCACACTTAGTTTTTGTATTTTACCCAACTTGTACTTCATACAAATAATTCAATGTCCCAATCAATGTATAGTCCACACACTTCCCCCTTTCAGCAGTCACAGAGAAAATGTGCACTGCTTGAGGATATAGATGTCCTTGCCCTGGTCCAGTGCTGGCCAGACAATAGGCAAGGCCTTAATTGGAAAACAGTGGGCCGGGAGCAGTGGCTCACACCTGTAATCCCTGCAATTTAGGAGGCCGAGGCAGGTGGATCACTTGAGGTCAAGAGTTTGAGACCAACCTGGCCAACATGGTGAAAACCCATCTCTACTAAAAATACAAAAATTAGCTGGGCATGGTGACACACATCTGTAGTCCCAGCTACTCGGGAAGCTGAAGCACAAGAATTGCTTGAACCTGGGACGTAGAGGTTGCAGGGAGCCAACATTGCGCCACTGCACTCCAGCCTGGGTGACAGAGTGAGAGTTGTCTGAGAAAGAAAGAAAGAGAGAAAGAGAGGAAGGAAGGAAGGGAGGGAGGGAGGGAGGGGGGGAGGGAGGGAGAGGCAGGGAGGGAAGGAAGGAAAGAAGGAAGGAAGGAAGGAGAAAGAGAGAGAAAGGGAGGGAGGGAAGGAAGGAAGGAAGGATAGAAGGAAGGAAGGAAAGAAGGAAGGAAGGAGAAAGGGAGAGAAAGGGAGGGAGAGAAGGAGGGAGAGAGAGAAGGAGGGAGGGAGGAAGGAAGAAAACAGTGGAAAGGGGAAAACTGGACAGGCTCAGGCTCTCCTACTTATCAAGCTCTGCAACTTTGGACAAATTATTAACTGCACTAACCGTCTCTGCAAAGTGGTATTTTAATTGCACCTGCTTTAAAGGTGGTTGTACAGACTGGAGACGATGGAGGTGAGAAGACTGAGAAATGGAAGTTGCTCAGAGGAAGAAGCTATTGTCAAATGTCTGGGGGGTGGTGAGGAATTGGGCACATAGGTCTTCACCTTCAATCCCAGGCTTCCACTCTGCATGGGCACACCTGCTCATCTGCCATGAATTCACCTCCCCTGAACCCCAAACATTTACCCTGAAGACTTGGAAGCAGTTTGTGTAGTGCAGGATTTGGGGGACAAGGCTGATTGGAGGCTTTCTCTGTCCCTTTAAGACATGCTCTGCGTCTAAAGGGGTAACACTCGGCTGGGCGTGGTTTGGGATGCCGAGGCAGGCAGATCACGAGGTCAGGAGTTCGAGACCAGCCTGGCCAACACGGTGAAACCCCATCTCTACTAAAAATATAAAAAATTAGCCAGGTGTGTTGGTGCGTGCCTGTAATCCCAGCTACTCAGGAGGCTGAGGCAGGAGAATCACTTGAACCCAGGAGGCGGAGGTTGCAGTGAGCCAAGATCGCACCACTGTACTCCAGCCTGGGCAACAGAGTGAGACTCTGTCTCTAAATAAATAAATAAATAAAGGGGTGACACACGGGAGAACTTCATAAAACCATTTTCCTCTCCTGAATCAGACACTGGCCGACTCCAAGTCAACAGTGGTGAGGTTCAAATTGAATTGAACAAAGAAATGTCTGCTGTTTTCCCAGCTCATCAGTAATCTAACACAAGGTTTTTCTCTGTGCCCATCTGCACAGAGTCTACACTGCAGAGTCTACAGTATAAGCAACCCCCGGCCCAGCCCTGCGTGTTCTGGCCCCTCCCTGGGTGGGAAAGTGAGTACACGCAATGTGTGCATACAGTGTGCACACACATACACATTCCTGCGCCACGCAGGCCTCCTTCCTATGAAGGATGTGAATTCTGCTGGAGAAAGTAGTTTTTGAACGTCAAGGCCACTCCCTGCTCGGATGCCAGTTCCCTGCATAGCCCATCCCCTCACCTGGGCCAGGCAGAGGGACGCGGGAGATGCAGCTGGGACACAGGCAGTTCCATTATTTATGAAGCTTTCGTTATTTCACATATAAATAATCGATGGCTGCAAAGTGCGGTAGGCAACACTGTGGAATATTCATGAGCCACGTTTGTGGGAATTTCGGCTGCCGCCTGGGCCCCAGATGTGCACACACTCACACGCCCCCAAATAAAAATCACCATAATAAAGATTTCATCTGTCAGGCAGGGGCTCGTCTCCAGGAGAGAGGCAGCTTGTGCATCCTCGGCACTCAGAGGGTTTGCTCGCCTGGCAGTGGCTGGAGCCAAGCACCCAGCCTGTTAGGGAGGGAGGAGATGGCCCCCCAGGGAGGGAGTCCTGACACTGCAAGGACTGGTCCACTTCTCATCCTCCCACCCCTTCCCCAGCCCCGGTGTTTCATCAAGCACTCCTAGTCAAAGATAAAGAATCCTTCCCGGCCAAGCGCAGTGGCTCACGCCTGTCATCCTAACATTTTGGGAGCCCAAGGTGGGTGGATCACTTGAGGTCAGGAGTTCGAGACCAGACTGACCAACATGGCGAAAGCTTGTCTCCACTAATAGTACAAAAATGAGCCAGTTGTGGGGGTGCATGCTGTAATCCCAGCTACTTGGGAGGATGAGGCATGAGAATCGCTTGAACCCGGGAGGCAGAGGTTGCAAGATCGTGCCCCTGTGCTCCAGCCTGGGTGACAGAGTGAGACTCTGTCTCAAAAAGAAAGAAAAAAAAATACTCCTTCCCTCCCTGTGTGTCTCCGAGTCCCCTGCTCCCCTGCCCACCACCTTTGAAGGGGAGCTCGGCTGGGGTTGTGGACTCAGGATCTCATGCATGGGAAACAGTCCTGTTCCTCAGTCCCTCTTCCTGGACAGAAGGCAGGAAGATCTGACCTCTTCCCATCATGGGATTCCCCGGGGTGGTGTGAGGGGTCAGGGAGTAGATGAGTCAGGAGGACACAGTGTGGCCCCGCAGGTCCTGTGAGGCTGGTCCCAGCTTACCCTCCAAGCCCCCACCTCCTTCCCCGTGGCCTCCCATTCCAGGCTGCACCCCCATTTTGCTCTCTCTCTCCTCTAGGCCTTTGTTCTTGCTGTTTATGCTATTTCCTTCACTTGAAACACTTTTCCCTTCCCCGCTGTTACCTGGCTGGTGCCCTCGGGGTTGGGGAAGCTGCCAGCTCCCCTAGGGCATCTTCCCCAACCGTTAAGCTGAGTTGGGCCCCTGCCTCTGGGCTTCAGGGACCTGGACCCCCCAGTTCTGGCACTTCTTCCACTGCACTGTAACCATCTTTGTGCTAGTGCTCCCTCCACCTCCCCAACCTGCCCACCACACATTGGATTGTAAACTATGTGACCTTGGCAGGCTTTGGCCCCCGAGGGGTTTGAATCCAAGCTCTGCCTCTTACTAGCTGTGTGAACTTCGGTGAATTACTTAACCTCTCTGTGCCTGGATCTCCTCTTCTGTACAGTCAGAATGACAAAAATAGAACGGACCTCATAGGGCTGTTGTGAGCGTTTAATGTATTCAGCCAGTGAAAGTGCTCGGCCCAGTGCTTCTCAGAGCTCGGGAAGTGGTCAGTCCCTCATCCCTCCTCTGCCATTCCAACATCCCCAAAGCTCTGAGACCAAAAAGCTTTTCAAAACTCATTTGGCAGCAAAACCTAAACTGAACTGACCTTAGAGATACTTAACAGTCTGTATCCCACTATTCACATGTATTTCGCTACAGAAATATGAATATGTTGGAGTCGTCTGTAATATAGGGAACATTACATTAATAAAATCTGAAAACAATTTTGAAATCTGAAATGCACGTGGCCCCAACAGCTTCTTTGCGGAACTGTGGCCGACAGCACTCTCATGATTTTCATGAAGGATAGCATGTTAATATCAACTGCCTGAGAGCCAGGACCGTGCGTGTCTTATTCAGCACTGGGCCTGGCACAGAGCAGTTCTCCATAAACTGGGTGACAGTTGGGACAGTGACTGGAGCTAGCCCTGCTTCCCTGACTTTCTAGGAGGCTGTGCCCTGCCACCCATCTCCTCGGAGCCCCAAGCCCAGGCCCAACCTACTCACTTCCCCCAGGTCACCCCTTGCTGTTGGTGGCAGAAGCGGGGTTGAAACCTTCCCCTCACCTGCCTCCCTGAGGACTACCTGGGTTTGCGCAGGGAGGGGATCACTCATTCCAAATCTCAGCTGAGGAGCAGGAAGCTGCCTGGGGAGCTGCCACCACATCCCTGCTTTCCAGGCCCCAGGACAGGCCCACTCTTCCAGGAAGGCATGAGGCTGCTCTCAGACCTTCCCTGCCCTCTCCCCACAATGGCACATTAGGAGGAGGCTGGACGGGAAGGACTCGCCAGCTGAAATTAAACTAAGCACCAATCTGGCCAGGTGCAGTGGCTTACACCTGTAATCCCAGCACTTTGGGAGGCTGAGGCGGGCGGATTGCTTGAGGCCAGGAGTTCGAGACCAACCTGGCAACATGGTGAAGCCCTGTCTCTACTAAAAAAAAAAAAAAAAAAAACAAGCCAGGCCTGGTGTCAGGCACCTGCAATCCCAGCTACTCAGGAAGCTGAGGCATGAGAATTGCTTGAACCTGGGAGGTGGAGGTTGCAGTGAGCCAAGATCATGCCGCTGCACTCCAGCCTGGGCAACAGAGCAAGACACTGTCTCAAAAAGCAAACAAACTAAGCACCGATCTGTGCTGGGCCCCAGTGTGTATTGATAGGTATAGATATGCACAGGTATGGATTAGCTATATATCTAGACATGGAGGATACAAGCAGCTACAAACACCTTCACCTGCTTAATCGTCACATCAAACACGTGGGTGGGTGCCATTAATGTTCAGTGGGTTCTAATGAATAAACCCACCACCTCCTCCACCAAGTTCAGATCCAATCAAGAGAGAGACACTGAAATCCCATGGATAAAGGTCCAAATGGCAGTTTGAACATCTACCAAAAGCTGAATGGCAGAATGTGACAGGGTGGGGAAGTCTGAGAGCATTACGCCCCTGCTCATGGAAACACGAAGCCCATTTTGTAGATGAGGAAACGGAGGCAAGTCAATGAGGAACAGGAATTTGAACCCAGGTTATCCTGTCTCCAGGTATCAATGTAAATCTGTATCTAGCCTACCCCTAGATCATCTACATGCCTCGGGATCTCCAGGATCCAAGGCACAATGATTCTGATAGCAAAAGAAGCCAAGAGGAGTGGAGCCTGCAGCAGAGCCCTGGGGTCTAGGCAAAGGCTGGTCCATGATTTCCCTCCTGGCTCCTCCCCTCCTGCTCCTCTCCCCACCTCCCCTCTTCTCCCCTGTCCTTATCCTTCCCTGTCAGATCACTATCATTCATTTCCCTCTGGTTACCAAGCTTGGCGAGGCAGCTTTCCTGGTTCCATGTCTGATCTGCATGCCTGAGCCAAGAAAAGGACTTGCTTTCAGGAGCCACTTCCTCCTCCAGCTCATTAAACAGCTGGTCCCCTTGTCTGGGTTCAACAGTCAAAAGCCTAATCCATGTCTGGCAGCTGGAACAAATCCTACCAGGGACTCAAACAGCCCCACCTGTGGGGAGAGTAGGAGACCCAGCCGCTCGCTGGAAAGCCAATTTCGAGACAGCGCTCTCTGAGGCTGCACTAATTTTGTCTCATGTTCCAGAGCTGCAGTCACTTTATAAATCCGGCAGAGAATGCTGCCAAGGGTTCAAGAACAGGGTTCCAAGACCCGAGATTAGGCCAATGCTGTTCCCTATCCCCCAGGAAAGGCCCCCCAGGACAGCTTGCCCCTGCAGCAAAAATGGCCAATGCTTCCTTTTATAAATCAACCCCATATGGGCTTTCCAGGATTCTGAGGTTGCATCTGGGCTCAGCACGAAGGAGTCCTGTGATTGATTAGGGATGTCTGCCACAGCTGCGGCCTGGGACCTGGTGTGCAGAGGCCATGTGTTCACTTTTTCAGTACTCATGATTGCTCTGGCAATGGCCCTATGATTGTGTCACTCTGGGACTGGGGTGTGTGTGTGTATGTGTGTGTCATCTTGAAATATATACGTTTACAAAGCTGCTTATAAAGCAGTGGTCAACTACAGCCCTTCCTCCACACCATATGGCCCATACGCCTCCAGCAAGCACAGAACCTCCTGGAGTTTCATTGCAACATTTACAAAATGAAGATGAAGCTGCCAGGTTGGGACAAGTTTGCATGCATGAAACTCCTCTCCACTTATGGCAATAAAGGATTTTGTAAGTTATAAAGTCATGGCTGCATGCCATGGATCAGAAACAGAGCAGAACAGCCAGCGGTAAACAGGAGATGGAGCCTCGGGCTTGCTGTTCTCTAGGTCCTGAACAGGTAGGAGTGGCAGGAGATCCAGTTCACCCAGGATGCTGGAACCAAAGGGCCTCCCAGGGCAGGTGAACTCCACTAGCAAAATTCTGCAAGAGCGCCGCGTGGGCCAATAGATAAGCCTTTACAATGAACTATGTGTTTCCTCTTCAATGGCTTCTCCGCCCACTCTCCCCACCTGGGCTCCAATCCAACCACACTCACCTGCCTCAGGGCCTTTGCAATCACTGTTCCCACTGCCTGCATGCTCCACCCTTATATCCCCTATCAGCTCACTCCTTCACTTCATGAAAGTTTCTGCTGAAATATTATCAGAGCAGCCTGTCTGGACACCTTATATAAAATAGCCTCTTCTATCTCTCACTTTTTTTTAAAAAGAGATGGAGTCTCACTCTAAGTTGCCCAGGCTGGGGTGCAATGGTGCAATCACGGCTCACTGCAACCTTGACTTGCTGGACTCACGCAATCCCCCTGTCTCAGCCTCCCAAGTAGCTGGGACTACAGCCACACACCACCATGCCCAGCTAAGTTTTTAATTTTTTGTAGAGACAGGATCTCACTATGTTACCCAGGCTGGTCTTAAACTCATGGCCTCAAGCGATCCTCCTGCCTTGGACTCCCAAAGCACTGGCGTGAGCCACTGCACCAGCCATCACTCTTTATGCCCCTTATTCGGCTTTATTTTCTCATAGCACATCTATTTGTTTCTTGTTTGCCTCTCTCCCTTCCCTCTAATTAGAATGTTAGTTCTGCAAGGATAGGAATTGTGTCTGCTATGTGAACTGCTACATCCCCAGAGCCTGGGATGCGGTCTGGCACATGATTGGGGCTCTCCAGGTGTGTGTTGAATGATTAAGTGAGGGTTAGGATTTTATGAATTAAGATACTGAGGTTTAGAAAGGCTGAGTATCTTGCCCGATAATAATAACTGCTTTTTTTTTTTTTTTTTGAGACAGAGTCTTACTCTGTCACCTAGGCTGGAGAGCAATGATGTGATGATGGCTCACTGCAACCTCCACCTCCCGGATTCAAGAGATTCTCCTGCCTCAGCCTCCCGAGTAGCTGGGATTACAGGCATGCGCCAACATACCCAGCTAATGTATTTTTAGTAGACGGGGTTTCTCCATGTTGGCCAAGCTGGTCTTGAACTCCTGACCTCAGATGATCCACCCAACTTGGCCTCCCAAAGTGCTGGGATTACAGGCATGAGCCACCATGCCTGGCCTATAACTGTGCTTTATTAAAAGTTCTCTGTGCCAAGCACTGTGCAGAGCCCTTTGCATACACTGCCCTTTAAGCTTCATGGTAAGTCTACGAAGTGGGACTATCCCCATTTTACAGATAGAGACCAGCCAGGTTGAGTCACTTGCTCAGGATCACACAGCAGGTCAGGAGGGGAGCTGCATGTTCCCCAAGCCCCCACTGGTAACTTCTTTGCTCTCCTGGCCCCCGGGCTCCCCTCAAACAAAGCAAAGGCTTCTGTGTCGAGTGGATCATATGTTTCATTCCCCTGTCTCCAGGCAGCACTATAAATCATCAGACAGAATCCATCCAGATTTTACCAACTCCTTGCCAAGGGGTTTCACCATTTCCCATCCCAGTGTTTCCTCTTTCCAAAGTTAAGCCTCATCACTGCAAATTCTTCTTTTCAGTCTAACCCGAATCCCACTTGCTTCACATTCAACCTATTTCTTCTTGTCCCACCTTCCAGGGAGCTGGAGAAAATCGGCAGGAGACACAGGCACTGCAACCAAAATGCTCCATTTAGCTGGGAGAGAAGCCACAGGCTCCACGCCCCAGCGATTCACCAGAAAGCCGAAAGCCCCAGCTCCCAAGGCCAGCCCTGTCAGCACCTGGCCCCGTGTTCCTTTCCCAGGGCCCTGCCTTGCCACGGTGATTTATGGGCCCTGTCAATCTGCAGGCTGAGCCACGGAGACAGCTGGGAGTAGCAAGGATCAGCAGCGGCCACGCGGGCCAAGGGGGGTGGGGTGGCTCAGGCTGAGCCTGGGGGGAGGGGGAGGGGAGCAAGAGACCCAGACACTCCAGACCACAGTGTGACAGAGATGGGGATGGAGACCCCAGCACGCCGGGTCAGAGCAGCCGCCAGCCTGAACCAGGGCAAGAAGCTGCGGAACAAAGACTCCAACCAGAAAAGCATGAAGAAGGAGCAGAACGGGAGACAGCCTGAGAGCCGCTGGAGCCGCTTCTCCTAGGGAGTTTCAGATTCTCTTTATTCTGAAGACAAAAGCAAAATGAAGATGACAGACGGTGAGAGATGTTTAGCGGGTTTGTTTTTCTGCAGACGTTCTGGAGGACCTGGATGAAATCGCCAATTAGCCCTCCTCCCCGCAAGCAAGCTCCCAAGTCCACAACCCTGGTGGGAACTAAGTTCCCCACCCAGCCCCAGCTGGAGGCAACTCTCACTCTGTCTCTCTCACCCCCGGTTTATGTGTCTTTGTCCCTGCAGCTGCACGTCTGACTCCTTCTTCTTTCTTTCTTGGTCTCCCTTACCTTAGATTTTTCTTCCTTGGTATTTTCTGGTCTCCTGCCTCCCTCTCTGACCCATCTCACTCCGAGGAGCCACTGGAGCAGGCTCTCTGGCCCTTGGACCCATCTGTCTCCTGCCTCTGGCATTTCTTGCGCCCCTCCCGGTGTGTCCTCCCGTCTCACCCCCACGCTGTCTCATTGTTCATTGGCGATTGACCTTAGTTTCTTTTTTTTTTTTTTTTGAGACAGTCTCTCCCTCTCACCCAGGCTGGAGTGTAGTGGCTCAGTCTCGGCTCACTGCAACCTCCACCTCTCAGGTTCAAGTGATTCTCCTGCCTCAGCCTCCTGAGTAGCTGGGATTACAGGTGTCCACCACCACACCTGGCTAATTTTTGCATTGTTAGTAGAGACGGGTTTCACCGTGTTGGCCAGGCTGGTCTTGAACTCCTGACCTCAGGTGATCCTCCTGCCTCAGCCTCCCTAAGTGCTGGGATTACAGGCATGAGCCACTGCACCCGGCCATTGACCTTAGTTTTTGATGTCCATCCGCTGCAGGTGTCCCTCCCGTGGCCCTGGGCAGTGCGTCCAGGTGGCCTGTGGAGCAGGAGAGTGGAGTCCCCAGCCAGAATTTGCTGTGCAGAGAGGGAGACCCTGCATTGCTCTCAGCTGCGGGCAGCTTGGCATAAGGAAAAGGCAGTGCCCATAGTTAGGGGAACAGAAGAGGCAGCCAGCAGCAACTTTCATCCAGAGTGGATCTGAAATTCCAGGCCAGGCCTGAGGAATGCTCAGCTGCTTTTGTGTGCATACACACACACACGGAGACACACACATACACGCACGCATACCCACACGGGGACACACACACATACACACACAGACACATATGGGGACACACACAGGGACACACACATACACGGGGACACACAAGGGGACACACATACACACAAGGACATACACACAGGGACACAAAGCACAACAGCCACACACTGGGCAGCCTCAGATGGCCTCACAACCAGACTCCCAAATTCACATCTCTCCACAGTCATCCAGGAACCACAGTCCTTCCAACTCCCAACCCCAAACCACACTGCCCGGAGACATTCCCCTGCCCCACAGGGCACCAGGAGCCCTGAGGCTAGAAAGGGGCTCTGGGCATGTGCACTGCGTAAGGGAGAAGGATAATTTGTCTCAACTTAAATCCAGCCCTCGCTATGGGGACACCAGCCTCTCCCTGGCGACCGTGAAAGGGAGGACGAGGAGGAGGAAGAGGAGAAGGGGGAGGTGAAAGAGGGGGAGAGGGAGGAGGAGGAGGGGAGAAGGAGGAGAAGGGGGGGGAGAAGAGGAGAAGGGGGAGGAGGAGGAGGTGGGGGAGGAGGAGGAGGTAGGGGAGGAGGAGGGGAGGGGAAGGAGGGGGAGGAGAGGGAGGAGGGGGAGGAGAGGGAGGAGGAGGAGGAGGTGAAAGAGGGGGAGGAGGGGGGAAGGAGCACAGCTTTCGACCCAGGCTCTTCAGGTGAAGGAAGGAAAGAAAGACTGGTTCCCAGCGCGCCCTAGGAGAGAGGCCAGGAATACAAGGCCACGAAAGCCCATCTGTTTCCAGGCTTCTGTGATTTGTTTTCCCTTTTCTTTGAATACCCCTTGATTTATGAGACTAGGGGTGAAGATCTCTTCTCATTTAACTTACTTTGAAGCTGATTCAAGTTGTTCCAATAATAAATCAGTCTAAATAAAAAGCACCTGCTTGCATGGGGGCTGAAGGGAAGCCGCTGCCTGAACACGTCCGGCCGGGGGGAGGTGCGCCCCCTGGGGGCCTGAGAGGAGATGAGAGTGCCTGCCCCTGGAACCCAGGCAGGAGGCGCATCGTCCCTGAGCACTGTATGTATATATACTACATATGCAGTGTATGCACCACATATGCGCCACACGTGCACTATATATACACGCTATATATGCCATATGTGCCCTACATGTCCACCACATGTACGATATAGGTACTATACATGCACTATATATATGCATTACATATGTACTATATATGCAGTTTACTCACTACATGTAAACTACATATGCACTATGTATATATAGTATATATACTATATATACATATGCACTATATATACACTATATGTGCACTACATGTACACCACATAGACCATATATATGTGTAATGTAATGCACGTGTAATGTAATGTGGCGTAGTGTAATGTAGTGTACATGTAATGCACATATAGTGTATATATGTGAATATAAAGTGCATATAGATTGCCTATGTAGTGAATATATAGTGCACATATAGTGTATGTGTAAATGCACGTATAGTTATATATAGTGCATGTATATGCACTGCATAGATACTCTATATGCACTATATATTCACTACATATTCATATGCTACATAGGCACTATATGTCCACTACATGTACACCACATATATGATAGATGTGTAATGTAATTCACACGTGTAATGTAGTGCACGTGTGTATATGTTTCGTGTACATATGTTTCATGTACACTATGTGCACTATGTACCATATATGCACACTATATGTGCACCACATATGTACTATATATGCGCTGTATATTCACTACACGTACACTACATATGCACGATATATACACTACAGCACGTGCACTATATATACGCTACGTATACACCATATATGCACTAGATGTCCACTGTAAATGCACTATATGTGCACTGTATACACTGCATATACAGTATGCGCTACATATATACTATAGGCACATTGTATTCCCACCGCACCGCAATGAGACAGGCATCATTATTATCTAGTTAGAGGCATGACCCAGGAAAACCCCACCAACCCTACCTGCACCACCCCTCAGGCCCCTGCCACAGGCTTCCTTGGGGCCTGCTGTTTTGTTGTTGGGTTTTTGCTTTGTTTTGTTTTGTTTTGAGATATGGTATCACTCTGCTGCCTCGGCTGAAGTACAGTGGCATGATCATAGCTCACTATGGCCTTGAACTCCTGGGCTCAAGTGATCCTCCCACCTCAGCCTCCCGAGTAGCTGGGGCTATAGGCACCTGGCTACTTTTTGTAGAAACGGGGTGTTTCACCAAGTTTCCCAGGCTGGTCTCAAACTCCTGGCCTTAAGTGATCCTCCTTGGCCTCCTGAAGCGCTAGGATTACAGGCGTGAGCCATTGCGCCTGGCCAGGGGCCCACTCTGGTGCTGGCTAGGACAGCTCTAGCCATGCCTGCTTTGCTGGGGAAGGGCAGGAACCGGATAATTTCTTCTTTCCCACCCAGGCCCTGCGCTTCAATCTTTGAGTTTCTTGCTTTGTTCGGGAGATTTCCTTTCATTTTGAATAAACAATCACTTAACGGCCTGTGGCTGCACCTCCTCCTGCTTCAATGGGAGGTGATCACAGTGTCCAACCTGACAGACTGTTCCAGACCCAGCTTCCCTGCCTGTGCCCCTCAACCAGACTCTGGCACCAAGAAATGACCACACAGGGTCTCCCAGTTTGATATGGGGTAACTTGAGCCCCAGGAACTCAGGCAGGAGCCACCCAGACCTATAGCCTAATCACAGCTCCACCAGGGTTTAGCTCTGTGACCTTAGGCAAGTGGCTTGACAACTCTGAACCTCCATTTCCTCTGCTGAGCACAGAAATAGTGACAGGTCCCACCTTGTGAGGCCATGAAGATCCTGCTTAGCCCAGTGCTTGATACGGGGTTATTGCTTAGGAAATGGTGGGGTAGGGTTATGGGAGCCGGGGTGAATGAGCCCCGAGAAGAAACCTCAACCCACAGGAGAGCTACAAATGATGCCTGAGGCCACACAGGGACACCCCGAGACATACCCCACCCCTCCACAACCCAGCAGAGGGAGGTGACAGAGAGGTGGCTAGAAGGAGATGGGGAACTGAGACTTCTCACAAGTACATGTGGGAGTCCCCGGCACCACCAAGTGCCACCACCCCAAGAAGTGAGATACACGGAGTGTGATGTTTCTCTGGCACAAGCCGTCCTCACAGCCCAGGAGGTGTGGCCCAGTTAGGAACTTGCTAATGACCTTCTCTGTCAGCTCAGGACTGAATGAGCAGGCTCCAGGCCTCCAGGCTAATGCCAAGCCCGACCCTGAGTTCTTAGGGGCCACACTGGAGAGTGGGAGGTCACGGCACATGCGGGTCCTGTCTGGGTTTTAGGGACAGGGCCGGGCTGTGTTCAGAGCTGTGAGTATGAGGGGACTGGGGCTTCTGGAGAGCGCCTGAAGAATTTACAAAGACCCTTGGTCATGGAAGTATAACGTGTCCGGGGCCAGAGGACTCAGGACAGAGGATCAGGGCCCAAAGAAGGGATAGGGCTAGGCGGCAGTGAGGCCTAGTGAGAGGCAGGGCTGGGTGAGAAGATAGAGACCAAGCTGGGGCTGTGGCCCGGTGAGGCGGGGAGGGGGCTGGTGGGGGATGGAGGCTTGGAGAGGGGCTCCAGATAGACAGTGGAGACAGGAACCAGGATGGCCACAGACCTGGGCCACTAGGGGCCCTGCTGGGGCATCTTGGTTGGGGGGAGCACGCCAGAGCCTGGGGGGACAGTGGGACCTGCCCGCAGCATCCTCACCGGGCAGCCATCAGGAGCTACTGTGCTGGGGACAGAGGTGTCTCGGGGGGTGTGGCATGTTGCTTCCCCTGAAAATGAGAGTGACTGGGCTCTTTTCTCGCTGGGAGAGAAAGCGGCTCCGCTCTCCTTCTGTCCACAGTTCTGCCAGCTCCTCAATGCCCCCTGCCTGCCCCAGGACAAGGGCAAAGCCAGGTATCTGGTGGGACCAGATTGGGCCTTCCTGCCCACGCCCCGGTCTGCCACCAAGCAGCCTACACCATCTCTGTTCTCTCTCTGCTTCTCCTCCTCCTCCTCCCTCCCATACTCACCTTCACTCCTGTTTCCCAATAACCACCCTCGGAGAAAGGAGTCAGAGGAGTTTGGACAAAGTTCATCCTCCCCAGCCCCAGGGTGCAGACACTTCCCTCTCAGCCACGGCCTCTGTTTGGGGCTGGCCCAGACAAGGGGAGGGGTAAGGGGGACATCCCTCTGGCTGCCTGTAGGGTCCACCCAGCCGGGGAAGAAGCCTCCACGCACGGAGGAGTTGTCCACAGGGAGGGCTGCAGAGCAGACAGAGACCCATTTACAAACCAGGCCAAATTTTTTTTTTTTTTTTTTTTTTTGAGACAGAGTTTCACTCTGTCGCCCAGGCTAGAATGCAGTGGCGCGATCTCGGCTCACTGCAAGCTCCGCCTCCAGGGTTCACACCGTTCTCCTGCCTCAGCCTCCCAAGTAGCTGGGACTACAGACGCCCGCCACCATGCCCGGCTAATTTTTTGTATTTTTTTTTTAGTAGAGGCGGGGTTTCACCGTGTTCACCAGGATGGTCTCGATCTCCTGACCTGGTGATCCGCCCGCCTCGGCCTCCCAAAGTGCTGGGATTACAGGCGTGAGCCACCGTGCCTGGCCTAATTTTCTTTAAAAGTGGCATTCTTGTCTTCTAGAAAATACGATGCCATTTTCCTGGCTTGGTGAGGGGTGAGGGGCATTATCCCATCTCCGCTGCCTCTGCCTCCCTCCCCTTCCCCTCCTGGCAGTGCTACTGCTGTTATTAATAGGAAGCAGCTTCCCGGGGCAGCCACCCAGTACAGGTCATCCATCTCCCTCAGAGCGGCCGTCACCCCCCACGGCTCAGCACCCGAGGAGTGGCACTCAGGCTGGGAGCTCTGACCTCATCCCCACTTCCCTCCCTGCCCCCCTCCTCACCTTCTAGTGTTGGCATAGCAAGGTCCTGGGGCAGGAAGGAGCTAAGCTGCCCAGCAGGGATGCCCCAAGCAAGCCTCCCTCCAACATGAAATGTTCATGCATTCATGCATTCAGCAAACATTTATTGAACACCTATTATGAGGCGCACACTGTTCAGGGCCCCAGAGTCAGAGCAATGACCAGACACAGTCCCTGCCCTCATGGAGCTAACTGACATTCCAGTGGGGGAGACAGATATGAAAAGAATAAACTATAAATAAATGACAAAATCTTAGATTTTAGACTCACAATGTCAAATGCAATGAAGCAATAAAACAGGAAAAGGAGATAGGATGTGCTGGGTTCGGGGGTGGTCAGGAGAAGGCTCTGCACAGAGGTGACATCTGTGCTGAGACCTGAATGATAAGAAGCAGTCAGCCCTTAGATCTGAGACGAGAGCATGCCAGGCAGAGAGAATGGAAGGGCAAAGGTGTGGAGAGAGACCGAGTTCTGGCGGTACAGGGGCAGAAAGGGTCAGTGTGGTAGGGCAGTGGAGGAGATCTTGGGGTGAGAAGAGGCTGGAAAAAGAAGAGAAGGTTAGGTCAGGCATGGGACACAAAGAGAAGCTTGGATTTTTTGTCTTTTTTTTTCCAAGATGGAGTCTCGCTCTGTCACCCAGGCTGGAGTGCAGTGGCACAATCTCGGCTCACTGCAACCTCTACCTCCTGGGTTCAAGTGATTCTCCTGCCTCAGCCTCCCGTGTAGCTGGGATTACAGACGCGCACCACCACACCCTGCTAATTCTTTGTATTTTTAGTAGAGACGGGGTTTCACCATGTTGGCCAGGCTGGTCTCGAACTCCTGACCTCAAATGATCCCCCGCCTCGGCCTCCCAAAGTGCTGGGATTACAGGTGTGAGCCACTGAGCCCAGGCTTTTTTTTTTTTTTTTTTTTTTTTTTTGACACAGGCAGGGTCTCACTCTGTCACCCAGGCTGGAGTCCAATGGCCTGATCATGGCTCACTGCAGCCTTGGCCTACTGGGCTCAAGGGATCCTCTTATGTCCACCTCCCTACTAGCTGGGACTATAGGCACGTGCCACCATGCTCAGCTAATCTTTGTATTTTTTGTAGAGACAGGGTTTCGCCATGTTGCCCAGACCGGTCTTCAACTCCTGGGCTTAAGCAATCCACACACATTGGCCTCCCAAAGTGCTGGGATTACAGGCATGAGCCACCGTGCCCAGCCTGGATTATTTTGTAAGTAGAATAGGAAGCTATTCAAAGTTTTAAGCCAGCAACAACATAATCTGGTTTGTTCTTTTATTTTTATTGTTTTGAGACAGGGTCTCGCTCTATTGCCCAGGCTGGAGTGCAGTAGCGTGATCACAGCTCGCTGCAGCCTCCACCTCTTCGTCTCAAATCATCCTCCCACCTCAGCCTACCAAGTAGCTGGGACTACACAAGTGCACTACCAAGCCCAGATAATTTTTTTTCTTTTTTTTTAGAAACAGGGTCTTGCTGTTTTGCCCAGGCTTGTCTTGAAACTCCTGGCCTCAAGCAGTCCTCCTGACTCAGCCTCCTAAAGTGTTGGGATCACAGGCGTGAGCCACCACGTCCAGCCTAGTTTGTTCTTTTAAAAACCACTCTGGCTGCTGGGTGGAAAATAGATGGTAGGAGTTGAGTGGGAGGGAGAGGATCCTTCGGTCATGCAGCTGTGAGGCGAGGGGAATGGAGCGGTAGGTAGTGGTGGGGATGAAGTCATCGGACTTAGGGTCTATTCCGCAGGCCAAGCTGACAGTGCCGGCAGATGAGCTGTGCCTCTCCCGCTTCCCCGTTTCCAAACAGGGGTGAGGAATGTGGTCTTTATTCCCATATCCTCTACATCCATCTAGGGGTGTGTGCTCTGCTGTCCCTCTGCCTCCCCAGCCTGAGGCTCACTGTTACTCCCAGCCAGAGCATGCAGCCATGGCTGGGGTTCCCTGCAGGGAAGGAAAGAGAGTTCAGGCCAGGAAGGGTGTCCGATGGCCAGCCTCCAGTTTAGGGGAGAATCCGGCTCTGCTCCCAGCACCACTGGGAAGCTCGATTCATTGTGCAGAGGTGAATGTAAAGGCACTGGGGTTTCAGTTATTCTTGGCTTCTGTGCTGGGCCTGAAACTCAAACTCCTCCCAGCAGCTCCTGTCATCACAGGGGAGCAGGTTCCCTCAGCAACATGGGTGTGGATTCCAGCTCTACAGACACAAGCTGGGTGATCCTGAGAAAATGACTCTGAGCCTAGTCACTTGATTAAGTCCCTCATTTATTTAAAAAGAAAAAATGTAGTGAGCCAGGCCTTCTACAAGTGCTCGGGATGCTGCAGAGAACAAAAGGAATTTACAGTCTAAGTGGGAAGACAGACAACAAGTAAACAAGCAAAAGCATATCATGATTTGTCATCAGGGCTAGGAAGCGGAGAACAGGGCGAATGAATGGAAGGTAGTCATTGAGGAGAGACTATGTAGTCTGGGTGGGTGAGAGGATTAAATGAGATAATACGTGTAAAGCCCTCGACACAGAGCCTGGCACAGGGGAAGTACCAGTGCCTGCCAGCGGCTCGGGGAAGCAGGGAGAGGGGAGGGCATCAACTGGCTTCCAGCTCCAAGCCCGGAGCTGAACGGAGGAGGGGCTGGGGCAGCCAGAGCCAGCTATTTCCCCTGCCAAAGGTCAGAATCAGGACTGCAACCTCTCTCTCTCTTTTTTTTTTTTTAGTTTATTTGAGATGTAGTCTGTCACCCAGGCTGGAGGGCAGTGGCGTGACCCCGGCTCACTACAATCTCTGCCTCCCGGGTTCAAGGGATTCTCCTGCCTCAGCCTCCCAAGGAGCTGGGATTACAGGTGCCCGCCACCACGCCTGGCTAATTTTTTTTTTCTTTTTTGTATTTTTTTAGAGACGGGGTTTCATCATGTTGGCCAGGCTGGTCTCGAACTCCTGACCTCAAGTGATCTGCCTGCCCCGGCCTCCCAAAGTGCTGGGATTACCCCGTGCCTGGCCAGGACTGCAGCCTCTTGGTGAGAGGTGGGAATAGCCCAATTCCTGACTTCAGGTCTGGTGCTCACTCTACTTCCTGGAGTGGGAGGAGAGGAGACTCACCAGACCCTCCTCCAATGAACTGGCTGGCCCAGATGGTGACACCAGGGACAGGGGATCCTCACAGAGCTGCTCATGCCAACCCACCTTCCTAGGCTCCAGGTAGAATTTGCAAAACCTCTGCTGCCAGTGGTCAGTCAGGGCTGGAAACCCCTCTATGACCCTTCCTGGGGACGGCTGAAGACACTGGCCCCTCCAGGTTTGGGATCCAGCCCCACCCCTGGCCGCCCCTGCCCCAGCCTCCCTTCTGCTGTAGTCACAGAGATGATTTCTAACACTCTCTGTGGGGAGAAGTTCAGTGGAGCTCCGAAGCTGGGCCGGGTGGCTGTCCTGACTTTCTCTTAGGCCAGAGGGAGGAGCTAGCGGTTGCGGGGAAGTTCAGAGTTGGCGTAAGAGGGGGCAGCTGAATGTCAGTCTGACATGGTCCTTCTCTGAGGAATGCCCCTGCCTATGGCCCAGGGAGCAGACAGCAGAGATGGGTTTATGCTCCCTTAAGAAGTCCCATCCCAGCCGGGCATGGTGGCTCACGCCTGTAATCCCAGCACTTTGGGAGGCCGAGGTGGGTGGATCACAATGTCAGAAGATCAAGACCATCCTGGCTAACACGGTAAAACCCCGTCTCTACTAAAAATACAAAAATTAGCCTGGCATGGCGGCGGGCACCTGTAGTCCCAGCTGCTGGGGAGGCTGAGGCAAGAGAATGGTGTGAACCCAGGAGGCAGAGTTTGCAGTGAGCCGAGATGGCATCACTGCACTCCAGCCTGGGCAACAGAGCGAGATTCCTTCTCAAAAAAAAAAAAAAAAAGAAGTCCTGTCCCACACCCCAGGGACACCCAGTCCCCAGCCCCAGTGCCCTCTTCCACCTCTCCCATTATTTCCCCTGCGCCCCTCCCGTCTTTCTCCTGGGCCAGGAGAGAGGCACATGGGCCCCTTGAAAGCCATTCCAAAGCCACAAACCCTTTCATTCCCAGATGTCCAGGGGGAACCTCCTGGGTTTTTTTCCAGGCATCTCCATTTCCTAGGGTCTCAATTGCCTTTTTTAAAAATTTATATTTATATTTTTTAGAGCAGCTCTAGGTTTTCTAGTTCTAGGAAAAAGAAAAGAGTTTCCATACGCTCCCTTTCCCCCGAACACAGCTTCCTCAGTTATTGTCTCACATTAGCGTGGTCCTTGGCCTTTTCCAGTTCCCAGTTGTTGGCGCCAGTGTCTGGCTCTGGTTCAGTCTCCCACTTCCTGCTACCAAATCTGGTGCTTGCCACATCACTGATGAACCAGGTAATCAACCTGTGCACCAATGCCCCAGGTAAGTAATGAATCAGGTAACTGACGCACCAGTTAACCTATACACCAGTTAACCAATGCACCAGGTAACCTATGAGTCAAGTAACTGGTGCACCAGGTAATCAACGCCCCAGGTAACCAATGCACAAGGTAACCAATGCACAAGGTAGCCAATGCACCAGGTAACTGATGCGCCAGATAAGCAATGCACCAGGTAACCAGCCAATGAACCAGGTAGCTGATGCACCAGGTAACCAGTGAATCAGGTAACTGATGCGTATCCTGTCCCTCCTGGCACTTGTCCCTGCTTCCCAGTGTCCCCTGCTTCTCCCATTCACAGTGCCTGGTCTCCCAGCTCCTACCCACCTGGAAGGATTGACAGATGAGAGTGAAGGAGTCAGGGGCACTGGGTTGAGACATTCCAAACATTATTGATTTCCAACGTCCCCAGCCATCTCCTCCTCTGAGATCCCAGCCAGGAAAGGGACAGTGCCGGGCCCGGGCAGGACAGAACACGGAGGAAACATTGGCCTGCCTCTGGTCCCTCTGACTTCTCATAAGAAGTTAATAAAATTGCAGGCAAGGATGACCCAGAGGACATGATTTACTCACGGTGGGGAAAAGCTTTCAATAAGCTCCCTCCATAAAAGGCCATTAAGGGAGCGGAATTACCACAGGCTAAGGGGCAAGTGTTATGGATTCCAGAGTGGTTTAAGCAGAGGAATTAAAGAGGCATTCAGAGCCGGGAGACATTATTAATAACCACACCAGGCACTTTTAAAGGCCTTCATCGCAGCCAGCTGTGACGGCACTAACTCCTTGGCTCTTGGGCCTCTAGTGGAGATGGGACGGGCAAGCTGAGGATCAGCTCATTCCACTTTTAGGCTGGATCAGTGGATGGGAGGGCTGAGGTCTTAGAGCCGAGGGGTTCCCAGGAGATTCCCGGATCACACACTTTCTGGTGCTGAAAGATCAAACTCCAGGAAGGAAGGGCCTGCCTCCAATCTCACTAGCAGGGCTGAGGAGGCTTGTGCCGTCAAGGAGCATGTGGGGCCGGGCGCGGTGGTTCATGCCTGTAATCCCAGCACTTTGGGAGGCCAAGGCGGGCGGATCACTTGAGTCCGGGAGATCGAGACCAGCCTGGGTAACATGGCAAAACCCCATCTCTACAAAAAAATACAAAAATTCGCCGGGCGTGGTGGTGTATACCTGTAGTCCCAGCTACTTGAGAGGCTAAGGCAGGAGGATCAACTGAGCCCGGGAAGTCGAAGCTGCGAAGATGCAGTGAGCTGTGATTGTGCCACTGCACTCCAGCCTGGGAGACACAGCGAGACCCTGTCTCAAAAAAAAAAAAAAAAAAAAAAAAAAAACCACTTCAGAGCAGAGAGACTCCACCTTTCCCATCCAGAGGGTCCAGGAGAGGGAGAGCTCCCTGAGGAGGAGGAGGCTGCTCTTCCTGGCCTCCTGCTCTCCAGGACCCTAGTGAAGCCTGCACGCAGGCCTGAAGAAGCTGAGTCTCCCCTATTATATGGGCCGCCCTATCCTACCCGGATCACAGGCTCAGTCACGGAGCACCTTTCTCTCCTGGATGAAAAGTCCAAATCCACTTGCTTCCACCCTCTCCTCCCAACCCATTTTCAAAGCTCAGTTCAAGCAATACCCTTTTCACAAAGCCCCCTGAGCTGCACCCTCTCCACTCCCTGTGCTCCATAATGCGGGCAGACAAGGACCCTGCTTCCACAAGGTTCCAGCCCAGCTCTTCCCACTCAGTGCCCGCTTCAGGTCTTCCGAGAGGCCTGTGCTCCTGGAGACAGGTGGGCACAGAGAGGCCCTGGAAGGACCTGGACAAACTCTGTAGGGGGCTGAATTCTGAGCAGGGTCACCTGGCACCTCCATCCTGGCTCCACCCCAGCTCTGTCCTCTGCAAGTTCTCCTTCCCAGAATGTATCTCTCCCTCTGAAATTAGCATTCCTTTTAAATGTTTTCACACTCTCAAATCATTCCTTAAATGTATGTATTAACTGCCAAAATGACTTGCCTTAGCTGCTTCACCCGGCCTCACATTAATCTCACACAACCCTATTACACTTAACATGCCTCGTCCTCTCCGCTCAGCCTCATAAACTCAGGGCGACTTCAGAACCGTCCTTGGTGCCCATGGCTTGCAGCCGCAGAGGGCCGGATGCCACCTGGAGGGCCAGGGGGAGGAACCACTGTCCCACTGGGCCTAACGGCCACAGGTCGGGGGGCTTAGGGCCAGAGACCCCAGGGAAAGCTGCCTGCCTCAGCTGCCCCTTTCTGAGCTACTCGCTGCACCAGCAGCATCACCTTGACCTTAGGAGGGTGACTTTCACCTTTCCTAAGGGAGAAAGCTGAGTATGAGAACTGAAGTCCCTGGCCCAAGCAAAAGCCAGGATGTGAACCCCAGGCACTCTGGGTCCAAAGCCCAAGCCCTTGGCTGCCACACTGCACTCCCCAAGGAGAAGCTTGCAGAAAGGAGGTGATGAGGCCGAGAGCGGTGGCTCACGCCTGTAATCCCAGCACTTTGGGAGGCCCAGGTGGGCAGATCACTTGAGATCAAGAGTTCAAGACCAGCCTGGCCAACATGGTGAAACCCCGTCTCTACTAAAAATACAAAAATTAGCTGGGCGTTCTGTAAGTTCTCCTTCCCAGAATGTATCTCTCCCTCTGAAATTAGCATTCCTTCTAATTTGGTGGTGGCACACGCCTGTAGTCCCAGCTACTTGGGAGGCTGAGGCAGAAGAATCACTTGAACCTGGGAGGTAGAGTTTGCAGTGAGCTGAGATCACCCCCATGCATTCCAGCCTGGGCGACAGAGCGAGACTCTGTCTAAAAAAAAAAAAAAAAGTAGGTGATGGGCAGGAGATGGTCTTGGCCACCTACTGACTGTGTGACCTCAGGCAAGGGCAATTAAGAGATAAAAGCAGGCCTTTATTATTTATAATTCTTCACTATAATCATACATTGAATCCTCATCACAGCATTAAGTGGATGCTATAACCACCATTCTATAGATAAAAAAGTTGATGCACAGAGAGGTTAAGTAACCTGCCCAAGGATGCAGAGCTAAAACGTTTTGAGCCAGGACTCAAAGCCTCCACATTATAGGGCCCCTTGGTAATGACCAGAGAAGCCCATGATCAACTCCTTTCTTCCATGTGGCCCCCGCCCCAGTCGTTAACAGCTTGTAGCTTCTCGTCCCAAGTCTAGTATAACTTTCAGATCCAACTGCATCTTTAGACCCAGAGAACCCTCTCATTTGGCCCAAGTGAAGATGTCCAAGAGAAGGATCACCAACCCCAGCTTGGCCCTGCACTGCACCCAGCCCCAGCCCCGGGGGCAGTGGTCACCTGGCACCTGAGCAAGTATAGCCTCATCTTGGTAATATCTCACTAGAATTCTTCGGGCTTTTCCACTGGGATTGGGACTCCCTGTTGACAGGTTGGGACACCCTTTCTGATTCAGCCTATGTCCAAGAGGCAGGGCAGGGCAGTGTCCAGAGGCCCTGGTATTCTCACCAGTTTTTTTTTTTTTTTTTTTTTTTTGAAAGAGAGTCTCGCTCTGCAGCCCAAGCTGGAGTGCAGTGACGCAATCTTGGCTCAGTGCAACTTCAGCCTCCCAGGTTCAAGGGATTCTCCTGCCTCAGCCTCCCAAGTAGTTGGGACTACAGGTGCACACCACCACACCACACCCGGCTAATTTTTTTATTTTTTTATAGAGACAGGGTTCTGCCATGTTGGCCAGGCTGGTCTCGAACTCCTGGCCACAAGTGATCCGCCCACCTCGGTCTTCCAAAGTGCTTGGATTACAGACATGAGCCACCATGCCCAGCCCCATCACCTCCTTTCCGCAAGCTCATCCTCCTTTCTCATCCTTACCAGGAAAATGCCAATAGGACAGGTGACCCAGAAACACCGCCCCACCCCCAGGCCCCTGCATGACTGGGCACATATTCTGAAGACCACTGTCAGGCTAGACTGTAAGAGCCTAACCTAGAGCAGAGATCTCTGTCCTCCAGAACCTGTACAGTGCTCCACCCTCTGCCCATAATGAGGGTCCTCAGGCCGGGACATCTGATTCCCAAGTTTGCTCCGGAGCCACCTGTGTATCTTAGCCTTCGAGGGCAGGAGGAGGCAGAGTTCCAGGGTGGGCGGGAGGCGGACGGAGTGGGGTTGCCAGGTCAGTGACGGGGTCCTCGCTCCCTCCCTGGGATACAGCAGTCCTGGGGCCTCCCTGATGTGATTTACCCGACAATGACAACCTTTAATGTCCGCCCTGTTATAATCTCCTTTATCTTAATACAATCTTTTCCTGTTGAACTCTCCAGAGTCCCAACTGTGATTTTCAACGGAGGGATTTTTTTTATTATTATTACGACTTGATACTGTGATTACCGTCAAACTCTCAGTCTTTGTGGAAGGGAAATTAATAAGTTTTTCTTAAGCACTCTGCACAGGCCCTGCATACTGATGAAGCCGGGCCAGCTCCCCTACGGCAGGAGTCAATTACCCATCTGGCCTCCTGCCTGGCCTTCAGAGACCCAACAGTTCTCCTGTGTGGGGGCGGCGGTCATTAGGTGCCGGGTCCCAGCGCCTCCTCCGGGAAGTGCCGGGCCACCCTGAGGGGTCAAAGATCTACCCTGCTCCATTCTCAGCTGTGTCTTGGGGCAGGAACTGCCTGTGTTGAATCCCAGAACTAGAAGAGACCTTAGTTTTCAGCTCATCAAACACCTCCAGGCATTTGTACAAATTGATCGCTCTGCCTGCAACACTTTTCACTTTGCCTGGCTAATTCCTCAGATCCTTCAGGTCCCAGGTTAGCTGCCACCCCCCAGGAAGCCTTCCTGTCCCCCCAGGTAGAGGTTAAGTACATCCTTTTCTTGCACCTGGAGTCTCCCAGGCTTATACCTGTTGTAGAATTTATTTAGGTTTTTTGTTTTGTTTGTTTGTTTTTGAGACAGGGTCTCACTCTGTCACCCAGGCTGTAGTATAGTGATGTGATCACAGCTCACTGCAACCTTGAACTCCTGGGCTCAAGGGATCCTCCTGTTTTTCCCTTCTCACATTACAGGCGGAGGAACTGAGGCCGAGCAAGATGCGACCAGCCTCAGTCACAGACATCTAATGGCAAGGCGGGGGCTGTGGTTCCTAGGGTGGCATTCAGGTTCTCTAACTTGCATCCCTTCCGAGGTGTGTTTTGGTTTTCAGTGTGGCTGCAATCCCTCTCTCTGCATTGTCCTTGTCCTGTCCTAATTGGGCTGAAGGACTGGCAGGTGACATCTCTTACCCCCTCAGGGAGAGTAAGTGAAGACACAGCCTACCCCACCTAACCCTGCCCTGACCCAGCCCCAGCTGTGCCAGGCACAGGTGAGAGAAGGGCTCCCAGGGGCTTCCTGCCAGCTGGCTGCCTACTGGGGCAAGCGTGGCAGTGAATAAGCAAGCAAAACAAACACACCTTCCTAGGCAATGAGGCAGTCCCAGTGCCAGGAGGGACCAGAGGGCCTGGAGATGGCCCAGGCTGGGCCTGGCAGGTGGAACAAAGTTCTTAGATTGCCCCTGAGAAGAGACCCCTCTCCCTCAGGCTCCCCACCCAATTCCACTGATGGAGATCAGAGTGGGTGCAAAGGGAGAGTGAGGTTAGACCTCAGGAGAAGACTGCCAGGCATGAGGAAGTTCTGCCTTCCCTGGGGACACCAGGAAAATGACAGCAGTCAAAGGAAGCTCAAGTTGGAGGCTTGAAGCTATCCCATAGAAGTCAAGACCCGGCTCCTCTGGCCGCTGGGGCAGGAGTGTGCTGGTCTTGGCAGGGCTCGATGGCTCACACCTGTCCCAGAACTTTGGGAGGCCAAGGCAGGCAGATCACCTGAGGTCAGGAGTTCGAGATCAGCCTGACCAACATGGCCAAACCCTATCTCTACTAAAAATACAAAAATTAGCCAGGCGTGGTGGCGCTCACCTATAGTCCCAGCTATTTGGGAGGCTGAGATGGGAGAATTGCTCGAACCCGGGAGGCGGAGGTTGCAGTGAGCCAAGAAGGTGCCACTGCACTCCAGCCTGGGTGACAGAGCGAGACTCCGTCTCACATACACAGAAGCATACTGGTCTTGATATCCCTGCTCCAGCTAACATAGCAATGGATTCAGATAATCAGGCCTCAACTCTGTGCGGTGTGGTCTTACATTTCTCTGGTTGTAGGAGGAAGACACTGGGCCACCTGTCCCCTATAGACATTACCTGGGAGGGGAGCTAGCAAGGGAGACACATGAGATTTGGAGGAGAAAAGCACCAGATCCAAACTTATCCTGTTATAAGGATGGAGGCACACAGAGTGGGGATTTGACCCTTTCATTCATTCCTCCATTCAACAAACAGAGCACCTGGAAAGGTCCCTGTCCCACTCCAGAGCCGGAAGGTGGCCGTGAAACAGGAAGCCACATAAAATGACTTCAGCTAGGCCGGGTGCGGTGGTTCACACCTGTAATCCCAGCACTTTGGGAGGGCGAGACGGGCGGATCACGAGGTCAGGAGGTTGAGACCATCCTGGCTAACATGGTGAAACCCCGTCTTTACTAAAAATACAAAAATTAGCCGGGCGTGGTGGTTGGCGCCTGTAGTCTCAGCTACTCGGAAGGCTGAGGCAGGAGAATGGCGTGAACCCAGGAGGCGGAGTTTGCAGTGAGCCGAGGTCGCACCACTGCACTCCAGCCTGGGTGACAGATCGAGACTACATCTCAAAAACAAAAACAAAAACAAAAACAAAACAAAACAAAAATGACTTCAGCTAGAGGTGTGTGCCACATGGGGACGAAGTGGGGCTGCGGGGAGGGATCAGGGGAGCTAGAGATCAGGGGCTCTCTCTGCCCCGTGCAGAAGTGACTTGGGGGATGAGGGGGTCCACCTTCCCTGACCACTGCGGCTGCACAGTTCTCTAGCAGTGGGGATGGATAAGAGAGCTCCTTCCTGCACCACCGGGGCAGAGACAGTAGTCAGGCTCCAGACAGGCATGGGAATGGGAGGGCCAGGTGTCTGGGCTCAAGGGCGGCTGGGCCACAGTGGGGAGCCCGCAGGAGCTTGGGGGACACCTCTGCGGGGAGAGGGGAGGAAGCAGACTCTGGAGCTGGGCTGTGACAACAGAGTGATGACACATTACTCTTTCTAAGGAATTTAAAAACATTAATCACTGTAATTAGCAGAGCTGCCCAGCAGGCCTTCAGCCTGGCTATTAAAACATTGGCACAGGCTCCTGCCATGGCCTGGGTGATCTCCCCACAGCTGGCTGGTGCAGGAGGGCTTGGGGCTAGCTGCCAGGCTCAGCAGAAGGATGGAGGATGGGGCCTGGGTGCTCTGGGCAGGGCAGGGGCCACCGTCCCTTCCACATGTCTCCCTCCAGCTTCAATACGTCTTTGGGTCACCTGAATGGCCACATTCCCTAGCATGTGAGCACCACGAAGCAGGGAGCTTGCCTGTCTTGTTTGGTGACACAGTCAGTCCAGCATCCAGAAGAGTGCACAGTCACAGGAGTGCTGGAAAAGTGAAGAGAGAGAGAGAGAGAGAGAGGCTAATGCTCTCTCACCTCCAGGCATTTGTACAAACTGATCACTCTGCCTGGAATGCTTCACGTTGCCTGGCTAACTCCTCAGGTCTCAGGTTAGATGCCATCCCCCCAGAAAGCCTTCCAGTCCCCCCAGGTAGAGGTTAACTACATCCTCTTTTGCACCTGGAGTCTCCCAGGCTTATACCTGTTGTAGAATTTACTGAGGTGTGTGTTTTGTTTTGTTTTTTGGTTTTGGGTTTTTTTGTTTTTTTGTTTTTTTAAGATGGAGTCTCACTCCGTCAGCCAGGCTAGAGTGCAGTGACATGATCTCAGCTCACTGCAACCTCTTCCTCCCAGGTTCAAGGGATTCTCCTGCCTCAGCCTCCCAAGTAGCTGGGATTACAGGAGCGTACCACCACACCAGGCTAATTTTTGTATTTTTTAGTAGAGACAGGGTTTCACCATGTTGGCCAGGCTGGTCTTAAACTCCTGACCTCAAATGATCCACCCGCCTCAGCCTGCCAAAGTGCTGGGATTACAGGTGTGAACCACCACACCCGGCCTTGTTTTGTTTTTTGAGGCAGGGTCTCACTTTGTCACCCAGGCTGGAGTGCAGTGGCACCATCATGGCTCACCGCAAACTTAAACTCCTGGGCTCAAGCGATCCTCCTGCCTCAGCCTCCTGACTAACCAGGAGGATTAACCAGTCCAGGTGGACTAACCAGGTGGACTAACCAGTCCACCACCATGCCTGGCTAATTTTTTAATTTTTGTAGAGATGGGGTCTTGCTATGTTGCTCAGGTTGGTCTTGAACTCCTGGCCTCAAGTAATCCTCTTGCTTTGGCCTCCCAAAGTGCTGGGGTTACAGGTGTGTACCACCACACCTGGCCATGTAGAATTTAGTACACAATATTACAGCTGGTTTATGCATCTCTACCTCCACAAGACTGAACGCTACATGAGGACAGGGGCTATGGGCTCACCATGGTAGTCCCAAGGCTGAGCCCAGTGCTTGGCATATAGAAGGTGCTCAATAAAGATTTGTTGAATTAGTGAGTCAGTAAATCAATAAATAAGGAGCAGGAAGCCAGCTGCCGGCCTGCTGTGAGTGGCACCTGCTCTCCTCTGACTTCCAGTGGGCTGTGAGCTGCAGGCATGGGCAGAGGAGGGAAGGTGGATCCGGAGCCCATGCCCCTGGATGCCAAAGGTCCTCTTCCAGGCACCTTGAATCTCCTGGCACCTGTGCTTTAATAATGAAGATGCTGATCTCACAAACCAGAGCCTCCTGGGTCTTTGGGGAGTGGAGGGGAAGATCAACCTGTCACAAGAGCTCTGCCTCTGAACGCCCCTTGGTAGGGCATCCCCAGGACGGGTCCCTCTGCCTGGGCCCCAGCCCCTCGGCATCCCAGAAGGCATATATGGCCGCACTGGGAGCTCCCTCTAGTGGCAGACAGGCCCCGAGGGTCTGCTCAAGGTTGACCTTGTGCCCGCGGTGGGCAGGCAGGTGTCCGGGATGATGAAGTGGCCTCAGGGAGTGGGTGGGATTCACTCTTTGACGGTAAGAATGCATGCAAGTGCTCCGGAAACTGGAACAGGCCGCCGGAGTGGGAGTGGAGTGCTTCCACAGGGAGTGGAAGCAGGGGACCTGGTACAGGTGAGGCTGTAGGAGGGCTTGCTGGGTCTCTAGGGGCGAGTGGGCCAGGGATCAGGAGGTGGAAACGGTCCCTGTGAGGCCCCTTGCTGGGCGTGTGAGAGGTGGCATGGGGCAGGCACTCTGCTTGGGGCATGCCTCTGTGGCTCAGGGCACCGTGGACTCCATGCAGAGCCTTTGGGACTAGCACAGGTGAGTCAGCATCTTTCTGTTTCTTCAACACTTTGAGCCTCAGTTTCTTCACCAATAAAATGGGATAATGACACCTACCTGGCAGGTGTGGGGCCTAAATGAGATGAAGTGGGTGAAGCTCCTGGCATATAACAAATGCTTTTCAATGCTTTGGGTACCCAACCAGCCCTCCCCACCAACCCATCAACAATGGGACCAGAGCCCCCACTCAGTCCCTGCTCTCTGAGTTGGATTCCCCACCGATGCACCCCCATCCCCCTCATTTTTCCTCTTCCCAAAACTGAGAGTCACATCACAATCACATTGCTGGGTAAACAGCCCTGACCCCTGCCCCTTCTCTCCGAGGACTATGGGGAATTTTCACCTGTGATAAGCCAATGGCTGAGCCCTTCTGGGAAACCCTGTCTCCCCCAACCCCCCAGTTCTCAGAGTATCAGGGCCCAGGGTCCTCCTAATGCCGGTGGGAAAGTCATTAGGGAGGAATAAAGAAATAAGGAAAGGAAGGACTATGATTGTCCCAGAACCCCAAAGTTGGGTGGATGTCAGCTATTTCTGCGGCCCAGCCCTCCTATTTCCTGAGAAACCACCCCCATTTGTGTAGTCCTGGTGAGGCTGTCAAGCAAGTGCCGTGTCTCTCCAAAAGGGAGGGCATCTGGCTCAGCGGGATCAACCACAGCGTGCTGTCGTTCCTTTGGTAACAGTGATTGGGCTAAGTGTGTACATGTGACCGAAGCAAAGCCAATCCCATCCTTCCGTAGGATGTAAGTTGCAGGAGGGCGGGCTCTCGTTCCTTTGGTAACAGTGATTGGTCTAAATGTGCACATGTGACCCAAGCAAAGTCAATCCCATCCTTCAGTAGAACGTAAGTTGCAGGAGGGCAGGGAGTTTTGCCAGCAGTACTCAGTAGGTAGGGGCTCCATAAATACGTGCTGATTGAGCAGGTGAGTCTGATGGAGTTGCCGAGTGAGGGATGAGGGTGCTGGTGTGGGGCTGGTCTTGGTGGCCAGGAGAAGGTGTCAGGGTTACCACTAGCTTACACGGCATCTTATGTGTATTAGCAATAGGTGACTCCCCCAGGCAGATGAATTAGGAAAAATGTCTCTCTGGGGCAATGCTGCCTTATACCAGGACACAGAGCTTTGTAAGCAGAGCATTGAATGTATTTCAGCTCCCACCTGGCCCTTTGCTGGGGCCTTTGAGCAGTGCCCAGACTACCAACATACATGGACCCCACCTTCCCTTCCATGAAGACAGAACTGTGGGTGTATGAGGCTGAGAGAGAGAGACAGACAGATGGAGTCCTCAGAGTATCATTCAGTCCCTATATCCAGCCGGGCGCAGTGGCTCACGCCTGTAATCCCAGCACTTTGGGAGGCCGAGGTGGGTGGATCACGAGGTCAGAAGATAGAGACCATCCTGGCTAACACGGTGAAACCCCGTCTCTACTAAAAATCCAAAAACTTAGCCGGGCGTGGTGGTGGGCGCCTGTAGTCCCAGGTACTCGGGAGGCTGAGGCAGGAGAATGGCGTGAACCCGGGAGGCGGAGCCTGCAGTGAGCAGAGATTGCACCACTGCACTCCAGCCTGGAGCAAAACTCTGTCTCAAAAAAAAAAAAAAAATCCCTATATCCACGCCTGGGCTTCCTGTCATATGAGCCAATAAATTCCCTTTTCTGCTTCAGCTACTAACGTTGGGTTTCTATAGCTTCCCACTGATGACGTGTCCTGATCAAGGCACACAACCAAGTCTCGACCTTACAGTTCCTGAGACTCTGAGGTCCCTCCAAACCCATCCCTTTCATGGGCATGACGAACCAACAGTAACGTTATGGTTTACAGGAACTGGGCTCGAATCCAAAGAACAGGACCTTATTTCTAGTCCTGCCACATAGTCCCTGGAGCCTGCTGGCCTGGAATGGAATCCCAGATCCACCATCTACGGCCCCTATAACCTGGGGCATTTACTTAATCCCAGTGGGCCTGTTTCCTCACCTGCAAAATGAGGGTAATAGCAGTATTGACTTCATTGGTTGTTGAGGGAATTAAATGAGTTAATATGTATAATATTGAGTAGTACCTGGCACGTGGCAAGTTAATGTAGTAAGTAAATACCCACTTGGAGTGTTATTACTAACTGTGGACTCTTGAAGAAATCACTTTCCTTATCTGTAAAATGGGAATAAGAATTCTGAACTCAGAAGGTTGTTATGAAAGCTAAATGGGGGCCAGGCGTGGTGGCTGATGCCTGTAATCCCAACACTTTGGGAGGCCGAGGCAGTTGGATCACTTGAGGTCAGGAGTTCGAGACCAGCCTGGCCAACATGGTGAAACCCCATCTCTACTAAAAATATAAAAATTAGCTGGGCGTGGTGGAGGGTGCCTGTAATCCCAGCTACTCAGAAGGCTGAGGCAGGAGAATCACTTAAACCCGGGAGGCAGAGGTTGCGGCGAGCCAAGATTGTGCCACAGCACTCCAGCCTGGGCAACAGAGCAAGACTCCATCTCGAATAAATAAATAAATAAATAAAGCTTAATGGGGGCCATTGGGTGCAGTGGCTCACATCTGTAGTTCCAGCACTTTGGGAATCCAAGGCAGAAGGATGACTTGAGGCCAGGAGTTTGAGACTTGGCTTGGGCAACATAGTGAGACTCCATCTCTACAAAAAGCTTGAAAATTCGCCAGGCATGGGGACTTGTGCCTGTAGTCCCAGCTACTCAGGAGAGAGGCTGAGGCGGGAGGATTGCTTGAGTCCAGGAGTTTGAGGCTGCAGTGAGCCATGATCATGCCACTGCACTCCAGCCTGGATGACACAGGGAGGCCCAATATCAAAAAAAAAAAAAAAAAAAAAGTAAAGGAAGTTAAATGGGGTGAGTGGGCAGAGCTATCGGCACGGAGCCTCCCATACAGAATGTGCTCAGTGTTCATTGAATCGGAATCTTTGGCTGCTTTGTTGAAACCTTTGAGCCGAGTTCCCCTGCCGGAGCCAAGCAGAGACATGCCTGTACTTCAGCTGGAAGCCCAGCAATGA
The DNA here is from genome assembly GCF_000001405.40 of Homo sapiens. Classification (NCBI taxonomy): domain Eukaryota; kingdom Metazoa; phylum Chordata; class Mammalia; order Primates; family Hominidae; genus Homo; species Homo sapiens. The sequence goes on along the minus strand of NC_000001.11, from coordinate 11,316,919 downwards.
GGAAATAAATCCTCATGCACATTATTCCTGAGTAAAAGTTCTCCTGGGACATGGCTTGCTCAGAGCCCTCTCATTCCACAGCCAGCATGCTGCACAGACTTCAGCAGCCCACCTCTGGCTCACTCGCTCACTTGCTGGCAGGCTGGCTCATCCTCCAGGGGCAAGAGAAGGAGAGAGGAAAGGAAATGGAAAAGTCTCTGATGTGTCAGGGAGCCTGCCGGCCGCTGGTGAGCATCACGGAGTCCTAAAGCCCCACCTGCCAAATCAGCAGCCCAGTTCTCTGCCCGTGCTTGTAATTAGTCTGTCTGAGCATTTAGGGCAGCCCTGGGGAACAGAAAGGGTGGGCAGGAGGAGCTGGCGTAGGAGCACCTGAGGCTGGGGCTGCAGAGCAAAGCAGAGGGGAGCCACCTGAGAGGACCCCTGTCCAGGGGGAAGGGAGCAGCAGGGACCCATGCCCTGACATCCTGTCTGGAGACATGGCCTTCGGAGAGCCTGGCGGCACTAGCTGAACTGCCCACTGGCCTCTGACACCACAGCACTAGTCAGGACCTGGTTCCAGCCAGCCTGGACCATTTACTAGCTGTGGGACTGAAACTCGGGGAGGCAGAGGCAAGGGATCAATTTCCTCATCTGTAAAATGGGAATAAGCAACATCTGCCAAGGCCATCGATGTGGACATCGTCCTGAAATGGACAGCCTTCCCTGCCTCTGAGATGGCTCCGTGAAATAGAAGCTGTGGACGTCGTCCTGAAATGAACAGCCTTCCCTGCCCTTCGAGCAGGTGCGTCTTCTTCCCCAGGAGCTCTAGGCTTAGTGCTTCCCGGCTGACTCCTCTCCAGCTTCATTTCTGAGGAATGGGGAGCACTGAAGTTGATTCTCTATTTCAGAGATGGGAAGAAACAGACTCAGAGGGGAAGGCAGGGTAGGAAGGTCAAGTCAATAAGAGGCTGCTCCTGGGCTGATCTCAGAGACACATCACTTAACCTCTCAGACCTCAGCTTTCTTATCTGTAAAATGAGAGGGTGATGATAATAATAACGTAAAGATAAATCCTTAATAAAGCATGTGGCAGATAAGAAAGATTCAAAATAACAGCTGATCCATACTGACAATGGGCTATGCGGCAGGCACCAAGAGTGCTGTTATTATTATTATTATTGTTCTCATTAGCAAACAGAAGCTCCCCTCTTGTTTTTTCTCATGTCTGCTGAGATATCTTTTTTTTTTTTTTTTTTTTTTTTTGAGACAGAGTCTTGCTCTGTCGCCCAGGCTGGAGTGCAGTGGCGCGATCTCCACTCACTGCAACCTCCACCTCCTGGGTTCAAGTGATTCTCCTGCCTCAGCCTCCTAAGTAGCTGGGATTACAGGCACACATCACCACACCTGGCTAATTTTTGTACTTTTAGTAGAGATGGGGTTTCACCATGTTGGCCAGGCTGGTCTCGAACTCCTGACCTCAAGTGATCCGCCCGCCTCAGCCTCCCAAAGTGCTGGGATTACAGGCATGAGCCTCCGTGCCTGGCCTGGTGAGAGATCTTAAAACTGCTCTGCCTGTGCTGCTGCTGCTGCTGCTGTCTCCATTTCTTTCTCTCGAAGAAATGCCTTCTAGAAAGCTGCTCCCTCTGTAGATAACAAGATGGGCAGATAAGGCCATAAAATCAGCAGCCGGGCCTGGAGGAACCCAAGAACAGGGAGAGCAGCGTAGTGCTCTCTTCCTCCTAGTCCTGGGCAGGCCCTTCTCTGAGCCGCTGACTGCATTTTCCATCCAAGCACGTGAGGCTCAGAATCTGGCATCAGCTCAGAATGGGAGCAAAGAAGCAGAGCTTCCCAAGTGAGCTGCTGGGAAATCCGATAAAAAGGCTCCCTCCAACTCCCTAATTTGCTGAGATGATGATTTATGGAGACATCCGTCTTCCAGCCTAAATCTACTTCCTAGGACTTGGGCCATCATCGATGTAAACCTAATGAAAGGTTTATGAGTTACTGAGCTCCAGGTACTATTGATAAACCCTCTCACACGGTTGCTACGGCTCGTCCTCCGCAGAGCTGCCGTGGGTCTTTGAAGCAGACAGTGAGCCTCAAAAGTGGATCGTTTTAATACCTCCCTTCTGAAGAGGAAAGTCTGTGCTGCGCCTTCTTCCTCCCTCTGTGTGCTCGTCCTGCCCCTGCCAGCAGCCCCATCCACGTTCAGGGAGGCAGGGAGGAAGGGAGTCCAGGCTGGCCAAAGGCCTTGGGGCCAGCAGACACTTCCAGAAAAGACCATATGGAAGAGTTGTGAAGATGGACAGTGGTGACAGCTACACAACAATGTGAAGGTACTTAATGCCACTGCATGGTACACTGAAACATGGTTACATTGGGCCAGGTGTGGTGCCTCATGTCTGTAATCCCAGCACTTTGGGAGGCCGAGGCGGGCAGATCACTTGAGGTCAGGAGTTCGAGACCAGCCTGGCCAACATGGTGAAACCCCATCTCTGCTAAAAATACAAAAATTAGCTGGGCATGGTGGTACACACCTGTAATCCCAGCTACTCAGGAGGCTGAGGCAGGAGAATCGCTTGAACCTGGGAGGCGGAGGTTGCAGTGAGCCAAGATCGCGCCACTGCACTCAAGCCTGGGTGACAGAGCAAGACCCTATCTCAAAAAAAAGAAAAAAGAAAAAGATTAAAATGGAACATTTTGTATTATGTATAAATTATCACAATTTTTAATTTAAAAACAATGACCACCGCCCCTTAGCCTTTGGCTGTGCTCAACGCAGCCTGGGAAGACCTCATTTTCTGAACATCCTCAGGGGACAAAGTTGCACTGAGGCCTCATGACCTGTGGCCTGGAAAGCCCTCCAGGTATCTAACCTGTGTCTTTCTTGCTGTACCCTGAACTCCAATCCCTGCCTGATGAATGCGGCTCTCTTGCGGAAAGGAAATGTTGCCTAATGTCACAAATGCTATAAATATAAGGTTAACAGCATGGGCTCTGGAGGCAGAGTACTAGGGTTCAGTTCCTAGCTCTGCCACTTGAGAGCTGTGTGTCTTCAGCAAGCCACTTACCCTCCCTGTGCCTCAGTTTCCCCATCTATAAAATGGGAGGCACCTATCCTGCAGAGAGGCTGTAAGGAGTTAGTACTTTTGCCGTGCTCAGTACCAACTTCACACATAGCAAGCACTCCATAAAAGTGGACCCCTACTGTTTCCAGCCTCCCCATGCTCCAGTCACTGCTGAGAGCATCTTCTTTGGAGATGGAAGATGTGGCTATAAGCGGGGCAACAAGGAGAGGGTGGAGGTGGGTGAAGGGTGTGGGATGGTGCACAGTTTGGAGGGTCTACCTTCCTAGACTGATGTTGCCCATCATGATATCTGAAAAGGGGTCCTGGGGACACAGATATCACAACCTTTAGGGGCTGGCCATGTTGGCATCAGACACAGCCACTGCAGGAACCCCTGGCAGCCTGGCTGTCAGCAGTGATTGTCTAGAGTGCAGGGGAAGCTGGGAACAATAATGGGTGACCTTAAGGATGGTATGAGACTTCTGAGACCAGTTCATAAAAAAGCCATGGTAGGGGGCTGGGCACAGTGGCCTCATGCCTGTAATCCCAGCACTTTGGGAGGTTGAGGTAGGAGGATCACTTGAGGTCAGTTCGAGACCAGCCTGGGTAACATAGTGAGACCCCCATCTCTACCAAAGAAAAAACTAAAAATGAGCTAGGTGTGGTGGTGCCCGCCTATAGTCCCAGCTACTTGGGAGGCTGAGGTGGAAGGAGTGCTTGAGCCCAAGAGTTCGAGGCTGCAGTGGGCTATGATCCCACCACTGCACTCCAGCCTGGGTGACAGAGTGAGACCCTATCTCAAAAAAAAAAAAAAAAACAACCATGGCGGCTTTGGCCTGGTTCTTTCTCTTCTGTATCACCCACTCTGGGGAGTGCCAACACGTGGGGAGGCCTGTGCTGAAGGAGCCTAGCACCATGTGAGTTCTATCTTGGAGGTGGGTCCTCCAGCCCCAGCAAGACCCCTGACGACGGTGACCTCAGGAGAGACCCTGAACTCAGCTGCCCACAGGTTCCTGACCCACAGAAACTGGAATATAGAGATGTTTATTGTTGTCTTAAGCTGCTAAGTTTGGGGTAGCTCACTAATCCAGGTGGGAAGGGAGACAGATGGGAGGGCCAGGGTCCCTTCACCCTGCAGCATGGCACTCATGGAACACATCCACGGCTCTGCCCTCCCATCTGCCCTTTTATTCCAGTGAAATCCACTTCTGTGTTCTGCCACCTCCCAACACCCCGACACCCCCGCCCCCGCCCTTCCTGTCTTTTTGTCCTGACTATGCTGCTTTCTCAGTGGCTCCTGGCTGGGGTGAGGGGCTCAGCCCTTCTCACCTCCAGAGCTGGCAGCTGTCGGTCATCTAATAGAGAGATCGCAGAGCAGCTTCTGAGAGCGGCTGTGCAGAGCATGGGAAGCCCTGTAGATCTTAATCCTTTCCCTCTTTAATCTTTCTTCCTCGTTCTTTGGTCCACAGGTTTTCACACGCACTGCAGAGTTTCCAGAGATAAAGCCCCACAACCAGAGATGGCAAAGCACCTCCTTTCTCTGCCTCCAGAGAGGAGAATTCAGCCGAGCAGGAAACTACGGAGTCTCTGATTGGCTTCTGAGAGCTGGAGCAGTTTGTGAGTGTCAGGGACCCAGGAACCTCAGCCCCAGGCTGTCATTCCCTTCGGCTTCTGGCTCAGTCCTGCTGCATCTTATAAGGCCCCTGGGTGAACTAGGGGCTGGGAGGTGGTGCGTTACCCCTAGAGCAGCTGGGCCCACAGGCTCACCAGGCTGAGGGAGTGTGGCCTCACGATCAAGAGCAGGGGATTTTGAGGTCAGACAGGACTGGGAGCAAATCTCAGCCCTGCAGCTTCCTGCTGTGGGACTGTAGATAAATGACTGGGTTTCTCTGGGCCTGCAAAGCTCTCAATAAACAGGAGCAGCCAGCAGCAGGACTGGAGTCCACAGGTGATCTGTCTCTGACCTCAGGTGTCCACAACCATCCTCTCAGAAGACAGGCAAGCAAGGCAGCTCTCCTGCCCCTCAGCACTGGCCACGCTGGGACACAGTGGGACACCAGGACTTTAAGCCATCCTTTAGGCCAAAGAATCCCCACATAACAAATTCATTGTGTGCAATAAAGAACTTGGCTGCACCCCTATCGGGGCGTTTGAGATCCAAATTGCTGCCTTGGCACTTTGGAGACACAGAAAGGAGAAATGAGCTCAGGGTCTCTGGGAAAAGCCCTTTAAACCTGCTTGAGAAATCAGATTTGTCTGGCTGCGGCTCATCTGCCCTCCAGGTCTGGAATAAGGGGAAGGGACTCTGGAGGGCTGTCTGACAGGCATGGAAAGCAGTGGGCAAGGGAGGGCAAGGTTTAGGGAAAGAGGGTGACAGGGTGGCAGGATGGTTCATGCCTGTAATCCTAGCACTTAGGGAGGCTGAGGTGGGAGGATCAATTGAGGCCGGGAGTTCAAGACCAGCCTGAGCAACATAACAAGACCCTGTCTCTACTAAAAACATTAAAAATTAGCAGGATGTGGTGGCACATGCCTGTGGTCCCAGCTACTCAGGAGGCTGAGGTGGGAGGATTGCTTGTGCCCAGGAGGTCAAGGCTGCAGTGAGCCGTGACTAAGCCACTGCACTCCAGCCTGGGCAACAGAGCAAGACTCTGCCTCAAAACAAGACAACATAAAAAAACAGAGGATGACGGGGACACACCGACACAAAGGGCTTCCCAGGTATGCCTGGTCCCCTGAGTCAGGAAAGCTCTGGGGCGTTTGGAGAGAAGAGCACCCTTGATGGTGTTAGAATGAACAGCCCTGGAACTCACAGACACAGGCCAAGAAGCAGCCTGGCCCTCACTCAGGCCAAGCTCTGCCCTCCTCCCGCCATGCAGGCTTCACAAGTTTCCTCCCTTTCTCCCCAAGGCGGCCATTCTGCTTGCACACTCATTCGTTCATTCATTCAACACCCTTACCTGGAGCCTCCTCTGGGTGCCAATGAACAGAGAAGGGCAGAGTTGTAATTAATGAAATTCAATTTCTAAATGCCAGAGCTCAGTGGACCAATCATGATCGCTCACCCTCCTCAGCTATCCATTGAGGAATAGAGTTTCACGGGGGTGCCAAAGAAGGTGACAAAAACTGCCCGAGAGAGACTGGAAAAGCCTTCACAGATGAGGGCGCATTTCAGCTGGGTCTTGAAGGCTGAGTAGGAGTTCATCTTAGGAATGAAGAAGAGAAGGAGGAGGAGCAGAAAGGGCATTCCTGGCAAAGAAAGCAGCAAGGGGCAGGGAGGTGGGAAGGGGCAGGGAGGTGGGAAGGGGCAGGGAGGTGGGAGGGGCAGGGAGGTGGGAAGGGCAGGGTGGACTTGGGAGGTGGCAAAACACAGAAGTGGATTTCACTGGAATAAAAATCAGAGTGGACGTGAAGGGCAGAGCAATGGAGGCATTCCATGAATGCCACACTACAGGGTGAACGAACCCTGGGTCTGCCCACCCATCTCCCTCCCCACCTGGATTAGTGAGCTACCCTCAAACTTAGCAGCTTAAGACAACAATAAACATCTCCATCCCTATTCCAGTTTCTGTGGGTCAGGAGTCCAGGAGCAGCTGAGCTCAGGGTGTCTCCTGAGGTCGCTGTCATCAGGGGTCTTACTAGGGCTGGAGGACCCGCCTCCAAGATGGCACTCACATGGTGCTGGCTGTTAGCAGGAGGCCTGGGGTCCTCCCTACATGGGCCTCCCCACGTGGTGGCACTCCCCAGAGTGGGTGATACAAGAGAGAACCAGGCCAAAGCGATATCTTATTGGATACTCAGACCAGCCCTATTCAATATAAGAGAAGACCATGAAGGATGTATCAGGAGCTGGGGATTATTAGTAGTAGTAGTAGTATTGTCAGGAGCTGGGCCATCTTGGAGGCTGGCTGTCATGCCACCTCCTGTGGGCAGCCCTAGGCAGGTGTATTAGTCCCTTCTCACGCTGCTATGAAGAAATACCCAAGACTGAGTAAATTATAAAGGAAAGGTGTTTAATTGACTCATAGTTCGGCAGGGCTGGGGAGACCTTAGAAAACGTACAATCATGGCGGAAGGAGAAGCAAACACATCTTTCTTCACATGGTGGCAAGGAGAAAAATGGGAGCCGAGCGAAGGGGGAAGCCCCTTATAAAACCATCAGATCTCATGAGAACTTACATCACAATCACGAGAATAGCATGGGGGAAACCGTTCCCATGATTCAATTACCTCCCACCAGGTCCCTCCCGTGGGGCTGATGGGAACTACAATTCAAGATGAGATTTGGGTGGGGACCCAGCCAAACCACATCAGCAGGAGGAGCCCTGGTCTACAGAGTTTCAGGGAAGCACGCACTCAGCCCCTGAAGCAGGCTCTTTCATCAGTTTCCCCGACACTTTTCAAGGCAGCCTTCCAAGTGGTGGGTGTGATATGGGGCAGAGCTGGTGCTGACCATCTCTTGGGGAAGGGGTGGGGGGTAAAGAGGACTATCTGTGTCTCAAGCCATGGACTCTGCCAACACATAAGATCAAGCCCTTCCTGGCTTGATCTTGTGTCCAACTGCCCACATGGCTTCTGGAGTGGTTATCCTCAAAGCAGGCCCAAAATGTGCCCTCTAGCAAAACCCTGGGATGCTGCCAGTTGGATGATCCACACTCAGCAAGGACCAGCCATGCCAACAGGGTCCATGCAGGGGCCTGGGACCTGTGACCTGCGACCTGCTCAGAAGTTGGTGTGGTCATTGGGGGACTCCAGCGAGTCTGTAAATGTCCAGCCCAGGTCCTGGACAGCTGAGACCTGCCTGCCCCTTGGGCGGTACAGGCCTCGTATAATTGAAATGCCAGGCAGCACCTGCAGACAATTTTATCACACTCTGTATAATGTGTAAATACCATTAAGTTAGACAGATTTTCTCATTAATTCTTGGTCCCAGTGACAGACCAGGAATTAACACAATTGATTTTCCAGTCCCTACTCATTATCAATCATCTCCCAGAACTTAGTCACATTTCATCTGTTCCACCTGGGCCCCAGCATCTATTTGGAGGTTTCAATATATATTAAACTAATAAAGAGCAATGGGCACTGGCGTGTCAGCCCTGGAAACTGGTGGGGATGAGTGAAGAAACAAATCCTGGGAAGAAAGTTGCTTCCAGATTGAAGGCTTAGTCCCGCTCCTAGGATGCTGGCGCTGGCCAGCAGGGGCTCAGCAAAGGGTGTGGGTAACTGTATCAGTTATGAATTGCTGTGCGACAAACCACCCCAAGACTTAGTGGCTTAGAACAATAGTGTCTATTTGCTCACGGTCCTCTGGGTGGCCAATTTGGGCTGGGATCCTGGGCTCACTCGGGTGGCTGCAGTTGGCTGGTGGCTGGGATACCTGGAGGGTCTAAAGCCAGCCTCACACACACATCTGGTGGTTGGTGCTGGTTATCGGCCGGATGGTCTAGGGACTTCAGCTGGGATGGCCCTTCTCTGCTTTGAGTGGCATCTCATCCTTCAGGAAGCTGGACCAGACTCCTGGCATCACTTTTCACCAGATCCTTCTGGTCAAAGTAAGCCAAAAGACTGATCCAGATTCAAGGGGTGGGGAAAGAGACCCCACCTTCTGATGAGAAGAATGAGCCAAAGGCACATGACAGAGGGGTGTGCCACAGGGATGGGGGACTTATTGCAAACAGGACACAACAGAGACCAATCTGGGATCAGGTTATGGGGCCCTCCTCCAATGGGCAGTTTCTTTTCAACCCTTCACACCAAGAGATGATGGTTCTTATTCTTCAAGACCTTGGGACCCATCCAAGCAGGAGATAAATGTGCATTCCTGAGACCTGAACAACAACCACATCCAATGCTGAGCTAAGGGACAGGAGGCAGAGGGAAGAGGGAATCTGTGCCAAATTCTCTCTTTTTTTTTTTTTTTTCTGAGACAGAGTCTCGCTCTGTCACCCAGCCCAGGCTGGAGTGCAGTGGCTCAAACTCGGCTCACTGCAACCTCCACCTCCTGTGTTCAAGCGATTCTCCTGCCTCAGCCTCCCAAGTAGCTGGGACTACAGGCACGTGCCACCACGCTCAGCTAACTTTTTGTATTTCTAGTAGAGGTGGGGTTTCACCATGTTGGCCAGGCTGGTCTCGAACTCCTGACCTCAAGTGATCTACCCACCTTGGCCTCCCAAAGTGCTGGGATTATAGGTGTGAGTCTCCCCATCTGGCCAGCGATCTGTGCCAAATTCTTAATCCTGTCTCAGTGTGACTTCCTGCCACCTGAATGCTTCTGGACCATCTCACCTGAAGTTGAGTACTACTGTTTAGAAATTAGCAAGTGCATGCTCTTGCGTGCTCTTACCAATGTTAAAATTAGCAGGAACATGCACAATTACAAAAACGAATCTTTCACAAACGTGTATATTGTGCGGAATGTTCTAGTTCCGAGTCCAAGTAGAAAACAACTGTGGATTATCCGCTGCTTTCTACTGTGTCATCCCATCCTATCAGAGATAATTTAATTTCAATATTATGGAAGTCACAAATCTACTTCATAAAGGGCTTTGGCGGTAAACTTTTCCGTGAGGTGTAACATACATTCAGAAGGGTGCACAATTAAGTGTGTAATTCAATGAATCTTCACAAAGTGAATACATCTGTTTAAACAGACCCCTACCCCCACCCCAACAAGGGCAACTTCTGTCCTGCCTTCTGACACCATAGATTAGTTCTGCAGGATTGTGTAAGCATGGGGAACAGGCCTTTAAAAGCCCATGGCCCAAGTCCCAGAGGTAGGCAGTCACTGCCTTCTGAGCTATTGAATCAGGAGTCCCTGTTCGGAGGCAAGGATATAGCCTTCCAACTTCTCATGGCTCCTCCCCAGCCTAAGTCTTTGTGTTGCATCCTCAGGGCAAAGCCCTTTGGTCCAGAGCACACCTCTATTGCCACACCAGATCCGAGCATAGGAGCAGGGGTGGGCAGGTGGGTGGAAGAGTTGGGGGAGGGGAAAAGGGCCACCAGAGGGAAGCAAGACTTTGTGACGCGAACGCAGAAGAGCTGGGATGCAGTGAGGACAGGGAGTCGGGGGAGCTTTTGGGGACACTCTTGGAGCAGGAAAATGTGTGTGGCCCACAGGGGCTGGGGGCATTGCTTGGAGGGGCGACCCCTCCCCCGCCCCTCTGTGCCAGCATTCAGTAAGCCTGTGCGCCCACCTAGAATTATCCCTAGATAATCATCATCATCATCTTTATGGAAACCTTTTAAGATTAATTCTAGCTCTCCCTCTCCCTCTCCCTCTCTTTCCACGGTCTCCCTCTCCCTCTCTTTCCACGGTCTCCCTCTGATGCCGAGCCGAAGCTGGACTGTACTGCTGCCATCTCGGCTCACTGCAACCTCCCTGCCTGATTCTCCTGCCTCAGCCTGCTGAGTGCCTGCGATTGCAGGCGCACGCCGCCACGCCTTTCGGTTTTTTTTGGTGGAGATGGGGTTTCGCTGTGTTGGCCGGGCTGGTCTCCAGCTCCAAACCGCGAGTGATCCGCCATCCTCGGCCTCCCGAGGTGCCAGGATTGCAGACGGAGTCTCGTTCACTCAGTGCTCAATGTTGCCCAGGCTGGAGTGCAGTGGCGTGATCTCAGCTAGCTACAACCTTCACCTCCCAGCCGCCTGCCTTGGCCTCCCAAAGTGCCGAGATTGCAGCCTCTGCCCGGCCGCCACCCCGTCCGGGAAGTGAGGAGCGTCTCTGCCTGGCCGCCCATCGTCTGGGATGTGAGGAGCCCCTCTGCCTGGCCGCCCAGTCTAAGTGAGGAGCACCTCTTCCTGGCCGCCATCCTGTCTAGGAAGTGAGGAGCGTCTCTGCCCTGCCGCCCATCGTCTGAGATGTGGGGAGCGCCTCTGCCCCGCCGCCCCGTCTGGGATGTGAGGAGCGCCTCTGCCCGGCCGCGACCCCGTCTGGGAGGTGAGGAGCGTCTCTGCCCGGCCACCCCATCTGAGAAGTGAGGAGCCCCTCCGCCCGGCAGCCGCCCTGTCTGAGAAGTGAGGAGCCCCTCCGCCCGGCAGCCACCCCGTCTGAGAAGTGAGGAGCCCCTCCGCCCGCCAGCCGCCCCGTCTGAGAAGTGAGGAGCCCCTCCGCCCGCCAGCCGCCCCATCTGGGAAGTGAGGAGCGTCTCCGCCCAGCAGCCGCCCCGTCCGGGAGGGAGGTGGGGGCCAGCCCCCGTCCGGGAGGTGGGGGGCGCCTCAGCCCGGCCACCCCTTCTGGGAAGTGAGGAGCCCCTCTACCCGGCCGACACCCCATCTGGGAGGTGTACCCAACAGCTCATTGAGAACGGGCCATGATGACGATGGCGGTTTTGTCGAATAGAGAAGGGGGAAATGTGGGGAAAAGATAGAGAAATCAGATTGTTGCTGTGTCTGTGTAGAAAGAAGTAGACATGGGAGACTCCATTTTGTTCTGTACTAAGAAAAATTCTTCTGCCTTGGGATGCTGTTGATCTATGACCTTACCCCCAACCCGGTGCTCTCTGAAACATGTGCTGTGTCTACTCAGGGTTAAATGGATTAAGGGCGGTGCAAAATGTGCTTTGTTAAACAGACGCTTGAAGGCAGCATGCTCGCTAAGAGTCATCACCACTCCCTAATCTCAAGTACCCAGGGACACAAACACTGCGGTAGGCCGCAGGGTCCTCTGCCTAGGAAAACCAGAGACCTTTGTTCACTTGTTTATCTGCTGACCTTCCCTCCACTATTGTCCTATGACCCTGCCAAATCCCCCTATGCGAGAAACACCCAAGAATGATCAATTAAAAAAAAAAAGGGGTATATCAAAATTATATCTTGAGTTGCACTCAACTGTACAGTACACTATGTATATTTAATACTTTTAACTTTAAAATAACATTTTTCTCCATAGTATCTGGTTCTCTTAAAATATGATCTTGTGGATCTTGCAGAATAAAGCATCGAACATAAAAAAAAAAGATTAATTCTAATGTGCTTTATTAGGTGGCTTTTTCAGAAGTTCTGCAACAGAAAGGTGAAATAGGTTCTGAATGTTAAGCAGTAAGAGGTTATGAAGAGCATCTCTGCCTGGTAGCACCTCCCAGGTAATTAGCTCCCTAATACTCATCAGGTGAGGGGGATGGCAGAAGAGGGTCCTTCCCACACCCACTCAGTGACATTTTCTCTTCTTTCATCAAAATTGTCCAGGTGGGCCGGGGCACTCTCTGCTTTTGAAAAGCCCCTGGTGCTGGGCACAGTGGCTCACCCCTGTAATCCCAGCACTTTGGGAGGCCGAGGCAGGCGGATCACAAGGTTAGGAGATCGAGACCATCCTGGCTAGCACAGTGAAACCCCGTCTCTACTAAAAATACAAAAAAATTAGCCAGGCGTGGTGGTGGGTGCCTGTAGTCCCAGCTACTCTGGAGGCTGAGGCAGGAGAATGGTGTGAACCCGGGAGGCAGAGTTTGAAATGAGCCGAGATTGCACCACTGTACTCCAGCCTGGGCCACAGAGCGAGACTCCATCTCAAAAAAAGAAAAAAAGAAAAAGCCCCTGGTTAGGGGCCTGAGCTCACCTGCAATCAGTCCCCCAGTTCCAGCTGTTGGGGGAGACAGGCACAGAGACACATGTGTGAGGCTGGCTTTAGACCCTCCTGCCATCCCAGCCACCAGCCAACTGCAGCCACACGAATAAGTCCAGGAGAGCCCAGCCCAAATTGGCCACCCACGGGACCATGAGCAAACAGAAATTTGTTCTAAGCCACTAAGTCTTGGGGTGGTTTGCCATACAGCAATTCATGACTGATACAGTTACCAATGCCCTTTGTTGAGTCCCCACTAGCCATTGCCGGCATCCTGGATGGCAGGACTGAGCCCTCAAATGCTCTGTCCACTCTTACCATCTAGAAGCCGCAGAGCAGGGCGCAGGGTGTGGTAAGGCAGCAGGAACATGGGAGATGGATGGGGTGCTAGGGCCTCCGCCTCCACCCCATTTCTGTCCCTCATATCCCAATGAAATGTGGAGGGAGGTACCTATGGGGACAGAGGTGGCCCAATCTCTGAGCTTTCCCATTTTGAGGGTCAATAGAACATAAAAATGCATCCCACCTGGACGAAGTGGCTCATGCCCATAATCCCAGCACTTTGGGAGGCCAACGCAGAAGGATCACTTAAGCCCAGGAGTTGAAGATCAGCCGGGGCAACATAACAAAACCCCCATTTCTACAAAACATTTTTTAAAAATTAGGCGAGGCGTGCACACCTTTAGTCCCAGGTACTCAGGAGACTGGGGCAGGAGGATCCATTGAGCCCAAGAATTCGAGACTGCAGTGAGCTATGATTGCACCACCACGGCACTCCAGCCTGGGCAACAGTGCAAGACCCTGTCTCAAAAAAAAATAAATAAATAAAAATAAAAATAAAAAATAAAAAAAAGCATCTCTGATTCCAGCAAGGACGAGGAAGGCTGAGATAGCTCTTTAGGAGTCTGTACTTACACAGCCGGTCTCAAAGCAGAATAGGGCAACCAATGATGCATGCAGACAGGTCCCTCTCTGAACTGTTCCCCCTAGACCAGGTGCGCTGGCTCGTACCTGTAATCCCAGCAATTTAGGAGGCCAAGACAGGCGGATCACTTGAGGACAAGAGTTCGAGACCAGCCTGGCCAACATGGCGAAATACTGTCTCTACTAAAAATAGAAAAATTAGCCAAGCGTGGTGGTGCACGCCTGTAATCCCAGCTACTCAGGAGGCTGACGCAGGAGAATTGCTTGAACCCGGGAGGCAGAGGTTGCAGTGAGCTGAGATCGCACCACTGCACTCCAGCCCGGGCGAGAGAGCAAGACTCCATCTTGGAAAAAAAAAAAAAAAGAACTGCTTCCCCTAAATTCCTAATTCTCTCATACAGCTCCTCAGGTCCTCCCTCCCAGGACAGCAGCCCACAGAATGGACATCCCTCTTCTCATCTTTCCCTGATCAAAATGTCCCCATCTTGTGTAGCACTCATTTTAGGCCCTGATCCTCTGTTCTCCATGGTGACAAGCAGATTTTTTTTCCTCAATGAGAATCTCCTCAGTTATGTGCTCGTATTTTAGCAAGGACCTTTGAGAAATATAAGGCCTTTATTCAGAGGACTGACTAATGGTGGAATCTGAGGCACAGAGGCAGGTTGATGCAGAGCTATTTAGGTGCAGGAGAGCCTCAGAGCTCCCATTAAATCATAGCCATGGCTGACCTGATGGAAGAGAATGTATTGTCCTTTCCATGAAAAGTTTTCACCTGCAAACCAGTATGCTGCTGTCAGGAGTAGGGTTATGCCCTTAGGGATGTGCTTACGCCTGGGCAACATAGTGAGACCCCATCCCTACAAAAAATCAAAAAATTAGCCAGGCATGGTGGCATGTACCTGTGGTCCCAGCTACTCGGGAGGCTGAGGCAGGAGGATTGCTTGAGCCCTGGAGGCTGCAGTGAGCTGTGACTATGCCACTGCCACCCCTGTCTGGGAGCAAGACCTTGTCTCAAAAAAAAAAAAAAGAATGTGTTTAGCAAATCACTGCATGCATGGATGGATGGATGGATGAAGCCCAAACAAGAATGGAACAAAAGACCTTGATCTCATCAGCCCTTGACCTCATCCAATCTTCCAAACTCTGGCAGTCCAGGCAGAAGACCAGAGGTCCCCAGCATTCCTTCTTTGAAATGTCAGCTTAGGGCCCACTCCAGGTGCAGATCTAAGAGAGAAGGAAGGCGTCTCCTCCAAGAACTAGTCCTCAGCACCCACTGCCTTGGACCAACAAGCAGCTTCTCCCCAGGGCTGTCCCAGAAACACTGGGGCAGGGGGCAGGGGGTGCTTCCCTGCACCCATTCCATCCCAGACCCCAAGTCCCACAGAAGTGCATGCTTCTGGAAAGAGCCTGAAATAGTTACACGATTCTGTCTCCGTTTCTTTTTCCCCCTCCTGCGCTTAAGTGCCTATTAGGGACAAAGGGACAGGAACAGAGGACAATAACATCTGTTTTTCCAACAAGCTGGTGACAATGCGGATCTGGAGGCGGAGCGTGCATCAGCACTGGGGCCCAGATGCAGCCCTGCAGCTGCAGAAGCAACTGGCACTCCATCATTTATCAGGGAGATCACCCCCCAGTCAGCAGCTCCTCACTCGCTGGCATGTATCCTCACCCAGGGAGCCATCGCTGCTCTCGCTGGATCAGGCTAACCTCTCACTCTTTTTTTTTTTTTTTAAATCTCTGGTGGCTTTCAGGAGGAACCTGGAAGCCACAAGTCCTCCAATCTTAGTCCTGCCGTCTCAAGATTAGGACCAAGGATGGGACACAGAGCATGGCGGGAAAAGCACTGGGTTAGAAGTCAAAGGACTTGGCTTCTCATCCCAGCTCTGCCATCAGCTCTGAGACCTTGGGCTGCTGGGTCTGTTTGGGGACATTGAGAGCAAGCTGTTTAACTTGCTGAAGGAGCCTCAGTTTCCTCATCTATAAAATGGGAGCTATCATACCTCAGTCATGGAATTGCTAAGAGTCTCAAGTGTGGCCGGGCGCAGTGGCTCAAGCCTGTAATCCCAGCACTTTGGGAGGCCGAGGCGGGCGGACACGAGGTCAGGAGATCGAGACCATCCTGGCTAACATGGTGAAACCCTGTCTCTATTTTAAAAATACAAAAAAATTAGCCGGGCATGGTGGCGGGCGCCTGTAGTCCCAGCTACTTGGGAGGCTGAGGCAGGAGAATGGTGTGAACCCGGAAGGCGGAGCTTGCAGTGAGCCAAGATCGCGCCACTCACTGCACTCCAGCCTGGGTGACAGAGTGAGACTCCGTCTCAAAAAATAAATAAAAAATTTAAAAAAAGAGTCTCAAGTGTGAGAACACACATACACGATCCTAAGTTGGCTCAGACACAGAGTGACTGGGAGCAAGGGGGTGAGCCACGGCCGTGTGTGTTTCTGCAGGTGACCTGGAGGCCACTCCTGCCTAAACCTGACTCCAATGCCCAGACATGGCTGAGATGATTTACATCAGTCAGACTGCACAAAGCAAATAGAATCAACCATCCATTCACCAGGCATGGTGACTCACGTCTGTAACCCCAGCATTTTGGGAGGCCGAGGCAGGTGGATCACTTGAGGTCAGGAGTTCGAGACCAGCCTGGTCAACATGGTAAAACCCCGTGTCTACTAAAAATACAAAAATTAGCTGGGTGTGGTGGTGCATGCCTGTAGTACCAGCTACTCGGGAGGCTGAGGTGGGAGGATCACCTGAGCCTGGGGAGGCCGAGGCCTCAGTGAGCGGTGATCTTGCCACTGCACTCCAGCCTGGGCCACAGAGTGAGACCCTGTCTCAAAAAAAAAGACAGAAATTTTGAATAAACAAAAATTTTTTTTTGGCCGGGCGCAGTGGCTCATGCCTGTAATCCCAGCACTTTGAGAGGCCAAGGCTGGTAGATCACTTGAGGTCAGGAGTTCGAGACCAGCCTTGCCAACATGGTGAAACCCTGTCTTACTAAAAATACAAAAATTAGCCAGGCATGGTGGTGGGCGCCTGTAATCCCAGCTACTCAGGAGGCTGTGGCACAAGAATCACTTGAACCCAGGAGGCAGAGGTTGCAGTGAGCCAAGATCACACCACTGCACTCCAGCCTGGGTGACAGAGGGAGACTGTGTCTCAAAAAAAAAAAAATTGTAAAAGTTATTAGATGTCTTCAATGGAAAACCAAGCATTGTTTGGAGCAGAGCCTTCCTGCTATTTGACTCCTGGCTGGGCAACATGGCAAGACTCTGTCTCTACAAAAATTAGGCCGGGCATGGTGGCTCATGCGTATAATCCCAGTACTTTGGAAGGCCAAGATGGGTGGATCACCTGAGGCCAGGAGTTTGAGACCAGCCTGGCCAACATGGTGAAACCCTGTCTCTACTAAAAATATAAAAATTAGCTGGGCATGGTGGCACGCACCTGTAGTCCCAGCTACTCGGGAGGCTGAGGCAGGAGAATCACTTAAACCTGGGAGGCAGAGGTTGCAGTGAGCTGAGATCGTGCCACTGCACTCCAGCTTGGGCAACAGAGAGACTCTGTCTCAAAAAAAAAAAAAAAAATCCATCAAACTGTGAAGACCCCTGAGACCCTGTCTCTGATGGAGCCCCTCAATCCTACCTCTTCCCCCTCTTCTCCAACATCCAAGGCCACCAGCATGACAAGCCGGCCACATGCCTGGGCAGCTCAGAGGAGCCATGGGAAGGGTTAAGGGAAGGAAAGGCAAGGAGGAGAGGCCGGAAAGAGGGTGGGAGATGAAGACAATAACAAAAGAGGCAGCTGTGAGTCTTTCAACATTTTAAAAGAGATTGAAATTGAAAACGAGAATTATAAAAGGCAACCGATCACGCTTTGCTCCCCCCTTCAAAAGAAAGAAGTGTTGAAAATGAAAAAGACTGTTAACCAAATGAGTGCTGCTTTTAGAGTTGGAAGAGAACCAGTCCAGGCCATGTGTGGTGCTCCTGTGCGGTGGTTGTGATCCCGAGCAAGTCACTGAACCACTCAGCCCATGAAACAAGCCGAGCATGCACCTCTCAGGGCCATAGGGAGGCCAGCGTGAGAAAAGCACGGAGAAAGCTTCAGTGAACCCCAAGTTGCTGCCCGGATCCAGCGTCTGGTGGCTCTCACTGTGACTGTGGTTAGGCGGCCTTGACATGTTGCTGTCATGCCCGCCACTGAGAGAAACAAGGGAATGAGTATCAAGGATGACCCAGGGCAGGCAGTGGGGTTTCCAGGGCAGGGCCTCTCCTGGGGAAGCCCATCTTCTCCCACCTCTCATGCAGTGAGATTGGCTGCAGCCACTGTGATGGCCTAGGGCATGGATTACACCGTGCTCTGCCCTGCTTGACTGACTTGGTTATCTTCGCTCCTCACCATCCCCTCCCTGTTCCTTCTTGGAAATGGAATGGCTCTTCTCAGCACAGCCACCCAGCCCCTGCACCCAGCCTCTGTGCCAAGCTGGCAGGATAACGAATGGCTCCACCTCCTCCTCGCCTCCGTCAGGAGGGGCTCTGAGCAACCCTCTGCTCACAGCCCTCTGTGGTTTCCCCTTATCCTCCTTGGAGCTGCATGGAGACTGCTTGTCTAGACATTGAGATGGCTTTACCAGGTGTCGCTCACTGCATTGGGTTCCCTTCACGTTCAGCACCTACTGAATACCCAGGATAATAACTGCACCACTGCGGGGTGCAGGAGGTGTCCCCAAATGTCCATAAGTGTACACACATATGTGCACACATGCACATGGGAAACTTTTATTTATTTATTTATTTATTTATTTATTTATTTATTTTTGGAGACAGGGTCTCATTCTGTCACCCAGGCTGGAGTGCAATGGCACAATCTCAGCTCACTGCAACCTCCACCTCCCAGGTTTAAGTGATTCTCCTGCCTCAGCCTCCGGAGTAGCTGGGATTACAATATGTGCCACCATGCCCGGCTAATTTTTGTATTTTTAGTAGAGATGGGTTTTTGCCACATTGGCCAGGCTGGTCTCAAACACTTGACCTCAGGTGATTCACCTGCCTCGGTCTCCCAAAGTGCTGGGATTACAGGCATAAGCCACTGTGTCTGGCCCAATTTTTTAAAATATAATAACAACTCTGGTGGGGAGCAATGGCTCATGCCTGTAATCCCAACACTTTGGGAGGCCAGAGTGGGTGGATCACTTGAGGTCAGGAGTTTGAGACCAGCCTGACCAACATGGTGAAACCCTTCTCTACTAAAAATACAAAATTAGCTGGGCATGGTGGTGCATGCTGTAATCCCAGCTATTCGGGAGGCTGAGGCAGGATAATCGCTTGAACCCAGAAGATGGAGGTGGCAGTGAGCCGAGATCGTGCCACTGCACTTCAGCCTGGGCAACAAGAGCAAAACTTCGTCTCAAAAAAAAAACAAAAAAACAAAAAACAATAATAGTAAAAGTAATAGTAACAACTCTGGTAAAACAGACATCAGATGTTTTCCAGTTTTCTTCCCTTGTTGAATGAACCTGGACTGCAGCCCAAGGGGATGTTATCTTTCCCTTGTACCTAGAGATTCCTAAAGCCTCTCTGAAGGACAGGCCACTCACAGCCACATGTAAGACCACCTGTCTCTCCATCCAGGACTTCTTCAGCGCATTCTCAACTGTCAAGCCTCCAGGGCTGTGAAGCATTCGAATGAGAAGTCACCTTGACAATCTTTGACCCCAAGGCCAAGACCCCAACTTTTTCATAGTCACCCCACCAGGATTCTGATCTCAGCACAGCCAGGCTTGGCTCTCCTGACAGAAGGGCTGCAGATGGGTCATCCTTTGGTTTCTGCATGGAACTTATCCTGGTGCCAGGGCAGAGCCCCTCGGAATCACCAAATGGACACCCCCACCCCCATACACAGAGTGCCATTCAGGCTACTATAGCAAAATACCATTAAACTAGATGGCTTATACACAACAGAAATGTCTCACAGGTCTGGGGGCTGAGAAGTCCAAAACCAAGGCAGATTTGGTTTGGTGAAGGCCACTTTCTGGTTCATAGATAGTGCCTTCCAGCTGTGTCCTCCCATGGAGGAAGGAGCAAGGCAGCTCCCTGGGGTCTCTTTGATCAGGGCACTAATACTCTACCCATGAGGACTCTACTCTCGTGACCTAATCACCTCCCAAAGTTGCCACCTCCTAATACAATCATGTTGGGGATTAGGCTTCAACATAGGATTCAACATTAGGATTCAACATGAATCTGGGAGGATACAACATTCAAACCACAGCAGAGAGTTTCACAATGAATAGTTGTTTCTTTTCTATCTCCCTTACTATCATATAAGCTCTGGGAGCATAGAGATCTGGTCTTGTTCATTTTCTATGTTTAGTTTTAATACAGTTCCTGGTACTTATCAGGTGCTCAATACATGTTTGTTGAATGAATGAATGAATGTACCAGGCACTGTGCTGAGTACTGGGAAGAACATGGACCCTCAGCCATGGGCCCTCTGCCTTGGTAGGAAAGTCTAAGATTACACAAAAAACAACATTCTAAAATAGTCATCCATAAGAAAGGAAAGGGGGCTGGAAGCAGTGGCTCAGGCTTGTAATCCCAGCACTTTGGGAGGCTGAGGCGGGCGGATTGCTTTAGCCTAAGAGCTGGAGACCAGCCTGGGCAACATGGTGAAATCTTGTCTCTATAAAAAATACAAAAATTAGCTGGGCATGGTGGTGCAAGCCTGTAGTCCAAGCTACTCTGGAGGCTGAGGTGGGAAGATCACCTGAGCCCAGGGAGGTTGAGGCTGCAGTAAGCCATGATTGTGCTACTGCACTCCACCCTGGGCTACAGAGTGAGATCCTGTCTCAAAACAAAGGGGGGGACAGGGGGAACTCACTTTATGAAGTGCCTACTACTCACCAGGCACATGCTAAGTACTCTGTGAGCACTACCTCATTTAAACCCAAAATTACCCTACAGGGCAAATCCTATCATCCTCCTTTGCAGAGGAGGCACCGGAAGCTCAAAGAGGTTATGTAGCTTGTCTGAGGGTATCCCGGGGGTGAGTGATCGAGCCTGGACTTCTACCCACCCAGTGCTGCCAGACTCGAAAGCCCAAACTCTTTCCACTTCACCAGTCAAGCTCCAGGAGTGATATAAGGTGTGCCTGTTTGTCTGTCTGTCCTCTGGAGAGTGTAAGTTTCCTGAGGACAGGGATAAGGTCTCATTTACCATGATACCTCCCAGAGCTTAGCAAGTGCCTGTAACATAATACTTGTTCAATAAATTGACTGGTCTTGCAGCCACCTGCAGATGGCATCAGAGGAGATCTAGTCATAGATAGTGAATTGATCGCAGTCTGGAACAATGGGGCATGGAGAAGTTCATCTCTTCTGCCCTCATTTCCCCACAGCCTTTATGCCTCTATGTCTCACACATGGCTGTGAGTGGCCTGTCCTTCAGAGGGGCTTTAAGGATCTCTAGGGACAAGTGTCTATGTTGACACTTGAGGTGGCAGGATAATGTATGCATGTAGCTTTTGCTATTAGTTCACTGTGTGTCCTCAAAGGGCAGGGGTGTGCCTCGTTTATCTTGCCTCCTGGGACAGAGCAGGCTCTCAGTAAAGGTCTTTGGCCAAGGCAAGTGTCAGCTGGAAGGCCCTCATTGGTGACCATGGTGACCTCTGACCCCCTCAGCACTTCCCCTGAATCTGAGGGCCTCCCACCTGGTATTCCCTTGGCCTCAATGTGGCCCAGGGCTGAGGGGCTCCCCTGACTCGCAGGAGACTTGGGCTCAGCGCTCCTGCTTCACGGGATGCTTTCCCTGGCCTTGTCTCTCCAGGCCATTCATCTTGATTAGGTATTGGCAGCTGTGGATGATTAAATGCCCCGCCATTCTCTCTTGTTTGTTTCTCAGCAAGGAAGTGTCGGAGTTTTCATTCTGCAGAAGGCTTTGACCTTGGCAGTGGTCAGAGTGCCCTTGGCACACCTGCCTCAATGCTCCAGTTGTCTAACTGCACAGCCAAAAGAGGCTGATTAAGGAAAACTTCGAGTCTTACTCTCTCAGGCAGCAACAGGGGGGCTTTCTCCAGCTGGGGGAATTGAGCTGTCCATCAGCACCTCGGTTTCCATGGAACAGTCACCTCTTATGGCCACCTCTTCCTAGAAACCTTGATCGCCGCTCATTGTCACCTCTTCCTGGAAGCCTTCCTGATACCCAGCAGCCCCATCTCTACCTTGATGTTCTGTGGTCGTTGTTTATTCTATGGTTCACGTGTGTCAACTTCCTCTCCCTCCACACAGCACACTGAACCCGAAGAGTTGAGTATCCTGTGTCCTGAACATGCATACAATTGTCAGCTCCAGATGCTGCCCACCCCGAGGCAGGAAGGGGCTCACTTCCCTCTCCTCGAAGGTGGCCAGCCCCATTCTCAGGAGGCAGGTCTAGAAGGCAGGTCACTAGGCAGTTTCTGGGAGCTTGAGCACTGGCTGCTCCTGATGTGGGCACTCTGCTTCAGTGGCTAGATGAGGACTGGAAGAGACGAGACGAATGAGGACAGACAGATGAGGGGACAGGAGCATAAATTTAACCTGAGACTGAACCTTCGCCTCCATCATCGTGGGTAGGCAGGAGCCACTCTCCATTATCTGGGGATGGGCAGACTTTGACTTGTAACTTTCGCCCAGCCAGCCAGAGTAGGTTAGACCAACAAGCTTAGTTACTATCCCCACAGAGCTGGCCCCTGGGGGTGTTGGTAGGAATGCCACCAGCCAGGAAGCAGCCATCCCACCCTGATGGGAACCACCTCTGTGGCACTGGCACATGGGCCACCTCTGTAGGCCTATAGCTGGCCCCAACACTCACACACTTGGGAGCGGCTAAGGGCAGACCAATGGATTGAGTCCCTTACAAGCAAGGAACTGCAGGGCAAGAGAGATGAGGGGCAGTTTGTAGTGAAGGCTGGGTGTGGTGGCTCACACCTGTAGTCCCAACGCTTTGGGAGGCCAAGGTAAGACTGCTTGAGGCCAGGAGTTTGAGACCAGCCTGGCCAACATAATGAGACCCTGTCTCAATTTTTTAATTAAAAATAATAATAATAAAAGAACTTGCACTGAATTAGAGCAAGATTTGAATCATGGTTCTATCACTTACTAGCCAGATGACCCTAGACAAGTTTAATAATCTCCCTGAACCTCAGTTTCCTCTCTTATGAAAAAGAGACCTTAATATCCAATTCGTGGGGTTGTTATGAGCACTAAAAGAATGTATTTAAGCATCAGAACAGTGCCTGGTCCATAGTGAGCATTCAACAAATGACAGCTTTATTACTGCCATTCCCTCGGCCAGTCATCCAACGTTTATTTATTTAGAGACTTCTACGTGCCAGGAATATGAGCTGGATCTTAAAAGCTCTTAAGAGTACTGCCATGGGGCCAGGCACAGTGGCTCATGCCTGTAATCCAAGCACTTTGGGAGGCTGAGGCAGGTGGATCACCTGAGATCAGTTCGAAACCAGCCTGGCCAACATGGTGAAATCCCGTTTCTACTACAAATACAAAAATTAGCTGGGCATGGTGGTGGGTGCCTGTAATCCCAGCTGCTTGGGAGGCTGAGGCAGGAGAATCGCTTGAACTCAGGAGGCAGAGGTTGCAGCGAGCCGAGATCGTGCCATTGCACTCCAGCCTGGGTGACAAGAGCAAAACTCCATCTCAAAATAATAATAATAATAAGTTACTGCCATGGTTCTCCTCTACTCCCAACCCCAAGTGGAACTCACCTGTCCTTACTGACAGCTGATGTGATGCAGTGGTCCAAACTCTCACACCTGTCAGTCAGCCCTGGAGGGCCCAGCCCTTCCCATGTAACTCAGTCATTCAACAACCAGTTACTGACTGCCTGCTCTGTTGCACCATGCACTGTGCTAGTGCTGAGATGGGCTGGAAAAGAAAACATGGTCCTTATACTCTAGTCCTACCACTTACTGGGAGAAATTGACAATAAACATGTTGGCAAAATAATAGGTGAGTAACACATGCTATGCTTTTGTCTTCCCTGTTAAACCCATTTGTGATCCTAATGGGAGGCAATTCTAAGCCAAGCTGGGGGAGACAGGGGCCAGGATATGGCAGGACCGTGGGAGTGCGGAATTTGGAGGACCCCTTGAATCACACCACACAGAGCCCTGCCCCTTGGGATCCCTTAACATCATAGAAGCGCCCAGACCAACTTGTGATACCCCACTCAGCCTGGTTGGGAGCATGTGATCAAAGCCCTCACTGTTCCTCCCAGAGCTCCAGCATCTTCTGAAGTGAGTCTGTGCCTTGCAATTACAGCCTTTCCCTGACCCCAGGAAGCCGTTTGCAAGCCTCCTGATGAGCCCAGACTCAGCCTTTGCCCCCTCCTCAGGCAGGAACCCAACTTGGTTTATACCACCATTTGCCATCCTAGCTTAGTCACTCACAGTGGGAGGGCTGTCCCAGTTTGAAGAAGGGCAGGTCACAAATGTCAACTGGCTGGAACCCAAGTGCCAGGTTCTTGCCAGAGGCATTCCTTTTACACCAGCCTGCACAGTCTGGAGCCCATAATGAAAGAGGCTGACAGTCCATTAGCAGCAGAGTGGTCCGCAGGGCTCAGAGAGGAGCTGTCATCCCTCTCACTTCAAGGGCTTTCGAGGTGAAATCAACTCTGTGAGTGTGTGTGTGTGTGTGTGTGTGTGTGTGTGTGTGTGTGTGTGTATACATAAAATCTTTTAAAAAAAGAATATCAATCACAGCTGTTCCTGTTAAGATGGCCAGACAGTCAACAGTCTGACATCAAGAAGAAATGTCAACACGGCTCTTGTACTCTGTCCTCCCAACCCGTGGGGCAGGTCTGAAAGACTATCCCGTAATAACAGAACAACTGAATCACAGGATTGGAAGACCCTTAGAGGTCTTCTCATCCAACGCCTCTCTGATGCGACTCTTCACACCCATGTTCCTGACGAGGAATCATCTTTTCGCTTGAATGCCTCTAGTCACAAGGAACTCACCCCCAACTGAGACATTCTGAACATCCCCCTCGCTGATTCCTCTAATGGCTAAGAAACCTTCCTGATCTGGCCAGGTGTGGTGGCTCAAGCCTGTAATCCCAGTACTTTGGGAGGCCGAGGCAGGTGGATCACCTGAGGTCAGGAGTTCAAAACCAGCCTGGCCAACATGGTGAAACCCCATCTATACTAAAAACACAAAAATTAGCTGGACATGGTGGCACACACCTGTTAATCCCAGCTACTCAGGAGGCTGAGGCAGGAGAATCGCTTGAACCCTGGAGGCAGAGGTTGCAGCGAGCTGAGATTGCACCATTGCACTCCAGCCTGGGCGACAAGAGCGAAACTCCGTCTCAAAAAAAAAAAGAAAAAAGAAAGAATGAAAGAAACCTTCCTGAGCTAAGAGCTTCAACTTGGGGACATATAACTTCTACCCATTAGTCCTAGTTTTACCCTTTGAAGCCACACGCAAAAAAAAGTTTTAAAAAAAAAAGTCCAACCCGTCTTCCCGAAGACAGCCTTCTTGTGACTCTCCTTTCCAGGCTGACATGGCTTTATGTGCCCCCACCCATCTGCCAACCGCATTCAGGACAAGATCCACTTTGTTGATAACATCTTCAAAGTGTGGTTCTTACACTGAGAAATGGAAATCTCTACTGCAGCCGTTACCAATGCAAACACACACGCGTGCACACACATGCATATAGAAAGCAAGCTCCTGTAATTGTCTTTTCATCCATTCCATATTTCTTTTTTTTTTTTTTTTTTTGAGATGAAGTCTCGCTCTGTCACCCAGGCTGGAGTGCAGTGGCACGATCTTAGCTGACTGCAATCTCTGCCTCCCGGGTTCAGGTAGTTCTCCTGCCTCAGCCTCCCGAGTCGCTGGGATTACAGTTGTGCACCACCACGCCCAGCTAATTTTTGTATTTTTGTAGAGACAGGGTTTTGCCATATTGGCCAGGCTGGCCTAGAACTCCTGAACTCAAGTGATCCACCCACCTTGACCTCCCAAAGTGCTGGGATAACAGGCATGAGCCACCGTGATTGGCCCCATTCCATATTTCATAGCATGTTGTCAAATGCCTTGCTGAAATCCAAGTATATTATATCCACAGCATGTTCTTGATCTCTCACCACACTGATTCTATTAATATCTAGAGAAAAGAAAGAAGGCAAGAAAGTGCCCAGGACTGGCCCCAGCCCAGCATGAGAAGAATGACAGGGATGGGCAGAATTTCTGCCTTCCTTATTCTGGACGCTAATTCTCCTGTTAATTCTAGCTCAGATCATATTAAATTCTAGCTCAGATCATATTAATCTGCATGGAAGTTGGAGCTCATTACTGACTCAGACTAAGCTTTGGCCCAGGTCAAAGGCTCAGGTGTTGGTTATTTTATTTATTTGTTTATTTAGGAGACACAGTCTTGCTCTGTTGTCCAGGCTGGAGTGCAGTGGCGTGATCTCGGCTCACTGCAACCTCCGCTTCCTGGGTTCAAGAGATTCTGCCACCTCAGCCTCCCAAGTAGCTGGGATTACAGGTGCTAATTTTTGTATTTCTTTGTAAAGACAGGGTTTCACCATGTTGGCCAGGCTGGTCTTGAATTCCTGACCTCAAGTGATCCACCCATCTCGGTCTCCCAAAGTGCTGGGATTACAGGCGTAAGCCACCACACCTGGCCTGGTGGTTTTAATACAGGAGTAACGGAAGCGTTAGTAAGACAACATAGGATATATTCATATCTTTTCCCACCCG
Source organism: Homo sapiens (assembly GCF_000001405.40). Lineage (NCBI taxonomy): Eukaryota > Metazoa > Chordata > Mammalia > Primates > Hominidae > Homo > Homo sapiens. The sequence continues at coordinate 11,290,622 of NC_000001.11, read as the reverse complement.
ACTCCAGAAGTCAGCACCAAGCTTCCAAAGGTGCCCTGAGTGGGATTCAGCACAAAGGTCCTGCAAAGCGTAGAGAAGAAGGGAAATGCTTTGAGTAGGGGAGGTGGATGGAGCATTATCATAGGTAGAGTGGTAGTGCTCCAAGACTGGGCAGAAATGTGACTGGAGTAGCAGGATCTGTGCCCCACTGGCACTTGTCACCAGGAAGGGGCTTTATGAACCCTTCTAGAGGAGCAGTGTCCAAGACAAGGGCAGATTCCAGGGCCAAACCCCAGCATCCAGTAGCAGAGAGGTGACCTTACAGATGGTAAGCAAAAATCCCTGGCTCTGGCCCCACAGAGGCCAGGAGTTCTGGGTGATCCCAGACATTTGGGAGGGTGCTCAAGAGGTAGCTGGCATTGAATTTTCAGCCACCTGCCTGGGGAGCAGAATAAATCTGACTCCAAGAAATAAAGGCAGCCAGGCACGGGGGCTCACGCCTGTAATCTCAGCACTTTGGGAGGCCCAGATGGGTAGATAGCCTGAGGTCAGGATTTCGAGACCAGCCTGGCCAACATGGTAAAACCCCGTCTCTACTAAAAATACAAAAATTATGCCAGGTGCGGTGGCTCACACCTGTAATCCCAGCACTTTGGGAGGCCAAGGCGGGTGAATCTCAAGGTCAGGAGTTTGAGACCAGCCTGGCCAACATGGTGAAACCCCTTCTCTACTAAAAATACAAAAAATTAGCTGGGCATAGTGGCGGGTGCCTGTAATGCCAGCTACTCAGGAGGCTAAGGTGGGAGAATCGCTTGAACCCAGGAAGCAGAGGTTGCAGTGAGCCGAGATTGCGCCACTGCACTCTAGCCCGTGCGACAGAGTGAGATATATATAAAACATATATATACAAAAATTAGCTAGGTGTGGTGGTACGTGCCTGTAATCCCAGCTACTGGGGAGGCTGAGGCAGGAGAATGGCTTTGAATCCGGGAGGCAGAGGTTGCAGTGAGCCGAGATCACGCCACTCCATTCTAGCCCAGGCGACACTGAGACATAGTCTCAAAAAAAATAATAAATAAATAAATAAAGACAAGTGATGTCAGATTCCAGTCACTGAGAAAACTCATACCCCCCTATCTCCATGGCTGTCACATCATGGCTCTCCCCCTCTCTGATGTTTATGCTGTTGATTTTGGGACCTTAGTGTATTGCTTTGTATTTATTCACACTACATTTTTCTTTTGACCCATCAAAGCAGCCTTTTGATTTATGAGGCTCCTAATTGTCATTTTGTAAGCTCTTCCTCCAAGGTTCATGAAACCTTTCATTTTGGCTGCCTCATCCGCGTCATTAATAACAGGTGTTGAATCCAGCGGAGCAAAGGGCAGAGGACAGGGCTCCAACTGCTACTAAGGGCTCCTTCCCAGCTGCCACTGACATGCTGATCAGTTAGCTCTCTCCCACCGCCTGCTCAGTCTCTCAGGAATTTATCTAACTCCACTGTTATCCATCCCACGTCTCTCTGCCTTGTTCATAGGATATATTGTCCAATGCCTAGCTGAAACCCACATGTACTCAATCTACCTCATGTTCTCCATCTAGCAGCACAGTGACCCTATCAAGAAAAAGAAAAATGAAACGAGGTTAATCTGGCCTGACTGCTGACTGGCTCTTGGCAAATCCACTGTAGCTACATGCAGCCCTCAACGTTTTTTGTTTTGTTTTTTTTTTTGAGACAGTGTCTCGCTCTGTCGCCCAGGCGGATGTGCAGTGGCGTGATCATACCTCACTGCAGCCTCGACCTGCTAGGTTCAAGCGATCCTTCCACCTCAGCCTCCTGAGTAGCTGAGACTACAGGCATGCACCACCACGCCCAGCTAACTTTTTAAAATTTTTTTTGTAGAGATGGGGTCTTACTACGTTACTTAGGCTGGTCTCAAACTCCTGGGCTCAAGCAATCCTCTCACCTTGGCCTCACAAATTACTGTGATTACAAGCGTGAGCCACCATGCCCAGTCCCTGCTGCCTTTTCTAAAGGCCTGTCGAATCTGGTCAAACCCTACCCAAACTCATCACCAAAGACCAGGTGCCCCTCTGCACAGCCTGAATGTCCAATGTCACTGCCTTGGTCTCCCTGAGATTTACAAATCAGAGTTCACAATCAGACAGTAAGTATGAGGAAAGCAAAAACCAGAAGCCAGACCATTGGTGAACATTTTCTTTCTTCTCTTTTTAATTAAGAAGTCTAAAGAAAACCTTCATTGACTCAGGGAACATAATACAAATTATGGTGACCTGCGTATAAAACCTGGCAACAAATTTGGCCTTTGGGAACATTTATATATAAAAATATGCATTAAAATCCGCACCAGGGCACAGTGCAGAACTGATAGCCCCGATGGGAGTGACCACCAAGGCATACGTGGTCCGTGGACGCAGGGAGCCCTTGGTCCTCCTGCCTCAGGGTGAGCCCTGCATGAGAATGGCCTACTCCAAGGAGAGGTCAGAAGGCAAAACCCCTGTGAGCACCAAAATGCCACAAGCCTGGTGTGAAACAAAAATGGTGCTGGGAAGGACTGGGGAGAAGGTCATCTTTCTTCCCCTTGTCTCTGGGCTCTGCCCACTATTAGAAGATTCTGGCTCTCTGCTAGACAAACCACCTTTGATTTAACTTTAGAGGAACTTTTGCAATTTTCTTTTTCTTTTTTTTTTTTTGAGACGGAGTCTTGCTGTGTCCCCCAGGTTGGAGTGCAGTGGCATGATCTCAGCTCACTGCAAGCTCCGCCTCCTGGGTTCACGCCATGCTCCTGCCTCAGCCGCCCAGGTAGCTGGGACTACAGGCGCCCGCCAACACGCCTGGCTAATTTTTTGTATTTTTAGTAGAAACGGGGTTTCACCGTGTTAGCCAAGATGGTCTCGATCTCCTGACCTCGTGATCCGCCCGTCTCGGCCTCCCAAAGTGCTGGGATTACAGGCATGAGCCACCGCGCCCGGCGGAACTTTTGCAATTTTCAAACATGTTTTTTTCCAAGTAAACCAATCAATTCGAACTCAAGGTTCCATATCATCATTAGCTTGATCTGAAAGATTAAGAACTAGTTCTTACATCATTTTCTGCAGGCCATGACCTTAAACGCCTACTAGAATGGCTATAATCACAACAGAAAACAATGATGACCCATTTCCAATCTATAGTCCTGGATCAAATGCAACTGAGCAATTCTGGCCCAGAAATTATACTTCACAGACAATGCAATGAAACGCAGCCAGGATAAATGCTGGAATTGCCCCACTCTGAGTGTGATCTCACTAAAGCCCTCAACTATCTTTCCACAAAGCCCTGGGGAGAGGCAGGGTCAATATTGCACATCTGTCTTCAAGGATGAAGACACAGCCCCTTAACTGGCAGGGCCCATCACTCTGGCTGAACAGAGCTCAAGACTGTTTGTCCACTGGCTATTCATTCCCTGGGTCCCTGCTCTGCCCATCCTGTGGCTCTGTGGAAAGTGGCAGCTGTCCCTGACTCGCTGCTAAGCTATTGCTCAGTCTGGCTCCACAGATGGGAAACACACAAATGGGAACACCACAGAGGTGGAGAGGTGGAGGGTAGGTGTGGGGAGCATCAGAAGATGCAATAGGGAGGGAAAAGCCCTGTGGGCTTTGAGTATCCCACAAGGATGGCAGTGCCTCTACCGTTTCAGGGCTCCTGATAGTTACTGAAAGGGCTGGGAGTCCTTCCTGTCACTCTAGTAGATTCAACAAAGGGAAAACAGCCACCCTACTGATTCCTATCCAAAAGCAGTGATTTTCTCAGTTGCCTCCAGAGTGGTTTTTTTTTCCCTCCCAGTCCTTGGCTTGTCTTGCTGCAGGGTAATCTGACACTTTTCCTCAACTGTGGCAATAAGTGAAAGGAGAGAGAACAAAAGCATCTGAATCACAATTTAGGCAAAAAGCTGACAGCCACACAGGCTGTTAATGAGGGACTCTCTCTGTCTCAGGCAGCGTATCTCAGGACACAGGTGCTGAGAATAAGAGACAGGTAGCCCCTGTGTTAGTGAGGCCTGGCACCAATCATAGCACATCCTACGAGACGAAGAAAGCAGGACAACACTCTGCCTAGTTATTAGGGTCTTTTCGGGACAGGAGGCCAAACTGGGCAGCTCCTTTACAAAGTCTGGAGACATTTTGTACAGAACAAGGAGGAACTAAGTCCACTTCACTGCAAAGTGACCTGAGAACACCCTCTAGTGGAAATTATTAATAAAACAAAGACCATGCGCCTAATTCACCTTCTGATACAAGAATGGTTTTTAAATTCCCCATAAAATGGAAAAAACAAAAAACAGAAAAACAACATATTATCTTTAAGAACACAAAAACAATTTTTATAAGGCAGGAGTTCCCACCCATGCTTAGTACCCTGACTGCCAAATCACATTCCTTCCTCAGAGACTCTGACTTTAATATATTCTAAGAAAGGGAGACATGTCGTGGGGGGAGCTACTTGTCCCCTTAAATTTTGGGCAGACTGCCTGCTGGTGCCAGAATGATGCCAAAGACATAGAAAAGTCCCAGCAGGAGGTTGAGCTTGGCAGTCCTCTGGGGCAGTTTGTTGAAGGCCTGGCTTCGAAACTGTCTCTCAAGGGAGAAGGCCATGGGAATGGTAAGCAGGGGGAGTGCCAGGCTGATGGTGCAGTGTGTGGCCAGGATGCTGAAGACCAGGTAGGGCAGGAAGAGCAGTGTGTTGTAGAGAATGTAGGAGAACGTGGGGCCGATGAGGATGGCCAGCGTGACGATACCAGCCTCCCGGTCGGACTCCATGTCCCTGGTGTTGTTGGAATGGAGAATGGCCTCGGTGCTGAGGGCGAGGGGGATGGCATAGACCAGTGGGAAGATGGCCAGGGACCCCACCTGGATGGCGTAGGCGAACATCACAGCCAGCGGGCCAAAAGTGATGAGGATGATGAGGTCTCCCAGAGCCACGTACTTGAATCCAATTCCTGCGGCCAGAAAATCCAGAGAGTTGGTGTGAGACCAAGGCTGGAAATTTAGGGACTGTTCACCAGTGAAGAGGCAGGCCACTTCCGGCTGAAAATGGTAAATCCTTAGACTGTGCAGGTGGGCACTCATTTCATCCCTTAACCCCACAGAGCAAATTCTGATTTCTTCTCCAATGCCACAGGTGCAGAGAGAATGCCCAGTGAGGCCTCAAGTCCCTCTTCCCAGGTTCATACCCAAGTTTCCCTTCCTACTGTCCCCCAACAGAGCTCTGCAACATAGCACACTAGGCACCCACTATACTCTTAGTTCAATGGGAGAGCCCAGGAAGGATCTAAAGGTCTTAGAATCCAGTTCTTTGCTATCTTTCACCCTTCACCAACCCCTGCAAGACCCCGTGAGATCAATCCCTCACAGAATAGCCACTCTGGCCTTCTACTTTTCCACCTCCTTCCCCTACAATCTCAAGGCATCTTCTGGTTTTAAAAACGGCCAGTGAATTTCAGTGAAATTTCGGGGTCCTTAAACCTGCACCCCTGCGATAAGCAAAACAGCGAGGACAGGAGAGTTATAATGCTGCTTTCCTCCTCTGTCTCCTATGAGATTGAAACTAAACCACCCCTACCTCCTGTTTCTGTCCTGCTCATCTACTTCAAAGCCTGTCTAACCCACTTCCTTCAAAACTATCCATTCTCTCCATCCCCGGGGCCACCCTCCATCCCCCTTACCAAATCTACCTCATGGTCATCTTATGCCTGGGATACTGCAACATCCTCCAAACTGGTCTATCAGCTTCCCCTCTCATAACCCCTCCCCCTCTCCATCCCTAATCTAATCTCTAAAAAGGCGTTAGAGTGAACCTTTAAAAATAGGAATCTGGCTGGGTGGGCACAGTGGCTCACACCTGTAATCCCAGCACTCTGGGAGGCCAAGGCGGGCAGATTACCTGAGGTCAGGACTTCCAGATCAGCCTGGCCAACAGGGTGAAACCCCATCTCTACTAAAAATACAAAAATTAGCCAAGCGTGTGGCACACGCCTGTAATCCCAGCTACTCGGGAGGCTGAGGCAGGGAAAATGCTTGAGCCTTGGAGGCAGAGGTTGCAGTAAGCCAAGATCATGCTACTGCACTCCAGCCTGGCAGACAGAGCAAGACTCTGTCTCAAAAAAATTAGTAAATAAATAAATAAAGGAATCTGACCACCCCCTCCCCCAACATACACTTAAACCCTTATCAACCACTCATCCTGGGGATAAAAGTCCCAGATCTTTAACCTGGCTCACCTGTGGCCCAGCCCTACCTCTCCTGCCTCACCTTGAGCTCTCCTCCCCTCTTCACACAGACTTCTTCCAATCCGTCAGAGCCTTCAGACACCCCTCCCTTGGCCTGGCTAACTCTACTCACCCTTTAAGACTTTAAAGACCATTCCCCAGGACCACCTCCTCTCACCCCTAAGCCACATTTGATCCCCTTGCAATATGCTCCCATGGCAATATGCCTGCCATGTTCATAAACTTCATCATGCTTCTAATTAATCTCCACCTTTCTCACTAAACTGTAAGTTCCATGAGGGCAGGACATGTGTCTGGCTTGGTCACAGCTCACTCCCCAATACTTGGCACAAGGGCTGAACTGAAGACAGAGCTACAGTAACAAGCACCTGGAATTTGGGATCAAGGTCAGGAAAGATCTCCCACTCAGACTGAAACAGGTAAAGCAGTATGGAATGAGTGGAGCTGCCCACTGAGGGAGGTGACCCATGCAATTATTGCTACAGAAGCTTAGCAAACTCCAGTTCTAACCAAGCTACAAGATGTGGACTCAAGATCAGAAAATAAAGCTCTGGTTAGGCATTTTAACCAGTCTAAAATGACAGAAGTTCCCACTAGCCACAGGAATCAAAATGAAATAAAATGACAGGAGCTAAGGAACAAGATCCAGTCCAAGTTCACCTTCACATCAGCAGCTGGGGTCCCTTGGTGCTAAATACACACCCTTAGTTCTTCAGAACAAAGTATCTCCAGGGAAGGGCATTAAGGCATGGCCACTGACACTCTTCAACATTCAGCAAGCTAATTCTGCACCCTCAAGCCATATTTTTTTTCCTTCTATTTGGATAATTTTTATACCAAGCCATGTTTTCATAAATAATTTGGTTGTATGAGGACATGCCCTCCAGGAGGAAGTTCCCTCAAGCAGAGCACGAGCTCCAGTTCAGAATTAGTAAATTGACGTCTCTTCCAATATCTCACACATTTAAGGGACTACACCCACGCAAAGATGATGCTGGGCAGGAATACTCCCAGCACAGACCTAGCCAGTTCCTCTACAGCTGCCCACTCTTGCTGTGCTTGTTTTCTCAGCTCCCCAAGTGACGCCACTGGTCTGGCTGTGAAAGAAAATGCAACAGCACTACAGCCTTGACCTTTGGCTGGAGTCTCCAAGAACACCTCCTTAGATCACTCGGCAAAAAGCAATGTAAGCGGCCAGGTATGGTGGCTCACGCCTGTAATCCCAGCACTTTGGGAGGCTGAAGCAGGTGGATCACCTGAGGTCAGGGGTTCGAGACCAGCCTGACCAACATGGAGAAACCCCATCTCCACTAAAAATACAAAAAATTAGCCGGGTGTAGTGGCGCATGTCTGTAATCCCAGCTACTCGGGAGGCTGAGGCAGAAGAACCGCTTGAACCCTGGAGGCAGAGGATGTGGTGAGCCGAGATCGTGCCATTGCACTCCAGCCTGGGCAACAAGAGCAAAACTCCGTCTCAAGAAAAAAAAAGGCCAGGCACAGTGGCTCACGCTGTAATTCCAGCACTTTGGGAGGCCACAGCGGGTGGATCAACTGAGGTCAGGAAGTCAAGACCAGCCTGACCAACACGGAGAAACCCCATCTCTACTAAAAATACAAAAAAAAATTAGCCGGGCATGGTGGTGCACGCCTGTAATCCCAGCTACTCGGGAGGCTGAGGCAGGAGAATCGCTTGAACCAGGAGGCAGAGGTTGCAGTGAGCAGAGGTCGCACCATTGTACTCCAGCCTGGTCAACAAGAGCTAAACTCTGTCTTTTGAAAAAAAAAAAAAAAAAAAGTGATGTAAGCAAGGTTGAGCAGAGATCTCTGTCCCCACCCCAAAACCAAGAGCAACCCACTCTGGGGAGGAAAAAGATCTGGTTATCTGACACAAGAAAACAGTAGAGCCCTTGGGGAGAAAGCTGTTTCCTAGCATTTGATACATGGCCCAAGGCTTCATGTGCTCTACCTGATTCAGAGACGTGGCCCATCTGGGAATTTCCTTTTAGGCATTCCTCCTCTCCCAACCCCATTTTCTGAATGAGCTTACACAGTGAAATACTGGGCCGGTTCTCCACACGGCAGCCAGAATGAATCTGTTAAGACTTAAGTCAAAAAGTTGGCAAGACGCAGAGCAACTGGAACACTTGCTGGGGGGAGTGTAAAGAAGTACAACCACTTCAGAAAACAGTTTGGCAGTTTCTCATAAAATTAAACATCATCTGCCCTGTGACCCAGCAATTCTACTCCTGGGCATTTACCCAAGAAAAATGAAAACAAATATCCACAAAAAGACTTGAACATGAATGTTCAGACGTAATAGCCAAAATATGGAAGCAATCCAAATGTCCCTGAAAAGGAGAATGGATAAAAAGAAGTTGTGGTATGTTACAATGGAATGCTAGTCAGCAAAAAAAGGAACTACTGATACACGCAATAAAACAATGAATCTCAAAAACATCACGCTGAGCAAAAGAAGCCAGACGAGAGCTCAGACTGAAATAAATACACATACATACATACATACATAGTTCATAGTGAAAGGTTCCATTTATATGACAGGCAAAACTAATCTCTGTGAGAGGAATCAGAACAGTGGTTCTTTTCCTGTCTCTGGATGGGGGCAGGGAGTGTGGGATTGACAGGCAAGAAGCACTGGGAAGCTTTTGGGGGTGATGGAAGTGTTCTGGATGATGACGGGGTGTGGGTTATGCAACTGTATACATTTATCAAAATTCATCAAGCTGCAACACTAAAAACCTGTGCATTTCACTGTGTGTCAATTATATGTCAATAAAAGACAATGTTTAAAAAATCTTAAACCAGATTATGTCACTACTCTGCTCAGTATATTTCAATGCCTTCCCATTTGTTCACTGGATATTTACTAAGTAATATTACATGCCAGGCAGTGCTCTGGGTGCTAGGGGTTCAGCTAATACCAGAGACAGAAATCCCTGACTGCAGGGAGGGAGCTCGCAGTCGAAGGGGGAAGATAATTAACCAATTAAGTACTTTATATGGCACATTAGAAGGTAACATGTGCTATGAGGAAAACTAATGCAGAGAAGAGCAGCAGGGGAAGTATCAGGTGGGGGCACGGAGTGGGTGTGTAATTTTAAGCAAGGTAGAAAGCAAGGCCTCACTGAGCAGCTGACATTTGGGCAAATAGGTGAAGGAAGTGAGAAAGTGAACCACATGGTTAGAAGCAGGAAAAGCATTTCAAACAGAGGAAGCTGCATCTACAAAGGACCTGAGGGAGGGGCAGGAGGGGTTGTGCATGCTCCTGGACTAGAAAGGGCAGTGTGGCTGGCCCAGGATGAGCAGGAAGAAAGGAGGAGGGTGGGTCAGAGAACTGGGGGGAGGGCAAAAGGTGGGCAAAGAATGTAGGGCCCTAGGGAGTCACTGTAAAGACCCTGGCCTTTACTCTGAGCAAGATGGGAGCCACTGAAGAGTTCTAAGCAGGACTGACAGGGCTGCCCTATATTTTAACAGAATTACTCTGGTGGCTGAGTGGGAACAGCCTGAATGGGACCAGAACAGAGGTAAAGAGACCAGTTGGGAGCCTGCCGCAAAAATCCAGGGACAGATGATCACAGTGGTGGCTGGACACGGTAAGAAGTGGTCAGATCCTACATGCATTTTGAAAGGAGAGTCAACAGAATTTGCTGATGAACTGGATGTGAGACGTGGGAGTCAAGGACGATGCCCACAGCTTTTGGCCTGAAGAACTAGGATGAAGCTGCCATTGAGCAAAATGGGGAAAAAGCTGTGGGCGAAGCAGGTTTCCTTGGGGAGAAGATCAGAATTTGGTCTCAGACATGTTAAGCTTGAGATGTTTATGAGACAGTTCTAGGAGAAGTTGCTGAGCAAGAAGTTGGATATGAGTCTGGAGTTTAAGAGTCACTAGCTTAACAGATGGCATCTGAAGCCATGAGCTACATCACCAAGGGAGTACATGGAGATAGAGAAAAGAGGCCCAAGGACTGAGCCCTGGAGGTTGGGGAGTAGGACTGGTTAAGATCGCCATGACAGAGACCCTGCCTAACTCACCAACTGTGTCTCATGCCCCCTCTGGCTCACACAGACCTTTCAGTAGATCCTAGCCAATGTCACACTCTCTCTCACCCACCACATTTGCACTTAGTGGTCCTTCAGCCCTGGAGGACTCAGCATCACAATCAGACTCCAATTCCACCCCGTGGCCAGCTCCTTATCCTTCCGTCTTCAAGTCCTAGTTTGAACGTCACTTTCACAAAGACAGCCTCTTCCCTTCACCACCACCTTGTACTTTCTATTACACCACCTCATTGATTTCCTTCACTGAACTTTTTATAATTAGCTGCCAGGCCACCACAGCCTTTTGATTTTCCTCTTACTCCTCTGGATGCTTGCTCACATCCCCTTTACCTGTGCCTTTTCTTCCCCCACCTCTAATGTGGGAGTGTCCCAGGGCTCAGACCAGGACTGACTTTTCTACCAACACTCCCTCCCCCTTGATGACCTCACCCAGTCCTACAACTTTATCTATAGACCAATGACTCCCAGATATGTAATCTCTAGCCCAGGCTTCTCTGAACTTGAACTACCCATTTGACATCTTTGTTAGGAGATTTAATAGACATTAAGATGTCCAAAGTTGGCCAGGCGCAGTGGCTCATGCCTGTAATCCCAGCACTTTGGTAGGCCAAGGTGGGTGGATCACCTGAGGTCAGGAGTTTGAGACCAGTCTGGACAACATGGTGAAACACCGTCTCTGCTAAAAATACAAAATTAGCCAGGCATGGTGGCAGACGCCTGTAATCCCAGCTACTTGGGAGGCTGAGAATCACTTGAACCCGGGAGGCAGAGGCTGCAGTGAGCCGAGATCATGCCACTGCACTCCAGCCTGGGAGACGGAGTGAGACTCTGTCTCAAAACAAACAAAAAACAAAACAAAAAACCACGAAGTCAATTGCTTGCTTTTCCCCCAAAACTTGTTCTATCCCCAGCCTTGCCCTTCTCACATGATGACATCACTCCAGATGGTATCTTCCAGTTCTCAGGTCAAAACCTTTGAGTTATGCTTATGCAGCTATTGATAGGCAATGGTATGATTAACTGGGGCCTTAAAGATGATGAAGATATGACATTTACAAGGTGGACAGGCATGATTATTGGGCCACCAAGGACAAATTATGAAAAGAGAATATAGGCCGGGCATGGCAGTTCACACCTATAATCCCAGAACTTTGGGAGGCCAAGGAGGGCAGATCACGAGGTCAGGAGTTTGAGACTAGTCTGCCCAACATAGTGAAACCTCATCTCTACTAAAAATACAAAAAATTAGCTGGGTGTGGTGGTGTGCACCTGTAATCCCAGCTACTCGGGAAGCTGAGGCAGGAGAATCACATGAACCTAGGAAGCAGAGGTTGCAGTGAGCCGAGATCACGCCACTGCGCTCCCGTGTGGGCCACAGCGCGAGCCTCTGTCTCAAAAATAAAAAAAAAGAATATATAGCCTGAAAATAGAAAGTGGACCCAAATACCCAGAAGCTCCCCCATCAGTTAGATTTGTAACAAGAATTAATATGAATGGAATAAATAACTCCAGTGGGATGGTGGATGACCGCAGCACACCAGTGTTAGCAAAATGACAAAATTCATATAGCATTAAAGTTGTACTTCAGGAGCTAAGACGTCTAATGATGTCCAAAGAAAATATGAAGCTTCCACAGCCACTGGAAGGACAAACATACAACAATTAATTTTAGTGGATCTCAAACTTGTCTTATATCAACAACCTTCTACTCGTGTTAATGTCTTGATTAAATATCACAATGCAAAATACCCACACGTTAAATAAAAGAACTCCGGCTGGTAAACATGACCTGGACATTTGTAAGAATATATTTAATATATGTACACCCATTATGTTTTCAGGTAACAGGAAAAATGCAACCCAATTTTTTTCTCTTGTTAAGGTACTGTCATTTAAACATAAACTTGGAGTACTCGAAATATAATTCAGGTTTACAAGATGAAAGCGTGGTAAGAAGTGTCAGATGGCAGTGGAAGCATGTGTGTTTCTAAAGACTAAAAATCTCAATAAAGAAAACAGGGCTGGGCACAGTGGCTCATGTCTGTAATCCCAGCACTTTGGGAGGCTCAGGCGAGCAGATCACTTGAGGCCAGGAGTTCAAGACCAGCCTGGCCAACATAGTGAAAGTCCGTCCCTACAAAAAATCCAAAAATTAACCAGGCGTGGTAGCACGCGCCTGTAGTCCCAGCTACTTAGGAGACTGAGGTAGGATGATCGCTTGATCCCGGGAGGCAGAAGTTGCAGTGAGCTGAGATCGCACCACTGCACTCTAGCCTGAGTGACAGAGTAAGACCCCCATCTCAAACAAAAAAGGAAAGGAAAAAGAAAACAGAGGCCAGGAGAGGTGGCTCACACCTTTAATGCCAGCACTTTGGGAGGCCAAGGTGGGCAGATCACCTGAGGTCAGGAGTTTGAGACCAGCCTGACCAACATGGAGAAACCCTGTCTCTACTAAAAATACAAAATTAGCAGGGCGTGGTGGCCCATGCCTGTAATCCCAGCTACTTGGGAGGCGGAGGCAGAACTGCTTGAACCCCGGAGGTGGAGGTTGTGGTGAGCCGAGATCGTGCCATTGTACTCCAGCCTGGGCAACAAGAGCAAAATTCTGTCTCAAGAAAAAAGAAAACAGAAATGGCATGCTTTATCCATCTTGCTTAGTGAAAGAGAGCTGCAGTTGAAATTGTTTAAAAAGTAGCAGGTATTGGCCAGGCATAGTGGCTCACGCCTGTAATCCCAGCACTTTAGGAGGCCAAGGAGGGTTGATCACTTGAGGTGAGGAGTTAGAGAGACCAGCCTGGCCAACATGGCGAAACCCCGTCTCTACTAAAAATACAAAAATTAGCCAGGCGGGCACCTGTAATCCCAGCTACTGGGATTATACTTGAACCTGGGAGGCGGAGATTGTGGTAAGCCAAGATCGCACCACTGTACCCCAGCCTAGGCGACAGAGCAAGACTCCGTTAAATTAAAAAAAAAAAAAAAAGTAGCAGGTACAATGAACACTGTCACAAATGTGTTTGATTTTTTTAATTTTTTTTATTTTTTTGAGATGGAGTCTTGTTCTGTTGCCCAGGCTGGAATGCAGTGATGAGATCTTGGCTCACTACAACCTCCCAGGTTCAAGCGATTCTCCTACCTCAGCCTCCCAAGTAGCTGGGACTACAGGCATGCACCACCATGCCCAGCTTATTTTTGTATTTTTAGTAGAGATGGGGTTTCACCATGCTGGCCAGGCTGGTCTCGAACTCCTGAACTCAGGTGATCTGCCTGCCTCAGCCTCCCAAAGTGTTGGGATTATGGGTAAAAACTACCACATCCAGCACAAATGTGTTAATTTTTGAAGTGGTGTGGGTGCTGACTACTAGTAGTATGAAAAATATGTTCAGGATTGTTTTGATACCTATCTTATAATAAAAAATGTTGGGGGGGAGTTGATGAATTTCTGTTAAAAGCTGTTCATGTGTGTTACACGTAACAGACATGGTAAATATTTGCTTACAGTTTTTTTTTTTTAACAAACTATGCACTTAAGGTTAAGTGACATCAACAAAAAAGGGATACATATATGGAGATATAATTTTGAAACTAAAGTTGGTCTTTTTTTTTTTTTTTTGAGATGGAGCCTCTCTCTGTTGCCCAGGCTGGAATGCAGTGGCATGATCTCAGCTCACTGCAACCTCTGCCTACTGGGCTCAAGCAATCCTCCTGCCTCAGCCTCCCGAGTAGCTAGGACTACAGGCACATGCCACCACGCCTGGCTAATTTTTGTATTTTTAGTACAGACAAGGTTTCACCATGTTGGCCAGGCTGGTCTGGAACTCCTGATCTCAAGTGATCCACTTGCCTTGGCCTCCCGAAGTGCTGAGATTACAGGCATGAGGCACAGCACCCAGCCCAAAGTTAGTCTGAAAATGTAAATAAAATGTGGAATGTGTCCAAGAAAAAAAAAAACCTTTGAGTTATGCTTAATTCCTCTGTTTCTCTTTACCTCACATCCAATCCATCAGCAAACCCTGTCTACCTTCAAAGCATATTTAGAATCTGGCTACTTACCTCTTCCACTACCACCCGCTAGATACAAGCCACCAAACATCGCTTGCCTGGATTATTCAAGAGCTTCCTACTTGGTCTTCCTGCCTCTACCCTTGCCCCACTCCCCTTGATCCATTCTCAATACCTTACCCAGAGCAATTCTTTTAAAACATTATATTACATCACTCCCTTGCTCAAAGTCCTGCAGTGGCTCCTCCATTCCAGAGCCAAGACCAGTGGCCTACAAGGTCTATATAATCCGTGTGTGTGCCTCCTTACCCTCCCCAAACGTACTTCTCTTACTTTACCTCTCTTTACTCTCTCCTTCATTCACACACTGGACTTCTTGCTGCTCTGTAAGCTCTTTGGACACATTCCTGCCTGAAGGCCTATGGCACTTGCTGTTGCTTTTCCTGAAATGCTCCTCTCTCAGATATCTGCTTGGCCAACTCCCTCACCTCTTACCTCCTTCAATGTAACTCAACTCAAATACTACCTTTCTGAGGCATGGTCTCACTCTGTCGCCCAGGCTGGAGTGCAGTGGTGTGATCAGGACTCACTGCAGCCTTGACCCCTGGGCTCAAGCAATTCTCCCGCCTCAGCCTCCAAAGTAGCTGGGACCACAGGCAAGCACCACCATGCCCAGCTAATATTTTTTATTTTATATTTTATACAGACAGGGGTCTATGTTGCCCAGGCTGGTGTTTAACTCCTGGCCTCAAGCGATCCTCTCGCTTCAGCCTCCCAAAGGGCTGGGATTACAGACATGAGCCACTGCACTCAGCCAAATGTTACCTTTTTGATGAAGCCTACCCTGATCAAACTACTTAAAATAGTAATCTGTGTCCCATTCTTTGCTCTACTTTTTTTTCCCATAGCACTTATCATCTTTCATATACTATAATCAGGGTGATCAATTCAACCTGACTTACCAGGAACTTTTCTGGTTTTAGCTCCAGAAGTCGCACATCCGACTTAGTCCTGTCACCTTAGTCCTGAGCAAACCAGGATATTGGTCACCCTAACTATAATTTTCTATTTTTACTTTCTGTCTCTTTTCATGATAATACGTAAGTTTCACAAGGGCAGGGATCTGTGACTGCTGTGTTCACACAGAACAGTGCCTGGCACATAATAGGTGCTCAATAAATAGGGCTTACCCACCTGCCCATCACTACCTTAATCAGCCTCTTGCAAGAAGTCACCTAGCAAACTAGCTAGAAGTAATTATCTATATCATTTTGAACTCTTCAGATTTAATTCTAATATTTGAAACTGTGGCATTATAAAGTATGAGTGATTAAAAAAAAAAATGAGACAGAAAAAATGTCCATATAGGCCGGGCATGGTGGCTCACGCCTGTAATCCCAGCACTTTGGGAGGGCAAGACAGGCAGGTCATGAGGTCAGGAGTTCAAGACCAGCCTGGCCAACATGGTGAAACCTTGTCTCTACTAAAAATACAAAAATTAGCCAGGCGTGGTGGCACATGCCTGTAGTCCCAGCTACTCGGGGAGCTGAGGCAGAAGAATCGCTTGAAGCCGGGAGACAGAGGTTGCAGTAAGCCGAGATGGTGCCACTGCACCCTTGCCTGGGCAACAGAGCGAGACTCTGTCTCAAAAAAAATAAAAAAAATTAAAAAATGTCCTGACAGGGCGCGGTGGCTCACGCCTGTAATCTTAGAACTTTGGGAGGCTGAGGCGGGTGGATCACGAGGTCAGGAAATCGAGACCATCCTGGCCAACATGGTGACACCCCGTCTCTAATAAAAATACAAAAATCAGCCAGGCGTGGTGGCGTGCACCTGTAGTCCCAGCTACTCGGGAGGCTGAGGCAGGAGAATCGCTTGAACACGGGAGGCAGAGGCTGCAGTGGGCCGAGATCGCACCACTGCACTCCAGCCTGGGCGACAGAGCGAGACTCCGTCTCAAAAATGAATACATAAAAAATAAATAAAAATAAATGTCCATATAAAATTTTCAGTCATGCCCTACGTCCGTAAGTCAAACCAGGATCTTCTCAAATCACTGTTTCAAAAAATTCACATCACCCACAATTATAGACTTCAATTAAAGCGGCTTAAATTAGAAAGCCACCTTTGACATCCCTATAACTCCTTTACAAAGCAGCGGTTTCCAGTGGACGCGACTAAGACCTGCAGCACACAGGACAGGCCAAATCTTACCTCCTGTGTAGAGAAAGGAGCCAGACAGGCCTCCAAAGTAGATAAGAGCCAAGTGCTCCAGTTTCAGAGGGGACAGGTAGTAGAGGCAAGCGGCACAGACGCAGCCCAACGTGTAGAGGAAGACTCCGAACCGGACGACATCCTGCGGCTCCAAGATTCGGTCCACAAGTGTCCTGTCATCACTCTTTTTGTGGTCAATGCCCTTGGAAAAGTCATAGTAAGTGTTGACCAAATTACCGGCCCCGTGCACAGCCAGGACAGCCACGGCACAACCCACCAAGAGCCTGGGATCCAGGACACCGTGGGATCTGTAGGCAAGGGCACTGCCCAGGGCCACCGGTGTGAGTGAGGCACTGAAGCTCCAGGGCCTCAGGGCCAACACGTAGGAGGCACACTTCTGCCTCCAGGAGCGCTGGGGGAGCCTATCTTGCTCGGGACAGTCGTTCCCCAGCGGGTCCCTGTCCCCAGCTTTGACAGTCTCTCCCGACAGGATGTTAATCTTCTCCCCCAGGACCTGAGAGGCCGCCATGGAAGCTCCACGTGGTTGAAGTAAACTCTAAAAGTGAGCCACGCACAGTGACCGCCCGGGAAGGAGGAAGGACGGGGCGGGGCAGCAGGGCCCGACCTTCCTTCGGTTCCGCCCCAGGACAGGGCTGGTGTGGCGGCAAGGTCCGGGGGCAACAGCAAGTGGGTCTTACACCCCACGAGGCCAAGCGGCGCCGCCCCTACTACCCGTCACCTGGGCGAAGTCTGTCTCCGGCCCCCAGCCCCGCGTTAGAGCCCACGGCTGAGCCGCGGCCGCCTTCTTTAGGCCGCCAGAGCCGCCATCTTGTGCGCCGGCCTCTGGAGGCCCGCCCGGAAACAGGTGCCGGCGGCGCGGGCTGGACCGGAGGGTGGGCTGGAGGGCGGGAGGGGGCGGGGCCGAGCCAGAGGCGGGGAGAAGGGCGGTGAGGGGTGGGGGGCGGGGGCCTGGTCAGAGGCGGGGCGGGCAGGGCCGAGTCAGAGGAGGGGCGGGGTCAGAGGCGGGGAGAAGGGCGGTGAGGGGTGGGGCGGGGCTGAGGGGCGGGGCCAGACCGGTGGTGGGGCGGGAGGGGGCGGGGCCGGGGCGGGAATGGACCGGGAGCGGGGACGGGCCAGGAGCTGGGGCCGGGCGGTGACCCGGCATCCAGCCCTTTTCCTGCCTGCACTGCGCCCCGCAGCTACTTCCAGACTAACTGCAATCAGCCTCTCTTAGCATCATAAGAACTCGAAGGCGTGTTGCTTTAGGACTTACCGGGCGCACTTTCATTCACGAAGTAGGATTCATTAATTTATTCATGCTACAAGCATTTATTGAGCGCCTGCTGTGTGCATACATTCTGACGTCTATCATATCTGCACCGTGGAAATACTCTATGATGTGCTACTGCTCACCTCTTATCAGCTTTTCATTCAGTGACATCCTTCAGCAGCTTGAAATCTGCCCATGGTGGGAGAATTTACACCACGCAAATCAGCAAATGCTTAATAACTGCTAAGTCGTCTAGACTTAAGAAAGTGGCGGAGAAAATGTTCATATTACTGGTTAAACTTAAAAGTGTTGGAGGGTGCGGTGGCTCACGCCTGTAATCCCAGCACTTTGGAAGGCCGAGGCAGGCGGATCACTTGATGTCAGGAGTTCGACATCAGCCTGGCCAACATAGCGAAACCCTGTCTCTACTAAAAATACAAAAATTAGCCGTGCGTGGTGGCAGGCACCTGTAATCCCAGCTACTCGGGAGGCTGGGGCAGGAGAATTGCTTGAACCCGGGAGATGGAGGTTGCAGTGAGCCAAGATCATGCCAATGGGCTCCAGCCTGGGCAACAGAGTGAGACTCCATCTCAAAAAAAAAAAAAAAATTAGCCGGGGGTGGTGGTGCATTCCTGTAATCACAGCTACTCGGGAGGCTGAGGCAGGAGAATTGCTTGAACCCTGGAGGCAGAGGCTGCAGTGAGCCAAGATCACGCCACTGCACTCCAGCCTGGGCAGTAGAGCGAGACTCCGTCTCAAAAAAGAAAAAAAAGAGAGAAAAAAAGTGTGTAAGTGAATGCACCAAAACTTTGAGGAAATATTCGTTCAGCATTGGCAAATTATTATCCAGTTGAACAAATAAGTCGCTTGTAGCCTTGACAAACTAGTGAAGTTCTGACATATCTCTTTTGATTGTTTCACTTTCCTCTTACTCCTAACATAAAATATCAACCAACATTCATGTCTGAACTATGCTCATTGATCAATTGGGACCATAGGGAAGCTACACAACATCAAAGAAAGCATACTGTGAGAACTGGCTATATGGAGTTTACAATAGAGTCCTGTACTGTATATTTTAGTATTTGTAAACTGTATGCTACACATCATTTACATCAGTGAAATTATAATACACATGCAACATAGATGCACACAGGACTGACTACATAATTTGTGGTACCCAGTGCAAACTAAAGAGGTGGAGCTGGGGGTGATAATGTGTGCCTGTAGTCCCAGCTACTCAGGAGGTTTTTTTGAGACGGAGTCTTGCTCTGTTGCCCAGGCTGGGGTGCAGTGACACAATCTCGGCTCACTGCAAGCTCCGCCTCCAGGGTTCACACCATTCTCCTGCCTCAGCCTCCCGAGTAGCTGTGACTACAGGCGCCCGCCACCACGCCCGGCTAATTATTTTGTATTTTTAGTAGAGACAAGGTTTTACCGTGTCAGCCAGGATGGTCTCTATCTCCTGACCTCGTGATCCGCCTGCCTCAGCCTCCCAAAGTACTGGGATTACAGGTGTGAGCCACCGCACCCGGCGGGAGGATCTCTTGAGCTCAGGTTAGAGACCAGCCTGGGCAACAAAGTGAGATCTCCGCTCTAAAAAATTAAAAAGACCAGATGTGGTGGCTCACACCTGTAATCCCAACACTTTGGGAGGACAAGGCAGGTGGATCGCTTGAGCCCAGGAGAAGACCAGCCTGGACCACACGGTAAAAATCGAAGAATTAGCCAGGTGTGGGCCAGGTGCAGTGGCCCACGCCTGTAATCCCAGCACTTTGGAAGGCCGAGGCGGGCAGATCATGGGGTCAGGAGATAAGACCATTCTGGCTAACATGGTGAAACACCATGTCTACTAAAAATACAAAAAAATTAGCCAGGCGTGGTGGCAGGCACCTGTAGTCCCAGCTACTTGGGAGGCTGAGGCAAGAGAATGGCATGAACCCCGGAGGCGGAGCTTGCAGTGAGCCGAGATCGTGCCACTGCACTCCAGCCTGGGCGACAGAGCAAGACTCCATCTCAAAAAAAAAAAAAAAGAAAAAGAAAAAGTAAAAGAATTAGCCAGGCGTGGCAGTGTGCACCCGTGGTCCCAGCTACTTGGGAGGCTGAGGCGGAAGAATCACCTGAGCCTGGGAAGTTGAGGCTGCAGTGAGTCATGATTGTGCCCCTGCACTCCAGCCTGGGTAATAGAGTGAGATCCTATCTCAAAAAAATAAAATAAAATCAATAAATAAGTGGGGCCAGGCCAGGCACGGTGGCTCACGCCTGTAATTCCAGCACTTTGGGAGGCCAAGGTGGTCAGATGACCTGAGGTTGGGAGTTCAAGACCAGCCTGACCAACATGGAGAAACCCCGTCTCTACTAAAAATACAAAATCATCCGGGAGTGGTGGCGCATGCCTGTAATCCCAGCTACTCAGGAGGCTGAGGCAGGAGAATCACTTGAACCCGGGAGGTGGAGGTTGCGGTGAGCCGAGATCGTGCCATTGCACTCCAGCCTGGACAATAAGAGCAAAACTCCATCTCAAAAAAAATAATTAATTAATTTAAAAAATAAAAAAAATAAGTGGGGCCTCTTGTTCAAAATCATTAACAATTGCAAAACAGAGCATGACACAGCTGTGAAGCTAGCTCTGTACATGTCTGCTTCCACTTACCCCCAATCTGGTTGTTGAACATTACAACTTCACCACTCAACACAGAGCTTTCTATGCTGGCCAAACCCATGAGTCATACAATGTCAAATCAGACAATATATCAGCAGATAGATTAAAATCCTGGCTCTATCACTTACCAATTCCATGTCCCAATATCTCTGTTCTTTGGCTTACTTATATATAAGGTGGGAACAATACAACCTGCCTCATAGAAATGCTCAGGAATAATAGTAAACAGCATTTATTGACTTTTCACATGAGCCATATACTTTGTTTGCTTTTGAGACGGAGTCTTGCTCTGTCGCCCAGGCTGGAGTGCAGTGGTGCGATCTCGGCTCACTGTAACCTCCACCTCCCAGGTTCAAGTGATTCTCCTCCTCAGCCTCCTGAGTAACTGGGATTACAGGCGTCTGCCACCATGCTCAGCTAATTTTTATATTTTTAGTAGAGATAGGGTTTTACCAAGCTGATCTCGAACTCCTGACCTCAGGTGATCCACCTGCCTTGGCCTCCCAAAGTGCTGGGATTACAGGTGTGAGCCACCATGCTGGGCCAAGTACCTCTTTTAGGTACTTTACGTGTGGTATTAGCGTTTAACCCCCACAATACTGCCTACCAACGAAGAGACTATAATCCTTCCAGTTTTACACATAAGGAAATAGGTACAAAGTGTTGCAGCCAAATTTCAGATTCAGTTAGTTTGACTTGACTCCAAGCTGCTTTTAACAAGTACTCTATAATGTCCACCAAAATCCCTGATACACTGTAAGTGCTCAATAAATATTAGCTATTATTTTAGTGTAATGCATAAGAAAGTTCTTTGTAGTGGGAGTTGAACAATGAGAACACATGGACACGGGGAGGGGAACATCACACACCGGGGCCTGTTGGGGGTTGGGGGGCTGGGGGAGGGATAGCGTTAGGAGAAATACCTAATGTAAATGACAAGTTGATGGGTGCAGCAAACCAACACGGCACATGTATACCTATGTAACAAATCTGCACGTTGTGCACATGTACCCTAGAACTTGAAGTATAATAATAAAATAAAAAGACTTGCAAAAATACAATAAAAAAGAAAGTTCTTTGTAAACAGAAAAGAAACCGACAAACGCACTTATTACTGTTGCTATAAAATCATCTTTGATTATTAATTAGAAAACAGGGCTGTATCATATCTCAGGGTGGCAAAAATCTCCTATATGGCTGATGGGAATAAAAATTGGTACCTCCCTTATAGAGATCAACTTGACAAGATTCAACAAAACTGTCTAACCCTGTAATCCCATTTCTGGGAATTTATCTTGATATAGCTGTCAGGGAAGAAAATGATATACGTACAAAGGCATTCACTGCAGCATTTGTAATAGCACAAATTTGGACATAACACAAATGTCCATTCACAGAGGACTGGAAAATGAACTATGGCACAGCCATGTGATAGAACACTATGCAGCTGTAGCAACAACAAAAGGACAAGAAACTCTGTGTGTACCAAGATGGAAATGAAACCGTCCCAACAAACTTTATAAAATTAATCAGGGGCCAGGTGCGGTGGCTCACACCTGTAATCCCAGCACTTTGGGAGGCCAAGGCAGGCTGATCACTTGAGGTCAGGAGTTCGAGACCAGCCTGGCCAACATTGTGAAACCCCGTCTCTACTAAAAATACAAAAATTAGGCTGGACACAGTGGCTCACACCTGTAATCCTAGCACTTTGCGAGGCTGAGGCAGGCAGATTACCTGAGGTCAGGAGTTCAAGACCAGCCTGGCCAACATGGTGAAACTTTGTCTTTACTAAAAATACAAAAAATTAGCCGGGTACAGTGGGGTGCGCCTATAATCCCAGCTACTCTGCCGAGGTGCACACCTGTAATCCCAGCTACTCTGGAGGCTGAGGCAGGAGAATTGCTTGAACCTGGGAGGCAGAGGTTGCAGTGAGCTGAGATCACGCCACTGCACTCTAGCCTGGGCTACAGAGCGAGACTTGGTCTCAAAAAAAAAAAAAAAGTACAAAAATTAGCTGGCATGGTGGCGCACACCTGTAATCCCAGCCACTCGGGAGGCTGAGGCAGGAGAATCGTTTGAACCCGGGAGGTGGAGGTTGCGGTGAACTGAGATCACACCACTGCACTCCGAGTGAGACTCCATCTCAAAATAAAATAAAATAAATCAGGGAGGAAGGGAGGGAGAGAAATGAAAATAAACAAAGCTTGCAGCACATTCAGCATTCATCATGAGGTCATGTTGAACTCTGAGCCATTTCCTCATAGTTGTTTGCTGCCTACTGTCCCAGAATCATGCGGACCCTGTCATCAGACAACTTAAGCTTGCAAAACATTGTTTTCCACCTGAGGTATTCTTTCAGGTCCTGCATATCAGTGAAACTACTGATGACAGCCATTGTGAAAGACCCCACAGGGAGCTAACTCACCAAAGAATGCAGTTTCTACATCCTGATGATTTCACCCCCTTTACCCCAACCCATAAACGATACCAAATTTCCAGCCTCTCCCCCTCTACAATCCCCTTAAAAACCCCAGCTCAGGCCGGGCACGGTGGCTCACTCCTGTAATCCCAGCACTTTGGGAGGCCGAGGTGGGCAGATCAAGAGGTCAGGAGTTTGAGACCAGCCTGACCAACACGGTGAAACCGTGTCTCTACTAGAAATACAAAAATTAGCCGGGTATGGTGGCACACACCTATAATCCCAGCTACTCAAAAGGCTGAGGCACAAGAATTGCTTGAACCTGGGAGGCAGAGGTGGCAGTGAGCTGAGATCCTGCCACTGCACTCCAGCCTGGGCAACAGAGCGAGACTCTGTCTCAAGAAAAAACAAAACAAACAAACAAACAAACAAACCCAGCTCAGAATTCCTTGGGGAGATGGATTTGAAGGTCTCCTCCTGTTACAGTAGATAGCTAGTCAGGCATGAGCAGAGCAGGAGAGGCCCCCACCCCCTAACCCCAGGAATGTCAAGCAACCATTGGGTGATGGTCAGGCAGTTGTTAAGCTATCTCGCTAAAATAATAATTGATTGCAGCTGGTGCCAGAGAAAGGCAGTCTCCCAAAAGATAGAAACACCTGAAACTGGTGATCAGCAGCTTCCCATAAGATCTCAGGAGCTGGGCGAGTAGGCTCAAGCATGGGCACTAAGAGGCAAAATCGCAGATGATCACTAACAGGCAAAATCGCCGATGATCTTCCTCTAGGAACACTGGACTGGTAAGGGAAACACATCTTGAGTGAGCATGCCCACAACTCCAGTAAACACACTGCACATGCGCCCCTACCCAAGTGCTGACAGGCCACCATGCATGTGGACAGCCCACCCCAAGGGAAGAATCAGGGGAGAAGGGATGCAAGACCCTGGAAGTATGCCAACCCCGAGTCAAGGTCAAACAGCGCACTTGATCTCTCAGGTCAACTGCTTGGTTCTCTTCCAAGTGTCCTTTACTTCCTTTCATTCCTGCTCTAAAGCTCTTTAATAAACTTCGCTCCTGTTCTAAAACTTGCCTCAGTCTCTCACTCTGCCTTATGCCCCTCAGTTGAATTCTTTCTTCTGAGGAGGCAAGAACTGAGCTTGCTGCAGACCATGTAAATTCAGCGCTGGTAACACTCCCATCTCCTCAGTTGGCTGCCCTGCGATCACTAAACTCTTTCTCTGCTGCAGACTCTGCTGTCTCATTGCATTGGTCAACTGTTGCTGTGCAGCAGGCATAGAATCCTGTTGGAACTACAAGAGAAAGATCTACAAGATGCAGTAAAATTTTAAAAATGCAAAATAGTGCGTATAGTATAACAAAAGGGGAAAATAAAAATATATGTATGGGCTGGGCATGGTGGCTCGTGCCTGTAATCCTAGCATTTTGGGAGGCTGAGGCAAGCGGATCAACTGAGGTCAGGAGTTTGAGACCAGCTTGGCCAATGTGGTGAAACCTTGTCTCTACTAAAAATAAAAAAATTAGCCACGCATGATGGCACAGACATGTAATCCCAGCTATTGGGGAAGCTGAGGCAGGAGAATCACTTTAACCTGGGAGGCAGAGGTTGCAGTGAGCCAAGATCATGCCACTGCACTCCAGCCTGGGCGACAGAGTGAGACTCTGTCTCAAAAAAAAAAAAAAAAAAAAAAAGGAATATACATACGTATATATTTGCTTGTTTTTGCAGACAGAAAATCTAGGGATGCATAAGAAACTGAGAAAATACATAGTCAAGGGGCAAGGGTGGAGCAAGACTTTTCATGATAAATGTAACTTGTTTATTTTGAGATTTGAATAGCGACTATATTGCATATTAGAAGCTTTTAATGATAAAAATATAGATGTTGGGCCAGGCACAATGGCTCACGCCTGTAATCCCAGCACTTTGGGAGGCTGAAGCAGGCGGATCACCTGAGGTCAGGAGTTCAAGACCAGCCTGGCCAACATGGCGAAACCCTGTCTCTACTAAAAATACAAAAATTAGCTGGGTGTGGTGGCAGGTGCCTGTAATCCCAGCTACTCAGGAGGCTGAGGCACGAGAATCACTTGAACCCAGGAGGCGGTGGTTGTAGTGAGCCGAGATTGCGCCACTGCACTCCTGCCTGGGTACCAGAACGAGACTCCATCTAAAAAAAAAAAAAAAAAAAAAAATTGAACATCAGTGAAAATGTAAAATTTAGAGGAATACTTATCTCACAGGAGCAATGAAAAGAGGCTAAATCTAAAGTAGCCATTATTACTCGAGAGGCTGAGGCAAGAGAATCGCTTAAACCTGGGAGGCAGAGGTTGCAGTGAGGTGAGATGGCTCCCCTGCACTCCAGCCTGGGTGACAGAGTAAGATTCTGTCTCAAAAAAAAGGAGCAATTATATATATATATATATTTATATATATATATATATAATTTTTTTTTTTTGAGACAGTGTCTCACTCTGTCAACTCAGGATGGAATGCAGTGGTGCAGTGGTGAGATCACAGCTCACTGCAGCCTTGACCTCCTGGGCTCAAGTGATCCTCCCACCTCAACCTCTTAAGTAGCTGGGACCACAGGTGCATGCCACCACACCAACTAATTTTTTGCATTTTTTGTAGAGATGAGGTTTCACCATGTTGCCCAGGTGGGCTCAAACAATCCACCTGCCTCAGCCTCCCAAAGTGTTGGGTCACTGTGCCTGGCCAATATCATAGATATTAACAATAACAACAACAACAACAAAAACCCTGCCAAACAAAGCATTTTGTTAGCCACGGAATATTGACATCTTTATTTGTTTATTTATTTATTTATTTGAGATGGAGTCTCACTATGTTGCCCAGGCTGGTCTCAAATGCCTGGGCTCATGCAATCTTCCTGCTTTGGCCTCCCAAAGTGCTGGGATTACAGGTGTGAGCCACCGCACCCAGCCCAACTATCTTTAATTTGGCAGTTTAGACCTTCTGAAAACTCATTTCTTCTACCTTCACTTGTTTTTATTACATAAGTAATTGATAATGTATAAAGAAAAAAAGTGTGTCTTTCCCAAATTACATCTTAGTTGTGCACATTTCCCCCATGTAAACAGAGACATATAAGAAATGCATAAATATTTTTGTAAATGGTTGTATTATACTTACATTGTTGCACAACTTGTAATTTTTAAACTAGTTGTGAACCTTTTCCTTCTTAGCAAATATTCATCTAATTACCACTATTTATTGTTATTATTATTATTTGAGACAGGATCTTTCTCTGCTGCCCAGGCTGCAGTGCAGTGGAGATCACAGATGACTGCAACCTTGAAGTCATAGACTCAAGTGATTCTCGTGCCTCAGCCTTCCAAGTAGCTGGGACTACAGGCATGTGCTACCACACACAGCTAATTTTTAAATTTCTTTTGTAGAGACAAGGGTCTCACTATGTTGCTCAGGCTGGTCTGGAACTCCTGGCCTCAAGCAATCCTGCCTCGGCCTCCCAAAGTGCTGGGATTCCAGGGATGAGCCACCATGCTAGGCTCTAAATTATAATTATTAATGGCTATGTATTTTTCTTATTATGAATGCATCTTTTTTTTTTTTTTTTTTTTTTTTTGAGATGGAGTCTCGCACTGTCACCCCAGCTGGAGCGCAGTGGCGCGATCTCGGCTCACTGCAACCTCCGCCTGCTGGCTTCAAGGGATTTTCCTATCTCAGCCTCCTGAGTAGCTGGCATTACAGGCACCTGCCACCACGCCTACCTTTTTTTTTTTTTTTTTGTATTTTTAGTAAAGACGGGGTTTCACTATGTTGGTCAAGCTGGTCTCAAACTCCTGACCTCATGATCCGCCCGCCTCGGCCTCCCAAAGTGCTGGGATTACAGGTGTGAGCCACCGCGCCCAAACGAATGCATCATATTTTATTGGACTCCTACTTTGAAATATTTAGGAATTTTCAGTGTTTACTATGACAAATAGCACTGTGATTAAAAAAAAATGTAGTCAAATCCACTTTTGCTGTTGATTTTTTTTTTTTTAATCTGTAGAGACATCGTCTCGCTATGTTGCCCAGGCTGGTCTGGAACTCCTGGCCTCAAGCGATCCTCCTGCTTTGGCCTCCCAAAGTGCGTGGGCCACCGTGACCAGCAGTTATTTATTTTCTTTGGTTGTGTGTGTGTGTGTGTGTGTGTGTGTGTGTGTGTGTGTGTATGTATGTATTGAGACGGAGCTTGCTCTGTTGCCCAGGCTAGAGTGCAGTGGCACGATCTCGGTGCATGCAACCTTCACCTCCCGGGTTCAGGCGATACTCGTGCCTCAGCCTCCCGAGTATCTGGGATTACAGGCGTGAGCCACCATGCCCAGCTAATTTTTGTATTTTCAGTAGAGACGGGGGGTGCGGGTGGGGGAATTTCACCATGTTGACCAGGCTGGTCTCGACTCCTGACCTACGGTGATCCGCCTGCCTCGGTCTCCCAAAGTGCTGGAATTATGGGCGTGAGCCACCGCGCCGGGCCAGCTATTGATTTTTTGAAAGGATTTTTAAAAAATAATGTTGCTTTGAAAATTTTTATTTATGACTAGCTCTTTTGGTTAAAACTTGGCTATGGTTTCTCTGGAGTGATCCTGAGTTGGATAATTTTGGGAAAGTTAGAGAATCTAAT
The DNA here is from genome assembly GCF_000001405.40 of Homo sapiens. Classification (NCBI taxonomy): domain Eukaryota; kingdom Metazoa; phylum Chordata; class Mammalia; order Primates; family Hominidae; genus Homo; species Homo sapiens. The sequence goes on along the minus strand of NC_000001.11, from coordinate 11,263,041 downwards.
TAAAAACATTTTCAAATGCTTATTAATTGTAACAAAAGAGATATCACAGGATCCATAAAGAGCGCTAGCCCGAAACGTCTTTTGATGCAGTAATTCCTGGGCACCGGCATCGCTCACATTCTCCTCTCAGAATTACACCGGGAGGGGTCGCGAACCTCTGCTAGCCGCTCTCGCTGCGATCCGGAGATACCCAGACACCGGACTCCTTGAGTTCACAGCCCGGATGCAGAAGGGAATCCTAGCAGCGCCGTACCGGATGTGTGAGTGGAAGTGACTGAGGTGAACTCACGACCGATTGGTTCTCCCGAGTGGACCCAAGCCTGTTTTCACCTGCCACTGGCCGCGTGGTTTGTCTATTTGAACAGTCCCCGCCCCCTGGAGAAGCCGGGTCCTGAAGCTTCTCTTCTTCATTACTATTGGCCTGTTTTTCAGTCCATCTTCTCCCTATACCTGTCGATTGGTCCTCAGGGCTGGGAACCCTCCTTCCCTCGCTCCCGGCTTAGAGGACAGCGGGGAAGGCGGGCGGTGGGGCAGGGGGCCTGAAGCGGCGGTACCGGTGCTGGCGGCGGCAGCTGAGGCCTTGGCCGAAGCCGCGCGGTGAGTCTAGGGCCTGGCACGACCCCTCTAGGGCGGCGTAATGTCCAGACCCACGGCCAGCCTGCCCGTGGGGGGGCCAGGGGAAGCCGCCCGTCTGGGACGTGGGGTCCCCACATTGCCGGCCCCACGACCTGGGCACCGTCTGAGGCCTTGACTCCCACCCCTCGAGGCAACGCCCACCTCCCCGGGACCCCCAAGAGACCCCTGGACCCTTCGGCCCGCGGTACGTCCGCCCGAAGGCCGGCCCATCAGCTCTGGTATTGCCCTTTGGGTCTTTTGCCTGTCACAGCCACCCTTTCTTTTGAGCCACGTATAAAAATTGTGTATCTCTGCCCCAGGGAACACTAGCGTCCGTGTCAGCCCCTTGTCCTCCACTGTGGACACCTCTCAGAGATCCAGTCCCCGAAACTGAGCTTGGTTACATCGTTGGGGTACATCTTCTCTCCCTCTCCCCCAGCCCCATCCCTGTTTCCCCCATCCAATCTTAACTTCCTTAAGCCCTATCAACACCATTAGGATATTTGACTTCAGATATCCTAAGTTTAATTGAATTCAGTCTGGAGCAGATGGCCTGTGGGCCTCAGATCATATAAAGATACACTGGTTCTTTCCTGAGAATAGAAATCCCTTGCCAGCCACCTTCCCCCCTTTCGGACGCACACACATACACACAAACTGGAGTAGTTTTCTTAGCAGGGATTCTTAAGTTTCTTCTCCCCTAAAGGATGACATTTCTTTCTGCAGTCTTCTTCTTGGCAGTGGAGTATTTGAAAGCTTTACAAAACCAATTATTCCCAGGTTTTTCCTCTGTGCCTTACAAATTCTTTCAAAAATAAGAATTTTGAGAAATTGGTTTTGTAGCATAAGCTGAACATACTTGGGATAGGTGTATGTTACACCCATGGCAGTGTGGGCATAATTGAGGAATGAGGGAATGAGCTCAGGAACTAATTGGTGTTTTTTGTTTTGTTTTGAGACGGAGTTTCGCTCTGTCGCCCAGGCTGGAGTGCAGTGGCTCGATCTCTGCTCACTGCAAGCTCCGCCTCCCGGGTTCCCGCCATTCTCCTGCCTCAGCCTCCCGAGTAGCTGGGACTACAGGCGCCCGCCACCATACGGCTAATTTTTTTTTTTTTTTGTATTTTTAGTAGAGGCGGGATTTCACCGTGTTGGCCAGGATGGTCTCGATTTCCTGACCTCGTGATCCGCCCGCCTCGGCCTCCCAAACCCGGCCAGGAACTAATTACTTTCTTTTAGCTTACATTTGAAGAGCTAGTCCCCTGTAGAACTGCGTTGTTCAGTACAAGAACCACCAGCCACATGTGGCTGTGGAGCACTTGAAATGTGACTAGTCCAGGCCGGGCATGGTGGCTCACACCTGTAATCCCAGCACTTTGGGAGGCCAAGGCGGGCAGATCACCTGAGGTCAGGAATTTGAGACCAGCCTGGCCAACATAATAAAACCCCATCTCTACTAAAAACACACAAAAATTAGCCAGGCGTGGTGCTGCACATCTGTAGTCCCAGCTACTCGGGAAGCTGAGGCAGGAGAATCATTTGAACCCGGGAGGTGGATGTTGCAGTGAGCCGAGATCATGCCACTGCACTCCAGCCTGGGTGACAGAGCGAGACTCTGTCTCAAAAAAAAAAAAAAAAATGACTAGTCCAAATTGACATTGTTGTAAGTGTAAAATGCACATTAGATTTTGAAGACTCGCTAAAAAAAAAGAATGGACACTATATCAATTTTTTAAATATTGATAACATGTTGAAATGATATTTTGGATATATTGGTTTAGGTAATTAATTTCACCTGTTTCTTTTTACCTTTTAAAATATGGCTACAAGCAGCCTTAAAATTACATTTGTGGATCATTGTATTTCCTCTTTTTTTTTTTTTTAATTGAGATGGAGTTTTGCTCTTGTTGCCCAGGCTGTAGTGCAATGGCCCAATCTCAGCTCACTGCAACCTCTGCCTCCTGGGTTCAAGTGATTCTCCTGCCTCAACCTCCCAAGTAGCTGGGGTTACAGGCACGCACTGCCACGCCTGGCTAATTTTGTATTTTTAGTAGAGACGGGGTTTCACCATATTGCCCAGGCTGGTCTCAAACTCCTGACCTCAGGTGATCTGCCCACCTTGGGCTCCCAAAGTGCCGGGATTACAGGCGTGAGCCACTGTGCCCGGCCTAAATTTCCATTAGATAGTGCTGCTGTAGAATAATAATCTCTCTTTTTAGACTGAACTTGAGGAAAGGGGCAGTCTTAGTCATTTTTAATTCTTTCCCTACCTCCTGACATTTGTTACCTGGCATTTTGCCATGTACATAGTAGTAGTAGTAGTAATAATAATAGCTAACAATTATTAAGAACTTAGTATATGCCCTGCACTGTTTTAAACACTTTTTGACACGTATTAAGTCATTTAGTTCTCACATCAACCCATGAACTAGGTACTATTATCTTCCTATTGTAGTTGAAGAAACACATTTTGAGTGTCTTTCTTGAGGTATATAACCTTGTTTTTGTTTTCGTTTGTTTTTGTTTTGAGACAGTGCAGTGGCAGGATCTCGGCTCACTGCAGCCTCTACCTCCCAGGTTCAAGGGATTCTCCTGCCTCAGCCTCCTGGGTGACACATGCCACCACGCCCAGCTAATTTTTGTATTTTTCATAGAGATGGGTTTTCACCATGTTGGGCAGGCTGGTCTCAAATTCCTGACCTCAGGTGGTCCTCCAGGCTCAGCCTCCCAAACTGCTCAAGGTATATAACCCAAGGATTCAAACCCAAGTAGGCTAGGCCGATAGCCCACAATTTAACCTCCCTACTACACTGCCTCTTTTAAACATCAGTCATTGTTTAATGAATCTAGGCTTTCTAAATGTTCCTCAATCAGATCTCTCAACCTTTTTAGAATCCCCTGCCTGACAAGGGCTAGGGGGAGATCTGTGTTGGGTGACCAGGGCCATAAGTAAATTTATCATCATACTTTCTTATCCAGAATATTAAAGGAAACTTCTCTCTAAAGAACCTCAGGGCAAGATGCTTGGAACCGGACCTGCCGCCGCCACCACCGCTGCCACCACATCTAGCAATGTGAGCGTCCTGCAGCAGTTTGCCAGTGGCCTAAAGAGCCGGAATGAGGAAACCAGGGCCAAAGCCGCCAAGGAGCTCCAGCACTATGTCACCATGGAACTCCGAGAGGTGCTTCTGGGATCTGGGGCCAGTCATTGTGGGATGTGTGGGCTAAATGTACCATCACTGGTTTACATTTTTTTTTGTACAGCTAAGTGAGGATTTGGAAAACAGAGATTATTTTATAAAGGCACCCAACCTGTCACATCCATAAAACATGCAGGTTCTTTTGCAGCAGTTGCACATTTTTGTAGCATTTTTCTTGTTTGTGGTCACATTTTAGGGGCCAGAATAGACTTAGCTGTTTCTTTTAACTTTTTATTTTTTCCTTACCACATACCACACCCTCAAATGCTTTCTGTCTGATAACAGTGATTGGGATGGGTTTGGAGAGTTGAGAGCTAGGGGCTTTCTAAATAGAGACCAGACTTGAGGTCAGAGACAGTATCTTGTTTCTCCTTTTATCCCTGGTACTAGAAAGAACCTAGGACAGGACATTTTCTGCCACAGAGTAGATACCTAATAAATATTTGTTAAATAATCAGATGATTGCAAGTTCAGGTACTCTACAGTGTAATCCTATAGAAATGGGCAGTAACTTGTCTTCTTTGGTTTGAACTATACCTCCTGCCTCTCAGGATCTAATCTTTAGATGCCAGCCCACTCCCACCACCACAGTTAGAGAATTATTAGAAATTGTTCTGATTATATCTTCTTTTGCAGATGAGTCAAGAGGAGTCTACTCGCTTCTATGACCAACTGAACCATCACATTTTTGAATTGGTTTCCAGCTCAGATGCCAATGAGAGGAAAGGTGGCATCTTGGCCATAGGTAAGGACAGAGTCTCTGGTCACAAAAACAACACACTCACCTTTGTGCCCACTGCACCCTGTGTCTGCCACTTACTGGATACTAGTTCATATTTGCTTAATGAAATTTAAGAAGCCCGTGGCTTTTAATTCTAGCAGCAGCCCTGGGCCACAGGAAAAACGTATTTTTAGATGTGGAAGTGGAGTCTCGGAACCATCGAGTGACTTTTCAGACAGTTTACCAGAGCTGAGACTAGAAGCCAGCTTTCTTTCCACTCCTTCATATTGCCTTTTGTGGGCTCTGCTTCCTCAGTAGAGCAGGGTTTCGCATAGTGGGGCTCACGAATGGAAAAGTGGAATCGGTATAGTTAATAAAAGGCAGGTCTTTTTTTTTTTTTTGAGATGGAGTCTCACTCTTGCCGGGGCTGGAGTTCAGTGGTGCAATCTTGGCTTGCTGCAACCTCCGCCTCCTGGGTTCAAGCGATTCTCGTGCCTCAGCCTCCCGAGTAGCTGGGATTACAGGCACCTGCCACCATGCCCAGCTAATGTTTGTATTTTCAGTAGAGACAGGGTTTCACCATGTTGGCCAGGCTGGTCTCGAACTCCTGACCTCAAGTGATCTGCCCACCTCAGCCTCCCAGAGTGCTGGGATTACAGGTGTGAGCCACCACAACTGGCCAGGCAGGTCATTTTTAACTTCTAAGGACTGGTCATCAGTCCTGTGAATTATTATCCAGTCCCAGTTGTTTTCCCTTTTTGGGGGGTAGGGGAGAAAATTATACTAGCATGAGATTATTTTGCTTTATGTAAATATTTCTGGCACAAGTATTAAATATCTGGGTTAAAATGAAAATTGTATCTGTCCTTGCCATCTAGAAATGTACTCAAAGTAGAATGGAGGGTTCACTCGCCAGATTTTTTTTTTTTTTTTTTTTTTTTTCTCTGAGACAGAGTCTCACTCTGTCGCCCAGGCTGGAGTGCAATGGTGCAGTCTCGGCTTACTGCAACCTCTGCCTCCCAGGTCCAAGCAATTCTCCTGCCTCAGCCTCCCAAGTAGCTGGGATTACAGGCGTGTGCCACCACGCCTGGCTAATTTTTTTGTTTTCTTTTTTTTTTTTTTTTTTTTGTATCTTAGTAGAGACGGGGTTTCACCATGTTGCCCAGGCTGGTCTCAAACTCCTGAGCTCAGGCAATCCGCCCGCCTCAGCCTCCCAAAGTGCTAGGATTACAGACTTGAGCCACCGTGCCTGGCCGGCACTCACCAGCTTTTAGTTGAAGTCTGCGTACTTTCCTGGCCAGCATACGCCCCATCATCACCTTTTGCCTTCCTCTCTTTTGCAGCTAGCCTCATAGGAGTGGAAGGTGGGAATGCCACCCGAATTGGCAGATTTGCCAACTATCTTCGGAACCTCCTCCCCTCCAATGACCCAGTTGTCATGGAAATGGCATCCAAGGCCATTGGCCGTCTTGCCATGGCAGGGGACACTTTTACCGCTGAGTACGTGGAATTTGAGGTGAAGCGAGCCCTGGAATGGCTGGGTGCTGACCGCAATGAGGGCCGGAGACATGCAGCTGTGAGTGTCTACAGGGAGGAGCACAGCCAGGCTTGGGGAACGATGGTGTCATGGGGGGGTCTTTTGCTTCCTTCTGAGGCTCATTCCTTAAAAAAGCTGGTTAGAAGAGCTAGGATTCCAGGCTGTGAGATGGGGTAGAGTCCGTCCTTAAGAGGGAATCTAGCATGGTGTGGTGGGGATCAGAAGCATCAGCTGCGTGCTTTCCAGTCTGCTGCCCTTCGGAGGAGGCAGTACTGTGAGGAGGGGGCACGGTACCAGGAAAAGGACACACACTTGGACCCTGGCTCAAGTCTTGGCTTTGCAACTTCCTACCTAACTCTGTAACCTGGGGCAGCTTCTGACCTTCAGTTTCTTCCTCTGTCAAATAAAAATAACAACAGGATTAAACATTAAACAGGATTATCCATTCAGTAAATATTTACTACATACCTACTGTATTCCAGGTAGAGTTCTAGGCTGTTAGTATAGTGGTAAAGAAAACATAAAACACATCTGCACTTCCAGAACTTATGTTCAAACATTACAAGCATTCTGTGTTTGTAAACAACCTAGGATAATGAGCACTGAGATGTTTAATCAATTTTGCTTTCCTTCCTCTGTCCTCAGAATTTCCTAGCTAGAAGAGTGAGCAAGCCTTCTCTGTTCCTGGTGTGTATGGCTCTAAGATGACAAGAGACTGTACTCCTGAGAGAACAAAACTCTGGTACCAATGAGAGTTCTCGGTTTGCTTTTTTCTCCAGGTCCTGGTTCTCCGTGAGCTGGCCATCAGCGTCCCTACCTTCTTCTTCCAGCAAGTGCAACCCTTCTTTGACAACATTTTTGTGGCCGTGTGGGACCCCAAACAGGCCATCCGTGAGGGAGCTGTAGCCGCCCTTCGTGCCTGTCTGATTCTCACAACCCAGCGTGAGCCGAAGGAGATGCAGAAGCCTCAGTGGTACAGGGTAAGGAGATGGCTCCATTCCCACCACTAGCAAAGCACATCTGCGTAGAGAATCACCTGGCCTAAAGGGCAGCCACAAGCCCTTGCCATGGAGCAAGAATCACGTTTTGGTTTGCTCTCAAATGAATTTTTTTTTTTTTTTTTTTGTGATGGAGTCTTGCTTTGTCGCCCAGGCTGGAGTGCAGTGGCGCAATCTCGGCTCACTGCAACCTCCGCCTCTTGGGTTCAAGCGATTTTCTCCCACCTTAGCCTCCCGAATAGCTAGGACTACAGGCGTGTGCCACCACGCCCAGCTAATTTTTGTAATAGAGACAGGGTTTTGCCATGTTGGCCAGGCTGGTCTCGAATTCCTGACCTCAGGTGATCCACCTGCCTTGGCCTCTCAAAGTGCTGGGATTACAGACATGAGCTACCGCGCCTGGCCTCCAATGAATTTTTTATGCTCAGTATGAATCAATAGTTACTTTATTGCATTTTATTAAAGCAAACATCTATTGATAGCCATACCATTATTCTATACATTATTTTATGTATGACTAAGAATGCAAATATGCCAATTAAACTGTGACTTGGTACCTCTTTCTTTTTTTTTTTTTTTTTTTTTTTTTTTGGAGATGGAGTCTTGTTCTGTCACCAAGCTGGAGTTTAGTGGTGTGATTTTGTCTCACTGTAGCCTCTGCCTCCTGGGTTCAAGTGATTCTCCTGCCTCAGCCTCCCGAGTAGCTGGGACTACAGGCATGTGCCATCACGCCCAGCCAATTTTTGTGTTTTTAGTAGAGACAGGGTTTCACCATATTGGCCAGGATGGTCTTGATCTCTTGACCTCATGATCCACCTGCCTTGACCTCCCAAAGTGCTGGGATTACAGGCATGAGCCACTGTGCCCGGCCAACTTTGTACCTTCTTCTTATTAATAATTAATTATAAGACATCTCAGCTGGATGCTCACGCCTGTAATCCCAACATTTTGGGAGGCCAAGGCAGGAGGATTGCTTGAGCTCAGGAGTTTGAGACCAGCCTGGGCAGCATGTGGGATCCCGTCTCTACAAAAAATAAAAAAATTAGCTGGGCCTGGTGTTACACGCCTGTGGTCCCAGCTATTTGGGAGGCTGAGGCGGGAGAATTGCTTGAGCCCAAGAGATCAAGGCTGCAGTGAGTCATGATCATGCCACTGCACTCCAGACTTGACAACAGAGTGAGACTCTGTCTCAAAAAAAAAAAAAAGACATCTCTTTTCAGAGATGTTAAAATACGGAAAAATAGGTGTCTCAAAATCAGTGAGATACAAATGATACTAATTTAGAAAGTGCCATTTCTCTCTGCTCTAGTATAATGAGGCCTGTGCTGATTACTGCTGCAGAGGGAACTTATCAGTGAGTCTTATATTAGAAAAAGAGCTCTGAACATGGGATTGGGAGATGCGGGTTCCAGTCTTGCCTTTGCTGTGTGATCTTGGACAAGTCACTTAAATTCTTTGAGCCTGTGTTTTTAGCTGTTAAATAGGGATGATGATGGTATCTTCCTCAAAGGCTTATTATGAGAATTGAAGCTGGGGCTGGGCGTGGTGGCTTACACCTGTAATCACAGCACTTTGGGAGGCTGAGATGGGTGGATCACTTGAGGTCAGGAGTTTGAGACCAGCCTGGTTAACATGGTGAAGCCCTGTCTCTACTAAAAATACAAAAATTAGCCAGGCGTGGTAGTGTGTGCCTGTAATCTCAGCTACTCAGGGGGCTGAGGCAGGAGAATCACTTGAACCCAGGAGGTGGAGGTTGTGGAGAGCCGAGATTGCGCCACTGCACTCCAGCCTGGGCAATAGAGCAAGACTCCATCTCAAAAAAAAAAAATTGAAGCTGAATTAAATAAAAGAGATTGATCAGTTAGTTTTGTTGATGACTGGCACTAGGCACTGAGCAGGCGTGGTAGCACCTCAGAACCCCCAGTGTAGATGGGATGGGCCTGTATTCTTTCTGGGTTTGTACTCTGTCTCTAATGAAGGCACCCTGTCTCTCTACATAGCACACATTTGAAGAAGCAGAGAAGGGATTTGATGAGACCTTGGCCAAAGAGAAGGGCATGAATCGGGATGATCGGATCCATGGAGCCTTGTTGATCCTTAACGAGCTGGTCCGAATCAGCAGCATGGAGGGAGAGGTGAGAAGCCACGGCAGAGGGGAGTCCAGGCTCCCCGTGTACCATTCTGTGAGCGAGGCAAGGCGAGATCCATGTCCTCATGGAGCTGACATTTTGTGGCAGGAAACATAATAAATAAGTAAATAAGATAATTTCAGATAGCAGCAAGTTCTATGAAGAAAGTCAAACCAGAATAGAATAGAGAGTGATGGGGAGGGGGTGAGTGGAGGGTCAAGGAAGGCCCTCCCTGAGGTGGTGTTATTTGACGGGGGTCCACATGACACGAAGGAGCTACCTTGCAGCAGGCCGGGGGACTGTGTTCCAGGCTGAGGCTTTGAGGTGGAAGAGTGTGAGACATTGATGAAACAGAAGAAAGGGAAGTATGGCTGGTGTACCGGGAGCAAGGGAGAGGGAAGGAGGGGCCAAATTAATAGGCCCACGGTTCACAGTAAACACGAGCTTTCACAGGGGTAAACATTGGAAGTATGCACACAGGCGAATAATGTGATGTCATGCGTTTCTAACAATCACTGACTGCTTATAGGAAAAAATGTGGGGAAAGGCAGGAATGAAAGCAGGGAGACCAATTAGGAGATGTGTTGGCTTGAGAAGGTGGATTTAAAAGTGCATGGATTTTATTAGGGAAACAGCCTTCAAGAGAATATGGGGAGGAAGCTGGGAGAAGCATCGGACCACAATGCACATCTGACCCTGAGTAAGCAAGAGGGTAAAATTCGGATAGAAGTGTTCTAGCCTACTCTGCAGGGCCACCGCGGGGTCCTCAAGCCAAAGTTGGCTGTCAGAGAGGTCTGTGTCTCCCAAGAGCAGGATAGCCTTAGCATCCCTACTGTGTTCTGTCATTGGCTGGGAGCAATGGGTGACGTTGGCACAAACTTAGTGATGGGTTTCAGAGCAGCAGCTGGGGCCCTTGGTTATGCGCCTTGTAGTTGGAGGTTGCATTCTCACGGCTGCCAGACGAAGCTATTACGGTAGTCTGGGTGAGTGACAGTGGTGGCTTTGACTAGGAGTGGTGGCACAGATACTGAGAAGTAGTTGATTCAGGATATATTTGGGAGGTAAAGCTCCATCTGTGAGACTGGCTGTAGAAAATGAGCTGTGAAATTTTACCCCGGGGATTCCTGCTTATAATAGACACAGTGCTTGTTAGATAATAGCCATGCCCAGATGTGGGAGCAGCGCATGCAGCAGTGTGCAGAAGCAGGAGGAGTCTGGCTTCAGATCCCCACCGCTCTGATGACTGTGCGACTCAGGCAAGTTACCTGTTTAGCCTCATTTTTCTCCCTTTGGACAGGGGCTCTTACCTACCTCATTGGGCTCTTGTGCGGTTTCTATATGATGTTGGCTCTCTATATCCATGAGTTCTACATCTGGATTCAACTAGTCATGGTTCACAAATACCCAGGGCTGGGTGCAGTGGCCCACACCTGCAATTTCAGCACTTTGGGAGGCTGAAGTGGGAAGATCACTTGATCCCAGGAGTTCGTGACCAGCCTGGGCAAAAGACGGTGAGACCGTGTCTCTACAAAAAAATTTTTTTAACTTTTTAAAAAGAAAAAAAAAATCAAGGAAAAAACAAACAATTTAAAGATAATACAAATTTTTAAAAATACAGTGCAACAAATATTTACATAGCATTTACTTTGTATAAGGTGTTATAACTAACATAGAGATGATTTAAAGTATGTGGGAAGCTATACATAGGTTATATGCAAATACTATGCTACTTTATCGGAGGGACTTGAGCATCTGCAGATTTTGGTATCGCAGTGGGTCATGGAACCAACCCCCATGGATACTAAGGGGATGACTATGTGTGTGAAGTGTCCAGCACAGCACCTAATACATAGTGGGCATTCTATAAATGGTAACCTTCAGATTTTACCTCCTGAGTTTAACATAATGTTTTCCACTGTAATCTAGGCACCTCTGAGATCTTTGTTTCCTCCCATTAAAACAGGACAGTATCACCTAGCTCATAGAGTGGTTGTCAGATTTCATTGAAATAGTTCTTGTGCAGGTGGTTTGTAAATTATAAGAAACTATCCAAGGCTGGGCATGGTGGCTCATGCCTGTAATCCAATCCAAGCATTCTGGGAGACCGAGGTGGGAGTTTGAGCTCAGGAGTTTGAGACCAGCCTGGGCAACATAATGAGACCTTGTCACTAAAAAAAAAAAAAAAAAAAGAAACTATCTAAATATAAGGTATTAAAATTTCATAATTTGTTCATTCATTCAACACATATTAATTGAGCACCTAGTATATGCCAGCTACACTGTGTCCTAAGAGCTAGAATAATCCAGCAGTGAACAAAATAGATTCCATTCTTATAAGGGAAGATAGATAATATACAAGTAAAAACCTATTATATATCATATGGTTATAAGAGCTATGGAGAAAAGTAGGGCAAGGAAGGGGAATAGAGTATGCTCACCTGGATTAAGGATTACATTTTAAAACACGGTGCTATTTGAGCACAGCCATGAAGGAGGTTAGAAAAAAGCCCTACAGGTATCTGGGGAAGAGCATTCTAGGCAGTGGTCCCTGAGGCAGGAGCGTGCTGGTGTATTAGAGGAGCAGCAAATACTGCAGTAGCAGCTCCCCTACCATGGCTGAGCAGAGTGAGCAGGAGAAGTGTGTGGGGATATGGGGTCAGAGGAACACCTAAGGGAAGGAGGGGCATATCACATAGGGCCTTTGTGTGGGAAGCGGGAAGCTATAAGTGGGCTTTGAGCAGTGGAGTGACATTTAACTCATATTTCAAAAGGATCACTCTTGCCATTGTGTTGAGAATGGATTGTTAGAGGGTCAAGGACTAAAGCCAGGAATCCAGTTAGGAGGGAATTGCCATGGTCTTAGTGGGGGATATTTGTGGCTCAGACCACAGTGGGAGCTATGGAGTTGCAAGAAGCAACTGGATTCTGAATTTGGGATTTGCTGATGGTTTGGAGGTAGATGGAGAGAAAGAAGTGTCAAGGTGTTTGGCCTGAGTATTAGGAGGATGAAGTTGCCATTCACTGCAGTGGGAAGACTGAAATGGGAGCAGCAGGCTTGCGGGAGAAGACTGGGAATTTGGTTTTGAACCTGTTAACTTAGAGACCTGTTGGGCACCTGAGTGAGGATACTGAATAGTTCTGGGGAGAGAGCTGGGCAAGGGGGATGGATTTGGGCATTGTCAGCGTATAGATGTTATTTCATCATGAGACTGGGTGAGAAGCACAAGGGAACTAGTACAGTTGGAGAAGAGATGGAGTCTGCAAACCTGAGGTCAGGAGATGAAGAGGACCAAGGCAGATGGGGAAGGAACAGCCAGGGAGGGAGGAGGAGAGCCAGGAGAGTTTAGAGTCTGAGAAGCCAGGTGAAGAAAGGGCGTCAAGGAGGTGGAAGTATCAGTTGGATGAAATGCTGCAGATAAGTCAAATAAGATGAGGACTAAGAATTGACCATTGGATTTAGCAGCTTAAGACTCACTGGTTGAGGGGCGCCTCTGCCCGGCCGCCCCTACTGGGAAGTGAGGAGCCCCTCTGCCCGGCCAGCCGCCCCATCTGGGAGGGAGGTGGGGGGGTCAGCCCCCTGCCCGGCCAGCCGCCCCGTCCGGGAGGGAGGTGGGGGGTCAGCCCCCCGCCCGGCCAGCCGCCCCGTCCGGGAGGGAGGTCGGGGGGTCAGCCCCCCGCCCGGCCAGCCGCCCTGTCCGGGAGGTGAGGGGCGCCTCTGCCCGGCCGCCCCTACTGGGAAGTGAGGAGCCCCTCTGCCCGGCCAGCCGCCCCGTCCGGGAGGGAGGTGTGGGGGTCAGCCCCCCGCCCGGCCAGCCACCCCGTCCGGGAGGTGAGGGGCGCCTCTGCCCGGCCGCCCCTGCTGGGAAGTGAGGAGCCCCTCTGCCCGGCCACCACCCCGTCTGGGAGGTGTGCCCAGTGGCTCATTGAGAACGGGCCATGATGACAGTGGCGGTTTTGTGGAATAGAAAGGGGGCAAAGGTGGGGAAAAGATTGAGAAATCGGATGGTTGCCGTGTCTGTGTAGAAAGAGGTAGACATGGGAGACTTTTCATTTTGTTCTGTACTAAGAAAAATTCTTCTGCCTTGGGATCCTGTTGATCTGTGACCTTACCCCCAACCCTGTGCTCTCTGAAACATGTGCTGTGTCCACTCAGGGTTAAATGGATTAAGGGCGGTGCAAGATGTGCTTTGTTAAACAGATGCTTGAAGGCAGCATGCTCATTAAGAGTCATCACCACTCCCTAATCTCAAGTACCCAGGGACACAAACACTGCGGAAGGCCGCAGGGTCCTCTGCCTAGGAAAACCAGAGACCTTTGTTCACTTGTTTATCTGCTGACCTTCCCTCCACTATTGTCCCATGACCCTGCCAAATCCCCCTCTGCGAGAAACACCCAAGAATGATCAATAAAAAATAAATAAATAAATAAATAAATAAAGATGGAGTGTTTTAGTTTCAAAAAAAAAAAGACTCACTGGTGACTTTGACGAGAGGACAAGATTTTCTGAAAAGTGAAAATATGTGTGTCAAGAAAAGTTTAGAAGTTTGGAAAACTTGTATCTCCTTCTCAATTTGGAGTCTTGGAGGATGAGTAGTCCCCAACCCCCCTCCCCTGGCCCCCAAAACCAAGGCTTGCTCTGCTGCCCAGGCTGGAGTACAGTTGGTGTGATCTCGGCTCACTGCAACCTCCGCCTCCTGGGTTCAAGCAATTCTCCTGCCTCAGCCTCCCGAGTAGCTGGGAGTACAGGCATGTGCCACCACACCCAGCTAATTTTTGTATTTTTAGTAGAAACGGGTTTTCACCATGTTGGTCAGACTGGTCTCGAACTCCTGACCTCATGATCTGCCCACCTAGGCCTCCCAAAGTGCTGGGATTACAGGCGTGAGCCCTTGCGCCTGACTCAGGATGAGTGATTAAGCAGCCCATTGTAAAGGTAATAGACATGAGTTCTCAGTCAGCTTATTCCATACTACCTGTGGAATCCTAGGATTCTGAGAAAATTATTTGGTTAAGTTTTTGTTTTTTGTTTTTTTGAGACAGATTTCCCTCTTGTCGCCCAGGCTAGAGTGCAGTGGTGCAATCTTGGCTCACTGCAACCTCTGCCTGCTGGGTTCAAGTGATTCTCCTGCCTCAGCCCCCAAGTAGCCAGGACTACAGGTGCCCACCACCACGCCCAGCTAATTTTTTGTATTTTTAATAGGGACGGGGTTTCACCATGTTGGCCAGGCTGGGCTTGAACTCCTGACCTCAGGTGATCTGCCCACCTTGGCCTCCCAAAGTACCGGAATTACAGGCATGAGCCACCACGCCTGGCCTGCATAAGTTTTTACCTGGGTTTCTAGGGAGAAGAAAGAGATCAGACAGTCCTTAACAGGATGCTGGCAGGGGAGCTCCCATCACCTTTGCAAGCCTCATTGCAGTGGCCTAGGTCAGTAGTCACAGCAGTATGCAAGTCAGCCCTTCCAAACCAAGTGAGGAGTCCTGGGAGGTGAGAACCCTTGGCAAGGCAGCCCTCTGCTGCTGCTTTATTGTTCAATAGGTGGTGCTCTTCTGCCTAACTTAGAACAAAATCAGGTCCCTTGCAAGGTTCTGGGGAAATTGTAACCCTAAACATGAAGAGTGGCCACCCTTCACTTTGGAAGTAGTTGCGTTTCGGGATTAGGCAAATGTAATTGTCTGTAGAATCCACAGTGCCCAGTTTGAATGCCAGTCATAAGTAAAGATGATTTTTTTCCTCCTCATATATATAGCGTCTGAGAGAAGAAATGGAAGAAATCACACAGCAGCAGCTGGTACACGACAAGTACTGCAAAGATCTCATGGGCTTCGGAACAAAACCTCGTCACATTACCCCCTTCACCAGTTTCCAGGCTGTACAGCCCCAGCAGTCAAATGCCTTGGTGGGGCTGCTGGGGTACAGCTCTCACCAAGGCCTCATGGGATTTGGGACCTCCCCCAGTCCAGCTAAGTCCACCCTGGTGGAGAGCCGGTGTTGCAGAGACTTGATGGAGGAGAAATTTGATCAGGTAAGTGGTGAGAGGCCCTTTCCCTCTTTTCCTAAGCTCCACACCTCACTTTTCCCCTGCCAACCCTTTATCCTTCCTCTCTCAGGTGTGCCAGTGGGTGCTGAAATGCAGGAATAGCAAGAACTCGCTGATCCAAATGACAATCCTTAATTTGTTGCCCCGCTTGGCTGCATTCCGACCTTCTGCCTTCACAGGTGAGGATGTCCATGGAAGACATCATTACCCATCTCAGGGTAAACAGGGAACAGGTGATTCCAGAAAAGCCAAATATCTTTTCCTTTGAAGCAACGCCAACAAATCTCTGATTTCTTTGTCTCATGTCCAATTTCAATGCTATTTAGTTCAGGTTTTCTAATGTCAGAGGCAGCAGACACAGGAACAATCAGAACAGAGAGGCAATTCTATGGCCAAGCAAATTTTCATGTATGGATGCCAACAAGTTCACAAGTAGACTTAAAAGAGACCAAAGGAAGGGCAGTTTTGATGTAGCTACTGTGCAGCATCTACGTCAAAGCTTTGTGAGTCAGGGAGGGTTTGGGGATCGTCCTGCTTCTGTCCCTGAGGTGGTCACCAAGCTGCCTCACCACTTGCAGGCAGCATCAATCCTTGGCTCCTGAAGCTGCCCCAACTCAGAGTCCAACTTCTCAACGAAGCCTTCCTAGATTGCTCCAGCTGTAAATGTCCTTGCCTTCTTCCATCATAGCCCTCAGCTGTGGAAAGGTTTGGCATCAGACCTGAGATGAACCCCACCTCCGCCCTTAACCATGAGGTTTTGGACAGATTATTTGACCTACCTGGGCCTCAGCTTCCTGACTTGTAAAATCAGAATAACAATCTCTGCCTCCCAAGATGAGCAGCATTAATGTCTCAGCATCTACTATAGTGCCTGGCACAGAGCCCTAATAAGTGGAAACCATTATATATTATTACAGCCTCCTCAAGCTACTTCAAATATGTTTTGGAAATAGGGTAGAGGTAAAATTTATAATGCTCTAGTTGCCTGTTCATACTTAATGTCCTTGTCTTACCTCTCTACTTGCTGAGTGTAGGCACCCAGTCTTGAACATCTCTTCCCACTTTACCGTGGTGCTCATTGCCTGTGCTTAGTGAAGCATTCAGGACCCATTGAGAGCCAGGAACATAAGCAAAAGGCCAGCCTGGCCCTCAGCAGACCCTATTCCCTAGCACACAGACTCACTTCACGCCACCCAGCCAGACAAACCACAGGAGAAATGTAGCTGGTCAGGTGTTAAACACGCTGTTCGAAAGAAGTAGAACGTGTTGGGTGAGGACATGACAATTCGCCACATAAAACCACTGAACCAGAGAGAAATAACAGAAGGAAAATCACCCGTATTTTGTTAGTTTCTATTGTTCTGGCCTGGCACCCAGCAGCTTTTCTCTTTTTTAATGACCAGACAGGCTGCTGTTCAGTAGAGCTTTAAATGATCTTGGATTGAAAGTCTGTGGTTCAAAAGGAACTAATAACTAGGCCAAATTTGATCAAAGTCTGGCACATTACCCTTGTAAGTTACCCTTGTAAGTTCAGAAGGCTGCCTAGCAGCAGGATACAAAGGCTCAGAGGGCCCTAGATTTCTTCTTTTGATGTGGGTGTTTGTTATTGTTGTTGCTCTCTTTTTTAAGGTTAGTCAAGGTTGTTTTATTAAATATGCTAAAATATGCCAGTGACATTCAGCCTGGGCACACCGTATAAGTATTTGCTTCATTGCATAAGTACTATTTGTTTAAAGCTTGCAGTTTGGAAGTTATTGCTTAAACTTCTCAATGTTATAAGCTTTAGAAATATAAAAAAATACTCCAAGACTGAACTAGAATCTCTACAGTCAGATTTCTAATCTCAGGATGCTAAATCCAGGAAAGAAAATTATACTCTCTTGGGGTTTTTTTTGAGACAGGGTCTTGCTGTGTCACCCAGGCTGAAGTGCAGTAATGCGATCTCAGCTCGCTGCAGCCATGACCTACTGAGCTCAAGCGATCCTCTCACCTCAGCCTCCCAAGTAGGTAGGACCACAGGCATGAGTCTCCACTCCTGGCTAATTTTTTAAATTTATTTTTTGTAGAGATGATTTGGGATCTCACTGTGTTGCCCAGGC
Source organism: Homo sapiens (assembly GCF_000001405.40). Lineage (NCBI taxonomy): Eukaryota > Metazoa > Chordata > Mammalia > Primates > Hominidae > Homo > Homo sapiens. Next base: position 11,245,704 of record NC_000001.11, on the reverse strand, counting down.
TGGTCTTGAACTCCTGGGCTCAAGCAATTCTCCTGCCTTGGCCTCCCAAAGTGCTTGGGATTACAGACATGAGCTGTGGCGCCTTGCCAGGAAATTATGCTCTTGATTTTACCCCGTTTCCTGCCGAAATGCTATCCCCTTAGTTTTTCTTGTTGACCCACTCTAATTTTAGGGTTGTATCTCCTTGGTCACCTGTCTTCAAGCCCCAGCATGCCTCATTGTCATTTGACCACAAGAGCCATGGGAGAAAACATTTCTCAGAGTAAATGCAGTCATAGCATGTGCTATTTTAGAAGTCTAATTCATTGTCTAAATGTGGTTCTGGTAGCTTTCAGTATCCCTAACTTCCTAAGGGATGTGTGGTTTTCCCTTCTCTCCTATTTTATGTGTACTACTGGTGCCTGGACTTGGGACCAACATCAATGGAAGAGAAGAAATAAATAGACAAGAAGCAAGAATCAGGAAATTCCAGCCTTCAGAGGAGAAATAACACTTTAGCTTGGATTGTATGAGAATCGCCTACCCATGCACACTGGCTTATGTGAACCTAATGAAAATATACATGTGGCTTTCCAAATTATAGACTAAATCTTCTTCTATTAAATATAACTGTCATAAAAATCTCTAGGTAATAGCAAAATGATTTCCAGGCCTATGCTGAATGGAATGGCCTGTTTATTGCAAACAGTGCTCAGTATTACAGTCATATATTGCTTAACGATGGGGATACATTCTGAGAAATGCGTCTTAGGAGAATTTGTCCTTGTGTGAACATCATAGAATGTATTTACATAAACCCAGATGGTATAGCCTACTCTACACCTAGCTCTGTGGTGTAGCCTATTGCTCCTGGGCTACAACTTGTACAGCATGTTACTGTAATGAATATTCTAGGCAACTGTAAAACAGTGGTAAATGTTTGTGTATCTAAACATAGACATAGAAAAGATATGTAAAAATATACTGTATTATAATCTTATGGGACCACCATCATATACATGGTCCATTGTTAACCCAAACGTTGTTAAGTGGCACACGACTGTACTGTTTTTTTGTTTGTTTGTTTGTTTTTCTGAGACAGAGTCTTGCTCTGTTGCCCAGGCTGGAGTGCAGTGGCACGATCTTGGCTCACTGCAACCTCTGCCTCCCGGGTTCAAGTGATTCTCCTGCGTCAGCCTTCCGAGTAGCTGGGATTACAGGCGCACTACCATGCCTGGCTAATTTTTTGTATTTCAGTAGAGACGGGGTTTCATCATGTTGTGCAGGCTGGTCTCAAACTCCTGAGCTCAGGCAGTCCACCCGCCTTGGCCTCCCAAAGTGTTGGGATTACAGGCGTGAGCCACCGCGCCCGACCCTGTACTGGTTTTTTATTAGTTTGAGATGGGGTCTTTTTTTTTTTTTTTTTTTTAAATGAGATGTAGTTTTGCTCTTGTTGCCCAGGCTGGAGTGGAATGGCGTGATCTCGGCTCACCGCAACCTCCGCCTCCCGGGTTCAAGCGATTCTCCTGCCTCAGTCTCCTGAGTAGCTAGGATTACAGGCATGCACCCTTATGTCCGGCTAATTTTGTATTTTTAGTAGAGATGGGGTTTCTTTATGTTGGTTAGGCTGGTTTCAAACTCCTGACCTCAGGTGATCCTCCTGCCTTGGTGTCCCAAAGTGCTGGGATTACAGGCATGAGCCACTGCATCTGAGACAGGGTCTTATTCTGTTGCCCAGGCTGGAGTGCATGGCTCTTGGCTCAGTGCGGCCTCAAACTCCTGGACTCAAGTGATGTTCCTCAGCCTCCCAAAGTGCTGGGATTACATGTGTGAGACACTGCACCCGGCCCATGACTGTACTTCAAATTTCATTATAATGTAAAATTGTTTAGATGATCTTCTGTTTTTAAACAAGGTTTGACATATATTTCTTCAGCAAGAGCATGTAATTCTTGTGTGAAAATGTAACAGTAATGGAGACAATTCTGTGATATTGTTTTGGCAACCTTTTACGTTTTTTGGGTTTTTTTTTTTTTTTGAGACAGGCTCTTTGTCACTCAGGCTTGAGTGCAGTGCTGCACACGATCACACCTTTCTGCAGCCTCAACCATCTGGGCTCAAGTGATCCTCCTGCCTCAGCCTCCCGAGTAGCTGGGATTACAGGCATGCACCACCACACCTGGCTAATTTTTATTTTTGTAGAGACAGGGTCTCACTGTGTTGCCCAGGCTGTTTCGAACTCCTGGCCTCAAACACTCCTCTCTCCTTGGCCTCCCAAAGTGTTGGGATTACAGGTGTGAGCCACTGTGCCTGGCCACTTTCTTAATTTATTCTTAAACTGAATTGCTTTATAGGACCTTTGACTGTTGATATGTAGACCCTAACCCTGACCTGGAGCTATCTACTTTGTCTTTTCTGTGCTCAGATACCCAGTATCTCCAAGATACCATGAACCATGTCCTAAGCTGTGTCAAGAAGGAGAAGGAACGTACAGCGGCCTTCCAAGCCCTGGGGCTACTTTCTGTGGCTGTGAGGTCTGAGTTTAAGGTCTATTTGCCTCGCGTGCTGGACATCATCCGAGCGGCCCTGCCCCCAAAGGACTTCGCCCATAAGTAAGCACCTCTGTTATGATTTCACCTTCCACTCCATTTGGTTGGAGAGGAAGGACGCTCTATTTCAGATCCACGGAGCTTACGCCCATTTTTTGCATCATTAAACTCCAGGGTATAGCAAATCATATGAAGAACAGCCCTTCCTTAGTTGAATTCTAAGCTTTTCCAAATGAAATAACATATATGAAATATTTGGGGAGGTTGAATACCCTGAGAACATGTGAGATGCCAATGCTATTTTCAGTGTTATTATTTACTGGGAATCTGCTAGTTTTGCTTTTTTCTCTGGCTTTTAAAAGTCTTATTTTGATATAAGACCTAAAGAGAGGAATCCTTGACTGGAACTGAAGGGACCTAAGGGTCATCTTTTTCCTCATCGCTGAAGTTGAATAAGTTATTCCACCTCTTTAAACCTCCTGGCGAATAAAATATGAGAAAACCCCTCAGCATCCTGCCAGATGGAGAGACTGGGGTGTCTTCGCTAAGGCGAGGGGGTCAGTGTTCATCATCCTTTGTCTCAGGTTGTCTTTATACTTCCCTGTTTATTAGCGAAGATTGCTGTGGTGAATTAATACGCCCCACTCATTCTTTTTTTTTTTTTTTTTTTTTTTTTGAGATGGAGTCTTACTTTGGTTGCCCAGGCCGGAGTGCAGTGGCACGGTCTTGGGTCACTGCAACCTCCTCCTCTCAGGTTCAAGCGATTCTCCTGCCTCAGCCTCCTGAGTAGCTGGGATTACAGGCATGTGCCACTATGCCAAGCTAATAATTGTATTTTTTTGTAGACACAGGTTTTCACCATTTTGGCCGGGCTGGTCTCGAACTCCTGGCCTCAAGTGATCCACCCACCTTAGCCTCCCAAGTAGCTGGGACTACAGGCGTGTGCCAGCACGCCCAGCTAATTTTTGTATTTTTAGTAGAGGCGGGGTTTCACCATGTTGGCCAGGCTGGTCTCGAACTCCTGACCTCAGGTGATCCACCCACCTCCGCCTCCCAGAGTGCTGGGATTACAGGCGTGAGTCGCTGCGCCTGGCCCCATTCTAAAGCCCAGCATTCTCATCATAGAAGAATTTCTTTCCATATGATGGCTGTGTACTGCCTTCTTGTCCCTGATGAACACATTGTTCAGCTCTCTTCCTACATAATTATCTTGGTGAGCACCACAATAACCCATATGGTATAGCTGTGTGAATTCAGAAAAAAGGCCCCTTCCTTAAGACACTTTACTGCCATCTGCTGGATTGTTGTAGAAATGTACAAATCTACAGTAATTGTGATGTGATGGGTCCCTTTGAACTGTGCTCTGGACAATTTGCATACCCATCTGTGGTAGCCCTGCCTGAGTAACCTGCTCTCCTTGCCCCAAGGTGATTTTGAGGTGGGACATTAAAGAATGTCATTATGTCTCAACTAGCCACTCTCCATTTCTCTACAGGAGGCAGAAGGCAATGCAGGTGGATGCCACAGTCTTCACTTGCATCAGCATGCTGGCTCGAGCAATGGGGCCAGGCATCCAGCAGGATATCAAGGAGCTGCTGGAGCCCATGCTGGCAGTGGGACTAAGGTGGGTGTCAGAAACCTGAGCTTGCCCTGTATCAGCGTGAGGCTTGGCCCCCAGTGTTGGGACTGTTAAAAGAATGAGGCATGGTTGTTTGCACATTCAACTGGATGGACAGGATAGCTTAGACTAAACACACAGGCTAGTACTGAATCCTAGTTTCATCACTAGCTTTCTATATGATCTTGACTAAGTTATTTAATTTCCCCGAGCCTCATTTTTTTTTTTTTTTTTTTTTGAGAAGGGGTCTCGCTCTGTCGCCCAGGCTGGAGTGCAGTGGCCCAGTCTTGGCTCACTGCAAGCTCCGCCTCCCGGGTTCACGCCATTCTCCTGCCTCAGCCTCCTGAGTAGCTGGGACTACAGGCGCCTGCCACCACGCCTGGCTAATTCTTTGTATTTTTAGTAGAGTTGGGGTTTCAGTGTGTTAGCCAGGATGGTCTCGATCTCCTGACCTTGTGATCCGCCCACCTCGGCTCCCAAAGTGCTGAGATTACAGGTGTGAGCCACCGCGCCTGGCCTCATTTTTTTTTTTTAATCTGAAAAGTGGGTGCAATAGTAATTCTTATTGCCTAGGGTTGCTGTGGGTTCATGGTATAGTCACTCTTAGCACCATGCCTGGCATATAGGAAGTACTCAATAAATATTTGCAAATATTGTGTATATTATTATTGAGCAAGTTGCTTAAGCTTCCTAAACTAAGTTCTCTTCATCTGTAAAATAAGGACAGTGTTCTTAATCTGCTTCCCAGAGTGTTTGTTGAGACTTGGTCTTCTGTAGTGGCTGAATTATAGTGAGCAAGTCTTCTGTGGCAAGAACCAGAAACTCATAGATTGTTTGGAGACCTGAGACTAAGCCAAGAGAGTTTACACTTTTATTCTTATTTTATAATATCCTTTCTACTCTGAAGAACAGAGGCCTGATCCCCTTGCTGGGAGAGAAAGCTGTTTCTTCCCAAGAACAGACTGAGTGTCATGTGCCCAGCCCTTATGTGACTTGTTTCCTTCCCCTCAGCCCTGCCCTCACTGCAGTGCTCTACGACCTGAGCCGTCAGATTCCACAGCTAAAGAAGGACATTCAAGATGGGCTACTGAAAATGCTGTCCCTGGTCCTTATGCACAAACCCCTTCGCCACCCAGGCATGCCCAAGGGCCTGGCCCATCAGCTGGCCTCTCCTGGCCTCACGACCCTCCCTGAGGCCAGCGATGTGGGCAGCATCACTCTTGCCCTCCGAACGCTTGGCAGCTTTGAATTTGAAGGTAAGAAATTACAACGGCTCTTGCCAAGATAGTGAGAGATGCTGGAAACTTTGGGAAAGGAATGAAGGTATCTAGGATTCCTGGATCTTGCTGGGGTGCTAAAGACAGGGTAGCTGATTCTGTAGCAGCTCATCCTTCCTAGACTCTTTCCACGTATTGGTAATTCCTACTTTTGTTTCTTTGTCCCATACTGAGTTTGGGGGCAAATGGTTTGAGGGAAAGTATACGTTGATCCAAGGAAATAATGCTTCAGAGACAGATCCCCCTCACATCCTCACTTTTCCACTTCTTTGTAGCTGAGATGGTATGTAATGCTTTAAAATGTATAAGTAGGGGCTTTTGGGTGTTTCCATGTCTATGGCAGTATGATTTCTTTTTTCTTTCTTTTTTTTTTTTTTTTGAGACAAAGTCTCTCTGTTGCCCAGGCTGATGTGCAGTGGCACAATCTCAGCTCACTGCAACCTCTGCCTCCTGGGTTCAAGCGATTCTCCTGCCACAGCCTCCCGAGTAGCTGGGACTATAGGCGCGTGTCACCACACCCGGCTAATTTTTGTATTTTTGGTAGAGATGGGGTTTCACCATGTTGGCCAGGTTGGTCTGGAACTCCTGACCTCAAGTGATCTGCCTGCCTCGACCTCCCAAAGTGCTGGGATTATATCCATGAGCCACTGTGCCCGGCTGGCGGTATGATTTCTAAAAGTACCATACTGTGTAGTTCTAAACTGCAAATAAACCCATAATAATACCCCACAGAGATATATTTCAGGGGGAGAAGTTGATACTTTTGAAATTTAAGATCATATAGGTAGTATTGGTCAAGAATGTGGGGAAACAAGCAAGTACAGAAAGCCTGAACATGCTGTCTGGAGACAGCCACCCATGGTTTCTCTATTGCAGTTCCTCCACTTAACATTGATTCACACCCATGATAATTTATTTCTAGTGAATAGAAAGTAGCTATGTTTAAACCCAGCCTACACAGACTCTTTGTCTGGTATTTAAATCCGGGAACTAAAAGAGGCAAGGTAAATTTGATCAAGAATTGTATTATCCTCTGAGAATGTAAGGGGTTGAGTTGGAATAAAACAAAATAATTTATTATTTAAAGGGAATATAAAAAGGCTAGGATTGGGGGATACCTTTTATCTGTCTCTTTGCTCCTTCACCACCCCCTTTTACCTTTCTGCTGATTGAAATCCCCCTTGTTACCCTTTAAAAGTTCTGGGTCAGGCCTGGCGCGGTGGCTTACGCCTATAATCCCAGCACTTTGGGAGGCCGAGGCGGGCGGATCACAAGGTCAGGAGATCGAGACCATCCTAGCTAACATGGTGAAACGCTGTCTCTAATAAAAATACCAAAAAAAAAAAAAAAAATTAGCCAGGCGTGGTGGTAGGCACCTGTAGTCCCAGCTACTCAGGAGGCTGAGGCAGGAGAATGGTGTGAACCCGGGAGGCGGAGCCTGCAGTGAGTGGAGATTGCGCCACTGCACTCCAGCCTGGGCGACAGAGCAAGACTCCGTCTCAAAAAAAAAAAAAAGAAGAGTTCCGGGTCAGTATCGTATTGATCAATATCTAGTTGAAAGTAGAATTAGTAGCCTCAAAATGGAAAATTCAGCTAGCAAGCTGCAGACCTACCTGTCTACAGCAGCAGTGTTTATTCTGTTTTCTCTCTGCCTTTCTATCCAGGCCACTCTCTGACCCAATTTGTTCGCCACTGTGCGGATCATTTCCTGAACAGTGAGCACAAGGAGATCCGCATGGAGGCTGCCCGCACCTGCTCCCGCCTGCTCACACCCTCCATCCACCTCATCAGTGGCCATGCTCATGTGGTTAGCCAGACCGCAGTGCAAGTGGTGGCAGATGTGCTTAGCAAACTGCTCGTAGTTGGGATAACAGATCCTGGTAAGGCTTGCCAGACAGAAGGAATCTAGGGGAGTTAAGGAGCTTAGGACAATTGGGAGTAGCCAGTTTCATTACATGGCCTCTCTAGAGTTCTTCGGCTCAAAAAGCTGATATTCAGCTATTTCTCTGCCAAGGCGTGTTAGGCATGGCTACTGTAGCCTTTGGTGTAAGATAATCTACCTTTAATTCTTTTGTCTTTTACTCTTGTGAGTAGAGAAAAGAATGACAGAGGTTAGATGAGAAAAAGCATCTGGAATCTTCCCACTACGCTGATGGCAGTGGAGGTAGAAGCTGGGAAGGGCTGGAGTGATGGGATCATGAGGAAATGTTCAAAGGCTCCATTGCTCTTGCAGACCCTGACATTCGCTACTGTGTCTTGGCGTCCCTGGACGAGCGCTTTGATGCACACCTGGCCCAGGCGGAGAACTTGCAGGCCTTGTTTGTGGCTCTGAATGACCAGGTGTTTGAGATCCGGGAGCTGGCCATCTGCACTGTGGGCCGACTCAGTAGCATGAACCCTGCCTTTGTCATGCCTTTCCTGCGCAAGATGCTCATCCAGGTAACCGAGGTGATGGCCAGACCCACAGGCAGGGAAGACAGGACTCTCGCTGTGAGAACTGCTTGAGGAAGCGGAGTTGAGGACAAGGATGGGGGAGAAAGATTGAGGTACCTGGTAAAAGCCGCATTTGTCTGCAAAGGTCCAAATGTTTCCCTGGCTTTATAATGGCAGTTCCAGTGCTCATCACCTCATGAGCCCTTTGTCAATATGACTCTAAGGTGGTTCAGAGTCCTCTCATGCAGCTCTTTCTTTTTCCTGGCAAGTCACCAGTGATCCCATTTCTTGGCCCTCTTTGCTTGCTGGGTTGATCTGCTGCAGATGGTGTCAGACTTCCCAGCGCCTCCCTATCCTTCAGCTCTCCTGCTTTTCTTGCTGGTGCCAGGTCAAGCACGGAGGCCGTTGTTCTTCACAAAAATAACCAGTGTGAGACCGTTTCCACTATTTGTTCTAATAGTCATTGCTCCAGTCTGTGATCCTGGCTTTCGTTCTTAAATAATATGAGAATGCCAAGCTCAGCTGCTTGGTCTGTAGCGTAAGGTAGAATTGCTCTGGAGACATGGCTCCTCAGTTTTTGTCTTCACCTACTGAGTAAGATCTGTGGCCTCCTGGTGAGCAATACATGGAGTCCTGCCAATACACCAGTCCTGCCTGGTGAAGTTATTTCCACCTGCCTCTTGTGGGTCTCTATGTTGCTCACCCAGTCATTTCCTGTCCCCATTGCTCACTGTTTGCTTCCTGATCCTCCTTCATGGTTTGTTTTGAAGTAAACACTTTTTATAACATATAAGGAACTTAAACATAGAAAATCATTAATATATGTAACTCACTCTAGAGAAATGTTTGTTCACAATTTGTTATAAAGTGGCTGTAAATTATATCATCAGTCAACAAATTAGGAAGTTGTACTTATGTTGGCACTTCTATTTTTAGCGTAATGATTTATTTAACTGCCGGCCTGCGTTAGAAGTGCCTGCCATTTTAAGTCTTAAAAACATTCCTCAGTTATAGGAAGGAATAGAAATCATTGTTGAAGGCCGGGCGTGGTGGCTCATGCCTGTAATCCCAGCACTTTGGGAGGCCGAGGTGGCCAGATCACCTGGGGTCAGGAGTTCAAGACCAGCCTGGCCAACATGGTGAAACCCCATCTCTACTAAAAATAAAAAAAAAATAGCCAGGCATGTTGGCAGGCGTCTGTAATACCAGCTACTCTGGAGGCTGGTGCAGGGAGAATTGCTTGAACCCAGGAGGTGAAGGTTGCAGTGAGCCGAGAGCGCGCCACTGCACTCCAGCCTGGCGACAGAGCGAGACTCTGTCTCAAAAAAAAAAAAAAAAACGTGAAATCACTGTTGAGCCTGCCAGCTCAAATCATGCTAAATTAATTTGGCGTAGAAATATCTCCTAAACGGCTGAGTGCAGTGTCTCATGTCTGTTATCCCAGCACATTGGGAGGCCAAGGCAGGCGGATCACAGGAGCCCAAGAGTTTGACAAGACCAGCCTGGGGAACATGACAAACCACGTCTCTACAAAATATACGAAAGTTAGCTGGGTGTAGTGGTGCATACCTGTAGTCCTAGCTACTCAGGAGGCTGAGGTGGGAGGATCACTTGAGCCTGGTAAGTTGTGGATGCAGTGAGCCGTGATTGTGCCACTGCACTCCAGCCTGGGTGACAGAGTGAGACCCTATCTCAAAAAAAAAAAAAAAAAGGAAAAAATAAGAAATACCTCCTAATGAGAATATCAATATGTTCATTCTGTCAGCAGACTTTTTGACCACATGCTATGTTCCAGGTACTGCTGGGCACTGGGAATATAGCAGTCAACAAGCCAGGCGTGGCTGCAATCTTCTTTCTTTTTTTTTTTTGAGACACAGTCTCGCTCTGTCGCCAGGCTGGAGTGCAGTAGTGTGATCTTGGCTCACTGCAACCTCCACCTCCCAGGTTCAAGCGATTCTCCTGCCTTGGCCTCCTGAGTAGCTGGGACTACAGGCGCCCGCCACCACGCCCAGCTAATTTTTGTATTTTTAGTAGAGATGGAGTTTCTCCATGTTGGCCAGGCTGGTCTCAATCTCTTGACCTCATGGTCTGCCCGCTTCGGCCTCCCAAAGTGCTGGGATTACAGGTGTGAGCCACCTCGCCCGGCTGGCTCTAATCTTCTTAAAGCTGATATTAAGCTATCAGGCCATTTCATTTTTTCAATATTGCAGAGTGTGAAGCTCCTTTGAATGAATTTATGTACTGAATTTAGCCCTTGAAATGTTAAAATTACTCTTTTTTGTTTTTAAACTTTGATATAGATTTTTCCAAATTGAGGTGTACATTTTCATGCCTTGGTAAAGGCTTTGGTGTTTTGTTTTGTTTTGAGACAGAATCTCACTCTGTCACCAAGGTTAGAGTGCAATGGTGGGATCTCGTCTCACTGCAACCTCTGCCTCTTGGGCTCGAGCAGTCCACCTGCCTCAGCCTCCTAAAGTGCTGGGATTACAGGCATGAGCCACCGTGCCTGGCCGACTTTGGCCTTTCTTGCGGTCTTGGTCATCAGGGTGGGCATTGGTTATTGTTATTAGGATGCAGTGAGGCTCTCGGGCTCTAAGTGAACCTGGGGTTCTTTGGATTGGCCCCGCACTGCTGCAGATAGTTGGGCTCTGCTCCGTGAGGCACATTTCCTTGCAGTCAGCCATGTCTTCTTGGTGCTGCAGGTCTATTCTCAGTATCCCCTTCATTTCTTTTCCCTGTGGTCTGCTATGACTGGGGAAAACAGGCTGCCAGGGGAATCCAGAAAAATCGGGTTATTAAGTCAGTAACCTAAGACAAAATGTAATGTTAAATTGTAGACTCCTCTGGGTAGCTGAGTTAACCTGAGCTCTGTGACATCTGCTTTTGTCACTGCTCATCGATTTCCTTCTGGCAGCTTTATCCAGAAATCTGTCTATATTATGCTGTCTATGTCACCATGAGCAAGATATGCTGATTTGCTGGTGTCCTAAGGATGTCAGCTAGAACCAATGTGTTATCTCCAGTCAGTAAGGCTTCGGGGGATCCTGCCAGTGTGATCCCCACCTATTGAGGTTTATCTAGATATGCCCCAAACAGCTACAGAGTATCAGCACTTCTCTTGGCATCATAGCTGTTCTAACTGTTCTTTGATTCCTTTGCCATTATTTGTAGTCTTCAGTAATTTGCTGTCTGGACAAAGATTTTTCTCCCAAGGGGCCCTACCTTCTTTCCTCATTTTTATAGAACCCTACTCACAGCTCTCCCTGTTGGTTTTCTCAGTCTTCTCTGGCTGTGCTACATGGTTAAAAGCTCTGCTTTAGAGAGGGCCATGGGACATTGGAGTGCTGTGATAAAAGGAAAGGGAGCAGGTTTTCGAATAGTTTTTCTTCCTGTCACAGCTGTATCTAAGGCTGTTCTGCCTGTTGCAGAAAAGTCTGTTGCTCATTGAGTATCTAGCAGCTACTTCATCTGTCGTGGAGGTCTGGGTTTTTCCCCCAGTTCCCTGCCACTTTTTCTGTTGGACACAGTCTCTCTCTAGAATGTCTTCTGCCATAGAGAACATATGAGCCTTTCTTCCCTACAGATTTTGACAGAGTTGGAGCACAGTGGGATTGGAAGAATCAAAGAGCAGAGTGCCCGCATGCTGGGGCACCTGGTCTCCAATGCCCCCCGACTCATCCGCCCCTACATGGAGCCTATTCTGAAGGTAACACAAACCGAGAGGCTGGTGCTTTCTCTGTGCGTTGTCATCAGCTCATATGGGGAGATGGGAGTGTTTCAGTGTTCACTAGTACACTGAACAAAGTAGGTGATTTCTTTGCTCTCACGCTTGGAGACCAAAGGGCCATATCAAGCACTTTCAGTTAAAGAATACCAAGAATCTTATCAGTTGCAGGAAAGTGCTGTCCTTACAAGAGGTAAGAGTTAATGCTTCAGGCACATCATCGCAGATGTTTGGAAAGGAGAAGTAGGTAGATAGTAGCATAAAATAGCTCGCCCAAAATGAGGAAAAAATGAGCTTGAAAATCTGAAACAACCTTCAAATCTCAACACATTAGAGTCACGTGAAGTCCTTTATAATGTATGTTAATCTGGATGAACAATCACTGAGACTCGGTTTAGAGGAGACATGAGAAATACTTTCACATTATGGTGCTTCCCAGCTCTCTCACATGTCAGACTTAGACTTCATATGGAGAAAAGTTTGAGAATTTACATTCCAGAGAAATCTTGGATTCATAAAGCCTAGAAGGAATTTCTTTATGACTGAGATGGTCTCTTGGGTGAATTTTACTTATATAAAAGAAAGGTTTCTAGTAGAGTCTAATCTGCATTCATTTTCTCATAACTTCTTTCTCTAGGCATTAATTTTGAAACTGAAAGATCCAGACCCTGATCCAAACCCAGGTGTGATCAATAATGTCCTGGCAACAATAGGAGAATTGGCACAGGTAAAGGGGCAGCTACTTTTTCCATAGCGGAGATAGGGTGGAAAAGAAACTAACCTCTAAGGAAGTCAAAATACTATTTTTTTTTTTAAATGAAAGGTCTCACATATTTATTGCGGAACCCAGCCAACAATGCATTCATAACAGATTCAGAGAGAAATAATATATTCTCAATAAAACATGTCCAACTCTCCAGATAGTGGTGACATTTTCAGCTTGATATGGTAATATCATTGTGACCTTCAGACAGCATAAATGTGTGTGCCATCTCATGTGCAATTCCTTATAGACCCTGCTTGGTTCTTCTCCAGTGTCTTTTTTTGGAGTTGTACCTGGTTTTATTACCAGTTTTCATCCGAATCCACTGGGGAATGGGACGATTTTACTTTTGTTTCTTGGCCAGGAATTGCTTAATTCTGAAAGTCTTGTGAGAAGAATGGCAAGAATCAGAGTCAGGCACACACCATGATGGTGGAGAAAGGAAGAGAGGGCTTTTTTAAAAAAAATTTTTTATTTTATTTATTTGTTTTTGAGACAGTTTCACTTTGTCCAGGCTGGAGTGCAGTGGTGTGATCTTGGCTCACTGCAACCTCCATCTCCTGGGTTCAAGTGATTCTCGTGCCTCACCCTCCCAAGTAGCCGGGATTACAGGTGTGTGCCACCACACCTGGCTAATTCTTGTATTTTTAGTAGAGATGGGGTTTTACCATGTTGGCTAGGCTGGTCTGGAGCTCCTGATGCCAGGTGATCTGCCCTCCTCAGCCTCCCAAAGTGCTGGGATTACAGGCATGAGCCACCGTGCCCGGCCTCCAAAATACTTTCTAATGCCAGAATTTCTAACCCTTTCTGCCACCCTCTTTTTCATTTTGCAGGTTAGTGGCCTGGAAATGAGGAAATGGGTTGATGAACTTTTTATTATCATCATGGACATGCTCCAGGATTCCTCTTTGTTGGCCAAAAGGCAGGTGAGTATTACTGCTTCCTGATTGAGCAAGACAGACCCCATGAGTCCAGGGACTTTGCTTCTCTTTATTCACCTTAGTGTCCTCACCCAGTGCCTAGAACAGAGTGTGACACATAGTAGGTGCTCAAAAATATTTGTTGAATGAGTAAAAGTTAGAAAGATTTGAAACCAGAATTACCTGTTGTCCTGACCCAGAGTCAGTTTCAGTAATTATCGGGGCTGACTAGTGCCATTTTGTCTATACAAAAGAAAATGCAGGTCAATTGTCAGAGCCGTAGCTCTCAGAGGGAAAAAGAAAGCCTTGGCCACTGCCTATGAAGGAACAGAAGTTTAGCTCATCCTTGCCCAGCCCTGGTTCTGCTTTCCCAATTTGAGGCTATTAGATGACTAGACTAAAATTAAGAACAGTCTTAATTTATTTCTGGGCATGGCAGCTCACACTTGTAATCCTAGCACTTTGGGAGGCTGAGGCAGGAAGATTGCTTGAGCTCCAGAGCGAGAGCAACCTGGGCATGATGAGACTTTGTCTCTACTAAAAAAAAAAAATAGCTGGGCATGGTGGCATGTGCCTGTAGTCCCAGCTACTTGGAGGCTAAGATGGGAAGATCACTCGATTCCAGGAGATTAAGGCTGCAGTGAACTGTTATCACACCACTGCATTCCAGTCTCCAGTGAGACCCTGTCTCAACAACAACAAAAAATCTTAATTTCCTTTTGAATCTCCTGTTAATCATTTGGGATATGGAAGAATGATGTGTTTTCTTTGAGAAAGGTGGGAATTTTCTTTGTCTCTTGATCCAGTGATTGTTGCAGGGTTGTGTGCTTGATCAACCTTGGTTTTATGCCCTTTTGGGATTTCTGCTCATGGTTAGTGTCTTTACTGGAAACCTCTTTTCTTCTTACAGCCTCTAACACTTCATTATAATCATTATACAAAGAGTTCAACTATGCTTTCTTTTCTCTCGTACTGGCTCATTGAATCGTGTTCTTGTGCCTATCCAGGTGGCTCTGTGGACCCTGGGACAGTTGGTGGCCAGCACTGGCTATGTAGTAGAGCCCTACAGGAAGTACCCTACTTTGCTTGAGGTGCTACTGAATTTTCTGAAGACTGAGCAGAACCAGGGTACACGCAGAGAGGTAGGGGACGTGGCAAACTTGGTCTTTAAAGACTTTGCTGGGACGATGGCAAGAGAGAGATGGTTGCAGCATTAACATGCTCTGACAGTGTCAGTCAGACTTCCTGTCCCTCTCCAATTTTGTTCATGTAGCTGGTCATTTGGATATGAACTGGGGATTATGTAACCTGAGAGGAGTATCCGTGATACTTGTTGTAATCATGTTGTGATGAATGTTTTCTTTTTTCCCTCCCCTTTCCCACGCAGGCCATCCGTGTGTTAGGGCTTTTAGGGGCTTTGGATCCTTACAAGCACAAAGTGAACATTGGCATGATAGACCAGTCCCGGGATGCCTCTGCTGTCAGCCTGTCAGAATCCAAGTCAAGTCAGGATTCCTGTAAGTTGGGGGTAGCCATGAAAGACTTGCCAAGTTCTCACTCACAGAGCCCTTGCTGGTTGTGTTTAGAAAGTCTGGAGCTGGATTACTGAGAAATTATAGGATATTGGCTCGTGTAGCAACTTTTGAATGAAAAGTCAGTAGTTTCTTCTTGAATCCCGGAAGGGTTGCTGCTTCCCATTGTGGCCAGAGTCCTCATGTCTGTCTAGATTCTTTGTCAAGGGTTGGCATGCCAAGTCTGTCTGCTTTTTGATGCCAATGCAAGAGATACACATTATCACCCCATCACCTCTATCTATCTCTCATTCTTTCTTAGTGCCTCTTTGATGGTTCTCATTCCCATGGTATCTACAGAAGAAGAGGATAGAATTGATTCTTCCTGTTTTAATTGATAGGGAAATCAGAGGCGAGGCTCAGGGCCATAGGGAAAACTAGCAGCAATCAGAAATTTGGGGCTCTTTTTTCCGTGAAATGGTCTGGCCCAAGAGCTGCACTGCCTTTTTTTGTTTGTTTGTTTTTGAGATGGAGAGTCTTACTCTGTTGCCCAGGCTGGAATACAGCACTGCAACCTCTGCCTCCCGAGTTCAAGCAATTCTTCTGTCTCAGCCTCCCAGGTAACTGGGACTACAGGTGCACACCAGCACACCTGGCTAATTTTTGCATTTTTAGTAGGGAGGGGTTTTGCCATGTTGGCCTGGCTGTTCTCAAACTCCTGACCTCAAGTGATCTGCCTGCTTCAGCTTCCCAAAATGCTGGGATTACAGGCATGAGCCACTGTGCCTGGACGCCTTTTTTTTTTTTTTAAAGGTTTGTTTTATTTTTAATTGACTCAGGGAGGGGGAATAGGGAGAGGTTGGTGAATGAGTGCAAGGTTCCAGTTAGACAGGTGGAATAATTTCTGGTGGTCTGTTGCCCATTGCCTTTTATTGTTTTTATTTTAACTTAATTTTATTTTTTTGGAGACAGGGTCTCACTTTGTCACCCAGGCTGAAGTACAGTGGCATGATGTAGCCTCGACCTCCTGGGCTCAAGTGATCCTCCTGCTTCAGCCCCTCAAGTAGCTGGGACTACAGGCGTGTGCCACCACACCTCGATACTTTTTGTATAGCCCGTTGCCTTTTGACAAGTAGCCTGAGTGAATGGGGGTGGGGTATGGGGTTGCAGGAGGGTTTTCTAGACTTAACCCATATTCCCTCAGGGCAGGCCTATTTCTGACATTGAAAGTTAACATTGATTCTCCCAACTATTCCAGGAAAATATTATTACCCCAAAATAAATTGTTTCTGAACTTTCTAGATGGGATCATATTGCTTCACATTTCTTCCTCTTCTGGTATTAGAGAGGCATGCCTGTGATGTCATTCTGTCAGCCCCATAGCTGTTGAGAGCAGGGCCTGAGCCATGCTGCTCCTGGTGTTCTTCCTTATTCATGGCACCAGTCAGCCCAGCTCTTCATCTGTTTAGTTCTTACCCTCCTCGCTGCACTCTTCATGTTAGTATACCTCCCTCCCTTGCCACTGCCCCCGCTGCCACCGTCAGAGTCCTTGAGGTCCTTACTGTTCAAGTCAGGTAGGTAGTATTTGCCTACCAACTTGTCTGAATTCCCTAGGGGAACCAAGGAGCTGCTGAACAGATGTTTGCCTAATTTAATTCCCTTTACTTTATTTTGGGGGAGTAATTATTTTTATTGATGGTTTCAGTTATGAAGTTGTGAACGGTAAGAAGCTAAATTAAACAGAGCAATTTAGAGAAAACCAACCCATCATGTACTGTTTTAGGCTTTTGTGGTTTGAGTAATAGAAAAGCCAAAAACCGTTTACTCCTTGATGGTGAGAGGCTATTCATTGGTTCCTAATAGACCTTGAACTCCCAACAGTGTTAGAACATACTAGGAAGAAAGATATGAATGCTAATGTCTGTTAGGAGGTTGTTTGTTACTAACCATGCTCTGCCTGAAGTCACGTCATGCCATGTGTAGCTCTAACACTCTCTGTTGTTTTGTCCTAGCTGACTATAGCACTAGTGAAATGCTGGTCAACATGGGAAACTTGCCTCTGGATGAGTTCTACCCAGCTGTGTCCATGGTGGCCCTGATGCGGATCTTCCGAGACCAGTCACTCTCTCATCATCACACCATGGTTGTCCAGGCCATCACCTTCATCTTCAAGTCCCTGGGACTCAAATGTGTGCAGTTCCTGCCCCAGGTCATGCCCACGTTCCTTAACGTCATTCGAGTCTGTGATGGGGCCATCCGGGAAGTAAGTACCTCAAACCCCAATCCTTCTCTTTCTCCTCTGCACCACACATGCACAGATCCATCTGTGCTTCAGCTTCTTAATTGTGCATTCTCTGTGCCCCTGAGCCCAATGCCTTCCTCCCCCTTAACTCCCAACATATAAAGTGTACAATCAGCTCACTCCAGTGTCCTGGCTAAAAGGGCCAGGTGCAGTGGCTCACACCTATAATCCTAGCACTTTGGGAGGCCGAAGTGGGCAGATCACCTGAGGTCAGGAGTTTGAGACCAGCCTGGCCAACATGGTGAAACCCCGTCTCTACTAAAAATACAAAAATTAGCCATGCGTGATGGTGCACGCCTATAATCCCAGCTACTCGGGAGGCTAAGGCAGGAGAATCCCTTGAACCTGGGAGGTAGAGGTTGCAGTGAGCTGAGATCGAGCCACCGTGCTTCAGCTTGGACGACAGAGTGAGACTCTGTCTCAAGAAAAAGATGGCTAAAAGATGAATAGCCTGGGGGAGGAAAAGCATTGTCATTCTCAGTAATCTAGAGTTCAGTCCGGTTGTAGATGCCCCACAAATAG
This sequence comes from Homo sapiens, assembly GCF_000001405.40. NCBI lineage: Eukaryota > Metazoa > Chordata > Mammalia > Primates > Hominidae > Homo > Homo sapiens. The sequence goes on along the minus strand of NC_000001.11, from coordinate 11,228,106 downwards.
AAAATCAGTCTGGATTTCTGGTTGCTCCTTCATGACGAGATTTAAGTCGTAACATTTTTAGTGAAAATACTACACAGGTGAAGTTGAATGCTTCTTACTGGATCTCATACTGCCACCAGTTGGTCCCATTACTGTTGATCCTCAGTGCGAGCATGCGGCCGAGTAGGTGTTTATCCGATCTCTCCATTGTAAGCTTATCTGTTTTCCTTTGCCATTAGTGAGTAATCTGTGGGGTGACACTTTGAGACTCCATGGCTATCCTGTTCCTCAGCTACCTTCCATCCGGTGATTTTAGCATCCGTTGATAATCCTCACTTGAGTTGATTATCACACTGGTGGTTGCAAAGTGATGACTTTCTAATTTTGCTATTCCTTCTCCATTTTATTAGCTGGCAGCATTTTTCTGTGAAGAGGAATTTTCCCCTCCCCCACCTCTCACTCTTGCTGTTTCTTGTGTCTTTCTTTAAACCACAGAATATGCAAAATGGTTCTAAGATTATATGTCCCTACTACTACCAACCACAGATCTAAGTAAAGTTCAGAGTAGCTTTGTAGTTCCTGTTATTCTTAGAATACACTCTACTAAGGGTGTACAGTAAGAGTACTATGTTTAAAAGATACCTCAATTAGTTACTTTTCCCTCTGATCATATTGTCAACATGATGTACATTTAGAGGAGATAGCATGTTTTTAGAAATTATGTTTCCTAACTTTGTGTCTGGAGTATAGACATACTGTTTATTTGTTTCTATTGTATTTATAACTATCAACCTAATTGAATTTTTTTTTTTTTTTTTTTTTTTTTTTTTGAGACAAAGTCTCACTTTGTTGCCCAGGCTGGAGTGCAGTGGTATGATCTCAGTTCATTGCAGCCTCTGCCTCTCAGGTTCAAGCAATTCTCCTGCCTCAGCCTCTTGAGTAGCTGGGATTACAGGGGTGCACCACCAAGCCCGGCTAATTTTTGTATTTTTAGTAGAGACAGGGTTTCGCCATGTTTGCCAGGCTGGTCTTGAGCTCCTAACCTCAGGTGATCCAACTGCCTCAGCCTCCCAAAGTGCTGGGATTACAGGCATGAGCCACCACGCCTGGCCGGAATTCTTATTAACTCTAATAATTTACCTGTAAATTCTCTCAGGTTTTTACTCTATATAATTATATAGTCTGGTGGGCGGGGGCGGGGGCGGGGGTGGGGGGAAGAAAAATTAAAAAAGGAAGTTTTGTTTTTTAGTTTTAATCTTGTAAACCACCACTTAGTGACACAGTAAGGAAAAGTAATAAGTACTAAAAAAGTCATAAGACCTCTACTACCATGTTTTTGGTTTTTGAGATAGGGTCTAGCTCTGTTGCCCAAGCTGGTGACACAGAGGTTGCAATAGGTGATATGGGCTCACTGCAACCTCCACCTCCTGGGCTCAAATAATCCTCCCACCTCAGCCTCCCGAGTAGCTGGGACTACAGGCATTTACAACCACACCCAGCTGATTTTTTGGGTTTCGCCATGTTGCCCAGGCTGGTATCAAACTCCTGGGCTCAAGCTATCTGCCCACCTTGGCCTCCCAAAGCACTGGAATTACAGGAGTGAGCCACTGTACCCGGCCTACTTCCATGTTAATTAGATGCAGTGATAGTGGAAATCTATAACCTTGCTCCTGATTTTAATGGGACTGCTGTTAAGATTTCACCATGAAGTATAATATTTGTTGTAGCTTTTTGGTAGATATCTTTTTATTTTATTTTTATTTTTAAAAAAATACGGAATGCTTCACAAATTTGCCTGTTATCCTTGCATATGGGCCATGCTAATCTTCTCTAGATTGTTCCAATGCTAGTATACGTGCTGCCAAAATGAGCACTAGATAGCTTTATAAAGGTCAAATATTCTCATATAAAGAGAATACTAAAGAGTTTTATTATGAATGTATATTGAATTCTTTAGTCTGTAATAGTCATATGGTTTTTCTCTTTTAATGTGTTAAATATGTTGAATCACACTGATAACGTGTTCTAATGTAAGAATGCTGGCATTCTTATATTAAAACCACCTTGGTTATAATGTATTTTTAAATTTCGATCTTATGTCAGTTCAGCTTAGAATTTTTGGATCTGTGTTCTTGATTGAATTGGTCTATAATTTTCTCTTTCTTAACTATGGGCTCAAAGATCTGTTTAGCTTTTCTGTATCTCCTTGAAGCAGTTTTGGCTACTTTTTTTTAGGAAGCTGTTCATTTTGTCTAAGTGATAAAACTTGTTGACATGAAATTGTTCACACTGTTCTCTTACATTTTAATTTTTTTAAGATCTTTTTTTATGCCCCAGAACTGAGTGGATTATGTTTTAATTTTCTACTAGAGATTTGTTAAAGCATTTTTCAAAGAAGCAACTATCGGCCAGGTGCGGTGGCTCATGCCTATAATCCCAGCACTTTGGGAGGCCAAGGCGGGTGGATCATCTGAGGTTCGGAGTTCAACTCCAGCCTGGCCAACATGGAGAAACCCCATCTCTACTAAAAATACAAAAATTAGCCGGGCATGGTGGCACATGCTTGTAATCCCAGCTACTCAAGAGGCTGAGGTGGGAGAATCGCTTGAATCTGGGAGGTGGAGGTTGCAGTGAGCTGAGATTGTGCCATTGCACTCCAGCCTGGATGGCAGAGCAAGATTCTGTCTCAAAAAAAAAAAAAAAAAGAACCAATTTTTGACTTGTTGATCTATTATTATTTTACTTTTTCTGCTTTTTAAAAAAAATTGTGTTAGAATGTTAAGTCATTGTCAGTCTTCTTTTCTAATGTAATCTCTTAAGGCTATGAATTTCACTCCAAGTATTAACTGCTTTCCAAAATTTCTTAAAGCTTACATACCGTAAGATATGTGGGGGGAAAATTTAAAATAAAAAATTTATTTATTTATTTACAAGTCAGATAAAATTTACATACCGTAAAATTCATTGATTTTTAATATATTTACAGAGTTATGCAGTTATCACTAATAATCTAATTTTAGAAAACTTAAATCACCCCAGCAAAAAAACCTCCTGTCCATTTTCAGTCATTTTCTGTTTCTGCCTCATCCCTGGGCAACTACTAATCTGCTTCTCTCTCTATAGATTTACTTTTTCTGGGCATTTCATGTAATTGGTGTCATAGAATATGTGGTCTTTTGCATCTGGCTTCTTTCACTTAAAACTTTTGAGGTTCATCCATGTGTGGCATGTATCAGTAATTCATTCTTCCTTTATTACTCAGTAGTGATGTAGTATTTTCATTATTGTCCAGAAATATTTTCCAGTGTTAGAATTTCTTCTTTTACCCTTGAGTTATTTAGAAGTGGGTATTTTATTTGTAAACTTAAAGGGTTTTTAATTTCTCTTTTTTATATTGATTTCTAACTTAATTGCATTGTGTTTATGATTCTTTCATGCTTGCTGGAACTGCTTTAATGGTCTAGTGGTTGATTGATTTTCATAAATATTTCCTATATCCTTGGGAATACTTGTGTATTTGCTAACGTTATGGACAGGGTTTTACATAAGTCATTAGATTGAATTTATTACTTATTGTGTTCAAATCTTTTGTGTCCTTCTAATTTTTGTTTGTTTGATCTATCAATACTGAGAGAAGTGAGACAAAAATCTCCCTTTACATTGGTGGGCTTTTTTCTGATAGTTTAGTCAATCTTGTTTTATGTATCTTTGAGATTATATTACTAGATGCATGCAAATTTTAAATCCTGATATCTTCCTGGTAAGTTGACTCTTTTATCATTATGCAATAATCCTTCTTATCTTTAATAATACCTTAAAACGTATTTTACGTAACATTAATATAGCTGTACCAGCTTTTTTTTGGAGGTATATGTCTTTTCCAATTCTTTTACTTTTAACTGTCTTGTGACTTTTTGTTTTGGATGCTGTCTTGTAAATATAGCTAGATTATCTTTTTAATCCAATTTAAAAATGTTTGTCTTTTAACCAGTGCATTCTAGGCCAATTGCATTTATTGTGATTGCTGTTATATTTGGCCTATTTATTTTATTTTATTTTATTTTATTTTATTTTATTTTATTTTATTTTGAGACGGAGTATCGCTCTTGTTGCCAGGGTGGAGTGCAATGGTGTGATCTCGGCTCACTGCAACCTCTGCCTCTTGGGTTCAAGTGATTCTCCTGCCTCACCCTCCCAGGTAGCTGGGATTATAGGTGCATGCTACCATGCCCAGCTAATTTTGTATTTTTAGTAGAGATAGGATTTCACCATATTGGCCAGGCTGGTCTCAAACTCCTGACCACAAGTGATCCACCCGTCTCGGCCTCCCAAAGTGCTGGGATTACAGGTGTGAACCACTGCACCTGGCCATGTTTGCGTTTATTTCCACCATCTTACTTAGTGCATTCTTTTTGTCCTGCTTTGTCTGTTTATCTTTCTTTTTTGTCTTTTTCTGGATTTGTTTGAGCCTTTATTTTTTATTTCATCTTTTGCCTTCACTCATTGGCCACCTTTAATTTTTCTTAACATTTTGTAATAGACTATTTCAATCATGAATATAGTAGACAACCTATTATATTAGATTCTCACATACCCATCAGTAATTACTAGCATTTTGTCAATTTGGTTTTATCTCTTACCTCCATCGCCTTTCCCCCCGACACATGTACATACATTTCTGCAGTATTTTAAAGCAAATTACAGGTATCATATTATTTCACCAATACATACTTTTTCCCATGTAACCACAAATATGACACCTACAAAGCTAACAATCATTTCTTAGTATTATTTAATACCAACCCTTCTTCAGATGTCCCTGATTGTCTTAAAAATTCATTGTAATTTGGTTTATTCAAATAAAAATCTATATAAGGTCTACATCTGGCATTTGGTTGATGTATATAATTCTTTCACTACTTATTTACCTTTTCCCTCTACTTAAAAAAAAAAAAAAAGTCATGTATTTGTAGAAGAAACCAGGTCATTTGTCCTGTTTCTCATACTGGATTTGGCTGATTGTATCTTCGAAGTGTCTTAATTTCCTATAAACTAGTTAGATTTAGAGGCTTGATTAGATTCAGGTTCTGTTCTTTTGACAAGAGATACTTCATAGATTACAGTACTGTATACCTCCTATTTCAACATTTAGTAAACAGATATTTTCCATATGACCCACTGCTAGTGATGTAAAGGCTGATCAGTGGGTTCGGATATTGTCATCTGATCCATCTGTTATAAAGTTCCCTATCAGCCTTTTTCCCAGTCATTTTAGCATTCATTGGTAGTTATTTCCTAGAGCTGTTATTTGATTAGGGACTGCAAAATGGTGATTTTCTTACTTATATATATATTTTTTTTATTAAAAAAAATGTTTTTTTCCATGACATATCTCTCAGGAGCTCCTGAGAACATGTGCCCCAAAATGGTGATTTTCTAATTTGATTATTCCTTCTGGATTTATTAGCTAGAAAGTTCTTTAGAAATAAAGAACTTGGCTGGGCATGGTGGCTGTAATATCAGCACTTTGGGAGGCTGAGTTGAGAGGATTGCTTGAGCCCAGGAGGAGTGTAAGACCAACCTGGGCAGCATAGCAAAACCCCATCTCATTTTATTTAAAACATTTTTTTAGGCTGGGCGCAGTGGCCCACGCCTGTAATCCCAGCACTTTGGGAGGCCGAGGCGGGTGGATCACAAGGTCAGGAGATCAAGACCATCCTGGCTAACACGATGAAACCCTGTCTCTACTAAAAATACAAAAAAATTAGCCAGGCATGGTGGCAGGCACCTGTAGTCCCAGCTACGTGGGAGGCTGAGACAGGAGAATGGCATGAACCCGGGAGGTAGAGCTTGCAGTGAGCCGAGATTGGGCCACTGCACTCCAGCCTGGGTGACAGAGCGAGACTCCGTCTCAAAAAAAAAAAAAATTTTTTTTAAATAAATTTTAAAAAAGAACTTTATATAATCAACTACTGAGGTAATTTGAAGTGTAGATCATGTAGGAAAAGCAGAATACATGCATGAATCTTTCCCTTTATTTATCAATTTATCAATTTTTTAGTATAATGAGTCAAGCCTCTAACAGCTTTTCAGAGGTGAGCCAGGCACCTTCCCACCTCCCAATCCTACCCTCATTCTTTGGAGTATCAGTATGAACTCATGAAGATACATATATATATATAATTTATCTTTATTTATACTGTAAACCAAGTTGGTTGCACAGTCACTCAAAGAAGACTGTCAAGTGAAAGTCATTTAGTCATCTTATTGTTAATACTAATATTGGTCATTTACTTTACTACTTGTGTGTTTAAGAAAGATACATATATATATGTAATCTCACTAAAAGAAACAGAGCTCTCTATATAGAGTATTTCTATATATATAGAATATATATATGTATATATACACTATATATATATGTATATATAATATTTCTGTTCATTGCAGGCACCAATCTTTTTCACAATCAGATTGTCCTGATCACCCTGGCTGTTGTGTCCTTTTTACATGGCCCGGTAGACTTTCTTGCTTTCTGGCGGAAAAAAATTACTCCAAGCGTATCAAGTATATTTCACTCAAACCTGGGCATAGCCATTTCCAAGGAGCTCTGATTTCTTTTAGTGAGATTACATACATATATATATATTTTATAGATGTAAATAGAAAATGACCAATGTTAGTATTAACAATAAGATGACTAAATGTAGTTTAAGACTTTCAGTTGATATTCTTCTTGAGTGATTGTGCAGCCAACTTGGCTTATAGTTATACTCATTTGTTTCTGTTTATTTTCAATTTTTAGAAATTTCCTTGAGTTTACAAAAAATTTAGGCTGAGCGTGGTGGCTCACATCTGTAACCCCAACACTTTGGGAGGCCGAGGCAGGTGGATCACTCAAAGTCAGGAGTTTGAGACCAGCCTGGCCAACATGACGAAACCCCGTCTCTACTAAAAATACAAAGATTAGCCGGGCATGGTGGTGCATGCCTGTAGTCTCAGCTACTCAGGAGACTGAGGCAGGAGAATTTCTTGAACCCGGGAGACAGAGGTTGCAGTGAGCCAAGATTGGACCACTGCACTTCAGCCTGGGCGACAGAGGAAGACTCCATCTCCAAAAAAAAAAAAATTAACTTTTGTTTTAGTTATATAAGACATTAACATAGTTCCAGAGCTAGAACTATAAATAAAATCTTATCTAGCAACGTCTAGCTTCTGTCACCATCTTTATACCTCGTTTTCTTCCTTCCTTTATTATTTCCTATTGCTGCTATAACAGATTACCACAAATTTAGTGGCTTAACACAGATTTCTTATCTTACAGCTCTCTAGGTTATATTTCTGACATGAGGTCTCACTGGGCTAAAATCAAGATGTTGACAGGACTGTGTTCCCATCTGGAAGCTCTAGGGGAGAATTGTTTTCCTTGCTTTTTCTAGCTTCTAGAGCACGAGGAGTTGGACAAGCTTGTTTTAGAGGGTGCCTGCGTTCCTAGGCCCCCTTCCTCCATCTTATTAAACATTATTGTCGTTTTATGTCGTGTTTGTTTATATTCATCCACACATATTTCATGTCTCATCACCCTGTCTTCCATATTAGAGCTTTCTCCTAGAATCATATTCTTTCTTCATAGGACAAATTCCTCTTAGGAGCATTCATTGAAATAAACTGCTCTTATCTGAATAAGTCTTTATTTCACCCTCTTTTTAAATCTTCATTTGGAGATTTAAAAATTAAATTAAAAAATTTATTTTTTTAGCCAAGAATATTATTCTAGGTTCTCCTACAACTGTAGATACGATCCCACTTTCTGACTTCTTTTTGTTGCCGTTGAGAAATCGTGAATCCCTTTTACATATTTTTTCTGTGGCTTTACTTCTCATTGTTTTGTTATCCTGAAGTGTTTACTATTATATATCTAGATGTGAATTTCTTTTGATTATCCTGTTTGAGACTTGGAGGGCTTCCTGAATGTGAGGATTGGTATCTTATCAGTTCCTGAGAAATTCTCATCTATTATCTTTTTTGGAATTTTGTCCTTATACCCTTCTATTTTTTTTTTCTTTCTTTTCTTTTCTTTTCTTTTTTTTTTTTTTGAGATCAAGTCTCACTCTGCTGCCAGGCCGGAATGCAGTGGTACGATCTCGGTTAACTGCAACCTCCACCTTCCATGTTCGAGTGATCCTCATGCCTCAGCCTCCTGAGTAGCTGGAACTACAGGCGTGCACCACCATGCTGGCTAATTTTTTTTGTTTTTTGCATTTTCAATAGAGACAGGGTTTTACCATGTTGCCCAGGCTGGTCTTGAACTCCTGTCCTCAAGCAATCCACCCGCCTCAGCCTTCCAAAGTGCTGGAATTATAGGCATGAGCCACCGTGCCCAGCCTTATTCCCACTTTTTTTAAGGCATTTTAAACAGACTAAATTTTCTGTCGAATACTTCTATTATATATAAAACTCTTAGTGGGTCTGATTGTGTATATTGTTTCTGAGAAGTCATGCTTGTAGTGGTCTGTTTCCTCACGTGTTTTATAATTTCGAATCATATAGCATATTCAACTGGGCTTTCCCTGGAGCAATACTAGAAAATCTGCTCTAAATTTGCATCTTTCCAGAGAGGATGTGCATTTACTTCTGCCAGGTGGTCCATGAGAACTTTAATTTCTTGGCTTAGAGATTCCCAGGCCACACAGTTAGTGAAAATAAATCCCTAAACCTGTACAATAGATGCCTGAAATTATGAACTCTTAGGGGAGGCATTTTTCTGCCTAGACCCCACATCACAACTGGCAAATTTCTTTATCTCCTTTTACCAGTGGACAGATTTTTTTTTTTTAACTCACCATTTCTCTTAATATGTAGCTCTTTGAAAGTCTGGCTTTATGTGAGAGGCTTTAGTTCTTTTTTTTTTTTTGAAACAGGGTCTCACTTTGTTGCCCAGGCTGGAGCGCAGTGACATGATCTCAGCTCACTGTAACCTCACCTCTGAGGCTGAAGTGATCCTCCCACCTCAACCTTCCAAGTAACTGGGACTACAGACACATGCCACTATGCCCAGCTAATATATTTTTTTGTACTTCTGGTAGAGACAAGGTTTTGCCATGTTGCTCAGGCTGGTCTTAAACTTCTGAGCTCGGGGTGATCTGCCTACCTTGGCCTCCCAAAGTGCTGGGATTACAGGCGTGAGCCACTGCGCCTGGCCACTTCAGTTCTAATAATCTTATAATCATGTTTATATTTTTGTACTTAATTTTAGGCTTTTCATAGTGGGGGAGTTTGGAAGGAGATCTAGTGCATCATATTTTCAGGAGCAAAACTGTGTTCTTTTAAAATACTCATGTTCCGAGCAAAAAGAGAACACATGTGAAAGGCTAAGGAAGAAGAGGCAGCTCCTCTAGCTCTCTACTCAGCATTGAGGTGCTTGCCTGTCCATGTCCCTTGGGCAGCTACTCCTTATGAATAAGCCACGGAAATGCTCCCTAATCATGCCTAATAAAATGGCACCAAGGACCAGGAAGCTTGTTTCCTCTTTCTGTCTCTCAGTTTTCTCTGACCTCCCCGCCATCGCTGTAGGCCTGTTTTCCTCCAGCTTAGGTTTTCTACTTTCTTTCAGGCTTTGCATAATAAAAATTTGCCTGAAGAACCTTTATATTTAGTCTCATTTTCCTTGATCTTTGTAATAACATTTTTTTTTTTTTGAGATGGAGTCTCGCCCTGTCGCCCAGGTTGGAGTACAATGGTGTGACCTTAGCTCACTGCAACCTCCGCCTTCCGGTTTCAAGCAATTCTCCTGCCTCAGCCTCCCGAGTAGCTGGGATTACAGGCACATGCCACCATGCCCAGCTAAATTTTGTATTTTTAGTAGAGATGGGGTTTCACCATGTTGGCCAGGCTGATCTCAAACTCTTGACCTTGTGATCTGCCCGCCTCAGCCTCCCAAAGTGCTGGGATTACAGGCGTGAACCACCGCGCCCGGCCTGTAATAACATATTTGTATAGGGACCACTATACATATTTGTATGGGGAATCACTACAAAACTGTAGTGATTCAATTTGGGGAATGGTGGGGACCAGGAGATAGGTAGAAATGAGCCTACTGAGTCAAATGTGTGCCACATGGGGACCAGGCTGTAATCACCTTAGAAGTCAAAGTTATCATTAGGGAATATGTTCAAACTCTTCTTTAAGCCCAATCCTGTATGTCCTATCGATCTTGCCTCTTTGGGTAATGAGTACTATAAATCCATTACTCACTGTTTGAGATAGCACTTTTTTTTTTAAGTAATGCTTTTTATTTATTCCAACTTACCCGACTTGCATGTGGATAGGAGTGAAAATACATATGTTCATTTTCTAAATTATCCTTGTTAATGGAGAGAAACAAAGGCAGAGAGAGCTGTAAAAATTTGGGGAAGGGGGCCAGGCGTGGTGGCTCACGACTGTAATCGCAGCACTTTGGGAGGGCAAGGCGGGCGGATCATGAAGTCAAGAGAGCGAGACCATCCTGGCTAACACGGTGAAACCCTGTCTCTACTAAAAAAATACAAAAAAAAAAAAAAATTAGCCGGGCATGGTGGCGGGCGCCTGTAGTCCCAGCTACTCGGGAGGCAGAGGCAGGAGAATGGCTTGAACCCGGGAGGCTTGAACCCGGGAGCTTGCAGTGAGCCGAGATCATGCCACTGTACTCCAGCCTGGGTGACAGAGTGAGACTCTGTCTCAAAAAAAAAAAAATTGGGGGAAGGGGTGTCAAATATTATTTGCTACTTATTACTGGCGTGTAATACTATCTGAAGCTCATAACAAAATAAAACCTACATCTTGAAGACAAATCTTTAACCTGGAAAGTAGTTGAGATTTTCTTTACCCACACCTTCCTTATTCCCAGCTTTATTTAGTGCATGTTTTTTCTTCCTACACCTAAAAGGTACTGACTTCAGTAGAATCTCCTCATCCTATCCCTACCCCAGTTTGCTTGCTTATTTTGGCTCATAATCTCTCAGAGACATAGTTAATTAATTAAGACCTAAGTAATGAGTTAATTACTATAAATGAGCTACAATACCCATAATCAAGAGTTAGCTGTATTTATTTTAGGAAGGAAGTGGTAATTAATTAGAGCCAAATAAACAAAAGGTACATTTACAGTTGGTAAAAACTTTCAGGTTTATTTTTAAGTTTAGTAATTCCAGGAATCCTTCAATGATACAGACATTCATTGAGCACTGAATAGTATTCACGTCCCTGTTCTAGTGCTTGACATGAATTATCCCATTTAAGCCTTAGAAGTCTATGAGGTAAGTATTATTATCTCCATTTTCCCATGGAAGAGCCTGGGCACAGGGAGGTTAAATGAGGGTTACAAAGCCCCTGCTGTGCAGTAACTGGCTCGCCTTGTGTGTAAAAACCTCTGACAATTGTTTTGAGTCCCCACCACTATCACCATTTAAGTTTGTGTCTTTTTTTTTTTTTTTTTTAAGAGACAGGGTCTCACCCTGTCACCCTGCACTCTGTAGAGTGCAGTGGCACGTGCATAGCTCACTACAGCCTTGAACTTCTGGGCTCAAGCATTTCTCCCACCTTAGCATCCAGTAGCTAGAACTACAGGCAAGTGCCCAGCTAATTTTTTGTATTTTTTTTGTAGAGACAGGATCTCGCCATGTTGCCCAGGCTGTTCTTGAAATCTTGGCCTCAAGCAGTCCTCCCGCCTTGGCCTCCCAAAGCACTGAGCCTCCAAACCTAGCCAAGCTTGGGTCTTTGAAATATATTCTCAGTAGATAGTGTAGTGTGGAAACCCATTCCATAGTTGCCTTTATTTGTTCACATGAGCTTAAGGTAAGCCTGGGGGTTCAATGTCCTTCATGATACCAGCTGGTTGACCTCTTGTCCATTTCAGTTTTTGTTCCAGCAGCTGGGAATGTTGGTGTCCTTTGTGAAGAGCCACATCAGACCTTATATGGATGAAATAGTCACCCTCATGAGAGTGAGTAGAAGTTAATGCTTTGGCCTCTTCCATGTTTGGGTCAAGGAAGGCTCAGAAGCAAGTTTGAATGACATAGACTTTTTTTCACGGATCTTTGTAGAGCTGTTACAGTCTTAGTACAGGAAGTGGAACAAAGCCCACTGGATTTTGAGGGGGAGGAAGGGCTGTTGCTCCAGGTTCCCAGGTACAAAACTACAAGGCATGAAGGCTGAAGAGAAATCCTGCAGTAATTGTTCTGCCAGAAATAGACAATTGGGTTATTTGCCTCACACACAACAAAGCAATTTTACTTTAATATCACAAGGGTGCTTTTCTATTTTCATGAAAGCCCTCTTTGTTACTGCTCATAAACCATGAAGGGATTGGGTTTTCTTAGGGCTGTTAAATATGATGGACACGTGTTGGGCACCAAGGAACAAGGTGATGCTTTACCCTGCTACCTCCAAAACCATACATATCACCTTTTGACTGCAGTGGCACATGAGAAAAGGCTCAGGTTCCAGGATTTTATAACATGCATTAAGTAGGTGCCAGAAGACACCCCATGGGCAATATCATTTTTCCTTGTGTTCTATATAATTTAAATGTCTCTACGGGGAAGATTGCTTCACAGGGATGGCATGTCCTCAAAGAGTTGGAAGATTTCTGTTCTTTCACACCAGACCTTTGTAGTTAGTTTGGACTAAAATCAAAATGGCTGGACTATTTGATTTTAGCAGGACTAAAATCAAAATGGCTGGTTTCAAATGGAACTTCCCAGCACCTGGATCTCAGAACTGAAAACCTCCCTACATGTATAAATAATTAAAAGCTGCTCTATTCCCTGACTCTTACCACAGAAGCCTCTGTACAAGGAGGATTTAGGCAGAATGCTAAAGAGGCCGATGGCTAGTCTTAGTGGGAGGAGGGGCAAGGGAAGAAGCAGTGTCCTCATGGGAGGAGGATGAAGTAATCTGTGACTTAATCCCCCCAAGAAGGCTAAACAAGGATACAATATGACCATATTATAGTCATAACAGGTTGATGACCAAAACACAGGGAATTGAGGCAGGGAGCCTCACACCTGCAAAATACAGCTTTCATTTCATCCCAGATAGAGAAGGTGCAACGGGGGCTCTTCCTTTGACTGTTGATTCTGGGCATTTTAATGAGCTCCCCCGAGCCTGGGAAGAAAATAGTCTTTGTGAACAGTGATCCAGCTGACATCCCTTGGCAGGCTGCCTGACATCTTTGAGGTAGAGAAGCCCCTGTGAGGAGCTGATGATAATGCAGCTGGGAGGTAGGTTGGCCTTCTCTAAAGAAGGCAGAGTAGGGTTCAAGTGGATGAACATCAGACAGACTCTGGAGGCTGTGAAATCTGTGGTGTTTCTTTGGCAACACTTTTAACCTAGAAAACACAGCTTTTTCAGAGAGAATACTTCTCTCCAAGTAGAGAGAAAGGAAGTTTTACCAGCATCTTCTAGTATAGTTTTTGCTTTCTAAACCATTATGCTTTTAAAGATACCTTTTTAAATAAAAATACTATATCTTTTTATAAAGCCTTTCATCTGAGGAGTTATCCTTGTTGTTATGGACTTCTACTTTGAACTATTTAGAGGCTCCAAGAATATTAACATTCATGTGTTGCCATCATTAGTAGGGTTTCTATTATCATTAAATTTCCTACTCCAGAACTTTTAAAGATGGTGGTAGGCAGCTGTCTTTTTGAGTTGATAGAAATGATATCTTTTCCTGGAGTTAGAGGCTTGGACTAATTTGCTTTGCAGCACTGAGGCAGGATCTGTGGCCAGTTGGCCAAGTTTTTATTTTAGTAACTTGTGTGGAAAATAACCATGTGGGTGTAGAAAGGGGCTCATTTTGTGGCACTGTTCAGGCCTGATGGATAGATTTTTGGGAAGGGACAGATATCAGATGCTATCTATTAATAGCAAAATCTAAATCCAGAAAAGCCAGGAAATATTTGTAATACTGGAGTCACCCTCTGGTAGAGATCAGGTGATACCAAAGTAAGGTCCAAGTCCACCCTGGACCACTTCAGAGTTTTTTGAGTGACTTAGTCATCTGTTCATTCTAGAATATTCCAGATGCTCTGATTGATAGATTCTGGGGATACAGAGATAGGATACTTGTCCCTAAGTAGCCTACAGTCTAGAGGGAGGACAGCAAAGCAAAGGAAGTCTTACAACTGCTATCGCTATCAAAGGGAGTGCAAAGGACCCAAGTGGATCATGGAAGGAGAAGAAGAAAGCCTGCATGGGAGAAGTGAGGCTAGAGCCAGGTCTAGAAAGACAGACAGGGCTTAGCTGAGCAAGAAGTGGGATTCTAGGCAGAGGAAGCAGCATGAGCAAAGCCCAGAGGACTGAGGTAGCCTGGTGCATCTGGGGAAATGCAATTGAGTTTGTCCAGTGTAGCTGCAACATAGGACACAAGAAGGGCCCAGTGGGAGGAGGGGAGTGAGGAGTTGATCTCGGCGCAGACCATGCTCACTACAGTTTTGCTTTTCTGGCCATCTTGATTCCTTTGTTCATATATCATCAGAAAGGGACCTGACTCAGCTCCTCTGACTTTTCTCTCTTTGTAGGAATTCTGGGTCATGAACACCTCAATTCAGAGCACGATCATTCTTCTCATTGAGCAAATTGTGGTAGCTCTTGGGGGTGAATTTAAGCTCTACCTGCCCCAGCTGATCCCACACATGCTGCGTGTCTTCATGCATGACAACAGCCCAGGCCGCATTGTCTCTATCAAGGTGAGTAGCCTACGTCATCCTCCAGAGAGATTTTCTGATTTCCTCTGAGTCCCTGGGTGATCAGCTAAAAGCTGAGACCTCATTCTGAGTGACAGGTTGATGCCCATTCCATAAGACAGAATCCCAAGAATACTAATACCCAATGTGTGCAGTTTACAGAATGTCTGTAATCCTCTCTTGATTATCCTTATGTTTTGTATCTGTTTCAATGGATTAATCTTGGGAAATATTTTATCCCAGACTAATTTTCTTTATTTTCCAGCAACGGATTCCTTATCAACTCAAATAAGCACAGAGAAAGCAAAGTAATATGTAAGCAAATAAAATGAGGGGAAGAAAGTGCTATCAAAAGGATATAGTTCAAGGCCATTTAATAAAGAGTTTTCCCAGTCCCCAGAGAACTTTGAATTGTCTACACCACCACCCGCTGCGTGTCCTTAGATACTTGGGACCTGACTATTCATCACCATGCTTTTGCTCCCTTTTGCAGTTACTGGCTGCAATCCAGCTGTTTGGCGCCAACCTGGATGACTACCTGCATTTACTGCTGCCTCCTATTGTTAAGTTGTTTGATGCCCCTGAAGCTCCACTGCCATCTCGAAAGTGAGCACCTCCTCTTTGGGACTAGCAATCTTTAAGCTTTAATGTTTTGTTGAAAATGTTCATTTCTTAAGTTCCCAGGCCATCTTTCTATTTTTTTTGTTATTTCAACTCACATTATTTTAGTCTAGAAATATCCCAGGTTTATGGAAATCTTAACTGTCCCTATCCCATTGGAATAAATGTTGGATCCATGTCATCCAAAATACCTTAGAAGCCGTTCATTCCCATCCCTTTGGTGCTGATTGTTAAGCTCACCCTCAGTCACGTCTCTTCCTTGGAGATTGTATGTTAGCAGTTACTGTATGTTAGTGATTGTTGTAGGGCAGCGCTAGAGACTGTGGACCGCCTGACGGAGTCCCTGGATTTCACTGACTATGCCTCCCGGATCATTCACCCTATTGTTCGAACACTGGACCAGAGCCCAGAACTGCGCTCCACAGCCATGGACACGCTGTCTTCACTTGTTTTTCAGCTGGGGAAGAAGGTAAGATGGGAGTCTGGACAGACAGGTGCTCTTCTGCCTTATTTGGAAAGAAGACTTTGTCTGTGAGCCACTCAGACTTTGTCTGATGCCAGCCACCATCAGAGAACGTGGAATTACTTGCTTTTTTTCTTTTCATGTGTTCAGCAAACATTTATTGAGCAACCTATGTGAGCTAAGTGCCGTTCTGGGGGTAACACGGTAAACAGAATAAAGTCCTTGCTCTCATAGAGCTTCCATCCTGATGAAGCAAAGCAAATAAACAGTTTGTTTCTTAAGAGTGATGGGTTGAAGTGGGGAGAAGTGCTCTTTATTTAGGGTAGACAGAGAAGACCTCTGATCAGTTGACACTCAAGCAGAGACCTAGATAAAATAAAGGCCTGGTTGCAAAGAATTGGATGCAAGGAGAAGAAATAGCAAGTGCTAAGGTTGAGGTGGCAGCTTGCTCAAAGAGTTCAGGGCACAGCAGGAAAGCAGTGTGACTTCAGAGGAGCAAGCAATGGGGAAGTGCTTGTAGTTAAGGTGATGGAGATAAGGCAGAATAGTAGAGACTAGATTTTGTAGGCCTGGAGCTCTCAAAATATCATTCCTGGACAAGCAGTATCAGTGTCTACATACCTGAGAACTTGTTAGAAATGCAGATTCTTGAGCTAGGCACAGTGACTCACACCCGTAATTCCAGCAACTTGGGAGGCTGAGGCAAGAGGATTGCTTGAGATCAGGAGTTGGAGACCAACTCCAGACATAGCAAGACCCTGTCTCCACAAAAAAATTTAAAACTTAGCCAGGCGTAGGAACACGTGCCTGTGGTCCCAGCTACTCAGGAGGCTAAGGCAGAGGGATCGCTTGAGCCCAGGAGTTCCAGACTGCAGTGACCCCCATAATTGTGCCATTGCACTCCAGCCTGGGCAACAGAGCAAGACCTCATCTCACCTAAGACCTACTGAATCAGATCCTCTAGCTGTGGAGCCCAGCAGTCTCTGGTTTCATGAGCTGTCCAGGTGATTCTGACGCCCACTAAAATATGCAAATCACTATTGTGGGCCATTGTAAGTACTTTGGCTTTTACTCTGAGCAAGACTGGAAGTTTTTGGTGGACTTTGAACACAGGAAAAATAAGATCTGACTTAATATTTTTAAATGATAACTCAATGCCATGTGGGAAAATAGGCTGCGGGGGCAAGGGCAGAAGCAAAGATCTGTTAAGAGGCCACCATCATAAACCAGATGATGGGGACTTGAACTAGGATTATAACGGGAGATGGGAAGAAGGATTCTTTTGAATATCACAGAGCTAGCCACAAACCCAGAAGAAATGGTCATAATGTAGTTGTATAATATTTTTTCCTCTACTTTTTCTCCACTCTCCAAAATGATAGTTTCTCATCTCTTCCCCCTCCTGTTTTAGTACCAAATTTTCATTCCAATGGTGAATAAAGTTCTGGTGCGACACCGAATCAATCATCAGCGCTATGATGTGCTCATCTGCAGAATTGTCAAGGTGAACTATACTTCTTTTCTGTTCTGAAGTCCCTGTTGTCTTTACTACTTGATATTCTTGTAATCTTGGCTATGGGAGTTTGTGTAGCTTTTTGGCTGTAAATTAGGGATTGGCAAACTTTTTTCCAGTTTTGTAGACTATGTGGTCTCTTTTGCAGCTCCTCAGCTCTGCCACTACAGCCTGAGAGCAGCCATACACAATGTGTAAATGATGAGCCTGGCTGCATTCCACTAAAACTTTATTTATGGACACCTAAATTTGATTCTCTCAATTTTCATGTGTTGCAAAATATCAATCTTCTTTTGATTTTTTTTCCCCCCAACCATTTAAAAGTATAAAAACCCTTCTTAGCTCTTGGGCTATATAAAAACAGGCAGAGGGCTGGGTGCGGTGGCTCCCGCCTTGGGAGGCCAAGGCAGGTGGATTGCTTGAGCCCAGGAGTTTGAGACCAGCCTGGGCAACATGGTAAAACCCCATCTGTACAAAAAATACAAAAAATTAGCTGGTCATGATGGCGGGTACCTGTGGTCCCAGTTACCGAGGAGGCTGAAGTGGGAGGATCACCTGAGGCTGCAGTGAGCTGTGATTGCACCAGTGCACTCCAGCCTGGGTGGCAGAGTGAGACCCTATCTCAAAGTAGATTAAAGGCTAGGCACAGGGGCTCATGCCTGTAATCCCACAACTTTGAGAGGCTGAGGCGGGAGGATCACTTGAGGTCAGGAGTTCAAGACCAGCCTGGCCAACATGGCGAAACCTCGTCTCCATTAAAAATACAAAAATTAGCCGGGCATGGTGGTGTGCACCTGTAGTCCCAACTATTCAGGAGGCTCAGGCAAGAGAATTGCTTGAACCCAGGAGGCAGAGGTTGCAGTGAGCTGAGATTGCGCTACTGCACTCCAGCCTGAGAGACAGAGCTAGACTCTGTCTCAAAAAAATAAGTAAATAAATAGGTTCGATTAGATAGGCAGGTAGGGAGTGGCACAAATAAATAAGTGAATAGATGATTCTTTTTAAAAAGTTTTAAAAAGCCAGGGGATGGGGGCTGTTTGCCACCTTTGCTCCAAACACTTTATCACTTTTCCCATTGCCGACAATTGTTTATCTTTGCTAGTTGCATGGTTGCTTGATCTTAATACTAAGTCAGTGCTTGTCAGTAACTAGGAGTGACTAGCAAAGACTGTCTACAGTTGGGGAGTCAGCCCATCTGTGGTTCATTTTGTCCATATGTGCAACTTTTTACTTCTTACTGAAATCCTGGCTCTACCAGGTCTGCACCTCCCAAAATTTAAGGATATTTCCTAAACCAGAAGCATCTAGTAGAGTTATAGGTGTTTCCTATAAATCTTTGGTTGTAGGGATACACACTTGCTGATGAAGAGGAGGATCCTTTGATTTACCAGCATCGGATGCTTAGGAGTGGCCAAGGGGATGCATTGGCTAGTGGACCAGTGGAAACAGGACCCATGAAGAAACTGCACGTCAGCACCATCAACCTCCAAAAGGCAAGTCCATTGTTTCAGGTGACTGGGAAAGGAGAGCTCTGCTCTTCTCACTTACTCAAAACTTTTAACTGTTTAAACTGGGCAACCGAAAACCAGCCCAGGTGTTTTTTCCAGAAATCTAGATACCATGAACTTAGATCATTTTGTCTTTTTACAGGTGCCTAAATTGTAATTTTGTTTTGAATAGAGAAAAAGTAGAGAACAAAATGTCCTTTTGTGCTCCCTTGGAATATGGATGGTAGAACCTTTTGTTGCAAATACATTCTCATTTTTTACATGAAGGGAACAAAGCTAGTGAGCCCCCTAGTTGGCATTGAGACTGATGAAGGCTCTTTCAAACAGTGCTTTTCAAACTTCTCAAACTCATTGGGCTTACCAGTTGCTGGGAGTCTTGTAAAAATGCTTATTCTGTTGTTGGCAGTCTGATTTGGGGCCTGATATTCTGCATTTCTGACAAGCTGCCAGCTAATGTGATGCTGCTGGTCCATGGACCATACTTTGAGTAGTGAGGTTTTAGATGTTTCCAAGTGATTACTGAATTATCTCTGCTGGCCAAAGCCTAAGATATGACCAGCTTTTCACCATGTATGCCATCAGCTATCCACCTAAAAACAGGCAGTTTCAAAGCATCTCTAGTGAATCAGAGCACAATAATCATAATTACTTCACCAACTTTAAATAAATATACCACATCGAGTATTTTCCATTTTGCATTAGTCTTTCATGTTTCTGGTGACTGTAAGCAACTTCCAGTTTAGATTTCAGTGTTATTTTTCATCTATTAGCCATCTCACTCCATGTGCAGCAGCAGATAGAGGTGAAGAACTGGGCAAGACTGTGTCCTAGCTGACTCGTTCACTTCTTTTGGAAAAACCCATAAAGATTTGAACACAGTCCTTTGTGCATGTGTACGGGCTCACGCCCAGCTTTGCGGAGCACTGGGGGTTTATTACTGTTGTTTCAGAGTCTTTACTCACACAAACAGCTTCAAGTGACCACTGCTAAGAAACGTTTGCTGGGTTAAGATGGAGGTAGTAAAATATTCCTGGGTCAGGAGTGATGCTGCTTTCCCTCTGGGGATTTTGTAACTGCTACTCTGAGACTTTAGGAGGAAGAAAAAGGTTATCAGTCACTTGGCATTCCCAGGTAATCATTGAGGCCACCCTGCTGACACCTCACACTGGAGGGAGGGGCCAGGCAGGAGGCCAGATGTACATTTCCACCCAGATGTTTTCATCCTGACTAGGTTCAGAATGTCCTTCCAACCAGGCAGCCGTCCACCCTGCTTTAGAGCTTTGTTCTCTCTATTTTAGGAAATTCCTCAGTAATCTAGTTTGCTTCCAGGAAGTTTTGCTTTCTACCCAGACTTGGAAAAAATAAGCATAAACCTTGCCAGATAGACAAAAGAAAGACTCTTAGTTTATCTCACCTGAGAAAGTAGATCAAGTTCAAAACTCTAGACAGAATCCTCCACAGCTCACTCTCAGATCTATTTCATTGGGAAGTAAATTGTGGGAGCTGGGCATGGTGGCTCATGCCTGTAATCTCAGTAATTTGGCAGGCCAAAATGGAAGAATCACTTGAAGCAGGAGTTTGAGACCAGCCTGGGCAACATAGTAAAACACCATCTGTATAATAAAAATGAAAAATGAAAAAAATTAATTTCAGCCTGGGCAACAGAGTAAGACCCTGTCTCAAAAAAAAAAAAAAAAAAGGAATTGAAAAAATTTTAAAAATTAGCTGAGCAGAGTGGCACCTGCCTGTAGTCCCAGCTACTCAGGAGACTGAGGCAGGAGGTTCACTTGAGCCCATGAGTTCCAGGGTGCAGTGAGCTATGATTGCGCCACTGCACTCCAGCCCAGGTGACAGAGCAAGATTCTCTTCAAAAAAAAAAAAAAAAAAGAGGTAGGGGGCCAGGTGCAGTGGCTCATGCCTGTAATTCCAACACTTTGGGAAGCCAGGCGGGAGGATTACTCGAGCCCAGGAGTTCAAGACCAGCTGGGGCAACATGGCAAAATTCCCCCTCTACAAAAAATACAAAAATTAGCTGGACATGGTGGTGCATGCCTGTAGTCCCAGCTACTCGAGAGGCTAAGGTGGGAGGATCTCTTGAGCCTGGGAGGTCAAGGCTGCAGTAAGCAGTGATCATCCCACTTCACCACTCCAGCACAGGCAACAGAGCAAGACCCTGTCTCACCAACAACAACGACAAAAAAAGGCAGCAGACCTCATTGTTCAGAAGTAAATTGTGCCTCCTTATAATCATGTGATGATAATTAGGGATTGGTGCATTTATCAGTCTTAACCAACTTTCAGAGTAACAATTTGCCACCTCAGTCACCATTTTATTTGTTATGATAATATTAGATTTATGTGATACAGAAAACATAAAAACCATTTATGTATACTTCTAGAATGCCTTCCAGAATTTTCAGCAGCTTTACTGTCTGTCTGAATGATAATCTGTTTGGGTTTACCTTCACCATGAGTAAGCTGGCATTCCATGAACAGGCACCAGCATCACCAGATGAGGCGATCAGCAGTGGGTGGATGGCAAGAGGAAGCAGCTCGTGTTTACACAGTTGTTATAGAACCCAGAGAATTGAGAGTTGATAATGTTTTACAGAGCAGGGGGAAAGGGCCACATGGGGGACTTGGCCTAGTCAATAAATTAAGCTATGATTTTTTGAAAACCTATTTACTGCCATTTATCAAGTAATAGTAACAACTGACATTTATTGAGTGCTTTCCGTGTGTCAAGCACTGTGGTGGAACACTATATTAACTCATTTAATCTTCATGATAACCCCATGAGTTAGGTGCTGTCGTTGCTGTCCCACTTTACAGATGTGGACCGTGAGGCACTGACGGGTTAAGTAATTTGCCCAGTGTCAACTAGCATCAATGGTGGAGCTGGGATTTGACCTAGATAGCATGACTCCAGAGCCCACTCTCTTAACCACTGTGTTGAATTGTCTCTGCCTTACCCAGGCCCAACCTCATTTCATTAGAGGGAAAAAGAAACTAGTAATACTTCCCTGTTTATGTGCAGCTTTTAACAATTGCTGTATAATATAATACAGCTACACACAAACCCATCTTGTAGGGAAGAAACCAGGTATCTGTGGGCAGGAAAGGACTGGATGTTCCCATTGTGCTCAACAGAGCAAGGTCTAAAAATCAGTCTTTGGTATCTAGTCTCCCTCTTCCTTCTCATTCAGAGGTTCTCGTTGTATGGTCAGTGGTATTATTTAGTTTGTCTCTTGTAACATTTCTGCTTCGGTTTTTGACATAAAGTGATAGGTTGTCTAATTCTATTCATCCGTAACTCTTTAGAAGCAACAGCACATCTCCAGTGTATCCCAGGGAGGTGATGGTTGAGTCCTTGATGGTATAGCACCTGGGGGTCTTTTCACTCACTGGACCACTTCACTAGTCCAAAGTTTGAGACCTTCTGCTCTGTCTTACATGATTTCCCCCATTTAGGGAGGATTGATGTGTCCTGCTGGAAAAATCTATGAAGAACATATTTTAAAAGTTAGGGATTTAGTGTAGTTAGGCCTAGGCCAGTTCAAATAGGTGTTGTTTTGACAATAATAACAATCATTTTTTGCTCCTTTATTCCGGCTAAGCCATTTAGACACATTATCCTTAGATGAGGCACTCTGAGGCTCAGCTGCAAAATACAAGTAATTTGCCCAGGGTGTTACAGCTGCTGAGTGGAAGAGCCAGGATCCCAGGCAGGTGTTTCTAACTTTAGAGAACTAGGCAAATAGTACTAACTTTGTGCCAAGCACTGTTATAAATTCATTACATTTATTAACTTAAAACACCCCAGGAAGCAGAAACTATAATCCTCATTTTACAGATGAGGAAACTAAGGCACAGGGGAGTTAAGTGACTTGCCAAAGATCAGAGAGCCAATTATGTTATATAACTGGGATTTGAACTGAAGCCATTGAGTCAAGTGTAGCTGTTGCCCACTACACTATACTGTTCTCCAAAACCTCAGCCTTTCCACCCACCTGAATAAGCTGCCCCTGGTAGTAACTCTTGATGTCTGGAGAGTTCAGAGTTTTGAGAGAAGTTGGAGGGGATAGAGTAGAAATTAAATCTGTTCAACCCCTTTTTCTTGTTTTACCACAGTGCCATGTGCTTTGGGCTCACTGCTCACCTGGTTGCAACATGATTCACTATGGTGTAAACCTGAGCCTTTTCCCTCTTCTTGCGTGACTCTTCACTGTCAGATGAGCTGGTGTTCTAATGCAGAGGACACAGCTCCCTTCATGCCCTGCTGGAGCCCATTAGGCTTTGTCGAATGCACCCGAGTGTGGCAATCCCATGTATTCTGGTTCTGTAGTGCTCCTTTGCTGCAGTCAGAGTCCAGCACAAAGGAGTTGTGAAACAGGCTTTTTCCACAGTGTGGTATGTTCCAGAGTTGCTGTTCTTAATTAAATATTATTCTTTTGTATTTGTACTCTAGGGGAATTTTATCGTGAAAGATGGATTTTATAAATCTAAAAGTAGAATAATCATTAAATAGATGAGGACTTTTTTCAATTGGCCCTTGAAACTGATTGTTTTCCATTGTCACCTGTGGGATCACAGGCCTGGGGCGCTGCCAGGAGGGTCTCCAAAGATGACTGGCTGGAATGGCTGAGACGGCTGAGCCTGGAGCTGCTGAAGGACTCATCATCGCCCTCCCTGCGCTCCTGCTGGGCCCTGGCACAGGCCTACAACCCGATGGCCAGGTATAGTGTGTCAGGGCGGGTGGAGAAGATCAGCACATAGAAAACGATATATACAAATTAGTTTTTATTAGAAGTAATAATCAAGGGGCTGGTATTTTTAATTTTTCTAATTTTGTGGGATACAAAGAAAGAGAAAGACAAATTCAACAAGCTCATACTGTAGCATCTATCTTAACCTTGCTAGTAGACCACAAATTCCTTTTTCTAGTAGCTTTAGGTCTAACATTTTAATTACAAAGTTATTTATAACTCTAAAAGCAACTGTGTAATAGTTGAATGTAACCTATTTCCAATAACAATGGTATTCTAATTATTGCTGTTTGTTACAAATACCACAGGAAAAAAAAGGTCTGAAACAATAACAGTTATTTATTTTACTCCTGAATCTGCAATTTGGGAGGACTTTTGGGACAGCTCGCCTCTGCTCCACATGGTGTCAGTGGAGATGGTTTGACTGGGGCAGGATGGAGGATCCGCATTCAAGGCTGGCTTGTGTGTCTGGCAAAGTGCAGGTGACTCTCGACTAGGAACCCAGCTCTGGCTGGGGGCCTTGGTTCCTCTCCATGGGATCACTCCATGAGTTTGCTTGGGCCTTCTCACAGATGGTGACTGGCTTCAAGAGTGAGTGTCCCAAGAGAACGAGGTAGTAGAAGAGCATGGTGTTTTTATGATCTAAGTCATAAAGAGTCTTGGAAGTCATGAAGAGTCACTTCTGCCTTGCCCTGTTGCTCAAGGCAGCCACAAAGGCGCAGTCAGGCTCAAAGGAAGAAGACATGGGCACCCACCTCTTGAGAGAGGAGAAGTAATATTCTAACAGACTATATGGGACAGGAGCCACTGTTGCAGACATCTTTGGAAAATAGAATTTGCCAGAATTTATTTTTTCTTTTTTTGAGAGTCTTGTTCTGTTGCTCAGGCTGGACTGCAGTGGCACAGTTGTGGCTCACTGCAACCCTGCCTCCTGGTTCAAGAGATTCTCCTGCCTCAGCCTCCCGTGTAGCTGGGATTACAGGTGTGTACCACCACACCCAGCTAATTTTGTATTTTTAGTAAAGACGGGGTTTCGCCATGTTGGCCAGGCTGGTCTTCAACTCCTGGCCTCAAGTGATCTGCTCACCTTGGCCTTTCAAAGTGCTGGGATTACAGACATGAGCCACTTGGCCAAAATTTTTTTTATTGATACATAATAGATGTACATATATTTTCAAAGTACATGTGATATTTCGATACATTCATATAATGTGTAATAAAACAAATCAGGATAATTGGGATATTCATCACTTTAGACATCTTTTTTTGTTGTTGTTGTTTGGTTGGTTTTTTTGTTTTCATTTTTGTTTTTGTTTTTGAGATGGAGTCTTGCTCTGTCACCCAGGCTGGAGTGCAGTGGCGCAATTGTGGCTCACTGCAACCTCCGTCTCCTGGGTTCAAGCGATTCTCCTGCCTCAGCCTCCCGAGTAGCTGGGAGTACAGGCACACGCCACCACGCCCGGCTATTTTTTGTAATTTTAGTAGACGTGGGGTTTCACCATGTTGGCCAGGCTGGTCTTGAACTCCTGACCTCAAATGATCCACCTGCCTTGGCCTCCCAGAGTGCTGGGATTACAGGCGTGAGCCACCACGCCCCGCCTGGTTTTTTGTTTTTGTTTTTGTTTTGGAAACAGGGTCTCTGCTGCCCGGGCTGGAGTGCAGTGGGACGATCTCGGCTCACTGCAGCCTCAACCTCCTGGGCTCAAGTGATCCTCCCACGTCAGCCTCCTGAGTAGCTGGGACTGCAGACACGCACCAGGCCCAGCTAATTTTATTTTTTGTAGAGACGAGGTCTCACTATGTTGCCCAGGCTGATCTCAAACTCCTGGACTCAAGCAGTCATCCTGCCTCAGCCTCCAAAAGTGCCGTGATTTATAGGCATGAGTCATCACCATTTTTTTTTTAATTTTTAAAAATTTTTATAGATTTTGGAGTACAGGTGCAGGTTTGTTACATGGATATGTTGCATAGTGGTGAAGTCTGGGCTTTTCGTAGAACCATCACCTGAATAATAGTGTACATCGTACCTATCAGGTAATTTCTCATCCCTCAACCCCGCCAAAAAAAATATTGTTTTAAATAGTAAATCTTTTTTTTTTTTTTTTTTTTTGAGACGGAGTTTTGCTCTGTTTCCCAGGCTGGAGTGCAGTGGCGCGATCTTGGCTCACCGCAACCTCTACTTCCCAGGTTCAAGCCATTCTCCTGCCTCAGCCTCCCAATGAGCTGGGACTACAGGTGCACACCTGGCCAATTTTTTGTACTTTTAGTAGAGATGGGATTTCACCATGTTAGCCAGGATGGTCTCGATCTCCTGACCTCGCAATCTGCCCACCTCGGCCTCCCAGAGTGCTGGGATTACAGGCATGAGCCACTGTGCCCGGCCTAAATAGTAAATCTTAAACAGCCATTTAAAATTTGGTTTACAGGCTGGGCATTGTGGCTCCTGCCTATAATCTCAGCACTCTAGGAGGCTGAGACAGGAGGATCACTTGAGGCCAAGAGTTCAAGACCAGCCTGGGCAACCTAGCGAGACTCTATCTCTACAAAAATGAAAAATTAGCCAAGCGTGGTGGCATGAAGCTGTAATCCTAGCTACTCAGGAGGCTAAGGCGGGGGGATTACTTGAGTCCAGGAGTTTAGAGGCTGCAGAGAGCCACAATCGTGCCCCTGCATTCCAGCCTAGATGGCAGAGCAAGACTGCATCTCAAAAAAATTTTTTTTTGGTTTATAAAACTTCTAATGCATGTGAAAGATTTATAATATAATGTAAGTAAATAAAATGGAATACAAAATTGAAAATTAAAATAAATGTGAATAGGATAAAGATTAGAAAGTAATATAGCAATGGTTATCTTTAGGGAAGGCTTAAGGAGTGATTATTTTCTTTTTTATTCTCTTCTTTATTTCTTAAATTTTTCTGCATTGGATATTAATTATTTATAATGAGGCATAAAATGGTGATTTAATTAATAAGCAGCCCTTCGCATTGGCAAGAAGCAGAAAGCAAGGCATTTCACTTCATTTTTGTCAGCAGCTGGTTTGCTGTTATGATATATATTTAGCAGTAGTGATGGCCCCTGAGACTGTTGGTTTGATGCCATGATTTGCATCCTCTAATTTCTTTCAAGTATTTTTTAATGCTTTAAAATAGTTTCTAGGACTTCCCTGTTTCCGTAGTGTGGAGATATCATGTACTCAGCTGATGTATTTATTATTCCTCTTTTCTCTCCAGTCACCTCTGAGCACAGTGTTATCCATGAGAGGCTTGTGATATACACAATGTTTTTATCCCCTTAGTCCCAAATACGTTCATTCAAGATCCAATGTGGCCTCTGACCTAGATCAGGAAAACTTTTTTTATGATTTTAGAGATGAAGGTCTTGGTTATTGCCCTGGCTGGTCTTGAACTGCTAATCTCAAGAGATCCTCCTGCCTCAGCCTCCCAAGTCACCAGGATGACCAGCGACTGTAATTACCTGGCTCCGAAAACTTACTTTTAATTTTTTTTTTTTTTTTGAAACAGAGTCTCGCTCTGTTGCCCAGGCTGGAGTGCAGTGGTGTGATCTTGGCTCACTGCAAACTCTGCCTCCCAGGTTCAAGCCATTCTCCTGCCTCAGCCTCCTGAGAAGCTGGGACTACAGGCCACCACCACCGCGCCCGGCTAATTTTTTGTATTTTTAGTAGAGACGGGGTTTCACCATGTTAGCCAGGATGGTCTCGATCTCCTGACCTTGTGATCCGCCCGCCTCAGCCCCCCAAAGTACTGGGATTACAGGCGTGAGCCACCACGCCTGGCCTTATTTTTAAATTTATAACAGACTTTTTTTGGTCTTCATTTGATCCTTTGGATTTCAAATTTTGTTTTTTCTATCAAATTCCAAAATTATACACATTGGTCTAACTTAACCTGTTAATATGTAACAGAAAATAGGTATAGAGGCATCAAATGCTAAATCTATCCATTGTAGGTATATCCTGTTTTTTCCCATTTCCTTCCCCGCACAGTCACCAGAACAGTGGGGAGGACAGAATTAATGTTAGATGTAAGGGATGGCAAATGTGTCCATCATGTGGTACTGTGGTAATGTAAAGTGGTCATAGTAATCTTTGAAATGGAACCTCTGGTTCCATGTCTTTGTGAGGCCCCAACTGTTGGCTTAGAAAATCTTTTAGAACTTAAGGATTTGGATCCTATTTGCTAATGCTTCTAGTCCTGTTGTCATTTTTTATGACCATCCAACTAAGGATTCTGGTTATATTTTGAAAGCAATTGCAGATGCTGCCTTTGACATTTCTGACCTTAAGAATTTAGACATTGTCCCAGAAACATCCCAAGAATCATTTAATGATTATTATTTTCTGCATTTGTTAATGCCAACTTCTATGTTAGAAGTCCCTATACTGTTCATTTCCCATTTCCTCCAGTGAAGAGAAATAATGCAAAAACTGCCAAGAAATATTCCTTTGGAGAAAAGTCACTTTGCTCTGCTCTTCTCCCCGCCCTGCCACTCGCCCCCCAAGTCCCTGAATATCACAATGTCTGTACCTGCAGTGTAAAATTCAGTAGACACTAGCCATATGTGGTTAATTAAAAATAAATAAAATGTAAAATTCAGTTCCTTGGCCACACTTGCCACAGTTCAAGTGCTTTAGTGATCACTGGCTACCATATTGGACAGGAAAATTCTCTTGGACAGCACTGGTCTGTATAGCACTGGTTTGTATAACCAAAATCAGTGATGCCAAAAGCGAATTGATAGGTGTGACTTTGAGGCAGCAGGCAGAGGCACGGGAGGTCTCTCCATTTTCCACCTTCTCTGCCTTCAGGGATCTCTTCAATGCTGCATTTGTGTCCTGCTGGTCTGAACTGAATGAAGATCAACAGGATGAGCTCATCAGAAGCATCGAGTTGGCCCTCACCTCACAAGACATCGCTGAAGTCACACAGACCCTCTTAAACTTGGCTGAATTCATGGAACACAGTGACAAGGTGAGACTTTTCCCCATTGTCCAGATGGAGGCTGACAGGGAACCAGCTGGTGGGAGGAGAGAAGCATCCACACAGCCTTCTCTTGTTTGTGCCCCATCTGCCATTTTCCTGTGCTGTGAGGTTTTGCTCTTCTCCAGGGCCCCCTGCCACTGAGAGATGACAATGGCATTGTTCTGCTGGGTGAGAGAGCTGCCAAGTGCCGAGCATATGCCAAAGCACTACACTACAAAGAACTGGAGTTCCAGAAAGGCCCCACCCCTGCCATTCTAGAATCTCTCATCAGGTAGGCCATAAACCCTTTTTAATTGCTGCCTTCATGCAAAATGACCTCTCTTCTCCCACTGCCTGGTGCCACTTCACTGGAGTCACTTGAAGACTTCTGCTCTGTGAAATCTGCCTCTGGGTCTGGCCAGCATGTTTAAATGACATGTTGTTGCAGATGGCTCTCCCCAGGAATCTAGCCATGATTGTCATTTCTGTTGACCCTTATCACCTGGGCTCCTGTTGTTTTCCAACCTGTCCTTTCTTGTTCCAGTGAAATTTAGTTGAGAAGCAATTCTGTGGCCATGGCAGCCTAGGAAGATAGGTTTTATGTCTGGGTTAGATAGCGCTGTCTAGAGCTGGAGTAGAATGTGCTGGTTCCTGGGCTTCAGAGGGTACTCAAGGGCACAGTGGGGTTTTATCAACTAAATCTATTGATGCCTGCATCTTCCTCCTCTGGTGTTTTGTGAATATAAAAGGCAGAGCATAATCTGAAATCTAATGGTCTTTTCTCTGATGTGGTTATGTTCGCTCCTCTGTTAAGACAGTTTTCAGTCTTCTGGGTATGGAAAAAATAGTTCGTTTAATAAATTTTCTGCTGTTAGGAAATTACAAGCAGCATGAAACATTAGCTCCAGCTCCTAAAAAACCATTCACTTCCCCTAATGATTATCAGAGAATATCAACTTCGGGATCTCATTATCTTCATGTGAATGCTAAATGGTCGGTCATTTCACTGCAGATAGTTTAGAAAAAATCATCTGGCTAGTAAGTTCCTTCACCGTGGCTGATAGAGCCTGCTGTGTGGCTCTATCAAAGGAGGATAGAGCCTCCTTTGTTTGAGAGGGTAATCAAATAGCCAAGTCCTTTCCTAGCTGTGCTTTTGAGAAGATATTTAAAAGAGTTCCTTTAACACTTTAAAAAGTTAGCGAAAAGATAGAAATAGAATCCTGTTTTTGCCCAAATAAATTGGACTTGGAGAAAATGTTGATTTCTGAAATACCATGTAGGAATAATTAAAAACATGCCGTCCTCTGAGGCATGCTTCAGTTTCACATCAGGCACAGTAAATGTGAAAATCCACTTTCTTCCTTCCATCTCTGGCTTAGGTAATGTGCTGTCACTTGATAGCTCATAGAAAATACGGTAACTAAGTATGATCACTTTAAGGTCAGATAACTCATTTTGCATATTAATTTCCTTGCTCACCTGTTTGAGACCTATTTGAAACCTTCCCAATTCCACCCTTAATTTTTCCGCATATTTGATACAATCATAAAAACTTAAAGTTATGCAGATTTGTAGCAGAAAAATATAGTCAGAGGCCTGGAAAAGTGCTCTAGAAGGTTATTTAGCTTTGTAAGCAAATATAATTGAAAGTAAATCCTCAGAATTCCCTGGAGATTGATCTTGTCCTTTGTTTAAAACGCTGTTCCAGGCCGGGCGGGGTAGTTCACACCTGTAATCCCAGCACTCTGGGAGGCCAAGGTGGGTGGATCACTTGATGTCAGGAGTTCGAGACCAGCCTGGCCAACATGGTGAAACACCCATCTCTACTAAAAATACAAAAATTAGCTGGGTGTGGTGGCGCACATCTGTATTCCCAGCTCCTTGAGAGGCTAAGGCAGGAGAATTGCTTGAACCTGGGAGGTGGAGGTTGCAATGAGCCAAGATTGCGTCACTGTACTCTAGCCTGGATGACAGCGAGATTCTGTCTCAATAAAAAAGTGAATGAATGAGTGAATGAATGAATGCTGTTACTGGGGAAAGCCAGTGTGCTCGGCTCTTTGGGTGTCCTCAGCTAAGTCAGCTCAGCTTGCATTTCTGCCTCCCTTCTGCTGGTCTCCTGTGTCTTCCCATCACCTTTCTTTTTTTGCTTCCAATTGCAGTTTTTACTTCTGATTTTGTAAAGCTGCTTTTCCTAAGCCCGGTTGTGGTGGTATACTGTCGTCTTTACTGAAGGAAGTTTTAAGAAACAGCCTTAGACAAAGTTGCTCATAGCACTACCCCTAGTTCTGTGGGTGAGCCTCATGGAAATTCTTCTCAGGGGTCTTTTCCCACTGTTGGTTTTATGTCCCTGAGCCACTACTTGGATCTGGCCTTGGAGACATCGCTTTGCAGTAAGGGATTGAATTCCTTCCTCACAGTGGCTGCTAGAGAGCTTGAAGCTAAATTCCTGGTCTACCTCCAACAAATTCCAGACATCTTACCTGTTTTTACTACTAACCCTCCCCCAACCCCCACAGGCTTTGTTTTATTTTTCCTACTCTTATTTTCCCTTCACCAAGTTGTCTGCTTTTTCAGAGCTTATTTTAGTATATACATTTGAGTCAACTTCCCTAAATTCTTTTTGAAACAATTAGGGTAGCCCTACACAAAAACATCTTTGTTCAGCTATTTCTTTTCTTTTCTTTTCTTTTTTTTTTTTTTAGATGGAGTCGCGCTCTGTCTCCAGGCTGGAGTGCAGTGGCACAATCTTGGCTCACTGCAACCTCCACCTCCTAGATGCAAGCGATTCTCCTGCCTCAGCTTCCTAAGTAGCTGGGACTACAGGCGCATGCCACCATGCCCAGCTAATTTTTGTATTTTTAGTAGAAAGGGGTTTCACCATG
Source organism: Homo sapiens (assembly GCF_000001405.40). Classification (NCBI taxonomy): domain Eukaryota; kingdom Metazoa; phylum Chordata; class Mammalia; order Primates; family Hominidae; genus Homo; species Homo sapiens. The sequence goes on along the minus strand of NC_000001.11, from coordinate 11,196,667 downwards.
TTGGCCAGGATGGTCTCACTCTCTTGACCTCGTGATCCACCCGCCTCGGCCTCCTAAAGTGCTGGGATTACAGGCGTGAGCCACCGCGTGCAGCTATTTCTTATTTTTTTGTCTTTGCTTTAAAAAACTGTGTTCTGTTGACAGTATTGTTCTCTTGCTACTAGTTCAATCCGTCTTGCAACCTATTGACTTTTTTAACCTATCTGCTACAGGGCAAATTAAATCCGAGATGTAATCCCAAATCAGGGCTAACACTGAGATAGTATAAACTACCCCCATCTCCTTAAAGCTCACATATCAGTAAATATATTTGCTTTCTTGGGGACAGAGGATTGAGTGGTTATTTGTTAGAAAGCGCACACACACCACTTTTACTTGGTTAGCCCCGAGCATTAGGGTAAGGTCTGCTGGCCTGTTTTTGCTTCTCTATCCTAAGTAGAATAGAGGGTCTGATAAGGCTGGATGCCTTCACTGCCCAGCCCCAGACGTGTAATCCCCTTTATGAAGAATTGTCCTGGTTGCTGCCCTTTTGTCCCTTACCTGTTCCCTTTTGGCTTCTGCTCCCCGCTTGGTTGCCCTGAACACCAAAACAAACCCCGGGCCTCTGTCACTGCTCACCCTCTGATTTAACTTTAACTTTTTATCCTGCTGTAAGTGGTAATGGTAAGAATTTAAAAAGAAGATACTCACATTTTGAAAGTGTTTATTGTAGAAGGAAAAGAAACGTTGAATGTTTAAAACAAAACCACAATATTTTATTTTTACAAAGTGAGATGCTTATTTACAGCATTTATTATTAACTATAACACCATCTACCTTCAGTTTTCAACCATTTCCTACAGACAAAATTTAAAAGGAAGCTCCTTGAGCTTGTTTCTTACAAAGTAAATAAAAATAGATATACCTGTATTAACTATGAATATTTTAAGGCAGTTTTGTGCCGGCATCCATGAGAGACTCTGTCCACCTCCTGCTGGTGCTTCATTCCTTTCAGTGCTGTACATGACCAAGGCGAGCAGGGGCAGTGCTCAGAGTCTGATCGCCAGATGCAGTGCCCTGGAGTTTCCTCCCCGCAAGTCCAGCCTGGGTCAGTTCCAGCCGAACAATTTTTGTGTTTTAAAAATAATGTGTAGACTCAAGATAATTTCACTGGATTTAAAAATAGAAATACCATTTCCCACCTGCCTCCTTCACTCCTTTCTCTAACACTCAAAGGCCTATCCTTTGAGAATCAAAATAATATGGTTCTTTTTAGCAAAGGGATTTGTGTTTTGCCCTCACATAGCCTAAGCCGTAGAGAAAATAGATAAAACGATCTCAAAATTATTTTCTTTCACAGACAAATCATGTGGAAAAGACAAGCTACTGCTATGTCAGGGATCTTGGGCAGAGAGACCCCACTCAGTCTACCACCTTGAGAAGGATGTGGCAGGACCCAGTGGGTTTAAATAGTTCATCCTGTTTACTGTAACATCCTTGGTACATATGATTTTTTTGTGCTCCTTGGAGACTTATTCTTTCTTTGGAGATTATAGGCTGTTTCTCAGTCCTACCCTTTCTAACACTCTCTTCCTGTCCTCATCTGCCCTCATCCAGTCTCCACGTGTCTCAGTTTCTGTATCCGTGCTCCACGGCAGCCTCCTTTTAAGGCTTGAAGTCTTCTGGGCGGATTTTCATCTCCACCCGTTTGAGGGAGTAGGTAGATCCATGCCAGCCATACCAGGTGATGCCATCCAGGTGCTTATTGTGCTCACCCAGGCGGTAGTACACTCCATTGAGGTTGGAGTCTGTGCAGCAGTTGTACCAGTAGCCACCTGGCATGAGAAACAGACCCAGTGCTAGTAAGTTGACTGTGATAGACCAGACATCAGGTAAGGAGTTAGAGCCAGGGTCAGAAAGAATACCAAAACCGGAATATCAACTGTACAGTTATAATTCACTCTTTCTCCTCAAGTGGGATTATGAGCTTGTACCTGAACTTCTCCTTTCCGGTCCCCCCAAATCTCACCTTTGCGGAGCTGTGCACACTTGTCCAAGCAGTTGTCATTGTCCTTGTCCTTGGTGCTGAAGGCTGTGTTGTTATGATACTGGAGGGCGTCGTTCCCCACATTGCCAGTGTAGTTCCCCAGGAAGAGGCGATAGCTGTTGAGTTCATTGCCCAAAACAAAGTGGCTATACTCAGCGTAGCGCAGGTTGCCCTCCCAGTCCTGTCAGGAGGAGCAGAGCCTTAAAGAAAGTGCAGCAGGCTCCATTTCATGCTGTCTCTATACCCCTTCTCTCCTGACAGTCCCATAGCCAAACATCTTTTTATAGGTGTGAATCTAATAAGACTTTATTACTTGTTTACCTCCAGTTTACTGTGTTAACCTGGGAATCAGAAAACAAGGCTCGAACTTCTTTCCTGATTCACCATATGGCCTTGATTAGTCTCTCTTTCTATATTCCTCACTTTCCTGCTTATAAGGTGCAGCTATGTTTTTGCTGAATCCCACACAGAGCTGCTGTAAGAGAAACATGAGGATATAGTGAGTGCTTTCAGACCTTCAGCAAGGGTCCCCAAACAGTATCAGTAAGATTTGCACCTAAAGGACCTCATGCTCGGCCAGAGCAGAGACTAGTGTTCGGCACAGCTGACTGTTGAATTTGCTCTACTCTGGCCTGGGTCTGGCCTCTTCCTGTCCCACCTGCAGCCCCACTTTTGTCGGGGGGTTGGGGGGGTTGCAGAAAGGAAAAATACCTATTTTTCCTCAACTCCATTACAACTTGCAGGAAAACCATCACAATGAATATACAGATTTGTCTTGAATCAGAATAGGAATGGCACCCCCGGAGTTGTACGCGGTCATGTGTGGTGGCACTGGTCCAGTCATGGGGCCCCTGGCCTTGTGCTTACCTCCATCTCTACACGCAGCCGGGTTGGCTGTCTGGAGAGCCGGTGGATGTGTTCGTTCCCCAGCCAGAAGTCCCCACGGATGCTGCCAAAGCCCTGCTTGTACTGCTTCCAGTCCCGGTAGAAGGAGACAAGGCCACTTTTTCGTCTCTGGATGATGGTCCAGCCTCCGCCTGAAGTCTCCATGTCACAGAACACCTGAAGCAGAGGGGATACTCTGGTGAGGGACTTGCAGGGGCAGAAGGCAGGAGCAAGAGGGCAGGCTTCCCAACCTGTTCCTGTCCCTGCAGAGCCAGTAGATGTGTGCACTCCCGCAGTCACACTGGCTCACTCGGGCAGTGATGCTGCCCCACTGCTGGTGAGCTGGGGTGGGTGGTGCATTGCTCTGGAAGAACGATGCAAATTGGGCCCGGGGGTGAGTGCACATGAAGCTTGGAGGGAAAAATCCAGATACTTTTTTTTTTTTTGAAGCAGAATTTCACTCTTGTTGCCCAGGCTAGAGTACAGTGGTGCAATCTCGGCTCACTGCAACCTCCACCTCCTGAGTTCCAGTGATTCTCCTGCCTTCCTAGTAGCTGGGACCAGAGTGCCTGTCACCACACTGGGCTAATTTTTGTATTTTTAGTAGAGACTGGGTTTCAGCATGTTGGCCAGGCTGGTCTCAAAGTCCTGACCTCAGGTGATTGTTCCGCCCACCTCACCTCCCAAAAAACTTGGGATTACAGGTGTGAGCCACCATGCCTGGGTGAAAATCCAGATAATTTGATGCTGCCTTCGTGTTTTCTTTTCTCCTCCCCCAAGGAATAGCTGTTCTAGGACATGGCAAGAGATTTAAACTAAGTTATGTGGTGGTTATAAGAATGATCTGATCTATGTTAGAAGGCTTGTTGTTTGACTGATAATGATTTGAAGGGGCCAAACAGATGCCTGGGTTTGGAGTGCAGGGCATAAACTGAGTGTTTGCATAGCTCTGTGGTGTTTGGTGTGTTTGCTTGTGTTTGAGTTTTCCTTTTTTTTTTTTTTTTTTTTAATTGAAATGGAGTCTCACTTTGTCTCCCAGATTATAGTGCAGTGGCGTGATCTCGGCTCACTGCAACCTCTGCCTCCTGAGTTCAAGCAATCCTCCTGTGTAGCAGGGATTACAGGTGCCCACCACCATGCCTGGCTAATTTTTTTGTATTTTTAGTAGAGACAGGGTTTCACCATGTTGGCCAGGCTGGTCTTAAACTCCTGACCTGAAGTGATCCACCTGCCTCGGCCTCCCATAGTGCTGGGATTACAGGTGTGAGCCACTGCGCCCAGCCGAATTTTCCTTTCTTTAAACTGTGAATGGCCCTGTTGTTGTAGTCCCCTTGAGGGGGTGAAGGACAGGTATTAGGGCATGGCCAGTGACTGTAATGACCTCACCTCCAGTTCAGGGCTGCCCAGGAAGTCATCAGGAGGAAGCTTATACACTCCAGAGATGCGGTAGTTCTTCTGGTAGAGGGAAGAGCAGTCGTAGATGGCATCTACAAGAGAACAAACCACAGGGTGAGCATTTAGACCCAGTGGCTCCATCTGAGTTGAGTGTTTAGAGACTGAGCCTTTATTTCTACCCTGGGATTCTCAGTGGTGTTAATTACCCATCAGTGTCTGCATTTGGGAGAGGTGGATATGGGGAGATCCAGAGGGGGTGTATTTTGGCTTTACTAGCGGTGGAGCAGAGGGGTAGGGAAGCCCTTCACCTGGATAGCATTAGTGGGACGTTCCAACAGGTGGTTTCAGGTTAACTCTGAAATAAATTATTCTGCTATAGCTGGGCCATGAATTCTAGAAATGTTACAGTGTATGAGGGCCACGTAACAGATACTCCTGTCAGATAGATTCAGACTTCTTAGACAGCCGCCACTATAACAAATCAGTCGTGAATATCTCATAGAGTCTGGTTTTGTTGATGTTTCCTGGTTGGTTGTTTTTGTTGTTGTTCAGAGATGGTGGCTACTGCCACCTGAGACCATAATTAAGGGAGATAGATTTTATTATCACATATTTTCCCCTTCCATCCAGCTAGCACCTCAAAACACTCAGAAGAACCTTTGAGGCCTTCCTCCCAGAAGTTTTGTTAAAACAATGAAATGAGAGCATCAGACTGGCCAGTTTTTTTACTCTAGGGCCATGGAGCTGCTACTTTATGCAGGATTTAAGCTCTGTATTCTAAATATCAAAGAGCATAGTGGAAGAGACAGCCTTTTCTGATAGGATTCAGAGACTGCGGCCCTTACTATCCAAGAGAAGCTTCCTGCCTGCTATGTCTCGGGGTGCTTTTCTTGGTGACCACTGCACTGGGACCTTAGAGAGGAGCACCAAGATGGCAGATGGGAGTTGTCTGAGGCACATAGGTTCTCTTGCAGAGCACCTTGGGAAAGGGAGGTAGAGTACGTGTGCCTTCGCCATCACTATTCTTCATTTCGTCTTAGTGGTGAAAGCACCAACTTACTGCTTCCTCTAAGGGACTACCTACTTATAGAATATAAGGGTAACTGAGCACTTGGTCATAGAGAAGAAAAATAAGGAATGATGTCCTGGGCAAGAAGAGCAAGAGACCTGGTGGGAGAGCTGCACTTGACCCCAAGAACCTCCTTGCAGGATGGTGAGAAAGCCTCCTGTTTGGATGAGCAGGAAGTGGCACGGTCAGATTCCTCTGTCTGGCCTGGTCTTCCGCATGTCTGGTTTCATCTCACAGACCAAATCAGGACTCACTTGTCTGGAAAATGGCCTGAGAATACCTTTCTAATCCCAAACTGAGGGCCCGGAAGTCCATGCTTAGAAAGTGATTGATACATGTTGGTTCAGGTAACAGAATTTTCAAGCTTGGTTTCATGTTAAAACTTTTTCTTAATTTGAGCTGAGGTTAACCATTGACTTAGTCAGTAGAAGCTGATCATGTCTTTGTTCTTCATGTAGTTTATAATGGGACCAATGGTTTTTATATCAGCAAGAAATGACATGTCTATAGGATATGCTCCTTACAACTAATATTTTCCTGATAATTTCAGAAAACCAAATTTTTATCTCTAAACCGTAAATTCATGTTGGCCCACCTGAGCTGAGCTAACCAGAAATAAAAGTTATTTTGCAAAAGAAAGATTAAATTTATCTTATTTTTGGCCTATTAAGTCTATATTTCAGCATTGCATTTAAAAAATCCTGTATTCGGAGAAATTCATTTAAGACCATGGAAAAAAATAGACGTATCACAATTGAGGAACCTTAAGGAGCCGCATCCTTCCTGAACACAAAGGGACTCTTCACATGGTTATGTGTCTCTACACTTAACTCTGAGCCAATGAGAAGAGTTACGTTTACAGAGAGAGGACACAAAATTCCATTAATGCTCATTCCTGGTAAATCTTAGGAACACCAGAGAACTGTTTCTGGCAAAACTTTGCTTCCAGAGGAACAGCTGTTACAGTTTGGTGCTTCCTTGGAATTTCTTGAGATATAGCCTGTCAGCTCTTGGTGAGGAAGTAGCAGAGCTACACCAATCAGGAAGACTTGAACCCTGCTTCTAAGACTTGCTGGGTGACTTTGGGCAAACCATGTAGTATCTCAGCACTCCAAGATGGTAGGCTGAAACACTGTGTGGATAAAAGAGACCCGTGAAGGTGTTAGGTAAACTTACATAGCATTAGAAGTCAAAGGAAATACTGCATAAGCCTTTACTAAAGGGAAAGTGTACCCACAAAAGAGGCCCCAGTAGTGGTTCTGATGACCAGGATATGTAGAAGCAGTGCTGTAGATGGGGAGGCACTCCACGCTCCCTCAGGGGACTGGTCTCCTTACCTGCGGAGGTCTGAGTGACCGTCTGTGCTGCCTGCAGCTGCATGATGTCAATTTGGTTGTTCATCTCGGAGTACTTGCTCTCAGCATCTGTGAGCCGCGACTCCATGCGCTTGCTGTTGCTCTCCAGCTCCATCACCTGCATGACCACGCTGACCCAGTCCCTCTCCTGCTTCTTGTTCAGTTCACTCAGCAGGCTGCTAAGGTTGGCAACTTGGGCCTTGAGCTCCTTCACCTCCTCACAGCAGTTGGCCGCTTTGAGCTGTGGCTGTGCTGGTGTCTTGTGCTTAGAGAGCTTCTGCAGCCACGCTGGGTGGCTGACAAAGGCCACGATGAAAATGCAGAGCCAGGTCACAGCTGAGAGAGGCTTTTTCAGCATCTTTTGTGGGTTTGGGTGAGGAAGGCTCTTCCTTCAGGGGAGTCTGGAGATGCCCAGCTGAGGTCTGCAAAGCTGCAGCAGGCTGACTGAACCTTACGCTTTCACTCTGAGGGCCTCGCCACTTTGTTGTTTTCTCTCTTTCCTTGCTCTTTGCTAGCCTTTCTCAAAGCTTGAGTCTCTGACAGGGGAGCTGAATGGGTAGCCTATAGCTTTCCTTCCAAGCCCGAATGCTCCACAAGTCAGCATCTTAAATATTGTTTGCTGCCTGTACCTCCACCCCTACCATGGCTGCACCAGGCTTTAGCCCCTCCCAGCTCATCTGGGAGGGTCAGGTGCCTGTTGGGTGAAGTCAGCGGCAACTTAGGCCAGAGGAGGGGAGGAGGGAGATGGGGCGAGTCTTTCTTTCCTTGCCTGTACAGTCTCTGGGCTAAGACAAGAGGACTGTGAATTTGTGTGTTTCCAGTTTCGCCTATTAGATTATGCCCCTGCCAGCCACTGGCTCAACTCTATCAGCAAGCAGGACAGGGTCAGAAGAATTTCCAAATTCCGTTCAAAAGGTTATATAACCATGGGGTGAGCGTAAGGTAGGCGAAAGAGACGCTACTCACCCAGGGAGGCCTGTTAATGTAATCCATGCTGTTTATATGAGGATCTGGTATATTTTGACATCCTGCTGAATATGCTTTTATCTAGGCTGATTATTCCCATCTCTGATCATTATTTAGTATTTTATAAAATCCTTACTCAACCTGGATCTAACACTATCTCACATTTGAAATCTTCCAACTTAGAAAAGTTCTAGAAATAGAAGAATAGAGTAAATCTCTTAGGAAGCCAAAAAAAGACTTTGTAGCCACAGGGTTTGGACAGTTGTCTTTTTACATGCTTTCTCCTTCAACAAAGAGAGGGCCAGTATTAGCATATAACACTTGATATTTTGCAAGGAGGTGTCAGAAGATTACAACAGAGATGAAAACTCAGCAGTGCCAAGCATGTCTGGGATTGGTCACCCATGCTTCTGTCAGTTTCTAGGCAGGACAGAGAACAGGCCCATCCTTAGCCCGTGGTTCAAAACTTGGAAAATATATTAAAATATAGAGAAAAGAATCCCTGTCACCTAATAAATCCATATCTAGAGTCTCATTTCCCTCTTTCTTTGCTGGTATGGTTTGCAATTTGAAATTATTCCTCCTCTATTTGTATATGACTTTGTATCTAAAAAACATGAATATTGTAATTTTTCATGTACTATATATGAAGGACAATGCTCTTTTGAAAAGAAATGTGAAAAACATGGAGTTTCAGCAAACATCCTTAAAATAAGCTTTTCACTAAGAATCTATACAAAGGTTCCTCTGTCCTTAAAACAGTAACTCTGTCTTTGGAACATACGATTGCTGTTTCCATGTTATGGAGCCACTCAGGCAGTTACTTGTACTGTTGTAGTCAGCGTGGGTCCTTCCCACATAAGCCTGATGCCTGACAGCTCTCCTCCCATGCCATAATCCCCCAGAGCTCTTTTCCAGTCAGGGCTTCTAGCTCCTCAGAAAGTAATTTCTGTTCAGGCAGCTGGAGTTACTGAACAATTTTTTTTTTTCTCAGAATCAAAAAGCAGTGGAGGATCAGGTGGATCAGAGTTTGTTTTCTCACATACCCAGCCTCCTTTGCCTGCTAAAGGGTGAGGATGTTACTGATACCCTTATAGCAACTTGGCATTCTAATCAAAAGATTCTGTTGAGAATTGGCACTGTCTGCCAGTCTGCTCTCTTTTTGCAAATGTCTAGCCCAGCTGGGCACCACAGCCTTAGCTCCATAGCATTCATTTTAGTAACGAGACTCTGGCCCCAAATATTGGCATCCTACAAGGTCTGCTAAAAATAGGGATTTTCAAGTGGATCTCCTGGCCATCAAATGACACTGAGCTTAAACCACATGCCACAGAAGTGCTATGTACCATACAGTCATGTATAGCAGGGGTCCCTAATCCCCAGGCTGCAGACCTGTACTTGTCCATGGCCTGTTAGGAATAGGGCCATACAGCAGGAGGTGAGTGGCAGGTGAGTGAGCATTACCGCCTGAGCTCTGCCTCCTGTCAGATCGGTGGCAGCATTAGATCCTCACAGGAGTGTGAACCCTGTTGTGAACTGCACATGTGAGGGATCTAGGTTGCGTGCTCCTTGTGAGAATCTAAGTACTGCCTGAAGATCTGAGGTGGAACAGTTTTACCTCAAAACCATCCCCCATCTCCCCACCCCCACCCTGGTCCATAGAAAAATTGTCTTCCACGAAACCAGTCCCTAGTGCCAAAAAGATTGGGGACCACTGATGTATAGCATCCCACGTGACCCTGCTGCCTTGGAACTCTCATGTAACAGTGCAGCAGAGAAAGCACAAAAGAACAGTGGAACTTTGTGGAGTTCTAGCCAGCTTTTGTTTATTCTTCCCAGTAGCTCACCCAAACAGGAAAGTGTTATGAATTGATTCTTATATGTGGGCAGAAAATAAATTAATCATTCATATTTGTACCCCATGTAACAGTCCCTTTTAGGAAAGGTAGGAGGAGGTTCGTAAGTTTGTATTGGAAGCATCTAGCCTTTAGCATGAGTGTCTGGTCTTTGACATTTATTTTCTGGAAACTTATTTCTAACATAAGGCAATACTTGAAGACAGAAGACAGAAGCTCTTGAATTGCATAAGCTACCCAAATGTCAATACTCACCCCCCCTCCAGTTTTGAGGAAAAATAGCTAATTAAGGATATTTCTCATGCCAGAAGATTATCTATTTTCTAAAACATCCACAACCTTATGATGTCCTAGATTCTGAATATCTAAATGAAGGAAAAAGAAGTCCTTGTTTTGAGCACAGCTAAGCCAGTAGAGAAAACCATGAAGGATGTGGAGGACTAAAATGGTATTGCCTTCTCTGAAAGAGGCTTTTAAATCCTTCTTCTGCCTTTCAGTGAGCAGAGTGACCTTAAAAATGGGAATTAACTGACAAAATCTGGAAAACCTAGGTTGGATACTGTTTAGATTTTCCTTTTCTCCATTTTGCTGGTGTTGAAAGAGGGCTAGCTTGGTGCTCCTGGAAAAGGTGTTTATGAAAATTAAGCTTTTGTTCTTAATGAAAAAAGTCAGTGAGGTTGTACTCAACCTGGAGGTTCTCAAAAGACTTCACAGTGTTTGGGCCGCACTGCCTTGGGCTGGCACCAAGGTAGTCTGAGGGTCACAGGGCAGGGGAGCACCTAGGGGTGGTCTCTCCTTCTATCCAGAGAGGAGCATCAGATCCCATTTGCTTGAAAATGCCCCGTTGGAGAGACTGCTGCCCACTCTCAGCTTGTGGAATGAATACATCTCAGAAGAAGCTGCCTTGCTGTTAGTTTTAATTGTGTATCTCAAAGGAATATTTCACTTCTTCTGAAGTCTTTGAAAAAACCACAGCCTGCCATACTCTATACAGCCGTTGAATATCTGCCTTTTTTTTTTTTTTTTTTTTTTTGAGACGGAGTCTTGCTCTGTCGTCCAGGCTGGAGTGCAGTGGCACGATCTTGGCTCACTGGAAGCTCTGCCTCCCGGGTTCACGCCAATTCTCCTGCCTCAGCCTCCCAAGTAGCTGGGACTACAGGCACCTGCCACCATGCCCAGCTAATTTTTTGTATTTTTTAGTACAGGCAGGGTTTCACCATGTTAGCCAGGATGGTCTCGATCTCCTGATCTGTTGATCCACCCGCCTCGGCCTCCCAAAGTGCTGGGATTACAGGTGTGAGTCATCATGCCCGGCCACATATCTGCCTTTCTAGCACTCCATCCCATTCCTGTCTCAACTGAAAGTCCAAGTCCATCACAGAAGATATTTCCATCTTTTCCCTGAGCTTTCTAATTTGCCACTTCTATCAAAGAATGTGTCCTGAACCTATTAGAAGTCTTTTCTCTCAGGCCTTCTCTTAGAGTCCTGTTTTGTTTTGTTCTGTTTTGTTTTGTGACAGGGTTTCACTCTGTTCAGGCTAGAGTGCAATGGGGCAACCATGGCTCATTGCAGCCTCAACCTCCCAGTCTCAAGTGATCCATCCACCTCAGCCTCCCGAGTAGCTAGGACTGCAGGTATGCACCACCACACCCAACTATCTTTTTTTCTTTCTTTCTTTCTTTCTTTTCTTTTTTTTTTTTTGTAGTGATGGGGGTCTCACTGTGTTGCCAGGGCTGGTCTCGAACTCCTGGGCTCAAGTGATCCTCCAGCCTCAGCCTCTCAAAGTGCTAGGATTACAGGCATGAGCCACCACACCTGGCCAGAGTCAGTTTTAAATTATGGAATATAGTAAAAAAAAAAAAAAAGTCTCTCTGATTTCTGTCAGGACTTTATAGCTCTGTTAGCCTCCACTCAAGTTGCACAATCCAGCGATTATTCTGGCCCAGTGTCTGGCAGTCTAGTTAGACAGCTGAACTCTTGGACAGTGTGACATGCTAGGATGGGAGACACAGAGGACAAGGAGGGCCTTCTAGAGAAGTGATACCTAGGTTTTAAAGAAAAAGGAGGAAATAGCCAGGAATGGGAGAGGATGTTGTAAGCAAAGGTGCAGCTATGTGAAAGACTTGGACTAGTGGGAGAATGTAAGTAGTCGAGTGTGGCCTAAGAGTCAAAGGGAAGAAGAATGGCAGCAGAAGCTAAAGCTGGAGAGGTGGAGGGGGGCCGTGCCCGGGGAGCCCAGGTGAGGAGCGGGACTGATCCTCTGTAGACATGGGAAGGAATCCTAGAGGTTTTTCCCTCTTGTTCCATTGTTTTCCTGAGTTCCACCAGGAAAGTGGCCTTGGTAATTGCCAAACAATTTTTTTTTATTTTTTATTTTTTTTAGAGACATAGTCTCATTCTGTTACCCACCCTGGAGTGCTGTAGTGCAATCATATAGCTTACTGAAACCTGGAACTCGTGAGCTGAAGCAGTCCTCCTGCCTGAGCCTCCAAAGTAGCTGGGAATACAAGCGCACACCAACACGCCTGCCTGTTTTTAAATTTTTTTGTAGAGACGGAGTCTCACTATGTTGAGGCTGGTGTGGAACTCCTAGCCTCAAGAGATCTTCCCATCTCAACCTCCCGAAGTGCTAGGATTATAGGCCTGAGCCACCACACACAGCCCAAACAAGATTTTTTCACCGCAAATGAATGATTTAGAACGTGAGAATTTCTTAAAATTGTAATGCATTCATATTAAATACCCTGACGGGGTCATTTGGCATTAGGATTAAGGAGGTAGTACATATAGCACTTGAGTTCTTAGGCCTAGAAGCAGACAAATCTGGATTCTAATCCCTCCCTAGCACTTGGTTGCTGTGTGGCCATGGACATATTACTTCTCTGAGTTTGCCAACCTGTGAAATGGAGATAAAAATCAAAACTATCTCATACCACAGGCTTTTCATGAGAATTAAATAAAGCAAAGGGTTAAATAACCAAGGTATTTTTGGATAAGGAAAATAAATTTGGAAGAGTTACACTACTACATATCAAGATTTATCATAAAGCTGCAGTAAGTAAGGCAGTACAGTAGTGACATGGATGAACAAATGGAACAGAATTAAATGTCCAGAAACAGACCCACATATGTAGAGATACTTAATTTTGTGTATTTATATTTATGTATTTATTCCTTTCCTCTCAAGCCATGTGATATAGACACTTGATTTATAACAAGGTAGCACCACAGAGTGGTGAGGAAAGGACTGCTAAGTCAGCTCAGTAGCCTTATGGGGGAAGAAAATTTTTTTTTTTCCCTCAGTGATCCTTTTTCTGAAAGAAAAGACTGTTGATCGTTACCTCACACCACACACAAAAGCTCAAGTCCAGGAGATTTAAACTCTTAAGTGTGAACAGTAAAACAATAAAATTTATAGAGGATAACGTAGGAGATTAAGTGGCTTCCTAAGATAAGCAAAGATTTCTTAAGATAGAAAAAACACCAATCATAAAGGAAAATATTAAGAAATGCAACAAAAGTAGTCATTCTGTTCATTGGAAGACACAATGAAGAGAATGAAAGGCAAGAAATATTTCTATTATCTTCAATATTGTATATGTATTATACCCAGAGTGTATAAAGAACTCTTATCAAACAATAAGGAGGAAAAAGGTAGCACAATAAAAAGATTGGTAAAAGAAGCCAGGTACAGTGGTGTGTACCTGTAGTCTGAGCTACTCGGGAGGTTGAGGTGGAAGGATTGCTTGAGCCCAAGAGTTGGAAACCAGCCTAGGCAACATAGAGAGACTCTGTCTCAAAAAGAAAAAAATAAAATATTGACAAAAGATGTGAACAGGCACTTAGTTCACAAAGATATCCAAAAGGCTTATAAATACATGAAAAGCTATCCCATCTCATTAGTCATTATGGAAATAAAAATTTAAATCATAATAAAATGCCACTGCACACCAACCAGAAGGGCTGAAATGGAAAAGGCTGAAAATAGCAAATGTTGACAGAGATTGTGAAGCAATTGGGCTTTTCATGTCCTATTGGTAGAAATGTAAATTGGTAAAGCCACTTTGGAAAACAATCTGTCAGTATCTTATAAAGCTAAACATATCCTTATATGTAACTCAACAATTCTGCTATAGATATTTTCCAGCAGAAGTGCAAGCACACATGCTCCAGAAGACATGGACAAGAGTGTCCGCGTACTACCCCTCGTAATAGCCAAACACTGAAAACAATCCAAGTGTTCATCTGCAGTAAGATAGGTAAATGGTGGTATATTCACACCGTGAAATACTGTTCAGCAATAGAAAGGAAAAGCTGTTGCGACGTGCAGCAGCCTGGGTGCATGTCACAAACATAGTGTTGAATGTTTATATAATTAAGCTCAAAAACTGAGCAAACAACCCCATTGTGTTAGAAGTCAGAGTAGGGTTTACAGACCTCTGGGGACACAGAGGGGAGCAGTGATTGGGAGGGGGCTCAGTGCCTCTGAGCTGCTGGCAGCTGGTTGTGTTCTGTTTCTGGTCTGGGTGGTAATTACAAAGATGTCTTCACTTTATGATAATTCATCAAACTGTACACTTAGGTGTTATATTCTCCTATATTTATGTATACTTGAATTAGGATGTTTGTGTAAAAATAGATAATGCACATAAAACACTTGAACTAGTATCTGACACATAGTCAACGTCTAGCAAATATCAAGTAGTAGTATTGTACCAAGTAGTAGTATTGTATTATTTAGTACACAATTGTTGTCTCGTCATAAAAGTATTTGCTGACTACTCTAGTCTAACATAAATCCCCATAAATCCCCATGTTTTTCTCTAAGCACTCTGTTCTCTTCATGGTATTTGCCACAAAAGCACTTATTTCAGTTTGTACTTTTTTTTTTTTTTTTAAGATGGAGTTTCGCTCTTATTGCCCAGGCTGGAGCGCAGTGGCGCAATCTCAGCTCACTGCAACCTCCGCCTCCCAGGTTCAAGCAATTCTCTTGCCTCAGCCTCCTGAGTAGCTGGGATTACAGTCATGCACTGCCATGCCTTGCTAATTTTGTATTTTTAGTAGAGAGGGGGTTTCTCCATGTCGGTCAGGCTGGTCTCGAACTCCTGACCTCAGGTGATCCGCCTGCCTTGGCCTCCCAAAGTGCTGGGATTACAGGTGTGAGCCACTGCACCTGGCCTCGGTTTGTACTTTTTTGTGTATCTACTTCTCTAACCTGTAAGCTCTGCGAAAGCAAAGAACATGTTTCTCTTATTTTCCACAGTACCTCTAGCATCTAGCACTTAGCATAAAGCCTAAGACAAAATGCATACTAAATTAGAACTTGTCAAATGAAATAATGAATTTCAAAGAGAAGGTTCTCTTCCCCCTAAATATCTATTATGGAGACTTACAGTCTCTCTCCATGGACGTTTCCAGTGTTTTACTGTGGTGAGGTCTTCGCTGTAGGGCATCACATTCTGTCCTGCATGGGGTCAGTTTTCCTTCTTCAGGTCTTAGTCATAGAATCAAAGAAAGTGAAAACTGGGAGAGTTGAGATCCTTTGTTTCAACCCTCTTTTTAATTTTTATTTTATTTGTTTATTTATTTTGAGATGGAGTCTGGCTCTGTCGCCCAGGCTTGAGTGTAGTGGTGGGGTCTCAGCTCAGTGCAACCTCCGCCTCCTGGATTCAAGCAGTTCTCTTGCCTCAGCCTCCCGAGTAGCTGGAATTACAGGTGCCCACCACTACATCCGGCTTTGACCCCATTTTTTAAATCAATAACTTGAGGTAGCTTCCTTATTGTATAATATATTGCATACATATTCCTAGACATCACCAGGCTGTGTCTCATCACTTTTTTTTTTACTTAGGAAGATGATCAGCAAGAGGACCACAGAGTATCTGAGATCAGGTTTTCTCCCTCTCCTGTTTATTCCAGAAGCCAGTGTAAATGACATGTCTGATTACTTCAACCTGCACTGGCCCTAGGGGCTGCATGCAACAGCTAATGTTGACAAAATGAAGAAAGTAACATGTCCCCATAAAAACTGCCTTATTTCGGGCGGGCAAGGTGGCTCATGCCTGTAATCCCAGCACTTTGGGAGGCCAAGACGGGCAGATTACAAAGTCAAGATATCAAGACCATCCTGGCCAATGTGGTGAAACCCCGTCTCTATTAAAAATACAAAAATTAGCTGGATGTGGTGGCACACTCCTGTAGTCCCAGCTACTTGGGAGGCTGAGGCCAGAGAATTGCTTGAACTCGGGAGGTAGAGGTTGCAGTGAGCCGAGATCGCACCGCTGCACTCCAGCCTGGCGACAGAGCAAGACTCCGTCAAAAAAAAAAAAAAAACCTGCCTTATTTCTGGGCAGCTGTAGTCCCCATATTTTATCCCCAGTAACCTAACAAAGCTCATCTGTCCCCAAAGGGAAATCAAATGTCCATTATATTGCAATTTCAGTAAATCACCCTTAGCTAGAGATAAGACCTTGTCAGGGGTTGCAGGACAAGATCACATGTCCACCCCACCAAGCTGTTCTCTGAACTACAGAGCTTCTCTTTGGGTTAGACATCTCCACCCTGACTTAGGCACCACAAACTGGAAAACAGGCCTGGTCATTCTTTAAGAATGTTAGAGGATTTGTGCCAGTTATGCCTGAGCAACCAATTAATGGCAAGGGTGACTGGGTTTTACAGTCTGCAGGCAAGGGGCTAAATGGGCAAACAAAACCCACTCTTTGTCTTAATTCTAAACACATGTTTCCAGGGTGCCAATATTGTGCTGCTTGAAAGTATGATTCCTGCTTTTACAGTTGTTTCCTGGCTTCCAGAAAAGATATGCGGTCCTTTTCTTTTTCTGTACCTCTGCTGGAAGAAAAAGCAGTCAGTCCACAGAGGTGAGGTTTTGCTCACAGCAAAACACATTCCAGGCTGGGTGCAGTGGCTCACTCCTATAATCCCAGCACTTTGGGAGGCCAAGACAGGAGGATTGCTTGAAGCCAGGAGTTCAAGACCAGCCTGGGTAACATAGCAAGACCTTGTCTCTGTAAAAAGTTTAGTGGGGCATGATGGCATGCGCTTGTGGTCTCAGCTACTCAGGAGGCCAAGGCAGGAGGATCACTTGAGTCCAGGAGTTTGAGGCTGCAGTGAGCTATGATTGCACCACTGCACTCCAGCGTGGGCAACAGAACAAGACACTATCTCAAAACAAACAAAAAACCACATTCCAAACTTCTATGTTCGTGCTGACTTCAGAAGGGCCAGTGTGCCTGTAAGAATCTGTGTCCTTTGTAGAAAAGCTCCATGCTGCAAAGAGTAGGAGAAAAGAGCAAAAGCAGAAGCAGTTTGTATCTTTGCTGTAGCCCCATTTTTTTTTTCAAATGCACTTTTAGATTCAGCCCAAGAGGCCACATCTCTCACCAGTTATCAGTAGAGCATGCATTTACTTCTAGCTGCTGTCAAGACTTCCCCCAGGGTCACTGTAACAGCTTGCTCTTGCAGAGCGTCTTATGAACCCCAGGGAAGGCTCTTCAGTGGAGAAACCTCGCCATCAGCGAGGAATTGTAAGAAGAGGAGAGTTCTGGGGTTTCTCCTAAAGCTGGCCAAAAGGACAGAGGGGCTATTGTTACAAAACAAGACCCTTCTAAGGGGAGAAACTTGCTGTATTTCAGTGGTATCCCTAAACTCTTCTACAAAAGCTAGCTTATCCTTCAGACTACCTGGAGATTTAATGGGACTGCTCTTATGCTGACTTAGAGAAACTGCTTCTGATTTTTATATAACACTGGGGGAGGGAAAGAAAGTGCTAGCAGTTACACTGTGTCCCAGTGCTCTGAAACCTTGAATTGTATGCTGCATCCCAATTTCAGAGATGTTAAGGTGTGAAAAAAATGTGTGTCTTAGAACTGATGAAATCTAGTAGGTGCTGGGCTCTGCCTCATGGCCACCTCTGACTGTTCATGCAGTGATGATATCAGTAGGGGCACCACTGGTCTCTCCAAACATTTCTGGACTTTTCACTGGCTGTGAATCCTGGTAATCCAGTTATAGAGTGCCACAGTTCTCTTCCATGAGGCATCCATTACCAAGAAGGTGGGCATGGTTTTTTCTTTTCCCTGAACCCAGAATGGGCATCATTATTCCTACACTGTGGCCCAACTCCTTAATAGAGTGGAAGACCAGCTCACATCTGCTTCTACAATTAAATGTGAAGAGTTACAAGCTGCCAGATCACTAGGTGCCAGCTTGTTTAAGTTTTGTTTCCCAACTTTATCCACATAATGGACTGAGTCAGAGTTCTTGGACATTCAGAAGCCAAGAAATCAGGACTTTACCCAAAATATCACCTCAGTTTTGAGTCAAGAGAGATGAACATTAGCTTTGGAGTCACTCTATCAGCCCACCCCTTTTGCTCCTTTTCCCCATCCTTTTCCTGACTGCTGCTTCTTTCTAGTAGTCTCTCTCAGAGCTCTTTGTTTCTCTCTGGATGTGAAGAAGCAGAAAGGGGGAGAAGAACCTGCAGGCATCACAAGAAAAGGAGCAGTGCTCATTGTTGTAGAATAAAAAGATAATGGCCAATTTGTCAAGAAGTGTTGACAAGTAAGATAAAGTTGGAAGTAATTAACTGGCTGACATGCTGGGAGCGGTGTGCCTGCCAATAGCTCCCTAAATCAGCCAGAGCCTTGGAAATGTGACAGCCATTCATCATTTTTACAACACGCCTCTGACAGGCTCCTCAGTTGCAAACCTGGCCAGCAAAAGTCGTGTGCTTTGACATTCTGGGGTTGTGCACCTCTCTCTGCCTTATTCTGGGTTGTGCTAAGGTACCTGGGCCCTATATCCAACCAGGAGATGCCTGGAGACGGTGAGTCAAATGGGCCAGCTTGCCAGCTCATCGCTGGGCAGTATTCCTCTCCGAGGCTGGGCACTAGGATTCCCAGAGCTGACTTTGTAAACTTCTGCAGGACAGTTCACTTAGCATAGAGAGTGCTGAATGGGAGCCATCAGCAGCACTCCTGGTGGCCTGGTATCTAACAAGTGCTGCTGCTAACCAGCCATGGGATCTATCAGTGGGAGGAAACGGGTATGCAGCCAGTAAAAGCAATTATGAAGACTGAATGGAGTGGAAAATACCTGTGTTAGTGAAAAGGCAGCATACAAAATTGTATCTATACTTTCATCACCAGTATGTATAAAATATGCATTTATGCAGAATATGCGCAGGTAAAAGTATCTTGGAAAGGTGATTATATTACAATCAACTTCCCTCCTCCATTTTTTTCTTTTTAAAAAGTGGTACTTCCACTCACCAATCTTGAAAAGATGAGTTTTTTTGCACACGCGCCCCCATTCCCCCACGCACTTCCTAATCTCAAAAACTGTTAACATTCTACCCTCTTTATTCTAAGGGCTCACACTTTCTCACATACAGATTTAGCGTGTCCTCTAGGCATTGTGACAGACAAACCATTTAAACTGTGACCAGACAGAAACAAGGATGAAGACATAGT
Source organism: Homo sapiens (assembly GCF_000001405.40). NCBI lineage: Eukaryota > Metazoa > Chordata > Mammalia > Primates > Hominidae > Homo > Homo sapiens. The sequence continues at coordinate 11,177,623 of NC_000001.11, read as the reverse complement.
AAGAATTCTTTTTATTTTTAGGCCACTCTGAGCCTGAGACATCAGGAATCTTTTGTTTTGTTTTTGGAGACAGAGTCTCACTCTGTCACCCAGTCTGGAGTGCAGTGGTGCGATTGTAGCCCACTGCAGCCTCACACTCGTGGGCTCAAGTGTTCCTCCCGCCTTAGTCTCCCAAATAGCTGGGACTGCAGACACAGATCACCTCACCCAGCTAATTTTTAAATTTTTTGTAGATTCGAAGTCTTGCTATGTTGCTCAGGCTGGTCTTGAATTCCTGTCCTCAAGCAGTCATCCTGTCTCGGCCTCCCAAGGTGGTGGGATTACAGGCATGAGCCACCGCGCCTAGCCAAAGAAACCTATTTTGACTGTCTAAAGCTGGCCACCTCTCTTGCACCAAACTTTTTTTTATCTTGGTGCCTTAGGTCCCCAAGAGCTCCAAGTACACCAAATGCCCCAGCTTTGAAACCTTGTAATGGGGCCAGCCTTCTCTTAATATATAAAGTTCTTTTTCCTAAGTTCCAGCCCTGCCAGACCCAGAGGTACTGTCTTCATCATCTGATTCTGGCTTTGTTTCCCTTCACTTCCCCTCCTGTCTGCATTCCGGCAGCCCTCCCAACCTTCTGCCCCGTCACTTTTCAGATGTTTTCATTTTGCTTCTGTCTGCCCTGCTGTCCTTTCTCTTCTACATTAGTCTGTTCATTCTTGAGTTCCCCAGACCATTCTCCTGTTCCCAGATTCCCAAGGTAGCTTCCTGATAAAGACATCAAGGCCTAGCCAACCCCAGATCTTCCTGGCCCTAGAAGGAATCAGACTATTTGGTTGTTAATCCTGCGTTGGGCACAGAGCTAAGCCTCAGTGCTGGGAGAAGTGACAGGAGAATCTCAAGCAGTTACCACTCCATGAGAGAAACTGCTTGATACAGTGGTTAGGACCCAAAGCAGTGTCCAGGGTGGCCTCAGTGTGGCTGGTCAGGCCACTTCAGTCAGACCTGCCACAGCCCCATCAGCTGTGATGCATGTGTCACCAGCCTGGCGCCAGGGGAATTCAGAGAATTCTCACTTGACAGGGAACCAAATGAAACTCAGACTGTGGTCTGCACTAGAAATAGACAGGAGAAAGAAGGTCCACAGCCATTTGGGAAGCCAGTGGGTGTGTTCTCATACATTCCTGATGGGAGCGCTGGGGAAGCCTGAGCGTTGCCCCAGCTGTGCCTGCAGATGCTCCTTGCTGCCTGAGGACTTTCCGACAGGCGCCGCCTTGTGTGGAAGAGGCTTGCATCACTTTGCTCTGAACCCCAGAGGTCACGCGGCACCAAGACTGAGGGATGAGGGCGATAACCAAGTGGGCCACTCAAGGAGGCACTGCCATGTCAAGTTACTGTGGACTCAGCATCTGTCCAGAAGCCTGTGGAGCCGTGACTGAGGGCACTTCCAGAGACAATGTTCTCCAGGTTTCTCTTCAGGTGGCAGGAAAGGCGTTTAGACTGCTTTGCTGTGGGTCAGCATTAAGTCCTTGAGCAGTTAATGACCCACTATTTCAGTCAATCTCATCCTCCTCCAATAAAAGGCAGTGAGGGGGCTGGGCACAGTGGCTCATGCCTGTAATCCCAGCACTTTGGGAGGCTGAGGCGGTTAGATCATTTGAGGTCAGGAGTTCAAGACCAGCCTGGCCAACATGGTGAAAACACATCTCTACTACTAAAAATAGAAAAATTAGCTGGGCAGTAGTGGCGCGCACCTGTAATCCCAGCTACTGGAGAGACTGAGGCATGAGAATCCTTGAGCCTGGGAGGCAGAGGTTGCGGTGAGCCGAGATTGCGCCACTGCACTCCAGTCTGGGTGACAGAGTGAGACCCTGTCTCAAAAAAAAAAAAAAAACCTGCTAGGGAGAGCCTGAGAGGAAAGGGCTATGGGGAGGCAGCAGGCGCCACTGCCCACGTGAGCTGCTCTACCGTCACTCCTGACAGGGCCTTTGCCGGGGGAAGTGTCTGCACAGCTGAACCACCCGCTGCTCAGCTCGCATGCTTGCCCTGCCTTGGGAACAAGGTTTCTGGATAGTGGGGATAAGATGTTCAGCGTAATGGTGTGATGTTTGCTATAGGAAGGCAGCAAGGCAATTTCTTAGTATTAGTTCTGCTCAGCTCTAGAAAATGTTTTCCTTGATTGCCAAGAACTTTCCCAGCTCAATTCAAAACTCGAATTTGATGAAAGGAGGCTCTGCAATTCAGCCTCCTTTAATCAGAATTCAATCTTGGGCTGGGGTGGGGAGAGTGGAGAATGAATGAGAATGAATATGTCTGTACAGCGGCCTCCTTCTGCCCCTGATACCCAGATTCACCATGTTCTCCTTTCCGCCTGTCTTCGTTGTCTTCCTAACGCCAGGTTCAGTTTGTGGGCTCTGGATTCTATTATGCGGATAGGCAGTTTCTGTTTGTTCTACAGATTCACAACTGTATGATAGCAACTGGATGTTATAACTGGAAACTGGAGTAGAATACCAACATACCCCACACCCATGTTAGGGAGGCAGTGGGAATCACTAGTTTAGAAAATTCTTGGGACTCAGTTCTCTTTTCCTTTTGGCCTCAGTAGGCGTCAAGAGGAGATGGGAAATCTGATTGACCTGTCATTTCTGCACACTGTTATAGGCACGTTGCTGACAAGCCTCAGTTTCTTTAAACTTGTTTGTGTTCAGATCTTTTCCACCAGACCAGCATCAGCAGGGTCTGGTTTGTGGTGTTACGTACTCCTCTTCTGTTGGGCTGGAGCTTTGAACAGTTTGCCCTTTATAAGCCTGCAGCATTAATAGGGAAAGACTGAGGGGCACCCAAGGGGGTGTTTATAGAATGGGCTTTATAAAACTCCCAGCTGCCCCGTAAAACAAGAGTTCCTCGCTAAGGGGGCTTTTGAGCAAAGGTGATTTCTTCACAGGAGCCGAACATACAGTCTCTGCCTTCAGTCTCATAAAAACCACATCTCATTAGAAAAGGGACATAATTCAAAGGACGGCTTTGTATCACCCAGGTAGGCAGGAGATCTGGGACTTAGTGGCTGTGAACTCCTGCATTTTCACAGAGACTTGCTTGTCCTGCACTTTGCAGCCTGAACTATAAGCCTGGCTGTCTTTGAAAAGCCTGCTGTGATGGCATGCTGACTTGTCACGTGGAAGGCTGGAGGCATATTAGTAGCTTCTGGAAGGAAATAAAAAATGTGAGATGGGAGCTTGGGAGTAAGAGAGGAATGTTAGTGAGGAAGTTAAAATGAAGGCACAGGAGGGCTCCCTTCTCCTGCACAATGAGTTCTAGAGAGAGAGTTAATGGAAACATCCCACCCATTGCTCACACTCGTTCATTTTACAGCTAATTCCTGGGTGCCTACTGATGCCAAGAGGAGAAAGCTAAGACACCGCCTGTCCCTCCCATTGCAGAGCTTGCAGTATACCCTTCATTATTACTTAAGATACTTTTTTCTCTTTACCTCAACATGGCACTAAAGATACTTTTCCGTGGTAACATTTTTAAGAGAAAGTCACCTTTTAAGGGAAGGCAATAGCCTGTGACCTACTGGGCTGTGTTTTCTTCATATATAAAATGAGAATATTAATAATAGTTTCACAGGGTCGAAATAATACATAGAAACAATAAGCGCAGTGCCTGGCACATATGGTGAGCTCTCTTCTTATTTTGGTATCTTCTTCTTGTATCTTCTTCTTGTTGCCTCCCGTGATGGAGTGCCAGAAGGCATGGAGGAAGAAGAAAAAATTAAGATCCCAAACAAGATAACAGACTCTCTTGATCACCAGGATTAATAAGCCTGCTGACTTCACTGTCCAGAGCATCCACATCCATAATTAGTATTCTCCAGCAGCTTTAGAGGCGTGCATGGGAACTCCTCAGAAGGAAATAAGAGAAATGTAGCTTAGGGAGAAAGTCCTGTAGGAAATTAAAGTGAAAAAGGGGGAAGAGGAAATAAATACACAGGCTGATAGCAGCTGGTTCACTAAAAATCTCTTTATTCTTTGAACAATCAAGAGAGTAGGTGTGGCTGGGCGTGGTGGCTCATGCCTGTAATCCTAACAATTTGGGAGGCTGAGACAGGCAGATCACTTGAGCTCAGGAGTTCGAGACCAGCCTGGGCAACACGGCAAAACTTCATTTCTACTAAAAATACAAAAAAAAAATAATAATGTGTGTGGTGGTGTAGGCCTTTGAGAGGCTGAGGTGGGAGGATTGCGTGAGTCCAGGGGGTGGAGGTTGCAGTGGCCTGAGATCGCACCATTGCACCCCACCTTGGATAACAGAACCAGACCTTGTTGTGAAAAAAAGAGAGTGGGCTAGGCGAGGTGGCTCACATCTGTAATCCCAGCACTTTGGGAGACCGAGGCGGACAGATCACCTGAGGTCAGGAGTTCTAGACCAGCCTGGCCAACGTGGCAAAACCCCATCTCTACTAAAAATACAAAAATGAGCCAGGTATGCTGGTGGGCACCAGTAATCCCGGCTACTCAGGAGGCTAAGACAGGAGAATTGCTTGAACCCAAGAAGCGGAGGGTGCAGTGAGCTGAGATCGTGCCATTGCACTCCAGCCTGGGTGACAGAGTGAGACTCGGTCTCAAAAAAAAAAAAAGAAAAGAGAGTGGATATGGACAGTGACCTTCTTACCTTCAGGTTCTCAAATCAGAGACAAAGAAATTAATTTCTCAGAGCGAGAGTGTTCATTTTTCATGAGTTTAGTCAAAGTTGTAATTTTTTTTTTTTTTTTTGAGACAGAGTCTTGCTTTTTTCGCTCAGGCTGGAGTGCAGTGGTGCGATCTCAGCAACCTCCACCTCCTGGGTTCAAGTGATCCTCCTGCCTCAGCCTCCCGAGTAGCTGCAATTACAGGCGTTCGCCACCACGCTCCACTAACTTTTGTATTTTTAGTAGAGATGGGGTTTCACCATGTTGGCCAGGCTGGTCTCGAACTCCTGACCTCGTGATCCGCCCACCTCGGCCTCCCACAGTGCTGGGGTTATAGGCGTGAGCCACCGCGCCTGGCCCAAAGTTGTATTTTTTTTTTTTTTTTTTTTTGAGACAGAGTCTCGCGGTCACCCAGGTTGGAATGCAGTGGTGTGATCTCGGCTCACAGCAAGCTCCACCTCTCGGGTTCATGCCATTCTCCTGCCTCAGTCTCCTGTGTAGCTAGGACTATACAGGCGCCCACCACCATGCCTGGCTAACTTTTTTGTATTTTTAGTAGAGACGGGGTTTCACCATGTTAGCCAGGATGGTCTCGATCTCCTGACCTCGTGATCTGCCCACCTCAGCCTCCCAAAGTGCTGGGATTACAGGCGTGAGCCACCGCGCCCAGCCAAAGTTGTAATTTTTTAATGATTATGTTCTTACTGCTCAATAAGAGCTTATCATGGATCCCAAGGTGCACCCCCAAGTTTAATGGCCACTGGTAAAGGCCTGGTCCCCCAGTGAGCCCAGCCTGTTGCCCTCTTTCCTGCCCACTGAGCTCTGTCTGCAGCCTGACCTGCCTCCACACATTCAGATGGGAAATATTATACAGATAAGTCATAGGACTCTCCCTCTCTCTTTTTTTTTTTTTTTTTGAGATGGAGTTTTGCTCTTGTTGCCCAGGCTGGAGTGCAGTGGCACAATCTTGGCTCACTGCAACCTTCCCAGGTTCAAGTGATTCTCCTGCCTCAGCCTTCCCAGTAGCTGGGATTACAAGCATGTGCCACAACACCTGGCTAATTTTTGTATTTTTAGTAGAGATGGGGTTTCACCATGTTGGCCAGCCTGGTCTCAAACTACTGACTTCAGGTTATCCTCCTACCTTGGCCTCCCAAAGCTCTGGAATTACAGGCATGAGCCACCGTGCCTGGCCTGGACTCTCTCTTAAAGGAGTTAAGGCCATATGTTTTTACATTTTTAATTTGCAAAGCTATGCTGGTCAGTCCTTAGAGGTGGTATATCAAGGCTGTAGCTGTATTAAGGTAAAATTTGTTTCTCTTTCGAGGTCCCTAATCACTACTTCCTAATTTTGATCAGTTTGTTGTAAAACTCATTTTTTATGCACTGTGATAATTGGGAGAGTGGATTAGGAAAAGACTTGTATTTGTTTTTGTTTTTGTTGTTTTCTCCTCGGAATGAATCGAGCTTCGGTAATGTTAAAATTTAAAAATAGGCTGGAGGCCAGGTGCAGTGCCTCACACCTGTCATCCCAGCAGTTTGGGAGGCCGAGGCCAGAGGATTGCTTGAGCCAGGAGATTGAGGCTGCAGTGAGCCATGATTGTGCCACTGAACTTCAGCCTGGATAACAGAGCAAGACCCTGTCTCTTTAAAAAAGAAAGAAAGAAGAAAAGAAAATAGAATGTTTTCCAGAGCACAAGATTGAAGACAGTTGTTAGAACTCCTGGATTTTCTTTTTCTTTTTTTTTTTTTTGAGATAGAGTCTAGCTCTGTCGCCCAGGCTGGAGTGCAGTGGCATAATCTTGGCTCACTGCAACCTCCACCTCCTGGGTTCAAGCAATTCTCCTGCCTCAGCCTCCCGAGTAGCTGGGATTACAGGTGCCCGCCACCACGCCCAGCTAATTTTTGTATTTTTAGTAGAGACGGGGTTTCACTGGATTGGCCAGACTGGTCTCGAACTCCTGACCTCATGATCCACCCACCTCGGCCTCAGTTTTTTATGTCGTTTCTTAGAGTTAGTTTCTTCTGGTTCAGGTGAAGAACACTTTATCTTCCTTATCAGAACAATTTTTTACTCCTACCAAGGCCGCCCGGCGTGTGTGGTGTGGTGGTGTGCGCCTGTAATCCCAGCTACTCCAGAGGCTGAGGCAGGAGAATCACTTAAACCTGGGAGGCAGGGGTTGCAGTGAACTGAGATCACACCACTGCACTCCAGCCTGGGCAACAAGAGTGAAACTCCATCTCTCAAAAAAAAGAAAAAAAAAAAAGAAAAGGATAGGATTGAAATAAAGATGGCCTTCATCCCAAGAATCCATTGTAATAATACAGGGACCATATCATTAAAATATATAGACTATATACTGGCTTTCTTTTTTTTTATTATTATTTTTCTTTAATAGAGATGGGGTCTCACTGTGTTGCCCAGGCTGGTTTAAAACTCCTGAGCTCAAGCAATCCTCCTGCCTCAACCTCCCAAAGTGCTGGGATTACAGGCATGAACCACTGTGCCCAGCCACTGGCTTTCTTTTTTCCTGTTTTCTTATGCTTCCAAAATCTTTATTTGGCTTCAAGGAACTAGATAATCCCAAATCTATACCTAGTAATATTATTAGTACAGTTTACCCAGCCCCATGTGATTGGGCACAAAGCCCAGTACCTGATTTATGGGGCCAAGTGGCATTGGGAACTGCTTCCCAATGAACCTACAGTGGAGTAGGTCCCTTTAGACTTGCTTTTCATTCTTAGCTTAGAAAACCTCATATAGGGCTTCCTAAGGGAAACCATCATGCCGTGGTTTCACTCTGAAATTAAAAACATCTCCGAATTTTGTAGCAGGCTAACTTATGGAGCATATTCTGGTTCATTGCCTTGCTTAGTACCAGCTCAAGAAGCACCAGCCGCATAGCTTCCCCAACGAATCTGGAGCCTAGAAACTGGATACTGGACACTCGAACAGTTCTACTCAGGAAACATTGGGAATTCGCAGTGATGACTTCCTAGTCCTAACTTAAGTCTCCACCGTAGGTGTATGTTATTTCTGCAGACAAGCATATCACTGTGTTTTAGCAGCTTTTATGCTTGGACAAACACAGGTGAAGGACCTGCTTAGCAATTGCATGTTCATTGTTTAATTCCCCGAAGAACCCTCTGAAGGAGGAGGTGATATTAGCCCTGTTATATAGATAAGGAATTTACATTCAAAAAAGATGAGTTAAATATGTCCTACTATGTACCTAAAAAAATTAAAAATTAAAATTTTTGAAACGACTTATTTATGATCACACAGCTTATAAGTGGCAGAATTAGACCTCCAGAAAGTTAAACCCAAGTTTCAATCCTTTTGTATACATTTATGCATGATGATTGGGTTTTTACCATCACATGTGGTGAGATGTGTCTCCCTCAAACTTGTTATCACGTCAGCATGTGATCAGTCTGACATGGGGAAAAACCCCATCTTCTGACTCCAAATCCAAGGCTGTTTCACCCCCAACTTTTCCTTAACAAAGAGGCATAAGGTGCTTGATTTACTGTGGGGACTTTCCTGATTCCTGTGGGCCTTGGGGAAAATCCCTGCCTTTCCTGGGCTTTAGCTTCCCCGTTAGTGAAACAGGTCTGATAACACCTCTCCCTTCCCACTCTTAGGGATGCATGGGGTCAAAGAAGTGATGGATTGGAAAGATTATTTGAAAACGCTTTGTAAACATGAGGCATTAGATTATTACTTTCACAAATGTTAGCTTCTTTAGATTTCTGGGCAATTTCCTTTGGTTTTATTGGAAGAAATGTGGTGGAATTTGGATTTTTAAAAATAATATTTATAACAGCAATTTCTTGCCATATTACCACATTGAACTCAAATCCTGGAATTTCCCAAAACCACTTAAAAATTAATTCTGGTCAAGCAGACAGTTTGTACTCAAAGCAGTAAACTGGATCCTTGCTCATTAAACCAGTCTAGACTCCCAGGTTGATGTGTCACATTTTGCTCCCTACCTTTAAACAGATATAATCATTGTGGTCTTGTGGATTTCTCAAGCGAGCTCCTTCACCCTCCCCTCTTTCCCTTCCTTCCATAACTCAGGCTTATATTTAGTATTGAGCTTAGTTGCATAAGTTCCTACAGGAATAAGGATCTAAGCCCCCATGGCTACTCTGTTTTCAAGGCCTCCTAGCAGCCTCTGATGAACCAACTGCAGGCACCAGGCCTCCCAGTGGCACTGCCCAGTTGTCCCAGTGTGGTAACAGTCCTCCAGCCTAAAGATGGCATCAGCAGAGCAGGGTGTCATTAGTGAAAAGCTTCTCTACAGTAGAGGCCAGTTCAAGAAACTCTAGATATGGTCCCTTGGCAGCCTTCTGCAAAGGGTGGAAGGGAACAGCCCCTGAAGAGGGTCTAGGGAGGCATCTGAATTTGAAGGGGGTGGGCTCTGTCAGAACGGTCAGCAGGGCTGCATTGCCACAGCTCCCAGGGTTCTGTCATTGACGTGCATGCCCCAACCTTGGTGCCACCTGTGTCACTCACAGAGTCTGATGGTTTTGATTAATTTTGTTATTCCTACTACTGAAGGCAACTGATGAGAAGTTAAGACTTAGAAGTTCAGAGGAGCCAGGTGCTGTGGTGTGTACCTGTAATCCCAGCTACTCAGGAGGCTGAGGCAGGAGGATCACTTGAGCCCAGGAGTCCGAGACCAGCCTGGACAACATAGCAAGACCCGGTCTCAAAAAAAAAAAAAAAAGTTCAGAGGAGTCTCATATGATTGTGTACTACAACAGGGATAATTTCGTATCCAAGGTTTCTGGTGTTTCAGAAACAGACACATGTTGCCTGCCTGCCGGCGTCTGAGAGGAAACCAGTCTATGCTCTTTTTTTTTTTTTTTGAGACAGTGTCTCACTCTGTCCCCCAGGCTGGAGTGCAGTGGCACGGTCTCGGCTCACTGCAAGCTCTGCCTCCCAGGTTCACGCCATTCTCCCGCGTCAGCCTCCTGAGTAGCTGGGACTACAGGTGCCTGCCACCACGCCCGGCTAATTTTTTTGTATTTTTAGTAGAGACAGGGTTTCACCTTGTTAGCCAGGATGGTCTTGATCTCCTGACCTCGTGATCCAACCGCCTCAGCCTCCCAAAGTGCTGGGATTACAGGCGTGAGCCACCACACCCAGCCTAGTCTCTGCTCTTAAAGGAAGGGCCACAGAGCAGCAAGATGAGTGTTCCCATTACTGACCCCCAGAATCATGGGAGGAGAGCACAAACCTCTTTCAGATGAAACGATTTAAACTGAGCTTTCTGGATGGTAATAGATAATTGATACTCTTTCAGCATCTGCAAGACATTGTCCTCAAAGTGCTGGTGAACCATCTGCCCACAAATGACCCCCACATCTCCTACCCTCAGACCTGTTGAGTGTAACTACCTTTTCCCTTTGTTTTCTCAGCATTAATAATAAGCTACAGCAGCCGGAGGCAGCGGCCGGAGTGTTAGAATATGCCATGAAACACTTTGGAGAGCTGGTAAGCACCTCATTCTTTTTGGAAAAGCAGGAGGTAGAGACTTGGCTAGGGAGTTATTGGCCCTGACCTTCAGAAAGTTACTTTCCTTTTCTGTTTTTTCTCCAATTCATAACAGTCTGATGCTGACTTACCAGTCTTCAGGATGAAAGAGATAAACTGTGTCTGTAGGGACTCTATTTCTTTCTTTTTTTTTTTTAATTATACTTTAAGTTCTAGGGTACATGTGCACAACGTGCAGGTTTGTTACATATGTACACATGTGCCATGTTGGTGTGCTGCACCCATTAACTCGTCATTTACATTAGGAATATCTCCTAATGCTATCCCTCCCCGCTCCCCACACTCCACGACAGGCCCCGGTGTGTCATGTTCCCCATCCTGTGTCCAGGTGTTCTCATTGTTCAGTTCCCACCTATGAGTGAGAACATGCAGTGTTTGGTTTTCTGTCTTTGCGATAGTTCACTGAGAATGATGGTTTCCAGCTTCATCCATGTCCCTACAATGGACATGAACTCATCCTTTTTTATGGCTGCATAGTATTCCATGGTGTATATGTGCCACATTTTCTTAATCCAGTCTATCATTGATGGACATTTGGGTTGGTTCCAAGTCTTTGCTATTGTGAATAGTGCCGCAATAAACCTCATGTGTGCATGTGTCTTTATAGCAGCATGATTTATAATCCTTTGGGTATATATCCAGTAATGGTATGGCTGGGTTAAATGGTATTTCTAGTTCTAGATCCTTGAGGAATCGCCACACTGTCTTCCACAATGGTTGAACTAGTTTACAGTCCCACCAACAGTGTAACAGTGTTCCTATTTCTCCACATCCTCTCCAGCACCTGTTGTTTCCTGACTTTTTAATGATCGTCATTCTAACTGGTGTGAGATGGTATCTCATTGTGGTTTTGATTTGCATTTCTCTGATGGCCAGTGATGAGCATTTTTTCATGTGTCTTTTGGCTGCATAAATGTCTTCTTTTGAGAAGTGTCTGTTCATCTCCTTTGCCCACTTTTTGATGGGGTTGTTTGATTTTTTCTTGTAAATTTGTTTAAGTTCTTTGTAGATTCTGGATATTAGCCCTTTGTTAGATGGGTAGATTGCAAAAATTTTCTCCCATTCTGTAGGTTGCCTGTTCACTCTGATGGTGGTTTCTTTTGCTGTGCAGAAGCTCTTTAGTTTAATTAGATCCCATTTGTCAATTTTGGCTTTTGTTGCCATTGCTTTTGGTGTTTTAGACGTGAAGTCCTTGCCCATGCCTATGTCCTGAATGGTATTGCCTAGGTTTTCTTCTAGGGTTTTTATGGTTTTAGGTCTAACGTTGTTAAGTCTTTAATCCATCTTGAATTGATTTTTGTATAAGATGTAAGGAAGGGATCCAGTTTCAGATTTCTACATATGGCTAGCCAGTTTTCCCAGCACCATTTATTAAATAGGGAATCCTTCCCCCATTGCTTGTTTTTGTCAGGTTTGTCAAAGATCAGATGATTGTAGATGTGTGGTATTATTTCTGAGGGCTCTGTTCTGTTCCATTGGTCTATATCTCTGTTTTGGTACCAGTACCATGCTGTTTGGTTACTGTAGCCTTGTAGTATAATTTGAAGTCAGGTAGCGTGATGCCTCCAGCTTTGTTCTTTTGGCTTAGGATTGTCTTGGCGATGCGGGCTCTTTTTTGGTTCCATATGAACTTTAAAGTAGTTTTTTCCAATTCTGTGAAGAAAGTCATTGGTAGCTTGATGGGGATGGCATTGAATCTATAAATTACCTTGGGCAGTATGGCCATTTTCACGATATTGATTCTTCCTATCCATGAGCATGGAATGTTCTTCTATTTGTTTGTGTCCTCTTTTATTTCGTTGAGCAGTGGTTTGTAGTTCTCCTTGAAGAGGTCCTTCACATCCCTTGTAAGTTGGATTCCTAGGTATTTTATTCTCTTTGAAGCAATTGTGAATGGGAGTTCACTCATGATTTGGCTCTCTGTTTGTCTGTTATTGGTGTATAAGAATGCTTGTGATTTTTGCACATTGATTTTGTATTCTGAGACTTTGCTGAAGTTGCTTATCAGCTTAAGGAGATTTTGGGCTGAGATGACGGGGTTTTCTAAATATACAATCATGTCACCTGCAAACAGGGACAATTTGACTTCCTCTTTTCCTAATTGCCTTTTATTTCTTTCTCCTGCCTGATTGTCCTGGCCAGAACTTCCAACACTTTGTTGAATAGGAGTGGTGAGAGAGGGCATCCCTGTCTTGTGCCAGTTTTCAAAGGGAATGCTTCCAGTTTTTGCCCATTCAGTATGATATTGGCTGTGGGTTTGTCATAAATATCTCTTATTATTTTGAGATACGCCCCATCAATACCTAATTTATTGAGAGTTTTTAGCATGAAGCGCTGTTGAATTTTCTTGAAGGCCTTTTCTGCATCTGTTGAGGTAGTCATGGTTTTTGTCTTTGGTTCTGTTTATATGATGGATTACGTTTATTGATTTGCATATGTTGAACCAGCCTTGCATCCCAGGGATGAAGCCCACTTGATCATGGTTGATAAGCTTTTTGATGTGCTGCTGGATTCAGTTTGCCAGTATTTTATTGAGGATTTTTGCATCAATGTTCATCAGGGATATTGGTCTAAAATTCTCTTGTTTTGTTGTGTCTCTGCCAGGCTTTGGTATCAGGATGATGCTGGCCTCATAAAATGAGTTAGGGAAGAGTCCCTCTTTTTCTGTTTATTGGAATAGTTTCAGAGGGAAGGAATGGTACCAGCTCCTCTTTGTACCACTGGTAGAATTCGGCTGTGAACCTGTCTAGTCCTGGACTTTTTTTGTTTGGTAGGCTATTAATTATTGCCTCAATTTCAGAGCCAGTTATTGGTCTATTCAGGGATTCAACTTCCTACTGGTTTAGTCTTGGGAGGGTGTATGTGTCCAGGAATTTATCCATTTCTTCTAGATTTTCTAGTTTATTTGTGTTGAGGTGTTTATAGTATTCTCTGATGGTAGTTTGTATTTCTGTGGGATCGGTGGTGATATCCCCTTTATCATTTTTTATGTGCCTTTTTGATATTTGATTCTTCTCTCTCTCTCTCTTTTTTTTTTTTTTTTTTTTCAGGCAGAGTCTTACTCTGTCGCCCAGGCTGGAGTGCAGTGGCATGATCTCGGCTCACTACAAGCTCCGCCTCCCAGGTTCATGCAATTCTCCTGCCTCAGCCTCCTGAGTAGCTGGGACTACAGGCGCCCGCCACCAAGCCCGGCTAATTTTTTATAGAGATGGGGTTTCACCGTGTTAGCCAGGATGGTCTTGATCTCCTGACCTCGTGATCCGCCCACCTCGGCCTCCCAAAGTGCTGGGATTACAGGCATGAGCCACCGCGCCTAGCCTCTCTTTTCTTCTTTATTAGTCTTGCTAGTGGTCTATCAATTTTGTTGATCTTTTTCAAAAAACCAGCTCCTGGATTCATTGATTTTTTGAAGGGTTTTTTGTGTCTCTGTCTCCTTCAGTTCTGCTCTGATCTTAGTTATTTCTTGCCTTCTGCTAGCTTTTGAATGTGTTTGCTCTTGCTTCTCTAGTTCTTTTAATTGTGATGTTAGGGTGTCAATTTTAGATCTTTCCTGCTTTCTCTTGTGGGCATTTAGTGCTATAAATTTCCCTCCACACCCTGCTTTAAATGTATCCCATAGATTCTGGTATGTGGTGTCTATGTTCTCATTGGTTTCAAAGAACATCTTTATTTCTGCCTTCATTTCATTATGTACCCAGTAGTCATTCAGGAGCAGGTTGTTCAGTTTCCATGTAGTTGAGCGGTTTTGAATGAGTTTCTTAATCCTGAGTTCTAGTTTGATTGCACTGTGGTCTGAGAGACAGTTTGTTATAATTTCTGTTCTTTTACATTTGCTGAGGAGTGCTTTACTTCCAACTATGTGGTCAATTTTGGAATAAGTGCGATGTGGTGCTGAGAAGAATGTATATTCTGTTGATTTGGGGTGGAGAGTTCTGTAGATGTGTATTAGGTCCACTTGGCGCAGAGCTGAGTTCAATTCCTGGATATCCTTGTTAACTTTCTGTCTTGATCTGTCTAATGTTGACAGTGGGGTGTTAAAGTCTCCCATTATTACTGTTTGGGAGTCTAAGTCTCTTTGTAGGTCTCTAAGGACTTGCTTTATGAATCTGGGTGCTCCTGTACTGGGCGCATATATATTTAGGATAGTTAGCTCTTCTTGTTGAATTGATCCCTTTATCATTATATAGTTGCCTTCTTTGTCTCTTTTGATCTTTGTTGGTTTAAAGTCTGTTTTATCAGAGACTAGGATTGCAACCCCTGCTTTTTTTTTGTTTTCCATTTGCTTGGTAGATCTTCCTCCATCCCTTTATTTTGAGCCTATGTGTGTGTCTGCACGTGAGATGGGTCTCCTGAATACAGCACACTGATGGGTCTTGACTCTTTATCCAATTTGCCAGTCTGTGTCTTTTAATTGGAGCATTTAGCCCATTTACATTTAAAGTTAATATTGTTATGTGTGAATTTGATCCTGTCATTATGATGTTAGCTGGTTATTTTGCTCGTTAGTTGATGCGGTTTCTTCCTAGCATTGATGGTCTTTACAATTTGGCATGTTTTTGGAGTGGCTGGTACCGGTTGTTCCTTTCCATGTTTAGTGCTTCCTTCAGGAGCTCTTGTAAGGCAGGCCTGGTGGTGACAAAATCTCTCAGCATTTGCTTGTCTGTAAAGTATTTTATTCCTCCTTCACTTATGAAGCTTAGTTTGGCTGGATATGAAATTCTGGGTTGAAAATTCTTCTCTTTAAGAATGTTGAATATTGGCCCCCACTCTCTTCTGGCTTGTGGAGTTTCTGCCAAGAGATCCGCTGTTAGTCTGATGGGCTTCCCTTTGTGGGTAACCCAACCTTTCTCTCTGGCTGCCCTTAACATTTTTTCCTTCATTTCACCTTTGGTGAATCTGACAATTATGTGCCTTGGAGTTGCTCTTCTCGAGAAGTATCTTTGTGGCTTTCTCTGTATTTCCTGAATTTGAATGTTGGCCTGCCTTGCTAGGTTGGGGAAGTTCTCCTGGATAATATCCTGAAGAGTGTTTTCCAACTTGGTTCTATTTCACTCCCCGTCACTTTCAGGTACACCAGTCAGACGTAGATTTGGTCTTTTCACATAGTCCCATATTTCTTGGAGGCTTTGTTTGTTTCTTTTTATTTTTTCTCTAAACTTCTCTTCTCGCTTCATTTCATTCATTTGATCTTCAGTCACTGATACCCTTTCTTCCAGTTGATCAAATCGGCTACTGAAGCTTGTGCATGCATCACGTAGTTCTCATGCCATGGTTTTCATCTCCATCAGGTCATTTAATGTCTTCTCTACACCAGTTATTCTAGTTAGCCATTCGTCTCATCTTTTTTCAAGGTTTTTAGCTTCTTTGCGATGGGTTTGAACATCCTCCTTTAGCTTGGAAAAGTTTGATCATCTGAAGCCTTCTTCTTTCAACTCATCAAAGTTGTTCTCCGTCCAGCTTTGTTCCGTTGCTGGCAAAGAGCTGCGTTCCTTTGGAGGGGAAGAGGCGCTCTTATTTTAAGAATGTTCAGCTTTTCTGCTCTGGTTTCTCCCCATCTTTGTGGTTTTATCTGCCTTTGGTCTTTGATGATGGTGATGTCCAGATGGGGTTTTGGTGTGGATGTCCTTTCTGTTTGTTAGTTTTACTTCTAACAGTCAGGACCCTCAGCTGCAGTTTTGTTGGAGTTTGCTGGAGGTCCACTCCAGACCCCGTTTGCCTGGGTATCACCAGTGGAGGCTGCAGAACAGCGAATATTGCAGAGCAGCCAATGTTGCTGCCTGATCGTTCCTCTGGAAGCTTCGTCTCAGAGGGGCACCCAGCCGTGTGAGGTGTCAGTCGGCCCCTACTGGGAGGTGCCTCCCAGTTAGGCTACTGGGGGGTCAGAGACCCACCTGAGGAGGCAGTCTGTCGCCTCTCAGATCTCAAACTCTGTTCTGGGAGAACCACTATTGTCTTCAAAGGTGTCAGACGGGGACATTTAAGTCTGCAGCAGTTTCTGCTGCCTTTTGTTCAGCTATGCCCTGCCCCTAGAGGTGGAGTCTACAGAGGCAGGCAGGCCTCCTTGAGCTGTGGTGGGCTCCACCCAGATCTAGCTTCCCGGCCACTTTGTTTACCTACTCAAGCCTCAGCAATGGTGGGCACCCCTCCGCCAGCCTCGTTGCCTACTTGCAGTTTGATCTCAGACTGCTGTGCTAGCAATGAGCAAGGCTCCGTGGGCGTGGGACCCTCTGAGCCAGGCACGGGTTATAATCTCCTGATGTGCCATTTGCTAAGACCGTTGGAAAAGCGCAGTTTTAGGGTGGGAGTGACCCGATTTTCCAGGTGCCATCTGTCACAACTTCCCTTGGCTAGGAAAGGGAATTCCCTGACCCCTTGTGCTTCCGGGGTGAGGTGATGCCTCACCCTGCTTTGGCTTACATTCCATGGGCTGCACCCACTGTCCTGCACCCACTGTCCGACAAGCCCCAGTGAGATGAACCCAGTACCTCAGGTGAAATGCAGAAATCACCTGTCTTCTGTTTTGCTCACACTGGGAGCTGTAGACTGGAGCTGTTCCTATTCGGCCATCTTGGAACCTCCGGGACTCTATTTCAACTGAGATAAATCATGAGGGTAGATTCGAATATGCAGTAAGCACTGATTTTATCAAACTCTTAGCATGTGCCTGGCCCTTTGCTAAGTGTTTATATACTTCATGTAATTTGGTCCTCACAACAATGCTATGAAGTGGTTACTGCTGTTATCACATTTTACAGATGAGGAGACTGTGGTCCCAGCAGGTTAAGAACTGGTCTGAGCTGACAGAGTGAATAAATGGCAAAACCAGGACTTGAACCAGGGCAGTCTGACATTAGAGCCAAGGCATTTGCCCCTGATCTGAGTTATCTTTGTGGGAGCTTGCATTGTGTCTAGGCCACAGTTAATCCTCATTAGATACTTAGGAAGACACCATGGCCAGTTCTTTAGAAAATATATGCTATACAGCCGGGCGCAGTGGCTCACGCCTACAATCCCAGCACTTTGGGAGGCCGAGATGGGCAGATCACCTGAGATCAGGAGTTCAAGACCAGCCTGACCAACATGGAGAAACCCCATCTCTACTAAAAATACAAAATTAGCCTGGCATGGTGGTGCATACCTGTAATCACAGCTACTCGGGAGGCTGAAACAGGAGAATCGCTTGAACCTGGGAGGCAGAGGTTGCAGTGAGCTGAGATTGTTCCATTGCACTCCAGCCTGAGCAACAAGAGCGAAACTCTGCCTCAAAATTAAATAAATAAATAAATAAATAAATAAATAAATAAATGCTATAATTGATATCTGACATTGAGGCATTTTTGTGTTCGTTATTGCTTACATAGCTACTTCCCTACTGCCATCTTTGGCCTACCAATATTTAAAATGTTTCTGTTATTCTTTGTGGTCTTGGCAGGGCATTTTGATAACTTCTAAAATACATAAAGCATCAACTTAATCAACTTAGTATTGAATTCCCGGAAGGTCAAGAAGCTCTAGGTCCATATATTTGATGAGGAACCTTTTGTTAGTCATGTAGGTTGCTTACTGTGGTTTGCCTTGATCAGGAGCCCAGGATGTTAAAGTGAGAAAAATTGGGAATATTTAACAGGCTTTTGTTTGATCATCTAGCATTTTGCCTCACAGAAGGGCTAGTAAATTAGAATGAAACGTTTAAGGGAATCTTTTGCCATCTTTAGCACATATTATCTTTTTTTTTTTTTTGAGACGGAGTTTTGCTCTTGTTGCCCAGGCTGGAGTGCAATGGCACGATCTTGGTTCACTGCAACCTCTGTCTCCTGGGTTCAAGCGATTCTCCTGCCTCAGCCTCCCAAGAAGCTGGGATTACAGGCATGCACCACCACGCTCAGCTAATTTTGTGTTTTTATTAGAGACAGGGTTTCTCCATGTTGATCAGGCTAGTCTCAAACTCCCAACTTCAGGTGATCCTCCCACCTCGGCCTCCCAAAGTGCTGGGATTACAGGCGTGAGTCACCATGCCCGGCCTTAGCACATATTATCTGTAACTAGACTAAGACAGCATTTCTCCAGATGATGGCAAAGTGAAAGAACTGTATCTCATCCATCCTTGCCACAATCCTTGTTTGCAGAGAGAAGAAAGTAGGGCGAGAGGGCACTTCATGTACTCCACCTAGATCAAGATGTTCTCTCCTTTGATATCCTTAGAGCTTAGATCCCAGAAAGTGCTGATTGAGACAAGGACTCCGCAGACATCTGGTATTCAGGTGATCTGCCAGCAGATGGTTTATACCCCATACTCAGAATGCCAGCCTTCAATGAAACTTTCTCCATCTTCAGGTTCCAAAGGTGGCCATTAGCTCCAGGATTATTGCTAAACCCGTGGTGGATTTTCTGTTATATTTAGGTAGCTGAATCATATTAAGCTTGACAATGGTTTGCTTTTTCTTGGCAGAGCCTGTGCTTTCTCAGCAAAATTTATGTAACAGCAATCTCATTAGAATTTTGTGTGATTCATTGCTTAAACCTTATAGTTTCTGCAATCTATTGCAATTCAAAATATCCTACCCTCTAACTGACCCACTCCATATGCTGCCCCCTCTCCCCTCTGCTTGTTCATGCTGAGTGTATGCCACACATTAGTCACCAGCTCTTTTTTTTTTCTTTTCCACCCAGTATAGAAATTTGAAATGAGAAATCTACCAGTGCTTTTAAATTTTACAGTTTTTGTAGTCACTCTTTTCTAAGTTTCCTATTTTGTATTTAGGCATAATAGATATTATTTTGGACAGGCTTGAAAAATGAAGTTGAGATAGTTTGCCTTACGTGGAGCCAGATACGCTCATTTTGACAAACTCCACTGATGTTGGGCAAAGACTTTATGGCAGCAGAATTAGTCTAGGGGCAGCAGAGGGCACCGGCTCTGCCAGAAAGAACCAGACCAGGGAAAGTAGGTACAAGGGAACAATCTCCAGCATAAATGACCTCTTTTCAGAGGTTCAAGAAGAAAAGATTATTTTAGACAGCTTAGCAGAGTAGTTGTTAGTCTACATACTGCACAAACATCAGTTTTATTTAGAAAGGGGAAGAGGGTAATGGGAGAAACTAGTGTGGGCCCTGCATTATATCATACAAATTTCACTGCAGAATCATATTGTTGTTAAAGAAATCCCTAGAGAGCCACTACCCTTGCCTGTGCAAAAATAGTCATTTATTGAGCTGATGATGAAGTAGCCCAGGAGAGAAACTGAGATGGAGGGCAGACAGAAAGCATATAAAACAGTCTCCTGATCATTTGGAGAGTCATAGTCTGTAACTTTCAGACTGTAGCACCTCCTACTCACGTGGACAACACCCTCTTTCAGCGTGGCACACCATCTGCTAGGGTAATGCAATCCCTCCTTTGGCCCCTGACACTGGTAAACCTGCCAAGCACTGAGCAGGAGGGAACATTGGATGGGAGACTCTAGAAGAATAGGGGAAAGACTTTCCAAAAAATTTTAAGTGGTGGTGTTATATTTTAAATTATTATTTCCTGAAAGTTTAAAAATGTGTTAAGAAATGCAGAGAATCAAGAGGTTTTAAAAAGTGAGTTGTTTTCCTCCAGCAAACATGCAGATGAGGCCTGGTCTTTCTGGCCCCATCAGGAAAGCAGCTGCCATCCCTGTCAAGTAGCCCAGTGTCAGCACTCCAGCAGATCGGAGCGATGGCACCTTTGAAACAGCTCTGGTGCTCTGGTCGACGTTTTCTTCTATCCCTAAATGATTTCCCCTGTCCTCGTGTCCGCACATCCTGGTGTGTTCTGATGACCCATGTGTCTGGGAAGGAAATAATGGGGGAGGAGTATGGCCTGACGTCTGCTCTCAGATAATCCCAGGATCATTCCATCCATGTGCCAAGGAACCAGTATTTCCACCTTCCCCAAGCAGCACTCCTCCAGATTGTCTGAAGTTGTTTTTAATCCAAGCCCAGACGTAACTGTGATAGGTGAAGTGTCATGCGTACAGCAGCACATTAGGAAAGAGAGTATGTGGATTAAACAATGTGATCCCTTCTTCTGTGTACCTCACAGCAGTCTTTCTTTCCCATGTAACAGGAGATCCAGGCTACCTGGTATGAGAAACTGCACGAGTGGGAGGATGCCCTTGTGGCCTATGACAAGAAAATGGACACCAACAAGGACGACCCAGAGCTGATGCTGGGCCGCATGCGCTGCCTCGAGGCCTTGGGGGAATGGTGAGCTTCCTAGAATGATGGCATGTGTGGCTGCAAGAGACTTCGTCTCTTTGATCTTTGGATTTGAAAGGAAGGCTTCCCCCACACGGAGTTCTCACTTCAGACTCATTTTGTTCCACTTGATACTTCTCAGGAATCATCTTTCACTTTTGGTGTTTTTCTCTCTCCATTCTATCTCAGCTGCTAAGTAGGAAGGCCTTCACTTAAACTTTATAATGCTCTAGGACAGGACAGCCTTGGGGGTGCTCCTGGGATCTACTTCTCCTGTCTACTCTCCTGATCTTTACTGACCCAGTGAAGAGCTCATATTCTTACTTGGCAACCTTGATTTTTAAAATTAGCTCTTGCAGATGTTTTTAGGAAAGAAGAACAGTGACTGCCCTCTTCAGGTGCTTCACCTATATCGGATGCTTACTGTGTGTCCAGCACTATGCCAGGCTCCAAGGAAACAAAATACACAAGAAAACAGGCCTTTCCTGTGAGGTTGATGAGACAGCCACGTAAACAGAGGGTTATTATAGCCTGAGAGGATGTTGATAATGTGTGAGCCATGCTACCTTGAAAGCCCAAAGGAGGAAGCAGGGTGATTTTGCAGTACTTCCTGGAGGAAGGACTGAGAGTTAGGAGATAGGTAAAGGAGAAGGTAGGGGGGAAACAGGTACTCCAGGTGCAAGCAACAGTAATGCGTAACTGAGAACATTTGGCTAGGTTTTGGTTTGGAGAGTTGCTTGGGAATGTTGAAGGGAAAAAATGGCCTCCATTCTGTTTCCAACAACAAGTGCAACTTTTAAAAAATAGTTAAAATAAAATGCTATACTATCATTGTTAAACTGTTTAATTGCAGTTTTAAATGACTAAAACAGGCCGGGCACAGTGGCTCACACCTGTAATCCCAACCCTTTGGGAGGCCAAGGCAGGCAGATCATTTGAAGTCAGGAGTTTGAGACCAGCCTGGCCAACATGGCGAAACCTCGTCTCCACTAAAAATAAACAATTAGTTGGACGTGGTGTTGCAGGCCTATGATCCCAGCTACTCGGGAGGCTGAGGCAGGAGGATCACTTGAACCCGGGAGGCGGAGGTTGCAGTGAGCTGAGATTGCACCACTGCACTCCAGCCTGAGTGACAGAGCGAGACTCTATCTCAAAAAAATAAATAAAAATAAATAAAAAATAAATGACTAAAACAAAGTTCCATGCTACCTCCCGACTAGTAGGTTATCCCTACTTTCTCTGGAACATGATACTGAGGGTCCACTGTTCCTTCATTCAGCCAGTAACTATCACGTGTGTATTCATTGCTAGTGTCTGTGCCAGGCCCTAGGGACACAGCCGTGAGCAAGACAGTTACAGCCCCTGCCTTCCCAGAGCTTACAGGACAGACAACCAGGCTGTCGTAATACATTGTGATACCATCAACAAAGGAGCCCAGGGGGCTGTGGGTAATAGGAAGCACCCTAATCAGCCTTGGAAGATACCGGGAGGAAACGATATCTAACTTGGACCTGTACAATGAGGAGCACAGTATGGGGGATTTTAGTAGGCCTTTTTGTTCAGATTCTTCTCTGTGACCCCCTGTCTTCAGAAATAAGGATGTACCTTTCCTCCAGGTATAGGGAAGGCATCTCTCACATGAGGGCCTTATGACCTCCTTCAGGGGAAGGTCAAAATATTTTTCCTAGATGTTATGACCTGCTTCAGGGCATAAGGGCAGGGGAGAGTCAGAGTAATTTTTTTTTTGCTGCCATTTTCTTAAAATATTCAGTATGCCAAGGTGTGCTATATTTCAGGGTAGTATATCCTGACCCCCATCACAGGGATGTACATTGACGGCAATGTGCTGTTTTTACCATTTTGCACTCTGCTGTTTTCACTTAACAAGTCTAGGCCACTGTTCCATATCAGCACCTGTAGAGCTACTGCCTCATTTTTTTAATAGCTGCATGATATTTCATCATATCAATAAATCTAGTCTATTTAATATAGGCAAATTTTTATTTGTTTAGACATTTCCTGCCTTGGAAAGTTTAAGAATATTGGACAAAATCAAAGCAAGTCTTCTAAAAGAATGATCTTTCACTACATGTAGTCTTTCTGTACTACCTTAGCCTCCCTTGTAGCTGAGACTACAGGCACACACCACCACAGTGGGCTAATTTTTTTTATTTTTTGTAGAGACGGAGTCTCACAGTGCAGTCTAGGCTGGTTTTGAACTCCTGGGGTTCAAGCGATCCTCCCTCTTTGGCCTTCCAAAGTGCTAGGATTACAGGTGTGAGCCACTGTGCACAGCCTTCTTTTTTTTTTTTAAGAGGCAGGACTTTAATCTGTCTCTCAGTGGAGTACAGTGGTGTGATCACAGCTCACTGTGGTCTTGAACTCCTGGACTCAAGCAATCCTCCCACCTCAGCCTCCTGAGTAGAAGGAACTACAGAAATGCACCACCATGCCTGGCTAATTTTTTTAAATTATTTTTTGTAGGGATAGGGTCTCATTATGTTGCCAAGTTTGGCTGTTATTTCTTAATATAAAGTTATTACTACATCCCCAAGATAGAAGATGTTATAATGTTTTGCATGAAAATTTAATGTTAGTGAACTTAGCCTTAGGCATTGGATCATATATATATATATAGAGAGAGAGATAATATTCCACAATTATTTGAAAGTGGCTTGTCTGATTTAACCATCATTAGGAAGATTTTTATTTATTTTTATTTTTTTATTTATAGGAAGTGTTATTTATTTTTATAAATTAACATTAAAAGGCTGAGTGTGGTGGCTCACACCTGTAATCCCAAAACTTTGGGAGGCTGAGGCAGGCGGATTGCTTGAGCCCAGAAGTTTGACACTAGCCTGGGCAACAACAACAACAACAAAAATTCCATGTTCATTTACCTCAATAAATTTAGGAAGCATGTCTTTTAAAATCCGCTTTATTTATTTATATAACTAAAGCTGTTGTTGTTGTTGTTGTTGTTGTTGTTGTTTTTCTCAGTCCAACAAGTATCTAAAGCTGTATTGTCCAATATGGTAGCCTCTAGCCACATGTGGCTTTTTTTTTTTTTTTTTTTTTTTTTTTTTTTTTTTGAGACAGAGTCTCACTCTGTCACCCAGGCTGGAGTGCAGTGCTGTGATTTCGGCTCACTGCAACCTTCACCTCCCAGGGTCAAGTGATTTTCCTGCCCCAGCCTCCTGAGTAGCTGGGATTACAGGCATGCACCACCACTCCCGGCTGATTTTTGTATTTTTAATGGAGATGGGGTTTCGCCATGTTGGCCAGGCTGGTCTTGAACTCCCAACCTCAAGAAATCCACCTGCCTCAGCCTCTCAAAGGTCTAGGATTACGGGTGTGAGCCACTGCATCCGGCCTTATGGCTATTTTTAAATTAAATAAAATGTGAAATTCAGTTCCTCAGTCATACCACATTTTAGGTGTTCAGTAGCCACATGTGGCCAGTGGCTGCTGTATTGGACAGTGCACATAGAGAACTTTTCCATCATCACAGAAAGCTCTATTGGACAACACTGATCTAAGGCAAAAGAAAAGTATGTTAATAAGAATTATTCACATTATTTCAAAAACAATTTTTCTAGTTTCATATCAGCTGTCATACAATCATATCTTGTTATGAGAAAGATAAAACGAGATGGAAGTGTTCTTAAAATTCAACTCTAATCAATTCCTAAAATACTGCAATGTTTCACTGTTGCCATTGGATTTACATATAAATATCACAGCCTGGCATTCAAAGTCTTTCCTATTATGGCACCAGCCCGCTTCTTCAGCACATTTCTCTGTGAACCCTTCTCTCATAATCTGAGCTCTGGCCAAATTATTCACTCTTCTCCAAGTCCTACATTCATTCGTTCCATTCTTTGAATTGCCCTCTTCTTCTGCCTCTTTTTCTACTTTTGAAATCCTCTCCACTGTTTCTTCCCTCTTGAAACCTCTCCTGGCCCCTTCCCCTTCCACTCCTCTCCTTTCACATTAAAGATGACCACTTTTCCTAGCTGGGTTAGTAGGAGCAGATTGGATACATTGGAAGAGACTTGAGATGTGGTTTCCTCCAATTCCTTTGTGTTATAGTTGAAGAAACTGAGGCTCACAGAAGTTGAGAAAACCGAGCTGAGTGATATCGATCTCCTGATGTTGCCGTTCTCAGTCCCAAATACCTCTGACCTCTTGGGTTCTTTCCCGTTTTATAGTTACCCATAAAGCGTAAGTGGCTAGTAATGCTGACCAAAGGATTTAAGAATGTGGGAGACTAAAAGAGGTTTTAAAACGAGTCGAAAGAAGCAGAATATTTTTCCTGATCATATGCAGGTTTCTGATACGGTTTATTCAGTCAATTCTGTTTAGAGTGCAATTTCTAAATTTCTTTTGTGTGCGTATATCCTGAATATGCCTGAGGCAGATGTTCATCAGAGGTGACATGAAGAATGATCTGGAGTTAACAGTGAGCTGAGACCCTTCCCATTTCCCCATTCTTATCTGCCTCCAGGAGGCTGTGAGAGCTAGGCAACCCGCACCCCCTGCCCTGCCCAGCCCTATGGTGCAGGCAGCCACGCCTGCAGCCAAAGTGAACTAAAGTGAACCCCCTCCTCAAACTGTTCCCCACACAGCTAGGTATTGAGAACAGATTCCTCGGGAGTGAGATCATAGGCCCTCAACCCTAAGAGGAGCCATGGAGCCATTCCAAATGAAAGAATACTTCCTAAGCTTTTTATTTGTTTTAAATCTTCAGGGACCATGCTATCTTCTCTGTATCGTTCCAATTTTAGTATATGTGCTGCCAAAGCAAGCACTTTCTGCGTTTTTTGCCAGAACGCTAGGTGAGAAAATCAAAGTCTCAGAGGGTGCACCTTTTACCCAGTCCTCCCTATGTGTAGTGAAAGGTATCAGAAAAACATATCCTAGTTGTTGCCCCATAAACAATCTCATGTTTTTTATTTATTTGGTTTTGCCCCTCACCCAACCGCCCTTGAGAGGTAGGACTCGGTATATTCTGCATTATTTTTTGTAACAAATGTTTGTGGAAGAGCAATGCTCTTGTCTGTGTACTGACCAAGCTCTGACAGCTGTTCCCACACAGCTGCATGGTGAAGGCCGTGCGAAGTTCACTGCTAGGGCTTGCCCTTCTGAGTTGCTGTTCCTACATTGCTCCCTGCTTTGTCTCTTGGGGTAACAATTTGTGGGATTTCAGCACTGAACTTGCTTCCTGCTCTAGATGAAAAGAAAAACTACATCCTTGGTCCTGTGGCACAGAATCAGCTGATCCTGAAAAAATAATAGAGGGAGGCTGAGTTAGGAGGGACAGCTTGCATGAAGGATGCATTCATCCAAGTTGCTTGTGTTCACCAGCTGTAAATTTTGAACTATAGGGTTGGAAGGACCATTTGGAGATCATGCAGCTTTCTCTTCTACCTCTAGTCAGGATCCCTACAAAAATATGCTGTGCAGATGAGCTGTGCCTCTGCTTTAAGCCAGTGGTTCTCAAACTGTGACCCCTGGTCCAGCAGTTTTGGCGTCACATAGAAACTTGTTACAAATGCACATTCTCAGCCCCTATCCCAGCACTACTGAGTCAGAAACTCAGAGGGTGGAGCCCAGCCATCTGAAGGAGCCTTCCAGGGGATTCTGATGCACTTAGTAGTTTGAGAACTACTGCTCTAAGGGAACCCCTAGCAGGGCCCAGGAGTGAAGATTTCTAAGTCTCGGTGGCAGAAAACCAACACAGAGGTTTATCCTGTTCCCTTAATGGAGCTTCAGTAAATGCATAGGGCATCATGGCCACCAGTTCCTCTTTTTGGTCTCAGCTCTGTATTGAGCCAGAGTGCTTGTGTCCCTGGTTTTCTTGATCATGTGCCAGAGAGACAACAAAGTTAATATCTGCTGTACTGCGATGCTGGATAATGGCCCTGAGTACCTCTCCTAGACGTGGTCCACAGTCAGCTTCTTGGTGAGCTCAGCCTAGATTCCTTCTGCAGGGATTGACTTCAGCATCTTTATCCCCGCCCTCCTACACCACCTTAGAGCGCAGAGCAGCTCATGTTCCATGAGGCTTCTGACCTGGGCCACTTAGAACTTGTGCCCTTCCTCATGACTCCACCTCCAGTGCCAAGTTAAATCATCCTGCAGCATGTCTTTCAGAAAGCAGGAAAAATTAAGGAGTCTCCTAGCTGCATCTTGAAGCTCACATGAAATCAGGGACTCGGATTTGCATAATAGCCGAGTTTATTTTTTTTCACTGAGAAGCGAAACATGAGAGGGAGTTTCAACAGTCAATAGCAAGACCCTATTCTAGGGCTTCCATGTTCTCTTTTGTTTATTGGGGTGTCTTAAGCACCATTTATATCTCAATATCTCATAGTCCTCCTTCACATTCAGCAATTGTGCAAAATTCTGAGAATAAGCAGCATCTAGCCTTCTGGTAGATGTGACCATTGTGGAGCCTTTCTTCTGTACAGATTGATTTCATCTGGGTTTCATTTCAGACTGAAACCATTGGTATAATACTTTTAGGAGCCAGTTCTCCCTATAGCTTTGAGCCCAAAATGAATGTCCAGATGCGTCTCTTCAGATTGCTTTCTCTGTAGGCCTGCCAAAGGGAAAGAGCCCAGAATTCTTTGGCATAGGAGAGAAGTTATTTAATATTTATGAAGGGAGCCAGATGTTCAGGACATTTCATATCACAGAGTTAGGCATGGTTCCTATCCTTGATAAACTCACCCAGAAAAATTACGAGCACCGGGTCATAGAAACAACAAATAGCCCATTGATTCTCTATTATGTGACCTAGTAGAATGTGCTTTTTTATTAAAGGTGTCCAGTTCCTGTGTAGTCCTCACCTAACCCAAGGGGCAGGAGAGGAAGATTGGTAGTTTAAGGAGATTTGGATTAATCTGACTATATAATTCATTTTCTTCAGGGGTCAACTCCACCAGCAGTGCTGTGAAAAGTGGACCCTGGTTAATGATGAGACCCAAGCCAAGATGGCCCGGATGGCTGCTGCAGCTGCATGGGGTTTAGGTAAAGCTTCCCTCACAGGCACCCTGTGAAGGATGGGGTGAGTGAGGCTAGGGGCTCGCATCAGAAGAGTAAGGTGCTGGCTCTAGGTGGAGATCCAGGTCTATGGAAGGGTAAAAATGGTCTGTATCCACCTACTTCTACACCTTCCATCTGTCCTTTCTACCTGATGATTTTTATTAACTTGTTAGACATGGGGAAAATTGGATCTTCGTGGGGAGGCCAAGGAAAACGGTGCACAAAATCAAAATTGAGATTTAGTGGGTGAGAAATACACACTTAGCACACTCACACAGAGTACTGATGCCAGATGCTTTTCCCCATACACCAAGCCATTGTCAGCAGACACCAGTGGGGTGTCAAGTAGTTCATTTCTGACCCTATCTACTTGGAAATAGCATCAGATCCCACAGGTTAAGGGCTCGTCCCAAAATATCGCCCCACTTCAGATGCCAATCACAAGTTCCAGGTTGTGATTTGTGTTTCTCACTGACCAGCTGTAAATCAGGGTTCCCATAACCCTCCTCCTCAGGTTTGATAATTTGCCAGGACAGCGCACAGAACAAAAGGAGACACTTTACTTACATTTACTTGTTTATTATAAAGGGTATTATAAAAGATAGAGGTGAACAGGTACAATGAGGGAAGGTCTAGAAGGGTCTGGAGTGCAGAAGCTTCTGTCCTGTGGTACTGGGGTTTACCTTCACCCTCCCAGCACCTTCATCAACCTGGAAGCTCATTGTTCAAGAGTTTTTATTGCCTTTCATTTTCAACCTCTTCACCTTTCCTGGATGTCAGTGGACAGGGCTGAAAGTTCAAACCCGATAATTACTTGGTCTTTCTGGTAACCAGCCCCATCCTGGAAGGGGAGAAGGAGGGAGAGACAACATAAGGCAAAGTTTAAGTCACATGCTACTCAAAGAACCAATCTCTTTGGCAATAGGTTTGGATATTCTGTAAGGTTAGTGGGGTCATACACCTACACATTCAGCAGGGTACTAGGGTATGCATCTCTGTGTCTCCATTTACCTCTTCAGTTGAAAGCAGAAATAAGAGATGAGAAGGCTGGGTGTGGTGACTCACACCTGTAATCCCAGCACTCTGTGAGGCTTGGGCAGGAGGATCACTTGAGCCTGGGAGTTTGAAATCAGCCTGGGCAACATAGTGACACTCCGTCTCTACCAATTATATATATATATACACACACACACACACATAATTTTTTTTTTTTGACATGGAGTCTCGCTCTGTCACCCAGGCTGGAGTGCAGTGGCACGATCTCGGCTCACTGCAACCTCCGCCTCCCGGGTTCAAGCAATTCTCTGCCTCAGCCCTCCGAGTAGCTGGGATTCCAGGCACTGCCACCACGCCCGGCTAATTTTTCTATTTTTAGTAGAGACGGGGTTTCACCATGTTGGCCAGGCTGGTCTTGAACTCCTGATCTCGTGATCCATCCTCCTCGGCCTCCCAAAGTGCTGGAATTACAGGTGTGAGCCACAGCGCCTGGCCCTAATTTTTTTGTTTTAAAGAGAGATGAGGAGAAGTCTCTTTAGGTTCCTGCATCCAGCTATGCCTAAAGTCATAAAGTCATCTCTATAATTGGCCTTCTCAATAAATAAATTTTTTCTTAAACCATTCTACCTTATCAGCATAATCAATAGGGGCTCATTATGAATAATAAGGAACACTCCTATCACTCAGGAAATGCAGAGGGTTTTCGATAGCTCTATACCAGGCACTAGGGACAAAGACCAAACATATTTCTTCTTATACCACAGTAGGATTTGGCTTTGGTTGCCTAAAGCAAGTTACTGATTTATTTTCCTCTCTTATAAATGAAATCTAGAGGTAGGCGTTTCCAGACTAGTATTTTGGCTCTATTATCATTAGCCTTTTTCCAGATTTCTGCTTTGCATGCTCAGCCTGTGCCTCCATTTTAAAGTTCACCTCATGATCTAGCATGGTTGCTGGAGCTCCCCATGTCATGTTTTTATCCCAAGCAGGAGTAAAGGGAGAGGACAGTTGTCTATCTCCTTTTGTTAATATTTCTTAACTTATATTTTAGAAGTTTCCCAATATATATAACAGTGAAGATTATAGTATAATGAACCCCCATCTGCCCTTCACCTTTTCCAGCAATTACAAACATTTTCACCATTTATTGTCTCTATTCTCCTCTTTGCTGCCCAATTCTTACCCACCTCACTCCTACTCCCAGAGTTAAAGCAGAGATTTCTTTTCAATCCCTGCAGACATGTCAATTTCTGACACTGGGCCCCAGCTAAGAGGATTATCAATATGTGTTCCAGAGATGGTCTTGATAAGAAGGGAGAGGATATGTAGAGTGTCCCTGGTGAAAAGCTTCACCTGTGGAGCCCAGAGGAAAGTTACATAACCCTCTACCTCCATTCTCTTCTTCTGTCCCTCTTGAGTCACAGAGCTTATACCTTTTCCTTTCATGAGCTCTGGGCTAGATCCGGAACATTTTTCAAAAACAAATTGCTTCCTGAGGAGTCATTGTTAGCTATTTGCTTGTGCCCAGAGGCATAGAGAATGGATGAGCCGATGGTCTGGAGTGAGAGGCAGGAAAATGCCTTGTAAAATTGGCAGCCCTGTAGTTTGCAGCTAATGAAGCTGATATCTTTTCTGCAGATGGTCTTGGAAATCCTGGCATTTGATACATACTCACCCCACCAGGAGAAGTGAATACCTCTTCCCGGATGCAGCTATTTCCCCTGTCTAATATGACACAGAGAGCACTGTGCTGTGACCTAGCCCATCTTTTTGTTATAATGGAGTCGCTTAAAATATTTATCTCCTCCCTCCTGAGGCAAAGATATTGCCAGAATGAAATGGGCAAGCTATTTGTCTAATCCTGTCCCCTATCATCTGTGTAATGGCTATTTTCAATTGTTTGGAGGAAAATGTAATTTCCCAACATACCATTGAACTGTGAGCTGTCTCAGTAGTAAGGAAGAAAGCAATTTTGTTGCACCTGGAGAAACCTGAGAGAGTTCTCTAGGATAATGAGGTGCTGCATTCAGCCCACTTGATGTGCAGACTTCACACTCATGCACTTCCCCTCATCTGTCAAGATGCTCCCTGGGCAGCCATGGAGTCCTGTGTTTGGAAGACAGATGTGGCTTTTTTTGTTACGTCAACCTGCATAGTGTGTATAGGGGCTCTGCAGGATTTTGGTACATGAGGCTCAAGTTTATTTGTCTTGTTTATATCCCAAGCTAAAGGAAAATAACAGTGGCAAGACCTATTTGAGATGCTGCCTTTAGCCCAACCAGCCAACCCCCTTGATGCTTTCTGTCTATGTGTGTGTGTATAGGTCAGTGGGACAGCATGGAAGAATACACCTGTATGATCCCTCGGGACACCCATGATGGGGCATTTTATAGAGCTGTGCTGGCACTGCATCAGGACCTCTTCTCCTTGGCACAACAGGTAAAAACCTACATGCACCCAGATCTCTCAGTGAGGAAAAGATTGTAGTGCTTCTAAGCCCACGGTGCTTTGGTAAAGAAGCTGTTGTACTTCAGGTCTGATGTTTACTCGGCTCTGTGAGTACATTTGAATGGTTTTGATTCATTGTACTCAGAAGACTGCCAGCAGGTCAGCTGGGGCTACTTATTGTTCTGAGGGGGACAAATGTGTTCTGGAAGCTACTGTCTCGGTTGCTTTTGGAGTTAGCTTGTTGGGTCATCATTGTATCCCTTGTTGTAGAGAGAAGCTGTATTTCACCAAAAGGTAGGATTCAGAGAGCCAGCAGTCTCACTGTGCAGCAGAAATCAGTCACAAGGGTCTTCTGGCCATGCAGGCATGTCACACATTGATTACCTTCCGAGGAAGCTAGTACTTACTTGCAAATAGTATGCTGACTTGCAGAATGAAATAATGAAGTAATCCCATCCACCCTGTCAGACACGAGACTTAGATGAGGTGCCCGGGTAAATGATCTGAGCACTTAAGGCATTGGGACACTATAATTAACCTTAAACATTCAAAAACGGGAAAAGCTCTGCATGAGGGGTTTTTAATTGATGGCACAGAGGAAACTCAAACTGCAGTGCTGTGGCGTCCCCCAGGCTGTCATTTGTGTGATGAGAACCAAGATCTTGGTTGTCTCTGTCAGAGACACAAGAGTTCCCGTTCATGTGGACAGGATTGGGCATCTCTGCCAATTTTAGAGACACTCCCTCATAAGGACAGAGGGTGCTTGGAAGCCAGAGCTACCACCTGGAGCCATTGAAGTGTGTGCAGAATCTATTTTCATAAACATGCCCAGCAAGAAAAAGTTAAAAGAGGGTAGATCCCCAGGCTGGGCACAGTGGCTCACACCTGTAATCGCAGCACTTTGGGAGGCCGAGGCAGACGGATCACTTGAGACCAGGAGTTCAAGACCAGCCTGCCCAACATGGTGAAACCCTATCTCTACTAAAAATACAAAAATTAGCTGGGCGTGGTGGCGGGCGCCTGTAACCCCAGCATCCCAGCTACTTGGGAGGCTGAGGCAAGAGAATCGCTTGAACCAACATGGAGAAACCCTATCTCTACTAAAAATACAAAAATTAGCTGGGCGTGGTGGCGGGCGCCTGTAACCCCAGCATCCCAGCTACTTGGGAGGCTGAGGCAAGAGAATCACTTGAACCCGGGAGGTGGAGACTGCAGTGAGCCAAGATCACACCACTGCACTCCAGCCTGGGTGACAGAGTGAGACTGTGTCTCAGAAGAAAAAAAAAAGGTAGATCCCCAGTTATGTCCTCTTGAGATGCAAGAACCCATGATTCGGTTTTACAGCCCACATTCCCATGCCCTTGCCACCTAAGATTTTGTGTGTTACCTTAGATAGATGTTAAAGTTTTGGATGCCATACATTTCTGTCTTCGATGAGAAATTGGATAATACCTCCTCTCAAGCCATTCAGTTCTGGGAAAATGCCCTTCTTCAGCGAATTTCTCTTTTCATCCCTGGAATTTAAGTGAGACAGATAACTTCTGTAGCTAGTTGGGGTGCCCTAAAATAACCCTAAGCTCCCAAGTCCAGAGCTCAGTCCCAAGGGTTGTTTCTCTTCTAGTGCATTGACAAGGCCAGGGACCTGCTGGATGCTGAATTAACTGCGATGGCAGGAGAGAGTTACAGTCGGGCATATGGGGTAAGTGTCAACTATTCTGCACATTGTCATTTTTGAGGCTTATTTCCATACTTTTTTCAGAATGGGCTATTGAGAACTTACAGGCTGCTGGAAACATGCCTGTTTTCTCTGATCGGCAGATACCCTGACACCAGAAGGAATGATTTAAATTAATCCTGTCTTTTGGATTGTTCGTGCAGTAATTAGTTTGGAATGCGATTTGCTTCCATCAGGCCATGGTTTCTTGCCACATGCTGTCCGAGCTGGAGGAGGTTATCCAGTACAAACTTGTCCCCGAGCGACGAGAGATCATCCGCCAGATCTGGTGGGAGAGACTGCAGGTGAGCTTGGTAGAAAGCCCCAGTTCACCCACCTACCCCTACCCCTTCCAGGACCTGGGTGAGTGCCCCCCTCCACCCTGGCTCTTACTCAACTTGCTTTTCCTGCCTCCTCCACCAGTGTATTGCTTGGCTTGCATACAAAGCAGAATACTCAAAGGCTCCTCACCTAAACTTAAGCTGTGAGAGAATGACCAATTTTCCAGTCTCTTCTTATTCTCTTCTCTAGGAATTAAAAAAAATGTTTTTTAGTAAGTGACACCTGTGACCAGTCAGTTAGGAATCATAACCTCAAAATCAGTGGTTCTCAACCTTAGCAGCACAGTAGAATCACCTGCAGAGCTTTTTAAAATCCTGATGCCCAGGCTATTCCCCAGGCCAATTAAATTTCTGGGGAGAGACTCAGGATCAGTATCTTTTCAGGTTCCCCCAGATGATTCCACCAGCCAAAGCTAAGAACCACTGCTCTAACTACACTTGGAGGCCACCTGCACCAGCTTTTCAGATGGGGTTGCCTTAGGTTCTCATTGGCCAACTCCTGCTATTTATAGCTACTTAGGTCAGAGTCATCCTGTCGCCTCTATTGAGACTTTTTTTCCACTGCAGTTTCCGCTTGTAGAGAAGAAGCTTTCCCAAGTCCTCCATCAGTGTTTTCATTCTCACATTCTGATCATTTTAACATGAGAAACTGTCACTCCAGGTCTGGGAGTCAGGAGTCTAAATGTTCTGGGAAGGATGGCCAGTTATCCCATTCCTTGAGTGGGTAGGATAGGAAGTTCATCAGCAAAAGAAAAAAGAGAGAAAGCCTTTACCACTCCAGAAACCATTTGTCTCCCTACCTATCATAATCCATCCCCGCAATTATAAACCATTTCCTCTCAACTAGATCCCCACCTAATTGCTAATTCCAAATTCTCGCTTCAGACCAATCGAAGTTTGTGCTTCCAGGCGTCTCAGTAGGCTGCGACAAAACCTTTTGACTCCAAACACATTCCTGCCTAGGAAGCTCAGGGCACATTCCCCTGGACAGGAAAGAGCAATGGGCAAAGGAACATCTATGAATACAGTCATTTATGGCTCTGAAATGAGCACATACAGTTCTTTTACATGTTTTATTAGTAATTATGAAATGCCCAGTGAATGTTTTGATGGAAAATTGTCTCCTGGGCACCAGAAAGAATTCCACAAATAAGCATTTCCCACTTGATTTGTACACACCCCAATTCTTTGAAATGCCTATAATAAAGAGTTTCTACAGCAGAGATCTGATGAACCTTCTGACAGTCTGACAAGTGGGACTTGATCCAAATGTAGACTTAGAGGAGAGGGGAGGCATGGAATGAGTCCTGGGAAGAGAGATGCCTGTCTGACTTTACTGGGTCCAGGACACTGCCACCACCTTAAGCCTTCGTGACTTTCCTATCTTGAGGCAGCAAGATGCTTTTTGGCTTACAGGAGGCCAAATTATTTCAGCATCTGGGAGAACCTAACTATTGGTGAGAAGTCACAAAAAACAATCACTCAGTGTACTTTTTTCTGTTATTTTAACTTTCGAAATCATTGTTGTCACACTTCATGGGATGGAAAAATGTGGTCCAAGGCCTGAAAGTAAAGCATTACATTTATAGTGGAAATTTGGCTCTTGTGGATGGCTTGCTGTCAAATGAACTGCTGGGGCTAGAAAACTGCCATTTTGTGGTCAAATCATTTAAATTAAAATCCCCAACCAGTATTATAGTAGTGGAAAAATACATGTTTGTTACTTTTCTTTGGAGTTGCACCAATGCTTTTGGTTCCTAAGACCCTCCCATAGGGCAGTTAGAGAGGTCAGCCTTACTGGCGCTGGGTCTCTTCTAGCCTTGGGTTCTCCAGTCAGGCTCAGACTGCATCTTATCATAGCTAAAAGCCTGAGATCATTGTCGCTAGACTTTTAAGTTTATCTCCATGGAGGACAGCTCCATGGGTTCATGGAATTTACCATGAAGCAGTAGATCTCAGGAACTCCCCTTCTGAGTCTGACTTCTTATCAACAAGGATGAAAAAGGAGTTCACTTGGCCAGGCATGGTGGCTCACACCTGTAATCCCAGCACTTTGGGAGGCTGAGGCAGGTGGATTGCTTGAGGTCAGGAGTTTGAGACTTAGCCTGGCCAACATAGAGAAACCCCCTCTCTGCTAAAAGAAAAAAATACAAAAATTAGCCAGGCGTGGTGGCGCACACCTGTAATCCCAGCTCCTTGGGAGGCTGAGGCAGGAGAATCGCTTGGACCTGGGAGGCAGAGGTTGCAGTGAGCCAAGATTGCGCCACTGCACTCCAGCCTGAGGGACAGAATGATACTCCATCTCCAAAAAAAAAGGAGTTCTGCCTGCTTCTGCTCCCAAAGTTCTGGGATTACAGGCATGAGCCACCATGCCTGGCCTTCTGATACATTTTAACTTCCCTGCAAGCCACAGCCAAATCCACTGTGAAACACAACGGAGATTTGCTGATAGAATCTCAGGTTAAGGGTACTGTGAGTGAAATACCCTTAGGCAGCCGTCCCCAACCTGACTCTCTATAGTTGTTAGATGTAAAATTAGCTTAAGCCCCTTTGATAATTAATTCACTTTTTTATTATTTTATTTTATTTATTTATTTATTTATTTATTTTTGAGACGGAGTCTCGCTGAGTCCCCCAGTCTGGAGTGCAGTGGCACGATCTCGGCTTACTGCAAGCTCCGCCTCCCAAGTTCACGCCATTCTTCTGCCTCAGCCTCCTGAGTAGCTGGGACTACAGGCGCCCACCACCACGCCTGGCTAATTTTTTTTTTATTATTTTTTTTATTTTTTAGTAGAGACGGGGTTTCACCGTATTAGCCAGGATGATCTCGATCTCCTGACCTTGTGATCCCCCCACCTCAGCCTCCCAAAGTGCTGGGATTACAGGCATGAGCCACCGTGCCCCGCCTTTTTTCTTTTTTTTTTTTAATTATAAAGAATTTGTGGCCAGGCACAGTGGCTCATGCCTGTAATCCCAGCCCTTTAGGAGGCCGAGGTGGGTGGATTGCTTGAGGTCAGGAGTTCAAGACCAGGCTGGCCAACATAGCAAAACCCCGTATCTACTAAAAATACAAAAATTAGCCAGGCATGGTGGCACACACCTGTAGTTCCAGCTACTCAGGAGGCTGAGGCAGAAGAATCGCTTGAACCTTGGAGGCAGAGGTTGCAGTGAGCCGAGACCGAGCCACTGCACTCCAGCCTGGGAGACAAGAACGATCCCACCTGTAATCCCAGCACATTGGGAGGCTGAGGCAGGCAGATAGCTTAAGCCCAGGAGTTTGAGACCGGCCTTGGCAATGTGGCAAAACCCCATCTCTTCAAAAAATACAAAAATTAGCCAGATGTGATGTGCGCCCATAGTCCCAGCTACTCAGGAGGTTGAGGCGGGAGGATCGCTTGAACCTGGGAGGTTGAGGCTGCAGTGAGCCATGATTGCACCACTTTACTCCAGCCTGGGTGACAGAGTGAGACCCTATCAAAAAAAAAGAAAGAAGAATTTCTAAGTGTAACTAAATGAAGCATTTCCCCTTCTGTGTATACTTTTTGATCTGAGACTAGTAGAAATGAAGAAGAAAGAATCTAAGATGCCAACATACATGGCATCTCAACAGTCTTTTTTTTTTTTTTTTCAGAAGTCTTAATGGAGGTTTAGGCTTTAATAACTTCAGAAATATAAATGCTACCAACTTAAAAACAATGTCACTTCAAAAATTTTTAAACTTCTTTACATTTAATTCATTTTTCAACTTTGAATGATACATTTTAAATTTAATATCTTTATCAGTGATAGTCATCTTCAACCAGAAAGACTGAAACAAAATTTTAAAGTTGAAGATGTATTATGTGTTATTCACCATTCACAAAATAAATTGAAATCAATCATTTAATTTATTTAATCCTCACCGTATCCCTATGAAACTGGTACTATTTTTATTCCACCCTACAGATCTGTCAGAGGTTAAGTGATTTGCCCAAAGTCACATAGGGTAGCAAGTGACAGAGGCAGGATTCAAGCTCCAAACCCATGCTATACCATCTCTCAAACTGCTGAGACGCCCCTAAGGGCAGGGGTCCCCAGACCCGGGGCCGGGGACCGGTGAGTAGCCTGTTAGGAACCGGGAGGCACAGCAGGAGGTGAGGGATGGGCAAGCTCCACCTCCTGTCAGATCGGCAGCCACATTGGATTCTCACAGGAGCATGAACCGTATTATGAACTGCGCATGCAAGGGATCCAGGTTGCATGCTCCTTATGAGAATCTAATGCCTGATGATCATCTGAAAACCATCCCCCCGCCCCCCACCCAATCTGTGGAATAATTGTCTTCCACAAAACTAGTCCCTGGTGCCAAAAAGGTTGGGGACTGCTGCCTAAGGGTATTTCACTCACAGTACCCTTAACCTGAGAAAGCTGAGATTCTATCAGCAAATCTCTGTTGTGTTTCACAGTGGAATTGGCTGTGGCTTGCAGGGAAGTTAAAATGTATCAGAAGGCCAGGCATGGTGGCTCGTGCCTGTAATCCCAGAACTTTGGGAGCCGAAGCAGGCAGATCAGTTAAGGTCAGGAGTTCGAGAGCAGCCTTGCCATCATGGTGAAACACCATCTCTATTAAAAATACAAGAAAAGGCCGGGCGTGCTGGCTCACGCCTGTAATCCCAGCACTTTGGGAGGCCAAGACGGTTGGATCACGAGGTCAGGAATTCAAGACCAGCCTGGCCAAGATGCTGAAACCCCGTCTCTACTAAAAATACAAAACTTAGCCAGGCATGATGGCACACGCCTGTAATCCCCGCTACTCGGGAGGCTGAGGCAGGAGAATTGCTTGAACCCGGGAGGCAGAGGTTGCAGTGAGCCAAGATTGCACCACTGCACTCCAGCCTGGGCGACAGAGCAAGACTCTGCCACAAAAACAATGTATCAGAAGACATATCTAATCTTCACTTCTGAATGTTCCAGGGCTGCCAGCGTATCGTAGAGGACTGGCAGAAAATCCTTATGGTGCGGTCCCTTGTGGTCAGCCCTCATGAAGACATGAGAACCTGGCTCAAGTATGCAAGCCTGTGCGGCAAGAGTGGCAGGCTGGTGAGTGACAACCACCCACCCACATGGGCAGGTAGGGCCCCATGGTGTCCCTGGGCTGTCCAGTTCTGTCTATAACCCAGTTTCTCTTATTTTTAAGGCTCTTGCTCATAAAACTTTAGTGTTGCTCCTGGGAGTTGATCCGTCTCGGCAACTTGACCATCCTCTGCCAACAGTTCACCCTCAGGTGACCTATGCCTACATGAAAAACATGTGGAAGAGTGCCCGCAAGGTCTGTATCCCAATGCATCCAGAACAGACCACCTTCTCCAGAATGCTCGCCTAATCTGCTTCGCTCTGCCTCTTTAAGGCCAGAAAAGAAACAGTGTTTAAACCACCTACTCACAATGTCAGGGAGTCTCTTCCTGTTACAAAGCTATTTGGCCTGATTTCATAGAGTGAATCATAGTTGAGGAGATGGTGTGTATACCATTGATCAAACCAATGAATGTGATCACAGTTATATGTATTTGTATCTAGAAAGTGCTGGGACATAGAAAGGGCACACTTTCTACCCCTAAGAGAAGATGGACTGTTTGGTACAAAAAAGAGCAGATTTGTAAATACACAGACTAGAACTTTCACAAGACCAATTTGGGTTTTTCAGACCTCTGTCTCCTCTCCTGACATCAGTTTGGATTCAAAAGGAATAACATGCAGGGTATAATGCTGAAACCAGGAGGGAAAGTTATCTTGAAGCCAATGTAGAATTCTTCTGACTTTATGTACAGACAAGCCCTTGGGAAATAGATGTGGCTCCTGGTTTGGGGGTTTTTTTCTTTAAACAATCTGCCTGGATGATGCTGAGGACTAATAAACAGTAGGCCCTGGAGGCAAAGTCATCACCTGCTTTGGCTTCCCCTTCCTCCTTCTTAAAAGGAAGAGGGAGTCTCACTAGCCTTCTCTCCCCATTGTGACCCCCACAGTGAAGTACCTGAGATGAGAGAGGAATAAAACCCAGCCACTGGAGCCTCTGCTGTGGGAAGATCTCATAAAATAGAAGTTGTGTTTCTGCAGAAGGCACACTTAGGAGATCTGGGGACTGGGTCTAGAAATTGACTAATTTTATACATGACTGAATCAGAGTGGCTGTGAATACCACCCAGAGTGGGATCAGCCAGCCTGTACCCAGGCACCTGGTCTTTGGGATTTACTGCAGTACCAATGACCTAAGTTTCCTTCTTCAAATATGCAGCTTGGAGATTTTATTTGTTTTTTTGTTGTTTTGTTTTATTTTTCAGTCTCTGTGAGCCTCCCAGGCCAGAGCATTTCTGATTCAAAGCCTGACCTCCTCCAGGCAAATGAGAAAAACAGAAGGTGCTGGATCTGAGTATAGTCTGGTTTCCCTCCTATGTATAGCCTCCAAGTCTTTGACTGTCTTGCCTAAGGCAGGCCGAAGAAGTCTTTTGGGTAATATCTCAAGCAAGGAGTGGCTTCTTTCAACATAAGACCCCAGCCCAACTTCTCCATGGAATAGTCTTTCTTAGTAGCCCAAATTCTGTGGAATTAAAAATCAGGAACCTATTTAAAGTGCTGGGACTTCAAGCCCAGAACTAGAGATGTCATATCTTCATAGTTAAGGAGCTACCCAAGGAAAACTGACTACTTAATAATTGTGCTACTGAGCAAGACACTCACTGAGCCTTACTTTCCTCCACTGTAAACAAGAATCATGCTCTGCCTCGCCTGAGGCAAAGGAAAGTATTTGTGGGAAAAGCAGACCCTGTTATCCTGGAAGGCATCAGGCTATGGG
The DNA here is from genome assembly GCF_000001405.40 of Homo sapiens. Taxonomy (NCBI): domain Eukaryota; kingdom Metazoa; phylum Chordata; class Mammalia; order Primates; family Hominidae; genus Homo; species Homo sapiens. Next base: position 11,137,782 of record NC_000001.11, on the reverse strand, counting down.
TATATGTATCATGTTTTCCTAGACAAGACACTTCACAGAGTCCAGAGACAGGCTGGTCCTTCTGTAAAATTTCACTGAGCCAAGGCCATTGTTCTTGCCCACAAACCCACCCATGCAATCTAGAACCAGAATATTGTGCCTAGCTAAAATCCTGTGGGTCTATGAGAAGCCCCTTCTTCCAAGTGACAGGTCCTTCATTTATAAGAGGGAAAGAATCACTTTTCCCTTTTTTCATTTCCTGGGGATGGAGAAAACAAATTTTAAATAGAAAATTTCCAATTCCTTGAAAATAAGTTGCCTTGTACTATACAGTAGAAAGATACTGGATTCTCTTATGCTGGATAAACGAAATATTGGGCTTCAAATCCAAACTTAATACCCAGCCTCCCCAGCTTTGGCAGTTTATATTTTGTTCAGCTCCTTATTAAGTCCACCAAAGAGTTTAAACCCAGTGTCTGGATTGTTGATGACAGGTAGCTTATGGGCTCTGAAAAGCACCTACCATCAGAGTTCCTAGTTTAGCTCCTACCTGCGTGACGTATGCAATGATCACACTGAGTTATCACCTTTTTGGCGATTGAGTTTTTTTACTACCGCCTCCCAATTCTTTTTTTTTTTTTTTTTTTTTTTAATCAGATTTAAGCCAGGTGTGGTGGCTCACGCCTATGATCCCAGCACTTTGGGAGGCTGAGGCAGGCGAATCACTTGAGGTCAGGAGTTTGAGACCAGCCTGGACAACATGGTGAAGCACCGTCTCTACTAAAAATGCAAAAATTAGCCGGGTGTGGTGATGCATACCTGTACTCCCAGCTACTCAGGAAGTTGAGGCGGGAGAATCGCTTGAACCTGGGAGGCAGAGGTTGCAGTGAGCCAAGATCACGCCACTGCACTCCATCCTGGGTGACAAGAGCGAAACTCTGTTTCAAAAAAAAAAAAAATCAGATTTAAGACTGGTCAATGTAGTTCTCCTAGAAAAAAAAAAAACTAAAGGGTGGTTCACACCTGTAATCCCAGCACTTTGGGAGGCCGTGGTGGGAGGATTGCTTGAGCCCAGGAATTTGAGACCAACCTGGGCAACATAGCAAGACCTCATCTCTACTAAAAATTAAAATTAAAATTAACTGGGCATGGTGGTGTGTGCCTGTAGTTTCAGCTACTGGGAGGCTGAGGTAGGAGGATCACTTGAGCAAAAGTGTTCAAGTCTGCAGGGAGCTATCATTGCACCACTGCACTCCAGCCTGGGTAACAGAGTGAGAGACCCTGTCTCTAAAGGAATAAAAATTTAAGTTAAAAAAATTAAAATTAAAGGAACATTTATCACTTCCCAAGTGTGGGATGCTATTGTAGTTCATTTTTCAAAGTTGGTGGTGAGTAATGGATCCCTGTGAAGACAGATGTCTGAGGGAGACAGGTGTCTTGTTAAGTGTTGGAACATCTGTGTGCCTGCCCTGTCCTCATGCATGGATTAGCTGCTTGATCAATTGTTTGTCATGTCATTCTGGCTCTGGGTTAACCCAGTCTCTTCATGCCAATTAATTCCTTATATTGAAAAGCATCTGAGGTTGGTCCTGGCCCCCAAGCTAGGGAGTTTCATTTTCTTCAAGGCCATCATCACTAACATGTTTTTTGTTTGTTTGTTTGTTTTTTTGAGACAGGGTTTCGCTCTTGTCACCCAAACTGGAGTGCAGTGGTGTGATCTCGGCTCACTGCAACCTCTGCCTCCAGGTTCAAGCAATTCTCCTGCCTCAGCCTCCTGAGTAGCTGGGATTACAGGCAGCCACCACCACGCCCAGCTAATTTTTGTATTTTTAGTAGAGACGGGGTTTCACCATATTGGCCAGGCTGGTCTCGAACTCCTGACCTCAGGTGATCCACCCACCTTGGCCTCCCAAAGTGCTGAGATTACAGGCGTGAGCCACCACACCCAGCCTTTTTTCTTTTCTTTTTTTTTTGAGACAGTCTCACTCTGTTGCCCAGGTTGGAATGCAGTGGCACGATCTTGGCCCACTACAACCTCCGCCTCCCGGGTTCAAACAATTCTCCTGCCTCAGCCTCCCAAATAGCTGGGATTACAGGCGCGCCCCACCACGCCCGGCTAATTTTTGTATTTTTGGTAGAGACAGGTTTCACCATGTTGGCCAGGCTGGTCTGGAACTCCTGACCTCAGGTGATCCACCCGCCTCGGCCTCCTAAAGTGCTGGGATTACAGGTGTGAGCCACTGCACCTGGCTAACATGTTTTTATTTAAAACAAACAAAAATACCTCTTATATGATTTACCATAAGGAGAACTGTTATTTATCTGAAGTCTTGATTTTTTCCTTCTTCTGCAGCACAGAACACATTGCCTCTTTTTCACATTCTCTCATATAATGTTTCCTTTCCCTGTGTTAATGCATTTAGATTTTGCCATTTTTCCATTTGAGCTTTTGATGTTTGTACATTCTATCTCCATCCTTGAAGCCCTTTATTATTATTTTTTTTTCTATTTGTGGGTTTTCCCCCCTCTAGAAAAACCAGAAAAGATTTGTTTTTCCCTTTAAAAGTGATATGGACCGCACTTATCAAGATGCTGGTTCAACTGGATGTGGCGGGCTTGTACAGTAGTCCCAGATCTGTGATTCTGTCTCTGCCCTTCCTCAGTTCAGCTGTCTGTTCCTGACTCACATGCCCTCTGCTCACTTTGTATACAAGCCGGTAGTATAAATAGATCTAGCTGCTTTAGGATGCTCTGGAGATTTTGCCCCTAAGTCACCCTGTTCAACCAGATGTCTGCTGAGCTAATATCTTCTCCCTATTCCCTGTGAATGCATGCGGGTTTTCACTCCAAATCTGTGTTCTTATTTGGGTGCTATATGATTTTTAAATCCATAGTTTTTGCTCCGCTGGACTGTCCAAGGTACCCTGGTGTTGTAAACAAATACCAAAGTTTTATTAGCCTGAAACAATTCCCAAAAGCCTAATATCCCCCAGGGTAACATATTGATAGTGAAGTAAGCAGTTGTTTCAAATTACTTTGTAGGAATTTTTATTTGGGGTAGCCAGGCATGAAACTTTGCCAAGGCTTATAAAACTGGTAATTATAGTTGGCAAAGGAGAGCCAAGACTTGAGTTGAATAAGTCATGAATCTTTTTGAAAAGCCCAGTCTCTCCCAGTATCACGCCCTGGTCCTCTGTCCTATGGGGTCATCATTCTGTGCTCTAGGGTATTCTGTTTGGAGAGGGGTTGACTCATGCCTATCAGATGAACGGTAGCTCCCTTCCTCTGAAGCTGGGCCACAAGCCAAGTGGCTCTCTGTGCCTTTGTCCTGTTACAGATCGATGCCTTCCAGCACATGCAGCATTTTGTCCAGACCATGCAGCAACAGGCCCAGCATGCCATCGCTACTGAGGACCAGCAGCATAAGCAGGAACTGCACAAGCTCATGGCCCGGTGAGGTCCCCACTGACCTGGGGCAAGTCATATTCCAGCCCTGTCATCCCAGCAGCTTCTGCAGCAAGGAGGAGTTCAAGGCTTCTTGGGTGGCTGATTGCTGACATCTCTCTTTCCTTTTCCAGTAGGGATCCCAGGCAACCACCAAAGCATACTGCTCTCAAAGTCTCTGCCACTTGCTTTCCTAGGTTCAGCAGCCCAAGAGCACCCATGTGCTGTTCTCCTGGCGTCTGGTTTTAGAGTCCTTGTTTTCAAATGTCAGATATGCTGCCCCTCCCTTTTTTTTTTTTAAGATGGTCTTGCTGTGTCACCCAGGCTAGAGTATAGCCTTGATCTCCTGGGCTTAAGCAATCCTCCCACCTCAGTTTCCCAAGTAGCTATAGGCACGTGCCACCACACTGGCTAGTTTTTTGTAGAAATGAGGTCTCTACAAAAGAACAGGCATAGAGCCTGCATTTCCTCCTACAAGTTTAATGTTGCCCAGGCTGGTCTCAAACTCCTGTGCTCCAGCCAGCCTCCCTCCACAGCCTTCCAAAATGCTGGGATTATAGGTGTGGGCCACTGTGCCACTCTGTGCTGCAGATTTGATATTTGACTTCAGAGAAGTGACTTAACCTCTCTATGCCTCAGTTACCAATATAAAAGGGATAGTAACAGTTTCTATTTCCTAGGGTGGTATAAAGTAGTGTGAGGATTAATGCAAAGAGTACAATGCCAAGCATTTCAAGCAGCACTTGGAATACAGTAGCAGTCAGTAAATGTGGGCTAATCTCATTACAAAGAATGGAGGCAAAGGGAAAAGTAAGGGAGAAGCCATATAGCAATCAATAAAGAAGTAACTCTCAACTGTCACCCACAAAAAATTGGGTTTGGGGTAGGTAAGTCCATACAGACCTATCTGTACCAGGTACATGGTTTATGCTGTCATTGAGAGACAAAGGTCAAGATGGAAAGATGGTATCTTAAAAATGTATTCCAAAAGCCCATCTCCTTTCTTGCGTGTGGCTGAAAATTTTGCTAGCTCCTTCACATTGCCTCTTGAGAATAAGAGGAAATACCAGAAGGGCTTCAGTGTCCCCTAACAATTTGTGGTCCTCTTAGGAGGGCTGTTTTGAGGAGGGAATGTCATGGGGGCTTGTTTCTCTGCTTCCAGATGCTTCCTGAAACTTGGAGAGTGGCAGCTGAATCTACAGGGCATCAATGAGAGCACAATCCCCAAAGTGCTGCAGTACTACAGCGCCGCCACAGAGCACGACCGCAGCTGGTACAAGGTGATCAGAAGCAGGCCACCTGTGAGACCCAGCACCCTGGCTGGCTCGTGTCCTCCTGTGTGCTCGTGGTTACAGCTGAGCTTCTGCGGAGCTAGGCTGATGCTGTGAACTTACTCCTTGAGTCCCTGGAGCCTATCTATAAGAGGCCCAGGGAGCCTGCATTTCCCCCTACAAGTTTAATTAATACAGAAAGATTATTGGAGAAATACTTGTTACACCATTATTATGTGTATGTGGTGTTGGGGATTGCTGCTGTCTTACAGACTCTGAGCTGCTTGTTTTCCTGGGAGCATCTGGACACATGGTTAATCTCTGGAGTGACATCTTCCCTTAGGTCATCTGTTCTTGTTCAGCGTTTTTCTGATTTGCATCCTTGCCTGCTCCTCAGCTAAGAACTTAACTTTCTTTGTTTTTATTGGAAAGATCCAAGTAACATCCTGTTATGTTACAGGAAACTTTTGAAAGAGATAAACAGAATTAGAAAATATATAAAAGATGTGATTGATGGAGGGGTGATTTTTGGAAGTGTATATCTTTGGTGAGAATATACTTTCTTATTTCTTTTTGAGAGGCTTTCTGGTAACTACTTGGTGTGGCAGATGTCATTGACATCTTTCCAGTATTTCCTTGGCTTGCCAATACTTTGTGAATTAATCTCTCTGAAATCTAAACTTGTATCTGAGGACTGCAGAAGCACTTATAATACAGATCTTACCTTTGTTTAGGCATGCTTCATTCTGGTTTGAAAAATGTCCATTTTGTCATAAGAGTAATACTCTCTCTAGGACAGCTTGCATGTCCAAAGCTGGAAAATACATCCGGTAAACACTATTAACTGGAAGCTTATTAATCAGAGTTGTATTCTAACCAGAGTTACTTTCATTCATTAAGCTTTTAGGAAGTAAGCAAATCACAAGAAAAAAGTTGGTTTCAGGAACTTTAGTTTTAGTTTTTAAAAGCTTTTCCTAATGTGGGTCCCTTTTGTTTTATGATGTATTCTACCATCAACGTCATGGCCCTGTATGCATGCCAGGACTGTTTGTCTTGTTCACCTTGACCCCAGGTCATTGCCAGGCACATAGCAGATACACAAGAGATATTCAGTGAATAAATGAAGGTATGGGAAAACTGAAACCTGGGTCATTGTAGAATTCTTACTCATCAAGTAAAGGTTAGTTGTGATCAATCTATTCTCCTTAGTTGAGAAAACGGATACACCTGTGTTCAAGGTTTTTGGCAAGGCATACAAACGAATTTCCCAATTATTCAGAAAGTTCAGCTATTAATGGGTCACGTAGTGTCCTACTATCACTGCAAAGTTACCATGCCTGGAAGCAAACTCTGCCTCACACTCGCTAAACCAAGTGGTGGTACGCTGTAGAGTCATTGCCGCTCAGAACCCCAGAGAGAGTAGTATTCCTTTATCCAAATAAGCACCAGCGGTTCTTCCTTCAAGCATTGAGCACTGGTTCTCTGTCAGGCCGTGGGCTAGGTGTTGGGACCAGGCAGATGGGTGAGATTCTTTCTCTGTCAGGCTCCTATGCTCTTCATGTCTTCCTTTGTCCACTATCTGGTGACCTGTCAAAACTTTGCTCCCTTGAAATATTGTGATGACTGCTGCTTGCCCCCACTTCTGCTTGCCATTTCTGCTCTCCCCTAAATGTACACTTTATACCCAGTGCAGCTCTGCTTTCTGGGTGAAAGTGCCAGCCCTGTGCCTGCTCCAGGCGTGCTTTGCTGGCCTCGCTCTCACTCCTCGCCTGCATGTATCCCCTGCACGGTCACATTCATGGGCTTGTTTCCCGTGAACCAATCTGCACATCTCTGGCCTTATTCTTCCCCCTTGCCAAGTAGTCCCCACCGCTGCCTTCTTGTTTCCCTCCTTGCCCTTCTGCAGCTCTCTTCCAGACCTACCCCAAATCCCTCTTCTTGACAAAGCTTTCCAAATGCCTGTCCTTGCTACTCCCATTGTGCCTTGCAGAGTACCTAGGTCTTCAGGTTTGTGCGTGAGCTCCCCTAGGAGGCCGGGAGATCCCTTGAGGCAAGAGCTCTCTCCTGCTCCTCTTGCTGTGCCCTTCTCGCAGTGCACTCATAGTACGTTATATAGTTAGTGCTCCACAAAGTGAGTGGATCATGTTGAATTTAGTAAAACAGCCATTTCTGAGTGTCTCCTTGAAGTGTTTGCTTTATGGACACACAGAACAGGCAGGAGCAGCTGTTCCTCAGCATCGACCTTGCGCTCCTCTGAGCCCTGCTGTTGGTCACAGCTCCAGTGTCTGTCCTTGCCTTTCTCCCCAACCAGGCCTGGCATGCGTGGGCAGTGATGAACTTCGAAGCTGTGCTACACTACAAACATCAGAACCAAGCCCGCGATGAGAAGAAGAAACTGCGTCATGCCAGCGGGGCCAACATCACCAACGCCACCACTGCCGCCACCACGGCCGCCACTGCCACCACCACTGCCAGCACCGAGGGCAGCAACAGTGAGAGCGAGGCCGAGAGCACCGAGAACAGCCCCACCCCATCGCCGCTGCAGAAGAAGGTCACTGAGGTACCCTTCCCTTCTTCCTTATTAACAACCAACCAAGGTGCCAGGCTCTCTGAGAAATGGAATCGTTGTTAAGCTTAAAAGGAACCTGAGGCTGTATCTGAAGTGCCAGATGGAGCTGGAAAATACTGCCTATCTACCATCCAGCACTGCCTGAGATAGGGCTTTGTGTGTGAATATTTGTGTTTGGGGAGCTGACGCAGCCTCTATGCTGAAGAGCAAGCTCCTTGTCAAGCTTCCCTGTGGACGAGCTCATTCTCTACGTGCTGCACCTGTGTGTGGGTGGCTGTACACAGCTGCGGGTCCACTCTGAGGATGGGGCTTGGGAGGTCCATCCTCTGCCTTTTTCTCTCCACTTCCACTTCTTCCCCTTCCCCTTGGGCTGTCAGTTCAGAATGCGCCAGGGCCGCTGGCAGGCCCAGAGATCCGGGTGTTCAGAGCCTCAGCTCCACCTCCTCCCTCCATCCTGTTCAGGAAGCCACTGTCAGCCCAAGATAATAACAGTTATGATACAGTTGCCATTTATTGAGTCTTTGCTATGTGCCAGGTAATGATTAAAGATTTTTCATGCATTAACCGATTTAATTGTTATAACCACCCTTTGAAGTAGGTACAGTTAGTATGCTCTTATGCCCATTTTACAGATGAGAAAGCAGAGGCAAGAGTGTCGCTAACACGTGTGTGTTCCAACAGGATCTGTCCAAAACCCTCCTGATGTACACGGTGCCTGCCGTCCAGGGCTTCTTCCGTTCCATCTCCTTGTCACGAGGCAACAACCTCCAGGATACACTCAGGTATCAGAGAAGGGAAGGATGCAACTCTGGTAGGCCATGTTAATGGCAAGACCTAGAAGTCACACGTAAAAGTCCTCTTTCCCTTCCTGACCCTGATCAGGACACCCAAGATCGATGTATGTGCCTTTTTTCTGCACTGCATTTAAGGAGTAACAGCTGACTGGGCCCCACCTGTGTGGGTGAAACCTACAGAGAGTGAGGAGGAGAAGTGGAGTGAGAACTCTCCATGTGTGGTTTATTATGGAGGGATTATTAACCCATCTGTTAATCACAATATTTCTTTTTTTCTGACCACCCTGTTGCCTATTGAAGTCACAGTATTTCTAAAATCCCTCAGCAACTTGGAGAGGTCTAAACAAATGACTCAAATCAGTTAACCCAGAGGGTAAAGGTGACAAGGTCCACATCCTCCTTCATTTGAGGATCTCCAGCCAGCTAAGAGCCAGGTGTCCCTGTTGCCTCTGCCGTACAGCGACTCTTACATGTGCAGACTTGTGGCTTTCTAAAGGTTATCCTGGCTCGTCTGTTTGATGTTTGCATACATGCCATGGTGACCCCTCGGTGACCTGGGATGAAATGCTCATTTGCTCAGGGTGACTCTTACGGTGTTCAGTCAAGAGCACTGCCACCCATCACAGACACCTGCTCCCATGGGAGGCCAAACACATTTGAGAGTTACTGGTTGGAGTCCCTGCCAGCTCTCTTCTCAGGAGCCTTAGAGATGAAAAACAGGCAGGCAAAAACTGGGAAACTAAATTTTCTGTGACTTTCTCATTTCTTTTTCAGAGTTCTCACCTTATGGTTTGATTATGGTCACTGGCCAGATGTCAATGAGGCCTTAGTGGAGGGGGTGAAAGCCATCCAGATTGATACCTGGCTACAGGTGAGGATACTTGGTTACAGGTGAAGGTGGCTCCAAGTCTCTCTTCTGTGTGTCTCCTCTTACAAGCATGCTGTGTTCAGTGTCACAAGGCAGTGTGTGTTAATACAGTGCTAAGGAAGTAGGGCTCGGTCCCAGTGTCAAGTGTCCATATTTTCTTTATTTTCTTTTAGAAACTAAAGGGAAGGGAATGAACCATTTCAGAGCATCAACCGAAACAAGTTAAAAGAATTGATCTTTGCCTAGAAGAATAACTAGTTGTTTCAAGTCTCATATGCTACATACTGTGTCTTTTTGAATACCAGGTTATACCTCAGCTCATTGCAAGAATTGATACGCCCAGACCCTTGGTGGGACGTCTCATTCACCAGCTTCTCACAGACATTGGTCGGTACCACCCCCAGGTATGTGGAGACTCTGGGCAGTTTCTCATCTAACCACTGGTTTGGTGGTCAGCCTTTCCAAAAGCTGCCCTGGCGACACAAGCGCAGGAACTGGGAGCCATGTGTTCCATCCTGGCCCAGGAGGGTCTGTCCAGCCAGCCGTCCCAGAGGGCCCGGGAGCCTTGCTAAAAAGAAAGCGTTCCCTCGAAGACTGAGCCCCTTCCTGGTAGTCTCAAGCAGATGTTAATGTCACACTCACCACTTGTTTTGTTATTCTCCTTAAAATTCATACCAGCTCTTCCCCAACCCACATTTCCTTTATAGATGTTTCTTCTGTTTTTCCCTCAGGCCCTCATCTACCCACTGACAGTGGCTTCTAAGTCTACCACGACAGCCCGGCACAATGCAGCCAACAAGATTCTGAAGAACATGTGTGAGCACAGCAACACCCTGGTCCAGCAGGCCATGATGGTGGGTCGGAGCCACTGTGGGGCTTCATAGACCCTGGTCCCTTAGCTGGTGGGCGCAAGTGGGATTGTTTTTCTTCCTCGCATTGGTGCTGTGCACTTCCTCTGACTGCTGGAAATAGTACCTCCTGTGTCTCCAAAACAGACCTTTCTGAGGTTAGCTGATTCTTGATGCTTCTCTCCTTCTTCTCTTGGCTTCAGGTGAGCGAGGAGCTGATCCGAGTGGCCATCCTCTGGCATGAGATGTGGCATGAAGGCCTGGAAGAGGCATCTCGTTTGTACTTTGGGGAAAGGAACGTGAAAGGCATGTTTGAGGTGCTGGAGCCCTTGCATGCTATGATGGAACGGGGCCCCCAGACTCTGAAGGAAACATCCTTTAATCAGGTATGGGGTAAAAAACACGAAAGGACATAACCCTGTAGAAATATTCTGCCACTAAAAAAAAATGAAATGAGAAAAGTTTTTATAGAATGAAAGGACGTGACCCAAGGCCTTTGTCAGATTTCTTTTCCTCTGGCCTTTCCACTGACTTTAATAAAACGAGCTCTGATGGAGGTCACAGAGCATAAAACATCAGAAATTAGTTACAGGGACCCTTCTGAATTTTAACTGGAAAAGCCCAAGATTTCTCAAGAGGTCATCTCGTCTCTCCTCTCACCCTTCCTTCCCTATAAGCCATGCTGCTGGTTTGGAAGCTCCAGGGTTGGAGGCCTGCACCTATGCTCTTGCTTTCTCCAGCCCCCTGCCAGTGTTTTCAGGCCACAGCGGGCTCCTGAGGAATATCTGCAGTCAGCCTGGGGATTTTGCCTCCTGGGTTGGTTGAGACTTTGATAACTTGAAAACGTGCCTGCTTTCTCTCTCAGGCCTATGGTCGAGATTTAATGGAGGCCCAAGAGTGGTGCAGGAAGTACATGAAATCAGGGAATGTCAAGGACCTCACCCAAGCCTGGGACCTCTATTATCATGTGTTCCGACGAATCTCAAAGCAGCTGCCTCAGGTAGGATCTTCAGGCTCCTGGCAGGGTTAACTGTCATTATAGTCCTTTCTGTTTTACTGTCTATGAATGTTCTAACACTCATTCCAAAGCATCTGGTTTTACTTCTGCTTTGGGACAAGTAATTGTTATTAGCAATCCACTGAAAAATACTTAAATTGCGTTTAAATTCTTCCCTGGAGGCAGAACACTAAATCCTTTGGTAATTATTTACAGCTCACATCCTTAGAGCTGCAATATGTTTCCCCAAAACTTCTGATGTGCCGGGACCTTGAATTGGCTGTGCCAGGAACATATGACCCCAACCAGCCAATCATTCGCATTCAGTCCATAGCACCGTCTTTGCAAGTCATCACATCCAAGCAGAGGCCCCGGAAATTGACACTTATGGGTAAGGACCATTGTGCACTTCTGTCACCCACTTCTCCCTCCTACACTGGCTGAGACCCCTTCCCTCTTCTGAAATTACTGCTTGCCATTCCCACTACTCACCTATCATAGCTACATCTCTCCCATGCTCATTGAGAGGAAAATAGAGGGCAAGCAAATTTCTCATTATGTCCTCAGGACTTAGTTCATTCATGTAGTTGGGCTTATGTGAAGCATGATCACACATAAAGGGAATGACAAAGGCATGCAAGGCAGAGAAGTAACAGTGGAAGGCAGGTGTTGGAGACTGATGAGGCCAGGGAGGAGGCAGCTGGGTGCAAGCAGGGAAGGTGCTAGCTCCTCTGAAACGGGGGCTTCTGGCTCTTGAAATTTTTTTCTTTTTTTTTTTACCATCATAGTCTCTGTGGTAAATGATTGTGTAAAATGAACAAGTGGATTCTCACAGTGAGATTTGTTAAGCAAGTGGGCTCTGGAATTTCCCTTGGGGTAGAGTGTTACTTATGGGGGATGTTTTAGTGAGGCCTGAGTGCTGTGGTGGCACTTTGAGGCCTCTCGCTTTTTTTTTTTTTTTTTTTTTTTTTGAGCCAGAGTTTTGCTCTTGTTGCCCAGGCTGGAGTATAATGGCGCAATCTTGGCTCACTGCAACCTCCACCTCCCAGGTTCAAGCAATTCTCCTGTCTCAGCCTCCCGCGTAGCTGGGATTACAGGCACGCACCACCACACCTAGCTAATTTTTGTATTTTTAATAGAGTTGGGGTTTCACCATGTTGGCCAGGCTGGTCTCGAACTCTGACCTCAAGTGATCAGCCTGTCTCAGCCTTCCAAAGTGCTGGGATTACAGGTGTGAACCACTGCGCCCAGCCACCTCTTGCTCTTTTTTTTTTTTTTTTCCCCAAGACAGAGTCTCACTCTGTTGCCCAGGCTGGAGTGAGGTGGTGTGCTCTCGGCTCACTGCAACCCCACCTCCTGAGTTCAAGCGATTCTCGTGCCTCAGCCTCCCTAATAGCTGAGATTACAGGCGCATGCCACACAATCAGCTAATTTTTATATTTTTAGTAGAGATGGGATTTCACCACGTTGGCCAGGCTGGTCTCAAACTCCCGACCTGAGGTGATCCGCCCAGCTTGGCCTCCCACAATGTTAGGATTACAGGTGTGAGCCACCGCGCCCAGCCTCACCTCTCGCTCTTAATAATGCTCAATGTTTCTTAAATGCAGTGATTATTCACCAACACCAATTAATCATGGTCCACAGGTGATTATCTCTGCATGAGCTGTTGTCTTCTGATACAAAATGTGGGTCAGGCTGGTTCTTGGGGTGTTTAATTAAAGAGAGTTTAAGAAAGGAATTGTTTCCAGAGGTGTAAGCAAAGCTAAGAGAATCAACAAGGAGCGCTCATGAACAAGCACAAGTGAGAAATTGTTACTCAGCCCTCACCCACCCCCACACTCCAGAACTGAAAGAGCAAGGAGCCCAGCTAGAACCGTCACCATGCCAGAGAGGCCATCTAGCAGAGTCTACAGTCCAGAGAGAGTGGTAGCTTCTAGAACTGGGGCCAGGCTGGTGATGGGGGACACATACCCTGACCTCTCCCTCTACCCATCCTCTGACCTCCTGCCAGTACCCTTCCACCATTGGCCACGCCCAAGTGGGATCCCAGGTGATGCGGCTTGTAGGAGTCAGGCTTCTCAGAACAGAGGAGGACAGAGTGGGTCGGAAAACAGGAATGATCATTTCCATGCCTAACCGTTCCTGGTCCTCAAAAACAGATTTTGTTTTGTTTTAATTTGAACAACACTGGTCATTGAGAACCATAAAAGGCAAAGCCACTCTTTTCATTAATTCTAAAGATTGTTTTTTCTTTTTGTGAGGAACGTGTGATTAGGTAAGGCATATGTAGTCTGTGGGATCTCTTGAATGCAGTGGTGCTCTCAGCTGAAGAGCTGAGGACCTCTGATGTACACTCACCGCTCCCACTGTTCCTTACAGGCAGCAACGGACATGAGTTTGTTTTCCTTCTAAAAGGCCATGAAGATCTGCGCCAGGATGAGCGTGTGATGCAGCTCTTCGGCCTGGTTAACACCCTTCTGGCCAATGACCCAACATCTCTTCGGAAAAACCTCAGGTATTCAGAAACCCTGAAATGGCAACAATTTGAGAAGTCTTCTGGTTTTTTCCTACATTTGTCTCGTGTAGTCATGTATTATATCTTAACAAAAAACTATAAAATTAGGGAGCCAGGCATGGTAACTCATGCCTGTAGTCCCAGAAACTCCAGAGGTTGAGGCAGGGGGATGGCTTGAGCCCAGGAGTTCAAGGCTGCAGTGAGCTGTGATTGTGCCACTGCCCTCCAGCCTGGGTAATAGAGCAAGACTGTCTCTTTAGAAGAAAAAGGCTGGGCATGGTGGCTCGCACCTATAATCCTAATATTTTGTAATGCCAAGGTAGGAGGATCACTTGAGCCCAGGAATTCAAGACCAGCCTAAACAACATAGAGAGACCCCATCACTATTTATTTAAAAAAATTAAAAAGGTGACCGGGCACGGTGGCCCATGCCTATAATCCCAGCACTTTGGGAGGCCCAGGCAGGTGGATCACTTGAGGTCAGGAGTTCGAGACCAGCCTGGCCAACATGGTGAAACCCTGTGTCTACTAAAAATACAAAAATTAGCTGGGCGTGGTGGCGGCCACCTGTAATCCCGGCTACTCAGGAGGCTGAGGCACGAGAATTGCTTGAACCTGGGAGGCGGAGGTTGCAGTGAGCCAAGATTGCACCATTGTACTCCAGGCTGGGCAACAAGAGTGAAACTCCATCTCAAAAATAAATAACTAAAGTAAGGAAAAAAAAATTAAGTGGCCAGGCATGGTGGCTCACATGTAATCCCGACACTTTGGAAGGCTACAGCAGGAGGATTGCTTGAGACCAGGAGTTCAAGACCATCCTGGACAAAAAAGTGAGACCCTGTCTCTACAAAAAATAAAAAAATCAGCTGGGCATGGTGGCTCATGCCTGTTGTCCCAGCTCCTTGGGAGATGGAGGCAGAAGAATCATCTTAGCCCAGTTGGTTGAGGCTGCAGTGAGACAAGGTTGTGCCTCTACACTCTAGCCTGGGCAGCAGAGCAAGACCCTTTCTCTCAAAAAATAAAGATAGGCTGGGCACAGTGACTCACGCCTGTAATCCCTGTCTCTACAAAAAAAAAAAAAAAAAAAAGCTGGGCACAGTGTAGTCCCAGCTACTCAGGGGGCTGAGGCAGGAGAATCACTTGAGCCCAGGAGGTCGAGGCTACAGTGAGCTGTGATGGGGCAACTGTGCTCGAGCCTAGGTAACAGCGAGACCCTATCTCAAAAAGTAAATAATATTTTTTAAATGTTTTAAAAATGAAAAATTAAGTTATAAAATTTTATAATTTATAACCAAGTTCTTCCAGAGTTTTTAGGGTATTTTCATTGGGAAATGCCTTTAACAACCTCCAAAGAATCCAGCAGGGAGCAATTTGTGGCGGGTAGACTGGAGAGTCTACAGATGGGATGGGTCTGACCCCTTGTGGGATGAAAGCCAAACCTTTCCCATCGTCCGTATTCTGGCACTCCTCTTCCTGTTAAAACCATGAGAATTCACTTGAGAGGTATTTTAGTCACTTGATTGTTCCCCCAAAGCCATGAGTTTCTTGGGCAGGTTGAGGAGACCTGTGTTGCTTTCACTGCACCATCAGTGCACTGTCTTTCTGTGATGCCTTATTCTTCACAAAGCATCCCTCAACACACACTTCACACCAGCCTGCTGCGGCGGGGGCTCATTAAAAATAGTCAGGGCCGCCGGGCGCGGTGGCTCACGCCTGTAATCCCAGCACTTTGGGAGGCCAAGGAGGGTGGATCACGAGGTCAGGAGTTCGAGACCAGTCTGGCCAACATAGTGAAACCCCGTCTCTACTAAAAATACAAAAAATTAGCCGGGTGTGGTGTTGTGCATCTGTAATCCCAGCTACTCGGGAGGCTGACGCAGGAGAATCGCGTGAACCCAGGAGGCAGAGGTTGCAGTGAACCAAAATAGTGACACTGCATTCCAGCCTGGGCAACAGAACAAGACTCCATCTAAAAAAAAAAAAAAAAAAAAAAAATAGGGCTGGGTGCAGTGGCTTAGGCCTGCAATCCAGCACTTTGGGAGGCCGAGGCAGGCGGATCATGAGGTCAAGAGATTGAGACCATCCTGGCCAACATGGTGAAATCCGTCTCTACCAAAAATAAAAAGATTAGTTGGGCATGGTGGCACACGCCTGTAGTCCCAGCTACTCGGGAGGCTGAGGCAGGAGGATCACTTGAACCCAGGAGGCAGAGGTTGCAGTGAGCCAAGATTGTGCCACTGCACTCCAGCCTGGGCAACAGAGCAAGACTCTGTCTCAAAAAAGAAAAAAAAAACAGTCTGCCTGTGTTCTGAGCTGCTCAAGGGTATACTCTCTTTACGGTACACTAACCCTGCTTTTCTGTGGGCGCCAGCATCCAGAGATACGCTGTCATCCCTTTATCGACCAACTCGGGCCTCATTGGCTGGGTTCCCCACTGTGACACACTGCACGCCCTCATCCGGGACTACAGGGAGAAGAAGAAGATCCTTCTCAACATCGAGCATCGCATCATGTTGCGGGTATGTGATGCGGCCACGAGAGCTAGTGCCCCTTCCGTGGCAGGGAATCTCCGTAGCGCTGCTTTTCTCATTCCTCTCTGTATGTCTGTCACTGAAAAATCTCTTTGAGAGAATCAGCTTTGAAGAAGGTTTAATAAAGTGAGTCCTAAAGCAGATAAGCTTGTAAGAAACTGAAGGACCCTTAAGCTGAGAAATTGTTTTCACCATCCTAGGGAAGACTAGACAGATAAATATTCGGCACCATATATTTACTAATGTATACAAAGCACTGGCCATATGGAGAAATAATGTTTAGTAGATGTGTAAGTAATAAGAAAGAGAATTGCTTGTTTTCCAAAACCTTGAAACTTCCAGTACTCTCATCTGCACAGAAGGCCTATAACTGAGGTGAAGTCTCGTGTTTTTCCCTTATGCCTTGGGGTTCCAGTGGTCATCAGGTTAGAGTGGTCACTTCGTTTCTCCTTTTGCCATGTTCTTATTTCCCTTCTCCTTTGGCTATGATGGGGAAATTAGAACTCAGCTCTGCCTGGACCCCAAGCCTTGTTTCTTCCTGGACCCAAACTACATGTCTTAGGCTGCTCTCTTACTGAACAGTTGTGTCCTGATGCAGATGGCTCCGGACTATGACCACTTGACTCTGATGCAGAAGGTGGAGGTGTTTGAGCATGCCGTCAATAATACAGCTGGGGACGACCTGGCCAAGCTGCTGTGGCTGAAAAGCCCCAGCTCCGAGGTAGGCCACTGGGCCCTGCAGACCTGCGCTCTCCTGGAACCCCCACTCGCAATAGGATGGCCCTCCCATCTGTTCATGTGCACACAGCGGCTCTTCTTTGCTGTGATTGGCTGTAGAGCGTGTCCAGACTTTTCTAACAAAAATGAAATGGGTGAGCAAGACAAGTTCACAGAGTTAGAATGAGTAGTTTAATATTTCCTCCAGAACTCTTTATATATTAAAGAATTAAAGATAGTTGTCTTTTTTATATATGTTACAAATTTCCTATTAACTTAGTTTTTAAATTTTGCTAATGGTGTGTTCTTTGGTTTGGAGTTTTTGTTTGGTTTGGTTTGGTTTTTGATACACAGTCAGCCCTCCATATCCGTAGCTTCTGCATCTGTGGATTCAGCCAACTGTGGATAGAATATTTTTTAAAAATATATATAACAATAAGAAATGTAAATTTTTAAAAATATAGTAGAATGACTGTTTACATTGTATAACATTCACATTGTATTAGGTATTATATGTACCCAAGATGATTTGAAATATAAGGGAGGTTGTGCATAGGTTACATACAATACTATGCCATTTTATTAAAAAGTTGTTTTTGGCTGGGTGCAGTGGCTCACACTTGTAATCCCAGCACTTTGAGAGGCCAAGGCAGGAGGATCACTTGAGCCCAGGAGTTCAATACCAGCCTGGGCAACATAGTGAGACTCCATCTCTTTTTTTTTTTTTTTCCCCGCCCAGGCTGGAGTGCAGTGGCAAGATCTCGGCTCACTGCAACCTCTGCCCCCTGGGTTCAAGCGATTCTCCTGCCTCAGCCTCCCCAGTAGCTGGGATTACAGGCACGTACCACCATGTGGGTTAATTTTTGTATTCTTAGTAGAGACAGGGTTTCACCATGTTGTCCAGGCTAGTCTCAAACTCCTGACCTCAAGTGATCCACCCACCTTGGCCTCCCAAAGTGCTGGGATTACAGGTATGAGCCACCACACCTAGCCTGTGAGACCCCATTTCTACAAAAAAATTAGCCGGGCATGGTGGTACACACCTGTAAGCCCAGCTACTCGGAAGGATCATTTGAATCCAGGAGAATGAGGCTGCAGTGAGCCATACCATGCCACTGCACTCCGTCCTGGGTGACAGAGCGAGACCTTGTCTCAAAGCAATTTTATATATATATATATAAATTTTTTTTTTTTTTTTTAGAGACAAAGTCTCACTGTGTCACCCAGCCTGGTCTTAAGCTATCCTCCTGCCTTGGCCTCCTAAAGTGCTGGGATTAGAGACATGAGCCACCACGCCCGGCCTACACCATTTTATATAAGGCACTTGAGTATTGCAGATTTTGGGATCCGATGGGGGCCCTAACTTAGAGATATGACTGTACAGGCATTTTTTAAAGTTAGAAGTTACCAAATTTTTAATCCTTTTCTTTAAAGTTTCTTCCTTTGGTTTGTTTTTGTTTTTTTTGTTTGTTTGTTTGTGTGTTTTGTTTTGTTTTTTTTTTTTGAGACAAGGTCTTACTCTGTTACCCAGGCTGGAGTGCAGCAGCACGATCTCGGCTCACTACATACTCCGTCTCCCAGGTTGAAGTGATTCTCCTGCCTCAGCCTCCAGAGTACCTGGAATTACAGGCGCGTGCCACCATGCCCGGCTTTTTTTTTTTTTTTTTTTTTTTTTTCTCGAGACGGAATCTCAGTCTGTCACCCAGGCTGGAGTGCAGTGGCGCGATCTCGGCTCACTGCAAGCTCCGCCTCCCGGGTTCACACCATTCTTCTGCCTCAGCCTCCCAAGTAGTTGGGACTACAGGCACCCGCCTCCATGCCCGGCTAATTTTTTTTTTTGTATTTTTAATAGAGACGGGGTTTCACCATGTTAGCCAGGATGGTCTCAATCTCCTGACCTCATGATCCGCCCGCCTCAGCCTCTCAAAGTGCTGGGATTACAGGCGGGAGCCACCGTTCCCGGCCACTCTTTTGTATTTTTAGTAGAGACAGGGTTTCACTGTGTTGGCCAGGCTGGTCTCAAACTCCTAGCCTCGAGTTATCCGCCCTTCTCAGCCTCCCAAAGTGCTGGGATTACAGGCATGAGCCACGGTGCCTGGCCTCTTCCTTTGGTTTTATATTTAGAAAGGCCCTCTCCACCTTGAGGTTATTTTTTTACCTATATTTTCTTATACTAGTTACAGGGTTTTTTTTACATTTAAGTCTTAACCCAAGTCAGACACTATGGTACACACCTGTAGTCTCAGCTACTTGGGAGGCTGAGGCAGGAGGATTGCTTGAGCCCAGGAGTTCAAGGCTGTTGCACATTAAGACCACACCTATGGGCGGGGTGCAGTGGCTCACGTCTATAATCCCAACACTTGGGGAGGCCAAGGCAGGTGGAATGCTTGAAGCTCAGGCGTTTGAGACCAGCCTGGGCAGCGTCGCAAAACCCCATCTCTACAAAAAATAAAAAATTAGCCGGGCATGATGGCACTTGCCCATTGTCCCAGCTACTTAGGAGGATGTGGCGGGAGGATCACTTGAGCCAGGAGGCAAGGGTTGCAGTTAGCTGAGATTGTGCCACTGCACAATCTGTAACTCAGCCTGAGTGACAGAGCCAGACCCTGTCTCAAAAAAAAAAAAAAAAAAGAAGAAGAAAAAGACCACACCTATGAAAAGCCATTACACTCCAGCCTGGGTAATATAGTGAGATCGTCTCTTAAAAATAAACAAGACCAGGCACGGTGGTTCACGCCTGTAATCCCAGCACTTTAGGAGGCCGAGGCGGGCGGATCACGAGGTCAGGAGTTCAAGACCAGCCTGACCAACGTGGTGAAACCCTGTCTCTACTAAAAATACAAAAATTAGCTGGGCATGGTGGCACGTGCCTGTTATCCTAGCTACTCAGGAGGCTGAGGCAGGAGAATCGCTTGAACCAGGGAGGCAGAGGTTACAGTGAGCCAAGATTGTGCCATTGCACTCCAGCCTGGGCAATAGAGCAAGACTCTGTCCAAAAAAAAAAAAAAAAAAAAAAAAAAATTAACTAAGTTTGGAATTTAAGGCGTAACTTTATTTTTTTAAACATGACTAGCCATGACCACACTGTTGGCCAAATAATTCATCCTTTCCCTGCTATTTAGAAGATTTTGTTTTTATTGAACACTGAATTTTTTTTAATTTTATTTTTTGAGAGAGAGTTTCGCTCTTGTTGCCCAGGCTGGAGTGCAGTGGCATGATTTTGGCTCACTTCAACCTCTGCCTCCTGGGTTCAGTGATTCTCCTGCCTCAGCCTCCTGAGTAGCTGGGATTACAGGCACGCACCACCACACCCGGCTAATTTTTGCATTTTTAGTAGAAACGGGATTTCACCATGTTGGTCAGGCTGGTCTCAAACTCCTGATCTCAGGTGATCCACCCACCTCGGCCTCCCAAAGTGCTGGGATTACAGGCATGAGCTACCGTGCCCAGCCTAAACACTAAATTCTACGTGTCCTTGGATTTCTTTCTAGGGCTCCTCTTCTGTTTCATTGCTCTTTCGGCCTGTTTCTCAAGTTCCATGGTGTTAATACAAGTCCCTTCTCAGGGGCTATCGTCATCTATTTTTTTTCTTGAGGCTGTTAACATCTTTATACTCATAAGGGGATATCCTTAAACTGATATTTTTCATTTACTCAGATCTTTAAGTCTAACACATTTCTAATTAAGTTTAATTCAAGGCATAGTTCATTGTTAGAATTGTGAATGAGGTCTTTATAATGTTATACATTCTAACCAGTTATTGATGGACTGTAAGAAAACAACTGATTAGGCCAGGCACAGTGGCTCAGGCCTGTGATCCCAGCATTTTGGGAGGCCGAGGCAAGCGGATCACTTGAGGTTAGGAGCTCAAGACCAGTCTGGCCAACATAGTGAAACCCCGTCTCTACTAAAACTACAAAAATAAGCTGGGCATGGTGGCGGGTGCCTGTAATCTCAGCTACTCAGGAGGCTGAGGCATGAGAACCGCTTGAACCCGGGAGGTGGAGGCTGCAGTGAGCCAAGATAGCACCACTGCCTTCCAGCCTGGGCGACAGAGCGAGACTCGGTCTCAAAAGTACAAACCAAAGACAGCTTATTAGAGTATAATTATGTTGAAATTAAAGTTTCCAGAACCGTAGTTCACATGCACTCCTGTGTTCTAGGTGTGGTTTGACCGAAGAACCAATTATACCCGTTCTTTAGCGGTCATGTCAATGGTTGGGTATATTTTAGGCCTGGGAGATAGGTGAGTAATTTAATTTGGTTTTTTTAGTCTTCTTTCTCCATTGTAGTTTTCCTGAATGGTTTCATTTGGTTTTCCAATTAAATATATGGCTTTTTGGTAAATAAATATTGGTATTGTATATGTAAGGTCTCTTTTACAACATTAGCCTTAGTTCCCTATTGATTGTGATGCCATCAGAAGAATACATCAAACTAAAGAAAAGGAAAAATAGTTCAAGCTGGGTGCAGTGGCTCATGCCTGTCATCCTGGGAGGCCAGGGTGAGAGGATCACTTGAGCCCAGGAGTATGAGACCAACTTGGGCAATAGCAAGACCCCATCTCAATAAAGCCCCACATAGTTCAAGGATACTACTTTCTCCTTAGTCTGGCTTAATGTATTAAAAGCTGTATTGCAGGGCAGGCTCATTGGCTCATGCCTATAATTCCAGCACTTTGGGAGGCTGAGGTGGGAGGATCACTTGAGCCTAGGAATTTGAGACCAGCCTGGGCAGCATAGCAAGATCCCGTCTCTACAAAAAATAATTAGCCAAGCATGGTGGCATACACCTGTAGTCCCAGCTCTTTGGGAGGCTGAGGTAGGAGGATCACTTAAGTCCAGAAGGTCAAAGCTGTAGTGAGCCGTGATTGCACCACTGTGTTCCAGCCTGGTCAACAGAGTAAGACTCTGTCTCAAAGAAAAAAACAAAAATACTAAATCATATTGATTTTATTGATTCAAGAAACATTTGTCAGTCACCACTGTGCTAAGATAAATCATTTTATTTCTGTAATTGAAACCAACCAAAGTAGATCCTTCTGATATTTTTGCATAATAAGTTTTGTCCAAGTGTACTGACTGAACATGTAATTTACGAATGTTCAGAAACGGACTCACAAGAATGTAAAAAAGACTGGTTCTCTGATGTCTACTGTTTTTCTCCTGGAATCATGTCTCATGCAACTATTTGAGAGTAAAAATAATTTTACCCCACAAAAATAGTAGATTTTTGTTTTTAAAAGTCTAGCAGAATATCTGTTGATAAAAGCCAGGTGGTTGCCGGGATTGGCTCAGGGACTTAAGGAGATGAGACCCTGTTACGGCTGCTCAGTAAAAATGATAGAGCCTTGTCACCAGAAGGTGCCAGTGCTGCCAGAAATGACTTATTAGGTCACCAAAGACCTCAGAAAAGCACAGTATCTCAGTACAGTGGGACAACCTGTGATTCACACATAAGCCCACATTTCAGCAGGAGTTGGCAAACTGTTTCTGTAAAGGACCAGTTAATAGGTCGTTTTAGGCTTTGTGGGCCCTTTGGTCTCTGTCACAACTAGTCAGCTCTGCTGTCGTAGCATGGAAGCAGCCTGGAACAGTACTTAAACAAGGGAGCGTGCTGTGTGTTCCAGTAAAACTGGACTTGCAGAAGTGGAGGTGGAGGGGCTGGATTGGCTGAGGGCTATCGTTTGCCAACTCCTAGCTTACAGTATCACGTACTTATTGATTTTTTCATCCGTTATCTCTGTTGATCCCTCCCTGATCTGTCTTCTGTTTCTCAAAGACACCCATCCAACCTGATGCTGGACCGTCTGAGTGGGAAGATCCTGCACATTGACTTTGGGGACTGCTTTGAGGTGAACACATGTTCTAGAACCCCAACCTCATCTTCCCGGGTGATCACTTTTCCCCCTCCTCTGACACTGTAGGCAGACTTAAGCCCAAACTGCCTTACTCTTAACCCCTGCTGGCCCTACCAAGGCTGTAGTTAAGTCAGTCTAAGAAATGAAATCTGGGCTCTTAGTTGGACTCTAACCCCCTTGGAGCAAGGGCTGCTGTTCCCATGCCCTCTGAGTAGAGTAGGCCCCTACCCTCCATACCACCTGTTGCCCAAGAGCCTGGACACGATGCACATTTGTCTTTTTTCCTTTTTGTTTTCTCTTCTTTTCTGTTGTTCGTTTCTTTTTTTTTTTAAGTTGTCTTTCAAATCCCTGTGACAAGTCCTCTCACTAAACCCAAGCTGCTTCCTTTCCCTGCTATAATTAAAATCAGTGCAGGTGATGCAGAGGAAAGCCACCTGCTCCACCTGGCTCCAGGTAAAGAAAATAAACATTGATTTGGCTTTTCCCATTTATTATTCTGTAGGTTGCTATGACCCGAGAGAAGTTTCCAGAGAAGATTCCATTTAGACTAACAAGAATGTTGACCAATGCTATGGAGGTGAGTGGATATCGGGAACGAGCTGCTTCCAAATGGGATCAGGACAGTTACAGCCTTCTGAGAACACGCTTGTTAGAGCCCATCAGTTCTCCAAAGTGCCTTTGTGATTTTTGTAGCAGTTTTCTGTTATTTCCTATTGTGTTAGAAATGACCTATCTATGAAAGGCTTACCACTTCACTTCTGACCTGGTTTCCTGTGGATCACAGTCCTGCCCTGATTCCTTCTCCTAAGACATTCTCACCCTGATACGTCAACATGGCCTGTGTCTGCTTCCTAAGTGAGGGTAACAGACCCCCTCGGCTTGCTTTGGGTGGAGAGTTAGTAACTCCTGTGGTGAGTGGCTCTGTCCCATTTCTAGGTTACAGGCCTGGATGGCAACTACAGAATCACATGCCACACAGTGATGGAGGTGCTGCGAGAGCACAAGGACAGTGTCATGGCCGTGCTGGAAGCCTTTGTCTATGACCCCTTGCTGAACTGGAGGCTGATGGACAGTGAGTATCATCAAGTGCCTGGGAGCTGAGCTCAGTGGCTCACACCTGTAATCCTAACATTTTGGGAGGCCAAGGCAGAGGAGTTGCTTGAGGCCAGGAGTTCGAGACCAGCCTGGGCAACATAGTAAGACCCCTTTCTGCAAAAACTGAAAAAATTAGGCATGTATTAGTCTGTTCTCACGCTGTTATAAAGAACTGCCTGAGACTGGGTAATTTATAAAGGAAAGAGGTTTAATTGACTCACAGTTCTGCTTGGCTGGGGAGAACTCAGGAAACTTACAATCATGGTGGGAGGGGAAGCAAACACTTCCTTCTTCACTTGGGGGCAGAAGAGAGAAGTACAGAGTGAAGGGGAGAAAAGCCCCTTATAAAACCACCAGATCTCATGAGAACTCAGTCACTATCACGAGAACAGCATGGAGGAACCATCCCCATGATCTAATCACCTCCCATGAGGTCCCTCCCACAACACATGGGGATTACAATTCGAATTGCAGTTCAAGATGAGATTTTGGGTGGGGACACAGCCAAACCATATTAAGGTGGGTACAGTGGCACATGCCGGTGGTCCTACCTGCTCAGGAGGCAGAGGCAGGAGGATCACCTGAGCCTGGGAGGTTGAGGCACAGTGAGCTATGATCATGCCACTGCTGCACTCTAGCCTAGGTGACAGCGTGAGACCTTGTCTCAAAAAAATAAAAAAATAAAAAATTTAATTTTAAAAATAAAAGAAAACAAATAAAAAATAAAATCAAGTGTGTGGAAGCTGGGGTTGGCAGCCTCCCAAATTAGCAATATCCAGCACATAACATTTTACAAACCTATGCCCCTTCAAGCCTGCAGCCTGGGATACATTGCAGAGCTATTGCATTACATTTGCACAGAGTAACTCTGACACCTGGAAAAGAACTTCAAGTATTTTTATTAACTAAAACAGAAAATGCCATTATCAATTTAGATACTAAAATATTCTTCAGTATTAACCAAGTATCCTAGTGATTTTTCTCTGGGCTTTATATAGAGTAGTAAGCTGAAATTTTAATAAGAAACGCAAACAGTTATGATTTGGGACAGCAGTATCTTCATCTACCCTTTGTTCTGCCACCTTAGGGGATGTTCACCAAAAGAGCTTCTAATCCATTGAAATTAAATCATACTTTGACCTTATATTATCTGTATTACATTGTCTAAGTCCAAATCAACAGTATAGAGTGTCCCCCTGGGTTTCACATCCCATGCTAATACCCACCCACTTATTCCTGAGTAATATGTCTGTCATCTCTTTTTTTGGGGCTATAGCTTTACGAACAATTATATTTTTATGACTGGAAGAAAATAACCAAGTTTCTTTCAAGTCAAAATTTGAAGCATGTTTCAATACTCTTTATTTCTCTCCCTAGCAAATACCAAAGGCAACAAGCGATCCCGAACGAGGACGGATTCCTACTCTGCTGGCCAGTCAGTCGGTAGGTGCATCCACGGGAGGTCGCAAAGGCTCTCCCCCTTGTGCAGAGTGTTTGTAGAGTGGGGTGGGCTTCAGTCGGTGGGTGCATCCCGCAGGACGTTACAGAGGCTCTCCCCCTTGTGCAGAGTGTTTCTAGAGTGGGGTGGGCTTCAGTCAGTGGGTGCATCCCGTGGGAGGCTGCAGAGGCTCTCCCCCTTGTCCAGAGTGTTTCTAGAATGGGATGGGCTTTGTTATTGACAGTAGGAGGCATAACTTAAAGTGGTAATGGCTACTGAACATGAAGGAAGTAAATCTAGTTTTCTCGTGGTTCTTGACAGTGATAGTTTTGCAAAGGTGCTATTACTGCTAGCTTATCACCTGATAAGCATTTAATTGAACTTCAAATACTTGGTCTAGAAATATTTACTGAGCACCAAGCAGCTAATATGTTTTTTATTTACTGTTTCACACATGGAGTGGGTACCTGAAGCTCTGAGATTTTTATCAAACTATCTGATTTTAATCTATCTGTAAAAACACAGTTTAAAGTATGTCTGAATATCAGCTCACTAATGGTGTCTGGGTTGGAATAATTATTAACAGTATTACCTTGGTCCTCAAGCATTGATAATAGCTCAGAAATGGGAAGATGGAAGCAGCAGAAATTTATTTGCGTTGCTGGGAGGAACCCTGGAACCACATGGAACAGTGTTTCTAGGAGCGCGACTCACAGAGCAGGGGTCTAGAAGACTTGTGTCCCTCTGAGAGCCAGAGTCCTTTTTGTGTGTGGAAACCTCTCAGGAGTGTTTGAGTCAAGCTGTTTAACTTTTATTTTATTTGTATTAGTTTCCAGCACACACAGCATTGAAGTTACTGGTTTTGGGGGGTTTTTTTGTTTGTTTGTTTGTTTGTTTTTGAGTAAAATTGTTTAACTTTGTTTAGCCCTCCCCTCTTCCCCGCACTCCCCATCCCACCCCTTTTTTCCTTCGTGACATTTAGCAACACCCTACATAGTTCATACTTTGGGAATTACTGTTAGGGTGTAAAAAAGTATATCTTTTCTACAAATGTTTACAGAGCACTTACAACTAGTTAATAAACTAAGCCAAATAATGTCTAGGGGTGCAAAAAGAAAATGTGAGGTACAGTGGTCGCCTGAAGAAGCACAGAAAGCATTACAGAATTGACCATAACCTGCGTGAAATAGTCAGAGAGCAGGAGACTCTGCCGTGGAGCCTGCGGGTGCTTTCGTGTGGAGTAGGGCTGTGGAGATTCAGAAAAGGGGACTTCACTGTGAACCGTAGCTGCGAAGAGAGCACTTGGGTTGGTGGCATCTAACCATCACTTCACCTGACAAAGGGTAATTTTTCTTTCTTTTTTTTTTTTTTTTCTTGAGACAGAGTCTCGCTTTGTCACCCAGGCTGGAGTATGGTGGCGCAGTCTCGGCTCGCTGCAACCTCTGCCTCCCGAGTTCAAGCAATTCTCCTGCCTCAGTCTCCCAAGTAGCTGGGATTACAGACGCATGCCACCATGCTCAGCTAATTTTTTTGAATTTTTAGTAGAGATAGGGTTTCACCACGTTGGCCAGGCTGGTTTCGAACTCCTGACCTCAAGTGATCTGCCCGCCTCGGCCTCCCAAAGTGCTGGGATTACAGGCATGAGCCACCCCACCTTGCCAAAGGGTAATTTATCCTTATTGGATGGGTGGAATCTGATGGGTAGAAAGGAAAAGGGTGTTTCAGGCAAGAAATTGGGATACTGGCTTATAATGTCATACATGGACACTGTGACAGGATTTGTGAATGCCTGAATCACCAGGCTCATAGGACACACAGTCTCTGGGGGAGCTTATACTGGTGGCTGGTCTCAAACGAAGTGTGCTGAGACTTACTGGCTTCATTCTCAGGGCCCACCTCCCTAACAATTCTCAAGTGGCTACTATATGCTGTCTGTAGCATACAGAAGGGAACTAGGACAGCCAGTTCTGCTGGCACCAGATGGTGGTGGATTTGGTTGTTTAGCTTAAAAGTTAAATTCCAGCTGGGTGTTGTGGTGCACACCTGTAAGCCCAGGAGGAGCACTTGAGCCCAGGAGTTTGAGACTAGCCTGGGCAACACAGCAAGACCCTGTCTCAAAAAAAAGAACTTCCAATGGATCATTAATAGAAGTATAACTATCACCCGGGTGCGGTGGTTCATGCCTATAATCCCAGTACTTTGGGAGGCCCAGGCAGGCGGAT
This sequence comes from Homo sapiens, assembly GCF_000001405.40. Lineage (NCBI taxonomy): Eukaryota > Metazoa > Chordata > Mammalia > Primates > Hominidae > Homo > Homo sapiens. The sequence goes on along the minus strand of NC_000001.11, from coordinate 11,110,634 downwards.
CACCTGAGGTCAAGAGTTTGAGACCAGCTTGACCGACATGGAGAAACCCCATCTGTACTAAAAATACAAAATAAGCCAGGCATGGTAGCGCATGCCTGTAATCCCAGCTACTCGGGAGGCAGGAGAATCTCTTGAACCTGAGAGGCAGAGGTTGCAGTGAGCCGATATCATGCCACTGCACTCCAGCCTGGGCAACAAGAGCGAAACTCCGTCTCAAAAAAAAAAGAAGTATAATTATCACTACCTTCATTCAGAAGGTCTGTGATGTACAAGGACAGCATTCAAAAAACTTCATAATTCTGATTTCAGACTCTTCTCTGCTAAAAGCCATAATCAGTGGAGGGTGAACCTAACACCTGAGGACTTTTTCTACCCAGAGCTGATATGAAAATTCCTCCAAGGAATAACATTTCAACCTTGTGTGTGACACATTCCGAAGTTAATTTTCTTTATCAGTTTTTGTCCAAACACATTTTGTCACGAGGCTTTTGACCTGTTCTTATTCCTATGAGTTTATTTTGTTAATGCAATTTGCCTGAAAATCCATGTTTCAATTCTGATAAGCACCAAATTTTTTCAATAATTATTAACTCACATTTGAAAATGGCTTTACAGATTTAAAAATTTTTTTTTTTTTTTTTGCAAATGGAGTCTCAGGCTGGTCTTGAACTCAGCTACTCAAGTGATCCTTCCACCTCAGCCTCTTGAGTAGCTGAGATTACAGCTATGTCCAGCTTAAAACTTTGAAATACATAAAGAGTAACATAAAACTTTCCTTCTCTTTTCCCCTTTAGGGTAGGTAGGGCAGGCGTTAAAGGAATAGAGTGCGTAGAGAATTAGATGCTAACACCAACAGTGGCTTTTTGGTGTTTGAATTTTCTGTTAATTGATTTCTTTTCCCATAGAAATTTTGGACGGTGTGGAACTTGGAGAGCCAGCCCATAAGAAAACGGGGACCACAGTGCCAGAATCTATTCATTCTTTCAGTAAGTTCAGCCTCTGAGGAACCGCACCAGTGACTAGCTCATTAAGAAAATAGCAGCTGTGTTATACCCTGAGAGGGGTCAACAAGATGAAGCAACAAAACTGCCTTTGAGCAGAAAAGGTTCCATGAATTTCTCATTATATTCTGAGGACAAAGACGGACATAGAGGAAGGATTGCTTAACACTTACAAAAGTGAATATTTGAGAAAAACAGGGCACCCATTGAACCTGTTGTATTGCTCCCATTCTTACAGTTATTTCTACTTTTGTGTATTCCAGTTGGAGACGGTTTGGTGAAACCAGAGGCCCTAAATAAGAAAGCTATCCAGATTATTAACAGGGTTCGAGATAAGCTCACTGGTGAGTGTGTCATGTGTTTACTTAAAAGGGACATAAAATCTGAGCACACTTTCCTCTCTGAGTGGTGGTCAGCCCCATGTCCAGTGGTGTTAGTGACGAGCTTTGGCACCATGCAGCTGACAAAGAGTGTCTTTGAGGTCATCAGTTAAACATTGTCTCTGATTCTTCTTTCTGATGACTGATAACAGTACTTAATGTTAGTTTAATCTCATTTAACTCAGGAGGTGAATAAATTTCTTTTGGGTCCAAAATCAGCCAAATTCAGAGAAGTGTTTTTTAATCATGTCTTTTTTTTGTTTGTTTGAGACAGTTTTGCTCTTATTGCCCAGTCTGGAGTTCAGTGGCTCCATCTTGGCTCACTGCAACCTCTGCCTCCCAGGTTCAAACAATTCTCCTGCCTCAGCCTCCCGAGTAGCTGGGATTACAGGTGCACGCCCAGCTAATTTTTTGTGTTTTTAGTAGAGATGGGGTTTCACCATGTTGGGCAGGCTGGTCTCAAACTCCTGACCTCAAGTGATTCACCCACCGCACCCGGCCGAATTTTTCTTTTTTTCTTTTCTTTTTTTTTTTTTTTTTTGAGACAGGGTCTTGCTCTGTCACCCAGGCTGGAGTGCAGTGGTGCGATCTTGGCCCACTGCAACCTCCACCTTCCAGGTTCAAGTGATTCTCCTGCCTCAGGCTCCCAAGTAGCTGGGACTACAGGCATGTGCCACCACACTCGGCTAATTTTGTATTTTTAGTAAAGACAGGGTTTCACCATGTTGGCCAGGCTGGTGTTGAACTCCTGACCTCAGGTGATCTGCCTGCCTCAGCCTCCTAAAGTGCTGGGATTACAGGCGTGAGCCACCGCACCTGGCCAAACTTTTCAAATCCAACTATGATGGTATCCTTCATCTTCATGTCTGACGATAAGCTGTTGGCATAGACAGTTAAGCCCACAGGGAACAAGAAGTGCATCGATTGCCAGGAAGAGAGTGAAATGTTTTTGTTCCTCCTGTGCTAGGTCGGGACTTCTCTCATGATGACACTTTGGATGTTCCAACGCAAGTTGAGCTGCTCATCAAACAAGCGACATCCCATGAAAACCTCTGCCAGTGCTATATTGGCTGGTGAGTGGGGCTCTCAAAGTGACTTTGTTAAAATAAGCAATCAGGTCCCAAGCCTAGGCCCCAAAGCCAGAGTAGCAAAAAGAGATTTGGTGAGGTATCTGTAAAGGGCAGTTAGAGCTCAGATCTCTTTAAAAATTCATATTTACTGCATGTGCCCATTGTTATAAAAAAAGAAACTGAGAAATATGGATGCATACTTGGAAGGCAAACACTAAAATTAAAATTACATTAAGATAAGTGGTTCAGGAGAATAGGCAAGGCTTGTTTGTTTGTGAGGGGTTCCTTTTGGGTTTTGCTGTCAGTCCAGTGCAGAGATACAGGAAGGGCGAAGGAAAGAAAAAGCTAGAGCAGTGACAGAGAGAAGGAGATAAAAAGACAGATTTATGATCTGGGAGTCTAACCTCAAGGGCCACTCTGGGGTGTGCTTTGATTAATTGCCCAAGGCATGCTTGAAGGCAGAAACTTGAGAGAGCGGGCGCTGGGGAAGTGTCCTTGCGGGACCTCGGTGGGCATTAGCCTTGACTGGAAATGATGAGTGTGTCCCATGCAATTAGCTGTGGGAGAGCTCAGGGAATACCCTAGGGTTGTCAGACCTTGGCCTTTTCATTTTCAAGTTATCTGTGTAAACCTTTGAAGAAGCTCAAATTATTAAAATATTCCTTTTCTTTCTGCCTTCTTAGGTGCCCTTTCTGGTAACTGGAGGCCCAGATGTGCCCATCACGTTTTTTCTGAGGCTTTTGTACTTTAGTAAATGCTTCCACTAAACTGAAACCATGGTGAGAAAGTTTGACTTTGTTAAATATTTTGAAATGTAAATGAAAAGAACTACTGTATATTAAAAGTTGGTTTGAACCAACTTTCTAGCTGCTGTTGAAGAATATATTGTCAGAAACACAAGGCTTGATTTGGTTCCCAGGACAGTGAAACATAGTAATACCACGTAAATCAAGCCATTCATTTTGGGGAACAGAAGATCCATAACTTTAGAAATACGGGTTTTGACTTAACTCACAAGAGAACTCATCATAAGTACTTGCTGATGGAAGAATGACCTAGTTGCTCCTCTCAACATGGGTACAGCAAACTCAGCACAGCCAAGAAGCCTCAGGTCGTGGAGAACATGGATTAGGATCCTAGACTGTAAAGACACAGAAGATGCTGACCTCACCCCTGCCACCTATCCCAAGACCTCACTGGTCTGTGGACAGCAGCAGAAATGTTTGCAAGATAGGCCAAAATGAGTACAAAAGGTCTGTCTTCCATCAGACCCAGTGATGCTGCGACTCACACGCTTCAATTCAAGACCTGACCGCTAGTAGGGAGGTTTATTCAGATCGCTGGCAGCCTCGGCTGAGCAGATGCACAGAGGGGATCACTGTGCAGTGGGACCACCCTCACTGGCCTTCTGCAGCAGGGTTCTGGGATGTTTTCAGTGGTCAAAATACTCTGTTTAGAGCAAGGGCTCAGAAAACAGAAATACTGTCATGGAGGTGCTGAACACAGGGAAGGTCTGGTACATATTGGAAATTATGAGCAGAACAAATACTCAACTAAATGCACAAAGTATAAAGTGTAGCCATGTCTAGACACCATGTTGTATCAGAATAATTTTTGTGCCAATAAATGACATCAGAATTTTAAACATATGTATATGAGTGGCGTTTTAGTCATAATTTTGATCAGTTCAAAAAGGAAGCATTTACTCTCTTCAGCACTCAGCCTTCAGTAAACACTCTGTAGTAGGGATGACAGAGGACGTAAGGGTGTACGTGACATGGTCCCTTTCCTCAGACTGTTCCCAGGCCAGACAGGTGGAGACAGCATGCCACTGAAGTGAACAGAACTTACCCCGGCCAAGTGCTGAGAAGAGGCATGTATGGGCCACAGGTAGGAGCGTGTATTCCACCGGGTGAGCCTGGAAAGCCCCATAGAAAGGGGGACATTTGGCATGGGTCTTAAAGAGGGGTGGGAGTCTGTCAGATGAACCAAGGGGGGGGCATTCTCAGCAGAAAAGGAAGTGTGAGGCACTGCTGTAAAAGCAAGGTATCCATAGCAGTGGCAAGTATCAGTTGGACCATTTGAAATCACAGGTACGTGGACCATTTTTAATATACAAAACTGGCATTTTCTTATGGCTGCACCTCATAGTTCAGCATGTCTGGCTCAGTGGTCAGTGGGGAATAAAGGGAGTAACAGGAAAATAATAGGAACTAAAGGAGGCAGGAAAGCAGTACGGGGCCGGGGCCAGACCGGGGCCTCCCTCAGTTCAGCAGCAAGGAGTATGAACCTGATGCTGTGAAGTTTTAAAACGGAGTAGTATCTGAGTGGTGTTTTTTGTTTTTGTTTTTGTTGGAGACTGGGTCTCGCTCTGTCACCCAGGCTGAACTGCAGTGGCACAGTCATGGCTCACTGCAGCCTCGGCCCCCTGGGCTCAGGTGATCTTCCCGCCTCAGCCTCCCAATTAGCTGGGACTGCAGATGAGCACCCCCACCGCCAACTAATATTTGTATATTGGGGGAAATTCACCCCCGATATTTCACATAGGTTCTTTTCTATATTCCCTAAGTGTCAGCCGGTCTGAGAAAAGGGACAGAGTACAAAAGAGAAATTTTAAAGCTGGGTGTCCAGAGGAGACATCACATGTTGGCAGGTTCCATGATGCCCCCCTGAGCCATAAAACCAGCAAGTTTTTATTAGTGATTTTCAAAAGGGGAGGGAGTGTACGAATAGGGTGTGGGTCACAGAGATCACGTGCTTCACAAGGTAATAGAATATCACAAGGCAGTGGAGGCAGGGCAAGATCACAGGACCGGGGCAAAATTAATATTGCTAACGAAGTTTTGGGCACGCTTTGTCATTGATAACATCTTATCAGGAGACAGGGTTTGAGAGCAGACAACCAGTCTGACCAAAATTTATTAGGCGGGAATTTCCTCGTCCTAATAAGCCTGGGAGTGCTATGGGAGACTGGGGCTTATTTCATCCCTACAGCTTTCACCATAAAAGACGGCCGCCCCCGAAGCAGCCATTTCAGAGGCCTACCCTCAGGGATGCATTCTCTTTCTCAGGGATGTTCCTTGCTGAGAAAAATAATTTAGCGATATTTCTCCCATTTGCTTTTGAAAGAAGAGAAATATGGCTCTGTTGTGCCCAGCTCACCGGCGGTCAGAGTTTAAGGTTATCTCTCTCGTTCCCTGAACATTGCTGTTATTCTGTTCTTTTTTCAAGGTGCCCAGATTTCATATTGTTCAAACACACATGCTCTACAAACAATTTGTGCAGTTAATGCAATCATCACAGGGTCCTGAGGCAACATACATCCTCATCAGCTTATGAAGATGACGGGATTAAGAGATTAAAGTAAAGACAGGCATAGGAAATCACAAGGGTATTGATTGGGGAAGTGACAAGTGTCCATGAAATCTTCATAATTTATGTTCAGAGATTGCAGTAAAGACAGGCGTAAGAAATTATAAAAGTATTAATTTGGGGAACTAATAAATGTCCATGAAATCTTCACAATTTATGTTATTCTGTCATGGCTTCAGCCAGTCCCTCCATTCAGGGTTCCTGACTTCCCGCAACATTTTTTGTAGACAATGGGGTTTTGCCATCTTTCCCAGGCTGGTCTTGAACTCCTGGACTCAAGCAATCTGCCCCCCTCAGCCTCCCAGAGAAGCCACTGTGCCCAGCCCTGAGTGGTGTTTTTAAAAGGCAACTGGTGGCCAGGTGCAGTGGCTCACACCTGTAATCCCAGCACTTTGGGAGGCTGAGGCAGGTGGATCACCTGAGGTCAGGAGTTGGAGAGCAGCCTGGCCAACGTGGCCAAACCCCGTCTCTGCTAAAAATACAAAAGTTAGCCAGGTGTGGTGGCATACACCTGTAATCCCAGCTACTGGGGAGGCTGAGGCAGGAGAATTGCCTGAACCTGGGAGGCGGAGGTTGCAGTGAGACAAGATTGCACCACTATGCTCCAGCCTGGGCAACAGCAAGACTCCGTTTCAAAAAAAAAAAGGCCGGGCATGGTGGCAGGCGCCTGTAATCCCAGCTACTCAGGAGGCTAAGGCAGGAGAATCACTTGAACCGGGCAGCAAAGGTTGCAGTGAGCCGAGATCGCACCACTGCACTCCAGCCTGGGTGACAGAGCAAGACTGTTTCCAAAAAAAAAGGTGAATTTAAATCTCAATGGTGATACTAATAACAGTTCTAACACTCACAGCTAGAAAGTCACATACCTACTTGGATTTTCTGTTACAGTCCTAAACCATGTATCACCTATTTGCTCCAGAAAATATGGTCACCATAACTTTCCTGGCTCCAGATGAAATAACTCTCAGTGACTACAGTGATGTTACTATTCATGAACGATAAAGGTGTGAGAATGATAAAGGCAGGAAAATGGTGGCCATCAGTGATAAAGATATATTCTTTAGGATATAAGAGTCTGGATTAAGGTCTTTGGTGAATCCGATAGGTTTTAAGTTATATCTAAGCAAAGCCTTCTGGGTGTGTTGAGACAAATTATCAAAGGCAGAGGAGGAGCTAGTGGAGGCCTTTAAATACAGTTTAGTCCAGCCAGGCACGGCAGCTCATGCCCGTAACCCCAACACTTTGAGAAGCTAAGGTGAGAGGATTGCTTGAATCTAGGAGTTTGAGACCAGCCTGGGAAACATAGTGAGACCCTGCCTCTACAAAAAATAAAAAAATTCGTTGGGCATGGTGGCATGGGCCCAGTCTACCCTGGATGCTGAGGCCAGAGGATTGTTTGAGCCCAGGAGTTCAAGCTTACAGTAAGCTATGATTGTGCCACTGCACTCCAGCCTGGATGACAGAGACCCTATCTCTAAAAATAAATACATAAACAAGGATGAAGATCTTTATGATGATCCACTTAATGAATAGTAAATATATTTTCCTTAAAATTTTCGTAATTTATTGTAAGAATACAATACATACACACAATATGTGTCAGTTGACCGTTTGTTATCGGTAAGGCCTTTGGTCAACAGGAGGCTATTAGTTAAGTTTTGGGGGAGTTAAAAGCTATATGTGGATTTTCGACTGCTCAAAGGGATGGGAGCCCCTAATCACCAGATGTTGTTAACAGGTTAACTATTTTTTTCTTTTTTTTTTTTTTTTTTTTTTTTTTTTGGAGACAAGGTCTGGCACTATCACCCGGGCTGGGGGGCAGTGGTGCAATCTCAGCTTACTGCAACCTCCACCTCCCGGGCACGAGTTATCCTCCCACCTCAGCCTCCTGAGTAGCTGGGACTACAGGTGCATGCCATCACACTCGGCTAATTTTTGTATTTTCTGTAGAGACTGATTCTTGCCATGTTGTCCAGGCTGATCTCAAACTGGTGAGCTCAGGCCATCCTCCCACCTCAGCCTCCCAAAGTGCTAAGATTACATGTGTGAGCCACTGCGCCCAGCCAGTTGTATTTTTTAAGAATCAAGGCTGAGGCCGGGCATGGTGGCTTATGCCTATAATCCCAGCACTTTGGGAGGCCGAGGCGGGTGGATCACGAGGTCAGGAGTTTGAGACTAGCCTTGCCCACATGGTGAAACCCCATCTCTTACTTAAAAATGCAAAATTAGCTGGGCGTGGTGGTGCACGCCTGTAATCCCAGCTACTCAGGAGGCTGAGGCAGGAGAATCACTTGAACCCGGGAGGCAGAGGTTGCAGTGAGCCAAGATCATGCCATTGCACTCCAGCCTGGGCAATAGAGTGAGACTTCATCTCAAAAAAAAAAAAAAAAAAGAATCAAGGCTGTAGTGTCAACTTACTAAGTTTCAAATATCAACTGCATCTCATAGTACCTTTGTGACCTTGGATAAGTTACGTAGATTCTCTCTGCTTGTCTCCTCTGAAAGTGTGGGTAAGCCCTACCTTGTGAGGCTGTCTGAAAGACAAGATAATCCATGGAGGAGCATTTAGCACAGCCTGACTGACATGTGGTATTAGGTTGAACCACGTGAAATAGGTCCTCAAAAATACTAAATGAACTAGGCGTTTGTCCTGCCAGAGTACCTGTGTACCTGAAGCACACACACGGAAAAAGTGAAAAGCAAGTATTCTCTTAACTGGATATGCTGAACATTTATTGAAGACTTAATGGGTGGAATGAATTGTATTAAGGGCATCCCATCTCTAATTTCAGGAGAGTGAATCTATCTCTTGAGCTGCCTGATAATTCGGTGCCTCCCTCACAAGAGCTCTTCCAGGAGTTCACTTCACAAATGTGTACTGAGTTCCCACTCTGTGTTAACCAGAATGGTTCCAGCGATGTCTGCAGGAAACAACGTCTGCTTGGAGGAGTTCAGAGGGTACTGGAGGGAGGAAGCACAGTTGGAGCTAGACGCTTTCTTCAGGAGCTTACCTGTAAAGGGCAAGAGAGAGATGATGGCAGTTGGAAGGAGATGTGGGAGCCAGTGTTTTTTCCTTTTCTCTTTTAGTTGGGAAAGATGTCAGTGTACTTGTAGGCTGTTAGGAATGAACCAATAGAGAGGGAAAAGATAGATCCAGGGGGCAGGGGAGGTGTAATTAATTACAGGAGTCAAGACCAAATGGGTGAGGGGAACACAGAACCAGCCAGAGCTTGGGAGGAGGTGACTTTAAATATGAGGCTGGGCCGGGCACAGTGGTTCCTGCCTGTAATCCCAGTGAGGTGGGAGGACGGCTTCAGCCCAGGAGTTCGAGACCAGGTTGGTAAGATGCAGTCTAAAAAAAATAAGCCAGGCGCTGGTGGCGCACACCTGTAATCCCAGCACTTCGGGAGGCCAAAGCAGGTGGATCACTTGAGGTCAGGAGTTCAAGACCAGCCTGGCCAACATGGTGAAACCCCATCTCTACTAAAAATACAAAAAAAAAAAAAAAATTAGCCGGGCATTGTGGCACACGCCTGTAATCCCAGCTACTTGAACCTAGGAAGCGGAGGTTGCAGTGAGCTGAGATTGCACCACTGCACTCCAGCCTGGGCAGCAGAGTGAGACTCTGTCTCAAAAAAAAAAAATAAACAGGGCAGGCACGGTGGCTCCGCCTGTAATCCCAGCACTCTGGGAGGTCGAGGCGGGAGGATCACAAGGTGAGGAGTTCGAGACCAGCCTGGCCAATATGGTGAAACCCCGTTTCTACTAAAAATACGAAAAAAATTAGCCGAGCGTGGTGGTGCACGCCTGTAATCCCAGCTACTCGGGAGGCTGAGGCAAGAGAATTCGTTGAACCCGGGAGGCGGGAGGTTGCAGTGAGCCAAGATTGCGTCACTGCACTCCAGCCTGGGCAACAGAGTGAGACTCCATCTCAAAAAAAATAAAAATAAAAATAGGCTGCACGCTGATGACTCGTATCTGTAATCCCAGCACTTTGGGAGAGCAAGAGTGAAACTTTGTCCCAAAAACATGGTTTTTTTTGTTTGTTTGTGACAAGGTCTCACTCTGTTGCCCAGGCTGGAATGCAGTGGTTCGATCTCGGCTCACTGTAACCTCCACCTCCCGGGCTCAAGCCTCAGCCTCCCGAGTAGCTGGGATTACAGGCATGTGCCACCACGCCCGACTAATTTTTGTGTTTTTAGTATAGACAGAGTTTCACCATGTTGGCCAGGCTGGTCTCCAACTCCCGACCTCAGGTGATCCACCCGCCTCGGCCTCCTAAAGTGCTGGGATTACAGGTGTGAGTCACGGCGCCCAGCCTCAAAAACATAACCTTAAAAAGAAATTTTTGAGACAGGGTTTCATCCTGTCACCCCGGCTGGAGTGCAGTGGAGCCTCCACCTCCTCGGCTCAAGCAACCATCCCACCTCAGCCTCCCGAGCAGCTGGGACTACAGATGCGCACCACCACTCCCGGTAATCCCGGTTTGTTTGTTTTTTAAATTTTTAAATAAACACGAGGATAAGCGGGGATCGTGGCCCTCGCCTGGGGTCCCTGCTACTTCGCAGGCTAAGGTGGGAGGATCTCTTGAGCCCAAGAGTTCGAAACCAGATTGGGCAAACCTCGTGTCAAAAATATATGTGATAGTCAGGTCCTCCAGGCCGCACCCTAGATCACAGGGTTGTTGGGATGATACAATATGAGGTAAAAGAACGTGAAATTCACACCAGAGCGCTCGAAAGTGCCACCCTAATCGCAGGCTTCCCAACCTAATCGCAGGCTTCCCAACCTAATCGCAGGTGCCCCACCCTAAACGCAGGCTTCCCAACCTAATCGCAGGCGCCCCACCCCAATCGCAGGCTCCCCACACTATAATCAGACGCCCCGCCCGCCGCTTCGACCTGGCGCATGCGTGGTGCGCACGCGTCCCGTCTCCTCGGCCGACAAGCTCTCGCGAGACGAGCCGTGCAGGCTGAAAAAATGGCGCCACCCAGTACCCGGGAGCCCAGGGTCCTGTCGGCGACCAGCGCAACCAAATCCGACGGAGAGATGGTGCTGCCAGGCTTCCCGGACGCCGACAGCTTTGTGAAGGTGAGTTCGCGGGGCCTCGGGGGTACCAGGAGTCGCCCGCGGCCGCCGGAAGCCGACTGGGCCCTCTGGGCAGCCAATGCCCGCCCGCCGTAGTGGAGCCCGAGCGAGGGTCGCGGGGCCCCTGTCCGCGCTGGGCGCAGACTCTCCTGCACCCTCCGGGGATGGGGCCTCGGAAACGGACACTGAGGGGCGTCCCGCTTGCGAGCCTAAGTCCATGGAGGCCCAAATGTGGAAAGCCGTCTCGCATCCTGGGAAAGGCTTCCTTGCCACCCAGACGTCCCTAGCCCTTGCGACGTCGCGCTCGCCACGCCCTAGCCACCCGACCAGCTCTCCGCAGGGGCTCGGCTTCTTCGCGCTCCCCACACTTGCCTGGAGTTGTCTCCTCCCGCGGCCAGTATGGCCCTTCTCTTCCTCTGTTTCTGAAGTCCAGTCCTACATAATTTTTAACCCTGAGTTAAATGTCACCTGTTAAAGCCCCATTGCACGTTTATTAGTAACTCCTGGAAGGTATACAGGGCGTTCACTTAAGATCTTTGTATAACTTAGCTTAAATATGAGCAAACGTACAACTAGGCTTAAGGTGTGCATAGCTCTTACAAAGCAATGAAACTAAAATAATTTGTAAATTAACCCTATAAATTTACAGAAATTCCACTAACGTTGTATCTTATCTAATTTGCTGTTAGCTAATGCTATTGATTCATTAACATGGCTCTCAATAGTTCCTGGACCACTAACTGTGGTCCTGGTTGTGTGGCGGTCATGCTCATAAGCTACCATGTTCCCCTCCGTGACTTAATTTCCCACCTCCTTTCTCTGCTTTTTTCTTGGGAAATGTTTATTCACAAAACTCACAATGACGTTTTAGGCCTTCACATGATCAGCCATCATTTATGTCACTTCACGGCTTTTTTTCGTTACCTCACAACAGTTAAAATAGAGAACCACTTGACACTAACTGAACAATAAACACAAATCCAGTTTTAGATAGTAGCTGTTATAAATTTGTCGTCCAAGGATCTAGGATAAGCTTGTATTGTTTTTAGATGCTCATCCAGATGAAAACACAAAAACAAATTCCTGTAGAAAGCTCTTGGATCTGAACTTGAGTCGTAATAATAACGCTTATGTGCCAAGAACTGTCCTAAGTGCTTTTATTAGCTTATTCATTCTGTCCTCACAAAAACTCTGTGGTGCAGGCCCTTTTTATTTTTCCTGTTTCTCAGAGGAGAACACTAAAGTCCAAATAAAGCAATCACTTGTCCAAGATCTCAGTTAATACGTAGCAGAGTCAAGATTCAACCCCAGGTATTTGTGAATATTAATCAGATTATATACGTATGTATTCTGTCTCTCAACTCTCCCAAGAATATAAGCTCCAAACTTGGTTTCCTGTTCAGTATTGTATTCTCAGGGCCTAGATTAGATTGGGGTTTGGCACTAAATGAGTGCTTTTTTTGATGGATGAAGAGTAGATACCTTGTATACGATAGATCAAAAAAATGACATACCAAATGAATGGGGATCCCTGTGTAAACATGCCATCTTTTCTTGTTTTTGACAGTTTGCTCTTGGGTCCGTGGTGGCAGTCACCAAGGCATCTGGGGGCCTACCACAGTTTGGCGATGAGTATGATTTTTACCGAAGTTTTCCTGGCTTCCAAGCATTTTGCGAAACACAGGGAGACAGGTTGCTTCAGTGGTAAGTACTGTACTTTGTTTTCTTGTGTTAGTGAAAAGAAATGAAAACAAAGAAGTAGATAAATTTTTCCTGAAATTTATTTTTCCTTAAACATTTTCTGTGGTATGAAGAGCTATAAAATGTGAAAATTGAAGCAATGGATTTTGATTAGGGAAATATTACTTGGTATATTTTTAGTTTAGCCTTTAAAAAATGTATTGACTTTTGTACTGAAAAAATATATTGACTTTTGTACAAATCTTTTTTAATTAAATGGGACGTGAACACTTAGAGCCAAGATTCTTTTTTTTTTTTGAGACGGAGTCTCGCTCTATTGCCCAGGCTGGAGTGCGGTGGCATGATCTCGGCTCACTGCAAGCTCCGCCTCCCAGGTTCACGCTATTCTCCTGCCTCAGCCTCCTGAGTAGCTGGGACTACAGGTGCCCGTCAACACGCCCAGCTAATTTTTTGTATTTTTAGTAGAGACAGGGTTTCAACATGTTAGCCAGGATGGTCTCGATCTCCTGACCTCGTGATCCACCTGCCTCGGCCTCCCAAAGTGCTGGGATTACAGGCGTGAGCCACCGCGCCTTGCCAGATCCAAGATTCTTTCCCACAACTTGTAGAGTAGCAGGTATTTTTATTTTTATTTTTATTTTTTTTGAGATGGAGTCTCGCTCCATCACCCAGGCTGGAGTGCATTGGCTCAATCTCGGCTCACTGCAACCTGCGCCTCCCAGGTTCAAGCGATTCTCCTGCCTCAGCCTCCCGAGTAGCTGGGATTATAGGTGTACACCACCACGACCAGCTTTTTTTTTTTTGTTGGGGGGGAGTACGGAGTCTTGCTCTGTCGCCCAGGCTGAAGTGCAGTGGCGTGATCTCGGCTCGCAGCAACCTCCACCTCCCAAGATCAAGCGATTCTTGTGCCTCAGCCTCCCCAGTAGCTGGGATAACAGGCATGTACGACCATTCCCGGCTAATTTTTGTATTTTTAGTAGAGGAGGTTTCACCATGTTGGCCAGGCTGGTCTCGAACTCCTGACCTTGTGATCCACCCACCTCAGCCTCCCATAGTGTTGGGATTACAGGTATAAGCCACTGCGCCTAGCCAGTTTTTTGTATTTTTAGTAGAGATGGGGTTTCACCATGTTGGCCAGGCTGGTCTCGAAGTCGTGACCACTCCTGAAGTGCTAGGATTACAGGTGTGAGCCACTGCGCCCAGCTAGGGTGCAAGTTTTATTGGTTTCATCAAAAAGTATCAGGGGCCAGACATGGCGGCTCATGCCTGTAATCCTAGTGCTTTGGGAGGCAAAGGCAGAAGGATCGCTTGAGCCCAGGAGTTCAAGACCAGCCTGGGCAACGTAGGGAGACTCCATCCCTACAAAAAATTTTTAAAGTAGCTGGGAGTGGTGGTGCACCACTCCCAAGTCACAGCTACTTGGGAGGCTGAGGTGGGAGTATCACTTGAGCCCAGGAGTTCAAGGCTACAGGGAGCTGTGATTGTACTGCTGCATTCCAGCCTGGGTAACAGAGCAAGACCCTGTCTCTTTAAAAAAAAAAAAAAAAAAAAGAAAGAAAGAAAGAAAGAAAAAGGCTGGGCTCATGGCTCACACCTGTAATCCCAGAACTTTGGGAGGCCGAGGCAGGTGGATCACTTCAGGTCAAGAGTTCGAGACCAGCCTGGCCAACGTGGTGAAACGTCATCTTTACTAAAAATACAAAAATTAGCCAGACCTGGTGGCGTGTGCCCATAATCCCAGCTACTCAGGAGGCTGAGGCATGAGAATCGCTTGAATCCGGGAGTCGGAGGCAGGCAGATCACTTCGGGTCAGGAGTTCGAGAGCAGCCTGGCCAACATGGCAAAACCTCATCTTTACTAAAAATACAAAAATTAACCAGACCTGTTGGCATGTGCCTATAATCCCAGCTACTCAGGAGGCTGAGACACGAGAATCGCTTGAACCCGGGAGGTTGAGGTTGCAGAGAGCCAAGATCATGCCACTGAACTCCAGCCTGGGCAACAGAGCAAGACTGTCTCAAAAAAAAAAAAAAAGATGTGTTGGGAACAGTCTGAGCCACATCATTTGAACATTCTCTCTCACAGAATGTAAACAAGTGAAATAAAAATCTACAAGCTAACCTTGGTTTTCCTTTCCTTAGCATGAGCAGAGTAATGCAGTACCATGGGTGTCGCAGCAACATTAAGGATCGAAGTAAAGTGACTGAGCTGGAAGACAAGTTTGATTTACTAGTTGATGCCAATGATGTAATTCTGGAGAGAGTGGTGAGTATTTTCCCTTACTCTTTTTTTTGTTTTGTTTTGTTTTTGAGACGGAGTCTCGCTCTGTCGCCCAGGCTGGAGTGCAGTGATGCGATCTCGACTCACTGCAAGCTCTGCCTCCCGGGTTCACAACACTCTCCTGCCTCAGCCTCCCAAGTAGCTGGGACTACAGGCGCCCGCCACCACACCTGGCTAATTTTTTTGTATTTTTAGTAGAGACGGGGTTTCACCGTGTTAGCCAGGATGGTCTCGATCTCCTGACCTTGTGATCCGCCCGCCTCAGCCTCCCAGAATGCTGGGATTACAGGCGTGAGCCACCACACCCGGCCTTCCCTTACTCTTATGGTAACTAACAAAGAGCTTTGTATTATTAAAATATACGGATAGACAGAGCAACCCAGGCACCTTAGAAAATGAAAAGGAAATAAGCTTAACATTTCTTATAATAACATTCCCTTCTAATAGTTGGTATATTTTTTCTAAAAAATAATTACAGTTGTCTTAAAAATATTACTGCCCCATGGAAGCTTCTTTTTTTTTTTTTTTTTTGAGACGGAGTCTTGCTTGGTTGCCCAGGCTGGAGTGCAGTGGGGCGATGTTGGTTCACTGCAACCTCCACCTCCCAGGTTCAAGCGATTCTCCTACCTCAGCCTCCGGAGTAGCTGGGATTACAGGCACCCACCACTATTCCTGGCTAATTTTTGTATTTTTAGTAGAGACATCGTTTTGTCATATTAGCCAAGCTGGTCTCAAACTCCTGACTTCAAGTGATCTGCCTGTCTTGGCCTCCCAAAGTGCTGGGATTACAGGCGTGAGCCACCTCACTGAGCCTGAAAGCCTGTTTTTAAAGTGCCTTATTCCAGCCAGGTGTGGTGGCTCACACCTACAATCCCAGAACTTTGGGAGGCCAAGGCGGGTGATCACCTGAGGTCAGGAGTTCAAGACCAGTCTGGCCAACATGGTGAAACCCCGTCTCTACTAAAATATAAAAACTAGCCAGGCCATGGTGGCACACACCTGTCATTCCAGCTATTCAGGAGGCTGAGGCAGGAGAATCGCTTGAACCCGGGAGGCCAAGGTTGCAGTGAGCCGCGATCATGCCACTGCACTCCAGCCTGGATGACAGTGAGACTCTGTCTCAAAAAAAAAAAAAAAAAGGTGGCCTGGCATGGTGGTTCACGCCTATAATCCCAGCACTTTGGGAGGCCGAGGTGGGTGGATCCACCTACCTGAGGTCAGGGGTTCAGGAGCAGCCTGGCGGACATGGTAAAACACTGTCTCTACTAAAAATATAAAAAATTAGCTGAGTGTTGTGGTGGGCACTTGTAATCCCAGCTACTCAGGAGGCTGAGGCAGGAGAATCGCTTGAACTCGTGAGGCAGAGGTTGCAGTGAGCCAAGATTGCACCATTGCACTCCAGCCTGGGCATCAAGAGTGAGACGCCATCTCAAAAAAAAAAAAAAAAGTTAAAGTGCCTTATTCTGGCCAGGGTCAGTGGCTCACTCCTGTAATCCTAGCACTGTAGGAGGCCGAGGTAAGAGGATTGCTTGAGCTCAGGAGTTCCAGAACCAGCCTGGGCAACATAGTGAGACCTTGTCTTTATTTAAAATTAATAAATAAATAAAGTGCCTTATTCTGAATCTGTCTTCCAGATCTGCAAATTCTGTTTTTATTTTTTTGGATACTGAAGTCTTGCTCTGTCACCCAGGCTGGAGTGCAGTGGTGCAACCATAACTCACTGCAACCTTGAACTCCTGGGCTCAAGCGATCCTCCCACCACAGCCTCCCAAGTAGCTGGGACTGCAGGTGTGCACCACCACGTCTGGCTGAATTTTTTTTTATTTTATAGAGACAATGTCTTGCTGTGTTGCCCAGGCTGGTCTTGAACTCCTCAAACAATCCTGGCCTCAAACAATCCCCCCCCACCTCAGCCTCCTTAGTCACTAGGATTATAGGCATGAGCCACTGTGCCTGACAAGATTTGCAAATTCTATTTGTGTTGCAAAAGAAGAGGCATTTATATCACCCAACCAAAATTTAGTTTATTTGTACCGTTACTCAAAATCTACTGAACCCCCTCCAGCTCACAGGATTGGAAGGAGATGTGTATTATTCTGTCTTGCTTACTATCTATTTATGCCTAATTCTATGGCAGAACGTTATTTCCACAGAAATACATAGAGATCATGGAAAACAAATCTGACTTCAACCATCTGACAGTCCTGAAAATATTTAAATCATGCCCTCCTGTCCCATGAAGTCATCTCTTCCCTAGTCTAAATGCCTACAAATCTTTCAGCAGTTTCTGGTATATTGTGATTTCAAGTCCTGCCATAATCCTATGTGTCACCTGGTTGTGCCTCTGTTAGTAGTGCCCAAGCTGATATTTCACGTCTGCTTTAAAGTGCAAAATAGATGAGGACTCCCTGCAGTTTCATTCTAAATAGTGTACTTCTATATTTAATGTATGCAGTCCAGGGACTTCTTAGTTATTTTAGTGGCCACATTACACTGTTAAATCATATTAGAATTTTCAGCCCAATTCAGAGCTTTAAAGAGTCAATCGAGTATTGGGCATGGGTAATTACTGTCCTACCTGCCTTTGAGCAAATAATGCATTAATTACTTGGCATGACATACTAATGACCTTTATTGATCAACTTTGTAAAATTTTTATTTTTTTATTGACAAAAATTGTATAGGCGATCATTTACATGGTTATGTCTCAATAAACCTATATTATAAGTCAAAAATGCATTTAATACACCTCACTTACCAAATAGCTTAACTGAACCTGCTTTAAATGTGCTCAGAAAACTTCCATTAGTCTACAGTTGGGCAAAATCTTACACAAAGCCTATTTTTATAATACAGTGTTGAATATTCATCTCATGTAATTCAAGTAGCATTGAATACACTTCTGAAAGTGAAAAACAGGTTGTGGCCGGGCACAGTAGCTCATGCCTGTAATCCTAGCATTTTGGGAGGCCAAGGCAGGTGGATCACTTGAGGTCAAGAGTTCAAGACCAGCTTGGTCAACATAGTGAAACCCCATCTCTACTAAAAAATACAAAAATTAGCTGGGCGTGGTGGCGTGCACCTGTAGTCCCAGATACTCGGGAGGCTGAGGCATGAGAATTGCTTGAACCCAGGAGGCGAAGACTGCAGCAAGCTGAGATTGGACCACTGCACTCCAGCCTGGGCAACAGAGTGAGACTCCCTCTCAAAAAAAAAAAAAAGAAAAACAGGGCCAGGCACAGTGGCTTACGCCTGTAATCCTAGCACTTTGGGAGGTCGAGGCAGGCAGCTCACAAGGTCAAGAGATCGAGACCATCCTGGCCAACCTGGTGAAACCCTGTCTCTACTAAAAATACAAAAATTAGCTGGGCGTGGTGGTGCATGCCTGTAGTCCCAATTACTTGGGAGGCTGAGGCAGGAGAATCGCTTGAACCCGGGAGGCAGGTTGCAATTAGCTGAGATCACGCCATTACACTTCAGCCTGGCAACAGAGCAAGACTCTGTCTCAAAAAAGAAAAAAGAAAAACAGGTGGTAAGTGTACTTGAAATATGGATTCTACTAAATGCAAATCACTTTCACATCATTGTAAACTCAAAAACTTACAAGTCAAACTGTCATACATTGGGGACCATCTATATATTTATTACATACAACTTGATGTTTTGATACATACATTGATCTGTTCTTATATATGTATATTTTCTTACACAAATGTCTCTGAATACCAATCTCTTTAAAATGTTAGGTAATTAGGTGGGGCACGGTGGCTCACGCCTATAATCCCAGCATTTTGGGAGGCTCAGGTGGGCGGATCACTTGAGGTCAGGAGTTCGAGACCAGCCTGGCCAACCGGGTGAAACCCCATCTCTACTAAAAATAAAAAATTAGCCAGGTATGGTGGTGCACACCTGTAATCCCAGCTACTCGGGAGGCTGAGGCAGGAGAATCGCTTGAACCCTGGAGGCAGAGGTTGCAGTGAGCCCAATTCAGAACTGTAAAGAGTTGCAGTGAGGCAAGATTGCGCCACTGCACTCCAGCCTGGGTGACAGAGTGATACTCCATGTTAAATAAATAAAATGTTAGGTAGTTAACTCTGCTAACCTCAAAAGGAAAAATGCTTAACCAGTACCTCTTCTACTCTTAGGGTATTTTACTGGATGAAGCCTCAGGTGTAAACAAGAATCAACAGCCTGTCCTCCCTGCCGGCTTGCAGGTCCCCAAAACGGTAGTGTCCAGCTGGAACCGTAAGGTGAGGGCTTTTCAGATTAACTAGAGCTCTTGATGTCAGCTTCATAACAGAGATTTTGCTCATTCTAACATGCATTTCTGTTCTAATTTATTAGAGAACTGGCCACTGTCTCCTTTAGTTTGTTCTCATAAACATACACAAACTAATTACACCCTCTTCTTCTCTTTCTGGAGACCTCTACATGCACATACATTCTTAAATGAATGAATGACCTTTGCGATGTTCTTGTCTCCTCAGAAGTCATAAATTGGAATTTACTTTTCTAATTCATCAAGTTGCTGTGTTATAAAGTATTTGTATTCATTGATCATAGGCAGCAGAATATGGCAAAAAAGCAAAATCTGAAACTTTCCGGCTGCTTCATGCAAAAAATATCATCCGACCTCAGCTCAAGTTTCGAGAGAAGATTGACAATTCCAACACACCATTTCTTCCTAAAATCTTCATCAAACCCAATGCTCAGAAACCTCTCCCTCAAGGTAAATAGTGCATACTTTGCCTGTGTTTGAGTCTCACTTTATTTGATGCAAAAACCAGGAAGGGTGTACAGGTCTCTCTTCTTTGTTCAAAGGGAGCCCACCCTCCTTTGTTCAAAGGGAGCCCAGTTCAGCTATTCCAGAGGCTGAAGTGGGAGGATCACTTGAGCCCAGGAGGTCAAGGCTACAGTGAGCTGTGCTTGTGCCACCACACTTCAGCCTGGGGGACAGAACATGACCCTGTCTCAAAAAAAAAAGCCAAAAAACAAAGGGAACCAGTTTACCCCTGTGTAATTAGAAAAGACATGAATGTGCTAATGATGTTTTTGTCACTGCTGGGATCCCCAGCTCTCTCTAAGGAAAGGCGGGAACGCCCACAGGATCGTCCTGAGGACTTGGACGTCCCCCCTGCACTGGCTGATTTCATCCATCAGCAGAGAACCCAGCAGGTTGAGCAAGACATGTAAGTGTTGGCCTGTGTCTGACTTTCTGCCGTGAGTACTTACCTTTTTGCCACATTTTCACTTTTGTGGAGTATATACATGAAAACAATCTGAGGAGTAGTGATTTCCTCCTTACACCCCAACCTGGGCCTTAGCAATAAAACCTGCTGTTTGTGTTCACAAAGGGCCTACACAGCATTGCCTCATGTAAACCTCACTGCAGTCCTGAGAAGTAGCAGTTGCTCTTATTCCCATTTTATAGATGTAAAACACGAAGGCTGGGCGCGGTGGCTTACGCCTGTAATCCCAGCACTTTGGGAGGCTGAGACCGGTGGATCACCTGAGGTCAGGAGTTCGAGACCAGCCTGGCCAACATGGTGAAACCCCATCTCTACTGAAAATACAAAAATTAGCCAGGCGAGGTGGTGTGTGCCTGTAATCCCAGCTACTCGGGAGGCTGAGGCAGGAGAATCGCTTGAACTTGGGAGGTGGAGGTTGCAGTGAGCCAAGATGGCGTCACTGCACTCCAGCCTGAGTGATAGAGTAAGACTCCATCTCAAAAAAAAAAAAAAAAAAAGATGTAAAAGCAAAATTAGAGATGCAGGCTTCTTGTAGAGTTGGAACTTCTTTGAGACAGGGTCTTGCTCTGTCGCCCAGACTGGAGTGTGGTGGCATGAACACAGCTCACTACAGCCTTTACCTCCTGGGCTCAAGTGATCCTCCTGCCTCTGCCTCCCAAGTAGCTGTGACCACAGGCATGAGCCATCATGCACAGCTAATTTTTGTATTTTCTGTATGCCCAGTCTGGTCTTGAATTTCTGACCTCAGCCATCCTCCCAACCTGCCCTCCCAAAGGGTTGGGGGTTGGGATTACAGGCATGAACCACTGTGCCTGGCCAGAGCTGGCCCATGTTTTCTTTCTTTCTTTCTTTCTTTCTTTTTTTTTTTTTTTGGGACGGAGTTTCGCTCTTGTTGCTCAGGCTGGAGTACAATGGCGCGATCTCAGCTGACTGCAGCCTCTGCCTCCTGAGTTCAAATGATTCTCCTGCCTCAGCCTCCCAAGTAGCTGGGATTATTATAGGCATGTGCCACCACACCTGGCTAATTTTGTATCTTTTTTTTTTTTAGTAGAGACAGGGTTTCATCATGTTGGTCAGGCTGGTCTCGAACTCCTGACTTCAGTTGATCCACCCTCCTTGGCCTCCCAAAGTGCTGGGATTACAGGCCCGAGCCACCGCACCCAGCCCCATGTTTTCTTAAATTTGTCTTTCCTCCATACTATACTGCTCTGCCTTTCTTATTAGGATTCAAATAGTAGGTAAGGCTCACTTTTTTTTTTTTTTTTTTTTTTAGTTTTGCTCTGTCACCCAGGCTGGGTGCCGTAGTGCAATCATAGCTCACTGTAGCCTTGAACCCTGGGGCTCAAGCAATCCCCCTGCCTCAGCCTCCCTAGTAGCTGGGACTACAGGCACACATCACTGTACCTGGCTTGTTTTTTAATTTTAGTTTTTATTTTTGTAAACACAGGGTCTTTCTGTGTTGTCCAGGCTGCCTGAAACTCCTGGCCTCAAGCAGTCCTCCTGCCTCGACTTTCCAGAGTTCTGGGATTACAAGCATGTGCCACCGTGCTCAGCCCAAGGCTCATTTATGAATTTAGTAAAGAAAAGGCATTTTTTACTGGCAATATAAGCATCTTGGAAAAACTTCACTTAAAATAGACAAATGGACTTTGCCTTTAATATAATGCAAAAAGGTGATAAAAATTTGGTTAGTATTGGCCTTTTCCTCACATAGAGCCAGAGTCTGTCTGGGCATTCATGCCTTTAGCCCCAGCTCTGCAATGTGAGGCCACAAGCTAAGTGCTGGAGAAACAAAGGCCATGAAAGGCAGCCCTGCCCTCCTGGGCTACCGTGATCCTCGAGGAACACACCACAAGTTGAGGATTTTTATACAGATTTCTTAGGATCAGAAAAAATATAACATTAAGCTCTTGGCCAACTGCAGTATTTGCTTCATCCTTACTTTACAGATTTGTTATTTCAAACTGCAAGAATGACATATTTCTCATTTTGGTATTATCCACAACATCAACTATACAGTACTTTGCAAATAAGTACTCAAATCTTTATAAAGCTGCTTGGGTCTCCAGCTCTCTAAAGAAATTAATAGACTTAATTATCATATTTTAAGAGTGAGCAAATATCATCTGATTTATGATTTGTAGTTGAATTACTGAAATAAGCTCTTTGTAAAGGGAAGATATTTTCACAGTGGTCTTTTCTCATTTGTTTTTACAGATTGGATAAAAGGCATTATTTTTCCCTTGAATCATGGAATTAATCAGAATGATTTCTCTTTTTGTTTTATTTACTCAGGTTTGCACATCCTTATCAATATGAACTAAATCACTTTACCCCAGCAGATGCAGTGCTTCAAAAGCCACAACCCCAGGTTAGTACCCAGCCTTAGTTTAAAGGTGCCGTGTAGTAGCCCAAGAGGAATCAAATAAGTAGATTCATTGATGCAATTTTGACTTTCCTTGAAGATCTTTAAGGGAGAAAGTTACAGTTTTGGGTCATTTCTCAAACTTGTAGTTCACTTTGTACTTTACTGGGGGATGATTTCTATATTCCTCCCTTTTTCTTACTATTCTCTTGATCCAGTTATACAGACCTATAGAAGAGACACCATGCCATTTCATATCCTCCCTGGATGAACTCGTGGAACTCAACGAAAAGCTCTTGAATTGTCAGGAATTTGCAGTTGACTTGGAGGTATCTTATAAATGACCCTGGGTAAAATTTTTACATTTTTCTGTGAGTTCACCTGTTGGAGAAGTATAAAATTAATACTAATTGTAATTTTTTTTGGTAAAAAATTAATCATATAACTTAGCTTTGTAGCTGACTTTTCAAAATCAGTAAAGGAAAGTCTAATATAATCTTTGTTTTTCCTCTTCTCCCCTCCTTCTGTGGGGTTTAGCACCACTCTTACAGGAGCTTCCTGGGACTGACCTGCCTGATGCAAATTTCTACTCGGACGGAAGACTTCATCATTGACACCCTCGAGCTTCGAAGTGACATGTACATTCTCAATGAGAGCCTCACAGACCCAGCCATCGTTAAGGTCAGCCAGCCTTTTGTAACTCATGCATGTGAGCTCATACAAGATTTTTAGTGCTTTTCAGTGTACTATTTCATTATTTCAACCTAGACCAGTCAAGTTGGGAGGAATCATGTCATTTCCTAACTAGGGTACAGTGCTAAATGGCTTTTGTTTCTAAATCCCTGTTAGAACAGCTAAGACTTAGCTTGTTACCGCCCAGAAAAACGTTAAATCATTTTAATGACTACTGCAGTGAGCCCCAGCCATCAAGATTGTTTGGACTTGATGACTGTACTGAAGCTACTAGAGCTGCTTTCATGTGTCTCATTGGTTGATAACAGTTTCAGACTTCAAGCGTATGGAATCAGGAGTGTAGAAAGCTGTGACTGAAGACAAAAGAAACATTTAAAACTGCATATATCCTTTCAAAAAACCAGCTCCTGGATTCATTAATTTTTTGAAGGGTTTTTTGTGTCTCTATTTCCTTCAGTTCTGCTCTGATTTTAGTTATTTCTTGCCTTCTGCTAGCTTTTGAATGTGTTTGCTCTTGCTTTTCTAGTTCTTTTAATTGTGATGTTAGGGTGTCAGTTTTGGATCTTTCCTGCTTTCTATTATGGGCATTTAGTGCTATAAATTTCCCTCTACGCACTGCTTTGAATGTGTCCCAGAGATTCTGGTATGTTGTGTCTTTGTTCTCGCTGGTTTCAAAGAACATCTTTATTTCTGCCTTCATTTCGTTATGTACCCAGTAGTCATTCAGGAGCAGGTTGTTCAGTTTCCATGTAGTTGAGCGGTTTTGAGTGAGTTTCTTAATCCTGAGTTCTAGTTTGATTGCACTGTGGTCTGAGAGATAGTTTGTTATAATTTCTGTTATTTTACATCTGCTGAGGAGAGCTTTACTTCCAACTATGTGGTCAATTTTGGAATTGATAGACCGCTAGCAAGACTAATAAAGAAAAATAGAAGAATCAAATAGACGCAATAAAAAATGATAAAGGGGATATCACCACTGATCCCACAGAAATACAAACTACCATCAGAGATTACTACAAACACCTCTACGCAAATAAACTAGAAAATCTAGAAGAAATGGATAAATTCCTCGACACATACACTCTTCCAAGACTAAACCAGAAAGAAATTGAATCTCTGAATAGACCAATAACAGGAGCTGAAATTGTGGCAATAATCAATAGCTTACCAACCAAAAAGAGTCTAGGACCAGATGGATTCACAGCCGAATTCTACCAGAGGTACAAGGAGGAACTGGTACCATTCCTTCTGAAACTATTCCAATCAATAGAAAAAGAGGGAATCCTCCCTAACTCATTTTATGAGGCCAGCATCATCCTGATACCAAAGCCGGGCAGAGACACAACCAAAAAAGAGAATTTTAGACCAATATCCTTGATGAACATTGATGCAAAAATCCTCAATAAAATACTGG
This sequence comes from Homo sapiens, assembly GCF_000001405.40. NCBI lineage: Eukaryota > Metazoa > Chordata > Mammalia > Primates > Hominidae > Homo > Homo sapiens. The sequence goes on along the minus strand of NC_000001.11, from coordinate 11,086,021 downwards.
CAAACCGAATCCAGCAGCACATCAAAAAGCTTATCCACCATGATCAAGTGGGCTTCATCCCTGGGATGCAAGGCTGGTTCAACATACGCAAATCAATAAATGTAATGCAGCGTATAAACAGAACCAAAGACAAAAACCACGTGATTATCTCAATAGATGCAGAAAAGGCCTTTGACAAAATTCAACAACGCTTCATGCTAAAAACTCTCAATAAATTAGGTATTGATGGGACGTATCTCAAAATAATAAGAGCTATCTATGACAAACCCACAGCCAATATCATACTGAATGGGCAAAAACTGGAAGCATTCCCTTTGAAAACTGGCACAAGACAGGGAGGCCCTCTCTCACCACTCCTATTCAACATAGTGTTGGAAGTTCTGGCCAGGGCAATCAGGCAGGAGAAGGAAATAAAGGGTATTCAATTAGGCAAAGAGGAAGTCAAATTGTCCCTGTTTGCAGATGACATGATTGTATATCTAGAAAACCCCATTGTCTCAGCCCAAAATCTCCTTAAGCTGATAAGCAACTTCAGCAAAGTCTCAGGATACAAAATCAATATTCAAAAATCACAAGCATTCTTATACACCAATAACAGAGAGCCAAATCATGAGTGAACTCCCATTCACAATTGCTTCAAAGAGAATGAAATACCTAGGAATCCACCTTACAAGGGACGTGAAGGACCTCTTCAAGGAGAACTACAAACCACTGCTCAATGAAATAAAAGAGGATACAAACAAATGGAAGAACATTCCATGCTCATGGGTAGGAAGAATCAATATCGTGAAAATGGCCATACTGTCCAAGGTAATTTGTAGATTCAATGCCATCCCCATCAAGCTACCAATGACTTTCTTCACAGAATTGGAAAAAACTAGTTTAAAGTTCATATGGAACCAAAAAAGAGCCTGCATCGCCAAGTCAATCCTAAGCCAAAAGAACAAAGCTGGAGGCATCACACTACCTGACTTCAAACTATACTACAAGGCTACAGTAACCAAAACAGCATGGTACTGGTACCAAAACAGAGATATAGATCAATAGAACAGAACAGAGCCCTCAGAAATAACGCCATATATCTACAACTATCTGATCTTTGACAAACCTGACAAAAAACAAGCAATGGGGAAAGGATTCCCTATTTAATAAATGGTGCTGGGAAAACTGGCTAGCCATATGTAGAAAGCTGAAACTGGATCCCTTCCTTACACCTTATACAAAAATCAATTCAAGATGGATTAAAGACTTAACAACGTTAGACCTAAAACCATAAAAACCCTAGAAGGAAACCTAGGCAATACCATTCAGGACATAGGCATGGGCAAGGACTTCATGTCTAAGACACCAAAAGCAATGGCAACAAAAGCCAGAATTGACCAATGGGATCTAATTAAACTAAAGAGCTTCTGCACAGCAAAAGAAACTACCATCAGAGTGAACAGGCAACCCACAAAATGGGAGAAAATCTTCGCAACCTACTCATCTGACAAAGGGCTAATTTGCAGAATCTACAATGAACTCAAACAAATTTACAAGAAAAAAATAACCCCATCAAAAAGTGGGTGAAGGACATGAACAGACACTTCTCAAAAGAAGACATTTATGCAGCCAAAAAACACATGAAGAAATGCTCACCATCACTGGCCATCAGAGAAATGCAAATCGAAACCACAGTGAGATATCATCTCACACCAGTTAGAATGGCAATCATTAAAAAGTCAGGAAACAACAGGTGCTGGAGAAGATGTGGAGAAATAGGAACACTTTTACACTGTTGGTGGGACTGTAAACTAGTTCAACCATTGTGGAAGTCAGTGTGGCAATTCCTCAGGGATCTAGAACTAGAAATACCATTTGACCCAGCTATCCCATTACTTGGTATATACCCAAAGGGCTATAAATCATGCTGCTATAAAGACACATGCACACATATGTTTATTGCGGCACTATTCACAATAGTAAAGACTTGGAACCAACCCAAATGTCCAACAATGATAGACTGGATTAAGAAAATGTGTCACATATACACCATGGAATACTACGCAGCCATAAAAAAGGATGAGTTCATGTCCTTTGTAGGGACATGGATGAAATTGGAAATCATCATTCTCAGTAAACTATCGCAAGAACAAAAAACCAAACACTGCATATTCTCACTCATAGGTGGGAATTGAACAATGAGAACACATGGACAAAGGAAGGGGAACATCACACTCTGGGGACTGTTGTGGGGTGGGGAAAGGGGGGAGGGATAGCATTGGGAGATATACCTAATGCTAGATGATGAGTTAGTGGGTGCAGCGCACCAGCATGGCACATGTATACATATGTAACTAACCTGCACATTGTGCACATGTACCCTAAAACTTAAAGTATAATAATAAATTTAAAAAAAAATTTTTTTAACTTAAAAAAAACCCTGCATATATCTAATTTTTTTTTTTTTTTTTTTTTTTGAGACGGAGTTTTGCTCTTGTTGCCCAGGCTGGAGTACAATGGTACGATCTCGGCTCACTGCAACCTCTGCCTCTCGGGTTCAAGCAATTCTCCTGCCTCGGCCTCCCAAGTAGCTGGGGTTAAAGGCATGCGCCACCACACCCGGCTAATTTTTGTATTTTTAGTAGAGACAGGGTTTTGCCATGTTGGTCAGGCTGGTCTCAAACTCCTGACCTCAAGCAATCCACCCACCTTGGCCCAAAGTGCTGGGATTACAGGCGTGATCCACCATGCCCAGCTGCATATATCTAATCTTGATTAGAACATTGGCTTCAGCCAGGTGAGGTGGCTCAGGCCTGTAATCCCAGCATTTTGGGGAGCTGAGGCAGGAGGATCACTTGAGCCCAGGAGATTGAGACCAGCCTGGGGAACATAGTGAAACCCCGTCTCTACAAAAAATACCAAAGTTTAGCTGGGCGTGGTGGCACGCTGTAGTCCCAACTACTTGGGAGGCTGAGGTGGGAGGATTGCTGGAGCATGGGAGGCGGAAGTTGCAGTGAGCCAAGATCACACCACTGCACTACAGATGGGACAGCGGAGACTACCTTCTAATTTCAGTGTTCTAATAAACTAGAGGCAGAGTTAATTTCTGAGCATGAGTGGCCTGCTACCAGTGTACTGCATGACTTTGGTTCTGTTTTCAGGTCTTTCATGGTGCTGATTCAGACATAGAATGGCTACAGAAAGACTTTGGGTTGTATGTAGTAAACATGTTTGATACTCATCAGGCAGCACGCCTTCTTAACCTGGGCAGGCACTCACTCGATCATCTCCTGAAACTCTACTGCAACGTGGACTCAAACAAGCAATATCAGCTGGCTGATTGGAGAATACGGTCAGTTTGCTCTTACTGAGGAAATGTGGGTGGCAGAAGAAAGTGATTATTCATTAACCTGTCGTCCAGAGAGACCTGGGTTTGAGCCCTACCACGCTCATTGAGATGAATGGCATCAGGCTTTTCGCCAGGCATCTTCAGCAGCGTAAAAGTGGTAGGAAATTTTTTAATGCTAAGGTGGACTTTATGATGGGCTGATGCAGTTACACTGTGTTCCATGGAAATAGTGGTTGAAAAAGAGGTGCCGCACCAGTATTTGCCCATGCTGGTCTTTTGTTTGAAACTGGGATCTTTCTACCAGATGATTTTGTGTGTGTGTAAGATCTTCTGTAGGGATGATTGTGTGTGTGTGTGTGTGTGCAAGATGACCTTCCATAGGTGGGAAAGAATTCTAAGGGACACTGTTGTTTAGCTTTACACTGAGCGTTTTTTTGTGGCATAAGGTAGCAGTTTTGCCCCACTTCCTGCAGGCCTTGCTCAGCTTGGTCGTTTTCCGCTTGGTTGCTACCTCTCCGAGGTTGCACCTGTCATAGGAAGGTGCTACTGAGCTTTTTCAGGAATTCCACATGCCAGAATGCCAGAATTTCTTTTTTTCTTTTTTTTTTTTTGAGATGCAGTTTCACTGTTGCCCAGGCTGGAGTGCAATGGCGCGATCTCGGCTCACCACAACCTCTGCCTCCCGGGTTCAAGCAATTCTCCTGCCTCAGCCTCCTGAGTAGCTAGGATTACAGGCGTGCACCACCACGCCCAGCTAATTTTGTATTTCCAGTAGAGACGAGGTTTCTCCATGTTGGTCAGACTGGTCTCAAACTCCTGACCTCAGGTGATCCTCCCGCCTCCGCCTCCCAAAGTGCTGGGATTACAGGCGTGAGCCACCGCGCCTGGCCCAGAATGCCAGAATTTCTAAATATAAAAGTAAAATTACATTTGGACTGATAAAATCCAAATAAAAGATAAAAATTGATAAAATCTAAAAACCACTCCCTGTTACGGAGCCCTTACCCTGTGCCAAGCTCTGGGCTAAGTGCTTCAAGGATGTGGTCCTGTGTAGTCCTCACAACAGCCTATGAAGTACCTGGTTCCCATTTCACAAGTTAGGTGGGTCAGCCCAAAGAGGTTAAGGAACTTGTCCAAGGACAGACATCTGGAGCTGAGATTTGAACTCAGGACACCAGTGGCCCCTTTTCTACTGCCTCTTGTGTGTGTCCAGAGTAGCTGACAGTGCCCTTATTTTAACCACCGCATTACCCTGCCTCCAATTCTACCCAGCTGTTAAAATAATGGTTTATCATGTTAAAATGCAGGAAATGTTGGCATAACTGCAGTATTGACTATGAAAGGATCTTTCATATTGGAAGGGTCTAAGGAAGTCCCAGCACCCAAGGAATAGACAAATTGAATTGCTGTCCTTGGGGGCAATCAGTAAAACATTGTCCTCTGCAATTCCAGCCCTCTGCCCGAGGAGATGCTCAGCTACGCCCGGGATGACACCCATTACCTGCTATATATCTATGACAAAATGAGGCTGGAGATGTGGGAGCGCGGCAACGGGCAGCCGGTGCAGCTGCAGGTGGTGTGGCAACGGAGCAGGGACATCTGCCTCAAGGTACACCTCAGCCGCAGTCACACAGACCGCGACACTTGGGCTCTGTGTCTGGCCAGGTTCTAGTTCTTAGGTTTGCTCCTTACATTCATGAAAAGAGCCAAACATTTTCCAGAGCCCAGGGCACAATTTTGATTCCCGTTGATTTTGAATGTTCTCTAATACTTTGTAGAAATTCATCAAACCTATCTTCACGGATGAGTCCTACCTTGAACTCTATAGGAAGCAGAAGAAGCACCTTAACACACAGCAGTTGACAGCCTTTCAGCTGCTGTTTGCCTGGAGGGATAAAACAGCTCGCAGGGAAGATGAAAGTTACGGGTAAGGGATTAGAGGTTCTTTTAATACTTGTTTCCAGACTGAGGAGATCTAATAACAAGTAAATAATGGGCTTTTTTCTTTTGCTATGAAAGCTGGTTATTTCCCCTATGTGACAGCATCTAATGGAACTTACTGGCTGAATGTAATGTGTCCCCACCGTGTGTGTGTGTGTGTGTGTGTGTGTGTGTGTGTGTGTGTGTTTTTTTTTTTCCAGATATGTACTGCCAAACCACATGATGCTGAAAATAGCTGAAGAACTGCCTAAGTGAGTTTCAAATCTGATTAATATGTTCTGACTTTCTCAGTAGATCTGATGTTCTTCAAAATCAAGCTTTTCTGGTTGCTATTACCCAAGGCTGCTTACTCAGAGATTAATGCTCCAAGCTTGGAAGGTAGCAAGTTGAAGGAATATAGAATTTCTGCCCTCAGGCTGCCATTTAAGCACTAAAACTTCTGAACTGGAATCATTTCAATGATTATGCCTTAGTTTGAGTTTATTTTAAGTCTCTGAGCCTTATAGCATCTACTTGCAAGGGAAGAAAATGTCCCAGATTCTGTCATCTGTACTTTCTTCCAAATTAAAGCAGCTCATGATCTTAAACGTTTTGTGATCTTGATTGAAGTATAAGCAAGAATGAAAATCCACAGCCCGTTGGTTGCCCCCTGCGGAATTGAGAATCCACAGTGCTATGGCACTTACTTTCAGCTCTCCCTGATTGTGGGAGTCAGGCTCCAAGAGGGATCCACTTAAAGCTTGGTGTCGCAAAGAACACATGGAGAAGTTGGCCTAGGCTGGCCTGACATCAGTGTTTCCTTAGTCACCTACCTGTAGCTTCAGCTTAGGTGGCAGCCTGGCTTTACCCAGTCATTATTCTTATCTGGAAGCCTTTAAGGGCTGCGTTTCTGAGTGACAAGTTGAGTGTGTTCTTACTTGTCTTCAGGGAACCTCAGGGCATCATAGCTTGCTGCAACCCAGTACCGCCCCTTGTGCGGCAGCAGATCAACGAAATGCACCTTTTAATCCAGCAGGCCCGAGAGATGCCCCTGCTCAAGGTAAGAAGCTTTTCTGCGGCTGGGCACAGTGGCTCACGCCTATAATCTCAGCACTTTGGGAGGCTGAGGTGGCTGGATCATTTCAGGTCAGGAGTTCGAGACCAGCCTGGCCAACATGGTGAAACCCCGTCTCTACTAAAAATACAAAAAATTAGCCAGGCGTGTGGTGCACGCCTGTAATCCCAGCTACTCCGGAGGCTGAGGCAGGAGAATTGCTTGAATCCGGGAGGCGGAGGTTGCAGTGAGCCGAGATCGCGCCACTGCACTCTAGCCTGGGAGGCAGAGCGAGACTCCGTCTCAAAAAAAAAAAAAAAGATTTTCTACTGAAGGGTCCCAACTTAGCAAGCCTGTTTTTTTTTTGTTTGTTTGTTTTTTGTTTTTTTTAGACGGAGTCTCGCTCTGTCTCCAGGCTGGAGTGCAGTGGCATGATCTCGGCTCACTGCAACCTCCGCCTCCTGGATTCAAGCAGTTCTCCTGACTCAACCTCCTGAGTCGCTGGGATTACAGGCATGCACCACCACGCCTGGCTAATTTTGTATTTTTAGTAGAGGCGGGGTTTCACCATGTTGGCCAGGCTGGTCTCGAACTCCTGACCTCAGGTGATCCACCACCTGGGCCTCCCAAAGTGCTGGGATTACAGGCGTGAGCCATCATGCCCAACTTTAGCAGGCCTGTTTTTTCTGCTAGTGTCTTATTCCTTGTGGCTTCCTAGATTCATGAGCTGGTCTGCATTCTAAACAACCCTAGGGAAATAATAGGGCTTAGGAAATCCAGTGTGTGTGTCTTGATGAATTTAGCTGCTTTTTTTTATGATAGTTGAGAGCTAAGACTCTTTATTTATGACCTTAGCTTTGATGATTCAGCAGCAAGTACTGTCTGGTAACTGGGCCAATTCACTGTTCTAAGGCAGTTAATGTGGTGGAGTGAGATGGAGCGGTGACCTCAGCAGAGGGAGCTAGTTTTGGGAGCCTGGCGATGGCCCAGATGTGAAGTGATAGCTCCCTGAATGAGTGAGGAATCACACACTGAGAAGGAAAGAACAGGTGTAGGAAGCATCAGAAGAAAAGATTGATGAGACTTCGTAGCAAATGCTGACAATGGCAGCCAGTTTTCTTTTGTTTTTTTTGTTGTTGTTGTTGTTTTGAAACAGGGTCAGCCGGGCGCGGTGGCTCACGCCTGTAATCCCAGCACTTTGGGAGGCCGAGGCGGGCGGATCACGAGGTCAGGAGATCGAGACCATCCCGGCTAAAACGGTGAAACCCCGTCTCTACTAAAAATACAAAAAATTAGCCAGGCGTAGTGGCGGGCGCCTGTAGTCCCAGCTACTTGGGAGGCTGAGGCAGGAGAATGGCGTGAACCCGGGAGGCGGAGCTTGCAGTGAGCCGAGATCCCGCCACTGCACTCCAGTCTGGGCGACAGAGCGAGACTCCGTCTCAAAAAAAAAAAGAAACAGGGTCTTGCTCTGACACCCAGGCTGGAGTGCAGTGGTGCAATCATGGCTCACTGTAGCCTCGCATCTGCTAGGCTCCCACCTTAGCCTCCTGAGCAGCTGGGACCACAGGCATACACCACCATACCCAGCTATGTTTTTTTTAATTTTTTGTAGAGATGGGTCTTGCTGTGTTTCCCAGACTGGTCTTGAACCCGTGGGCTCAAGCAGTCCTCCCACCTCAGCCTCCCAAAGTACTGGAATTACAGTTGTGAGCCACCTGCCAGCCCCACATTTGCAATTTTTGTGTTAAAAATGTCTTTGTAAGCTCTGTACTTTGTCCAAGTAAAGAGAGACCTTGATTACTAGAGAAGAGTCTTTTTCAAGCTCTTTGGAATCCTTCCTATTGTGCTTAGTCATGTTAAAGAGCTTTATTCTTTCATTCTACAAATAATTATTGAGCACCAAATAATTATCATGCCAGGCACTGTAAGGAGTGAAGAGAGGAAAGAAAATCTCTGGGCTTTTGAGAAACAGGCTGGTGAAGGAATACAGTCAGCGCTGGAGACTGGGGGTTGGACTTGAGGTGCTTGGGCAACTTTCCTCAATTCCCTTCGTTTTTTTCCTTAGTCTGAAGTTGCAGCCGGAGTGAAGAAGAGCGGACCGCTGCCCAGTGCTGAGGTAGAGTGTCGGATCTGTTTTCTCCCCCAGGAGGGAAAACGTCAAGTCACAGCCAGTGCAAGTACACCTCTGACAGAGGCCTGTGCTGACAGCTGGCAGAAAGCTACTGCCGGCTTGCACGTTTTACATGCCAGCCTGCTGGTGTCTTTTAATGCAGAGATTGGAGAATGTTCTCTTTGGACCTCACGACTGCTCCCATGCCCCTCCGGATGGCTATCCAATCATCCCAACCAGTGGTAAAGTCGAGAGCCCTCCTGACTGTCCCGAAGAGGTTGGGACACAGCTACCTTGTCTAAAATTCTGTAGGCTTGGCCGGGCGTGGTGGCTTATGCCTGTAATGCCAGCATATTGGAAGGCTGAGGCGGGTAGATCACCTGAGGTCAGGAGTTTGAGACCAGCCTGGCCAACATGGTGAAACCCCATCTCTACTAAAAATACAAAAATTAGCTGGCATGGTGGTGGGCACCTGTAATCTTAGCTACTTAGGAGGCAGAGGCAGGAGAATCACTTGAACCGAGGAGGCGGAGGTTGCAGTGAGCCGAGATTGTGCCATTGTACTCCAGCCTAGGGGACTACACTAAAACTCCATCTCAAAAAGAAAAAATAAACAAAATTCTGTAGGCTTTGACCTTACTATCTTCTGCTCCTCTAGGATCTGTGCCAGTTCAGAAGCAGGCGAGCCTCTTCCCTGATGAAAAAGAAGATAACTTGCTGGGTACCACATGCCTGATTGCCACAGCTGTCATCACGTTATTTAATGTGAGTAGCACAGAAACTTCACTGAGGTGATGAGGACCCCCTGGGATTTACTGGATTTATTCAGCAGGCTGTCTGCCTGGAGCATTGCATACACTCGGAGACTAATGCTGAGAGCAAAACCCAGCAGTGCTGGGAGAGGCATAGAGACCAATGAGCAAGGTGGCACTGACCACTCTGGAGGAGGTGGTCTGGGGACGTGGATGGGGGATTCTCTTGAGCTCTGTGTGAAGAAATCTTCCAGGAAAGGCTGACGTCCTGTTGTTGAACAGCACCTAGTGGGAGGAGGGCCTGCGCTAAGAGAACATACAAGCAGGGCTTTCCAGACAAGCTGCAGTGGTGGTGGAGGAAAAACGGTTCACCTGGATGCCCAGCAGGGGTGGCATGGGTGTACTGTCCGATGAACTGTAGAATGTGCGCTGCCCATAGCTTCCTGCCTGACCCCAGCACCACATATGTGTGCTTTCAGTGAAGAAGAGAAATGATTTTTTTTTTTTTTGAGACAATCTTGTTCTGCCACCAAGGCTGGAATGCAGTGGCACAATCATGGCTCACTGCAGCCTTGACTTCTGAGGCTCAAACGATCCTCCTGCCTCAGCCTCCTGAGTAGCTGGGATTACAGGCATGAGTCACTGTGCCCAGCTATTTCACTTTTTTTGTTTGTTTGGTTTGGTTTTTTGAGATGGAGTTTCGCTCTTGTTGCACAGGCTGGAGTGCAGTGGCATCATCTCGGCTCACTGCAACCTCCACCTCCCAGGTTCAAGCGATTCTCCTGCCTCAGCTTCCCTAGTAGCTGGGATTGCAGGCGCCCGCCACCATACTTAGCTAATATTTTATATTTTTAATAGAGATGGGGCCACTATGTTGGCCAGGCTGGTCTCGAATGCCTGACCTCAGGCGATCCACCCACCTAAGCCTCCCAAAGTGCTGGGATTACAGGCATGAGCCACCACACCCGGCATTTTTTTTTTTTTTTTTTTTTTTTTTTTTTGTGACAGGATCTCATCCTGTCACCCAGGTGGGAGTGCAGTGGCACCATCCTGGCTCACTGCAACCTCTGCCTCCTGGGCTCAAGCAATCCCTCTGCCCCAGCCTTCTCTCGAGTAGCTGGGACTACAGGTGTATGCCACCATGCCCAGCCAATTTTTGTATGTTTTGTAGAGGTGGGGTTTCACCATGTCGCCCAGGCTTCACTTTGGTTTTTAACTTAATTACATAAATCTAGATTGGGCCTTGCTTTAGCAATTAATGAGAAAATACTAGGCGCTTTAGCTGACCTCAGAGCTAATTTGAGTCATGAAGATGATTTAGCAGCTAAGCGTGTTAGCATGAGCTCTGGGCTGCTTTGATACGGAAGTGCTGTTTGGTGTAAAGGAGGCTGTGGTCTCCCTGCACTCTTGTGTTGCAAGGGCGCATAATTACAGATGAAGCAAAAGGATAGCACATATTTATGAACCCAGTTGGAAGCAGCATTTTGTTGCATAATTTCAATGATTCCCTATAAAGATATGTAATACTAAATTTCAGGCCTGGCGTGGTGGCTCACACCTGTAATCCCAGCACTTTTGGAGGGCAAGGCGGGCATATCACCTGAGGTCAGGAGTTTGAGACCAGCCTGGCCAACATGGTGAAACCCTGTCTTTAATTAGCCGGGCATTGTGGCGCACGCTTGTAATCCCAGCTACTCGTGAGGCTGAGGCAGGAGAATCACTTGAATCCAGGAGGCGGAGGTTGCAGTGAGCAGAGATGGCACCACTGCACTCCAACCTGGGCAACAGAGCAAGACTCCACTCAAAAAAATAATACATACATACATAAAATAAATTTCAGGCATCAATTAAGACCTCATGTTCTAGAGCCAGACCATGGTGGGTTTAGATCCTTGGTCTGCTTGTATTCACTGCAAGCCTCTGAAAGACTGTCACAACCTCTGTAGGCCTCAGTTTCCTCCTCTGTAAGATGGTGAGAGTAATACCACCTCATAGGCTATGAGGACATGCTGAGAATTCACTGATCCAGCACATTGATATTGAAATGCTACTGTGTGCTGTTGCAGACACAACACCTTATACATAAGAGAGTGTATGAAAAATTAGCCTTAGCCATTGGTATTAATATCACTGTTACTGGCCGGGTGCGTGCGGTGGCTCACACCTGTAATCCCAGCACTTTGGGAAGCCAAGGCGGGTGGACCACTTGAGGTCAGGAGTTCAAGACCAGCCTGGCCAATATGGTGAAACCTGGTCTCTGCTAAAAATACAAAAATTAGCTGGGCATGGTGGCACGTGCCTGTAATCCCAGCTACTCAGGAGGCTGAGGCAGGAGAATCGCTTGAACACAGGAGGTGGAGGTTGCAGTGAGCAGAGATCACACCACTGTACTCCAGCCTGGGCAAAAGAGCGAGACTCTGTCTCCAGAAAAAAAAAAAAAATCACTGTTAACTGTTGCTCTCTTGCTTGCATCTTGATGTCACAGATGATCATGGTCATTAGTGATCGTTTTTTGTCTGTCCCTGCAGGAACCTAGTGCTGAAGACAGTAAAAAGGGTCCATTGACAGTTGCACAGAAAAAAGCCCAGAACATCATGGAGTCCTTTGAAAATCCATTTAGGATGGTGAGTAGTAGTTTTGTCAGGGCTGACAGGATATGCAGAGATGCCTACAGCTGTACATGCTTTTACCTGGGAAGGAAGCCTCTGAAGCCAGTGTGTCGGCTGCCCTGGTGTCCTGGCAAAGACGCTGACAAGGCACCAGCAACCCCCCATCTGAGCGCTTCTGCCCCGTGGCTCTAGATTCCGTTCCCGGCAGCGTTTCACACAGCCATTTCCTTCCTCCAGTTTCTGCCCTCACTGGGACACCGTGCTCCCGTCTCTCAGGCAGCGAAGTTCGATCCATCAACCAAAATCTATGAAGTAAGTGGACTTGTCACCTGTTCTAAAAGAGACTTTTTTTTTTTTTTTTTTTTTTTGAGATGGAGTCTCGCTTTGTCACCCAGGCTGGAGTGCAGAGGCACAATCTTGACTCACTGCAACCTCCACCTCCCAGGTTCAAGCAGTTCTGCCTCAGCCTCCCAAGTAGCTGGGATTACAGGCACCTGCTGTCATGCCCGGCTAATTTTTGTAGAGATGGGGTTTCACCATGTTGACCAGGCTGGTCTCGAACTCCTGACCTCAGGTGATCCACCCGCCTTGGCCTCCCAAAGTGCTGGGACTACAGACGTGAGCTACTGCGCCTGGCCCTAAAAGAGACTTTCTAAGAAAAGGGGATTTCTTAATTATTCATACCAGGTTTCTGTTTTAGACAAGCCTATCTCATCTGTGAATCCCGTGAAAATGAATGCAAAAGCCCTTTATTTTCTAGCATTGTTTCTAGGGAAAGGGTCCAGAACTTCAGTGAGATTCTTAAAAGCACTTGGGCTGGGCATGGTGGCTCACGCCTGTAATCCCAGCACTTTGAGAGGCCGAGGCGGGCGGATCATGAGGTCAGGAGATCGAAACCATCCTGGCTAACATGGTGAAACCCCGTCTCTACTAAAAATACAAAAAATTAGCCAGGCGTCGTGGCAGGCGCCTGTAGTCCCAGCTACTCGGGGGGCTGAGGCAGGAGAATCGCTTGAACCTGGGGGGCGGAGCTTGCAGTGAGCCGAGGTTGCGCCACTGCGCTCCAACCTGCGCGACAGAGCGAACTCTAGCCAAAAAAGAAAAAGAAAAGCACTTGGAAACTTTGTAAGAAACAAATCTTCATTTGCGGTTTTTAAATTGAGGTTTAATCTATATGTAGTAAAGTACACAAATATTAAATATACAGCTTGATGCATTTTTATAGATGTCTGTTACTTTAAGGCTCTTAAAGGTGACAGCTTTAATTTTAAAACACTCTATCTTACTTATCTGGCTTGTTTTTACCAGCATTATGAGTAAGAATGAGAGCACACCTCCCCTAGACCCTCTTGAGATGTTCCCCAGAGCCAGAACGTGAACTGTTGTTCGCAGCCTCCTTCCTCCCTTTAGGAAGCGTCTGCTCTGATGACATGGGCGACTGGCTTCCTCTGTGTGGCAGCAGAGCTCTTTTGTTAGGCAAAACCGAGAGGTCCCCCAGCCCCGTTCCTGTCCCTGAGTTAGCTTGCTATTTTTGGAAATGGGGAATCAGGTGGGGCTTCTGCCTTCTCTCCTCTTTTCCCCCCACGGGTTATGTCACACTGAACAACTGCACGTCCTGTGTGTTATGCCCAGTGTCACCTCCATGTGTTGTAACGCCATAGGTCCGTGGGGTGTCATAAAGAAACACAGCAGACTTGCGGAAGCCCAGCCTTGAGTCTGCTTCTGTCATTTACTGACCATGTCCCTTGGACAAGTTATTTACTCTCCCGGAGTCTGTTTGCTCATCTCTAAAGAGAGGGTGATGACAGTACCTTTTTCCCAGGGTTACAGAGGGATTGAATGAGATGATGGATGGCCCAGTGCCTGGAGGACAGTAGCACTTTGTCCTTAATAGGGATTTTAGCAATAAAGCCAGCATGAAATTTATTTTTCATGCCCTTAGATTTGAAAATTTATGACTTAGAATGTGTGTACTTCTTAGGTTAACCTGCCCTTCGTCACCTCATGAAAAGTAAGACAGACTTAGGTGGCTGACTTTGGAGGGTTTTTTTTGTTATATTTGCTTTCATTATAGATCAGCAACCGCTGGAAGCTGGCCCAGGTACAAGTACAAAAAGACTCTAAAGAAGCTGTCAAGAAGAAGGCAGCTGAGCAAACAGGTAACACTCACTTCCTTGCAACTCAGTCGGCTGTTAAAGAATGGCTGTTGCACACCCGCTGTTTCAGCCAAGTGCCAGATACGGCGATGAATGAAGCCCCTGTGGGGCTTCCCTTCTGCTGAGGGATGGTGGGCAATCAGTATCTATCCTGGCAGATGGCAGCAGGTGCTGTGCAGAGAGATTGGTGGGGAGTGCTGGAGGTGCTGTAGCTGTCTCGTTGGTGGTTGGAGAAGGCAGTCTAATGAATGCGACATTGACGAGACCTGCAGTGACCTAGAGAAGAGTTCTGGAGCCACAGCACAGCGAGCCCAGAGGCCCTGGGGCTAGTTCACTGGGCATGCTGAGCAGCAGCAAGTGGGCCTGCATGAGCAGAGCGGGTAGAGAAGAGCAGGAGATGGGGAAGGAGCCAGCAGAGGCCCACGGGATGACGCTGCCTTTTACTCTGAGTTCAGAAGCCAGGAGGGTGCTGAGCAGACGGGGGGAAGTGACTGACATGTGGCACTCTGGCTGCTGTGTCAACAGTAGACTATAGAGGACAGGATGGGAGTCCAGGAAGGGATAGGAGACATGGCAGTGGCTCAGGCGAGAGGGGATGGTGGCTTTGAGACCAGCGTGGGAGCAGAGGAGGTGGTGAGAAGCTGTCAGAGCCTTGATCTGTCCCATAGCAAAGCTGACAGCATTTGATGATGAGGTGGATGTGGCATGTGAGAAAAGGGAAGGGAACCTTGGATGAAGGTTTTGTCCTGAGCAGCTGGAAAGCTGGAGTTGCTGGCAGCCAAAGTAGCTGGTTTGAGCAGGTTTGTCCACGATGGTGATGGTGACGATCCTGTTAAACGCCCTCAGGTCCACAGGCCACTGAGCATTTAGGTTCACAGAAGAGGAGCAGGCAGGGCTGGGGAGGATCAGCTCACGTGTAGCTGAAGGTGGGCAGAGCACCTGAGCCTGAGCTCTGAGGCAGCCTGTCCTGCAGAGATGGGGGACCGGGGACCTGAGAGGGAGGAGGAATCAGCCGTGACAACCCCTGTGGCTAGGCCAAGTCGGAGGGGGATGGAGATGGAGGGGAGGGTGGTTGCTGGATTCACCAACTCCAGAGACAAGTTCTCTCCCTTGCAGCTGCCCGGGAACAGGCAAAGGAGGCGTGCAAAGCTGCAGCAGAACAGGCCATCTCCGTCCGACAGCAGGTCGTGGTATGTGCCAGCTTTTCTCCTTTTTCCTTTGAAAAACGATGCCCCTGCTTGTGGTCAGGATCTTCCTTGGATATCTTAGGGGGCTTGCCCTGTGCTTTATATTAAGTCCTGACTTCTTTCCGGTTCACCTTAGCTTGGCTATTAGTGTCTACCTCATTTCCGAAACCTCCACAAGATTGATATTGTAATTCCTCTTAACCTTCTTCCACTGTGTTTATGGTAAATATGCCAGACCACTCAACTGTAGTAGTAGAAAAGGTATTGAGGTTACAGTGCTGAAGCTTGTTGTGTGTCCTGCTGTGTCCTACAAAAATGTTGCATTCTAGAGAATGAAACCCCAGAGCACTCTGGAACTCTTTTTTTTTTTTTTTTTTTTTTGAAGTAGTGTCTACCTCTGTTGCACAGGCTGGAGTGCAGTGGCACAGTTGCAGCTCACTACAGCCTCAAACTCTTGGGCTCAAACGATCCTCCCTCCTCAACCACCCAAGTAGCTAGACCACAGGCACACACCACCATTCCCAGCTATTTTTTGTTATTGTTTTTGGTGGAGACGGGGTCTCACTATATTGCCCAGGCTATCACTCGAATTCTTAACCCCTGCCCCCTGCCTTTCCTTTTTTTTTTTTTTTTTTTTAATTTCCTTTTAAAAAAAAAATAGTGACATGGTCTTACTCTTACCCTGATGCCCAGGCTGGAGTACAGTGGTGCAATTATAGCTCATTGCAGCCTTGTACTCCTGGGTTCAAGTGATCCTCCCACCTCAGCCTCCCAAGTAGCTAGGACTACAAGCACGCACCACCATGCCCAGCTACATTTGTTTCTTTTTTTTTGTAGAGATAGGGGTCTTGCTATGTTGCCCAGGCTGGTCTCAGACTGCCTAAAGCAGTCCTCCCACCTAGGCCGCCCAAAGCACTGGAATTATAGGCATGAGCCACTGCACCTGGCCTGCTTGCCTTTCTTAAATGACCTCATGTCATTGTCCAGTGAGGAATTTGTTTCAGCTGACCCTGAGTGTTGGTCCCGAAGTTCCAGCCACAGCTCCTCTCCCCACCACTGACTGTTCTTCTTACCACTTAGGCAGCTGGGTCCCAGCTATTGCTGAGGCCGGTGGAGTTCCCTGTTCCCATGTGCCTCCCTGTTCCTCCCCCACATCTGTTCCTGATCTACAGCTAGAAAATGCTGCAAAGAAGAGAGAGCGAGCAACAAGCGACCCAAGGACCACAGAACAGAAACAAGAGAAGAAACGACTCAAAATTTCCAAGAAGCCAAAGGACCCAGAGCCACCAGAAAAAGAGTTTACGCCTTACGACTACAGCCAGTCAGACTTCAAGGCTTTTGCTGGTGAGGAAGTAATGGGGCCCCATACAGGGACATCTGTGCGCGTCAGAGGGGAGGAAGCCATAAAGAGACCACAATATAGGGGCCAAGTGAGTCCTGCACAAGGCATGGTGCTAGCCAGGAATTGTTGGAGTAGTCCAGAGAGGCCGTGGCAATGTGGACAGTCGCCTGCAGCCTCATTACCACCTCCTCCATGGGAGCTCAACTCATGGTGGCCTCCATGGTGGGTTAGCAAGATCACCTGTCACTTCCACTGTGACCAGGGCGCCATCCTTCCTCACTATAACTTGTGCCCATAAACCCTCTCTCTCTCTCTCACACACACACACACACAGAATTTTGTTTGTTGAAAAATCTCAAAGCCTATGACATGAACCCCTATGGCTGCTTGGGCTGTGAGAGTCCGTCTGCTTTGAAGGGGCTACAGATGGCATTCTCGACTCTAGCAGCCTTCGGAGCAACATGCTCCTTTGGAAAAGAGAAAGCAGAGGCCAGTCCACACAATGGCCCTTTATACAGGAGTGTCGCCTCAGAGCCCGAGTTCCTTATGGCATCACCCAGCACAGAGATCAGAATGGATTTCCTTATGTGCGGGGGCCACTGCTGTAGCCACCTGCCCCTAAGGTCCTGGGACTAGAGCTGAGAGAAATGGGCCTGGTTTTCAGACTGCCCACAGGGACCAGGATCGCTATGTATTCATTTATGTGAGCCATGAGCCCTAGCCCCTCATCGTGACAGGGGTGCTCTCACAGCCAAGGCTTCCCTGAGTGTCATGGTCCCGGCCTCGCTGTGAGCCTGTGATGTGTGGTAACTCATTGACCTGACCGCAGGTCTCTCTCATCTCTTACCTTTCAGGAAACAGCAAATCCAAAGTTTCTTCTCAGTTTGATCCAAATAAACAGACCCCGTCTGGCAAGGTAAGAACTGCTCCTGGAGGATTTTAGCACGCTGGTGGCGCCTGTTTCTGACCTCCTCCTCTGCTGAGAAGACAGGCCCATCCAGGAGTCCATTCCTTTGCATATCTTTTTCCTCACCTCATTTCTTCCCAAGGGCAGACAGTACTGATCAGCTACCCCAGCAACTCATAAAACGAGGCTGTAAAAGCTGGCATGTGGCTTTAAAGGGTATTATTCTGTGTTTGCTACCATGGGAACTATAGCTGCAGGCCAAAAGCACCCCCTTTGGGGCCAGCACAAGCCTGCATTCACCCCTCGTGGGTGTTGGTGCTGGTGCCAGGGAAACAGCGTGGCTGTAGCTTCCACAGGCGCGGGGGCAGGGCTGCTTTGGGGTGCTCCTGTTCCTCTTGCAGCGCATCCTGGCGGCCTTGCCTTCAGAGACACAGAAACATCCTCTCTCAGGGGATCTAAAGTCACTCCTGTGCTGCTAGAATCTTTGGCCACCTGAGCTCAGGTGTGTTTTTCTGTGTATCTTGTGGTCAAGGTGCCCACCCAGCTTAAACGGTTTCTTTTCTTTTCAGAAATGCATTGCAGCCAAAAAAATTAAACAGTCGGTGGGAAACAAAAGCATGTCCTTTCCAACTGGAAAGTCAGACAGGTATGTGGTGGACGGCGGTGTGGCCCAGGGAGCCCAGTGAGAAAGCACCTGCCCTGCGTGGTGTGGTCCGTGGGGAGTAGCTGGGGAGCGAGTGTCCAGGGGTCTTCAACCAGGATGACTCAGAGAACCTCCCACAGCCAGGTCCCTCACGCCACTCGGAAAACAAGGGCGGGAGGTGATTTGCTCTGTGCCATACATCACAGAGCCAGGCACTGCACCCCAGGACTCAGATTCCCCTTGTTCCTGGCTCTCTAGTTACCGTGTGTCCTGGGGTCACCTCAGGGAAAATAGGTGTAAATAGTTGTGAAATTTTCCTGGACCAGCCTATTAGGAATGAGGAAAAAGTAAGCACATGTGGGTTATCCTTGTTGTTGAAGAGTGGTTTGGCTTGGTTTGGTTTTGTTTTGTGAGAGTCTCATTCTGTCACCCAGGCTGGAGTGCAGTGGCACAATCTCAGCTCACTGCAACCTCCACCTCCTGGGTTCAAGCAAGTCTCTCACCTCAGCCTCCCGAGTAGCTGGGATTACAGGTGCCTGCCATCATGCCCGGCTAATGTTTTTTTTTTTTTTCTTCTTTGAGATGGAGTCTCGGTCTGTCGCCCAGGCTGGAGTGCAGTGGCACGATCTCTGCTCACTGCAAGCTGCGCCTCCCGGGTTCACGCCATTCTCCTGCCTCAGCCTCTCGAGTAGCTGGGACCACAGGCGCCCGCCATGATGCCCGGCTAATTTTTTGTATTTTTTAGTAGAGACGGGGTTTCACCATGTTAGCCAGGATGGTCTCGATCTCCTGACCTTGTGATCCGCCCGCCTCGGCCTCCCACAGTGCTGGGGTTACAGGCGTGAGCCACCGCGCCCGGCCTGTTTTTGTATTTTTAGTAGAGATGGGGTTTTGCCATGTTGGCCAGGCTGGTCTCAAACTCCTGGCCTCAATTGATCCTCCCGCCTTGGCCTCCCAGAGTACTGGGATTACAGGTGTGAGCCACTGCACCCAGCCAAATGTTTTTGTTAAAAACATAAAATCCTAATAATTAAGCCGACCCTGAGGTCAGGGGACTTGCCCGAGGGCAGGAAAAACAGGTCTGCCTTCTCAAGATGCTGCTCAGCTCAGCCAACTCTGGTGGGCCGCCGAGTTCTCTGGGGCCCCTGAGCAAACCATTCTTCCTCTGTTCTGCATGATTAAGATTTGCACCATTTTGTAAACCATCTGAGAACATCCAACCAGCCCGGAAGAAATAACTGTTGTTTTTGTACTCTCTGCAGAGGCTTCAGGTACAACTGGCCACAGAGATAGTCCTGGAAGACACGTGGCGCCTGTGGACCGGAAGCACCAAATGCTGGTGCTGCTTTTGTACATACATATTTTTAAACCATTAAAATTCTTCCTGAAGAAAGCTGATTCCTGACTTTTATTTTGTTGCCGCCACAGCTCTGGCAGGTTGCCATCCTGTTCAGGCAACCATCTTCAGCTGTCTGTGGGCAGGTGAGTGTGCTCCGGGGGTTATGGTGACTTCTAGAAAAATCCAGAGCCGGCCGGGTGCGGTGGCTCACGCCTGCAATCCCAGCACTTTGGGAGGCTGAGGCAGGCGGATCACGAGGTCAGGAGATCGAGACCATGCTGGCCAACACGGTGAAAGCCTTTCTCTACTAAAAATACAAAAAATTAGCCGGGCATGGTGGTGGACGCCTGTAATCCCAGCTACTCAGGAGGCTGAGGCAGGAGAATCGCTTGAACCTAGGAGGCGGAGGTTGCAGTGAGCCGAGATCACGCCACCTCATTTGAGCCTGGGCAGTAGAGCAAGACTCTGTCTCAAAAAAAAAGGCAAATGCAAAGAGAAAATTTTAATCATTTGTAGTCCTGTCACACAAAGATGCTTTTTTCCTTTTTTTGAGACAGGGTCTCACTCTGTTGCCCATTCTGGAGTGCAGTAGTGTGATCCTAGCTCACTGCAGCCTTGACCTCCCAGGCACATGCCACCACACCTGGGTAATTTTTCTTATGTTTTATAGAGATGGGGTCTTGCTGTGTTGCCCAGGCTGGTCTTGAACTCCTGGCCTCAAGCAATCCTCCTGTCTTGTCCTGCCAGTGTTGGGATTTCAGGCATGAGCCACCACACCCAGCTGAGATTAACATTTTGCTGTATTTCCTTATAAGCTTTCGCTATGTGTATATAGATATATTTTTAAAATATATCTTGGGTTCAGGTTTCTATCATTTGTCACCTTGAAAGTTTGTGTTATGACACTTTTCTCAATCTAAAATTTATTTTCGCCAACCCCCATTGTTAAACGCTTAGGTTTTCATTTTTGGTACTATTCTTAATAATGCAGCACTCACTAAACTTTTATATAAATTTGTGACCCAGTCTCTGATAATTTCTTTAGAACTTCATTTTATTTTAATCCTGAGATGGGCTAATAAATCAGGAAAGCACAAAATGCCATTACTTTGGTTTTTACAAATACTTAACCTAGAAACCTTTTTTCTTTGAAATTCATCCCACAAAGTATTGAGATTGCCAACTGTATATGATAACCTTTGGGGGGTACCAAGCCAAATCACACATCACTGCCGTCAGAGAGCTCCCACTCTTGAACAGCAGAGAACAGCCCTGTCCTAAGATAGGCTGGAGTTTGTTTTAGCTAGGACTAGACTGGTTGAAAATGACAGAAAAGCCAAACTATAGTGACTTTTAACAAGAGAGATGATTTTCCTCCTCTTTTGTAAACATAGTTGGCCCAGAGCTAGTGTGATGCTCATGATCATCAGACACAGGCTCCTATCTTGTTTTACCATCCTCAGCTCAAACACAAGGCTGCCGCCTCATGGTGCAGGGTGACTGCCCTTGCTCCAGCCATTACATTCTCATTCCAGTCTGCTGGAAGGAGGAAAGAACAGCACCCAATCTCTTTGAATAGGATACTGCCCATTTCAACTTCCCATTGGTCAGAACTTAGTCACAAGACCACAGCAAGGGGTACTAGGAAATATCATTATTTCAGTCATCCGTGTGTCCAACTAAAAGCCCAGGGTTCTACTATAGAATTTGGGAAGAACAGACATCGAAGGACAAAGAACAGTCACTGCCTAAAAATGGCAGTCTCTGCTATAAAAAATTGACAAGCGGAATTTTTTTTTTTTTTTTTTCCTGAGACGGAGTTTCGCTCTTGTTGCCCAGGCTGAAGTGCAATGGCACGGCACAATCTCGGCTCACTGCAACCTCCACCTCCTGGATTCAAGCAGTTGTCCTGCCTCAGCCTCCCAAGGAGTTGGGATTACAGGCGCCTGCCATCACGCCCGGCTTATTTTTGTATTTTTAAGTACAGACAAGGTTTCACCATGTTGGTCAGGCTGGTCTCGAACTCCTGACCTCAGGTGATCCACTCACCTCAGCCTCCCAAAGTGCTGGGATTACAGGCGTGAGCCACTGTGCCCGGCCTCACAGGTGGAATTTTTTTTTTTTTTTTTTTTTTGAGACAGTCTCGCTCTTGTCACCCAGGCTGGAGTGCAGTGGTACGATCTCAGCTCACTGCAACCTCTGCCTCTCGGGTTCAAGCAATTCTCCTGCCTCAGCCTCCCACGTAGCTGGGATTACAGGCGCCCACCACCACACCCAGCTAATTAGTGGAGACGGGGTTGTACCATGTTGGCCAGACTGGTCTTGAACTCCTGACCTCAAGTGATCCGCCCACCTCAGCCTTCCAAAGTGCTGGGATTGCAAGGCGTGAGCCACGACGCCTGGCCAAAGTGAGAAATTATTTTCTCCTGAGGATGGCCTGAGAGGCCTCGTGAAAGGCGCATTCGGACTGGACCCTGAGGAGCAAGGGACTTCCAGAGAGCTCTATGGCAGCGCAGCTCAAAGCGGAGGTCTCTGACAGCCCAGATGAGGACTTGTCAGAAAGAATCCAGTGCCACCTAGAGCCTGGAGGCTGCCAGGGCCGCTGTGCTCACCCGTTAAAGTGATGCCGCACCCTTTCTTTGGAAGTTTTCCATATTGGTTTTGTCTGTGTGACAATGTTTTTCTGTTTGTTTGTTTGTTGGTTTGTTTGTTTTTTGAGGCAGAGTCTCCCTCTGGCGTTCAGGCTGGAGTGCAATGGCATGATCTTCGCTCACTGCAATCTCCATCTCCTGGGTTCAAGAAATTCTCCTGCCTCAGCCTCCCAAGTAGCTGGGATTAGAGGTGCCCACCACCACGCCTGGCTAATTTTTGTACTTTTAGTAGAGATGGAGTTTCACCACGTTGGCCAGGCTGGTCCTGAACTCCTGACCTCAGGTAATCCACCCACCTTGGCCTCCCAAAGTGCTGGGATTACAGGCGTGAGCCACTGTGCCTGGCCTTCTGTTTGTTTTTTAAAAGACAGGAACCTTAGACAGGAGTTTGAGTTGTTTTCAAATATTCAATCTTGCAAAATAAAAAGTTCGCAACCCAGTGTCAGTCCCTAGATGGTGTCTGCAGAGGTTTACTGGTCCATCAAACCCCAAATCCAGAACTCCTCAGCCATGGGGTGGAGATGAGGGTCTTGGGTGTTCAAAGAACAACAGCTGGAGCTCAATGTCAGGTCACTTGGGGAGCACCTGGGACAGGACTAAGGAGGATGGTGAGCACATAGAGGGGTATGTGTGGGTCAGGAACTGTGCAGTGACTGAGTAGTGGAGGCCATGGCTGGGCCTGTGCTCCAAGAGGAAGGGAAAGGGATCTGGCAGGGCTGGCCAGGTTGGAGGTAGAGAGAGAATTTATGAGCAGAAGGACTGTGTGCTCAAGGAGGCATGCTGCTGTTTGCGGTGCCTTAGGCAGCTTGCCATAAGCATTTTCAACCAAGCCACACCACATAATGGCCAAAATTGTTCCCACTCATAACCACAGCTGTCTGCCTGGCTGAATGGAAGTGTAGAAAAATGACTCAAGTGCTAACTGCTTAACAAGCCTCTCGTGACAGACACATAACCACGTGGCAGCCCCATTTAAACCATTTCCTTGAACAGTAGCCATTGGCCCACCTTTCTCTCCTCTACCCTTTCTCCCCTTTTTCCTTTTATAATAACACTTTTTAGGAGGTTGGGTGGGATAGTTAACCCACTAGACACTTAAGCTTTACAACTGGGTTTTTGAGGTACATTGGTCTGAATTTAGGGGAAAACATTTCATGCTAAAGCCTGATTTTCTCAGTCCTGGTTGTTTGGTTGTTTTTTTGTTTTGTTTTGTTTTGTTTTTTGGTGTTGGGGGTGTTTTTTTTTGTTTTTTTTTTTTTCCTTTCTTGGAGACAGGGTCTCGCTCTGTCACCTAGGCTGGAGTGCAGTGGTGCGACTGTGGCTCACTGCAACCTCCGCCTCCTGGGTTGAAGCAATTCTCATGCCTCAGCCTCCCAAGTAGCTGGGATTACAGGTGCACGCCACAATGGCAGCTAGTTTTTGTATTTTTAGTAGAGATGGAATTTCACCACCTTGGCCAGGCTGGTCTTGAACTCCTGACCTCAGGTGATCCACCCGCTTTGGCCTCCCGAACTGCTGGGATTACAAGCGTGAGCCACCACGCGTGGCCAATCCTGGTTTTTTTCTGTAGACTTCTGTGGTCATCTGGCCTGACTTTAACGTCAGTTGTGATTATAACTGGGCTGTGCAATAATGGCTACTTCTGGCAAAATCAGTTTTTCTTCCTTGTGACCTGAAGTCAGGTGGCATTTCTGGATTCACAGTGCTGTATATTTGGGGGCTTTTTTGTCTGTAATTTACTCAGGGCTTTTGTCTTCTCTGAACTTGGAAGGTTTGTGCAATGTCTGTACACTCTGGCCGAGAGGTCTCAAGTTCTGTGCCTGCTTGAGGCTGAGGCCTCTCAGTTTCACTCCCTCTACAGGAGGACAAAGGATGTCAATGTGGCCTTTTTCATGTGAGGACCCACATGCTGGAGCAGCTTTGTCCAGCTTATAGAGGGGATGGGATGGACCTGGCCCTCCACTTTCCCCCATGCAGTGTCCTGGAATGCCAGGGCCACTGTCTATGGTCAGTCCTTCACCACCTAAAAGCAAGCTGATCCACAAGGCACCTGGCTGCATCCAGGCCTGTCATCTACGGCCACCATCCTCAGCTTCAGAGCTTATGATCTGGCTCAGGGAACACAGACAAGTACTGCCATCTACAGCCACCATCCTCAGCTTCAGAGCTTATGATCTGGCTTAGGGAACACAGACAAGTACACGGGCAGTTACAACCCAGAGGCAGAAATGTCTTGGAGGAAGTACAGGCAATGTAGGCAAACACCTTGACCCAAGTACAGGATTGAACCCAATCAAGCCTGTAGCACTGGACACACTGATTGACTCTGTCTTATCCACTACGTGGACATTTCAAGAATAATCTTCGTTCCTGGAACAAGTCCATGGAAGCTGTTGCCTAGCAATGTTTTTTATTTTTTAGAGACAGTCTTGCTATGTTGCCCAGGCTGGTCTCGAACTCCTGGGCTCAAGCGGTCCTCCTGCCTCGGCCTCCCAAAATTCTAGTATTATCAGCCTGAGCCCCTGTGCCCAGCTGCCTAGCAATTTTTTTTTTTTTTTTTTGAGACGGAGTTTCACTATCGTTGCCCAGGCTAGAGTGCAGTGGCGCAATCTCAGCTCACTGCAACCTCCAACTCCCGGGTTCAAGCGATTCTCCTGCCTCAGCCTCCCGAGTAGCTGGGACTGCAGGCGCGCACTACCATGCCCAGCTAATTTTTGTATTTTTAGTACAGACGGGGTTTCACCATGTTGGCCAGGATCGTCTTGATCTCTTGACCTCGTGATCCGCCCGCCTCCGCCTCCGCCTCCCACAGTGCTGGGATTACCGGGGTGAACCATCACGCCCAGGCACCTAGCAATTCTTTAGCGGTCTTGGTTTACCTCCCCTTTAGAAGGAGCTTAAAAGCAAGCAAGGCACATTGTTGCCTAGGCTTGAGGCTTGCTCTCACCCATAAACAACGCTGTTACTCTGCTCTGGGGACGACACAGGAAACGTTCCCCACCTCCAGGTGGAGGCTGCAAAACGTGTCAAAACCATCCCTGACATAATGTCAAGAGTAGCTTATACTAGTTTCATCTTCCTTCCTTGGCATTCGAACTGCGTGTGGAACAATTAGCATTTAATATTTGGTAATTAGCATGCTTAATGTGATTCTGAGAAGTTCTTTGACATTCTCATAAAAACAGCACATTCCCACCCACCCTTCAAAGAGCAAGACCCAGTTTGTCAAGAAAAATTGCGTGCCAGTCTTTTCTGGTGCTGAATATGTATGTTCTGGGCCTCTTCCTGGACACTGCTGGTAAATTTAGAAACTCGTTTAGAAAAGCACTTCTCTCGTATTCAACAGCCTATAGGCTCATGGCGCAGAATCTAAGGGAAAATGGCTAAATCCAGCTTGTGAATTCGCGGGCTGTGATGATTCTTTCCAAGTAAATAAAAACCCTCGGTTCGCCCCGACGAGCCACATAATCTGTTCAAATCCAACAAGGAACCAGATTTTGGACGCAAAGAAGGATACGTTCTACTCGCCCCGTGCAACAACGTAAACCACTGTAGCCACCCGCTCCCGTGTCTCCAGCCCAAAGGCTGACTCTCCAGTCCGCACGTCGCAGCGCTCTTGCCCTCCACACCAAGCCCGAGTCCCGCAGCCCCTCGAGGCCCTCGGTGCCTCCCAACCCCGAGAAGGAAGCGGGGGCCGGTGGTGCACCGCCCCGGCTGCTTGGGGCGGAGGAAGGACCCGGACCCCTTCCGCCGGCCCAGCCCGCCCCGGAACCCGACCCGGCCGCCCGGCCCCGGCCGGGCCCCACGTGGCCCCTGGAGCGGGCCGCACTACCCTGCTGCCGCCGACGGACGGCGCGCCACAGCCACTCTGCGCCGCTCTGCGAGCCGGTGGCCAATGAGCGCCAGGCGAGGCCGCTTTGCCATTGGCGAGCGCGGGCTCCGCCCCCGCCGGCAGGCCCCGCCCCGCGCCCGGGTTAGGTTGCGGCGCGGGCGGCGGGCGGAGCTGGTCCCGTTGTGCTGCGGCGCCGCGCGGCCTGCAGTCCCGGGCCCGCGCCCCGCGCCGCCCGCCCGCCCGCCATGGAGCCCGGCCCCGACGGCCCCGCCGCCTCCGGCCCCGCCGCCATCCGCGAGGGCTGGTTCCGCGAGACCTGCAGCCTGTGGCCCGGCCAGGCCCTGTCACTGCAGGTGGAGCAGCTGCTCCACCACCGGCGCTCGCGCTACCAGGACATCCTCGTCTTCCGCAGGTACCGCCGCTGCCCGCAGGCGCCTGCCCCCTAGGCTCAGCCCGGGCCGCCTGCTGCCCGCCTCACGGGCCTCTCCACGCCGGGACCCAAGCGGGCTGGACCTCGTCCTGCCCTGGCCCCCTCGCCACCCCTCACACCGCCTCCCTGGGCTGGGGCTGGGACTGCGGGCTGGCCTCTTGGGTGGGGGAGTCGGAGTCTGCGCCCCGCTCCACGTGTCAGCCCTCAGGACACGTCAGAGCCCGAGGAGACCCCGGGTCCCACCCCGGCCTCCACCCGGCGGCCCGCCTGCCGTTCCTCGCCACGTGTCACCATCGCTCCTCATCCCTGGGACCCCTAGGCGGGATGGGGAGACCCTCCTCACCCAGGGCGGCTTGGGGTACGTTTTCCCCACCCCAGAGAACCCAGGTCCCCGACTGTCACTCCGCCCGCAGTAAGACCTATGGCAACGTGCTGGTGTTGGACGGTGTCATCCAGTGCACGGAGAGAGACGAGTTCTCCTACCAGGAGATGATCGCCAACCTGCCTCTCTGCAGCCACCCCAACCCGCGAAAGGTACCCCAGTGTCCCCTGGAACAGTGCCGGACGAGGGGCGGCCCCAGGTGTGCTCCGGGCTCTTCCCAGATGCTGCCTGCATGGTTGTCAGAGAAAGTGCTAGCGAGGCCAGGGGCGTCCCGCGGAGGGGTGGGGGCCGACACTGACGCGGCCTCGGAATCCTAGGGCAGCCCTGGAAGGAACTTCCAGGAAAGGGGACACCGGCACGAAAGCGTTTCCGAGGGTAGAAAAAGATGAGGCCCGTGGGTCCGAGGGGTCAGGGGGTCTGCTTCAGGGGCCTGGGGGCTCCCAGTCCTGCCAGGGCCCCTGCCTTGACTGCCCCCTCCTCCCAGGTGCTGATCATCGGGGGCGGAGATGGAGGTGTCCTGCGGGAGGTGGTGAAGCACCCCTCCGTGGAGTCCGTGGTCCAGTGTGAGATCGACGAGGTGAGTGCCGGCGTAGAGCCAGGTTTGAGTCCTGGTTCTCCCAGCGGCCAGCTGTGCCCTGAAATGGCTGCACACCCCCGAGCAAGGCAGGTAGGGCCTGTTTCTCCATCTGGAAAACACCTGGTCGGGGAGGGTTCAGTAGGAAAACCAGATGGCAGAGGGCCTGGCAGGTGGTGAGGGCACCTGCGTGGCGAGCTCTTACTAAAACTGAGCTGATTTTTTTTTTTTTTTTTTTTTTGAGACAGAGTTTCGCTCTTGTTGCCCAGGCTGGAGTGTGATGGTGCGATCTCGGCTCACTGCAACCTCCACCTCCTGGGCTCAAGTAGTTCTTCTGCCTCAGCCTCCGGAGTAGCTGGGATTACAGACATGCGCTACCATGCCCGGCTAATTTTGTATTTTTAGTAGAGACAGGGTTTCTCCATGTTGGTCAGGCTGGTCTCGGACCTGGCGACCACAGGTGATCCGCCAGCCTCGTCCTCCCAAAGTACTGGGATTACAGGCGTGAGCCACCACGCCCAGCCGACTAAGCTGATTTTTAATCTGAGCCCCAGGCAGGGCCCCAAGACAGCTCAACTATTTGTACGTTACCCCTTACACTCAGTAGCTGCTCACTAAAATCATGCTACGTGCCAGGTGTTGCCCGGGTATGGGGACAGTGGTAGACGACAGATCAGTCCCTGCCCTCTAGGAGCTGATGTCCTAGTTAAAGGAGACATCAGATGGCCAGACGTGGTGGCTCACACCTGTAATCCCAGCACTTTGGGACGCCAAGGCGGGCAGATCACCTGAGGTCAGGAGTTCAAGAGCAGCCTGGCCAACCTGGTGAAACCCCATTTCTACTAAAAATACAAAAATTAGCCGGGCATGGTAGTGCATGTCTGTAAACCCAGCTACTAGGGAGGCTGAGGTGGAAGAATTACTTGAGCCCGGGAGGCGGAAGTTGCAATGAACCGAGATCTCGCCACTGCACTCCAGCCTGGGTGACAGAGGAAGAATCTGTCTCAAAAAAAACAAACAACAAAAATAGAGACATCAAAGGATGGTCTGATGAAGGCAAGACAGGGGCTGGGGGACAGGAGAAGGCAGGGTTCCTGTGAATGCATGGGGGGTGGTCAGGGCAGGCCTCCAGGAGGTGGCGTTTGAGCTGAGACCTCAGTGAAAAGCAGGTGGCCGTGTGCAGGGAGGGGGAGGTTCTCCTGGCCAGAGGTTGGAATTGCATCCTTCTAAAATAGGAAACAGGCCAAGCGCTGGTGGCTCACACCTGTAATCTCAGCACTCTGGGAGGCTGAGGCGGGCAGATCACAAGGTCTCTACTAAAAATAAAAAAAAAAAAAAAAAAATGGCCCAGCTTGGTGGCGTGCGCCTGTAATCCCAACTACTCGGGAGGCTGAGGCAGGAGGGTGCAGTGAGCTGAGATCGTGCCACTGCACTCCAGCCTGGGCAGCAGAGCAAGACTGTCTCGAAAAATAAATAAAATAGGAAGCGACAAGAAAGCCACTCAGATGGGGCGATTTGGTCTGGAAGGAGGGGGTAGGGATGGGAGAGAGGAGCCCAAGCCGCCGGCAGGAGCCAGCTCTCAAGGAGAAATGGAGGTACCAGAGTTCTCCCCGCTTTACACATTATAAACTGAGGTTCCCAAAAGGGGCCAGGTGTGGTGGCTCACAGCTGTAATCCTAGCACTTTTGGAGGCCGAGGTGGGAGGATCGAGGAGTTCGAGGCAACATAGGGAGACTCTATCTCTACCAAAAATTTAAAAAGTAGCCAAGTATGATTGAACACACTTGTCCCAGCTACTCAGGAGGCTGATGGGGGAGGATCACCTGAGCCCCGGAGGCCGAGGGTGTAGTGAGCCATGATCGATGCCACTGCACTCCAGCCTGGGCCACAAAGTGAGACCCTGTCTCAAAAAAAAATAATAAAAAAAAGGGAAGGGGTTGGCCAAGGCGGCTTGCCTGTGAGGCACTTGGAGAGTCCCACGTGGCTGTGCTGGCTCCAGGTCCCCCAGCCCCTTGGCCCAGACTGGTCCCTCCCATCCCCTCCAGGATGTCATCCAAGTCTCCAAGAAGTTCCTGCCAGGCATGGCCATTGGCTACTCTAGCTCGAAGCTGACCCTACATGTGGGTGACGGTTTTGAGTTCATGAAACAGAATCAGGATGCCTTCGACGTGATCATCACTGACTCCTCAGACCCCATGGGTAAGCAGTGGATGGGCCCCAGGGTTTTCTGGCAGCTGCAGGTCTGGAGGTCAGCCTCCCCCAGGCCTTCAGAGTAAAGGATAGAGCGGCCTCCCACCCCCCGAACTAGAGCTGTACTTTTCCCTTCTCATTTGTTACCTGCCCTCTGAAACATGGCTCAGGACAGTAGGCAGGAGCCAGGCGACTGCCCAGATTCACAAGCTGGTGACCAAGGAGAGTGGGGATCTGGCATTGGGACACTGAGGACCCTGTGTCCTCTTCAGCCTCCCCTCTGCTCTGAAGTGGTCAGCACTGGAGTGGGGGCAGGTTCTAGTCTTGAACGAAGGCCTAGGTTAGAGGTTCCTCTGCTGTGGTGCCAATGAGACTCCCCCAAGAATGGGATTCAGGTGTGGATCCCCCACAGACCTGGGTTCAGATCCTGGCTCTGGCCACCTGGTAGCTGTGTGGGTGACAGTGGCCCTGGAGGTCACAGCCAGACTGTTCAGTGTGTCTCCCTCTGTCTTCCCCAGGCCCCGCCGAAAGTCTCTTCAAGGAGTCCTATTACCAGCTCATGAAGACAGCCCTCAAGGAAGATGGTGTCCTCTGCTGCCAGGGTGAGCCACAGGCCTGGAGCACTGGGGCGGGGCGGGGTGGGGCAGGGCAGGCCCTGCCGGATGCTGATGCTTAGGGGCCCCCAGGCGAGTGCCAGTGGCTGCACCTGGACCTCATCAAGGAGATGCGGCAGTTCTGCCAGTCCCTGTTCCCCGTGGTGGCCTATGCCTACTGCACCATCCCCACCTACCCCAGCGGCCAGATCGGCTTCATGCTGTGCAGCAAGAACCCGGTGAGATGGGGGTGTCTGGGGGTGGGGGTTGGGGGGAAGGTGGGCATAAATAGAGATCCCTGCCCCTGCCGGGCGCGGTGGCTCACACCTGTAATCCCAGCACTTTGGGAGGCTGAGGCGGGCAGATCACAAGGTCAGGAGATCGAGACCATCTTGGCTAACACGGTGAAACCCCGTCTCTACTAAAAATACAAAAAAATTAGCCAGGCATGGCAGCGCGCGCCTGTAGTCCCAGCTGCTGGGGAGGCTGAGGCAGGAGAATGGCGTGAACCCGGGAGGCGGAGCTTGCAGTGAGCCGAGATTGCGCCACTACATTCCAGCCTGGGTAACAGAGGAAGATTCCGACTCAAAAAAAAAAAAAAACCCTCCCCAGGCCAGGTGCGGTGTCTCATGCCTGTAATTCCAGCATTTTGGGAGACCAAGGTGGGCGGATCACTTGAGGTCAGGAGTACAAGACCAGCCTGACCAACATGGAGAAACCCCATCACTACTCAAAATACAAAAAAAAAAAAAATTAGCCGGGCGTGGTGGCGCGTACCTGAGGCTGAGGCAGGAGAATCACTTGAACCTGGGAGACAGAGGTTGCAGTGAGCTGAGATGACGCCACTGCACTCCAGCGTGGCAACAGTGAGACTCCGTCTCAAAAAAAAAAAAAAAAAAGTGCCCCCCCTGATGTGCCCCTGGCCCGGTCCCCAGAGCACGAACTTCCAGGAGCCGGTGCAGCCGCTGACACAGCAGCAGGTGGCGCAGATGCAGCTGAAGTACTACAACTCCGACGTGCACCGCGCCGCCTTTGTGCTGCCCGAGTTTGCCCGCAAGGTGGGTGGCCTGCGGGGCTGGGTGGTGGGACCCAGGGACCCAGAGCGCCCTCCTGACTGGCCTCATGTCCCTCCAGGCCCTGAATGATGTGAGCTGAGCCCAGGCGCCACCACTGATGCCACCCAGGACCTCGGACCTTGGAGCCTGCGGGGTGCCTCGGCCCCTCCAGCCCCGGGCCGGACCTCCTGCTGGCTCTCGCCCACCAACCAAGTGTTACAAGCCCCAGAATGCTGCCCGGCCTGCCCTGCTGGGCGGACTGTCTGTGTGTCTGTCTCTCTGGCGTTCCACCTCCAAGCCTATACCAGCTGTGTACAGCGCCATCTCTCTGCCTTCTGTTGCCCCTCACTCACCAAACACGTGTATTTATAGCAAAGATTGGAGTCCTGTGTCTCCTGACCTTGGCTGGGCCCAGGCAGGGCCACATTCACCATTGGGTGCCTCTGGGGTGAGGGTCTGCAGAGGCCTTGCTGGCTGACCCCCAAGTGTCTGCTGCAGGGCTGAGGCTGCAGGCGGGCCATCGTGGATAGCCTGGGGCACAGAGGGTCACCGCAGTCGTCACGTGGGACCCAGAGCTGTCCTGGGAAGCTGACTTAGCTGTCCTTTTACCAAGCCCTTCACAAGGCCACTGGTGACAGCCCCCCAGGGCAGTGGGGTGGGTGAGATCAGGGTGGGGCTGCCCGGGAGCATTCTCAGAAAAATTGGGGACACTCACAGGTGTAAGTCAGGTCCCATCCAGGTACTCCAGGGCAAATACAGGAAGGGGTGGCGGGGCTGGTTACCTTCGGCCTTTTTAAGCACATCAGGAGCTTAACACTGGCCCAGTGACTGTGCCCTGACTCCACCCGGCATTCAGACTTGGGTTCAAATTCCCACCATGCCCCGCCCCCTATGTGGACAAATTGAGAAAGCAAGTGTGGGCACCCCACCAGGGACTGCGAGGACCAGGGCTGTCCCCTCTCCAAGGTGCTGAACTCCCGCCTTCCAGGACCCAACGGTGGTGGGAGGACAGGAAAGGAACCCTCTTTGCATGGGCCTGAGTTGCCAACCCCTTTCCCCACCCTGGGCAGGGGCTGGGCTAGCGGACGCATCAGGGAGGGAGGCCCCACTCCCAGCCGAGGCAGCCACCTTGGAGCCCTAACTCACCCGGGTATGTTTTCTGGGACACCAGAGTAAGGGGGATTCAGTTTCGCCATCAACTCTGGCTTCAGGCCAGTCATAGCCCTCCAGTCTCCACCTGCCCCCCACTCCCCACCCCTGTGAATTCACCAGACTGAGCACCTTCAGACCTTTGGCCCATCAGCAGATCTGACCTCAGGCTAACTTCTCCAGGCCACCCTGACCTTTCAAATCAGTCTGGGGAGCTGGCGTCTGCCCCCGGGCCTTCATAGTCTCAGGGAAGGCCCGAGAGGAGCAGCTGGCGTTCAGGTGGGTTGGCAGGGGCTATTTCTGGAGCCTGACAGGCCAGGCTGCAGCTGGGTGGGCCAGGCACTTTCATTTAACCTTCACAACCACCTGCCCGCCAGGCATTGTTCCTGCTGCACAGAGGCAAGGCGATGTGCCTAAGGACACACAGCCAATCAGCAGCCACCGTCCGACGCCACTCCACCCTGCTCACCCCAGGGTCTCCTGCATCTCAGGCCAGGCACTCTGGAGGTCCCGGCATGGATGGTCTCTCTGACATCTACTCCCTGGCCAAGATCCAGGCAGGGAATGCTGCCCCCTTAGAGGGACGATCCCGTGACCCCCTAAGTGTGAGGGCCTTTCCCCAAGGGCTCTGGAATCGGTCCAGATCTCAATCTCAACTCTGCCTCCCTCAGCTCTGTGACCTGCAGCCACGCAGGCCCTCTGCCGGTTACCCCGATGTCAGAGGGGGAGCACACCGTCCCTGTTAGGAAGCTTTGGTGAGAAGCACGTGCGACGCAGCCCTCAACCAGTGCCGGCCCGAGAGAAGGGAGGGTGGACCAGGTTGTGGAAACAGCCGGGGCCATCTGGGAGGCAGGAGATCTGGGAAGCAGCTGCAGGAAGATGAAGTTGCCGGCAGCGTAGATCCTGCGCCTCCCCAGCCTATAGTCTATACACACACCTGGCCGCCGCGAAGAGGCATGCACCAGGGATGGGGGCAAGCCTGAGCCCCACGACTGGGTGGGTGCGATGCAGCCCAGGATGATCTGCTGAAACAGAAACAGCCTTGATGAGGACACAACCTGGGTCCCCCAGCGTCCCAGAAATCTTTGGGCCACAAACAGGCCCAGTGTGGCATGGGGAATAACATCAATCCTATCTAGACTTTTCAAAATTTGATTTATGATAATTAGCCAGGCCCCTGGCTTAAGGATTCATGGGTCCGTGCGGCTTGTCAGAAGAAAAATCACAGTCCTCCTCCCGCAGCCCCTTTCCCTCTTGGAGCTGATTATTTGGGGTTTATCTTCTGTAGTAGAAGAAGAAATCGATTTGGTGTTTGTCCCCAGTTCCTGTCACGGAGCCGCTAACACCTTTGGAAATTCCTGATCGGTAGGCGTGTCTTGTCGTTCATTATATGCTCTGTTAGAGAACTCCCGAGTTTATGCTAATGCAGTGGTCTAGGGTAGAGCCCCGGGGGAGCCTCAGGGTGGGGCTGGTAAGTAAGACCTAAAGACTGAAGGGTTGGGACTTTCACCCCACCCAATGACTGCCAGGAAAGGATCAGGAGGGCTCTGGAGATGAAGCTGTACAAATTCATGAACAATGAGCGCAGCCCCGGGTGGTGGCTCATGCCTGTAATCCCAGCACATTGGGAGGCCGAGGTGCGCAGATCACTTGAGGCCAGGAGTGTTGGGAGGGCAACATGGCAAAACCTCGTCTCTACTAAAAACACAAGCATTATCCTGGTGTGGTGGCGCACGTCTATAACCCCAGCTACTCGGAAGGCTGAGGCAGGGGAATCACTTAAACCCAGGAAGCGGAAGTTGTGAAACTGCCTTTGCCAAATTATGACTGAGACAGTGAAAGAGACCTAACTTAGCCAACTCCATCTTGCTTCTAGCCTCCAAGCTGTCCTTCTTCATTCCTGGGCGTAGGCTGAACTAACGTTGGGAGAAATTTAGTTTATAGTTTAAACAAAGACGGTCACAGCCCTTTCTCAAAGCAGATGTTCTTGCCTGGGGACTAGACTGTCTTTGTAGGATTAACATTAGCCACAAGATTAGAAATTATGGTTTAGAGTCATGCAGCTGGAGGCTACGAGATTCCCACCCTCCCTAAACTGCTCCTAAGATCAGTGCTTGAGATATTTTGCAGATCCTGCCTTGATGGATCAGCCGGCACCACCCAGATGGATAAACGGGCTCATCTGATCTTGTGACCCCCACCCAGGACTCAGTGCAAGAAAACAGCTCTGACTCCGACTGCCTGTGATTTCATCTCTGACCAGTCAGCACTCCTGGCTCACTGGCTTCCCCCTACCCACCAGGTTATCCTTAAAAACTCTACTCCCCGAATGTTCGGGGAGACTGATTTGAGTAATAGTAAAATTCTGGTCTCCCGCACAGCCAGCTCTGCGTGAATTACTCTTTCTCTATTGCAATTCCCCTGTCTTGATGAATCAGCTCTGTCTAGACAGCTGGCAAGGTGAACCCCTTGGGCGGTTACAGTTACAGTGAGCCGAGATCGCGCCACTGCGCTCCAGCCTGGGTGACAGAGCAAGACTCTGTCTTAAAAAAAAAAAGGAAAAAAAAGAAAAAAACCAGTTAAAGAAAATAAAAGGAAAAAGCAAAAGAAAAAATAAAAGAATAATTCTGGACAGAAATAGAGTTATAATTTAGCATTGATCAGGCTGCACTCTGGCCCGCCTCCATGTAACTGACAGTCAGGTAGCACCGCGCCTGACCAGGCTTTTGTTTAAGAATTGCTTGAGTTAGGGCACTGTGGCTCATGCCTGTAATCCCAGCACTTTGGGAGGCCGAGGCGGGCGGATCACCTGAGGTCAGGAGTTCAAGACCAGCCTGACCAACATGGTGAAACGTGGTCTCTGCTAAAAGTACAAACATTAGCCGGGTGTGGTGGCGGGCACCTGTAAGCCCAGCTACTGGGGAGGCTGAGGCAAGAGAATTGCTTGAACTTGGGAGGCGGAGTAGCTGGGCTTACAGGCACGTCCATGCTGGTCTCAAACCCCTGACCTCAAGTGATCCACCCGCCTCGGGCTCCCAAAGTGCTGGGATTAAGGCTGGGCCCAGTGTCAAGAGTTCAAGACCAGCCTGACCAAATGGAGAAACCCCATCTCTACTAAAAATACAAAATTA
The DNA here is from genome assembly GCF_000001405.40 of Homo sapiens. Lineage (NCBI taxonomy): Eukaryota > Metazoa > Chordata > Mammalia > Primates > Hominidae > Homo > Homo sapiens. The sequence goes on along the minus strand of NC_000001.11, from coordinate 11,050,684 downwards.
GCCGGGTGTGGTGGTGCATGCCTGTAATCCCAGCTACTAGGGAGGCTGAGGCAGGAGAATCACTGGAACCCAGGAGGCGGAGGTTGCAGTGAGCCGAGATCGCGCTATTGCACTCCAGCCTGGGCAACGAGCAAAACTCCATCTCAAAAAAAAAAAAAAAAAACAAACCACCAAAGTGCTGGGATTCCAGGTGTGAGCCACCGCATCTGGCCTTATGATAACATTTTATCTCCTACACAGCTTCTTGTTTTCCCTGGAGGTTCTTTTTTTGTTTGTTTCTCATTTACTTAGTTTTCAATAAATTTATCACTAATTTGGCCCCAAATTTTTCACCAATTCTCTAATGCTCCTTGGACTCAACAGGTGTTCTGTCATCGTCCCCTTTCTGGAGAAGCTGTCCAGAGCCTTCTCACCGCCCCCAATGGAGTCCCTTAGTGAATGGCATCTCTTGGACCTTATGTCTTCCTATTGAAACCACCCTTGCAAAATTATGACATAACCGACCCCATCCTGCTCCTGACCTCCAAGCTGACCCTGCTCATTCCTGGGTGTAGGCCCAGCTGACCGGCGGAGGAATTTAGAGTTTAACTTGAAACAAGAATAATAATAGTTCTCCCTAAAACTACTCTCTTCCCTGTTCGGGGGCTGAACCACCACCTTGGTAAGATTTTTTTTTTTGAGACGGAGTCTTGCTCTGTCACCCAGGCTGGAGTGCAGTGGCGCGAGCTTGGCTCACTGCAAGCTCCGCCTCCCGGGTTCACGCCATTCTCCTGCCTCAGCCTCCCAAGTAGCTGGGACTACAGGTGCCCACCACCACACCCGGCTAATTTTGTATTTTTAGTAGAGACGGGCTTTCACCGTGTTAGCCAGGATGGTCTCAATCTCCTGACCTCGTGATCCACCCACCTCAGCCTCCCAAAGTGCAGGGATTACAGGTGTGAGCCACCGTGCCCGGCCTCCACCTTGGCAAGATTAATGAGCAGTCACAAGACAGGTGTAGTTTCTTTCTTTCTTTTTCTTTTCTTTTTTTTTTTAAGATGGAGTCTCGGCTGGACATGGTGGCTCACGCCTGTAATCCCAGCACTTTAGGAGGCTGAGGCTGGCGGATCACAAGGTCAGGAGTTCGAGACCAGCCTGGCCAACATGGTGAAACCCTGTCTCTACTAAAAATACAAAAATTAGCCTGGCGTGTTGACACATGCCTCTAATCCTAGCTACCTGGGAGGCTGAGGCAGCAGAATCGCTTGAATCCAGGAGGTGGATGCTGCAATGAGCTGAGATCGTACCACTGCCCTCCAGCCTGGGACAGAGCGAGACTCCGTCTATTTTTTTTTTTTTTTTTTTTTTTTTTTGAGATGGAGTCTCGCTGTGTCCCAGGCTGGAGTGCAGTAGCACAATCTTGGCTCATTGCAGCCTCCAGGTTCAAGCGATTCTCCTGCCTCAGCCTTCCAGGTAGCTGGGATTACAGGCACGCAACACCATGCCCAGCTAAGTTTTGTATTTTTAGTAGAGATGAGGTTTAACTCCAAAATAATTCTTTTTCCTGATCTTTTGCATGTGATTTACTATTTGATTTTTCTCTTTCTCTTTGTTTGTAAAACATAATTATTCTCTCCAGTGTTTTTAAATATGTGTAAAGCTGTATTAATATTTTTATCTCCTTTTCTGGGCACTTGGGGCACACTTTCGATCAGTATCACGTTCTTCAGTTCTGGGAAATTTTCTTGCATTATTATTATTGCTATGTATGTATTTTTTGAGACAAAATCTTACTCTGTCACCCAGGCTGGAGTTCAATGGCATGAACATGGCTCACTGCAACCTTGAGACCTCCTGGGCTCAAGCGATTGTCCCATCTCAGCCTGCCAAGTAGCTGGGACTAAAGGTGCATGCCACCATGCCTGGCTAATTTAAAAAAATTTTTTTTTTTTTTAGAGACAAGGTCTTGCTATGTTGCCCAAGCTGGTCTTGAACTCCCGGTCTCAGGCGACCCACCTGCCTCAGCCTCCCAGCCTCCTGGGATTATGGGCAGGAGTCACTACACCCAGCCAGAGTCCCGGTCTCTAAAAGAAAATAGGCCAGGCATGGTGGCTCACGCCTGTAATCCCAGCACTTTGGGAGGCTGAGGCGGGTGGATCACCTGTGGTTGGGAGTTCGAGACCAGCCTGACCAACATGGAGAAACTCCGTCTCTACTAAAAATACAAAACTAGCCGGACGTGGTGGCGCATGCCTGTAATCCCAGCTACTCGGGAGGCTGAGGCAGGAGAATTGCTCGAACCCCGGAGGCAGAGGTTTGGTGGCTCACACCTGTAATCCCAGCACTTTGCGAGGCTGAGGCAGGTGCATCGCTTTGGCTCAGGAGTTCAAGACCAGCCTGGGCAACACAGGGAGACCCCCATCTCTACAAAAAACAAAAACAAATATAAAGGGGATAAAAAAAAAAAAAAGACAAGACATGAATCCATGAGGACAGAGTGTGGAAGAGGAAGCAGCAGCCTCAAAGTTCTGGAAGCTGGAAGAACAGATAAACAGGTGTGAAATAACTGCCTGGAAAGCAACTTCTTTTTTTTTTTTTTTTTTTTTGAGGTGGAGTCTCACTCTGTCGTCCAGGCTGGAGTGCAGTGGTGCGATCTCGGATCACTGCAACCTCCGCCTCCCAGGCTCAAGCAATTCTCCTGCCTCAGCCTCCCGAGTAGCTGGGATTATAAGTGCGCGCTGCCACACCTGGATGATTTTTGTATTTTTAGTAGAGATGGGATTTCACCATGTTGGTCAGGCTGGTCTCAAACTCCCAACCTCGTGATCCACCCACCTTGGCCTCCCAAAGTGCTGGGATTACAGGTATAAGCCACCGAGCCCAGCCAAAAGCGACTTCTAAGCCTGCAAGGGAATCGGGAATTGGTGGCACCAGGTCCTTCTGACAGGGTTTAAGAAATTAGCCAGCCTGAGGCTGGGCACGGTGGCTCACACCTGTAATCCCAGCACTTTGGGAGGCTAAGGCAGGTGGATCACCTGAGGGCAGGAGTTCAAGACCAGCCTGACCAACATGGAGAAACCCCATCCCTACCAAAAATAAAAAATTAGCCAGGTGTGGTGGTGCTCGCCTGTAATCCCAGCTACTTGGGAGGCTGAGGTGGGAGGATTGCTTGAACACAGGAAGTAGAGGCTGCAGTGAGCTATGATTGCAGCACTGCACTGAAGCCGGGGCAACAGAACAAGATCCAAAAAAAAGGGAGGGGTGAGGGGCAGAGCCAGGATTTGTTTCCAGGCTGTTGTTACCTAGGTCCGACTCCTGGCTCCCAGAGCAGCCTGTCCTGCCTGCCTGGAACTCTGAGCAGGCTGGAGTCATGGAGTCGATTCCCAGAATCCCAGAGTCAGGGAGGCTGGGGGCAGGGGCAGGTCACTGGACAAACAGATCAAAGGTGAGACCAGCGTAGGGCTGCAGACCAGGCCAGGCCAGCTGGACGGGCACACCATGAGGTAGGTGGGCGCCCACAGCCTCCCTGCAGGGTGTGGGGTGGGAGCACAGGCCTGGGCCCTCACCGCCCCTGCCCTGCCCATAGGCTGCTGACCCTCCTGGGCCTTCTGTGTGGCTCGGTGGCCACCCCCTTGGGCCCGAAGTGGCCTGAACCTGTGTTCGGGCGCCTGGCATCCCCCGGCTTTCCAGGGGAGTATGCCAATGACCAGGAGCGGCGCTGGACCCTGACTGCACCCCCCGGCTACCGCCTGCGCCTCTACTTCACCCACTTCGACCTGGAGCTCTCCCACCTCTGCGAGTACGACTTCGTCAAGGTGCCGTCAGGACGGGAGGGCTGGGGTTTCTCAGGGTCGGGGGGTCCCCAAGGAGTAGCCAGGGTTCAGGGACACCTGGGAGCAGGGGCCAGGCTTGGCCAGGAGGGAGATCAGGCCTGGGTCTTGCCTTCACTCCCTGTGACACCTGACCCCACAGCTGAGCTCGGGGGCCAAGGTGCTGGCCACGCTGTGCGGGCAGGAGAGCACAGACACGGAGCGGGCCCCTGGCAAGGACACTTTCTACTCGCTGGGCTCCAGCCTGGACATTACCTTCCGCTCCGACTACTCCAACGAGAAGCCGTTCACGGGGTTCGAGGCCTTCTATGCAGCCGAGGGTGAGCCAAGAGGGGTCCTGCAACATCTCAGTCTGCGCAGCTGGCTGTGGGGGTAACTCTGTCTTAGGCCAGGCAGCCCTGCCTTCAGTTTCCCCACCTTTCCCAGGGCAGGGGAGAGGCCTCTGGCCTGACATCATCCACAATGCAAAGACCAAAACAGCCGTGACCTCCATTCACATGGGCTGAGTGCCAACTCTGAGCCAGGGATCTGAGGACAGCATCGCCTCAAGTGACGCAGGGACTGGCCGGGCGCAGCAGCTCACGCCTGTAATTCCAGCACTTTGGGAGGCCGAGGCTGGCTGATCATTTGAGGTCAGGAGTTCAAGGCCAGCCAGGGCAACACGGTGAAACTCTATCTCCACTAAAACTACAAAAATTAGCTGGGCGTGGTGGTGCGCACCTGGAATCCCAGCTACTAGGGAGGCTGAGGCAGGAGAATTGCTTGAACCTGCGAGGTGGAGGCTGCAGTGAACAGAGATTGCACCACTACACTCCAGCCTGGGCGACAGAGCTAGACTCCGTCTCAAAAAACAAAAAACAAAAACGACGCAGGGGCCGAGGGCCCCATTTACAGCTGACAAAGTGGGGCCCTGCCAGCGGGAGCGCTGCCAGGATGTTTGATTTCAGATCCCAGTCCCTGCAGAGACCAACTGTGTGACCTCTGGCAAGTGGCTCAATTTCTCTGCTCCTTAGGAAGCTGCTGCAAGGGTTCAGCGCTGTAGCCCCGCCCCCTGGGTTTGATTGACTCCCCTCATTAGCTGGGTGACCTCGGGCCGGACACTGAAACTCCCACTGGTTTAACAGAGGTGATGTTTGCATCTTTCTCCCAGCGCTGCTGGGAGCTTGCAGCGACCCTAGGCCTGTAAGGTGATTGGCCCGGCACCAGTCCCGCACCCTAGACAGGACGAGGCCTCCTCTGAGGTCCACTCTGAGGTCATGGATCTCCTGGGAGGAGTCCAGGCTGGATCCCGCCTCTTTCCCTCCTGACGGCCTGCCTGGCCCTGCCTCTCCCCCAGACATTGACGAGTGCCAGGTGGCCCCGGGAGAGGCGCCCACCTGCGACCACCACTGCCACAACCACCTGGGCGGTTTCTACTGCTCCTGCCGCGCAGGCTACGTCCTGCACCGTAACAAGCGCACCTGCTCAGGTGAGGGAGGCTGCCTGGGCCCCAACGCACCCTCTCCTGGGATACCCGGGGCTCCTCAGGGCCATTGCTGCTCTGCCCAGGGGTGCGGAGGGCCTGGGCCCTGGACACTGGGTGCTTCTAGGCCCTGCTGCCTCCAGCTCCCCTTCTCAGCCCTGCTTCCCCTCTCAGCAGCCAGGCTCATCAGTGCCACCCTGCCCTAGCGACTGAGACTAATTCTAACATCCCACTGTGTACCTGGTTCCACCTGGGCTCTGGGAACCCCTCATGTAGCCACGGGAGAGTCGGGGGTATCTAGCCCTCGTTCCTTGGGACCTGGTTCCCTGGTTCCCTGCACTGTGGGACGGGCCAGTGCTCTGGGGCGTGGGCAGCCCCACCTGCTGGCGCTGACCCTGCCTCCCCCGACTCGGTTTCTCCCTCTCGGTGTCTCTCCTTGCCTCTCTGATCTCTCTTCCAGAGCAGAGCCTCTAGCCTCCCCTGGAGCTCCGGCCTGCCCAGCAGGTCAGAAGCCAGAGCCAGCCTGCTGGCCTCAGCTCCGGGTTGGGCTGAGATGGCTGTGCCCCAACTCCCATTCACCCACCATGGACCCAATAATAAACCTGGCCCCACCCCACCTGCTGCCACGTGTCTCTGGGGTGGGAGGGTCGGGAGGCGGCGGGGTGCGCTCCTCTCTGCCTACCCTCCTCACAGCCTCATGAACCCCAGGTCTGTGGGAGCCTCCTCCATGGGGCCACAGGCTCCTTGGCCTCACCCCCCGTTTTGAAGATGGGGCACTGAGGCCCGGAGAGGGGCAAGGCCTCGCTCGAGTCCAGGTCCCCAGAGGCTGAGCCCAGAGTAATCTTGAACCACCCCCATTCAGGGTCTGGCCTGGAGGAGCCTGACCCACAGAGGAGACACCCTGGGAGATATTCATTGAGGGGTAATCTGGTCCCCCGCAAATCCAGGGGTGATTCCCACTGCCCCATAGGGCACAGCCACGTGGAAGAAGGCAGGCAATGTTGGGGCTCCTCACTTCCTAGAGGCCTCACAACTCAAATGCCCCCCACTGCAGCTGGGGGTGGGGTGGTGGTATGGGATGGGGACCAAGCCTTCCTTGAGGGATAGAGCCCAGCCCAACACCCCGCCCGTGGCAGCAGCATCAGCTGTTCCAGCGAGGAAGGAGAGCACCAGACTCAGTCATGATCACTGTTGCCTTGAACTTCCAGGAGCAGCCCCCAGGGCAGGGGTCAGACCTGGGGAAAGGGGGTGATGAGAGACCCTTCTTCCGGATGGTTCCTCCAGGAACCCAGGGGGCTGGCTGGTCTTGGCTGGGTTCGGGTAGGAGACCCCTGATGAATAAACTTGGGAATCACTGGGGTGGCTGTAAGGGAATTTAGGGGAGCTCCGAAGGGGCCCTTAGGCTCGAGGAGATGCTCCTCTCTTTTCCCGAATTCCCAGGGACCAAGGAGAGTGTCCCTTCTTCCTCCTTCCTGTGTGTCCATCCACCCCCGCCCCCCGCCCCGGCAGAGCCTGGTGGAACTCAGTGCTCTAGCCCCTACCCTGGGGTTGCGACTCTGGCTCAGGACACCACCACGCTCCCTGGGGGTGTGAGTGAGGGCCTGTGCGCTCCATCCCGAGTGCTGCCTGTTTCAGCTAAAGCCTCAAAGCAAGAGAAACCCCCTCTCTAAGCGGCCCCTCAGCCATCGGGTGGGTCGTTTGGTTTCTGGGTAGGCCTCAGGGGCTGGCCACCTGCAGGGCCCAGCCCAACCCAGGGATGCAGATGTCCCAGCCACATCCCTGTCCCAGTTTCCTGCTCCCCAAGGCATCCACCCTGCTGTTGGTGCGAGGGCTGATAGAGGGCACGCCAAGTCACTCCCCTGCCTTCCCTCCTTCCAGCCCTGTGCTCCGGCCAGGTCTTCACCCAGAGGTCTGGGGAGCTCAGCAGCCCTGAATACCCACGGCCGTATCCCAAACTCTCCAGTTGCACTTACAGCATCAGCCTGGAGGAGGGGTTCAGTGTCATTCTGGACTTTGTGGAGTCCTTCGATGTGGAGACACACCCTGAAACCCTGTGTCCCTACGACTTTCTCAAGGTCTGGCTCCTGGGCCCCTCATCTTGTCCCAGATCCTCCCCCTCAGCCCAGCTGCACCCCCTACTTCCTGCAGCATGGCCCCCACCACGTTCCCGTCACCCTCGGTGACCCCCACCTCTTCAGGTGCTCTATGGAGGTCCAAGGCTGGGGCCTTCGAGTACAAGTGTGGGAGGCAGAGTGGGGAGGGGCACCCCAATCCATGGCCTGGGTTGGCCTCATTGGCTGTCCCTGAAATGCTGAGGAGGTGGGTTACTTCCCTCCGGCCCAGGCCAGACCCAGGCAGCTGCTCCCCAGCTTTCATGAGCTTCTTTCTCAGATTCAAACAGACAGAGAAGAACATGGCCCATTCTGTGGGAAGACATTGCCCCACAGGATTGAAACAAAAAGCAACACGGTGACCATCACCTTTGTCACAGATGAATCAGGAGACCACACAGGCTGGAAGATCCACTACACGAGCACAGGTGAGCAAGTGGGTCTCAGATCTTGGCTGGAAGCGCAGAGCTGCCCTCTCTCCTGGAGTGTCAAGGAGCTGTAGAGTGTAGGGCTCCTTCTGGGCCAGGACTAGGAAGGGACACCAGGTTTAGTGGTGTCTGAGGTCTGAGGCAGCAGTCTTCTAAGGGGAAGCACCCGCTGTCCCTCCCTCCAGCCAGCCACCCAGCCATCCTTCCACCACTCATTCTTCCAACCACCCATTCACCCATCCACTCATCCTTTTACCCACCCATCCTTCTGTCCACTCATCCTTCTGTCCCCTCATCCTTCCAACCATTCATCAATCCACCCACCCATCCATCCTTTTGTCCACACAACCATCCACCCATTCTTCTACCTACCCATCCTATCCATCCATCCTTCTATTCAGCCATCCTTCTACCACCCATCCTTCGTCCGTTCATCCATCCATCCATCCATCCATCCATCCATCCATCCATCCATCCAATCCATCTATCCATTCACTCATCCTTCTAACTATCCATTCTTCTATCATCAGTCCATTCATCCTTCCAGCTATCCATCTATTCATTCACCTATCCTTCTACCCACCCATTCTTCTATTCATCCACCCATCCACCCATCCTTCTACCCACTCATCCTTCTATCCACCCATCCTTCTACATATCCTTCTATCCATCCATCCATACACCCATCGTCCTGTCTGTCCATCCATCCATCCATCCTTCCATCCATGTATCCATGCATCCATCCATTCCTTCCAGCTATCCATATAGCCACCCACCCATCCTTCTACCTACCAATCTTATCCATCCACCCATCCACTCATCCTGCCAGCCATCCATCTATCCAACCACCCATTGTTCTACCTACTTATCCATCCATGCACCCATCCATCCATTCATCCATCCACCCATTCTTCCACCTATCCATCCACTTATACTTCTACCTACCCATCCTTCCATCCATCCATCCATCCTTCTATCCAACCACCCATCCACCCATCCTTCCACCCACCCATCCTTCTATCAACCCATCCTTCTACTCATCTACCCATCCACCCATCCTTCTACCTACACATACTTCTATCCATCCATCCATCCATCCACCCATTCTTCCATCCATCCACCCACCCACCCATTCTTCACCCATCCATCCATCCATCCATTCACCCATCCATCCACTCACCCATACTTCCAGCCATCCATCTATCCATTCACTCATCCTTCTACCTACCCATCATTCCATCCATCCATCCATCCATCCATCCATCCATCCATCCACCATCCATCCACCCACCCACCCACTTATTCTTCTGTCTACTCATCCTTCTATTCATCTGTCCATCCACCCATTTGTCTATCTACACATCCTTCTATCTATCCACCCATCCACCCATCCTTCCAGCTGTCCATCTATGCACCCACCCATCCTTCTACCTACCAATCCATCCATCCATCCATCCATCCATCCATCCACTCATCCATCCATCCATCCATCCATCCATCTGCCAATTCTTCCAGACACCTATCTATCCATCCATCATCCTTCTACCTACCCATCCTTCCATTTATCCATCCATCCATCCTTCTATCCATCTACTCACCCATCCATCCTTCCATCCACTCATCCTTCTATCCACCCATCCTATTCATCTACCCATCTACCCTTCCTTCTACCAACACATCCTTCCATCCATCCATCCAATTCATCTACCCATCTACCCTTCCTTCTACCAACACATCCTTCCATCCATCCATCCATCCATCCATCCATCTATCCATCCTTCTATCCATCCACCTACCCACCCATCCTTCCACCCACCCATCCTTATATTCATCTACCCATCCACATATTCATCTACCCATCCACCCATCCTTCTGCCTACACATTCTTCTATCTATCCATCCATCCATCCATCCATCTTTCCAGCTATCTATCTACCCACCCATCCTTCTACTTACCAATCCTATCCATGCACCCATTCTTCTACCTACCTACCCATCCATCCATCCATCCATCCACCCACCCATTCTCCCAGTCATCCATCTGTCCACTCATTCTTCTACCTACCCATCTTTCTATCCATCCATCCATCCTTTATCCACCCACCCACCCATTCTTCTATTAATCTACCCATCCACCCAGTCTTCTACCTACACATCCATCCATCCATCCATCCATCTTTCCAGCTGTCCATCTATCCACCCACCCATTATTTTACCTACCAATCCTATCCATCCATCCATATACCCATCCATCCATCCTTTCAGCCATCCCTCTTTCCATTCACCCATTATTCTACCTACCAATCCTATCCATCCATCCACCCACCCATCCATTCATCCATCTACCCATTCTTTCAGCCATTCACCCACCCACCCTATCCATCCATCCGTTTTTTTTTTTTTTTTTTTAGACAAAGACTTGCTCTGTTGCCAGGCTGGAGTGCAGTGGCACAATCTCAGCTCACTGCAACCTCTGCCTCCTGGAACAAGCAAGTCTCCTGCCTCAGCCTCTAGAATAGCTGAGATTACAGGCATGCGCCACCATGCCCAGCTAATTTTTATATTTTTAGTAGAGGCAGAGTTTCACCATGTTGGACAGAATGGTCTTGATCTCTTGACCTCGTGATCCATCCGCCTTGGCCTCCCGAAGTGCTGGGATTACAGGCGTGAGCCACCGCGCCCAGCCCCATCCATCCATCCTTCTGTACATCTACCCACCCACCTACCCATCCTTCCATCCACCCATCCTTCTAGCCATCCATTCCTCTATTCATCCAACCATCCACCCATCCTTCTACCTACACATCCTTCTATGTATCCATCCATCCTTCCAACTGTCCATCTACCCACCCACCCATTCTTCTGCCTACCAATCCTATCCCTCATTCATCCACCCACCCATCCATTTACCCATCCGCCCATTCTTACAGCCATTCACCCACCCACCCATCCTATCCATCTATCCATCCATCTATCCATCCATCCATCCATCCATCCATCCATCCATCCTTCTATCCACCTACCTACCCACCCACCCATCCTTGCATCCACCCATCCTTCTATCTATCCATTCTTCTATTCATCCAACCATCCACCCGACCTTCTACCCACACATCCTTCTATCTATCCATCCATCCATCCTTCCAGCTATCCATCTATCCACCCACCCATCCTTCTACCTACCAATCCTATTCTTCCATCCATCCATGCATCCATTCATCCATCCACCCATCCACCTATATATCCACCCATATATCCATCCATCCATCCATCCATCATCCATCCATCCTTCCAGCCATCCATCTATCCATCCACCCATCCTTCTACCTACAGATCCCACCCATCCATCCATTCATCCATTCATTCTTTCATCCATCCTTCCAGCCATTCATCTGTCCATCCACCCATTCTTCTACCTTACTTATCTTTCTATCCAGCCAGCCATCTATCCATACACCCATCCTTCTGCCTACCAGTCCTTCTATCCACCAATCTATCCATCCATCCATCCATCCATCCATCCATCCATCCATCCATCCATCCACCATCCTTCCATCCACCCATCATTCCATCCTATGGATGTCTACTAGGGATATGTAACGTGGAAGCCACAGTTCTCACAGCCTCTGCTCAGTCCAGTAAGGGAACAGTCACAGAAACATAACCAGAGCCCTGTGGCAAGCACAGCCTAGAGCCAAGCACTGGGCAATGTGAGAGTCCAAAGGAGGACCTCACCAGACAGGGGCTAGGAGCTAGGAAGCTATCCTTGAATAGGAAATGCTGAGATTGAATTTAAAGGATAAGTGGGTGTTGGACAGAGTTCTAGGTGGCAGAAGAGTTCTAGGTGGCAGAAGAGTATGTGCAAAAGCCCAGAGGCTTCACTCTTCAGGGTGTGGAGCTGTGGAAGTTGAAGTGTGGGTATGAGTTGGGGCAGGGGAAAAAGGAGTTCTGACCATGGAGTGTTGCACCAGAGCCACAGCTTCAGCAGTTTGCAGCCAGGATCTACACACTCTGCCTCTCAGGACCACCCCCACTGGCCCTGGCTCTGCCCTCTGAGGCCCTGCCAGAACTTCCACCACCTCTTCGTCGTGACAGACACTCAAGTGCTAGAAGCCCTGGGCCTCCACAGGTCCACCAAGGCTGTCCCTGGAGATTGATTCCTCAAGGGGAGACTTTGGGACCTGCATGGGACTGAGAGCTTCCCCAGGCCACAGGCTGGGTCAGGGGCACCCAGGTGCACCCAGCTGCCCCAGCAGCTTGGCAGGGATCACTGGATGCTAGCAGGTGCTGGAGGGAGGAGAGGACTCCGAAACTGACCAGTGGGTTTTTAGGGGCAGCTGGGGAGCACTGAAGCCTTGGGGTGAGTGGAGGCCAGGGTTTGGGGGCCAGAGTGGAATGCAGCTCATGAGGGGAAGCCTGAGGCTCCCCAAATCAGCCTGGATCTTTAGTTTCAAGTCTGTCAGCCGGTTTTTCTCCCCATGCCATAACAGCTGTCCTATGGGGCTGCTGTGAGGGTTGATTACAGCTCCGCCAAGAACTAGCCTAGGTGCTTTGTATTTGATCTTCACAACAGCCCTGGGGCAACTATTATCGTCAACCGCCCCCCATCTTGCAGATGAAGAAACTGAGACTCAGAGAGGTTACACATAACCATGGGGAAATGGAGAGCTAGGATTTAAACACAGCTCCAGTCCCATGCAAGTCCCAAAGCCTCCCCTGAGCTCTTTTCCTCGGAGTTACACTCTCTCTTGGTTTTGAGCCATGGCTCTGAAGTTCCTGGCATGGAGCAGATGTTCTATTTGTGGGGACTGCACCATCTTCCCACATAACCCAGCTTTCTCACATACCTTTTGCTCAGTCCCAGGGAAAACAAGAAACCTTAATTTGCAAAAGCACCTGAGAGTTTAATCTTGCCTTTGGTTTTAAAGAACCCTACCCCACGTATGGTGAGCTCTCTTTACATGTTAAGTATTCTTTATAAACTAAGAACTTCAGATGGCTCGATTCAGTCTTGGCTGCTGTAGACCACATGAAAACCAACAAGCCTGGTTTCCTCTGCGCAGCGCAGCCTTGCCCTTATCCGATGGCGCCACCTAATGGCCACGTTTCACCTGTGCAAGCCAAATACATCCTGAAAGACAGCTTCTCCATCTTTTGCGAGACTGGCTATGAGCTTCTGCAAGTGAGTTAAAACAAAGTACACCACGATCAATGACGATTGCTTTGAAATGTAAACATATTTCTATCTGCAGATATGTGAAAGGAAAGTGAGAAAATCGTGTGTCAGCATGATTTCTTTTGTCTATCTTTAAATGATAAAAAGCCAAGAAATAAGTTTTCAGAGGACAAAAAGGATGGCTATGGAAAATGTGATTCTGAATCCCGCCCTTTTTTCTTTCTTTCTTTATACTTAACTTTAAATTTACATAAGCGAGCCCTTTGTTTTAAAGCTAGTTTGGAAAGCTGGTGATTAAAATGGGCAACTTGGCCAGGCGCGGTGGCTCACACCTGTATTCCCAGCACTTTGGGAGGCAGAGGCAGGCAGATCACTTGAGGCCAGGAGTTCAAGACCAGCCTGGCCAACGTGGTGAAACCCCGTCTCCACTAAAAATACAAAAATTAGATGAGGTAGTAGCCCCGTCTCCACTAAAAATACAAAAATTATTAGGTGGCGGGCGCCTGTAATCCCAGCTACTCGGGTGGCTGAGGCAGGAGAATCACTTGAGCCTGGGAGGCGCAGGTTGCGGTGAGCCGAAATCACACCACTGCACTCCAGCCTGGGTGACAGAGCAAGACTCTGTCTCAAAAAAATATATAAAATAAAATAAAACGGGCAACTTTTCTGTTGGTCACACACGACAGCAGCTCTTTGTGAAGTGGCTGGAATGACAGAAAGATGAGTTTGCTATCCTGTTCCATGTGCCCAGTCTTGCATCAAATTAAAGTTCTCCCCCTGGTCAAATGACCTTTCCATGAAACAACTCCTGGGCCCACAAAAAAGTAGACAGCCCCGGGAAAGAGTATATTCTGCAAAGTTATAAATAGTGGTCACTGTTAAGGGAGGAGTATAATTTTAAAAAATGCTTAGCGTGTTGCTTTAGGGGCACAGGTAAGAAATTAACACGTCCTCTTTATGTTCTTCAAAATTGTCATGGAATCCCAGTGGTAAAAAGTAATAACATTGGAACGATAGCTAGGTATGCAATCCACAGTCCTGTGGCGGGTCAAAAAAAAAAAAAAAAAAAGAGAGACACTTTTCCCACCTTGCAAACTTCTTGTGCAGGCTCTTTTCCACAGCTCCTCGGACCACAGACTTCTTTAGTTTCTTTTTTTTTTGTTTTTTTTTTTTTTTTTTTTTTTTTTTGAGACGGAGTCTCGCTCTGTCGCCCAGGCCGGACTGCGGACTGCAGTGGCGCAATCTCGGCTCACTGCAAGCTCCGCTTCCCGGGTTCACGCCATTCTCCTGCCTCAGCCTCCCGAGTAGCTGGGACTACAGGCGCCCGCCACCGCGCCCGGCTAATTTTTTGTATTTTTAGTAGAGACGGGGTTTCACCTTGTTAGCCAGGATGGTCTCGATCTCCTGACCTCATGATCCACCCGCCTCGGCCTCCCAAAGTGCTGGGATTACAGGCGTGAGCCACCGCGCCCGGCGACTTCTTTAGTTTCTGACTTAACACAAGAAGACCTGAAATCCTTTGCGGCACAGGGTTTCTGCCAAAGCCATCTTCTTTTATTTTAATGTTTGATTTTAGAAAAACATTATCTTAGCAAGTCGAAAAATGTTTCCCTGTGAATGACGCTGGCGGTGAAAGCTGATGGACAGCACACAGACGAAGCTCACAAAAGAACTCTTAGTAGCCCTCCTCCAGCTAATGGCCACCAGCTAGACAGATACACAGACACACTTGCAAGTCTGATCACACCTGCTTTCTCAAACTTGTCACCACAGTCCTCTGGCTTTTTTTTTTTTTTTTTTTTTTGGACAGGGTCTCACTTTGTCACCCAGGCTGGAGTGCAGTGGCACGATCACAGCTCACCACAGCCTTGACCTCTCAGGCTCAAGCAATCCTCTCACCCCAGCCTCCCAAGTAGCTGGGACTACAGGCAAGCGCCAACACGCCCGGCTAACTTTTGTCTTTTTTGTAGAGGTGGGGGTCTCACTATGTTGCCCAGGCTGGTCTTGAACTTCTGAGCTCAAGCAATCCTCCCACCTCGGCCTCCCAATGTGCTGGGATTACAGGTGTGAACCACTGCGCCTGGTCCTCTGTCACTTTATATAAAGAAATGGTGGAACATCAGATGCAGAAATGTTGAGATATGATGATGATGATGATGATGATGATGATTTGAGACAGGGTCTCACTCTATCACCTAGGCTGGAGTGCAGTGTTGCAATATCGGCTCACTGCAACCCCCGCCTCACAGGTTCAAGCAATTCTCCTGCCTCAACCTCCTGAGGAGCTGGGATTACAGGTGCACGCCACCATGCCAGGCTAATTTTTTGTATTTTTTTAGTAGAGACAGGGTTTCACCATGCTGGCCAGGCTGGTCTTGAACTCCTCACCTCAAGTGATCCACCCGCCTTGGTCTCCAGGAGTGTCGGGATTACAGGCATGAGCCACCGCACCTGGCTGAGATCTGATATGTTTTTGTATTAGGGTGAAAAGCAAAAAAAAAATTATAAATTGCTGCAAAGGTTCCATCTGATTCATAAAATGCCAATACCTGTTGAGTGATGAAATACGTAACCTAGGTGGCATAGACGTGCACCGAGGCGGTGGGGCAGTGCGTCCATGTGCCAGGCATCCCCCCAACCCCAGCACACGCAGATACTAGTCATGTGTGCTGCCACCCCCTTCAGGAGCACCTCGTAAAACACTAGAATAGGAACTGCTGTGAGAGCACAGCTTTGGGGAGTGATTTTATGATATAAACAAGGAAATTAATATATTCTGAATTCTTCTTTAGGGTCACTTGCCCCTGAAATCCTTTACTGCAGTTTGTCAGAAAGATGGATCTTGGGACCGGCCAATGCCCGCGTGCAGCAGTACGGTCGTGTGGTGACTACAGGCCCCATAACCGCCCGGAACTCCCTCTGCTGCTACTGTTGCTGCTTCTATTGCTTCTCTGGTTTTCTGTTTACTTTCTTTTTTCTTTCCCTTTTTTTTTTTTTTCTGAGACAGGGTCTTGCTCTGTTGCCCAGACTGGAGTGCAGCGGTGTGATCTCGGCTCACTGCAATTTCTATCTTTCCAGGCTTAAGCAATCCTCCTGCCTCAGCCTCCTGAGTAGCTGGGACCACAGGCACCTGACACCACGCCTGGCTAATTTTTGTATTATTTGTAGAGACAGAGTTTTGCCATGTTGCCCAGGCTGGTCTCGAACTCCTGACCTCAAGTGATCCACCGGTCTCAGCCTCCCAAAGTGCTAAGATTACAGGCGTGAGCCACTGTGCCCGGATCCTTGGTTTTTTTTTTTTAATGATCCATTTATCAGCCCTTGAATTTCAAATTTGCTTCTTTTTACTCATCTCTCAGTGCATTCTTAGAGGTTAAAACAGAACCAACCTACTAGGGAAGGTATGTGCTTTAGAAAAATATGTTCTTTGACAAGGTTTTTTTTTTTTTTTTTTTCTGAGAAGGGTCTCATTCTGTTGCCCAGGCTGGAGTACAGTGGTACAATCTCAGATCACTGCAACCTCTGTCTCCTGGGTTCAAGCGATTCTCCCACGTCAGCTACCCCCAGGAGCTGGGAGGCACTACCAGCACATGTCACTACACCCGGCTAATTTTTGTATTTTTAGTAGAGATGGGGTTTCACCATGTTGGCCAGGCTGATCTCGAACTCCTGACCTCAGGTGATCTGCCCACCTGGGCCTCCCAAAGTGTGTGAGAGAGAGAGAGAGAGAGAGTGTGTGTGTGTGTGTGTGTGTGTGTGTGTGTGTGTGTGTCGGAGTCTCACTCTGTCACCCAGGCTGGAGTGCGGTGACAATCTCGGCTCACTGCAACCTCTGCCTCCCGGGTTCAAGAGATTCTCATGCCTCAGCCTCCTGAGTAGCTAGGATTACAGGCACATGCCACCACGCACGGCTAATTTTTGTATTTTTTTGGTAAAGACGAGGTTTCACCATGTTGGCCAGGCTGGTCTCAAACTCCTGACGTCAAGTGATCTGCCCGCCTCAGGCTTCCAAAGTGTGTTCTTTGACAATATTTTTTTCTTTTTTTTCTTTTTGGAGACGGAGTCTCACTCTGTTGCCCAGGCTGGAGTGCGGTGGTGCAATCTTGGCTCACTGCAACCTCTGCCTGCTGAGTTCAAGCAATTCTCCTGCCTCAGCTTCCTGAGTAGCTGAGACTACAGGCACACACCGCCACACCTGGCTAAGTTTTTGTATTTTAGTAGAGATGGTATTTCACCGTGCTGCCCAAGCTGGTCTTGAACTCCTGAGCTCAGGCAACCCACCTGCCTCGGCCTCCCAAAGCGCTAGTAGTACAGGCATGAGCCACAGCGCCCAGCCTGACAATATTTTTTTCTTTTTCTTTTTTTTTTTGGAGACGCAGTTTTGTTCTTGTTGCCCAGGCTGGAGTACAATGGCGTGATCTTGGCTCACCGCAACCTCTGCCTCCCAGGTTCAAGCGATTCTCCTGCCTCAGCCTCCCTAGTAGCTGGGATTACAGGCATGTGCTACCACGCCCGGCTAATTTTGTATTTTTAGTAGAGACGGGGTTTCTCCATGTTGGTCAGGCTGGTCTCGAACTCCCGCCCTCAGGGGATCCACCCACCTTGGCTTCCCAAAGTGCTGGGATTACACGCATGAGCCACCGCGCCCGGCCGACAATATTTTTCTAAGTATGAAAGCAACAATATTCATGGTAGAAGATGGAAAATACAGAAAATTATGAACATCTTAATACCTGTAATACCACCATATGCAAGTATAATCATTACTTTTTAATATTTATTTATTTTTTGAGACGGAGTCTTGTTCTGTCACCCAGGCTGGAGTGGAGTGGCGCCATCTCGGCTCACTGCAACCTCCTTCTCCCGGGTTCAAGTAATTATCCTGCCTCAGCCTCCCAAATAGCTGGGATTACAAGCACTTCCCACCAAGCCCAGCTAATTTTTCTATTTTTAGTAGAGACGAGGTTTCACCATGTTGGCCAGGCTGGTCTTGAACTCCTGACTTCAAGTGATCCACCTGCCTTGGCCTCCCAAAGTGTTGGGATTACAGGCGTGAGCCACCGTGACCAGCCACTTTTTTTTTTTTTTTTGACGGGGTCTCATTCTGTCACCCAGGCTGGAGTGCAGTGGCACAATCTCGACTCACTGAAACCTCTGCCTCCTGGGTTCAAGCAATTCTCCTGCTTCAGCTTCCCCAGTAGCCGGGATTACAGGCGCCCGCCACCACACCCAGTAATTTTTTTAGTTTTAGTAGAGGCAGGGTTTCACCATGTTGCCCAGGCTTGTCTCCAACTCCTAATCTCAAGTGATCCACCCACCTTGGCCTCCCAAAGTGCTGCAATTACAGGTGTGAGCCACCAGGCCCGGCCTAATCGTTACCGTTTTGGTGTGTGTCCCTCCAATTACACACAATTCACATGTGTGAGCAAGTATACACTATTGTATGTAGAAAAGGGGGGCAATTTTATGTGGTAATACACACACCCCAAACTGGGATAATGATCAACCATACCTCATGTGACACACCCTCAAACTCCCGGGCTCAAGTGATCCTCCTGTCTCAGCCTCCTCAGTAGCTTGGACTACAGGCACGTGCCACATACCCAGCTCCTTTTAAATTTTTGGTAGAGATGGGGTCTCACTATGTTGCCCAGGCTGCCCTGGCCTCTCTTGAGTGCTGGGATTACACGTGTGAGCCGTGCCCAGTGAGCTTTAGAAAGACTTCCAGGTCTTTCTAAAAACTTCAATTTATTAAAAGGATCAGAAGAATAAGCTGAATTTTTTGTTTTGGAGACAAAGTCTCTATCACCCAGGCGGTAGTGCAGTGGTGTGATCATAGCTCACTGCGGCCTCATCCTCCCAGGCTCAAGCCATCCTCCTGCTTCAGCCTCCTGAGTAGCTGAGACCACGCCACCAAGCCCAGCCAATTTACCTTTTGTAGAGAGGGTTTCGCTATTGCCCAGACTGGTCCTGAACTCCTGGTCTCAAGTGACCCTCCCACTTTGGCCTCCCAAAATGCTGATTACAGGTTTGAACCACCGAGCCCAGCTCCTCCAATCTTACTATCGTGTCCTTTTCTACCCTTACTGCCTTCTAAATTGCAACCTTTTACATTGAACCTGTGCCATGTCATGTGCTGTTCCGCTGCAGCCTTTTTTTTTTTTTTTTTTAAGACAGAGTCTTGCTCTGTCACCCAGGCTGGAGTGAAGTGGTGCCATCTTGGCTCTCTGCAAGCTCCGCCTCCCGGGTTCATGCCATTCTCCTGCCTCAGCCTCCCGAGTAGCTGGGACTACAGGCGCCCGCTACCACGCCTGGCTAATTTTTTTTTTTTGTATTTTTAGTAGAGACGGGGTTTCACCGTGTTAGCCAGGATGGTCTCCATCTCCTGACCTTGTGATCTGCCCGCCTCGGCCTCCCAAAGTGCCGGGATTACAGGCATGAGCCATCGCGCCCGGCCGCAGATCTTTCTTATATTTGACATGAGGGTGCTAAGGAGCTCTGGGTGGTTTCAAATTCCCTTTCTCTAGGAAAGGCAGCACACCTCTTCCTCCACATGGACGACTCCCCCTCAGTTCAGCCATTTAGTTACCTCCCACCTCAGCCTCTCAAGTAATTGGGACAACAGGCACGTGCCACCATGCTCGGCTTTTTAACCTTTCGTAGAGAGGGGGTCTTGCCATGTTGCCCAGGCTGGTCTCAAACTCCTGAGCTCAAGGGATTTGCCCGCCTCAGCCTCCCAAAGGTGCTTCTCCAGACCTTTGGAAAGTTAGCACTGAAATGATCAATGGATTCCTCCCTCCCATGCTTCTTTCTTAGTTGTTGACTGTGGCCCTCCTGATGATCTACCCAGTGGCCGAGTGGAGTACATCACAGGTCCTGGAGTGACCACCTACAAAGCTGTGATTCAGTACAGCTGTGAAGAGACCTTCTACACAATGAAAGTGAATGATGGTATGCAAATTCTTCAAAGTTGGGGGTGGGCAATACTTGGAACTTGAGCCCCCATGGTCTGAAAATAAACTTTAACCAACATTTTTGGCTAAGGCTAGACAAAAGATTAAAAGCCACTTCTCCCATCCGCTAAGTGAAATATTATAGCTAAAGTGACTTTAATGTCAATTTGCAAAAATCTGAAAACAGATCTAGTAAATGACTACTACAAACACACAATGTATTCCAAATGGTTTAATTTAACAAGTCAACACCTTATCATTAAGCACTTGAGATCTTGATACATATTCAAGTTACACATCTAAAAGGTTTCCACTTTGCAAGCAAACATGGTAATGCAGAGACCTCCTATTTATGAAATCATGTAAAATGGTTCTTCAGACACCTCTATGTCCCACTGATGCTCAAGAATCAACATTTTTCAAGGGGGTATTCAAGCAAATGACAACCATCTTATACATGCAGTTAAACATTTTTGCTTTTCCAATGATTTGCAGGTAAATATGTGTGTGAGGCTGATGGATTCTGGACGAGCTCCAAAGGAGAAAAATCACTCCCAGTCTGTGAGCCTGGTAATGGATACATTTATACAAGAGACTGGTAATTGATGGAAAGGAGGACTGGGTAGGAGACAGTGAGGAGAGCTTTAGCTGTGGTAGGCAGAAATGTAACTTCAGCACTTGGCTCTTAGGCTGTTATTATTTCCAAATAGTATGTTCTCATTACCCCCTTCCCATATACAGAGGTTGTTAGGTGCTGACTGCATCAGTCATTTGATTCTCTTTGACCTTATAACTAGGCAAGCATAAAAAATTAAATGATTTTTAGGCCAGGTGTGGCTCACGCCTGTAATCCCAGCACTTTGGGAGGCCGAGGCAGGTGGGTCACCTGAGGCCAGCCTGACCAGCATGGAGAAACCCCGTCTCTAATAAAAATACAAAATTAGCCGGGTGTGGTGGTACATGCCTGTAATCCCAGCTACTCGAGCGGCTGAGGCAGAATTGCTTGAACCCAGGTGGTGGAGGTTGCGGTGAGCCCAGATCGCACCATTATACTCTAGCCTGGGCAACAGTAGTGAAATTCCATATCCAAAAAAAAAAAAAAAAAAAAAAAGATTTTAAAAATTATCTTGACCAACTTATACATTTATAAACACAAGTTCTTCTGTTGAGTTACTATTCTATGTTAAAATGCTATTAAAACCCAAAGCAAATAATTTCCCCAAGCAATTGTTTTCAACATCTAGTTTTTAAACATCAATGCAATCTGCCTTTTAATAGTACTTTTTTTTTTAACCAGAATTGGCTCCAAAGATAATAGTTGAGTAGAATTATTATTATTATTTTTTGAGACGGAATCTCGCTCTCTTGCCAGGTTGGAGTGCAGTGGCGCAATCTCGGCTCACTGCAACCTCCCCCTCTGTAGAATGATTTAAAAAAACAAATCAGGGCCAGGCATGGTGGCTCACGCCTGTAATCCCAGCACTTTGGGAGGCCAAGGCGGAAAGATCACGAGGTCAGGAGATCGAGACCATCTTGGCCAACATGGTGAAACTCCGTCTCTACTAAAAAAAAAAAAATACAAAAAATTAGCCTGGTGTGGTGGCAGGCGCCTGTAGTCCCAGCTACTCGGGAGGCTGAGGCAAGAGAATGGCGTGAACCCGGGAGGTGGAGCTTGCAGTGAGCCAAGATTGCGCCACTGCACTCCAGCCTGGGCAACAGAGCGAGACTCTGTCTCAAAAAAAAAGAGAAAAAGAAAAAAAAAGTCAGCACTTTGGGAGGCTGAGGCGGGCAGATCGTGAGGTCAGGAGATCAAGACCAGTCTGGCTAAAACGGTGAAACCCCATCTCTATTAAAAATACAAAAAATTAGCCAGGTGTGGTGGCGTGTGCCTGTAGTCCCAGCTACTCAGGAGGCTGAGGCAGGAGAATGGCATGAACCTGGGAGGCAGAGCTTGCAGTGAGCCAAGATTGTACCACTGCACTCCAACCTGGGTGACAGAGCGAGACTCTGTCTCAAAAAAAAAAAAAAAAAAAAAAAAAGAAAAAAAACCCAGAAAGATAGTAATATATTAATTACCCTTGTGTTATTTGGCTCAAATTAGTTTTTTTAAACCTGTATTTGGCTAACACAACGTCTGTAGGTATTAATGCAAGTACACTACCACAACAGCAAACATATATGCTACATTAATGGGCGTATTTAATTTGCAATAAAGATACAATAAAACTTAGTTTGGAAGAATCAACTAGACCAAAAATAAAATTTTGGAATCCACAGGGTCCTAGCCACAACTGCAACATTCTAATTTCTAAAACATTTGTATGTTCAAAGGTAAAAGTAATTTTGCAAATCCTGATACTGACTTTAGTTCCTGCTTTCCTAGGATTACATAAATACCCATTTTACAAGTAGGAAAACAGAAACAATGAAAAGGTTATATCCTTCTAATTCCTATGCACATCATCCAGTCCATCTGCTCAGACAATGCCTGCTTGCCCTGTTAATTTTCCTAATCTCCTTTTTTTTTTGAGATGGAGTTTTGCTCTTACCAGGCTAGAGTGCAGTGGTGTGACTTGTCTTACTGCAACCTCCGCCTCCCAGGTTCAAGCAACTCTCCTGCCTCAGCCTCCCAAGTGGCTGGGATTACAGGTGCCCATCACCACGCCCGGCTAATTTTTGTGTATGTAGTAGAGACAGGGTCTCACCATGTTGGCCAGGCTGGTCTCAAACTCCTGACCTCAGGTGATCCACCCATCTCAGCCTCCCAAAGTGCTGGGATTACAGGTGTGACACTGCACCCGGCCAATTTTCCCAATCTTATAGACCAAATTATTTTAGCAAAACAAAATAACTTCTAAAAGTCAGTTTTCACTAATCTCATTTTCTGAGGAGCTAAGAAATACCAAAAGGTTTTATCAGGTGTTTGAACTGTGATGTTTTAAAATAGCCTCACTTGCCTGTATAGGTAGTCACCCACCAATTCATGTAATATAATTTTTGGTTGACATCAAATATATACTTCAAGGCGGTCATAATTTAAGAAAAACACGATTGACATTTTTACAAAGGCTCTCTACCTATCTGCTTCTTTCTCCAGTTTGTGGACTATCAGCCCGCACAACAGGAGGGCGTATATATGGAGGGCAAAAGGCAAAACCTGGTGATTTTCCTTGGCAAGTCCTGATATTAGGTGGAACCACAGCAGCAGGTGCACTTTTATATGACAACTGGGTCCTAACAGCTGCTCATGCCGTCTATGAGCAAAAACATGATGCATCCGCCCTGGACATTCGAATGGGCACCCTGAAAAGACTATCACCTCATTATACACAAGCCTGGTCTGAAGCTGTTTTTATACATGAAGGTTATACTCATGATGCTGGCTTTGACAATGACATAGCACTGATTAAATTGAATAACAAAGTTGTAATCAATAGCAACATCACGCCTATTTGTCTGCCAAGAAAAGAAGCTGAATCCTTTATGAGGACAGATGACATTGGAACTGCATCTGGATGGGGATTAACCCAAAGGGGTTTTCTTGCTAGAAATCTAATGTATGTCGACATACCGATTGTTGACCATCAAAAATGTACTGCTGCATATGAAAAGCCACCCTATCCAAGGGGAAGTGTAACTGCTAACATGCTTTGTGCTGGCTTAGAAAGTGGGGGCAAGGACAGCTGCAGAGGTGACAGCGGAGGGGCACTGGTGTTTCTAGATAGTGAAACAGAGAGGTGGTTTGTGGGAGGAATAGTGTCCTGGGGTTCCATGAATTGTGGGGAAGCAGGTCAGTATGGAGTCTACACAAAAGTTATTAACTATATTCCCTGGATCGAGAACATAATTAGTGATTTTTAACTTGCGTGTCTGCAGTCAAGGATTCTTCATTTTTAGAAATGCCTGTGAAGACCTTGGCAGCGACGTGGCTCGAGAAGCATTCATCATTACTGTGGACATGGCAGTTGTTGCTCCACCCAAAAAAACAGACTCCAGGTGAGGCTGCTGTCATTTCTCCACTTGCCAGTTTAATTCCAGCCTTACCCATTGACTCAAGGGGACATAAACCACGAGAGTGACAGTCATCTTTGCCCACCCAGTGTAATGTCACTGCTCAAATTACATTTCATTACCTTAAAAAGCCAGTCTCTTTTCATACTGGCTGTTGGCATTTCTGTAAACTGCCTGTCCATGCTCTTTGTTTTTAAACTTGTTCTTATTGATCTCTGTAAGTGCTTTATATATTATGGCAGTACTGATTGAGGAATAACCTTGAATCCTTTTTTTGGGTAGGTAGGTTGGAAACACTGATACTTCAGCCCAGGTATTGACTAAAATTTCCATGTTAAAAACCAATACTACAGAATGGTGGGATACAATTATTCACTTATCAAATTGTCAGACAAAAGGAACGTGAATAGTAGTACTATTTCACATTGTTAAAGACAACATAAACTTCCCAAGGACTATTTGGCAATACATTTTAAGCAAGACCAGGCATGTTCAGGGAGGGTGGCAGGCCACAGACTGGCAATACATTTCAAAAGCCCTTAAAAAGCATGCATAATCTTTGACCTAGCAATTCCAATGCTAAGAATTTATTTTAGCAGTAAGGATATTCCCAGCAATTGGAAATAACCTGAATAATGTTCAAATTCAGAAGACTGAATCAAAACATGGCATTTCCACAAGATGAAAAGTGGCATTAGAAATAAGTGGTGACATTATAGAGAAATCTGTATTTTTCCTCTTTACAATGAACATGAAATACTTGGGCACAGTGATGCCTAACAAAAGCACACATCACACAACAGTTAAGTACAGAACCCTAATACACACTTAGGGGCTACTTTGCTCATACTCAACAACAACAAAATCATTCTTACTGTTACACATTATCTCTTGGATTACGGAGTAGTTAACTTCCTACTTTTTCCTACTAAGGACACAACTTAAGTGCTGATTTAACTTTAAAAATCTCATTTGGTTTTAGCTGGCTATTCCTTCCTAAAAGGTTTTAATAGCTAACATTCAAGTTTTTCAGTCTAACTAAAAGTTACCATTCCATGTAAAAGCTTACTGTGAGTCTTGGCCTCATTTCTCTTGTGCATATGAAGTACAACTTCTTGAGACTCAATTTTTATTATTTTCTTTTTTCTTTAGAGACTCAATTTTTAAAGGTAACTTTCCAGCATCTGTATATCACATATAAAAAGAAATCGTGTTTTTCCAGTAAGACTCCAGACACTAAACTGTGGTGTCAAAAAAAAATTTTATTTATCTGGTTCAAAAAATTTTTTAGAATGAATGCATTTAGATTGACCAAATAGATTTTTAAAAACAAATCTTTGCCAAATAGTTTAAGTACTTTTAAACTTCAAAATCTTCTTAGGGTAAAATAAATACCCGTATCTATGCAGTACCATAAACATGTTAATAAAAGGCCACTCAACATTGAAAGCCTTCTATGACCAGTAACTGAAATTTACACAAGTGTAAAGAAGGGATTAAACCATGCCGTTGACAAGTTAACTTACCCCTGGGCTCCTTGAAGGCTTGTCAGTTTAGTCTTTGGAGGTCCCCGAGTACCATTTTAAGTGTTACCATGTTACTGCTGCTGAGTAATAGTGCAAGTGCTAAAATGCAAAATTCAGATGGTACAGGGTTTGGAAATCATGCAGATTCAGATGCAGAAAAAAAAAATTAAAACAACTCAAGATCCCTTTACAGAGGAAACTGAATAATGAAACAATGTGGCGATTACAAGTCTAAAGGATGACTTCATTGATAAATGTTTATGTAACTTGCAAAATGACAAACCTATTTATCATAATCTAATTAGGTAAGGGCATTAGGTAAACTACCAACACAACAAATATCACATTCTTCCAACTAGAAAATGAGCTCAACTCTCACAGAATTAGTTACAAAAAAGTACAACAGAGAATCAATGTTATTGCTTTTACATACTTAACAATGCATTGTGAGAGTGTGAGTTTTGTAAGCGATTTTATTCAACTGTATTCAATGTTACCACATTCCCCCACCTCCTGGAGGACAAAGCCCATTCCACTTAACACTTCCAGACAGACAACCCACCCTAATTCTTAAAGCTATCAGGCCTCTTAATGGATTTCAGGCACAAGATAATTTGTGGTTTCTTCTACTTTATCCCTACTGCAATTAATTCCACTTTTCAAATCCCAAACTAGGAAGGTGCTGATATTCCCTTTTCAATTGATATGCTTTGCTACAAAGCATTAGAAAATAATCAACATTTTGCCCACTCCCCCAAATAAGAATCTTTTTAGAAGGCATGACTTCCCAATGGAGATTTACACAGGCCATGTAAATAGAACATCACCCAAATGCACAGAGGCACTAAGAAAAAGCCGGAGGGTACTGCTTACCATTTTAGGTGCGGTCACCCAGACTTATTCAAAACTAGATTTCAAAAGAAAAAAAAAAATTTTCACTTTGGCCAATGCAAGAACAAATACCAATTAAGTCTGGGTATCAGGTGTCAATGCATGACAGGTGATGAATCCATTTGACTTGAGACAACTTTTCAAATAAGTTTATTTGAAGCAAAATAAACTACTGCCAAGAAACTTTATGAAAGTTCCATCTCAAAAGGGTCAAAAAAGGGGAATTAACTGCTATGAATTCTTTGCATTCAGGGCTGCAAAACAAAGACACATATTATTTAAATCAGTTTTATTTAAGAATTTCCAACAATGACAACTCTTATAAAAAGCATCCAAGCACAGGACACAGAACTGCAGCAAACAGCATTCTTATGGGTAGCTAACAGACATTAGAACTTCCACCCTTCTTTGAGACACCTGAGCTCACTGGTGAACTCTGCTTCAAGTCCTCCTGCAAAGCACACCACAAGCTCAGTCCATGTTCTCAGCCCATCAGCTTCAGTTCACATTGCCACACTTACATATCAGTAACAGAAGAGAACACACACCATACAGCATTCACAGCAGTTGACAAAGGGGTAGGGGGAGTACAAGTATCATTTCACTTAACACATTCATCTAATGTGGGTTATCTAAGAACAAAAACTCACTTAAAAGTCTTCCAACAGATGTGGATGTCCTTTGAATGCAAAAAACATTCGTACATTATTTGCTATCATTGCTCTCTGCACACTCTCTCACCAAAGCCACAGGATTGAGAGACACATCTCGCCAAGTTAAAAAATATCCATTATGCACCACCAAGTCTCTGCACGCGCTCTCTCCTTTTCTCGCTCATACTAGCCTTTCATGCCTCGGCACCACCATCAATCCCACACAAGGTTTCAAAAGTTCAGACAGCCTTCTGGTTCCATATCACAGCCTTGCGTTCATAGCGTTGATACGACTCCATGAAATAAAGAGTAGCGGATAAAAATGGGACACCCACCGTCAAAGACGCGGCCTGTGATGCGTGATGACGAATTCTTGAATGAGAAAGCATGTAGACAGTATTCCTATGGCAGAATATTTACAGCACTACTTTCAATGAAGTGCTTCTTCCATAAACATTTGAAATGAGATGAACTGCAGAGATTAAATGAAGGCTTCATATTGTACTTTTGTGTATGAGGGGAGACAAGTGTTAAAAAACAAAACAAAAGAACCAAACACTGTGACACCATGATCTCCTAAAAGGAGATTTTCTTAAGGAAAAAAATCCATATGGTGGGGTTCAAATTAAAACAAGGGGTAAAGAATGTAGTTCTAATCAATGGTTTCCGTTTTGAACATGCAAAGAATTCACTTGACAAGTCCAGGGATAAAATATTACAGGAGAAACCTTTTGATATCAATTGTAGTGTGTTGGTTTACCAATCAGGCAAACAGCAGTTCACTTTCAACCACTCAATATTTCAACCTTTCATGTAACAAAACTTATAAAATTCCTTTAGCTCTTCCTTTTTCTAAAGAAAAATGTCAAAAATACTGCTGAATATACTCCACACTGAACAAACCAATTTTGAAAATTCTTAGTACATATGTATTTTACAATATACTTACCATGAGTTTAGAAAAATTTGAATTCCCACCATTCTATACCAACCAACCACAACCCCACTGTCTACATTCCCCAGCCAGAAGACTTAGAATCCATGCTTGAGCCAAAGCCTCCATTAAAACCACTGCCCGACCCTGCATTGGATGCTGATCCCCAACCAATTGCTGCACCAGAATTAGAGCCACTATAAGAGTTATTTCCAGAACCGAAGGCCTGGTTTGGCTCCCTCTGCATGTTGCCTTGGTTTTGGTTATTACCCGATGGGCCTGACTGGTTCTGCTGGCTGGCTAACATGCCCATCATACCCCAACTGCTCTGTAGTGCTGCCTGGGCGGCAGCCATCATGGCTGGATTAATGCTGAACGCACCAAAGTTCATCCCACCACCCATATTACTACCTTGATTGTTTCCCAAACCAGCTCCACCCCCTCTGCTATTACCAAATCCACCCTGATTCCCAAAGCCACCTGGATTACCACCAAATCTTCCACTTCTTTCTAACTGTCTATTGCTATTGTGCTTAGGTTCGGCATTGGATATATGAACGCTGATTCCTTTAATGATCAAGTCCTCTCCACAAAGAGACTGCGCAATCTATAAGAAATAAGGGATGTAAACAAAGAAGATTAAACCACTGATTCATATATTTAAAGTAGCAACAAAACTTAGATTACAAGCATTAATTTATCTAAAGCCAGAGGAAAAATAAGCAATGAACACTCATTTCATTTAAACCCCCAATACAGCTTTTAGTTTTATTAACAGCAGCAGTGATATTTCAGTCGATTTTCAAAAGACATAGGCTGGGCATGGTGGCTCATGCCTGTAATCCTAGCGCTTTGGGAGGCCAAGGTGGGAGGACTGTGTGAGGCCAATAGTTCAAGACTAGCCTGGCAGCCTAGACAACACAGGGAGACCCCACCTCTATCAAAAAAAACCACAAAAAAGCCACATTAGCTGGGCGTAGTGGCATGCATCTGTCCTAGCTACTTGGGAGGCTGAAGCTGGAGGATCCTCCCCCTGGAGGCTGAGCCCAGGAGTTCTAGGGTGTAGTGAGCTATGATTACACCACTGTGTTCCACCAGCCTGGGCAACAGAGTGAGACCCTGTCTCAAAATAATAATTTAAAAAATGGGCCGGGAGCAGGAGCAGTGGCTCACGCCTGTAATCCCAGCACTTTGGGAGGCTGAGGGGGGTGGATCACCTGAGGTCAGGAGTTCAAGACCAGCCAGATCAAAACAGTGAAACCCCGTTATCTACTAAAGATACAAAAAACTGGCCAGGCGTGGTGGCTCATGCCTGTAATCCCAGCACTTTGGGAGGCTGAGATGGGCAGATCACCTGAGGTCAGGAGTTCGAGACCAGCCTGGCCAACATGGTGAAACCCTGTCTCTACTAAAAGCACAAAAAAATCAGCCAGGCGTGGTGGCAGGCACCTGTAATCCCAGCTACTCAGGAGGCTGAGCCAAGACAATCGCTTGAACCCATGAGGTGGAGGATGCAGCGAGCCAAGATCGCGCCATCACACTCCAGCCCGGGCAACAAGAGCAAAACTCTGTCTCAAAAAAAAAAAAAAAGTATATAACATTCCCAAATGCCACATACTGAAAATTATCTAAAGGCATATTTACTTTTAGATTTCTTAAAATGTTGTATTTGTGATATCAGATACAGGTATCACAAACATCTAGGCCCATACACCCTACGTCTTACAAGGTCAGAAAACTTAGCTAAGAATAGCAATTAGCTGCATGGGCAATGTTCAAGAGAAATTACCTAATTACCTGGGACATATTTTTTTTTTTGAGACAGAGTCTCACTCTGTCACTGGGCTGGAATGCAGTGGTGTGATCTCAGTTCACTGCCACCTCCGCCTCCTGGGTTCAAGCGATTCCCCTGCCTCAGGCTCCAGAGTAGCTGGGACCACAGGCGTGCACCACCACACCGAGCTATTTTTTTTTTTTTTTGTATTTTAATAGAGACGGGGTTTCACCATGTTGGCCAGGATGGTCTTGATCTCCTGACCTCGTGATCCACCCGCCTCGGCCTCCAAAGTGCTGGGATTGTAAGCATGAGCCACCACGCCCGGCCGGGACATATCGTTAAGGAGAAAAATACCTGATCATCTGCAAATGTAACAAAGGCAAAGGCCCTGAATGGCTTGGGGATGAAGACATCCATCACATCCCCGTACTGAGAGAAGAACTCCCGCAGCTCATCCTCAGTCATGTCCTCTGTACAGCGCCCCACAAACACTTTTCTGCTTCTCAAAGGCTCATCTTGGCTTTGCTGATCAAATCAAAAGGAAGAAAAAAACTCAGAAATATGTTATGAACAATGAAAAAAACATTAAGGTAAGGGATATAACAAAATCATTCGCCTTGGATAGCAGTGAACCATTAAAAAGTAGACGTACCCTTAATTTTTTCCATCAGCATTTCTTTTTCTTGTAAGGCTTCAGTGAAGAGTAACGTTTTAAGTTACAAAAGTACACAGTCATGCATCACATAATGATGGATATAAATACATCATGAGCCATTACACAATTTCATCATCGTGGCCAGGTGTGGTGGCTGACACCTGTAATCCCAGCACTTTGAGAGGCCGAGGCGGGTGGATCACTTGAGGTCAGGAGTTCAAACCAGCCTGGTCAACATGGTGAAACCCCACCTCTACTAATACAAAAATCAGCCGGGTGTGGTGGCAGGCACCTGTAATCCCAGCATCTTGGGAGGCTGAGGTAGGAGAATCACTTGAACCCGGAAGAGGAGGTTGCAGTGAGCCAAGATTGCACCATTGCACTCCAGCCTGAGCAATAAGAGTGAAACTCCATCTCAAAAAAAAAAAAAAAGGGCCAGGTGCGGTGGCTCACACCTGTAATCCCAGCACTTTGGGAGCCCGAGATGGGCGGATCATGAAGTCAGGAGATCAAGACCATCCTGGCTAACACGGTGAAACCCCATCTCTACTAAAAATACAAAAAATTAGCCAGGCGTGTTGGTGGGCACCTGTAGTCCCAGCTACTCGGCAGGCTGAGGCAGGAGAACGACGTGAACCCGGGAGGCAGAGCTTGCAGTGAGCTGAGATTGCACCACTGCACTCCAGCCCGGATGACAGAGTGAGACTCTCTCTCTCAAAAAAAAAAAGTCGTTGTGCAAACATCATATAAACCCAGATAGCATAGCCTACCCCACATCTAGGCTAGATGGTATAGCCTATTGCTCCCAGGCCACAAACTTTCAAGTTACTGTACTCAACACTGTAGGCGACTATAACATGATGGTAAGTATTTGTGTATCTAAACATAGAAAGGGTACAGTAAAAACAGTGTTATAATCCTATGGGACCACTGCTGTACACGAGGTCTGCTGCTGACTGATCAACTTTGCCATGTGATACATGACTGTGTTTGGATTTGAGAAAATTAATAAATAAGCAATCTCTTGGCAAAGATGATGATGTTCCAAATAAGCCAATGTTATTTGTTTGCTTGGAAAAAGTTAGGTCTTTATAACAATTAATGTATGTATTCTGATTCTCTTTATGTTTTAACATATAACTATGTAAGAAACTATTAACTTGACAAATAACCTTTTCTCTTTTCCATCCATAGCGAAAAGGAAGAACAAAATGAACAAAGGTTTAGTTTGGAGAAGTAATAAACTAAATATTTCAAACAAGCATAAAATATTCAGCATGCACTAAGGGCCAAAGACTTCAACAAGACAAAAGGATTTCATGAACACACCCTGCCGCTATCTTTTCTAAGTGTGTTTAACATTTTATCTTACAATCCTCTAAGGAAGTTTGTTGGCAAAAATTCCCAAAGCACAGACGCAAGTACCTTAGAATTAGGAAGTTTGCAGTCACACCATCGTCCATCTATCATATGTCGCTGTGACATTACTTTCACTTGTGTTTCATATTCCGTAAAACGAACAAAGCCAAACCCCTTTGAATGACCAGTCTTAAGATCTTTCTTGACCTAGAAAGGATGATACAAGTTTACTCTAAAAGTGCACATACTCACACACTCCATTCCCAAATCATAGTTCCTTAGAAAACAATTTGAATGGTTTCAACTGGATGCAGTGGCTTAAAACTTAAACCAAGTTAGTCTTAACAGTAAAAACAAGGAGGTTAATATTGAATCCATACTGTGTTAACAACAGAGCAAAACTCACTTATACAACAGAAATGTTTTTGAGTTTTTTAAAAAAGAGAGATGGGGCCAGGCGCGGTGGCTCACACCTGTATTCCCAGTGCTTTGGGATGCTGAGGAGGGTGGATCGCTTGAGCACAGGAGTTCAGGACCAGCCTGGGCAACACAGCAAAACCCTGTCTCTACAAAAAATACAAAGATTAGCCAGGTGTAGTGGCATGCACCTGTAGTCCCAGCTACTTGGGAGGCTGAGGCACAAGAATAGCTTGAACCCAGGAGGTGGAGGTTGCAGCGAGCCTACATTGCACCACTGCACTCTAGAGCCTGACTGACAGAGCCAGACCCTGTCTCCAAAAAGAAAAGAAAAAAAGAGAGGCCAGGCACAGTAGCTCACGCCTGTAATCCCAGCACTTTGGGAGGCGGAGGCGGGCAGATCATGAGGTCAGGAGATCGAGACCATCCTGCCTAACACGGTGAAACCCCATCTCTACTAAAAATACAAAAAATTAGCCAGGCGTGGTGGCAGGCACCTGTAGTCCCAGCTACTTGGGAGGCTGAGGCAGGAGAATGGCATGAACCCGGGAAGCGGAGCTTGCAGTGAGCCGAGATCATGCCACTGCACTCCAGCCTGGGTGACAGAGCAAGACTCCGTCTCAAAAAAAAAAGAAAAAAGAGAAACTGAGTCTGGATATGTTCGCCAAGGTGGCCTTGAACTCCTGGCCTCAAGCAACCCTCCCACCTCAGCCTCCCAAAATGCTGGGATTACAGGCATGAGCCACCACAACAGGATTTTAACAGAATGTCTTAGAATGAATTCAAAGATAAACTAAATTTAATGTTTACAAATTTTAAATGAAATGGAAAAACCTCCCATTAGTTTAATATATAAAGAAAAGCTATTGTCACCTACTTCCCTTAAGCCTTCATGCAACAGTAGGATTTTACAATATCAAAGGCAATAACATAGGGTACAACATATATGTATAAATATAACAAATATTGGAAGTATCATCTGTGTAACAGAAAGGACAGTGCCATTAAAATAACAAGAATGTGGCCGGGCGCGGTGGCTCACACCTGTAATCCCAGCACTTTGGGAGGCCAAGGCAGGTGGATCACTTGAGGTCAGGAGTTCAAGAACAGCCTGGCCAACGGGTGAAACCCTGTCTCTACTAAAAATACAAAATTAGCCAGGCATGATGGCGGGCACCTGTAATCCCAGATACAGGAGGCCGAGACAGGAGAAATCACTTAAACCCGGGAGGTGGAGGTTGCAGTGAGCCAAGATCGTGCCACTGCACTCCAGCCTGGGCAGCAAAGTGAGACTTGGTCTCCAAAAAAAAAAAAAAAAAAGAAAGGTAACAAGATTGTGGCTGGGCATGGTGGCTCAGCACATTGGGGTCGAGGCAGGAGGACAGTATGGGCCCAGGAGTTTGACGCCAGAACCTAGGGAACATAGTGATACCCCATCTCTATTTATACCAATAAATAAATGCTAGATACTCATTCACTGGTAAAGAAAAACTGTTTGATGCAATCGAAGTTTACCTGCACCATAAGAACTTCTCCAAAGGTACTAAAATACTCTTTCAGGTCCTGTTCGGTTGTTTTCCATGGGAGACCCAACACTATTAAATCGGATGTTTTCTGGACTGCTCTTTTCACTTTCACTGCTGATGAAGCATCTGTCTCATCCATTTTTCTTTTGTTATCTAAATAAAACGAGCAGAAACCTTTTAGAAATCTTCACTTAGCACTTCTTTAAAAACACTACCTCCTACATCTAGAAATGAGAAGCAAAAAGAAGACTCTAAGAAGAATAAGACACTGAAAACTTGGCAAGAAGTGATGTTTGCTCTAGAGGACAGAATAAAGGCTTAAGTTTAGTGTCTGAGGTGCTTTTCTGGTGCAAATTCAGTGATTTCCAAGTTTGTTTTTTGTAGCATTTCCGGATTACAATCTCTCCCTCTCAAAAGGTTTATCAAAACAAAAATAATTCTACTTCACTTTGACTTTAAATATCAGCAACTTGTATATCCTGATGAAGATTTAACTTTTATCTTTCCTAAACATTCAACAACAAATACACAACTTTTGTAATAAAACAGAAAACCAGGTACAGTGGTGTGTATGCCTGTAAGTTCCAGCAACTCAGGAGGCTGAGGAGGAAGGACGACTTGAGTCCAGGAGTTTGAGGCTGCAGTGTGCCTATGAATAGCCACTGCAATATGCCTGGGCAACAGAGCGAGAGCCTCCATCTCTAATTTCAAAAAAGAAAAAGAAACCAAAAGTTTGGCTTACTTAAAAAAACATAACTGGCTGGGCGCGGTGGCTCACACTTGTAATCCCAGCACTTTGGGAGTCTGAGGCAGGTGGATCACAAGGTCAGGAGTTCAAGACCAGCCTGGCCAAGATGGTGAAACGCCGTCTATACTAAAAATAAAGAAAAAATTAGCCGGGCGTGGTGGCAGGTGCCTGTAATCCCAGCTACTTGGGAGGCTGAGGCAGGAGAATCGCTTGAACCCAAGAGGCGGAGGTTGCAGTGAGCCAAGATCGTGCCACTGCACTCCAGCCTGGGCGACAAGGGCGAGACTTCGTCTAAAAAATAAATAAACAAATAAAAATAAATAAATAAAAATACAAAAATTAGCCAGGCGTGGTGGCAGGCACCTGTAATCCCAGCTACTCATGAGGCTGAGGCAGAGAATTGCTTGAACCTGGGAGGCGGAGGTTGCAGTGAGCCAAGATCGTGCCACTGCACTCCAGCCTGGGCGACAGAGTGAGACTGTCTCAAAAAACAAACAAACAAACAACAACAAAAAAACCCCCCAAATAACCTCAACCTTAGGTTATTTAGAAGAGAAGGGGAGATAATTTTTTTTTTTTGAGACGGAGTCTCATTCTGTCACCTAGGCTGGAGTGCAGTGGCGCAATCTCCCCTCTCTGCAACCTCTGCCTCCCGGGTTCAAGTGATTCTCCTGCCTCAGCCTCCCGAGTAGCTGGGATTACAGATGTGAGCCACCATGTCCAGCCTGGGGAGATAAATTAAATGACATTTAAAAAATTTTTTTTGAGACGGTGTCTCGCTCTGCTGCCAGGCCAGAGAGCAGTGGCACGATCTCAGCTTACTGCAATCTCCACCTCCCGGTTCAAGCAATTCTCCTGCCTCAGCCTCCCAAATAACTGAGACTACAGGCGCGAACCACCACGCCTGGCTAATTTTTGAATTTTTAGTAGAGACAGGGTTTCACCATGTTGGCTAGGGTGGTCTTGAACTTCGGACCTCAGGTGATCTGCTTGCCTCAGCCTCCCAAAGTGCTGGGATTACAGGTGTGAGCCATTGCACCGAGCCTGACATTTTAAATTTGAGTAAATATTAATCTATACCCACTGGCTGAAGAAACAGCATACTAAAAACCCCGAGTTTACATTATCAATTTTTTTTTTTTTTGAGACGAAGTCTTGCTCTGTCACAGGTTGGAGTGTAGCGGCGCGACCTCAGCTTAAAGTAATCTCCGCCTCCCAGGTTCAAGCGATTCTCCTGCCTCAGCCTCCAGACTAGCTGGGACTACAGGCCCCCGCCACCACGCCAATTTTTGTTTTCGTTTTTTTTTGTTTTGAGACGGAGTTTCGCTCTTGTTGCCCAGGCTGGAGTGCAATGGCACAATCTCTGCTCACTGCAACCTCTGCCTCCCGGTTCAAGCGATTCTCCTGCGTCTGCCTCCTGAGTAGCTAGTATTACAGGCACCCACCACCACATCCAGAGATTTTGTGTTTTTGATAGAGATGGGGTTTCATCATGTTGGCCAGGCTCATCTCAAACTCCTGATCTCAGGTGATCCACCTGCCTCGGCCTCCCAAAGTGCTGGGATTACAGGCATGAGTCACCGTGCCTAGCCCTAAAGTTTTCCTAGACATGTAAAAGGGTGTCTTGCATACTGACCAAATTTGATGGACTTTGTTGCAATACCAAGTTATAATAAAAGGAACACACAGACAGATCGACTACTAACAGCACACTACTTCAAAATGCTGAAATTAGGTATTTCCTTGGCACACTTCTTAAACTTCATGCTTCCTTTTCTTAGATTTAGAACATCATTGATAAGAGGCAGAGAGAAGGATAAGACCAGAACCTCGAAATTGTAATTGGAACTGCACTAATTCAAGATTTGGCTACTCCAACTGTTTGCTCATTTAAGGGAAAAAATGAACTCAGATTTGCTGAATGAATGATGTAACACCAAAAGGACAATGATCAAATCCAAACACTGAAGCACTTCAGAAGAATCTATTTACAACAATGATTTATGTACAAAACATTCTTAGTGATTCCTGAAATTTATCATCAACTTGGCAAAGTTTATTCAGATATTTTTTAAATACATTGTTTTCTCTTTTAAAATGATCTACAATCCCCAGTTTCCATAAATTTAGACTCGTGGTCTTCCAAACTTGTCTAACACTGAAGTTCAAGGAAATACTTAAGTTTCAGGAGACATTCTGCCACCAAAAGAGGCTAAGATCCATGGATGAGACACACACCTGAACACACTTCAGCATGATTACAAAAACCAAATGGTAACAAACCTTTTGGATAGTTGACAACATACACCAGATTTCCCCAGCCAGCATCTGGGGCATGCAGAATTCCTTCTACCAGCCGGACACCTCTCATACACTGAGACACTGGATTCCTGTAGCGAAGCCCACACGCCCCTGGAAACTGGGCTGTAACCGTGGAGAGCAGCACCGTCCCATCGTCTTCCGATGGTATTTCAATGGGCTCATCGTTCTCATCTTCGGTTACCCGAATATATTCAGACATCTTTTACTTTTCCTAAAGAGAAAAGAGATATGAATGAACAACATTCATGTCAGAATAACTGTTTCCTTATAATGATAATACCCAAACCATGTCAGAGTTCTGACTTCCAGAAAAATGCTTGTCTGGATTCGTATATGCATTGGTTATCCCTGAAAAATGACGAGGTGAAGGTAAGGGTAGTGATTTCCTATCAAAATGTGATGCCTCGCCAGTTCATTCATTCAAAAAACTTTCCCTGAAGGCTTATGATGCGTCAGGTACTGAAACTGTAACTGTGAGTCCAACGTGGCTTGCTGGTTACAAGCTAGGGTATGCAAGGGAACAATAAACAGTAGCTATTTTATGACAATCGGGTTAGTCGTTAAGTAATCCTGAAGGCAGAGGAGGAGCCTAACTGGCTGAGGCATGGGCGTGATAGGTCCCAGTCGATTTTCCTAAGCAAGCGATCCATCAGCTGAACCTGAAGACTGAATATGGGCAGTGAACCAGGTGTAAAGAACAGGAGAAAAGTTTCCCTCTGTTCCTCATTTTGGGGCTTCCGGGGGCTCTGCGAGCCCGAGCCCCAAGGCCCGCGGCGACAGGTCCTGGCGGTGCCGGCCGTCGCCTCCCAGAAGCCCGCGCGTGCCAGCCGAGGGAGGAGTTTCTCGGCGCGGCCCGGGGTGGGGCGCAGGAGCACCAGGCCCAAGCTGGCAGCGTCCCTCGAAGTACAAAGTACCGAAGGCTCCGGCACTGTCCGGGTCCGGGGCCAACCTCCGCCTCAGGCTACGCGGCACCGCGGGCCCGGCCCCCCGTTTCGGCGCCACCGGCCTCCCCGTGCCAGGACCTAACGACGCTCCCGCGCGAGCCCGCTCGGGCAGGACTAGGCCCGGTCTCACGGCTGACTTCCCGGGGCAGGGTCCGAAGCCGCTGCGTCTGCCTCGGGCCGCCCCAATGCAGAAGCCGAGGCACCTACGGCGTCCTCAGTGAGAAGGCTCCGCGACTCACCCGCTAGGCCGCTGCTGGGAAGCCCGACAGGGACACCGAAGCAGCGACGGACCCAAGCGCAGCCCAGCCACCGCTTCGCTCCCACAAAATGGCGCTAGGGCCGCCTCCTCCCCCCGCCCACCGGCGTCCTCTCCCACCGGTTGCCTGTCCAGAGGTGGAAGGCACCGACGAGAGCCACGATGACCCTCTCCCCAGGGACTCGGGCTGCCTCCTGGAAATTCAAGCCTACAGAGAAGCTCTGAAAGCTAAAATAAAACCAGGACCTAGGCCTGAAAAGCTGAAGATTGAAAAAAGTGTGGCTGTATAGGAGCTGACCTCCCCCCACGTAACGTAGCAGATGGTTTCGGCCGACCAACCGCCGGCCCAGGTCTCGGTCGGAGCTCGCGCACTTTCAAAGCGCGCGAGAGTAGCACAGAGTCTCGGCCAGCGAGGGCGGGGCGGGGCGGGGCCTGGAGGGGGCGGGGCTCGGGATCCCGGGCCGAGTCCACCTGGGAGGCAGGATAAGGCCTGGACCCCTTTTCTGAAAGGCAACCTAGTGCGTCTTCTCCTCCCTCCGCCAGCCCACCTCCAAACCTGGAAACAATAACTTTGTTCTAAATAATAGCAATGATAAGGCTACTTTGTGCCAGGTACTTTCTGAGTATTCACATATTTAATAGCCCAAACAGTTTTGTGTAGCAGGAGCTATTGATATTCATTCTGCGGGTGAGGAAACTGAGGCACAGAGAGATCAAGTGTCTTGCTTAAAGTGACGCAAGGATTAGCCGGGCGGTAGTGGCGCGCGCCTGTAGTCCCATCTACTCGGGAGCCTGAAGCAGGAGAATTGCTTGAACGCGGTAGGCGGAGGTTGCGGTGAGCCGAGATCGCGCCACTTCACTCCAGTCTAGGCGACAGAGTGAGACCCTGTC
The DNA here is from genome assembly GCF_000001405.40 of Homo sapiens. NCBI lineage: Eukaryota > Metazoa > Chordata > Mammalia > Primates > Hominidae > Homo > Homo sapiens. The sequence continues at coordinate 11,011,835 of NC_000001.11, read as the reverse complement.
CTCCAGCCCCTCCCCCCAAAAAAATGTCACCCAAGGAATAAATGGTAGACCTGGGATTTGAATCTCGAGGCACAAAATGCTAACTTGTTCTGGCTCCAGCCCTTTAATAATAATAATAATACAGTACTTCATCTATTTTAAGGCACACTTTTTGTTTCACTTTTTTTTTTTTTTTTTTTGAGACGGAGTCTCGCTCTTGTCCCCCAGGCTGGAGTGCAGTGGCGCAATCTGCAGCTCACTGCCACTTCCAACTCCTAGGTTCAAGGGATAGCTGGGATTATAGGCGTGCAAAGACACCATGCCCGGCTAATTTTTGTATTTTTAGTAGAGACAGGGTTTGGCCATGTTGGCCAGGCTGATCTCGAACTCATGGCCTCAAGTGATCCGCCTGCCTCAGCTCCCCAAAGTGCTGGGATTACAGGCACGAGCCACCTTTCTTTTCTATCTTTTCTTTCCTTTCTTTCCTTTCCTTCCCTTCCTTTCCTCCCTTCCCTCCCTTTCCCCCCCTTCCCTCCCTTCCCACCTTCCTTCCTCCCTACCTCTCTCTCTTTCTCTCTCTCTCTCTTTCTTTTCTCTTCCTTTTTTTCAGACTCCCTCTGTTGCCTAAGGTGGAGTGCAGTGGCACAATCTCAGCTCACTGCAACCTCCGCCTCCCCGGTTCAAGCAATTCTCCTGCCTCAGCCTCCTGAGTAGTTGGGTCTACAGGCATGCACCACCATGCCCGGCTAATTTTTGTATTTTTAACCCCTGTTGGCCAGGCTGGTCTCAAACTCCTGACCTCAGGTGATCCGCCCACCTCGGCCTCCCAAAGTGCCACCACGCCCGGCCTTTGTTTCACATTTCTTTTTTTTTTCTTTTTTCTTTTTTTTGAGATGGAGTCTCGCTCTTTTGCCCAGGCTGGACTGCAGTGGCGCTATCTCGGCTCACTGCACGCTCCGCCTCCCGGGTTCACTCTATTCTCCTGCCTCAGCCTACTGAGTAGCTGGGACCACAGGCGCCCGCCACCACGCCCGGCTAATTTTTTTGTGTTTTTAATAGAGACGGGGTTTCACCGTGTTAGCCAGGATGGTCTCAATCTCCTGACCTCGTGATCCGCCCGCCTCGGCCTCCCAAAGTGCTGGGATTACAGGCGTGAGCCACCGCGACCGGCCAATGTTTCACATTGCTGAAGTCAGTATGTGATTTCAGTTCCAGTTCCAGTTGATGATGATGTGTCATAGTTTAACTGGCAACTATTTATGTTTCTTTGTATATACATGTATCACACTCAATGAAATACAGTTACAAGTGTTTACACAAAATACTTTATTTATTTATTTAAGATGGGGTCTCACTCTGTCACCCAGGCTAGAGTGCAGTGCAGTGACCTCGGCTCACTGCAACCTCTAACTCCAGGGGTCAAACGATCCTCTCACCTTAGCCTCCGGAGTAGCTTGGACCACAGGTGCACACCACCACACTCAGCCAATTTTTTATATTTTTTGTAGAGACAGGGTCTTGACATGTTACCCAAGCTGGCCTCCAACTCCTGAGCTCAAGCGATCCATCTGCCTCAGCCTCCCAAAGTGCTGGGATTACAGGCGTGAGCCACCATACCCAGCAGAGAAGTCGGTTTTATCACTCCCATTTTACAGAAGAAAAACCTGAGGCTCAGAGACCATATGACAGGCCTGAGGTCATACAGTTGCTCAAGGATGTCACCTAGCCCATAAATTGCTGTCCCAGGTTGGTCAGACCCTAAACCTCTGCACTATGTCCACCACACTGGCCACTTTCTGTCACAAGACTGAGACCGAGGTATTTAGTGCGGGTAGTGCTGTGGAGTCCTGGACACTAGCTCCAAGTGGGCAGAGCTGGGTATGCAGAAGTTCCTAGAGACAGGTCACACAGGAACATGACCCCAAAGGCTGGCCCTTCTCCTAAGAAGTTTTCAGGCTAGTTGGGAGGACAAGCAAACACTGTCTCAAAGAAGGTAAGTAACTCAGGAAGATAATTATAAGGCCAGAGGGAGACTGGACCACAGATCTTCCTGCTCCTATCTCAGTTGTCTCTGGGATTCAGCTTTACAGCACTGATTGTCAAAAGTTGTTTGAAACACAACATTTTTTTTTTTCAAGACAGAGTCTTGCTCTGTCGCCCAGGCTGGAGTGCAGTGGCACAATCTTAGCTCACTGCAACCTCTGCCTCCCGGGTTCAAGCTATTTTCCTGCCTCAGCCTCCCAAGTAGCTAGGACTGCAGGCGTGTACCACCCCACCTGGCTAATTTTTGTATTTTTCGTAGAGACGAGGTTTCACCATGTTGGCCAGGCTAGTCTCCAACTCCTGACCTCAAGCAATCCTCCCGCCTCAGCCTCCCAAAGTACTGGGATTACAGGCATGAGCCACTGTGCCTGGCCCAGGCCCTGGTTTTCAACTGGGTCACTTGGGGACTTACCTTCTCCCCTTCCATCAACCCCCTTGAATTCTCCCAGCTCATCAGCTCCATGAGGCAAACAGGACACAGCTCCACAACATTCCTGAAAACTGAAAGAAGCCTGGGCGCGGTGGCTCACGCCTGTAATCCCAGCACTTTGGGAGGCCGAGGTGGGTGGATCACCAGAGGTCAGGAGTTCAAGGCCAACATTGTGAAACCCCGTCTCTACTAAAAATACAAAAAATTAGCAGGGCATTGTGGCAGGCACCTGCAATCGCAGCTACTCCAGAGGCTGAGACAGGAGAATCGCTTGAACCCGGGAGGCAGAGGTTGCAGTGAGCCAAGATCACACCATTGCACTCCAGCCTGGGCAACAAGAGTGAAACTCTGTCTCAAAAGAAAAAAAAAAAAAAGACAAAACTGAAAGAAATACTAGGGCAATAATGATACATAGATTTATTTATTTATTTATTTATTTTTTGAGACGGAGTCTTGCTCTGTCACCCAGGCTGGAGTGCAGTGGCCCAATCTCGGCTCACTGCAAGCTCCACCTCCCGGGTTCACGCCATTCTCCTGCCTCAGCCTCCCAAGTAGCTGGGACTACAGGTGCCCGCCACCACGCCCGGCTAATTTTTTGTATTTTTAGTAGAGACGGGGTTTCACCGTGTCTCAGTCTCCTGAGCTCGTGATCTGCCCGCCTCCGCCTCCCAAAGTGCTGGGATTACAGGCGTGAGCCACTGTGCCCGGCCCTATTTATTTATTTATTTATTTATTTATTTATTTATTTATGTAGGTGTGCACCACCACATCTGGCTAATTAAAAAAACTTTTTTGTAAAGACAGGGTCTCATTATGTTGCCTAGGCTGGTTATGAATTCCTTGCCTCAAGTGATCCTTTCACCTTGGCATTCCCACATGCTAGAATTACAGGCACATACCACCACCCAGCCAATAAAGATATTTAAATAAAAGTAACTTTAGGGCCGGGAGTGGTGGCTCACACCTGTAATCCCAGCACTTTGGGAGGCCGAGGCGGGCGGATCATGTGAGGTCGGGTTCAGCCTGACCAACATGGAGAAACCCTGTCTCTACTAAAAATACAAAATTAGCCGGGCGTGGTGGCGCATGCCTCTAATCTCAGCTACTTGGGAGGCTGAAGCAGGAGAATCACTTGAAACCAGGAGGCGGAGGTTGCAGTGAACCAAGACTGAGACATTGTACCCCAGCCTGGGCAACAAGAGCGAAACTCCATCTCAAAAAAAAAAAAGTAGCTTTAGGCTAGGCACAGTAGCTCACACCTGTAATCCCAGCACTTTGGGAAGCCGAGGCAGACAGATCACTTGAGCCCAGGAGTTCGAGACCAGCCTGGGCAACATGGTGAAACCCCATCTCTACAAAAAATGCAAAATTTAGCCGGACCTGGAGATGTACACCTGTGGTTACAGGTACTGGAGAGGCTGTGGTGGGAGGATCACTTGAGCCCAGGTGGCAGAGGTTGCAGTGAGCCAAGCTGTTGCACTCCAGCCTGGGCGACAAAGCAAGTAATAAAGTAATAAAGTAATAAAAATCTTTATTGTATCAAGATTAATTTCCTCTTCATCTCCATGTTTTTAGCTCCTGCCAAAATTAGAAGCTGCCTTCCCAAATAGTCTAGGTCTAATTTAGATTTTAAAAACAAATTTTTTACATTGAAATAATTTAAAATTTATGATAGAGTTCCAAGAATAGTGCAAAGCACTGCTGTGTTCCCTTCATCCAGATTCATCAACTGATTACATTATGTCACATTTGGTCTATCACTCACTCTCTCTAGACATGTAAATTAATAACATGGCTGGGCGCAGTGGCTCACGCCTGTAATCCCGCACTTTGGGAGACCAAGGTGGGCAAATCACCTCAGGTCTAGGAGTTCAAGATCAGCCTGGCCAACATGGTGAAACCCCATCTCTACTAAAAATACAAAAATTATCTGGGCATGGTGGCTCATGCCTGTATTCCCAGCTACTTGGGAGGCTGAAGTGGGAGAATCACTTGAACCCAGGAGGCAAAGGTTGCAATGAGCTGAGATGACGCCACTGCACTCCAGCCGGGGCAACAAAACGAGACTCCATCTCAAAAAAAAAATTAATTAATAACATATATGTTCTTACTTATCCATTGAGATTAATGACAGACTGCGTGCCCCTTTGCCTCTAAAAAGTTTGTCTTTCCTAAGGACAAAGACATTCTCTTACACAATCACAATACTGTTATCAAATTCGGGATTTTAACATTAATGTAACACTCTTTTCTAATATACAACCATTTTAAAATTTGGCCCTTCCCGCCCCCGCAGAAAAAGAAACAAAAACAGGTTGCTGTGGTGGCTCACACCTGTAATCCCAGCACTTTAGAAGGCTGAGGTGGGTGGGCAGATCCCTTGAGCCCAGGAGTTAGAGGCCTAGCCTGGGCAACATGGTGAAACCCCATCTCTACAAAAAAAAAAAAAAAAAAATAAGCCGGGCATGGTGGTTCACACCTGTAGTCCCAGCTCCTTGGGTGGTTGAGGTGGGAGAATCACCTGAGCCTGGGGAGGTCGAGGCTGCAGTGAGCAGTGATCACATCACTGCACTCCAGCCTGGGTGACAAGAGTGAGACCCTGTCTCAAGAAAAAAAAAAAAAAGAAAGAAACAAAAACAAAACATGTCCTTTGAATAATTTTTCTTTTTTTTTTTGAGATGGAGTCTCGCTCTGTCGCCCAGGCTGGAGGGCAGTGGCGCGATCTTGGCTCACTGCAAGCTCCGCCTCTCGGGTTCACGCCAATCTCCTGCCTCAGCCTCCTGAGTAGCTGGGACTACAGGCGCCTGCCACCACGCCCGGCTAATTTTTTTGTTTTATTTTTAGTAGAGACAGGGTTTCATCGTGTTAGCCAGGATGGTCTTCATCTCCTGACCTTGTGATCAGCCCGCCTCGGCCTCCCAAAGTGCCTTTGAGTAATTTTTCTCTCTGATCTAGGATCCAATCCAGGAACATTGTATTCCATCATTGTGGCTCTTTCAACTCCTTCAATCTAGAACACTTTCTCAGCCTTTCTTTGTCTTTCATGCCATTGGCACTTTTGAAGAGTTCAGGCTTGCTTTGTTTTTGGAATGTCCCTCAATTTGGGGTTGCCTGATGTTTCCTCATGATTTGATTCAGATTATAAGTGTTTGGCCGGGCGCAGTGGCTCACACCTGTAATCCCAGCACTTTGAGAGGCCGAGGCAGGCAGATCACAGGGTCAGGAGATCGAGACCATCCTGGCTAACACAGTGAAACCCCGTCTCTACTAAAAATACAAAAATTAGCTGGGCACGTGCAGTGGTAGGCGACTGTAATCCCAGCTACTCGGGAGCTGAGGCAGGAGAATCACTTGAACCCGCAAGTTAGAGGTTGCAGTGGGCCGAGATCGTGCCATTGCACTCCAGTCTGGGTGACAGAGTGAGACTCCGTTTCAAAAAAAAAAAAAAGAAAGAAAAGAAAGTACATTTGCAGGGCGCTGTGGCTCATGCCTGTAATCCCAGCACTTTGAGAGGCCGAGGTGGGCGGATTGCAGTTGGAGACCAGCCTGGACAACATAACGAGACCTGTCTCTACAAAAATTAGCCAGGTGTGGTGGCATGCACCTGTAGTTCCAGCTACTCAGGAGGCTGTGGTGCCAAGAGGTAGAGGTTGTAGTGAGCCAAGACTGCACTATTGCACTCCAGCCTGGGCAACAGAGTGAGACCCCATCTCCCCCAATTACCCACCAAAAAGAAAGTAAATTGCAGACATCACAGCATTTCACTCCTAAATTCTTCATCCTGCTTCTCCTAAGAACAAGAATATTGTCCTTCATAACCACAATGATAATCATAAGAGAAAATGAATAATTATTTCCTGCTATCATCTAATACCTGGTCCACATTCAAATTTCTACAATTGTTCCCCTCAAATGTCTTTTATAGCTGTTTTCTTTTTCTTTTCTTTCTTTCTTTCCTTTTCTTTTTTTTTTTTTTTTTGAAACAGGTCTCACTCTGTCACCAAGGCTGGAGTGCAGTGACACAATCCTGGCTCACTGCAGCCTCGACCTCCGGGACTCAGATGATCCTCCCACCTCAGTCTCCTGGATAGCTGGGGCTACAGGTGCATCCCACCACACCAGGATATTTTTTTTGTATTTTTTATAGAGATGAGGTTTCACCATGTTGCCCAGGCTGGTCTCAAACTCCTGGGGTCAAGTGATCTGCCCGCCTCGGCCTCCAAAAGTGCTGGGATTACAGGTGTGAGTCCCTGCGCCCAGCCTGTATTTTCTTAAAATAGGATCCAATTAAGCTTCATGCATTACATTTGCTTAGTATGTCCATTAATCTTTTTAAAATCTAGAATAATCTCCCTATACAAGATACTGACTTTTGGAAGAGCTCTGGTCAGGTAGTTTGTAGAATGTCGCACCTTCTGAATTCATCTGGTTGCTTCCCTGTTGTATTACTCAGCACACTCCTCTATTCCCTATTTTTCCTGCATACTGGAAGTTAGATCTAAAGACACGATCACATCCAGGTTAAACACAATGGCCACAACACTTCTTGGGCAAAGCCTTGAATATCCCAATGCTCCTTATCAAGAGCCACATAATGTCTGGCTGTTTCACTTTTAGTGATGCTAAATTTGATCTCTCAATTAAGACTGTGACCACTGGCCGGGTGCGGTGGCTCACGCCTGTAATCCCAGCACTTTGGGAGGCCGAGGTGGGTGGATCATGAGGTCAGGAGATCGAGACCATCCTGGTTAACACGGTGAAACCCTGTCTCTACTAAAAATACAAAAAATTAGCCAGGTGTGGTGGTGGGCGCCTGTAATCCCAGCTACTCGGGAGGCTGAGGCAGGAGAATGGCGTGAACCCGGGAGGTGGAGCTTGCAGTGAGCCGAGATCACGTCACTGCACTCCAGCCTGGGCGACAGAACGAGACTCCGTCTCAAAAAAAAAAAAAAAAAAAAGACTGTGACCACTAGATCTCTCCACGGAAAAGATGTATTTCCCCCCTTTGCAAAATTCCAGTAATCTCTAGATGATACATTGGCACAGGGCAAACATCCCATTTCACTACATCCTTTCACCTAATGGTTTAGCATCCACTGATGATCCTTGCCTTACTCTGTTATTTTATTGGGGGTTACAAAATGGAAAGTTTTATTTGCTTTTATTTTTTATTTTATTTATTTACTTATTTATTTTTGAGACGGGGTCTTGCTCTGTTGCCCAGGCTAGAGTGCAGTGGCACGATCTTGGCTCACTGCAACCTCTGCCTCCCAGGTTCAAGTGATTCTCCTGCCTCAGCCTCCCAAGTAGCTGGGACTACAGGCACCTGCCACTGCACCCAGCTAATTTTTGTATTTTTAGTAGAGATGGGGTTTCACCATCTTGGCCAGGCTGGTCTCAAACTCCTGACCTCGTGATCTACCCGCCTTGGCCTCTCAAAGTGCTGGGATTACAGGGGTGAGCCATCACGCCCAGTCTGTTTTTATTTTTATTTTTTTAGGGATAGGGTCTCACTCTGTCGCTCACCTTGGAGTGCAGTGGTGCAATCATGGCTTACCACAGCCTTGGCCTCCTGGGCTGAAGCGATCCTCCTGCCTCATCTTCCAGAGTAGCTGGGGCTACAAGTGCACCACCATGTCTGGCTAATTTTTTTTATTTTTAAAATTTTTTGTAGAGATGGGGTCTTCCTACGTTGCCCAGATTGGTCTCATGTTCTTGGCCCTAAGCGATCCTCCCGTCTCGGCCTCCCAATGTGCTGGGATTACTGGCATGAGTCAACTCTTCTCCGGTACGTCTATATTCTTTTGTAAAGAATTTTCCTTCATCACCTGGAGATGAACCACAGTTCCTCCTAACTGCTTAATCCTTTATCAATTTTCAGGATAGACTGACACAATAATCACCTCCAATAGTGACAAATTAATTGTATTTTTTTCTTGTTTAAAAATAGTCACGGCTGGGTGCAGTGGCTTAGGCCTATAATCCTAGCACTTTGGAAGCTGAGGCAGGTAGATTGCTAGAGCCCAGGAGTTCAAGACCAGCCTGTACAACATAGGGAGACCCCATCTCTACAGAAAATTTAAAAACTAGCCAGATGTGGTGGTGCACACCTGTAGTCCCAGCTACTTGGGAGGCTGAGGTGGGAGAATCAGTTGAGCCGGGAGGCGAAGGTTGCAGTGAGCCAAGATCATGCCACTGCACTCCAGCCTAGGAGACAGAGTGAGACCCTGTCTCAAAACTAATAATAATAATAATAATCACTATGAACTCTTGCATTTTTATTTATTTAGTGTTTCAAAATAGGTTATAGTCATTAATGTTTCTAATGATCACATTATTTTACTCAGGCTCTGTGGAAACCCTTTAAACTGACTCTAAGTCCATTGGATGTGTCTCTATTAGCCTTTGAGCACATTCTTGCCTTCTGGACCACCAAGATGTACCGGGCTTGTCTTATATTTTCCCTGCTGTATCCCTGGAATCAGCCATTCCTCAAAGGATCTATGGTTTTTTGTTTTGTTTTGTTTTGTTTTGTTTTGTTTTGTTTTGTTTTGTTTGAAACGAAGTCTCGCTCTGTCACCCAGGCTGGAGTGCAATGGTGTGATCTCAGCTCACTGCAACCTCCACCTCCCAGGTTCAAGTGATTCTCCTGCCTCAGCCTCCTGAGTAGCTGGGATTACAGGTACATGACACCACACCCGGCTAATTTTTGTATTTTTAGTAGAGACAGGGTTTCACCATGTTGGCCAGGCTGGTCTCAAATTCCTGATCACATGATCTGCCCACCTCGGCCTCCCAAAGTGCTGGGATTACAGGCGTGAGCCATCGTGCCCTGCCAATCTCTGGTTTCTTATAGTGGGAAAAACGATTTAGAAATCAGAATCAGGGCATTAGGTTGTTGTCAGAAGCATTTTTTTGTTTGTTTGTTTATTTTTTTGAGACGGAGTTTCGCTCTTGTCGCCTAGGCTGGAGTGCAATGGCGTGATCTCAGCTCACTGCAACCTCGGCCTCCCAGGTTCAAGCAATTATCCTGCCTCAGCTTCCCAAGTAGCTGGGATTATAGGCATGTGCCACCACACCCAGCTAATTTTTGTATTTTTAGTAGAGACGGGGTTTCACCATGTTGGTCAGGCTGGTTTCGAACTCCTGACCTCAGGTGACCCACCCACCTCAGCCTCCCAAAGTGCTGGGATTACAGGCATGAGCCACTGCGCCGGCCTTGTTTGTTCTTTGAGACAAGGTCTGGCTCTGTTGGTCAGGCTGGAGTGCAGTGGCCCAATCTTGGCTCACTATCACCTCTGCCTCATGGACTCAAGCCATCCTCTTACTTCAGCCTCCCTAGTAGCTGGAACTGCAGGCACACACCACCACACCCAGCTCTTTTTTTTTTTGTATTTTCAGTAGAGATGGGGTTTCACCATGTTTCCCAGCCTGGTGCTGAACTCATGAGCTCAAGCGATCTGACCACCTCAGCCTCCCAAAGTGCTGGGATTATAAGCATGAGCCACAGCACCCGGCCCACAAGTACTTTTGAAAGGTAAACTAATACTAAGGTAAGATATTTTTATTTTATCACGATTTACTTTCTTTTTTTTTTTTTTTTTGAGACGGAGTCTCACTCTGTCGCCCAGGCTGGAGTGCAGTGGCACAATCTCGGTTCACTGCAAGCTCCGCCTCCCAGGTTCACGCCATTCTCCTGCTTCAGCCTCCTGAGTAGCTGGGACTACAGGCACCCACCACCACGCCTGGCTAATTTTTTTGTATTTTTAGTAGAGACGGGGTTTCACCATGTTAGCCAGGATGGTCTCGATCTCCTGACCTCATGATCCAACCTCCTCGACCTCCCAAAGTGCTGGGATTGCAGGCGTGAGCCACTGCGCCTGGCTTACTTTCCTTTTAATTTAAGCATCTTAGCTGCCAAAATTAAGGTATGCCTCCCTTATTTGTTCTAGATCTTGGGTTTTTAAAACCATTTTTTGTAAAAAGCCAGTTAGTACATAAATACAAATAACAAAAAAACTGCAGTCTCTTGTTCTCCCCAGCCCCTTCCATATCCCTTATCAGAAGTAACCATTCTTTTAGTTGTTTCTTATGGATATACCTACATCTTTTAAAATAATAAATCTATCCTGCAATTAAAAAAAATTTTTTTGAGACAGGGTCTTGCTCTGTCACCCAGGCTAGAGTGCAGTGTCTCGATCTCAGCTCACTGCAACCTCTGCCTCCCGGGCTCAAGCCATCCTCCCACCTCAGCCTCCCCAGTAGCTGGGAATACAGACATGTGCTACCATGCCTGGCTAATTTTTGTATTTTTGCTAGAGATGGGGTTTTGCCATGTTTCTCAGGCTGGTCTCAAACTCCTGGGCTCAACCTTGGCCTCCCAAAGTGTTGGGGTTACAGGCATGAGACACCATGCCTGGCCTTATCCTGCAAAATTTTCATTTATTCAATTTAGAAAGTATCTACTGATTTCCTATTATGTCTAATGAGGGTTTTTTAGCTCACACTTCATTATCATTTCCTCCATCCTCTTAATATACTGATACCTAATATCACCATTTTTGGTTAAATACATATTCAATGTTTTCACTATTATGACTACATAAATTGTGTTCATGACTGAGACAAGTTTTATCTTTTCTTGTGCAACTTTACTTTTTCCTGGAGTTAATAATTGCCTTGCTTTTTCATTTGCTTTGTTCTCTTTGAACATCTAAATAATCATTTTATGCCCTCCAAAAGTTGTGTAAATGTCTTGAATAAGGTTTTCTTCATAGTCAAATCTGTCAGCTAGTTTGTGATTTTTTTGGGGGGGGACAGAGTCTTGCTCTGTTGCCCAAGCTGGAGTGCAGTGGCGTGATCTTGGCTCATTGCAACCTCCGCTTCCCAGGTTCAAGTGATTCTCCTGCCTCAGCCTCCCAAGTAGCTGGGATTACAGGTGTGCACCACCACACCTGACTAATTTTGTATTTTTTTAGTAGAGACGGGGTTTCACCCTGTTGGTCAGGCTGGTCTTGAACTCCTAACCTCAAGTGATCCACTCACCTTGGCCTCCCAAGGTGCTGAGATTACAGGTGAGAGCCACTGTGCCCAGCCAGATAGTTTGTAATTTTTATTTTTTTATTTCTTGGAGTCTTCATGCCTCCTTTCCTGGATTGCTTGCTGGAAATTGTATCAGTTGTCATCCTGGAGACTTCCTTACATGTCTGAAAATGGTCTTATTCCATTTACATGTCATTGGTAGTCCGGTTGCGTACAGAATTTTAGGTTGAAGGTCATTCATACTCAACACTTAGAAGATATTTTTCTGCTGGCGCCTAGCTTCTCTTATTGCTGTTAAGAAATCCATTGCATTCTTGGTCATTCACGTAATCTTCATTTTCTCTCTGGACTCTTTCATGATCTTACCGTATCATCCATTTTCTGAAATTCAAGATGGGCTGATCTGAAGGTAGTCAGTTATCTCAGTTGATCAGTTCAATTCTTTCCCCTTTTCTCACTACTGCACTTGACTAGTCTTAAAAAGAAAAAAAAAAGGGCTGGGCATGATGGCTCACACCTGTAATACCAGCACTTTGGGAGGCTAAGGTGGGTGGATCACCTGAGGTCAGGAGTTCGAGACCAGCCTGACCAACATGGTGAAACCCCATCTTTACTAAAAATACAAAATTAGCCAGGTGTGGTGGCACATACCTGTAATCCCAGCTACTTGGGAGGCTGAGGCAGGAGAATTGCATGAACCCAGGAGGTGGAGGTTGCAGTGAGCTGAGATTGCACCATTGCACTCCAGCCTGGGCAACAACAAGAGTGAAACTCTGTCTCAAAAAAAAAAAAAAAAAAGAATGAAATTCAAGATGATGACTTGGTCTTCCTGAGTATCTTTTTTCATTCATTGTTCTGGGCATATGGTGATCTTTTTGTTATAGAGATTTTTGTCCTTCAATTCTGGGAAAGTTTGTTGTATTATTTCTTTGACAGCTTTTTCCCCAATGATTCCTTGGTTCTCTCTTTCTGAAATTCCTGTTAGCTATTGACTTTCCTACAATGATGCATCATTTTTGAAAATCTTTTTTCTTTTGTTGTTACAATTTTAAAAATTCTACTTTCTGTGAAATTTCCCCAATTTTACCTTCAATATTTTTATTATTATTGTATTTATTTATTCATTCTTTTTTTTTTTTTTGAGATGTAGTCTTGCTCTGTCACCCAGGCTGGAGTGCAGTGGCACAATCTTGGCTCACTGCAACCTCTGCCTCCCGGGTTCAAGTGATTCTCCTGCCTCAGCCTCCTGAGTAGCTGCACTGCAGCTGCCCACCACCACGCCTGGCTAATTTTTGTGTTTGTAGTAGAGTCAGGGTTTCACCATGTTGGCCAGGCAGGTCTCAAACTCCTGGCCTCAGGTAATGCATCTGCATCAGCCTCCCAGAATGTTGAGATTACAGGCGTGAGCCACCGTGCCTGGCACACTGGGGTCTTCCTTTCACATTAGAGGCTCTCTTCTCTTTGTCCAAAATCCATAGCCCAACTCCTTGGACCTGTTGGAATATTTCACAGGAGATTGTTGTTTTGACTCCTTTTATTATTTCCCCTTGGGCAGAAATTGTGCGACCAAAGTGATAACATAATAATTTATTTGAGCATTTATATACCAGGCTCAGAGTTGGCAAATTTAATTCTTACCTCAACTCTATTTACCAAGTACTACTACTATTGACCTTCTCTGAGGAAACTGAGGCACAGAAAGGCCAAGTAACTTGGCCAGAGTCACATAGCCAGTCTGTGGCAAAGCTGAGGTCCTTGGTTCTAGAGCCCACGCTCCTAATCACCTCTAATCCATCTCCTTATTTGGAACCTGGGGGACAATTTGCTCTCTGTTCTTTATAGAAAACAACCACAACATTGTAACACCAGTTACTAAATGCCAGACACTGTTCTGAACACATTATCTGTATAGATTCCTTTAATCCCTAACGGGCCTATGAAGTAGGTACCATATTTAGTCCTATTTTACAAAGAACCTTCTAGAGGTTCAACTTACCCAAGATCACCAGATAGTGACAGCAGTGTCCGAATTTCAAATCTAGGCTGGGTGTGATGCCTCACGCCTGTAATACCAGTACTTTGGGAGGCCAAGGCAGGAGGATCGCTTGAGCCCAGGAGTTCTAGACCAGTCTGGGCAACATAGTAAGACCTCCATCTCTACAAAAAATTTAAAAATTAGCTGGGCGTCGTGGCATCTGCCTGTGATCCAAGCAACTCAGGAGGCTGAAGCAGGAGGATTGCTTGAGCCCAGGAGGTCAAGGCTGCAGTGAGCCATGATGGTGCCACCTCCAGCCTGGATGACAGTTCGAGACCCTGCCTTAAAAAAAATGAAAAAAGAATTTAAAATTTAGGTTTTCTGTCCCTGGAGATCTCACTTTCATTTTCCTTTCTGGGCCTTAGGAGCAGAGTGGAGTTTATTGCCCTCATCAGTTCATGGCCCACCACCCTCCTCAGCCTGGGCAAAGCCTGGCTTATTTTATTTCATTATTTTCTTTTTGTTTTTGAGACAGAGTTTCTCTGTCACCCAAGTTGGAGTGCAGTGGCGCTATCTCGGCTCACTGCAAACTCCACCTCCTGGGTTCAGGTGATTCTCCCACCTCAGCCTCCCAAGTAGCTGGGATCGCAGGCACGCACCACCATGCCTGGCTAATTTTTGTATTTTTTGTAGAGACAGAGTTTCACCATGTTGCTCAGGCTGGTCTCTAACTCCTGGGCTCAAGCAATCCTCCTGCCTTGGCCTCCCAAAGTGCTGGGATTCTAGGCATGTGCCACTGCGCCTGACCTATTTCATTATTTTCTCCAGTTACTCCCAACCCCTAGTCCCTCTCCCCTCCCCCTCCTAGGCCCTCACTAGGGTGTTCATCTGTCTTTGAATCTGCATGTGTCTGTATAAAGCATGCACAGTTGTTCTGTGGGTGTACTTAGCAATAACCAGACATTTATTCAGCACCTACCATGGTGCCTGCCAGGTGTTACCCTAGATCAGGGAGCAACAAACCACAGCCGATTGCCAGCTTTTATACAACCTGCAAGCCAAAAATGGTATATATATATATATATATATATATATATATATATATATATATTTCTTTTTCGAGATGGAGTCTTGCCCTGTTGCCCAGGCTGGAGTGCAATGGTGCCATCTCAGCTTACTGCAACCTTCGCCTCCTGGGTTCAAGTGATTCTCCTGCCTCAGCCTCCCCAGTAGCTGGGACTACAGGTGCCTGCCACCACGCCCAGCTAATTTTTTTTTTGTATTTTTAGTAGAGACGGAGTTTCACCATGTTTGCCAGGCTGGTCTTGAACTCCTGACCTCAAGTGATCCGCCTGCCTCGGCCTTCCAAGGTGTTGGGATTACAAGCGAGAGCCAATGCACCCGGCCAGTTTTTACATCTTTAAATGGCTGAAAAAAAAATCAAAAGAATACAGTTTTGTGACACCTGAAAATTATATGAAATTCAAGTATCAGTATCCATGTCTAAGTTTTACTGGTGCACAGCCACACTCATTTTTTTGTTTGTTTTTTTTTGAGATGGAGTCTTGCTCTGTTGCCCAGGCTGGAGTGCAGTGGTGTGATCTCAGCTCACTGCAACCTCCGCCTGCTGGGTTCAAGCGATTCTCCTTCCTCAGCCTCCTGAGTAGCTGGGATTACAGGTGTGCGCCACCACGCCTGGCTAATTTTTGTATTTTTAGTAGAGACGGGGTTTCTCCATGTTGGCCAGGCTGGTCTCAAACTCCTGACCTCAGATGATCCACCTGCCTTGGCCTCCCAAAGTGCTAGGATTACAGATGTGAGCCACCGCACTGGGCCCACGCTCATTTTTTATGTACATCTCTGGTTGCTTTCACGCCACATTGGCAGAATTGAGTAGTTACAGCAGAGATTGTATGGCACAAAGCTGAAAATACTGACTGTCTGGCCCTTTACAGAAAAAAGAAAATTACTGACCAGTGCTCTAGAGGTTGGGGATACTCTAGGGAACGTATGTGTTTAATTTATATAAATAGAATGATGGTTTAACTGGGGCCGGGGAGCAAATTCAATCTGGGATTTTTGAGAGTGACAGAGAGGCTATTAATTACTGGGACAACTTGGGGTCAACTATCTGTCTCTGGAAAGCAAGGATGCATGATTATCTCTCTCTAACCCTCATTCTGCCCAAGATCACTGGCTTTGCTTGTTGTATTTTAAGAATGTGTTGGCTGGGCATGGTGGCTCAACCCTGTAATCCCAGCACTCTGGGAGGCTGAGGAGGGCGGATCACCTGAGGTCAGGAGTTCGAGATCAGCCTGGCCAAGGTGATGAAACCCTGTCTCTACTAAAAATGCAAAAAATTAGCCAGGCATGGTGGTGGGAGCCTGACAGAGCGAGACTCCGACTCAAAAAAAAAAGAATTTGTTGGCTAGGCATGGTGGCTCACACTTGTAATCCCAGCACTTTGGGAGGCCAAGGTGGGATGACTGCTTGGCCTCAGGAGTTGGAGGCCAGCCTGGGCAACATAGCAAAACCTAATCTCTACTAAAAATACAAAAATTGGCTGGGCGTGGTGGCTCATGCTTATAATTCTAGCACATTGGGAGGCTGAGACAGGTGGATCACCTGAGGCCAGCAGTTCGAGACCAGCCTGGCCAACATGGTGAAACCCCAACTCTACTGAAAATACAAAAATTAGCTGGGCATGGTGGCACACACCTGTAATCCCAGCTACTTGGGAGGCTGAGGCAGGAGAATCGCTTGAACTGGGGAGGTGGAGGTTGCAGTGAGCTGAGATTGTGCCACTGCACTCCAGCCTGAGTGACAGAGCAAGACTCTGTTTTAAAGAAACAAAACAAAACAAAACAAAAATTAGCCAGGTGTAGCATTGTGAGCCTGCAGTCCCAGCTACCTTGGAGGCTGAGGTAGGAGCTTTACTTAAACCCAGAAAGTTAAGGCTTCAGTGAGCTTTGACAGTGTCACTGTATTTCAGCCTGGGCGACAGAGCAAGATGCTGTCTCAGAAAAAAAAAAAACAAAATTTCTCTGGGTTGTAGCCCTAGAATAGGACTCAGCAAACTATAGCCCATAGGCCAAATCTGGGGCATGGCAGTTTCTGTACAGTCAGCAAGCTAATTTTTAAATGACTGGGGTAAAAAATCAAAAGAAGAATCATATTTTGTGACACATTAAAATGACATGGAGGCCTGGCATGGTGGCTCACACTTGTAATCCCAGAACTTTGGGAGGCCAAGGTGGTAGGATCACTTGAAGCCAGGAATTCAAGACCAGCTTGGCCAACATGGTGAAACCCGTCTCTATTAAAAATACAAAAAATTAGCCGGGCATGGTGGTGTGCACCTATAATCCCAGCTACTCAGGAGGCTGAGATACAAGAATCGCTTGAATCCGGGAGGTGGAGGTTGCAGTGAGCCAAGATTGCACCACTGCACTCCAGCCTGGGCAACAGAGTAGAGTCTGTTTCAGAAAAAAAAAGAAAAAGAAAATGACATAGAGTTCACATTTCAATGTCCATAAAGGTTTTGGAACAGCCCCACCCACTCATTTGCATATTATCTAAGACTGTAGCAGTGTCTTTGTGGTCTGCAAAGCCTAAAATATTTCCTATCTGGCAGGGTGCCGTGGCTCACGCCTGTAATCCCAGCACTTTGGGAGGCCAAGGCGGGCGCATCACGAGGTCAGTAGATTGAGACCAGCCTGGCCAACATGGTGAAACCCCGTCTCTACTAAAAATACAAAAATTAGCTGGGCATGGTGGCGTGTGCCTGTAATCCCAGCTACTTGGGAGGCTGAGGCATGAGAATAGCTTGAACCAGGGAGTCGGAGGTTGCAGAGAGTTGGAGGTTGCACTGCACTCCAGCCTGGCGACAGAGCGAGACTCCGTCTCAAAATAAATAAATAAATAAAAATAAAATAACGATTTTTTTTAAAGCAGATTGGTCATTTTATTTTATTTATTTATTTTTCTGAGACAGGGTCTCCCTCTGTCACCCAGGCTGGAGTGCAGCGGTGTGATCACAGCTCACTGTAGCTTTGACCTTTCCGGGCTCAGGTTATCCTCCCACTTCAGCCTCCCAGGTAGCTGAAACTACAGGTGTACACCACCATACCTGGCTAATTTTTGTAATTTTTGTAGCGACAGGGTTTTCCCAGGCTGGTCTTCCTGTTTTCAACAGGTTTTCCTGTTGCCCAGGCTGGTCTGGAACACGTGGGCTCAAGAGATCCACCTGCCTTGGCCTCCCAAAGTGCTGGGATTACAGGCGTGAGCCACCACACCTGGCCTATTTTTTTTTTTTTTTTTGAAACAGACGCTCGTTCTGTCACACAGGCTGGAATGCAGTGGCACAGTCTCGGCTCACTGCAACCTCCACCTCCTAGGTTCAAGTGATTCTCATGCCTCAGCCTCCCGAGTAGTTGGGACCACAATAGTCCCCCCACAACACCCAGCTAATTTTTGTATTCTTTTTTCTTTTGAGATGGAGTCTGGCTCCCGTGGTGCAGGCTGGAGTGCAGTGGCGCGATCTCAGCTCACCGTAACCTCCACCACTTGGGTTCAAGTGATTCTCCTTCCTCAGCTTCCTGAGTAGCTGGGATTACAGGCGTGCGCCACCACGCCCGGCTAATTTTTGTATTTTTTAGTAGAGACGAGGTTTCACCTTGTTGGCCAGGCTGGTCTCGAACTCCTGACCTCAGGTGATCCACCCGCCTCAGCCTCCCAAAGTGCTAGCATTACAGGTGTGAGCCACTGCGCCTGGCCTAATTTTTGTATTTTTAGTAGAGACAGGGTTTCACCATGTTGGCCAGGCTGGTCTCAAACTCCTGACCTCAGGTGATCTGCCTGCCTCGGCCTCTCAAAGTGCTATCTATTTTTTAATGGAAAAGTTCACCAATCCTGGCGCCAGGTGATTGCTTCTAACTGCTGCAGTGTATGGGATAGTGTATAGTACGACTCTACCATAGTTTACTTGCTGGTTCCCCTGAAGATTGTCCCTGTGCTCAGTTATTCTAGGCACTGAGGATACAGCAAAGGAGCCGAGAAAAGTCCTTTCCCTCTGGGAGCTTATAGTGGCCGGTGCTGGGTTCAGATCCCTTATTCAGCATAGACTCCATTCCCAGCACTTGATGTCAATGGTTGTTTGAATCCTCACAATAATTTTATAACATTGTCTCCATTTTTCAGGTAAGGAAACCAGCTCAGAAGCGCCAGGATGGGCTTTGAGATCCACCCCAGACTGGCTATGGCACCTGGGCTCTTAGCTCCTTGCTCTCCTGCCTGTCTGCACAGCTTGGCCAATCCTCCACCTGTCTCATTCCCACCTTCCTAATTTTTGCCTTTCTGATGAGTGTAAAATGCTCTCTCATAACGCCATCTTTGTTTGCATTTCTCCGATATCTCCCGAGTTTGAATATTTCTGGAATCTGAGCTCTTAACTGTTGATTTGCTTCTTTAAATCAAACTAGTATGTTTTCTAAACAAGGTGAAAAAACATTTTAACAAAGAAGTTTGCAGACATTTCCATACGTGCCTCCCTCTGCTGCAACTTGAGGCACATGTTCTAGAAAAGAGACACATAGGTCTTGGTGTAACTTGCCTCATCCAGACCACGTGGGGCCAAGTTCAAGTCACCCACCAGACTTGAGACTTCTCCCAAATCACTGACAGCTCTAGGGCTCTATTTCCTCCTCTGTAAAATGGGGGTAGTAAGAGTATGGACCTCATATCATAGGATTATGGGGACAATTAAAGTGCTTGGTTCAGTCAGACCCTGGCAGCAGCCACAGCAGCTCTCCTCTTCTCTGGCTCTCCTTGCCATCTCCTTTTCTTTTCCTTCCCCTCCCCTCCCCTCCCCACGAAGTCTCACTCTGTTGCACAGGCTGGAGTCCAGTGGTGCAATCTTGGCTCACTGCAACCTCAGCCTCCCAGGTTCAACTGATTCTTATGCCTCAGACTCCTGAGTAGCTGAGATTACAAACATGTTCCACCACATCAGGCTAATTTTTGTATTTTTAGTAGAGATGGGGTTTCGCCATGTTGTCCAGGCTGGTCTCAAACTCCTGACCTCAAGTGATCCACCCACCTCTGCCTCCCTTAAAGTGCTGGGATTACAGGCATGAGCCATTATGCCTGGCTTGGCTTGGCTTGGCTTTGCTTTCCTTCCTTCCTTCCTTCCTTCCTTCCTTCCTTCCTTCCTTCCTTCCTTCCTTCCTTCCTTCCTTTTCTTTCTTTGCTGTTGTTTTCAAGACATAGGCTCACTCTGTTGCTCAGACTGGAGTGCAGTGGTGTGAACATGGCTCACTGCAACCTCGATCTCCTGGACTCAAGCAATCCTCCCCTCTCAGCCTCCCAAGTTGCTGGGCCTACAGTTACATGCCACCATGCCAGACTAATTTTTTTTTTAAATTTTTTGTAGAGACCAGGTCTTGCCATATTGCCTGGGCTGGTCTCAAACTTCTGGGCTCAAGCAATCCTCCTGCCTTGGCCTCCCAAACCTGGGATTACAGACGTGAGCCACAGCACCTGGCTGCTATCTCCTTTTCATTTCTGAAAACATGGCCTCTGGTGTGGCTATCTCTGATGGTGTCATCAAGGTGTTCACTGACATGACAGTGGGCAAATCTTCGACGCCAGAGGAGGTGAAGAAGCGCAAGAAAATGGTGCTGCTCTTCTGCCTGAGTGAGGGTGAGAAGAACATCGCCCTGGAGGAGGGCGAGGAGACCCTGGTGGATGACATGGGCTGGACCGTTGACAACCCCTACACCACCTTTGCCAAGATGCTGCCAGACAAAGACTGCTGCTGTGTCCTCTGAGGTGACGCAACCTATGGGTCCAAGGAGAGCAAGGAGGACCTGGTATTTATCTTCTGGGCCCCTGAGTCTGTACCCCTTAAGGGCAAAATGATCTATGCCAGCTCTAAGGATGCCATCAAGAAGCTGACAGGGGCCGGACCTGGTGGCTCATGCCTGTAATCCCAGCACTTTGAGAGGCCAAGGCAGGTGGATCACTTGAGGTCAGGAGTTCAAGACCAGCCTGGCCAACATGGTGAAACCCCATCTGTACTAGAAATACAAAAACTAGCTGGGTGTGATGACACGTGCTGTAATCCTAGCTACTCGGGAGGCTGAGGCAGGAGAATCGCTTGAACCCAGGAGGCAGAGGTTGCAGTGAGCAGCAGAGATCACACCACTGCACTCCAGCCTGGGCAACAGAATGAGACTCCATCTCAAAAAAAAAAAAAAAACAAAAAAAAACAAAAAGAAGCTGACAGGGATCAAGCATGAACAAGCAAACTGCTACAAGAGGTCAAGGACCATGGCAGACCGGGCGAGAAGCTGGGAGCGGCGCTGTCATCTCCCTGGAGGGCACGCCTTGTGAGTCCCCTACAGCCCCATGCCTGGAACATCTGGCAGCCCCAGACCTGCCCTTGGGGGTTGCAGGCTGCCCCCTTCCTGCCAAACCTGAAGTGCTGGGGGGATCCCAGCATGGGGAAGGCAATGCCTTCCAAAGAGCCTGCCGCCCCAGGGCCTTCCCAGCACCTGGATTTTCTTCCTCCCTCCATTCCTGATGTTTCTGGCCTTCCCAAACCACTTTTTTTTTTATTTTAAATTTTGAGACAGAGTCTAACTCTGTTGCCCCGGCTGGAGTGCAGTGGTGCAATCACAGCTCACTGCAGCCTTGACCTCCCTGCCTCAAGCAATCCTCCCACCTCTGCCTCTGAAGTAGCTGAGACTACAGGTGCGTGTCACCACACCTGGCTAATTTTTATACTTTTTGTAGAGACAGGGTTTTTCTCTGTTGCCCGGGCTGGTCCAACTCCTGAGCTGAAGTGATCCTCCCACTTCAACCTCCCAATGTGCTGGGATTATAGACATGAGCCACTGCATCCAGCCCCAAACCAATTTTGATCTGTTTCCTCTTGGGTTGAAGCAGACTAAATTGTCCCCAGGTACCCCAGTTTGGGGGAGGGGCTGTATTTTTTTTTTAACAACACCGCTACTACCCGTGCTCCCAACTCCTAACCACAATAGTAACTTGATACTGGTCTGTGTATAAATGGAATGTTGTGAGATGGTCCCTCCCCTTGCTGGCTGGTCCCTCTCCCTTTTCCCCTGGTCATGGCCACTCATGGAAGTAGGACCAGTAAGGGACTGATATGGTTTGGCTGTGTCCCCACCCAAATCTCATCTTGAATTCCCATGTGTTGTGGGAGGGACCTGGTGGGAGGTAATTGAATCGTGGGGGCAGGTCTTCCCATGCTGTTCTCGTGATAGTAAGTCTCACGAGATCTGATGGTTTTAAAAAGGCGAGTTTCCCTGCAGTTTCCCTGCAGACAAGCTCTCTTCTCTTGTCTGCCACCATATGAGACATGCCTTTCACCTTCCACTGTGATTGTGAGGCCTCCCCAGCCATGTGGAACTGTAAGTCCATTAAACCTCTTTCTTTTGTAAGTTGCACGGTCTTGGGTATATCTTTATTAGCAGCCTGAAAGCGGACTAATACAGGGACTTTTGATAAAAAATTAAAGAGATAATAATAAAAATACAAAAATAATTTTATTTATTTATTTATCTATCTATTTTTGAGACAGAGTTTCACTCTTGTTGCCCAGGCTGGAATACAGTGGCATGATCTTGGCTTGCTGCAACCTCCACCTGCTGGGTTCAAGTGATTCTCCTGCCTCACCCTCCCAAGTAGCTGGGACTACAGGCACCTGCCACCACACCTGGCTAATTTTTTTTGGATTTTTAGTAGAGACGGGGTTTCACCATGTTGGCCAGGCTGGTCTCGAACTCCTAACCTCAGATGATCCACCCACCTCGGCCTCCCAAAATGCTGGGATTACAGGTGTAAGCCACTGCACCTGGCCATAAATAAGTTTTTTTTTTTTTATGTGCTTGGCACATCAAAAGTTCTCAGTCAATATTAGCTACCATTATTTACCCATCAGCACTCATGAGAAAGAGAAAAAGAATCATTACATGGTGATGTCAGAGAGCTTCCGTGTTTTCCAGAGGATCTCCCATGACCTATGAGTGATCTCAGTACAGGGGGACATTTTGCTAGACTACAGGATTTACAAGGCCCAGAAGTTTCTCTCGGGAGTGAAGTATGTGACTGTCACTCTGACTCCATCCAGGGTTTAGGAATCCCTGCTCTCTTGCAGCTGTCTGGTGAGAGTGAGCTAGTTGCATGTTCATAGATGGAGGCGGGGGTGCATACTGAGGCGCACGTTCCCCACTGTTCCAGATCTGCAGGCTCACGTACATTGTTGGGGGGCACAAAGGAGTCCTACTGCCACCCTCTAGTGTTCAGGGGTCCCCTTGGGTCTCACAGTTGCCCTGGGGTCCACATTTAGGGGCTTCAACAGAGGCAGAGGGAAGACCCAGACATGGTGGGAGCTGCCCAAGGAATGGGAGTAGAGAGAGGGCTGGAACTTCCTCTGCAAACACTGGTCCATCCCCTGGGTTTCCGTTTTGGGATGTGAGGTATCTTCATTCCCTTCACAATGCTCACTGCAACCTCCGCCTCCTGGGTTCGAGCGATTCTCCTGCCTCAGCCTCCCGAGTAGCTGGGATTACAGGCGTGTGCTACCATGCCCAGCTAATTTTTGTGTTTTTAATAGAGACGGGGTTTCACCATGTTGGCCAGGGTGGTCTGGAACTCCTGACCTCAGGTGATCCACCTGCCTCGGCCTCCTAAAATGCTGGGATTACAGGTGTGAGCCACCACGCCTGGCTGTAAGCACTTTTTTCTTTGACATCAAATGGCAGCAGGTTGGGTCAGTGCCTTAATTCAAAAGTACTGAGAAATATCTGGAGATATCTGGAGATCTCTGTAACAATTCTCGTGTGATAGGAAAATATCTGGAATTTCTGTTGGGGACAGAGTCATAAAGTCATAACAATGTGATGGCTTGTTGACTATGTTCATAATGGAAACGCTAAATTTCAAGTAGAAGTTATTGAAAATAAAGATGTAATTTCCACCCCCTCATCCAAGTTCAAGCACCCCATGAATTCTGTGCGTGTATCTTTGAGGGTGGACCCCAGGTAAGAACTTCTGCATGAGATGCTCAAGTCAAGCACTCAGCACCCTGCTGACTCAGAGGAGGCCAGCCCATTAATGGCAGTTCTTAGCAGCAGAAAAGTTGGCTGCTCTCCTTCCAGGGCAAGGATGGGCAAAGATTTGCATTCTGTTCAGGAGAGGGGAACTTCCCTTCTAGAATGGTTTAAATCTTTCCTTCCTCCCTTCTTTCCTTCCTTCCTTCCTTCCTTCCTTCCTTCCTTCCTTCCTCTCTCTCTCTCTCTCTTTCTCTCTCTCTCTCCCTCTCTGTCTCTTTCTCTCTTTCTCTCTTTACTTTTCTTTTTTTTGACGGGTCTCACTCTGTTGCTCAGGCTGGATTACAGTGGTTTGATCATGGCTCACTGTAGACTTAACCTCACAGGCTCAAGTGATCCTCCTGCCTCAGCTTCCCAAGTAGCTGGGACTACAGCCACCCTGCCCGTTTATTTATTGTTTATTGCTTTTTTGAGACAGGATCTTGCTCTGCTGCCCAGGCTGGAGTGCAGTGGTATGATCATGGCTCACTGCAGCCTCAACCTCCTGGGATCAAGTGATCCTCCTGCCTCAGCCACATCAGCCTCTCCAATAGCTGGGACCATAGGCAAGTACTACCATGCTTGGTTAGTTTTTTTTTTTTTTTTGTAGGGACAGAGGTCTCACTTTATCGCCCAGGCTGCTCTTGAACTACTAGGCTCAACAAATCCTGCTGCGATTACAGGTGTGAGCCATCGTGCCCGGCCTGAATCATGCTGCTTCTTTCTTTCTTTCTTTCTTTCTTTCTTTCTTTCTTTCTTTCTTTCTTTCTTTCTTTCTTTCTTTCTTTCTTCCTTCCTTCCTTCCTTCCTTCCTTCCTTCCTTCCTTCCTTTCTTTCTTTCTTTCTTTTCTTTCTTTCTCTTTCTTTCTTTCCTTTCTTTCTTTCTTTCTTTCTCTTTCTCTTTCTCTCTTTCTCTCTTTCTTTCTCTCTTTCTTTCTTTCTTTTTTTTCAGACAGGGTCTCTTGCTCTGTCGCCCAGGCTGGAGTGCAGTGGCACAATCTCGGCTCAATGCAACCTCCGCCTCCCTGGTTCAAGCGATTCTTGCACCTCAGCCTCCCAAGTAGCTGGAATTACAGGCGCCCGCCACCATGTCTGGCTAATTTTTGTGTTTTTAGTAGAGGTGGGGTTTCTCCATGTTGGCCAGGCTGGTCTCAAACTCCCGACCTCAGGTGATCCACCTGCTGTGGCCTCCCAAAGTGCTGGGATTACAGGCGTGAGCCACCGCGCCCGGTCTCATGATTCTAATAGAGCAAAAAAGACCGTGTTTCACCAACAGGCTGCATTGCCCATTCACCTTCTGCCTCTCAGGCAACCAAGTATCTAGTTATTTTGTGTGTTTGTAACTGACTGATCAGGAGGAACTTCAGCAAGCCTGGTAATAGTTTGGTTAAATGTTGGTTTCCTCCTCATAAAAGTGGTAAGTAATGGTGCCAGATCTCAGCAAGATGGACATCCTGAAAAGGCCTGGGAAGCTTGGCAGTTGGAATCAATATGTATATTTTTAGTAATCGTTAACCTCTAAGTATCAAAGGAGACCAGTGAGTGGGTCAGTGGTTTCTGCTTTTGAAAAACCAGCTCAGTGGGTATTTGCAAGAGAAGGAAGGTGTTAATAAGAAAACCATGGGGAAAACCGTGCTGGGGCTGACTTGGCCAATTCTCACGGCTTCCAACTATTGCATAAAAGCTACTCTTGACCGGGCGCGGTGGCTCACGCCTGTAATCCCAGCACTTTGGGAGGCTGAGACGGGTGGATCACGAGGTCAGGAGATCAAGACCATCCTGGCTAACACGGTGAAACACCGACTCTACTAAAAACACACACAAAAAAATGAGCCAGGCTTGATGACGCACGCCTGTGGTCCCAGCTACTCAGGAGGCTGAGGCAGGAGAATCACTTAAACCCGGGAGGCAGAGGTTGCAGTGAGCTGAGATTGCATCACTGCACTCCAGCCTGGGTGACAGAGCGAGACTGTCTCAAAAAAAAAAAAAAAAGAAAGCTATTTTGAAAATGTGATTTTCCCAAATGGAGAAATGAAATTTGAGCTCCACTGGAAAGACCCCAATGAAATTGCTTTCTCTAAAAATATCTAAGACGGGAGCCCCTACTGCGTGTGTGTGTGTGCGCGCGCATTTCTAGGAGTGTGTGGGGCATATGCTAAGAGTTTTGTATAGGGTTGTGTGTGTAGGTGGGTTTCAGGGTGTGTGTGTAGAGATGTCTGTGGCTATGTTTATAGGTGTGTGCGTGTGTGTGTAGGAGGAATGGGGTTTAGGGTATCAGATTAGGAAAGAAAACCTGTTTTTCAATTCCTGTTTCTTCTTCTCTTTTTAAGATTTAAACAACAGCTCCAGGGTGGTCCTTGCAGGTTCTCTGAGTGAGCTGTGTACCAGTGATGTTTGCCCTGGCTTTGGCGTTTCTGTTTGAGGCCTTATGAAGTGGGCCAGGGCATCTGGGCCTCCTCCAGGGCCCGTGAGGGTTTCACCAGCTGTGTGTTCTGATCCTGCCTGCTTCTGTTTGGTGTGATGAGGGCCTTTCACCTGAGCGTGAACAGATCCTGGTGACAACCAGCTTCCATGCACCACTCTGGGTCTCCACTTCCAACTCCATGTCTTCTTAGGCGGCTCATGATAAATCCCGAGCAATTTGGGATTAAAGGAAAAGTTGGTCAACAAAAAGATGAGTTAAAAAGAGAAACAGGGCTGGGTGTGGTGGCTCACGCTTGTAATCCCAGCACTTTGGGAGGCTGAGGCGGGTGGATCTCGAGGTCAGGAATTTAAGTTCAGCCTGGCCAAGATGGTGAAACCCCGCCTCTACTAAAAATACAAAAAATTAGCCAGGCGTGGTGGCAGGTGCCTGTAATCCCAGCTACTCGGGAGGATGAGGCAGAGAATTGCTTGAACCTGGGAGGTGGAGGTTGCAGTGAGCAGAGATCGTGCCACTGCACTCCAGCCTGGGTGACAGAGTGAAACTCCGTCTCAAAAAAAGAAAAGAAAAAGAGAAACAGGCTGGGTGCAGTGGCTCACACCTGTAATCTCAGCACTCTGGAAGCCTGAGGCAGGAGAATCACTTGAGCCTAGAAGTTTGAGACCAGCCTGGACAACGTAGTGGTATCTTTCGTACGGACCCCATCTCAGAGACCTCTGGTCTCTGTCTCTTGTTTGTTTGTTTTTTGAGATAGGGTCTTGCTCTGTCGCCCGGGCTGGAGTGCAGTGGTGTGATCTCAGCTCACTGCAACCTCTGCCTCCTGGGTTCAAGTGATTCTCGTGCCTCAACCTCCCGAGTAGCTAGAATGAGTGATATGCGCCATGATGCCTGGCTAATTTTTGTATTTTTAGTAGAGATGGGGTTTCACCATGTTGGCCAGGCTGGCCTCAAACTCCTGACCTCAAGTGATCTGCCCACCTCAGCCTCCCAATGTGCTGGGATTACAGGCGTGAGCCACCGTGGCTGTTCCCTCTGGTCTCTTTTGTCTCTAGAAAAAATTTAAAAATCATCCAAGCATGGTGGTGTGTGCCTGTATTCTCAGTTACTCAGGAGGCTGAAACAGGAGGATTGCTTGAACCCAGGAGGTCGAGGCTGCAGTGAACCGTGATTGCACCATTGCACTCATGCCTGGGTGACAGAGTAGGACCCTGTCTCAAAGAAAAAAAAAAAAGCCAAATCCCAGATATGTGGGAATGTGACCTTATTTAGAAATAGGGTCTTTGCTGATGCAATCAAGTTAAGTGAGGTCATACTGGATTAGGCTGGCCCTTAATCCAGTAATTAGAGTCTTTATAAGAAGAGGAAAATTGGGGCCGGGCGTGGTGGCTCAGGCCTGTAATCCCAGCACTTAGTGCCCCTGTACTCCAGCCCGGTGACAGAGTGAGACTCTCTCTCAAAAAAAAAAAAAAGAAAAAGAAAAATGTGGACAGAGACACCCAGGAAGAATACCATATGCTGGTGACGGAGGCAGAGATGGGAGTGATGCAGCTACAAGCCCAGGACACCCAGGACTGCCACCAGCCACTAGAAGCTAGGAAGAGGCAGGGAACGACCCTCCCCTGGGATCTTTAGAGAGATCGTGGCCCTGCTGACACCTGGATTTTGGACTTCTGGCCTCTAAACCTGGGAGATAATTAGTTTCTGGTTTTTTTTTTTTTTTTTGAGATGGAGTTTCGCTCATCACCCAGGCTAGAATGCAGTGGCGCCATCTTGGATCACTTGCAACCTCCGCCTCCTGGGTTCAAGCGATTCTCCTGCCTCAGCCTCCTGAGTAGCTGGGATTACAGGCGTGTGCCATCATGCCCGGCTAATTTTTGTAATTTTAGTAGAGATGGGGTTTCGCCATATTGGCCAGGCTGGTCTCGAACTCCTGACCTCAGGTGATCTGCCAACCTCAGCCTCCTAAAATGTTGGGATTACAGGCTCTCTTTCTCTCTCTCCCTCTCTGTCTCTCTTCCTGAGATACAATCTTGCTCTGTTGCCCAGGCTGGAGTGAGCCACTGTGCCTGGCTTCCTCGACTTTCAATAATGGCAAGTATTTGGGGCGGGGGGAGGAAGGGATAAACACAGATAAAATGGAATAGTTAAAATCAAGACTTTTTTTTTTTTTCACTTGCAAAGGGTATTAGGAACCATCTAGTCCTAAATCCTCATTTTGCAGGGATATTTGTTTGCAAGGGCTGCCACGACAGAGTACCACAGACTTGGGATTTACACACCAATTGATTTCTTCACAGTTCTAGAGGCTAGGAGTCTGAGATCAAGGTGCAGGCAGGGCTGGTTTCTCCGGAGCTGCCTCTCTGGCTCACAGCTGGCCATCTTCTCCCTGTGTCCTCACACCGTCATTCCTCCGTATGTGTCCGTGCCCTAATCTCCTCTTCCTTTTTTTTTTTTTTTTTGAGACGGAGTCTTATTGTATCGCCCAGGCTGGAGTGCAATGGCACGATCTCAGCTGTCTGCAATCTCTGCCTTCCAGGTTCAAGCGATTCTCCTGCCTCAGCCTCCAGAGTAGCTGGGATTACAGGTGCCCACCACCAAGCCCGGCTATTTTTTGTATTTTTGGTAGAGACAGGGTTTCACCATGTTGGCCAGGCTGGTCTCAAACTCCTGACCTGATGATCCACCCACCTCAGCCTCCCAAAGTGCTAGGATTACAGGCGTGAGTCACTGCGCCTGGTCTTTTTTTTTTTTTTTTTTTTTTTTTTTTTTTTTTTTTTTTTTTTTAGACGGAGTTTTGCTCTTGTCACCCAGGCTGCAGTACAATGGTACGATCTTGGCTCACTGCAACCTCCATCTCCCGGGTTCAAGCAATTCTCCTGCCTTAACTTCCCAAGTAGCTGGGATTACAGGCGTGCACCCCCACACCTGGCTAGTTTTGTATTTTTAGTAGAGATAAGGTTTCACCATGTTGGCCAGGCTGGTCTCGAAGTCCTGACATCAGGTGATCAGCCTGCCTCGCCCTCCCAAATCACTGGGATTATGGGCATGAGTGACTGTGCCCGGCCCCTTTTTTTTTTTTTTTTAGACAGGGTCTTGTTCTGTTGCCCAGGCTGGAGTGCAGTAGCACAATCAGGGCTCACTGCAGCCTCAACCTCCTGGGCTCAAGCAATCCTCTCACCTCAGCCTCCTGAGTAGCTAGGACCACAGGTGTGTGCCACCATGCCCAGCTAGTTTTTAAATTTTTTGTAGAGACAGGGTCTTGCCATGTTCCCCTGGCTTGTTTCGAACTCCTGACCTCAAACAATCTGCCCATCTCTGCATCCCAAAATGCTGGGGTTACAGGCATGAGCCACCATGCCTGGCCCCTCAGCTCCTTTTGAACTCTGCCAGGAGGGGCCTGGAGCAGGGTTCTGGGAAGCCCCATCAAGACAGCGTGACTGTTCCTCCGGTGAAGCTCAGTTTCTTAGCTTCTTTCCTTCCTTGGGCACAGAGACAGGCTTCTCCCGGGAGCGGAGAATGAGGGCCTGCACTCCAGCCTCAGTGGATCAATTCATCTTCAGCCTTCTGATCCGCAATCTTATTTTGAGCTCCCACGGCTGAAGCAATTCATCTCACCCATGCAGAGGGATGGGGAGAAGCTGAGAGTGTTGACACCCACCTGTGTTTTCTGGCACCTGAGTGACCCGAGACCTGCACTGGAGGGGAAGGGGAGGAGCCAACCTTTCGTTTAGTTGCTTGGAACTGCTTCAGATTAAATTCTCCCAGGGCAGGAGAGAGCTGCTGGGCCTGAGGATGTGGGGGTCCCCAGCACTTGCCTGGTAAGTGTCCCTTATTCAGGAATTGGGAGAAGCCAGTGGCATGCTTAGTGTGCCCACACTCCTTGAAGAAGCCAAATATCTTCCATCAGAATCAGAAGCCTTGCATCTAAGAGGGAAGGGGGCCAAATGGGTGAGGGGCCCAGATGCATGGATGCCTTGGGAAGGGCTGACTTTCTCAGGTGAGGTCCGGCCACAGTCTCTCCCACCTTTCTCATGCTCCTGTCATCCCTTGTTCTGGAATTCCAGTCCTCCCATCTTGGGAAGGATTTCCAGAAGATTGGGAGAAAACAGAACACGTCTTCCTTGTCCTAGAGGGTCCTTAAAACAAAACAAATTAGGGGTCAAGTTGACCAAGAGATGCTTGATTTCAAGGAGTTTTCAAATGATAGGAGTTGTGGTCGCTAGCTATTCGATTGTAAGGATTAGGAGAAAATTTCATTTTCCTTCCTTCCCTCCCTTCCTTCCTTCCCTCCCTGCCTTCCTTCCTTTCTCCTTCCTTCCTTCCCTTTCCTTTCTTTTCTCTTTCTCTCTCTCTCTCCCTCTCTGTCTCTCCTTCTTCCTGAGATAGAGTCTTGCTCTGTTGCCCAGGCTGGAGTGCAGTGGCAAGATCATAGTTCACTGTCATCTCTTAACTCCTGGGCTCAAGTGATCATCCCACTTTAGCCTCCTGAGTAGCTGGGACCATAGGCATGTGCCACCACACTTTGGTAATTTTTTAATTTTTTTGTAGAGACAGGGTCTTACTGTGTTGCCCAGGCTGGTCTTAAACTCCTGGGTTCAAGCCATCCTCCTGTCTCGGCCTCCCAAAGTATTGGGATTACGGGCATGACTCACTGCACTTGGCCAAAATCTCATTTTCCTTGGCAACAGAATTGCTACCTCTTTTCCCCATCTGAGATGCATTTTTAAGAGATACTTTAAAAAGCTCCTGAGAGTGGGAAGTGAAGCCTCCCAGGCCAGCTGGAATGTCACAATAGCTGGCTTGTGGCCTTTGGGCCGTGGACTGCAGGGCTTTTGTTGGGCGTTTTGTGAGGTTGAAGTCTGTAGACAATGAAGGCAGTGGAGAAGCTGAGTGGGGCTTTGTGGGGCTGGGCGAGCAAGGGGGAGGTCCGGGCCCTGTCCTGGGGACCCATTGCCTTCTCCTGGATGCCCCATGAGGGGGCTCAGCTTTGGGGGATGGAGCATCATGTCTCCCCCCAGACTGGGATGGGGCAGTTCTGGGTCTGAGAAGTGAGGGGGAAAAACCCAAACCCACATCTTTCTCCCGATTGATGCTCAAGGAGGAGAACAGGAGCAGGCATCAGACGGAGGGGAGAGCTGTCTACCCCCCACCTGCCACCGGGCCGATTCCAGACAGCATTCCCTGTGTAACAGCAGAGTCGGGGTCCCTGGCAAGGCCGGGACTCAGCACCAGAGTCAGCCACTTTCCTTTTCCCCAAGATTATTCTTCTGGTCCTGTCTCAGATTTACTCGCTCTGGGAGAACCTTCCTTCAAGACCAATTGCCCCAGCCAGGTTTTTGTTTTGCAAATTAATCAACTAATAATAGCGCCTCCCCGCTGCTGGGAGAGGAATTCCGCATTGGGCTCAGTGTCCAGGCAGCAGAGCCCAGGGCGGGTACCCGGCCGTCCATGGGAGAGGCTCGCCACAGGCGCTTCTGAATTCAGCGAATGAAGCGGGGCAGCGGGGCAGCCAGGCAGCCGCAAGCTCCTCCCAGCTCAAAGGCTGCAGGCTCAGCTTAGATTCCAGGCTGGGGAACCAGTCCTGTCATTCTTTGCCAACCCACTCTGGGGAGACTGTGGGCCCTGGCATTTGGCCTCCCTGGGCTGGGCCTGAGGCCCTGGCCCTCTGCCCACCCAGGAATCGAATGGCTCAACGAGGGCAGCCCTAGAAGGAAATGCAGCACCCATTCCTGCCTTTTCACATTGCTTTTTAAACTGTTAACTTTCTTTCTTTCTTTTTTTTGAGACGGAGTTTTGCTCTTGTTGCCCAGGCTGGAGCGCAATGGTGAGATCTCGGCTCACCACAACCTCCACCTCCCAGGTTCAAGCGATTTTCCTGCCTCAGCCTCCTGAGTAGCTGGGATTACAGGCATGCGCCACCGCACCTGGCTAATTTCGTATTTTTAGTAGAGATAGGGTTTCACCATGTTGGCTAGGCTGCTCTCAAACCCCTGACCTCAAGTGATCCGCCCGCCTCCGCTTCCCAAAGTGCTGGGATTACAGGCGTGAGCCACTGCACCCGTCCAATAGTAGTTTCTTTCTTTTCATTGCAGTTCAGTATTCCATTGTAGGAGTAGACCACAATGGGTCCATTCTACCACTGCTGGGCGCTGGGGTGGTTTCCAGGTTACAGGAAATAATAGCACTGCTGTCAACAGTCTTGCACGTGTCCTCTGATGCCCTTGTGCTTGCCTTGCAGTTGGAGAGGAAGCGCTGGGTCGAAGGGTGGAGGAATGTTCAGTCTTAGTAGATTCTACCAGTTCCCAAGAGTGGTTGAACCAACCTCACTCCCGCCAGGAGGCAGGAGCTTTCTCAATGCTCCACATTCTGCCAATCTCTCCCTGTCATTCTTTCTTTCCAGCTTCTGGCTTCAGGATTATTTCCTGAACTCCTCTAAGGAAAGCTTCTTTGTGGGAAGTTTAGGTTCTTGCCTGCAGTCATTTTAAATAGTTGGAGTCTCAGCTGCCCGAAGAGTCTTTTAAAATGTGAGATCCTTGCCCTGGGTGCGGTGGCCCACACCTGTAATCCCAGCATTTTGAGAGGCTGAGGTGGGCGAATAACTTGAAGCCAGGAGCTCAAGACCAGCCATGGCCAACATGGTGAAACCCCCGACTCTACTAAAAATACAAAAATTAGCCAGGCGTGGTGGCACACGCCTGTAATCCTAGCTACTCAGGAGGCTGAGGCACGAGAATCACTTAAATCTGAGAAGCAGAGATTGCAGTGAGCCGAGACTGTGCCACTGCACTCCAGCCTGGGTGACAGAGTGAGATACTCAGTCTCAAAAAAGAAAAAAAAAGTGAGATCCTCTTCCTTCCCTGCTTAGAGTTCTCCAGGGCTTCCCACAATTTTTTATGGTAAAACCCCAGCCTGCACCCCTGGCCATGGCTCCTGCCTGCCCCTCTCCTTTTTGCCCACCAGCGGCCCCTCTGTCACTGGCTCTAGTTCCACTGACCTTCTTTTGAGTCCTTAAACACAAACACACCAAACTCATTTCCGACTGTTTGCTGTGCACTGACTATTTCCTCTGCTGAGGAATGCCCTTCCCCAGGTCTTTGCATGGGACTCTTTCTTTTTTTTTGAGACAGGGTCTCGCTTTGTTACCCAGGCTGGAGTGCAGTGGGACAATCATTGCTCATTGCAACCTAGACCTCCCAGGCTCAAGCAATCCTCCCACCTCAGCCTCCTGAGTAGCTGGGACCACAAGCGCATGCCACCACACCAGGTTAATTTTAAAATCTTTTTGTAGACATCGAGTCTTGCTATTTTGCCCAGGCTGGTCTCAAACTCCTGGGCTCAAGTGATCCTCCTGCCTCAGTCTCCCAAAGTGTTGGGATTATAGGCATAAGCCACCATGCCCAGCGGGACTCCGTGACATACATACCATCTTGGTTCAACTGTCACCTCTCAGTGATGTTTTACCTGACATAAAGAAATTTGGGGGCTCGGTGCAGTGGCTCACGCCTGTAATCCCAGCACTTTGGGAGACTGAGGTGAGTGGGTCGCTTGAGCTTAGGAGTTTGAGACCAGCCTGGGCAACATGGTGAAACCCCATCTCTACAAAAAAAATACTAATAAATTAGCCGGGCGTGGTGGCTAACTTTTTTTTTTTTTTTTTACTGTGGAGTTTTGTTCTTGTCACCCAGGCTGGAGTGGTACAATGTCACGCTCTCAGCTCACTGCGACTTCCGCCTCTCGGGTTCAAGCGATTCTCCTGCCTCAGCCTCCTGAGTAGCTGGGATTACATGCGTGTGCCATCACGCCTGGCTAATTTTTGTATTTTTAGTACAGACGAGGTTTTGCCATGTTGACCAGTTTGGTCTTAAACTCCTGACCTCAGGTGATCTGTCAGCCTCAGCCTCCAAAGTGCTGGGATTACAGGCGTGAACCACAGCGCCTGGCAAAAACAGAAATTTGGAATAAACAAAAATATTATTTTTAAAGGTTACTGGTGTCTTCAATGGAAAACTAAGCATTATTTGGAGAAGAGGGTTCCTGCTGTCTAACTCCAGCCTTTCATCACCTTTGTGCTATCTTATGGTGCTCTAAGTCATAGAGAACCTATGGCAATGCAACCAATTCCTGCCTATGGACACGCAAATAAATTTCATGGGGGAGGTTCCATTGGCTTCCCTTCCCCACTGTGGAAGAAGCCAGTTTGGTGTCTATTTGCATCCTGATCTAGAAATGTATCTGTTCTTTCTTCTCCTTTGAACTGGTTGTAACCTCTGCCTGGTTCCCTCACTAATAATGAGTTAATAAAATCTTTAATACAGATTCATCATTTTATTTATTTATTTATTTATTGGAGATGGAGTCTTACTCTGTCATGCAGGCTGGAGTGCAGTGGCGTGATCTCATCTCACTGCAATCTCCGCCTACTGGGCTCAAGCAATTCTCTTGTCTCAGCCTCCCGAGTAGCTGGGATTACAGGCGCACGCCACCACGCCCGGGGAATTTTTGTATTTTAGTAGAGACGGGGTTTCACCATGTTGGCCAGGCTGGTCTTGAACTCCTGATCTCAGGTGATCTGCCCGCCTCGGCCTCCCAAAGTGCTGGGATTATAGGCACGAGATTCATCATTTAAAATCTTTTTGAGGCCAGGCATGGTGGCTCACACCTGTAATCCCAGCACTAGGGTCTCACTGTAGTCCTCCAGGCTGGAGTACAGTGGTGCAATCACTGCTCACTATAGCCTTGACTTCCCGGGCCCAGGTGATCCTCCCACCTCAGCCTCCTGAGTAGCTGAGACTACAGGCATGCGCCACCATGCCCAGCTAATGTTTTATAGTTTTAATAGAGACAGGGTTTCACCATGTTGCCCAGGCTGATCTTGAACTCCTGGGCTCAAGCCATCCCCCGCTGCCTCAGCATCCCAAAGTGTTGGGATTACAGCTGTGAGCCCTCGCACCCGGCCTAAAATCTATGTTGCCTTTTTTGAGGATGATCTTTTCACACTGACCTCCCCATCAGAGGTCCTCTCAGGCTCTCTGTATCTCACCACTCTGTTTCATTTTCTTCTGAGCCTGATTATTATCTGAGATTATTTTGTTCTTCTATTTCTTTACTTATGGGTTTTTTTTTTTTTTTCGTCTCTTGGCCATTGTGCATAGTAGGCACTCAAAAGAAATATAACGAGTGGGCGGGACGCGGTGGCTCACGCTTCTAATCCCAGCACTTTGGGAGGCCGAGGCGGGTGGATCACGAGGTCAGGAGTTTAAGACCAGCCTGGCCAAGATGGTGAAACCCCATCTCTACTAAAAATACAAAAATTAGCCGGGCGTGGTGGCATGTGCCTGTAATCCCAAGCTACCTGGGAGGCTGAGGCAGAGAACTGCTTAAACCGGGGAGGCGGAGGTTGCAGTGGGCGGAGGTTGCAGTGAGCTTAGATCGCGCCACTGCACTCCAGCCAGGGTGACGGAGCGAGACTCCGTCTCAGAAAAAAAAAAAAAAGAAATATAATGAGTGAATGAAGGTAGATGAGGCAGCAGCTGGGCGGTGCATGTCCCCACCCCCTTCCCTCCTCTCCCGCAGGGCCGTCTGGCTTGCCTGTGTTCAGCCCACGGTGTTCCCATGGAGCCTCTCCTTCAGGTCAGACACGGACAAGCCAAGCTCTGCAGCAGAAGTTTTAACAGGTGAATCAATCACACTTTTATGGTTGGCATCAGGCTTTGGATATTTCCCCAATGAGCAGACTGAGAACCAACCTGCTGGGTGACACTGGGCAACTTTGGAAGCGAGAAAGCCTTCCAAAGCCTTCACCAAAGCGTGGATTTCAGGCTGTCATTCTCCCAACAAGGAAGCGGCATTCCTGCAGGCCGAGTGCTGGAGCTCACGTGGCTAGCTGGGCCTGGCATCCTCTGACTCAGAGCTCGGTGCTTGTTTCAATAATTAAAACCAGCACAGGGAGCGTGTGTCGTGTGCCGGGCCTGTCTTGGGGGATTTGTGTCTATTAACTCATTCTAACAAGACTTTTAGATGATGACGCGAAGTCCAGAGGAGTGAGTGACTTGTCTAAGGTCCCATAGCAATGAGTAGCAGAGCCAGGATTTCACCCTCCAGAGCCCCTGCACTTAGCCACCCCGCAAACAGATGACACTGTGGGAGTAACATGTCTTTGTTGAGCGCTTACTCTGGGCTTGGCCCTGTGCTGAGGGTTCACATGCATCATCTCATTTCATTTCCTTTTTTTTTTTTTTTCTGAGACAGAGTCTCGCTTTGTTGCCCAGGCTGTAGTGCAGTGGTGTGATCTCAGCTCACTGCAATCTCCACCTCCCAGGTTCCAGTGATTCTCCAGCCTCAGCCTCCTGAGTGGCTGGGACTACAGGTGTGCACCACCACACCTGGCTAATTTTTGTGTTTTTTTTTTTTTTTTTTTTTTTTCTGAGACAGAGCTTAGCTCTTGTCGCCCAGGCTGGAGTGCAGTGGCACAACTTCGGCTCACCACAACCTCTGCTCCCGGGTTGAAGCGATTCTCCTGCCTCAGCCTCCCGAGTAGCTGGGATTATAGGCATGAGCCACCACGCCTGGCTAATTTTTGCATTTTTAGTAGAGACGGGGTTTCGCCATGTTAGCCAGGCTGGCCTCGAACTCCTGACCTTGTGATCCACCCGCCTCGGCCTACCAGAGTGCTGGGATTACAGGCATGAGCCACCGCGCCCGGCCCAATTTTTGTATTTTTAGTAGAGGCGGGGTTTCATCATGTTGGCCAGGCTGATCTTGAACTCTTGACCTCCAGTGATCTGCCTGCCTTTGCTTCCCAAAGTGCTGGGATGACAGGCGTGAGCCACCATGCCCAGCCCTCATTTCATCTTCTTGATGTCAGTGAAGGGGGGGCTATTTTTGTGCTACAAGGTTCAAGAGTCTCCAACACTATCTTCACTATTGACAGCAACTTCAAGTTCAAGGGAGCCCAATACCACCTTCAGGTTTGATAATTTACCAGAAGGACCCATAGAGCTCAGAAAAGCTGTGTTACTTATGGTTAAATGCCATGGGTTAAAATCAGCCAAGGGAAGAGGTGTACGGGGTGCAGTACAGGAGATACCCAGGGGCAAACTTCTGTTACGGGATCTCTGGGGTGTCATTTTTCTGGCCGGAAACCTCTGTGGCCGCTGGCACCTTTGCCTGAGTTCTTGGAGTTCTTGTCCTGTGTCCAGGAAGAATGAGGTACACAGACAAGTGAAGAGTGAAGAAGGGGAAGAGTTTTATTTAGCGTTAGAACAGCTCAGAGGAGTGGGTAGCTCCTCTCTGTAGGCAGGTCTTCCCACGGAGTGTTCAGCTCTCAGCAGAGAGGAGGCCCTGGAGAGGGTGGCTTCTCTCCACAGGCAAGTCTTTCGGACGTCTCTGCAGGTCTCTGCAGCTGTCAGCAGAGCGGTTAGCTTTTCTCTGCCCACTGGTCGTCCCACCCTCTACTGCTCTCAGCAGAGAGGGTACTCAACTCATCCCATCGCCTCTCTGCGCTCGTCTTCCTGTGGCCGTCCTCTGCCTGACTTTGGCTGTGCCCTGGGCTTTTATGGACCTCAAAGGGGAGAAAGTGTGTGCTGATTGGTCCATGGGCAGCTATGGGCCAGCCAGAAAGAGGCACCACGAGTCCCTACTCCAGTCCAGGGGACTGGCAGCCCGGCCCGCAGCCCTGGCCCTCCCTGGCCCACAGGTGGGGCCTTACTGGGGACCTGCCCCATTCCACCCAGGAATCAATCAGCCTCCCACTGCCATTCATGGCTCACAGGCTTGGCCCCAAACCCCCTAAGAGCTCTGAGCAGGCCCCTAGAGTGGAGAGAGGCCAGGCAGCAGAAGACACCCCTGAGCTTGCAGAGACTTGGTGGGGGGGGTCCTTCCTGGGGTCCCCGAGGGTGCAGGCTGCAGAGACACCCAGCTCCTGGGCCTGGGAAGGCAGCTGCCGCTGCACCCGGGAAGGCAGATCCTGCCTGCTCCTAGCCCTCCCCCAAGAGCACAAGGAGGCTCCGATCCACAGCTGCAGTTTGGGCAGCTGTAGCCCCATCCAGGAGGGTGGGGCTCCTGCCTGCTCCACAGAGCAGGAGGCCTGGATCTGCAGCTGCGGTTTGGGAGGTTGCCGAGGCACCCAAGGAGTTCCCGTCCCAACTCAGAAGGGGCGGGGCTCCCACCAGCTCCATAGAGTGTTCGACCCCAGCCACACCTCCCTGCTGCAGCCAGTGTGATGGCAGCAGCCACTGCCACCACTTCTAGGTGCCCTTTCCTCGTGGGGTTGTACAGACGGGGCCAGCTTCTCTCAGCAGCGATGAGTGACAATACATACAGAGTATGCAGACCTGAGAAGAGCTCCTGAGCCTTCCTATCCAGAGGGTTTACTGGAGGTCAGTTGCATAGCCATGGCTGACTACCCACGTGGCTGACTTTAGTCTTTTTAAAATTTTTATTTTGTTTTTAATTTTTTGAGACAGAATCTCGCTCTGCCATCCAGGCTGGAGTGCAGTGGTATGATCTCTGCCCACTGCAGCCTCCACCTCCCAGGTTCAAGCGATGCTCCTGCCTCAGCTTCCCGAGTAGCTGGGATTACAGGCACCCGCAACCACGCCCAGCTAATTTTTGTATTTTTAGTAGAGACGGGGTTTCACCATGTTGGCCAAGCTGGTCTCGAACTCTTCACCTCAAGTGATCTGCCCACTTCGGCATCCCAGAGTGTTGGGATTACAGGCGTGAGCCACTGCACCTGGCCTGACTTTAGTCTTGAGCCCCTCCAGAGGCTGAACTGATTACCACATGGTCCAAGGCCACCAGCATTAATCACGTTTTCAGCAAAGGCTATACGGCAAGGCCCAATGCCCCAGGTAAACAGACACTCTTTTTTTTTTTATTTTAAATTTTTACTTATTTATTTTAGAGATGGGGGGGGCATCTCGCTATGTTGCCCAGGCTGGTCTTGAACTCCTAGACTCGAGTGATCCTCCTGCCTCAGCCTCCCAAAGTGCTGGGATTACAGGCATGAGCCACCACACCCAGCCACAGAGACACTCTTAACAGGCAAAACATTCCAAGGGCTTAGAATTTACTTCCCAGTTGCTTTCACCCAGGAGGGGCAAAGGGCCAATTCTTTGGACCCAAGTTAATTATTTACTGCACATGTGCCCATTTTGCAGAAAAGGAAATGGGGTCTTGGAGAGATTAAATGACTCGCCCCAGGTCACATAGGTTGATCCAGGGTCTAAGCCCTGATCATCCAACTCCAGGGCCCAGGTGCCTTGTGTTCTTCCTGGTGGCTTAAATGTCTCTGTTGAGAGAGAAATTAGCCCGACAATATTATTCCATATTCCCATTTCTTCAGTTGTAGAATAATTCTAGAGTGTGTGTGTGTGTGTGTGTGTGTGTGTGTGTGTGTGTGTGTGTGTATTTCAGAGACAGGGTCTTGCTAGGTTGCCCAGGCTGGAGTGCAGTGGCATTCACAGGCATGATCATCGCACACTAAAACCTCAACTTACTGGGTAAAGGCGATCCTGCTGCCTCATCTTCCAGAGCAGCTGAGTCTACAGATGTGCACCACTGTGCCCAGCTTGGAGTATATTTAACTTAAGCTCTCTATCAACTCTGGGCAGGGCTCTATTGGGGGAAATAGGTTACATCCAACAGGATTCCACTTCCTGGGGCTGAACAATCTCACGATGCTGTTGTTCTTGTGTGATTACAGAAAACTCCAGTGTTCTGTACTAGAGTACTTGGGATGAAAACATGTGCCTAACCCATATTTAGCACGCCTCTGTGGATGCCACGCACAGGGCAAGGTGTTGGGGATGCCATGGTGAACAGGTTAGACATAACTCACGCCTTTTCCTGGAGCTTGTAGTTTATGTGTCATGGGGGAGAAGGAAAAAGACAAATCTCTGGGTCATGGCTTCTCTTATTCTCCAGCTTCAGGGCAGGTCAGGCTCCAGCCACAGCCCTTTGCTGGACAGATACTGAGCAGTTGCTGGCCAACAGGCACTGGTCCATGGGAGGACCCTGGGGATAGAGTGGTCAACAAGGCAGACATGGCCCCTCTCCTTCCTGAGCTTCTCTTTGCCTCAGTGCGAGACAACCTTATCTCCATCTATCCTCACTCGAGTAGAAGTATACAGAAATCTCACAAACAACTAGGTAACATATTCCCAACAGTGATTCAAGTCAGGAAGGAAAGAGACACAGGACCAGGGTAGAGAATGGGTGGGGGTGGTCAGTGAGGACCTCCCAGAGGAGGTGACATTTAAGCTGAGACCTGCAGATGAAGAAGAGCTAGCCACATGAAGAGT
This sequence comes from Homo sapiens, assembly GCF_000001405.40. NCBI lineage: Eukaryota > Metazoa > Chordata > Mammalia > Primates > Hominidae > Homo > Homo sapiens. The sequence continues at coordinate 10,971,526 of NC_000001.11, read as the reverse complement.
TGGGAATGGTGTTTCAAGCAGAGGGAACAGTATGTGCAGAGGCCCTGAGGTAGAGAAAAGACCAGCTTGGCTCAGGAACACATGGATTGTGGAAGTGTTTGGATTTTATTCCAAGGGTAGTGGGGAGCCATTGAAGGTTCTGAGAAGGGACTGACATGATCTCATTTCCATTTTAAGATCCCTTGTGGCTGCCGTGTCAAGAATGGACTGGGGCAGGATGGGCAGAGGCTGGGGTCAGGGGTGACCAGGACATTGCGCACTGCCTCTCCCCTCTGGTCTGGGCACAGGCTGTGCTCTCTGCCTGGAGTGGTCAGCAAAGCTGCAGAATTCCATGGCTGAGCCAGTTTGCCCCTACTCTACCTTTTCTTTTTTTTTTTTGAGGTGGAGTCTTGCTCTGTCGCTTAGGCTGGAGTGTAGTGGCGCCATCTCGGCTCACTGCAGCCTCTGCCTCTTGAGCTCACAGTCTTTCCGCCTCACCTCCTGAGTAGCTGGGACCACAGGCATGCACCACGATGCTCCGCTAATTTAAACAAAAAATTTTTTTCTTAGAGATGGGGGGTCTTGCTTTGGCCCAGGCTGGTCTCGAACTTCTGAGCTTAAGCAATCTGCTCTCCTCAGCCTCCCAAAGTCCTGGGATTACAGGTATGAGCCCCCATGCCTGGCGAGTACTCATATATGTACCATGAAGTCACCTTGCTCCCTGTCTCCCCCTATAAAACATAGAGTTTAGATTTAATGACCTCCAAGACTTTGCTACTCAAAGTGTTGTCCCTGGACCAGCAGCCATCACTTGGGAACTTGGTAGAACTGCTGAATCTCAGGCCCCGCCTTAGACCTACTGAATCTGTATTTTAACAAGTGCTCAGGTTACTTGTAGGCACACTGGAAATCTTTTTTTTTGAGTCAGAGTTTCGCTGCCACCCAGGCTGGAGTGCAGTGGTGTGATCTCGGCTCACTGCAACCTCTGTCTCCCAGGTTCAAGCGATTCTCCTGCCTCAGCCTCCTGAGTAGCTGCGATTACAGGCATGCGCCACCACGCCTGGCTAATTTTTGTATTTTTTAGTAGAGACGGAGTTTCACCGTGTTGGCCAGGCTGGTCTCGAACTCCTGGCCTCAAGTGATCCACCCGCCTCGGTCTCCCAAAGTGTTGGGATTACAGGCATGAGCCACCGTGCCCAGCCTGCAGGCTGGAATTTGAGGACCTCCCCAACAAGTTCTTCCTCCTTGGGCATTCTGTGAACTGTGACCTCTGTATGGAGTAAAGGGTCACTCTGTTAGGACAATATGACCCCTACATGCCCTTTCCTGACTATTCCATTGAAGCCAGGCTGAGAGGAGCTCCTTCTTTTCCTTCCTTCCTTCCTTCCTTTCTTCCTTCCTTCCTTCCTTCCTCCCTCCCTTCCCCACCTCCCTCCCTCCTCCTTCCTTCCTTCTCAGAAGCATCTTCTTGTTGGACAGACACAGTTGAGTGCTTCTCAGACTACATGACCCTGTGGATCCCAAGGAGCCACGTGGAGGGGCTGAGGCGGTGGCTGGCCAGGACCTTGCACTTGCCAGGTAAGAGGTGGTCGGTGGCTGGGCGGGGTCTTTGCTGGGGCTTTTGTGTTGCCTTCCCCTGCCTGCAATGCTCCTCCCCCATGGCTCTTGCAGGTTCCTGGGCATCACTCAAATCTCTGCTCAAAGGCCACCTCCCCCCACAGCCCTTCCAGGCTCTCTAAAGTCGTCCACGCCCACCCCAGTCACAATCCCGGCACTCCTCACTAGTAAGATGATCTCCTGCCATTGTTCCCAAGCTTGTCATCTGCGCCCCTCTTCCCAACAGAAGGCAGCACTGTGAGGGCACGGCCCACGTGCTTTTTGTTTACAGCTGCATCTTCAGAACCAAGAACACTGCCTGGTGCTTAGAAGATTCCCAATAAATATTTGTTGAATGAACAAGTGGCCCAAAGCCCTGGAAGAAGCGCCCATCTGGTGCCGCTATGCTCCAAAATCGAAATCACTCTGCAAAAGTGGAAGTGAGACTAAAGGGGTGATTCTCAAACACTTGGGAGAAATGGGAGGCCATCACATGCTTGGTGGGGGAAGAGCGCACCTAAAATAGCAAACAACAAGGGGCATAGTGTCACTTCCAGAAACCTTTCTGCCATGAGCTTTCCAACAGAAGGAGTAGGAAAGCATTGGATGTCTTCAGCGTACCTGGAACCTTCTGGAACCTTCTGGAGGGAACACGAGTAGAGAGAGGAGCAAATAGCTTGCTTCCCTCCATGCTCTGCATCTCGGTGGCTGCAAAGCAAGCCCCCAGGTTCCTCCTCTCTTTTGCACAGAAAAAGAGATATTGAGGAGGGAGGCTTTCCAATCTCACCCAAGTCTAGGAAAACCTCCTAGGGACCCTGCTCATTCTGGAAATTCCTAAAGCACCTTCTGGGACCGGTAGGGCCTAAATCTGCCCTGGGAGGGCCAACCACCCATTGGCCAGCCAGCCCGGGACGCCTTGGGAGAGACATTTGTGTATTAAAAGGCCACTTTTCCAGGAGAAAAGCTGTGGATACATTAAGCTGTCGCCTGTTCTTTGGAGAGCCATTATTAATGGAAAACAATAGATTAATAGTCTTAAAACGCTTGTTCAATAAGTAATTTTTATGGCTTTGGATAGAGCCCATTAAACATTTCTGTGTGTTATTATAAAGAAGTTTTAAGCGTAAAATCATAAAGCCAATAATCAGAGAATTAGTCACAGCGGCCAGCCACAGGCCATTAGTTTTAGGCGCTGTCAGAGACACCTGTGGCTTTTGAGGAAGAGTTTTCATTTCACGTGGCAGCGCCAGGTGGGGATGGAGAAATGACGGTGCCTGCTGCCTTCCATAAACTTGAGGGGACAGCAAGCAGGTGTGAGCAGCAGGGTGCCAGGCAAATATTTACAAAGTGCAAACGTGAATGCAAAACTAAAACGATCCAGGTCAGTTTGCACATCCAGCTCAGACACTTTATTTCCCCAGCGAGCTACCTTTCACAGTCTTCCTCCGCCAGAGGCACGGCCTTGATCTCTTGCTAAAGATAGCGGTGGAAGCTGCGTGCTTTTGAAAGGAAAGCATGTCACCAGAGAATCCCACGTAGAAAGGCTGCCAGAGCTGTTTTCTGGAATAGCGTATTCATCTTCCATCAAATGCACAGTCGAGTCAAGCATTTGAAAGTGAAACTGTGAGCTTTAAAAATGCTTTAAAAATAATCATGACAGAAGCAATACAAGATAATTACAGAAACTACAGGCAATCCAAAGGAGATAATCAAAACTGCTCGTAATCCCTCTACCCAGAGATAGCCCCCTTTATTTTTCACTCATTCAACAACTACTTATTTATTTATTTATTGAGACGGAGTCTCACTTTGTTGCCCAGGCTGGAGTGCAGTGGTGCAATCTCAGCTCTCTGCAACCTCTGCCCCACGGGTTTAAGCGATTCTTCTGCTTCAGCCTCCAGAGTAGCTGGGACTACAGGTGCCCCCCCACCGCGCCGAACGAATTTTTGTATTTTTATTTGTATTTATTTATTTTTTTGAGACAGAGTCTCACTTTGTTGCCCAGGCTGGAGTGCAGTGGCGCGACCTTGGCGCACTGCAACCTCCGCCTCCTGGGTTCAAGTGATTCTCCTGCCTTAGCCTCCTGAGTAGCTGAGACTACAGGTGCCTGCCACCACTCCCAGCTAATTTTTTTGTATTTTTAGTAGAGACAGGATTTCACCATGTTGGCCAGACTGGTCTCGAACTCCTGGCCTCAAGTGATCCACTCGCCTCGGCCTCCCAAAGTGGAGTGATTATAGGTGTGAGCCACCGTGCCCAGCCTCATTCAACAACTATTTATTGAGAACCTTCTGTGTGCCAGAAACAGCTTGAGGCACTAAAGATGCAGCAATGAACAAAACAGACAAATATCCCTGGCCCCATGGAGCTGACATTTGACTAGAGGGCAATAAACAATCAATATAACAAATAAGCCAGTAAGATAGTTGGTTAGAAGACAATGATTGTGCAGAAAAGGGTGAAGGAGGGCAGGATCGGGGAGTGTTAAGAGGGTAGTCAGGGTGGGCTTCATGGAGAAGGCAACATTTGCACAAGGACTGAAAGGAGGCAGGGGAGTCAGCCATGTGGATATCTAGGAGAAGAGAGTTCCAGGCAGAGGGCACAGCCAGTGCAAGGGCCCTGAGGCAGGACTGGGCCTGGGATGATTGAGAAATAGCAGTGGGTCTGGTGTGTTTGGAGCAGAGGGAGGGAGGGGAAGAGAAGTGGGAAAGGGGGTCAGAGAAGTGAGGGCAGGTCACGTGAGGCTTTCAAGGGCTTTGTTTTTTTTAAGCAATGGAGTTTTTTTTTTTTTTTTTTCTTTTTTTGGACAGTGTTTCACTCCGTCACCCAGGCTGGAGTGCAGTGGCACAATCTTGGCTCACTGCAGCCTCCACCTTCCGGGTTCAAGTGATTCTCGTGCCTCAACCTCCCAAGTAGCTCGAATTACAGGCGGGCACCACCATGCCTGGCTAATTTTTGTATTTTTAGTAGAGATGGGGTTTTGCAGTGTTGGCCGGGTTGGTCTTGAACTCCTGAGCTCAAGTGATCCTCCCACCTCGGCCTCCCAAAGTGCTGGGATTACAGGTGTGAGCCACCGTGCCTGGCCGGCAATGAAGAGGTTTGAGCAGAGGAGAGACACAATCTGCCTACATTTTGAACAGGATCCTGCGGGCTGCTGCATGAAATATACACAACTGGGGCAAAGGAGGAAGCCGGGGGACATGGGAGGAGGCAGCTGCAATGACACAAGCCGAGGATTCACGTGGGGAGATGGGGTTGGATTCTGGATACACCTTGAATGAAGAACCATCGGGCTTTCCTGTTGGTATATGCCTTTCCAGACTTTTAAAAATTACTGCTATTTTTATCCCTTCCAGGTAAGAAGCTTCCAGGCGGAGCAGTTTCTATCTGCGAGTCTGATATTTCTGACCCTGCCAGAGAAGCCACCTCCACAGGCTCAACCCACGTTTCTGTCCCTTTCTCATTCCAGGCACCTGGAGGTCCCCTGACCACCTGGATTCTTCTCTTGCTAAATGTGGCTACTTCCTGCATCTGGCTTCAGACGGTGACTTCCTTTTTCGAGTTCAATACTCGGCCTGCTTTGTGCAGAAAGAGGTGGGTTTGGGAAACTTTTCTTTTTTTTTTTTTAAAGGGAGATTTAAGGAGCTAAGCCTGAGCTCAGATATCAAGTAAGGAGACACTGCACCATTATTCCTCTGCAGAAACTGAGCTGAGGGAGACCAGAAGTCTCTGCCCTCATGGAGTTTATGGGCATAGATATTAAAAGGCCGCCCAGCTCAGATGCTGCCTCCTCCAGGCAGTCCTCCTGAGAATCCCCCCTTCTCTGTGCAGTAGACCTGCTTCTATCATTGCCAACACTGACTCATAATGTGCCCACTCACACACCATATCCTGCTGGACCTGGAGTCTCTGGGGTGAGGCAGTCACACCCACAGGCTTGCCTCAGGGCCTGGCACACAGTAGGTACTCAGTAAGTGCTGAATGAAGTGAATAAATGGTGCTGAGGAGTTGCAAAGACTGACTGACAGCCCTCACTTGCACAGGCCCATTATGGGCTCACGAGACCATGTGACTCTAAAATTTACAGAAGCAAGATATTTTTGTATTCTTTTTCCTTTTTTTTTTTTTTTTGACGGAGGCTCGCTCTGGCACCCAGGCTGGAGTGCAGTGACGCAATCTCGGCTCACTGCAACTTCCGCCTCCCAGGTTCAAGCGATTCCCCTGCCTCAGCCTCTGAAGTAGCTGAGACTACTTGGTAAAGGCGGGGTTTCACCTTGTTGGCCAGGCTGGTCTTGAGCTTCTGACCTCAAGTGATCCACCCACCTCGGCCCCCAGAGTAGCTGGGACTACAGGCATGCACCACTACACCCAGGTAATTTTTGTACTTTTTGTAGAAGATGGGGTTTCACCATGTTGCCCAGGCTGGTCTGGAATTCCCAGGCTCAAGCCATCCTCCCGCCTCGGTGTCCCAATGTGTTGAGATGATAGGAATGAGCCACTGTGCCAGCATTCTTGTTACTTAAATTTCACTCCAGGGGTCCTGCAAGGGGACAACCAGCCGCACAGTTTGGCTCACAGTTTTTTTTTTCTTGTCTTTTCCTCACCTCCACTTCCCCTTTCCATTTCTTTGTGCTCCCTTCCTTGACCCAGTCCAGAGTTTTTCCTGAGTGGGGCTGTGGTCTGGAGTGGGGGAAGGAATTTTGGGAACTACCCTGCTCCTCCTCTTTCTCTTCCTCTCTGTGGTCGCCCTTCTCTGACAGCCCCGTCACCCTTCTCAGGCCCCACCGCAAAGCTTAGACTTGGGTTCTTCTTATGTGGCTGAATGAGGGCAGCCTGGGAGGGGCAGAGGGACCCATTGGTTTGACATCTTTGAAGTCCGCCTTGTACCGGAATGAGCTAGACCAGCTCTCACATCTAGTCTCAGAAATGGCCACATGCCTTTGGCTTAGTCATTTACCTTCTCTAAGCCTCAACTGCCTCATCTGTAAAATGGGAATTTTATGTCTCATAAACCCAGCCTTGGCTGGGCTTGGTGGCTCACGCCTGTAATCCCAGCACTTTGGGAGGCCAAGATGAGCGGATCACTTGAGGCCAGGAGTTCAACACCAGCCTGGCCAACATGGTGAAACCCCATCTCTACTAAAAATACAAAAATTAGACGGGCGTGTTGGCGTCTGCCTGTAATTCCAGCTACTTGGGAGGCTGAGGCACAAGAATTGCTTGAACCCGGGAGGTGGAGGTTGCAGTGAGCCAAGATCAGGCCATTGCACTCCAGCCTGGGTGACTGAATGAGACTGTGTCTCAACAACAAAAAATAGCCCAGCCTTATGAGACACTGGTGAGCATCAAAGGAGATAAAGTGTGAACAAATATTTGTCAACTCTCAAGGGACATTAGGACGCAAGCTCTTATTCTGTCTGACTAGGTTTGACCTTCCCCAAATCCCCAAATGCTCCCCAGCCTGGAGGGCTTCCTTGGTGGGGGCTGAGCTTCCAGAGCCAGACCCAAGCTCCGTGTTGGTGTCGACCTTGGTCTCGTTTCCCATCCCTCTTCCACAAGCCCACCTTCTAGGAGGTTCATGGTGTCCTATTTGCTGTGAACAGGGACTGACCTATAATTGCAGGCTATTAACTGTATTTTCCTCTCTCATTTGCATACATGAATTTTGCCCTACTTCCAGAAAGCAAATTACAGGCTGGAAATCAGAATATTTCAGAAAGGGGTGATGGGGTTGGAGCGGAGTGATCGCTACATAATGAAGTGTCCGATGCTAAGGTCAAGGCTGGGCCAGGAAAGCGTCCACTGTGGGCCCATGTTCATCCAGGTAATGGGTTCGGGGGGTCTGGGAGGTGGCAGAGGGACCTCCCAGGCTGGGCTTCTCTCTAAAGGCCAAGGCAGGTGGCCCTGGCTCCTGCACCACAGGACGTGGCCCAGGGAGACAGGTGGTAGCTGCAGATGCAGTATGGCATTGTTCTCCTAGACATCCCTGGGTACTGGCTAGGTCTCTGCTGGGTTGGGTTCTGAGCAAGGACGAGTGAGATGGGAGGGGAGGGGGGATTAAAGCTCTCTGACCTCGGGTTCTGGATTTCCCATCTTGGCTGGCTCAGGGGGCCAGTCGGGTTATCACCAAAGCTGCAAAATTGCATCTTTGTGTCCTTTCTCTCTGGATTGAAAAAATTTGCTAAATTTGCTAGTTTGGATGCTTTTTTTTTTTGACCTGGGTAATGTCAAAGAGTTATAGACCCCAGGTACGATCAGGTGCAATGTCTACATTTTAAACATCAGGGAAGAAAGGTTGAGCCCCACATCCAACTGTGAGCTCTTTCATGGCCGTGTGTGCTCCTTGAATTCAAGTTTCTCTCTAGCTCTCATCAGCGGGGCACCTCTGTAAGCTAAACATGATTTGGATGGGAGTGGGGAGGGCTAGAAACCCAAACATCTATAGGGACCAAACCCGCCACAGAAATGAGCGTGCTGGACTGAGGAGGAAGCAATAAAGAATTTTACTCATTCCTTCATTTAGTCAGCTGGGTTTTTTTGTTTGTTTGTTTGTTTGTTTTTTTGAGATGGAGTCTTGCTCTGTTGCCCAGGCTGGAGTGCAGTGGTGCAATCTCGGCTCTCTGCAACATCTGCCTCCTGGGTTCAAGCGATTCTCCTGCCTCAGCCTCCCAAGTAGCTAGGATTAGAGGTGTGTGCCACCATGCCCTGCTAATTTTTGTATTTTTAGTAGAGATGGAGTTTCACCATGTTGGCCAGGCTGGTCTTGAACTCCTGACCTCAAATGATCCACCTGCCCCAGCCTCCCAAAGTGCTGGGATTACAGGTGGGAGCCACTGCACCCGGCCTGTTTTTTTAAAGAGACAGGATCTTGCTCCGTCACGCAGGCTCACTGCAGCCTTGACCTCCTGAGCTTAAGGGATCCTCCCACTTCAGCCTCCCAAGTAGCTGGGACTATAGGCGTATGACACCATGCCCAGCTAATGTTCAAATTTTTTGTAGAGACGGCGTCTCACTGTGTTGCCCAGGCTGGTCTCAAACTCCTGGCTTCAGGCGATCCTCTCACCTTGGCCTCTCAAAGCCCTGGGATTATAGGCGTGGGCCACTACGCCTGGCCCAGCAAACACTTATATATGGCTCATTCTGTGCTGGGTGCCGTTCTACTCACTTTGCAAATATTAACTCATCTCACCTTCATAGCGATTCTATGTAGTTGGTTCTATATTGATCCCCATTCTGCAGGTGAGAGAACTAAGCAGAGAGAGATTAGGAGACTTGCCAGCTGGTAGCAACAGAGCTGGGCTTTGAGCCAGACCACATGGTGGGGGCTGGGGATGCTGGAACAGGCACAACCTACAGTCCTGGCCCCCTACAGAGGGAGCTGAGGCTGGACTGCACTCCAGCCCCATTTTGCCAGATTTTCCAACATTTCAAGATAAACTGGAAATCTATAATTGTATGTGAAATCCTCCAGTTAAAAAAAGTTCACTTTATTTATTTATTTTTTTGAGATGCAGTCTCGTTCTGTCACCCAGGCTGGAGTGCAGTGGCGTGATCTCAGCTCACTGCAACTTTCGCCTCCTGGGTTCAAGTGATTCTCCTGCCTCAGCCTCACGAGTAGCTGGGATTACAGGCATGCATTACCATACTCGGCTAATTTTTTATATTTTTGGTAGAGACGGGGTTTCCTCATGTTGGCCAGGCTGGTCTAGAACTCCTGACCTCAAGTGATCCGCCTGCCTCGGCCTCCCAAAGTGCTGGGATTACAGGTGTGAGCCACCACGCCCGGTCAAGTCACTTTAATTTTGTAGGCACTGTGCGGCTCAAACAAAGTGCTGGATTTGGCCTGAGGGATTTGGGTGGGCATCTTCTGTCTGTGAGGAGGAGGAGGAAGGAAGGAGGAAGAGAAAGGAGAGGAAGGCAGAACTGAGAGGAGGAGGTTGGAGTGAAAAGGCTGCTGATGACAAACACCATTTATCCAACAAGCATTTGTTCATTTATTTATTTTGAGACAGAGTCTCGCTCTGTTGCCTAGGCTGGCGTACAGCGGTGTGATCTCGGCTCACTGTAACCTCTGCCTCCTGGGTTCAAGCGATTCTCATGGGATCACAGGCATGCGCCACCACCAGTTTAATTAAAGCCAGTTGATTTTTAAAATATTTTTTGCGTTTTTAGTAGAGATGGGGTTTCACCATGTTGGCCAGGCTAGTCTCGAACTCCTGACCTCAACCGATCCACCTGCCTTGGCCTCCCAAAATGCTAGGATTACAGGCGTGAGCTGCCGCGCCTGGCCCCAACAAGCATTTATTGAGCATCTATTGTATGCCCAGCCCTGTGCTGCTGCTGAGGGAACAGATACGACCAAGGCATGACTTGCCCCAGGAAGAGCTTATCGCTTTCTTCTCATCTGATCTGAGCTTCAAAAATGAGTGTGCTGTGGTGGGAAGGGCCCCTGCACCAGCCCAGCTCAGAAGACCTGGGCTCATCTCCGCTCTGAGCCCGGCTCACTGCCATGTTGGACTCTCTAAAGTTCCTTTGCTTCTTAACCTGAAGGAGCAGGGGCTGAGCGGGAGGGGCTTCCTCTGCCCACCTACCTTTATTAAGGGCTCAGAGTGGCCACGCCAAAGCCAGTGTTGGTGCACCTAAGAATTGCGGGGCCGGCCCCGCCCCGGGATCCCCAAGCAGGGCTGCCAGGGCACCTGTTTGACATCCCGGGGCTGGTTACTGCTCCCTTTGCACTGAGCCTGTGATTCTGGAAGCCGCCGCTAGGGGGACGGTGTTGCTGTCCTCACACGACAGTGGGCCTGGGCCGAATTGCTGAGAAAAGCAGAAACGACTCCTCACTCGGGCGCCGCTTGGTCTCCATCGTCCTGCCCTTGAAGCCCAGATGCCCCAATGCCCCAGTCCCTGGCATCCTTCACTGACCGAGGTGTGGGAGCAGGTGGGTGGGGGGGGCTCTGCATCCGTAAACAGAGTCGCACAGAGGTAGGCAGCACACAAGGAGCAGAGGCAGGTCTCTGCTGCCCCCGCCTCCCCTCCAGCCCCTTCCCCCATCTGAGAACCTCATCGAATTGACTGATTCATTCCTGGTGACTTCTGCAGCCGCCACTTCCGTGGCTGCACCTTGAACTTGCATTAAGTTTTAATTAAAGCCGTTTCACCGGCCTTGCCCTTGGCTAAATGCAGCTGTGGGCACAGGGCACATAGATATTTAATACTCTGCCTCTCCCCGCTGATGGCGCAGGGTGCCCAAGGGTGTACCCGAGCCGTGCCCTGCTCGCAGCGATCTGCGAGCTCGCTTAAGTGTGCCCACAGGCCCCGAGCGGGAGGCCGCGCAATAACTATTCATTGCCCTGGGTTAAGTGTGCCCAGGGGCACCCGTAAACTCAATGCAGTGATTAGCGATTGCTCCCAGTGAAGGCTGCCCGAGCTCCTGCGGAATGTCCACGGGCCCTAAATATAGCCTCCTCCTGGCGACTTAAAGGGCACGGTGCGTTTTGGCTGCGTACTTGTCACGTCTTCCCTTCCTTTCTTTTTTTTTCTTGGAGACAGAGTCTCACTCTGGCCAGAGTCGCCCAGGCTGGAGTGAGTGGGACAATCTCAGTTCACTGCAACTTCCGCCTCCCAGGTTGAAGCGAACCTCGTGCCTCAGCCTCCTGAGTAGCTGGGACTACAGGCGCCTGCCACCACTCCTGGCTAATTTTTTTATTTTTTATTTTTTGTATTTTCGGTAAAGATGGGGTTTCACCATGTTGCCCAGGCTGGTCTGGAACTCCTGAGCTCAGGTGATCCACCCGCCTCAGCCTCCCAAAGTGCTGAGATTCCAGGCATGAGCCACTGCACCTGGCCTTCCCTTCCTTCTTTTAGCAGAATTGCTTCCCTCCTTCTTACAGCCTGGCCTCTGGGGGCCTCTCTGTCTTCTTCCTGGTTCAGCAGGGGAGATGGGCTGGGGCACCATGGTGCAGCTTTGGTGGTGTTGTTGAGGAATTGCCGCATCCTCCTCATTCTGCCAGACCTTGTGGACATCTCCTCCATTTCTTCCACTTTGCTCCCCAAGGGAAGGCAGCACCCCCTAAAAGCAAGGCCATCACAGGGCTGACCCGAGGGGCTCCCTGTGGGCAGCCCGAGCCTGCTGCCAACATGGGCTCTCTGGGGCCAAGGAACAGCCGAGCTGGGCAACTGGGGAGGCTGCATGGTGGTGGCGGGCCTTTTCCTGGCCCCACCCACTCCTTTCTGCTTCTGGAAGCCCTTCTTTGCCCCTGGGGAGAAGAGGTGGGTAGCCTTGAGTTGGGGAGCTGTCAAGATGAGTCAGTCCACTCTGGCTCCAGTCTCCTCATTCTGTATTGGGTAGGAGAGGGGGTCTGATGGTCTCCGAGGGACCCTCTGCTGGTCTGTGACTCTGTCCGGTGCCACAACCTCCCTGGCCAAGTCTGACGCAAAGGCAAAGGGGCATTTGGAGAAAGTAGAGAGACTTGAGAGAGCACCTGGGTGGGGTGGCACTGGCTGCAGAGGGGTTTTGGGGAAGGTGCCTTGCCCACGCCATCACCTTGGGCCCTGGTCTGTGAAACGGGAGAATGGTGCCACCCTACGGGATGGCTGTGAGACTCAGGCGCGGTACGAGAAACCACTGTCTCGGTTTGCCTGGGCCTGTCTCAGTTTTAGCACTGAAAATCCCACATCAGGGGAACCTCCCCACTGCTGGGGAACCGGGATGGTTGGTGCCCCTAAGAATGGTGCCATTGGGGGGCACATGTGTACTCTCTGGGACCGTAGAAGCCCTCACTCTCTACTTCTGCTAGTTGGATCCAAAGTGGAAAGAAAAAGGGCGAGAAAGAAATTGGGACTTAGGGAGAAAAACAGACAAGAGGCCTAGGAAACAGCCCCAATGGAAGTGGGCCGTGAGCAGGGTTGGTCCCATGCACACCCGCTCTTGGCCTCACCAGCTGCGCCCAGGACCCCAGCTGCCCCCTTGGCCGGGCCTAGGATGGCAGCTGAGGCAGTGACATTTCCCTGCGTCTGTTGACACTCGAGTCCCAGAACATAAATGATTTTCTTGTCTTAATGAGCAAACAACCCTGCGGCACAGCTCTCTCACCGGCCTCCTGCTGGGGTAATTGCCGGTGCTGATGGGCACAGGCAGGGATGTTTGCTCACCTTTGCTCACCGCTTGCAGGAGACATTGCTTCCTCTTTGTCTCTGCAGGTCTCCCGGCCCCTGCCCCTGTGGAGGGACAATAGACAGGTAAGCGGGCCCCATTGAAGTAGCAGGAGCAACTCTCTGGAAGTTTCTGCTAGGACTGGTGGGTGCTCAGGATGCTCTGAGGCAGCTTTTGAGTTTGCTTGTCCTCCGGAGAGTGTCGTGGATGGTACAGACTCTTCAAGGACCAGGTCTTGCCGGCTGAAGTTTGAAGCTCCCACTGATGCCCTCCAGGCAGAGGCCTGAGGCCATCTGAGAACAATCTTGAAGAGGGGACCCCAGCTTTGGGTGGGAGGCTGGGTTGGAAGGCTGTAAGGTCCTTCCTGTGCTAAGATTCTCTCTGCCAAGTCTCCAGTGACAGGGAGCTTGTTCCTTTGTAAGGAGCTTGTTCCATGTTGCACAGGTGTTTCCCGAATTTTCCTTCTGCTGGTCCTTTGAGTGTTTCCCGCAGCCTCCCCGAAGGATCCAGTCCCTCTTCTCCATTTCACATCCCTTTGAATATTTGGGGTCAGTGAGCTTGACCTCCCCAAGTCTTCCTGATGTCTCCCTGCCAGTCCTCCTGAGATGGGAGCTGGCGACCCTTCCCTGTCCCTCTGCCCGCATCTGGCCCTCACCTTTATTCAAGACCCTGATTCCCATGTCCCACTAAAGGGTGGCAAACAGAGCCAAGGACAGGACTCCAGTTGTGCCCAGCCAGGGCGGCATAGGGGCCGACTGGTTGGCATTGCTGTTAGGGGTAACTGTGTGTTCGTTCTTTCAGTTGCGTTGTACACCTACTGTGTGCCAGGCACCCCTGCAAGGGACCTCCTACCCTAAAGTATAAGCGTGCTAGCGTCTGGTTGACTCTCCTCCCAGAGTGGCCTGCCGTCCTGCCTCCTGGCCTAGATTATCCTCCCCGTGACCCTGTTGCCTTCCTAGGTGACCCTTCAAGTGTCCCCTCTCCGTAACCCCTAGTGACCGTGCCTCCCTGGCCACATGGTTTGTGATCGTGTCCTCTTTCTCCAGACTCCATGGCTGCTGTCCCTTCGAGGGGAGCTGGTGGCTTCTCTTGAAGACGCCAGCCTGATGGGACTGTATGTGGACATGAATGCCACCACTGTCACCGTCCAAAGCCCGAGACAAGGCCTTCTTCAGAGGTGGGAGGTCAGTGGTGGGCAGCAGGCTCTGCCAGGAGGTGAGGGGCCTCTGGGGCATAGCACCTAGAAGAGCAGGTTGCCACCCCTCCAGTGACAAGTCAAATGTCCACCTGCGAGACTGGACAGATTTAGGCAGGCGCCTTCGAAAATTGGGCCCCATTAGCGTAAAGCGCTCCGCTCTGCAGATGAGGGGCTCCTGCAATCATGCATTCAGTGCGTCCTGATCATGGCGGCAGGAGCGTAATTACCGTCTCTTTAAATAGCCCAAAGTTGCTGTGTAAGAGAAGACGGCTCACATGACATTTGCTCTGAGCTCGCTTCCTGCTAAAAATATCTCAGCTAAATAATATTTCCTAGTTGCATCGGCGCCATAATCCCTGACCTGGGCTTTGTAACACTTGGGGCTTTAGTTCAGAGACTAATTCGAAGGTAGGAGAGGGGGCCCCTGTGGAGGGAGTCTGCATCTGGAAGGAGCAGTTTTGGAGACCTCAGGGGGGACCCCCCTTCCTCCCCAGGTGCTGAACACCTCTGCTGAGCTCCTGCCACTATGGCTGGTGAGCGGTCACCATGCCTATTCTTTAGAAGCTGCTTGCCCACCGGGTAAGACCCAGGAGTGCCCCTAATGTCCACCTTTCCAACTTCATCACATTCTGGTCTGTTTTCTCCCTCCTCTGGGCACCTTATTCCCCTCTGTCTCATCCCACCTCTCCTCTCCTCAGTCCCAACCTTGGCTATGCGTTTCAGAAATGCTCGGGACAAAGAGAAGTTTGCTTTTGCTGGAAGGTGTTGGGGTATGTGTGTGTGGAGTAGGGGTGGGATGTGGGGTGAATAAAAAGTAAAATCATCGGCCGGGCGCGGTGGCTCACGCCTGTAATCCCAGCACTTTGGGAGGCCGCGGCGGGTGGATTACGAGGTCAGGAGATCAAGACCATCCTGGCTAACACGGTGAAACCCTGTCTCTACTAAAAAAATACAAAAAATTAGCCGGGCGTGGTGGCGGGGGCCTGTAGTCCTAGCTACTCAGGAGGCTGAGGCAGGAGAATGGCGTGAACCTGGGAGGCGGAGCTTGCAGTGAGCCGAGATGGTGCCACTGCACTCCAGCCTGGGGGACAGAGCGAGACTCCATCTCAAAAAAAAAAAAAAAAGTAAAATCATCTACTACAGACCTGCAAACTTGAGGTCTGCAAATTCTTGGGAGCTCCTAAGCTGGCTCCAGAGGCTCTGAGAACAGAGACGGGAGAGAGCCTGCAGCCTGGTCAGACCCTCCAGGGCTCTGTGATCTGAGGGTGGTGGGGACCCCCTATCTAGACCATGTATGTGATAACTGTTTTGTTCAGCCTGGAGTGACACCGTTGCCCTGGGTCTTATGTCATATAAAGAGGTCCGGAATCTGGAAGACCACTTCCTACCTCCAGGGAATTTAAATTCAAAGAACTCGGTGTGCAAAGTTAGGTGGATCAAAGGCTTCATCCTGTGTGGGTAGATTAGAGGTGGTTTAGACTTTCCATTTGTATAGAATTTTATCATGGACTGAGTTTCGGGATCAGGGCTCAGGGCTCTGGGGATTTTCAGGCATTGGCAATGACCATGATGAGCCTCCAACCATCTCTTTCCCTGTTCACAGTGTTTCAAATCCCTTTATATAAAGGCAGATGCTTCCATTAGCAGCTGCAGAGCTGGCTTAAAATGTCCCCCTGAGAGCCTGACACAGTGAAATTCTTGCTAAAGTGTAAACAACTGATAGGAGCTGTATTTCTTTCTTTTTTTTTTTTTTTTTTGAGATGGAGTTTCACTCTTGTTGCCCAGGTGGGAGTGCAGTGGTGCGATCTCGGCTCATTGCAACCTCCACCTCCAGGGTTCAAGCGATTCTCCTGCCTCAGCCTCCCAAGTAGCTGGGATTACAGGCACCCGCCACCACGCCTGGCTAATTTTTTGTGTTTTTAGTAGAGATGGGGTTTCACCATGTAGGCCAGGCTGGTCTTGAAATCCTGACCTGAGGTAATCCACCCACCTCGGCCTCCCAAAGTGCTGGGATTACAGGCATGGACCACTGTGCCTGGCCTAGGAGTTATATTACTTAAGAGTTGCTTTGGAAATGGAAGGGGCACTGGGCTAGGTCACCGAAGCCAAAGACGGTCTCAGTAGAGACATTTCTGCAGCTTCCCTCCTGGCATCTGCTTCCTGATGGGCCTTTGCAAGTGGCAAGGTCTGTCAGGTGTTTGGGAATGGTCTTTTTTTCTTCTCTTCTTCATCCATGCAGCTAAGTTTCAGCCCAGGCAGTGATACCAGGACACCAAGTAACTTGCTGTCACTGACTGGGGAAGTGTGCTGTGCCGGCCACAGGTGTGGCCCCTGGCAAAGGCCCACCACCACTTAATTTGTCCACGAGCCTGCAAAGTGTGCCTTTTTCTGTGTCCTGTGTCCTTCCCATTCCAGTGTCATTCCAGCCAGAGTCGGAGGTCTTAGTTCACATCCCCAAGCAGAGACTGGGTCTAGTCAAAAGAGGTTCCTACATTGAGGAAACCCTGAGCCTCAGATTCCTCCGAGTCCACCAGTCCAACATCTTTATGGTGACTGAGAACAAGGACTTTGTGGTGGTCAGCATTCCGGCGGCCGGGGTGCTCCAGGTCCAGGTGAGTATCCGGTGGCATCTCTGTCTCGCCCCTTCTCTTCCTGAGGCCCTTCTCCTTTGGTCACCGATGCCATATGTGGTCAGAAACATGGAAGGTAGGCCAGTCACAGTGGCTCGTGCCTGTAATCCCAGCACTTTGGGAAGCCGAGGCCGGAGCGTCACTTGAGCCTGGGAGTTCAAGACCAGCCTGGGAAACATAGTGAGACCTCATTGCTACAAAAAAATTACAAAATGAGGTGGGAGAATTGCTTGATCTTAGGGAGTTGAGTCTGTAATGAGCTGTGATTGTGCCACTGCACTCCTGCCTAGGCAATGGGAGTGAGACCCTGTCTCAAAAAATAAAAGTAAAAAAGAAAGAAATGTGGAGGGCAGAGCTGTGGCGCTGGCTGAAAATGGACTTCACCATGTATGCTCCTCAGGCCCGTGCTTTTACCAAGGTAGCCCCATCAGGGGACAGCCACAGGGCATGGGATGCCCCTGCCATGTGCAACTAATTTCTTATCTTTTCTTTTCTTTTCTTTTCTTTTTTTTTTTTTTGAGACAGAGTCTCGCTCTGTTGCCCAGGCTGGAGTGCAGTGGCGCGATCTCGGCTCACTGAAACCTCCTCCTCCTGGGTTCAAGCGATTCTCCTGCCTCAGCCTCCCGAGTAGCTGGGACTACAGGTGCCCACCACCACGCCCAGCTAATTTTTTGTGTTTTTAGTAGAGACAGGGTTTCACTGTGTTAGCCAGATGGTCTCGATCTCCTGACCTCATGATCCGCCTGCCTCAGCCTCCCAAAGTGCTGGGATTACAGGCGTGAGCCACTGCGCCCAGCCAATGTGCAACTAATTTCTTGTGGCCCCACAGCGATGCCAAGAAGTCGGAGGAACCCCGGGAACACAAGCTTTCTATAGGGTAGACCTGAGCCTGGAATTTGCCGAGATGGCTGCCCCGGTCCTCTGGACAGTGGAGAGCTTCTTCCAGTGTGTGGGTGAGTGAGGCACCATGAGGGTGTGACTGCTGGTAACAGGCACACACCACACAAACCCTCTTTCCTTGGCCCTGGGGTTCTTTCTTCTGTGACAATGTTTCACTCCCTGGACCCGACAGATCCCACACCTACAAGGTAAGTGAGGTGTCAGACATACTGGCTGGAACTGGCAGAAGAACAACAGTATCATGAGAACTGAGTGGTGATGTGGTTCCTGGCCCTGGAGTCTGCCAGGGAGGGGACAAGGGAGGCGGATGGGGGTGCATCCATTTCCTAACCAACCGTACAACCTCAGTGAGTTACTTAACCATGTTGAGCCTCAGTTTTCCCATCTGGAAAATAGGCATACCAGTACCTATTTTGAGGACTGAATGAGATAAGGGGAATCAATGGCTTAGAAGAGTGAGTGCCTGGCACAAGAAGAGCTGTTTCCATTTATCCACTCTCTCTGTGTGGGCTCCAGTTCCTCCGGTCATTTGGTAGACAGACGAGTGTCCTTGGCAAAGAGCACGACACGATGCAACTTGTTTCTCAGCTCAAGAGGAACCTTCTTCTAAACGTGGTGTATGCCTTCATGCTAGGATGCTGGGATGGGGTTTTTGGCGAAAGCTCCGCTAATGGACAACCTGGTATTCACACATGCAAAACCACCAGGAGCAAAATCCATTGAAATACAGCACAAGGAAATGCACGTAATTCACAAACGATGTCGATCACTTTCATCTTATACTTCCTAACTGTCCTCAATCGAAGACAGACGCGAAGGAGATTTAACTCAGATGTTAATAGTGCAAGTTTGCCCTGTCACGAGGATATGATGTTTCGGTGTTGCACAAAAGTGTAATTATATTCAGAACTATATTTAAAGATTAAAAGGGGGACTGCCTACCACAGCTAGCCCCAAATTCAGAATTAGAAACAAAGAAAAAGGCGGGATTGGGGGTGAGTTCTGACAGTCTGCTAAAAATGGAAATGTTTCTTGAAAATTTTTACACATTTTGGCTGTTTTTATTTTAACAGTTTCCTGCAGTGATGACATTAATCTTGGAAAGCGAGGGCTAGAACTTTATCCAACAGATATTCAATAAGCAGTTGCGATTTATGAGGCCCCATGCAAGGCTTAGGTGGGAATAGAGGCTGCTGGATTTGGTTCTTGCTCTCAAGCAGCGTCCAATCTGGAAGGGGAGATAAGAAATGCCCACAGAAAGGCCAGACGCGGTGGCTCACGCCTATAATCCCAGCACTTTGGGAGGCCAAGGTGGGAGGATCACTTGAGGCCAGGAGTTTGAGATCAGCCTGGCCAACATGGCGAAACCCTGTCTCTCCTAAAAGAAGACATCTCTAATCTGTAATCGCAGCTACTTGGGAGGCTGAGGCAGGAGAATCGCTTGCACCTGGGAGGTGGAGGTTGCAGTGAGCTGAGATTGTGCCACTGCATTCCAGCCTGGGCAACAGAGCAAGACTCGTCTCAAAACAGAAACAAAACCAAAAAACAACACCAAAAAAATGCCCAGAGAATTATGAGGGCAGGTGAACTCAGGAGAGATGTCAGAGAGTAGGTGATCTTTATCCTAGGTTTTGATGAGAGGGCAGGTCCTTGATAGGAAGATACAGAGTACAGTATAAAAATAGATCAGCAACAGCAATAGAAACATTTTAGGAAGAGTTTTTTTGGCCTCTCTGGAAAGATTTACACGGGGAAAGAATGTTCTCTTCCTCATTTTGTTAATTTTACATCAGCAACCAGAATGAATCTCTCCCCTCCCTGGTTCCCAGCACACCTCCCCTGCACCTCCCCAGCAGCTTCCCTGCAGCTTCGAGGTCTTTCTATTCTTATTATAGTTATGGTGCATGCTCCTGTCTCTCCCTCTAGTATGAATTCATTCAGATCAGGGGCTGTGTCCTGTTCGGCTTCTTATTCTTGACAGGCCTTATCTTGCCGCCTTGCCCTTGTAAGCACTTCATAAATGCTTGTTGGCTTGAATTTTCACCAGGAATTAAAGAAAAAAGTTTTACACAGATAATATTTTTCTTTTGTAAATATGTGACTAATGTGTTGGAATATTAATATATGCTAGAATTGCCTAAACTCCCCGTGGTTAGAGATTTTTAAAAAATCTTCCTCTTCCCTGACCCCAAAAGTAATTAGAACCTATAGGACAAATCCTAATTATTGAAGTGTCTGGTCTGCAGAAATCTAAGAGATGGTTTAGATATAGTTGTTTTCATATGTGTGTGTATGTGTGTGTGTGCATATATATATATATATATATTTTTTTTTTTTTTTTAAATAAGAGACAGGGTCTTGTTCTATTGCCTAGGTTGAAGTACAATGTTGCAATCATAGCTCATTATAACATTGAGCTCCTGGGCTCAAGGGATCCTCCTGTCTCAGCCTCCTGAGTAGCTGGGATTATAGGTACAAGACACCATACCAAGCTAGTTTTTAAACTTTTTTTTTTTTTTTACCCCGAGACAGAGTCTCACTCTTGTTGCCCAGGCTGGAGTGCAATGACGCAATCTTGGCTCACTGCAACCTCCACCTCTCCTGCTTCAGCCTCCCGAGTAGCTGGGATTACAAGTGCCCGCCACCATGCCTGGCTAATCTGTATTTTTAGTAGAGATGAGGTTTCACCATGTTGATCAGGCTGGTCTTAAACTCCTGACCTCAGGTGATCCAGCCGCCTCAGCCTCCCGTACTGCTGGGATTACAGGCGTGAGCCACCATGCCCAGCCTTAAATATTTTTTATAGAGATGAGATCATGCATGTTGCCCAGGCTGTTCTTAAACTCCTGGGCTCAAGTGATCCTCCTGCCTTGGCCTCCCGAAGTGCTGGGATTACAGGTGTGAACCACTGTGCCCGGCCTGTTTTCACATTTTAAAGTCGGGTTCACTGATGGAAATGCCTCTCGGGGTGGGACGGGGAATGTCAGCGGCGGGACAGTGGGGAGGATAAGAACACCCAGGGCCTGGGCATGGGAGGATAAGGCAGCAAAGCTCAGTGTTGGAGGTGACAGGGAGTGGTGGAGAATCCTGGGAACCCGCAGCCACCAGGTCCCTCTAAGTGGAGCAGCCTCGCTTAGCTGGAGCTGATCCTATCTTGCAGGGAGGCAGGCCTGTGTAGCCAAATCTGGTTTTCCACGAGAACCTGGTTATATAAGAACTCCTGCTTTTAAAATGTTGTTGGTTAATTTAAAAAATAGTTCAAACACCCTGCAGGCCGAGTCAAACATGTCCAAGGGCTGTATTTGACCCTTGGGCCAGAATTTGCAAGCTGGAACCCAGCAGTTCTCAACTGGGATTTTTGCCTCTCAGGAGACACTTAGCAACATCTGGAGACCTTTTTGGTTGTCATGACTCAGGGGATCCTACCAGCATCTGGTGGGCGGAGGCCAGGGGGCCTGCTGAACACCCTGCACCGTACCTCCTCTCCTGCACTTGGCAAAGCATGATCGGCCTGGAATGCCTACGCTGCCTGGGCTGAGTCTGACCTGAAAGGTGGTCAGGCAGGGAGCACTCTCCGGTTCTCTGTGGTTCCTGAGGCTGAGCCAAGGTATTTGACCTCAAAATAGGAAATGGCTCAAAAGACGAAACCATCTGGTGGCATTGAAGCTGGGACAGGGAGTCAGGGCCAGGTGCCCCTTGCAGAAATCTGAATTTCTGTGACTTAATTTTAAAAAATGGGCCAGTCGTGGTGGCTCACTCCTGTAATCCCAGCACTTTAACAGGCCAAGGCGGGCAGATCATTTGAGGTCGGGAGTTCGAGACCAGCCTGGCTAACATGGTGAAACCCATCTCTACTAAAAATACAAAAAAATTAGTTGGGCATGGTGGTGCACACCTGTAATCCCAGCTACTTGGGAGGCTGAGGCAAGAAGATCACTTGAACCCAGGAGGCGGAGGTTGCAGTGAGCTGAGACTGTACCACTACACTCCAGCCTGGCCACAGAGTGAGACTCCATCTCAAAAAAAAAAAAAAAAAAAAAAGAATCTTGATGTCCACATAGTCTCAAAAAGGACTCCAAGTGGGAGGACTGTGAAATTCAGCCAATGGACATTTCCCAACCCAGGACTTGCATCTGACCTCCCCAAGCTTCCGTTCCCCACCTGTGGAAAAGGGGTCACTCATGGTCCCTTCAGCAGGGTGTTGGGAGGATTTTGCTTCCTTAGGAGGAAGGCTGACCTCTGTCTTCTCTCTGGAAGGTTCAGGAACAGAGTCGCCTGCCTCAACTGCTGCACTGAGGACCACTCCCTCCCCACCATCCCCAGGACCAGAGACCCCTCCAGCGGGAGTGCCACCTGCTGCTTCCTCCCAGGTGTGGGCTGCAGGACCAGCTGCCCAGGAATGGCTTTCTCGGGACCTCCTGCACCGGCCTTCCGACGCACTGGCCAAAGCACGTCTATGGCTGCATCCTCTGCCCATGGTTTCCTCCAAAGAGTCTGGTCCCCAAGAAGTATCGGTAGACCCAGCTGGGCCTGAGGCCCTTCTCTTTCACCACCATTCTTCCAAAGAGAGCCCCACTCTGATCCCCAACCATGTTACCTCCTCAAATTCAGAATATTTCCCATAGAAAGCTGGGCCCCCAAGAGCTCCCACCTGAGGGCAGCCCCCCTCATCTGTCGGCCTGGATCACGGCAGCCTCCCAGGGCCTTGAGACACAGCCAAAGGAGGCAGCAGAGGGTGGGGGGTCAGCAGCTATGCACACAAATGGAGGGAGGGAAACTGAGGCACACCAGAGGACTGGAGACCCAGAGGTCACAGTTTCCTCCAGCTCTTCTTTTTTTTTTTTTTTTGAGATGGGGTCTTGCTTTGTCATCCAGGCTGGAGTCCAGTGGCACGATCTTGGCTTACTGCAGCCTCCACCTCCCAGATTCAGGCGATCCTTCTGCCTCAGCTTCCCGAGTAGCTGGGATTACAGGCCCACGCCACCACACCTGGCTAATTTTGTATTTTTAGTAGAGATGGGGTTTCACCATGTTGGCCAGGCCAGTCTGGAACTCCTGGCCTCAAGTGATCCACCCGCCTTGGCCTCCTATTGTGTTGGGATTACAGTCGTGAGCCACCGCACCCGGTCCCTCGAACCCATCTTTGGGTTGAGATTCTCAGGGCAGCCGGAGCCCATGTGTTCTTGTTTCTAATGCTTTTTCTCTCTCCACTTCTCTCTTGGTGAAGAAGGGGCTTGGACCATTCCTGCAAACAGCCAAACCGGCGAGAAGAGGCCAGACATCTGCCTCCATTCTCCCCAGAGTGGTGCAAGCTCAGCGAGGTCCCCAGCCTCCCCCAGGGGAAGCAGGGATCCCTGGACACCCCACACCTCCAGCCACGCTCCCCTCGGAGCCTGTAGAGGGTGTCCAGGCTAGTCCCTGGCGGCCACGTCCAGTCTTGCCAACGCACCCGGCTCTGACCCTGCCCGTGTCCTCAGATGCCTCCTCTCCTTCACCGCCAGCCCCGAGGCCTGAACGACCTGAATCACTTCTGGTCTCAGGACCATCTGTCACCCTGACTGAAGGTCTAGGAACTGTGAGGCCTGAACAGGACCCCGCCAAGTCTCCAGGAAGTCCCCTCCTGCTGAGAGGCTTGTCAAGCGGGGATGTGGCTGCACCTGAGCCCATCATGGGGGAGCCCGGCCAAGCCAGTGAGGAGTTCCAGCCATTGGCGAGGCCCTGGCGGGCCACACTGGCTGCAGAGGAGCTGGTTTCTCACCGTTCTCCCGGAGAGCCCCAGGAAACGTGCTCTGGAACGGAGGTGGAGAGGCCACGCCAGACAGGGCCTGGTCTCCCCAGGGAGGGGGCCAGGGGGCACATGGACCTTTCATCCTCAGAACCAAGCCAGGACATAGAGGGGCCGGGACTCTCCATCCTGCCAGCGAGGGATGCCACATTCTCCACCCCAAGTGTGAGGCAGCCAGACCCCAGTGCCTGGCTGAGTTCAGGACCTGAACTCACCGGGATGCCCAGGGTGAGGCTGGCAGCGCCCCTGGCAGTTCTTCCTATGGAACCTCTGCCACCAGAACCTGTTCGCCCAGCAGCTCTTCTGACACCCGAAGCCTCATCTGTGGGAGGGCCAGACCAGGCCCGATACCTGGAGTCAGCCCCTGGCTGGCCTGTGGGCCAGGAGGAGTGGGGGGTTGCACACACGTCCAGCCCTCCATCCACGCAAACCCTGAGCCTGTGGGCTCCCACAGGAGTGTTGCTACCCAGCCTGGTGGAGCTTGAATACCCCTTCCAGGCTGGCCGGGGGGCCTCACTCCAGCAGGAGCTGACAGAGCCCACCTTGGCCCTCAGTGCTGAAAGCCACAGGCCTCCTGAGCTTCAAGACAGTGTGGAGGGGCTTTCTGAGAGGCCCTCACGCTGAGCCTCCATGGAGACTCCAGGGTGAGTCCTGGGTGCACCCTGGGGAGGTAGAGTGCAAAGGGTGGGAGGCAGTGATGGGTCGGCCTGGAGGTGGGGGCTGGGGGCCGTCTTTCCAGGGAAGCCCCGGTGCTCTTCTGGCCCAGATGATCACTGTGCTCAGCCACAGCTAGGCATCTAGGCCAGGGAGTCCAGGGGCACTGGGTCACTGAGAGTCACTGGGGCCATCCAAGCCAGCAGGGTACCAGCTGCTGCCATGGAACCCAGAGGGAGGGGTGAAGCGGCAGGCCGTCTGCCTGCATGGACCTCCCCGAGGGAAGAGGCGCTGAGTGCAGGGCAGTGTCTCCTGGTCTCTCCCTGGCCCTGCCAGCTGTGTTTCTGGGCTTGGTCTGCTGTCGGAGGTGGTGAAGCATCAGGGTGAGGTGCAGGCTTTGCAGCCAGGCCTGCCAGGAGCTAGGTTCAAGTCCCAGTTCCTCTGCTCTTTGGCTGTGTGACCTTGGCAAGGCACTCACCTCTCTGAGCCTCAGTTTCCTGATGGGTCAAATGGGGATGGTAATCATTCCTCCCGATGGGGCTGTTGAGAGTTGGGTGGGAAAGGAACGTAGAGCATTTGGCGTGGAGCCGGACTACATCCAGTGCACTCAGAACTCGAGAGCCATTCTTACGGCGATCATTCCACCATCCACCTCCCGGCCCAGGCAGAGGGGATGCTTGCAGGCCTAGGAAAGCATGGAGGGCCTGAGCCATGGTTCAGACATCTCTGGGGGTTGTTGGTGATGGTGATATGAACCCTTGGTGTTTACCCCCTCCCCAGGCCTTGGGGTGCCATGACCTCAGGTCTCTAAAGGACTCCAGGGGAGGAGAATGGGATGCCACTGCTTCGTTTTCATTACTCATAACTCCCTTCCTCTGGGTTCCATGGCAGCAGCCGGTACCCCGCTGGCTTGGACAGCCCCAGTGACCCTCAGTGACCCAGCTGTCCCCAGGCTCCCTGGCTTAGATGCCCAGCTGTGGCTGGGTACAGTGTTCTGGGCCGGAAGAGCACTCACTCAGTGCTTCCCTGGAAAGGTGGACCCCCAGACGCCCACCTCCAGGCAGACCCATCACTGGAAGTGGGATTTGAAATGCAGCCAAGAAGAGGAGACCGTCGGCAACGCCCGCCCGGAACAAGAAATAAATAAATAAATAATCAGGGTTGTCTTGGCTGATAAACGGTCCCCACCTCGAAGAAGACTTCTCCCCCCTCTGCGCTCCCTCCTCCTCCCTCTCCGGGCAGATCCGTCCCGGGCAAAAGCTTAATAGCCCCATTTAAGGCTTTTCCTTTTCACCACGAGACTGAGCTGCTCCTGCCATTACGAGGTTTTCAGCTTCTCTCTGAAATCAAATTACTGACTCCATTTAATTTTTTAAAAGCTCAGATGATTTCCCTTCTCGAATCCGAGCCATGACTCCAAGACCAGCCCCCACCAGCCCTACCAGGCGGTTCCCCTGCGGGCAGCCGCTGCCCTGGGACGGCGGCCCCCACGCCTGGGGAAGCCTGACACCTAGAGGGAAAGCCAGCAGGAGGAGGCCTGAGTCTCTGGCTGCCACCCTGGACACTGGGCTGGGTGGCCTGAGCTGGAGGAGGCCCACAGGAGCCCATGGCTAGAGGCCGGATGATCTTCAAAGGCTGGTGGGGTCAGTGGTTAGAGCCCAGCACTGATGCCGTAGGCTCATACGGGAGGGTCCCTAGCCTCCCAGTTGCCTTCCCACAGTGTGTGTCTGGGACTCTACCACTCAACAAAGGTTTATGGAGTGCCTCATCGGTGGTGCCAGGCACTGTTCCAGCCCCGGGGAGGCTTCAGTGAATCGAATGAAATCCCTGGTGTGGGAGGGAAAGTTCTAGAGTGTACGTGAGAGGGGGATTGGACACCGACAATGAACACATGAGACAATTTCAGACAATGCTTCCTGCTCTCAAGAGGAGCAAACAGGCAACTCCGGTTGCGAGCTGCTTTGGGTGGGAAGGTCGGGCGACCCCTCTGAGGAAGTAAGGAGGCAACCGCAGAAAGAGCTGGGGGTGGCATCCAGGCAGAGGGACAGAAGAGCAAGGGCCCTGAGGAGGGCTGGAAGGATGGAGAGAAGGCCATGGAAGCTGGTGGTGTGAGCGGGAGAGTGCAGCGGGGATGGGCCTCCAGGGCTTGTGGGCCCCGTCAGGAGCCCAGATTTTATTTTGGCCTTGATGGGCCGTCCAACAGGGGCCTTTGAGCAAAGCAGTAGCCTTGAGTAGATGCTCGAAAAGGCTGGCTGGAGAGTGGATGTCAGAGGGACAGAGCAGCAGCCCCACTGAAAGGAAAGGTGACTCAAAGGGTCTCCTCTTTGAGGGCTTGTGCCCCTCCCACACCTGCGTCCAGATGACGCAGGGAAGGTGGCTGCCTGGTGACGTTGGAGACGTGACACGTCTTTTTATGATTATTTATTTATTTATTTATTTTTGAGACAGAACCTCGCTCTGCCGCCCAGGCTGGAGTGCAGTAGCTTGATCTTAGCTCACCGCAACCTCCGCCTCCCAGGTTCAATCGATTCTCCTGCCTCAGCCTCCTGGGTAGCTGGGATTACAGGTGTGCACCACCACGCCCGGCTAATTTTTGTATTTTTAGTAGAGATGGGGTTTCACTATGTTGGCCAGGCTGGTCTCAAACTCCTGACCGTGTGATCCGCCCATCTCGCATCTTTTATCTCAACACTGGCCGTGGTGTTTCTCCCAGGAATCAGTCTCTGTCTCTCTTTGCCTCCTCCCCTCCACCTCCATCCACTTCCATCCACCCCTGCCCTTTCTCCATCCCTGTAGAGCCCCCCAGCTTTGGGACAGGGTAGACCAGGGGCACACATGCACAAGAAAGTCCTGTAAACAAGGGCTGACCCTTTACCAAGTCCTCCCGTGTTTAACAACCACCCTGCGCCCTTGGAGACGAGACAGAGGGAAGGGAGTTAATGAAATCACCAGCCTTTACCTGGCATAAATGGCTCTTCACCCCCCAGGCGGGCGGCGATTTGCAAGGCTGAGAGGGTCTGGGCATTAACTGTTCTGGGCACTCTTCCCAGCTCAGCGCTCCGTGCAGCTGGAACAAACCACTTTACTTCTCTTCCTTCCCCCAGCTTCGATCTGCACCCGCTCAAAAGCGGGGCAGTCGTGCTTAATTAGAAAGTGCTCAGGGTTCTCGGGAAGGCTCCCATTCTCCCTCCAGATGGGACAACCCCATTTCTGTGACCAGGGCAGACCTGGCTGGCACCCATGCCTGCTCCCGGGACACGCACGGGTGTTGCCTCTGCTGGTTTTCCTGCTGAGACCTCCCAGGTCTTGCAGTCAGTTGTTTATGGCTGACACGTCTGTGATCAGTGAAAGTCTGGCAGGGAGCAGCTCTTTCCCTCGGGGTCAGCAGCTGCCGGGAGATCTTGGACAGCTTAGGTATCACTCAGTGGTTCCCCGCCCTCAGCGGCTTGGATTCTTATCTTTTATGCCCCCACGACTCCGCATGAAGTCCAAAGGCTGTGTTGCATTTATTGTACTTTTCTCCTGCTACACAGAGCAGCTGGAGCTGGTCCAGTTTCTCTTTTGGGCTTTCCTTCTTGAGCACAAAGCCTTTCACGCCCTTCAGCATCCAGGCTCATTGTTTGTCCCTGGTTGAAGGTCCTGACTTACTAGTGTTTTTTTTTTGTTTGTTTTGTTTTGTTTAGAAGGCGTCTCACTCTGCAGTCCAGGCTGGAGTGCCATGGCACAATCTTGGCTCACTGCAACCTCTACCTCCTGGGTTCAAGCAATTCTCCTGCCTCAGCCTCCTGAGTAGCACGTCACCACACCTGGCTAATTTTTGTATTTTTAGTAGAGATGGGTTTTCGCCATGTTGGCCAGGCTGGTCTTGAACTCCTGACCTCAGGTGATCTGCCCACCTCAGCCTCCCAAAGTGTTGGGATTACAGACATGAGCCACCACGCCCAGCCTCCCAGATACCTTTTATTCAGTTTCTTAGTTGTAATCCTCCCAATTACTATGTAACCAGAGAAGCAGTGTGGTTGGGAAGTGCTTTCTTCTG
Organism: Homo sapiens; assembly: GCF_000001405.40. Classification (NCBI taxonomy): domain Eukaryota; kingdom Metazoa; phylum Chordata; class Mammalia; order Primates; family Hominidae; genus Homo; species Homo sapiens. Next base: position 10,943,593 of record NC_000001.11, on the reverse strand, counting down.
GAGGTCTGGAGACCAGATCTGTCCCCACAAGCCATGTGGCCTTGAGCTAGTCAGTTCACTTTCTGAGCCTCAGTTTTGCTGTTTGGAAACCGGAGTGAATGGCCCAGCAACCTCTGATCCAGGAGGACACCTGGGCCATCCCATGCAGATGGGATGTTCAGAATCTCTCATGCAGCCAGGGGAGAACCTCTCTCTTCTGAGGGTCCATTATCACTAGCCCAGCCCAGCCCCGGCCCACCGCCCAACACCTCTGCTGCTCACAGGTCTGGTGTCTGGGGCTGGGGGCTGCCAGAGACATTAAGCCAAGCCAGGTGGGAGGACAAGATGGGACGATATGGACAGAAGTTCATTCCCATGCAGGCAGCCAGAGCCCACCTGTAACCTGCTCCACAGATGACCTCCCACCTGTTCCTGGTTCCTTTCCCAACAACCAGGCTGAGCCGTTCCAGATCCCAGATGGAAAAGCCCTCAGAACAGTGGTTCTCAAAGTAGCGTCCCGGAACAGCAGCCCTTCCCACCCCCCCACCCCCACCTCGTGCTTGTTAGAGAAATGCAAATTATCGGGCCCCACTCCAGACCTACAGATCCGGAAATTCAGGGGGTGGGGCTGGGCAGGCTGCAGGACTGAAGCCATCCAGGGGGTTCTGACGCCCCACTGTGTAAGTTGAGAAGTGCTGCATGAGAGAATCTGTGAGGGATACCCCCTAAATCAGAGAATGTCACAGCCTCCATAACAATACAACACTTGACTCTCATACACCTCCAAGTACTTGCCACCTCCATCTGTTCATTGCGCCCAGCACCATCCCTTCCAGGGAGAAAAGAATTGTTCTTCCCATTTTACAGAGCAAGAAACTGAGGCTCAGGGCCCGCCCAAAGTCACAACCAGCAGATGGTGGCACGAGGGCCCAAACCCCGGCCTCCTCATTCCAAGGGGAGGGCTCTCTCTTGGACACTTTGGGTTTCCGGGGCTTCTTAGACCAAGAGAGCAAATGCATGTTCCCCCGCCAGAGAGGCATTCCCCCTTCCAGCCCTCTCCCCACTTCCCAGTTGCAATCTTAGGCACTAACATCCAGGAAACATAAATTTTGCCTGGCAGTTGAGTAAGAGCTCTGAAAGGAGTTACACGTCAGGGGGATGGGGCTTTATTTCTCAATGAAATGGCCTTTTTATGGTTGGAATAAAAGTGCCAGGGGGAGCGTCATGCCAGGCAGTAGCAAATTATTTGATAAACTCCTCCAGCCAGGGGTGGGGCTGCGTGGGAGGTGGCGGCCAGAGAGAAGATCCCCCCATTTCCAGATGCATGTTTCTCTTCAGGTTAACCCTGTGGAAGACCCCGGGGGGCCTCGTGGGCCACCCAGCTGGAGAAGGGCTGGCCCTGGGACCATGCCAATGCCTTCGCTCCGATACTAGGTCCCGGGAGCAGAGCTGCAGTTCAGAGAGCGAGCAGCAGGGGGCAGCGTAACCCACCGTTCCAGCCCGTCCGGTGGGCGCTGCCGGGGGCTGCGACGCCCGGGTCCCTGAGGCTCAGCCTTCGGAGAAGGTCAGCAGTAGCCCCCTCCCTGGGACCTCTTCCTCCTCCCTTCAGCCCTTCCAACCCCTTGTCCCTTCATGGCAAGGAGAGTTTGTCAACCTTACCCTGGTGGCAGCCTCTGCCCGGATCCAGATGACCATGGGGGTGGGAGTAAGTGGGAGGGGGCTTCTTCATCCCCTTGCCCACCCCGTGGCTGCTTTCTCAAAGCTTCTCCAGGGTTTGCTTTGGATTTCATTAACCCTTGGCTTCCTTCTGAGGGGCCTCTGGAGGGGTCTCTGTGTTCGTGGGTGGGTGGCTTTTGTGGGCTGGGGACGATAGCCTTAGTGGTCACTGGGGGAAGGGGGACAGGATAAAAGCCTGAAGGACAAAGAGAAAGCAAGGAAACCTCCTCGTTTGAGAACGTGTGTGATTGGCAGGTTTACGGCCTCGGGAAGGTGCGTGGTATTCCGCACAATCAAGTCATTTTTAAAAATAATCTCTCTGCTTAAGTCGTACACGCTGCTAATTGCATTTTAATAAGTCTCTTAAAATCTTGCCATATTTTTTAATATCCTAATATTAGGTAAGTGATTGCGGGGGACACTGGAGGGCATGGGGAGTTTATGTAGCAGAGGGAGGGCTGTGATGAAGCCGGGGGGTGGTGGCCACCCAGTGGCCTGTGGTGTGTGTGGGTGATGGATGGCTGTCTGTGTCTGTGTGACCTGTGCAAGATCCGGGGGGTGTGAGTGTCCATAGAGAGGGCTTCTCCCAGACACAGCCCTGGACAGTGGGCCCCGTCTTCAGCCGTAGTGCCAGAAATCACTTATTACACCTGCTGGGGTCCCTCAGCCATAGGGGACAGACAGGCTTCCTCCTTCCTTTTCATCCTCTGGCCCCAAACTAGAACATCTGAACTGGAGGGGACCTTTGACCCAGTTCCTCTTCTCCTCTTTTCCCCAGGATGCAGGCCCTGAGCCCAGAGAGGGCAGGTGACTTGGCCAAGGCCACGTAGTAAGAAGGGGACCGGGGGGAAAGTTGGACCCAGTCTTGAGAGGGGCAGAGGAGGAACTGCCTCGTCCCTCTAGTCGCAGCACAGGGCGCTGGCTGCACCATCCGGCCCTAGCATCCTTGCACACACACTGCATGCTCTGACCTCCCCGTGGGGAGAAGGTGGGTGGTTGCTGGTGGTGGCTGCCATTCCTGGAGCCCTTACTACATGCCAGGCACCCTGCTGAGCACATTCCCCTGAACAGCCATATGGGTTGAGTATTTTAGGATTCCTGGGTGGACCCACAGCTAAGAAATGGCAGAGCTGGGATTTGAACCCACAGTCGCTCCTGTGCCTGGCTGGGGAAGGTTCTTAACTACCATTGGATGGGAGGCTGAGCTGGGATCCAAGCACATTCTACATCTCCGAATGCCCAGGGCCAGGGAGGACCATGCTGGGAACAGCAGGGGAGACTGGCAGAGGCAGGGAGGTAGGGCATCGGGTGCCTACGGTCTTTTTCTCCTGACCCCTCTGTTACTACAGGGCAGGGTCCCAAGGCCAAGATCAACATCAACCCTTTTCCCCAGAGCCCCTGGAGGTCAGAGGCCTGGGAAGGCGGTGGCCTAGGGTTGCAGGCCTCAGACTTAGCCATGCTCTGGGTTTCTGGAGGCCCCTGAGGCACCCGCCAGCCTCCACTGGCCCTGGCCTTCCTCCTCCCTCCTCCTCCCTCCCACTCCTCCATACACGCTACGGGCCCGGGTGGGAGGCACATGTTGAACGAACTTCTGAACAGGAAGTCAGCATCCAGGTCGTCCCGAGTCCCTTTTCATGTGGTTTCTTTAATCCCCCAGGCTGGGTTTCAGAAGCATTTTACAGTTTCAGTTTTACAAAGCTACGCTCCCTTTAATGTTGGCGTTTTTCAGGAGGTGGGGGGAGAGCGGCTTCAGTCAAAACATGTGTGTTTTACATCAGCCAGCTGCGGACAGGGTGGCCCAGGGCGGGAGGCAGCAATGTGGCTTCCAGGCTCCACGCGGGGTCCTTGGGTAGATGCATCTACTCGGCTTTCTCCCTTTCCTCTCCTGGGCTCTGCCTTCCTGCCTCCCTGAGTCCCTCTCTCCTGTCCATGTGGCCAGGGGGGCCAGGGCACTCCTTTCCAGCCCCTTCCCACCTGAGCTCTGATCTGGTCAATGCAGGTCTTCTTGCTGGTTTCTGCTGCCGAGACACCAGCGTGCTGATCTTCCTCCACACCCTGAGCCGTATCCTCCAACCACCTGGGCTTTCATTTACTTAGTATTTTCCCTTAAATCGCTGCCCTTCTTTCACTTACGTAGATAGTACCTAAGCAAAAATGTCCCTGAAATTGTGAATTTGATGTGCTAGTTACATCTATCTGCTCTAATACACAATAAAACAAATCTAAAACTATTAAGGCATTTAAAAAGGTGAAGATCATCACGCCAGCCTCGCATGCTTCTGGAAATCCTGCCTCCATCCCCCTTCCCTGGCAGAGAAGATGAAGGTCAGGAGGTAAGGTGGCCTGTCCGAGGCCATGGGGTTGGTGAGAGTCCTACCTGACTGGTCTGCCTCCGAGGCCAGCATTGGATCTGCCACGAGTCATTTCCAGGGCTGGCTTCTTGGCTGCGCAGTTTCAGGCTTTAGAGGAGCCGCCTGGGGCTCTGTGAGCACACCAAGGAGAGGGGCTGAATTCCCTGGCAGTGCGGGTGGGTGGAAAGAACACAGACTTGGAATCAGTCAGACCTGAGATCAGATCCTGGCTGCACTAACTAAGAGTGTGATCGTGGGCAAGCATCTCCACGGCTTTGAGCCTTGGTCTCCTCATCTGTGAAATGGGGATGACCACGCCGGCCTGGAAACAGCAATGCCAGGGTCAGAGACACACCTGGAAAGAGCCCGCATTGGCCAGGCCTACAAACCCAGCGGTCATTCGCAAGCCCTCGGTGCTTGGTTCTTATCCACTGTGCTCCTTGTCGCCAGCCTGGTTTCACCATCTCTCCTCCCCTACCCACAGGAGGCAGCAGGAGGTCCAGGGAGGGAGGATCAGGAGTAAAGGTGCATGCCCAGAGGGGCTCACGGGCCCTCCCACCCTCTGTCCCTGCGCTGCCTGGGAGCAGAGCAAGTCCTGCGTGGGAGGATGCTGTAACCAGCAGTGCAGTCCGCGCCCTGCCGGGAGAAGAAGGAAGACAAAGGTGGCTCTCCCTGCCCACAGAGGTGGGGTGACTCGGGGGCTCCAGAGGCTGTTTGGATAGGGGGGAGGGCCTAGGACACCTGATCCATGCTGCCTGAAATGATGGGGGGTCCAGTATTGCAGAGGCCACCCCCCCTGGTAAAGCAGAGGCCCTGACCCCTGCTGGCCCCAGAGCTTTGCTGCTACCCGGAGCCCCCAGCTGCTTGAGGGTCTTTGCCTCCATAATGGCCAGGGGGTCTCTGGAGCATGACGCCTCGGATCTGAGCTGCCATTCTCTGGCCACAGAGTGAAGTGGTCTGGCTTCCCCCATGCCAAGGGCTGCCCCCAAAGGATCTGGGAGAGTGGAGGAGGCTGATGTCAGGCCAGAACATAGAGGGACAGGACCTAGGGGTGGGCACTGTTCTAGCCGCTGATTCTCTCCCTTCAGAGCCTGGCGGCAGTTAAGAGACCTTGAAGAATGCAGTAGTGATGACGATGATGATGGGGAGGCTGGTTAAATGCACTGGGCGCTTGCCATGTGCCGGACCCGGTGCTAAGTATTTTATTTTTATTTTATTTTTTTGAGGCAGGGTCTCACTCTGTCACCCAGGCTGGAGTGCAGTGGTGCGATCTCGGCTCACTGCAACCTCCACCTCCCTGGTTCAAGCGATTCTCTTGCTCAGCCTCCCGAGTAGCTGGGACTACAGGCGTGCACTACCACGCCCGGCTAATTTTTGTATCTTTAATAGAGACGGGGTTTCGCCATGCTGGCCAGGCTGATCTTGAACTCCTGGCCTCAAGTGATCCATCCACCTCGGCCTCTCAAAGTGTTGAGATTACAGGCGTGAGCCACCACGCCTGGCTGCAGTGCTGAGCATTTTAAACAGTCATTTCATTCCATCTGCTCTGTGACACACAGTGGGAGGCATCTAGAATAGTGCCGGCTCACAGTAGGCCCTCAACGAATACTTAAGAAAGAGGCTTGGAGAGGGTGAGAGATCCACCCGATTCTCAGCCTCCGTGCTCTTACTGTGTTTGTCCTTCAGGGCTGGCCGCTAGGGTGGGCATCCGGGTGTTGGCGGAGGAGAGGTTTGGGGCCGCAGGTTCTGCACAGCGCACCTGCTGGCTCTTCCTGAGGGAGGCTGTGGCTGTCTCTTTCGGGTGGGTCTGTGGGAGGGCCATCCCCCAGGGCTGAGGATGCCTTGTCCACTTACCCCAAGCCACCCAGGGGAGCAACACCCTCAGCCTAGGGCCTCTTCTGCTCCCCCTGGGGCAGTGTAGGGCTGGGCCCGGCCCGGCTGCAGCTGCGTGGGGCCCAGGGAGGAGAAAATCAAAGGCAGCCCATGTGGGTCCTGCTTTCATCTCCTGGCTTCAAAGAGGTGCAAACAAACCCTGTCCCCGTGCCAGGCAGCAGCTCCCTCCTCACCGCCCAGCCTGCTCTTTCTCTTCTCCTCCTTCCCCGGAAACCAGCAGGCCTCAGTCCTGGTTCCAGGAGCACCCCAGAGGGGCCCGACTCCTGGCTGTGTGCGAGAGGCTGGGCAAGGCTGGCAAGGAAGGAAAGGGGAGGCTCTGCTAGGCCGAGAGAAAGGGGGCTGGGACCCTCTCACCTGCGCACGCTCTGGAAGCTGGGGGTTTATCCAACCCAGACATAACCTGCCAATCTAGAACTGTACTGTCCAGGACTATGGCCACCTGTGGCTCCTGACACCGGTCTCCCATGTCTGAATGCCCTACAGGTAAAAGGTGCACAGGACTGCTCAGCTTTGGTGCAATCAAAGGAATGTGAAATATCTCATGCATCATTTTACCTCTGACTATGGGCTGACAGGATAATATTTTGGAGCTATTAATATAATAGCTATAATATTTTAAAGCTATTAAACATGGCTTTAAAAAAACATGTTGTTAAAATTAATTTCACTTGGTACTTCTTACTCTTTTTTTTTTTTTTTTTTTTTTTTTTTGAGACGGAGTTTTGCTCTGTCTCCCAGGCTGGAGTGCAATGGCGCGGTCTTGGCTCACTGCAACCTCTGCCTCCCGGTTCAAGCGATTCTCCTGCCTCAGCCTCCTGAGTAGCTGGGATTATAGGCATGCGCCACCACAACCAGCTAATTTTATATTTTTTAGTAGAGATGGGGTTTCTCCATGTTGGTCAGGCTGGTCTCGAACTCCTGACCTCAGATGACCCGCCCGCCTCAGCCTCCCAAAGTGCTGGGATTACAGGCGTGAGCCACCATGCCTGCTGGTTTTATTTCTGTTGGATTGCTTTGTTCTAGACAATATTCCCATGTTGTTCTTTTTGATTTTTTCAAGACGGAGTCTCGCTCTGTCGCCCAGGCTGGAGTGCAGTGGCGTGATCTCGGCTCACTGCAGTCTCTGCCTCCCGGGTTCAAACAATTCTCCTGCTCCAGCCTCCCTGGAAGCTGAGATTGCAGGCGCGCATCCCACGCCCAGCTAATATTTGTATGTTTAGTAGAGATGGGGTTTCACCATGTTGGCCAGGCTGGTCTCGAACTCCTGACCTCAGGTGATCCACCCACCTTAGCCTCCCAAAGTGCTGGGATTACAGGCGTAAGCTACCGCGCCTAGCAATATTCCCATTTTGCAGATGAGGGTCCTTGAGGCTCAGAGGGATTGTGGCACATGGCTCCCAGGTGCTGCTCGTAAAAATCATGAATGAATGAATTAATGCATAAATGAATGAATGCATGCATGAATGAATGAAAACCTAGTCCTGGCTGCTGGGGAGACACAGGTGAAACCTGTCCCTGTTGCTGCCCTCAAGGAGCTCCCAGTCCAGAGTCTAGTCCAGTCTAGGAAGGAGAGGTAGTAGTGGAATCAGAGACCCCTGCATTCTGGGGGACCCCAAGGCCTCTGCACAGTAGAGCGGGGAGTGGTAAGTGGCTCCTGGGTCCACATCCTGGCTTCGCTGCTTCCTGGTTGTATGACCTTGGGAGAGTTACTTAACCTATTTATGCCTCAGTTTTCTCATCTGTGAAATGGGGATGATAATAATTATCATTACCATGGAAGCAGCTCCCTCTTGGGTTTCTGTGAGGATGAAGGGAGTTAACACACCCGACTCAGGTGGGGCAGAGCTTTGCGCATAGTGCGTGCAACCTGGTAATGATTAGTTATAATTCGGGACAAATGCTGTCCATCACGTGTCACCTGGTCCTGACAGCAGCACCTGCGAGGGCTGAAGGCAGTGTCCTGCCCTGGAGAGAGAGATGCACTCCCAGCCGGTCCCAAGCTGCCACCACCTGGAGGGGAGAGCGGAGGGATTCTGTGACTTTCCCTCCAAATCGTTTCTCTGGGTCCGCTTGGGCAGCGCCTGGAGTCCCTGCTTTCTGGGCTTCGTCTCCTGGCCTCGCCTGCCACCCATCATCTGTTTGCTCCATGACACACCCACCCTTACCCTACCCTATCCCAGCTCTGTCCCTGAGGCCCTGGGGCCTCTGGAAGTGGCTTTGAAGAGAAACGCCTTCCAGGTAAATACTACTTTGTCTTGCTTCTGTGCTCTCAGGACAGACAGAGCCTCTGGTTTACTCCTGGTTACCAAGGACCTCCCAGGGAGGGTTGGTGGGAGGTGGAGGTGGGGAGCAGGTAGCCCAACACAGTGCCTGATGCACGGGAAGGCCCACTCCAAGAGGTGAGGGGAACCAGGCCTAGGGGACAGCAGGGTTCCTGGAGGTCTGGGTGGGACCTGGCAGGCTGTGTGTGGGCACTATGAAAGCACAGGCCCCCAAGCTGCGGGAACAGCCAGAGGAAAGGTCTGGGGAAACATCCGGGGGCAGCGAGATGATCCATCACATTCATGGTGAGCCCAGGACCCTCTGGAGCCTGGATAGACCCCAAGCATCCCCAGGACTGCAGGGGGACACTTGGAACCCACCCCTGACACAGCCTTTCAATCTAGAGCTGCGCTGTCCAGGACCACAGCCACCCGCGGGCTCCTGAGCACCAGTCTTCCATGTCTGAATGAAGCTGTCAGGGACCCCACTGAGCAGGATTTGCTGAAGGCTGAGGGAAGGGGTGGGGGCTGTTCCCACAACTTGGCAGGGGTTGGGGGCACCCAGAGACGGTAGCAGGAAGCAGGATGATTAGAACCAAACGGGGCCGATGGGAACCAGATGTGATGAGGTTTTGGGGGCTCTTCCAGAGAGATGTTTTTCTTTTCCACTGAAGCTGTAGTTGGGGGAAGAGAAGGGCGCAGGCTGTTTGTTCCTCCCCGCTCCTCCAAAATCCGGCCCAGTGTGGCATCAGGGCGTTCTGCAGCCCCAGCCGCCAAAAGGTAATGAGAGCCACACCTGGAGGCGATTTGCATAACTGCTCCTGTGGTGCCCTAGGCCAGTTTCTGGGGAGAGGGCTGTGCAGGACCTATGTGGATGTGGATGTGGGGGTCAGGGGACAACAGCCCCCAGCCCAGTCCAACCCTCCCTCGCTCAGCTTGCAGGCCTGGGGATGCTTGGGGTCCAGAGGGTGCTTCACAGTAGCCCAGAGGCTCTGGGCTCCAAAGGGTGCTTCATGGAGTCTCCCCTGCTGGCAGGCCCCGTGACTGCTCAGCCTCACTACTCATGCTCAGTGCCCCTGCGCCAGCCACTTCTTCCAGGAAGCCCTCTGGGTCCTCAGGTTGGATCAGGCACCTTCTCTGGGCTCTGGAATGCAGTGGTGCCATTTCAGCTCACTGCAACCTCCACCTCCAGGTTTCGAGCCATTCTCCTGCCTCAGCCTTCCAAGTAGCTGGGATTACAGGTGCATGCCACCATGCCTGGCTAATTTTTATATTTTTAGTAGAGACAGGGTTTTGCCATGTTGGCCAGGCCCATCTCTAACTCCCAACCTCAAGTGATCTGCCCGCCTTGGCCTCCCAAAGTGTTGGGATTACAGGCGTGAGCCACTGTGCCCGACCTTCTCTGGGTTCTGACACTGGGTTAGAGCTCCCAGTATTTAATGTGGTGGATTATAACTCCCTCTCCCAGTGAGCAGTTATCCAACTTAGACACCCTCCCCAGCTGCACTCAGCACTGGATCTAATAGGGTACTGCCTGTGGCCACACCCGCCCGCCTCCTCAGGCCTCCCCAGATCCCAACCCCTCCCTCATGGACACCTTCTAACACTCTACTCCTGGGGCCACTCTGAATTTTATATATACATATATACATACACACACATATATATATACACACACACATATATATACACACACACACACACACACATACATACAGTAAATGGGTTTTTTAAAATCAAGTAAGTCACTTAAAAGCACTCATTGCAAAAATTACAAACCCCACAGAGGCATAGAGAGTAAAACATGAAAGACCCCTTTGCCTGGACTGGCCCCAGTCACTCCCTTCCTCATGGCAACTTCTGCTAGATTTGGTAAGCTAAGGTATCCAGTCTTTTGGCTTCCCTGGGCCACAGTGGAAGAAGAACTGTCTTGGGCCACACATAAAATACACTAACACTAATGATAGCTGATGAGCTAAAAAAAAAAAATCACAAAAAATCTCATAATGTTTTAAGAAAGTTTATGAATTTGTATTGGGCTGCATTCAAAGCCATCCCATGCCACAGGTTGGATAAGCTTGGTATAGAGCTTTCTAAATCGTGTGTGTGTGTGTGTGTATGTGTGTGTATGTGTGTGCGTGTTAAAAAATATACATATAGGCTGGGTGTGGTGGCTCACACCTGTAACCCCAGCACTTTGGGGGGCCGAGGTGGGTGGATCACTTGAGGTCAGGAGTTTGAGACCAGCCTGGCCAACATGGTGAAACCCTGTCTCTACTAAAAATACAAAAATTAGCCAGGCGTGATGGCACACACCTATAGTCCCAGCTACTTGGGAGGCTGAGGCAGGAGAATTGCTTGAACCCAGGAGACAGGTGGAGGTTGCAGTGAGCCGAGATCATGCCACTGCACTCCAGCCTGGGCGACAGTGCAAGACTTCATCTAAAAAAAAAAAAAAATAGGCCAGGCGCGGTGGCTCACACCTGTAATCCCAGCACTTTGGGAGGCCCAGGCGGGTGGATCATGAGGTCAGGAGATCAAGATCATCCTGGCTAACACGGTGAAACCCCGTCTCTACTAAAAATACAAAAAATTAGCCGGGCGTGGTTGCAGGTGCCTGTAGTCCCGGCTACTCCGGAGGCTGAGCCTGGAGAATGGCCTGAACCCGGGAGGCGGAGCTTGCAGTGAGCCGAGATCGTGCCACTGCACTCCAGCCTGGGCGACACAGCGAGCCTCCATCTCAAAAAAAAAAATATATATATATATATATAAATATTATATGCTATTATATAATATTTATATAATTATAAATATTAACATAACATAAAATTTACAATCTTAACCGTTTTTTTTTTTTGGTAGAGACAGGGTCTCACTAGATTGCCCAGGTCTCAAACTTCTGGCCTCAAGCGATCCTCCTGTCTCAGCCTCCCCAGGTGCTGGGATTACAGGCCTAAACCACTGCACCCAGCTGATCTTAGCTGTTTTTAGTGTACGAGTGCACGGGTTCAGTGGCACTAAGTACATTCATGTGGTTAGTTAACCACTGCCACCATCCACTTCTAGAACTTTTTTATCTCTCCCAACTGAAACTCTGCACCCGTTAAACACTAACTTCCTATTCCCCCCTGCCCGCAGCTTCTGGTAATCACCACCTTACTTTCTGTCTCTGTATTAGTCTGCTTGTGTATTGCTACAAAGAAATACCTGAGGCTGGGTAAGTTGTAAAGAAAAGAGGTTTAATTGGCTCACAGTTCTACAGGCTGTGCAAGCATGGCTCCAGCCTCTGCTCCTGATGAGGCCGGAGGAAACTTCCAATCATGGTGCAAGGTGAAAAGGAAGCAGGCGTGTCACTTGTCGAGAGCAGGAGCAAGAGGTGGGGAGAGGTAGCATGCTCTTTTTATTTATTTATTTATTTTTGAGATGGAGTCTCTATCTGTCACCCAGGCTGGAGTGCAGTGGTGCAATCTTGGCTCACTGCAACCTCCACCTCCCAGGTTGAAGCCCTCCTCCCACCTCTGCCTCCCAAGTAGCTGGGATTACAGGCATGCACCACCACGCCCAGCTAATTTTTGTATTTTTAGTATAGACAGGGTTTGTCCATGTTGGCCAGGCTGGTCTCAAACTCCTGGCCTCAAGTGATCCACCCGCCTTGGCCTCCCAAAGTCCTGGGATTACAGATGTGAGCCACCATGCCCAGCCTCATGGTCTTTTTTTGTTGTTGCTGTCAAGACAGATTCTCACTCTGTCTCCCAGGCTGGAGTGCAGTGGCGCGATCTCACTCACTGCAACCTCTACCTCCCGGGTCCAAGTGATTCTCGTGCCTCAACCTCCCGAGTAGCTGGGATTACAAGCATGTGCCACCACACCTGGCTAATTTTTGTATTTTTAGTAGAGATGGGGTTTCGCCGTGTTGGCAAGCTGGTCTCAAACTCCTGTCCTCAGGTGATCCGCCCGCCTTGGCCTCCCAAAGTGTTGGGGTTACTGGCGTGAGCCAACGGCCCTGGCCTCATGCTCTTTTAAACAACCAGATCTTGCATGAACTGAGAGGGAGAACTCACTAATCCATGAGGATGGCACCAGGACATTCGTGAGGGATCCCGCACCATGATCCAAACACCTCCCACCAGCCCTACCTCCAACATTGGGGATTATATTTCAACATGAGATTTGGAGAAGACAAACATCCAAACCACATCAGTCTCTGTGAATCTGACCACTCTGAGGTCCTCATGTAGGTAGAATCCTACGTTCTTTTGCCTTTTGTGTTTGACTTAGTTCCCTTATAGCATAATGTCTTCAAGGTTCATGCCTGTTGTAGCATATGTCAGAATTCCCTTCTAAATATTTTAATTAAAACATTTTTTTTTGAAAAGAGTCTCATTCTGTCACTCAGGCTGAGGTGCAGTGACATTATCACAGCTGACTGCAGTCTCGAACTTCTGGGCTCAAGCGATCCTCCTGCCCTTAACCTCCCAAGTAGCTGGGACTACAGGCATGTGCTACCATGTCGAGCTAATTTTTAAAAGTGTTTTGTAGGCCGGGCGTGGTGGCTCACGCCTGTAATCCCAGCACTTTGGGAGGCTGAGGTGGATGGTTCACAAGATCAGGATTTCGAGACCATCCTAGCGAACACAGTGAAACCCTGTCTCTATTAAAAATACAAAAAATTAGCTGAGCGTGGTGGCACGCGCCTGCAGTCCCAGCTACTCAGGAGGCTGAGGCAGGAGAATTTTTTGAACCCGGGAGGCGGAGGTTGCAGTGAGCTGAGATCGGTTGTGCCACTGCACTCCAGCCTGGGCAACAGAGCAAGACTCCGTCTCAAAAAAAAAAAATGTTTTGTGGTAACAGGGTCTTACTATGTTGCCCAGGCTAGTCTCAAATTCCTGGTCTCAAGGGATCCTCCTGCTTCAGTCTCCCAACGTGTTGGGATTATAGATATGAGCCACCCTGTCTGGCCCAAAAGATATTCTTACTCTGAAGTCACGGTCAAGAATGTTGAGAAACACGGCCTGAATTTCCATACCAGCCAAGTGCCCTAGCGTGGCAAGCATAATTCCTGCCCCAAGACACACAGGCTTTCCTCTTGAGGTCCCTTCTGCTGCTGCTGCCGCCCTTGTCTTAGGTTTTTGCCACCTTCTGTTGGCTATTTTTTTTTTTAAGTCGGAGTCTCTCTCTGTCACCCAGGCTGGAGTGCAGTGGCACGATCTCAGCTCAGTGCAAGCTCCGCCTCCCGGGTTCACACCATTCTCCTGCCTCAGCCTCCCGAGTAGCTGGGACTACAGGCGCCCGCCACCACACCCGGCTAATTTTTTGTATTTTTAGTAGAGATGGGGTTTCACTGTGTTAGCCGGGATGGTCTGGATCTCCTGACCTTGTGATCCTCCTGCCTCGGCCTCTCAAGTGCTAGGATTATAGGCCTGAGCCACCGTGCCTGGCCTTTTTTTTTTTTTTTTTTTTTTGAGACGGAGTTTCGCTCTTATTGCCCAGGCTGGAGTGCAGTGGCACGATCTCTGCTCACTGCAACCTCCACCTCCCGGGTTCAAGTGATTCTCCTGTCTCAGACTCCCGAGTAGCTGGGATTACAGGCACTGCCACAATGCCCGGCTAATTTTTTGTATTTTTTTTTAGTAGAGATGGGGTTTCACTATGTTGGCCAGGCTGGTGTCAAATTCCTGACCTCAGGTGATCCACCCACCTTGGCCTCCCAAAGTGCTAGGATTACAGGTATGAGCCACCGTGCCTGCCCCGGCCCCACCCTTTTTTTTTTTGAGACAGAGTCTCATTCTGTCGTCCAGGCTGGAGGGCAGTGGCACCATCTCAGCTCACTGCAACCTCCGCCTCCCAGGTGCAAGCAATTCTCCTGCCTCAGCCTCCCAAGTATCTGGGATTACAGATGCTCCCCACCACGCCTGGCTGATTTTTGTGCGTTTAGTAGAGATGAGGTTTTACCGTGTTGGCCAGGCTGGTCTGGAACTCTTGGCCTCAAATGATCCACCCGCCTCAGCCTCCCAAACTGTTGGGATTACAGGCGTGAGCCACTGCACCTGGCCAGTTTTTGGCACCTTTTAAAGCTCAGCTGAAATACTGCCTTCTCTGGAAAGCCTCCCTGTTCCTCTCCAATGCCTGGAACACACTCTCTCTCTTGGGTTCACCCTCCCATGTTTGGTCTCATTTTCCCTGACAGCAGCTGAGCATACACTGTCCTGCAGGGTGGGTGACTGGGCCTTCCAACCTGAAAGTATGCTCCTCCGGGAAGGGGCCCACCCCACACCTGTCCCATGTGGGTGTCTAACAGTGCCCCTGAACACAGAAGGGCCAGAGCCAGGCTTCCTGACAATAACCATGACAATGCTGGTGCAGTGGTGATGTGCTGGTGACCGTAACTCGTGGTCATTGTAGGGAACAGTTTTCATGCTCATGGGCTACCCAACGCCCTGTGAACCCTCTTTTTAGAGTGGAGGCATCTGTCCCAGTAGGAGTCCTGCTCCCCCAAGGTAGAAGTCAGAAATTCACTTTGCCAGCCTCCCTTGCAGCTAGAGTGTGCCCATGTGACCTGGTCTCCACCAATCAGGATTTCTATTTGGAAGAGGTGTGGGCAGGCTCTGTGCTGATGGAGCTTAGGAATGGGACAGCCAGATTTCAGAGGCAGCAGTGGTGGTGTCCTGGCAGGGGCATTCCTGACAACTTAGAGTGGCTTCAACCGCCATCCCTGTGCTCAGCAACAGCAGCTGAAGTCACTCTTCCAGAGCATCCCTGGGTGCTAGTCTGGCCTCCAAGTCTGATCCTGTGGCACCTCTAGAGAGTTCGTAAGTTACCTAGTGCCCCATTTTTCAGGTGAATTGAAGTAATATTTACACATAGTAGAATTTACTTCTTTTATGCATATAGTTCTACATACCTTAACAAATTTACACGGTCATGTAGCTACCACCACAATCAAGATACAGAACTCCCAAAATCTCTAAGTGCTGCTCGGTAGTCAAGCCCAGTGGTGTGCTAGAGCTGGTTAGTATCAGTTCATGGGAGCCAGTTGTTAGGTTTTGAGGAATTTTGCAAGCTTTTTCTTAAACATAGTTATCATTAAACATTAAATTATATAAACTAGGCTGGGCGTGGTGGCTCACACTTGTAATCCCAGCACTTTGGGAGGCCGAGGCGGGCGGATCACGAGGTCAGGAGATCGAGACCATCCTGGCTAACACGGTGAAACCCCGTCTCTACTAAAAATATACAAAAAAAAAATGAGCAGGGCGTGGTGGCGGGCGCCTGTAATCCCAGCTACTCGGGAGGCTGAGGCAGGAGAATGGCATGAACCTGGGAGGCGGAGCTTGCAGTGAGCCAAGATCGCGCCACTGCACTCCAGCCTGGGCGACAGAGCAAGACTCTGTCTCAAAAAAAAAAAATTATTTAAACTAACAAAAAATTTTATTAAAACAAAGGTAATAAGGCCAGGCATGGTGGCTCATGCATGTAATCTCAGCACTTTGGGAGGCCAAGGTGGGCGGATTGCTTGAGCCCAGGAGTTCGAGGCCAGTCTGGGAAACATGGTAGAACCATCTCTACTAAAAATACAAATGATAGCCAGGCGTGGTGGTACTCATCTGTGCTCTTAGCTACTTGGGAGGCTGAGGTGGGAGGATCAGTTGAGCCTGGGAGGTTGAGGCTGCAGTGAGCCATGATTGCACCATTGCACTCCAGCCTGGGTGACAGAGTAAGACCCTGTCTCAATAAATAAAATAAATAAATAAAACAAAGGTAATAAACTTACCACCTCCTAATTATTTTGCTACATTTTACTGTTTAGATGCCCTTGAGATTATTTATTTATATATTATTATTATTATTATTATTATTATTATTGTAAGAGATGAGAGTCTTGCTGTGTTGACCACACTGGTCTTGAACTTCTGGCCTCAAGCAATCCTCCCACCTCAGCCTCCTAAAGTGTTAAGATTATAGGCATGAGTCACTGCACCTACCTGAGATTATTTATGTCCATTGTATCTATATGGTGTAAATACTATCTAATGACGTGCTAATGTACAGCTCTTCTCAATCTGAATTCAGTGACCCCACATGAGCAGCTTAAAATTGGCCATGGTTGGAGTATTTATATCAGAGACATTGGCAAATGCTACAAATCAAAGTCTGATTTTATTGTTTTGCTGATTGTCTAGACATGAGAAAGTAGCAGAGAAAAGGCAGATAATACAGATTAAACTTATAAGTGTGGTATGTCTGTAGCCATTACATTGAGAATAACACAAAAAATTAAGGAAACATTCTTTCAGTATTTAAAAACTATGATCTGATTCGGCAAAGAAGTCACATCATTGATGAACTAATGAAGTTCTGACATATATCTTTGTTGTTTTATTTTTGTCTTACTCTTGTCAAATGATGGCTCCCCAAATACCGCCAGTGCAACCTGTTGATAAGACAAAGCTGGGTTTATTGCTTACTATAGGAAGGGAGAACATCACATGGACAGGGCTTTGTCACTATTTCGAAGTGGGAAGGCAAAGTCGGAATCCATTAGAACTGGAAGTTTGGTTTAAGGAGGGTCTTTCCATGCAGGAGTTTGATTAGGATTGTGTTAGGAGCTGGGCGCGGTGGCTCACACCTGTAATCCCAGCACTTTGGGTGGCCGAGGCTGGTGGATCACTTGAGGTCAGGAGTTCAAGACCAGCCTGGCCAACATGGTGAAACCCCGTCTCTACTAAAAATACAAAAATTAGCCGGGCATGGTTGGGGGTTGGGCTGTAGTCCCAGCTACTCAGGAGGCTGAGGCACTGCTGCACTCTAGCCTGGGTGACAGAGCGAGACTCTGTCTCAAAAACAAAACAACAACAACAAAAAACAGGATTGTGTTAGGGTCACAACCAAACAGTCCAGGATTGGTGGAGGCAGCAAGGTGAGGGTCTGTGACACAGGGCAGTCTAAGAATCTCAGGGTGCTGCCTGTCAATACTTCCCACTGAGGAATTGGTGGGTCTTATGGGAAGTTTCTCTAATGCACAATCAAGTCATTTGTGTGGGCAAGAGTCTCCCAGAATAGCACGGAGACAATGGAATAATACAGTCTTTTTGTACACTGTCATTTGTTTGAAGGGAGATAGCTTCAGTCTTCAGTGTCCAAGGTGTATGTGAGGGTAGGTGTTTTTATTTGTTTGTTTGTTTGTTTGGAGTGCAGTGGCATGATCTTGGCTCACTGCAACCTCTGCCTCCCAGGTTCAAGTGATTCTCCTGCCTCAGCCTCCTGAGTAGCTGGGATTACAGGCACCTGCCACCACGCCCAGCTAATTTTTGTATTTTTAGTAGAGATGGGGTTTCACTGTGTTGGCCAGGCTGGTCTCAAACTCCTGACCTCGTGATCCGCCCACCTCAGCCTGCCAGAATGCTGGGATTACAAGCATGAACCACCGCACCCGGCCGGGTAGGTGGTTTTAATGGGTTTTTTTGAGACAGGGTCTCACTCTGTTGCCCAGGCTGGAGTGCAGTGGCACAATCACAGCTCACAGCAGCCATGACCCTCAGGTGATCCTCCCACCTTGGCCTGCCAAGTAGCTGGGACAACAAGCACATGCCACCACACCTGGCTAAGTTTTTTATTTTTTGTAGAGATGGGGTTTTGCCATGTTGCCCAGGCTGGTCTCAAACTCCTGAGCTCAAGGAATCCAACCACCTCGGCCTCCCAAAGTGCTGGGATTACAGGCATGAGCCACCGCTCCCAGCCCCCGTGGTTTTAATTGTTACTCTTTAATGTTAAGTAAAATATCAACCAACATTCACATTGGATCTGCACTTGTTTGTCAATTGCAGCCACAGATTGGTTCCAGTTACATGAGTTTAGCAAAATTGAAGCACTCTGTGAGAATCAGTTGGCTATATGAAGTTTACTTTTTTTTTTGAAACAGTCTCACTCTGTCACCCAGGCTGGAGTGCAGTGGTAAGATCTCAGCTCCCTGCAACCTTCGCCTCCTAGGTTCAAGCAATTCTCCTGCCTTAGCCTCCCGAGTAGCTGGCATTACAGGTGTGCACCGCTATGCCTGGCCAATTTTTGTATTTTTAGTAGAGACGGGGTTTCATCATATTGGCCAGGCTGATCTCGAGCTCCTGACCTCAAGCGATCCTCCTGCCTTGGCCTCCCAAAGTGCTGGGATTACAGGCATGAGCAGCTGTACCCAGCCTGAAATTTACAATTTATCATTTGTAAGTTATGGGCTATAAATTCAGCAAAGTTGCAGGAGACAAGATCAACACACAAATATCAGTTGTGTTTCTATACACCAGGAATGAGCAAACTGAAAAGGAAATAAAGAAAACAATTCTGTTTACAACAGCATCCAAATACCTAGGAAAAAAATTTAACCTAGGAGTTGAAAAACTTGTACACCGAAAACTACAAAACATTGCTGAAAAACACTAAAGACTTGATTAAATGGAAAGACATCCCATGTTCACAGATTGGAAAACTTAGTGTTGCTAAGATGGCTATTCTCTTCAAAGCAATCTACAGATTCTAGTGCAATCCCTATTAAAATTCCAATGGTCTTTTGGGGGCAAAAATAAAAAAGCTGACCCTTAAATTCATATGGAATTTCAAGAGGCCCCAAATAGTCAAAACAAGAAACATTGGAGGAATATACTAGTTTGCTTGGGCTGCCATAACAAAGTAACACAGACTGGGCAACTTAAACAATAGAATGTATTTTCTCACAATTTTGTAGGTTGAAGTCCAAGATCAAGGTGTCAGGCAGTTTTGGTTTCTTTCGAGGCCTCTCTCCTTGGCTTGCAAATGGCTCTCTTCTCTCTGTGTCTTCACATGGTCTTCTATCTGTGCGTGTCTATATTCAATTTCCTCTTCTTGTAAGGACACCACTCCTATTGGCCTAGGTCCCACCATAATGTAATCATTTTAACTCAGTTACCTCTCTAAAGACTTTATCTCCAAATACAGTCACATTTTGAGGTATACTGGGAGCTAGAACTTCAACATAAGAATTTTGGGGGTGGAGACACAATTCAGCCCATAACAAAGGATTACATTTCCAGATTTCGAAACTTACTACAAAGCAACAGTAATCAAAACAGTGTGGTACTGGCATAAAGATAAACATGTAAACCATTGGAACAGAATTGAGAGTCCAAGCTGGGTAGTGGCCCATCCCTGTAATCCCAGTGCTTTGAGAGACCAAGGCAGAAGGATCGCTTGAGGGCAGGAGTTTGAGACCAGCCTGGGCAACGTAGCAAGACCCTGTCTCTACAAAAAATAAAAATAAAATAAAATTAGGCATGGTGGTGTGTGCCTGTAGTCCTAGCTACTCATGAGGCTGAGGTGGGAGGATCGCTTGGGCCCAGGAATTCAAGGCTGCAGTGAGCCATGATTGTGCCACTGCACTCCAGCCTGAGTTACAGAACAAGAGCCTGACTTTAAAAAAAAAATAAAGAATTGAGATTGAATATCCAGAATATCTAAATAACTCTTACAGCTCAACAACAAAATGATACACAATGCAATTTTAAAATGGGCATAATTGAATAGATATTTCTCCAAAAAAGATATACAAACGGCCAAAAGCACATGAAAAAATATTCAACATCACTGGTCTTTAAGTAAATGCAAGTCAAAACAATAGTGAGGCCAGGTGTGGCTCACTCCTGTAATTCTAGAATTTTGGGAGGCCAAAGTGGGTGAATTGCTTGAGCCCAAAAGTGTGAGACCAGCCTGGGCAACATGGTGAAACACCGTCTCTACCAAAAAAGATAGAAAAATTAGCCGGGCATAGTGGCACACACCTGTAGTCCTGGCTACTCAGGAGGCTGAGGTGAGAGGATCACTTGAGCCCAGGAAGCAGAGGTTGCCGTGAGCTGAGATCTTGCCACTGCACTACAGCCTGGGTGACAGAGTGAGACTGTCTCAAAAACAAAAACAAAAACCAATAGTGAGATACCATTTCATATTCACTAGGATGACTATAATCTCTTTAAAAGGAAAATTAGTGTTGACTATGTGGAGAAATAGGAACCCTCATCCATTGCTCATAGGAATGTACATGGCGCTGTAGCAGCCACGGGAGACTGGCTGCTTAACTCAAAAAGTGAAACATAGAATTACCATATGACTTAGCAATTTCATTACTAGGCATATACCCAAGAGAAAAGAGGACATGTCCACACAGAAACTTGTTGGTGAGTGTTTGTAGCAGTGTTATTCATATAGTCGAAGACTGCAAACAACCCAAATGTCCATCAGTGGATGAATGGATAAACAAATTGTGGTATATTCATATAATGGAATATTATCCAGCCATAAAAAGGAATGAAGTATTGATAGATGCTGCAACTTGGATGAACCTTGAACACATGATGCTAAGTGAAAGAAGCCAGACATAAAAGGTCACATATGATATGATTCCATTTAAATGTATGTGTAACTTTGTAAGAAACTGCCAAACAGTTTTCCCAAGTGGCTGCACCATTTGGCACCCCCACCAGCCATGTATGAGAGTTCCAGCTGGCAGTGCATGCTTCATGTCCTTGCCAGCATTTGTTATTATCTACATTTTTTTTTTAAACGGAGTCTCATTCTGTCACCCAGGCTGGAGTGCAGTGGCACAATTTTGGCTCACTGCAGCTCCACCTCCTGGGTTCAAGTGATTCTCTTGCCTCAGCCTCCCAAGTAGCTGGGATTACAGGCACATGCCACCCCACTGCGCCCAGCTAATTTTTGTATTTTTAATAGAGATGGGGTGTCACCATGTTGGCCAGGCTGGTCTTGAACTCCTGACCTCAGGTGATCCGCCTGCCTTGGCCTCCCAAGGTGCTGGGATTACAGGCATGAGTCACTGCGCCCGACCCTGCAGTTTTCATTTGAACCATTCCAATAGGTGTGTAGTGGTATCTCACTGTGGCTTTATTTTCATTTTCCTAATGACTAATGATGTTGAGTATCTTTTTTTTTTTCTTTTCTTTTCTTTTTTTTCTGAGATGGAGTTTTGCTCTTGTTGCCCAGGCTGGAGTGCAATGCTATGATCTCGGCTCACTGCAACATCCGCCTCCCGGGTTCAAGTGATTCTCCTGCCTCAGCCCCCTGATTAGCTGGGATTACAGGCATGTGCCACCATGCCCAACTAATTTTTTGTAGTTTTAGTAAAGACGAGGTTTCTCCATGTTGGTCAGGCTGGTCTCAAACTCCCGACCTCAGGTGATCCACCCGCCTTGGCTTCCCAAAGTGCTGGGATTACAGGCGTGAGCCACCGCGCCTGGCCTGAGTGTCTTTTCATGTGCTTATTTTCTATCATACATTTTCTTTGGTGAAGTGTCTATTTACATTGTTAGCCCATATTTTTATTAGGCTAGACCATATTTTTATTGGGTTCTTTTCTTATTTTTGAGTTTTGAGAATTCTTTATATATAGGTTACCAGTCTCTTATCAGATATGTGTTTGGTAAATGTTTTTCTCCCAATCTGTGACTTGCATTTTCTTTTTCTTACCAGTGTCTTCAAAGAGCAGAACTTTTCCATCTTGATGACATTACATTTATCAATTTTTTTTCTTTTATGGTCTGTGCTTTTGTGTTCTAAGAAACCTTTGCCTAACCCAAGCTCTTACAGAATTTCTTCTATATTTTTTTCCAGGCATATACCTAATATACCATATTAGTATAGTGGTATGTTAGGTATACCTATTGGTATATTAGGTATATGCCTAATACCCCCTTTTTTTTTTTGAGATGGAGTCTCGCTCTGTTGCCCAGGCTGGAGTGCAGTGGCGTGATCTCGGCTCACCGCAAGCTCCACCTCCCAGATTCACGCCGTTCTCCTGCCTCAGCCTCCCGAGTAGCTGGGACTACAGGCGCCCACCACCATGCCTGGCTAATTTTTTGTATTTTTAGTAGAGACAGGGTTTCACCATGTTAGTCAGGATGGTCTCGATCTCCTGACCTCGTGATCCGCCCGCCTCAGCCTCCCAAAGTGTTGGGATTACAGGCATGAGCGACCGCGCCCGGCCCCTAATACCCTTTTATAATACCTTTCCACTTAAACCAGGATGGCTTCTGTTGTTTGCAACTGAGAACACCGACTGCTCTGGAAATGGTGCTGTTGGTGGTTATGGGGATGGCACCAGTGCGGGTGGTGAGGTTGGAGGGAACAGTCGTGTGAGTTAGAGGTTACAGTTGATGCTGGGGTTAGTGCTGGTGGTGATCATGGAAATGAGGCAGGTGGTGTTCATCAGTTTCTACCTGAAATCCTTCTCACTGTGGTGCAAAATCCGTGGCAGCCCTGATTGTCATCAGCTTGTCACTTCTCATTGAAGATCCATATATATTGCAGAACTCCAACCTGTCAATCTCTCATAAAACAAGATGGAAAGTCGGGGGTGAGGTTCAAAGCCACTTCCAAGAATTTACCTCTGTATATACTTGCTGAAGTATTCAGAATAAGAGTGTTCATTGAATCGTTGTCTATTGCAGGAAAAAAATGAAAACCTACCGGAATGTCTATCCATAGGAGAATGGCTAAATAAAATATGGTCTCTCCATACTGTGGAATATTACACAGACTTCAAATAGAATGAGATAGATCATTACGGACTTCTGTGGAAGGATACCCATGATACATTACTAAATTAAACAACAAATTGCAATCATATATGCTATCCTATTTTTTTAAAAGTATATACAGATGCATGTTTGTACACGCCAAAAAAAAAATTGTCTGGAACCACACACAAGAAACTATTATCAGTGGATCTCTAAAAGACACTTCACTTCACATGCTTCTGATCTGTTTGAATTCTTTGCCTTGAGCAGTTACTACTTTAATCTAAAAGTAAAAAAAAAAAAAATACACAATAATGCATACAAGGTGAGGTGGGGCGAGATTATTCTCTTTATTCTCGAAATAAGGAAACGGAGTCATGGAGGGGAGGTGTTGTCCTGACTTGCCTGGGTGGTTGGCCCAGGGAGCCTGTGTGAGGAACTGGCTAGACGGGAGACCTCTGGTCTGGTTCCCAGTTGCTGTTCCCCTACTGCCTTTCTTGGAAGCACGGTCCTGCCTCCCTGCCTGTCCCAGGGCAAAGATGACCTCTGAGCCCTGCTCAGCCACCAATGGCGACAGGTAGCTGTGGCCTGGGCCAGCCCCTTGTCGGTCTTTCCTCCACGTCCTTCTTCTCCCACGTGGGTATCCCATAATAGCCCCATTGGCTGTGGGGAGGTGTGTGAATAGCCCCACTTGCTGTGGGGGGTGTGTGCTGGGTGGATGGTGCAGGTTTAGGGGGCTGAGGATGAGGAAACAGAGGAGCTCTTCCTGAGCTATAGCCTGAGGCCCACTGCCTCATCATCCCCTGGGAAGTGTGTTAGGAACGCCGGCAGGGCCGGGTGCGGCGGCTCACGCCTGTAATCCCAGCACTTTGGGAGGCCAAGGCAGGTGGATCACCTGGGGTCAGGAGTTCGAGACCAGCCTAACCAACCTGGTGAAACCCCATCTCCACTAAAAATACAAAATTAGCCTAGCGTGGTGGTGCATGCCTGTAATCCTGGCTACTCGGGAGGCTGGGGCAGGAGAATCGCTTGAACCCAGGAGGCGGAGGTTACAGTGTACCAAGATTGTGCCATTGCACTCCAGCCTGGGCAACAAGAGTGAAACTCTGTCTCAAAAAAAAAAAAAAAAAAAAAAAAAGAATGCTGGCAGGCTGGGTGTGGTGGCTGAGGTGGGCGGATCACTTGAGGTCAGGAGTTCGAGACCAGCCTGGTTGACAGGGTGAAACCCCGTCTCTACTAAAAATACCAAAATTAGCCAGGCGTGGTGGGTGGTGGGCACCTGTAGTCTCAGCTACATGAGAGGCTGAAGTAGGAGAAGTGCTTAAACCCGGGAGCCGGAGGTTGCACTGAGCCAAGATCGTGCCACTGCACTCC
The DNA here is from genome assembly GCF_000001405.40 of Homo sapiens. Classification (NCBI taxonomy): domain Eukaryota; kingdom Metazoa; phylum Chordata; class Mammalia; order Primates; family Hominidae; genus Homo; species Homo sapiens. The sequence goes on along the minus strand of NC_000001.11, from coordinate 10,919,470 downwards.
AGCTTGGACAACAGAGACTCCGTCTCAAAAAAAAAAAAAAAAAAAAGAATGCTGGTTCCTGGGTTTCGCCCCTGACCCAATAATCTGAACCCTTTGAAGAAGCAACCAAGGCTTGGATTTTATGGGATCTAGCTACAAGAACGATGTGAGACGCACCTCAAAACTGTAGTTCTCAACCCTTGTTGCCCATTAGAATCACCAGGAGTACTTTAAAAAATACAGGGGCTCAGCCGGGCGCAGTGGCTCACGCCTGTAATCCCAGCACTTTGGGAGGCCAAGGCGGGCGGATCACGAGGTCAGGAGATCGAGACCATCCTGGCTAACATGGTGAAACCCTGTGTCTACTAAAAATACAAAAAAATTAGCCAGGTGTGGTGGCGGGTACCTGTAGTCCCAGCTACTCGGGAGGCTGAGGCAGGAGAATGGCGTGAGCCCAGGAGGCGGAGCTTACAGTTAGCTGAGATCGTGCCAGTGCACTCCAGCCTGGGCGACAGAGCGAGACTCTGTCTCAAAAAAAAAAAAAAAAAAAAAATACAGGGGCTCCAGTGCCACCCCAGAGATTCTCAAGGGTCTGCAATGTGGCCTGGGCATTGGTAATTTTTCAAAGCCCCCAACTGGTTGAATGTGCAGCTGGGCCTGAAAACCACCAGCCTTCTATGGTCATGACATCAGAATCTCTGGGCTGGAACCCAGGCATCTGTGGTTTTTCAAATTCCATGGGAGATTCTGATGTACAGGCAAACTCAAGAGCCCTTGATGTGGAGCCTCGCTTCTCAAAGTGTGGCTCTTGGACCACAGCAGCAGCAGCATTACCTAGAAGCTTGTCAGAAATGCAGAATCCCAGGCTCTCGACCCACCCAGACCGACTGCATCAAAGCCTGAACATTAACAAGATTCCCGGGAGACTCATATGCACATTGCAGTTGGAGACGCAGTTGGAGAACTGAGCTGAAGCAGGGTAAGTTTAATGTTCTAAACTCCCAACCCTAGAATCACCTGGGAGCTAAAAAATCTCAACACCCAGGCAGCACTTACAGTGCTTCACAGGGGGGCATCAGTGGTTCCAAAGGTCCTCAGATGCCTCCAGTGTGCAGGGCTCAGAACCCTAGTGTGGAGGTTTAGCTGGGGCAGGGGTGCAGGGTAAGGGCAAGGTTGGATGGAGGTGATCTCGTCACAGTTAAGGGCACTGGGGGTCCAGCCTGGGTTTTGTTCCACTTCCTATGTCCTGTGATCTGGGGAAAGTGATTTAACCCCACTGGGCCACAGCTTCCTCATCTGTAAAACGGGGATAGGAAATAGTACCACCCCTTGCTCCAGGGCTGTTGAGAAGATGAAATGGGTTAAACCACATGAAGGGCTTTAGTGTGGCAGCTGGCTCTCAATAAGTGCTTCATGCCAGCTACTGTTTTTGTTACTGTTTGGCAGAATCTGCCAGTGGAACACAGAGGGTTAAGAGCCTGTTGTCTGAAGATAAACCCGCTGTGCTAAAGTGTGAAGTGTGGGCACACCACTGAACCTCTCTGAGGCTCGCTTTCACATCAACAATACACAAAACATGATAGTACCCACCTCGCCGGTCTCATCTGTGCCTGCTCTTGCCCGCCTGGAAGCCACACATCCCAAATAGACATGATTCCATAACGTGAGCACAAGAGAGAAGAGGAGATTTTGTTGACAATTTTCTTTCTTTCTTTTTCCTTCTTTCTTCCTTCCTTCCTTCCTTTCTTTTTTCTTTCTTTCCTTTCTTTCTGTTTCTTTTCTTTCCTTTTTTCTTCTCCTTCCTTCCTTCCTTTCTTTTTTTCTTTCTCTCTTCTATTTCCTCTCTTTCTTCTTGAGAGGGTCTCACTGTGTCACCCAGGCTGGAGTACAGCGCCACAATCACGGCTTACTGGAACTTCCTCATCTCAGGCTCAAGCAATCCTCCCACCTCAGTCTCCAGAGTAGCTGGGACTACAGGTGTGCACCACCACACCCGGCTAATTTTTGTATTTTTTTGTACAAAACAGGGTTTTGCCATGTTGCCCAGGGTGGTCTCAAACTCCTAGGCTCAAGCGATTCACCTGCCTTCATCTCCCAAAATGCTGGGATTACAGGCGTGAGCCACCACAACTAGCCTTTGTGGACGGTTTCTTGGAGAATCAAGGAAGAAGTTTCATTTCACACCCCCAACAGCAGAAGCTTTACTAAAGCAACCATTGGACATGTGTTTCTTCACTCCAGGTTCCTCTGCCCTGCCGGCTGCTTGTTCTCTCCTTGTCCCTCCTCCCACAGCCTCCGGAAACCCCATCTGGGGAGCTGTTCTGCAAAGCTGCACCTTATCCACCTCCTGGAGCAAAACACGAGCTACCTGCCGGGGACTGTTCAGAGTGCTTCCTGCGAAGTCTCCCACTCAGAAGTCACAGCGATCCTAGGAGGTAGATCTATTCCTGTGCCCGTTTTACAGACAAGGAAACTGAGGCAGAGTTTTGGTAACCGGTAAGTATGGAATCATGGTTCTACTCCAGGCTCTGTGCCTGCCCCTTAACCTTTCTGACCTCTACTGTGCTGTTCCTCAGGCGGTGGTGGTGGAGGAGGGTCTTACTCCATCTACAGAGGGCAGGGGAGGACAGATTAGACCTTGTTTTGCACAGTGCATTCATTTAACAAATGTTTGTTGAGCACCTACTATGTGCCAGGTGCCAGGGACACAAGGGCGTGTCCTTGTCTTCACAAGAAATATGTGGTTCCTGTCTTCCCAAAAAGATTGATTGAGTTCTTTGAAAAGAGATGAAAAAGGCATCACCTAAATCAAGAGGGTCCTGGACACAGTTTTCAGACTCTCTGAACCTCTGGAACTGCTTGGCCTCTAGTCCAACGTTGCTCACCCCCACCTCACAATTGACCCAGACTCAAGGGGGATGAGCCCCTCCTCCCTGACCCTGGGCCCATCAGGGTTGGTCTCTGGTGACAGAGGAGCAGGGTGGGGTTGCCTGGCCACAGGACGCTGGCCCACAGGTGGGCTGCAGCCCCCACCCAAACCCCAGCAGTTCTCCGCCAAGATCTGGGTGTCCCCCGCCCACTTCCTCCCTGGCTCTCCCCTCCCCAAAAGCTGGTAATTGGTAGACAAAGGAGTTTCAGACAGTTGGGGACCTGCGTCCTTTGAGTCCCTGAAAACATGCTATTATTAATTAAAGACTTTGGCTTCGGCGGGGCCCAGGCCTGCCTTTTCCTGGCTGGGCCTCAGACTTCTGTCTCTCCAGTCGTCTCTTCTTGCTAAATTTTTCAGTGTTTTTAACATCAGACTGATGTTACGTATAATTACCAACTTTGCACCCAAATTATATTTGACATGGCTTGTGTGGGAAATTAGACCATTTCAGCGCCTACAAATTCACCTGGGAAGCCAAGGCAGGCATGCGGGCGTGCCGGGGGGGAAGTAATTTAAATATTACATGTGCCCTCGTGAAAATGCCAAAACTCTTTAAACTGCCAGGAAGAATTCTGTCTTCCCCTCTGCTTGCCCCCCTCCCCAGTCTACTGAGTGCACTGAGGGTTGGGAAGCAAAAGGGGCCTTCAGGCAGGGGCCTTCAGGGGAGCCCTTTCCACTGGGACACCCCTAGGGAGCAGGGGAGGGGCCTCCGGAGATGCCGACTGGAGCCCTCGTGCCACCTGTACGGGGAAGGCCCATCGCAGTGGTGTCTGTCTGTCCATCCATCTGTCTGCCCCTCCCTTCTCTCCCTCCTGCTTCTGACCCACCTGTTCCTGTACCAGGGAGAGGAGGCTCCACCCACTCCGGGATGTGGTGGAGGGTGGAGGTGGGAAGAGAGTGGCCACAGCACCCAGAACCCAAGCCCTGCTGGGATGCTGAGGCGGGGGCTCCGTGGCCAGGCTAAGTGACAGCCTGTCACAGAAGTCCTCTTTGGACCAGATAGGGCTGCCTCACAGGGGTTTCAGTTTGTCATTTCAGTTCAACAAGTCCTGAACACTTACTCTGTGCCAGGAATTTTGCTGGGCATTAGGGATCCAGAGAAGAAGAAAATCCACTTCATTCATTCATGTGTTCATTCAACAAACACCTATTGATCACCTATTATGTGCCAAGTGCTATGTAAGGGGAATATAGAAATTTATTTATTTATTTATTTATTTTATTTTTTAATTTTTTGAGATGGAGTCTTTCTCTGTTGCCGAGACTGGAGTGCAGTGGCGCGATCTCAGCTCACTGCAACCTCTGCCTCCCGGGTTCACGCCATTCTCCTGCTTCAGCCTCCTGAGTAGCTGGGACTACAGGCGCCCGCCACCACGCCCAGCTAATTTTTTGTATTTTTAATAGAGACGGGCTTTCACCATGTTAGCCAGGATGGTCTCGATCTCCTGACCTCATGATCCTCCCGCCTCAGCCTCCCAAAGTGCTGGGATTACAGGCGTGAGCCACCACGCTCAGCCGAATATAAAAGTTTAAAAGATTCATTTGTTTATTCACTCAACTCATACTAAATAAGCACCTACTATGAGCCAGGCTCTGTGCTGGGTCACAGAGAAGAAGCAGGCAGTCCCAGCCCTTACTGGCTCATAGTGAAAATGGGGAGACAGGCTTCTAGGCAAATAATGAGTTACTGGGTCCATCAAATTGGAAGGCCAGACTCTGCCCCAGTTGCTCCCTTGCTTATAGAAGCTGCCTGGTGGAGGGAGGGAGACCCTGATGGCTGCTAAGCACTGTCACCTGGACCTGTGAGTCTGAGAGACAAGGCAGGGGCTCTGCAGCCAGCAGGCCACCCTTTCCTGGCCCTGAGGCCCGTGGTAGGACCCCCGGAGGGGAGATATGGGACCCAGCCTGGCACAGTCTAGGAAAGAAACCTCTTTCTTCCCTTCCTGGGCATCGTCCCTGTTTTAGACTACAAAGAGGAGAGCTGGCTCTCTGTAAGGTTCAGTGTCTTCTGGAAGCCATGCTGGGCCAACTTTAGAGGCAGCGGTACAGGAGCAAGGATAGGGGAGCTGAGGCACCCCCTGCAGCTCCCTCCTCCCACCTGTGCCTGGGAAGGTCCAGGACCAGAGAGAAGTCAGCCAGAGCCAGGGGTTCTCCGCCCAGGATAAAGGGACTCCAGAAAGACATCCCTCCCAGGCCTCAGAGCCTTCTAAGACTGTGGGGGATCCTGGAACCCCAGCTCTGTGTGGATGCAAGGAGGGGTGGTGTTGGGTGGCATCCTTTGGGGACCAACCAAGAAGTCCTAATCCCAGACACCAGCTTCTGCCCCTTAGACTGGTGGCTGTGACTCCCCAGGGCTTTCTGGGCTTCTTTCCTCTATCTCTGGCTCTTTTTCTTCCCCCATGTGCTGGAGTACTCAGCCCCATTAGCCCAGCAATCAAGATCGTGCATGGTCCTTGTAGCCGATTGTGTTTTCTGAAGATGCCGCAGCAGCGTCTCTCATCCATAGGTTCTTCTTACAGTGGTCCTCCTTTCCAGTGGAGGGCTCTGTATCCTCTCCCCTGGAATCTGGGCAGAACTTTGTGAATGCCTCAACCAATGGAACATGACTGCAGGGACACTACTTGATTTCCGAGGCTAGATCACCAACATTTCATGCACTTCTGTCTTGTTCTCCTAGGACTTGCCTTTGGAACCCAGCCGCCATGCTGTGAGGAAGCCCAGGATAACCCACGTGGTGAGGCCATGCAGACAGGTTGTGCATGGGGTTCTAGCCAAGAGCCTGGCTGAGATCTCAGCCAACAGTCAGCTGTGTGAGTGAATGTGCCTTCGGATGATTCCATTCCCTGGTTATCAAGTCACCCCCAGCCTTTGTCTTCCCAGACAAGACCCTAGAATGAGGCAGCAGAGATAAGCTGTTCCCACCATGCCCTGTTCAAATTCCTGACCCAGACAACCCATGGGCATAATCAAATGGCTGTTTTAGGCCACAAAGTTTTGGGAGTGGTGTGTTATGCAGCCATAGATTCTGGAACAATCTCCCCGGAACCCCTCCATTTCCCCACACACCTTTCCCTCCATAGACATATTTGGAGTTCCCAGCATGCTATGGTGTTTCCCACATTCTTCACCTTTGGCCATGCTGTTCCCCTGCCTGGAGTACCCTTCCTTCATTCTTCTGACACATGTTTGATCCATCCCTTAAGACTTAGCTTAAACAGGCTGGGAGCCAGGAAGGCCTCACCTCCTCCTCTAGGAAGCCTCCCTTGACCTCCTGTGGCCAGGGCAAGTGCTCCTCTGCTTCCCTGGCCACGGGCTCACTTTACTGATTTCTATTTGTTGGCTTTGCTCACCAGGCTGTGTGCTCCTGGGTGGCAGGCCACAGGTCCTGTTTCTCCCAGGCATCTTCATCTCCTGTCCTGGCCAACCTGGAAGTGCTTAGAGAGGGCTTGTTTGACCGACTGGAGGGTGTGGAGGATGGACACTAATCCTGGGAGCCAGGGATCCATCCCTCGAGCTTGGATCCTACCTCCCTGCCCACATTCCCTGAGCTCTCATTATAGGGAATCACTGTTGGCCCGATGTGGACTGTGAATGACCTGGGCCTCCAGACCTCAGTTTCGCCACCTGTGAAATAAAAATGTTGGATGAGGATGAAGGGGCTCCTTCAGCTTTTTTGCTCAGGGATTCCCCAAGAGGGTGAGGCAGCTTCCTCGCCATCCAGCCTCCCAGCCTGACCAGACAGGGAAGAGGGAAGGAAGGGGTTTCGGAAGGAAGTCTCATCTAGCCACCCGGCTTTGTTGGAAACTTGGTGACACCCAGCAAACTCCAGCCCTGGAGGCTGAGCTGGGGCATGATGAAGGGGTCTACTGGGAGCAGAAATGCCCCGAGGGCAGGGCCAGGCCGGCGGAGGCGCCTGAGTGCAGGTCCTGCTCTCCCACCTGCTCGCTGCATGACTCGAGCAAGTCATGCCCCTTCACCAAGTCTCAGTTTCCTCATCCGAGGAGTGGAGAGAGCGGTAAAGCAGCCACTGCAGAGGACCGTCAGGAGGACTTGCAGACCAAGGCGGTGGCGCAAAGGGCTCCGCACGGCGACTGCCACGGGCTCCAGCTCCATGAATGTGGCCATCAGCACCGTAGAGGCACCATGAATGAGAACCTGCCCCGTGCCAGTGGCCAGGCCTCATATATTCTTTTTTTTTTTTTTTTTGGAGAGGCGTCTTGCTCTGTCATCCAGGCTGGAGTGCAGTGGTGCAATTTTGGTTCACTGCAACCTCCGCCTCCCGGGTTCAAATGATTCTCCTGCTTCAGCCTCCCACATAGCCGGGATTACAGGCATGCGCCACTACAGCTGGCTACTTTTTGTATTTTTAGTAGAGACGGGGTTTTGCCATGTTGGCCAGGCTGGTCTTGACCTCCTGACCTCAGGTGATCCCCCCGCCTTGGCCTCCCAAAGTGCTGGGATTATAGGTGTGAGCCACCGCGCCCGGCCATTCATACATTCCTGTAATGTCAGTTCCCACCAGAGATCCTGCAGGAGTGAATATCTTTATTGCTGTCTTACAGGGTAGAGAATGAGGCTCAGAGAAGCTGTGTGACTTGTCCAAAGCCACACAGCCATGAAGAAGCAGTACCAAAAATTAGAACTCAAGACTGCCTGAGATCTTGCAGCCTCACGTTCCTGAGACTTCCAGGCAGGGCAGGCCCAGAACGGTGGCACCGATACCACTGCAGAAAGAGTCCATCTCAGCACTGCCAGTGATTTGATGGCAGAAGATTTTGGATGCGGCCTCTTTGGACTCTGCACCCCAGCTCAGGTCAGAGCAGACTCCCAGACCCCAGGGATGAGCTCTAGAAGCACGGGAAGATCCCAGAGAGGACACTGGGCTGGGCCCTGAGACTGCCCTGTGGGTGGGCTGGAAATTCCTCTCACTCTCAGCTCTGGCGGGCCAGGGACAGGCCAAGAGGAGTGGCTGAGTGACATTTCCTCTGCAATGATGTCCCCAATCAGTGGTCACTACAGTCCCACTCAGGACCCTGTACCCCCACATGCAGGCACAGAGCACAGCCCCGCTCCTGGCAACCTGGACCCTATGAGAGTGCATGTGGTCACATGGGCAGCCCCCAGCCCTGCAGCCACACACACAGTCATGTTCACAGGCTCACGTCTGCACGCTCACCACGTGTGACAATACACAGATGGCTCCCTAGGAAGGACAACACGCGGCCCCTGCGCATCTGTCCAGGCTCAGCCCTGATTCCTGAGACTGCCTGGGCATTGCTCCCTGGATACGCAGAGGGCCCCGGCCCCCCTGTGTTCCTCTGCTCTGAGTGTGTGTGCACACAGGTGTGCATGTGTGTGTGCCTGATTGTGTGTGTGTGAGAGAATGTGTGTGTGCATGTGTGTGAGAATGTGCGTGTGCATGTGAGTGTGTGTGTGATGAAGAAGGTTGGGCAGGGGCTTAGAAGCAGCCCTGGCCTTCACTCCACAAAGCAGAGGGTCCTGGAGCTGAAGCCAGTCTAAAAGCCGCAGGTCCTCCCTGTGCTCTGGGCCTCATTCAGCCCTGGGGACAAGCCCAGTGGAGAGTAGCTCTTATTCTTCACTTTAGGAATTGTGAAACAGCCACAGAGAGATTAAACAGCTCACCCAAAGTCACAAAGCTAGATTACAGACAGGCAGCTTGGCAGCTCAAAGCCCAAGACCTTAACCACCAGGTTATGCTGTGGTGGTGGGGTTAGCCCTTGTCACCCACTCTAACCCTCCCTCCTCGCCTGCCCCCTGCTTGGTGTCCCTTGGCACCTTAACCGTTGGTGCTCTTTAAACAGACTGAACTTTCAGTATTTGCTATTCTGCCCCCTCCTCGCCTCTCCCCACTGTCACACACAATGTCAGCCCTACAGAGGTGGGCGTTTGTCCTGTTCTCTCTGTCCCCAGTGTCCTGTGGCACAGTGAGGACTCACAAATGTGTGTAGAAGGGAGGGACTCCGTGGATGAATGAACAGGGTCATGCAGCCTCAGCACACAGGGCTTCCTGCGTCCCGGTCCCGAGCAGGGGCTGGTGTAACGGGCAGGAGGCTGAGTCCCTTGGGGGCTGCAGGTACCACCCCCACTCCTTCCCGCCCAGCTCTCAGTCTCCCTCTCTGGGTGGGATGCTGGTGTCTGAGCTGCTGCTGGCGGGGCTTGCTGGGGACTCCCGAGCTGGCCCAGGTGTTCTGGAAGCAACCCCTGTGGCCCTTCCCCCAACGCCTCCCCCACTGTCCTGTTCTGCTCTCCCAGGATGGCCTCCAGGCTGGGAGGGGGCTGTGACCTCTTGGCGCACACTGGCCCCAAACAGGGCCCAGAGAAGCCGCTGACACCTGCTCCTTTGCCAAGTCTCACCCTCTCTGGTTTCCATCCTGCCCCAGGGCCCCCAGCTCACCCCACCCTGCCCCTACCAGGCCCTCTGGTGCCCCCGCCCGTCACTAGGTGGCGCCAAGTGCCCTGAGACGGCAGGAAGTTGCCCCAGAAGGGCTCAGGGCTGGGGGTGGAGAGGCCGGTCCCTACATTCAGGCTCCGACTGGACCTCCTGTCCCCATGTCCCCTTCCTTGAATGGCGTGGCAGCCCCTAAGAGAGCTGTGCTAAAGGGTGGTCATACATCCCTGACATGTCCTTGCAAGCCTCACAGAGGCCAACGAGGTGAATACCATCTTGTCCCCATTTCACAGATGAGGAAACTGAGGCGCTGGGAAGTGAAAGCCTTGTGTCCAAAGTCACACTGCTACTAAGAAGCAGAGTCGGCCTCAAACCTGGGTCTGCCTGGTTCCCTTCTTCAGTTCTGCTTCCTGAAAGCCCTCCCAGAAGGATCAGTGGCCCCTGAGTGAACCATGGCCCTCAGGAGCTGGCTTGAGGTTCTGTGGAGCCTCAGAGGGGGCAGGTGATTGGAGGAGTGTAGTGGGCAGGGAGGATGGACAAGTCCCAGCTGTCCCTGGATTCCCCGGCAGCTGCCCGATGGGTCAGGAAATGAAGGAAGGAGAGGGGACAGAGGGTCAGGGAGTGGAGGGGACTCCCCCCAGAGAGTACTAGAGGGCAGCTGGGAGAAGCTTGGGGGGCAGGCACGGGTTGGGGGAGAGGTCATCCCTGATGTTCTAGGAAGTGCTTGGCCGAGACGCTGCTGAGATGGGCAGGCCCCATCTTGGAGTGTGCAGACTTCCATGGGTCAGGCCCACCTGCCCACTATGACAGCCAAGTGGCAATGTGGTCCCCCATCCATCCTTTTTTTTTTTTTTTTTTTTTTTTTGAGACGGAGTCTCTCTATTGCTGGAGTGCAGTGGCATGATTTCAGCTCACTGCAACCTCCGCTTCCTGAGTTCAAGCGAGTCTCTTGCCTCAGCCTCCCAGGTAGCTGGGATTACAGGCACGCACCACCACACTTGGCTAATTTTTCTATTTCTGTGGAGATGAAGTTTCACCATGTTGGCCAGGCTGGTCTCGAACTCCTGACCTCAAGTGATCCGCCTGCCTCAGCCTCCCAAATGCTGGGATTACAGGCGTGAGCCACTGTGCCCGGCCCTATCCATCCTTCCCTGGAACACACGGACTGTGCCTGTGCCAGGTGCTGGGGATACCACAGTGAACAGGACCAGTGAGGCCCATGCTTTCTCGGGGGTTACTCTTTAGTTTGGGGAAAACGGGCACTAGACATTCTGCTGTTGAAATTCCTGATATTCCCAGTAAAAGAAAACCAGAGAGATCAGAGAAAACAAAAAGTGATGGAGGGTCTGTTTGGATTGAGTGATCCAGGAGGACTTCTCGGAGGAGATGGTATTAGCTGTCAAAGGCCAGAAAAAAGTGATGGAGGATTTGTTTAGATTAGGTGATCCGGAAGGATTTCTCGGAGGAGGTAGTATTTGCTATGAAGGGCCAGAAATGATTTTCTAGGCAGAGGGGTCAGCAGGAGCCCTGGCCCTAAGGCAGGCATGAGCTTAGTGGGCTCAAAGAGTAGGAAGGTCAGTGGGTCTCCCACTGAGTGAGCAAGCACAGAGGATGGGGGAGGAGGCAAGCCCGAGGCAGGGCCAGACCGAGGAGAATCCTGCAGGGCCACAATTGTCTCCTAGGTAGGAGGGAACGGGGCTTAGAGGTGTCAGCATGGGAGAAACAAGGTCTGCATTTTGGAAGATTACATTTGTTGATGTTGGAGAATGGTCGACAGGGGGCAAGGGTGGTGCAAAGAGACCACCTCAGGGGCCCGAGGGCCTAAGGGCCCTGCCTGGAGACTGTCAAGCACCTGGGTAGCTCAGAACAGTAGAAAATGCACACAACGGGGACTCTAGTACTCTGCCCCGATTCGAGTGCTGGATACACGGCTCACTGACAACACAACCTGAAGTCTACAACTGCCCCTCTCTGAGCCTCAGTGTCTTTTCCTACAAAACAGGGACAAGAAGAGCCGCACAGCCTTCTTCCCTGGCACGTGGTGAGACTCGAGGTCGGGGCATGACATGGGGCCAGAGTTTTATAAACCCTAAGGCGCCAAAGGCAGAGCTGGCAGGTAGGAGGACCCTGAGCCTGGGGCTACTTTCGGGGACTGATACAGGGGTGACATTATTTCTTCTATGGTTGAAATCATCCCTACGGGTCAGCCTCCATCACTTCTCTGGCCTCCCCAGTCCTCTGGGTCTGGGGTCCCAGCTTGACTGATCCCTGGAGGCTGCCCGCACCCTCCCCCCACTCTCTATCCCTCCACTTTTTTTTTTCTGCATCTTCTTTTTAAAATAAAAACACCGGCCGCTCGCGGCTCACTGATGTTTATGCCTCAGTAATACATTATGTATTATTTTGTTTTAAGCACAGCTTTTGCATCCTGACAGTAACAATAAAATGTGACTATGGGATTGCTAATACAGACAGACTAATGTTTCCATCGCCCGCCTCTTTTTTTTGCGTCCTAAGCACTTTTGAAAACGCTCCTTTTATATTCCTAATAAAATTATAGCAAAATACATCGATTTACTGGAAAAGAGTTTAGGGTCGGGGTTGGGTTTTTTCCTCGTCCTCCCCCATGTGTGGGCTTCTTCTTTTCCCCCCCAAAGACTGATGAATATTCTGAATCAAACCTTCTAAGTGCTGTTTGACCCCCGACCCTGGCTGCATCTTCCTGCTGCTGGAGGGCCAGGCTCACCTGGCCCCAGCCTGCTGCGGGCGAGTGTGGACGTGCTAAGCACTTGAGCCGGGTGTTGGGAAGTGGGGGCGTGCCCGTGTGTATGTTGGGGTAGCCATATGTCAGTGAGGGCGTTCGTGTTTATGTCGGGGTGCCATGTGAATGTTGGCTGTGCCTGTGTGTATGTCAGAGTGTCCACGTGTTGGGGTGTCTGCATGCATGTCAGGGTCTGCCCGTGTAGAAGTTGTTGAGGTGTGTGGGACTGTGTAAAGGTGATTGCGGTTCTGTGTGTGTGTGCTAGCTTGTGTGCTCGGCAACACCTACCAGTGTGACTGTTTCTGTGGGAGAATGGGAGAGTGGTGGGTGTTGGGGTGTGAGCCTGTGTGCTAAGGTGCTGGTGGGTGCCCTAGAAGCAGGGTGTGGTGAGTACTGGGCAGTGGGTGTGGATTTATGGATGCAGGGCTATGAGTCTATCTAGAGTGTCCTGGGGCCACTGATGGTCAGAGTCAGGTTTGTGTCACAGTGTGGGGTGGGCTGGGAGTCATCTGCCTAAGTCAGGGACCAGCAGTGATGTCCAGTTCTTTCCCGTTGGGGAATGTAGTTTACCTGTTTCCAGAAAGCCTGCATTATCAAGGAATTACTTTCCATCTGAAGAGTGGAGTCTCCTTCTAGCTGGCCTCTAATTCATTTCCATGCTCTGTCTATGAGTGTGTCATTCTATCTGTCTACACGGGGCTCTGTGGATCCTGGTGTATGTGAACTGGGCACAGCAGGGTGGTTCCTGGGGCACAGAGGCCACCGCAGGCTGTGGCTATGCCGAGCTTGGGGGCTGCCCCTGCCAGCACACAGACATCGATTCTCTGGAGGGGAGGGAGGGAGGGAAACCCTGAAGCTGTTGGTGGCCTCCTGGGCAGCGGTGGCACAGGGGCAGCAGGTGGGGGAAGAGTTCCAGGCCATACTATGAAGGAGAAGCTTTGGATGGAGAGGACCAGGCCCCTTCCTCCCACCCCAGTGGGCTCAGGGAGAGGAAGGAAAGATGCCCTCCTCATCGTCACCAACATCATTGCCAGCATCGGGGCAGGAGGGTTGAGCAGGAAGCGGTGGCCCAAGCTTTCTGCCCTGGGCACCCACTTGGTGCCAGGACCCAGAATCTGGGGGCAAAGCCTTTGTTCCCACCTCCTTCTGCCTTGGTTTCCTGGGGCCAGACGCCTCCAGCTTTCACCCTGCCTCCAGAATCCAGTCTGGGATGTAAAGACACCCCCAGGCTCTCCCCACCCCCACAGTGTGTCCCTCGAGGGAGTCTGAACCCCAGATCCTCAGGGACCCCCTGGCCAGAGGGGCTGCTTCTGGGGCATAGAACTCAGGGGAGGGGCTGGTGGAGAACCCTGGTTCCCCTGCACCCCAGCCTCCACGGAGCTGAGTGCCTGTGGCCGTGCCTGCTACTACAGCTCAGCCCTGCTTCCTCTCCCCATCCTCCCGCCCGCCCTCTCCGGAGTGTATGTGGATCTGCACGATTCGGAAACAGGGAAAAAAAAAAAAAAAAGAATTGGGTTTTGTATACTAAGCACTTTTGAGGGCAATCTTGGGCCCCCTAATCCAGAGGTTTATAACCTCCCCAGCTAATGCTCCCTGACACCGTGTTTTGATATCATTACTACATTATACTCACAATTTTTGAGTGAAAAAATACAGTACTTAGAAAGTCGAAATTCATAAATAAATTCATGTCAAACCGCACTTAATATTGATTTTGTTAGTGTTCAGATTCAATAATAAGGTACTGCGTGCATGAATATTTAAATATAATCATCATTTCTGCATCTCCTAATGGCCTCTGCTCCTCTACACTCAATTTAAACACAATTTAAAAACTATAATGTATTGAAAAATACTAGGATTTAGCAATAAATCATCATCGGGAGATTCCAGGCCTCTTATAGGGTGGCTCGATATGGGTTTCTCCGGGGACTGTACAATTAGATTCATGTTTTTAAACTTCTCAATTATCCATATACCATAATTTTATGTGAAAGTTTGTTTCGCTTCCCCCCGCCCCCCGCCGCCCCCACCCCTTGAGGGCCCCCCCACCCGGCCTCCCTCTGTAGGAAGCGGCAGAATATTGCTTAAGTGTTCTCTTAGCCAGAGTGGAGTGGGGTCAAAGGTGGCCGTCCTCAAACTGAATTAGAGACCAGGCCTGCCAGAGGCAGCCGGCGCTGAGTCACTTAATCACATTATTTGGGAAAAATATAGGGGGGAAAGAGATAAAATGACTTAAAATGAACTTGCCAAGGAGGAAGTGGAGTTTTTTAGATTTATTTAAAAAGCAATCCTTGGCCTGATGAAATAGACGCAGGGCTGCGGCAGGATGTGGTACCAGCCGGGCAGAGTAGCGGAGGGGCGGGGGCTGCCCTCTGGGAGCAGAGGGGCTTCCGGCATGGCCCCTGGGTCCCAGATCTTGGTGAGGAGTCCCTGGGGGTGCAGAAGGCCCCCGTGGGTGAAGATAAAGAGGGTGCCCTTGGGACCTGGGGGTGCTGCGGGAGTCTTCTCATCTGGGAGCCTGAGGCAGGCTGGATGGTGTGGGCTGCAGGGAGGACAGGGCGTGGCAGGGCCCCCGGGGTATATGGGGCTGGGCATGGTGCCCCGATGGCGGCAGGCACAGCTGGCTCTGATAGACGGTGGTAGAAGTGGCACAGCAGCAGGCACAGATGACAGGGGTGGATGGGGACCAGGGCCTGGAGGGATGGTGCCCACACACCAAGTGTGTAGAATCCAATGCCTGCATGTAGCTCCCGGGAGCCCCATAGCCGCTGTGTGATGTGAGACACGGCCATGCCCATTTTACAGATGAGAAAGCTGAGGCTCAAAGTGGGGAAGCCATTTGTCCAAGGTCACACAGCTACGAGGGGACAGTGTTGGGATTTGAACCCAGCTCATTCTAGAGCCAGTGTTCTCTTTGCCTGGCTCCATGCCTCGCTTGGAAGGTGCAGTTGGAGGTGGGGACAATGTTGCCTCTGAGCCTTGGCTTCTGGCCTGCTCCAGAGTGCAGTTCAGCTGTTCACATCGTAGGAGATGGGACCAACATCTGCCCATACAGGGAAGGGTCAGGGACTCAGCAGGGTTGGCTTCTGGAAAACCGTTTGGCCTCCAGACACTGGGGACTGGGGCTGCGGCAGAGGGAGTGGGGTCACTGACATGGATGCAGAGCTGTTCCTCTAGCCCTGCTGCCAAGGAAAACCTGAGTGTTGGACGACTGTGAGGATGCCCCTGGGGCCGCCCTGGAACAAATGGGGCAGGCAGCTGGCAGGAGCTGACGCCTGGCCTTCTGGGCAAGGCTTTCCACATTGGGCAAAAATGCCGGGACAGGACAGGGGCTCTACCTGGGGAGGGGAGGGCCACCAGAGGGGCTGGCTCCCCAGCTGTTTCATGCGCAAGGACAGCAGTAGGGGCCCAGCCATTCCAGGGATGTGGTCAGGTGTATAATGAGCAGAAGACAGCACCCGGCTTAGCACACTGTCACGGGGAGGAAATGACACAATGAGTGCCCGCCTAGCACGGTGCTGGCACACAAGGAGCTGTGATTACAGTGGCCCATCTGGGCCCAGCCTCAGGCTCCAGACCTCCAGTGAAGGGTGTTTTGTATTTTTTTCCTTCTGGCCTGCACTGCCTTGGTCCCTTTGGGTGGGTTTGGGGCTGTGGAGCTTTGGGCACCTTGGAACCTGGACTCTGACTGGGGGAAAGCGAGGCCCCCATCCCATCAGCTGGCTTTGCAACAGGGACACCCATGGGACTGTGTCAGCAGGCAGCAGGTTGCCTATCCCCAGACCAAGGGGGAGGCAGTTGAGGGGGCATGAAGGGCCCGAGTGCCAGACTTCATGGCTCAGCCTCCCCAGCAGCCCAGAGCTTCCTGTGTCCTGCTAAGGCCACTACTCATTCATTCGCTCATTCAGCAAATGCCTACTCCATACCAGACCCTGTTCTAGGCACAGAGATACACCAGTGAACAAAACACTATTTTCGGCTGGGGGCGGTGGCTCATGCCTGTAATCCCAGCACTTTGGGAGGCTGAGGTGGGAGGATCACTTGAGGCCAGGAGTTTGAGACCAGCCTGGCCAACATAGCAAAACCCTGTCTCTATTAAAAATGCAAAAATTAGCCAGGTGTGGTGGCTCACGCTTGTAATCCCAGCTATTTGGGAGGCTGAGGCGGGAAGATTGCTTGAACCTGGGAGGCAGAGGTTGCAGTGAACCGAGATCACGCTACTGCACTCCAGCCTGGGTGACAGAGTGAGATCCCGTCTCAGAAAAACAAACAAACAACAACAAAAAAACAAAAAACAAAACAAAACAAAAAGCCACTACTTTCAACAGAGGACAGAACCTCTGTCTCTTGCTCTGAACCCCCGGCCTCAGTTTCCTCACCTGTGATAAGAGGATTCACATGACCCATTTCATCTCCTGCCTAAATTGTTTCAATCTCGGAGGTGAAGGGGCACGGTGAACATAGTTCTTTTTCCCGGGAATGGGCCTGACAAGACACTCATGGATAGAATTCTTTTCTTCTGTCTGCCACTCTTCAAGGCTGTGGTTCCCAGATGGTGAGGGCAGGAACAGAGATGAAACAGAGTAAAATTTGGGAAAGTGGGAGCCACTGTGAGCCCTTGAGCCACAGTGGAGGCCTATCTGGGCTTCTGTGTTCCCAAAGTCCTGGGGAACGCGAGCTCTTTGAGAAGGGGGAGGGACAGGTGGGAGGGAGCCCAGCTGAGACCTCCAGGTAATTCCCGCACCCCAGATCCCCGTCCCCCCAGCCCGGTTGTGGGCCTGATTAGAGTTGGGATGGGAAGGAATGCATTTCCTTTGCCTTCATGGAAGCTACTGGCTGCCAGAAGGCACAGCCCAGAGCCTGAGACCTGTGGGACCCCCGTCTTCTGGACAGAAAGAGTTGCCAGGAAGAGAGAGTGCAGAGCTTGGGCAAGGTGTGGGCAGACGGCAGTCCTGGGTCCCGGGGTAGCCGCCCAGCCCCACAGACAGGATGTAGTAGGGAGAGCCAGAGCCTGCAAGGAGTCTCTTCACCTCCCACCCCTGCAATCCACTTCCCCTAAGATTGTCTCCCAGACTTCCCCCTCAGGAACCTCTCTGAGCTTTTAGATCCCTGGACCCCTCTCCAGTTCCCCTCCAGCCCACGCACTTGCGCCTACCTTCCCTTTTCCTGCAGGCCTCAATTTGCTCATCTGTCCAGTGGAGCTGCTCTAGCAGCATTCCTCCCACAGGGCTGTTGGGAGAACCTGAGGGATGGGAAGACAGGCCTGGGGAGCTGGAATTGGGGGAGAGCTCCTATTTGGGATCCTCAAGAGCCCCCGAAGGAGTCAGGTTCTGAGGCTGCTGACAGACCACTGGGGACACCCGCCATGCCCCGGTCCTCAGGCACGGAAGGGAGGGCCGGTGCCTCCTGAAGCCCTGTCACTCTGGATCCAGGGCCTGTTTTTTTCTGGAAAACAAGCGACATTCATCACGAGTGACAGCCAGGCCCTAATGCAATCTCGGCTGGAGCCATGAATTGCAAATGCGCCACAGGGAGGAGGCTGCTCCATCAGGGCCCCCAGGGAAGCCACATGCCTGGGCCCCAGGGGTGCTGGTCAGCGGTGGGGACACCTCACAGACCCGGCAGGGTCCAGGGCTCCCACAAGTCAACCTGGGCCAGACCCCACCACCTCGGGGTCCTTGGGTTCTCGGAGTGGGGTGGGGACCAGGCTCCAGCGTGGGCAGAAGCGGGAGGCGGTTCCTGGTGACTCAGAACTTGCTTTTGTCCCTCTGTGAGATTCACAGGGAAAAAACAAAGCACCGGGCAATTAACCGGAGCAAGTCGGGTGAGTGGGGAGGGACAGGCAGGCCCAGAGGCCCCCACTCTGACACCTCACCCACCTGGCAATTGGGAGGGCCCCACCCCGGGGTCAGGAGCACTCACGTGACCAGGGTGCCAGGGCCCCTGGGGGGCGGGGCCTGAGCTCTGCCCCTCACCCCAAATGGGCCCTGCCCCCTCACCCTCATCTGGCCTCCTTCCAGCTACCCACACACGTATGCCCTCTCCCTGCCGCCTCATCCTCCCATGCCTAGGGGCTCCGCTCCTTTCCAGGACCAGTGCCACTTCCACACTTGTGTGCCCGGAACTTCCGGCTCTGCACACACGTCTGTGCCGCTGCCCCCCACTCCCCAGCGTGTGCCCGGGCCTCACGTGTGTGCCCAACTTGCTGCCAGCCCAGCACTGAGTCAGGGCGTGCCTGCCCGCCTCTGGCACCCGGAGTAGACGAGTAGACGGGTGGGTTTGTTTTTCCCTGTGTGTTTTGGGTTCAGGAAAAAAAAATCCACAAACGAGCTCTCCCTAAGGCGCTTTTCCCTTCATTTTTCTGCCCAGGTGTCTCTAAAGGGAACTTCATTGTCTGTTTCAAATTCATTTGCACTTAACTCATCTAGAAGTTTTGCAAGAGCTGTTTGAAGTCCAAGGAGCCCTGAGCACCCTCTCCACCTCTCCCCACCCTTGTAATGAGCCCTTTAACCCTTAGAGACCCAGAGCTGCCTCTGGGCCTGAGTCAAAGGCTCTGCTGTCCCCTCCCCTCCTGCGCGTGGGAGCGAGCTTAGGACTGGGTAGGAGGCGGGAGTGGCATGGGGTGGGTGAGGCTCTGTCCAGCTTGCCCCCTCCTCTGGAACACACACCTACCTGGGCATCTCTCAGTGCCCCCCTCCACAGTGGCCTCAGGCTCCACTGGGTGCAGGGCCCAGCTGTTGGGGCTTTGAGCCTCCCCTACTAATTAATGGGTGCCTGCAAGGGCTGACCCAATCAGCCCCCAAATTAATCTCAATTATAGCGATTTGGTAACTGCAGCGCTAGCCAGCCTGATTGAGCCGGGATTTCATCACCTGAGAATGGTGAGCCGGAACCCAGACAGCTCAGCCTCGATGTTATTGGCAGGGGGCGGAATTGTGGGCGGGGGGAGCTGGGTGGGGCTCTGGGGCCCCGGGCAGCCCAGCCTTTATCACCACCATCAAATTATTTCATGCCAGCTAATACTCACATTGGCAGCCCGGCCTGCCATCCCCGCCACACACACCCCCGTCCCAGGTACTGGGGAAGGTGGAGGAGGCTCTGGGTGGATCTCGGGCTGCCTCTCCAGGTCCCCTGAGCTCACAGCCTGGAGGGGAGGCTGCTGAGCCCAGTGGAGCCCAGAGAGGTTAGGCTCTGGAACTCCAAAGTTGGGCAAAGGTCCACGCTCTAGACCCCGAGATCCAGCTGGGCTGCCTCCCCCAGGACTGCGAGGCCGGGAGGCAGACGTGGGCAGATGACTCTGGTGCGCTGGCAGTTCCCTGCGGTTTCCAAAGCCCTTTCCCATCCAGTAGCACTGGTTTGCTCCCTGCAACATCCCCACGGGGCAGGGCAGGGCTATTAACTCCATTTTACAGAGGGGGAGGTGGAGGCCCAGGGAAGAGGCAGGGCTTGCTCAACGTGTCAGTACAGGAGCCAGGGCTCTACCAGGCCGCAGGACTCCCAGTGCAGTGCTCTTCCCACGAGAACACATCAACTGGGAGATGTTCTCCTGCCCCCAACTTCAGCACCCCCACATCCCCATCACACACCCAGCGCCTCCTCTTCCTCCTCCTCCTCCCTGCGCTCTAACTGCCCCAACGTGTTGCCATTTGCTCATTCATTCAGGCAGCCCGACTTCTCCAAGACTCAGTTTCCTCATCTGCAAAATGGGGTGAAAATCATTACATCTGCTCCCCCACTGACCCCCCACAGGACCCTTCCTTCCTTCCTTCCTTTCTTCCTTCCTCCCTCCCTTCCTCCCTTTCTCTCTCTCTCTCTTTGAGACAGTCTTGCTCTTGTCACCCAGACCGGAGTGCAGTGATGCGATCTCAGTTCACTGCAACCTCTGCCTCCCGGATTCAGGGGATTCTCCTACCTCAGCCTCCTGAGTAGCTGTGATTACAGGCGTGTGCCATCGCGCATGGCTAATTTTTGTATTTTTAGTAGAGACAGGGTTTCACCATGTTGGCAAGTCTCATCTCAAAGTCCTGACCTCAAGTGATCCGCCCCCTCAGCCTCCCAAAGTGCTGGGATTACAGGTATGAGCCACCGCGCCCGGCCCCCTACAGGGTATTTTCTATGTCCTAAAGCCTTCTTTGAGTGTGAGGCTTCAATTATTGTTTTTACGAAGAGTCATGGTGGCAGCAGAGGGTACCAGAGACCTGGCAGCTCCTGGTCTGTTCCCCAGCCATGGGGCATGTTCATGTGGACAGAAGGAGAGCGGGAGGGCCGCCTCCCTGGGGTCAGGCAATGGCTCTCTATGGTGGAATCCAGGCAGCCGAGGCCAATTGAGGGAGGAAGTCTTTGGGACCCTTGCTCATCACCCTGGCCCACCCCCACCGCCAGTCAAGACCCCTGCATCATAACATTCCAGCTCCTGGAGGACTGTGAAGTCTTTGGTCACCTCCCCCTGAACCCACGAATGAATGAATCAGGTCATACATCCTGTGGAAGAGATGGAAGAGACACTTAACACAGCTCAAGCTACTTCCACACGCCCTCCTGCTACTTCCTTCCACCCTGGCCTCTGGGGGGCTCCTCTGTCTCCAAGGCCCTGTCTGCTGCACCCTTGGCAGTAGCCCCGGGGTAACTCCCACCACCCCGCCCTCTCAGCCCTGGGCCTGGTTGGCCAGCTGGGAAGGGGTCCAGAGGTCAGGATGGGATTCTCTCGGTAGTGCTTTGCCAGGCCCCCAGCATCACCAGTGAGCCGGGGCAGCACTCAAGAGCTGTCACCCTGCAAGGGAGCCAGGGCCCTGCGAGGCCTCCTGCCGGCCCCCACTTCCCGCAAACAGTGGCAGGATGATTGATTTTGCGGGAAGAGCAGCCCCAAGGGTGGGGGCGGGGAGCCGGGGCGCCAGGGGATCCTCACTCCATTTGCTTGTGGCTGTGAGTCAAGGCCAGGTCCCTCTGGGCAGGGTGTGAGGTGTTCCCCGCTGTGCCTGCTGTGGGAGGGCAGGGAGGGCCTTATGGGGCTTTCCTACAGCAGGTCCAGGGCCCTGGGGTCTGACAGCCCTTGAGGGGGCCCTCTGACCCCTGGGACTCCTGGTCACCCCGTTAGAGGATGTGGCTGGTGTGGCTCACCCCAGGGAACATGAGTCCTCCCTCACTTAGTCTGAATTCTGCAGCTGGGCTGGGGATGCGGAAGGGCAGGGAGAGGCTGTATCCTGGGCTGAGCTGGCCCCAGTCTGCCTGGGACTCCTGCCCTACGGCCAGGCCTGCCGAACTCCCTCGGGACCTGAGGGGGAAGGAGGGAGCTCTGAGCCATTCGAGAGTCATGGGTACATATGCCCAAAGACAGACAGACAGACACACACACACACACACACACACACACTCGCCAGGATTCACAGGTCTCAGGGTCAGGTCCTCAAGGCCTCATACCCACAAACATGAGCACCTCACACAGGGCCATGGTGTCCTGGAAACGCGCTAATATGAGTGGACTCCAAGCAAACCCCGCTCCATGCGGCTGCCCCAGCAGTGGACACAAAGACAGCGACACCTTCAACAACAGGGAAGGAGGGTTTTCTTGTCTCCTGTTCCTATTGGAGAGACAGGCAAACTGAAACCCAAGAAGAGAAAATGATTCAGACCCTGGGTGAGTTGGCAGCAGTGAGCAAGTCCCAAGAGGTCACCTGGATTCAGGATGCTCCGGAAAAACAGGCCAGAGCCCTCTCCGTTTGTCACATTTTTCCCCAAGCTTTTGGGCCTGGCACAGGTGCGTGTGTAGTGGTGGTGGAGGCGTGGGGGGTGGGGAAGCAGCTTTTTCTAGCATTGCCCGAGAAGGGGATGACTTCCGCCTGGATTGAGAATCATGGAGGACTTCTTGGAGGAAGGGATGGCAGGTGTTCTTCATGAGGGAGGAGGAGGAGGCAAGCAGGAATTTGGGGGCGGGACCCTGGGAAAGTTTGGGGAAGCTGGGTGTCTTGACTTGGGTGAAGGGAGGGAGGCAGCCTCCAGGAGCAGAGGGCAGCTTGAAGGGGGTCGTGGGGGTGGGTTTCCCAGTGAAATGCTTGTGGTGTGTCTGCAGTGTGTCCAGGCTGCGCCCAGTGCTACATGAGACCCAGGGGAAGTCCCCACAACCAGCCTCGCCTCCAGGGACCTTGCAAGTCAGCTGGGAGGACAGAATACCCCCCTAGTCATGCAGAAAAACATCCAAATACCATAATGAAATCATGATGAGGGGCACCAGTAACCACCCAACCCAAGCTCAGTCAATGCCACTGGAGCTCAAGAGAGTGAGGGAGGCTCAGGCTGCCGGGGAGGGTTGGGTGGGGGTCAGTGCAGAGGAAGGACACCCCAGGTGGGCAGAGGCTTGCAGAGGGGACCCAAAGAGACTGATGCAGGCCCGCATTCCAGATTCTGTCTGGGGAAACCTGGAGAGACCCCAGCAGCCCTCAGAGGCCCACCAGTACAGATGGCATCCAAGCACCCCCAGCCCCACTGGGTACCCAGGATTCACCACGAGCTGCTCTGTTTCCTTTCCCGCCACATCCAGGAAACGCTGTTGACTGAGCCATGATAGGTGCGACTGTAAAGGCTCTGAGAAGGCCTGTGGAGGTGAAACTGCTTGGTCTCTGTCTTTTTTGGTTTAGATATTATTAGTTTCTTATAGAAGAGACATACAAATTATTTACATGGTGTAACTTTCAGAACTGCAGTGGAGTGGCAGTTTCATATGATGCCATTTCAATAAGCGATTAATTTCAGTCCACATACATCCTAAGAATGTCATCATCTCTAGATAAGAAATAGTTCTTATTGGTTTCCGGATCTCTGAGTAAGTGGAGGTTGCTGGTGGGTGGCATGCCTAGAGAGGGCATGGAAGCTCTGCAACCCTTTCCACATACCTCGCCCTAAGCATCTCTTCATCTAAAACCTTAAAGCAAAAACTCACCTAACCTCTTGGTTGACAATATGGGCTGGATACGGAAGTTTCTTCTTCCTATAATAATTACTGCTTTATAAATTCAGGAATATAAAGAAAATCTTAAAAAAATAAAAATGAAAAAAAGACAGCTGAGCACCGTGGCTCACGCCTGTTATCCCAGCACTTTGGGAGGCCGAGGAGCGTGGATCACTTGAGCCCAGGAGTTTGAGACCAGCCTGGCCAACGTGGTGAAACCCTGTTTCTACTGAAAATACAAAAATTAGCTGGGCGTGGTGGCGCATGCCTGTACTCCCAGCTACTCAGGAGGTTTAGGCAGGAGAATTGCTTGAACCCAGGAGGCAGAGGTTGCAGTGAGTCGAGATTTCATTACTGCACTCCAGCCTGGGCGACAGAGTGAGACCCTGTCTCAAAAAAACCCAAAAAAACAAAAACAAACACCAAACAAAAAAACAAAGACAAGAAAAGAAAGAATCCTTGTTGTCTAGAACAACTTTAGTGCCTCCATATTCTGGGAGAATAACTTGATCTCCAGCTTTCACTCTAACTAGTTGAATCTCTCTACCTTCCCTTTAAAGCTGCTACTGTTGCTTGCAATACTACTCTGGAAGCATCAGGCCTCGTTTGGTTACAGTTTCGGCTGCACTCCTTCAATCAATACTGGGTCAAAGAGCAAAAGAAACTTCCTAAGTCCTGTCCTGCCATGCCTCCCGCCACCTTAGTTTTTGTACTCATACTTATATTCTCTCTCTCTCTTTTTTTTTTTTTTTTTTTTGAGACGAAGTTTCGCCCTTGTTGCCGAGGCTGGAGTGCAATGGTGCGATCTCAGCTCACTGCAACCTCCACCTCCGGGATTCAAGTGATTCTCCCGTCTCAGCCTCCTAAGTAGCTGGGATTAGAGGCGCTCACCACCACGCCCGGCTTATTTTGTATTTTTAGTAGAGACAGGGTTTCACCATGTTGGTCAGGCTGATCTTGAACTCCTGACCTCAAGTGATCCACCCGCCTCGGCCTCCCAAAGTGCTGGGATTACAGGCGTGAGCCACCGTGCCGGGCCGCTTATGTTCTCTTTACCTGACCGTTGTCAAACTTCCCCGATCCCTCAGAATCTTGCTTTTGGCCACCTATTATTATAATAACGTGCTGTGGAAATAGCGTTTGGAAAATGCTGAACTAAATCCTTAAAAATTCCCCTTTCCCTGATTACTAAAGCATTGCAGTTTCCATGTTTGTTGTGAGAAATATGGAAAATATAATAAGAAATAGAAAAAAATGTTCCAATCCTTCAATATCTCATCACCCACTCTTTTTTTCTGTGAATATGTAGGGGTTAGGGGAGTGCATAGAAATAAGTAAATCTGAATTAGGATCATACAGTTTTTTATTTTTTATTTTTTAAGGATCAATATAAAGTCATAAGGATCATATAGTTTCATATCCTACCTTTTTCCTGCATTTTATGATTTACTTAATACATGCAAAAGAGTATATGTACAGTTTAAAGAATAATACTAAAACAAACAGATATCCACTCCCAAAGTGCTGGGATTTCAGGTGGTGGCTCACGCCTGCAATCCCAGCACTTTGGAAGGCGGAGGGGGGAGGATCGCTTGAGCCCAGGAGTTTGAGACCAGCTTGGGCAACATAGTGAAACTCTGCCTCTATCAAAATAAATATACAAGAATTAGCTGGGCGTGTTGGCGTATACCTGTAGTCCCAGCTACTTGGGAAGCTGAGGTGGGAGGATCAGCTGAGCCCAGGGAGGTTGAGGCTACAGTGAGCTGTGTTCACACCACTGCACTCCAGCCTGGGTGACAGGGTGAGATCCTGTCTCAAAATAAAATAAAAATAATAAATAAATAAATATTCTTTGAGAACTTGAATTTTGATGGCTGCCTAGTGTTCCTTCAATGGGTGTACCTTATTTTATTCAAGCAATCCCACTTTCTCAGAAATTTAATTGCTTTCAACTTTTTCTATTGAAAAAACACCATGAGGCCGGGCGTGGTGGCTCATGCCTGTAATCCCAGCACTTTGGGAGGCCCAGACGGGTGGATCACCCGAAGTCGGGAGTTCGAGACCAGCCTAACCAACATGGAGAAACTCCATCTCTACTAAAAATACAAAATTAGCCGAGCATGGTGGCGCATGTCTGTAATCCCAGCTACTTGGGAGGCTGAGGCGGGAGAATCACTTGATCCCGGGAGGCAGAGGTTGTGGTGACCCGAGATCACGCCATTGCACTCCAGCCTGGGCAACAAGAGTGAAACTCCGTCTCAAAAAAACAAACAAACAAACAAACAATCCCCGAACCAAGAAACAAAAACAAAAAACACCATGAGGAAACTACTGTATGTAAATCTTTGCCCATAATCAGAACAATCTCTGACCATTTCTTTATTATAAGTGAATAGAAGTAGAATTATAGGTTCAAAGTTTTAAAATAGTAATTGCCAACATATACCAAGCATGTCTATGCCAGGTACTATACAGGCAGTTTATATGTATTAGCTTGTTGAAATTTACAACTCCTGTGGTAGGTACCATTCTTTTTTTTTTTTGATACAATGTCTCACTCTGTCTCCCAGGCTGGAGTGCAGTGGCACAATCTCAGCTCACTGCAACCTCCACCTCCCAGGCTTAAGCGATTTTCCTGCCTCAGCCTCCCGAGTAGCTGGGATTACAGGCGCCTGCCACCACACCCAGCTAATTTTTGTATTTTTAGTACAGATGGGGTTACACCATGTTGGCCAGGCTGGTTTCAAACTCCTGACCTCAAGTGATCTGCTCGCCTCAGCCTCCCAATGTGCTGGGATTACAAGTGTGAGCCACTGTGCCTGGCTTATTCCCATTGTACAGATGAGCAAACTGAGAGTCAGAGAAGTCAAGTGAATTGCCCCAAATCACACAGAAAGTAGCAAAGCTGGTTCTTGAACCAGCAGTCTGGTTCCAGAGTCTGAGCTCTTAGCCACTACGCCATATGTATATATACATATACAAATGATAGGTAAATAGCAGTGAACCAAACAGATAAAAATCTCTGCCCTACATTCTAGTTGGGGCAACAGACAGTAAACACAGTAAGTATAATCTTAACATTGTTAAAAGGTGGCAAGTCTCCTGGCCAAAAAAAAAAAAAATGCTACTGCAGGTAGAGGGGACTGGGTGTGGCCACTCGTGCCTGTAATCCCAGCACTTTGGGAGGCCAAGGCAAGCAGATCACCTGACGTCAGAAGTTCAAGACCAACCTGGCTAACATGGTGAAACCCCATCTCTACTAAAAATACAAAAAATTAGCCAGGTGTGATAGTGCATGCCTGTAATCCCAGCTACTCTGGAGGCTGAGGCGTGAGAATCGCTGGAACCTGGGAGACGGGGGTTGCAGTGAGCTGAGATTGTGCCACTGCACTCCAGCCTGGGAGACAGAGTGAGACTCTGTCTCAAAAAATAAAAAAGAGAGAAAAGAAGGAAGAGAAAGAAAGAAAGAAAGGAGGGAGGGAGGGAGGGAGGGAGGGAGGGAAAGAAGGAAGGAAGGAGGGAGAAAGGAAGGAAGGAAGGAAGGAAGAAAAAAAGAAAGAAAGAAAGAGAAAGAAAGAAAAAGAAAGAGAAAGAAAGAAGAAGGAAGGAAAGGGAGGGAGGGAGAGAGGAGAAAGAAAGAAAAAGAAAGAGAAAGAAAGGAGGAAGGGAGGGAGGGAGAAAGGAAGGAAGGAAGAAAGAAAGAAGGGGGGAGGGAGGGAGAGAGAAAGAATGAAAGAGACAGAGGGGGAGGGACGGAGGGAGAGAGAGAGAAAGAAAGAAAGAAGGAAAGAGAGGGAGGGAGGGAGCGAGAGAGAGAAAGAAAGAGAGAGAGAGAAAGAAAGAAAGAAAAAGAAAAAGAAAGAAAGAAAGAGAAAGAGAGTATAGGAGTGGGCATGCAATTTCAAATAGGAAGGTCAGGGAATATCCCCAAGAAAGAGATATTCATGCCAAGTCTTGAGGAAGGTGAAGGAGAGAGCCCTTTTGAGATCTGAAAGGAAAGCACTCCAGGCAGAGGCACCTGCAAGTGCAAAGGCCCTGGGGCAGAGTGGCCTGACTGTCCCAGGAGCAGCAAGGAGGCCAGTGGGGCTGGAGTAGAGTGAGAAGTGAGGTGGGAGGAAGTGAGATCAGAGAGATAATGGAGGAGATGCAGATGGCAAGGCTCTGAGGGCCAATGTGATGACTTCGGCTTTTCTCTGGTGCCAGTGGGAGCCATGGAGGGTTTGAAGCAGAGCGGCGATGTGATCTGGCTTATGTCTAACAAGATCCCTCTGGCTGCTGAGTGGAGACTTTCCATAGAGGGCAAAGGTAGAATCTCGGAGGCTGCTGTGACAGTCCAGGATGATGGTGGCTCGGCCCAGGCGGGTAGTGTGGGCTGGAAAGAAGTGGTTTCCTTCTGGATGAATTTTGAAAATACAGTTGACAGGGTTTGCAAATCACCTGGCTGTGGGATATATATATATTTTTTTTTTTTTTTTTTTTTGAGATGGAATTTCACTCTTGTCTCCCAGGCTGGAGTGTGGCAAATCTCAGCTCACTGCAACCTCTGCCTCCCGGGTTCAAGCAATTCTCCTTCCTCGGCCTCCCAAGCAGCTGGGACCACAGGCATGTGCCACCACGCCCAGCTATTTTTTTTTTTTTTTTTTTGCATTTTTAGTAGAGACGGGGTTTCACCATGCTGGCCAGGCTGGTCTTGAACTCCTGACCTCAGGTGATCCACCCGCCTCTGCCTCCCAAAATGCTGGGATTACAGGCATGAGCCACCGTGCCCGGCTGGCTGTGGGATATTTTTAAAAGAGAGGAATCCAGGACTCCCAAGCCTTGGAGAAGGGGAGATGCCATTAGCACAGCTGGGAAGCCTGGGAGGAATTTGGTTGGAACATGTTATGTTTGGGGTGCTGAGGCAGATATCACTGAGAGCTTGGTACCCTGTTCTCTGTTGGGTGCATAGGAGGATGGTACATCTTGCCACATTGAAGTTAGATGTGGCCATGAGACTAGCTCTGGCCAGAGAGTTGTGGGTGGGAATCATATGTGTGATTTCTGGGTCAGGGCATTTAATCACCTCCAACTCCGACGGTTCTGTCCTGAGGCTGCCTAAGGAGGAGGCACTGAGGTGGAACCTCCATTAACCTGGGTTACTGAGTGACTCATGAAGGAAAGCCCCCTGCCTACCTGCCCTGGACGTGTATCATCAGAAAGAAATAAGCCTTTGTTGTTCTAAGACACTGAGATTTTAATGTTGTTTGTCACAACAGCATAATTTATCTTATCTTGACTAATACAGGCACCTATTAGCAGGACTGTCAGTTAAGGTTGCACAGGTTGTACATGATACCAGGGCAGCATAACCGAGGGGGTTTCATTTTGATCATAGACCTGTCTACCTTCCAGGTCCTGCACACAGGTAAGGACAGTGTTCTATTGCAGTCACACTCAGAGCGGCCCCTGAGGCTGCTCCTCTTGCTCACAGCCTCTTTGGGATGCCCAATTTCCACCTCCACCCAAGTCTAAACCTGTTAAGCCTGCATTACAGGGCAGGGGTGGTGGGGGGAGTGGTCAGAGTGTGACTGTTGCCTTAGTGCCTGGTGTGGGTGAGCAGGAGTGTGTGCCTGGCCTGGGATGCTGCCCCCAGGAAAGCTGCTTCCGAGCCAACCCAGGCCAAGCTAAGGGGGTGACTGTGGGGGCACTACCATGCCCCAGCCCCGGCACTGCTTCTAACGGGATGCATATGCTCTGGCCACAGATTTAACAAGAAGTTTGATTTATGGAATTGCTGTTGAGAAGAACTGAAGCTGGATGCTACTGATTAAACCCCAGAGCCAGTGCCCCTCCCCCTCCCTTCGCAAGGACCAGTCTGGGCTGCCTGGCCAGGCCTGGAGCAAGCGGGTGCGCTTTGCCTCCTCCCATCCAGCCTTCCCGCCGTTGGATGGAATCATGTGCAGTGCCAAGTTTTAAAGAAAGTTTCTTTTGCCTTAGAAAGTCACTTTCTCCTAGCTGGCTAAGGGCTGTATGAGCAGAGGCAGCTCCGCCTCTTCTCCAAGTGCAGATGTGGAGCAGACAGGCTATGGACATGCGGGGGGCTCTGGGGAGAGAACTGAGCCACAGATAGAAGTTTAGAAATTGTCGGCATACGCTTGGTGTTTAAAGAGTAGAGGCACGCAGGGGATCTCGGAGGGAGGGGGCACGTGGAGAAGAGTCAGAGGATGCTTGGGTGTTTATGGTGAGGACGAGGAAGAGGAAGCTGCAGAGGAGACTGGAAGGAGCAGCTGAAGAAAACGGGGAGGAACAGCCAAATAAGGAACGTTCAGGAGGGCGTAGGGACCACTGGGTCCAGTGCACTGATGGGACTCGTAGAACAATGGCTGCGAGCTGATGACTGGGCTTTGCTACCTGGACCCTAGATTAGAGCAGTTAGTGACACAGAGGATGGGAGGAGAGGAACCGGAGCTCTCTGAGTCTGAGAATAGGATGGTAGTGGAGGGGAGGTGGGGTTAAGGGAGAAATGAGGCTGATGAGCCCAAGACAGAGACAGCTCCTGTCGCTTGAAATGGAGTTGGAGCGCTGTCCCCAGGCAGTGAGAGGGATGAGTCCGGGGCCCAGCGGGAGGTGCTGGCCTTAGATGGGAGATGCCATCTCCCATTAGATTGCCAGGTTGCCTGTGTGGAGTTTCCCCATTCTAGGCCCCTAGCAGCGCCTGAGGATGGCCTGTTTCCCGTCTGCCCCACACCCCGCTGGAGATTCCACAGTGCGTGCAGAGCCCACCTCTCCTTATGGGGTTTCCAGTCCCCTCCCCAGCTTGGGTACTGATTTCTGGGAGTCTCCCGCTGGGGGCAGGAATTAGGATCCACATGGACCTTTTCCCACCAGGCCTCGATGAAGCTGCAGATGTGGGAACGAGGCCCAGAGAAGCTAAGTCACTTGCCCAAGGTCGGGCAGCTGTTAAGTGGTAGATTCTAATTCATCCCCAATTCTGCCCAATACTCTCCTGCTCTCAGGGATCAGAAGAGGGAATCGGACTGGGAGCTCCCTGTCAGAAGCGCCTGTGAGCTGTGCTGGTTTTGCCTCCTGCTGCTTTTGTGTTTATGCCTTCGGTACCGGGGAGCTAGATGCTTTCATGGGGTCGGTTGAAGAAGTGCAAGGCCAGCGGCTGGATCAGAGGTGTCAGGACAATCTCCTCAAGGAACCCACTAATAAGCAGGGAGCCAGAAAACGAGCGGGGTTAGGCTTGGTGAGGAGCGATGGCAGGGGAGCGTCCCTGGCAGGGGGCAGAGCGCGGGCAAAGGTCTGGAGGCTGGAGCGCAGTTCGGGAAACGGAGGGAGCCAGCCAGCCGGGGCGGGCGTGCCGGGGATTCGGAGGGGCCTGCAGCCTCGCCCGTCGAGCCAGGCCTGGCACCCCCTGCTGCGCCCGCAGCCCGCCCGCCCCGGCCGCCCAGGGGCCGCCTGCTTGGAGCCAGCCTCGCCCCGCCCGTGCAGTGGTCGCCCGGCCGCCCGGGGGCGTCTAATGGGCTGCCCGGCCCGCGTTCCGGGGAGTGGTCCCGGCCGCGCTAATGTGCGGTCGCCCCGCCCGCCGGCAGCTGGTGCCCCCGCGTCGACCCCGGGCTGCGATCGATACGCATCAGGCGGCGGGCGGCCGGGAGCCCCCACAGCGCCCCCTCCCCCGGGCGCCGCCGACTGCGGAGCAGGGGCCTCCCGCGCCGGGGGGTGGGGCAGGGCGGGCCGGGTGGGGAGGGGCGCCCCGTCTGGGACCCCCGGGCCGCGTCCACCCCGCGCCCCTCCGCCCCTTCTGTCTCGGGCCAGACTCCGGCCCCCTCTCGCCTCCCTCCTGCCCCTCTTCTGCTGTGGGGGCCCCGCTCCACGCCTCCCCTTCTCTGTCTCTCTCCAGGGCTCTCCCCGGGACCGCTCAGCCGCCCCGGGCGGGAAGCTGTGGGCTCTGGGCGTCTGGAGCCTCCCGCCCCTCTCGCCTGGGAGACCCGGGTGACGGTTTTAGGGACAAGGCCAAGGCCAGGGTCACAAATCCTGTGATCCTGGGCGGGGACCTGGGTAGGGCGCGAATGAGGCACTTGAGTGCAAAACTTCAGGGGGCGCCAAAAACCCCTCAGAAATCAAGATAAATAATACTTTCGTGCAATTTATTTATTTATTTATTTATTTATTTTAGACAAGGTCTCACTCTGTCGCCCAGGCTCACTGCAGCCTCGATCTCCTGGGCTGAAGCGATCCTCCCACCTCAGCCTCCCGAGTAGCTGGAATTTATAATAGGCTTGCACCACTATGCCCGGCTAATTTTTTTTTTTTTTTTTTTTTTTTGAGATGGAGTCTCACTCTGTCGTCCAGGCTGAAGTGCAGTGACGCCATCTCGGATCACTGCAACCTCTGCCTCCTGCCTTCAAGTGATTCTCATACCTCAGCCTCCCAAGTAGCTGGGACTACAGGGGCGTGCCACAACGCCAGCTAATTTTTTGTATTTTTAGTAGAGATGGGGTTTCACCATGTTGGCCAGACTGGTCTAGAACTCCTGACCTCAAATAATCCACCCGCCTGGGCCTCCCAAAGTGCTGGGATTATAGGCATGAGCCACCGCGCCCAGCCCCTGGCTAATTTTTGTATTTTTAGTAGAGACAGGGTTTCACTATGTTGTCCAGGCTGGTCTCGAACTCCTGCACTCAAGTGATCCGTCCGCCTCAGCCTCCCCAAGTGTTGGGATTACAGCTGTGAGCCACTGCACCCGGCCCTAATGGAATACTTTTTAAAAGCAAAATTAATGCAAAAATTTTTGTGGTGAACAACATATCAAAATTTTAAATACAGACAAGATCAGTAACTGCCTAGCTGAGACATATTGGAGCCTGGAGCAAAGGAAAAATCAGAATACTGATCCTGATATTTAAACTTTTAAGATTTTGTTCATCGTAGATTGTTCACCACGGATTTTAAAGGAGATCCATTCAGGGGTACTTGGACTGTGGGTGAGAGTCCACTCCCTCAGCTGTGATTAACCAGTGGGAAAGCATCACGTGCAAACATCTTAATTATCTTTTTTAAAAATAGCTTTATTGGGATATAATTTACATACCATACAGTTCACCTAATTTAAAGTGTAAAATTCAGCTGGGTGCAGTGACTCATGCCTGTAATCCCAGCACTTTGGGAGGCTGAGGCAGGAGGATCATTTGAGGTCAGGAGTTCAAGACCAGCCTGGACAACATAGCAAGACTCAGTCTCTACGGAAAATGCAGAAGTTAGCTGGGTGTCATGGTGTGCGCCTGTAATCCCAGCTACTTGGGAAGCTGAGATGGGAGGATCGCTTGAGGCCAAGAGTTGGAGGCTGCAGTGAGCTATGATCACACCACTGCACCCTAGCCTAGGCAAGAGAATGAAACCCTGTCTCAAAAATAATAATTAAGTGCGAAATTGAATGATTTTTAGTATATGCAGAATTGTGCAGCCATCGCCTCACCAATTTTAGAACATTTCCATCACTCCTAAAAGAAGCCCTGTGACCACAGCTGTCACTCCTCATTCCCTCTCAGTATCCAGTCCTAGAAAAGCACCAGTCTATTTCCTGTCTTTGGATTTGCTTATTCTGGATATTTCATATAAATGGAAACAGACAATCATACATCACTGTGTATTGCTTTTTCACTGAAGTATAATATTTTCAAGGTTTGCCCATGTCACAGCATGGATTGTCAATATTTCATTCCTTTACGTTGTCAAATAATAACCCATTGTATGGATATACCACATTTTACTTACTCATTCGTAGGTTAATGGACATTTGGTTTCCATTTCCGGCTATTATGAATAATGCTGCTGTGAACATTCTTGTGTCAGTTTTTGTGTGGGCAATTTTTTTTTTTTTTTTTTTTGAGACAGAGTCTCACTCTGTCACCCAGGCTGGAGTGCAGTGGTGCCATCTCGGCTCTCTGCCACCTCCACCTCCCAGGTTCAAGTGATTCTCATACCTCAGCCTCCCAGTAGCTGGGGTTACAGGCACATGCCACCATACCCAGCTAATTTTTGTATTTTTAGTAGAGATGGGGTTTTACTATGTTGGCCAGGATGGTCTTGAACTCCTGGCCTCAAGCAATCCACCTGCCTCGGCCTCCCAAAGTGCTGGGATTACAGGCATGAGCTACCACGTCTGGTCAGCAAAACTTTTTCATTTATTTTGAGTATATACCTAGGAGTAGAATTGTTGGGTCATACGGTAACTCCATGTTTAGCATTTTGCAGAACTGCCAGACTGTTTTGTGGTTGTACCAGGTTACAACCCCACCAGCAGTGTATAAAGGTTCCTATTTCTCCACACCATTGCCAACACTTCCTATTATCTGTCTTTTTGCTTATAGCCATTCTAGTGGGTGTGAAGTGGTACTTTTTAGTTATTTTGATTTGCATTTCCCTGGTGGCTGATGGTGGTGAGCATTTTTTCTCTCATTTATTGGATGTTTGTATAGCTTATTTGGAGAAATGTTTGTTCAAATCCTTTGCCCTTTTTCAAATATCTTCATTATCTTTTTTTTTTTTTTTTTTTTTTTTTTTTTTTTTTTGAGACGGAGTCTCGTTCGGTTGCCCAGGCTGGAGTGGTGCAGTGACGTGATCTCGGCTCACTGCAAGCTCCGCCTTCTGGGTTCACGCCATTCTCCTGCCCCAACCTCCCAAGTAGTTGGGACTACAGGTGCCCGCCACCATGCCCGGCTAATTTTTTGTATATGTAGTAGAGATGGAGTTTCACCGTGTTAGTCAGGATGGTCTCGATCTCCTGACCTCGTGATCCACCCGCCTCAGCCTCCCAAAGTGCTGGGATTACAGGCATCAGCCATGGCGCCCGGCAATTATCTTTTATATAAATGACATCACACCACATGTGTTGTTCTGACTTGCTTCTTTGCCCTTGACAGCATGTTTTGCAGATCTTTCCATGATATTTACAGATTTTCATAGATCTACCTCACTATTTTTAGTAGCTGTTCAGGGTTCCTCGGTGTGGCAATGCTATACGTATTTATCCTATCTCTGATTGATAGACATTTATGGTTTTTTAAACATATTTTCTATTACAAAAAGGCAAAGTAACAAACATCCTTACATACATCTTTGCCCACCCAAACAAGTCTTTCTGGAAAAGAGAGCCCTAGAAGTGGAATTCCCGGGTCAAATGTTTAAATTCAATGGATATTAACAAATTGTTCTGGCCAGGCGCGGTGGCTCACACCTGCAATCCTAGCACTTTAGGAGGCCAAGGAGGGCAGATTGCTTGAGCTCAGGAGTTCAGGATCAGCCTGAGCAACATGGCCAAACCCCATCTCTACAGAAAAAAAAAATTAGCTAGGCGTAATGACACGCACCTGTAGTCCCAGTTACTTAGGAGGCTGAGGCAGGAGGATGGCTTGAGCCCGGGAGGTTGAGGCTGCAGTAAGCCAAGATCACGTCACTGCATTTCAGCCTGGATGACAGAATGAGACCCTGTCTCCAAAAGAATAAAAAAATAAAAAATCAAGCTAGGCTTGGTGGCTCATGCCTGTAATCCTAGCACTTTGGGAGGTTGAGGTGGGCAGATCACCTGTGGTCAGGAGTTCGAGACCAGCCTGGCCAACATGGTGAAACCTGGTCCCTATTAAAAATAGAAAAATTAGCCGGACATGGTGGTGCACACCTGTAATCCCAGCTACTTGGGAGGCTGAGGCATGAGAATTGCTTGAACTTGGGAGGCGGAGGTTGCAGTGAGCCAAGATGGTACCACTGCACTCCAGCCTGGGCGACAGAGCAGATTCTGTCTCAAAAAAATAAAAATAGAAAAAACAAACAAACAAACAAATTGTTCTCCAAAAGTTAACTCGTGTAGCCCTTCACCAGCATTGTATGATAGTGCCCGTTTCATTGCATTTTTACCAATACTAGATATTAATAGATCTTATTATTTTTTCCAATTTGTCAGGCAAAAACAAAATGATGCCATTGTTTTAACTTTCATTCATCTGATTACTAATAAATGTGAATTATTTTTCATATGCTTATTTGCCATTTTCATTTTATCTTCTGTGAAATGTGTTTATGTCTTTAGTCCATTTCCTAATGTTTTTCTATATTCTAGGTACAAATCATTTTTCTCATAGCCTGCTGCTGGTGTTTTGTCACATAGAAATGTTAAATATTGACGTCATAAAAGAATGTAACACTTTTTTTCCTCCTGGCTCCTGGATTGTGTCTTGTTTTTCCTGCCCGAGTTTGTGAAAATATTTTCCTCTAATGTTTTTATAAAACATTATATAAAACATTTCTTTTAAAAAAAATGAAATGGAGAGCCAGATGTGGTGACACACATGTATAGTTCCAGCTACTCGGGAGCAGGAGGATCTCTTGAGCCCAAAGTTTGAGGCTGCAGTGTGTGATGATCATGCCCATGAATAGCCACTCCAGCCTGGGCAACACAGTGAGATTCCATCTCTAAAAAAATTAAATGAATTAAAGGATTTATTACAGGGACAGAATGTAAGCTGGCCTTAAACAACAACGACAAAAAAGAAATGGAGAGATATATTTTAGATGAGATGACAATATTGAAATAAGTCTTCTTAATAAATGGAATGTAATCTCAATGAAGTTTCCAACATAAATGTTTATCAAACATGATAGTTCATTTGTAGAGTTCATATAAAAAAAGGAAATGGGCCGGGCACAGTGGCTCATGCCTATAATCCTAGCATTTTGGGAAGCCGAGGCGAGAGGATAGCTTGAGCTCAGGATTTCAAGACCAGCCTGGGCAACAACATAGTGAGACCTCATTTCTACCAAATAATAATAAATAAATAAATAAATAAAATAAAAAATTAGCCAGATGTGGTGGTGCACACCTGTAGACCAAGCTACTTGGGAGGCTGAGGTGGGAGGATTGCTTGAGCCTGGGAGGTTGCAGTGAGCTGTGATCCTGCCACTGCACTCCAGCCTGAGCAACAAAGTGAGACCCTCTCTCAAAAAAAAAAAAAAAGAGAAGAGGGGCTGGGTGAGGTGGCTCACGCCTGTAATCCCAACACTTTGGAAGGCCGAGGGTGGCAGATCAGCTGAGGTCAGGAGTTTGAGACCAGCCTGGCCAACACAGCGAAACCCCGTCTCTACTAAAAATACAAAAATTAGCCAGATATGGTGGTGGGTGCCTGTAATCCCAGCTACTCAGGAGGCTGAGGCATGAGAATTGCTTGAACCCGGGAGGCAGAGGTTGTGGTGAGCTAAGATCGAACCACTGAGACACTCAGTGTCAAAAAAAAAAAAAAAAAAGAGAGAAGAAAATACATAATAATATTGAAAACAATTTTTTGAAGGAGAAGAGCCCTAACAGTTGGCAAAACACTGTAGACTCATAATAATCCAAACAGTGCAGTATTAGAATGAGATTAGATAAATTGATCAATGGATGGGAACTAGTCCATGTTTACATGAAAGATTAGTTTATGATAAAGGTGACATTTCAAATAAGCAGAATTTCATAAATGGTCTTGGTCCAAATGGCTATCCATTTACAGGGGACTGATTTTTTCATTTGTCCATCATGTATGTTTGAACGCATAACATCTGCCAAGCATCATCCATGTGGACACTGGGGTGGGACAGCGAATGAAACAGACAAAAGCATAAAAAATTTCTGACCTTGCCAGGCGCTGTGGCTCATGCCTGTAATCCCAGCACTTTGGGAAGCCAAGGCGGGTGGATCACGACGTCAGGAGATCAAGACCATCCTGGCCAAAATGGTGAAACCCCGTCTCTACTAAAAATACAAAAATTAGCTGGGTGTGGTGGCACATGCCCGTAATCTCAGCTACTCTGGAGGCTGAGGCAGGAGAATCGTTGGAACCTGGGAGTCAGAGGTTGCAGTGAGCCAAGACCGCGCCACCGCACTCCAGCCTGGCGACAGAGCGAGACTCTGTCTCAAAATAAATAAATAAATAAAAATTAAAAAATTTAAAAAACTCTGACCTCATGGAGTGGGGCGGTAGTGAGTCTCCCATAAAAATCATCAACAACAACAAATACATAAATGATGTAATATATTAGAAAGTTATGAGTGCTGCAGAGAGAAATAAAAGAGGGGGCAGGAATGTGGGGAGAGAAATGGCAATGTTTATAAGGAAGACCTTGTAGATAGCTGTGGGAAAGGCCAGAACAGACAGTGCAAAGGCCCGGAGGCAGGAACACGTCTGTTTTTCTGGGCTACTATTTTTTAAGCTCTAATATGTGGACTTGAACTTTCATGCTAAGGGACATGGAAGGTATTGGAGGGTTGTGAGCAGAGGTGTGACAGGAGCCTATTTATTTATTTATTTTGAGGCAGGCTTACCTCTGTCGCCCACACTGGAGTGCAATGGTGCAATCTCAGCTCACTGCAACCTTTGCCTCCTGGGTTCAAGCAATTCTGGTATCTCAGCCACCTGAATACCTGGGATTACAGGCCCTCACCACCATGCCTGGCTAATTTTTGTAGTTTAGTACAGATGGAGTGGAGGGGTTGGGTGTTTTCACCATGTTGGCCAGGCTGGTCTCGAACTCTTGGCCTCAAGTGATCCACCCATCTCGGCCTGTAAGGTGGTTTACAGGCGTGACCCACCTCACCGGTGCCCAGTGCAGCAATCAGTTTAGACTTTAACTGGACCACTCTGGGATCTGGGTGGAGCACAGATTATAGGGGCAAGGGCAAGAGTGGACGTGGAGAGACCAGGGAGGAGGCGATTGCAGGTATCCAGAGGGGAGGTGTTGGTGGCGTGGGCCATAGCGGCAGCAGTGGAGGAGGTGGGAAGTGGTCGCATTCTGCATGTATTTTGGGTTTTTTGTTTGTTTGTTTGTTTGAGTCAGAGTTTCACTCTTGTCGCCCAGGCTGGAATGCAATGGGGCAATCCTGGCTCACTGCAACCTCCACTTCCCGGGTTCAAGTGATTCTCCTGCGTCAGCCTCCTGCGTAGCTGGAATTACAGGCACCTGTCACCACTCTGAGCTAACTTTTGTATTTTTAGTGGAGACAGGGTTTCACCATGTTGGCCAGGCTGGTCTTGAACTCCTGACCTCAGGAGATCCACCCGCCTGGGCCTCCCAAGGTGCTGGGATTACAGGCATGAGCCACCGTGCACAGCCTCTGGGTGTATTTTGAATCTAGAGCAGCAATCATGGAAATTGGATGGGGGGGTGGGTGGTGGAGGAAAGATCAGGAGCTCAGCTTTGGAGGTTGGCGTCTGAGATGCCTATTAGACTGCCAAGAGGAGATGCGGAGTAGGAGTGAGTACACGTGCCTCCAGATCTGAGAAGACGGAGCTGGGCTGAAGATGACGCCAATAGAATGGTCAAGATAGATTCTGTTGCCGCTCAATACAGCAGCTGCCAGCCACGGGTGGTTACCAAGCTCTTGAACTGCCGCTAGACTGATTGAGATGTGCCGTCAGATGTAAAATACAAGTCAGATTTCAAAGGCTTAGGATGAAAAAAAGCAAAATGGCTCCTTAGTGATTTTATATATTGATCACAAGTTGAAACGATAATATTTTGGATATATTGTACTCGGTCAGAGTATTTGAATTCATTTCTCTTTTCAAAAATGTGACTACCAAAAAAATTTTAAATTGCGTGGAGGTTTGCATTCTGTTTTTATTGCACAGCAACTGGCCTAGATGGTGGTTAAAGCTATAGCAGGGCTGAGTGTGGTGGCTCACACTTGTAATCCCAGCACTTTGGGAGGCCAAGGTGGGAGGATCACTTGACTCCAGGAGTTCAAGACCAGCTGGGGCAACATGGCAACACCCTGTCTCTACAAAAAATTAAAACATTAGCCGGGTGTGGTGGTACATGCTTGTGGTCCCAGCCACTCAGGAGGCTGAAACAGGGGGATCGCTTTAGCCCGGGAGGTGGAGGCTACAGTGAGCCATGATCATGCCACTGCACTCCAGCCTGGGTGACAAAGTGAGACCCTGTCTCAAAAAAAAAAAAAAGCTATTATGAGCAGGATGGATGGTCACCCTGTGG
This sequence comes from Homo sapiens, assembly GCF_000001405.40. Classification (NCBI taxonomy): domain Eukaryota; kingdom Metazoa; phylum Chordata; class Mammalia; order Primates; family Hominidae; genus Homo; species Homo sapiens. The sequence goes on along the minus strand of NC_000001.11, from coordinate 10,880,442 downwards.
GTGAGTACAGTAGAGGAGAGGCCCCCAGGATGAGCTCTCCAAGGTGAAGAAGGGGAAGAAGGGCAGCAAAGGAGGCAAAAAGGAGCAGCCAGGGGAGTCAGAGGAAAGGCAGGAGCCTGCAGTCTAGGAAACCAAGATAAGAGAGCATCTAGGAGGAGGGAGAGGCCCTCAGCCACAAAGGCTGCTGAGAGGCTGAGACCATTGGAATGAGCCGCTTCGAGGTCACGGTTGCAGAGCGCGTTTCACTTACATCATATTCTCCAGCTCCTATGATGCTCAGGTGCTGGAGGCGCCGCAATGAACAAGGAGATGTGGCTCCTGCCCTTCCAGGGCTCATGATGCCAAGGGGCAGCAGTGTCCCCAATAATGAGCTGCCAGTCACCTGAGAGGAAAAGAAAAGGAGGAGAGGGCAGAAATCAGGGAAGGCCAGAAGGTATGGAGGCCATGTCCTGAGGGCTCAGAAAAGGTCTCAGCCACATTATGTAAACCAACATCCCGGGGACCTCAACCCCCAACCTCACCCCCAACACACACCCCGGGCAAGGGGTGCGGCAAGCCAGGGAGAAACCAATACAACCTGCTCAGGGCTTTACAGTGCTAGAGAGTCCTCCTGGCACTCCTAGAAGGTGGCCAGGTTTCAAACCCAGGGCTCCATGTCCCCAGAGTCCGTGTTCCTAACTACTCTGCTTGCTGCCCTGATGTCCGCAAGGGCACGGTCACGTCCACTTGTGACACAGGTAGTTACAACAGGCTCTTGTTTTTGTTTGTTTGTTTGTTTGTTTGTTTGAGGTGGAGTCTCGCTCTGTTGCCGAAGCTGGAATGCAATGGCACGATCTCAGCTCACTGCAACCTCCACCTCCTGGGTTCAAGCGATTCTCCTGCCTCAGCCTCCTAAGTAGCTGGGATTACAGGCGTGCACCACCACACCCAGCTAATTTTTGTATATATATATTTTTAAGCAGAGACAGGGTTTCACCATGTTGGCCAGGCTGGTCTCGAACTCCTAACCTCATGATCCACCAACCTCGGCCTCCCAAAGTGCTGGGATTACAGGCGTGAGCTACTGCATCCAGCCTGTTTTGTTTTTTGAGACAGTCTCACTCTGTTGCCCAGGCTGATTGCAGTGGTGCAATCGCTGCTCACTGTAGCCTCGACCTCCCTAGACTCAGCTGATCCTTGCACTTCAGCCTCTAGAGGAGTTGGGACCACAGGCGTGCTCTAGCATGCCCGGCTAATTTTTGTTTTTTGTTTTTTTTTAATAGAGATGAGGTCTCGCCGTGTTGCCCAGGTTGGTCTTGAACTCCTGGGCTCGAGTGATCTGCCTGCCTGGGCCTCCCAAAGTACTGAGATTACAGGCATAAGCCACTTCGCCCAGCCCAGGCTCTTCTTTTTGACAGCGGGAGCTCTTGGGCTGAGAGTCCCACATTCTGGGTCTGCAGCCGGCTCCCAGCACTGCAGCACTTATTTGCCCAGCTACTTTAGGTGAGTCCCTTCAGCCTTAGTTTGCACATCTGCAAAATGGAACCCCTGAAATGGAGCCACGATGCATTAGCAACCACACCACACTACCAATTACAGGCAGAGTTAGGCTGGGAGGTGCAAGCTAGCCTATGCCCCTTGCATGCTTTGGAACTCATTTCCTAGGGAGGAACTAGCCTGAGCTCACTTGACAACAGGGAGGGAGGGCGATGGGGCAGGTGCAGCCTCTGATCCCTCCCTGGCCTGTGTCCTCCAGAGCTCTGAGCCCTGTTCCCAGTGCCCCTGAAGGTCAGGCACCCCTTCTGACTTGGCTGCCCCCTCCTGCCTCTGACTGTCCCCTCCGCACTGGATAAACAGCGCCTCCGCCCGCCTGCCTCCCCGTTCCCTCACGCTTCACCAGAATTAAATTCATCATTCATTTTTTATGGCTTATACATAGTGTAATTTATGTTTTCAAATATATTAAGGTCACACTTTAGCAGAAAAAAAGTATTTCACATTGAAATTGAAGGCACGGGTGTTCCATTAAATGGGGATGTTTGGGATAATTTTAAAAGGCTAAAAGTAGTAGAAAGTAACATTAAAATAAAATTTGAGAGATGTAATTACCCCTAATCGCACCATAAAATAATCAATACTGCATTCCATTATTTCTGACTTCCCTAGTTATAGCTTTTTTTGTTAAGCTCTTGAATATTGATGAGGTGAAAGGGTCGTGTCTTCTGGCGGAGGTCTGATGGAGGTGGAATTAAGGTGGCGTCCTCTCCGATTATCCCAGGGACCCTGTGAGCACTGTTCTTTGTAGCTACAGATCCCAGGGGGCGGCACCAGGCTCCCCAGTCTCCTGTCTGTCAGGCAACCCAGCTCCTCTGAACCCAGGGTCTGGTGGGAGGCCAGCGTGAGGCCATGAGTGGAGGTCACGTGAGTTCACTTGAGCTACATTCTAGGATCACTTTCTGTGTGCCACGCTCTGTGTAAGCATCGTAGATGCATCAACTCAAGTGACTCTTAAAGCAACCCTCTGCAGGGGGTGTTGGCAAGACTCCTCATTTGCCAGGTGGGCACAGCTGAGGCCCAGGAACATAAAAGAAGTTAGTTACTAAGGAGCAGAGTAGGGATTTGTACCCTCATCTGGGCTCTTGCCACAATCTATGTCACCTCCCCAAGTTGTCCGGCCTCTGGCTTGGGGGTGGCCTGAGGGATGGCGATCCCAGCAGAAGGTTGCAGGGGTGCTAAAACCCCCTGGTAGAAGATGACTCAGTGCTGGCCTTGAGGACAGTTGTCCCAGGCCACAGTGGTGCATAGCTAGCAGGAAAACCTCTGGTTCCTTTTAGAGACAGCTGAGAATATCTGTTCCTCTCCTACATTTTATGCAACGAATTCACTTCTCTGGGCCTTCATGATCTCATCTGTACAATGGGGATAACAATACAGCGCCCCTCACTATGTTGCGTGGCTGAAGGATGCTCTAGTGCCCACCCTCCCAAGCACATGGGAAGCGCCGGGCAACGGTACCTATTGAGGCATTGGTGATGCCGCCGCTTATGACGAGGTCACTTCTTTTCCCTGGCCTGTTTCCCCATCTCTAAAACACCCCTGGGTGGGCACTTGAATGGAACAGCAGCAAAGCCTGGCCTCTCTCTGATGTTCTGTCCTCTATGATCTATGCACAGAGGTTCTGCCCTGCGCCTTTATGGTAGCCCATGGTGAGCAGGGTCCTCAGAAGGTCACTTCCTCCAGCCCCCACCCTCCAGGCAAGGTCACACATCTAAGGGCACTCCCAGCCCCTCCTCCTTCTGCCTCAAGAAGCCTTCACTGGCCAGGCCCAGTGGCTCACACCTGTAATCCCAGCACTTCGGGAGGCCGAGGCAGGAGGATCTTTTGAGGTCAGGAGTTCAAGACCAGCCTGGCCAACATGGTGAATCCCCGCCTCTACTAAAAATACAAAAAATTAGCCGGGCATGGTGGCAGGCACCTGTAGTCCCAGCTACTCAGGAGGCTGAGGTGGGAGAATCACTTGAACATGGGAGGCAGAGGTTGCAGGGAGCCGAGATCGTACCATTGCACTCCAGCCTGGGTGACAGAGCGAGACTTCGTCTCAAAAAAAAAAAGAAACCAGGAGTTTGAGACCAGCCTTGGCAACAAAACAATTCCCCCACTCAGCACTGGGACCTGAGGAAGGGCCTATGGGAGCCCCCCTACCTAAGGAGGGCATCAAGCTGATCATTGTCATACCCAGCATATCTGGGTGTCTTTACACCTACTATTTGATATCTGTGCACCAGAATCTAGACATCTCCCTGCCTGGAGCCTGGATAACCACATGCTCGAAATCTGGACACCTCACAGCAGTGCTGTTCACAACAGCCAAGAGGAGGATACAACCAGAATATCCATCAGTGGGAGGCTGGATAAACAAAATGTGGTCCATCCATGCAACGGAATACTCTTCAGCCACGCAGAACAAGGGATGGAGTGGATCCATGCCACAACCCGGACGAACCCTGAAACCATGAAGCTGAAAGGCAGAGGCCAGAAACGAAAGACCGCATATCGGATGATTCCATTTATATGAAATATTCAAAATAGGCAAATCCGTGGAGACAGAAAGTAGATTAGTGGCTGTCAGGGATGCGGGGGATGGGAAAATGGGGAGTGATCGCTTAATGGGTATGAGGTTTCCTTTTGGGGTGATGAAAAAGTTCTGGAATTAGATAGTTGCATAACATTGCCAGTGTACTCAATGCCACTGAAATGTACACTTTAAAATGGTTTACACTGGTAAATTTTATGTTCTGTGTATGTTACCACAATAAAAAAGAAGTTTAAAGTCTGGGCACAGCCTGGGCAACATGGAGAAACCCCATCTCTACAGTTTTTTTTTTTTTTTTTTGAGATGGAATTTCACTCTTGTTGCCCAGGCTGGAGTGCAATGGCGCAATCTCAGTTTACCGCAACCTCCGCCTCCAGGGTTCAAGTGATTCTCCTGCCTCAGCCTCCCAAGTAGTTGGGATTATAAGCATGCACCACCATGCCTGGCTAACTTTGTATTTTTAGTAGAGACGGAGTTTCTCCATGTTGGTCAGTGTTGTCTTGAACTCCAGACCTCAGGCGATTTGCCCGCCTCAGCCTCCCAAAGTGCTGGGATTACAGGCGTGAGCCACCGTGCCCAGCCTGCAAAAAATTTTGAAAATTAGCCGGGTGTGGTGGTGAACGCCTGTGGTCCCAGCTACTTGGGAGGCTGAGGTAGGAGGATGGCTTGAGTCTCGGAGATCGAGGCTGCAGTGAGCCGTGATAACACCACCGCACTACAGCCTGGAGCAAGCCCCTGTCTCAAAGAAAAACAAACAAACAAACAAACACAACAAAGAGAAAGTCTGGATACCCCCCCGGCCTCATCCCATGCCTCAAGCCCAGCCCAGACTCCATGCAGGGCTCTTGGTGCGGCCGCTCAGGCCCCAGCACATAGCAAGCCCAGGACGATGGGCTGAGGAGCAGCCCCGTGTCATTGCTGTGAATAGTAAACAACGATAGAGTGTATTTTTAAAGTTTTCCCTAATGCAGATTCCCAAGCAGCAACCAGGACACTCTGATTACCCACCGGCTCCCTCAAGATAATGACACACGAGCGGAGTGGGCCACGGGGGTCCCTGAAGGACAAGTCTTCAACTTGGAAAGTACAGGCTTCTTGAGGCAGGAGGAAGAGGGGCTGGGAGCGTCCTTCAGATGTGTGACCCTACTTGGAGGGCCGGGGCCGGAGGAGGTGATCTTCTGAGGCCCTTCTCCCCGTGGGCTACCACAAAGGCACATGGGCTGGACGCTCCCTGGTATCTGGGTAGTGTCTGTCACCTCTCACCCCTTCCCTGCCAGCTCCACTTCCAGCCGTCCCCAGATGTACCAGGGACAAGAGCACAGGGAAGGTCTTCCGCATCGTCAAAGTCCTTGCCAATGTTCTGACTCAGTTTACCCAGCAGGTTCCCTTTCTTGCCCTGCTCCCTGAAGGCTGGGCTTAGGGATGTGGGATGGGGACACCGGGCCCACTGTCATCAGAGCAGAACCGGCAATGCCGGCATCAGTGTGCATTCTGGTGGCGGGGGGCCAGCAGCAGCCTGCACTCCCCTCTGATGTGTCTCACATGGGACCTGACTACTCAGACCTGACATGCTCAAGGTCTCCCAGCAAAGAGGCCACAGAGTGGGAGCTTGAACTCCCGGCAGATGGTCCACATTTGCTCTCACGTCTCAAGCTGGTACTCAGTAATGGCAGAACAGAGCAGGTGCCAACTCAGACCCTGGAGTCAGACAGTCCTTCCCCTGGGGAACCTCAGGCCAGGCAAGTCACTAACTAACCCCCAAGGCCTCCGCTTCCCCATCTGTAACTGGGCTGGGGAGGATTGTGGAGACCACGCATGTGATGTCTCAGTCTCAGCACTGTGCTGAGGAAATGGTGACCATTATTCCAAAGATGAGGCCAAGTCCCAGGTCTGGGTGGCCTCACCCTATCCCAACCTCCCTGGGTCCCACCTGGCTACCTGGCCAGGACTGGCCAGAGTTCCCCGCCCCACTGCGTTAGGAGGCTGGTCTCTGACACCATGAGGCCCAGCCCAATACTGGCCACTTGTGATGGAGCACTCACTCACACGCTTTGCCAAATAATCTCTAAGCAGCCCTGGGAGAGAGAGACTGTTGTCCTCACTGTACAGATGAGGAGACTGAGGTCCCAAGACGCGGAGGACTTGCTGCATGTGGGATTCAAAAGTGGTTTTCCCTGATCCAAGAGCTGTTGCTTTCAAACACCACGCAATGACCGAATTGGGGTGGGGGCTGCCATGGTGTAGAGTGGTGCCCCTGCAATTATGCAATTCCTGCAGGGAACACATTTGTCTGGAGTAGGGGGTACAGCTCATCAAATTTTCTTTTTCTTTGTTTTTTTTTAGATGGGGTCTCGCTCTGTCACCCAGCCTGGAGTGCAGTGCCACGATCTCGGCTCACTGCAACCTCCGCCTCCCAGGTTCAAGTGATTTTCCTCTCTCAGCCTCCTGAGTAGCTGGGATTACAGGTGTGGGCTACCATGCTTGGCTAATTTTTGTATTTTTAGTAGAGATGGGGTTTCACCATGTTGGTCAGGCTGGTCTCAAACTCCTGACCTCAAGTGATCTGCCCACCCTGGCCTCCCAAAGTGCCAGGATTATAGGCATCAGCCATGGCTCCTGGCTTCATCAGATTTTCAAAGGGATCAGAAGCAGATCTCTGTTTAGGTCCCAGCTCCTGTAGTGATTGACTCTGCAGCCCTGGGCAAGTCACTTCCTCCACTGTGCCTTAGTTTCTCCATGTTTCAAATGGGGGGTTAGACTGGAAAATCTCTAAGGTCCCTCTAAGCACTGACATTTGCTCATTCTAGTATTCTCTCCTCCACGCTGCCTCCTCATCCTAGCCCTGGCCTCCTTGACATAGCGTTGCAAACAGCCACAGGCCCAGGCCAGCAACCAGACTGGGGGCATGTCAGGGAGAAGAAGAAGGCTGACACCCAATCAGGGAGAAGAAGGAGGCTGACACCCAATCAGGGAGAAGAAGGAGGCTGTCACCCAATCAGCGAGAAGAAGGAGGCTGACACCCAAGAGCTTGGGGCTGGGCTTACTCTACTTCGCTTCCCCAACGTTCCCCTGTTCCTATTCTCCCCTGAGGTCAAAGAGGGCCCCAGCCAGACCCCGTCCAGGGGCCCCTGATCCCCTCCAGACCCAGTGACCCCTGAGCCAGCTGCAGCCCACCCATCTGGTGAGATGTAATTGGTTTCAATTGACAACCATAACAAGAAGGCTCTTTTAGGAAACTTCAGAAATGGAAGGGAGGCCATTAGGAAATTTACATTTGCGAATATGATGTTTAATTAGCAATACCAATAAATTAATAGGAGAATCTTGCTGCGGTTCTGGGTTCATAAAACACCAGCCTCAATCAGCAGAGGAGGAACGCAGCCCGAGGCAGCCTGAGGGGAGGGGACGGGGACAGGAGCACTCCAGGTTGCAGCTCCTCACAGGGACCCTGGGCCCATGCCCCACACCCCTGCCCCAGCCCCTCCCTTGATGGAGTGTGGGGCAAAATGAAGCCAGCATGGACCGTGGAATTAGGAAGATCTCGGTGAGTATTCTGGTTCAGCCACTTATTCCCTGGAGAGGCCACTCAGCTTCTGAGCCTCCATGTCCTTATCTGTCAAATGGGGACAGTGATCATAGTACCCACCTCATAGGGTTGTTGTGAAGATTAAAGCAATTAATATGGGTAAAAACACCTGGAACAGAAAGAAGCTGGCACAAAGTAAGTGTTAAGTTATTAGGCAGCGGCTGCTCCCACGATTACTATTATTAATGGGGTGATGAATGGGAAGCCCCTGCCGAGGAGGAAGGACCTGGTAAACACTAGGGTGTTACTGGCTTTGAATTTTTCTTTCCCAAGCCTAATCCTCTCCTCTGGACTCCTGGCCACCTGGAGGGGTCATCCTGATGGCTCTTACCACCCGATCTTGCCCTGGCCTGGGGCTCTGACTGTTTTCCCCTTGGAGTTATGGCTGGTGATTTGACTGCAGAGGCCATGGCTAGCTCATTGTTATATCCCCAAACACATTTATAAACAAACATGAGATACCCACTTCTGGCAGGTGCTTCCGCAGCTTGCAGACCATCCATAGCTCCCAGTTGATCTCAGGACTTTGCTCAGGCCCCTCCTCAGTGCTGCCCCATGGCTGCCTGGGATCCAGCTACCTCATCTTCCACCTCTGGGGCCTAAGGCACCATCTTCTGCCACAATGCTGGGCCTTTCCCGCTCCCCAAGTGTGCCAGCTCCCTCCTGCATTTAGGCCTTTGCATATGGCGGAGCTGGTCTTGGAGTGTCCTCCTCTGACTGATAAACTTCTGCTTCTTCTCCAAGGCCCAGCCTTACCAAGCCCCCTCTGACTCCAAGCCAAGAATCAGAGTCAGCTCAGGGGGACTGGGACCCAGGAGGCCTTAGTCATCAGACCTCCTCCTCCTCCTTTTCCATGCCACGACTGCTGTGCCCAACACTATAACAGGGTCTCGCTGGTCCCTTTGAAGAAGCTGGTACATGGCCGGGCGTGGTGGCTCATGCCTGTAATCCCAGCACTTTGGGAAGCCAAGGAGGGTGGACAAACTGAGGTCAGGAGTTCAAAACCAGCCATGGTCAACGTGGTGAAACCCCGTCTCTACTAAAAATACAAAAATTAGCCAGGTGTGGTGGCGCATGCCTGTAATCCCAGCTACTTGGGAGGCTGAGGCAGGAGAATCTTTTGATCCCAGGAGGTGGAAGCTGTAGTGAACCGAGATCACGGCATTGCATTCCAGCCTGGGTGACAGAGTGAGACTCTGCATCACAAAAAAAAAAAAAAAAAAGAAAAAAAGAAAAAGAAAAGAAAAGGCTGGGCACGGTGGCTCAGGCCCGTAATCCCAGCACTTTGGGAGGCTGAGGAGGGCAGATCACGAGGTCAGGAGATCAAGACCATCCTGGCTAACACAGTGAAACCCTGTCTCTAATAAAAATACAAAAAAATTAGCCAGGCATGGTGGCAGGTGCCTGTAGTCCCAGCTACTCGGGAGGCTGAGATAGGAGAATGGCGTGAATCCGGGAGGCGGAGCTTGCAGTGAGCCAAGATTGTGCCACTGCGCTCCAGCCTGGGCAATAGATCGAGACTCCGTCTCAGAAAAAAGAAAAGAAAAGAAAAGAAAAAAGGCTGCAACATGACCCGGAACTGTCCTCTGTAGGCTCAGAGCACTCACCTTCTATAGGTCCCAGAAGACCTGCTCAGTGCCTCCTCCCAAGAAACCCCCGCCCCCAGCCATTTCCCCAGCCTCTGCCCTCTCATCTGTCTTGGTTCCTTCCTCCCCACCATGTTTCCTCATTGCGTTATAATAATTTGGTTGCTGGCTGACTCTTTCCTTGAGTCTTGGCTCCTCGGCACTGGGCCATCCATCTCTTGCCCTCTCCAGGAACAGAGTCTGCTCTGCCTAAATGGATGAATAAAGAAATGAATAAATCAGGGAGTGGATTTAAATGTTGCCTCCTCCAAGAAGTCCTCCCTGACTTTCCCAGCTCTTTTTTATAACCATTGCATGTATTTATTGTCTGTCTCTCCACCAGATTGTCAGCTCTTCTAAGGCAAGGACCTTGTCGTTTTATTTACCACTGCTTCCTGGCACCTGTCCTGGAGCTTGTCACGTGACTATGCTAACAAGTATTCCCTGGATAAGTGAATGAATGAATGAGTAAATGAATATCCAAATGAATGAAGGACTGAGTGAATGAATCAATGACTGACTGGATGAATGAATGAATGAGCAAACGACAGAAAGAATGAATGGATTTGATCATGAATGATGATGGAAAGGGCTCAGCTTCTCCTGAGCCTTGGTCCCACCAAGATCTTGTTTCCTCAACTGTTTATTAAGTTGTATAAAGTGCATAGAAAACATGACAATAATTCAAGCAGATACAACAACAGGTAATTAATTGCATTTCCAAAATTTGATCCATGCACATGAATGAATGGGAGGTCATAGATTCAGTGGAGGAGGAGCCCCCATGCTCTCCAGGGAACAGAGGTGGGAGGGTCTTTGCAGAGTGGAGCTCTCAGAGGTTGATCCCTGGGGAGGTTCTGTCCTCCCCACTACCCTCTTTGCTTGGCCCTAGCTCCCAGTGAGAAGGGGTGTTTAAGGAGGGACTATACAGGGATGGCCAAGGAGGGGTTGCCCCAGGAGCTCACAACCATAGAAAGTCTGTGGTGGTGATTTCCACGAGGTGGGGAGAGATGACTAGTAGCTCAGCACAGAGCAGGAGAATGGGTCCCCAACCCAAATCCACCAACTGCATGAGGAGGCCCTGGATGCTTGCTTTAAAAATGCAGAACTTCCAATCCCTGCCTGGATGCTCTGGGCATAGAGATCTGAGTGGGATCTGTGTCTATATTTTAAACAAGCTCCCCAGGCTTGTTTAAAGTTCTGAAAACTTTGCTGGCTAACCTCAGGTAGCCCCTCAGGTCCTAGGCTCAGAACTACCCTCTCTCCTCCCTAACCCCCTCTCAAGAAAAAGAGTCTACCCTGCACCCAGGAGCACCAGGGGCAGGACAGAGTCTGGATTGGAGGACAGCTGTCCTGGAGTCCAGGATGATGGGAGAGGCAGAGACACCTCCCCACTCCAGCCGTAGCAGTGTGACATTAGTTACCACGGCCAGAAGCAGCTTTGGTGACAAGGGACAGTTGGGGGGGTGAGGTCCCTCTAGGCCCCAGCACAGAGAACTGAGTTTCAGCTCAGAGTTCTGCTGGGAAAATGTCATCTCCTCCAGGAAGGCTTCTGAGCCTCCAGGCTGAACTGAATACTCCTGTGTCTGGCTCCTAAAAGGCAAGGAGCCCACCTGTCTCCCCCAGCTCTCATTTCACGCATTCTACGGAAAAGTGAGCATCCTCCCTCCCCTTTAAGAGAGCTGGGGCTGAATCTGGCCCAATGCTGGCTCCAGAGCCTGTACAGCCAAGGTGGGCACTGCTGATGACAAGTGTAGCTGGCAGGCGTGAGACCACCCGAGTGGGCACTGGGCCCCCATCATATCCTTTGGTCTACCCAGAGGGCATCTGCAGCTTCTACTGACAGTTCCCGTCACTCCAACTCAAGTTCCCCAAGGACATCTCTCTGGCCATAGGAGCAAGCTTGGCCCCCTGTGACTTTCAACCAATGACAGATGACAGTTAGTGGATAAATAAGTACCTCCTCCCCGCTCCCAACACCTCTTGGGACAGTCTGGAGCGGAGATCCGCAGGCTCTGCAGGGTCCCCAGGTGAGCTGAGGACCGGCCACCCACACAGGAACTGGCCTGTGACACGGCTTCCTGCATTTTGCCTCCCCTCTCTCTTACCGTTTTCTTTGGGGATCACGCCCAAATAAAGGAGGGGTGAGACCCCCAACTTACTAACAAGAATTATCTTAGCAGACAGAATTATCTTGGGCCGTCCTGCGGGACTCTACACATCCCTCCTCTCTTCTGGCCCATGCACCCCCCTGGGACACAGGTAGAGTTTTTATTTCCAGTTTACAGATGAAGGAACAGAGAGGTAAGACTCCTTGGTCAAGGTAACAGAGCCAAGCAAAAGGCACATAGGGGCTGGAATCCAGGCCTCGCCTGAAGGAGCAAGATTCCAGGGCAAAGGTTGCTAATGGTTGTCAGATATCATCACCTTAAACCGTTGTTTCCTTAAGAGCCAAACGATTTGGGAAACTCTTGTGGGAACCACGTGTTTGCATGTGTGGCCCACTTCATGCATTTGCCTTGCCAGTCTAGGCCCAGGGCAATTGAGTTTGCAACTCATTTTTAGTGACGCAGACCAACTGCTGCTCCAATGGGGAGGGCTTGTAGCCCAGCGCAAGGTTTGAATCTGATCTCCTGGACATGGGGTCCGGGACACAAAGCAGCGTCTGGGTGGGGGGATGGAGTTCCTCTGCCCAGCTCCACGCCTCTTGGCTCATCTCTGAGCAGCTGTGTGATCTTTGGCCCATGGCCGCACCTCTCTGGGCCTTGCTTTCCTCATCTGTAATATGGGGCTTGCAATCTGAATGTGTGGAGTGTTGCTGGGACGAGAGATCTCAACACGAGCCAGCATCTCAGCAGATGCTCAACAAATGGCCCTGGGTCCCCAGCCCCTGTGATGGTTGTTTCTGCCTTCTGGCTTATTAAGGCTGGGCAGGGAGTCAGGGCACAGCAGGAACCACGGGGGATGGAAGGGGGGTGTCATTAGAATCTGTTCTCAGTGAGGAGAGGCCATGAGGCCGAGAGGCTGGCCCAGCTCCCCAGGGGCCTGCGTGATTGGGAGCTAAAGCAGCTGCCTGAAAGAGGCCTCTGCTCTCCTCATTACCTGCCTGTTAGCAGGACTGGCAGGCTTGAAGAACAGGCGACTGCGTGCAGGCTGATCCCCAGAGAACACAGGCATCTTAGGGGACACTCCAAGCCCGGCGGGGGCCTGCTCTTGGTCATCGCTCCCCCCACCGTGTCCTCTACCACCCAAGCAGATCGTCTGCAGCCAAGAAGATCCAATCCTCCCACCAAGAAGACCCCAGGAAGACACTTCCCGGACCCTTATTCTAAAACCACACAGACCCATCTATACACAGTGGGCTTTCCCGTATTTCATTTGAACTTAAAAAAAAAAGCCTTCATATCTCAACGTTGTAAATATTCTGCAGAAACTTGGAAACTCTTATGAAATTGTTTGTACTCATTTTTATAAACGAATGAAATCTCCTTCTCTGCTCTGTCCTTCCGAGCCTGTCCTTCTCTGAGGCTGCAAGTCCTGGTCCAGAAGCCCTGGGGTGAGGGTGAGACGGAATGGGGGGGTCCTGGTCCCCACTGCACCGCGAACCCGGGAGCACAAGAAGGGGCTCTGGCTTGGGCTCTGTGCAGCCTCCCCCGCCTCCCCAAACTCATTCCTCGGTCTTGGCGTGAGTAGGAGGCTGCTCCCCTGACGTGGAGGGTGGGGGAGGAGGGCCTGGCCGGGTCGGGGTTGAGGCGGGGATAGAGGCAGGAGCTCCCTCCCGGGTGGGCAGGGACACGTGCGGGTCCTGGGTCCGGCCGGGTTCGGGCGCGGCGGGGCCGTCCCCGCGCCGCCCGCGGCCGCCGGTAGGGGGCGCCTTGGTCATGCATTATTCATCGCCGGCGCCCGCCCGCCCGCGCCTCCCTCACGGCCCCCGCGCGGGCTGCGGGCTGCGCCGCGGAGCGGGAGCGCGGAGCCTTCACAATATTGTGGCAGCTCCGCGAGTGACGGATCCGGGGAGGCGGGGGCGCGCAGCCTCGAGCGGCTGCGGGGGCGGCGGGGGTTGGGAGGGGTCCCGGGGTGGGGGCGAGGCTGGGTCACCCGGCCTCGAAGCGGGCTCAGGCGGGGGGCTGGCCGAGCGGAGGGCGGAGGCTGCAGCGTCCGTCTGTCCGTCCTCCATCGAGTCAGCTGGGGCAGAGGGAGCATTGGCTCAGCGTGAGGGGCGGGGGATGTGATGGGGAGCAAGGTAGGCGCGGCCCCATCGTTCTCAAACTTACATTCAAAGGTTGCGGGGGTGGGATGCCGATCCAAAGCATGTAAACAGACAAGGAAGATAATTCCAGGCGAGCGCTCTGCAGAAAATAAAACTCGGCTGGGGCTGTTCGGATGGCCAGGGAGGTGACGTTTGTGCAGAGACACTACTGGCAAAGAGGGGCCTGACCTTGGCCAGTCCCTGGGCCACTGGAGTTTCTCTCTGCCCGGCCCCTGGCCTTCTAAAGGTGCTGTAAAAGTCAGCACCCCAAAACCTACACACATCCTGAGAAGCAAGGAGGAGGGTCTTGGGGAGACCCTGCTGCGGGCTGAGGCCCTGAGATGGGGTTCCTGCCCAGCCTTCTTCTGGTTACAGCAGCCAGTAAGCTCTGGGGCCCTGGGCACTGGACATCAGAAGGGTCAGGTTCAAGGTGCCCCCCCTCCCCACTCCTGCACGGGGCGCTGGGCTGGGGAAACTTGGGATCCTGGAGTCTGAGCAGCTCAGCCCCTGGTGGGGGGCTTGGTCCCTCGGCCTCCCAGCCCTCAGCTCCAGGGCCGGGGCTGGTGGGGGGGCAGGTGGGGGGGCAGGTTGGGGGGCAGGTGGAGGGCGTGGGCTCAGGGTCACAAGCATCGGATTTCCTTTCACTTGTACAAAGACTCATTGACGCCTGAGCACATCAATATCCTTAATGACAGTGAGAGGAGCTGGGACTCCAGACGGCCCAGCCCGAGCCCCCCACCCCGCCTCCGCCTCTCCTGTCCTCTCCCCTCCCGGCTCACTCTTCCTTCCTCCTTCTCTCCTGATTCATGTCCCCTCTCTCCTTCTCACTCTCTCTCTCCTTGTTCCGTTCCTCTCCCCTCTCTCTCCCTCACTCCTGCTTGCCTCTCTCCTTTCCTCTCCCCTCCTCTCCCTTGGGTCCTGGTATCTTTCCTCTTCTTTTCTTTCTTTCCTTTTTCTCTCAGCTGTCTCCTCTCCTCTCTTCTCTCCCCTCCCCTCCTTTCCTTCTTCTCTCCCCATTCCCAGGACCTCACAGCTCTTGGGCATTCACAAACTTTCACCCAGCGAGCTGGAGGCTCCAGTGGGCAGCCCCTCTGTCTGTCTGTCTGTCTGTCTGTCTGTCTGTCTGTCTGTCCTGGCCAAGGCAGGCTTACACAGTGGGGCCCTGGGAGAGGCTGCTCCGCTCTCAATCCCGCAACCGCGGTCCCGGAGGGCCCTGGGCTTCTGCCTTTCCCGCGGGCCCCAGGCTACTCTGGGAAATGAAAATGGCAAGTTTGGGTGCGGGGCACCATGGGTGAGGAGAGAGTTTTGGGGAGGATTTTCTGTTTTGTATTTTTTATGACCATATATAATTTCGCATTTCTCCCCTCAGCCTCTGCCTCCTTGGCTCCCAGATGTGTCCCACATTGAAGAATTATCTCTCCTCCCTAGAGTGAAATAAATGCAATCAATATGAGTATTGCTCTCAGGGCCTTGAAATATTACATTAATGTTCCATGTGGTGACATTTTAGCTGGAATTTTCAAATACATTATGATGGTTCAAATTAATATTTATCAGATCAGCTTTTATATTTTGCAAAAGAGAGAGAGAGGGAGAGAGGGAGAGAGAGAAAAGGAAAGACAGAGAGAGCATTATTAAAATACGAAATGCAGATCAAGTCTAAAATCGATGGTCCATTTTCCCAGCACTTTCCAGGGGCTGTCTTTAGCTTTCTGGGTTTGTTTTTAAATTTATTGGTGTTTCAGGCAAATCTATTGGGCTCCCTCGGCCCCCTGGTCCTTCTCCCCTCCCTGCTCCCCTTGCAGGCTACAGGCCCCTTCCTTTTCTGTCTTTCTCTCTTTATTATCCTGAAATGTAAATTACGACATTAGCCCGGTCCTTATTTTTTTTTTAAACTCTCCGATGATTAAATCTGCTACACGACATCCTTGTCCTTTCGATAAATTAAATCATCTTGGCTTTGCACCTCCAGCTCAGAGAGGATGCCACATGGGTGTTGAGGCAGCGGGCAGCTCTGGCTGAGGGCTGGGGTCCTTGTCCCCTCCTGGAGCGGACACTGGGGGCCTTTGTGTAGGGCAGAGGGGACGCCTTCCTAGCTCCTTGTGTTTCTGTAAATAAGAAATGGGGACTGGAGGGAGGAGGTGATGGCAATCATACATTCCACTTTATTTCAGTCTCTTCCAAACTGATTACTCTATGAAGTGGAAAATCCAGGCAGATTAATGGTTTAATTCTCTTTTCTCTTTTCTTTTGCTTTCCCCCCACTCTGCCTCCTATTTTGTTTTTTTCTCTCTCTCTCTTCTTTTTGCATCTTTTTTTCCCTTCTTGGAGCTGTATTCAAGAAAAGACTCAGGAGCTTAGGGGAGATGCACACAGAGGTGAACGTGGTTCTCAGAGGAAGGACAGCAGGTCCAGCTAGGAGATGTTCCCAGCCCCACCCCAGCTCTGTCTGGAAGCTCTGCAAGGGTTAACAATGCCCGCTCCAGCCCTTAACTTTTTCTCTTTGGTGATTTTCTGTTTTCTCTCTCCTCGAGTTCTGGGCGAGAGTTTGAACTGGAGCAAGTGTTTATCGTCAGGTGCACAAAGGTACACACACACACACACACACACACACAACTGCAGATCCCACACGCGCACACGCAAACACGCACACAAATACAGCAATATAGACACTCTGAGAAGATCTCCATAAAGCGAGCTGCCCTCCTGATTTCTCTCCGCTGCTGATCTGGCCAAAAGAACGACAGGAAACTTAAAAGAGAAAAGGAGGAGGGATCGATTATTCGACCTGTACTTGAACCCGACTGAAAGAGATAAAGCGGAATTTTCAATAGGTCCCCTGCCCTTTTCACCAGGAGGGAAAGAGGAGAAGAAAAACAAGAGATATTTATATGACAGCAGCTGCTGAAAATAGCATTTCAGTGCCATAAAAAAAGGCAAAAAGAAATTCAATGGTAGAAAAGGCAAGAAACTCCTCGTCTGCTCCCCAAAAGGCAAAGCAGGCAGTGAGTGTCCCTGGCTGGAAATGCATGCATGCGTTCTATAGATCTGTTTGAAATTATACTTGTCATTGAGGGGGAATTTATGCTTCTATTGATCTGCAAAAGGAAAATATTAAATGGTTTGGTTTTGATCTTTCGGTGACCCCAAGGTCAAGGGTAGTAGCAGATTAGTATTCATAGAATTCATCACGGAATTGCAGCCTGCATCCACTTTATGCAAACATGCTCAAAACACGTCTGGTGAAGCAGGCAGCAAATGGCCAATGACAGGGAAAAAGCCAACAGCACCCCCTCCCACCCCGAGGGGCTCTCCCTCTTTCAACCCCTCCGGGAGAAAAGGAAACAGCAGAGGGCTGTTGTTGGATGGATGATGGCAGACACCCCCCCGACTCTCGTGGGCCTGCACAAAAGGTGGGGTGCCCAGGTCGGGGCAAGTACACCAGGAGTTCAGAAGAACATCCTTGATGGTGTGAGCAGAAAGATCCAGGGATCAGGCTGGGGACCCGGGTGGACAGTGAGGGGCTCGTGTACCTGCAGCAAGACATCACTGGGGGAGCAATGAGGAGACAGGCGCACACACACACACACACACACACACACGTGCACACATTCAGCCAGTGGAAGCCTGGGTCTTTCCTGAAGGGGGGAACGTGGAGCACTCTCCCAGGGTGACATTGTTTCTCGTTCCACGCTAAGGAGCATCTTTCGTGTGAGGCGCCCAGGTGCCCAGCCGGGAAGGAGACAGGCCAGACGCGGCGCACATGCCTCCCAGAGCCCCCAAGTTCTTCCTGCTCTCCCTCCCTCAGTGGCCACGGGGCCCGAGTTCAAATGTGTGTGCAAAAAGGACACACGAGGAGCCCCCGAGACAGGCTGCAAACCCCCTCCTGCCTCGGTTCAGCATACAAGTGCCCTCTTAGCAGATTCTGTCCCCAATGTGGGAACATTTGGTCAGTAACAGAGTCACTTGCCAACGCACTAAAAATAACCCACCAAGCATATCCCTGCAATGGCAGGAATTCTGGCTGGCCCTTGTTCTGCCCGCTGATCAGGGGGCCAGTGGGGGCACAGATCCCCACTCCCACTGGGGGCTGGGGAGGGGGGAGAGGGGGCAGACTTGGGGGATGAGGGTCTCCTTCTCGGGTGACTGGTCCTCTGTGCTTAACCTGCATTATTCTTGCATTTAACACTCACAACATCCCTACTAGGCAGGGGTCGTTAACGTCCCATTGTATAGATGAGAACACCGAGGCTCAGAGAGGTGAGGTCACCAGCTTTAGGTCTCAGCTCTGTCCTGACACTCACGTCTGCTCTCTAAACTGCTGTGCTTCCTGACACTTGCCCTTCACAATTTAGGTGAATTCCAGGAAGGGTCCACATTTCAGCTGCGGACGGAAGGGAGTTTGGGATAAGGATAGGGGCTTGGAGGCCTTGGGGGGCTGGGGGCTGTGGGGAGGGAGAGCTAGAGTGGCCCCAGCTCTGCCTCCTCAGCCCTGCTAAGGAGGACAGTGTTCTGCCTATTAATCATGTTTCATTTATATTAGCTTGACTCGATCTACTGTATATTTGAAATGGATTTAATTTTAGATCACGCACTATGGAAGGGGGCCAGTTTGGTGTAAGGAGCATTATGAATATTTTCCATAAGCTGGATATACATTATCCAGGGACAGATATATGAGCAGCAGCACAGGGCTCCTGGCTGGGGGAAGGGAGCTGCTCTCTCCTCCCTTCCCCCGACTCCCCTGAATCCCAGGGTCACAGGGCTTTGGAGGGACCCATCTTGACACCCTGCCCCTGTGGGTGTGGTGGGCTGTCAGCCCCATCTTTCCCCTGCCTGTGACCTCATCCCCATTGACCTCAAAGCCGCCGCTTCTCCCAGCTCCTTGCCGACTGGCAGGCCTGAGAGATGTGTGCAAGGTGGGAGGGGCCCAGGACCGCACCAGATCCCAGGGCCAGGGGACACTGGCCTGACCTGCTCTGATTCCCCAGAGCTGTGGGAGGCACAGGGCATAGCCTGAGATACAGACCAGGGGGTGGGACTTGGAGGAGAAAGGCATCAGAACACCCACCTTCAACCCTAAGCTCTGATGGAGGAGGAAGCCAGGTTCTCGCTGGCAAGCTGATGGGTGGCACCTTCCAGCTCAGCCAAGCAGCAGTGGACAGGCTACACCTTCCCGAGAGCCCCCAGGCCTGGGCTGGGATGCCCCTTTCCTGGGGGCTGGCCGTGGGCCTGAGTCCTGAGGTCTTGTCCCTGACAGAGGGCATTAAAGCTAGAAGGCCCCTCTTGAGACAGCCTGTGACTCCAGACTCAAGCTGGGGAAACTGAGGCCCAGAGAGGATAAGGGTCTTGCTTAGGGTCGCAGAGTGAGCAGGGAAGGTGCACATAGGCACTTACTTGCCTAATGTTTTCGTGCTGTAACGTGCTTCCCTTGTTGGTTCTCCTCTGAGCCTCACACTGGCCCTGCCCCCTGAGGAAACTGACACTCATGGTGGTCGAAGGAGAAGCCCGTGGACGCACACTCACACTCACACTGGGGAACAGCAGAACTGAGTGTCAGAGGCCTGCTCCGCAGCTCTGTGTGAGCCACGTGTGGCATCGGACTTTACGGACAGAGGAAACCATAGCTTAGGAAGGTGATGACATTCATATCCACACCTAAACCTTTTCTCTTCCTGCACCTCAAATCTGTGCCCCCATTCCATTTCCTTATCTAGATAAGTGGCTCCACCATCTCCCAAGCTGCACATGACCCAAATCCGGCTTTCATCCCTGCCGCCACCTCTTCTCCCCCGCCACCATCACCACGACTGATCAGTCTTCCCGTAACTGACCCTCTCTGGTCTGCCTGCTTTTCTCCTTCACCCCCATCTCCTTTACCCAGGCTGCCACTGTCTCTCCCAGCCCACCGCATGGGCCTCCTGGAGTGTCCACAGAGTCTCTGCCAACTCCAGTCTGTTCCCTGCACCGTGGCCAGAGGACCTTGTTTAAACACAGCACAGTCACATTGCACACTCCTCCTCTTGGCATTCCTAGGACCAAATCCTGAATCCGGACGCTGGACAAGAAGGCTCGCCAGAGAGTGACTCCTGCCCAGTTCCCCAGAGTCACACCCTCCTCCCGCCTCTCCACCTCCAGGGTCAGCTTCCATGCCTTTCCAGCTCTTTACCTGCCGTGCGCCGTGACCCTCCACTCCAGGACCTCGGCACACACTGGTCTCTCGACCTGGACCTCTGCCCCCTTGCTCTGTACCTGGGGGTTGAAGGGTTTACTCCTCTGCAACCTGCAAGCTCTGTTTTGACTATTCCAGGGAGGCTCTCTGATCACACCTACCCTTCCCCACCCAAGTCTAGCTCAAGACCTACTTCTGCCTTTTGCAAACCCTGCAGCCGTAAGGGGATAGCTGGGGATGAACTCTCCACACCCAGCCGCTTTGGAAAAGCGCTGGGCCTGGAGCGGACAGGTATCAGCTGCTATTCCGTCCTCCCCACTACGGGCACATCCATCAGCTCCTCCGTCGGCGCAGAGTATAATACACCCGTCACCCACCCCAGCCTGGGCTGGCAGCCTTTCAGAAGTGGCATGCAACGTTTCTCTTATTCATTCTTAATTTAAGGTTTTGTGAGTTGTAATAACCCCCCTTCCCCCCAAATCACTGGGGATGGGGACCTCCGTGTCAGCCCCGGGCCAGGAGAGCTGAAGGGTAATTGCATTGCACATATGCTAATGGTTGTCTGGAGAAGACAATGGCAACAGGGGGCCTGGGATGGGGCCTATCTCAGTACCTAGAGTACCTGAGGGTGGGGGAGTGTGGGCTGGGTTTGGGGGACTGGTGTTGCAAGCCAGATGGGGGCATTGAGGGCTTGTGTGCTCCGCAGTCCGTAGTAGAGAAGATGAGAGAGGCTGGGAGTCCCAGTCTAGGGGGCTTTACTGGAGACAGATGCCCTGGAAAGGGCCTGAAAAACCCCTTTCTTCCTCCAACTCCTCCTGTCCCACCCCAGAGTGCAGGCTGCTCCCCTCTTTTCTGGGACCAGAGATGGCTCTCAAAGAGAAGGAGAACTGGGGCACATGGATGTTGCACTGGGCACTCAAATCCTGGTCCTGCCTCCTACAACCTGTGTAGCATCAAACAAGCTACTGAACCTCTCTGAGCCTCAGTTTCCTCATCTTTAAAAGTTTTTGTTTTTTTTTTGACAAGGTCTTGCTCTGTTGCCCGGGCTGGAGTGCAGTGGCGTGATCTCCACTCACTGCAACCTCCCCGTCCTGGGCTCAAGCAATCGTCCCACCTCAGCCTCCAAGTAGCTAAGAGCACAGAGGAGCACCATCATGTCTTTTTTTTTTTTTTTGAAATTTTTGTAGAGACAGGGTTTCACCATGTTGCCCATGCTAGTCTCGAACTCCTGGACTCAAGCGATTCACCCACCTCAGTCTCTCAAAGTGCTGGGATCACAGGCATGAGCCACTGTGCCTGGCCAAAAGTCTTTTTTCTTTTTTTTTTTTTTTTTTGAGACAAAGTCTTGCTCTGTCACCCAGGCTGGAGTGCAATGGTACGATCTTGGCCCACTGCAACCTCCACCTCACGGGTTCAAGCAGTTCTCCTGCCTCAGCCTCCCAAGTAGCTGGGATTACAGGCGCCCGACACCACTCCCAGTTAGCTTTTGTATTTTTAGTGGAGATGGGGTTTCACCGTGTTGGTCAGGCTGGTCTCGAACTCCTGACCTCAGGTGATCCAACCACCTCAACCTCCCAAAGTGCTGGGATTACAGGCGTGAACCACCATGCCTGGGCAAAAGTCTTTTTTTACTCGTACCTGCCTCTAGGTTGTTCTACGCTTTAAAAGAGATAAAACACAGAAGCAAGTTGCAGAGCACTTAGCATAGATAGGTCTTCAACGAGTTAAGTGATGGCTGAAGTTTTTATGACTATTGAACTAAGGTGGGTCTGCCCACAATCTGTGATGAGCTGGGGTGTGGGACTCCTGACTTCCTACCTGGAAGGGAGGTGCTTCCAAGATGGAGAGAGGGTCTTGAGGCACCAATGTTCCTTCCTCGGAGGTCTTCTGCCACCTCCCATCAGAGGAGGCTCCTTCTCCCTTTCCCTCTCCCTTCGCCCTGCAACATGCTCCTGCTTCCTTCACTAATTCCAGCTTGTGATGAGATATTTGTTTTCTTGCTTATTGTCTGCCCCCTCTCCAGACTGTGGGTTTATCATAGTGCCTGGAAAAGGCCTGGCACATAGTAGGTGCTCAATACATATTTTCCCACTGAAGGAGTGATTGATTGACATCCATGCAGAAAAGTGGGGGGTGAGGGCATGTGGATCAGAATTCAGGCAGGGGTGGTCTCCTGGACCCATGTTCCCTCTGTCTTGGACCTCAGGAATGACACCTGTCACTCACCTGCCCTGCCCTCCCTAGGGCCCCATGCCCGTTGTGTCACTGGCATGGACCTTTCCTACCTCCCTGTGGATTCAGGGCTGATGGGGAGCCAGGACGCCCTCTGGGCATGGGTGTGGAAAGGACGGTGCTTTCCAGGCCGCTGTCCCCAGTGTCCCCTCCCAGGCACTTCCCTCTTGGTCTCCACCAGGCCACGCAAGGCACCTGAGGCCCACCACCGCCTGGCAGCTAAAGGGTCCCTGGGGCAGCTTGGCTGTTCCTTCTAAGGGTCTTATCAGGGTTACTTCCCTTCCCCTTGACCAGGGAGCCAGAACCCAGCGTTTTAAGCAGGTTTTGAGAGGGTCGCGTCCTCCTGGAGAGTGAATGATAGTGGCCAAGGAAGTGGCCGATGAAGAAACTTTGGTGATGCCTCCTCCTGCGGCCCTGGTCCCACTGCTGTGGCCCACTGGGAACCAGGTCACCCAGATCTCAAATGCGTGGCCTCACTGGCCCCAGTGCCAAGGAGAGCCAAGAGGTTGGCAGCCGGCTCTGGCTCATGCCAGAAAGTCTCTGAGCCGGTCCAGCCTGTGTCCCCGGGTGTGGGTCCTTCATGGCCCCAGGGAGCTGCCCGCTCCACCCACCAGGCCCACAGTGAGGGCCAGGCTGAAGCCAGTAGCTCCTCTCAGAAATTCTGAGCAGTGTGGCTGAGGGAGAAAATAGATCCGATGACGCTGATGCCAGAGGATGGGACTTCCAGTTACGGAGGCCATGTGCTGGGGGTGGGGGCGGGGGGGATGTCTGTGACAGAGACAGAGCCGGAGAGAGAGGAAGAGAGTCAGGGAGGCGAGAGACAGAAAGAGGTAGACACCAAGGCAGGAAGCAGATGGAGAGAAAGAGAGAGAGACAAAAAGAGGTAGCAATTTATCTAACAAAAGATGGAGAGACAGAGACAGAGAGCAAGAGAAAGGAGAGAACGGGAGGGAGAGAGAGATGATGAGAGAGTCTCTCAGAGACAGAGACACACAGAGGGATACTGAAGCCAAGAAGTGGGGTGCCTGGCCAGGGGCCTCTGCAGAACGCAGAGGGGGGGACCAGAACGCAGGAGGTGGAGGCAGGTGGAGCCCGGCGTGTCCGTGCGTGTCGGCTCTGGGACCGTCGGTGCACAAGACACACTGCTAGGCTCAGGGTCATTCGGTGAATTCGATGGAAAATTGGAAAGTTGGGGGCAGGCGCTTTCCATGAGGAACACGAGTGGTCTCCTCATGTGACTACGCTCGTGTGTCTGTGATCACGGGTGTGGCGTGTGGAAGAGGGCAGGGCCCAGTTTCCCCCTCAGCTGTCAGGACTCTGCGTGCAGACAGCCCCGGCTAGTGGGCTGCAGGGCCGGGGTGGTGTCTGGTGGGGGGCGGCCAGACACACGCCCTCAGCAGGGGAGGCCAGGGAGCTGTCAGCAGCCCAGGGCCAGGCAGGCAGCGAAAGTGAGCCATGGCAGGGCCACTTCTCCTTGCCGCTGTTCACTTGACACTCTCTAACCCAGAAGCCACCTGTTCAGCCATCAGTCACCCAAGGAAAATACAGCTTTCCTGAAACTGGGAATCGGACAGAGAGTCCCAGGAGGGGGTGAGCAGGGGGAAATGCCCTCTCTCTGACACTTCCACGGGGCTCTGGGCCCACTCCCAGGCAGGCTGGAGGCCCAAGTCTGGCCTTCAAGAGCCATAAAAAAGTACACTCCCAATTAGGCACCATCCTGGTACATTTGGGGGGATTTGGGTGGCAGTGAGGGCCCCTGCAGAAATGCCCACCTTGGGGGTGGTGAAGAACCAGCTCTTGCTGGGGTGGCACAGCGAGGACTGTGCCTTGGAGGAGCTGCTGTGTGAACCACATGCCCCTGGGTGAGGACGGGGCAAGGGCTGGCGTGGGGTGGGGGTGGCACTTGAGCTGGGCCGGTGTTTTGGGGGCAGGCAGGGTGGCTGGGGCCTGGGAGGGCCCTGGCTTGGAGGCAGGTCTGGGGCTCTGCCCAGCAGCAGCGCCCTGGCCAACGGAGGCCTGGCTGTGCCCCGCCATGCCCCGCCTCAGATGGCTTGTTAATTTCATCGTTTAGCCCGTTTATGGTGTTCCCAGTTGCTGTTGCTTCTATAAACAAGCATTTTGGTGACCTTCCCCTCCGGACATCAGCTCCGCAAGAATCCCGAGCCCTGAACATTTATAAATAAGCCTTCTCTCAAGTTCCACAACAGGTGTGACCTCCCCCCCGCCCCCCTCCCCTGTCCTGTCCGAAAACTGAACAGTTTCAACAAGCAAAGGGAAGCCGCCCAGGCTGTCTTAAAGGGGTCGAGTGGAGGCCACTGTGCACTAGGCAGGGAGGGGCCTGACCCGCTTCCCCCTCCCTCGCCCAGGCTGGGGGTCCCAGGGGAGAGTGCCAGCCTGGTGGGCAGTTGACCCCTGACCCCACTTCCCCCTAACACCCCACCCCAGAGGCTGTGGACTGAGAGGACTCCTTGGCTGACAGAGTGTATCTGAGTCAGACCTCCCCTCCCAAGGGAAGCCTTATCAAGCCCCCAACCCCATTCCCCTCCACAGTTAGCTTCCCACTTCTCGCCGTCCTTGGCTCCACCCTGGTGAGTATAGAGACTTTCTGTCTCTTCTTCTCTGCCAAAAGCTCTCTGATTCATGATTTGCAACATTTCATACACATTTATTTAACAAGCATTCATTTGTTCAACAAATATTTTTTGAGCTCCTCCTCTGAGCCAGGCACTGTGCCAGGGATAGAAAGCTGAAGGAAACCCAGCCCTGCCCGCAAGGAGCTCACCCTCTAGTGGGGCAGACAGACAAGTGACAAGACAAGTGAACCGCAGGTGCCTTGGCTCCTGAGAAAGGGCTTTCAACCCAGACTTGGAGTCGAAACCCTTCCTGGGAGGGCTGACTCTTGAGTCCACCATGGAGGTTATGAGGGGAAGCACATTCCAGGCCAAGGAAACTGACAGGGCAGGGCACAGAGGCAAACACGGCCCATGGGGAATTGCAGTCATCTGGGCCAGAGCTCAGGGGTCTCAGCAGGAGTGGTAGGGAAGGAAAGACTTTAGGATCCCATCATCCCCGTGCCTATCGCCAGCAGCAGTGCTGGCCTTCGATTCAGAAACCCCAGAGAGCAGGGATCTTCCACATGACAACTGGTCCCCAGGGGAAAATAAACCTATAAGGTCCTTTCGTACTGGTCATGTAGGAGGACAAGATGGTGTTGTTGAAGGATGATGAAGGTGGTGATGGTGATGACTGAGAAAGATGAGGAGGGAGAATAGGAGGGTGATGACGATGATGGTGGATGATGATGGAATTGAAGATGGTAGTTGTCTCGGGTGAGCAGTGACTATCTGAGACCGGCATCACGAGGGCAGTAAGAAGACTTTACCAAGACAACTGTAGGTAAAGAAAGGCAGACATATTAGAGAAAGTATGAAAAGACGCTGCAAGAGTGCAATGGGCAGACCAGGAAGAGAGGATGATATGGTTAGGCTTTGTGTCCCCACCCAAATCTCATTTTGAATTGTAATCCCCAGGTGTTGAGGGAGATACCTGGTGGGAGGTGACTGGATCATGGGGCGGTTTCCCCCATGCTATTCTCATCATAGTGAGTGAGTTCTCCAAGATCTTGTGATTTTAGAAGTATTTGGAAGTTCCTCCTTCATTCACTTGGCTCTCTCCTGCTGCCTTGTGAAGAAGGTGCCTGCTTCCCCTTCTACCATGATTGTAAGTTTCCTAGGCCTCCTCAGCCATGTGGAACTGTGAGTCAATTACATCTCTTTCTCTTTCTTTTTTTTTCTTTTTGAGACAGAGTCTCGCTCTGTCACCCAGGCTGGAGTGCAGTGGTGCAATCTCAGCTCACTGCAACCTCCACCTCCCGGGTTCAAGTGATTCTCCTGCCTCAGCCTCTTGAGTAGCTGGGACTACAGGCACGTGTCACCACGCCTGGCTAATTTTCTATATTTTTAGTAGAGACGGGGTTTCACCGTGTTAGCCAGGATGATGTCGATCTCCTGACCTCATGATCCACCCGCCTCGGCCTCCCAAAGTGCTGGGTTTACAGGCATGAGCCACTGCGCCTGGCACACCTCTTTCCTTTATAAATTACCCAGTCTTGGGTATTTCTTTATAGCAGTTTGAGAACAGACTAATACAGAGGAGTTGACTGCAAGGAGACAAAGGCTTGCTGGGGATTTTACAGGATGGTGCTTGTACTGTGTGCTGAAGAGGGCTTTGTGCAGTACCGATAATGCCAAGGTTGCTGTGAGCTAACTTGCAGGTGTCTGGTGAGAAGTTGGGCTCAGGAGGGCTACATGTCCTGGACCATGAAGAAAGGCAGACTTAGAGCTTATCTGCTTTTTCTTTCTGCTTTCCCCTGCTCCTGCCAGCCTGACTCCTTTTCCCTAATTAGGACTCAACAGTGGTAGCAGATGGTGATGTGGATGTTGATCAGGATAGTAGTAGTGGTGATTTTGGTGGTGACGGTGGTAGTCATTGTAGTGGTTGTGATGTGATATGCTGATAGTGGTAGTGGTTATGATGACGGTGGCAATGGTGGTAATGATGGTGATAACAATAGTGGTAGTGATAGATGGTGATGATTATGGTGGTAATGATGGCAGTGATAATGATGGTGACAGTCATCCTGGTGATGGTAGTGATGGTGGTGGTGATGATGGTGGTGATAGTGGTAGTGATGATGGTGTTGATGAGGGTGGTGATGGTGGTGGTGATGGTGATGATCATAGTGGGGGTGCTGGTGCCTGTGCTGAGGCTAGTGATTGTGGGGATGGTAATGATGGTGATCAGGGCCATGGTGATGATGGTGGTGGTGGTGACAGTGGTGATGATAGTGATGATTGTCATAGTAATGATGA
This sequence comes from Homo sapiens, assembly GCF_000001405.40. Lineage (NCBI taxonomy): Eukaryota > Metazoa > Chordata > Mammalia > Primates > Hominidae > Homo > Homo sapiens. Next base: position 10,853,635 of record NC_000001.11, on the reverse strand, counting down.
TAGTGATGGCAATGGTAGTAGTGATGGTAATGATGGCAGTAGTGATGGTAGCAATGGTTGTGGTGGTGGTGACGGTGGTGATGATAGTGATGGTTGTCATAGTAATGGTGATGGTGATGGCAGTGGTAGTAGTGATGGTAATGATGGCAGTAGTGATGGTAGCAATGGTTGTGGTGGTGGTAATCATGGTGGTGATTGTGATGTTGGTGATCATGGTGGTGGTTGCAATGCTGCTCATGGTGGTGCCTGTGGTGTGGAGTGAGGCTATCGATGGTGGTGATGGTGCTGATGGTCGTGATGGTCATCATGGTGGTGATCATGATGTTGTTGTTTGGTGGTGACAGGTGTGATGGTGTTGGTGGTACTGATGGTAGTGATGGTGGTGATCATGGTGGTAGTTGTGATGGTGGTAGTGGTAGCGCCTGTTGTGTGGAATAAGGCTATCGATGGTGATGATGATAGTGGTGGTCATCAGGGTGGTGATCATGGTCTGGTGATGATGGTGATGGTGATGGCGGTAGTAATGGTGGCAGTGGTAGAGATCATGGTCATGGTGATGACGGTGCTCATGGTGGTAGTGCTAGTACCAGTGGAGGAGGCTAGTGAGGGTGGTATTGGTAGTGGTGGTGCTCATGGTGCTCTTGGTGAGCAAGGTGGTGATGGTGATCCTGATGATGTTTGTCATGGTGACAGGTGAGTGCAACTAAAAGGAGTATTTCCCCCAGTGTAGTTCAAGGCAGGAAGGTGGGAGATACTAATCCTGATCATAAGGGAACGTCAAGATCTCAATTCAACTCTGAATGCCCAGGGTGACAATCTAGGTGAGAAGGGAAATAGGGAAGAAGCAAAAAGGCCTTGATCCTGAAGGATCAAGTGCTGGATAAAGTAGGGACCAGTTAGGTCATGGGGCTCAGATCCAAGTCTGTCCACGTGTCTTGGGTGAGTCGTCTTTTGCCTAGTAGCTGGCATGGGCGTCAGGGTAGGCCTCATGACCTAGAGGCTTCCCACAGGGCCTGGACTCTCCAGGTGGACGTCAGCCACAGCAGGATGGGTCCTGGGGTTGGTCTTTGGGTCTGAGAGAGGGAAATGGAGCCCAAGGACCCCACCCATCTTAATAAGGACCTGAAGAATAATTCCTCCCGTGCATTCTGTGATTCAGTTTCAAAATAACTTTCCCCTCCTCTCTTAAAACACAGCAAGCCTTTGACAGGAGGTCTGTTATTCACTCTACCAATGACAAACTGACTTCATCTGGGATCCCCTTTCTCCTTTTCTTACGTTTAGTTACTCTGTTTGTCCTTCCGGCCAGCTCAGTGGCTTTCTCCCAGAAGCTTCCCTGAACAGCCTCAGATGAGGTTACCCCACCTCCTCTGGGAGCCCTGGCATCTGCGATGGCCACGCTGTGTTGCAGGAATCTGTCATCTGCCTCACTCCACAGCTAGACCGTGCCTGTAAAGGGGGCTGGCGAGGGTGTGATGGTTGGAGTCCAAGCCCGAAGCTGGAGTTCTGCTTTGCCGCAAGCCCTGTGCTCACTTCAGCCAGGGACCTGCCTCTTACCTCTAGCCTCAGGTGCCTGGCACAGACCTGGCTCAGGGGGTGCTCTGAAATTGCCACATTTGTAGATTATTGAGGTCTCACTAGCTGACTCACAGCCCCTCTGTCGACCCTGGGCCACCCAGAGTCGGTGCCCCCGCTCAACTCGCGAGTGGGCACAGGCTGGACCTCAGGAGAGGAGATAATATGAGCAGGCCAGGCTCAGCTGCCAGTTTAGGGCCGGCTAGGGGAGGGCTTGGGGCTGGGGATGTAACAGCCCCGTGGCTCCTATGGGCTGAGCTCCTTTAACTGTTCTGACTGTCTGTCCCTAGAGACTGGCTAATGGCTGACGGGGCACCACGCATTTAACGGCATCAGACCCAAACCAGCCTTGCCTGCCCTTGGCTTGTTTCGCTCCTCACCCCAGGGGCTGGGGGCTCCCCTGAAATCTGCATGGAAGGGACAGCCAAGCTCTGGGGAACTTGGGCTGGGTTTTGGTCAACAGACCCAGGCAGCGGGTGAGGAAGGGCTCCTGGCTCCGTGGGTGGTGGGGGTCGGAGCAGCAAGGTCACTGGCCACAATCCCTTAGACCCTCGCCCCGCCTTTCGGGTCCTGGGTAATCAGATTAGCGTTCTCCCTGCTGGCCTACCTCTGGGGCTTGTCTGTGAGTGAGGACGATGGCAAAGCACTTTATACCCTTTGGAAGGAAGTCGGTGGTAACCCAAGCTTAGAGTATCAATACGATTGGTAACAACAATAAAATTGAGCCCTGACATTTGGCACTGTCCTGCCGAGTCACAAAGAACGAAGCTCTCTCACACGCATTGCTGGGCTGTGACGGGGCCTCGGAACAAGCCCAAGGGTAGAAGGGCAGTAATAACGGTAAGCCCAGGGGCCTGGTGCTGACCGTTATTACTCATGCCTGTAATCCCACCACATGGGAGGCCGAGGCAGACAGATCACTTGAGGTCAGGAGTTTGAGGCCAGCCTGGCCAACATGGTGAAACCCTGTCTGTACTAAAAATACAGAAATTAGCTGGGCATAGTGGTGCGCACCTGTAATCCCAGCTACTCAGAAGCAGAGGCAGGAGAATCACTTGAACCTGGAAGGTGGAGGTTGCAGTGAGCCAAGATTGTACCACTGCACTCCAGCCTGGGTGACAGATCAAGACTCTGTCTCAAAAAAGAAAAAAACCCAAACGAGTAAGTGCAGTTGTGTGTCTGCCTGTGCCCTGCTGTGTGCCTGGCACTGGCTAAGTGCTTTATCCTGGCAGAGCCCCGACATCCTCACCTTGGCAAGCCTGGTAGCTCTGAAGAGGTGTCCCCGCCACCTCCCAGCTTCAGCTCATCAGAACTAACTGCTGCACCCTCGTGCCCCCAGAGAGCCCACCGCAAGGAGGAGGGACCGTCTCCCCATTGTCCTGGCTTGGAAACTGAGGCTCAGAGAGGAGCTGTGTGCAGTAGGGAAGCCAGCCCAAAGTTGAGGCTCTGCTTCGCCTCAAACCCTCTGTGTGACCCTCAGCAAGCCCCTCCCCCATGTGGTCCTCAACTCTACCCCCATCTTCGTAATAGTGGGGAAGGGGGGGTTGCTGGACTGAACGATTGCCAAGCGGGCTTGGCTTCATCCATTCAACAGTATTCCCTGAGCACCTATAACCTGTACTGTTCCAGGGGCTGGAGGTGTGGGGACAAATGGGACCCACATTGGCACCGCCTTCCTTCGTGGAGTTATAGTCCTCGTGGAAGTTACAGACAGGAGACTAGGAGGAAGGGCAACCAGGCAGTGATAAGCCCCAGAGGGCAGTAAGACCAGGTGCTGTGACAGTGACCTGGGTTTCCATGGGGGATGGAGATGGGGAAGGTGACATTAGGCTGAATGACAAGAGAGAGGAGCGGCCCTGTCTGCGGGCAGCATCAGCCTCTGATTCTGACAATCTGGGCTCACTTGGCCAGGAGGCAGCGATGGTAAGACTCAAACCTGGGTTTCCCCACTCCCAGCCCTTTCCAGGGGGCTAGGGTTGGCTGAGTGACAGCAGGTCAGCATGCTAGTTAAGGCCAAGGCTTGGTGACTCGGGTGTCCCCTCCCATCCCTGTGCTCCCTGGGGTGTCCTGCTGGGGCAATGGGAGGGCCTGCCTTGTTTGTTTCCCTTCTTTTAGGGATGGCCGCCCAGGCAAAGGGCGTGACCTGCCCAGGGCTTCAGTGGAGGCAGTGATGCAGTCAGAACTGGACTCCTGCAAAAGTGCTCCTTCCACTGTCCACTTCCCTATGGTGAAAGGTGGGGAGGGCCCTGTGCCCTGGGCTCTGGGAGTCCCAGGCTTTTGGGGAAGGAGGTGATGGATGTGAGGTGAGAGCGCAGGCCTTTGGCTTCACAGCTCCAACTCAGGGGCCACTCCAGGGCAGCCCTTCAGCCTCTTCTTGGTAAAATGTTACAGAGCATCAGGTGGAGTCAGGCACACTCCATAAGCCATTTCACAAACCCTGCAGCCCCCGGGGCAGGGGAGACTCCATTTCACCAGTGAGGAAACAGGCTCAGAGAGGTAACGGAGCTCTCCTGGGTGCCACAGCGCAAAGGCGGCTGAGCTGGGATTCTAACCCTGCTCTGCCAGGCATCCCCTGCCCAGGGATTCATTTGGTCAGTCCAGTAATACAAATATTTTTTCTTACCAAACACCCGCTGTGAGCCATGGGGTTTACAAGCACGTCCTGAAACACAGCCCAGCTCAGCCCGCCAGCAGGCCCCTCACCCCCATTGCACAGATGCAATTACCGGGGCCAGGCAGTGTTTCAGGGGCCGAGGACACAGACATAGTCCTTGTTCTCGGGGAGCTCTGCCTGGTCCGGGTGGCAGACACGAGCCCAATAGCTGATCAGCCTCGTATGTGCTGTAAGCATGGAGCTCGTCTTCATGCCTCCTTCCGATTTTGACACAAAAGTTACCTTCTCAGCAAGATGTTCCCTGGATACCTTGTCTAAGGTCTTCCCCTTTCCTTACTTTCCTTTTTCCCCCTCCTTGACATCTTTTATTATCTAACATACCATATACTTAACTTCTTTCTTTTCTTTTCTTTTTCTTTTTGTTTTCTTTTTTTTTTAAGACGCAGTCTCGCTCTGTCACCCAGGTTGGAGTGCAGTGGCACGATCTCGGCTCGCTACAATCTCCGCCTCCCGGGTTCAAGTGATCTTCCTGCCTCAGCCTCCCAAGTAGCTGGAACTATAGGCATGCACCACCACGCCCAGCTGATTTTTGTATTTTTTGTAGCAATGGGGTTTTTGCCGTGTTGCCCAGGCTTGTCTCAAACTCCTGAGCTCAAGTGATCCGCCCATCTCAGCCTCCCGAAACGCTGGGATTACAGGCATGCACCACCGTGCCTGGCCATACTTAACTTATTTATCTTCATTATTTTCTGTCCCTTCCACTAGATCAGAGGTTGGCAAACCACAGCCGGCCACATCTGGGCCACCGCCTGTGTGCATGTGGCTGGAGAGCTCAGAATGGTTTTTACATTTTTAAGTAGTTATAAAATCATCAAAAGAAGAATAATACTTTGTGATATGTGAAAATGATATGAAATCCAAATTCCAATATCCATAAATAAAGTTTTATTGGAACACAGCCATGCTCATTCATTTATGTGCTGCCTATGGCCGCTTTTGTACTGCAATGGTGGAGTCAGGCAGCCACGACAGAGACTGTATGTGGCGCTCCCGTTGCTTTGCACACTACAAATCACAGTCATGTGGTTTTAACTCACTTTTACCTCTTGGCCCACAAAGACTAAATATTTACCATCTGGCTTTTTTTTTTTTCTGGACAGAGTCTCACTCTTATCCAGGCTAGAGGGCGGTGGTAGGGTCATGGCTCACTGCAACCTCTGCCTCCTGAGTTTAAGCAATTCTCCTGCCTCAGCCTCCCGAGTAGTTGGGATTACAGGCGCATGACACCACGCCTAGCTAATATTTTGTATTTTTAAGTAGAGACAGGGTTTCACCATGTTGGCCAGGGTGGTCTCAAACTCCTGACCTCAGGTGATCTGCCCACCTCGGCCTCCCAAAGTGCTGGGATTACAGGCACGAGCCACCATGCTCAGCCTTTTGGCCCATCTGGCCTTTTGTAGAAGTCTGTGGTTGCCCGCATTAGAATGTGCCTGACCCCTGCATTAGAACACAAGCTTCATAGGCAGGGGCTTTTTGTTAGTTGATTTACTATTGTGTCCTGGCGTCTAGAACAGTGTTTGGACTTCTGCTTCTGGACATGATGGTGTAACAGGGCCAGATTTACTTTCTCACATTAAAGTACCAGAAAACTCTGCCTGGTAGGGTCGCATATGTCTGTAGTCCTAGCTACCTGGGAGGCTGAGGTGGGAGGATCACTTGAACCCAGGAGTTTGAGTCCAGCCTGGGCAATATAGCAAAACCTCAATTCTAAAAAATAAGGACCAGAAAACTGGACAAAAATCTATGACTCAGTGGTTTTCAGACATTGGACAATAAGCAGCACAGGATGGTGATTGCTAAGAAAAGGAAAACAAAGAAGGCCGGGCACGGTGGCTCACGCCTGGAATCCCAGCACTTTGGGAGGCCGAGGCGGGTGGACCACTTGAGCCCAGGAGTTTGAGACCAGCCTGGGCAACATGAGGAAACCCCATCTCTACTAAAAATACAAAAATTAGCCTGGTGTGGTGGCGCATGCCTGCAATCCCAGCTACTCAGGAGGCTGAGGCAAGAGAAGCGCTTGAACCTGGGAGGTGGAGGCTGCGGTGAGCACTCCAAACCTGACGGAGAGAGACCTTGTCTCAAAAAAAAAAAAAAAAAAAAAAGAATGAAAAAAGAAAACAAAGACGAGTCCTGCAACTGTCTCAGCTAACCTCCTGGAGAATTACCAGGCCAGTAAACAGAAAGGCAAAATAGAGTCATTGAGTTGAGGAGATGGAATTTGGGGTTCTGGGATGTAGAATGACTAGATTATGTGCAGCAAATACCAGAGAGGAAGGAGGTGCACAGAGAGACGGTGCAGCGATCTGAGGAGGGGTTCCCTCTCTCTGTGGCCAGAGTGGAGAGAGCTGTACTCCGTGGGGCATCAGATGGAGACCCCAGAAGGGCATTGCCTTGGTAGTGGGGCTGAGTTCACCCTAGACTAAAGCTGCTCTGAACTAATGCTAACAAAACTTAAAAGCAAGCCTTGACAGGAGCAAACCAATTCCAAATAACTTAGCTGTGTTCCAGAACAAAGCCAGCAATATTTAAAGGAATCCAACAAAATCCAGCCCCCAACCATGTAATATTTTAAATGCTGGTTGAACAATAAGTAAATAGATGGTGGTTGCTGGGAGCCAGATTTCTTGTGGCTGGAGAGGAAGTTTACAGAAAAACAAGGAGGGAAGCCTGGAATGGACTGTGGGTTAGAGCTGGAGATACCAGTGCAAACCCATGCTTAGCTCAATGTACATACAGATGGATGGATACAGAAAGAAGTACAGGCATGTGCGGATACAGGGTTATGTCTTCTGAGAGGGCCTAGCAGCAGTGGCAACCTAGTAGCAGCAAGCACTCCCAGCCAGATCCTGGCTTCTAATACCATTCTCCACTAAAAGGAGAAATGGTGGATTCTAGGACCTGAGCTGGAAAAATACAAGATGAGGCAGAGCATCTTGTATACCAAAAAGAGCAGGCCAGGCGCGGTGGCTCATACCTGTAATCCCAGAGGCAGGCAGATCATCTGAGCTCAGGAGTTGGAGACCAGCCTAGGCAACATGGTGAAATCCTGTCTCTACCAAACAAACAAACAAAAAATTAAGGTGTAGTGGTGGTCCCAGCTACTTGGGAGACTGAGGTGGGGGATCACTTGGGCCCCAGAGGTTAAGGTTCCAGTGAGCAGTGACTGTGCCACTGCATGCTGGCCTGGGCCACAGAGTGAGACCCTGTCTCAAAAACAAAAACAAACAAAGAAAAAAGAGATTCTATGGCCAAGCATTGTGGCTCACGTCTGTAATCCCAGCACTTTGGAAGGCTGAGGTGGGCAAATCTCTTGAGCTCAGGAGTTCAAGACCAGCCTGGGCAACATGGCAAAACCCTGTCTCTACAAAAAATACAAAAATTAGTCAGCCACAGTGGCATGCACTTGTAGTCCCAGCTACTCTGGAGGCTGAGGGGGGAGGATTACTTGAGCCCAGGAGGTCGAGGCTGCATTGAGCAGTGATAATGCCACTGCACTCCAGCCTGGGTGACAGAGTGAGACCCTGTCAAAAGAAGAAAAGAAAAGAAAAAAGAGAAAAGAAGGAAGGAAAAGAAAGGGCTCCAAAAACAGGAGGGGACATGTCAAAGGGACACAGAAACCAGCCTGAAGACCTCTCGATGGCCAAAGCTGGAAGAATTTGGACAATAAAATAAATAATGTAGTATTGGGTTATAACCCCAAAGTACAAAATAAATGTACATGAGTCCATACTGATGTAAATACACAATTGAATAAATAAATACAAGAGGGAGAAGAGATAAATCTTTCTCATGAAGAATTCTCAATAATATGTGTAGATTCTCTTCCGACAGGAAGTGGAGCTTAGTTTCCATCCCCTGGAGTGTGAGGTTCACTTTGTGACTTGCTTTCAAAGAAGAGGACAGGGAAAGGAAAAAATAGTACCTTTGCTACTACTGGTGGAGAAACCTGGTCAATAGCACCTTAATCAAGTGATGAGGGTTGGCCTCATTGGTGTTATCCTAATATGCTGTGATGAGAAGGGCATTTCACTTTGGTGGTGATATTCTTTCCATAAACCCATAATTCCAATCTACTCATGAGAAAAACAACAGGCAAACCCAGATCGGGGACATTCTATAGAATAATTGGCCAATACACCTCAAGATCGTCAAGGTCATGCAAAACAAGAAGAGACTGATCGTGACCAGCCTGGGCAACATAGAGAGACCTGGTCTCTACAAAATAACAAACAAGAAATTAGCTGGGCATGGTGGCATGCACCTGTAGTCCCCATTAATAGGGAGGCTGAGGTGGGAGGTTGAGGCTGCAGTGAGCTGTGATCATGCCACTGCACTCCAGCCTGAATGACAGAGTGAGATTCAGTTTCAAAAAAAAAAAAGACTGAGAAATTGTCATAGACCAGAGGGAGTCATGACAATTAAATGCAATATAAAATTCTGGATTAGATACTGGACTAGTAAGAGGACATTAATGGGAAAACTGGTGAATCCCAAATAAACTTTGGAGTTTACTTAACGTACTGGGCTAATGTCAGTTACATAATTTTTTGTTTCTTTGTTGTTTTTAGTTGAGGCAAGGTCTTGCTCTGTTGCCTAGGCTGGAGTGCAGTGGCACAATCAGAGCTCAGATCATAGCTCACTGTAACCTCGAGCTCCCGGGCTCATAGTTTTGACAAATATATCAAAGCAATGTAAGATGTTAATGATGGGGGAACTGGATGTGAAGTGTATGGGAACTCTCTGAACTATCTTTGCAACTTTTCTATAAATCTGAAACTATTCCAAAATTAAAAGTGTATTTTAGCGGGGTGTAGTGGTTCACGCCTGTAACACAGCACTTTGGGAGGCCGAGGCAGGCAAGTCACTTGAGCTCAAGAATTCCAGACCAGCTTGGGCAACATGGTGAAACTCTGACTCTACCAAAAATACAAAAATTAACCAGGTGTGGTGGTGTGCACCTGCAGTCCCAACTGCTTGAGGAGCTGAGGGGATAGGATCACTTGAGCCAGATAAATGGAGGCTGCACTGAGCTGTGTTTGTACCACTGCACTCCAGCCTGGATGACAAAGCAAGACCCTGTCTCAAAAAACATATTTGTATTTTAAAAATGTCCAGCATCCAATAAAAATTACCAGTCAAGCAAAGAAAGGGGGAAATATGACCCATAACCAGGAAAAAAAACAAATCAATAGAAATAGACCCAGAAATGTCACAGATGGTAGAGTTAGCAGACATTTAGAACAACTACCACTAATACACTCTTCATGTTCAAGAAGATAGAGGAAAGCACGAACATGATGTGAGAAATAAAAATACTAAAAAGACTCAAAAACTTCTAATGTTGAAAAATGCAACCACCATCCAAAATGAAAAATACAATGGATGGAATTAACAGCAAGTTAGACATTGTAGAAGAAAATATTAGTGACCTCAAAGTCATAGCAATAGAAACTATCTAAAGTGAAATGCAGAGGGGAAAAAAAAATCAGAGCCTCAGTGACCTGTGAGACAACGTAAGAGGTCTAACATATGTGTAATTGGAGGTCCAGAAGAAGAGGATGGAGATGGGAAAGATATTTAAGAAATGATGGCTAAAGCTTTTCCAAACTTGATGAAAATGATAAACCCACCGATTCAAGAAGCCCCAATGAACTCCACAGCAGAAGGAACCTGAAGAAAACCATATTCAGGCACATCATGGTCAAATTACTGAAAACCAGTGATGAAAGAATAGCATCTGGCACAAATTTTCAGTAAATATTTGTTGAATAGTAAAATGAATGAAATCCACAAGTGTTTAGAATGTGAAATTTAAACTATGGAGAACAATAAAACAGGATAAAGCCTGGGCATAGTACCTCACATCTGTAATCCCAGCACGTTGGGAGGCCAAAGTGGGAGGATCACTCAGGTCCAGGAGTTTGAGACCAGCCCAGGTAACAGAGTGAGACCTCGTCTCTATAAAAAAAAATTTTAATAACTAGCTGGGCATGGTGGTGCATGCCTGTAGTTCCAGCTACTCAGGAGGCTGAGGCGGGAGGATCCCTTGAGCCCAAGAGGCTAAGACTGCAGTGAGCTATGATTTCACCATTACACTCCTGCCTGGGTGACAGAGTGCAACCCTGTCTCAATAAATAAATAAATAAATAAATAAATAAATAAATAAATAAATACAAAGGGTAAAGGGAACAGGGATGGTAGAATGGTGGGCTCCAGAGGAAGGGCTTTCACTGTTTCCACAAGGTGGTTCCAAGAATGTGGCATTTGAGCAGACCTTGAGGGAGGCGAGGGAACCAGCTGCATGGGGACCTGGACAAGGGATTCCAGGCAGAGGGAGCAGCCTGGGGCTCCTAGGGCCCCATAAGCAGTGACCGGTATGAGCCACCATGATGAGCCACTGGCTCGCCAGTCTCTGCCTGCGGAACTGGGCCCCAGGAGCCCAGAAACAAGTGCTCAGCTTTGATTTCTGCCCTGAAAAGAGACCATGCCTGCTGTGTTCAAGGAGGAGCAGAGGCCAGCCAGGGTCACGGGGGTGAGCTGGGAGGAGGGTAGAGACGAGGTCAGTGAGGTTGGGCTTTGTGGTCAATGCAAGGACTTTGACTTCTACAATGAGTGACACAGAAGTTATTGGAGGGCCCTGAGAAGAGAAGCAGGATCATCTGAGTTAGGTTCTAGAGGGTCCACTCTGGACTGTAGGGGGTAAGATTGGAAGTAGGGAGACATAAGGAGGCCCCTGCAATCACTCAAAGGAGAAATGATGGAGACTCAGACGGGGCCGCATCAGTGGGGAGGATGAGCAGTGGTTGCATCCTGGGTACCTTCTGAAAGGAGCGACACCAGGATTTGCCTACATTTGGATGTAGGGTAGAGAGAAAGGGAAGTAAAAGGAGAGTCTAAAGGTTTTGACCTGAGCAGTTAGAGGAATTGAGCTGCACTTATAAGAAGGGCAGGCTTGGCCAGGCACTGTGGCTCACGCCTGTAATCCCAGCAGTTTGGGAGGCCAAGGAGGGCAGATCACTTGAGGTCAGGAGTTCAAACCAGCCTGGCCAACATGGCAAAACCCCATTTCTACTAAAAATACAAAAATTACCTGGGTGTGGTGGCAGGTGCCTGTAATCCCAGCTACTTGGGAGGCTGAGGCAGGAGAAGCGCTTGAACCCGGGAGGCGGAGATTGCAGTGAGCCAAGATTGCACCACTGCACTCCAGCCTGGGCAACAGAGCGAGACTCCATCTCAAAAAAAAAGAAAAAGGGCAGGCTTGGTGATGAGCAGGTGTAGGGTGGGGTGGGGCAGGGCTGAGGGGCATCAAATACACAGCCGTCTCCTCCTGCCACAGTGGGCCACCCCACTCTTTCTCAATGATCTTAGATGCACCCCGAGAATTCTCCACACAGTGCATATAGTAGGTCCATCATAGTTCCATTAGGAGGCAGCAAGGTGAGAGTTTGAGCTTGGGAGTGCTGATTCCCTGGACTCACATCCTGGCCCCACCACTAAGTAGCTTATGTCTTCAGGCAAGTGGCGTCATTACTGGGGGCCTCTGTTTCTCATTTGTTGAATGTTTCTGCGTTTCCTAGCTCCCTACTGTATTAAATGGGGTCATACTCGGCATTTATCTCATTGGGGTTTTGTGAAGACTTAGATGAAGAAGATGTATGGAAAGGCCCACACACGGTGCCTGAAACACAGGAAGCGTCCTATAAACGGTGACCGGTACACTCCACCCCAGGTCCTACTGGTTCACCCGTCTTTGTCTGAGGAAGAGAACTTCATGGCCCCAGGAACCCAGAAACAAGAGCTCAGGTTTGATTTCTGCCCTGTGAATGCCTAACCAGAGTTCTGGAGAATGCTGCATGGACCCAGATGAAAACGCTCTCATTTTTGGACAGAGTGGGCAGTCGCTGAAATATAAGAAGTCCCTGTTGAAAAACGTCCCTGCTGTGAGCACTGCTGGGTGGATTAGCTGGCATTCCTTCTCCTCCATTGAGCGGAGTCGCAAGCTAATAAATATTTCAGAATTGGCTGTATTCAATCCAGCCCTTGTCCCGTTTGACGTCTGTTCTCTCAGCTTTCAGGAGACAGGTGCAGAAGGATGAAAAGGGATTTAATTACTAAACATCCCCAACTCCCGATATGCAAACACATGCTGTACTGTACACACACCTACTGCGCACAGTCACGCACACCCCCTGCACTCACACACGTGTGCAGATACAGCCCGGGGCACACATGTACCCACGGGACCCTCTGGACACCCACTCTACTCTAGTAGTGACCTCTCTACTGTATCGGGGAGATCTCCCATGCATGCCTGCACACAGCTTGCACAGGAGTCCCACAGGAGTCCCATGGGCAAACGATACATGGGAACACACATGTGCCCCTGTGTATGCAATAGCCTTGGTTGTTAACATGAGCATGTTTACAGTCAATGTGCGTGGAAGGTACATGTACATGTGCATTTATTTTATTTATTTATTTATTTTTTGAGACAGAGTCTCGCTCTGTCGCCCAGGCTGGAGTGCAGTGGCGTGATCTCGGCTCACTGCAAGCTCCACCTCCTGGGTTCATGCCATTCTCCTGCCTCAGCCTCCCAAGTAGCTGGGGCTACAGGTGCCCACCACCAGGCCTGGCTAATTTTTTTTTGTATTTTTAGTAGAGATGGGATTTCACCATGTTAGCCAGGATGGTTTCAATCTCCTGACCTTGCGATTCGCCCACCTCGGCCTCCCAAAGTGCTGGGATTACAGGTGTGAGCCACCATGCCCGGCCTACATGTGCATTTATAACATGTGCACACACAGATATGCATACACTCAATAATACAGTCACACAGATGTTCACGTCTCCACATACATGTGTGTAATGTGTTTCTGAAGAGAGGACATTTCAAAAGCCCTATTGTTGTCAAGCCATGCTGTTCACTCTAGGGGGAGGTTACGTAATTTAGCAAAAAGGCAAATGGAAAGGGGCCATAGAGGCCTTTCACACTGAAAACTTCGATTTTCCCTGACACATGAGTGAGCGCACACACAGCACACAGATGCACACCTGTGCACACAGACGTACAGATCCACATACATCTGTGTCAAGATGCACATCTTCTCCCCTGTATTCAAGACTGTCGGGTCCACCCACTGGAGCACGCGCATTTTTGAACAGGCATGCTTGTGCACGCAGGCCACGCACACACACTCAGCCCTCTGCTGGGACTAGCAGCACTTTCCTCCTTTTTGAGAACTCCTCAGCCTCTTGCTGCCTGCCCTCTGGGTGGCTGTGGAAACAGAGTTTCCACAAATGCACAGCCAGGCGCCTGGTCCCCAGGTGGAGTGGGAAGGCAGGAGGTGAAGCTGGCAGCATCTGATCGGCAGCCTCTCAGATTCCCCAACATCCACCCCCAGGGCTGGCCACACTGGCCCAGGGGACCAGGTGCCATCTCAGCAGTGCTGAGGACCCTATCACTGAGACCCCACCTGAAGATCTGAGCAGACTGGGCAGCCGACGCTCATTTTGCCCCATCCACGCTTTGCTCATCTATTGACGAAAGAGCTGGCTGAGCACTTTCTGTGTTAGGCGAGGCCTGGGGACTGTTACCTGCTCTGTGCCACTGAGCAATCCCTACGGGCCTGATTCTCAGCGAGCACCCTGTCCCACCCAGACCAGACCTGTGGATTAGCCTCAGGCCTCAGGGACAAGCCTCAGCTCTCAGCCAAGCAGTGCCCAACTGCACTTTCCCCACCTCCACTCCCACCCCACAGGGCCATTGCAAGCAGACAGGGTTGGCAGGAATTGGGGACTTTCAAATAACCAATCAGTGGGACCTAAGGAAATATATGCAAATGAAAATGCAAATCACCACTCAGTCTTTTTGCATCTGCTGCCAGCCGGACCACCTGCCCTAGGTGAGCACTTCCTTCCTTTTGACAGGGAGGATGCGAGCTCCCGTCCAGCAGGAAGCGGGCTGGAGGTCTGAGGTTCTTGCAGTGCTGGGCTGGGGCCATCCACCATCCCCCCAGTCCTCTCTGCACTGCCAGACCCAGCAGCCTCCGTGCTTGGGAGTCAGGGGTCCCCTTCCCCTACCCTGGCCTCAGTTGGCCCTGTCCACACTCACACTTACACTCAGTCACACTCTTGCACACTCATTTTCAGTCCAAAACACACTTACCCATGCACAAATACGCACAAACCTATTCACACCGCACACACCTGCACGCACCTGCACACTCCTTCATGCAGTCATTTTCATTACTGACCCACACATGTGTGCACAGACACCTGCCACATTCAGCTTTGCACACATGCACCGTTACACACGCAGTCACATATACACATCCACATTCTCGTTTTCTACATTCGTATGCACTTACACCTTTGCATGCTGGCTCACACACATGAATCACTTACAAGGGTTAACATACACCCACACGCATGCCTGCCCTTGCTTGGCCTTGACCGTGTGGGAGCCTGTGGACGTGCGGCTGTCTGGGCCAAGGGACCAGGATCCTGAAGGGGTGCAGGGGCAGGGCCATGGAGCGCCCCAACTGGAAAGCACACTTCCTGGAGGCTGGTGCACTTCCTGAGGCACTTCCAAGGGGCCAGTGCCCAGGGCCCAGCCAGGCCCCCTGTGGGCTTCCCTGAAGGATGGGGACGCCCTACCACAAACGCCCTCTGCAGCCTCTGGGCCAGGCAGGCGGCTGCTCCCAGGGTAATGCCTCCCTCAGGAAGCGGTAATTGAGGGGTAGAGAATTAGAAAATCAACACCGCCAGGAAGTGGGGATGTGCCCGTGCTGCCTTTGTTCCTAGAAGAGCAAGTGGGGGACCGGAGGGAAGGAACCCAGCCAAGCTCAGGAGTGACTGGAAGGGGGAGCCAGGTCCCCTCATCCCTCATCTGCCGCCTTTTGGTGCCGCCAACAGGAGTAAGGCGGGCACTGTCAGGCCCTGAACCCACTGGTGGGGGTCCCTTGGGGGGCCAGCGGTGCCTGGGAGGGACCTGGGAGTGGCCTCAGTGCCCCTGAGCCACATCACTGATTTCCCTTGGCCTTCCCTCCCACCACTGTGCACCAGAGGCTGCTAAGAGCCCAGGAAGGAGGATGACCTGAGTGCAAATCCTGGCTCTTTTTCTCACTAGCAGTGTGAGCTTAGGTGCATCCCCTAAACGCTTCAAGCCTCAGCTGCCTCCCTGCAACCGTTCCTGCAGGCGAGATGCTCCTTCTTAGCCCATTGAGCACCCACAACAGTGTTTGTCTCTAGCTCCGACCCTGTGCCCGGGCTAGGCTGGGTCCTGGGGCATAGTCCCATCCCAACAACCCCATGAAGCCAGGGCTCTTGCTATTATTCTTTCCATTTTATAGATGAGGAAACCGAGGCCTGGCGAAGTCATATGAATGAATGGCTGGGGTCAGACACTAGTGTGAGGCAGAGCCTGGGTTTGAACCCAGATCTCTGTAACGCCAAGGCCCGTCCAAGGTCCATGAGTCCACCTCCTTCCAGCTGCTACCCCCGTCCTGGTCTAGGGAAGAGCCCACAGGCTTCTTCCTCTTCTTCTTCTTTGTTTTGTTTTGTTTTGTTTGAGACAGGGTCTCACTCTGTTGCCCAGGCTGAAGTGCAGTGGTGCAGTCATAGCTCACTGCAGCCTCCACTATCTGGGCTCAAGTGATCCTACTGCCTCAGCCTCCCAAAGTGCTGGGATTACAGGCGTGAGCCACCAGGCTCAGCCCCCACAGGCTTCTTGACATCTATTCACCTCCAGAAGCAGGACAGTAGCAGTGGAGCTTCAGAACTAAGCAGCTGCCTGCTCTGGCCTCTTTGCTCCCTGTCTGCCTCCCTGCTGTGCGCATGGCTGTGTGCGTCCACGCCCTTGGGAAGACTCTGCCCACTTGATCTCTGAGGCTGGCCCCTCCCCTCCGTGGACAGGGGATGCCTTCCACCTCTGCAGCGGCTGGCACTCCACACCCGCTAGAGCCCCACCCCCACTGCACAGATGCAATCACCAAGGCCGGGGATGAGCAGGGGCTTCTCCAAAAGCCTTCTCTGGGCCTTGGTTCCCTCTCGGTAACATAAGAGGGTTGGACTCTCCCCCATCCCTTCTCAGATCCTCCTGTCTCTGTCCCCACAGGCCCTTGGTCCCTTGAAGCTCAGCTGAGAATGACTAGGAAGATTTCCAAACTGCAAGGCATTTTACTCACCCACCAGGTCCTGGCAGAGATGGGCTGATGATGCCAGCTCTCAGGGGCTCAGGGGTTACAGGGGTGGACAGACAAACAAACCACCATAGACTTGAGGTCACTGCCTCACATCGGGAGCATGACGGTGAGCCGGTGAGCCGGGCTCTAGGTGTTTCACCTGTGTCCCCTCCTCTAGCTCCAGGCAAACCCTACAGGGTAGGACCACTAATCTTCCACCTGCTGCTCCCTCTGGCTGGAATGCTTTTCCCCAGATTGGCCTGGCTTGTGCCCCACCTCCTTCTGGAACGGACCTCCTATCCCAGGTCGCAACTCCTTCGCCCAGCTTCCTCCTCTGCGGGCCCGCTGCTCCTAGCTGAGCGATTATGTGTGCCATTCCTTTATTTTATTTATTTATTTATTTACTTGAGATGGAGTCTCACTCTGTCACCCAGACTGGAGTGCAGTGGTGTGATCTCGGCTCACTGCAATCTCCACTGCCTGAGTTCAAGCGATTCTCCTGCCTCAGCCTCCCTAGCAGCTGGGATTACAGGTGCCCGCCACCAGGCCTGGCTAATTTTTTTGTATTTTTAGTAAAGACGGGGTTTCACCACGTTGGCCAGGCTGGTCTCAAACTCCTGACCTCAAGTGATCCACCTGCCTCGGCCTCCCAAAGTGCTGGGATTACAGGCTTGAGCCACCGTGCCCGGCCCATTACTTAATCTTGATTCTTGTCTGTCTTTTGCACTAGGACTTGAGTGCAGCGAGAACAGGGATTTGCTTCCAGTTTGCTCACTGCTGCTATTCTGGTGCCCAGAGCGGTGCCTGGCACGGAACAGATGCTCAGTATTTAGTGAATGGACACCCGTTTCACAGACGAGAAAACTGAAGCCCAGAGAGACTCTGCCAGCTGCTGCGAGCTCAGGATTCATCAGCCCCGCGAGAAGCCCACAGCAAGCCCCTCACCCTCAGCCCAGCCCTGGCCTGAGGCCTTTGTTCCCCCTCTGGCCTGCTCTAGGTGGCAGTGGTGGTGGGCAGACAGTCTGCCCAACCCTGCTCCGAAACCCAAGGCTGGGAGGGGCCACTGGGAGCGGGGAGGAGCCTGATTCTTCCCCCTCCCCTTCCCGGGCTACCCGCCCCCTCCTCCAGCTGGAAACTTGACACCCGAGGCCCATCTGCCGCTCTGCCGCCCGCGGTCCTCCCGCCCCTGGAGGCCGCTGGGCCGGCGGCTGCAGAGCAGTGATTGTTCCGGGCTGAATGGGCAGGCCTGACGCCCACGCCAGGTGCACCATTGTGAGGGCTCCGACACCTGCCTGGCGGGTCGCATGCCCCGCCGGCACAGACCCTCACCCGCCTGGCTGAGAGGAGCCGCCCACTGCCTCCTGCGAGTGGGGCTGGGGGTCCGGACTCCTGCTTCTCCCCAAGGGAAAGCACCCCCGAAGGCACCCCGAACTCCTGCCTGTCTGGGGCTGCCTCCCCGGCCCCTCCAGCCCCCACCACCTCCCCTGTGCCTCCCTCGGCCTCTCAGCCTTGGTGAGGAGGGCATGTTTTGGAAGTCAGTGGTGCTACCACTTTCTGGCTGTGACGGACAAGAGCCACAAGCTCTCTGAGCCTCAGTTTCTCATCTGTAAAATGGGGGTGATCACAGAACCCACACCATAGGAGCATAAGAGGATCAAAGGCTTGAGTCCGTGGGCCACGCTTAGCCCATAGTGGGCGATGGAGAAAGCCGGCTCTTCTTATTGAGACCTCGCAGTGTGCAGACGGGGGCCCAGGGGAGCTAGTCTCAGCCCCCGGCAGGCCCAGCCCAGGGAGCCCCCAGCCTGCCCCCCTGCCCGCCTCCCCTTGCCCGGCCTCCCGCCCGCTCTATGAAAATTTAATGCCGGGTAATGACAGTCTGGGCTAATGAAAGAGGCTTCTCTTCTGGCAAAAAGAGAAAAACAAACAAAAATCAACAACCTGCAAGGGGGCATTAACTTTTCATGAGCTGCTCTCCCCACTGTCACCCCCCGCCCTGGCTCACCCGGGCAGCGCCAAGCCCCCTCCTTCCCCTCTTTCCCCTCCTTCTTTTATCTTAGAGCTGGGGCTGCGGAGCCAGTGGTGAGGTCGAGCAAACTGGAGGGGACCTGGATCTTTTGGGGGCATCTTTCTGGGGCTCTTCCGCAGGGCAGCTGCCAGCCCTGGAAAGGGAGGAGAGCCCCCTGAGGGCTTCTGCAAAGCTGTATTGGGCTCTGGGATGGGGATCCAGCCTTCAGAACCCTCTCTGGGGAGTGGGTGGTGGGTGGGGGAAATGCAACTCAGAGTGGGTGGGGCTCAGGGGCTCAGTGGTCCCATCTCCCATCCGCCACCAGCCTCCTCTGCAATGCGAGGCCTTGGCAGCTCCACTGTCTCTGCTGCCAGCCGGGCTGGAAGTGGTTAGAGAAAAGGGCATGGGGCGTCTTGCGCTCCCTTTCCCTCTCTTTGTGGTATCCTGGAGAGCCATTGGCTGCTGCCTGTGATATCCTGAGAGATGCGACAATTAATTTTCTTTTAATCAAGGTCGGATGAAGTAAATTGGTGCGGTTCTGCAGCCCTTCATTTTCTGTTTTTGCAGTGATGCAAAACAAATATGATCAAATTATGCTTCTTCTCACCTTATTGAATTAGGAAGCATGACTGATCAGAGGGGGTGGAAATGCTCTATACCATGCAGTGCCACCCCCCCCCGCCCGTGTTCCCCTCCTTCCCTGCTCTAGCCTCAGTCTCCCTGGATTCACTGGCACTCAGAGCAGGTTTGTCTTCCCCAGGGACCCCAGGGTGTTGGAGGATAGCACCTGGCACCGTGGGTGCTCAGTGAATGAGTGAATGAATGAATGAGTAAATGAGTGAATGAATAAGTGAGCGAGTGAGTGAGTGAATGAATGAGTGAGTGAATGAGTGAATGAGTGAGTGAATGAGTGAGTGAATGAATGGGTGAATGAATGAGTGAATGAGTGAATGAATGGGTGAATGAGTGAGTGAATGAGTGAGTGAATAGGTGAATGAGTGAGTGAATGGGTGAATGAGTGAGTGAATGAATGAATGAATAAGTAAATGAGTGAATGAATGAGTGAATGAGTGAACAAATGATTGAATGAGTGAATGAATGGGTGAATGAATGAGTGAGCAAATGAGTGAGTGAATGAATGGGTGAATGAATGAATGAGTGAGTGAATGAGTGAATGAATGAACGAGTGAATGAGTGGATGAATGAGTGAGTGAATGAGTGAGTAACAAATGTGCTGGTCTTGAGAGAAAGCCAGGTCAGGCTGGGAGAAGGACTCGACTCGCTTTGGTGAAAGCCAGAGTCCTATCAGCTCAGGTTCTCTCTAGAACTTCACTTTGTTTCTTCATACAATTTATCACTGTCTGAAATTAGCTTGTTCATGTGTCAGCCGACATGGGTATTGCTGTGTCTCCCTCTTGGATTTGTGCCCTGCGAGCTCAGGCCTTATCCACCCTGTTTACCCCAATGCCTGGCACATAGTAGGTGTTCAATAAATATCAGTTGAGTAGGTGAATTATTTTATTTGTTTATTTTTTGAGACAGGGTCTTGCTCAGTCACCCAGGCAGGAGTGCAGTGGCATGATCATGGCTCACTGCAGCCTCGACCTCCCAGGCTCAAGCAATCCCCTCGCCTCAGCCTCCCAAGTAGCTGGGACTACAAACATGCACCACCACATCCAGCTAATATGTAAATTTTTCATAGAAAGGGGGTCTCACTGTGTTGCCAGAGCTGGTCTCGAACTCCTGGACTCACGCGATTCTCCTGCCTCAGCCTCCCAAAGTGCTGGGATTACAGGTGTGAGCCACCGCACCCGGCCTGGGTGAATGATTTTAGTACATCCTGATTGAGTGTTCGGGACTCCTCCTGATTCAGCAGGAGGAACAGACATGGACAATACCAAGGCCACGTCCTTGGCACCACACAGAGATTTGAACTCAGAGCCATCAGGATGAATTCTGTGTGGTGGAGTTGAGGTGATATTTGAGCTGAGTCTGGAAAGGTAAGTAGGAGCTGGGCCCAGGGACAGGCAGGGGGACGGTGGGTGCAAAGGTTTGTGGTCAGCAATGATAGTGTTGGCTTGGAGAGAGGCTGGCTGGCCTGTCAGGAGAGGGAGGCTGCCCCAAAGGGCCAGGTGGTCAGCCTGGCTCAAATCCCAGATTCCTTCTGGGACTTCCTGGATTTTCTGTCACTCTCTCTAAAGTGAAGATGACAGTTGACACCCCATTTCAGAGTTACCTGGAGAATGAATGAAGTGACCCCATCTGCCAGGTGACCTCATGCATGAGGCACTCAGTCAATGTTAACCTGTAGGATCACTGTCAGCTTTTATTTCTGTTATGAAAGGCAGGCTGGGGCTCGATTGGGAAAGGCCTTCAATACCACACAAAAGGCGGACAGGGCAGACAGGTGCGTGGGCTTCCTGGGCTTGCCATGGACCCAGCCCATGATGCTCCAAGCAGACCAGGCAAGTTGGAAATCTGTAAATAAATCTATCTTGCAGGTACCAAGAGACCTGGCTGTTTAAAGAACCCCTGTGAGCAACTTTCTCTAAAGCAAAGACTTTCTGTAGAGTGGATTTTACCCCTGAGTATATCGGGTTAGCAAGTCAAGAGTCAATTTCACTTACAGCAAAGCTGCCTTGGGTGCCTTGCTACCTGCTATTCTTGAGTGTGCTGAAATCTTCTGACCCTCCACTGTGGCCAGAGTCCTGTCCTAGGTAATGGGGGTGGGAAATGATTATACGGTCACCACCTTTGGGGAGCTTAGAGCTAGGCTCTAAGCTCACATCACACATAATGATAAACCCATGAAGAAATAACCATGATGCGGCCAGGCGCGGTGGCTCACGCCTGTAATCCCAGCACTTTGGGAGGCTGAGGCGGGCAGATTACTTGAGGTCAGGAGTTTGAGAGCAGCCTGGCCAACATGGCAAAACCCTGTCTCTACCAAAAGTACAAAAATTAGCCAGACGTGGTGGTGGGCACCTGTAGTCCCAGCTACTAGGGAGGCTGATGCAGGAGAATCCCTTGAACCAAGGAGGAGGAGGTTGCAGTGAGCCAAGATCACACCACTGCACTCCAGCCTGGGCAACGGAGCAAGATGCTGTCTCAAAAAAAAAAAGGGAAAGAAAAGAAAAGAAATAAACATGATGCTCACACACACAGAAGAAAAAGACAAAAGAAGACCAGAGAAGTTACCCAGCCACACAGAGGGCAGAGATGCTGATTTCAGGGCCCTGGGGTGGAGGGTCAGATGGCTCAGGGAGGCACAGTGGTGCAGGGAGGCTGCCTGGAAGAGGCCAGAGAGTTTAAAATAGGGGTTTAATGGGAATCTGGGTTTAATGGGAGCGCAAGGGGGAGGAGTTCCTGGTGGAAGGGGAGTCCCCTGGGGAACCCAGCACTGAGACCAGCCCCCAAGGGCATGTGGTCAGGTGAGAGTGCCCATATCTCACTCCCGAGAGCAAGGCCTGCTGTGGAAACGCTCCCTGAGTCTACTCCTCAGGAGCCTCTGGGAAGCCCCCTCTGAGCACCCCAGGGCCCACTGGGCCCACAGTGCCACTTTTCTGGGGCGCTGCCCAGCTGTCAGATCTTAGGATTAAAAGGCTTGAGGCTCACGCCAGTGCCAGTCTCCAGCTGGACTCCGGGCAGCCTGCTGTTACAGGCAAGCTTTGGGCTTCCCCACTCTGTCACATCCAAGCTGTGTGACCTCTGGCAAGTGACTTGACGTCTCTGGGTTTGAATGGGATGAAACCTCACGGGCCTTGCTGTCTGGCCCCAGCAAATTCTTTGATCTCTCTGGGCCTGCCCTGCCTCAGGAGAGCCAGCTGGCTGGTTCTAGGTTGCAGCTTGGACGGGGGTGTGAAGAGGTCAAAGGGGGGTACCTGAGCCCTCAAGCAGATGGGTAACCCTGGGCATTGCTCCATGGGCCTCCCCGATGCATGCCTGCTGTGCCCGTGGGGCCGAGCCACAGCCTGTGGGACCAGTCTCTGGGTGGGGAACTTCTCAGCAGGTGAGTCATCACCCCTGGGGTGCAGCCAGTGACCCAGATGGGGCAAGATCATGACATATATTTATCTCTGTCATCTCCCAGTGCCTCCCCTTCCCCTTCCTCTTCCTGTCCTCATCCCCTCCTCCAGCCATTGGGTGGGCCAGGATGACACTGACTACTCAGCCCCTGATCTCACCTATCCTAGACAAAGTCTATGGTTCTTCTAGGCCGCCTGTCTCTTCCTCTGTAAGTTTGACAATGGTAACAGCCGCCATTAATTGAGCCATTAGCAATTACCAGCAGCTTTGCATACACTAAATTGAACCCCTCCGTTTGTGGGGTGAAGCTGTTGCTGTTGCTATTATTATTCCCATTACACAAGTGATTACAAGGAGGATCAGAGAGGTTGTGTGGCTTGCCCAAGGTTCCAGAGCTAGGGGTGGAGGGGCTGGGGTTCCAACTGGGCTGCTCTGGTGCCGGGGCTCATGATCTTCCCACGATGCTTTGTGGAGTTGTCTTCACGGCTCCCCTCCTAACTCCCTAGGGTTCCTCTCGCCCCCCAGCGCCCCCTGCCCCAGGAGCTGCCACCTGGTTCCCATTACATTGACTTGTCCCAGGTCCCAGCCCATCAGCTGCTGACCTGATCACTCCATCCAGCTGGTGTAATGGGTTACCTCTCTCCGGGAACTTGCTAACTCTACCAGAGGAGTTACAGATGCTGCTAGAGACACCGCCTGAATCCCAAGGAACACAGGCCAGTAGAGGGGAGAGTAGAGGGCAGGCCCCTCAACATGCTCTAGGACAGAGGGTGGGAGAGGGTTTCTGGGGCCATGCCCCCTGGTAGCTGCCGCCCTCCCCCAAACAGGATCTGAGCTGCAGGCTGGGAAGTGACCGAGGGGGAAGGGGCGGCGCCGGGGTGGGGGGGCATCCAGCTGGTGAGCGGTGATCCTTCCTTATCCGGCATCAGCGCATCATCGCTTTTCCAGGCTGAAGTTTCAGATCTCGTTTTCACTTTGGCCTTTGATCACGCCCGGAGTGGGTGGCGGGTGGGCCAGGGAGGTGTGGGGCTGTCAGGGGCATTGGGGAGAGTGAATTCCAAGGTGACACCCTCCCAACTATGTACAAGTATCTGCTGCCTGGAGAAACACTCTGAGGACAAAAGACCAGGGTGGCGGCGAGTGAGTGATCTAAGGATAGGGCCCCCACCCAGCATTGCCCCTGTCTCACCCATTGGGTCGTTTCCTTTTCTGTTTTCCAAATGAAAATAGCTTTGTTGGGTTTCTCCCCTCTGAGGATTAAAGATGCATATGTTTGTTGTATAGGGTTCAGACAATACAGAGAAAAAGGTCCCCAAATCTTTTTTCCTCGTCACCAACACTGGGCAAAGGGGTGACAGGGTCTGTGCATATATCTGCACAAAGATCTTTTTCCCTTATGACAAACGGCATGCTGTGTGCCTCAAACTGTTCTGAAACCTGCCCTTCTCACTTCACAGTGTATGTTGAATACTTGTCTGTGCTGGAGCATTAAAAGCTGCTTTCAGTGGCGACATAAGAGTCCCTGTGCCACACTTTATTTAACCAATTACTTCACTCTGGACATTGACACCATTCCCGGCTTTTGACCCTCCCTGGCCAGGCAGTCCGAGGCTGCCCCTTTCCTGCTTTTCTCTTCTGGGCCCTCCTGCCAGGTTGTCTCAGTTCCTGGTTCCTCAGTCTCTGGATCCGTCTACGGAGGGGGTCTCAGCTCAGCTGGTCCGGGCGGGTGGGAGGGTTCAACACAGCGGGAAAAACATAGGTGTGAGTTCGAGGGAGTTGGTTTCAAGTATAGCTTTGCCATATACTAAGCACGAGGACTTGAATGACTTTTTTTTTTTTAAAAGACAGGGTCTGGCTGTGTTGCCCAGGCTGGAGTGCAGTGACAGCACATGATGACGGCTCACTTCAGCCTCAGCCTCCCAGGCTCAAGCCATCCTCCTGCCCCAGCCTCCTAACTAGGTGGGACCACAGTTGCTTACCACCAATGTCTCGCTAATTTTGTGTTTGTTTTTGTTTTTACAGAAATAGGGTTTCACTATGTTGCCCAAGCTGGTCTCGAGCTCCTGGGCTCAAGCAATCCTCCCATGTTGGCCTTGCAAAATGCTGGGATTACAGGCGTGAGCCACTGTGCCTGGCTTGAATGACCTCTTCTCTCTATAAATCTCGATTTTCCAGTAGAGAAACAGGGATGATAAAAAAACAAAACAAAACAAAACAAAACCTTGCAGGGGCTGCTGTGAAAACCCCGGAGTTTGCGGGTGGAGTGTGCTGGGTCCTGGGCTTGAGGAGACTTGCAGGGGCCAAGCACGGCTGAGAGAAGGGAGTTTGTCCAGGAGAGGCAGGGGCGGCCTGGGCAACGGGGTGGGGGGTGCTCCGGCCACCTCCATTCCTTCATCCTCACACCTGCCAATTTTCCCATTTTAAAAATTACACACGCACACGTTCATTGCGGGGAAATTAGAAAACACATCAAGGTTCTAAAAAGCAAACGTCGTTTCCCGGTGATTTGATCCCCGGGAATGAGCTCCTTTGAACATTTCCTGGTCATGGATCTGAAGGTCAGAAGCTTCCCACTCCCCGAGGGCCTCGCCACAGAAACAGGAGGTCCCCACCCGTTCTGCTGTAAGCAGGATTGAGGCTAGATTTGGGAGGTACTGTCCCAGCGGGCAGTGTCAGCGTCCCTGGGTCTGGCGATGGAGGAAAATGGATTGAGCGCTTCAGGACCAGATGTTGGGGGAGTCTCTGGCTGGGGCCTCCGGAGGCGGCAGCCTCAGAGACACTGAAACTTACCAGTGGAAGAGAAGGGCTATGAAGTGGGGTGGGAGGCGCAAGTGGTCTTTTGGAGGGGACAGCTCTTGCAGAGGAGAGGGTCGGGGAGGGGAGAAGAAAGGGGGCAGGGAGGGACGGTTTACAGCCAGAAACCTGCGTCTGTCACGGGGGCTGCTGGGATGAAAGACGGCGGTGGGCTCTGAAAATGTGTGTGTCAGCAGCGGGCAGGCCCCGCCAACACTCGGAGCTGCCAGGCAGGGAGGCACTTTCAGGGCGAGTGGAGAAAGGACCGAGGAGCCAGGTCCAGCGATAAATCTCAGGCAGGGCCTACTCACACCCCAAGAACCCCGTCTCCTCCCGCCACTCCGGGGGACCCCGGTATTCGGGGGGGTTCCTCCACCCTTCTTCCCCATCCCCTCGCCATTGCCGTCTCCCCAGGAACGTCCTTCATCGGCCCGCAGGGTACATGTCACCCCACGGAGCGTGGGCCCCGTGCCACTGTACACTTCGGAGAATCATTAGCAGAAATCATTAGCTAGAATACAGCCTCCCCCATAAATCTCCCCTGCACCTGGATCGTTTGTCCGTGCCTAATTTCCATCTCCCGAACTTTATGATTTGTCCCTCGTTTGATGAGCATCTCTCCCATCAATTGTGCCGTAAGTGCTTGCAGAGAAAGACCCCCCGCACTGACCCCATCTCAGAGAGACGGGTGTGGGCTCCTGGCCCTGCATGCTAGGTGGAGCCCCCCTCCCCAGCCCCCTCCTTGGTTCGTCCCTGAAAGGGCAGCTTAAAGACGCTGTGCCCGCCGCCTCGCTCCCTCGGGGACCGGAGACAGAGCTGGACTCGGAGCGTGGCTGGGACCATGGGGGAAGGAGGGAGGTGGCAGGGGCCCGTGGTTGGCTGGGTGGCTTGAGTTTCCCATCACAGCCCCCAACTCCCTGTGTGACCTCAAGCATGTTACTTTCTCTCTCTGAGCCTCAATTTCCTATACATGGGGAAGAAGCTGCCCATCTTTCCTGGTTATTGTGAGAGTTGAGGTCATTCACTCACCCATTTGTTGACTCATTCATTCATTTGTGCTTTCACACATTCAAAAATCGTCCAGTAAGTTCATCTACCCAGGAAGCTTCACTGGACGCTCATAAGAGCTATGGACCGGGCTGCTCTGGTCCAGACAGCAAAAGGCTTGCAGATGGTGGGACAGAAAGGAAACGTACTAATTAAGAGCCAGGGCCTTCGTGCCCAGTAGAGATGTGGGTTTGGATCCTGGGTCTACCATGCACTAAATGTGTAACCTTGGGCAAGCCACCTGACCTCCCAGAGTGTCAGTTTCCTCATCTGTACATGGAGGTGAAATGAGCAACCGTAAGGACAGCACCTCACACGTAGCATGCTCGGCCCAGGACACGCACTGCCGTTGCTGTCTCGTCACATTGGGGATTGGAACACGTGAATGAGAGTACTTAGGAAAATGTAGAGGGGGACAGGAACACTGGACCGAGGGTTTCTGCCCACGGAGCAAGTATTTTATTTTATTATTTAAAAAAATTTATTATAGGCCAGGCACGGTGGCTCATGCCTGTAATCCCAGCACTTTGGGAGACTGAGGTGGGTGGATCACAAGGTCAGGAGTTCAAGACCAGCCAGGCCAGCATGGTGAAACCCCATCTCTATTAAAAATACAAAAAATTACCTGGGCATGGTGGTGTGCGCCTGTAGTCCCAGCTACTCGGGAGGCTGAGATGGGAGAACCGCTTGAACCCGGGAGGCGGAGGTTGTAGTGAGCTGAGATCATGCCACTGCACTCCAGCCTGGGCAACAGAGTGAGAGTCCGTCTCAAAAAAAAAATTATTATTTTTTTGAGACAGAGAAAAAAATTATTATTATTTTTTTGAGACAGAGTCTCAGTCTGTCGCCCAGGCTGGAGTTCAGTGGCGCGATCTCGGCTTGCTGCAACCTCCACCTCCCGGGTTCAAGTGATTCTCCTGTCTCAGCCTCCCGAGTAGCTGGGATTACAGGTATGTGCCACCACGCCTGGCTAATTTTTGTAGTTTTAGTAGAGATGGGTTTTCACCATGTTGGCAACACTGGTCTCGAACTTCTGGCCTCAAGTGCTCTGCCTGCCTTGGCCTCCCAAAGTGCTGGGATTACAGGCGTGAGCCACTGCACCCGGCCGGGGAGGGAGTATTTTAAACCTTGCCTCACTGCCTAACAGGAGTGCCGAGGAATGTCTGGTGGACCCCAGGAGAGGGGCTGTGAGGAGGTTAGGAGCAAAGCCTGGAGTTGTGGACCCTACAAAGGAAGGGTGTACCTGGGGCCTGCCCTCAGGAAGCTGTGGGGCTCCAAGAAAGTGCTGGGTCCCCAGGATGGGGCAAGGATGTCAAGTCAGGGAAATTGGGAAACCTGGCTGCCGGGCCCTTCTCAAGGCAGATCTGCCCGTCTGGAAGGCTCCCTGGTTGTGACGTGTGCACCTCAGGGTTTTAGGACACAGAGTTCAGCCCCATCTGCCCACAGGAGGGTGCTGGGAGGAGCCAAGGCCTCTCTGAGTTCTCTCTGGGTCCGGGGCAGAGGGGCATGGCTGTGGAGGGTCCTGCTGTGAGTCCCATCAGGACCTGTGGCAGGGGTGGATCATCTGGAGAGGAAGCCGTGGAAGGAAACTCCCACCTTCAGCCTCCTGGATGGCAGGGGAGGGGCTCAGCCAGCCCCATGATCATGTGCCTGGCATTTGCAGGGCTGTCCTTAATTTCCACTGTGGGTAGCCGGTGAGCCTGGTAGTTGGGTGTGTAAGTCATGTGGCCTCAGGCAGGTTACTCTACCTTCCTGAGCCTCAGTTTCCTTCTTTTAAAAAAGAGATAGTGATCTCACAGACCTCTTACTGTTGTTGGGAGGATTAACTATAAACCTTTTAGTATGGTGTCTGGCACACAGTAGGGCACTCCGTAAATGATGGTTATCGTCATCATCCCAAGAACTATGCTTGCTATGATATAGTTTTTTTTTCTTTATTATCTTCTTGCAAAATTACAAGGGGCAGGACTTTTATGTCCATTTTAAAGGTAGAGAAACTGAGGCCCCAAAGCTGCTCAGAACTTATCAAGATTCCAAACAGCCGATTGGTGGCGAATTTGGGAATAGACCCCAGGCCTACCGGCTCCCATCTTGCCACCCTACCTGGCAGCAGACCAGGGGATGGAGTGTCTGCCCCCAGTGTGTGAATTCCCAGGAGCTGAAAACAAAGAACCGGGATTCGGATTCGTCAACACACTCCCACGGGGTGACTCACCCGAGAACGAGAGCCGGGATCTGCCCTAGCACATTCCCACCTCCCGGCCTGGCAGCAGCAGCCCTGCTGACCTGAGCGCCCAGGAACGGTTGAAGGGGGGTGCCGAAGAGGGGGGTGCACTGGCAGTGGGGAAGGGTCTCACAACCGCTGCCCACCTGGCCAGACTGTGGTGCCTCAGGGCAGCTGCCTCCCGCAGCTTGAGGGTCCCTGATGCTTAGAGGGCCTGGGCCCCAGGGGACACCCACGGTAGTGTCCTCAGCCTGGGGGCAGGAGAGTGGAGCTGGGAGTGGGAGTGGGGCGTGGGGCCGGGCGCCACAGGCTGGGAACAGCTTGCAGGTTTTACAGGTCACATTATCTTTTATGGGCATCCTAAAAAGAATGTCAGGCACTAGAGGGTTTTTTTTCCCCTTTTCTTTCTTTCTGTCTCTCTCTCTCTTTTTTTTTTTTTTTTTTTTTTTTTTTTTTTTTTTTTTTTTTTTTTTTTTTGACTCTGATCACTGCAGTTGCCACTGCAGGATTTTTATCGCAGGCCTGGTCCCTGAGGAGCCAGGCAGCCCCACTGGTACCTGCCAAGGACTGGGTGCTGGGGGAAATCGGGGTGGGTCGGGGTGGGGTGGAGCAGCGTGGCTGCCGGGAGCAGCACGCTCACTTCTTCTTCAGATGGAAGGGCCTGTGTCTCCCCCATCAAGCTAGGACAACAAAGGGCCCATGTCTCCTCCATCAAGCTAGGACAACAAGCTCAACTTCCAAGTACAGCCTTTTCCTCTCCCCTCTACGGATCTCTGCCCGCAGGAGAGTTCAGTCCATGGTGGGGACTAATTCACTTCCAGCATCAGCTCTCTGGCCCTGCATCTCCTAGATTAGGGAGTAGAGAATCCCCATGAAGACGCTGGCTCTCCCCACCCTTTCCCCAGCAGCTCAGTGCCCCTGTGGTTCCATCTGCAGCTGATCTCACTCCCAGGAAGCTGCCTGGCCCCTGGTATCCGCAGAAACCAGCTTTGGGGCCCAGAGGTCCTGCCTGGGCAGCCTCATCTCCCTCACCTTTCAAATGGCTTGGGTCCCCCAGAGCCTACTGCCTCAAGGGCATTGTTTTGGGGGCATTGACTCCCTATTTTTAAGGAAAGCACCGTTCTGGAACTGACAGCAAGATCTACAAGACAAGTATGTGTGTGTTGGAATGGTGGGGGATGCTGGGGAGCACGTTCAGCCAAGAGAAGGACATTCCAGGACTCTCTCTTTTTTTTTTAAGACAAAATTCCACTCTGTTGTCCAGGATGGAGTACAGTGGTAGGATCACTGCAGCCTCTGCCTCCCAGGTTCAAGCGATTCTCCTGCCTCAGCTTCCCGAGTAGCTGGGATTACAGGTGTGCACCACCACGCCAGGGTAATTTTTGTACTTTTAGTAGAGATGGGATTTTCACCAGGTTGGTCAGGCTGGTTTCAATCTCCTGACCTCAAGTGATCCGCCCACCTCAGCCTCCCAAAGTGCTGGGATCACAGGCGTGATCCACTGCACCCGACCTCAAAGACTCTTTGAGTCGACATGGCATGGTGGTTAGAGATATTGATTTGAGGTCCCAGCTCCACTGCTTACCGTCTCTGAGCCTGGCTTTCCTTACCTATAAGACGGGGATGATAAACAAGGGTCTCAGCCTCATTAGGCTGCTGGGGAAAGTCACTGAGTTCACAGACCGTGGCACACAGTAAGAGCTCAATAAATGCGTATGATCATAATTGGTGTTCTTATGAATCAAGTCTGGGTACAGCTGAGCCGCTGCTTTCTGTCCCTGGGGACTCCGGAAAAGGAGGTGTGGGCTGACGTGGCAGCAAGACGCACCACGGTGACATGGCAGGAACAACGCCAGGCCATGATACCAGGCGAGGGGGCCGGGGGTGAGACAGCTCTTTGCCCTGAGATGGTTAAGAAAGAGGAGAGACTGGCCAAGAAAGTGAGTGCCGCCCAGGAAAATTAGGCAGCGGGCCTGATGAAAACCAGGCAGCGAGCCAAGCGAGAAATGTGACCTTCCTTCTGCCTCTCCTTTTTCTTTCCTCAGAACCCGGGGAGGGGTGGGGCAGGATGGCTGCCTGCAGCTGGGGCTTGGGCTGGAGGTACCACTAGGACCGATGGGGTTGGGGGCATTGTCCAGGCAGGGAAGGAGAAGGAAGCCTACGGAAGAGGAGAGGAGGCCGGAAGAGGATGTAGAACTGCACGAAGCCGGCCAGCCGAACTTGGCTTTAGAATCAGACAGGTTTGTAGGGCCTGCTGGGATCCTAGCAGAGCTCTATTATATGCCAGTCATTTTACCCACAAGAAAACAAAGACTCAGAGAGGTGGGGTGACTTGCCCAAGGTTACACAGCAGGCAGAGTAAGAGCCCTGGCTGGAACTCGGGGTTCCTGGCTTTCAGACCCTTCTGACTTTCCCTGCTCTGAGGGTAGCCCAGAGAAATTCAGCCCTTAGCCCAGTGCTCTGAAGGCCTGGTTTTCTCAGGCTGGGGCAGCGCAATGAGAGCATGAGGTCTCAAACCTTCTCCCCCAACTAAGGGTGGCCGCTACCCAGGGTGCCCTGATGGTGGCTCCAAGGGCCCCCTTCAGTCTAGAGTATCTCTTACAAGTTTATGTAAGTTTGATGTGCTATTCCATAAGGGATTTGTGTTGCTTAAATAAAAGTTAATGCAGGTCGGGCGTGGTGGCTCACACCTGATTTCCAGCACTTTAGGAGGCCGAGCGGGGGAGAGTGCTTGAGACCAGGAGTTCAAGACCAGCCTGGGCAACATGGTGAGACCCCATCTCTACAAAAAATTTTTAAAAATTAGCCAGGTGTGGTGGCAAGCACCTGTGGTCCCAGCTACAAGGGAGGCTGAGCCAGGAATCACTTGAGTCCAGGAGGTCGAGGCTGCAGTGAGCTGTGTTCACACCACTGCACTCCAGCTTGGGAGACAGAGTGAGACCTTGTCTCTAAAAAAAAAAAAAAAAACAAAAGTTGGCCAGGTGCGGCGGCTCATGCCTATAATCTCAGCGCTTTGGGAGGCCGAGGCGGGTGGATCACTTGAGGTCAGGAGTTTGAGACCAGCATGGCCAACATGGCGAAACCCCGTCTCTACTAAAAATACAAAAATTAGCCAGGTGTGATGGCGGGCGCCTGTAATCCCAGCTACTCGGGAGGCTGAGGCAGGAGAATCGCTTGAACTCGGTAGGCGGAGGTTGCAGTGAGCTGAGATGGTGCCACTGTACTCCAGCCTGGGCCACAGAGCAAGACTCTGTCTCAACAAAAAAAAAAAAAAAAAAGAAAAAAAAGAAAAGTTAATGCTCCCCCACCCAAAATTTAAGAAAGAAACTGATGGATTGGGAAGACGTGCCAGTTTATCCCAGGGCTTCATCTCCCCAGAGTGGGGCCAGCTCTGCCTGCTAGTGAAGCTCACAATTAATGATCCACTCAGATGTTAGTTTCTTAAGGCCAGGGATTTTGTTAGTTTGGTCACTGCTGTGTCACCAGCACTCAACACAGGGCTTGGCACATAGTAGGTGCTCAATAAATATGTGCTGAATGAATGAGTGAATGAATGAGCAAGGTTGTCCAGAAAGCCTGTCTAAGGAGATGAAGTTCTAGCTGAACTCTGAAAGACAGAGAGGCATTTAATTGGCAAAGAGAGGAGACAAGCTCTCAAGCCAGAGGGAGCAGCTAGTATGAGGGTCCCAAGACAAGAAGAACCAGTGTTGGCGTGGCTGAAATACGGAGTGTGCTGAGTGGGGCGCGGTGGGGGACTGTGAAGCTCAGCTCCTTTCCTTACGCGCTGTGTGATTATTGGTCCTTTCTAAGCCTCCATCCCTTGGTCTGTCAAATGGGGTATTACATTAGGATCCATCTTTCGGGAGTGGGGAGGACCCTGGAGTTGATGCACAGAGCCTGCCTGTGGCCAGTCCTGAATACCAGTAGCCCACAGAAGAATAACAGCAGGCTGGGTGCGGTGGCTCATGGCTGTAATCCCAGCACTTTAGGAGGCCAAGGTGGGCGGATCATCTGAGGTCAGGAGTTTGAGACCACTCTGGCCAATGTGGCGAAACCCCGTCTCTACTAAAAATACAAAAATTAGCTGCGTGTGGTGACAGGCACCTGTAGTCCCGGGTACTTGGGGAAGCTGAGGCACAAGAATTGCTTGAACCCAGGAGGCAGAGGTTGCAGTGAGCTGAGATTGTACCACTGCACACTAGCCTGGGCAACAGAGTAAGACTGTCTCAAAATAAATACATAAATAAATAAAATAATAGCGGTGATTATTATCATTATTCCAGTGAGCTTCCATGCTTCATTTCACACCGTACCCCCAGGCCCCGTCCCCAGCCCAGGCCAAGCTGCGGCCCCGGGGTGCCCCCTTCCTGTTCCCACCCCTCTTGAAGGTCAGGCCTCCCCAAGGTTATCTGTGTTTTTCCCTGGATTCTGTGAAGTCACACAGGTCACACTCTGGGGCTGAAAAGTGTTGCTTTTTATAGCCTTCCCTGATGGCCAGGAATGCCTGTGGGGCCCGTCCTAGGGAGTCCTGTCCCCGGAGCAGAGACACCTCCAGGGGTTGGGGGCTCTTCAGTCACACCAGCCCAACACCCCAGCAGTCTGGGGCCCTCTAGGCCAGGCCCCCACCCCAGCCAGGTGTCAGAGTGGCGGGGAGGCTGGCCAAGAAGGTCAAAGTGCCCTGGACAGAGAGCCGGGACTCCTGGGTTCCAACTCTGGTCTTGGGCAGCCATTATCCCTCTCTAGGCTTCAGTTTCCCCATCTGTAAAATGGGAACGTTGGGCCTTGCCTGCTTCCCACGGTGGGGAAGTATCCGGAGGCTTGGAAAGAATGGGGCAGAGGGTCAGCGGGTCCCCCAGCTAGGCCCCCATGATGGCAAGAGAGGGAAAGGGACAAGGGCAAAGCCGGGCAAAGACGGCGTCAGAGCGTCATTGATTTTGTGGAAGGATGCGGTGGGAGGAGGGAGGTGTGTCTCTGTGTGGCCGACACCCTGCCCCCTCCACCTTGTTTCCTCCTCACCCTGAGCCTTGCAGGAGGCACACTCATCACACAGCTTACTGGTGGAGAAACGGAGGCTGGCAGCATGGGCTTGGTTTTCCCAGGGTCACTGGCTCCTGTCCCCGGTTGGGGCGTCTCAGCAGGCAGCCCTAGGTGATGGCTGGCTGCCGAGGACCAGAGTTGGGGCCTGTGTGGGCACCCTCGGCGTGGGAGGTCTGTACCTCTCCTTCCGCTGGCCAGCCTGGCCCACGCCTGGCAGCTCACCCACGAGTCCCTCTATCCCCGCCCCTCCCAGTGCCCCCTGGAAGGAGCTTGACTCTGGGGTCCTAACTGGGCCCTGACCAGCCCGAGAGCAGCCAAGGGCTGGCTCAGCAAGAGGGAGGCTGCACTTTGCTTCCCTCCTTCGCCCTCCCGCCCCTCTCTCCGCCCTCTCTCCCCTCTGCCCCCTCCCCCGTTTAATCTGGTTCTTATCAAGGATAATAACATTCAGCGACAATCACCCAGCTGATTGCCCCCACACCCTGATTCAGCAATACAGAAGCCCATGGCCTGCGCTACCTGAGGAGGCCTCTGTGGAGGAGACCACCCCCACTCCCCCACCCAATGGGGCTTCTACCAACACCCTCATCACCCCCACACCTGGCTGGGTCCCCAGAGCACCTCCAGGGAGGGGACGCAGCCTCCCATCTCTACACATCTCTCAAAGCTGTTTCCTTTCCTCCAGGACCTGCCACAAGAGCCCAAGGACTCCTGTGGTGCCCATCTGCCCATCCCTCTCTCCCAAGAACAGCAAGCAGCAGCTCCCATTCACTGAACACTGACTTTGCGTCATGCTCTGCAGTGTTTGGGGCAGGTTCTCACTGGATCATGAATAACCAGGACTATTCTTAACCCTGTTTTATTCAGAGATGAGGAAACTGAGGCTCAGAGAGGTCAAGTCGCTTGCCCAAGTTCACACCGCTGGGCAGGGGCAAAATCAGGATTCGAACTCAAGACCGCTGGATCCCAGAATCCAGACTGAAGTGCTGTACATACTGCCAGCGGCCTGTGCCCTGCCAGAGGGAGAGCACCTGCCAGGCAGTGTCCCGTCCTCACACAACTGGGGTGGCTCTGCCCCAAGGGAGATGGACCTGAGACCAAGATCCCTCCCTCTCTGCCCTGAGCCTTGACATGGCAGAGCTGAGAGTGGGGGTTCCTGCTGCAGCCCAAGCCCGGGCCAGCTGCCAGGGCTGAGCCTGGGGTGCCTGCACCCCATGGGGACCTTTGTCCCTTTAATAGGTCCTCCTGGGTACAAGATGTCCCAGGGCGGAGGGTGCAGCTGGAGTGCCAGGTCTGGGCAAGCCCTGCCCGGGGCACTCCCCAGTCTCTGGAGCTTGGGGGGAGGGCAGCCTTGTCTTTAACTGCAGCCATTGGTTTCCCTGCAGACAAGAACTGTGGCCCGCAGTCACCCCCAGCCAGAGCAAGACTTAGGGGTCTTAGGTATGGTGGTGGCCAGAGGCACAGCCTGGCACTCTCCTAAACATCACCCACGATGTTTGTACAGATGCCCCACCCCTCCCACCTGCTTTCAACCTCACGCCTCTTGCTCCTGTTGCCTGTATCCTGGTCTCCACAATCCCTAGAAAGCATCCGCCCTCCTCCCTCCCAACTACTTTGAGCCTCCACGGGCTTCAAGGCCCTGTTCTCAGCACCTCCCTCAGGAAGCCCTCCCTGCCTGCTGCAACACACACTAGTCTGCCTTTCCCTCCTGGAACTCATGAAGTTCCTGGTGTAGGGTTATCTTTGGCCAGGCACGGTGGCTCATGCCTATAATCCCAGCACTTTTGGAGGCCGAGGCGGGTGGATCATCTGAGGTCAGGAGTTTGAGACCAGCCTGGCCAACATGGTGAAACCCTGCCTCTACTAAAAATACAAAAATTAGCCAGGCATGGTTGGGGGCAACTGTAATCCCAGCTACTTGGGAGGCTAAGGTGCAAGAATCACTTGAACCCGGGAGGCGGAGGTTGCAGTGAACCGAGATCACACCACTGCACTCCAGCCTGGGCGGCAGAGCAAGACTCTGTCTCAAAAAAGAAAAAGAAAGAAAGAAAGAAAGAAAGAAAGAAAGAAAGAAAGAAAGGAAGGAAGGAAGGAAGGAAGGAAGGAAGGAAGGAAGGAAGGAAGGAAGGAAGGAAAGAAAGAAAGAAAGAAAACCTTATCATCTGTCAGTTCTCTTCTGCCTGCATTGGTTGAGCCCCTACTGTATGCCAAGCCCAATGCTGTGCTCTACGGGGAAAAGTAAAATATTATTAGCTCATGGTACTGGCCTTGTATATGCTCTCAGGCCTGGAGGAGAGGAGATGACATGTGCCTTCCTAGAGTCCCTTTCTAAATAGCCAAGTTCTTCTTCCACCCATACCCCCTGGGTCTGAGGGCTCCAGTCCTCAGGGGCGCAAGCACCCCAGGCTCAGCCCTGGCAGCTGTTCATAGTATGTGCTCAATAAATCCTTGCTGGTTGAAGAATGAGCTGAATGAAGGTGCCAGTACCAGTGGGCTTGCTTCATGTCCTTCTCTGAAGACAGGGACCAGGTGATGTCCTACACGCAGGAAAAGCCAGAGTTTCTGGGAACTTGCAGGGGGGTCAAGGCTAGGGAGGCAGGAGCCAGGAAGGTGCTGTCTCATTTGAGACCTTACAACAGAGGGGTGGGGGCAGGGAGCAGGTAGGAAGAGCATTCCCTGGGAAGCCACAGCAGGGGCAAAGGTGGGGGCTAGACCACCTGGGCCTGGGGAAGTGAGTGCAGGCCAGTGCATTGGAGAGGGGGAGCCCCAGCGAAGAGAGGAGAGGGTGAGGCCAGAGAGGGTGGTGGGACCTTGCGAGTCATGTGAAGGGACCTGGACCAGGCCCTGCAGGCCCCAGGAGCCTCCGATGGGCTTTGAGCAGGGGACTGTGGGCTCAGGTTTGCCACTGCAAGAACGGCAGGTGGGCAGGGCCAGCAGCCATCAAGGAGGAGGCTGCAGAATCCCAGGGGAGCCTGGGCGGCAGAATTCCCTCTCCTCTTCCTCCGGCTCGTTCTGGGACTCCTACATCTTAGCCTCTTGGGACCCCGAGGGCTTATAGATGCAGACAGGAACTGTGCCCCCCAGTCGCCCCAGGCAGGGCAATCAGGGCATGAGTTCTCAAATCTTCTTCCCCTACCAAGGACAGCAGCTACTTAGGGTAGCGGCCTAGAGGCCTAGAGCTGGGAGAGGCTCTTGCTTGAGTTTGACAATGAGCTGAGGCGCAAACCCAGGCCCCCGGCCTCAGACCGAAGTGCCCCTTCCCCACCATGGACAAGGAAGGGTAGTGGGCATCTGTGGGAATGAGGGTCCATCAGGGTATCCCTGCTCAGGCCACAGACAAATATGATCTCGCATAGTCCTGGCAAGACCAGGGCATTTAGAATGGGCCAGAACGGAGGCTGAGAATAACAAGTATCTTCCAAGGAATAAGGGTGGGGAGCGACAGGGAACCAGGTTCCAGTGTAGGACCCCCTGCCAGTCTTGCTGCTTTTAAAGAGACAGCCTGTGTCATAAAGCAGTAAGGTGATTCCACGGATGACAGATAGGGATAGCAATGGCTACCCCGTCAGGCACCTAGTACGTGCTTGGCACTTTTCATGCACGATTTCATGTGCCCTCATGATAACCTTATGAAGAGGTCGTGTTAGTGACCCATTTTACAGATGAAGAAACGGAGGCCCAGGCCCAGGATGTAATTTCTGCAGCGGCTGTAAAATGGGAGAGTCAGGATTTGAATGTGTGAGGCCTGACCCTGGAGCTGTCTCTTAATGCCATCTGGCTGATGTGGGTTGTGTCAGGGGGAGAGTCAGAAAGGCTTGGGTTTGAATTCAAGCTCTGCCATTAAGTGACCTCTCTGAGCCTCAGTTTCCTCCCCACCACCCCAGAACACAGAGATGAGGACAAGTCCACCTCCTGAGGTTTCTGTGAGGACGTAAGACGATGCATTTCACATGCCCGGAACACAGAGGGGCTTGGGAGCACCTGCCCACCTTCCTTTCCAGCAGCCAGCCTGACCCTGCCTGGCCTCTGTCAGGTGCCCACACCCCTGTCTGGGCACCTTCAGTCTCTGCCCCACACCCATTTGCATGCCAGGCTGCCAGCCTTGGCAGGTGAGCCAGGCACGCCTGCCTCCTCCCCCTCCTGTGGGTGTCAGGGAAAGAGCTGGGAGCCGAGCAGGGGCAGGGGCCTGTCAGGGCTCTTACCCCTTTGGGCTGGAGCTGGGGAAAGTGGGCACTGGGCACAGAGGGCAGCCCTCCTCTCTAAGGGCCCCCAAGAGTGCTGGTAGGTGTCGACTCTGGAGAAAGGTGCAGGGCTCCCTCTGCCTCTTCGTCCCGCCTACTTCCTCAGCCCTCGATAAAGGTGTTTAGCCAGCAAACAAAACAGACCAGGCCCATTTCTCAGAAGCCTTTGGCTCCCCTGAGATGCCAAATAGCCGCTCACTCTTCCGCCTCCACGGACTGGCTTTGGTGTTCATGCTGGTTGGGGTGAGTGCTCTGAGCCTCAACACCTTCATCTATAAAATGGGAGTGAGACTCTCTCCGTGGATGGTCTTGAGGCTTCAGTAAGAGTGCATGGGGTGACAGCTATTTTAGCTTAACCACAGATTCTCCGGCCCTAGTAAGCTCCCAGGCTGAAGTTCCCCCTCTTGAGCACTTGGGGAAACTCAGGACCTGCCCCCAAGCTCCTAGGTTAGTAGAGGTGGGAAATTGAACCCAGGAGTTCACACTCCCGCCTCTGCCTGTTCTTGAGAGGGTGGTGCCAAGATACGGTCTCCTCTCCCAAGGGCCCAGAAGAATTTGGACAGGGAAGAAAAACAAGCCCCAGCCTAATGTTTTTCATTTCTGTCCTGAACAATGCAGTTTCTGGGCTGATTGTTA
The DNA here is from genome assembly GCF_000001405.40 of Homo sapiens. NCBI lineage: Eukaryota > Metazoa > Chordata > Mammalia > Primates > Hominidae > Homo > Homo sapiens. The sequence continues at coordinate 10,815,198 of NC_000001.11, read as the reverse complement.
AGCAAATATTGCAGGAGGCAGGGCCTCAGAGCTGATGCAGGCTGGGAACACTATCAGAGCCACAGCTCCAAGGCCAGGGCCCCGGCCTCTGCCACCCACAGATCCTTCAGCGCTCCAGGTCCCCTAGTTGGCCCTCCCCGAGGTCTAGCCACCTGTGCAGAGGGGCTTCAGGTCCTGGAGGCTGTGTGAGTCCCACCCTGGGGTGAAGGCGTCATAGAGACTGTCTGGCCCACAATGTCAGGTCTCTTCTCCCTCCCTCCACCCTCCTTGGGGGCAACTGGGAGTTTGATCCACTGTCCCAGCTTGTGCTGGACTGCGGGGTTTCTCGTGACATGGGACTTTCAGTGTTAAACCAGTAGAATCTCAAGCAAATCGGGGTGATTGTTCACTCTGCAGGCCTCAGAGAATGAAATGGGAAGATTCCTTAGAAGACGATGATGATAATAACAAAAACAGCAACCGTTCATACTAATACAGCTAACCATTTATTGAGCGATCACTAGGTGCCAGGCACCATAAGAGGAGCTTTACAGGTAGCATCTCACTTATGCCCACAACAGGCCTTGCGGAGATTCATTAGTCCCATTTTACAGCCGAGAAAACCGAGGCTCAGGACCTGACTTGCACGAGGTCATGCAACTAGGAAGCGGCAGAGCAGAGAGTCCGGTGCAGTCTGAGTCCAAAGCCCTAGGTTTCAGTTACCATCTGCCCCATCTGGGAAGTTGACCTTGGCATGACACAGATGGTGAAATCAAGATCCAGTGAGGCGGACAGCGCCCTACTCTGAGCTGGTGCTCTGTCAGCGTGTCTGGCTTCAGGGGACCTCTTGGTCCAGCTCCTGAAAACACACACCAGTTGGTCTGGGGGAATTCAATGCTTCCTTCTTGTCTAAAGGGCCCCAGAAACTGGCCCCAGTACTGGGGCTCAGTGCAGCCCCTGCGATCTTGCTTTTCCTTGGAGAGCCTGTTGCAAAGTCGGACAAACCCTGGCTTGCTCATTGTGAGAGAGTCCCGTCCAAGGCTGAGGCATGGCAGGGTCTCCAAACTCCAGCCCTCTCCCAGGTTCCTGAGGACTGGAAGGCAAGGGTCAGATCTGGTCTGGATACTTTTCTCCCCAGAGGCTGGGCCTGCCCATGTGGTCCCCTCCTCACTGTCCCCGGGCTTGGCTGGCACCCGTGGCGGGGAGGGCGCTGGCACTCTGGGGGTCTGTTTGAGGTTTCCTCCGGCGGCTGGTGGCAGCGTGTACAGCTCACTAATTAATTAGCGCTTAAGTACTTAGCATCCTCCTGCATCGTGTCAAACGAGGATTTGAGTCTTAATTCCCTGTGTAGGTAACGGTGGGAATGTGCCGGGGAGAGCGGTCAGGACTTAGAGGAAATGCTTCCCCTTGCCTGGATGCAGGCTGAGAACATTCGCTGCTGTGGGAGCAGAGCACCTGGACCCCCAAACCCTCATCTTCCCCCCATTTACTTACCTCCCAGGAGCTTTACTGTGGCACAGAGGTGTAACCAGGCAGGCTCTGTGGCCACACTGCCTGGGTTCTACTCCCACCCACATCACCTGCTACCTGTGTGCCCCCAACGGAGTCACTTCTTCATCTCCTTGGGTCTTGATGTGCATGTCTGGAGGGTTTGATGGGGTGGCATCTACCCACAGGATGCCTACAGAGATTAAACAAGCTAGCATGTAGAAATTCTGCGGAACGTGGCTGGCACATGGCAGGCCCTGATTAACAGGAACTATCATCTTTCATGCGCCCACCCTCTTGGTTATGTTTTTATTTATTCATCAAACTTCTTTCAGATGTCTACTATGGACCTGCTGAGCACAGGGCTGGGTTCCTGGGGCACAGAGTTGAGTAAGTCTCTCGACCCCCTAAGCCTTACTCTGACCATCTATGAAATGGGGATGATGACAGACTCTGTCTCAAAGGGGTGAGGGTGAGGCTTAAATAAGATGCTGTAAGTCAAAGCCCTCAGCACTTACTATGGGTGGCAGGAGGGGTAATGGCCCCAGGAGAACTGGGCTGGGGGCTGCAGGGGGGCCCCACCTCCAGCCCAGCATGGCTCACAGGACCAGTCTGGGAAGGTGGCTCCAGCCCTTGGCTGCCAGTGCTGTGCCAGCCTCTGGGCAGGGCCACAGGGACTGCTCGGGAGGGCTCCCCCACTCAGTGTTGGGACTCGAGGACATGGGGTGAGGGTGTCAATGGGTCCTTAGAAGGGGAAGGGTGGTGGGAGCCTCAGGGAAGGCCAGGCTGACTCTGACCCTCTTTTTCCTAGTGCTTATGGCCCAGGAACTGCTGGGCCCCAGGACTGGGCGGTTTCCATGGTTGCTGCCACAGAAGCAGCATTGCTGGAGTCAGTAGTGTGGCTGCCTTGCCATGGCCGTGGTGGGTCTGCCTGGGGGTATCTCAATCCCGCAGAGTGCCAGGCAACCACTCCAGCCTGCTGTTGAAGGCCCCTGGCCACCCCTGGGTAAGTAAAAGATGTCATTTGGCGGTGTGGCAGCGAAGGGGGAGCCAGGCAGAGTACGAGCAAGAAGGTAGTGGCAGGGGGTCGAGGAGGGTGCTAGAAACTGAGTCTGAGGTTCTTAGATTGGCTCTGCTCTGTGACCTGAAGAAAGCCGCACAACCTCTCTGAGCTTTGATTTCCTCGTGTGAAACGAGGCTAGCAATTGTGCAGGAGACAGTGTCTCCAGATGAGTGCTCTGTAAATTGATAACATGTCATAAGACTTCTGCAATTATGTTATTTAGCAGTCAAAATTGGCTAACGGTTCTATGGAAACCTTTACCCACTATATTATAAACCCCTTGCAGGAAAAGACTCAAATTCAACTCTGCACCCACTATGGTCCTAGCACTAACTTATGCCCATGAGAAAAATACATGCCATAGGCCAGGCACGGTGGCTCACGCCTGTAATCCCAGCACTTTGGGAGGCCGAGGTGGGTGGATCACCTGAGGCCAGGAGTTCAAGACCAGCCTGGCCAACATGGCGAAACCCCGTCTCTACTAAAAATACAAAAATCAGCTGGGCCTGGTGGCACACACCTTTGTAATCCCAGCTACTCGGGAGGCTGAGGTAGGAGAATCGCTTGATCTCAGGAGGCAGAGGTTGCAGTGAGCCGAGATCACACTATTGCACTCCAGCCCGGGCAACAGGAGCAAAACTCCATCTCGAAAAAACCAAACCAAACCAAAACAAACAAACAAAACAAAAACCACCATGTATGCCAGGCCCACTATGTGCCAGGCACTGTGTTGAGCAATGGGCAGTCACTGTGTCTCATCAACTCTTACCCTCTCACAGAGGAAGAAACTAGGCTTGGCCTGGTTAAGTCACTTGCCTAAGTTCTCCTAGCTAGTAAGTGGTAGAGCCAAGATTCAAACCCAGCTCAGCTGAACCTGACACTTGGTAAGTATGTGTAGAGTGAATAAATAAACAAATGAGTGTGTGATTGCAGGAATATCATTGGTTAGAGGAAGATGAGTACCTCAGCCTCCCGAGTAGCTGGGATTACAAAGGTGTGTGCCACCAGGCCCAGCTAATTTTTGTATTTTTAGTAGAGACGGGGTTTTGCCATGTTGGCCAGGCTGGTCTTGAACTCCTGGCCTCAGGTGATCCACCCACCTCGGCCTCCCAAAATGCTGGGATTATAGGCGTGAGCCACTGTGCCTGGCCTATGGCATGTATTTTTCTCATGGGCAAAAGTTAGTGCTAGGACCATAGTGGGTGCAGAGTTGAATTTGAGTCTTTTCCTGCAAGGGGTTTATAATATGGTGGGTAAAGGTTTCCGTAGGACTTTTAAGTGAAACTATAAAGGCAGTGGCAATTGAGTAAAGAGTTCCCCGTGGTTTTTGACTGTTTCAAGCTATTACCTATTATTTGCACAGAGTTCCAGAAGTTTAAGAGACACACACAAAATTATCCAACCCAGAAGAAGAGTGCACTTCCAGGGACAATTTAAGCATTCAGCTGGTAGCAGTAAAGCACCTGCTGCAAGCCAAGTGCGTGGATAGGAGCTGTGGTTACAACCCTGGATGGGCCAGACATTATCCTCCTCTCACGGTGCTAGTGGTGACTGGCAAGGGAGCTGACTTCACAGCATGAGGGCCACCTGGAAGGTAACCTGTCTCAGGTGGCAGGTTGGGGACTTGGGGCCAACCAGATTTCTCCTCCTTTCTGTGTCTGTTCCCCTCCATGAAATGAAGAGTTTAAGAACCAGGGTGTTATCTAACCACATCACCCTGCTTCCATATTCAGACCCAGGGTCTGAAAGAAATGAGATGGAGACAAAATGAAAGCAGAAGGTTGGAGGAATGAAATTCACAATAAAACCTACAATCTGCTCCTTGACCAAAATGATAGCTCAGGCACGCTGAGCACTCACTATGGGCCAGGCGCTGTGCTAAGACCTTCACGTACTTCATCTCACTCTGCCCTCTCAACAGCCGCATTTTCCAGTTGACAGACTGAGGCTTGGAGATGTCACCCTGCCCAGGGTCAAACGGCTAGTAAGTGGTAGAGCTGGGATTCAGACCCCAGGGTGTCTGACTGTGGAGACTGCAAGGTCAGCTCTGCTCTGTTGCCTCAGCAGGTCTATTCCTTGGATTGAAAGAGCTCGCTGCAGTCTGATTTCCCACAGAACAGTAGCATGGAAAGAGTGGAGGAAGGCAGGGGAAAATTCCCAGGCTGGTAGCTGGTGTTCTATCTGCAAGGCTGCCTTAGCTCAAGCGGCCCCAGCCTCCGGGCAGCTGGTGGGAAGGTAAACTGCTGAAACTGAAGATTTGCAAAACCCACCATGCTCCAGTTAACGAGCCTCTTGGAAAACCTCTCTGAAGGTTCCTGGCAGTGTCCCTGTGGGAGCCAGCTCATGTATTTTAAGACAAAAAAAAAATCATTAAAGAAGTTAGGACTCTGGAGTGGCCGTAAATGTAAAATATTGGTGGTTCGACAGTGTATCCCTAGCAGCCGTAGGCAGAGTTCATCTTGATGAGCCAGAACCATGTCCAAGAAATGAATCATTTTGTTTTCCTCAGAGGGCTCCCCCTGAATCTTCCCAGGCCGTCTGCTCCAAAGTTTTTAACTTGCCCACCTAGCTCAGGACCCACTAAGACCACGACTGCTCCTAGCCAGGAAAGGGAATAGGGTTGGCAGAATTGTAGAGCAAGCTGGGCCCCAAACACTTCTGGAACGGTGCCTGAGAGATTCCATTTTCCAGATGGCCCCCAAGCCTTCCCTTACTTTGGTTGTTGGTAACCATAACTGTCACACCAAAGGCACTTGTCTTCATGACATTCTGGAGGAGGGAGGTCATGGCATGTGGCACCTCTTAGGCACTCCGTGAGTGCTTGTGGATGGTGGGGGCAAACACATGGTTTGCATGGTTTGGGCCTCCCACATATGGCACCTGCTTGTCTCTTTGGCTGATGGGTGTCTTGGTTTCCCTTTGCCCAGCAAAGGTGGTACCACCATCCAGCCAATCTTTTATTCTGCTCCCTCTTTCATTTGGTGAACCATAGTGAGGATCCAGATCTAGAGGATTTAAAGTGTTGGGGACCCCCTGCCAGCTCAGATCAAATTTAAAGGTGTTGGGGACCCCCACCTGCCTCAGATCAGATTAAAGTCAGTGGCAGCCCAGGCCAGGAATTGAGGCTAGAGGGGGGATTTCCAAGGTCCCGCCCTAGCCCCCAGCTCCCACATCCAGGGTGACTTCCAACAAACCACCTGACCCCTCCCCATCCCCTCTTCCCAGCTTAGAGGCGGGGAGGGTGACATTGAGCTTCGGCTCTGGGGCGTCCTAAGGGTTAACTAATTAATGGTCGGAAAGTGCTTTGAAAAAATAAAGTGCTGGATAATGGGAAGGGCAATTATGTTGGGAGAAACTCCTAATTTGGCTGGAATTGATGTTAATGATAAAGTATCTGAAACATGTAGCAAGCAAGCGTGATTGTATTTTATATGACAGAGAGAGACACTTACACGCAGGGGACACGGACAGCGGTTAATTTGGTTAAATAAAGTGAAAGATAAAAGGAATGCGGACACCGCAGGACTCGCTGTTTATCCGGACTCAATGTAACACTTTGCAATTGGATCGGGGCGCTTTGACTCTTATTTATTTGTTTGTGATGAAAATAAATGGGAAAGTGCCAGTTTTATGGCTTAAAAGGAGATGGTAGAAAGTAGAATCCAAGAAGGAGTCCCAGGGCTTCCGACGAGGCAGGCTCAGGCTGCGTTCCCAGGAAGGAGAACAAGGTCTCCGAGAGAGTCAAGGTGGGTGAGGACATCCTCACTCCACCCCACCGGAGCTGGGGGAATCTCAGAGGGCAACCAACATAGCTCTCACCTTCCAGAGGGAGAAACTGAGACCCAGGAAAGGGAGAGGGTATACGACTGAGTATAGGAGCCAGCATTAACTAAGCAATTCTGTTCGCTATGATCAGATGAGATGTTATGATCCCATTTAATCCCTAAAGCAAGCGTATGAGGTGGGTACCATTTTCACTGCCATATTACAGAAGAAGAAACAGAAGCTCAGAGAGGTCAAGCAAGGAGCCCAAGATCACACAGCCAGGAAGTGGTGGAGCAGGGCGTTGGGCTCGGGCAGCCTGACTCTGGGAGGAAAACTCCACGAATGGTGACTTTGGGACTAAGCCAATGCTCTTAATATTCATGTCCCTCTTCTCCTTGACTACGTTCTGCTGAACAGGGAACCAGGAGAAGGAAGTGAGGAGACTCTTGTCCCAGTCCAGGAAAGACTGAATGGGGCTGCCCAGGGTGATAGGGATGCCTGGTCTGGGACCAGAGCAATGGCAGGGGTTTGAGCCCTAGTTTGGGGCCCCAGAGGACAGCATGAATTTGCCCCAAGGAAGAACAGGAGACTTGGTTTCTGGAAGGTCTGTGAGGTCCCCGCAGGTCCATATTAGTATTCAGTATTTATAATATTTCCATAATGGTAAAACAAAAGAAAACAAGCAGAGAGAATGCATTTTTAATCACCAATCATTTCTCTTTGTTTGTTGTGAATGAACAGCGAGGTGAAATAGTATTTCATAATCACCCCATTCGAATTTTCCTCCCCACGAAGCGCCGAGAAATCTCTAAATAAAATAAATAAACAAGCCAAGACCTTAAAATAAATTCCAGAGGGTAAAGTGCTACGTGTGGGTTATCACAGCTGCGGGGAGGCTGGGGCTGGGAGGTGGGGAAGGGAGGACAAAGGGCCAGGGGCCTTGTCAGTTATCAGGAATCGGATCCCCCAGATCCAGAGACTGACAAGGAAGGGCAGAAGATCAGAGGAATGGTTTGAAGATCTGCAGCAGCATGGAGCTGGAACAGACTCCCCCCTACTTCATTTCTTCCTTCTTTTTCTTTCAGAATCTTCTGGTCCTCCTTCTCTCACTGAAAACCAAAGAAACTCTTGTTCCCTGTCCCCTTGGCACTTTACAACCTCTCACTCAAAATACTCCTCATCAGGGGCTCTTTGGATAATGTCTGCCTGCCCTCTGAGCTAGTCCAACCTTCTCAAGTGATAGAGGAAGAAACCATAGCAAAGAGAACATGGAAGGAACATATCTAAGACTCTCCAGCAAGTTAATGACAGGGTTGGGCCTGGAAGCCAGGGGGCTTGACTCCCTGTCAAGTCAGCTTTCATCTACCTGCACTTATCTCTAGATGTCTTTGAGATGCCTCCTATGCCGCTGGATTTTCTCCACTGGCTGTTCCCAATTTTTTGTTTTGTGCATCTCTGCATCTCCAGACCTTCAGGTCCTAGCAAGGTGCCTGGAACATGGGGTCACTCATCAAATGTTTGTTAGATATGTGGATGGATGAATGGATGGATAAATGAATGAATTGGTGGGTGGATGGATGGAAGGGTGGATGGATGGAAGGATGAATGGGTGAATTGGTGGGTGGATGCGTGGAAGGGTACATAGATGGATAGATGGATGAATGGATGGATGGATGAAAGGTTGGGTGGATGGATGGATGGATGGATTAGTGGATGGATGAATGGAAAGATAGAAGCTGGCTGGCTGGATGGATGAATTGGCGGGTGGATGGATGAAAGGATGGATGGATGAATTGGCGGGTGGATGGATGAAATGATGGATGGATGGATAGACGAGTGGATGGATGGAAAAATGGAAGGTAGATAAATGAATAGATGGGTAAACGGATGGATAGATTAAAGGTTGGGTGAGTGGATGGATGGATTATTGGAGGGATAGATGGATGGATTATTGGAGGCATAGATGGATGAATGGATGGATAAATGTTGAGTGAGTGGATAGACCGATTATTTGATGGATAGATGGATAAATGCATAAGAGGCTAAAGCTGATTTCATCCCCTTCCTGGCCAGTGGAAAAGGGCACCCTGGATGGCCACTTGCTGGATAGCTAACGTCAATCACAGTGTAGTCTAGTTAACATGTGGGAGTCCTGGCACCCTGAAATTATGTCTTCAACAACTCCTTGAAGGACTCTGAAAAAAATCACCTTCTAGAAAAGAGGCCTCCCTCCTGGTTGAAATTTGAGGGATAGCGCCAGGGCCAGGCAGACCCCATTTTCAAGTAAGTCATATGGTGGGAAAGAGCCCTGGCTGGGGCCAGAGGACCCAGGCTCTGTTCTCATTCTGTCACTAGCTCTGCATGGTCACTAGGGTCACTGGTGAGCAAGCGGCTTCCTCTCTCTGGGCTTTAATTTTTCATTCTGAACCATTCTCTGTTCAATGTTCTAGGCTGTGGGTCTGGCGCCTTCGATGTGGACACCTTGCCAGGGCTTGGGAGAACTTCACCTCTGGGTCTCTCTCCCTTTTTTTTTTTTGAGATGGAGTTTCACTCTGTTGCCCAGGCTGGAGTGCAGTGGCGCCATCTCGGCTCGCTGCAACCTCCATCTCCCAGGTTCATGCTATTCTCTTGCCTCAGCCTCCCAAGTAGCTGGGATTATAGGCACCCGCCACCACCCCCAGCTAATTTTTGTATTTTTACTAGAGACGGGGTTTTGCCATGTTGGCCAGGCTGGTCTCGAGCTCCTGACTTCAGGTGATCCGCCTGCCTCGGCCTCCCAAAGTGCTGGGATTACAGGCGTGAGCCACCATGCCCGGCCTGGGGTTCTTGTTTTGTCAACTGGGTGGCCCCTCTCCCTGGTCCCTGACCCCTTCCACCTTGAGGAGCGCCACTCGGACCTCTCCCACCCAGCCTCTTCTCTGGCAGGGCAGTGGGCACGGAGACAGCACAGAGCCTCAGGAAGCCAAGCCGCAGCCAAGACCCACACTCCTCTGAATCCTATTGAAAAAATAATAAAAAGGTAATTACTTTGTCATTACTGAACACTGGTTTGTCTTTTTTCTTTTTTTTTTTTTTAAGCCCTGACCATAAATAACGAGCCCATTACCCTTCAGAGTGGACACACACATTCATACGGGACCTGCCTCCTGGAAGGTCCTGGTTTCCTATCCATCCCCATGCCCTGACATACACCACACATCCCCCAACACGCATACACGTCGAGCACAGAGAGACTATTCGTTCACTTGTCATTTTCTAAGCACTCTGCTGGATGCTGGAAATAATCATAACAACAGTCATTATGTGTGAATCCAGGCTGAGTGCCCTGCATGAATTATCTCAATTAATTCTCCTGACAATACTGTGAGGCAGATCCTGGTTTCGTTGCCATTTTACAGATGGGGACACCGAGGCTGAGAGAGGTTGGGAGTTGCCCAAAGTCACACTGCTGGTAAGTAGCAGAGCTGAATTTGAACCCATGTGACCTAATTCAGAACTACAGCGATGATTTAGGCCAGGTGCGTTGGCTCACGCCTGGAATCCCGGCACTTTGGGAGGCCGAGGCGGGTGGATCACCTGAGGTCAGGAGTTCGAGACCAGCCTGGCTAACATGGCAAAACCCTGTCTCTACTAAAAATACAAAAATTAGCCGGGCATGGTGGCAGGTGCCTGTAATCCCAGCTACTCAGGAGGCTGAGGCAGGAGAATTGCTCGAACCCAGGAGGCGGAGGTTGCAGTGAGCCGAGATTGCACCACTGCACTCCAGCCTGGGTGACAGAGTGAGACTCCGTCTCAAAAAACAAAAAAAAAAAAAGAAAAGAAATACAGTGATGATTTAAACATAGATTTTAAAACCACACACACACCATCTAATGGGAGGGTTTAGGGAGAAGACAGTTATAACGTATGCTATGATGGAGAAAACAAGGGGGCTACGGGGGCACAGACAGAGGCGCCTAACCCAATTTGGGGCAGAGGGACATCAGGGAAGGCTCCCCAGAGGAGGTGCCACCTGTTTTGGTCTTAATGGGTGAGCTGAGGGGCGAAAGGCCTTAGAGCAGAAGGAACAGTCTAGACAGAGGTCTGGAGCTGGGAGCAAGCGGGGTAGCTTGGAGATCCGTGTGGCTGGAGCAGAGGGTGTGTGAATATGTGAGTGGGAGTGGGGAGAGGCAGGCCGGGCTGTCGCTCACATCTGGGCCAGCTTGGCACAGCAGGGCAGTCCTCCTCCTCCCCCACCCACATCCAGGGACCTGGCACTCCGGCCCGTGTGACAGGAGGGCAGCTCATCAGCAAAACAGCTCTTTCTTGCCTCCATGGCCAGCCCCGCCCTCCATGTGACGCCAGCCAAGGGTGGCAGCCGGCGCCTGCACAGGTGCCCGTCGGGAGGAAGCATAGCCACTTCCGGAGTCCCAGGGCAGGTTCCCTTTCCACACCAACTTCTGGCAAGATCGCATCCCAAGACAAAGCACCACCATGACTAGTCCCTTTGGCTTCTGCTATCAGATCTGGGAGAGGTGGGAGGGAAGAGAAAGGGGCAGGGGCTGTGTGGGCCCATGTGGCACGTGGCAGGGACCACACGGCTGTGAGAGTGTGGCTTTGCTCTGAGGACAGTGGGGAGGCTGGTCCTCCGATTTTTCCATCACTTGTTTTTCCCTGTTCCACAGGCCCTGGGGCCAGGCCTGCCCCACCCTGGCAGGCGTGGGAGGGGTTAAGGTGTTGGCCCAGGATCTTCGGGTAAGAGGTGATGTCAGCATCGGCCCTGCCCCTCACCTGGCTGGATTGCTGTGTATTTGGGTGGCTGTTGACAGCAGAAGCAGTCTCCCCATGTGCAAATACAGCACAGCCACACCTACATGGACCAGGACCCTTCTTTAAAGGGAATGCAGTCCCGCACCTCCACAAGTGCACACACACACTCCCTCCCACACAGATAAAATCACATTCACACACCTCACCACTTGGCATGAATGACACCCCTATCCACACACATCTCCCAGGCAGGCTGCTGAGGGGGCCTCGAAAAGATATATCTGCAGGGTTTCATTTCAATTCGTTCTTTAAATTCTTAAGTTCAATTCACACCCAAATACCTGCCTCTACGATGGTGGGTGTTTTTTTATTCTCTGCATTATATTTATCTCTGTATTTCACTGGGTTTCCTGAATTGTTTGCAGAGAATGTGAATTACCCTCCTTTTTTTTCTCCCCAGAAATTTAAAACAACTTTTTTCTTAAAAAAAAAGGTAGATAGTTCAGAGAATGTTAAAGCTGCAAGGGGCCATCGAGATCAGAGACCCTGGGACTAGGGAATTTCCTAAAAGGAAAATGTTAGTCACTTGCAATTCTTGTAGTTACCAGGCAGAGGTAAACATAAGTACCCCTGAAAAAGCAAATTAATTAGAACTAACTAGGAAAGAAGCGGTTGAGTCAGAGAGCAAGACAGCCTGTCCCTTGCTTGGAGCTGAATTGAGAGCTCGGACAGGGAAAATGAAAGCAGGTACAAAGTGTGGATCCTGAGCTCGGAAAACAGGTAGTATTTATGGCATAGAAATCCCTAAGGCTTTTCTGTCGAGAGAGATTTCCGGAAGGTGTGGGTGAAGGGGTAGGAGGAGGTGGGGAGCTCAACTCTGTTGAGACTGAAGGACAGAGACAGACCCTACTCCTTCTCTCCCCTCGGCTGAGAATTGCCTAAGAAGCCTGGGCTCAGTAGCTGTTCTGGAAGCCTCGGGGAACCTGTCAACGCGATGCTGTGGGCCGCAGTTCCTGGGAGACTGCCTTTCTCTCCATCCCTGCCTGCGGCTGTGGATCTCAGCAAGGCTGCTCAAACCTTGAAACAGCCCCTGCTTGTGGCCAGCACAGTTCTAATAAGGATTCATTACTAGAATCATAGACTCTTTCACCCATTAAATTAGCAGGGGTTAAAAAAAAAAAAGACAGAGAGAGAACACCAAAGGTTGGAGAGGAGACAGGAGATGTGCGCTGGTGGAAGGGCAAATGAACACAACCTTCCGGGGAGGAGGCAATCTGGCAATGGATAGGAATGGCTTCGAAATGTATGCACACTCTTGGACTCAACAATTCCACTTTAAGGAATGTGCATGATTATTTATGGACAAAGATATTCATTAGAGTTATTTATAATAATGAAAAGAATCAGAAACAAGTTCGATGTCCAAAATTTGCAACAGTGAAGTACTGCGGAAGTAAATTATGATCAACTCTACAATACGGCCATTAAAAATCATGTTGGAAAAGAATATTTAATGACCTGAGGAAGTGTTCATGCTACATACACATGTCAGACTAAAAAAAAAAAACCCCACCGTCCAGTATGTTCAGTGTGATTCTGATTTTACACAACTAAACAAAGCCAAGATCAAAAAAACAAACAAATAAAAATCCCAGACTGGAAGGAAATACACTGAAACATCAACCAGAACATTGACAACCATAGGTGGTAGGATTACAGATAATTTAAATTTGCTTCTTCCTGTTTATCTGTATTTTCTGAATTTTCTACAAAAAAACCCACATATTATATATTTAGTCAGAAACAAAGAATTACGTACTTTGCTAAAAGAATGACGGAATTTTGGGGTGGAAGAACTTGTCAAGTTCACCAACCCGGATGGGATTTGCGAACCAAGCTCAGAGTTTGGGAAAAAGCCCCTCTTGTTCTCCCTCCCCAGGACTCCCAAGAGAGACACTTGTAAATAAAATGAATGAACTCAACTTTTAAAAAGTTTTAATTAGGCCGGGCGCAGTGGCTCACGCCTGTAATCCCAGCACTTTAGGAGGCGGAGGAGGGTGGATTGCCTGAGGTCAGGAGTTCGAGACCAGCCTGGCCAACAGGGTGAAACCCCATCTTTACTAAAAATAAAAAAATGAGCCAGGTGTGGTGGTATGCGCCTGTAATCCCAGCTACTTGGGAGGCTGAGGCAGGAGAATCGCTTGAACCCGGGAGGCGGAGGTTGCAGTGAGCCAAGGTTGCGCCATTGCACTCCAGCCTGGGTGACAGAGTGAGACTCCATCTCAAAACAAACAAACAAACACCTTTTTAAAATTACTACTTGCCCAGTAATCACCATAATCACTTATCTCAGGCACTTGTTTAACTCTTCAGTTACGAAGCGTCTACTGAGCACCTACCTGATGCTAGCACCAGGCAAGGCACAGTGAGCCAGAAAAACGTGGAACCCACCCAAGGAGAACCACGAAATGAGGAACAGCCCAGGAGAAGGAACCCAGCACATCATTCAACATTTTCAAATGTAAAAAATAGTGACTCTTTGTTACCATTTATTGAGTGCTTACTATATACAAGATCTGATGCTTTGTGTTTTTTGTTGTTGTTTGTTTTTGGTTTTTGAGACAGAGTCTTACTCTGTCTCCCAGGTTGGAGTGCAGTGGCACAATCTCAGCTCAATACAACCTCTGCTTCCGGAGTTTGAGCGATTTTCCTGCCTCAGCCTCCTGAGTAGCTGGCATTGCAGGCACACACCACCACGCCTGGCTAATTTTTGTATTTTTAGGAGAGATGGAGTTTCCCCGTGTTGGTCAGGCTGGTCTTGAACTCCTGACCTCAGGTGATCCACCCTCCTTGGCCACCCGAAGTGCTGGGATTACAGGTATGAGCCACTGTGCCCAGCCTAAGATCCAATGCCTTGTACTGTAATTTCTTTGTTTCCTCTCATCTTTTACTAGATTGAAATAAGATCGACAGATTTGTTCTGCTTCCCCTTTCTCCTCTCCTAATGCAACTCACATTCAAGTTTCATCTCTTTATGAATATCAGGTAAAGGTAAAAATGCTTGTTGCATTGGGGTAAGTGGAGTAGTGAGGCTTTTGTTATCTCCCTGCCCAAGCAGCTGGTCCCAAGGGAGTCAGACTGCCTGCCTCAGTCTTGGGAAAGTTATTCTCTGTGTCCCGCTTTCCTCATCTGTACAATGGGTATATTTATAATTGCAACAGTTTCATATGGTTGTTATGTGGGTCTAATGAGATATCACGAAGGCTTAACATGGTGCCACGCCCATAATAATCACTCAATAAATATCAGTGATTGATGTACAATTTGCTTTCCATCACAGTAGAGGACCAGAAACCAAAAACTGTGGGCAGCAAGCTGAGCTGTGATTACTCTCAAGGCTTTCCCAATTACACAAACTGAAACAGACCTAACTTTATTTGTTCCACAATCAATTATTGGGAGCCTCTTGGGTGCCAGACATGGTGCTTGGCTCCTGAGCTTCTGAGATAAAGGTGCAGACTCTGTCCTCGGAGTGAGAAAGGTTTATGTGTGTGTGTAGGGGGGGTCTTCCCTGGAGATGTAGAAATGGGAGAGGCTCTTGATCACATGCAGCCTGGCTGGAGGCAGGGGGCTGGAGAGATGTTTTGATGGGGTCCTTAGCTGACCCACCTCCCTTCCCACCTGTGCAACCTCCTCTGCTGGGTACAGTTTGCCAGAGCCATCCATTTCCCCACTGCAGACCCCCCGGCCAAATGCCAGGGAGTAAAAATCTCAGCCAAGGCCACCGTGCCAACCTGGTAATTCCTGGGAAGTCCTGGGTTGTATCGGCTCACATCAGCTCCTCTTCCCCCCACCAAACTTTGTCCTAGGACCTTTCTAGTCATTCTCCAACAGCATAGGCACTTGAAGGGCCGGGATCACCTTGGCTTATCTTGATTCTGTGCCTGATTCACAGAGAGTGAGGGCCTGCTTTATGCCAGGCACTGCTCAAGGTGCTGAGGGCACAGAGGATGCAGAACAAAGTCCCTGTCTCCAAGAAGCTCCATGCTAGTAGGGGCAGCCAGATAGGAAATATGGGAACAAAGCAGGAAGCAAAATCATTGTGGACACTCAAATAGGACAAAGTGGTAAAGAAAGGCTGGGAGCTACTTTAGCTAGAAAGCCCCCCTGAGGAGGTAAGATAGGAGCAGAAACCTGAACAATGCCATTCGATTTGCAGGAAGCAGCCTGCAAAGGCGACATTCCACGTGGAAGAAACAGCAGGTGCAGAGGCCCTGAGGTGGGGACAAGCTTGGTGTTTTCCAGGACAGCAAGAAGCTGGTGTGAACCAGGCAGAGAAGGAGGGAGGTGAGGCCCAGGGACAGGCGACGGCCAGACCTTGAAGGACCTTGGTGACCACGGGGGAAAGGCTTGGATTTTTATTTTAGGGGAAGCTCAGGAAATGCTAAATTGAAGAACATGAGGGGAAGAGCACCTGACTTCAGTCCCTGCACTGGGAGTTTGGGTGGGGAGTGAAAAAAACAAGCGATGGAGGAACAAGGCATGAAGATATTTGGCTGCGATCAGAGGCTGCTGTTTGGGGTTGCCGCTCTCTCCTGGCCCCTTACTTTAATTTTTTGGGGGACATTGGGAGTGATGGTTGAGAAACAAAAGAGCTTTCCCTTTTTACCTCCCCCGCCCCCAAATCCTCTTCCCTCCTCCCAGCCTTGCCTCTGTTTCCAGCCTTCCCTACCCGAGATGAGGTTCCTTTAGAGGAGGTGGAAAGACTTCTCGGGAGGTGGGAGAATTACGAAATATTTGAGAAAAAAATGGAGGGAGGAATACACATTTTAATAAAAGTTTGGTGGGTGACGTGGCTGTTGGAGACGTTGAGAGAGGTGGGAAATGGTGTGCGGGAGGGCATTATAGTGGGAAAGGGGTAGGGGTGAGCCTGATAGTGAGAAGTGGGGTAGGCCTGATAGTGGGACAGAGAGACAAGTGAATTCTTCCCTAGCCCCTCAAGGGCAGGCTTTGTCTCATTCATCTCTGTCTCCCCAGCACTGGTGGAGATCTGCTCTTCCTCGGAGCTTAGTCATCCCTACCATATGAATGAATGAGTGAAGGACTATTGTTGGAGGGGGAAAAAAAGGACAAAGGAGAAGGAATGGAGAGAGGATGGAAAGAAATGAGAAGTAAAGGGAGCACTGGATGTCCCAAGGAGCAATGACAATTACTGGCATTTATCGATCAATATCTTGGCCCAGGCCCTTTTCCTGCATTAACTCATTTTAGCTTCTCAACAATCCCAGGCAGTAGGTACTATTATTATCCCCATTTTACTGTGGAGGCAACTGAGGCACAGACGGGTCAAATGCCTTCCTCAAGGTCACCCAGCTGGTGGAGCGGTAGGGTCTCACCCCCAAGCCCAAGCTGCTAACCCCTTCTTTACGCTGCCCCAGGAGTGGACTCAGCCGTGAGCCAATAAGGTAGAAGAGCTACCTTGCCACTTCTCAGGTTACTGCCCCTCACTGTGCCTCAGTTTCTCCTTCTGTAGGATGACAAGATTGGGCTTGAGATCTCTGGGGCTGTGCATCCTGCTAAGTCACCAGGCACAAGGGTCTTAGAGATGGTGGGTGAGCCCTCAACCCCTGAGAGCTGAGAATGCCTTGGATGGTGGGGGCGGCAATGGAGAGTAACCAATCAGTGGTCTTTGAGGGATGTTAATTATCGTTGTGTTGCTGCTTCCAGTCAATTATTGGGATAAGGAGGGGGGAAAACAAAATGAACCCGAAACATGTGTCTAATGTCTAAATCTGGCTTTCCTGTGTGGACAGATCCTGAATGGACCCCCAGAACTATTCCAGGAAGTGAGGAGCTGGTTTTTTGAGCTGGTTTCTTCCCCAGTCCATCTAACACAAGCAAATATCACTGAGTATCTAAGGAGTGTGGGATGGCTCAGCTTCCTCTCCCAAATTTGTTGGCTTTATTAGGGCACAGGGCAAATCCTGGCCTCCTCAGGGCCAGAGGGCCATCATGTCTCCAGTCTGTGTCCATATGCTTCTGGACAATTAACTTCCAGTTTAAGGCAGGACATGGGAATGCATCCCGGAAGATGCTTGTCTTAGACAATCATCATACAGGGTTTTGGGTCGTTTCTCTGGTCCTGAGAGGCTTTCCTGACACCTTGCAGATTAGGCTCCAAATACTACCAGCCTGCAACAATGTTTACCAGCCTGTGGCATTGCCTCTTAGTTTAATGCATTCTGTTGAGCAGGGCTTGAAGCTGTGGGTCATACTTTGAATTTATATTCATTTATTCCACAAATCATTGATCTATTTCGTTTACTGTTATGGTCAGTTTCTCACTTATCTCATCATCTGGGTGTTTTCAGTTTCTTTCATGCCTCTCGATATTTCCATCCCACGCTTATGCTGAAGGGAAAAGCAGCTCAGGCCTGGAATGAGGGGTGCGCTTGCTGAGAAAGGCAAGACCAGAGCTACAGGGCCTCAGCACTGAAGCTGACTACTAGGCTCAGCTGGTGTGGCCACCTCAAACCAACTGGGAAATGGGAAGTCTGGGTATGGGAGAAAAGGGGGTTTCTTCAATAAAGTATGAAAGTGCCCCTCAAAAGGCCCTTCCCCCCCATCTGGGGGCAAGGGGATTATCTCTCGCAAGACACTGCTTTGTTTTGTTTTGTCAGAAATGAGGTCTAGCTATGTTGCCCAAGCTGGTCTCGAACTCCTGGGCTCAACCGATGCTCCTGCCTCGGCCTCCCAAAGTGCTGGGATTACAGGCGTAAACCACCATGCCGGCCCCCAAGACACTTTTTAGCCTATTGCCTTGGTTTATTTTCTTCATGGATACTTTCACTCTCTGAAATAACATTATCCACTTGTTTTAATGTGTATTATCTGCCCCCCCCCCAGCCCCTCCATGTAAGGTTCATTCTGCACGGCCTATCTTGCTCACTTAAGGATTTATTTCTTGCACAATAGATTGAATGAAAAACTCCCTTGCAAAGAATAAGTGCAAAGCAGATATCAAACAGTGAGAACATTTCGTTCCTTTGGGTTCCACAGTTCTAACATTCTAACTTGCAAAAAAGAGCCAGTTCTTCTGTCGAAAGTGGGAACCGAACTCGGGCTCTCTCGGGGTTCAGAACAGGTGGAAAGTAACCCCCCCCCCCATCCCTTCTCTCTTTTCCCCTAGCCTCAACTCAACTCAGCTGGGGGGGGGTGTAGAAGCCTCTGGACCTGCAAAAGGGGGCCGAGCGCTCAGATGCTCCTCCGCAGGCCGTGCGACTCGCCGCGCGCACACGCTGAGCTCAGCCCGGGCGGTGGGTGGGAAGGATCCGGGAGGGGCAGGTCTGGGGGTGTGAGGGTGGAGCGGAGCCCGGCCCCGCGATCCGGCCCGGGTTTTGCATGCCACCCACTCGCCCGCCCGGCCGCGGAGAATTCCATAATCACAGCGGGCGAGAGCGGAGACTGGGAGCGAAAAATCCGGGATCCGGCAACTTTGGGCAGCGCATGCGCGCCCGCGGCGCTCCATCCCAAACACACACACATTTTTCCCCCGGACTTGGAAAGTCACCCAAAGCCGCCCCAAGTGCAGGTAAGAGACTCGGCGCTCCCTCCGCCGCGGCCCCCCCACGTCCCCCAGCTCCGCGGGCCTCCCGGGGCGCCTCCCCGTCTCTCCCCCTGTCCCGGTGCACCCCCCCCACCCCCGGGGCTGCCGCTTGCAGCAGGGAGCGGGCGAGCGAGCGAGCGAGCGAGCCAGCCAGCCAGCCTGCGATCGGCGGCTGCCACCCAACTCCGGCCGTGCGGAGGCAGGGGGCACGGAGGGCTGGCACCCGGGCGCGGGGCGGCGCGTTGCCTGCCGTGGCCAGGGGAATGCCCGGCGCGCGGCTCCGGGGGAGGGGAGGGCTGCTCCTCCTGGGGGTCGCTTACTCCAACTGAGGGGGTGGCGGGGTAGGGGAGAAGAGAGGGAGGTGCCAGGCGCGAGCACAGGACTTTGCAAATAGGGTGGGGGCGCCCCACGCGCTGTGGGCTCCCGGGGGGGCAGGTGATCTCCAATACCGGGTAATCACTCCTTCCCCTTAAACCCCCACCCCACCCCACCCCCCAGCAGCAGAGGGGTCGTGCGCTCTCCAGGGCAGAGAAGGAGGCGGGGTGAGGGGTGCCTGGGGTGACTTTGCAAGACTTTGCCCATGGGAAGGGGTGGGTGGGGAACCCCTCCAGCCGGCTCTTGTGCCCGGATACCGGGTGTAGGTGCTGCCAGCAGAGGTAGGCAGTGTTCGCTTAGGCGCGGGGTGCCAAAGGGTATCCCCCATAGGAAATCGAAGGCAAGAGATTTCTTAGATGGGGGGAGCGGCGCCCCCTTTTTCATCTGTGCCTGGGAAGTTTATCTCAAGTGCGCTGCTCCAGGCGCGGCAAGTGGCGTTCCTCACTCCCTTCCCCACCCCACCCCCTGCCTCCCCAGCTGAAGGGCTGGCAACACAGGGCACGGGGAGCCGGGGCATCGGCCCAGAGCTGCCCGGCTGTCGGCTGGAGCCCGCCTGGGTCCCGGGGAAAGTTCGGGCGAGTTGTTGCCGGCTGTTGTGTGCGCCAGAAGAGAAGTTGCGCCCGGGGACGTGGGACGCTGGGCTGGCGGGCTAGCGGGCTGGTAGAGTGGTGCGCTCCGGGGGGGCTCTGCAGCGTGGGAGAGGGTCGGTCGGGGTCTGTTCCCCCAGGGTGGGCTGAGGGTGACCTCGGAGCTCAACAATTGGGGAGGAGGAGCCCTGAATCCAAGGGCACAGGGCTGAAATAGGCACCTGGTGAAGGACAGAGAAAAAAGTAGTTTGTGGGGGCGCAGGGAACACCAAAGGGAGAGAGCCGGTTTCCCGGTCACTTAGGGTCCGGCTTAACGGCAAAGGAGAGCGTGGTGACTGACGGAGGAGCGTCGGGGAGCGGGGATCCAGGGGGCGCGCGGGAATGGGGGATCGGGCCAGACCGAGTCAGGGATCTCCCGGGGCAGGGGGCCGATTCGTGCGCCCGGGGTGAGCCGGACGGGCGGAGCGGCGGCCGGTTTATTTTTACTCGGTGGCATTTGCAGAATGTGCAGCTGATGGCCGTCGGCCGCCAGGAAGTTTTGCTTTCTGTTCTTTCTCTCTCTTTCCGAAGCCAGCACTGCCGGGAGCTGGCGGGCCGGGCAGCCGGGTCTGGAAGGGGAGGGGGCGGCCGCCGGGGTGGCGAGGTGCGGGCAGAGGCGCGCTGGGGCCGCTGGCGGGGGCTGGCCGGGCGCGGGCGGGCGGGCGGTTGCTGGGCCGCTGCGGAGCGTTTGGGCGAATGTCTGTCCCCGGCGCTGGAAGCTCCTCCGCGAAGGGAACAGGTGTATGCGCCGTCAATCACGGCTGGAGGGACACTTTGGGGGCGTAGATTAAGATAATAATAATAGATTTTTCTCTAAGGGGTGGGCGCAGATTCTTCTTCCAAGTCATCCCCGACCCGGGTCCGGAGTTGGGGGAGGCTAGTGGAGCGCTGAGGGAGGCAGGGGACCCCCTCTTCCTCCACACAAGTTCCTCTGCCCCAGCTTCAGCTTGGAAAGCCGGCTCTGGGCGCGGCGAGGACCTCCTTCCAGCCACGCTGGCTACGGTGCGGGTGCGGGTGCGTGCCCACCGGAAAAGCGGCAGTAGCGCCTCTCCTGAGTATGGAGCTCCCCCAAACCTGGATCACTGGGCCACGGGGCGGAGTGTGCGTTTCTGACCGAGTGGAGTGTGGGGGTGCGGCCCTCATTGTGCGTAGTTGTCCCGCCGACACCCGGTACACTCAGGGGGTGGCGAGGGGGAAAAGGCCCTGGTAGTCGCGGGGCAAAGTTAGTAAATTTAGGACGTCTCCGAGCTGGTACAGGCGCGCGGTGAGAGCGCACGAGGGGACTGGAAAACAGATCGCCGGATAATCTTGGTGTCCCCCCGCCCAACCCACGACGCGCGCGCGCGCGCACACACACACACACACACACACGCATACACATACAAACACGCACACACACGCGCACACACACACGTCGCCGTCCTAAAGGGAGCTGTCCCGGCTGAGCAGGAGCAGCTGCGCCGGGCATGGGGAGGGGGGTAGTTGTTCCCCGGGGGCTGAGCCGGGGCTGCGCTCCACGTGCCCGGAGGGGGCGCTGGGCCGTTCGGCGCCCGAGCGCAAAGCGCCGGGTTTGCGTCCTGGTGGCGACCAGGCGGTGCGTCCCGGGCGGGCGTCGCGACCTGCGCAATCTCCGGCCGCCCGCGCCACTCCCCCGACCCCCAGCCGCTTTCCCACTTCCCAAACTTCGGTTTTTAGGGTGTGCCCCTCGCGGGAGCTCCTGGACCCTCTTCAGGGCAGAGTGGAGAACTTCTCCTTTCCAGGAGGTAGCCACCATCTCTGTCCCCAGAGTCCGGCGAATTGGAGAGATCGCCGCCCCGCCCCCCCGCCACCCACCCCCTTCTTGTTAGCCACCTTAGAGGCGGTTAAGGAGAGTTTATGGGGAATATTGTTGAACTTCAGTAATCAGGTTTCCAGCGATCTTATGCCTCCTGTTTAATTTATTAGACTAGTTATTTATTCTGTTGATGATAATCTGTTGCTGGTTTCTATGGAGATGTTAAACTGATCTCTTTCAGAAATCAAACTCCATATGCACTAAAACGTTTAAAGGGGCAGTGCCTTCCTCTTTTTTTCCCCTTGCCTTGTTTGTTTGTTTTTTAGACTTTGCACCTTGCCGAGACTTGGAGTCTTGCTCTGAGTCTCGGCGCATTTTATTTCCTTCTTACGAAGGAGAGGAGCCCAGCCCGGGAGCCTTACGCTTTGTGGCAAGTACAGCTTATTATGGCTAGAAGAAAGCGAAGGCTTTGATCTCTAAGTTGCATCATCATTTAAAACAGATCATTTCACCACCACCCCCTTCCTCCCCCCATCATATAAGAGCAAAATTCTTTCAAGATCAAAGAGTCCAATCTTTTAAAAAAGCTATTGTTTAAAAAAATAAGAAAGTCAGTTAAATATGAAACTCCCTTTTATATCTGCTCCCCTTATGTTTAAATAATTTTTTAATAAGAAAAACAAAACTTGTAGCTCAGCTAATTTTTTTCACACTTATTAATAGTTTATCTTGCCCCCCACCCCTTTTTAATTTAAAAGAAGTTCAAAGTTAGATTTCTCTGCCTGTGGGGGTTGAGGTATATTTGCTCCTCTTTTAGATCCTGACCATCTGTTTTAGGAAAATTAGCCTCTGGGAAGAGGGGAAAAGGAGTTTTTAGTCAAACTTACTGGAGTGCTTTATTTATTTATTTATTTTTTGGGGAAAATTGTCACCCAAATATTTTAAAGTTCAATTTTGCCTGCTTTTTGGGAGAATATCGATAACCTCTGTCTGGTATGTGAGAGTACATCAACTTTTTCTCCTTTTCTTCTCTGCCCAGGTATTTTTCTGTAGATTTGTGACTGGTTGGGGGTGGGGGTGGGGGCGTGGGGAGGCGGTGCAGTGAATTAAGAAAGGAAGACAGAAAAAAATTATCTTGTTTTGTGACACTGAAAAATTGCAAACTGACTCTGACTCAGATATTTATCACGCTGACAGATATGATACAAAGCGATTGCATTTCCTAATGATCCTTTGGGACTAAGTTGTAGGTAGAACCATTTAATGCATTTTTAATATTAAAGTAAGGCAGGGGTTGCATTTTCTTGGAGGTAGGGGGAGTGAATGTTCTTCCATAGAGATGGTGCTTTCTGAATATACTGCTTTACTTTTTCAACTGGACACCCCCCCCAACCCCACCCCTCCACATTTCCATTTACTTTGTGTGCGGGGCCGGGGGGGGGGGGGCGGGGGGGAGGGGTAAGCCATGTACAGAGCATTTGGCTTTCATAAATAAATTTATATCTGGCCAGAAGGTTCAATGCTAAATAAGAGCACACTTAAAAAAAAAAAAAACTGACTCCACCCCTGCTATAGGAAATAAAACAGGCAATACTTGAGTTTTTTTTTTTTTCTTTCTTTCTGCCACCCTGGTTCTCTTTTATATTATTTTATATTGGAGGGAGGGAGGTAGAGTGGTTGTTGCTGCTCAGCTCAGAGGCGAGAGGAACCATTCCTATTATTTCCCTCTTTGCTATATTTTTAAAATTTGTTTGATTTGGATTGCAAACAGAACAGAGGCTTACGAGTAGAAAAGAGCACTGTGGCTTTAAACTCAGGAGTTTGCATATTCTCCTTGTATCTTTCCCCTTTGCTAATTATTGTGTTGTTTTCAGAGCAAATATGTCATATCCATGGCGACCGGGCAGGTTTATTGTCTTTCTGAAGCAATAGCTCACATAAGTAATTAATGACTTTCTTTTTTTTCCTCTGGCTTAGGTTAAACAGATCATTCAAGGAAAGTCATCTCTCTCTTCTCTCTCTCTCTCTCCCCCTCTTTTTCTCTCTCTCTTTTTTTAGCCCAGTGACATAAGAACATGAGTAGAACAAGAAAATACTTTAACCAAGAAGTCAACAGCTTATTTTCCCCCATTTCTTTTCAAGGCTGAAGTGTCAGCTTTCAGACATATGAGGCTGTCATTCTCGCAGCCCTCAGCAGTGCAGTCCACGCCTGGGCTGGAAACCCACTGAAAGGTTGTGTAGTTTGGAGACAAGGGAGGTGTTAGCATGACGGGGGGAGGAACCTGGAGGAATTTGCTTTTGAGGTTGGGGGAAGCACTCCAAAATAAGTATTTCTCCTGTATTTAGCAGAATTTAATTAAATTGTTTACAGGAAAGAATTAATGAGTTGGTAGTAATGTGTTTTCCCACCTCCCTTCTTTTTCCCAGTCTAGTTAATTGGAAAGACTAAGTTTTTCTTTTTGCTTCACCTTCAGCTTCCGCTTTCTCCGACCTTTGTCTCAAGTGCTTTTTCCAGGAAAAGTAGCTTTTGGAATCCCCACTGGTTAATATTTCCAGAAGTATAGTGGGGTTTTTGTTTTTGTTTTGCTTTTCCCCTTAGACCTACAACTCAGAGCTGGTTTCTTCTTCTCGGGAATCAACAGCTCTGATGATTGACTAACACTTGGATTTTTCAACTTTTTTTTTTTTTTTTGATGGGAAGAGGGTCTCTTCGGATGTAAAATTATATAGATGGCACATCTCCCCTTCTGCATCTCGTGGCAGTATTAGGGAAGGTAGAAGCAAATTTTTTCTTTTTTAAAAAAAAAATCACCTTTTATGATCTACCCTTTACAAATGGACCTTTGCTAATAAGATTCCTCATGATGTCCCCCCCCAAACTTTAGAATGTGCTAGATGTCCTACTAATATTCTCCAGGGCTCGCTCGCCCCCTCTTATAGACATACATTAAGTACATTTATACCATCCTCTCCCCCTTTTTAAAATGTCAGGCATAGCCAAGGTTTTTGTGTGTGTCCTTACAAGGGGGGAACGAGATAAAGAGAGAAGCATTTATGTTGTACTCACACACAATTAAAAAGAATATTCTCCCCACCATCTGAACGAAGTTCAAAAAGGCTGTGAGTCCACGGAATGAATCTTTAGGCTTTTGGCATTGAAAATAAAAATATAAAGAAGAGAGATTTATTTGGTATCTTGTTTCTGAAGAGGAGAAGAGAAGGCCGAGCCAGTCTGATGCTGAGACTCCAGCGGAGTTGTAATTGAGCCCGTAACCTCTTGATGTCTATATCAGAAAAACAGACATGAGCAGAGGGAACCGAAGAGAGGCAAACAAGCCTGGTAGAGGAGAGGGAGCTCAGGGGGAGATTCACGGAGAGAGGAGAGAGATTTAATTTATAGACATTTTAAAAACCGTAATTTCATTAGGATCTGTTCTTCCCTTTCTCTGAAGGGCAGCCCGGCAGACCGATAAGGCCGGTCCCTGTGCCCGGGATACGTGGCGTGGTTGGGAGGGTGCAGGCTGGAAGCATCATTGCCAGCACCCCGTGTTGGTTTCTTCTCTGTCCACTTTCTACTGGCTTTCTTATTTTGAAATTAAAAAGTCCCAGATGGCCAGAAGTCAGCCGTGGTTCTGGCTGCCTGGTGATCTCTCCTCTGGCTGCCACGCCGCTCTGCGAGTGGGTCTGTCTTCTGCCTGGGCGGTGG
The DNA here is from genome assembly GCF_000001405.40 of Homo sapiens. Lineage (NCBI taxonomy): Eukaryota > Metazoa > Chordata > Mammalia > Primates > Hominidae > Homo > Homo sapiens. The sequence goes on along the minus strand of NC_000001.11, from coordinate 10,790,067 downwards.
CATCTGCGTGGCTCCCTTTGGTTGCAGGGCTGCCTGGTGTGCCAGCAGCAGGAGGCCACTGGGGGAGGGGGGCACCCCCACCTCGGGCCCCCTTGAGTTCACCAAGTTAAGTTGCTGTGGCTCTGAGGCCACAGCTTGGGGAAAAAAAGCTAAAGCCTGTCGTAAATTCTGCAAAAATTAATCAAGCGTTTAAGAGCTGCACGTTAACGAGGTTTTGCAGGCAAGCTGGGCCCTTCTCCTGTTCCCCCTGTTCAAAGTCCGGCAGAGTGAGGGGTGGCCTGGACAGTGTGAAGGGAAGGGGGAGTTTTTTTTTCTTACTTGGAATAATTGAGGACAACCAGGGAGAAGGAAGAAGAGAGATGGGTTTATTGAATAGAAATTCTCAAGTGCCCTTCTTCCATATTGTTGGAAATTTTTTCCCTTTTGGTCTGGATTTGTCCTATGTGTCTTTGGTGGAAAAGACACGTAGAGAAAGAGAGTGAAGGTGCGGGGAGAGAGAGAGAGAAAGAGAGAGAGAGGAGGATAGAGAGAGAGAGAGAGAGACAGGGACGTGTCGCTCCTTCGGAACTCATTATCATTCTTAATAAGTCTTAAGGAATAAGGAAGCGCATTGAGTGTAAATGCTGGGTAATCCTAACACTTCTCAAGGTGAGAGGAGTCTTGAGGACACAGAGAAAAGAGCCAGCAGAGGAGGGGGTGCGGGGGGCAGGCAGAGGCCCTGGGGAAGTGGCAGGCCCAGGGTTTGGGAGGCTCAGCAGGAGGCCTGGAGGCTGGGGTGGGGGGACCCCAAGATGTCCCAGGTGGGATGGGTTGTCTGAGATGACCCAGGGGATCTCAAAGATAGGGGGCTTTGCTAGGAGCAAGGAGCAGGGGTGATGGGAACAGCCCTGTCTTGGGTGGGGGGTGTGGGCAGGGGCCACAGGGTATTTGCTTTCTCCTGGGCGCCATGTCCCCAAACAGCTTGGCTCCTGACCCCTGGCCTCAAGTCCCTGGAGAAGGCCCAGGTGGGGGTAGGGTTAGAGGAGGCTTGTCCCACCCCACGCTCCCCCTTACTGTCCCCTTGGGCTCCCCTGCAGTGGCCACTGTGAGAAGCAGGAGGGACAGAGTGGTGGCTAGAGCTCAGCTCTGGACACTAGGTGGCTTAGAGGATCTGCGAGGTTCTGCAGAGCGGCAGCGGCTGCTGGCTTCCCCTCTGTCCCCACTGGTGGGCTCCTCTGTGCGATGCCTCTGCTGGCTGGGCAGGAAGCCCTGGCACACAGGAGGGAGGGCGCTGGCCCAGGGCATGGCACAGCTCCCGGGCCAGCCCTGCCAGTGACCAGCTTCCAGGCAAAGCAAGGATGAGGCCGGGGCAGCTCCCGGGTGAGGAGGCAGCGGTCAGGGACACTTGCTGCCAAGACGACTGGAGTCCTGCCTGTGGTCTCCGCCTGTTCCATCCTTGGCCACCTGGGTGTGAGGCACTGCTGAGCCTTGGTTTGACGGCGGGCAGTCTCTGGGCTGTGCTTCTTCCCTTCTTTTGAATCCATGTGCCCCCTTTGAGAATCCTCTTAATAAAAAAAATCTCGTAAGCATAAATGTTGCTTATACTTTGAGGGGTTTCGCAGATCTTATAAATGCAGTCTAAGGACCCTCTAGGGCCCCCTGCTCTGGTGGGCTTCTTTCCAATTCTCCAGGATGAGGCAGGGGGGCAGGAGGGAGGAGGCAAGATCGGTCCCCACCACTACTCCCACCTGCCTGCCTCTGCACTGGGAGAGGAGAGTGCTGTCAAACTGTCACCCAGGGGACCCCATAGGTGGATCGGGGCTAGCACTCAGGTTGCTCTGTGAGGAACCCCACCTGCTCAGGTAGCGATGCCCCTCACCAAGCCAAAGGCAGCTCTCCCGGTTCCCCTATCCACAGTAATGGATACATCCCCTTAATGGCAGAGCTCTTGGGCACATATAAAGGGATGTTCTGGATGAGAACATCCCCGTATCCAGCTAACGTTCTCTGGGATTCTAAGATGTTTGAGCAACGGTCTTAGGCAAGGTCATGTTTGAACCTTGGATAGTTTGCTCTGTGGAGAGATGTCAGCATGGAGAATAGCACAATTCAGGTTGGACTTATCATAGTTTTAAAAAAAAACATTTTTTCAAACTCTGTGTTTCTTTTGGAAAGCAACTTCTGGGGAGCTTTTAAAGGGGATGTGTGGGAGTCAGAGGTGAAGGCTGGTGCCTGAGCCGGTGGGAAGCCCGGAGGGAGAGTGGGATGGGTTAATGGCGGGTGGATTCTGCTTTTCTGTTGTTTAAGAGCAGTAATGGCCAAATTGCATGCCCTGCGTGTGCCTTGCTGATGAGATTTACCAAAAGGAAGCCTCGCTGCCTCTTTGCTGATGGTCTCTGGGTGGGTGAGCGTGTGTGTATGCGTGTGTGTGTGTGCGGGTGATCGTGCGCGTGTGTAAATGAGAAGAAGGGGTGGGGGAATGAGCTCTGCCAGGCTGGCACCCTTCCCCAGCACTAATTGCTGGCAGAGTACCTATGAGGGCTGTGCCAGCGTCTCCAGCTCCGCCCGCCCCCCTCGCCCCCGGGGAGCTCAGCTGTGCCGCTCGCTATGTGAGGGCCATTTCTGGGCCCACTCGTCCCCACAGCTCCTTCGGGAATTTCGGGGAAATCTGATCCTTGGGGAGACCATGGGTCAGGCCCCAGCATCTCTGGCTGGGGATCGGGGGACGGGGTGAGACACGGGTGGCCCCGAGCTCCACTCAGGTCTAACTGTCCACTCCCCTACCCTTCTGCGAGCCCCACACTTAAGGTCTTGCGAGATGTGGCCTGATGGGCTATGCATCTGGGGACCCTGTTCTGGTACTGGCTCTGCAGTAAATCACTGTGTGGCCTTAGGTAGTCATTTTACCTTTCTGGGCCTCAGTTTCCTCTCTTGTCAAATGGCCTCTGACCGTACCACCCTCGGAAGGGTGTCCTGATGGTTGGCTGGGCTCTTAGCTATGAAAGTCCTTTTTAAAGTAATTAAACGTAACGAAGAATTTATCATGGTTGGCATTGTCAAGTGCAAGGTGTCCCCAAGGTCAGGGGAGCCGGTTTTTATGTCATATGGTATCAGTCTCAAAGGGGACCCCTGTGAATTCCATTCCAGAAAGCCGTGAGCCTGGGTGTCGCGGGTGGTGCTGGGGTTACATTTTTGTGTCAGGTTGCAGGTTGGTTCTGTTATCATTGGGAACTTGGGGGTGAATTTGGGGGCTGCCTTTCAGGCAGAATGGGGGATCCCATTCAGGATATGGGGTGTGCTTTACTGTTTTGTGCCTCTGGAGCCAACAGGTTCATTTGAGGAGCTGTATATAGTGTAGATGGTGCATTCTGGAGCGAGTTAGCTGGGGATCAAAATCGTGTGACCTTTCATCAGTGACTTAACTGGCCGGTGCCTCATCTATGAAATGGGCATAATAGTACCTACCTCGTGGGGCTGATGTGAGGGTTACACGAGCTAAGACGTGTGAAATGTTAGGACCACATGTCTGTGTGTGTTACAGACCCATGCGGGAGAGGACACGGAAACACTTGCGGCTTATCAGGGATTGCCATGGAGAGGGGAACTGGGAGAGCTTGCTCTCTGTCTGTCTGGAGCTGGGCCCCTAGTGCAGGGTGACGTGGTGCTGCACACAGATTCTGCATTTTGTCCTTTACCTCTCTGGCCTGCCTGGGGTCCTCCTGGTGTTTTTGCTGCTGGGTCTGGAGGGGATGAGAATGAAGACTCTGCCCACATGCGGAGTCAGTCCCTCAAGTGGGGCAGGGGCCATTGCTCTTTCTTTCCCACACTGGCCAGACCAAGTGTTCCTGGAGCTCGGTGGGGTGAGGTGGGTCATCATGGGAGCTGTTTGGGACAGAAGGCCAGGGTGGGGTGGGGTGAGGGCAGATCTTGGAAACCGGCCCAAGGCGCCAGTGGCCTCTGCCAGTGTGAGTTGAATTCTGGGTGCTGGCAATCCCAGAGTCGTGCCCACGAGAGCGCCTCGCAGATGGAGGCTGTGTGGCTGGCAGAGGGAGCGGCGCGTGGGATCAGGAGCCAGGCTGAGCTGAAGGCGAATTGTGTTTCCTCCACTTGGACGATTCATTCCTCGAAGCCTTTGTTTCCGCATCTGTAAAATGGGACTTGGAATTCCCGTCACGTGGACCATGAGAATTAGATGAGAGGATCCCAGCTGACATTTGCTGGGGTTCCACTTTGAGCTTTATTTTACGGAACGCACACTGCTAGTGAGCAGCACATAGCAGGGGCGCAGGAGGAGGATGAAGCAGCCGTTGTGGGCTGAGCCTCATTTGGGTCTTGGCCTGAGCTCATCGCAGAGCCTCGGTGCTTAGCCAAGGGGCAGAGGACAACGGTTGTCCCTTTAGCCCCTGACATGGATGGAGCTGAGGTTTCCCACCTGCCCCAGGGATGGGTGCTCCCCAGGCCTGGGTGGAGGGCCACGAGACAGGCAGGGCGGGGCCAGGAGGAGAAGCAGAGGTGGGGTGGAGGCAGTGACCTAAGGAAGCAAGGGCATGAGGCCGTGAAGCGGGGGGCACTGGAGGGGCGAGGGGCACTTATGGAAGATGAGGTGTATGAAACTCCATCGGCCTCTCCCATTTCACTGTGCTATGCCAAAACACTCCGGTTCTTGTTTCACTATCTGAGATCTGGGAGCAGGTTAATTTCCATGACGAACTCCAGGCCACGTGCTTGAAGGATTTATCTAATTAAACGGATGCTTTTTTCTAAGAAAGAAATGAAGAAAGGGAGGGAGGGAAGGAAAGAGAAAGGAAAGGAAAGAAGGAAGAAAGGAAGGAAAAAGATGAGAAGGAAGGAAAGAAAGAAAGGAAGATAAGGATAAGGAAAAGAGAAAGAAAGGGAAGGAATGAGAGGAAGGGAGGAAAAGAAGGAAGGAAGGAAAGAAGGGAGGGAGGAAGGAAGGAAGAAAGGAAAGAAGGAAGGAAGGAAAAGAAAGAGAGGAAAGGAAGGAAGGAAGGAGGGAGAGAGAGAGAGAGACAGAAAGAAAGCAAGCAAGCAAGAAAGAAAGACAAGAAGGCAGGCAGGCAGAGAAGTTGGAGGCTGACTGGTAATTTTTGAAAGGCCGTGAAGGAGCAGAGGAGAGGGCCTGCTGACTGAGGTGGGGCCTCTCATGGCAGGTCATCCTCCTGTCTTTAGATGCTTTTAGTCTATTTCCAAAATAACTCTTGGGGCCAGGTGCGGTGGTTCATGCTTGTAATACCAGCACTTTGGGAGGCTGAGGCATGTGGATCACTTGAAGTCAGGAGTTCGAGACCAACCTGGCCAACATGGTGAAACCCCGTCTCTACTAAAAATACAAAAAAATTAGCCGGGTATGGTGGTGGAAGCCTGTAGTCCCAGCTACTCAGGAGGCTGAGGCAGGAGAATTGTTTGAACCCAGATGGCGGAGGTTGCAGTGAACTGAGATCATACCACTGCACTCCAGCCTGGGCAACAGAGCGAGACTCGCTCTCAAAAAAACAAAACAAAACAAAACAAAATAGCTCTTGGGCTGGGAGGTAGGGAGATAACTGGAGGGTGTGGGGTCTGTACCATCTCATACAGTAGCCATTAGCCCACATGGCAATTTAAGTTACATTTAAAATTTGGTTCTTCCTTGAACGAGCCACATTTCAGCTGCCCCACAGCCACGTACGGCTGGAGGTCCTGTGCTGGGCAGCTCAGGTGGGTCATTTCCATCATCGCAGGAAGTTCTGTTGGAAGCTTCCCTCCGAGGGATGCTTCCCTCAAACTTGGGCTAAATGGAGGACCCCCCCATGGGACAGTGATAGAGATGGAGGGCGGGGGCACACCCAGATGTCGTGAGGGCTCCCAAGACCAAGGTCTCTGTGGTGCCAGGACATCTTCTCTTTTGATTCTGCTGCAGGTTTCCTCTCTCCCAGGGCAGGGTGAGATGGCTGGTCTAGAGTGAGGCAGAACGGGGCTTAAGCCCTTCTTTTCCCACTTAGGACCTTTGTGACGGTGGGCCTGGGTCTTACCTCTCCAGTCCTGTGGAATTGGGCAGGCAGTCAGCAGTGCCGCCTCGCTGGGGTTCTTGTGATCATTGATGGAGGTGGCGCAGAAAGCACTTGGTAGAGAGCACAGGGTGAGCACTTGAAAAATGGGGACCACCATTGTTATCTTGATGATTATAATTGTAGGTTTTTTTTTTTTTTTTTTTTTTGAGACGGAGTCTTGCTTTTTCACCCAGGCTGAATTGCAGTGGCACGATCTAGGCTTGCTGCAACCTCCGCCTCCCGGGTTCAAGCAATTCTCCTGCCTCAGCCTCCTGAGTAGCTGGGATTACAGGCGTGCGTCACCACGCCTGGCTAATTTTGTATTTTTAGTAGAGATGGGGTTTCACCATGTTGGTCAGGCTGGTCTCGAACCCCTGACCTCAAGTGATCCACCCACCTAGGCCTCCCAAAGCGCTGGGATTACAGGCATGAGCCACTGCACCAGGCCAATATTATTTTCATAATGATTATTGAATAGTGTTTGGGCCTGTGGAGTTCTTAGGGACACTCTCCCAGCAAATGTGGATTTATCCATAATTGACCCTTTCCAGATTTACTTTCAGTGACCCCCACCCCCTCACATCCTTTCCTTCTGGAGACCTAATTTGGATTTCTTCTTTCCATCCCTCCTTTCTTTGGGCAAAAGGAAGACTTGGAACTGCCCTGGAATGAACTCTTACAGGCCCTTCTTCTTGGGAGGTAGAGCCCCTGTCTCTCCCAAAACATATACGCTTGCCCATGTGCACATGTACACACACATACACACACACACACACACACACACACACACACTTCTCCACTGGCCTAGCCGTTAAAAATAAATAAATAAAACCCCAAATATTAAAGCAGGGCTGAGCAGATGTGGCCCTGGCAGGGCTGGCTGGGTTGTCTGGAGGCGGGGGTGGCCGGTGGCCCCGGGAGGGCCGTGTGTGTTGATTCCCGGACATTGCCCAGCGCCCTGTGTGCTAATGTGAAGCTGAAAAGTCCCCTGCATTGTGCCGGCTCCTTTCCCCGTGAAAAGGCAATTGAGTCAGTGAGTTCCAAATGGATTGGAGCTGACAGTAAATGAGAATTTGGCAGTGGGTAGAAAACAAGCTTCCCCCACCCTCCACCCAACACACACTCCCTCATCCCTCCCTCAACTCTCAGTGCCTGTTTGGTTTTGAGAGGGATTTTGCAAAGAATTATGATTTCTGTTTGCACGTATCACACACTATCAGCAGGGGTCGTGCCCCAGCCTTCCCCCCTCCCAGGGACGGCCCAGCCCCCTCCCCCAGGTGACCAGGCCCACTCCCCTTCCCGCCTCAGTGGCTCCGCCAGCGATCCCGAATGAGTTAAGGGCTGAATCAACTCTAGACCCAGCTGTACATTTTACTCTGGGTTCCTGAATGAAGGGACGTGCTGTGCTCAGCACGATTGGAGACTGTCTGTCCCGGGTGACCCACCCGGCCCCCACCCTGCTGGGCTCCACCAGCTTTTATGGGACCTGCCGCTCAGTCCCAGGACCTCGTCCCTGGCAGCTGGGGAGTCGGTGGCTCATGCCGTGGGGACCTTGTCTGGTGTCCTCCCCGTGTCCAACCTGCTCTTAGAGACCTATTTTAATTTTAAAAGAAAGAGTACACCATTTTAAGTTGGTCTTATCCCTGGTTTGTAAAGAAGGATTTCGATGTTGAGGGTTCATGGATGCCAAGGGCCTTGCCCCCATCATTCTCCATTCCACAGTGTCCACACCAGTACCGTAGTCAGTAGATACTTACTAGTACCAGGCCCTCTCGCCAATGGCCCCGTGTCCCTAGACCTCCCCACTTAAGCATTCCCAGAAGCTGCAGGGAGGGAAACACTGCTTCCTTTCAAATACCCCTCCAGTCGTGCTCCTCATTTGTGACATAGCAACTCTTTAGCCTGACCAACCTGTCTCTATAGAGGGGTAGCGTCTTTCCTATTTCTGCAGGGCAAGAGGCACAGCGATGCCCTTGTTTTGGCAGAATTACAACCTGCTCCTGGGGGGTGTCTGTGCCCCCAGTGGCCAGGGAGGCCCCTCAGGGGACTCTTTCTGGAAAAGGCTGGTGGAGTCTGCTTGTTTGGGGAGCTATGCTGGGAGGATAGTGGTAAAGTCCTCGGCTCAAATCCCTAGTCTCTCCTTATTGGGACTCTGACTTTGGAATATTGTGGGCTCTTCTCAGCCTCAGCTTTCTCACTTGTAAAAGAGGGTTCACGATAGCACCTATCACTTGGGGTTGCTGTGAGGATTAGATGAAATGACGCTGGAAGGGCTCCTGGCACATGGTGATGAGGGGTAGCTATCGTTGCTACTAGTACTGTCTCTACTCCACCCTCCCCATCTGTCATCATGAAGGCAGTAAGGCAGAGGGCTCCCTGTGTTTGAGCTCCAGAGACCCCCAAGGCCAGGCTGAAGCGTCATCCCAGAGGCTGTGGCCACCACAAGTCTGTTGGAGCATGTTCGCCAATAGCAAGGCAAACGTGTCCGCCCAGTACAGAGCCCTCGAGGGAGCAGGGAAAGGCTTGCAATGCCCAGGGCTGAGCTGTTGGACGTGCAGGTGGCAGTCCCTGGGCTGGCCTGGACTGCCTGCCCAGGGAGGAGCTGACTCCCAAGCACTGGCGCCATCTTGGTTCTCCTTGGCTTCTCCTCGCAGACGGGAGTGTGGCCCTTGCCCTTCCCCAGGAGCAGGTGGCCTTTGCAGCCTGGCACCTGTTCCCAGAGGGTAGCTGCCAAGAAGGCACAAACCCAGGGATCTCCCTGCATGTCCTCCGAGTCATTGCACAAGGCCTGTGTGCTGCCTGGAGGGGCTGGCCTGGGCCTGTGCTAGTGGAGAAGGTCGAAGGAGGAGCTTCTCTCCTCCCAGAGCCCCCTCCTCGCCCTCCAGGCAAGTCACAGGAGAGCCAGGACCAGCATCCTGAGGTCTGTGTCCTGGGGGTTTGTTGGGGTGGGGCGAGTAGGGGAGCGGGGAGACAGGTGAAGGATGTGAATGAAGTTGGAGAGGGGGTGCAGGAGAAGGGTCTTGCCTCTGTCCCTAAGGGGCAGCAAGGAAGCTGAGTTGATTTTACATTCTTATTTTATTAAAAGAGAAAGGAAATAGACATTTACTGAGGGCCGATTGTGTGTCAGATGCTGCGCTGTGACTCTTTGTGGGATTGAAAGACACAAGGCAAGCAGTGGTTCGATTCCCATTGTACCTGGCAGGAAATGAGGCTCTGAGAGGTTCAGTCACTTACCTGAGTTCACTCAGCTCATTAAAGGAGAGCTAGGGTTCCAACGCTGGTTGATCTGACTCTGAAATGCACGCTTTTCCCTATGCACCGGAAAAATAGAACCATATTTTAAACAGTTTTTGAAAATAGATCAAAGGGAAAAAAATGCACCCCTAACTTAACTATCATGAGACAACATTGTTTAGTATCTGGTGTATTTCTGTCTAGTGTTTTTCCCCCGTTTGGTGACTGTATATATTTATTAAACATGTATTTTACATAACTATAATCATAAAAGAATATGGTTTTGATTGAGACTTTGGATGAGGTAGGAGGGTCTCCTGAGCTGGGGCCACCGGGGAGGGATTGATTCTTGGCAAAATGGAAACCTGGTTTTGGCTCTGAGCCATCTTTTTGGTAATGAGGTGCCTGAAACTGCACTGGAGAAGGCAAACTGGCTGAATGGAGAGGCAGGCGAGACCCCAGTGTTCTCTCCTGGGTAGCTTTTGCTCAGTTAAGTGGCAGAATTTTCCTTTTAACTCACTTCCTTCTTGCTTTTGACAAATGGGAATATTTGTACCATTTTCCCGAATGACCTCCTCTCCTTGGGGTAATGAGAAAATGACAGTCTTTGCTAAGTGCTTTGAGATATTCAGATATAAAAATGGAGAGCAGAGCGTTGTCGTGGGCCTTTTGCTGCCAGGGCGCTTTATAAGGAGGAAGTGCAGTTTGTGGGGAGTGAAGGTCACCGTGAGGGTGAGGGCTCCTGCTGGAACCCGTGTCTCTCTGGGCACAAGGGCCAGGGCACTCCTGGCCCAGCTCAGGGTGGGCGGGGTGTTGGTGGAGCCTCTGCCCCTCTTCCAGGTACACACTCCCAGGCCAGATCCCCAAGGGCCAGGTGATCTGGGTCACTCGGGCAAAGCCCCCACCTTGGCTGGAATCTTGCAAATAAACGATTCAATTCCGAGAGAGTTCTCCCCTTCTCACTTCATAGGGTCTGCCCAGGAATATCACGACGGAATAAATACGGTGTCACCTGTACAAATTATCATCCCGAGGATGGTTTCGAAACATGGAAAAATGTTTATTATATGAGTGAAAAACTATACCAAATGCCAAGAGCTGTGAACGCTGCGAGAGAAACTATATAAAAATCCAAATGCTTCTGTAGAACGCTTGAAAGGTGATCCTCCAAAATGAAAATTATAGCGTTAGGGTGGTGGGACTACGGTGATTTGTTTTTTATTTCACAACATTTTATTTAAATTCCCCCCCTATGATTAAAAACCAACAAAGCCAACGTGTCGGCCCGGCAGGGAGCCCTGGCAAGGGGGAGGGGGCGGGGCAGCGCCAGGCGAGAGGGCGCCTGCACCCACGGCCCCCGCAGGGCGCTGAGCTCACCGGCTGTGCCAGCCACAGAAACCTATGAGATCTCGAGAAGCTGAGGCGTATCGGTGACTCAGCCTTCGTGTTGTGCTGTGCAACAATAGCTTTTGTCCTTTGCCCAAAACCCTAGGCCAGTGTGCTAAAAAAAAAAAAAAAAAAAAAATTATAAAATTATGAGATAGTTTGTACTTTCCTCACCAGCCGGTGCCAGCTTCGGGTGCTTTATTTATTCAAGGTGGGGAGGCAGGGAAGACGGGGTGGGGCTGGGGGGGAGACAGAAAGGAAAAGAAAAACAAGGTAAGACTCGGACAAGGCCCAAGAAATGTTTGAACCTCAACAACAAACTTTCTTTTGTTTCACCAGTGGGAAGGAAAAAATAAATGTGAACCAAAGCAAACTCCCTACATTTAGCTCGTGGGGTTGATTCCTTCGCTTCTTGCAGTGGTCTTGGCCTTTTGTTTGCAGGCCAGGAGAGCTATTGGTGATACCCACCTCTGGGCTAGGATGTGATGGGAGGTGGGATGTAGGGGCCCAGGGAGAAAGGGTTGCAGCCAGCGGTCAGGCTGGGAGCAGAGACCTCCAGGCGGGTCCCTGGTGTTCTGGGCAGTCACGCCCAACTGCCAACCGCCTTTGCTTGCACTTCCACTGGGGTTAAAGAAGATTCTTCCCTCCCAGAGTCCCAGAAGCCGCTCTCTGCCAGGGGGACTTGGAATTCCACACGGATCAAGAGCAAGGACACGTTTGCCTGGGAACAGTTTGGATGGGAGCTCTCCTCCTCGTGTCCACTGGAAGACATTTTAGGAATCAGATTCAGGAAGAAAGACCGCGAGAGGGGAGTTGGGAATGGGTGTGTGTGAGATCATATGTTGTTTTGTGTGTGTGAGATTGTGTTCGTGTGTAAATCGTTTTGCGTGTGATCGTGTCTGAGATTGTGTGAGTGACTGTGTTTGAGACTGTGATTGTGAGACTATGTGAGATTGTGTGATTCTGTATGAGATTGTATGAGGATGTGTGTGGTTGTGTGTGATTGTAAGATTGTGTCTGAGATTGTATGAGTGATCATGTATGAGATTGTTTATGAGATTGTGTGAGGTGAAGTGTGAGATTGTGTGTGGTTGTGTGAGAGTGTGTGCTTGTGTGTGACATTTTGTGTGGAATTGTGTGAGATTGTGAGATTTTTGTGGGAGATGCTGTGTGAGATTGTGTGATTGTGTATGAGATTGTGATTGTGGTTGTGTGTGAGAGTGTGTCTGATTGTGTGCGAGATTGTGAGATAGTGTGAGATGGAGTATGAGATTGTGCTTGTGTTTGAGATTTTGTGTGAAATTGTGATTGTGAGATTGTGTGAGATGGTGTGACTATGAGATTGTGTGTGTGAGATTTTGCGTGAAATTGTATGATTGTGTGTGATTGTGTGTGAGATTGTATGAGTGAGTGTATATGAGACTGTATGAGATTGTGTATGCGATTGCGTATGAGATTGTATGTGGTTGTGACATAGTGTGAAATGGTGTGGAAGACTGTGTGTGCCTGTGTGTGAGATTTTGTGTGAAATTGTGTGATTGTGTGAGATCGTGAGTCATTGTATATGAGAGTGTGTGAGATTGTGTGTGGTTGTGGGATTGTGTCAGTGGCTGTATATAAGATTGTGTGTGATTTTATGTGGATTATGTGAGTGGGTGTGTATGGGATTGTGTGTGATTGTAACGTGGTATGTGGTTTTGTGTGTGATTTTGTATGAGATGGTGTGTGTGAGATTGTGTGTGAGATGGTGTGTGGTTGTGTGTGAAAATGAGTGTAAGTGGTTGTGTATGAGATTGTGTTTGTGTGTGTGGTTGTGTTTTTGTGTGTCGCTTCTTTCCCCCTCGTTGTAGTAGCCGGGCAGAGTAAAATTAACGGGGTCTTCCGTCTGTTTTTCGCGTATCACTTGGTCCCCTGCCCCAGGCCTACCCTGAGTGAGACTGTGCTCTGGCCGGATCCGGGGCTGAATGGCAATTCTTCCTTCCGCATGAGCTCAGAGGATTTTGTGGGAATGATGCGGTGGTTTGACCAATAAGAGAAAGGAGGCTTGTGGGTGAAGGGTGAAGTCACAGAGGTCAGAGGTGGCCTGGCCCAGGACTCGGACGCCCCTCTCCGTGGTCCTCATAGGGGTCCCAACCCTGCGGTCCTTGTCCTGTCCTCAGGAACAGATTCCCAGCTGAGCTTCCGAGGCTCGGGTGGGCTCAGAGACACCTGTGTGATCGTTCCATCATTATGACCCTTCCTGTGAAGAAGGCAGCTCACAGGTTATTGTCCTGGTTTACAGGTGGGGAAACTGAGGCCCAGAGGGAGGTTGCTTCGTGCCGCAGGCCCTACAGCTAGTCAGTGACAGATCTGGAACTAGGACCCAGTATTTGAGCCATTTGGAAACACGGTCATCTTCCCCACTGGCTCAGGGTGAGGCTGGCCGGTTCCAGACATGGAATGATGCTTCCTCCAGTTGCAGGAAGTAAAGGGACCCTCCTAGGGGATCAGATGGTGGGGCTGTGTTTGGGGGTGACTGGTTTTAGGGACTGCTTCTGTTGAAGAAAGAGCACTGGATGGTGAGAAGGTGAGGTGGTTCTAGCCCCATCTCCATCGCTGGCAAGCAGCCACCTCCCAAGATGAGCAAGAGGGTTGGCCCCCATAGAGCCGTCACCCCTTCCTACTTCAGGATGGCTGGAGCTTCTTGCCACCGTCTGGAGTCCGCAGCTGTGCCATGCAGCCAACCCTCTCCCACAACCTGTCAAACCAGAGATGCCAGTTTCCCCAGGACTCCCAGGAGCTCCCGCCCCTAGCTGGTACCAGGGAGAGCCTTTGCAGGCTCGGTGGGCAGTGCCCCCAACCCATGCCCCATGCACCTGCTTATCGATCACTGCCTGTCTGGATGTGTCTCGTGTCAGAGCCCTCTGGTGTGAACTTGCCGAGTACTGAGAGGCCAAGACGTGAGACAATTACAAGCAGGGGAGAGAAGTGGTACCCTGTGACAAGAGGCAGCTGTGGAGAAAGGGGCAGGCTCCATGCCCGGGGTGAGCGCCATCTGGGCAGGAGGCCTGGCTTCCAGCTGTGGGGGCTTGGGAAGGGCAGAGCCTGGGAGGAATGATTTTGAAGCCACTACTATGGAGATTAAGGGGATGAGAATGTAAATCTCAAGTAAAAAGGTAATTGAATGTAATAGCAAACACTGCTCGCTCTATGTTAATTTTAGCTCTTCCCCTGGATACAAGACGCTGTATTAGTGTTTTATTACCATTTTGTTTGCACTAATAAAATAGTAAAATTTATTTCAAGGAAGTTGAAGGATGGTTTTACAATGCAAATTTGAAGAAATTGGACTTTTCATTTATGCCTCTGCTATTTTAAACCCTGACGGGTGTAAATTAGCTACAGGGACCGAGCAGACCCCACTGATGGGGACTTGGGAGGCGGGAGCCCTGACAGAGGTTCCAGACGAGCTCAGGGCAGAAAGCAGACAGTATCACACGGAGAGGCTGCAGCGGGAGGGTACTTGGGGGCCTGATTGGGTGGGACGGGGTGCTGGTTGAGAGTGTGTCAGGCATGAATGAGTCTAGGTGTAGGAGGGCATGTCACACACAGAGCTGGCAGAGAGACACACGTGGCCACAGACCTCAGGGCTTCATCTTTCCTCTCGGCCCTTTGGCCTCCTTCTTGTCCTGACATCGGGCCTCTATTAACCTGGTGAACCCCTAAGGGTAACTGAGCAACCCTACCCTCTGTGCCTAGAGAGGGCAGGTAGACCAACTGCTCTGCTCCCGTTCACACCCGTCCCCTTGAAAGGGGCTGAAGATTGAAGAGATCATCGGAGCATGGAGGAGAGACTTTGAGCCAAAAAGGAACCAGGGAAAAAGACCTAGGCCAGAAACCAGCCCAGCTGAGGTCCCACCTTCTCCCTCTCCCTTCCAACCCAGGCATCCTGGAGAAACTTGGCCGGGACTTTCTCAATCCCCCCGCATGCCTTCACATTGAGCCGAATGGTCCCAGACATTGTAGTGTCCATGAATCCAAAAGCTAGAGAACTGAATTTTTAAAAGAAAAAAAAAAATCAAGTCGTCTGAACCTGAGGGAACTGGATGATGGTTATAGGTAGGCGGAGAAGGGAATGAAAGGGGTGATAGGAGAGTTTCATTTTGAGTTTTGGGTGAAGAATTCAGGTTGGATCTTGTTTTATCCAAACCGGTTTGTTTATCTCTGAAAAATTATCGGCAGCAATGGCCCAAAGCGATGCACTGGGGGCCTGGCTTCCAAAGGGTAGGGAACCGAACAAGTGTTCTAATGTCTGGCGGAGTCTGCCGTGTGTATTGCCCAGGGTTTTCTGGCCGACTGCCTGGTGCGGGGGAAATGGTGAGCCAGTGTCGCCGGTTTCCAGCCCCAACCCTAGGTCTGGTGAGGTTTTCTCGGTGTATTCTGTCTCCCTTGTTGGGGTGTTGTGTGTGTGTGTTTAATGCAGAGATTTAAACTGTTGATTCTGGCAGGGCCAGAGTAGAGAGACTGGAGGAGTCTGGAAGAGAAGCTGGAACAGAGATGGTTGCAGGAGACACGTGGGGATTCATTCCCTTGTCTGTAAGACCGCGGGAGCTCTGAGTGTCAGGACTGTGCTTGTGGGTTGCAGGGAACTTGGCGCTGGGACAGAGGAGGGAGGGCTCAAGCCTCCAGCCTCTCCTGGTGGTTCCTCTAGGCCTACAGGGTCACACTTGGGGAAGAGAGGGGTCCGCGTTGACTCAGGTGGTGGGAGATACCCAAGAGTCAGGCCAGTCTCCAGCAGTGGGGCCAGAGCTCTGTGTGGTTGTTAATAGAGCAGAAAAATGCTCCATCTGGATCTCCTGGTGATCCTTTTGGATCGGGGGGGCTATGGATGGGATTTCTTGGGATCACGGGGCTTAAAGAATGTGCAGAAGGCAAAGGACTCTAAACCCAGCCCCGCAACAGGCCAGCAACCTCTTCTTTTCCTCTGTAGACTACACAGGAGGCCCTGGTGGTGGGACTTTTTCCAAATCCCTAATCTCAGGGACAGAGAGGGAGGCCCTGAACTTGGCCCTGGCCAAGGCCAGGGCAGATTTGACAGTGTGCTGCCGAAAGCAGTCAGAGTTGAGAACATTTAAAAGGGGTAGATTGTTTAGCTTTTGAAATGGTTCCCGATTCTCCGAGAGTCAGGAGATATACCGTGTGTATCCAAGGATTTAGCGACGGTGTCAGGTGGGAGGGTGCACTCCGGGTGGATTTCCACCCAAAACTCTAATTACATCCACAAGCAGACGGAAATGGGAAAAGAGGATTAGTGCAGTGCCCCTTGTGGGCCTGGCGGTGGAGGACCCCAGGAGCACCTGGCCTCTGTGCAGGCACCTGCCCACTCCCTCAGGTCCCACCTCTGTGCTGGGATCAGAGTTAAGGAGGTTTGCTCCGGACCACCACAGGGAGCTGCCAGGACCTTCAGACACTTCTTTGTCTACTCGTCTGCTCTGAACTCTCCCCAACCCATCTCTGGAGAGGTGAGGCCCCTCTGAGCAGCGACAGGGCTGCTCCCACCCTGCGGCCTCTTCTCAGCGCATATCAGCCCCAGCCCAGACTAGAAGGACGCTCCATTTTGAGTGCTTTGGTTTTCTTTTTGGCATAGGATGTGTGTGTGTGAGCTGGGGACAGGGTGCCTCACAAGCACACACACAGACTGCTGTCTGGTCTGACCACAGCAGGCCCTGGAAGCTGGAACCCCCACCTGCTGCCTTGTCCTGCTTGGTTTGGGGGAGCCCGTTGCCTGGTCCATGCGTTCCCCCGGCCAAGTATGCTGAGAAGCTAGAAGGCCGAGGCCTTCTGCCCCCAAGACTTTGACCCTTCCCCTCACCATGTTCAGTCCCCGGGGTGCGTGAGACCCCTGAGGATTCGGAACCCCCGCTCGCCCATTTCCTTCCCGGGTCCCACTGTCCTGCACCTGTCAGCTGTCTCGCTGACTGTCTGGCTTGGCTGCCACCCATCCAATCCCTCCCAGGCCAGCTCCACCCCCGCCCCCTCCCCCAGCCCACACTCCCTCCCTTCCTGTCTCTGCCCACGTCTGTCTCTACCTGCCCGTAGCCGGCACACCTGAAGATCCGAGGCTGCCTAACGGAGTGTGGGGATGGTTCAGGGTGTTTACCAGACAGCTGGGATAAGGTATTAAATCCTGCTGCTGTCTTCCCAGGGCCAGGTTCCTCAGATGGTTTTCCAAATCCCTAATCTCAGTGCCCACATCCCTGCCCAGCCTATGTTTGATGAGAGCTTTCCTTTCTGATTGAAGCTGTACCCAGCAGGATCTGTCGTGGGCTTGGGTCTGGGTTCCCACCGGTGCTCGATGACACGGGCACCCAGCCCCTTCCTCTCTGTGGTCCTTCCTTCCTCCCCTCCTTCCTTTCCTTGGGAATCTTAGTGAGTGGGGGCCAGGATTCTGCCACCAGGTGTTCTAGAGCCTTCGGGAGCCCCCATCCTCCACCATGTGGTCATGGGGCCACCTGCTGTCATGGCAGGCGGAGGTCCCAGATTGGGCTTCAAGTCAGAGGCGAGGGGGAGGAGGTGGGAGGGAGCAGGCCAGGAGCAGCCCTTACTGAGCCCACCCATACAGCTCTTCATGCTCAGAGTAAAAGTGGCCAGCGTGGGGTTCTGCCCTGGGAGAGAGTCTGTGAAGCAAACCTGTTCCTTTATGGTGTCTCTGCATTGGCTTAGGAGATGACAGCTTTAGGGAGGAGCCATGCACCTGTCTGGCACTCAGGTGGACACCCTGCCCTCGTTAAACTGGCCGAGCTTCTGGGGTCACAGGAGGGCCTGCATGCTCCTCCAGTGAACAGGGACTTGGAGACACCCAGTGGTATCCATTCTTCATGTGTGGCAGAGACAGCTTCCCAGAGTCTTCCATGTGGTAGAATATCTGGATATGTGTCTGCCCTTTCCAGGATGGCAGGACTAGGCAGAGAGCAGGGACACCCTGCTCCTGATCCTCAGCCTTCCCCCGCAGAAACAAGGCTGAAAGAGGCCAATCTGCTTCCTCTCCTGAAGCTGGGAAGTTTCTATGGGGGAAGGAGCAGAACTCTAGACCAATGGGGGCATGTGGCCAATGGTGGCGGCCTGGGTCTAGCCCTCTGGGGGTGCCTGGGACTGATGGATGTGTTCTTTCTCCCAGCTGCAATGTGGCCTGGGCAGACCCTTCTAATTTCGGCTTCTCTCTCCCTAGCTCCAGACTGCCTCTTCTTTCTCCCACCCATGCCCCTTCTCCTCCTTCCTCCAGGCAACCAGAGGTGTCTTAGGTTTCACAACAGCCCAAGCCTTCCTTTCTCTCCAGGTCTCCTCACCTTGTTCCTGCAGGCTCCCCCCAGGTGTCACGTGGCTCCACCCTCTCACTGTTGCCTTGGCAGTCAGTGCCGCTCCCGGTTTGTCTCTGTCTTTTGCTGAGATCAGGGCACAGACAGGAGTGGGGAGTTCCCTGGGGGCCGGCCGAGAGGGGCTTGGCAGCAGCTAACTGGGCTGGGACGGGACAAGGGGCTGCAGCAGCCAACTTCATGCCGGGTCCTCAGTCAGCATCCTCACCATCAAGGCTGGAAGCGGGTTCCAGGGGGAGTCCTGGGTGCCAGCATCCCCAATTTTATTTCAGGGGTGTTCTTTTTCTCATATGTGTTTGGCAAAGATCAAGAAGTGGAATAGAAAATAAGGGGACAGAGAAAATCTGGAGGGTGACAGTTGGGCTGGTGAGGAGGAGGAGGAAGAGGAGGAGGAGGAGGAGGAGGAGGAAAGAGGTGAAATTAATTCATTAGAAAAACTTGTTTACTGGCTTTGCTTAGGTGCCTCCATTTTAAAAGTCTACGTTTACAATAAGTCGCTAATTAAAATACAAAATTAAGCAACAGCTATGTTTTTTTTTCCCTTACACTTTAATTGCATGATTTTTTGTGATGTAATTTCTGGAAACACCCAGCGTACCTCACAGGGCTGATTGTTTGATAGACTAGAAGTACCCGAAACCAACCCCAAAAAATAAATATATAAATCCAAGGGAAACTGAAGGTAGATTGGAAATGACACAGAACTGCAGACAGCGGGGAACCAAAAATCCATAATAATAATAATAATAAAAACTTCTAAGTAAGGACATTTATCCTGCCGCCACCCCCGCCCCCACCTCCCCAACCTGCCTGAAACCAGAACAATCTGTGCCTCTCAAGGGAAAAACAAGCTGCCATAGAAGCCAGACCAAGTGGGGCGGTTGCTCCCTGTCCCGCACCCCCAGCTTGGCGCTATGGAGAAAAAGCAGGCGCAACTGGGAACTTTCCCTGCCTCCATTTCTAGCTGGGCTCAGTACTTGCTGGGGCTTCTGCCTTCATCTCTGACCTTTCAAGGGAATTGTCTTTGTCCCCCTTGTTCTGAACCTAGATGCAATCCCAGGAGGAGATGCTTGGGGGCAATGACCGCCCCTCCTGGGAAAAGCACGTCTCTCCTTGCACGTGCCATGGCAGACAGCGGGACTGGGGCTTGGGTTGCTGGCCCTGTGTTCCTCGTTATCCTGAAAGCACTGGCTCTTCTGGAAGGGAGTGGGAAAGGGTGATCCGAGGTAAAAGAGGCATGGGTTGACTTTGCAGATGGCCCCCTGGCCTACTGCCTTCTTTAAGATGTAGACCTAGGTGATGATTGCAAAACTGCAGAGAAACCTGTCAGGAACTGATGGGGTGGGGCTGGGAGGAAGCTGGGTCCCACTGGTGGCCTAGCTGCTGGAAAATTGCAGGCCCAGCATCTTCTGTGGGCTCGGGGCTCCTAGGTGCAGGGCATCTGGGCAGTGGGAGCATGCAGGACAGAGGGGGCCTGTGACCGCACTGCTGGCTCCTTTCACCACCCCGCAGCTAGGGGCCCAGTTGGCTGGGACCCCAGCAACCCCTCCGTACACTCTGCTCCTGGGAAAAAAGGAATTACCTCCTTTTAGGGCCTTTTTAAAAATCTATTTTTTCTCCTTGATTACAAGTTATGCTCATGTGCATTGAAAAATACAAAAAAGTATAAAGAAAATAATTTAGGCCAGGTTCGACAGCTCACACCTGTACTCCCAGCACTTTGGGAGGCTGAAGCAGACAGACCACTTGAGCTCAGGAGTTCAAGAAACTCCTGGGTGACATGGCAAAACCCTGTCTCAACAAAAGATACAGAAATTAGGCAGGCGTGATGGTACACATCTGTAGTCCCAGCTACTTGAGAGGCTGAGGTGGGAGTATGGCTTGAGCCCAGGAGGTGGAGGCTGCAGTGAGCCGAGATCGTGCCATTGCACTCCAGCCTGAGTGACAGAGCCAGGCCCTGTCTCAAAAAAAGAAAGAAAAGAAAAAAGAGAAGAGAGAGAAAAGAAAAGAATTTAAAAATGTGTTTTGTGAGTTAGGGAGACAGAGATACCTGGTTATAATCCCTGGTTTTCCACCCAGCAGTATCACCTTGAATAAGTTACTCAGTTTCCAAACCTCAGTTTCCCCATCTGTCAAGTAGAAATACTGATAGCGTAGATCTTGCAGGCTGGTCCTTGATTTAGTGTAATGATCCATATATAAAATACTTAGCACTGAGCCTGGCACATAGCACCCTTAAATATTACTTCTGGCCAGGTGTGGCGGCTCACTCCTGTAATCCCAGCACTTTGGGAGGCCAAGGTGGGCAGATCACTTGAGGTCAGGAGTTTGAGACCAGCCTGGCCAACATGGCGAAACCCTGTCTCTACTAAAAATACAAAAATTAGCCGGGTGTGGTGGTGCGCACCTGTAATCCCAGCTATTCGGGAGGCAGAGGCAGGAGAATCGCTTGAACCCGGGGAACAGAGGTTGCAGTGAGCCGAGATCACCCCACTGCACTCCAGCTAGGCAACAGAGTGAGACTCCATCTCAAAAAAAAATTAACTATTTCTGTTTCTGTTATTATCATTAATAATGACTATTCCCACTATCTTGGGATAATAGACATTTAACTTTTTTACACTGATGAGTTATCTATCTAAACCTGTGCTATCCAAGCCTCTAGCTTCTTTAAACTTTCATTCATTAAAGTAAAAGAAAATTGGAAATTCAGTTCCTCAGTCACATTGTCCACGTCTAGTGCTCAGTAGCCGCATGTGGCCAGTGGCTGCTGTGTGGGACAGCATCCTCCAGCACACAGCCACTGGAGTGTTCTCGCCGAACCTTCCCCCACTTTTCTAAGTGTCTCTTAAGGGCTGCATAGTGGTCCATAGCGTGGCTGAATCACATTCTCTTACTGGCTTGAGTTTTCTTTTCTTTTCTTTTTTGAGACGGAGGCTTGCTCTGTTGCCCAGGCTGGAGTGCAGTGGCACAATCTCTGCTCACTGCAACCTCCGCCTCCCAGGTTCAAGTGATTCTCCTGCCTCAGTCTCCTGAGTAGCTGGGATTACAGACGCCGCCACCACACCCGGCTAATTTTTGTATTTTTAGTAGAGACGGGGTTTCACCATGTTGGACAGGCTCGTCTCGAACTCCTGGCCTCAAGTGATCTGCCCGCCTCTGCCTCTCAAAGTGCTGGGATTACAAGCATGAGCTACCATGCCTAGCTTGGCTTGAGTTGTCATTCCTGGGAGGTTGGTGCATCCTCTGGGCTCTGATTGGTCACCAGCGGTTTCTGCCTCCTGGCACCTGCCCTGTGGTGCTCTCTGATTGGTGCCAGGCAGTGATGGATTCTGGGAGGAGCAAGCCCGGCCGGCTGATTGGCTCTCAGTGGTGATGCCAGGGCTCTGCTTCCCCTCCCCCACAGTGGGCTCTGGCTGGGCAGGAGGGGCCACTCCCCCCAGCACTCTGGTGCCCGTCCCCCAGGATGCCTCCTCCTCACCCTTCACCCCAGAAGGCTGGAGTCCAGGGAGAGGAGGGCCTTGGTTGAGGGAGTAAAAATGAACAATAGGCCAGGTGCAGTGGCTCATGTCTCTAATTCCAGCACTTTGGGAGGCTGAGCCCGGCAGCTAACTTGAGGTCAGGAGTTTGAGACCAGCCTGGCCAACATGGTGAAACCCCATCTCTACTAAAAATACAAAAATTAGCCAGGCATGGTGGTGCGTGCCTGTAATCCCAGCTACTTGGGAGGCTGAGGCAGGAGAATCATTTGAAACCAGCAGGCGGAGGCTGCCGTGAGCCGAGATTGCACCACTGCACTCCAGCCTGGGTGACAGAGTGAGACTCTGTCTCAAAAACAAACAAACAAACAAACAAACAAACGAACAATAATGACCCACCCTGCCCTGAGCAGAGGGTCCAAGATAAAACCCGGAGGCCCCTGGGGGAGCCTCCTGAGATCAGGGCGGCCTGCCTCATGGGAAGCACCATGGTAGAGGCTGGCCTGGCTCCCTGAATCCTGTGCAGGCCTCCCGCTCCTTGTGAGGGTCTTCCAGCTCCCGGAAGGCCCCTGACTCAGTCAAGACACTTGTGAGATTCCAGGGTGGAGTCTGGGGTCCCAGGTCTGGGGTCTGCTCCAGGAAGACCTTGCAATGGTGGGTGACCCTCCTGTGACTAGGGTTGGAGTGGGCGTTGGGGGACTGGGGTGATGCCAGGGTCGTGGCCCTCCTCATGGGCCGAGGGCTGTGGACAGGGCCAGCGAGGGAAGTGATCCCCGGGGCAGTGGGCAAGACAGACAGGGAGCTGCAACCGGACCTGCTGATGTGGCCCTTTCTGCTTGCAGTGGGTCATAAAATATGGCTCAGATTTTCATTACGGGCTCTATCGATTATCTTCTGCGATGGATGAATTATAGAGAACATTAAATTTTTTTTAAAAAGCAAGTGAGAGAGGAAATATCTGAATGACTTTGGGTGGTCGATGGCAGAAAGGGCTGAGCCACCAAGCCTGGTCTCCGAGCAGGTGTGGACCAAACCTCTCGGGGCAGGCAGCTGCTGACTCCTCCGGCTCTCTGCTTCCCGGCCTCCCTGGGCCTGGCTTTGCAATAGGGGAAGCCTGTGCTCCCATCGCCCCCGCCCTGTCCCCTCCAGGGATCTGCCTAGGATCTGGGAAGGCGGAAAATCAGGTTGTTTACAGGGCTGTGACCTGGAAATAGGACCCGTCCCAGGCTTTGGGCCTCCATTGCTGGGAGATGGGGCCCCAGCTCTGCTGCCTGCCCTCCAGGGACTTCCTGATTCTGGAGATGCCTGCCTGGGTAGAGGGAAGGGTCAGAGGACATCGCTGATCTCCTGGGCCAGGACTGGGGCAGGAACTCATGAGGAATGTGGACGACCGGGCCCCATCTTTTCCCCACTCCTCGTTCCTCCCATCAGGAACTCATGAGGAATGCGGACGACCGGGCCCCATCTTTTCCCCACTCCTCGTTCCTTCCATCAGCAGTCAACGGGCGCAGAGGATTTCTGTTTTCCTTCTGAAGTTTGGGAAGAGCGAGTCTAGGTCCCACCACTCTGCCTCTAAGGCCAGTCCAGAAAGAGAAGCTCCTGAAAGCCCTTCCCTCCCTCGCTTTCTCCCCACCCACCTTACTAAGCAGTGCTGTGAGGAGGTGTCAGGCAGTTGGGGTTAAATCATGTACCAGTGTGTGACCTTGGCTGGGCCCCATCTCTCTGTGGGTCCCAGTTCTTCAACCCTCCACTCGCCAGTTGAGAGAACCATCTACTTCATTGCAGGTTATAGATATTAATTTGCGATGGTTATATGCATTAATATATTAAAATCCTGAGCCCACAATGCTTAATAAACATGAACTAGTATCGTTTTCCTCTTCTACTGTGGCAGGGTCTAGAAACCTTTCTTTCTCTTTGTTTAGGCTTTGTGATTGATTTATCAAATGCTTGACAGCACCTGCTTTGTGGGGCTGTGAAGTACCTGCTCGTTACCCGGGTGTTACCACAGGCTTCACCTTCCCCCACCTTTCAGCCCGGCCAGAAGCACCTGAGGCTTTGGTTGTGACATCTGAGCCCTGTCTGGTGGCTCTAGGGGACCTACTTGGTCGAGGGTACTTTCCTCAGCATGTTACACGTAAGAAGCCATTTAATCCTCATGACGGTTCGCAGAGGAACTATCTTTATCCCCATTTTACTGATGGAGAAACTGAGGCACAGAAAGGTTAAAGTCGTTAGCCTAGAGCCACACAGCTTGTGGGTGGCAGAGCCTGGATTCCTACCTGGGCAGTCTGGTTCCAGAGTTTGTGTGCTTAACCACAGTGGCATGTTGCCCAGTGATCTGGCGGAGTGGCATATATGTGTGTGTGTGTGTGTGTGTGTGCACGTGCTGAACGTGTGTTTTGTGACTGACTCCACTTTCTGACCCTCCGCACGGTATTTGGTTCCTGCAGATAGATCATCAGTGGCCCCTGCATTTTCTGGGGCCCTGTTCTGGGTGGAGCATGTCTCCCCAACCCCCACACATCCCCTCACCCAAGCTTCACCTAGGCTGCTGTGAAAAGGTGGTGGTTTCCATGGATATCCGTCTCCCTCTGGCGACACGCCCTTTTTTGTATAACTCTGTTCCCTGGAATTGATTGTTTTTGGCACACAGCTCTGTAAACTCATCCAACAATTAAAGTGGGGGAGGGGTGGAACAGAAAGGAGACAGATAGTAACTGTGGGGTGAGTGATACGGAGGAAGGGCCTCTGGGGTGCGGGTCCCCTCCCTGTCCCCTGCCGGCAGCAGGACAGTGGACAGTACCTTAAGTGTGGAAAGGCCGCATAAGCAGCTGGCTGGGAGTTCTGAGAATTCAGAGCCCTCTGCACTTGAGCTGCGTTCTTGCCCCATCTCTCTCTCCCTCAGAAATCTAAAGGGTCCCAGGTTCAGGTCCAATGAGGCCGTTGCCAGAGGTCACCTGAAGCCGTGAGATGCCAGCCTGGACCGATCTGCATGTTGGCCGCCCTTGTTTTGGCTCATTGTGTATGTGTCTGCCCTGTTTGTGTACCGTCGAATACCTGCTGCGTTGGGCGTACCCGTCGTGGGCCGTGTGAGATCACAGATGAAAAATGCAGCGAAAAACACTTTCGTGCCACAACACATCATGGAGGATTTTTGTATTAAGATGTGGATTTTTTTATTGTTTTTTTTTTTTCCTTTTCCATACAGCCCTGGAGTTGGGCAATGTGCACGTCTGTGTTTTTGTTTTCACTCGGGTGGTTTATGAAATCTGCTCATTAGCGCTCTGTCCTCTCCCCACCCCGGGCTTATCTTCCACCACGTACCCTCTCGGATAGAAATCTTTCCCTACCACTTCCCAGTGTCTTCCCTCCTGCAGGGAGATGATAGGCGCCTCCCCGTACCCACATTCCCCCAGGTGAAAATCAAGGGGTTCTCTGGCCCTGCTTCCCAATCCCGCGTCTCCGTGGCTGATGTTCATTGTGGGGGGAGGTTCCGATGTAGGGGAGGCAGCAGAAATCCCTGCCCCACGCCCCCAAAGATAAAGCCCTTTTGCTTTCCCCTTATCTGGAGAGAAGAAATGGAAGTTGTCCTGTCCCAACAGGACCTCCTGACTTAGCATGGAGGTGGCTTCCTTGTCCCCATCCTGTCAGATGACAGGTTGCAATGGGCATGACCACAGTCCAGACCCCATTTGGAAGATGTGTTCAGGGGTTCATCCTGCTCGCCGGGTATTACCATGGGCCTCGCTTTCCCCCCTTTTCAGCCCGGCCAGAAGCACCTGAGCCTTTCATTGTGACGTGTGAGCACTGCCTGGTGGCTCTGGGGGACTTGGTCCAGAACTGTTTTGAGGCCAGGAGAACTGAGATTCTGGAGGGACAACAGCATCAGTTGTGGGTGGCTGCAGAGATCACAGGGAGGGGAGCAGGATGACCTTTTAAGTGAGTTGGGCCTTGGAGCCTGTCAGCCCAGGCCTGGCTTTGGCACCTGTACATGGTATGATCCTTGGCAAGTCACTTCGTGTCTCCATGCCCGCCCTCCCTAATCTATCCATGGGGACCATAACCATTTCTGCCTTTGTGTTGTAAAGATTTGGCTAGATCATGTGCGTAGGGCACTTGGCACGGTGCTTGGCAGATAGAAGGCATCTGACTGGTTCATACCAAGAGTTCTCACTTTGGCCTATTGGCAGGGGGCAGAGGCCACTTATCAGTGTGCCCTTATGCCCAGCCTGCCGCCTGGCACATAGTAGGCACATGGTCCAATTCTTATTGGAATTGGTTGGAGGGGATCAAGTAACTAAGGGGCTCCCTTAAACCTGAGAGCTGTTAATTCACAGGGCTAATGGAGGAGAAGGAGAGACCAAGGCACAGATTGAGGCTTGGGAAGAGCTAAACAGAATGGGCACAAAAAAGAGCCAACAGGGCTGGGTGCGGTGGTTCACACCTGTAATCCCAGCACTTTGGAAGGCCAAGGCAGGCCGATCACCTGAGGTCAGGAGTTCGAGACCAGTCTGGCTAATCTGGTAAAACATCGTCTCTACTAAAAATACAAAAATTAGCCAGGCGTGGTGGCACTTGCCTATAGTCCCAGCTACTCGGGAGGCTGAGGCAGGAGAATCGCTTGAACTCGGGAGGCAGAGATTACAGTGAACCGAGATTGCGCCACTGCACTCCAGCCTGGGTGACAGAGCAAGACTCCATCTCAAAAAAGAAAACAGAAAACAGCGAATGGAGCGTTCTGTTGGAGAAGAGGGGCCAAGCTGCACGGAGCTCATCTGACTCTGACCTGAAGTCAGGGACTAGTTCAGTTCCACCGACACCTTCGCTGCCCACGGTGGCCCAGCTGTTGTGCTAGATGCTGGAGACGCGCAGATCATTAGGACCCGCTCTCTGCCCTTGAGGAGTTAAAAGTCCAATGGTGGAGACAGACTTGTGAACAAATTACTTTAGTCCAGTATGGATGTAAATGCTGTGGTGGAGGATATAGGAGGAGCAGAGTCAGGGGTGTGTGGGGCCACCCGGGGTAGATTTCAGAAGGCTACCTTGAAGAGGCTTGGAAGAAGAGGGTGGTGGTGATTCTGGGCATTTCTAGAGTGCTTGTTAACACCCTTTCACGCCTCTTGTCCATCCTCCGCGCAGCCTGCAAGGTAGGAGGGAAGTCTTAGGCATCGTCTCCGTCTGGCTGGTGAGGGGACGGAACCTAGGGAGATTAGCAGGCTTGTCTAAGGGCCCATGGAGGTTTCGGGGACAGAAGTGGGACTCGGACCCACGTCTCCTGGTTCTCAGCCCGTTGTGATTTCTGTAAGCACGCTCACTCAGCTTCTCACTTCTTCACCATGGAGCCGCTGGTCACAGAGACCCGGCCTCTGCGCTCTGCACTTTCTGACCGGGATCCATGGCCCCCGGGGCCTGGGCTGTGGGAAAGCCTCAGTTTATGGAAGGCCCCGCGGCCTGTGCCCTGGTTTGGTAAGTGGGTCAGGCCACTTGGTTGGGGACAATCCTGGAGCAAGGCCACGCCCTGGCAGGCTTGGAGGATGGCAGGAATGGGGAAGACCGTGGGGGAAAAGGAGGAGGAGGCCTGGCCACACCCTTTATTCAGTTGTTCTTGCTGCCAAAGCTGAAAAGCATCCTCTGCCCTGGGCAGGCCCCACTTTCCGCTGGAAGAAGCCCAACGAGCGTCCCACCAGGGCCTGGAGCCCCCTTTCCTTCCATAGCTGGAACCTCCTCTGAGCCAAGGACATGAAACACCGAGAGTGTTCACCGTTGGCCTGTGGTCAGCCCCTGGTCTTGCCAGCGCCTTGCCTGGAGTTGGGGAGGTAGATGTGTTTCCCTTAACCTTTTTTCTGGGGAATGTACATGTCTGTTTTACAAAGCTGGAAGAGGGGCATGTCAGCCTCCTGTGTAAGATGCTGGCTTTTAGGTGGGTTCGTTCTGATGGGATATTGGAGTGGAGACCCCCAGCAGATGGAGATTCTTGGAGTAGGAGTGTAGGTGGTCCAAGGCATGCCTTCTTCTAGCCCAGGGGAGTTTTGTGGGTGGACGGGCTGCCCAGGGCTTTGGGGGATTCTGGACTAACAGGCAGGGGAGTTTCAGAGCCCAGAGGAGTGAGTCTCCCAGTGGCCCTGAAGTTTCCATTAAAGTGTTTTTTCCTCTTTTTTAAAGAAAAAAATATTCCCAAACTGGAAAACAAAGGAAATCCACTTCCCCCAAATCACACGAAACTCACATTAGGGGCCTGGCAGGAATCCATGGAAACCAGGAAACCCGCTGTTAACCCTGTGTGGCGCCGAGGGGTGGGATGGGAGCTGGGCTGATCCAAGCCTTGGACAGTGGATGCTGTCCACCCCTGATGGCCTCCCCCAGGGAGCTGGTCTCGGTGGCATTGCCCCAGCCGAGGTAGGGCAGAGCTGATGCTGAAGCTCTCACCTTCAAAGAGCCAACTCCCCCTCGCACTCAGGTCCAACCTTGGGAGGCAGGAGGGGAGGGGTTCGTGCACTCCTGCAAGGCCTCCGGGGACTCTGAGGGCCGGGCCAAGTTGGAGAACCTGCAGGGCAGCTGCCCACACCATGCCACACTAAGGAGGCAGGGCCCAGCCCGCTCACACGCTTCAGGAACGCAGAGCTGCTGTGGCTGCTGCAATCTTCCCGCAAAGGGGGAAGGAAAGGGCCGGGATTTCAGTGGCAATCTTCCTGATGCCAGCTCCGCAGGCAGGGTGGGCAGGAGAGCGGACCGAGCACCCCCTCTGGGTTCTCAGCACCCCATTCTCACATCCACGAGGCCGGGCTTCCAGGGCTGGGAGGTCGTACGCCGAGATCGGGTTGTGTGTTTGTGTTTGCACGCGCATGAGCTCCTTTTTTCTAAAAATGCTGAAAATATTTACAGGTTTGAAGTTGAAACGCAAACAGGAAAAGCCCTTTAAAAAGTGAGTGTAGTGGATATTCAAAACAGGAATCACCATGGAAACACCACAATATTTGTTTAAATTGACACAAAGGTTGCCGGTAGCAGGGCACCAACTTTCTTTGGCTACTTTTTTTTTTGTCCCAACACCTATCGCAACTGAATCTCAGCAGCCCCCTTTCAGGGCAAGGGCCCACACCCTCTTTTCTTTTTATGAAATTGAGTCCCACAGTACCAGAATGGAAGTGGGGAAGGAAAGCCAGAAGAAATTAAATTCACTATCCTGGGTCGCTGCAGAGACACCTGTTGATTCCTTTTATAGAGGCTCCCAGAAGGCCACCCAGGGGTCAGGGGAGCAGCTGGGAGCTGGCGCAGGGAAAGTCTGGAGGGAGCAGGCGTTGGGGAGCCCAGGGTTGGTTTGGTTGCATGGGTTTGATCTGTTTCCAGTATTGGCTTGATCCATTTTCAGGCCTGACCTTTCACCCTGGGTGCCCAGCCTTGGGTGTGATCCTTCTGTGTTACCTGGGGAGGCACCTGATTGGCCTAGTATTGTTTCTACCTGTTTGCTTCTTTTATTAGGTACAACAACTGCGTAGCCATTGGCTAATAATTGTGCGAAGGGTGCGTTGGTTGCAGAGTCAGGCATGGTATGCGCCGTGGCAATGCCATCTGCTGATTGGCTGGCAGGAACGAGAATCTCTTACCTGGCTGGCTGGTTATCACACAAGGTGTGGGAACCTTAGCCTCCCTTGTCCTCCAGTGTGGGGTGGGTTTGTGGGTGTCGGTTGTAGCCTCATCTTTTCTGTTTTCCTGTCTCATTTTGGCAGGCAAACAGACCTTGCTGACTGAAGGCAAAGACTCCTCCATCCCACCTGCCCTCCCAGCTGCCACGGCCATCGACCCCTCCTTTACAAGGGGCTCCTGCAACTCCCCAGCAGCACGTGTTGGAATGGACTTCGGACCCTGGCCTCTTGGGATGCAAAGGTAGATGCTTCCGGTTCCCAAGATGCCACTAGGAAGTGTGGGGTGGCCAGTTTGGGGGTTGCTCTTTAGGGTACGGACGATGTAGGGCCTAGACTCACCTTTCCCAGTGGGTTCTGATCCTGAGGGTGGTAGCTTAAGCACCATCAGTGAAAATGAAAAAAGTGTTGGATGGAGAAGAAAGCTCTGGCCTGGGAGCAGGGCACCTGCATTTGGGCCTTGGCCTTGTCACCGACTCACTACTTACTCTCTGGATCTCGGTTTCCCCACCCGTGAAATGAAGAGGTTAGCATAACTGGCCTTTTAAGGATCTTCCCAGTGTTTCTATGGTATGACATTGAACAATGCAGCCCAGGCTTTGTGGCCAAGGACCATTCTCCATCAGATGCCACTCCCAGATCTAAGCATTAGGTTGGAACTTCGTCTTAGAAGGGCTGGACAGTAGTTCCAGCCTTTCTCCATCTCCAGAGGCTGCTCTGCTGTAAGCTCATATGTGGTAGGAGCTGGCCTGGGGATGATTTATCAGGCTCTCTTCAGTGGTCCTCCGGCCCAAATAGGACCCTTCATAGAGGAGAAGCTGTAGGTGCCTTTTGACCCAGGCTTGGAAATAGCCCTTTGCGTAAGGCAGGTCACTCATGCCAGGGAGGGGTAGTCTGTGGAGCTGGTACTGTCAGATATTTACCTGCAGGTATCAAACGTGGCAGTTCTTGGGGTGAGGGGTTGACACACATTGGGTGACTCATTGCATGCTGGTCATTATTCAGTACTTTCTTGAGATCCCAAGGAAACCAGTCCAGAGGGATTGGGTGTTTGCGAAGTTCACGGGCAAGGTCTAGGGGTGGAAGCAGAGGCTGAGGGCCTAGAGGATGTCTGGGGAGGGCAGGGCCGGGGGCTGCTCTTCCTATGTGTGCCAGCCTGGAGCCGGTGTCCCTGGCTCACCTGCCTGCGCTCTTCCTCCCCATGGTCACTCTGGGCAGGTGTGTCCTGCCCCTCCCTCTGGGGCTGGGCTCAGCAGCCCTGGACTTCGAACTTGCAGGGAGGAAGCGCTTGCAGAGACGGGAGCCTTGGTGCGCACTGGGGTTTGGTAGGTCCCTGAAGCTGCAGACCTGCCTGAATCCAGGCCATGCCTCCTCAGGGAACTAGCT
The DNA here is from genome assembly GCF_000001405.40 of Homo sapiens. Taxonomy (NCBI): domain Eukaryota; kingdom Metazoa; phylum Chordata; class Mammalia; order Primates; family Hominidae; genus Homo; species Homo sapiens. Next base: position 10,759,558 of record NC_000001.11, on the reverse strand, counting down.
CTGGATACAGCCCAGAGATTTGCAAATCAGATGCAAATGTGGCCTTTGGTCGCTGTGGTGGGGCAACTGTGTGGCTGCGACTCTTCTTCCTGGTGTGCAGAAGGTGATCATGCTCCTGAAGTTGGTCTGTCGTACTTAGGATGTGCTGCCGTTGTCCCCTGGATAGCACCGGGGCTGTTTAGACTGTCACCTGGAAAAGGCCGTGGGGGGAGTTTCGTGGCGCTGAAGTCTTCTGGGCTTGGCGTTAGCACCTGCACCTCTGCCACCTTCCCGGGCTATTCTTAACAGACTCTGCTTCCTCTGATGATCATGAATCCTGGGATGCAGGCTCAAATATATGCAAGCCTCAGGGTGGTCTTGCCCAGCCCTGCCCTGTGCCCTGCCCATGAAGAGGCTGTGAGTGCCTGCAGAGCCCCCTCCCCTCTGAGAGGGTAATGTTTGCCTGCTCTGTTCTCAGTGACGGGTTTTTTGTTTTCTTCTTTGCCTGGGCAAAACACGCCTATTCGTTTTTCCCTTTCTGAAGTTTCCATTCGCTGTTGACTCCCAGGGGTCATGCAAGCGGGGATTTGTACCTGGTGTGGGGTATGGGATCCACAGGTCCGATGGGACACCTGTATCCTAGCATCGGCTGTCTTGGACTTGATAATGAAGCTTGGGAACTCCACGGGCTCCGAGTGAGAATATCATGGCCAAGTCCCTCCTCACTTAGCCCTTTCCAGTGACCAGGCTGGACTGCAGGCGGGGGTCCTCTGTGGCAGGGGTGACCCATGGTCTCAGAGCTGTCCTGCCTCACCAATGTGGACCAGGGGGCAAGCCTGTGCGTAGGTCTGGTCTGCAGGCCTGACCCTGTCTGGCTCAGATTCCCCCCACCTCTGGCTCCTCTGCAGAAGAGCTGGTTGAATTTATCCAGCAGTACAGAGGGTCTGGGGCCAGGTGCGGTGGCTCAAGCCTGTAATCCCAGCACTTTGGGAGGCTGAGGCAGACAGATCACTTGAGGTCAGGAGTTTAAGACCAGCCTGGCCAACATGGCAAAACCCCATCTCTACTAAAAATACAAAAATTAGCCGTGTATAGTGGTGCATGCCTGTAATCCCAGCTACTTGGGAGGCTAAGGCAGGAGAATCACTTGAACCCGGGAGGCGGAGGTTGCAGTGAGCCAAGATCGCGCCACTGCACTCCAGTCTGGGCGACAGAGCAAGACTCTGTCTCAAAAAAAAAAAAAAAAAAAAAGAGAGAGAGAGAAGAGGGTCTGGCGTCTGTCAGTCACTCACCAGCAAACAGAGTGGACAAGACCGCCCCTGTTCTCATGGAGTCTGGTAGGCGAGGCAGCGTGAAACAAACCCACAAAAACAAAAAAGGAAGACGCCAGCAGAGAATGGAAGTAGGAGGTGGTGGTGGGAAGTGACTGCTTGGCACTCCTGGCAGGCTGCTCAGAGGAGGTTTCTCAAGGACGTGGTGACATTTAGCTGAGATTGAAGGACAGGAAGTGGACAGATCAGTGAAGAGCAGGCTGGAGAATATTCTAGAAAGAAAGAACAGCTAGCCTAATGGCCCTAAGGTAGGATGCCCTCAGTGCATCCAGTGACTGGAAAGAAAGGCAGAGTGGCCAGGACGTGGATGGGGACGTGGATGAGGTGGGTGTCAGGAGGTGCAGGGCTTTGTGTGCCTGGGGAGAAGTTGGGATTTTATGCTTAGGTGATAGGAAGCCGCTGGAGGGTTTTGAGCCAGAGGTAAAGTGATGTGATGGTTTTCTGTTTTTTGTTTTTTGTTTGAGATGGAGTCTCACTCTGTCACCCAGGCTGGAGTGCAGCAGTGCAATCTTGGCTCACTGCAACCTCCGCCTCCCGGGTTCAGGTGATTCTCCTGCCTCAGCCTCTCGAGTGGCTGGGATTATAGGCAAGCGCCACCATGCCTGGCTAATTTTAGTGTTTTTAGTAGAGACGGGGTTTCACCATGTTGGCCAGGCTGGTCTCAAACTCCTAACCTCAAGTGATCCACCCACCTCAGCCCCCCAAGGTGCTGGGATTACAGGCATGAGCCACTGCACCCAGCCAATGTTTGTTTTAAAAAGGTAGTTGGGGCTGCCAAGGGAAGAAATTGGGAGGCCAGAGGGGCAGCTGCTGCAGCCGATGGTGTGAGAGGATGGTGGCTGGGTGAGGAGGAGGTGGACAGGCGGGGAAGGGGTCAGAGCCTGTATGTGTATAGAGGAAGAGTTAGCAGGACTCAATGATGGATTCAACGGGGCAAGGAAAAGAGAGGGCCCCAGGATGACTCAAGCATTCTGTGCCCGCGGATTTGTGGCTCTGTGTCTTCTCCTCTCTCTCCTGCCCCCTGAACACAGCAGTACCAAGAAAGACCCATGGCTTTGAGAGGGTTAACGTCTCATGCATTAGGGGAGAAGTGCCATCTTGGAACCATGCTGGGTGCTGAGAAAGGCTCGTTTGAGTGGGTCGGGCTCCTTGCGGAGGGAACTGCTTCTCTCCGACACCGTTTTCAGGAGTGAGCCTGGGAGCAGGCCAGGACACACACTATCCTTTCAGCCCTGGCTCTGCACTGAAGCCAGCTTTGTGTGTTTGCTCCCTGGGTTCTGTGCTGGGTCTGAGATTGGGTCTAAAAGTTGGCTGAGTTTCTCTTACTGTGGCTTTGAATGTGATCTGTGCGCTCAAGGGCTGAGCTTCTGCACACCTTTTTCCACGTGCCGGGTCATATAGAGCGTCGTTGGTGAGCTGTGAGGGCTGGCAGATGGGTTTGTCTGAAGCCCCCATATTTCCATGGGGTCAGCTCAGCCTCCAGCCGCTGCTCATCTGCTCATCGGCAGGGATCCTAATAGTGTCGCCACACACAAAGGTGTGAATTGCCCCAGTACCCCGCTCGCCTGAAGGCCAGTCTCCCTTTTCCCAGTGCCTCTGACATGAGGCTCCACTCTCCTGGGTCCTGACACCATCTGTGAGGGCCAGGTTGGGGCAGGCAGTCCCAGCATCGATGCTGTGATAGCAGTGATCCCCAGCGCCCCTGGACAGGCCCCATGCCGCCCTGGGCACTGCCCTGTAGCCCTGGAGCAAGCCAGAGGCCTGGTTGGCGAGCGTGAAGCTGTCACAGCCGGCTGCCGGGCTCGCGTGAGCACTTGCCCTTGCTGGCAACGTATTCCCAGCCATATGGGCCAGCCCAGCCTTCCAGGAACACTCTGGAGACCTGACCTCCATGGAGGTGACAGGAAGGGAGGGCCGGTGATGTCTTGCGGGGGCGAGGGTGGGGGGTGCATCGGGGATGTCCCAAGTGGGAAGCAATGTGTGGCACAGCAGCCTGGCCCTGTAAGGAGGCTCTGGAGGCCTGACCTCCAGAGGCAGCAACGGGAGAGAGCAGAAGTGCAGGCTGGCAGCGGCTTGCGGGAGTGGTGGGGCTCTCCCAGGCCTACAGCTGGTGCCTCTGCCTGGCTCCGAGGGGCGTGTCAGCCAGTCTTCCTGGGCGTGTCTGCCAGGCCTCAGAACACTGGGCCGGCCCTGGGGGAGGGTGTGTCCGGGTGGGAGGCGTGTGCATCTGTGCACGCGTGGGAGGTTTTTCTGCTTTCCGCCTCTATGGTCTGCACTAGATCCGTGACCTTCACTCCTAACTGGACTGGACAGTTCTCATGCCATCCTCCAGGGCTTTGATCTGATGTGAGGCTGGCAGCTCCATGGCCTGCAGCTGGGGTGGGGGGTGCAGAGGGGTGGGAGCAGGAGGGTTCCCCACCTCCCACCGTGATGTGGTGCTCCAGAGGATGGGTAGACCCCAAGGTTGCCTTGGGCTGGGCAGAGATGTGGCTGGGAGTTGGTCTGGGAAGAGTTATTGATCTTCCTGATTTCTCATCTGGGCAAGTGTTCCACCTGGTGGTGCCGAACCCCAGCCTGGGCCTCCTTCCTCCGTTCTCCCCACACCCCCTGCCTTCGGAGCAGATGCAGGAAAACCCCGCATCTCGCCATGCACGGGCCCCAGGGAAGAGGGATTGGGAAGGGCTGGGGGCACCTGCCCTGTCTGGAGCTACTCGGGGGACTTCTCGGCGGGTGACGCAGTTGATCCAAAGGATGGGACAACCCGTGGATTTGGGAGGGTTGACGCGGTGTGGTGGACGAAGAGAGAAGCGCCTCTGCCCTGCCTCTGTCCCTGAGTGCCCACAGTGAGAGAGGCTGGCATTGGAGAGGCGACGTCAGGTCTCACACATGGAGGAGTCCCGGAGTCCTGACTGCATCATCTCCTCGTGTAGACCTTCAAGCTCCTCCTCTCCGGTCTCCTGCCAGGTTCCCCCATGTGCTTTTGTTCTGGAATCTACCCAGGGATAAGCCTGGTCCAGGTGAAGGCCCTTAGGCCCAGAGCCACCACCCTGAGGCATGAGGCGGCCAGTGATCCCCTTGCTGCCCACCTTCCGCGGGACCCCTGGATGCTGCCACGTTCCCACCCACACCACTGCCGCTTGCTCTCTGCCCTTCAGGCCTGGGGGTCGCTCCCCTTCCACTCACCACCTGAGTTTTCTCTCTGGTCCGGCTCCTTGGCTTTCCTCCGAAGCAGGGGCTTTTCTGAGCCTGGGCCTTGCTATGGTAGCTGGGTTGGGACCCCCGTGGCCAACGGGGTAAGAGGAGGAAAGGTGTAATTAAACACTAGTTTCTTCTCCAGAAATGCTAATCGGGAAAAGCAATTAAAAGCGACTTTTTTTTCCCTTAGTAATCTGTGTTAAGAGCTGGTAATGAAGTTTAGGGCCGTTGTGACTCAATATTTCAGCTTCACCGACTCAAGTCAAAACAATCCGAGCCCAGGAGTTTGCCAGCAGCTGAGCTGGGCCCGGGCAGCAGCTGTGAGTCCCACGCCGTGCTGCTCTCCAGGCAGAGAGAGGATCGGTCCCAGCTGCGGGGAGGAGGTCTGGTGACACAGAGATGGGTCCCCTCGGGCACCCCTCCAAAGACCCTGGAAATGCATCCTAGTGAAAATGCTTAGGACGAGGGTGTGAGGAGCACCTGGTTTAGGGGGCAGGACTGAGGAAGCCTGGGGTCCAGTAGGGTCAGGGGAGAGGAACTGGATGCTTGAGGAGCCCACTGGGTTGGGCCAGGGCTCAGCCTCAGGGGTTCAGAGCCGGAAGAGGTGGTGGTCCAAGTCCTGACCTGTCACCTCTGGCTATTCATTTTCCATTTCCATTCAGCGACACTGTGGGTAGTCATTGTAGGTGCTCGAAATGAAGAAGAGGCCAACGTCCTGCCCTCATGAGGTTTACATTCGGATGGAGGGAGCCAAATGATACAGGAGAAAAAGGAATAAAGGATGTGCTGGATGGCGATGCGTGGGAAGGAGAAAACAAGAGCCTCTTTGCAGACTAGAATAGGGAGTGAGAGGCAGGTGGATGGATGGTTTGTCATTTTAGATGTGGCTCCCAGGGAAGGGGTCACTGCGATGGTGACATTTGGGTGAAGACAGAAAGGAAGTGAGGGAGTGAGCCAACCTAATCGATATCTGTAGGAAGAGCATTCATAGCAGGTGTGAGATCCCAGAGGCGTGTTGGAGAAGCAAGGAGACCAGCGTGGCTAGAGCAGAGTGAGGGGCAGATGCCATCTGAAGTCGAGGGGGTCAGGGTGGGGGGCCCTCAGATCCCGTAGGCCTTGCAGGCCATTGTGAGAACTCTGGCTTTTACCCAGAGTGAAATAAGAAGCTTTTTGAAGAGTTCTGAGTGCCATGATCTGATTAGGAACAAGCTCTTTATTAAAAAACAAGACCCACCTGTCACCGACTCCGCCTCTCACAGGTCGCATATGTGCCCGGATCGCCCTTCTTGAATGCACTCTCTCGATGTTTCATCTGGGAGCGGGCAGAGAGGGCACAGAGGGGTCTGTCTGGAACTTGCCCTGCTCTAGCCTGGGCCTCCTTTCCCCGGTCCTTCTGGGGAGCCGCTCAGAAACAGGGTCTTGTCACTTTAAGCAGACCCCCACCCGCCTCCCTGGCCTGCTTTATCTGAAGTCCAAGCGCATGTTGTTCCAGGACCGATCCGCTTTAGCTAATTAATAATCTGACAGGAGCCACCCAGGGGATTAGCCGTTGAGCTGAGCTCCACCAAGCCCCAGCAAATGAGCCCTGTGCTCCTTGGGGACATGGAGGTGACTTTGCGGGGTGCAGTGAGAGGGGACCCCCGCAGGTGAGCTGTGGTATTGGACAGTGCAGCAGTGACGGGTGAGGGAGGAGGCTGGGCAGGGCAGAAAGTGATGAGAAGAGCCTCTTGAAAAGAATCTGCTGTCCTGAGACGGACAGGGACCTCCACTCCCCCTCACTGCCTCTTCTGTCCTGCTCACCCCGTAGGAACTGTACCCCCCTGCCGGGGGCTACCTGCTGAGTCATCAGGACGGGGCTGCCAGAGTTAGCAAATAAAAATACAGGATACCTAGTACATTTAAATTTCACACAAATAGCACGGACTTTTTAGTATAAGTATATTCCATGCAATGTTTGGGACATACTTATATGAAAATAGTATTCATTGTTTTTTGTTTTGTTTTGTTTTGTTTTTTGAGATGGAGTTTTGGTCTTGCTGCCCAGGCTGGAGTGCAATGGCACAATCTCGGCTTGCTGCAACCTCCGCCTCTCAGGTTCAAGTGAGTCTCTTTCCTCAGCCTCCCCAGTAGCTGGGATTACAGGTACCCGCCACCACACCCAGCTAATTTTTTGTATTTTTGGTAGAGTCGGGGTTTCACCATGTTGGCCAGGCTGGTCTCGAACTCCTGACCTCAGGTGATCCACCCACCTTGGCCTCCCAAAGTGCTGGAATTACAGGCGTGAGCCACGGCACCTGGCCGTATTCATTGTTTATTAGAAATTCACATTTCACTGGGCATACTGTATTTTCTCTGGCAGCCCTAAGCAGGGAGGGCTGGCAACTAGGGGGGCTCCCTCTCCAGGGCAGCTGGGACCTCCTTCTGGAAGAGCCAGCACTCCCTGGGGAGCTGCCTGGGGACTTTGCAAGCAAGGCAGGGCTGGGGTCACGATGACCTCCACTCCCACAGTACAGGGAGAGGAGGATGGAGGCAAACGCCGGCCACTTGCTGGAGTCTCCCAACCTGTATTTGGGCCCAGGTGGCCCTTGGGTGAATCGAGTCTAAGTCCCCACAGGGACATCTGTGGCCACCAGGCTGGGGAGCAATTCCCCAGGACCGCCTTCCCTGGTGAGGCTGCTATCTAGGAATAGTCTAGGGGCCTCTCCAGAGGAGGCCACCTGAAGTTTCTGGGGTAATTTGGAAAGATGACCATCCGCTAAGGGCATCTGTTCTGAGCCCAGGGAGAGGTGGGCAGGGATGGCCCACTGTGTAGGAGGGGCTGGACCAGGCCAGGCACAAGGTCAGGGACGACAGCCTGCTATGCAGGGCCACCTCTGTGTTCCAGGACCTTTGGGCACTGAGCAAGAATCCCCGTCTGCTGCCCTCTCCATGCCCACCCCAACTGGGCAGCCCGTGCTAGCTCCTTGGGGAGGGTGTGCCCTGCAGGGTGCTGGCCTGCCTGGGCTGTCACTGCGGGCAGGGAGGGGAGGGCCAGTCTGGAGTGGAAAGCTTGATGGGGTCCTTACTGCTCCCTCTGGTGACCCCTCACATCCTAGATCCGTTCCTGTGGACAGAGAGCTTAGGGCTGCCAGCTGGTGGAGGTCCAGCCTCCTGCAGCCAAGGAGCTTGATGCCAGGCGGGCAGTGCCCCAAGGTGGGAGCTCTTTGCTCTGGCTCTGTTCTCTAGGAGTTAACAGCATCCTGTGCCCTGGGAGGCCTCCTCTGCCCTGGCCCCCTGGGCTGCCCTCCTCCCAGCCTTTCCCGGCACAGCCAGCCAGGGCATCTTGTGGTGTGAGCAGAAGGGGGCCGGGGGTGCCGCACGAGTGGGAACCTCTTCCGCTTCCCGAGCTCTCAGCCTCTTCCCCAGCCTGCCCGGTGGTTTGGCCCCGTTTCTCGAGCCAGCTCCTGCCCGTGTTGCCTCTGACCAACATCATTAGCGTGGGTATTTATATTTCATTAACAACATTAAGCCCAAATGGCATTAAAAGCAAAGCTGGTGATAAATAGCTTATTAATAAACAGGGAGTGCTCCGTGCTGCCTGGCCTCTCCCAGCCCTGGTGTTAACCCTTGCTGCCCTAAATAAATATGCCTCACCCTAAAGATCATCCCCCTGAAGATGGGGCCAGAAGTCGGCTTCTGGCCCCTGTCGGCTTCTCTGCCCTCTGTCGGCTACTCTGAGGTCAGTGTGTCTTGGATTCTAGGCCAGGCAGGTCTGGGTCACTTGAGCTCACAAAACCTGGCCAGACCCCCTCAGGGCCTCTAATCAGATCCTTGTCACCCTGTCCTCACTGGTTTTGATTCTGGGGATTAATAATTTAGGAAATGTGGCTTTTCTAGGTTGTAAGCTCAGATCTTTCCTATTCCCTTTTAGCCGCATCTGAAACAAGGTTTACAGACTCAAAGAGTCACAATAATAATAATAATAATTAATAATAATAATAGCAATGACAGTTACAATCGCAGCCAGCATGCACAGGGTGCTCACCATGTGCTCACTGGTGTCTTGGCGATCACTCCACACGCAGCAGCTCTCAAATCCTCCAGTGACCCCAGGAGCGTCCAGCTCAGCCTCCTTTTATTTTTTATTTTATTTATATTTATATATATATATTTTTTGAGACAGAGTCTTGCTCTGTCACCCAGGCTGGAGTGCAGTGGCACCATCTTGGCTCACTGCAACCTCTGCCTTCCGGGTTCAAGCTATTCTCCTGCTTCAGCCTCCTGAGTAGCTGAGATTACAGGTCGCGCCACCATGCCTAGCTAATTTTTGTATTTTTAGTAGAGATGGGGTTTCACCATGTTGGCCAGGCTGGTCTCTAACTCCTGACCTCATGTGATCCACCTGCGTCAGCCTCCCAAAGTGCTAGGATTACAGGTGTGAGCCACCTCGCCCAGCCTCAGCCTCCTTCTATAAGTGCGCAAACTGATGCCCAGAGAAGTGAAGCAGGGCTGGGCACAGTGGCTCACGCCTGTAATCCCAGCGTTTTGGAAGGCTGAGGCGAGAATCGCTTGACGCCAGGGGTTCAAGACTCCCATCTCTTAAAAAAAAAATTAAAAAATAAAAATTAGCCAGGTGTGGTGGCGCACGCACCTGTAGTCCTACCTATTTGGGAGGGGAGGCTGAGGTGGGAGAATCACTGGAGCCCAGGAGGTTGAGGCTATAGTGAGCTGTGATCGCACCACTGCACCCCAGCCTTGGCAGCAGGGCAAGACCCCGTCTCTTAAAAAGTAGAAGAAGAAAAGAAAAGAAAATCGAAGCAAAGCAGCGTCACTAGCCAGGCCTCATGTCACACAACCCCCGGGCTGCTGTCATTGTGCAGTCGGCCCTGAAACAGAACTCATTGCAGAAGAGCCCATCCCTGGCTCCTGGGCCACACGTGTGCCAGGGTTTCTCAGAGCCATGGCTCTGGCCTGACTCTCCCTGCCCCCGGGCCCCTGCCAGTTCGTCATGCAATGCCCCTGTCTAGGCAAGCTGCCTGCACACAGGCCGGCTGTCCAGAGGGCACAGTTATATACCTTGCAAGCCACCACTCCACCTAGGACCCAGAGGTGCCAACAGAGAGCCAGCAGGGGTGTCTGTGATGCTCCGGAGACCCGTGTGAGCCTGTGCTTCCAATTGGAGCAACTTCTACTCGGTGCCCTTCTGGGGAGCAGGGAGCAGCCAGGCCTTGGTTGTTGGGGGTTATAAGTCAGTATTAATATTTGTTAGATGTAAGGTCATCTTTTAACACTTCTAAGAAATAGGGGCACGCTCAGCCCTGGGTCCTCTCGCAACCCCAGCTCCCCAGCCGAATTGGCTGAAAGTAAGAAGAGAAACTGGAACCTTGTCTAGATTAAGAGGCCCCACTTAGAACCTCCTGCTACAAGAGTCTCCGTATTCGCCTGGTCCATTCGGGGCTGTCTGGGCCACACCTGGCTGAAGGGGGAAATGGGGCTGTCTTGAAGTTTGCAGCATAAAAGGAAAGATAGGCCGGGCGTGGTGGCTCACACCTGTAATCCCAGCACTTTGGGAGGCCGAGGTGGGTGGATCACAAGATCAGGAGATCGAGACCATCCTGGCCAACATGGTGAAACCCCATCTCTACTAAAAACACAAAAAATTAGCTGTGCATGGTGGCACACGCCTGTAGTCCTAGCTACTCAGGAGGCTGAGGCAGGAGAATTGCTTGAACCAGGGAAGTGGAGGCTGCAGTGAGCTGAGGTTGCACCACTGCACTCCAGCCTGGGCGACAGAGTGAGACTCTGTCTCAAAAAAAAAAAATAGGGGGGAAAGATGGAGGGAGGGTGGAATGTGAAGCCGCCATGTGGTTGCAAGATGGGGACAGGGTGGAGGGCATGTCGTGGAGACCATCTGGCTGTGTCTATGAGCACTCAGGGAAGACGGAGAGCTCATTAATTAGCAGGGCTCCTGCTGTCTGTGCAGGGCCCCGGACTGCTTCTCCCAACCCATTCCCAAGCTGGGAAGGAAGCTGGGACGCAGCAGCCGCAGGGCTCCTCATCAAAGAGGAATCCCACGTCTCATCCTGATGCCTGCAACCTGACCCCCAAAGACAGAAGCGAGTTGGGGGACCTGGCAGGGAGGCCTCACCAGACTGACGTGGCGATGTTAGGGCTGCCTCAGGAGGTCTGATTCGCATCTGCTGCTTCTGCCGAGAAGACCTCCATGCTTGCTCTGGCCACGTGGGCCTTGGCCATCATGGCAGGGCATGGTGGGTGGCTGGGAATTGGAGACACTGTGGAGTTTATGACTGTCACCTACATTACAGTTCAGGTGACTCTACAGGCATAAAACCAGTGGTCAGAGACCCCAGACGAGGAGCAAGCAGTGGTGAAGGGGCAACCAGGCCTGCCCCTGCCTGGAACTAGTGGTCAGGTCGGGGAGCTGACTGCGAGAAAGAGGTACCATGGAGAGAGATGGGCTCTGGAACCAGGCTGACCTGAGTTGCAGTTCAGACCCACTGTTTTATAGACATGGCCGTCACTCTGCAAGCTTAGCCTCATTGTACTCCTCTGTAAAATGGGCACAATAGCATCGTCTTTGCAGGGATGCGTTCTCTAAAATGCCTGTGACCGGACCTGGGACCTGGTAGGTACTGAGTGAGGGGTCACTGCTGCCTCTGTCACTGTTAGGCCCACTCCTAATTTGTCGTCGCTAACGTCTGTTTGAGAAACGGGAAAGGAAATGGGTGAAGAACACGGTATATACACAGGGCTCGGCCTGCCGCCCCTGCCCAGGATAGGTGAAGAACATGGTATACACACAGGGCTCGGCCTGCCACCCCTGCCCAGGAGTAGCTGCTGCAGCAGTAAGGACAGGCCGGGCCTGGCAATCACCTTCTCCTCTGCCAGGCTTAGAAGGGGAGTTGGATGCAGGGAGCCTTTGAAAGGCGAGCACATGGCCGGGCGCAGTGGCTCACACCTGTAATCCCAGCACTTTGGGAGGCCGAGGCGGGCGGATCACGAGGTCAGGAGATCAAGACCATCCTGGCTAACACGGTGAAACCCCGTCTCCACTAAAAAATACAAAAAACTTAGCCGGGCGTGGTGGCGGGTGCCTCTAGTCCCAGCTACTTAGGAGGCTGAGGCAGGAGAATGGCGTGAACCCAGGAGGCGGAGCTTGCAGTGAGCTGAGATCACACCACTGCACTCCAGCCTGGGCGGCAGAGCGAGACTCCATCTCAAAAAAAAAAAAAAAAAGTCAGGCAGGTGAGCACAGTGTACTGTGTACCCTCTCCCAGTGATTGCTCATTCTGGAGGGGGAGCTAGGTGTGGTGAGACACCCCTAATTCCAGGCAGCTGCAGTGACCCACAAGAGAGCAGAGTGGGGGTCTTCAGTGTGGTCGACCCTGCAGCCTTTGATGTCAGCCTTTGATGTCACAAGGCAGGTTCTTTCCCGTTTCTTGCACATGGGCTGGGCTTTGATTAGGGACCCTGAGCCCACCTCACCTTCTCCCCACTCTGCAAAGCCCGGGACAGGGACTGCAGCTTCTGCTCACTCACTGGAGGTGTGCTGAGATGTGTTCTACTCCAGGGTTCTTCCCTGACATCTGGGTGGAACGCCTTTCATCTGCCGCTGGGACCTGGCCACTGTTAGACCCTCAATGGCAGCCATTGCTTCCGCCACGGTTTGGCAGGTGCTAGACTTAGCACTTGGTAAGAATCCCTGCCCATGGGATTTGGTTTGTCTGCTGGGTTGCATCTACGAAAGATGAGCGTATTCAGAACCCTGCCTCTCTCTGCAGACCCCACCTTCCCAAGGACGGCTTCCCCTTTGCTTCCCAGCCCCACCCTTAGTCTCAGGTGGCCTATGTCTCCAAGGGCCAGAGGCTCAGAGGGTATGGGGGTAGCTGGTGGAGTAGCTGGAGCCTCCTGGGGCAAAGGGTCTGTGTGTGCTTACCTTGCGTTAGGGGAATGGCACTGCCAACTGGGTGGCCATCACATGCCATTTGTCACTCCATGGACTTCTGGGCGTCCACTCCTGGTTAGCGGGGGCTATGAGGGGAGAAGCCATGGGGTCATCCATCTTGCCCACATGATCTCAGAGCTACCCAACCCCACATGGGCCCTAGAGAAGGGGCAGGGAGTGGGAGCCTGGAAAACGGCTCCTGGGAGTGGGGAAGGTGACATGTGCATCCTTTGCTCCATGGCCCAGGAGCCAGGGCTTTTGGCTTGATGGGCAGACTTTCCAGTGGGTCAAAGGCCACTCCAGATCTGAGCTTTTTCTTTTCCCTGCTCTCTCACCTCCAGGGGTGGTAGAAAAAGCTCACCCTCCGCTCTGTCCCTCTGCCCTGTGGTGGCCCCAACATGAGGCCAGACATGGGCTGGGGTCTAGGACGGCTCTAGGAGAAGGTCCCGGGTCCAGGCTGGCCCTTGGTTGGGGTGCAAGGTGCTGTCTTGGTTCTGCACCTGCCTCCAGCAGTAGGCATTGCCAGCCTTTTTAGCAGACAACCCTGATGCCAGACCCAGGCAAGGGGGCCCTCATCTGAAGCCATGGGGCTGGGAAGGCAGAAGGGATCCCGCGCAGACTCCTTCCTCTGGGAGCTTCTCCTACTTTCATTTTCTTTTTGCCACTATTTTTTCCTGGGGTCTAATTAAAGACTTGGAGCCGTTTACAGCCTGTGGTTGGCTTTTTATTTGGATCTTTGGCAATTACCTCCTGCCCTAAAATAAGTTTCGATGGAACAGGGGTAGGATTTTTCTTTTTGGCCGAGTTCTCAGCTTTAATTTTGCCGTGCATGCGTGTGTGTGCGCGCACGTGTGAGTGATGGAGTGTAATGAGGCCCTTCCCTCCCCGCTCTTCCAAATCCTGCCTCCTTGTCACTCTCTTCATCTCAAGTGTCCTGTGGCCAAGGCAGAGGCCTGGACAGCGGGAACAGTATGTCCTCAGCTTCGCCCTGCCTCGAGGCCACTCTATGATGACGACAGGCAGGTCATCTGTTGACTCTGTCCCAGTTTCTTCACCTGTGAATGGGGCCAGTGGGCCGGGCACGCCACAGGCTTCCCTCTGCACTGCTTAGTGGCAGACCTCTCACCCAGCAGAGTAAGGCGATCCCCCAGGGCGGGAGGAAGCCAGCACCACGGCCACCAGGCCTCCTTTTCCCCTCTTGATCCACACCTTGTGTTTGAATAGGAGCTCATGATCATGTGCCCAAGGCTCTTCCCCGTTTTTGTCCCTCTCAATTCTCCCAGCTTCTGTGTGAGCAGGTGTGATCACTCCATCTTCTAGACCCGTAGGGCCATAGGTGCCCTATGGCCAGAGATAATGAGTGGCTTTTCTGATATCTCTTGGCTTAGAGGGGACAGAGCATTGGGATTCAAACCCAGGTCGTCTGATCTTCCAAAATCCACACCCAGGACTGGCGACATCATTTGTGGGGCCCAGTGCACAATGAAAATGCAGGGCCTCTTGCTCTAAATTGATTCAGAATTTCACAACACTGACAGCAGGACGTTCAACCCAGCAGGTGCCCTTTGAGTATGAGACCCTGTGTGGCTGCATGGGTTGCACACCCAGGAAGCCGGCCCTGCCCACACCCCCTTGAGTCCCCTTTTGCTGTTTGCCTCTATTTCAATCCACTTGGCGAAGGGCAAGGAAGGTCAAGAAGCTGTCTGTGTTCGTGTCCCTGGTACTGTGGCTTACTCTCGCAGTTGGGGAACACACTGGATTCTTCCAATTCTTGGCCTGTCCCATCTGACCTCTGTCTTATAGGCATGATGCAGGCTGCCTGGGGTTCCCTGAGTCTCTTAGGGGACTTCAGACCTAATTAAGGCCACCCGAGACTTCATGTGAGTCAGAGGTGAGGAAATCAAAATAAAAGGACAAAGAAAATTTGGTAAGAACTCTGTTTCCTTGGGGCAGAGGGTGAAGCTTTTGGGGATCGGTCCTCCCAGTCCCACTTAGGAGCCCTGTGGGATCTTCTTTGTCAAGCAAAGCAAATGGTGACCTGCCAAAAATATCCAGGTCATACTGGGCTTTGATTGCTCTGCTGGGGCTAGAAGGTCAGGTGGCCTATTCCGTAGGCTCATCTGGAAACTTCCTCGCCGGTTGCTGGGGACTTGGAGTGGCCGTGGAGTCTTAGGGGGTATTGGGTGGATTGACGGAGCACATGGCAGACATGCGTCTGCGTGTACCGTGTACCGGGGTGCCTGTGTGCTCTGGTGAGGTCACGGCTCTCCTGCGTGCCAGGCAGCTCTTTAAATAAGAGCTGTCAGGATGAATGGCTCTCGCTGGCTACCCAGACATACAGTCCTTGCCCGCCCATCTGGGACTGTGTTCCCCTGTCGCCCAGGACATGCCTGCTCGTGGTGCCCAGGACATGCCTGCTCGTGGTGCCCAGGACATGCCTGCTCGTGGTGCCCAGGACATGCCTGCTCGTGGTGCCCAGGACATGCCTGCTCGTGGTGCCCAGGACATGCCTGCTCGTGGTGCCCAGGACATGCCTGCTCGTGGTGCCCAGGACATGCCTGCTCGTGGTGCCCAGGACATGCCTGCTCGTGGTGCCCAGGACATGCCTGCTCGTGGTGCCCAGGACATGCCTGCTCGTGGTGCCCAGGACATGCCTGCTCGTGGTGCCCAGGACATGCCTGCTCGTGGTGCCCAGGACATGCCTGCTCGTGGTGCCCAGGACATGCCTGCTCGTGGTGCCCAGGACATGCCTGCTCGTGGTGCCGTGTCTCTCTTCTGCTAATGCCCCCCACCCCACCCCCAAGAAGTCTCGGTACCAAAGTTCCCGCCCCAGGACCCCACCCTTGGCTCTCTTTACCATGCCACCTGCTTCCTAGAAACTGAATTCTGGACTTTGGGCAAGTTTCAGGATTAAATGTGTCCTAAAAGCCACAGCAGCTGTTTTTACGGGTGGGGAGGGAGCAACTTTATCTAAAATCAGGGGGCAGGGTCGGGGTGGGAGTACCCTAGGCGTAAGGGCTGAAGCAGTTTGAGTCTAAGGGGGAGAGAGTGCCCGAGTTTCCAAGGACTGATTAGGTGGTATGCCAAGTGTATTAAATTTTGCAGACATTTTAACAGCAATATGCTAGATAGTTGGGTGTCCCCTGAGGCGGCTGGATTTTTTATATCCTTCACAGAAGGTCAGAACCCTCTTCTGCCTGCCTCCCCCCGCCGCCCCATGCTCCCCGCTCCTCTCTCTCTCTCCCTCCCTCCCTCCCTTTCCTCAACAATTTCCCTCGCTTCTTGCTCTCTGCTCATCGGGTACCTAAAAGACATCTCCCATCCCGCCTGCCCTCCCGTCACGGGATCGGGGTTCTCCAAGGCTGGAGAGGGGCACAAACAGGGCACTGGATTTCTATTTTTTCTCCCTTTCCCTCTTCTCCTCCCCCCGCACCCCGCCCCCCCATTTTGGAGACTGTCATAAGACCTACTCCCTCCCTCCTTATTTTTATAGAAAAAAAAAAAGGCAGGAAAAGAATCCATCTGGCATATGAATAATTGAAATGGCTCAACTCTGTTCCTGTTGCCGCTGTTTGTTCTCAGCTCCCCCGGCCCCCAGCCCATCCCCCTGAGTACAGGTCTCTACGTGGAGGATGCCGGGGTACACTTAGAAGGTTCTCGGTGGAGGCCCAGGGCTCTCCCAGGGCTCTCCTTCATTCTGAGCCCTTTCTCCCCATGAACCGATGGGTCTGAGTGGGGGTACTTGGAGATGTAGTCTCCTTCTCCGACCGTGGGGACAGCCAGCCTCAGGCTAGAGTCTCCCCAAATATCACTCACCCTTGAATGTCTCCCTTGGCCTCTTGGGCCTCAAGGGACAGCTAACTGGACCCTGATTTCGCCCAGAATCCCCTGGGATTCTCCGGTTTATGCCCCAGACTCCTCCTGTCCCCCAGCCTCTGCCCCTCTGTCCTGAGGGCTCTAGTGCCCTGCCTGAGCTTCAGGGACCATAGGGACTCCTATTTGGGGAAAACTGGCTTTGGGAATACTCCCCGAGCTCTCTTTCAGTACTGCTTTCAGGGGGCTGCTCCACCCCCAGGAACTGGCCCAGGCTTCTTGCTCAGAGGCTTTTTTTTCTTCTTTTTTGTGAGATGGAGTCTTGCTCTGTTGCCCAGGTTGGAGTGCAGTGGCGTGATCTCGGCTCACTGCAACCTCTGCCTCCCGGGTTCAAGCAATTCTCCCATCTCAGCCTCCCGAGTAACTGGGATTACAGGCGTGTGCCACCATGCCTGGCTAATTTTTTGTATTTTTAGTAGAGACAGGGTTCCACCATGTTGCCCGGGCTGGTCTTGAACTCCTGACCTCAAGTGATCCGCCTGCCTCAGCCTTCCAAAGTGATGAGATTACAGGCATGAGCCACCACACCCGGCCAGAGGCTTCTAACTCCTCACCAACCCATTCCCCTTCCTCTCCTTCCTTTCAATGCGCTCAGATAAGGGCTTGACCCTGACTGGAGGATTTCAAGTTCTTCACTTCTAGATTCAGCCTTTTTATGGGGAGCCATGAAAGACAGGGATCTTAAACTTTGTTTTCTGCGACAAGTTGAGAGAAAGCACATGGGCAGGAGGTGAGGCCAGGCCAGGGACTGGGGAGAGAATGGACTCAGGCCTGGCTGGAATCTCTGCCTGTTCACTTTACACAGCCTGGACCAGCTACACACCAAGCCCCGCGTCCGAGCCGAGAATTCACTGTCTCTTTAAAACCATTTAGAGGAAAAACAAAATAACTTTAGTGCATTAATTCTAGATGAAGATGGGTCTCCAGATGACAGCCTGATCCACATTATTCCCTGCAAGACAACTTCCCCTCTCCTCCGCCCCCTCCCGCCTTCCTGCCCCTCTGCCCAGCTCTTTGTCCTCCTCCGTGGTTCTTGCTTTCTGAAAAGCGGACACCGGGGTGGCATGAAGCCTAATCGTGTGCTTGATGTTTGAGAAGTCAATGCTTCTGTCTGTTTGGGACATCACGTTCATGTCATGGGTGAGGTATTGACTTGCAGCCGTGGACCCTGTGGTTGCAAAGTGCTGGGAGCCAGTGTGTCTCGGAACCACCGAGCAGCCGTGGTGGGGTTGCGGCTGGGGGCACGTGAGAAGCGGTGAGGGGTCCGTGTCTCGGCGCTTGCTGGGTTAGGCACATTAGGTCTCAGAATAGCACCAAAATGTTCTAGATCTCTCCTGGCTTTGGGGGAAAAAACACACAGATACGCACAAACTGCCCAGTAAGCAAAAAATAATTCAGATGAGATTCGAATCAGGTTTGTTAATATATAACTATATATATATATAAATATGTATAAAAGTCGTTTGTAAAGACTCCTACACATGTTATAAAAGCTGCAAAATGTCTGGCATTCCAGGGCCTAGTAGGAATAATTAGATATTTATATCCAATAAAACTGGTTTGATGGGGAAATTGTTTCCCTCCTTGTGGATTCTCAGTTGAGGGTGAGTTTCGGTGGTTGGGTTTGTTTTTCTCCCGGATAATAAAACCAGGGGTTTGGCACCAACAAATGTATTTCCCGTAAATATCTAAATCTCTTTTTTCCACCGTGAGCTCTGCTAGACCAGCCTCATCACGCCAGCCCTGCCCATGCTCATCTTTACTGGAGAGCTGTGTGCGCTGAGCACCCTCAGCCTGGGCCAGTGCTGGAGCTTGTGTGCACCTGTGTCTGCTCCCTGTGCCCTGCCGCCCCCACCCCCAGGACAACTGCTGGTGGCTCTTTTCCAGGCTTTGCTTTGCTGTTTTCCTCTTTGAACAAGTCCCTGCCCTCATGTCGTTTAAAGCCCAATATAGAGCCAGGCGCAGTGGCTCACGCCTGTAATCCCAACACTTTGGGAAGCTGAGGTGGGTGGATCGCCTGAGGTCAGGAGTTGGAGACCAGCCTGACCAACATGGTGAAACCCCGTCTCTGCTAAAAATACAAAAATTATTGGAGGTACATGCCTCTAATCCCAGCTTGGGAGGCTGAGGCAGGAGAATCACTTGAACCCAGGAAACGGAGGTTGCAATGAGCTGAGATTGTGCCATTGCTCTCCAGCCTAGGCAACAGAGTAAGACTGTCAAAAAAAAAATCTAAGTGTTTTTTAGACTTTTTTTTCTTTTTTTTTTTTTTTTTGTCCAGACAGGGTCTCACCCTGTCGCCCAGGCTGGTGTGCAGTGAAGCGATCATAGCTCACTGCAGCCTCCACCTCCTGGGCTCAAGTAATCCTCCCACTTTAGCCTCCCAAGGAGCCAGAACTACAGGTGTGCGCCACCGCAACCAGCTAATTTTAAAAAAAAATTTTTTTTGTGGAGACACAGGGTCTCACTGTATTGCCCAGGCTGGTCTTGAACTCCTGGCCTCAAGCAATCCACCCGCCTTGGCATCCCAAAGTGCGGGGATTACAGGCATGAGCGATTGTGCCCTGAAATTTTTCTGATTTTACTAAGCACTTCCTACCCGCAATTTGCAGTTTCTCTTCCTCCACCTCCTGCTTCTAGACCCTTCTCTCCCACCTCTTCTGAGCTCTGCTTGGCCTCCCAGCCTGTTGCCTTCAGGGCCTCCACCATGGTGTGGCTGCCCTGGGGAGACACTGCCTCAAAGCCCTGGCTTGGGGGGACCCTCAGCCCTATCTTCATTTCTCTCCCATCTGTTACACAGGCATAAGCCAGAAGGAGCCATAGATCCCCAGGACCTCACTCTCCCATTATACAGATGTGGAGCTGAAGCCCGGGCTGGGGCGCATGGATTAGTGGGAGGGGCTGTGCTGGCTTCAGGTTCCTCACTGGAACGGGGCAGAGCTGGGGCCTGAAGTGCTGCCCTTGACTTCCAGCAGGTTCTGGGAATGGGGAAGATACACAGGCCTTGCCTCGACACTGAGCCACTGTGAGACATTGGGCAAGTGGCCTTGCCTCTCTGAGCCTCACTCTTCCAATTTGTGACATAGAATCGGTAACTCGTATCCTATGGGGTTGCAGAGAGGAGTGAGTGAACTAAAACCTAACAGGCGCCTGGGCTGGTGCTGGCCAGGGGGGCAGCTTTCCTATGGGGTGGTGGTAATTGGCATTCATCCTAGCTGCAAATGAGGACACGCTGTGACACCGGGCCACTGGAATGAGACCTTGTCCATGGGCTCCACCTGTGTGGTGGGTTGGCTGTGGTCCCTTTCTCCCTGAACGACTGAGTTTCGCCCTTTCAGGAGGGACTCGTCTGGGATCCCAGCACCTTGCGGCTTCCCAGGTCTCAGCCTCAACTCATTTCAGCGGGGAAGGAAGAGCCAGGACCAGTGGGGGAGGTGGCAAAAGGCATGTGCTAGAGAGGTCAAGGTTTAATCGGGAACCAGAACCCCAAAGAGAGGGCCCAGAGAAACAGGAGGGAGGAGCTGCAGGGCCTTTGACACAGAGCCACCCTGGCCGGGACATTTGGGCCAAACTATAGCTTGGACTCTTGAGGAGCTGGTGGCCCTGTTGTTTTGATCAACGACAAGAAGGCCCCTGAAGGCTCTTTGGGGAGTGGAAGTAGCCAGCAAGGCTGGGAGAACGGGGAGTGGGCCCGGGGGGCGGAGGGCTCAGGGAAAGGTCTGGAAGCCTGAGTGGGCGCAGCTGAGCTTAATTACAGAGCAGCGA
The DNA here is from genome assembly GCF_000001405.40 of Homo sapiens. Classification (NCBI taxonomy): domain Eukaryota; kingdom Metazoa; phylum Chordata; class Mammalia; order Primates; family Hominidae; genus Homo; species Homo sapiens. The sequence goes on along the minus strand of NC_000001.11, from coordinate 10,739,470 downwards.
GGGGAGTGAGAGCAGACCGCCCTTGTGTGGGCCACACACATGCTGTGCCCCATGCCCTTCCCTGCGCATGTGGTCCTCCTCCTCCTCACCGTGGCCACCCTGGGCCCGGGCCCCTGGGAGGGTTTCCCTCGCGGTGACACTCACAGAGTGGCACATGTGAGCTTCACCTGCACCCCTACCCAGAGAGACAGCAGGGGTGACCCCCAGGCGCACACACCCCCCTCGTGAATGCACCCGTCCCGCAGCTGCAGGTTGCACCGCACGCTGTACGCCCGGGGACTGGCCGCCGGCCTGAAAAGAGCAGCCACCCTCCACAAGATGCCTGGGTGACTTGTTTCTCGTTATTGTTGTTGCTTTTTTTCCTTCTTCCCCCGGACCCCCAGCAAAATTTTAAAAAAGAACTCAATAAGAAGCAGAGCCCAAGCTTCCTATGACTGGTTCTCAGAGAAGCCAGTCAAATCTCCCCTTGTTGAGAACATTTTGACAGCATAAAATTGCTGCCGGAATGTGACTTTAGCGAAAAGTGAAAAAAAAAAAAAAAAAAAAAAAAAACCTTCCTTCATGCATATGGAGTTTTTTGGAAAAAAAAAATGGTATTTTAATGCTTTCTATTAAATTGGGACTAAAAGTGGTGTCTTAATTTGCATGCATTAGCATATTTGCATATAGATCACTGAAATGGTGGAAGAGAGAAGAGCCTTTAAATGAAAATTCTTTTAAAGGCACAGGCCTGCCTCCCTCTCCTCCCCCTCTCCCTGTGGGGTTTACGCTTGATCTTTTCCTCTCACCTTCAGCCCCACCTTTGTGTCCTCCCTGCAAAGGGCCAGTTGGGTCGAGGCCCTGCCTCTCTGAAGCTGGTTTGGATGGGGTCGAAGGGCTGGAGAAAGCCCTGGCCCAGGTCGCCCCATGGCCCTGCAGCCTCCTTGTGCGGGCAGGATCCCACCTGGCCTATCCTGGCAGTGGCTCTGGAGGAGGAGCCTGTGTCCACAGCCAGCAGGCAGGTGGCCTCTCTGCCAGCCATTGTCCTCCCCCTTCCCCGGCCTGCTGTGGGCACCCGTCCTGCCAGCCACTGGCCTGGGCCTTTGGCCACCTGGCACCAAAAGGAGGGGGTGGGTGGGGTGCTCTGCGTCCTTCCGGGTTTCCTGCCGCGTCAGCGTCCCGGGACTGAGACATTCTGGGCTCCCCATTCCCGCCTTCCTCACCTGGAAGGCCCAGGCGGCCCTGTTCCCTTGGGTCTCTGGTTCAAAGGCCACCTCTTTAGAGGTAGCTGAAGCAGCCCCACCTCTCTTCTCGGTCAGTCCCTGTCACTCTCCTTGTTTTATTGCCTTCATAGAACTCATTAGTTGTCATTTATTAGTTGCTCGATTGCTCGTCCCCACCCCCACCCTTGCCAAGGGTAAACTCCACGAAGGAGGGACCTGCAGCCGTCCTGTCTGGGGCTGCCCCACCGGCACTTGGACAACATGAGGCACATTGTGGGTGTTGAGTGACTATTTGTGGAATGAGTGAAAGGGGACTGGGACCCTACCAGGGCTGAGCTTGTGTCCCCAGCATCACTGCCTGACTGCACCCAGCGCCCCACAGGGCTGTGCCCAGCCTTCCCGAGATGGCCTCAGCCTGGCAGGAAGAGCAGGCCTGGAGTGGGCCGGGGCCTCCGGGCTGATCCACAGCCCTCCGAGCACCTCGGCCCACTGTCGCTCCTTTGGGCGACAGGCTGGGGCCAGGCCCTGGCCTTGGTGAGTGGGAGGCCCGGGTGGCCTGTGCTGATCTTGTAGCTGCAGGCAGTAGGAGAGGCTAATGGAGCTGAGGGTCCCCCGTGGCAGCCCACAGACCCCAACCCTTACAGCCATGTAACTCCCTTGGGCACCCTTCTTCCAGGTCTGGGAGGTCCCCCAGATATCTCAGGGTATGCAAACAACAGCCCAGCTTTCTGTGTCTAGATTGTGCTCGCTGGTGGGTCACGTGTGGGTGGCTGGAGTCCTAGGGAAACCCCACCCACTTCTCTGCCCTCCAGCGGGGCAGCCAGGACGTGAGGTCTGGTCCTTGAGTTCTGTGTCCTCTCTCACTTCACCGCTCCGGTGGGCTGGGACTTCTGAAGGCCCCTCCAGGCTGACGGCAGCCCTGGGCTCCATGCCCAGCCTGAGAGGGGAGGGCCCACGAGGGTGAGGGGGACGCCCAGGGTTGGAGCGGGGCTGTGCCTCCACCGCTAATGAAAATCGGAAACCAATTGAGCAGGACAAGGTGCCCAGCCAGCAGGTTGTGGGAACGAGGGGCCTAATGGATGTGGCTGGGTGGGGAGCGGATGCCTCATTGATCGCCCAGTGGCTATATTTATCCACCTTGGTCTGTGGCCCCAGCAGCTGGATGGAGCAGGGATAAATAAATGGCCACTGAAATATTCATGAACTGCACATGTACATCCGTGGTCAGGGGACTGCCAAGGGCCTTCTCTTCCTTCCTTCTCCCCCTCTCTGCAGAAGCCTTTCAGGAAATTCCTCCCACCTGGGCCAGGTGAAGTGTGGCACAGCTCCAGTGGGCACTCAGCCCAGCCCACGGCCCCAGGAGCACCTGCAGGCCCGGGCACCTCCCACCCAGGCGTGCCAGTCCCTGCCTTCCCCTTGTCCCCATAGTTCCTCCCACGTCCCTGTCCTTCAGTGATGGATTGGACACGTGGGGCTGTGGCTGTCTAACTGGCCCTGTGTCCGCTACTAGACCGTGTACTCCTCAAGGACAAGCTGGTGGTTCACTCGTCCTTATTTCCCACGTGGCCTGGCATGGTGCCCGACACATCCTTGAGAGAGGGGCCTCGTAGGTGATGAATGAGAACTCAGAGTTGGGTTTGAATCTCCGCTCTGCCCTGTGTGTTTTGGGGAGTGATCACGCTTTGCTGGACTCCATGTACTCATCTGCAAAATGGGATTAGTAGCAGTGTTGCCAGCGTTTCTTAAGTGTGGGTCTGGGACTGCCCAAATCAGAATCCCGGGTGGAGCAGGTTAAAAACAACAAGCCCGGCTCCATCCAGACTCACGGGATCAGAACATCCCAGGGAGGGGCCTGAGGACTCCCCGGGTTCGGGGTTCTCAGTGCCATGCTGCTCACTAAGGTCTGGAGCTCCCGTCTCGTTGCCTGCTGATCCCTTTGTCCAGGTGGCAGATGCTGACCGTGAGCCCAGAGTTACGTGTGTGTTCTCTAGGACCTGAGTGATGGGGACCAGGAGTGTGAGGGAGGCAGGTGCGATTCTGAAGCGTCCATCAGTTGGGCATTCTGGTGAAGCTGCCTGGCTTGGGGGTTCCTGGAGACTGAGCTGAACTTGGCACAGTGGTCCTGGGTGGCAGGGCCCAGAAATGCTGCCAGTACCGCCCATCAGCAACAGGTGGGTGGGGTTGGGTGTGGCCACTGGGACATCGTTCATGACTTGGGGTGGTCTGTTGCAGGACAGAGTGATCTTTGGGGTTTCCTCTGCCTTTAATGCTCTGCATTCTCCCCCTGTCTTAAGGAGGTCAAACTGCCCTGCCCCTGGGTAGGAGAGAGTGGTGTCCGCAGGGCAGCTACTTGACCAGAGCTGGCTGAAAAAGCACATTTTCAACCTGATGTGCCTGGGGCTGCCCCTGATCCTAAGCCACTGCCTCTGGGCTCCCTGACTACCTACAACTCCCAGTGTCCCCTTGGTGCAGCCCAGAGCGAGGCACTGATGGCCTGTCAGATGACACTGGGCCTGTCCCTTGGTAGGCAGATGCCCGTGACTTGAAAAGCATTTGACCTCATTTAACCGAAGGAACTGAGGGTTCAGCTGGCCATCTGTGGTGGGTTCTCTGAGAGCTCAGGGCACAGAAACCGGGAGAGTCATTTGGGATGGGTAAAGGCAAAACTTCTGTCCGTGGCACTTGGCTAAGAGGCACCAGCCATCCCTCCTTCCTGCAGCACACCCCCTCCCCCAGGCAAAGTTTGATCCAAACTTTGGGGACAGCCCTGGCGCTGCGTGGAGCTGGCTGAGCCTGCAAGTGGCAGCGGGAGCAGAGGGAGGCAGCCCTGGCGCCTGACTCCGCCAGTCCCCCGTCCCCTCCCAGAGCTCCCGGGCCTCGCCTGCGTTTGCAGGCGCCTCTCTCGTCAGCTCAGAATGCAGCTTGGGGCCCGTGGCGGCTCAACCTTTCCCTCTCCCAGAGCCCCGGTCTAATCAACCCCTATAATTTATGCAGAAAATATGATTTATATTTAATTTCACCACACTTGCATTGTTAATTTGAGATGTAATTAACCCGTCGCCATGACAACTAATTTTGTGATGCCGTAAATTACCGCCGTCTTTTCATCAAAATTCAGTTACTTTGGCTCCTGTGTGCAATGTACTGATGCAATTAGGTTGCTAAGGGCAACTCAAAAGTGTTCAATTTCTTTTGTGCAACTGCAATGGGGTAGAAGCTCCCTTGCGTCCTCCCAGGGTCCCGTTGGTCATGGGGCGGGGAGTTGAGAGTATGTGGCCGCCCTCAAGGGATGCCTCTGGAAAGCCGGACTGGGTGGGCCCTTGTGGCCCCCCACTTCTCTCTCTCCCACCCTCTTCTCTCCAGTAATTGTTTTTAAACAGTGACCCCTAGATGCATGCTCCTCAGATCCTCCGTGGCACCCCAGGGCAGGTGTAAAGGGCCCTCTCCTTAATGGCATGGACTGTGCCATACACCTTCCACCCCCAAACATTGTGGTGCTCCGGTTAGAGAAAGAGAGAAAACCACATTGCCTTTCTTCTCTCCTGGTGTCTAACTTGTTTATATAGATCTTCCCTTCTCCCTCTCTCTCTCTTTCTCTCTCTCTTTTTTTCTTTACTTAAAACAAAAACCCTCTGTGTTGCTTTTGTCACGTTAATTCCCATTTTGCCAACACCAGGGGCCCAGGCAGACGAGTTACCAAGGAACACAAAATTTTAATTAGTGTATTTTAATCATTCAGGCTTTCCGAGCTAATCCACATGCCCTAGAGAATTCCCGAGATGCAGCTCTGCCCTGCTTTACCATTTATTGTTGAGTCTATTATAATTACTGTTAGCAGGTGGGGACTGGGAGATGTTTATTATGAGTTTTTCATCTTTAGTATAATTACCGAAAAAAAACAAAATAAAAAGATGTCGTTGTATTTTGTTTCCTAGAATTTTTTTTTTTTCCAAGGGAGGGCACGGCCATGGGATTTTTTTTTTTTTTTTTCTTGCTTCTTCCCAGGCAGGTGACTTGGAGTTTCGGTGCTGGAAGACACACTCCTTGAGATCAGCATGAGTGGTGCTCAGTACTCCACAGGCTCAGGAAGGGGGGCGGCTGCCACCTCTGCCTGTCATCTGCTCGGGCAGGCCCTGGGGTTGTCCCCTCCCACCCATGTGTGCTGTTGTACTTTGAGAGAGCAGGGCTGGGGATGTACCAGCGCTCCTCCTGGGCTGGTGGCTCTGCCTGGTTGGGTCGGCCTGGGGGCCTGGCCAGGTGGACCTGTTAGGGGTGAGACTAGCACTTTCGCTAGTTATTAATGTAACAGTTAACATTTATTCACTGCTTAGTATGTGCCAAGTGCTGTGCCACGCCCTTTAGCTGCATTATTTCATGGACTCTCCTTCAGCAGCCCTGTGAGGCAGGTGCCAATATCACCTCTGATTTTATAGAAGAGGGGGCCAAGGCTGGGGATCCCAGAGCTAAGAAGTAGCAGGGAAGGATTCCAACCCAGCTGTGTCCCCAGAGTCCAGGCTGCCCAGTACTGACTACACTGTACTGGTTCCTCTGAGCTCATCTTCCAGGTCTTATCATAGATGCCACCTCCTCCCAAAAGCCTTCCAGGATTAGTGGAGACTGAGTTGGGCCTCTCTTCATATATTCCCACAGCTTTACAGTCTCAGTGCCCGTCCCTGAGTTATAGTTGCCCGGTAACTTCTCTGCTCACCTCTGAGAGCAGGGACCAGTGAGGGTGGAGCCCTTTTTGCCATTGTCCCTGAAGAGCCTCTAGCATTTAATGTGGTCCCTGATACAAAGCCAGCTCTTGGGAAGTGTGTGGGATGGACAGGCGTGCAGGTGGCCCTGGTAGGGTGCTGTACCATGAGCTTCCTCTCGGCAGTGGCGAGTGTCAGGGTCTCTGGACACAGAGGTTTAGCTGGTCGGACATGCCACTCTCAGCAGAGGCCACAGAGCCTGTGTGTCCCTGAGCTTCACATTCTTGGAGGAAGGATGATCTGGGGCCCCAGGTCAAGTTTGGGTCCTGTCCTGGGGACTCTGGGTGTGAAATGAAAACACACAGCCTTGTCTTTCACATCTAGTCCCCCGTGCTGGAGGCGACCCTGGGAAGCCTGGCCTGCCCTCTTTCTTTCCTTTCTCCTCTTTAAGATCAGTTTTCAAATGTCTTCCCCTCTCAGTGATGATTTTGAAGTTTCCCTGGAAAATTCCACATCTCTGCTCTAGAGCCAAGCCTGGGGCCGAGGACCATGGGCTTTCCCAGGCAGAACAGAGCAAGGTGAGCCAGAGCCCGCCTTTGCTCATTTCCAGCCTGGTTACCCCCAGGGACCAGTGGGGGAAGATAATTAACACGTCCCTGGGAAGGGGCCCAGGGCATCCTGTGAATTGCACACTGGTGGCAAGACTCCCTGTTCGGCTCTAAATTCTTAGGCACCCTCTCCACCAGCTCCTCCTTATGCCCTGATGGGGCAAGTGTGGCCCAGGGCAGTGTTACCTCACCTGGATCCCACGTCCCCTGCACTGCTGCTGCCACCATGGGAGCCAGACCCTTTTCAAGTCCAAGGCAGAAGGGGCCACCTCCCCGGGTGATTCTTTTACTACTTGTAGGACCATCTCCCCCTCCTCTGCCTCTGCATCCCAGGGTCACCATCCTGCCCGAGGTTGAATCTCTCACCTAGGATGTGATGTGTAATTCCCCTCAGATATCCTGGCAGCATCAGTGAAGCAGGCCCACACCACCTCTAAGGCCAGCTGTGGGCCAGAGAATCATCGCAGCTGAAGCCCTACTCCACTGCGTTCCACCACGTGTATTTTCTGCCCCTAGTTCCCCAAGACAGTGGTTCTCACACCTGTTGGTCTCAGTGACCCTTTATGATCTTAAAAAGTATTGGGGCTCTTAAAGTTTTGGTTTGTGTGGAATATATATATATATATTTTCTTTTTTTTTTTTTTTTGAGACGGAGTCTTGCTCTGTCACCCAGGCTGGAGTGCAGTTGCACTCGGCTCACTGCAACCTCTGCCTCCCGAGTTCAAGTGATTCTCCTGCCTCAGCCTCCCAAGTAGCTAGGACTACAGGCCTGTGCCACCACACCTGGCTAATTTTTATATTTTTAGTAGAGACTGAGTTTCACTACGTTGGCCAGGCTGGTCTCGAACTCCTGACTTCAGGTGACCCTCCCGCCTCACCCTCCCAAAGTGCTGGGATTACAGGCATGAGTCATCATGCCTGGCCTGCATGGATTATATATATGGATATTTAGCATATTAAGACATTAAAACTGAGAAATTTTAAAAATCATTATTTATTAATTCATTTAAAAAATAACAGCAATAAGTCCATGATGTGTTAACATAAAGAACATATTTTTGAGAATAACTGTATTTTCCAAAACAAAATTTTAGTGAGAAGAGTGGAGTTGCTTTACATTTTTTGGCAAGTTTCTTTCGCATAACCTTTCTGATAGGTTGTTTTGGTTGAAGTCTATGAAGAAAATCCAGCTGGAGACAGATGTGTAGTTGGCAAAGGCAGGAGTATCTCAAGGGCCTTTGCAGACTATCACAGACTCTCACAGGTTAGTTCCAAGGTGGAATCTGAAACCACATCAATGAACTTTGTGTACTGTTTCAGTAAACCCCACTGATCTATAAGCACTTCGTTTTGTTTTTCTGTGTGTGTTTTGTTTCTGTTTTTAAGTCAGGGTCTCTTTCTGTCACCCAGGCTGGAGTTCAGTGGCGCAATCAGAGCTCACTGCAGCCTCAACCTCCCAGGTCAAAGGATTCTCCCACCTCAGCCTCCCAAGTAGCTGGGAGCACAGGCGCATGCCACAATGCCTGGCTACTTTTTTTTTATTTTTAGTAGAGATAAGGTCTCACTGTGTTTCCCAGGCTGGTCGCAAACTCCTGAGCTCAAGTGATCCTCCTGCTTCGGCCTCCCAAAGTGCTGAGATTACAGGCATGAGCCACCACGCCCAGCTAAATTATTTATTTATTTATTTTGTAAAGATGGGATCTCACTATGTTGCTCAAGCTGCTCTATGAGCACTTTGAATGACTCATTCCCTGATGTGAGACTTTGTAACCTCACACATCAGTTATGTGGAAAATACTGGCTCACTGAGGAATGCAGGTCTTCAGAGTGTTGACACATTTCATTATATGATTTTTTTTTTTAGACGGAGTCTAGCTCTGTCGCCCAAGCTGGTGTGCAGTGGTGAAATGTTGGCTCACTGCAACTTCTGCCTCCCGGGTTCAAGTGATTCTCCCGCCTCAGCCTCCCAAGTAGCTGGGATTATAGGCACACGCCACCATGCCCGGTTAATTTTTGTATTTTTAGTAGAGATGGGGTTTCACTATGTTGTCCAGGCTGGTCTTGAACTCCTGACCTCATGATCCACCCACCTCAGCCTCCCAAAGTGCTAGGATTACAGGCATGAGCCACCATACCCAGCCTATATGATGTTTTTTAAAAATCACAGTCATTAGTATCATTACTGGTCTCATCAGAAAAGCTGTTAAGTATTAGGATGCCGTCAAGGTTGCAGTGGCAGATATAAGTTTTCCAAAAGTCTGATTTTCACTGGAAAGCTCAGATTTTATCATTGGCAACAAATATTGTCAGGTTTTTTTCCCCTGGAAGTGACAGGCCCACTTTGTCCACTTTTGAGAAAATAGCTGCCAAACACTCAAATCTGAAAAATCACAATTTGTCTGTCAGTCACTCTTTCAGGTAAAGATGGTGTTCCCTGGAGCAGGCAGCTGGTTCCACTCTCAGCTCAGTCACACGGGTCCATGTCCTTCAGACAGGCATTGGACTCGAAGGCCCTAGGCATGCTTCCCTTTCATCCTCCCCGAATATTCAAAGGATGCATACTCGAGGGTCAAGACTTCCTAAAAGTTAATCATATTTGCAGCTTCATCAAGGACATTTTAAAGTGAATATGGGGCCGGGCGCAGTGGCTCACACCTGTAATCCCAGCACTTTGGGAGGCCGAGGCGGGCAGATCACCTGAGGTGGTGGGCACCTGTAATTCCAGCTACTCGGGAGGCTGAGGCAGAAGAATTGCTTGAACCTGGGAGGCAGAGGTTGCAGCGACCCGAGATCACACCACTGCACTCCAGCCTGGGTGACAGAGCAAGATCCTGTCTGAAAAATAAATAAATAAATAAATAAAGTGAATATGGCTTGTAATCCCAGCACTTTGGGAGGCTAAGGCGAGTGGATCACTTGAGGCCAGGAGTTCGAGACCAGCCTGGCCAACATGGTGAAACCCCATCTCTACTAAAAATACAAAAATTAGCCAGTTGTGGTGGCACAGGCCTGTAGTCCCAGCTACTCTGGAGGCTAAGGCAGAGAATTGCTTAAACCTGGGAGGCGGAAGTTGCAGTGAGCTGAGATAGCACCGCTGCACTCCAGCCTGGGCGACAGAGCGAGACTCCATGTCAAAAATAAAAAAAAAAATAAAATAAAGTGAATATGGCTTTTCTCGAGCTGGAAGGGCGTGTGCTGAGGAACACATGCCTTCTCACACACTGCTGTGGTCTGTGCCGGGACGCCGGCAGTTCCGCTCACCCGCTGCCTTTGCGCTGTCAGCGTAATGTCCCCACGTTGAATAGGGCACGTAGAAACTGTGTTCCACTATGGGGACTTTATGGCCTCCTGAGAGGGTCTCGGGAAGAGGCCTGCGGACCACGCTTTGCGAACTGCTCCCCTAAGCCCCCCAGGGCTCTGGCACTTGGTTTCTGCCATCTGAAGGGGCTGAGTTCTTGGCCTGATGGTGGACTGCCACTCAGCAACTCCTCCTGGCTCCCTGGACTGTCCGGGACAGATGAGGAGCTGCGGTGGGAAAGATAGCTAAGGGGGTGGGGGAGTTCTCATGGGGTGGCCGGGGAGAGGGAGAGGAGCCACCTGGGCCCGGCTGCCCCGCAGTGCCAGCCTGTGAATGTGTGCATGCTCCTGGCCCACAGCTAGAAGAGCCTGGTCCTCCTCCCCCAGGAAGCCCCCCTGCAGCCGTCTTGCTTCCCATTAGCGCCAGCGCAGGCCTGTCTTGGGCCCTCTGGCCTCCCGCCCTGCAGCGGCCTAGTTTCCCATTGGCCACCTGCCTTCAACGCCGAGGGCCTGGGGGGCAGGAGCCGCAGGCCGGCCGCCCCCTCCTCCCCACCCCTTCCCTCTCCTCCCCACTCCCCTTCCCCCAGCTGCCTCCCAACCGCCTCCCCCAGCATGGCAGCCTGTCCAAGACAGGGTTTTGTCCCCTCGGTCCGGGCACCGTGAGAGTGACAGAAAATAGCTGTCCGGAGAGTGGGGGGGGAAGGCCTCTTGTTTTCACCTCTCAGGGGCTGGTTTTCCCAACTTTCCCATCCCAGCTCCTGTGGAACAAAGGGCCTGCGGCCCCCGTGTGCTGGGCCCGGCCCAGCGAGGGGACTCACCAGCAACTCTTTATTGAGTCTTCAAGCGCCGGCCAGGCACTCCATTAAAAAGCCATTCCCCTTTGTGCAGCCCGGCCCCCAGCTGTCCCCCCTCTCATGTGACGGTCGGTCACAGTTGTAAAACAACAACACACAGAGTTGGCAACTAACGAGGCTTTTTTTCAAGCCGGGGTCTCCATGGCAACCCCCGTCAATCACCCCTCAGGAGCGCTTTAACCTGACCAAGAGGGGGAAATAAAAAATAAAATAATAATAATTAAAAAAAGAAGCCAAGAAAGAAAGAGTTGGAAAGAGAGCAAGAGGCCAGTAGACAGCTGGGGAGAGAAACAATTCAGAAAGTTTCTGGGGTTTGCGCCCTCGATTGGAACACAAATGAAAATTTAACCAGTGGGACAGGATTGTCCTGGTGACCGGAGGGGAAGGACGTTCATTTTCATTTTTAGATAGTTTGCACATTGCACCTAGTTTTACAAAAGCTTCTGACCTTTTCCCGTGGTCCATAAAATGATGGTGCGTGGTTGTCTGTGGGCACAGAGGGGGCGGGAGGGTGGTCCCATGGGCCCTTAGAGTAAATGGATGGTCCCAGGGGCCCAAACCCAGAGGTGCCCAGTTGATGGCCTCAGGCCAGTGGGAAGAGCCATTCAGAGCTTGGCTAGAGTCCAGCAGGGTGTCTGAGTCCTCCCGTGTGCGGCCTGGTGCCAATGGGGATAGCCCACAGTATGTGGCAGGCATGGTGCCAAGGGGACACTGGAAGGCCCCATACCCAGTGCCATGTGGGGAAGGAGCAGACCTACCACCGCGATGTGTTGACGGGGAGCCCGGAGCATAGGCGGTGGTAGGACCCCTCGTTCTTCACGTGCTGCTGTGCCAGCAGATGCCCAGTTTCTGGGCACGTGGCATCGCGCCCGGGGTTAGTTCAACCTTCCACGTGTTGGCATGGTGCCGGGGCATGGCAAGCCTGAGTTCTCCCCCCAGCTCACCCCCAACACTCATACATGCTGTCTGGCCACTAGCCAGGGGCTCCACAGGTTCCCAGGTCGGCACAGTCTGGGCAAGGGCTGAGGGCAGCCCTGGCAGCTGCTGCCTGGCCTTCCTCAGCCTCTGATCAGGAACGAGGTGAAGGCCAGCTTCTCAGCTCCACTTTTGCTTCCTAGCACCCTGAACCCTAGGGTGCAGACACTTTTTCTTCCTGGACATGGTGGGAAGGCAGAAGTTCCTATTGTAACTCCTGGCACCTTGGGAAAGGGGTTTTCTCATTCTTGGAGTCTAGGAACCTGGCTTGGGGGCTATGGGGACCAAGGAAGAGAGTCCTTCAGGACAGAACCGTAAAAGCTTCCCAACTTTCAGAGGGTGGGCACTGGGGCACTGTTGGGCTGTGCTGAATCCCCTGGGCCCGGGGGTTCAAGGAGCTGGGGTGTTTGTGAGCTTCTGGGAGGCTGGGTTGTTTTTTTTTTTCTTTTCTGGACTTAAAAGGCCTTGTGCAAACCTGGTACCCAGAATAGCACACATGGAGAGTTGTGAATGAAGAGCTGGATGGCCGATGACCTGGAGTGGGGGCTGGGGCTGGGCTCAAACAGCAGGTGCCTTATGGCTCTGCAGCCCCTGCCTGCAAGACGCCCTGGTCTCCCAGCTTCCCACAGGCCTGGGACGGTCGCGGGCCTCTCCCTACCCCTGGCCACCTCTCCCTTTTCCCTCTTCCTTCTCCAGGCTGTTTCCATGCCACCCTCCCTGGTGGGCTGGGCTTGACATTGGCGCCCATGGCTCCCCCTCTGCCTTCGTTTCAGTCCTCCTCACTCACAGGCTGTGTTCTCTTCCAGAGTGGGTAAAGTGAAAACCTTGCCAGTCACCTCTCCCGGTCTCCCTCCCCTCCGTCCTGGCTTTCGTGATAGAGAAACTGGCCAGGAAGCCCCACATGGTGCTATTTACCTGACACCTCAGTGGGTTTGGCAGGTGCTGATTCATTCCCTGAACCATTTCCCCCAGGACACGGAGCAGGCCAGGGAAGACCCCCTGGGCCTCTGAACACCCCCATGCTAGCCTCTCCCTGGCCTCTCTTCAGGGCCTGGGTGATTGCTGCAGCAAGGACCCCCCAGGGACCAGAGCGGCCTTGGCTGGGCCTCATCTTCATGTCTCCTTTCCTGGGTGCCCTGGGCAGCTCCTGCAGGAAAGGAATGCTAACGATCTGCTGGTGTAGTGAGCTGGCACCGCACCCAGGCAGGGGCCGCACAGCGCCAGGGCCTAGTAAAGACGCTGGCGAGGGCTCCATTCCCCGTGCCCGGTGTTTCCTCTGGCCGGATTGGCATGCAGCCTTCAGCTTGGCCTGAGGCGGCACGAGGAAAAGGTGGCATCCTCCACCGGCCCCAGCCTGGCCAGCCTGGAGGACTACACCGCCCTCCTCCTCCCTCCGGCTCCAGCCAGGAGGACTGTGATGGCCATGAGTATTTCATAGCATCTTCTGAAAGGAGATACGGAGTAGGCTGAGGATGGCGGCATCCCAGAGCGTGGCTGTTGGTCAGTAGCCCCAAGCTGGGGAGACCCGGTTTCACCTCCCCAAGCCTCATTTCCTCCTCCGTAAATGAGGGCATGAACAGTGGTGTCTCCTACAGGGTTTCTGTTGCTGTTTAATGAGGTGGTTTATAAAACCGACTTCACTCTGCCTGGGACGCGGTCAGCCCTCCATAAACACTAACAATTAATGGTCATGCTGGTGGTAGTAGCAGCAGTAGTAGTAGTACTGGTAGTAGTGGTGGTGGTGATAGTATAGGCCCTGCCCCATAGGTGGTTGGAGGCATCAATGAGATGGTACAGCCCCTGACAGATAGTGACTGCTCAGCAAATGCTAGCTGTCATTATTATTGCTATTACCATTATTTCCTAGTGCACTGAGGTGGAGCCTCACCCTGCTCTTGCTACTAAGGGATCCTGAGGATGCTGCCCCCTCCTAAGTCCGGCCCATCCTTCTAGAACATTCGGCAGGCCCTCTGGCCCCCTCAATGACTCTCTTACACCTGCCCTGCTGTCTTCAGGCCCCCCTTGCCATTCCCTCCCCACCCCACTGCCGCTGTCTTGTCACTCACCTGTCCAGGGTTCCCCAGGATCATCCTCTCTGGGGTCTCCTAGTAAAAAAAAAAAAAGGGCTTTCCAGAACCTGGCTTCCACCTCCTCCCCAAGCCTGGCCTCCCCCAGGCCTGGAGTGTGACTGGATTGTAACATGGTAGCTGAATGAACTCCAGTTTCAAAGGTTAATATCAAAATCTGGAGTGGATTACCTAAAAATTACTTACAACACCATTAAAATTCTGAACTCTTTTTGTTGTGGCTGTAAATTAATTTAAAATGTCAGGTTTTTTGAGAAATCCAATAAGAAATTGAGCCAACAGAGCAATCTGCAAACTGTCTGGCAAAGAGGAAAGTGTGTCTCTTCAATCGACAAGGAAAAATATGGAGCTTAACTGGAACCATATGGCTCAGTACTTGAGAGGAGCCTGCCGGAGAGGGAGGGCGGGAGGGGAGCTCAGCTGACAGCCACACGCATGCAGCGGGAGGCGGCCACGGTGTTGGCATTGGCACGGTGGAGGGGCCTGGCAGACGCCTGGCACCCAGCCTACTTGGCCGCCCTGTGTCCACGGTCACCGGGCTGCCCTGGGCAGTGACATGGTCACTCCTTGGTCTTAACACGTTCTCGCCGTATCCATCCAGGGCTCCCTGGCCAACTAGGGAATCCTACCCCCACCGAGGGGAGCCCAAGCCCCCTCCCTCCAGGGAAGAACAGCCACCTGCACGTCTGCGAGGGCTGCTTCCCTCCGTCCTCTGTGGGCTCCCTCCCGGCCAACATGTGGTCCCAATTACTCCTGAATTCCCCCAGATTTACAACACATTAAGTAATTTGTAGGTTATTTCAACTTCAATCTGCTGAAGTTGAGAAAATCAAAATTAAATTCAAACCACAAGGAAACTTCAGAGAAAGAGGAGAAAGAGAGAAGTTGAGCACCTTCTCTTCCCCAGGTTGGCTGTGTCCCCCTTATGTCATCCTCCGAGGCTCCCAGCCAGCCCCCCACCTGCCTTCCTCTGCCTCCTCTTCCCCGCCTTGCCTCTCCCTCCCAGGGCCCTTGCCCCTGCCTCTGGCTGGGCAGTGCCCTTGGGGTGCCCCTCTGAGCGAAGACCAGGGGCAACCTTGGAGCTCGTGCTAGGCCCTGCTTGCTTTGGCTGGGGGAGAAGTGCTTCTCTAACCTCTAACACTCTCTGCTCCCACTCCCTGAGCCCCTACCCCTGAGGGCTAGGTGATTCCTGGGCTCCAAAGCCTCTCTCTGCTTTCCTGACCCATTTCAAGGGAATCTCCACCAGGACTGTTCTAGCTCCCGACATGCCTGGGGTGGCTGACAGCTGGTAGGTACCACCTGGCCCCCGGGTTTAATAGCTCAGGTTACCTTATTTTGCTTTCTACCCTTTAAAACAGCCTTGTAAATAAGCAAACACTCGGTGCCAAGCACCTTCGGCACTTCGCCAGGCTGGTAAATATTTTAGTAGTGACTTGGTAACAGTTGCGTTCACTTTGATTTCCTCAGAAAGGTTCTTGGTGCTGGGGAGGGGGCCGTGGCTCTGGGAAATGATTTGCTGGCTATTTATAGCCCGGCTCTGACCACGTGGCCTTTGCTCTCACCCTGTGGATCGTGTGCTGGGGTATTTTTAAAGCTGGTGTAACGTTAGCCTGACACCTCTTTTGGCAAAGATGGGGAGGACTCTTCCACCTTCTCCCAAAGTGTGCTGTGGTCAAAGAGCTCCAAGGTCGGTTTGGAAAACTGGACTTGTCCTCACCAGGAATCCAAAGTGATATGGGAGGCTGGGGCAGGTGCTAGCGGTTGGGTGTGAGTTTAGGGTTGAACCCCTGCTGGCATGGTTTGGACTCGGGAAGAACCCCCAAAGAAGAGGAGAAGGTGGGCTCTGGGGCTGGGGCACATGACCCAGGCAGTGCTGAACTGGGGAGGCCACCTGAGACGGGTGGACTGAAGCTGACCGTGAGAGCAGCCAGGTTGCAGGGGGAGTTAGAGGGAAATGTGACCGCTGGATGAGCTTCCTGGGCATCTAGTCCTGAAGGACCCAGGCCATGGAGAAAAGAGAGTGGGAGACAGGGCCAAGGAAGATTCAGAGATGGGGGCAGCTTCCAGCCAGGGCTGCTGATTTGATGCCCTGGAGGGTCCTTTCCTCTAAGCCATGAGAAAGGCACCTGCAAAGCGCAGGACCCCATTGCCCAGTGCCAGGAAGCTGGCCTAACCCCACCCAAATTTGCCGTGTCCAACAGGGCATGTGCTGCCCCCAGGCTGGGCACCGGGGCAGGGGTGAGGCAGCAGGTGAGAGGCTGGCGCCTGGCTTGAATAGACTGCTCAGAGCCACAGCCAGTGGCTCCTCTGTTTTATGGGTGGTTTTAATGCACAGATGGGTTGGTTTTAAAGGGGCTCTAAATCATGGCACAGTGAGAGCCCCCACACCCCAGAGCCCCCTAGGAGGCTGTATCTGTGAGTGACTGTGGTATGGGCACAAGTGAAGTAGAAGCAAGGCCTGCCCCCACTCACTGTGCAGTGGTGATGGACAGGCCAGGGGGAGGTGGGCCCCTCTGGCTGGGTGTTCAGATGAAACCCTTCCTCTTGTCCCCCTACCCACCCACCATCCACACTGGCAGGCGGGGCCTTCCCACGTCCGGTTTACAGCCAGGGCACTGTTCAGTGACCAGCCAGCCTGCTGCCACTCCCAGCCACTTGCCCTTCCTCCTCTGGCTCCTGGCGCCATGATGCGCACCTCCCGTCTGCACCCACGCACACCCCATTGGTGCTCAGCTGCCGTGGGCGCACATCAGGTGAGCGCAGACAGTGGCAGACCCGGCTCACCTCCTTCCCGCAGGACTGGTGCCAGGGCAGTGCTCTTCCCGGAAGGCTTCCAAGCTCCCCCGGATGGCATCCTGTTGGGCCTGTTTCTGGGGTGCGGGGGCAGGCCTTTTTGGGGGGGAGAGTGTCTGCCCCATGCAGCCCTGGCGCCAGCTCTTCCTAGAGGCCTGTGGCAGTAATGCCAGAGGGAGGCAGCTGGGCTGGGGCAGGAGACAGGGATGTTTGAAATGGAAGTCGAGTGAGATGGGACCACCTTCAGCCACCACCACGGCTCTGCTGGGGGCAGACATGGAGCCCTGGGCCAGTCCGAATTGGTGCTCACTGGATACCTGCCTCTTAGCTGCCCCCCTGTGAGTGGGCCTTGCCCACTTGGGCTCCCAGCACCCAGTTTTCAGTGTCCTTGGAAACTTGGAGGAGTTCTGGGAAGGTGATAGGAAGATAGAAGAAGCCTTCTCCGAGCACCCAGAATGTTCGAGCTTGAATGGAAAGAGATCTGCCCTCGAAGGTACTCGGTCCCTAAGTCCGTGCCCTGTAGGCTCCCCTTGTTCGCTGGCCCGTGTGGGACGGAAGGCTGCTTTAGGGAATCTTTTTCTGCCCCTTGGCCTTGAGTTTGGAACTGCGTGGCACCAGAACCTTCTCATCCTTTACTGAGTGTCTTCAGCAAAACATGTTGTTTCCTCTCCAGTTCCCCCTTGGCGTTTGAGAATGGGGTGCCCGTCAACACTCACTCTCCTGCCTGTTCTCCCTAAAGCCATGGGGTAAAGGAAGCCTCATGGTCCTCTGAGGAGCCCTCATGGCCTCCTGAGCCGCTCAGGGGAGACGGTGGCTGTGACAGCTGACGGCCCACTTCAGTGCAGGTTGCGAAGGGGCGGGGCCAAGACGCAGGTGTCTGCCCAGACACAGCGGATGCCTGGTTCCAACGTTTCCATAGATGCCTGTGTCATCTTAACGAGCAGATGCTCTGCTGTGCCTCAGTTTCCCTAGGTGGCCTCTGTCAACAGGTGCTCAAGGTAAAAGATACAGCAGGAGAAACACAGGAAGAGACAGGTGGGAGTGGCAGCTGGGCGGACCCGAAGAGGCTGCCCTGGCCCCTCTTCTTCCCCTCGGCATGGGCCCGCCTCTGCTTCCTAGCAGGCAGGTCAGGCAGCAAAAAGGCAGTTGGCCTCCACCACGACCCAGAGACTTGCTGGGCTGAAGCTGCCTGAGGCCTCCCCAGGCCTGCCAGATCCGATAGAGGCTGGGGCCGTCCACTTCCTGGTTTGCAGGTCGGCACTTGCAGGTCAGTGGTGAGGTGCAGCTTAGGAGGGGAGGTCACTGGCGTACCCTCCACCCTCGTCCAGCCCCCCGTGGGCTCTGATGGCAAGGGGGCCACGCTGGCAGGTAGCCAGTTGCCCTGTTTCTCCTTGATGCCCGCATGGAACCAGTCCTGGTTTCAAGCTCCCTGCGAGCCGGGAATGGAGGAGATCCTATGAAAATGATGATATGTGACAATCAGTCACAGCAATTAGTGTTTTGGTTAACAGGCCTTTTTTGTTTTCTCTCACCCAGACAGAATGTCACAAATAAATCCTCTCCTGCATTTGCATATTAATTGGATCGGAGACGTCAAGCATCTTTCATTAAAGAAAATGATCTGCATATTTGGAGACATAAAATAGTTATTTTGATGGGTTTTTTTTTCCCTAAGATCAGGGGGTGGGGGAGGTAGGTGATAGGAGCAGTAGAAATTGAGGTAGAGTGAAGGAAAGCCAGCCAGCCCCTCTGTCTGGAGTTAACCCTGTGCAGTCTGGAGTTGGTGGCCAAGCTTGGCCAGAAAGATAATTAATAGGCAAATAAATCAAGGAGCCAAGGGGACCCTGGGCACCGGGCAGTTGCCTGAGGCCCAGGAGCCCAGCTTGGCTCCTGTACAAAAGGGACCCCCACCAGAGTTACGGGCGAGGAGGCAGGATGAGGGCCCTCTGTGGCTTTGCTCTTAAATCCCTCCCTCCAGAGCCGGTTGTGGCCCTGAGCAGGGTGAACTTCCCTGGGACGGTGGGTGGTAGGCAGGGCATGAGGTCGGGTGTCCACCTCGTGTCCTGGAGCCCTTGGCTGGGCCCACGCGGCACCCATGCCTGCCTCTCCCCTTGGTCCCTTGGCCAGCCCTAACCCTCCAGCTTCCACTCACCCTCCCTCAGCTCACCCACCGGCGTCCACTTCCTCCCCACTCTCTGACCTTGGGCTTCCCTACGCCCTTCTCATTCTTTGCCAGCCGTCCTCCCTCTCCCCAGATGGAAAGTTTTCTGGGGGCAGCAGAAGCGAAGCCTGGAGTCATTATCACATGTACTCGAAATAACCCAGAAAGCTGCTGGGCCCATATTAGGACATGAGTCCCGTGGAAAGCCGAGCGAATGTACAGTTTTTGATAGGCAAATGGGACTGCCCAAGTCTTCCCACCTTCCCCTCCAGCCTTACAGTCCAGGGCCTTGGTGGCTGCTTTCGTCAGTTTTCAGGGCAGGCAGTAGGGGTGGCCTCCTCTAGACATTTCTGAGCTTCCCCAGGCTCTTTGGGGAGCACAGTGGGAGGGCTGGTCAGTGCTGCCAGTCTCTCTGCCATCACCAGCCCCAAAGGCACGATTCCTAGTTACCATATCCTGGTTAGAGAAGTGTTTAGCGATGGCGATGATGATGACAATGATCACAATGATGACTGGCACCACATTTTCCACATAGAAATGTGTAGACACTTTGCTAAGAGCTTTACCCTCATCGCTTCCCCAAACCCTCACCACAGCCCCCTGCGACAGGCACGATCATCGCGTGCATTTTATAGACAAGGAAATTGAACCTCGGAGAGGCCAGATCACATGCCCATCGGTACCTACCAGACTTCAGAACTTGCAGCCGGATCCAAGCTCTCTGTGGCCAGGCCACAGGGCCTCTGGGCAGAGCAGTGGGGACCGGCAGCCGCCTGGCTCCTGGTTTGATCCCAGCTGACTATTCTTTTTGTGCGCAAACACACCGCACCCTGGTGCTGTCGGAGGACCTGTGTTCAGGCACCATATCTCTGCACTGCTGGCCTCTTCACTGCACCAAGAAGACAAGATTTGCCTCCTCTCAGGGGCTGGGAGCTGCCTCCGGTGGCTTCTGTGGGCCTTTGAACCCCGGAGGTGCCTGTTCCAGGCCTGTGGGGATCCCCCATGCTCTTTGTGTGCAGTTTTTGCTTGGAACGTTGAAGTGCCCAATTCCTCTATTCCCATACCCTGCTGCCTCTTCTCTCACTGTGCCAGGCTCTGGGACCCACGGGCTTCAGGATTGGGCAGTACCTGAGGGCATGGCCCAGCTCCCTGGTTGAATTGAGTCATGCATCTGCTCACCTGAGCCCCCGTTCCCCATGCCCTACAGGTGGCCAGCCTCTCCTCGTGCTCCAGGTGGACCTGAGTGTCCCTTAGAAACTTGTTCGGTGCCACCTTCCCCACAGCGCTGCTTCTTAGGGATCCCTTCTCCCAAGCACTCAGATTCTAAATGCATGGCGTGTGCAGCCTTAGGACATCACCTTGAATTTCAGGGTCCCTTGTCTTGGGCTACCATTCTCCACAGTTCGTGGGCAGGTTGCAGCTTTTCAGGTCTAAAGGGAAGGCAGTGGGGTACGGTCAAAAGAATGAGGGCTTTTGATTCAAATAGAAGAGAAACAGCCTTACTGTTCTTAGGAGCTGTGCCTTGCTGGCAGACCTCCCTTCTCCGAACCTCAGGCTCTCCCCTTACAAGAAAGGGGCACGGGGCCGGGTGCGGTGGCTCACGCCTGTAATCCCAGCACTTAGGGAGCCGGAAGCGGGCAGATTGCTTGAGGTCAGGAGTTCGAGACTAGTCTGGCCAACATGGTTGGAAACCCCACCTCCACTAAAAGTAAAAAAAAAATTAGCCAGGTGTGGTGGCGAGTGCCTGTAATCCCAGTTACTCGGGAGGCTGAGGCACAACAATTGCTTGAACCCGGAAAGCAGAGGTTGCAGTGAGCAGAGATCACACCAAGGAATTTGATGGCTTTATCAGAAATACCAAATGCACAAATGCACTCCAGCCTGGGCAACAGAGCAAGAGAGACCCTGTCTTAAAAAAAAAGAAAAGAAAAGAAAAAGAAAGAGGCAGTAATTCCTCTTGTGGGCAAGGTTCTGCAGAATGATTTGGCTCCTGCAGGTTAAGTGCCCAGTCATAGGTGTGGGATAGAGCAGACTCCTACGGATGCCAGTGGAGACGTTGTGGGCCTGGGTCTGCTGCCCACTCCCCAGTGGGTCAGGACTCCGGCAGGGTCTCCTGGGCTAAAGCATGGAGGTGACTGTGTCCCAAGGCACTGGCAGCTCTGCCCAGCCTGTTCCTTTCCCACCCTCTGGCCCTCAGCGACTTTGGCTGCATGTGCCTCTGGCAGGGCAGAACCAGAAGTGGGGGCCTAGTGGCCTTCCAATTTGGGGTTCTTGGAGAAGGAGCCTGGCGTGCCCTCCTTGGGGAGCAGGTGGACAGACTGGATGTTTTATGGAGTCTGGGGGAGTCCTGCGGCAGCTATATCTGTTAAATGCCAAGAAGCCAAGTTGGTTTAATATGATTGTAGCTGCTGCTTTGATAAATCAAAATAATTAAAAATAATAAATTTGATTCCTCAACCAACAGGCTGTGTGTGGGCGCAGGGCCTGGGCTGCCGAGTCAGGGCCGAGGAGGTGGGAGTGGGCACGGGGACACAGGAAGGCCTGTCTTGTGGGATCCTAAATGGGGAGTGGACGGCAACAGGGCGGAAGGGGAGACTGCGAACCAGTCGGGGGAGGAACATCTCTCACTTAGCAGAGCCGAGCCCTGCTGTCCACAAGCCTGGGCTGGGGCCCCAGCTGGGCCTGCCCCTGGCCCTGTGGCATTGGGCCAGCCTCAGTTTCCTCATCTGTCAAATGGGAAGGCAGTTCCACCCACCTCCCAGGGATGTGTGAAGTCAGGCTTTGCTGAGTGTGTCTGCCCAGTGTTGAATGGGCCTCCGTAGCCCCCTCGGCCCGTCCCTGCACCCGCTTTGGTCGCTGAGGCGACCAGGCGTGCTCGCAGCGGCTGCACAGCCTTAAAGGCCCACCAGCCTGCCCGGACTCTTCCTCCCACTGATGGCTGTTGTCCTACCACAGGATTGTTCTGTTTATGAGGACGTCCTCCGGTGCAGGACGTCTCTATTCATAGCTCCCTTCGGCTTCCAGAGTTGGGTCAGGAAGCCCCATGCCACGCCCTGGGACCGAGTTCAGGGTGCCGGCAGCTCTGACATCAGTTGGGGGGGAATTGGCAAGGGTTTTCTACCTCCGCCCCTGTCCCCTGCCCCCTGCCCCCCATCCATGTCCTCAGGAGCCGTATTTGGTGTCTGATCCCAAAGTGTCTGAGCAGCTGGAAATCTGAACTGGTTGGAGGGGGCAGGGGCTGGTGAGGAGGGAGGGACAGGGTGTCTGTCTCTTTAAATGCACTTTGTGTCAGTGCGATAAGGAATTTGATGGCTTTATCAGAAATACCAAAGCTTTATTTAGCAGGGTGAGGCTCACACCACTCAGCTCCACACAACCTGCTGATAAATAGCAAAAAAGAAAAGAAAAGAAAAAAAAACCTCCAACAACTCACCAACACCCCAGCACGGCAAGGCAGGAAAGATGCATCGGACAGAAAGGCAGAGAAGCCAAGTGGGAAGTTTGGGGAACTGGGGAGCTGCAGAGGCTGGGGGTGGGGTGAGTGGGTTCCGTGGGAACTGCAGGGGCTTTTTGGAAAGTGCTGATAGGCAGGCGTTCGTAGATTTTTCTGTCATTAGGTAAAAATACTATAATGATTTTGATTCTTCCAGAGAAAGGGCTTATTAAGGAGACACGCCCTCCCCAGTGTCCTCGCTGGCCGTCTGTCCCTCCTGCTCCTGTCCCTCCAGCAGCCCAGCCCATCTGAGTCTCTCTAGGGGAGCCCTGAGGCCCAGCCCTCTGCTAGGTCTGTGCCCCGCCTGCCTGTGCTGGTGAAGGCAGGGGCAGCCTTGAGATGGGGGAGAAGTTTGACCGAACGTAAAAGAGACTGCCAGGGAGAGAGAGCCGCCTGTCATTGCAACTCCAAGAAAGGGACCCCCGCTCTGTACAATGTGGCTAAGGAAGCTGGAGAGGGGAAGGCTTGAGAAAGCCTTTGGGGGATGGACTGACTCCATGCTCAGGGCCGGGTCTCAGCCCAGGGAGGTGGCCTGGCCCTGCCTACTAGTGGCATTCCAGGACTTTCTGTGCTACCTGCCACTGGGCAGCTCTTGGGGAGCCCCTCCATCCTGGCCAGTCTAGATTTATTGTGCTGTCTAGAGGGTCAGCAGAACAGCAGAGTGCCACTTCCGCCTGTTCTTCCTCTTCTTACTCTCTGCACCGGGGCATTCGTTCTGCTGCTCTCGCTTGGGGAGCCCCTTCCCTTGGGTCTGGCTTTACGCTCAGCACAGGGGCTCAAGTGCAGCCACCCTCAGTATCCCCCCAGATGGTCCATACGTCTCCCTCTGCCCACTGCTCCCCATGAATCTTTTGATGTGAGCAAGCCAGATTTAAGCCGGGGTCCCCATCCATGCCTCTCTGCCTGTGCCTCTTCTAGCCGGCTTGTGCATGTGACTTCCTCTGGAAATGGAGGCAGGTATCAGCACTCCGGGTCTACCCGAGAGCCATGTGGATGGGGAGCGGATTGGGTGCTGTGGAGTGTGGATTGGGTGCTGTGGGGTGGGGATTGGGTGCTATGGGGTGGGGATTGGGTGCTGTGAGTGTGGATTGGGTGCTGTGGGGAGCAGATTGGGTGCTGTGGAGAGCGGATTGGGTGCTGTGGGTTGTGGATTGGGTGCTGTGGGGAGCGGATTGGGTGCTGTGGGGTGTGGATTGGGTGCTGTGGGTGTGGATTGGGTGCTGTGGGGTGCGGATTGGGTGCTGTGGGGTGCGGATTGGGTGCTGTGGGTTGTGGATTGGGTGCTGTGGGGTGTGGATTGGGTGCTGTGGGGAGCGGATTGGGTGCTGTGGGGAGCGGATTGGGTGCTGTGGGGTGTGGATTGGGTGCTGTGGGAAGCGGATTGGGTGCTGTGGGGAGAGGATTGGGTGCTCTGGGGTGTGGATTGGGTGCTGCCGGGAGAGGATTGGGTGCTGCGGGGAGTGGATTGGGTGCTGTAGGTGCGGATTGGATGCTGTGGGGTGTGGATTGGGTGCTGTGGGTGTGGATTGGGTGCTGTGGGGTGTGGATTGGGTGCTGTGGGGAGCGGATTGGGTGCTGTGGGGAGCGGATTGGGTGCTCTGGGGTGTGGATTGGGTGCTGCAGGGAGCGGATTGGGTGCTGTGGGGTGCGGATTGGGTGCTGTGGGGTGCGGATTGGGTGCTGTGGGGAGCGGATTGGGTGCTGTGGGGTGCGGATTGGGTGCTGTGAGGTGCGGATTGGATGCTGTGGGGTGTGGATTGGGTGCTGTGGGGGGCGGATTGGGTGCTGTGGGGTGTGGATTGGGTGCTGTGGGGAGAGGATTGGGTGCTGTGGGGAGTGGAGGAGGCATCTCTGCTGCCTCTCTCTGCCCGGCTGCTCCCAGGCTCCTTGTCCCTTCCTAATGGCACGATCCAACAGAGCCAAGGGCTTGGGGTTCTCACCGCAGATCCTGCCTAGCGCGGGTACAGGACTGCTTCTACCATCGTAGACAGTCACCAAGAGGTGACTCACAGAGTTGGTTGAGGAAGAGAGGTCTCTGCCCACATAGTTGTCCCCAAACATGGCCGAGAGGCCAAAGCTTGCCAAGGCCCACAAGCCGACCCCTCAAACAGGATGGAGGTTGCTGAGGCCAGAGGATGCTTCTGGGGCAGTTATGCGGAGCCCAGAGTTGGGCCAACCGGAGGCCAGGGTGGGCTGACTCGGAGAGTAACTCTGAACTGGACACCTAGTCCCTGGAGCCGAGGAAAGGTGGAGCCCGTGTGCTCCCTAAAGTCAGCTAATGGAAGGAAGGGAACCTGGACCAAGGTTAGGCCCGCGGCTGAGCGGCGGCAGGTGGGTCTCATAGGAATTCCTCGGCTTTGGATGCTGGAGCAACAGGACTGGCATGGCTGCTTGGGGAGGGCCAATGCTGGGCTGGGTGGAGACAAGGCAGCTCTGAGGAGAGGGTGGGGGTTGGGCTGGCCAGGGAAGGGGCAGAGGGTGGAGGAAACTGCAGAAAGGCCGAGGCCTGGAGACAGACAGGAGGAATAAATGGAAGTGACAGGGTCAGGCCAGACCTTTGTCCTGCAGCCTGATTAGAGAGTCTGCCCTGGATTTCTGAAACTTTGGGATGTTGTCGGACAAACTGGAGCTTAATTCTGTCAGAGCGCTGGGGAGATTAGAATTGACATCCTGGGAGCACATTCCTGGCTGGGCAGAAATCCAGCCCCCGCTGGGAAAAACCTGTGAAAGCACGGCCAGCCCAGTGGTGGTGGCGGGGGGTGCCCGTCAGCACCAGTGGCCACTCCAGCCTCGTGGGCCGGAGCCAGGAGCACTGGGAGGGCCGGTCGTTGGAAGGCTCTGGCGTAGTGGAAGGTGTGGAGGCTCAGCAGAGCCACTGCCGAGTCTGAGTTCCAGTTCTGTGCCTCATCCTAGCTGTGCTGCCTCGGGCAGGGAGCTTAAGTTTCTTTCTTTCTTTCCTTTCTTTCCTTTCTTCCCTTTCTTTCTTTCTTTCTTTCTTTGAGATGGAGTCTTGTTCTGTTGCCCAGGCTGGAGTGCAGTGGCACGATCTCGGCTCACTGCAACCTCCACCTCCCAGGTGCAAGCGATTCTCCTGCCTCAGCCTCCTCAGTAGCGGGACTACTACAGGTGCGTGCCACCACACCGGCTAATTTTTGTATTTTTCATAGAGACGGGGTTTCACCATGTTGGCCAGGCTGGTCTCGAACTCGTGACCTCAGGTGATCCACCTGCCTCAGCCTCCCAAAATGCTGGGATTACAGGTGTGAGCCACCACGCCTGGCAAGAGCTTGTTTCTTAACCTTCATTTTCTTATCTGTAAAATGGGACAGTCTGCCTCTGGACCCACTGAATTTTCTTCTCCTTTGAAGTTGAAGGCGTAACCTTGGGAAGCCAAGAGGGATGGGTCAGACGGTGGTGGAGCTCCTGAGCCAGGGCCTGCTGGAAGACAGAGAAGGTTCCCCTTGCAGAGTTTTCTGGCACAGGGGCGGCCAGCAATGCCAACCCGGCAGGGCTCTCTGGCTCAAGCATGTGAGAGGTGGCTGTCCCCACACGACGTGTGTCCTTTCCATCAGCCACCTGTCCTCATCAAGCCTGGAGAAGCCCAGCAGGGGACTTAGAGATGGCCTTGTCTCTCTGTAAGAGCTCCCAGGAAATCCTCACCCAAACGAAGAGAGCTGAGGGAAACAGATGGAGGCCTGCCTTCCGGGAGCCTCCAGTCCAGGATGGCTGGCCTTAGAACCAGAGAGGGGGTTAGAGGACTATAGTGAGGGCCAAGCGCCACAGCCCCAAACCAGGCTGTTTCCGGAAGAACAGGGTACCCCTCCTCACATCCCTCCTGACTCTAATGACTCTTAAATTGTAGTAAATATTTTGGCTAATGTAGGCTCTCATGGCAGAGAGCAAAGCTGTCTGCAGTTCAGGACCTACAAATTATTTATTAAAGATTTGAGATGCAGTGCAATTATGTGGAAAGAACCCAAAAAATTAAATAAATAAGTAACAAAATAAATAAATAACAGCCCCACTGGCCTCTTGAAGGCTTGGGAGCGGCACATGATTGCCGTCTTGATGAAATCCCCCCGGATGTAATGAGCTGATTTTCTGCTGTTAATATTGCATCTGCTGATGAAGGATTCGTTAGGATAATGGAACGAAGCTAAAATATAAATGACTCCCTGTCAAGAAGCAGCTTTTGTTTGTTGATCTCCTGACAGTTCCTGGGCCAAGGCAGGGGTTTATATATGTACACGCATTCTGGAACAGGCAGGAGGGCGGGGGCAGGAGCTTGAGGGGGCTGCCCCACGAGCCTGGCTCCCTGGTTATTCCAGGCTTTCCCTTCGAGGTGGGGCTCCTCGACCTTGGGAAGCCCTGGAGCCCTGTGGGTGGGGAAGTCATCGACTCAGACCCATCCAGAGGGGCGCTTGTTGCACTAAGATGCTGAGCGGCAGCAAAAGTTATCTGGGGAGCATGGTGGAGAGATGGATTGGCTGGGCCGTGTGTATTGGGATCCGCACAGGAGAAGCGCTGTGTGTGTGCCGGGAACGGCAGCCCGCGGGGGTGCGGAATCACAGGCACTTGAGCGGGGGGGTCCTAAGGGGAGGTCCCTTCACTGCAACCATCCTAGCCTTTCTGCCTCGTCCTCTCCCTCAGTGATCACACAGCACATCCTGTGGAGCCCCGGGAGCCCCACTCGGATGGTGGATTCTCAAGCAGAGGGGGAAAGAGGGCCCATTTGAAGTCACCGTGTCTCACCTACCCACCCCCCTGGCTTGGCTTCCCCAGCACCTGCCCTGAGCTGCCACATGGGGACAAATTCCTTCTCTCCCTAGCAGTTGCTTTTTTAAAAAAGCGATATCATTTTATTTTACTTTATGGTGGCAAAATGCACACACCGTAAAATTTACCATTGTAACCATTTTATTTTATTTTACTTTATTTTATTTTATTTATGTATTTATTTGAGACAGAGTCTCACTCTTGTCTTCCAGGCTGGAGTGCAATGAGGCGATTGTGGCTCACTGCAACTTCCACCTCCTAGGTTCAAGTGATTTTCCTGCCTCAGCCTCCCGAGTAGCTGGGATTACAGGCGCCCACCACCATGCCCGGCTACTTTTTGTATTTTTAGTAGAGACGGGGTTTCATCATGTTGGCCAGACTGGTCTCCAACTCCTGACCTCAAGTGATCTGCCTGCCTTGGTCTCCCGAAGTGCTGGGATTACAGGCATGAACCACCACGCCCGGCCTGTAATCACTTTAAAGTATAGAAATCAGTGGCATCAAGTACGTTTGCAGAGTTGCACAACTATTAAGCTAGTTCCAGAACTTTTTCATCACTCCAGACAGAAACCCTGAACCCCTTAGCAGTCCCTCCTCACTGTCCCCTTCCCCCAGTCCCTGGCAACCACTGCTTTCTGTCTCTGTGGATTTGCCTGTTCCGGATATTCCATATTAATGGAATCATACAACTTGTGGCCTATTGTGTCTGTCTGGCTCCTTTCTCGTTCAACATTTCCAGGTCTATCCACATTGTAGCCCATATCAGAACTTCACTCCTTTTTTATAGCTGAATAATATTCAATAGTATGGACAGACTCCATGTTGTATGTCCATTTCTCAGTCCATGGACACTTGAATTGTATCTACCATCTGACTACTGTGAATAGTGCTGCTATGAACATTCATGCACAAGGTTTTGTTTGTTTTTCTTTTTTTTTTTTTTTTGAGTACCTGTTTTCCATTTTTTCTGGTATATGCCTGGGAATGGAATTGCACCATCTCTCCTAGCTTCTTAAAGGCAGGGACCCTGGAAACTAATAAGAGGCCATATTTATTGAGCACTTGCTATGTGCCACCTACTGTGCTAACCATTATTTCCGCGAGTCCTCAACAGCACAGGAATGGAAGCTCCCTGAGGGTTGAGTCTTTGGTTTGCCAATGTTCTCTAGGTCTAGGACAAGGATCTAATAGCATGTAGTAGGTGCCCAAGAAATACTGAATGAACTTCCTTTGAGCTAGGTACTCATGGGCCCCCACTTTTCAATGGAAGAAGCTGGGGCCTGGAGAGGTTAAGCAGCCTGCGTACCCAATTGCATGGCAGGAGGCAGCAGAGGCAGGATTCAAACTCAATTCTCACCAACTCGACTTTTGTATGCTGTCTTTTTCTTTTTTCTCCCCCCAAGACGGAGTCTCGCTCTGTCGCCCAGGCTGGAGTGTAGTTGCATGATCTCAGCTCACTGCAACCTCTGCCTCCCGGGTTCAAATGATTCTCACGCCTCAGCCTCCCGAGTAGCTGGGATTACAGGCGTGCACCACCACACCCGGCTAATATTTGTATTTTTAGTAGAGACAGGGTTTCACCATATTGGCCAGGCTGGTTTCAAACTCCTGACCTCAGGTGATCTGCCCACCTTGGCCTCCCAAAGTGCTGGGATTACATGAGCTACTGCCCCCGGCCTTTTGTAAGCTTCTTGTTTTCTCTTCCTTGTGCCTGGCACAGCGTCACGCACACAGTGTGTGCTCAGTGAGTGCCTGATGATCTCGCTGTGGAGCAGGGACAAGAGAGATCTAGGGTCACTTGACCTGGCACAGGGGCTGGGGAAAGCCTGGAGCAGGTGTTGTCTTTCTGTGCATCTGTTGGCGACGTGCCTGTCTGTTGAGAGGAGGCACTGCCTACCACGCTGAGCCCTGAGCTGGCAGAGACTGGAGTGGGCACTGCTAAGCACCCTCCCAGCACCTGGGAAAATCTTCTTGCTGACTCCTTTGCCAGAACCACTCCTCATCTTGACCTTCAAGGCCCTTAGAGAAAAGGAGAGCAAACTAGGCCACCAACTTGGACCCTTCCTCCTGGGGAGACTAGGGGTCCTGCCCAAGAAGATCGGGCAGGGCCACTGGGAAATGGAGGCGTTGCTTCCTCCTAAGGGGGTCTCAGGAGGGGTGGGGAGGCCAGCTTTTCTCCTGGAGCCTTGAGAGAGTCAGGCAGGGCCTCGAATTCACCATTGAAGTCCCTGGCCAGGCATGGGGACCACATAGGGCAACATCCCATGAAGGACTTGAGGCCCTGACTGGGGAAGGTCCAAGACAGGCAAAGGTGGGCTGGAAGCTGGTGCTGAGCCAGCCTCAGGGTGGAGGGTCAAGTTGAGGTCTCCTGCTTTTTAAAAATTACTATGATTAAAAACACTTCTTAAGCCAGGTCTTGGGAGAGCAAGGTGGGAAAACCCATTTCCTGTCCCCAAAGGACGAGGGCCCTTCCTCTTGACCCTATGTAGACTTTTCAGGTTCCTGGCCCAATTCCAACCAAGACTGTGCCTGGAAAGAGCCCAGAGCCAATCCGGAGGCCTGCTCCGACTCCGGGGTCTGGACAGCCACCCCCACCGCCCCTCCCTGGTCCGGGGCCCAGGCTCCTTTCCCGAGGCCTCTGTCTCGATCGGGCACCTGCTGGCCTGTGCGGGCCGCCGGCCCCCTCATTGTCCTGCTAACTGCTGTGTAAAAGTTCCGGGCTTCCTCTGACCTTTCCGTTTTGCCTGGTTATGCCATGGGATCCCCCTGGTGCGCATCCCCCTGCGGCACTGCCCGGGGCACTGCTCAGCCCCTGCCTGGGGCCTTTCTCTCCCCAGCCGTCCTCCGGGCAGCACTTTGATTCGCTTTCTTTTCTCCTCTCTTTCTCTCTCTCCCTCTCTCTCTCTCCCCCTCTCCCGCTCTCTCTTTCTTTTTCACTCTTTTAACATGCTTTTCCTAAAAAGTTTTTTAATCAATCAAATTTGAGGCAGAAAATAGGTTTTGTCACGCCTGGTCCCGGGGTAGTGAGACTCTCACTCGGGCTCCTGACAGCTCCTCAATACAGGAAGGAGGCCAAACAGAATATTTCTCCGGGAAAGTGCCCGTTTCCATGACGCTGCCCCTGTTGTCTATGCCGCCCCCCTCCTCACACTGCCGGGCTGACATGGCCCCAGCCCCTGTGAAAGGGCTGGCCAGGGAGAGGCTGTGCGTGAGGATGGGGCTGGGGGCAGGGGGAAGGAGACGCAGTGGAGTGCGGGGGCGGATGGGCAGCCCGACAGCTGCCCCGAGCCCCCATGGCCCCGGGAGGCCTGGGGAGCAGGTAGGAGTGCTGGCCGAGGAGCCTGGCCTGGTGCTTCATAAATATGGAGCTGGGCAGCTGTGGGTGAGAGGCTCCAAAGCCAAGTCCTGGACCAGCAGCGGCTCCAGCAAGAGGGAACTGCAGATGGAGGAGGCCCCTTCAGGTCCTGGTACGCTGGTCCCTGCCACTTCTCCGCCTGTCACTCTCCCCCGTCCCATCTCTCGTGGCACTCCCTCCCTCCCTCACCCATGGCCCCCCCCCTCCCCGTCCTCCATCCCTTGCTTCCTTCCTGCCCTCCCCCGACCCTGGCACCTCTTGTGCCGGAGGAGCCTCTGGTCCTCCCAGCGCCCAGCCCACCAGGCCCCACTCCGAGCCGCCTGCAGGCCCCCAGGTCTTCCCTCTCCAGCCCACCTTCCCTCTTCCTCTTCCCCTCTGTCTTTCACTCTCTCCTCTCCTCCTCTTCTCACTCTCTTTTATAATTAATGATTAGTTTTAATTGGTTTGCTTAGGCAGCCTGACAGCAAATTAACAGAAGCCAGCCCAGGGCTGCCGGGCTCAGGGAGAGACCACTGTGCTTCAGAACCGGCCAGGAGAAGGGCTGGATGAGGCTGCCTCCAGGCTCACTCTCACAGCAGGCCCCAGGGATGAGATGGAGGGAGTGCCGGGCCTCACCTGGGCAGGTGCAGCAGCCGATAGGAAGAAGGCACCAGGCTCTTTGCACACATAAGGGCTCACGTTTGCCAACTTTTCTCTGTACTTTTGTTTTTCTTTTCCTCCTCCTCACATCCCTTCTGTGCTCTTCTTCTTACCCAAGACATTGCTGGTGTCTTCAGAGATTAAGGGTGGGTAAAAGGTGGGTAGGGCCACTGCCCTTAGTTTAGGGCAGGGTTTGCTTTTGGTATCACTCATCCTTACTTGTGCAATGGGATGGTGGGATGGGCAGCCTGATGCCTCTGGGGCCAAGATCCTGCTTTTTCACATGGACAGGAGGAAGGAGGTCAGAAGGCTGTTGTCACTTTTAGCTCAGCTACCAACCAACCATCAGCCCCATAGCCTGGAAGCTCCAGGACCCAGTTCTGTTTCTGATTTGCCATCTACCTCTGGACAGAACTCTGAACCTTTGGGTCCTCAGTTTTTTGGCCAGAGTACTTAAGATTAGGAACATTGGATGGATGGATGGACAGATGGACAGACGGCTGGCAGAGAATGGGTGTGTTGGCATTTCTTAGGCACTTTCTGCCATGATCTCTGAGCACATGGCTTTTCTTTCTTAGCCTGGAAGAGTTCACTTCACTTCAGCCCCGCTGAGTGTAGGGCCCCTGCTGTCCTCTGGGTCTTCCCAGTACTGTGCCTCTCCCCCGGCCTTGGAGAATCCTTCCTTAACTACGTCAGCTACCAGGTCCCAGATGTGCTGGCCACTCACTCATATGGGCCACTCACAAAGCAGACAGTGGGGACAGTGAGAGGCAGAGAGACAAGAAAAGATGCCCAGAGAAGGAAGAAGAGACCAAGATGAACTCTCAGCTACTTCTTAGGCCCCCACTGGGGTCCCAGTATCCCAGGGTCCCAGATCCCACCCAGGGACAGCTTCCCTGCTCCCATCAGCCAGGACACCTGCCCTGGGCAGGTGGGGTACAGGACCCCGTGCATGTCCTGGTCCCTGTACGTACACATCTCTGGCCCTCCCCTCCCTCCTCCACCCCCGACCAACTCCTGGAAAGTTTCCTCCCTGATTGTTCTGTGTGATCAGATCTGCAAGTTGCTCTCTAAGCTTCTTGTCACATTTTGACTTAATGAAGTGCAACTGCTGAGGGATTTGGGTTCAGCGCTCCGGTCTCCCGCGCTCCCTTGTTGTCAGAAAACAGGGGTGGTTGGGGACGGCAACACCGCGCTGCAAGTCGTTATCATTCCGGTCAGTCTGTTTAACACAAAATTAAACAAAGAACTAATTAGTGCCTCATGAATTAATAAATGCACAGTTGCCAGGGAGGATGGGAGGGGAGAGAAAGGTGGTGGAAGGGAGATACCAGAGTTGTGGAGTTGGGGGGCTTTGGGGGTCCACAGGAGGCTGGCCAGGGCACCTTGAGAGATCTCAGACAGGAGTGTGTGGGACGGACGGGACAGTGAAGATGACACCCCAGCCAGGGCCCTGGGCTGACCGGCCAGGACTCGAGCTCTGATGGCTGAGCCCACCTGGTGCCTTGCAGTGGAGGCCTGGGGGTCTCCATCCCCGGACCCTGTGACCCTCCCTGCCGGCCTCCTCCTCCATCCTCTCCTCTCCTGGCCAGCTCCTTCTCTTTTCCTTATTCCCCCTTTACACAGCCCCCCATCCTCTCTACCGCCCCCTGTCTCAGGGGTCCGCCCAGCTCTCTGCAGACCCCCCCGCCTCTCATCATCTGGATGAGATGGGCATCAGAGGCCCGTGGGGCAGCACTTCCTAACCACCAACCCACCGGGCTCTCAGCCCTCCCAGAGCCCTGTATCTGGCAGGGCAGGCTCCGCCCCAGTGGGCACCCTCTGCCCGGGCAGCCCAACACAAGCGGCGAAAGCTGGTGGAGAGCCGAGCCCTCCTTAAGAGGACGTGTCAAGTACAATTAGCATTATCTGTCTAAATATGTCCTGGGAACCGGAGAGCGGGCGGTGGGACTGGGTGGCATTCCGGGAGCCCTCAACAAGGTCACCTCATCTCCCACAATCCCCCCAATCTGATTTGGGGATTACATAGCCTAAGGAAATTGGTGTTATTCCTCTTGCATCATTGATAAGCCACAAATGAGGGAGGGGGAGAAGAAAACGTAACAGACAGCCCTCCCCAAGCCTGGATAGGGTTCTGAGGCCTGCAGGGGCAGGGCCTGGCTTGAGCAAGGGTTGGGGGGCCTGGCCAGCAGGCTGGCGGGGGGACTCCCTGTGTTTTCTCTCCACGTACACACAGGCTGCCCCTTTGAACCTGGCTCCCCAAACTCATTATCTGGGCAGGAGGGCCCCAGCCTGGCACGCTGGGCCAGGCCGCGTGTTGGTTAAAGCCTCCACGTTGTCTGACCATCGTCCCTCTCCCTGCACGGTCTCTGGACATGGGCTGTGATGACTCATGGGTAGGACCCCGGGGTGGAAGGTGCTGTCGGCAGCCTGATCCTGGGGCATGGAGGCTTCCTGATGCCTTGGCCCCTGGCCCGCCCTTGCCCCTCTGTCACCAACTTGCTAGAGCGAACAGTTTGGCATTTGTCATTTTTATGTTCAGGGGCCCCGGGGAAGAGAGTAAAGGAGCAGTTGCTGCTGTATTCTGTCATTGTCCCCAGGCATCCCTGCTAGGCCGCTGCAGCTCCACGGGAGCGTGCAGGCCACTTCACCAGCACCCCCACTCCCGGCCTCCTCCACGGAGCAGTGTGCACGGCACGGCTGACTCTTCTCCGCCTGGCTAGGGAGGTCCTGAGGACCACATTGCCCCTGCAGTCAGTTCCTACCACTTTCTGACGTTTTTGCAAACTGTGGCTGGCATATGCCTGAATGAGCCAAATCAGAGCCCACCCGGCATGCCTGAGTTTCTGGCCCTCTTGGCTGGCCCTGGAGCATCAGCCCCTCAGCCCATGTGGGGCAGGGAGCGCCTGGGTACTCAGGAGGGATGGAGGGCGTGCACTGGGGAGTCATGGGCTTGGAAAAGCTAACAGGGCTCCTCTCTCTGCCTCTCCAGGATGAAGTGACACCCCCAGCTACATCCGAGGAGGTTCTAGGACCTGCTACGAGGTAAGGCCTGAGCCCCTCCCTGAGCCTCGCGTCCTCTCCCCGACTGGTGACCACTCACCTAATGCACGTGTCACCCTGGGCTGGCTTCAGTCCTGCTGAGCACCCAGGGGGAGATGAGAAGGTGGAGATGGGGAACTGCAGCCACCCCACCCATTCCGCCCTGATGGGAAAAGATGCCCTCCCGCCAGTAGGATCCCCTCGGTTTGGCTTTTAGGCTGGAAATGGTCTGGGGACATATGGATTGCAGACTTTGGGGAAGGAACGTGCTCAGGGCAGTGTGGGGCAGTGGGGCACCTGTGGTGGCTGGGCTCAGGTTACCCAGCCTGCGGTGCCCGCTCTCACAGTGCTATTGCCTCCGTGGCGGTGGCCGGCTGTGCCTGGACGTGCTGCCCAAGCTCTGCCTCAAGAACCGCATGGACTCGAAGGCCCCAGAACCCCAGTCCTGCCTTCGCTCCTCGGAGGCTGTGCCACCCCTAGTGGCTTCCTCCATCCTCCCTAAGAGGCTGGCAGGGAGAAGGCCACGGCCGAGGCCAGGACAGGCTGCCATGTCCTGCCTTTCCTCAGGCACGGGGCTCCCCTGAAGTCCAAGCATACGGGGCTGCCCCAGCCTGGCCCAGCCTTCACGGGCTGTGTCAGTCCCCGGGGTGGTGGCGCGAGAAACCGCGGGGCCACCGGGCCTCGGGCCCCAGGCAGTGCTGTGTCAGAGGTGACCGGTGGAACGCCAGTGTTATGTAAATAGCGGGGCCTGCCCGGCGGGCGAGCTGGCTGGCTGCAGCCATCCATCATCCCCGCTTGGCGGGGCGGGGGACAGACACGGCACCGTGCGCCTGGCTCCAAACCTGTTTGTTTTCCCTTTGTCTCTCGCGTTTCGGGCCCCGGCTGCGACCGACCGGCTCTGGGTTTTGTCCTACCGGCCCCCTTCCCCCCAGGAGGACGGAGAAGGGAGGAGATTCCCCGGCTCCCACCGCGGCATCCCTTTCGGACTTCAAAGGCTCCCCCAGCATTGTCTGCGCTGGCGGGCAGTGGCCCTGAAAACGTGATCAGAGGCGGCCCGGTGTAGGGCAGGCCCGGCCCGCGCCCTGCACTCTCGCTGGGGCCGGTGGATTCCTCCCTTTGCCGCCAGCACCACCCTGGTTACAGCTCCATCCCGGGTCCTCTCGGCCTTTCTCTCCCTGGTGCCCCTTCTTGCTCCCTTCTGGCCACTCCCGTCCTCCTCTTAACCATGGCCTCACCCCTGTCTCATGGAGTTGAGAATTCTAGAATCTTCAGAGCTGCGAGCCTCCATGCCTTCACATGGTCCATGAGGATCTGAGTGCCGTGGAAGGCTCCTCAGGATGCCCCAAGCTGGGACCAGTTCCTGGATATTGGCTTCCCACGCCGTGCCTTGTTCTCTGTCCCTTCCTTTGCTCTACCCTCTGATCACGAGAACCTTGCTTCCTCTAGAAACCTCCGCCCATGAGGTCCTGACAGGGTAGATAACTCCGTCCCCAGGCAGCAGGGTGAAGCCAGCCATTCCGTGTCCTGAAATTCAGCCCCAAGTGCTTCCATTCTCTGGAGCAGGGCTTGGCAGAGCCCTTTGACCCACAGTCTGCTTTTATAAATAAAGTTTTATTGGAACACAGCCATGCCTATTTATTCAGGTATTAGCTATGGCTGCTTTCACTCTATACTTGCAGAGAGAGTTGAATGGCTACAACGGAGACTGTTTGGCTCACAAAGCCTAAAAGGTTAATGATTTTCTCTCTGGCCCTTTAGGGAAAAAGTTTTCCGGCCCCCGCTCGAGAGGTTTTAGCTCCTGCACTTTAGGGGGCCTCGGAGTCTGACCCTATGGAGAAGGGTGGGCTCCTGATTCCAGGGAGCACCTTGAAAAAAAAAGCCCCACAGGTCGTGGACTGGCAGCCCTGGGTCTTCTATTTCTGTGTCAGGGCCCTGGGAAGCAGCATAACCTCTGAGCGCCAGTTTCTCTATTTGTAAACTGCTGTCTGCTTCCCAGGCTTGTGGCAAGGAGGAGCTGGGGTGCCTGGGAGAAGCTGTGAAGGTTGAGTTATCGGGAGCTGCTGAGGGGCAAGCAGGCTGAGGGGGTAGTCCAGGTCTGAGACTGGGCCTATAGGTGGTGGGTGGGAACCAGGCTGCAGTCTGGCTGAGAAGGCCCTGGAGGTTACACAGTGGGTGCTGGCTCTGTCTAGGACCAGGGACCAAGGCCGCCCTGGCCCGGTTCTACTGCTGTGGGCCAAGGTGGGAATCAGGCTCCAAGCCCGAGAGGAAAGGCTGGAAGGGAGTGGGCAAGGAGACGGGAGCTGCGGCCGCGGCCAGAGGTCTGCTGCAGAGTCTGCTGGGCCTCCTCTCGTGCTAGGTCTGCTGCCGTCTCTCTTGCTGTCCTCTTTTTGAGGGCTCCTGGCCTTTTGTCCATCTCTCTTTCCCCTCCAGGCCTCCTCTCTGCATCCCTCTATTTCCTCTTCCTCCTTGCCTTCCCACCACCCATAGCACCCCCACAACTCCATGGCGCTCTCTCTCTCTCTCTCTCTCTCTGCCTCTCCCTCTCTCTCCTTTTCATCTACTCGGAAGGCTTTACTTTACTTCCTTGTCACCCTAATTGATTGCATTAACCTTTCAGCGTATTGGATTTCCCCGGCATCGTGCAGAGAGCCCTGTGCAATATGCTTATAATCTAACCCATAATGGACAGTTTGCAGTCAACAAGCCCCTTCTCCCATCGGCCCCATTGACATCTCTCTTGCCCAGGCCACCGTGGCCACTTCCCCCGCTGGCAGGGGTGGGGCAGTGGAATGGGGCTGGGAGGAGGCAGACACAAACCTGGACCCACCGATGGGGTTCTTGGCCTCCCTCTCCTCCCAGCACTGCCTCCAGCCCCGCGTCTCCCTCTCCAAGCTCCCTGGCCCGGGTCATTGCCAGGCCTCTGGTCTTCGTGATTCCTCTTGGCTTGGCCTTCTGCCCTTGGGACTCTCTAACAAGTGACTGATGGGGCTGGCTTGGATTTTGTGGGTGAGTTCCCTGTTCCACCCAGATGCTTCTCAGAGCAAATCTTTCCTCCTTCACTAGCCCAGGAGGCTTTGGGGAACGATGATGGTGGCCACTTCAGGAGGCAGGTGGTGGATGAGAGGAGGGGTCTGAGATCTCTGACCTTCACTGGCCTCTGAGCCAGTGGGAGGCCTCTGTGGACCTTCTGGAAGCTGGGCGCGCTCCTTGAAAGGGTGCAGGTGCATAGGGAAGACAGAAAGCAGGGGATCTGCTGAAGCCAAGGCAAGAGGGTGATGAAGACCCCGCCAGGGCTGGCCTGCGGGGAGCAAGGCAGCAGCAGCTCCTCCCAGCAGGCAAGGAAGCGGACATGTGTCACCTAGGTTGGGACCTGTACCCACACTCATCTCAGGATTGTGTGATTCGAGTGCTTGGTAGGGGACGTCTCGGAGTCTCTATTTCCCATCTAATGTTTGGCAGTAGCTCTGAGTGGATCCACCTGCTGTCCGCAAAGGAAGACAGACGCCGCCCAGGCAGCGGGGCCGGAAGCCCAAGAGAAGCCTCAGTAGGCAGGATGGCTCAGCCCAACGGGGGATGGGCCGGGGGAGGTGGAGAAACTGAGGCCTGGCTTGTCAGGCTGGCAGGAATGGGCTCCCTCAGGTCGGCTCCTGGACGAGCACCTGTTAGTTCAGCAGGAGGCAGGAAAGCCAGCCCCCCGTCAGCTGCCTGGTCCTAGGGGCTCAGCCCCAGGCCTGAGCCCTGGCCCCAGTCCGTCCCGGCCAAGGCTGCCAGCCCTCAAACCAGCAGCCTGATCGGCCGAGTCTTCATTCACGACAAGATGGGATGTCAGGTTGAATACATTAGTGTCAGGCTGGAGGAGCAGGACAGAAGCTCCCCTTAGCCCTGGTGGTACTTCCTCTCTCCCGCACTGTTCTCCCTCCAGCCCTTTGCCCGTTATCTCCTTCTTCTGACCGCGCCCCCCCTCCTCCCATCACTCCATCACTCTGAAGGGCGAGCTTTGGCGAGAGGGGGCTGGACCTAAGTCCTTCCCATCCTCTCCCAAGGATTTTGGGGGTGGGCAGAGGGCACAGCAGGGAGAAGCCAGGCAGCGAATTAAAGTTTGTGATTGTCAGCATCAGGAGAAGCTAAATAACCCTGTAACTAGTATGAAGGTGAATTCACGGTCTGCTGCACATGGAGAATATGAGTGTCTGCGAGACAGGGAGAGTGCGCACGGGAACCCGGCTGCCACGGTGGGCAGCCTCCTCTCCAGGGACCCGGGCAGGAGGCAGGAGGAGGGCCACGTACCCGCTTCCCTGCCAGGGAGCAGCTGCCCAGGAGCCCCACCAGACACCTGGGGCAGCTCAGCTCCTTGACAACCTGCTGGCCCTGGCATCAGGGGCCCAAGTAGATATTTGTAAGCACCAATGGTATACACCCATGGACACCAGCCCAGGCCTTGGACTGATCCATATTAACAGCTAATCCTTATTGAGCACTGACTGTGTGCGGGCTGAGTGCTGTGTGACAACAACTCTATTCAGGAAGTGCTAATATGATCCCCCGTCTTTCCCCCACTTTTTAATAACCGCTTTATTGAGATATCATTCATATACCATAAAATTCACCTTTTTAAAATGTACAATTCAGTGGTTTTTAGGATATTCACAAGGTTGTACCATCATCACCACTATCTAATTTTAGAACATTTTCATTCCCCCAGGAAGAAACCCTGTACTCATTAGCAGTCCCTCTCTGTCCCCCACTATCAGCAGACCTAGGGTTCCACTAACGATGATTTCCTGAAGATGCTGGGAAGGTAGAGGGTCAGTGCCTGGGTTCAGGGAGCAGAGCCTGTAGAAGATGGAGCTGCGGTGTGAACCCAGGTACTGAGACTCCAGAGCTGGTGCTCCATGAGGGATTGCTTGATGTCCTGGCTAACCCCCACCCCACCCCTGACACACATGTGCCTATCATGTGTGTCTGACAGTTCAGGCTCAGGCGTGTACATACACCATCCAAACACCTAGACTCAGGCAGCAGCACACGTGTCTTCTCCCCAAGTACGCTGGCAGCTCCACATAGAAAACCTCACACCTCCCATAAGGACAGCGGGCCTCCCCTCCTGGGACCCCTCCCTTGGCTTCTCCCCAGCCCTGCTCCTAGAAGGGAGGCTTGGAGCAGGAACCAGCAGCAACAGGGTAACTGAAGTAGCCAGAGAAACCTAAGTGGTTTCAGAGCTTAAAATGAGAAATCCCATATCTTCTGCAGCTGATCATTGTAACTGAGACAAAATGCCAACCCAACATTCCAGAACAGGTCCCCGCCCGGGCTGGGGCCACAGGCTGGGCCAGGCCCACAGGGCAACCCAACTAGCCCAGGTCCCTGCTTCATACTCTGTGTGTGTGTGTGTGTGTGTGTGTGTGTGTGTGTGTCTCTATCTCTCTTTCTCTCTCTGTCTCTCTTTCTCTCTCTCTCTGTCTCTCTCTCTCTTTCTCTGTCTCTGTTTCTCTCTCTCTCTCTGCCTGTCTCTCTTTCTCTCTCTCTGTCTCTGCTTCTCTTCTGTTTCTTCTCACCTTTTTCTTCCCACCTACCTCTCTCTTCTCTCACACTCCACGTTTCCACCCCAAAACTTTTTTTTAAAGTTTTTGTGGCCACACTCTTGAACTCACAAAAACTGGGAAATTAATGTGAAACCGTCGCTGCTTCTGATAAGAGAAACCTACAAGGGTGAGACAAAGGGGAAGGGAGACACAAGAGAATCAGTCTGTTGGATTTTGGTTTGGGGTTTTTTCCTCCTTCTCTCTCCCTCCAAAGTGGAGGATCCGGCCGGGCCAGTTTGGATATTTATTAAGAAAAAGCCAAAGATAATTAACTTTTTTGTTTTTGTTTTGTTTGCGGGTGCCTCCCCTGCTGGCACTCCTGGCTGCCTGGCAAATTAAACCTGCTCCCGGCTCCCTGGGTGCTGGGCTGCCAGCAAGACTTCTGCCGACTGTCCTGGATCTGCCAGGGCTGCCAGCTGCCCACCCAACAACCTACCTTGGCTTTCAGACCTTGGGTCACTTTATGCCCCCACCGATGCCACATCCCCAGGCTCTACTGACTCTGAGAGCACCTTTTAGAGCAGGGTAAGTGGGATGTGGGGGTTGGGGGAAGAGGAGGGGCTACTGTTTGGGGTTGTGGCCAGCACTTCCCTAAAAGGAAATGGGGGGAAAGTGTGATCCTCTCCCAGGGCACAAGGGCGTTCCTCCTGGCCAGTTCAGGGCCGTTGACTTCCCAGGAGAGGGGAAGGAGAACGGAGGATGAGCTGGAAGTGCAGGGAGAGGCCAGATTTGGGCCATGTCGATCCCCAGCTCTTCTCCCCGAAGGCTGGTACCCTGCCAGGCCTCATGGGCCCCTGAGAACGCCCTGGAGCAAGCAGCCTCTGGGCCATGGAGCCATGTGTGATACCTGTCCACCCCCAACCCCAGGCTCCATCTTGCTCCCACCCCCAACCCAGGCCAGGCCATGGGTGGGGGAGCGGTGGGGGAGCTGAGTGGCTGGAGAGCCAGTGCTTGGGTAAGAGCTGGCTGCCTCCGGTCCGGTCCGCTGTGCTGGAGCCACACAGAGCCCTGAGGCCAAGCTGTGACCTAAGCCTGAGCCCAATTCATGGGCCAAGAAGGTGACACTGGGAGTTAGAGGCTTCCTGGTATGAGACAGAGCTGAGGACTTCTCAGGAGCCAGGAGAGCCCACGAGAGGAAGGCCAGTTTGGAGGAGCTCGCTGGGGTTGGAGGTGCGGCTTGCCCCTCTGTTAAGCCAGTCCCCCTCAGCCCTCCCCTGCCAGGGACCCTCCTTGGCCCCTTGGCTTCATCCCCAGCTGGACAAGTAGGCAGTGATGGTGGGCCTCTTCCAGGTGGGGAGCCTGCTTCGGAGCCGGCCACAGAGAAGAGGGCATTTTTCAAGGATTTTGCTGGCCTTTCTTTTTCTCTGAAATATAAGGATGTGCAATTTTTTTGGTTTCAATTTAGCATTGGAGAATTTTATAATTTAGTAATTAAAATCTCTGATAGGCTTTAGAAATTGCGGCTAATTGAATTTAATGGGAAGATGATTTTCAATTTTATTTGATTACCGGGACCCCTGGCATCGGTATTTATGGGAAAAAAATGGGAAATGTGCTGTGTGGGCTAAGATGGCATAATTGAATTAGGGATAATCGGATTTCTCCGTCATGAATTTCACTATAATTTTCCTATAATTTTCCATTAGATATCTAGTTTACAAATATTCACAAAGAAATGAAGCTCTTTCGGAATGGAGATTGCTGGCTAACAGGATTACGGGGCCGAGCGTGCGGCTGTGCCAGCCCCTCTCCTGCCATAATGCAATCCCTGCGTCTGCCTTACACTCGGCGCGGCCCTCGCTCCGCCACCCACTCTGTGGCTCCTTTCTCCCCTTTGTTTCCTTCTCATCCTGTTGACCCCCTGCCCCAACACCCACCTGTCTGTGGCCCACGACCTCCCGTGCCCGTGGCCATGCCGTGGTGCCTTGGCTCTGCCCTCCCTCGGCCCCCATGCTTCCCGTCCACTTCGCTGGCTCACAGCTTTCCCGACACCCTCCCTCCATCGGCCCCGGAGCGGGCTCACACGCAAACACACGGACTCCCTCGCAGGTGCGAACATGCTTGTTCGCAGGCACACGCAGTCCTTTGGCCAAGGCTTCTGTGCCCTGGCCCAGTCGCCTCAGATGGAACCAGTTTATTGGGATCCTGGGGTGGGGTGCAATAACAAAAGGAGCTTTGTTCAAGTTTATGTGAAAGTTACAAATTCAAAATGAGAGCAGATAAAGCATGAGATACCTGGTGTGTAAACAGGCTGGTGAGTGAGAAGGCCCCAGGCTCGGGAGGGAGAGAGTGTAGGTGGGCAACTTGGGGGTGCGGGGGGGGTAACAGGAACCAGCGATAGCAGTGTGACAGGAAGGGCAGATGGCTTTCCTTGGTGCTGATGTGGGGAGCCTGGGTTGGGGGGAACCGCTGGGTTGCCTTCCACTTCTTTTTCTCTTGTGAGTGGGTTGTCTCAGGAGGAGCTAGAGGCTCTGGGCCCAGGGACTCAAGATCAGAAGAGATTATGGCATTGGACTTCCATCCCTTGAGTCCCGGGCATGAAGGTCCTCACTGTGGCCTGGCTTTGGGGTCTCAGGTGTCCTCAAGGCAAAGATGGGCCATAGCCTCAAAAGATGCCTCTCCTCTTGGTATGAGCAGATACACTCAGAGAGAAAGAGAGAGAAGGGGGGGGCGCATAATCTGGGGGCCCCTCCATGACACAGCCTCTGACTCATACCCCACAACCTCGAAGCCTCCGCCGCCTTCTCTGACCTTCATAAATCCTTGCGCTCCGAGTTGG
The DNA here is from genome assembly GCF_000001405.40 of Homo sapiens. NCBI lineage: Eukaryota > Metazoa > Chordata > Mammalia > Primates > Hominidae > Homo > Homo sapiens. The sequence continues at coordinate 10,697,133 of NC_000001.11, read as the reverse complement.
CCTGTTTCTTGCTTCTCTGACCGCTGCTCCTCCACTGAAGGCCTTTTCCTCTTGGGCAGGGCCCACTCAGCCTGTGGCTACCTGGCCAGGGACTTGACAGAGTGGAGGCTTTCCAGGCATCCCCACACCTCCCTCCATTGCTGGCTGCCATCCCCCAAGCTCTCTCGAGTCCTGTCCCTTCCGCCATTCCTCTGTAGCCTTTGTCTGCCTGAGACCCCCCGAGTTACTGGGTGGCCAATCCAGGTGGTCCTGCCTGGGCAGCTGGAGGGAAGATGCTTTCCTTTTCCCCTCCACACCTTCCTCATGGGTCAGGCTCTGACCACTATCAGCTGAAGCCCAGGAAGACATTCAGAGCCAGCCAGTGGCTGTGTGGGTCACGTATGCAAGCAGCTCCCCATCTTTGCAGACATCTTCAAATGCACCCAGAAATCACCTCTTCTATCCCTTGCCTCCAGGCTTCCTCCTACACACAGTTGCCCAGATAGGAGAGCAGAGGCTCAGAATTGGGGTGGGGATTGATCACCTGCTGTCACCAGCCAGAGCTGCAAGCCTTTTGTTACGATGCCTTGCTTTGGGGAGTCATTGGGAGCAGCACCCAGAGGCATGTGTATACCCCACAGCGGTCCTGGACACAGATGCCCTCTCTGAGATCCCATGTCGGGAGCAGAGGCACACAGTCCTCTGTGCTGGGTGCCCGGTACGGGCAGTCATACTCCCAGGCTTAGACTTGGGGTAGTTCTGTTCCCTTATTCAGGGTTTTGGGGCCAGGGGCAGCTCAGTAAGGTTTCTAGGCCTCTCCAGCTGCTGTTCCTATGTAGGGATGGGTTGGGGAATCACAGAGCCAATGAGGCTGTGTGACGGCCAGGAGTGGGGACTGCCAGGAAGGCAGTGGGAAGGGCAGTGGAGTAGGGGAGGGATGCCCAACTCCCTGAGAGGCCATTTAGAACTATAGAGCAAGCAGGAAAAAAGGAGAAAAATGAGGGGAAAGTAGGAGAAAGAGTAGATTGTTAACTCCCTGATGTCTTTGCCCCAAGGCCTCCCTGGCCCCTCCCTTTGCAAAATAGAAATATTGCAAAAATAGGCCAGCGCCATGTTGCTGGATGCTGTCCAAAGACCAGGGAAGCCTGGGCCCTGCTCCCCTCCCCTCATCTGAAGGCAGTGTGGCCCCTCCTGAAAGAGGAGCGCTGGGAGAGGCGAGGAGGGCAGCAGGGTAGGTGAAGAAGGGACGGAGAACCAGGTCCTTCCTTAGCAAGGCTGCCCAAGGCCCTGCTCACCCCACCGTCTCTTTCCTTGAGGCCCTCTGGGCCGGATGCGTCACTTAAGTCACCAACATATAAGGACTCTCAAAATATATGGCTGCAGCAGGGACATCTGGGGATGTCCCATGGTGCACGGTTCATGGAGGGGAGAACCCTCAAACTGCCTTCTCTGGCAGAAAAGAAAGAGGAGCACGGGCAGCACAAAGCGCCTGGCTGGCCATGGGCTGGCAGGAAATGAGGTTCCACGTTGAAGGGGACAGGCCTGGAGACGGCGTGGGGCGGGGGGGGGGGGGGTGGCGGGGAGGGGAGGAGGAGCCGGGATGGGCCTCAGACTCCCTGGTTGAGGGTGCCTGTGCTCTACTGAGCGCCCTTCCTAGGGCAGCGGCCAGAGGGGCAAGGCAGGGAGGAAGCGCAAGTGATGGCCGGGATCATGGGTCGGGGGCTGTGGGGAAAGTGGGGCGCCGATCTCCATTCGTCTGGCTGCGGGGCGGATGGCCCAACTTTGAGGGAGGAGTGGGCAGAAAGACCGGAAGACCGGGGAGGCTCTGGGAGGACACTTGGACCCGTTTTAAGGGCAAAACCAAAGCAACGCCGAGGAAACCCCACTGCGTGTCCCAGGCCGGCGCTCCTGGGGCCCAGGGCCGGGGACGCGCGGGGTGCGGGGGCGCGCGGGCCTGACTGCGCCCTGCCCCGCCTCGCCCCGCGCTCCTGTTCCTCCAGCTCCAGAAGCCGCCAGTGCTGTGAGGGGAACACGAAATCCCTGTGCTACCCCAGGAGCCCCGAGCCCGCAGGCAGCGGGCAGGGGAGCAGGGAAGCGCGCGGCCTGGCGGGCGCGGCCCCGCGGCGCCTCACACCTGCGCCCGCCCTCGCGGAAAAGTTAGCGCGGCCGCGCGGGTCGTGGGGCAGGCGCGCGCGGCGGCCGTCGGTCGCGCTCGCGGGGCCCGAGCGGCCGCTGGCAGCATGCGAGCGCGCGCGCGGCCGCCGGCGGCCGGCAAGAGTGGGCGCGTGCCCGCGGGCGCCTTACTCGGGCCGCGTTCCCCGCCCCGCGCCGGGTCCCCTCCCGCCAGCCCTGAGCGCAAGTCCCCGCCTCCTCCTCCCGGAGCCAGAGGTTTGGGGAATCGCAGAGCCAATGGAGCCGGCCGCCCTGCCAGTGCGGCGCGGGCGCGCGCGGCGGGGGCGCGCGGCGGGGGCGCGAGCGAGCGCGAGCCCATTCACTCCGGCACCGGGCGGCGGGCGGCGGGCGGGCGCACCGGGCGGCGGCGGCGGCGGCGGCGGCGGCGGCGGCGGCGGGGCCGCGCTCTGCTCTTTCACCTGCCGGGGCCGGCGCGGGCCGGGCCGAGGAGGCGGCGCCGCGGCCGCCCTGCCAATCACCGCGGCGCCTGGCAGCGCCCCCGGCCGCGCCCGCCCGCCCGCTCCCTCCTGCCAAACTGTTACCCTGAGTGTTACCGGCAGGAGCAATGACATCAGGGCTTTAAAACAACTTGTTATTCGGGGAGTAATCAGTTGCAATTAGGCATTAATTAAGTATTATGAAAGTTGATTATTTAAGTGAATTCGGCTTTCGACTCTCCGACTATGGTGAGTACCGGGCGCGGGCGGGGGAGGCCCGGGGGCCGCGGTCTCGGGCGGCGACCCGGGCGCGGGGCGCGGTCGGCGGGACGGGGGCGCCCCTGGGCCTCGCGGATCCCCCGGCCAGGGCCCCCAAGCCGGGGCCGCGCCGGCCGAGAGTTGCTGCCTTAGTTGGAGAAACTCAGGCGGCGCGGACCCGCGGGCGCGTGCGGGGCCGAGCGTGAGAAGCGGGCGGCGCGGAGGAGAAAGTTTCTCCGCCGCGGCCTCGGCGCCCGCCCGGGACGGGCCGCTCCTGCGGGGCGGGGGACAAGCAGGGCGGGCGGCCGGGGTCCCGCGAGACGCTAACCCCGTGTTTCTTCTCTCCCGGTCTTCCCCTGGTGGCGTTCTGCGAAGAGTTTGGGACCAAGGAGAAGAGAATGGATCTTGGAACAGGTACCGGCCGGTGGGAACGCAGGGGCGGCTCTTTCACTTTTCTTTCGCTTCTTTTACGGAAGTTCTTATTTTTAGCCCAATGAGGTGGCGGCGGGGCCGGGTGGGGGCCGGGAGGGTCGGGCGGCTGCCTCCCGGCGTCCCGGCCTCGGGATCGGCGACTTCTGAGGCTGTTGTTGTTGTTATTTGCCACTTGCTTAGAGGCTGTGACTAATGTGATGCTTGTCATTATGAAAGAACCGAGAGGAGCAGGAGCTGGGGGGCACCCAGAGAGAGGATTTAGGGGGTTTTTGTGGGGTTTTTGTTCTCCGTGTTTTTTGTATGGCTTCGTGTTTTTTTTCTGTGTGTGTGCCTTTTTTTTTTTTTTTTTTTTTTTTTTGTTCTCTGCAAAGATCTTTGTGTGTCTGGCTCTGGGGTGTGTGTTTTTATTTTTTTAGTGGGGGGTGGTTTAGTTTTTGAAAGCAGCGTCCTGTTGGGAAAGGTGGTTAGTCTGGTTTCGGGGCGACTGTCTCAAGGTAAAGGAATTTAATTTATTTGGGACAAGGCTGTGTCGGATGATCAAGCTGCTTATTATGGCTAATGAGTATTTTTCACCTGAGAATCTGTGGGATGAGGTGGCTGTTATCAGTTCAAAGTGAGGGGCCCCGGACTGTCTCCCACCTGCCTCTTTAGCCCCCACCCTAGGGGTGGTGATGGACCAGACAGACTACTCAACGTAGGCATCTGGGTTTGGGGGCCTCCTGTGGGACAAGGCCGGGGGCTCCAGGAGGCCTGGTGCTCACCTGGGGCAGTTTATCCTGATATTTTGGTGTTTTCTTGGGTTTAATCTAATTCTTTCCAGTGTTTTTGCCTTCAGCTCTTGCGGGCTTCCCATGGGCCCTGGCTATTGAAACCAAATTTTGACCAGGACCCTCACGTGCTAGGTTGACAAAAGCAGCTGTCTTCTTAAATGTTTTAAAAGAAACAAGCAGCCCGATCATTCATTGAGACTGATCTCTGAACTCTCCTGGTTCATTGATGGGATAGGTGATACTGGTGGCTGTTAGCGTTGTTGTTTATAATAGGCCCAAGTTCACAGCATCGGCCCTTGGGACCCATGAGCTGATATCTGACCTTCTAAAGGTCAGTGGGCAGAGAGACCGGAGGCAGCCCTGAGGGGATGAGGATGGGTGGCACGGTGGCCGGTGAAGAAGGGCCTGTGTTTGTTGGGGGGAGGTGTCATTTGCAGAGTTTGAGGACTGTGTGACACCAGGTGTGATCTTGGCTGGTCTGACGTGGAGGGCCTGGGGACCTCTGCGCCCGGGAAGGGTGTGACACCCCCTGCTGGGCAAAGTGGTAAAGGTGTCTAAGGCCAAGGCTGCCACCCTGCCCCTCCCTGCCCTCCACTCCCACAGAGAACCTGCCTGCCCCCACCTCCAGTCGGTGTCTCATCACCTCCCTCTCAGGCCCCACCCCCTTTCTTCGGAAATGGGGCCCCCACCCATCCCAGCCAAGAAGCAGACCTCAGAGATGGGCCTGGTGGCAATGCACCACCCCTTACCTGGGGCAGGAGAGCCTCTGCTTGTGGGCCAGCACACAGGACCCAGGCATTGCAGAGCTGGAAGGCAGGCCCTCTGGTCGGCCTCCTCCTAACCTGGGTGCCAGCTGGAGCCAGCGTCCATCCTCCTGCCATCCACCAACCAGTCCCTCCAAGTCTGTCGTGGGGACAGTACTCCAAAGCCCTTCTCTAGGGTGTCCTGACTGGAGCGAGGGCCTCCCAGCCCTGGTAGGAGGCAGGTGGCAGAGCCTCTTGTGGCTTCTCTCCTGGGCCTTAGGGAGACTGACTTCTCCCAGCACTCCAGGGACAGGCTCTGGAAACTTTTCCTAGAAGCTAGAAGGGACCCTGAGGTCAGCTGCTTCCTCCTGTAGCTGGAGTAGAGCACTCCCAGTGGGACTCAGGCCTGGACTCTGGCCACTCAGAGGGGAGGCCCAGGGTGGCAGAGTTCTGACTGTTTCCTGGAGGAGTCATCTGGTGATACCATCTCAGTCTCTTCTTTGAACTTGGAAGTTTCACTTATAATCTCAGAACTTCAGAAGAAAAGCAGTCTTCCCCCCACTTCACCAAAAAAGGGAAGCAGATGAGGACGCTGAGATCCCCTCTGAGCTGGTCCCTGGGCTGACTCCATGCTCATCTTCAGGAGCTGGGAACAGCTCCCTCAACTTCATAGTGCACACGGCATACAGCTGGGGCCATGGGCCTCGTCTCTGGCCGGGGCTCGTGGCTGGTGAAGTGAGGGTCCCTTCCTCTGGGGCAGCGTGGGCAGCTTCAGCCGAGGGCCTCTCTGACATAGTCCAAGGCCAGGGGCGCAGGCCTCGAAGGGCTGCTGGCATCATGGACCCACCATGCCTCCCTGATCGTAGGTTAACATCCCCGCGGCCCCGGACACATCTAGGTCCTGAAGGCCTTCAGCCATGAGGAAGTCAGTGGTGGGAGAGCCAAGCCTTCTCAGGAGGGGACAGAAGGACCTCAGGACCCTCAGGGGCCATGTGGACCCCCTTTCCCCCACCATAGTTCAGCCAAGGGCTGGATCAATCTGGACGTCTTTAGCAATAAAAAATGCCGATGTCGTCCTAATTCACCAGGCCCCGAGATGACAGCAAATTTACATTTTTTAATTAAACTAGCAGCCAGTTTTTATGAGAGGGGGTTGGGTTATGCAAATCAAATGGTTGTGTACGGAAGATTAGGAGAGTTTGGGAATAAATTCCACAAATGCTAATAAAAAAAAAAGGAAAGAGAGGGAGGGAGGGAGGGAGGGGAGAGAGGAAGAGAGGAGGACATAGTTCCATTAGGCCCTTTTAGAGTGATTTCCCTGGGGGAGGGAGCGGGAAGGGGGGAGGGGAGATGGGAGGAAGCTTTCAGACACAGGTACATCCATCCTGCAGTTGGGAAGCTCCCAGGGTTAGGTCCCACCAGGCTGATTCCCAGGCCCTGAACACAGCTAGAAGCCAGGGTGAAAATGGCGGTGAAGCACGGGTGGAGCTCTGAGCAGGCGTTCGCCCTTGACTCGTGGGGATCTGATGATAGTTGCCCCTTCTCTTCTTGAGACAAAGGGGTGGGGCTGTCCAAGGCGCGGAGGAGCCAAGATAGGCTCTACAAGGTCAAGGGCCAAAGAGGCAAGAGGGCAACTTTAAAGGGATGGCCACGGACTGCAGGGGGTGCCGGTGAGGGACAGTGCTGCCCATGTGTCGCTGTGGCTGCAGCCTTGTCGTCGAGGCGGGTCAATGGGAGGAAGCCCGGCCGGTTTCTTTCTCCTTCTGGGGCTCCAGGCCAGGACCCCCTTGCATTGCCAGCAGATCCCCCATCGCAGACAGCCCAGGCCTCAACTGTGGGGAGGCCAGGAAGCGTGGGATCAGAAGCTGGGCCAGGCTGGCTCATTTTCCTGATTCTCAGTAGCCCCATGCTTTGAGAGCATACTGTCTTGAGGTAGGCCGCAGACTTCTTCTAGACGGTGTCTAAGCTGAGAGAGCAAAGAGCTTGGCATCCCCAACCCAGCCCCAGTGTGTGCTGCTCAGGCCCCTGCCCTGAGTGTCAACCACCTTCAGATCAGACCTTCCATGAGCTGCCAGGTCAAGGCCAGAGCCTTGCCAAGTGTGGAGGCTTCTAGGAACCTCACTAGCTCTGGTTACACCTTCGACCTGCCAGGCACCGGGGACTGAGAAGGTTCCTGTGCTGTACTGGAGGAAGAGATTCCACGCCGGGTTTAGGGCAGAGCAGATTGCTCTCAATTTCCTTCCTCCAGCCTTTACTTGGCCAGATACACCCACTCAACCAGTCTAAGCTGGGGCCAGCCCCTGTAGCCAGGTTGGGCACCGGTTTTGCCAGTCTGCTGCAGGGGGTAGGTGCTCTGGGGCCATCTTGGCAGAAAGGAGCTGTCAGAGCCCGGGACAGAATGGGCCATCTCGGAAGTCATGAGTTTCCTGGTACCATTCAAACAGAGGTTTGTGCTGTGCACCGGTTAGTGACATTTAGAGGGACTTGAGCATCAGATGACCTTTAAGATCTTCAGCTGTCTGACTCCCAACTTGATTTTGTTCAGTGGGGCAGTCCTGGCGGGTGGGAGTAGGGGGTGAGTGGACGAGGTGAGGAGCACATTATTTGGACCTTTTCTTTGGTGGAGAGCATTGGAGACAGGCAGCTCTGGGCTGTGAAGTGACCCTTTGAACCAGCCCTGGTTCTAGTTGCAAGACGTCAGAGGAAACTGAGGCTAAAAGGCCTAGCATAGCCTTTCCTCCCCAACAAGAGGCAGAGGCAGAAGGGCAGGTCCGAAAGGCTCCCTAGAGAGACCCCACCCCTGGCCCTTTTTCCCTGGTAGGGACCAGCGAGGAGAACCCATTCACTCTCCTCTCCAAGAAAGGCACTGAATGTGAGTGTTACTCAGACCTCTCTACTGGCCTTGTCGGTACTACTGGTGTTCCCCCAGCCCCCACAGCCCCAGAATCTGGCTGAGCTGCAGCTTGGGTTTTTATGATGGAAAAATAAAATAAATGCAGGCACCTTTGGAGGGCTAAGCCACGCAGCGGCATCTCCTCGTGAAAGTGGCTGCCCTGGCTCAAGGCCGTGCCCGCTGCCTGAGCAGGGGATTGGGTGGGGCTTGGAAAGGCTCTTGGCCCCAACTCCTCTTCTTCCTGGGTCCTGCCAGGTCAGTGGTGCAGCCCCAGCCTCCATCAGCCTCCTCTAGAACGGCTGGCCCAACACTTTTCCAGGGCTCAGCCATTTCTCCACCTGGCCCACCCCCCATGCCCCCAGGCCCCAAGGCTCACCTTCTAACACGGCCTTCCCTGAGCTGATTTTTACACCCTGACCACCCTGGCCGCTGCTCCCACCTCTTCCTCCTTTTCCTCCTTCTCCTCCTCATCTTCAGAGGGGGAAGGAAGTTGCACTGTAGTAATTACCGCCCGTGGGTCCCCACGGCAAGCAGCAGCTGTTCTGGGGTAGCTGGGCCAGGGTACAATGAGTAGGGAGAAGCTGGGAGCAGGAGGAGGGCGGGCAGCCCCAGTGTGCAAAAGAGGAGGGGCAGCCTCGCCGGGACCACCTGTGCAGGGCAGCAGCTTGGTGGTCTAGCGCACACCCCTCTGGCTGCCTGGCCACAGAACAGCACCCTGACACCCTCGACTCAGCAGGATGTAAGACACCCATGTGGGAGGCGAGGCCTGAAACCCAGGAGGCATGGGAGGCTCTCCTGCAGCAAGAGGGACGGAAATGAGGACTGCCCGGGCCCCTGTGTTGGCAGCGTCTGCCTAGTGGAGGGAGAGGAGCGGTCTGCTGTCCCACCAGGCCGAGGAGCCAGGAGCCAGGGACCATGCAGCTTTGTGAAAGAGTGGCCTTAAGGGACCTCCCTCCGCCACCATGCTTTCTAGACTCCTAGCCAGCCCCTTCTCTCTGCGCCTTGTCCTCCCCCTCCCTCCAAGAGCAGAACTCTTGCTTCCCATTTTGCAACCACGTTTTTCTGTCTTTTTCATCCAGGCCACCCAGCTCCCTAAAGCCGGGCCCTCCCTGCTACCTTTCTTGCCCCATGCAACCTTTCCAGCCTCACACCCCGTTGGCCCTGGAAAAAGATAGAGAAGCTGCTGGCTGCGAGCCTGCTGTTCTGGGGCTCCGGGTAGACCTGTGACGTTGCTGTGCCAGGACCCAGCACTCGGACTCATGTGCCCTGATCCCCAGGAGGCCAGGGCCCTTGTTTTCCTCTGCCACGGCTGCTCCTAATGGTGACCATTAGATGGTAGCTGGTGTACTGCCACCTCCTCCCCGGGCCTGGTACGGGCCGGGGCTCACGCCTTCCTGCTGTAAGTGCTGGTGGAACTGATTGATTGATGTGCCTCTTCCCCAAGTGCCTCCCCGGCTTCTTAGTGGGGGCAGAAGGAGGAAGGCAGGAAATGTTGGCCAATTCCCTTGGGACCTGGGTTTTAGCTCCTTGAGAGCTTTCTAGAGCCTGGTTTACAGGAAGGAGCGAGGCTGGGATTTGGGATGACGTGAAAGGGGCAGGGAAGCCCTAAGGATAAAGACAGGAGTGTTGATGGTTGAATGGGACCCACAGTAACTCCTAACCATGACCATGGCCTGGGACTGGGACGTCAGTCTGCTGCCCAGTGGGGACAGGATGGCTGCAGCCAGAGGGTGATCTGGGCCCTTCTCCACTTCCTCCCTTGCCCATCTCCCTCTCCCCTTTCTCTCTCCTCCTGAGCAGACCTCACCACTGCATGTCTGCCCTCTCTCATTCTCTTCCCCGCTTCCGGGATCCCTCCAGCTAGACAAACCCAGGGCAGGGAGTGAGGCCAGAAAGACAGGGATACACCCATACTGAGGGCCAGCCAGGCGCCAGGGCTTCAGGCCTCTGCCCCGGGCGTGGTATGTGGGCCACTCCTGGCCGGGGCATCTGCTCTTAGAATGTCCCACAGGCCTGACTCTGGGGTCTCCTCTGGCCCTTCTGGGCCCTGCTGGTGCTGTAATCACTCACCTGCTGACACCCTTCCTAAAGCCAAGAGGGCTGTCTCTTGATGCCACCTGGCTGAGGCTGGGGCACTGCCTGGCTTTGGAGGAGAAGGCAGGAGCTGGGAAACGGACACATGTTGTGTTTCCAGAGACCAGGTGTTCCCAAAGGTCGCCTGGCCTTTTCTTATGGGGCTCTTTCAGTGATCTAAGGGGGCCTTGGGAGGGACTGCGCTGTGTGAGAATGGGGGACTGGAGGAGCCGGGCAGAGCTTTAGATGGGGGGACCCTAGTGCAGCGGGAGAGCAGGAGGCGTCCCAGAGGCCTGTTGGGAGAGACTCCTGGAAGTTTTGTCACCGGGAAGTGCCTCTTCCCTGCAGCTGTGATCCTCACCGCCCTCTAGCCCAGTGCCTCCCTGTCTGTCACCCCTTCAGCCTGGGAACCCAAGGCCACAGGAAGCCGGGCTGCCTCGCAAAAGGATGACCCGGCTCTCCACTGCCCGGCAGGGGGTGCCCCACGGCATCTGCCCCCCATCCTTTTAGGTGTGGGGCAATGTGGTCAGGACCTGGTCCAGGCCTTCTGGCCACGGGTGGGGGAGGGGCAGCCTAGCGTCCCCACCCCCAGAGGTTCCTTGGCTGAGTTTGTTTGCCAGGGTGACCTGTTTAATCATCTCATTTTCTGGTGGCCGTTTATTCCTCGTTTCCACGGTTACGGCCCCATTAAGGGGAGAAGCAATAAGGCGGTGAGTCAAACAGGTAATAAAAACATGCAGAGCCCCTGTGCACCAAGAGAGGGTGGCGGGGAGGGGCGCAGTGAGCTGAGACGGCCTGGGGGGAAGCCCAGGTGACACCCTACCCGCCTTGTCTTCCAGAGGCCCGAGTGTCCCCAAGACCCAGTCCTCGGCTTAGAACTGTCCCCAGCCCTTGGTCCCCTGGGCAACAGGCTGTCCCAGGTAAAACAGGAAGGAGAAAGGTGAGAGGGGGCGTGATACAAGCCCCCCCAGGGCTGCCCCATAGTTGGTGTGTGACCTGTTTCCAGGCCCCACCTCGTGCTCCCTTGGTAGGGGCGGGGGATGATTTCTGACATTGGTTTGAGCTCTAGAATTTTTTTTCTGCCAACTTTATCAGAAAGCATATTTGTGGTGAGTGCTGCTAACAGGGCCAGTCCAGTGAGTAAATATTCCTGGTGTGGACGGCCCTGTGACCTTGAGAGGGAAGAGTACAGTGGTTCGGCCAAGGGCATGTAAGGAGAGGAGAGGACGGCCAGGCGCCCACAGGCCCCCGTGCTGGGTGGGGGGCCCTTCCTGGGAAGGGGTCAGGTGGGGGCCACGGGGTCAGGTTGGCCCCAGTAGCCTCTTCCCAGCAGCATGGTCTACCTCAGGCCCCAGTGACACCAGCTGGAGCTGGTTTGTGTGACTTGCTGGCTGGGGGACAGGCCAGCAGCTGCCCCTGTGGGCTCCCTTCCTCTGGTAAATGGAAGCTGAAATGAAAGTCAGCCTCTTTCCGGCTCCTCTGAGTCCAGGGGCACGTGCCTCTCTCCCAGCGTCCCCTCCCTGTCCTTCCCAGGAGCTTCCTGGGTATCCCCAGCCCCTCTGCCCTGCCCTCGAGGTTTTTGAAGAAGCAGAGGCAGTGGGCTGACTGGAGTGGACAGGGGGAGGCTGGGGTCTTCCTGTTGCCAGGAAGGGTGGGGCTCAGGCAGGCGTGGCAATTGCAGGCCATGCGGGGCCAGCTTCGTGCCCGGGGGCTGAGGATCAGTGGCTCAGAGAGAAAACAGCGGAGGCCACTCTGAGGGCTCCCGGGTTGGGGAGGAGCCTCCCTTCTCTCCAGTGCCATGCTCCCTGACAAACTCACCCAGGTCTGTGTCTCTGATTATTAATTTCAAAGTTGATTTCTGATGAGAGAGAGAGGGAGGAAGGTGTGAGAAATGGGGGAACCCTTTGGCTGGGAAATGCGTCTTGGGAATGGGCCTAGATGAGTGAATATTCTGATCAAACAATTAAAAATAGAACACGCTACCGAGGCCCCAGCTGCCGAGGTTTTTCAGCAACTGTCACCAGCGGGTTCATGGGGCAGGTGGCACTGGAAAGGAGTTTTTCCATAAACGGCAAATATCAGAGATGACAGTGTGCCCCCCACTTCCCTCCCAGTTCTCCCCAGACTCCCCTCTAGGGCCTGTGCAGCTTCAGGGCCGCCCTTCTCCCCTGCAGGGCCCGGCCGCAGTGGTGAAGTCATTGCCAGATGCCTTGGTAATTGCTTTAAGAATCTAACTTAAAATAAGATGAAAACTTATATTCCTGGGTAAGGAGTAATTTCCAATGTAATAGTAAATTAATGAAAGGATTATACCAGGGGGCCTGGCAGGGAGGCCATGCTCATCTGATAAATGCAAGGGTTTCAGGCAAGACAGCTCCATTCCAGGAGGCTCCCGACCTTTGGTCCAGGTCCCACACTGGGGGTTCCTCTTGGGCTCCCCCGTGGGCAGCTGAGTTGGGAGGACACATTCCATGTGTGCTCAGCGTCCCTCTCAGTGATGGGAACCAGCTTTTCAAAACCTACAGATGGGAGAGGCTCAGGTCTGGCCTCCACGGGCATGAGAGGCCCTGTGTCATCAGTTCACCCAGGAAAGAGAGAATTTCTGACACCCAAGAGTGTGGGCCCCCAGGAGCAGATGCGAGTTAGACTCCAGGCCGAGTTCCCAGCTCTTAGACTGTGTGGTCAGCATCGTGGTGTCTCGCGATAGGATGACCAACCACCCCAGTTTGCCCAGAACTGCAAAGACCCATGTGTGTGAACCCCCTCAGTCCTGGGCAAACTGGGAGGCTTAGTCAGCCCTGTTTGGAGGCAGGAGGATGGGCTACTTGACATGGTCCCACCCTCAGGGTCCTGGAGAGCCCAGGCACCTCCTGAATGGACCATGTCTCTGTTCAGGAGGAGGACTTGCAGCTGGCTCCACTTAAACCCCCTTGCGCTACCAAAACTTGCTTCCAGGCCGCTGCGTTCCACTAGGCGCGTGTGCTGGGGCAGGCATGCTCGTGTCCCCCGCTCCCCGCCCCCTCCAAGGCATGGCAGAGCACTGCTTGGAAGCTTGACCCGGCCTAGAAAAGGGCTTGCAGCTGTGATCCCACCCCTTTAACACTGAGCCTTCTCCCCCCAAACATATCACAGTCCAGACGGGGCTTCTGGAGAGGATGCGGACAAGGGAACCCCCACCCCCAAGCCCCTCACTCCCCCACCACCGTAAGTTTATCAGCGCCTTCCTTCCGAGAGAGCCACACCTAACATATCATCTCTCCTCATCAGTTCCCTTGGAGGAAGACAAGGAGCTGTCCCATTTCCTAAGTGGGGAAGCTGGAGGCCCGGAGATACTGCTGGGTTTGTTCCCAAATGCTAAATGTCAGAGGACTTGGTGCGGGGCGCCCCTGAGCACTGTTCCAAATGGCAGCACTGAGTGAGGACACACAGGCCTCCAGCCCTAGGTATCTACCGTGCTGCCTGGCCCACGTCCCCAAACATCTCTGGCCCCGATGTGTACCCCACCTGTAGTCTGCAAACACATCCCTGGGCTGCAGGGATGCAAGATAAAATGTAGTTGTTGATGCAGATGCATTTTGAGCTTCTGGGGGAAAGCCTCCTTTTCTAGAGGCATCCCGGAGTGCCCATCTTTGCAGAAACGAGTGCTCCCATCTGTCCGCAGGGGAGGGTTGCAGGTGGGTGGAACGCACTCCGACTTGTCTCTGTGGTGAAATGGAAGTGAAAGGACTGGACGCAGAGCCCTTCAGGAAGCATGTCTAACCGAACGGGCATTCTCCTAGGAGACAGGTTCACGATGCATGTTTGCTGGATATGTTTCTGTGTAAGCAGAGACTTGCTGGAAGGGAAGATGGGGACCTTGCCCCCCGGTTCACTGGGAGACCATTTTCAGTTCAGCTCTGCGGTGGGTGTCTCCACTGGCTTTCTTTGCTACTAGAGGTGATGGGGCTGCCTTGGGAACTCCACGTGATAAACTCACTGCTTTGCAGGCAGCTGTCCCAGGTGGGGTTTTAGGCTGGGGGCTGTATTGAGTTTGCCCAGGTCTTTGCTTGGTTGTAATCTGAGAGTGAACCAGCTTCTTTCCCAGTGTAGACCACACTGTGCTTTAGGAGGTGGGGAAGATTTGTGCTGCCCTTCCCCCACACCTACTCCTAACCCAGAGGAAGGAACGTGGGGCAGTAGGGCTGAGAATTCCTAGCCTAAACAACCCAGGAAAGCACGCTCAGAGAGCCAAGCCAGAACCCCAGATGGTGTGATCCGATTGTAACTGGAAGGATGGTGGCTTTGGTTGTTAGATGTTATGTGACCGTTGCTGTTTAAGCAGACAGATTGGTGACTTCCAGACTGCAGAGATCAGAGCGGGCTCTCCTTTATTTATCTTTGCGTACCCGCAGAGTTAGAGGACCGAGTGGAATAGCTAGAATGGACAGGCAGGCCTGGAGAGCCAGGCACAAGAAGCAGGGGGATGACAGGCCCCGGCCCAGCCACACCAAGCGCACCACGCAGGGCCACAGATGGCACCACGCCTCCAAGGGCCATATGGGGTTCCTTTCCCTGGCCTCCCTGATAGGAAGGATCACTTTGGGGCTCCTCGGGAGGCCTTCAGATGGAGCTGAAGAGCCCCTAGGCAGGGCCAAGAGCCCAGAGAAGGAGATGGAGATGTTTTCTATTTCCTGGTCCCTGGGGGGCCCAGGGACAGATTGAGACAGGCTCCTTGCAGGGAAGGTGTTAACAAACAGCAGGTGATTAAACATGACAAGCGGTGACATTTCTGTTCAGGGTTCTCAGTCCCGGCAAAGCCAAGAATGAAGCTATAAACCCTGACATTTTGTGTTATGCACTGAGAGGTTTTTAATAGACCTCGCTCCCTCTTCCCCACTCAACTTCTCTCCCTCCTCTACTTCCCCTCTCGGTATCCACTGCCCCACTGGAAGCTCCTGCCTCCCGGATTCCGCCGGGCCCCCAGGAGTCTTCCGGGGCCCTTGATCCACAGACACTCCTCCCTCTGCCTCTGCAGGGCTGAGTACAACCCTGCCCTCTGCCTCTCCCACTTCACGGTGATATTTCCCGTTGCCCCTTCTCCCCGTCCCGGCACCCCCCACTTCCCTCCAGCCTTCACTGTCTCACCTCCTGTTTTTGGGTCCTGATCTCACAGCCTCACCCTTAGCTGCGGCTGTCCCAGTTGTCTGGGACAGCAGGTGGCTGTCCCTGTGTGTTGTGTTTATAACATTTTCAGACAAACTTGAAAGTGGATGTAGGGAGATGGTGGGGCTTGGTATGGGATTTTCCCCCATCTTTTTTTCAATCCCCTTTTCTCCTTTTGGGACAGGGACAGGAGGTGGAGGGAGAGAGTCGCACTTCACTGCAAACAGTTGCAGGATTTATTCAGAAAGGGACTGGCCAGCAACAGTTGTTCCTCTCGCCGAGAAATGTTCGAACAACTGGGGCCTCTTTTGTTCTCTGGGTAGAGCCCTGTGAAGGGCGTTTGGAGGTGAGCCTGGGGCTCAAGAGGGCCAGAGACCCAAGAGAAGGGGCTTCAGCTCAGTCCCACCCAGGGAGTCCCCACCCCACCCCTCCAGGAAAGGTTCCTGGAGCCCCGAGGGGGTCAGTCCAGAAGCCAGGCCACGTCCCTGGGGCCCAGCGCCACCCTAACGAGCTCCAGAAGCACTGGGTTTTCTGCATTCACTCAGTCAATATTTGTTGGGCCAGACACTGCGCTGAAACAGTGGTCTCGTCCCAGGGATCTTGCAGTCTGGTGAGGCAGAGGTCTAATTAAACAAGTTACTATGAAAGTGCTAAGACTAGGACAGGGTGCAGTGAGGACAGAGGGAGAGGACAGTCCCGGGAGGCTGCCCAGAGAAAGTGAAATGTCAGCTGGGACCCATGAAGGCTGTGTAGGAGGAGGGGTGGCCGGGCTCTGAGGTGAAGGAGCAGTTTCTGCCGCTGAGGGGGCAGCGTGCTGAGGGCCTGGCAGGGAGAGGCGGGCGCTGCCTCACATGGGCTGGCTGGCAGGTGGAGTAGGGTCTGGGCTGTGCCCTTTGATCTCTGAGTGACTGACCCCGTACATGCTCTTCTGTCCACCCTTCCACCATCCCGACCCACCTGGGCCAGGCGTGGAGGTCAGGGTGAGGATGGGGATGAGGGTAATGGATAAAAGACTTCAAGGAAAAAAAAAAAAAGGTCAGGCACGGTGGCTCCTGCCTATAATCCCAGCACTTTGGGAGGCCAAGGCGGGCAGATCACTTGAGGCTGGAAGTTCGAAACCAGCCGGGCCAACATGGCGAAACCCCGTCTCTACTAAAAATTCAAAAAGTAGCCAAGTGTGGTGGCAGGCGCCTGTAATCCCAGCGACTTGGGAGGCTGAGGCAGGAGAATCGCTTGAATCCAGGAGGTGGAGGTTGCAGTGAGCCGAGATTGTGCCACTGCACTCCAGCCTGGGCGACAGAGTAAGACCCTGTCTCCAAAAAAAAGAAAGAAAGAAAGAAAGATGGGGGTGAGGCCCCAGCCCTGCCCCAGTGGGAGGGGGAACACCCGGGAAGTCAGTGTGTGTCCCCAAAGACTGGGGCTGCGTCTGCTTTCCCGCTTCCTAGTCCCTGTTGCTGGTGACTCATTGGTAGTGGGGTGGGACGGAGGCTTCAGACCTGCATGGAGGAACTGGAGAGGGCCCAGCTGGGCTCAGCAGCAAGTCCGTCTGCCCGCCTGCCCCTTCACCTTCTCCACCCGCTGACCTCAGGGCCCAGCCGGGGTGTGGCCTCTTGGACGCCCTCCTCCAGCCCAAAGTTGCCCTACCCTTTGCGCTCTGGAGTGTGACACAGTAATGCTGGAGCGTGCAACACTGCACCCCCTGAGACCCAAAGCCATCCTCCCAGGATCCCTAGGGCAGAGGGGGCAGTGCCAGTAGCTGCTCAGGATATATTTGAGAAACTCAACCAAGCCAGGAGGAGAGGATTTGAGTTCACCTTTAGAGCAGGACTAATGAGGAGCCTGCAGACAGACCTGTGGGTCCCTGGTGTCCAGAAGACAGGCCCTGGGGGTCCAAGTTCAGCTCCTTCCTCCACCCCCAGAGCCGGCCTCGCACCCCCCTCCCCTCCACCATCCCCCGCCGCCCCGCCCCGTGCCATCCAGCCGGAGCCCTCCGGCAGCATCGTAAGGCCTTCTGCCTGGAAGGGGCTCTCCTGGCCTTTAGGGTACTTCCTTCCCTGCTTACTCAGCCTTTGCCCAGAGGTCAGGCCCAGGACACCCCACCTTCACATTGGTTCCCTGAGAAGGAAGCCAGGCGGCATAAAGCCATCACTCCCCTTCCCCAGCCTGCCCCACCCCAGCCTTTCTGCAGGAGCTGGCCTGGGCTCCTTAATGCCACCCCTTCTCAGTCCAGACCCCCTAGAGTCCAGCCAGGAGTCCCCTAAGGGCCAAGGGGCTCAGCCTTCCTCCCTCACTTGGCAGCTGGGTTTGGGACGGGTAATGGGTAGGGATGCTGGAAGGGTAGGGGAGGGGAGTCCCAGGGCTGGGACTTGGCCTGCTGCCCCTGCAGATCCGGAGCCAGGTTTTACTGTAATCCCTACATCCTGTTGCAGATCCTTAATCAGCTGGAGCCCAGGTTGGGCCGGACCCTGTGGTGACACTCGGGGTTGTAGTATGGAAAACCTGAAGTGGAGCTTCCAGAGTTGGGGTTGGGGACTGTGAAGATGAGGCAGGTGGAGGGGAGGAGAAGGGTGCCCGTGCAGGCACAGGATGTGGACAGAGCCCAGACCCACCACCCACTCGACCCAGGCTGGGGGTGGAGGTGCAGCTGTTGCAGGCTGGGAACCAGGACTATGGTATGGGGAGGAGGGGCCCGCGGGGGGCCCTAGGAGAATGCCAGAGTATGTGGGGGCTGCTACATTGCTTGGTAGCACCATCGAGACAGCTGGCCCGAGTCATCCTGATGGTGAACAATGACTCCAGCCTGGAATCGGCAGAGGGAGCCCTGGGTGGCGTTGGCTCCAGGGGTCTATTCTGACAGGGGCCTAAGTCCGGGGTTGGGAGTGTTTCCGCCTGCTGGGAGAGGGACCGCTTCCTGGGGCATGTGGTGCAGATGGCCCAGGAGACCTGTCTGCCTCAGGTTTGGGACTAGGCTCTGTCCTGGAGGCAGCAGGGGCCCTTTGGCAGGGCAGCAGGCTCCCAGGATCAGCCTATGCTTTCATCAAAAGCAGCAGGCCCTGGCGGAGAGCTCTGTGCCAGCCCTGCAGTCCCCTCGTGAATCCTGGGAAGTCGGGGCAGCGGGTACCCCTCCTGAACCTCAGCTCTTCATGGCCCAGGGAGCAGTGATGGAGGAGAGTGAGGGGACACGCATAGGCCAGAGATAGCCAGAGAGCGGAAGCCAGGGGTGGGCTGGCTCACAGCGGGCGGGCAGACGGGCGTCTGTCCTGCCAGGGGCCCAGGCTGGCTCTGCAGACAGCCTCTTTTCTATATGGAAATGAAGAATTTAGGCTAATGGAGCTCAACCATCTCTAATTTTGCGATGGCAGGAGGATTTTGATTGAAAGTAATTAAGCAAGCTAGCTGTAAAATTAATTAAAGCAAAAGGGGGGGATTTTTTATTGGATTGGATAGCGATATAGCGTCTGTCAGGCGGGGGACGGATGGGGGTGACCTGAATCCTCTGCCCTCCCCCCTCCCGCTCGGGACGTTTATGTCACTTTAATCTCCTTACAGCGGCTGCTGTGCATTTGTTTGAAATAATCAAGGAAATATGGTCAGAAATTGTCAGCTTTCAGATCTAATTTACCTGACGGCCCCTGCGCGAGCCGGCGCGGCCCAGGGAGCGAGTGTGCGTGAACGGGTGGGGGAGCTGGGTGGGCTCAGAGGACACTGGGATCTTCAGCCCCGGCCTCGGGCCCCCTCGCGGGGGCGGTGCTGCCCCGGCCCTGTGGGCACCTCCCTGGGCTCTGCCCCACTCTGGAACAGACCCCCCCACCCCCACCCACCTGCTGCCTCTCCCTCACACTGTAACCAGCTTTAGGGTTTAGGGAATATAGGATTAGGGAGGTGATTGTAATTCCTTCTTCCAGATGGCTGACAACTGCTCAAGCCCTCCACAGGGCCACCGTTTTAAAAATACTCCTAAATTAGTCCCCTCATGTCCTCGTCATGGTCGCCGTCGCTGGCCTCAGCAAGGGGATTGTGGAGACGGGCTGCAGGGAGGGCGGGTGGTGTGCCACCCCGTGTTCCTCTGCCACCTGCTGCCCACGCCGCCGCCTCTCCTGGGCTGGGCCTGCTGTCCGGGGCCTCTCTAGTCCAGGCTTTCCCTCTCATCCCCAGAGAGCGCCTGCCCTGTCTCCCCATCAACACACATTGGAAGGTCTCAGGGTCTCAGTCCCTGCAAGAGAAAGGTCCCCTCCTGCCACACACGTCCTACCCATTTCCGGTGGGTCAGCCAGGCCACGCAGCCAGCCTCCACTTTGCTTCCCCTGGAGAACGGGGGAGCCTGGCTTCCAGGCCTCGCACACCGCAGGTGCTGGTTCAGAGCCATTTGGGGTCCTTGCCCACTGGGCCATGTGTGGCTCAAATCCTCCGCAGCAGGGGGCCTTTGTGGTATTTGGGGCCCGAGGGGCCTGGTGCAATCTCCAAGGCTGCGGAAAGCTCTGCTTTGAAACAGAAATGTGTAGCATTGGATTTGCTGGGCCGGAGAGGGCTCAGACTGGGAACTGGGCCCCTGGATCTGCCTAGTCCTCACGAGTGAGTGGCCTGGGCTTTTGCCAAGTTTCTCAGCCTCTTGGACCTCGGTCCCTTTCCAGGTCTAAAGTTCTGTGCACCTAGGACAGCCTCCACCCTGATAGCTGTCCCCTGTCCCAAGGTGCGTTGGACCTAAGTGCAGGCTGCCCTCCTTAGCTCCGTGTCCAGCCAGAGCCACTTGCCACACCCCTGCCATGCCCCACACACAGGTTCTAGAAACAGTGGGTCAGGACGAGCAGCTGCTTCCCTGTTTGCCCACTTTAGACGTACCCATGAGAAGGCCCCTGTCCCCTCCTGCCCTCCTCGGTGCCACCCAGACACCCTCTGCCTTGCCCTCTGTCAATCCTTCCCCTGACCCTGAAGGTGCCTTCCCCTGCCCCCTCCTGCTCCAGCGAGGCTTTGGCGCTGGGTGACTCCGTCTGCCTCCTCCAGCAGCGAGGGAGTGTGAGCTCCTGGCGTTCCTTCCAGCCTGAGCAGAGCGGCTGGAGGCTTGGGAGGCATCACCTGCCCCCTCCTGAGCTCTCTCTGTCTCGACCCTCCACTCTGCCCTCACCGTGACTCACTCATCTTGGAGGCGGGGGGCGATGGAGCCCCAGGGGGCTCTGCCCAGGAAAGAGGGGGAGAAAAGCTGCTGGCTTTCCTTCACGTCCTACGTGCCAGAGCCCAGGCAGCACTGAAGTCTGTGGGGCCCTGCACCCCCTGACTGGCTGTGCCCACAGGGGCCTCAGCGAGAGGCAGTGGCAGAGCCAGGCAGTATGGGGTTCAGCCCGGACAGAGTGCATGCCCTTGATACCCGCCAGCTGCCAGGACCTAGATCCCGGGAGACAGGATGTTAGAGAGAGTCTCTGGCCCAGCCCAGCATCTCTTCTCCATGCAGGCTTCACAGAGGCTCCTGCTGGCCTGTGTGGCTGGGACGTGGAGGAACCAGCAAAGGCGTCCACGTCAGGAAACTGTGGGGCTGCTCGCCCCGGGCCAGGGGCTCGTTTCTGAGCTGTAGGCTGGTCGAGGGCAGGCACCAAGGTGGAGGGAGGCCTGCTGTGGAAATAGGATCCCAGGGCACCCCTAGGCAGGTTGGTCCACCGAGGCACAGAGAGAGATGGAGAGGCACAGAGAGAGATGGAGGAGCCCAGGAGGAGAGCCCCTTTGTTCAGAGGATGGTGGAGAGGCCTCCCCGGGGGCTCTTGGTGTCTTCTTTGTCCTGGTGGGAAGAGCCTGCATTGGGGATGTTCTGTTGAAAGGTCACCTTTTGGGGCTAACGCTGTGTGATGGAGTGAGAGCTTTGCTTCTGTGGTGGCTCTCCTTGGAGAGGAAGGACAGGGGTGAGCATGGGACAGGCAGGGGCCCTCCCTCAACGTGGCCGACAATAGCGGGAGCCCAGGGCTTCCGGGAGAGGGAATGAGAAGCAGCATGGGGGACGGGGGTCCGGGCCAGTCCAGCAGGGCCTTGGTGTCTGTCACTTGGTTGGCATGGGTTTGTCACCACCCTGAGATCACACATTCTGTGTGACCCTCAGGGGTTCCTGCTGTCCCTCCTTCCTTGGCCCCCAAGCCTCTGAGCAGGCCTAGGTCCAGGGGGAGCCCCGCCCTCTTCCTGGGGCCCCTCCCTGGCTGCTGGGGTTGGGCGCCTGGTTCATCCTGACTGTCTCTGCCATCCCTGGCAGGCAGGTGTCTGAGCCCCTGGGATGGAACTTGAGGGAGAAGAGGCAAGGCTGAGGGTAACAGGCCTAGCCCTGCCCATCCCAGGCAGCTCTGGCCCGGACCGGCCTGCCAGGCCAGCTCCCTGCAAACCTTGGGGAAAGAGGACTTTGCCGCTGGGGACCCACCTGGCCCAGGAAGCTGGCCACTTTCTCCCTTTGTTGGGGGTGGGGGGGGGGTCATGTGCTAGGCTGGCTGGCCCCCGAGTCCTTACCCATGCTTAATAGGGGCCAGGAGAGTTCCCATAGTGCCCTGGCCACAGGATCCAGAGGCAGGGGTAGGGGTACCTGCCCAACTGGGAGAGGAGCCCAGAGTGGCTGGGGTCCAGCCCCAGGAATCATTAACTGCAGGGTCTCCTAATGCCCGCAGTGTCGGGGGACCTGGCACCTCCCCCAGCCAGGTCCGTGCGGAGTTGGCCGGATGTGACCGAGGCACTGGGCTCCCGGAAGTGCCTGAGGCTGAGCTGGGCACTGGCCTCACCCCTCTTGAAGCCTCCCCACCCAGGCCTGTTCCCTGCCCATGCCAGACCACCCCGCCTGCTCGCACTGTGCCCACCCTGCCACCCCAGGACCCCCATTCCTTCCCGCCAGCCTTGCCTCGGGGTTTCTGGCCCTTTAGGCCTCAGGACTCCCTGGCTCGACCCTGGCCCCGTCCTCTGTCCCCACTGGCTTCACAGTCACATTTTGCTGCCAGCGCAGGGCACTGAAAAACTGCTGGCACTGCCAAAAACCCTGTGTGCGCTACGACTCCCCAAACATCCCTTTATTTTTATTGTTCTGTTAATTACTGTTTAAACTTTAATAAGTCACTTCGTCAGGAGGGGGGACCTGCCGTGAGCTTTTCTGTGCAAACATGGGCCGGGAGTGACTCGGGTGTAATATAACCCTTTATGCGATGTGGGAATGTTTAGATTGTAACAGAAACTTGTTATTTTAATGACAGTTGGTTGCGGGGGGTATCTGAGCACAGAAAAACAGGAGGGGTGGGCGCTCCCCTTGCATCCCCACGGAGGGCTTGGGGCAGCCAGGGCTGCTCCCCTGCTGCCACGACAGAGGGCCCAGGGACCCATGGGGACCTTCTTGGGCTGCCCACTGGTCAGCTCCAGACTGGGCCTGGATGGCTGGGGCAGGTGAGGCCCAGGAAGAAGTTGGCTTTAGCGGGGATGGGAGCAGGAGGCCTAGGGCAGCTCTCAGATCCCCAGGCAGAGGTGAGCAGGGCCACACGGGGCTGAACTCCAGGTCCGCGGTGCCCTGCAGTTACCAGGCAGGAAGCAGTGCTCCCGGCTCCGAGGAGGGGACTCTGCCCACAGTCACCGTGGAGCATCAGGGAGGCACCGTGTGCTCTGCAGCCCCAGCCAGACGTGTGCCCACATCATCCCCTCAGCAACGCTGTGTTACAGTTGGGGACCCGAGCCCAGGGCAGGGAAGACGCTGAAGTGATGAGCTTTCCAAGGGGCCAGGTCTCTGGAGTCGATTTGTCTTATGTGGAAGTTGCCAAAGCCCAGGTGCCCCACGGTGGCCTCAGAGGGCTGGACGCCCTCCCGCAGCAGCGGTGCCGGGGAAGGCTCGGACCCCACGCTGGATTCAGGACTGTCTGCGTCGGCTGGTGGGGGCTTGGGCCGGGCATCTCTCAGGTTCCTCTTTGCCTTCATCAGGAGAGGGAGCAGGCAGGTGAGGCAGGGTCACCCTGAGACCTGGAGGCACTGGCCCTCCTCTTAGAAGGTCTTCCCATCTCCGGGGAAGTCAGGGGCTCATGCCCAGGTAGGGGTGATGGTGGCCAATGCCCTGACTCTGTAGGAAGAGGCACTTCTGCACCAGAGCTGCTTCTAGTGCAGGGGCACCTGGGGAGGGCATCTTGCCCCAGCATCTGTGGGGCCCCTACAGGCACCTCAGGATACCTTAGGGCCTGTTTCCCTGCCTTGTCGCCATTCAGTCCATCTGTCAGTCTGTCCGTCTGCATAGCTGAGCTTCTGCTCTGATCCAGGCACTGCGGTGGCAGGGATGACAGAGGCCTGCACTTGCCCTCAAGGGCTAGCCCTGGTTGGGGTTAGTACAGGCCATCCAGAGAGGGCAAGGAGGGCAAGACCCAGGGCGCCTGGCCTCAGCCCGAGGCATGGATGGTCCTGTTGAGCCAAGGAGGAGACCCTTACTCTCTGGGCTCTCCTGCCCACGGAGGGTCCACATGGAAGCTGTCCTGCCCTCGCCCCACCTCCTGCTGGCAGGGCCAGAGGTTCAGGGACCGGGTTCCCTAGAGCTGGAGGTGAGAGCCCCCCAGATGGTGGCAGCAGCATGGGCCACGAATCGCTGAGGTTTTCCTTTTCCAAGCAGCGCGTTTCCCTAAATTGTCTTTGACTGCGTGCATGGGTAATGAAAGTTTATGCCCTTGTTAGAAGGACAGGCGGCCAGTTCCAGTTAGAACTGGGGCTGTCTCCCTGCCAGCCCCCTCAGCCCCCCTCCCCAGCAGGAGAGAGGCAGCGTGAGCACAAGAGTGCGAGAGAGTGTGTGTGCGTGCACGCGCGTGTGTGCACACACACAACCTCCCCCTCCCTGGCGGATAAGAAGGCTGTTAGGCGAAGGGAGAGGGGACGAAAAAAAATTTCCATATTTGTGTAAGTTGCTTTAAAAGCATTTTATCATGTCATAAAAAAGGGAAAGTACTCTCAGAAATTGATCCTCTCCGCCAGCCCATTGGACAGAAGGACGTTGGATGTTAATGGCCATCCTGCTCCAGGGTGGCTTATTAAAAAATTTATACATAAATGCTTAAAATTGCATAAATTATTTAAAAAAACCAACAAAGTAAGCAATTTGAATTCCCTCTTTTCCTCCCCTTCACTCGGTCCCCCTTTTCCAGCCCCTCCGCAGGGCCCTCCCGGTCCCCAGGCTCCCGCCCCCCTCGGAGCTTTTCCCCTCTTTTCTCCACTCGCCACTGCACCCCAACGCCGTCCACCGTGCCTTCCTCTGGGGCTTCCCTGCCTCACCCACAAATTAATGGAACCGCCAGCCCACCTCCAAACACTCACAGGCACACGCGCTAATAAAAACACCACTAATAATGCCCCAAATCGCAAAATTAAATATTAAGGCCAAAGGAGGCGGACGTGGAACGGAGCCGCCGCCACCGTCGCCGAAGTTGGAGCTGATGAGTGTGTCTCTCGCAGGCGTGGAATGTCACCCACACATCCTGGAGACTGGAGTGGGGAGTTTTATGATGGTTTTTCATTGATTTGTTTCCCCAGCGCAGCTGCCGACCTCTATTGAGGGACAAACATAATCAGCACTGACGCAAATTAGATGGTTATTCGTTTTGAAAATTGACAGAAAAACAATAAAAAAGATGAAATGCTCCCAAATCAATAGATATAATGAAATTCAAATAATCCGAGAGATGAGGTCTCCATGGCAACTGATAATGTGGAAAAGAAAACAATTTAATAAAGGACAGACACACTTTGAAAACAGATTGGGCCCGGGGAGGGGGGCGGGCCGGCGGGCGGAGGGCTGGAGCGCGGGCTGGCGAGTGAAGGATCACTGTCCGTCCCAAGGACACCCGCCATAATTAAGCGAGGCTTTCGGCCCCAGAAAGTGCAGATTCAGGTTTTAATACACAAAATTATTTCAGGAGCAGTGAATCGGAAAGTCGTTTGTAATGACCTTCCTGAGAGGCCCGGGCGCGGGGCATGTTGGAGGCTGGGCGGCCGGGCGGCTGAGTTATGGCATATTTGTGTTTTTATAGTGCGGAGGGGAGGGGGTGGCGGGGGGAGGGGGGAGAAGGTTAAACAGTATTTACAGCTCAGTTGTTTTCAGAGAGGAAAGAGAAATAGAGTTCATGGGGAGATGCGGCGGGCGGGTGAGCCGGGGAGGCCTCTCGGGCAAGCAGGGAAAGGAGGTGGCCTGGGCAGGTCCCCCACCTCGGGCTGCCTTGCCCATGTCCGTCTCTGGGACCTAGAGCAGATGCCAGGAGCCGCCTCTCCCACTCCGGTCTCTGGCATGGCACAGCTTGTGGGGCTGTCTAGGTCTGGGGCCTCTCCAGGGCAGTCCAGGCTGTGTGGACACCCAGCCAGCCACACCTGCTCCCGTGAAAAGGCAGGGTGTTTCTGCCATCATCCTAGCCTCGCACCCTCCAGTGCACTGCATGGCATTTGGCCACCCATTTAGATGATGCTGCCTTTCCTGAGCCCAGTGCCGCATCTGGGGTGTGCCAGCCTCGGGCATAGCGAGTAAGGACCCGAGGTGACATCATGCTCCGCTGCGGTGGCCCACAGCTTACAGCCTCCTGCCTCCTTTTCCAGGCTCCACCCCCCTGCCAAGTGCCCACCTGGGGCTGGGAAAGGGAAAAGCTTGGGCCCTTTGGGTTTGGCAGAGGTGGGGGCCACAGAGAGGGGAGGGGACCAATCAGACCCCTTCCACTGCCCTCCAGAGACACTTGCCCGGAGCAGGGCAGCTCAGGCACTGAGAGTCAGCCCAGCCCTGGGGGTCCTAGGCTCACCCGAAGCCCCTTCCCTCACATCTGTCTCCCCTCATGGCTGCAGGAGCCATGTTTGTGTTCTGTTACCACGACCACACGCAGCACTCTGAGATTCCACATGTGCACATGTGAATATAACGGGATTGTACAAACACAGGCATCCGAGCGTGTGTGCGCGCGCACAGGCATGCACGCGGTCTGTGCGCGTTTGCTCAGTGTGTGTGTTTTAAATCTCCCCTGGGTGGTAACTCTCTTTTTTCTCCCCTTCCTGTTTGGCTGTGACCTGGGGGAGATTGATAGCCAGCCTGTGCGGTGGATGCTAACAGTTCCCCTGATTTATAGAGTTACTTACGCTAAGTGAGGCCACTTAGACGCGTCTGGATAGCGAACCTTTTAACTGGACTAAAAAAATCATAATAAATAAATAAACAAAGTGGGGCAAGCTAGGGCCCAGTGGCCAAGCATGCCCCCCACCCAAGTTGGAGCTGTTGAGGGCCAGGGGACCCGGCTGAACCCCTCGGGCCCTGGCTGAACCCCTAGGGAGCAGCAACCATTCCTCCCACAGAACTTAGAGGCCCTTCTGTTTGGAGCTGGGGATAGAATTGGGTCCAAGAGGGAAGGACTCCCTTCTCGGAGGGGATGGAGGGGACGGGTCCTGGCTGGTGGGGGAGGGGTCACAGCTGAAGGATGGGGAAGGAACCGTTCAGGCGGAAATGGGCTGTGAGGTAGAGGAGGGAGGAGGGGTAGATGCCTGGGCCCTTCCTGGCCCTTGCTGGCCTCCAGACCTGCCACTCCTGTGGCACCTCTGATGCCCACTACAGAGATGGCTCTTGTACTGGCTTTGAAGTGTTCATTCCCAAGTCTGAACTGAGGATCCGCGGCACAGGAGCCAGGGCTGCCTGTGTGCCCACATCATAGCCTGAGGAGTCAGCCCAGGGTCTGGTCTGTACACGGTACTCAAGAGAGAGGTTGTTGAAAGGACACCAGCACAGCACCCCAAAACTGGGGCTTGTGGCCTGTGAGCTGCAAGTTCGGAAGTAAATGGCAGGGTGGAAGCCCCGGCAGCCGCCCGCCCCTGACTCCAGGATGCCTAGGCGGGAGGCTGTGGGGGACACAGGTGGGGTTGAAGATTATGACCTTGGGCATCTGAGCCTGGTGGCAGTTGGGCTCCAGCACTGACTGTGGGCAGCTACCAGCCTCGCGGCCTTTGCTTCCTTATGTGGGAATGGACAGGACAGCCGACCATGTGGAGATCCTGGGGGCATCACCAAGGTGGCACTGTAAGGCACCCAGCACAGACGAGGTGCTCAGAGGATGCCAGCTGCTCTATGGCCCCAGACACCATGGCCCAGGGCAGCTACCAGAGTGGCCCCCGAGCTGCCTGGCAGTGGGAAGGCAGGGCCCCAGCCCACCCCCAACCCAGGGGTCTGGTTCCTGGCCCCTGCCTCCCCACCTCCTGATATACAGCGGGCATTAGGCCGCCCAAAGGGGATACTGCATCCTTAGGAAGAAATATGTCCTCATTTTTCTTGAACACCGTTTCCACTGAGTGAAATGTTTAGAAGGGACGCGCAGGGAGAACTTTATTTCCTACCAGGGAGTTCAGAGCCACCAAGCAGAGCCCATAAAGCACCCGGAGCCTGGGAGCTGACAGGCAGCCCGGCCCCAGAACACATTACTCACGGCTGGGGAGGGGCTGCCAGGCCTGCCCGGCCCCCTGGGACAGACCCCCACCCACCCACCGTTGAGGCAGGACAAGCAACTCTGAGACCCAGGGCCATGGGCGGTGGGCACTGCAGCCTCTCCTCCCCTTGAACCCAGGATGCCTGCGGGAGGGGGCCTGGCCCTGACCAGGTGAGCAGGCTACCTCCAGAGAGCAGTGAGATCAGGGGACTGGGGATGCGGTGCAGCTACAGGAACGCCCCTCTCACCCAGAGCTGGCAGGAGCCCTGGCCTGCCCCCGCCTACGGAGGGGGTGATGAGATTCATGCCATAACGGGGCCTTCTCCCGAGGCCCTCCCTTCATTTGATTTCTGAAGCCGGCTGATTTGAATATTTATAAATATCAGTAAATTATTTATTGTAGCAATCTGCTGCACCATTTTACCCATCGCAGTTAACACTTTAAGGGGCTCCGTGTTATGGGAACAGGAAGCGAGGGTGAGGAGGGGACGGGGCAGGGGAAGGAGTCCCCGCAGAGAGGCCTGGGATTTCCTAGGGCCGGCTTAGGGGCCCTAATGGGGATGGGGCCAAGTCCCAGCCTTCGGGAGCTCCTGGCCAGGGTGAGCTTGGGCTCTGGAGTGTCTACAGCCTCCTCCTCTATGAAATGGGACAATGACAGTGCCGGCTCCGCTGGGCCGTTACAAGTCATGCCTTAGTGCCCGGAAAGGTGGACGGTCCAGTCCATGCCCGTTTTCCCCAACCCTGTGCAGGGTCTCCTCAGCTCAGAGACCTGCGGGGAGACCTGCTGCTCGTGGCGCCCTGAGAGGGAAGGTCCCGAACCTAGGAATCCGAGGAGGGGCTGAGAGGCCAGCCCGCCCCTGCCCCAGACCTCTGGCCTCTTCTCTGTCCCCTGCCTCTTCCAGGCCAGGTAAGGTTTCTCAGCCTTGGAATCTCAAGCTCACGTGTGGCACCACATCTGCCTGGTGGCCCTCCCAGGGCTCAGCTGCTTTTTCCCAGGTTCATCCCTGCTAGGCCCTGTGCTTGGCACAGACAGGTGCCCTCTCTCACCTAACAGCCTGGCCGCCTTTCTACAGGGAAAAATCTTGCCCAGGGCCAGAGCTAGCGCAGGGCAGAGCTCCGCCGTGAGCTCCCAACTCCCTGACCCCAGAGGCTAGGCCATACCCTGGTGCTGCGCCAGAGCCCGTGGGGCCAGAGGCTGGAGGCCAAGAGCACCGCCACCAGCAGAGAGTGGGCTCTGACTGTGTGTGGGTCCCAGGCCCCGGCCCAGCCCACCTCGGCAGCCCCTCCCCTCGCCTCTCCCGTCTCTGGGGAAGCAGAGCAGGAGTCCCCTCGCCTTCCCACCCTCTGGCCCAAGCCTGCCTCCTGGGCAGTATTGTTCCCAGAGGAAGTGTCCAGTGTAAATAGAGCAGCGGGCAGGCTGGTGGCGGGAAGGAGATGAAAGGGGCAGTGACAGGGCCGGGGACGGATGGCTTCCTTCCATTGAGGCCTGGCCACGGCGTTTATATTTTAGGGAAGAAAGTCAGAGGAATGTTTACATGGACAGGAGTCTGGGGTCAGACCACAGCGGGGTGGGGGGCGGATCGTCTATGGATCCCAGGGCCCTGGGCCGGAAGGCGGCGGAAAGCTTAGACCTCAGCTCCAACGCACCCCTGTTCCCGCCGCCCAGCCTCACACGCGCTCGCACTTACAAACCTAAGCCCTACCTCTGCCTCCTGCCCCTGTGTCCCCGGCCCACACGCCTCCCACCTCCACCCCTGGGACCAGCAAGAGAGGGAGAGGGAGGGCAGCATCTGGAAGGCAGGTGGGCTGGGGCAGCGCGGCAGCTGGAGGGCAGGTGCCGGGGGAGTCGGCAGGAGCAAAGGGGCCTGGGGCTGGGGGCGGGTCCTGGGTACACAGCTGCACCGCAGCTGGTGGGGGCCCGGGCAGGGACTGAGCCAGGCACACAGCCGAGATGGGGAGAAGGTGGGCTGGGCTGGGTGGGCCAAAGTGCGGGGAGGCTCCAGGATGGGTGGGGGCCCGGGGAGGGGGCGTCACCAGCAGCAAGTGCGGCCCTGGGAGCTTCTGCTTCCCTCTTCCTTAGGATAAATATTTACAGATTCATTTGCTGTCTGCCATCCACACTTGGCTGCTTACCTCCTGGTAAAAATAGTGCAGGCTCCCCCACTCCCCCCTTCCCTTCCCCATCCAGGGCAAGGGATGAGGGGACCAGGTGAGGCCCGCTTCCCCGGAGGCCTGTTGGAGGACACCCGGCGTCACAGAACCTGCTGGGCAGCTCCGAGGTCGAGTGGGATGCTGTGAAGAGGAGGCCCCGTCTCAGAACTTCGAGAGGGGCCCCGCATCGTGCTTGGGGTCTTGGGTGTGGGTGGCACAGACTTGGAGATGTGGACGAACCTGGGTAGAGTGGGCATCGGCTTGGGCAAGTGTCTAAGGCCCTGAAGCCAGGGTCACAGGACTGGAAGGCCTGGGAGTGGGCTGAGAAGACCCTTCTCTGGCAGTGGGCCTGGCTGGGCTAGAGTCACCCTGTCTCGTCTGGGCCAAGTGAGCCATCCGTACTGGCCACTGGCTACAAGGGAAGGATCTGGCTGGGACGGCCAGGCACTGTGTCTATCAGGGGACGGTTATCTGTGCGTATGAGTCAAGTCCACCTCAGGGATGCGGCCCCTGGGTGGACCCAGGTATTGCCATTCCCGCCTGGGTAGGCCTCTCATCGGGTTTCCTGGCATGTGGAAAGTTGGCAGGGGGTGATCATTAGAGTGAAGCCCCTTCTGACCATGGAGCCGGGGGGCCCTGCCCTCAGCCTTCCCGCCTATGTGGAGACTCTGACACGCCCATTCCTCCCGTGAGGGCCATGGAGAGGCACATTTTGTTTTGTACACAGTGAGTGTGAGCCGAGCCCCTGCTGCTGTGGCCACTGCGCTGTCCCCAAGCCCCACCACAGGGTCTGGCCCACAGAAGGAGCTCACTAAATGGACGGACAGACAGACAGTTCCATGTGGCTGCGCTGTGTGTGCACGCGTGTGTGTGCGTGTGTGTGTGTCCACCCTCGCCAGCCTTTGTGGCAGGTCCCAGGCTGTGTGGTGGGTGGGCTTGCCGTATGCCCCCCCAGGACCCTCGGTGCCCTATCAGGGACAGAGTTTGGGCTATGCGGCCGCGAGGGAGGTCGCTGGCTCTCAAGTCGCCTCATGAGGGCTTCCTTCCGGCTGTGTGTGTCGGGCTGTCACATTCGGGGATTAGGTGCTGTGACCGGCGCTTCGGGGCGTTCCGTGAGGGACCTAAGCGATCCCACCCTGCACCTGCTGGAGCTCCTGGGGGCTGGGAAGTGGGCTGGCCAGGCCTTCCGGGGCTGCAGAGGCTGGCCGAGGCTGGGGAGCAAGGTCCTAGGATAGGGACAAGTGGCCCTAGGAAGTGCCATGAGGAACTCCACTTGGATGGCTCTGACTGAGGCTTGGGGAAGGGAGTGGCAACAGGAAATGGACAGAGAGGCCAAGAGGGGGCTGGCAAGGGCTGGAGAAGACCCTGAGGCAGGGAGGAGACTGAGGAACACGGAGGCCTTCGGGAGGGTCCTGAGTGGCTGGGAGAAAAGGAGATCTCTGCTCTCTGCTGAGCAGGGTTGGAGTCAGGTAGGGCCCAGGGACCTGGCCTGGCAGAGGAGCCGCCAGGGGCTGACGTGCTCGGGTGGGAGGGTGCCAGCCAAGTGCTGCCGGGACAGTGAGGCAAGAGGCTGGCACAAGCTGGTCCCTGGCTCTCTGTGACTCCTCCCCAGGAACGTGTGGTAAGGCAGGACGCTCCCAAGCGGAACAAGCTGCCAGGAATGCCACGCTGTCCCTTGACAGCCTGACCGCATAGCCGGCTCCTTAACCTCCCTGGGCCTCAGTTTCCTTGTGTGTCAAAGGGCACACCCCCTCCCAGGGCCCAGCAAGCCTAGGAAATGCCTCCAGGACCTGGGCGCCCCTTGTAGTTGAAGAGGCATTCATTCATTCATTTGTTCATTTACAGACTAGTTCTTGAACTACCTACTCTGTGCCAGGCACCCTGCCAGGCTCAGAAAGTAGAGTGATTCTCAAGCATGGCCACGGAGCTCATAGACTAGTGGGGGAGATAGACACATGCCAGGCAGTCTCAGGGCAGTTTGATGGCACTGTGGTCAATGGGGGAGGCCTGCAGCTTGGGGGATGCAGGGCTGTTCGGGAGGGTGGGTTGTTCTTGGCCTTGCACGCCTCTGACCTCCGTGCTCTCCTCCATCCCTGCAGCTGAGGGCACCCGGTGCACGGACCCGCCTGCAGGCAAGCCCGCCATGGCGCCCAAACGCAAGGGTGGCCTGAAGCTGAACGCCATCTGCGCCAAGCTGAGCCGCCAGGTGGTGGTGGAGAAGCGAGCTGACGCCGGCTCCCACACGGAGGGCAGCCCATCGCAGCCCCGGGACCAAGAGCGCAGTGGCCCTGAGTCTGGGGCAGCCCGGGCCCCCCGCAGCGAGGAAGACAAGAGACGGGCAGTGATCGAGAAGTGGGTGAACGGGGAGTACAGCGAGGAGCCGGCACCCACACCCGTGTTGGGGCGGATTGCCCGCGAGGGCCTGGAGCTGCCTCCCGAGGGTGTCTACATGGTGCAGCCCCAGGGGTGCAGCGATGAGGAAGACCACGCGGAGGAGCCCTCCAAGGACGGCGGTGCCCTGGAGGAGAAGGATTCGGACGGGGCAGCCTCCAAGGAGGACAGCGGCCCCAGCACCAGGCAGGCTTCAGGTGGGTGCCTGGCCTTCGAAGGGAGGCTGAAGGCCAGGACAGGGAGGCCAGTGGGGAAGGGGCAGTGTGTCTGGTAAGCACACCCGACTCCTCACTCCTGCTCTAAATACCGGCCCCTCATCCCACCCAGGGAGGGCTCCTGGAGTGGGAGAGACTAGGACGGGGAGGGGCACCCCAGGTGAGAAGGGAAGGGCTGCAGCTGCCCCACACACAGTGGGTCTTCAAGAAACCACAGGCAGAGGGGTGGACAGGTGGGGAGGGAGGGAGGGAGGGATAGACGGGTGGGTGGATAGACAGACGGATGGGATAGATGGCTGGACAGATGGTGGGCAGGTGACTCTTTACACACACCTGTGAGGCCTGAGCTTACCGGGCACAGTACCTGGCACAAGAGGGGCGCAGCGGTCAACGGCATGAGCCTGTGAGCCTGCTGTCTGCACATTCTGCTACTTACGGAGCTTTCTCGGAGGAGCCCAGGACAAGCTTTGTTCTCCTGCCACTCCCCTTGGCCTCCTCTTCCTTCCCTACACCGCTGTCCCTGGCCCTCCCAGCAGGACGTCTCAGGGCCACATGGATTGCCAGCCCGGCCAGCGTATCCTCTTACAGCCAGCTGCCCCGGCCACGGTCCCCTGGCTGACCTCTCTCCCACGAGGCACTGAGGCCCTGCTCTGCTGGTGTCTCCATGTCCATGTCCTGGGGATCGAGAGCAGCCCTGCGCGCCTTCTGCTCAGGGGAGGGTGGGCCGGGGGTTCCAGCAGGCAAGGGGGTCGCCAGGACCACAGCCCCCAGGTCTGGGCCTTCTCTCTGCCCCCGGCCTCCTTCCCAGCCTTGTGCCCGGTGCCCTGCGCCTCCCCTGCCCGCTCCCCTAGCCCTTCCCCTGCAGCAAGGGGTGCATCTCCTCCCCGTGCGGGGAGCCCTGCGCAGCCACATAATTATGCATGTAAGATATAAACAGAGCTGTTTAATTATCCTTCGCCACATCAGTGACAGAGTAATTAACAAACATTGCGAGATCAATGAGGAAAAGTGTGACCTTCAGTTTCCTCTGATAGGAAAAGCCCTTGCCGTTGCCAGACACAAGGTGATTGTGCTGGGCCTGAGGAGAGGAGAGGAGAGGAACGCGACAAGGGCCACCGTCCCCTCCACACCCCCACCCAGGCCAGCTCTGCCCGCAGCTGACGGGGAGCGGAGTGGGCCTCAGCCCCTGCCTCCTTCCCCCAGAGGAGTGGAGAGCGGGGCTGGCAGAGGCGGGCCTGGAACTGCCAATGGCCTCAGGGATCCAGGCCTCGCCCCCTCAGCCCGACACTGGGACTGCCTACTCAGCGCTGAGCGCTGGAGGACACAGACAGCGGAGCCTTGGCTGCCTCTGTGGGCTCGGCCCCCAAGCCACCTTCTCTGGGCCCTGGGCTCGGCCATGCAGGCCTGTGGGCCCCCTCAGGGACCCCTGCCTGGTCCCCTCCCTGTGCAAGCTGCCTGCCCTTCGAAGCCTGTTTCTCTGCCATATATAGCGAGGGCTCAGCTGCCTCCAGCTATTTTTAGCCCCTTTCCCTGGTCCCTGAGCCACTGAATCCAGCAGCCAGAGCCCACTCCTCCCTAGCTGGGCCCCCCAACCCTGTGTAGCTTGAGGTCAGGACAGCGGCTGACCCGCCAGCCCCGCCCCAGGGGAACAGCTGTCTTTTGGTTTCTTGAGTCCCTCTGTGCACCCTGGGTGCCAGGTGGCTGCCTGTGACTGTCCTCTCCTCCCCTAGCCGGGTCCCAGGCCCTCCCCGGAGCCCACAGCCTCTCCTTCCACATCCCGCCAGGTGTCCTCCCCTCCCCAGGCCCAGTCCTGCCCCTCTAGACCCCCATCCCAGGTGTCTCTGAGGATCCCAGACCTGGCAGGTTCGCCTGGGAGGAGACCCCCCAGCCACGCCTTCCCTTGGCTGTGTAGTCAGCCTGGGGTCCTGCCGCCCCAAGTGTGCCCACGTGGCTGGCTTGCACATGAGCAGAGAGAACATGGTGTCCCCGGGGGCCGTGCAGGTCTCAGTCTCGCGGGTGCACCTAACCCTGATGCAGGGCATGGCACACGGGAGGCATGTAGCACAC
Organism: Homo sapiens; assembly: GCF_000001405.40. Taxonomy (NCBI): domain Eukaryota; kingdom Metazoa; phylum Chordata; class Mammalia; order Primates; family Hominidae; genus Homo; species Homo sapiens. Next base: position 10,662,997 of record NC_000001.11, on the reverse strand, counting down.
GGGCAGTGAAGGGGCAGGTGTGCGTGTGCACTGGGGTCACGGCTCGGCCATGGGGTGGGGCATGTGCGGAAGAGGTGGGTCCGCAAGAACAGCTCAGAATTAGCCTGGGACTGACCGCCTTCTCCCTCATTCCGAGAGACCCAGGGCAGGGGTTCAGGGGGTTGTGTACCTGTATGTCTGCAGAGGCAGGAAGGCGGCTAGGGATGGGAGCTGGTGAGCCCGAGTGTGAGCGCAAGAGTCTGTGAGGTGTGTGAGTGTGTGGTGTCTGTGAGTCTGTATGAGTGTGTGTGTTGTGTCTGGGTATGTGTGTTTTATGTGAGAGTCTGCATGTGACTGTGTGGGGGTGAGCAAGTATATGAGTTTTATGTGACTGCGTGTCTGGATGTATGTGAGAGTGTGTGTGATTGTGTGTGTGATTGTGAGCACATGACTGGGTGTGTAGAGTGTGTGTGATTGCATGTGTGTTGTGTGTGACTGTGTGCATGTGACCGTGTGTGGGTTTATGTATGTGATGGCATGTGTGTGCATATGACTGTGCGTATGTGCGGGTGAGAGTGTGTAATAAGGCATGTGTGTATTGTATGTGATTGTATGCACGTGATTGGGTGTGTGGGTGTGAAAGTATGAGAATGCACATGTGTGTTGTATGTGATTGTGAGCATGTGACTGTGTGTGGGGGTGGGTGGGTGTCAATGTATGTGTGTGTTGTATGTGATTGTGAGCATGTGACTGTGTGTGGGGGTGGGTGGGTGTCAATGTATGTGTGTGTTTTATGTGATTGCATGTGACTGTGCGTGGGGATATGAGAGTGTATGAGAATGCATGTGTGTGTTGTGACTGTGTGTAGGTGTGTGAGTGTATGCGAATGCATGTGTGCGTTGTATGTCATTGTGTGCATGTAACTGTGTAGGGTGTGTGTGAGAATGCGTGTGTGTTATAGGTGATTGTGAGAATGTGGGTGTGTGAGAGTGTATGAGAATGCATGTGTGTGTTGTATGTGATTGTGTGCATGTAATTAACTGGGTTTATGTGAGTGTGTATGTGATGGCGTATGAGTGCATGCGACTGTGGGTGTGTGAGAGTGTATGAGAATGCATATGTGTGTTGTATGTGATTGCATGTGACTGTGTAAGAGTGTATGAGAATGCATGTGTGTGTTGTATGTGATTGTGTACATGTGACTGTGGGTGTGTGTGTGAGAATGGATGTGTGTGTTGTGAATGCATGTGACTGTGGGTGAGAGTATGAGAATGCATGTGTATGTTTTGTGTGTGTGTGCATGTGACTGTGTAGGTGTGTTTGAGAATGCATGTGTGTGTTGTATGTGATCGTGTGAATGTGACCGTGTGTGTGTTTGAGAATGCATGTGTGTGTTGTATGTGATTGTGTGAATGTGACCGTGTTGGGTGTGTGTGTTTGAGAATGCATGTGTGTGTTGTATGTGATCGTGTGAATGTCACTGTGTGTGTGTTTGAGAATGCATGTGTGTGTTGTATGTGATTGTGTGCATGTGACCGTGTGTGTGTGTGTGAGAATGCATGTGTGTGTTGTATGGGATCATGTGCATGTGACTGTGTGTGGGTTTGTGTGTGTGAGTGTGTGTTGATATGTGAGAATGTGTGTGTATGTCACTGTGGGGAGGTGGCTCCAGGCTTCCTGGTGTGCCCGGGGTGGCCACAGTAAGGAGGCTGCACTCAGGCCCTGCCCGGACTCCTGCCCTCCCCGGGTGGCCCAACCTTGTGTGACTGCAAGTGACTGGAGGAGGCCAGGGGGTTGGAGGACGTGTCCAGGTCCTATGTCACAGGCCAGGGGCACATCCACACACCTGCGCCCCTGGCTGAGCTGTGTTGTCAGGGACCCTCAGCACCTGGGAAGGTGTGGGGAGGCCAAGAGGCCAGGTCCTAGGAAGGCTTGTAGTGGACCCTTCATCTGCCCAGGGGATCCATTTGTGGGGTCAAGGGAGGTCCTCCAGCCAGGCCCACCCCGACCCCGGCCAGAGCATCTTCCCCACCCCTGGGCTCCCACCCAGCTGCCCACTGGCCCACGTCCCTACCTGTCCCCGGTTCTTGCCGCTCCCTGTCCTGGGAGGCAGGTTGGGATCTGGCCTTACTTCCAGTAAAATGACTTCTCTTTCATATTAGGCCAAGGCGAGAGAGCGGAGACATTTATGAAACTTTGTTTAATGTACTGAAAAGCCATCGGCCAGAACATTTAGGAAATTGATTTTCCTGGCATTGATGAACTCGTTTTATTTTACCCCAGTATTAATTACTTTTTTTTAAAACAAATTAATTTAAGAGTCGTAAAACCTAACAAGTGAGCCAAACGTCCATAGATCGTGTCCTGCTCCGCCCCTCCCCACACTGACCCCCTCCCTCTATGGGTGGGGGCCCCCAGTGGGGGGACCTCCTGTCCCTCCCACTCCCTCCCAGAGGTGATGCGCCCCCATCCTCCTCTGCAGGAGAGGCCTCCTCGCTGCGGGACTACGCGGCCTCCACCATGACCGAGTTCCTCGGCATGTTTGGCTATGATGACCAGAACACGCGGGACGAGCTGGCCAGGAAGATCAGCTTTGAGAAGCTGCACGCGGGCTCCACCCCGGAGGCAGCCACCTCCTCCATGCTGCCCACCTCCGAGGATACCCTCAGCAAGCGGGCGCGGTTCTCTAAGTATGAGGAGTACATCCGCAAGCTCAAGGCTGGCGAGCAGCTCTCCTGGCCGGCCCCCAGCACCAAGACCGAGGAGCGGGTGGGCAAGGAGGTGGTGGGCACCCTGCCCGGCCTGCGGCTGCCCAGCAGCACGGCCCACCTGGAGACCAAGGCCACCATCCTGCCCCTGCCGTCGCACAGCAGTGTCCAGATGCAGAACCTGGTAGCCCGGGCCTCCAAGTACGACTTCTTCATCCAAAAACTGAAGACCGGCGAGAATCTGCGGCCCCAGAACGGGAGCACCTACAAGAAGCCATCCAAGTACGACCTGGAGAATGTCAAGTACCTGCACCTCTTCAAACCCGGGGAGGGCAGCCCCGACATGGGCGGGGCCATCGCCTTCAAGACAGGCAAGGTGGGGCGCCCTTCCAAGTACGACGTCCGGGGCATCCAGAAGCCAGGCCCCGCCAAGGTTCCGCCCACCCCCAGCCTGGCTCCCGCACCCCTCGCCAGCGTGCCCAGTGCCCCCAGCGCCCCCGGGCCAGGGCCAGAGCCTCCTGCCTCCCTGTCCTTCAACACTCCCGAGTACCTGAAGTCAACCTTCTCCAAAACAGACTCCATCACCACGGGGACCGTCTCCACTGTCAAGTAAGGCGCTCCCCACCCCACAATGCCCAGAGCCAGGAGCCAGACTAGACAGGAGGCCTCCTTCCTCACCAGGGTTGCCCGTGCTTGAGGACACACCTGCCGCTCACACCTTATACACATCCACTGTGCATCCAGGCGCGTGCACACTCAGGCTCCCATCCATGCGCTTCCACACACACAGGTGCGCGCCGCACTCACATTCACTCTTGCACCTACAGAACCATGCGTGAGCCCTCCTGCAGCGCCCCCCCGCTCCTGGACCTGCGCGTGCACCTCGCACACGCCCCCCACACACGCCACCCACACACGCCCACACTCCCAGGCACAAGTGTGCTCTGCCTTTTGCTAGCATGCACACCGGGACTGCCCATGACAGCACACCCCATCTGCCCATGACAGGCTTTCTCTACCTGCTGCCATGGGTGCTGAATGCAGGCCTGTGGTTGGCTGAGAAGGCGCCACCCTGGCTGGGGATGCTGGGTCCATGCTGGTGGCCCTGGCTCCTGGGCTCAGAGCCTGGGCCCTGGGGGAGGCAGGAAGCAAAGGTAGTGACCGGGGTTAGGTGCATACACCCTTACAGCCTGAACCCATGGGCAGGGGAACGGCCTGGGTAGTCAAGTAGTGGATGGTGTGGGGCTGAGCGAGACCCTTCCCCAGAGCTCCTCCTGAACCCTGGGGGGGCTCCCGGACCCCAGGGGGCTGCATGCCTTGGAGCAGATCAGGGCGGCCCCTGCTGCCTGGGGAAGGATACACTTCCCCTGCCCAGCTGCCTGCCCCCACCTCGAATCCCTCCCTGTTGGGAGGCCTGGTGCCCCTCAGCCAGCGGCCTCCTGATGCTCCCTGAATGCTGGGTGCCGAGCCCGGGCTTCTGTGGCTTGCCAGCCCGTGCCCAAGGGGGCTGCAGCCCCACCTGCACGAGATGGCACTGCCCTCCCAGAGTTGGGCTCGTTGAACCTCTGGCCAGCTTCTGCCAGGGATGTCCTCAGTCCCACCGTGGGTGCCTCGGACACTGCAGAGCAGAGCAGAGGGGCTGGGGCCTCAGGGCAGGGGCTGCCCACCAGATGCCCCTGTAACACGAGGCTGCCCCATCTGCTCACCGGCTGTGCCCTGTGTGTCTCTTGCCAGGAACGGACTGCCCACAGATAAACCAGCCGTCACTGAAGATGTAAACATTTACCAGAAATATATTGCCAGGTAGGCCCCTGGGGAGGAGCCTGCCGTGGAGAGAAGGTGGGGGGCCAGGACTGACCGGGCACTCTGAGGCCATTCGTTTGATATCTGACCTCTAGGGCCAAGGTAGCTGCCTCCTCCCATCCCCATCCACTTCGGTCCCTCCACCGCACCGAGGGCTGCCCTGCACGCCCGTTTGGGAGCCTCCCTCCGCTCTGTGTAGTCCAGGCCACACATTCCCTCAGCAGCCTGTGCCCCCAGTTAGGGCCGGGGTCCCGACGCAGGGCCTGGCCACAGGTGAGTGCAGCTCCCCCAGCTTGCCTGGGTCCTGCTGTCACACAGAGCCTTGAGTAGGGTGCAGGCCACCGTGAAACTGTCAGGGCTGGGAAGGTAGAGGCAGGCCAGGTGCAGTGGCTCATGCCTGTAATCCCAGCACTGTGGGAGGCCAAGATGGGAGGATCACTTGAGGCCAGGAGTTTGAGATCATCCTGGGCAACAGAGTGAGACCCTATCTCTTTAAAAAAAAAAAAAAAAAGAGAGAGAGAAAGCGAGAGAGAAGGTGTGGGCTGTCGTCCTCTCTGACACAGCCCAATGCACTTCCCCAGTGAGGCTCTGACACCACCTGACTCCAGACCAACCCCTTTCCATCCCAAAGGCAGTGGGATTGGCAGTGAAGAGCCTTTGCCTCAACAGATTCCCCCAAATCACACAAATAACACCCCCCGCCCCCACCCCCCCACCGCCTGCCCTCTGATGGGGCAGCACCCAGCGGCTGGCGCCTGTCTGTCCGCAGATCTTCCAGGTTCCTCCCGCCCGCTCTGTCTCTCCGCCTCCACGTCCCACTCTGTCTCCGATCCCCTGTCCTGCTCTGTCTCTGTCCACCCCCATCCCACTGTCTCCGCCCCCCTGTCCCACTCTGTCTTCAGCTCTGCCCCGTGCTGTCTCCTCTGTGGTATTATTATTACCATTATTATTAGTGCCTCCGCAGATGGCCCTTTTGGCCACTTCAGCCTAAATATTTGTTTGCACGTGGTTTTCCCATTACAGTATGGGGTTTCTCTCTGTGTCTCCTGCAATCTCACTTCAGTCTTGGAGGGGTACAGGCGGGCTGAGTCACACCCTTCTCCACAGTCGTCATGGTGTGGCCTCTCCAGAGTGGCCTCCCCACGGCCGGCCGTCACCGAGGCTGTGGGAGCCACGTCCCAGCGGCCCTGGGGCCTGGAGGAGGACGGGTTTCCTGGGAGGCAGCACAGGTTCCTGGCGGTGGCGGCGGCGGCTGGAGAGTGAGCTCGTTGCTGTAGGAAGCCAAACAGATGCTGTGCTTTAAAAATTCATAGCTCTGCACTGTTTCAAGTGTCAGGAAAAGCCCAGGACAGAGAGAGCCCTTTAACACCTCTCAGCATCAGAGCCCGGCTGGCCCAGCCAGGGTCTCTGCACCTGGCCAGAACTGGGCGGGCTGGGAGTGGGGCAGGTAGCCCCTGCAGAAAAGACAGGTGGGCAGCCGAGGGGGCGCCTGCCTTCCCTTCCATCCCAGGGCTCGGGCCCCATCTGTCTCCCCCTACTTTGACTTTTGGCCACCTCAGTGTTGTCCTGCCCCTTTCTTGGGGCCAGGCCTCTTTGCCTCAATGGGCCTGGGATTCCCGCCAGGCCCAGTCACTTGCCTGGGCCTCTGCAACTTCACCTCCCCTCTGCATCCCATACAGGGCCCGAAGAGTCCTCCCTGGGGCTGGGGCTGGGGCTGGGGCTGGGACTGTCACCCACAGCAGGGCCCTGACCCCACCCCTCCTCCCTCCAGGTTCTCGGGCAGCCAGCACTGTGGCCACATCCACTGTGCCTACCAGTACCGCGAGCACTACCACTGCCTTGACCCTGAGTGTAACTACCAGGTACGGCCACAGCCAGATGGGCTCCGCCTCTCCGCCACCAGCACAGCATGGAGGCGCTTAGAAGTCGGCAGGCGGGGACGGCAGTGGGGGGGGTTAGTTCTAGTTGCACCACCCAAACTTGACTTGAGCAGGTAGAGGGCCCGCAAAACCACCAGCCTGCCCACATTCCCCGATTCCTGCCGACAGAGCAGCTCCTACGATTGGGGGCCAGTGACCTCCCAGTGGTGATCATTCCAGTCCCCTTTGACTGAGAGCCTCCCACGTGCCCAGGGCCATGCCAGCCAGCCTATGAGCCTTGCCTAATTGACTCTTTGCAGTGGCCTTAGAAGGTTAGCATTACTGCCCCATCTTAAAGATGATAAAATTGTGGCTCAGCCAGAGTGCCACTGTGCCCAAGGCTGCCCGCCAGTGAGCGCGGGGCTGGTGAGTGGGGGGAGAGTCAGGGCAGCCTGCGTGGGGTGGCTCCCTCTGGCTTGCCAGGGATCCCAGCCTGCCTTAGTCCAGAGGTGCACTGGGCGGGATGAGCTGTCAGCATCAGAGCCCCTGCCCTCAAGGCCTGGCCCAATGCATCATCTGTGCTCCTGGGGATGGCCACTGGGCACCTAGGGGAGCATCGGGGAAGAATCTATGGTCCTAGAACCTTTGGGATGGTTCCCTCCAAGGGCTGATGTGCCTGCCACTGGCCTTGGACAATCTGGGCTGCCTTGACCCCAAGCAGGGTTCTTTCTAGGGAGACCTGAGGCCAGCACCTGGCCCAGGTGCTCTTGGCATATGGGAGGAAGGGCGGAGGGGGAGCTCAGGCTCCTGCCCACGTGGCGCTGTCTCCTGGCAGAGGTTCACGAGTAAGCAGGACGTGATCCGCCACTACAACATGCACAAGAAGCGCGACAACTCCCTGCAGCACGGCTTCATGCGTTTCAGCCCGCTGGACGACTGCAGCGTCTACTACCACGGCTGCCACCTCAATGGGAAGAGCACCCACTATCACTGCATGCAGGTGCCTCCCGCACCCGGGCCCACTGGGCAGCTGCAGGACTGGCCCAGGCCCTCCCGGCTCTGAGCCCCCCACTCCCAGAGGCAGGGCTGCCCCATGGGCAGGGACCCCAGTTGATCAGGAGCCTCTCTTTCCCCTGGCCCAGCACAGGGATGGCCAGCGAGCCAGGAGGGTCCTGGGGGTTCAGGCTTGGGCAGCGTCTGGTGGGCCAGGGTGGGGCCTTCCCCATGGCCATACTTGGTGTGGATGAAATTCAGTGAGCTGTTTATACAGATGGACATTTTTCAGGCTTTAACACCAAGAGCAGCATTGCAAATGATTCCTGAGGAGGTTTTTGTTTAATTCTTTGTTTTAATGCCACGCAGAGTCTGGGCTTTTTCAAGGTGTCAGGGCCAGGAGGAGCGACTTTGGGTTGCAAATAGCAGCCCTATGCCTCCCCCGGTATTTGTCAGGAGTTGTTATGGCCTCTGTGAACAACCTGGGCCACGAGGAGAGGGGGGCCACCCTCTGGGCTCTGAGATGGTGCAGACACTGGCACGGCCCAGCCTACGAGAGTGTTCGGATTCCACGGGTTTTTACTCAATATGGCAACGTTGCCTTCCTGGCCCAGCTGGGGTGGGGTGGGAGGGCCCCGTGCCCAGGGACTGTCCACTAAGCAAATCCCTGGGCTAAAGGTGACCTCCAGGGTCCAGCCCCTGTCCACCCACTGAGGGTTTTAGAGGTAGGGCCATGGATTGGAACTCAAAATCCAACTCCTGCAGGATGCAGCTCCCTCCCCTGGGCCAAAAAGTGCCCTGAGTCTCCGGAGATGCCCTGATCCTCAGCACAGACGGAGCCAGGCTCCAGCAGCACTTGGTCCCTCTGTGGAGGCCTGAGGGGCTGTTGGAGGCTTTCTACTCTGCTTCCTACATCAACATCCCGAGGCCTCCAGTTTGAAGTCAGAGGTGCCAAAGCTTCCCTGAGCAGGGAAGTCAGTGGCCCCAGCCACACACAGTGGTGTCGACCTCGGCCCAGGAGCACCTGGCCTCCGTTCGCCTGACCACCATCCCGTCCTGTGCAGGTGGGCTGTAACAAGGTGTACACGAGCACGTCTGACGTGATGACCCACGAGAACTTCCACAAGAAGAATACCCAGCTCATTAACGACGGCTTCCAGCGCTTCCGAGCCACCGAAGACTGTGGCACAGCCGACTGCCAGTTCTACGGACAGAAGACCACGCACTTCCACTGCAGGTAAGCGGGAGCCTGGTGGGGGCCTTCGTGGGCAGAAGCGGGGAGGGAAGGCAAGGACCCAGGCTCGTGGGACGGCTCAGGCCCCTGCCTCGGTGTCCAGCCTGGGTTTTCCACCCGGGGGACTGTCCCTCCCAGGGCCATGGTGTAGCAGGGTGGGGCCTCCTCTGGGTCTCATGACAGGCTCCCAATGTCCCATCCAGGCGCCCCGGCTGCACATTCACTTTCAAGAACAAGTGTGACATCGAGAAGCACAAGAGCTACCACATCAAGGACGATGCCTACGCCAAGGACGGCTTCAAGAAGTTCTACAAGTACGAGGAGTGCAAGTACGAGGGCTGCGTGTACAGCAAGGCTACCAACCACTTCCACTGCATCCGCGCCGGCTGCGGCTTCACCTTCACCTCCACCAGCCAGATGACCTCTCACAAGCGCAAGCATGAGCGCCGGCACATCCGCTCCTCGGGCGCGCTGGGGCTGCCGCCCTCGCTGCTGGGCGCCAAGGACACGGAGCACGAGGAGTCCAGCAACGACGACCTTGTTGACTTCTCCGCCCTGAGCAGCAAGAACTCCAGCCTGAGCGCCTCCCCTACCAGCCAGCAGTCCTCTGCGTCCCTGGCTGCCGCCACTGCCGCCACCGAGGCTGGGCCCAGTGCCACCAAACCTCCCAACAGCAAGATCTCGGGGCTGCTGCCCCAGGGCCTGCCTGGCTCAATCCCCCTGGCCCTGGCCCTCTCCAACTCGGGCCTGCCCACCCCCACGCCCTACTTCCCCATACTGGCTGGCCGTGGGAGCACCTCCCTGCCTGTGGGCACCCCCAGCCTCCTGGGTGCCGTGTCGTCTGGGTCAGCAGCCTCAGCCACCCCTGACACACCCACGCTGGTCGCCTCGGGAGCTGGAGACTCAGCCCCCGTGGCTGCCGCCTCTGTCCCGGCACCACCCGCCTCCATCATGGAGAGGATCTCTGCAAGCAAGGGCCTCATCTCGCCCATGATGGCCAGGCTGGCTGCAGCTGCCCTCAAGCCCTCTGCCACCTTTGACCCAGGTGAGCAGGCTGGGTCCTGCCCAGAAAGCAGGCACCTTCTGGACTGGGGTGGCCACCTGGCCTCAGGCTGCAGAGCAGAGTCGGGGGGTGTTTGGAAGAAGTGTCCGTGTGGCCCCTGCTTGCCAGCACCCCCTCTTTGCCTGATCTTCGCCCCCATCCTGTTGGTTTCTATGTGGGGCCCCTGGTTCTGGCTCCCCACAGTAGGGGGGCCATGCTTCTGTTTCCCCATCTGTGAGCTGGGGGCGATGGTCCCTGCCTCCTCGGCTGCCCTGCATCCCTGGGGCCACTGCAGGTCCCCCCTCCCTGTCTGCTCACCCTCCCACATCCCAAGTCCACCCTGATAAGAGCAGGCCCAGGGCCCCTGGCGTGCCGAGCGTTTCCTCCAGCTGACCTGGAGCAGGGCCTGCGTCCAGCCCAGCGGTAGTGGGGCTGCACCTCACACCTGGACACCTCCAGGCCCAGGGACGCCCTTCCCAGGCTCCCTCCTCCATGAGTGCCATTGCAGTAGGACTTTCCAGGCCTTGGAAGCCTTCTATTCTGCAGTGTTTGACTTGGCAGCCACTGGCCACGTGTGACTGTTGGTGCTTGAAGCTGGGTCTGTGATTGGGAAGCGGGATTGTCACTTTAAACAACCACACTTGGCCAGGGACTGCCACGTCAGACAGAAAAGGGCCAGAGCCCCGGAGTTGCATCTTCCTTCTTCACGCTGGTTCACTGAGGGGCGCAGTTCTCTTTCCTGCCTTCCTATAATTTCATAAATATCCATTTTAAAAAAATTTCCCTCCATTTTTCTCTGGATTGGGGTGAGGGTGTTTTCTGTTTACCTCACTCCTCTCCCAGTTTCCCTGCTCTGGGTAGTTCCTATTTGTTGAATCCTTGAGGAGAGTTCCGTTCACATCTGGGATGTGGCTCATTTCACTTATTCATTCAACAACCACTGATGCTTGCTGAGAGCCAGGCTCCAAGCCGGGTGCTGGGGACACAGCAGGCGGGACGCCAGACAGAGCCCCACGCCGTGGAGCCAGCAGACGGTCAGGGATGGTCTGTCCCGGGCACATGGCTAGGAAGTGGTGAACCAAGGCGCTGCCCGCAGGAGTGGGGCTCCTGGGCCTAGATGCCCTGTTCCCATTCGAAACCCTCTCAGAACCAGCCAAGACTGAGGGTCCCTGTGGCCCAGTCTGGGGCTCTGCCCACACCTTGCAGAGGCTGCCAGTGCTTGGCAGGGGAGCTGGGCCGTTTTCCTGGGACCTTGGGCAGGTGACTTTGGAGAGCTGCTGGAATGTGAAGTCCCAAGGTCTGAAAACTCTCACAGGCCCAATAGGACGCTCATGCCCGGTGGCCGCGTGGAGGGACCGCCTCCTGGTCCAGGCATGGGTGGGGCCTCGCTGGCCACGCCCTTCCAGCCAGGTGCCTGATGGATGGGGCAGGGCCCACTCCAGGGCCACGTGGGCTCGGTGGCCAGACTGTCAAGTACTTTGTTTTCATTAGAAAAGTCTCCTTCTCCCAAAAGAAAGATCAAGCACAGGGGAGGGGGCCGTTTTATTTTTTAATAAAATGCCACTTGCTGTTTCTGAAGCAGCACTCTGTCAGCTACAGCACCTTGGGGCAAATTCATATTTCCGTCACTGGGGGATTGTAGGGGAAAGCTCGCTGGATGGCCCTGTCAGCAACTTCTTTTACCCCTGCTCTGCTGGCCTCCTGCGGCCTCACCCGCCCAGCTCCCTTCCGGACCCAGCTCGGCCCAGCCTGGCCTCGTGTCCCTGCCCCGGATAGCTTGACTGCGAGGTCACCCGGTGTGGCCGCTCTGATTGGCCATCGGCCCCATCGCCCTGACACAGCAGAGGCCCTTCCTGGGCATGCTCCGTGCGGGGGCCGTCACCCCAGCAACCGCGGGCTGGGGACCACAGAGGGGCCCTCCCAGTCCAGATCTGCCACTTTCCCTCAGCATTAACAGAGTCTTTAATAAAAGCCTAAGCGGCAGCCCCACAAATCGACTGTGACAGTTGGTGGAGAAAATGAAGGGCCCCCGCCCCCACCCCAGCCCCCTCCCCAGCCTCCCGCCCTTCTCCTCCAGGAGGCCCTGAGCCAGGACAACTTTGACATAATTTTGCAATAATTATCACTTGAAGAATTGCCACACAGGAGCGAGCGTCGCGAGCGATCACGTCAGCGGGAGAAGCGCTGACCAGTAGCCGGGGCCCACCCAGCCCACTGCCCTCCCTCCAGGGGGCACGGCGGCTGTCTGTGCCCGGGCCAGGCCTTCAGCCCCTCTGACGCATCTTCCCACCCCTCCCCTGCAGGAAGCGGGCAGCAGGTCACCCCAGCCAGGTTCCCCCCGGCCCAAGTGAAGCCGGAACCCGGTGAGAGCACCGGCGCCCCAGGCCCCCACGAAGCCTCCCAGGACCGCAGTCTAGACCTGACTGTGAAGGAGCCCAGGTGAGGCGAGGCCCCCTATGGGAGCCAGCCCCGGGAACCACACCTTCGAGCTGGAGCCCCGGGGTGGTCCCGCCCAGGCAGTTGCAGCGGGCTCGGCTGGAGCCCCAGGGTCGGGCAGGGAAGGTGAGCCCCAGGGCCCAGGCCCCGGCCGTCTGAGCTCAAGTCCCTTGGTTTGTGTGTTCTAGCAACGAATCAAATGGCCACGCAGTCCCGGCAAATTCATCTCTTTTATCCTCGCTTATGAATAAGGTAAGAGCCATCCATCACACGCCTCCCGTTCCCCCACCCAGAGAAATTAAAGCTGTGCTGGGGGGTGGGGGGATGTGTTTGTTTTTTAATGTTTTGCCTCTAATAAGATGAGTTTGTACCATTTAAATTTTGAGGCCATTTTTCATCGGATATAATTTCAGAGCCACTGCTTACAAATTAATTTAATGAACTGGCTGAAGAAATATATTCCAGCCTCTGACACCTTTTTTTCCCTTCAGATGGAGGGCTCCAAAAGCTTTTCCAGAGCCCTTCAACTTCGTTCGTGCCTCGTTATTAATTTTATTTATTTATTTTATATATATTTTTTGTTTGTTTAAAAGGGGATGGGGGAGGGGGGACTAAAGTGGGAGCAAAACATCAATTTCCACTTTTCCGGTTGAGTAATGGTCTCGGACGCCTTCCGGAGAGGTCGCTCCGGAATATTTATTTTAAATAATGCAGGGTCTTTGTAAATTATACATCATCTCAAATACATTTTTCCCCTTCACATGATACATTTGACTACAGCAAGATTAATTCGGTTACTGTACACAAGTGACTGCCCTGAGGAGGGGCCGGGCCCGGGCCGGACCTCTCGCCGCAGGGCCCCAGCCGGGCACTCGGTGGGGAAGGAGCCTCACTGGTCCGTGGCATCCACTCCTTGGCCACTTGCCCTCTTGCTCTCCTTCCCCCTCCCCTTCCTTTGGCCTCCGCCCCCACGACCCCCTCCCTTCCCTTGGATCCTCGCAATGACCCCCTCCCGGCCGCTGCAGCAAGCCTGTCTGGGTCTCACCCGTGAGCCTCCCTCCCTCCCTCCCTCCCTCTCTCTCCTTTGTGGGCCTCCTCTTGTTCTCAAGGAATTCGTAGGGGTTCCCCCATCCCTCCTCCTTCTGCGCTTCTTTTGAAAACCTTCTGGCAGGAAAATAACCAGGGAGCCGCGAAGTCTGGGGAAAGATGGGCTGCAGCGTGCACCCTGAGTCGCGGCCTCGGCTTGAGTGATGGATCCCGCGGCACGGGCTCATGTGGAGGAGCCCTGAGGAGGCCTCGCAGCTCCTGGGGTCGGGGCAGCACAGCAGGCTCTCTGTTCAGAGAGGGCCCAGCCACAGCCAGAGCCAAGTAGGCGGGCCGCATTCTCTGCTGGCTCTGAGGGCTGGGTGGGTCCCAGCAGCCCAGAGCTTCGGCTGTTGCTCCCCAGGCTGCCGTGTCTGTGTTCTAAGCTACCCCAGCCCCATGCTCGGCCTCTGTCCCTCACAGATGTCTCAGGGCAACCCTGGCCTGGGCAGCCTGCTGAACATCAAGGCGGAAGCGGAGGGGAGCCCCGCTGCGGAGCCCTCGCCCTTCCTAGGCAAGGCCGTGAAGGCGCTGGTTCAGGAGAAGTTGGCAGAGCCCTGGAAGGTGTACCTGCGCAGGTGAGGGGCTGCTGGCCGCGTCCACCCATCGTCCCCCCGCACCCGCCCTGGAGCCCCAGGCTCTCCTCTAACGCCAGCTCCTCTGGCTAGGTTTGGTACAAAGGACTTCTGTGACGGCCAGTGTGACTTCCTCCACAAGGCCCACTTCCACTGCGTGGTGGAGGAATGCGGCGCGCTCTTCAGCACCTTGGACGGGGCCATCAAGCACGCAAAGTGAGTAGGGTGCTGGGGGCCATTTCCACAGAGCCCCACGGATCCCAGCCTGGCTCTGGGGTGGGTGGGGCTCAGGCTGGTACAGCAGTTCCCGCTGGGCCACAGAAGCTGAGCCGGCTTCTCGGAGATGCTGCCCCAGCAAGGGTGGGCTTCCCATCCTCCTTCACACATGCAGCCCTCAGCCGGGGGCTCTGAGCCCCTGTCCAGGCCCTTCCTGGGACCCTGAGCAACAGCTGCTGCTGCACCCACGTCCCCAGGGCAGCCATCAGTCCCAGCACGTGCTCCCTGCAGAGCAGGCCAGAGGGGCACAGAGCCCAGCTGGAGAGACTCGGCTGTGACCTGGAGCAGGAACCCTAGCTGAAGGCCTTTCCAAGCCACAATATTACATCTCTAGGTTACCTTTGACCTAAACATAATGAAATGAATTTGTAAATCCCATTGAGTTAAAAGGCTTCGAGCCTAGCCGCCCACTTATAAGGGAACTCAGAACTTGAAATCGTTTAAAACAGACCTGCAGTGCTCCCAAGGCTTTTCCGACCGCGTAGGCACCCTCGGCCGTAGCCCGCGGGGAAGCCTGCTGTGAATACTGAGAATCCTACCTTTAAGACCTCCGAGCAGGTTCTGGAAGGAAGAGGCTTCCTGGGGCAGGGCCTGCTGTCACACATATGGAGGAGCTGGGGACCGAGGAAGGGCACAAGTAGGAAGGCATGGTTAGGCCCAAGCCAGGAGACCAAGTTCGGAACCAGGGGACGCTGCAGTTTGCCCTCCAGTCCTTCTGTCCTGGTGGGGTCACAGGGGACTTCTGGAGCTGAGTGATGGGGACGAGTAGGGACGGACACCGGGGTCTAGGCCTGTGATGGGGTCACATGCATGCCCCTCCACACCTGTCTTCACTGCCCCCCATGAGACCCCCTCTTCTACCTCTCGCAGCTTCCACTTCCGGACAGAGGGAGGAGCAGCAAAAGGAAACACAGAGGCTGCCTTTCCGGCCTCGGCCGCCGAGACCAAACCTCCCATGGCCCCCTCGTCCCCTCCGGTCCCTCCTGTCACCACGGCCACGGTGTCCTCTCTGGAGGGGCCCGCTCCCAGCCCGGCCTCCGTGCCCTCCACCCCCACCCTGCTCGCCTGGAAGCAGCTGGCTTCCACCATACCCCAGATGCCTCAGATCCCAGCGTCAGTGCCTCACCTGCCCGCCTCGCCCTTGGCAACGACTTCTCTAGAGAACGCCAAGCCCCAGGTCAAACCCGGATTCCTCCAGTTCCAGGAGAAGTGAGTCCCTCGATGAGCCGGGAGTCCCGCGTTCCCCTCGCGTCTCGGGAGTAGGTGCTAGCAAGGGCGCTAGGAGGCCCTGTTCCTCACTGCGGATGGTGCTGCTGTCCCCAGCCTCTCTGGGGCATGGCCATCGGGTGATGTCCTTCTAGCCAAAGATGCTGCTGCTCCTACCTCACTGCCTGTCCCAGAGCAGGCCAGCCCGCGTGGGCCGATGGTGGCGGCAGTGGCTACTGCTCCTGCAGGGCATGTGGTGATCCTGCCAGGGCCAGGTGGGGTGGACTGGGCGTGGTGGTCCTCAGAGGACAACTCCCAGCCTGACAAGGAGGGCTGCGTCTCCCTCCGAGCCTCCGTATTGGCCTCCTCTGTGGCTCACACCCATGGCTGAATCTCTGCAGGGCACGTGAAGTCACGGGTAGGGGCCAGGCCCCTCCAGGCCGTCACTGGCCTGCACAGTGGTCTGAGCTCTTGGGTGGAAGGGACCCTCCTCACTGGATGGTGGTGGCTCCTTGCAGGGAGAACGGTGACTTTGTATTGTCATGTGTGCGGCTTCCTGTTCTCAATAAAAGTAATAAATTGGATTATTTATATCGCCTGAGTGGCAGCTGTCCTCCCTCTCTGAGCAACTGGGGCTGGGCCCACAGCATGGAAGGGGCCCAGCACTGTTCTCCGTCCCCCCCACCAGCCTCCCCTCCCCCTCCTCCTCCCCAGAGTAGCAGCTCAGGTTTCCCTGGCCTGGTCAGAGTGCCCACCGTGGGTCCCCTGGGAGGGGACTACAGTGTTGCCAACCAGAGTTGAAGGCTGGGACCAGTGTCCTCCTGCACCCCTCTGCATCCTGGAGGCGGCCTAGGGCAGGCCAGCACACCCGCTCTGCCCCAGCAGCTCTCCCACTCCGCCGGCAAGTGAGGTCTGAGTGGGTGGGCACCATGGGCCCCGAGTTGATCCTGGGGAGCCCAGCAGCTGTGAGCCCCCAGGAGCTGACACCAGGCACGCGCTCCTGCTTGCTAAGGGCCTGTGGCAGCAGCGCTTCCTGGTGGGGCCGAGCACCCATCTGCAGTCTGTCAGCCACATCCACGGTGGCGCCCATGCCACGCCAGCCAGGGCCTCACGGCACCCCGCCAGGGCTGGCAGCACCATCCTTATTTTCCGATCCAAGAAGTTATTACAGCCATCCTTATCTATAATCCTGAGGTGTGGCCATGGAAACTACTTGTCCCAGCATGCAATGCTCTGGGCACCCTGCATATTGCAATCCCTGTGCACCATGCAGAGCTCCTAAAAGGAGGCAGGAATGCATGCTGGGATCTGTAGTCTCCAGCTGAGTCATCCTGTTGAGCAGGACAGCAGCCCAGGCCATCCCTCTTGGTGGTACCGCTGGTCGTGGGGGAGTGAACTCCAACACAAGTGAAGTCAGGACACCAGCAGGGAGGGCTTGAGAATGGCAATGACCTTCTGGGCTGTGGTTTCCTTCCAGCGATCCTTGCCTCGCCACGGACTGCAAGTACGCCAACAAGTTCCACTTCCACTGTCTCTTTGGGAACTGCAAGTACGTCTGCAAAACGTCTGGCAAGGCCGAATCCCACTGCCTGGACCACATCAACCCCAACAACAACCTGGTGAACGTGCGAGACCAGTTTGCATACTACTCTCTGCAGTGTCTCTGTCCCAACCAGGTCAGCATGGCGGTACACGGCGCAGGGGCAGAGTAGGGGGCAGGGAGGTGCAGGGCTAGCTCAGGGCACAGGACAGTCACCTCCTGGCAGAGGCTCCATTTCTCACACCTTGCTTATTTAAATGGGCCTCCCGGACTCTGGAAAGAGCACCATCTGCCCCTAGGCCCCTGGAGACCCCTGGGCAGGGGTCCAGATTGGTGCTAGTTGGTGAGGTCTAACCCCCGAGTGGTGACTCAATGCTGGGCAGCCACCGTGCCCTTGACATCATTCTTGCCTATCCTGGAACTAGCTTTATGCCCCCTTTTTCCAAAGCCCTAGAATTTTCGAACAGGCCCATTGTCCGTGCCCACACAGGAAAGTCAGATCAGATTCACCTTAAAGGCCTGACTCCCAAGACCAGGAGGGGCTGCCTGAGGGGGAAACTGGGCCCAGAAGTGCTAGTATAGAGCAGTGATGTCTGCCCAGGTCTAGACATACAGGGAAGAGTGTTAAAATAGATTCGCGATGTCTGCTCTAGGTATGGGATTGCAGATGGCCTGCAAGGTTACCAGGCTAGGATGCTTTAGTGCAGTGA
Source organism: Homo sapiens (assembly GCF_000001405.40). Lineage (NCBI taxonomy): Eukaryota > Metazoa > Chordata > Mammalia > Primates > Hominidae > Homo > Homo sapiens. Next base: position 10,645,553 of record NC_000001.11, on the reverse strand, counting down.
CTAAGGGCAGACACTGCCTTTTTTTTGAGACAGTCTCGCTCTGTCACCCAGGCTGGAGTGCAGTGGCACGATCTCGGCTCACTGCAAGCTCTGCCTCCCGGGTTCACGCCATTCTCCTGCCTCAACCTCCCGAGTAGCTGGGACTACAGGCGCCCGCCACCACGCCCGGCTAATTTTTTGTATTTTTAGTAGAGACGGGGTTTCACCTCTTTAGCCAGGATGGTCTTGATCTCCTGATCTCGTGATCCGCCCACCTCGGCCTCCCAAAGCGCTGGGATTATAGGCGTGAGCCACCGCGCCCGGCCCTGCGCTGCTTTTTAACATGTGAAAGGTGTTTCTATGATCATCAGCTTCTGAGCAGAGAAGAACACATGTGCCAAGGGCCCACCACAGCCTCAGGCCCGGGGCAGGCAGGAGCTCTTGAAAGTCACCCGCCTGTCCTGACCCTCCCGTGTCTCCCTGCAGCACTGCGAGTTCCGAATGCGTGGGCACTACCACTGCCTCCGCACCGGCTGCTATTTTGTGACCAACATCACCACCAAGCTCCCCTGGCACATCAAGAAGCATGAGAAGGCGGAGCGGCGGGCAGCCAATGGCTTCAAATACTTCACCAAGCGCGAGGAGTGTGGCAGGCTAGGTACCGAGGGCTGGGGCTGCGGGCAGGGACTTGCAGCAGGCATCAAGACCATGGCCCCCGTGGCCTGGGCCGCCTCTCCTGGTACCCGCGTCCTGTTCCCCACCGCAGGCTCCACGTTTTGTTAAAGGTGTCCCAGATATCACGGGCTAGGCACTGTCAAGCTTGTGAAACAGTCCAAACCCACAAAGCCCAGCAAGAAGAGTGGGGGTGACTCACGCAGGGCACCGCCCCTCCACCCCCAGACAGCCGCCCTGGGACCTCATCTTGAGCATCCAGGGCCTGGGCGTGGTTCTGTTTTCCTTTTCTTATCAAGAAGGCGAGCAGGGAATTTTTAGGAGTTCAACGTTCTTTGCTCTGGGATCTCTTTCCATGGCTTTCATGATGAGGTTTTTGTCCGCAGTGAGCTACAGTTTGTTCTTCCATTCATCCATTCTGCAGTTATTTATGGAGGGACAGCTGTGTGCCAGGCTGGGTGCTGTCACAGGGGTGGGGGTGGTGACAGTGGTGGCGACTCAGATCTAATGGGGAACGGTCAAGTTCTCCATGGGCTCAGCTGGAGCACCCGTGACCCGGAACCCAGGAAGGGGTGCTGTGGCTTTGGGAAGGGAGGCCACTGATGCCTGAGAGGTAGCCGTGCTGCTGGGAGCTGAGCCCCTGGCCCCTGTTCACAGCCTGCTGATGAGGCAGGACTCTCCCTAGGAAGAGACCAGAACCCACGGGCAGGCGGGAGCCAGGCCGCCCAGCAGAGGCCCCTGGGCTGCAGGCAAGGCCCGTTGTGGCCTGGTGGTCAGGGCAGCAGGGGTGGGGGCTGCTGCATTCTGGTCCTTCCAAAAGTGAAAGGTGACATCCTCAAAGTCAACTGCCAGAAAAAGGAAACAAACCTTGCCTTCAAGTATGAATTCAAAAAGGAGTTCTCGGCCAGGGAGAGGACTGGTAGCCATGCCAATAAGCGTCAACACTTGCGGCCTGTGCTGTCCCTGGGCTCAGTTTACAGATGTCAGGGTATTCTGCAGTTGCTATTATTTACTCAACTTGTGGTGTTTTTGGCGATAGTTGGGGCCAAACAAAGCTGGGGGATGACAGAAGACACCTGGCCGGCCTGGGCGCCATGGCAGCGGACAGGCCCTCACCTGCCCCATGATGCTGTTTCAGTCCCGCCTGCTCTGTTTGTTCTCGGCCCAGAGCGAGGCCCCGTGGGTGCTGGGGCCTGGGCAGAGGGGCAGACAGCACCCCGGGCTCCCCAGCAGAGATGTGGGGACAGGTGGCTTCCTGGGAGGTAGCTGGCCCAGTGTGCAGGGACCATGAGGGTCCCTTGCCTTGGAACTGTGCACCTCCCTGTGTGTGAGCCAGGGGATGGGGGCCTGCCCAGCATTGTCACTCGCCTCTGCCAGGCTGGAGAGGAGGCCCAGGGTTTGGACAGCCAGGGGGCTTTGGACTTCCTGACCTTCCTCCTAAGACTGCCACCTCGGCTCAGCGCCCTTTCCCCAGATACCATCTGCCTTACTGACCACACTGCCCCCATGCCCAGAACAGTGCCCAACAGGACCTGGAAGCCATGAGCGCTGGCCAGCTGGGGGCTCATGCCAGGTGGGGCTGTGTCCACAGGTTGCAAGTACAACCAGGTGAACAGCCACTTCCACTGCATCCGGGAGGGCTGCCAGTTCTCCTTCCTCCTCAAGCACCAGATGACCTCCCACGCGCGGAAGCACATGCGGAGGATGCTGGGGAAGAACTTCGACCGCGTGCCCCCCTCCCAGGTGAGAGCCCCCCCCAGGTGAGAGCCCAGCCAGGGTGGCGGGAACGCATCATGGTCCCACGCTCACTCTCAGGCCTGTGCTGCATGGAGCCTCAGCCTGCCCTCTGTGGGCAGCATACCCCACAGCCCCACTTCCTCAGGGACCCCCGTGTCCTTTCAGGGCCCCCCAGGCCTGATGGATGCTGAGACAGATGAGTGCATGGACTACACTGGCTGCAGCCCAGGCGCCATGTCCTCTGAGTCATCCACCATGGACCGGAGCTGCTCCAGCACCCCCGTGGGTAACGAGAGCACCGCGGCAGGTGAGCGGCAGGCAGGGGCTGCTGGCAGGGCCAGGCCCCACTCCCAAAGCCCAGCACCGCTGGGTGCAGCTTGGGACAGAAGGTCCGGGGCACGCGGCCTCCGAGGAGGACAGGCTGGCGTGCAGCAGAGCCAGCTGGTCTGTGGGACTGGGTCATCGAGGCCCCTCCCGCCATCCTCCCGCCTCCCTGGCACTGCCCTTTGCGTCAGTTTCCGGGAGAGGACCCTGGGCCCGTCCTCTCTGAGCCACAGCGGGAGCAGCGCAGCCCCAGCCTCCTTCCTCCGCTGCCTCCCACCCGGCCTGGGCCCAGCGCCGGTCCTGCCCGGCACACCTGCCCACGTGACCCCTGGCACTGCCCCGCCTCTCTCTCCTCCTGCCCCTTCTTCTTGTGTCCCTCTCTCTGCTCATCCGTGCACACATTTTCATGCCATACCTGCTTCTGCCATCGGGTTTCTCATTTTGGTTCTTTCTGTTTGTTTGTTCTTTGTTTTGGTTTCTTTTTTTTTTTTTTTTTCTGCTTTTCTCCACCCTCTCCAGGCTGCCCGGCTCCTCCTCCTCCTCCTCTTCCTCCTCCTGCGGCCGCTGGTGATGAGGCTGCCCGCACGGCCCCGCAGCCGCCAGCGACTCCATCCTTCTCGCCGGCCACGCTCCGGCCGCCCCTCCCCCCCCTCCCCTGCCTCTTCTCTCCGTCCTGTCTCTCATACTCTCTGCTCAGTGCCACTCTCGGAGCCGGCCGGGGCCTGGCCCATCCCACCTGCAGCCCGCCCAGCTTCCCGCCCGTCACTGCCACTCCAACTCCAGTAAAAAGTGACGTCCCCCTAGTTCAGGATGCTGCAGGTAACGCGCACATGCCTTCTCACCGCTGTCCATCACCCCAACCCACCCTCCAGGCCACGCTCCGGGGCCTGACCCTTTTCTGCAGCCAGCCAGGCCAAGGACGGGGCCACTCTGCACCCCTCACAGCCAAGCATCCCCGAGACTAGAGAGCGTGGTCTCCATCCCAGGGACAACTCCTCGTGGCTCCTGCTCAGTGCTGGGCAGGCCAGAGCACTGCTGCCAGGGATTCTCCCTTGTTCACAACTGCTCAGAGTCCCAGAGATGGCTGATCCTGCCGGAGGCCCTGTAGGGTCTGCCTTCCTCGGCCTGGGGCAAGGCAGGACCTGTCCCTTCTACTCTGAGGAGTCCCCCTGGGATCTGGCACTAGGGAGAGATAGAGGAGGCTTTCGGGAAGGTCTGCTGGGGTCTGGGACCTGCCCAGGTTCAGAGGGTCCAGATTCCAGCCTGAGCCCCGGGCCACGCCCAAAGCTGAGCAGTAAGGGAAGTCTCTGTGGACTCAGGCCCCGGCAGTGCTCAGGGGCAGAGGCACCTCCCATCCCACCCCCATATCTGATACCCACCGGGATGGCATCTGCCCGCCCCCTCCCTTGAGCGTAGACACCACCCGGGCTCGGACTCCTCTGCTAATTCTTGCCTCACGTGCTGCCTGAGTACAGGCCCCAGGAGTTATGGCCAGGGCAGGGCCGAGCCTCCCCCTCCTCAGGGACTTCCGGCTGTTGGAAGCTCCACTCTGGCATAACCAGACCCTGTGACTTCAGACCCAAAGCCGCTCCTCACCCACCAGGTTTTGGGCCTGAGGCCATCCCTTGCCCCCTGCCTGGGTGCCCCTACACCGTCACAGCCCTTAGTCTCTCTCCGTTTTTGTCCACTCCGGGTGGCCTATGGGGCCTGGCCTGAAATGGGCAGGGCAGACATTTGGTGGCTAGAGTGACTGCTGGGCCTTCTAAGCAGGCTCTGGGGGAGCCAGGCAGGTCAGCCGTGTGGGAGGAGCCCAGAGGCTACCCACGCTCTGGTGGGGCTGGTCAGAGAGCTTCTCTTGTTTGTGGAGGGTGGCGTGGGGAGCCAGGACTAGCTGCCTGTGCCTCTGGCAGGAGCTGGGGCTTCCCCTCACCCATGGCCATAGGGGCACAGGTACCTCCCAGAAAGGGTTACAACCCTGGCCTTGGCAGGGGGGCATCCTAAATCCCAGGAAGCAGTCTGGGCCAGCTGGACATAAATGGGCTCCGCTCCCCATGGCTGAGCCCCTGCCCTGGTCCTGACCCAGGTAAATTACGACTCTGAGCAGAGGGCAGAGGCATTGAGCTCCCTGAGTCCTGGTCCTCCATCAGGGCTGCCCTCTCCCAGCCCTTGGGGTAGAAAACCCCAACAAGACCTTAAAGAACCTTCTGGTACCAAGGACAAGGTGCTCCTTAGGGCAGGGAGTTGCAGCCCCGCACAGCCCTGGGGCACTTGGCACCCCTACTGTGAGTAGGCAGCTCCCCCTGTGCAGACAGGCGCAGCCAGGGAAGCCGGGTAGCCGGCGGGAAAGGAGCCGGCCTGTCCCTCATTAGAGGCAGCTATAGCTGGCGTCTTGGCCCGAGTCCAACTTGGCTAATTGCACTCTGCCGACCTAGATTCCCCCTTCAGCTTCAATTAGCGCCAGGACGTGTCCTCACTTCCCACCCAAACTGGCCAGGAAGCAGCCACCACGTCCCCCAGAGCTGGTTGGGCTGCCACCCCCCGGGGGAGAGGCCTGTGTGGCCCTTCTGCAGACAGGGATGAGGAGGGGAAGCCCAGGACCCCTGCTGTGCCAGGGTAGGGAGGGGGCGGGGCAGGAGAGGCCTCCCAAGCCAGGGGAAGCCGAGGGCTCCCTAAATGCCGCCCTCTGGCGCCATGCCAGATCAGGGGTCCCATGTGGGTGTAACCCTGTTGATGGTGCCCACGTGGGTCCCTCTTCTGCACTGACCTCCCTGCCCCTCCCCAGGGAACACCATCTCTATGCCGACAGCCTCGGGGGCCAAAAAGCGCTTCTGGATCATCGAGGACATGTCGCCCTTCGGCAAGCGGCGGAAGACGGCGTCCTCCCGGAAGATGCTGGACGAGGGCATGATGCTGGAGGGCTTCCGGCGCTTCGACCTTTACGAGGACTGCAAGGACGCAGCTTGTCAGTTCTCGCTCAAGGTCACCCACTACCACTGCACGCGCGAGAACTGCGGCTACAAGTTCTGCGGGCGCACGCACATGTACAAGCACGCGCAGCACCACGACCGCGTGGACAACCTGGTGCTGGACGACTTCAAGCGCTTCAAGGCCTCACTCAGCTGCCACTTCGCCGACTGCCCCTTCTCGGGCACCAGCACGCACTTCCACTGCCTGCGCTGCCGCTTCCGCTGCACCGACAGCACCAAGGTCACGGCGCATCGCAAGCACCACGGCAAACAGGACGTGATCAGCGCCGCGGGCTTCTGCCAGTTCAGCTCCAGCGCCGACTGCGCCGTGCCCGACTGCAAGTACAAGCTCAAGTGCTCGCACTTCCACTGCACCTTCCCGGGCTGCCGCCACACGGTGGTGGGCATGTCGCAGATGGACTCGCACAAGCGCAAGCACGAGAAGCAGGAGCGCGGCGAGCCCGCGGCAGAGGGCCCCGCGCCCGGGCCTCCCATCAGTCTGGACGGCTCCCTGTCGCTGGGCGCCGAGCCGGGCTCGCTGCTCTTCCTGCAGTCGGCGGCCGCCGGCCTGGGCCTGGCGCTGGGCGACGCGGGCGACCCCGGCCCGCCCGACGCCGCCGCCCCCGGGCCGCGCGAGGGCGCCGCCGCCGCCGCCGCCGCAGCTGGGGAGTCCTCGCAGGAGGACGAGGAGGAGGAGCTGGAGCTGCCGGAGGAGGAGGCCGAAGACGACGAGGACGAGGACGACGACGAGGACGACGACGACGAGGACGACGACGAGGACGACGACGACGAGGACCTGCGCACCGACTCGGAGGAGTCGCTGCCCGAGGCGGCGGCGGAGGCGGCGGGCGCGGGCGCGCGGACCCCGGCCTTGGCGGCGCTGGCGGCCCTGGGCGCCCCCGGCCCCGCGCCCACTGCAGCCTCCTCGCCCTAGCGGCGCCCGCGGGTGGCCCTGGCGGCGGCCTCGGCCTCGGCCTCGGGAGCGGCGCCGCCCCGCGCGAAGCGGCCCCTGGGCAGAGCCCCGCGCCCCGCCGGTGCTTCCGGACCCCGAGTCCGTCTCAGGACAGAGGCGGGGACCCCTCTGGTGCTCCGCGGCCGAGGACACAGGCGGCGGCGGTGGCCCTGCTCTAGGGAGGCCGGGTCTCTTCAGGGAAACAGAAGGTGCTCTTGTCCCGGGGTAGGGAACCTAGGAGCAGGGGTCCCGGGCGAATGCGGCGCAGCTCCCGGCCGCTGCCCCGGCGCCCCTCCCCGCGGCCGATTCGGCCCCGCGACCATTGCTCAGGACTGGGACGGGCGCTGGGGGCCACCGGGACCCCCACCGCGCGCCACCAGGGCGGGGTGGCTCCTGGAGCCGCTGGCGGGGCCTCCCTCATGCAGCTAGGATCCTCCCCCCTGCCCAGGGGGAGACGGGCAGAAGGCAGTCAGCACGGGTGACACTACAGGGACCGTGGAGGAAGCCTCACGGGAGTAGCAGCCGCGGAGCTCCAGCTCAGCCCCACCCCAGGGCCCGGCTGCTCCCCCAGGCCTGGGTCGGGTCTGTTTGGCGACTCCCTGGCCCCAGCCTCCGCCCCAGGGAAACCGAGGCTGCGTCCAAAACCCAGAGTAGCCCGCTGGGGGCCGGGGCGGGGTCTCGGCCACCCTGGTGGTGCAAACAGGAAGGATGCGCCTGGTTTTGGCTTTAATGTTCAAAATGGAAAAAAATACAAGAAAGTTGTACAGTATTTTTCCTGTAAAGGTTATTATTCTACATAGAACAAAAAGGAAGAAAGCAGGCGTGGTGAGAGTGCAGACCCGCCTGGGCCCGGCCTGAGGTTGGAGGCTCAGTCCCGTTTATCCTGTGGGATTTGGTCCAGGGTTTTTGTAGAGGCCTTAACTGTTTGAGGCTGTCTGTCTTCACAATAGCACTGATGGGAGCTGCGTGATTCCAACTCTTAACTTGAATTTTGTAGAGACAAGAAAAAAGGACTATTACTGTTGATCCAAGTTTGTAGTTAATTTAACATTTGAGTTCTCTCTTGGTGATGCGTGTGGCTTTATAGGGCTTTTTTTTTTTTCCAGTTTGTTTTATTACTTTGTTTGGGATGCTTCTTCGCTGGTGCAGTCTACCCAGATTGGGTTCCCTTTGCAAAACATCCCCCTTCCTGGAGATGATGATGCCATCGAAGCCCGGGCCAGGGCCTGACCTGGCAGGCACACACCTGGCCAGTGGCTCTGAGGTCCCCGGGGACCGAGTCCCCTGCGAGGGCAGGCTGCCCGAGGCCACACCTGCCCACCTTCCCTACTCCAGGCCACCAGCTGGTGTCAGATTGGGCCACCGGGAGAGAACAGGCCTAGGAGGGAATGGAAGGCTGGCGGGGAGGCTGTCATCCAGAAGCCTCCTCCCCAGAGGTCTCCAGGAGGAACCTGGCTCAACTGGGGGGCAGTGGTTTACTTTTCCCTTTTTTCTTCCTTTCTTTTGTCCTCTCAGCTGCCCACAGCCAGAAAGCCAGGACCACCCGAACTGGACAGGGAGCAGGGAGGGAGGAGTGGTCGCACGGAGCGTACCTGATTCAACAGGAAATCAGTTATTTTCTAAAACAGCCCCTACCAGAGCCTCCTGAACTCTGTGGGCACCACGTGCTGCTGTGAGCATCTGCCCAGACAGTGACCCGCCACAGGCCCCGGGCGTCTGTGGAAGGAGTTTTGTAAAGGAAAAAAAAACACACACACACAAACATTTTTTCAATGTAGCAAAATCAAACTTAAAAAAAAAAAAGAAGAAAAGAAGAAGATGCCGACAGTGCGGAGTCTAGCCTTTTGTAAACTTCATATTGCACACTAGGACTATAAGCCATTGCTAGCTCATTTTGAATTTTAACGTGTAATTTTTGTTTTATTTTCTTTCTGTGGGGAAACAATGCTTGATCCACCAATGCTCTTTTTAATGTTTTATAACTATGTATGTGTATATATATAAATATCAAATAATATGTATGCACATATGTGTGTGTATATATCTATATGTATATACATATATAGATATATAGAGATATATAGAGAGGTTTTGAGACAAAAAAAATACAGAACGTGAAACCCGAGCTGAACAGCGTGTGCTCTGATTACTTGAATCTGGTCTCCTCGGCACCTGGTTATTAAGAACTGAATATTTTTCCACTTGAATTTAGTGCTATTAGAAATTTAATATATGTGTTTTATTTATTTGATTTTTTTTTTTTTTTTTGCATGACTGATGCAAGGTTTGACATTTTCACTCAATAAAAACTGGAAAAAAATCTATCAAGTTATCTTTTATTCTTAAAATCGCCCCCAATCGGCTGGCCATGACCCAGCTACACCGGTGGGGTGACGGGAGGAGTTGGGCACCCTTCGACCCTGGCAGGAAAAGCGGGGAACAGACCAGTTTTGTCCCCGGGCTGCTGGGGACAGAGGTAGGGGGCTCATTCCTGGCCTGGCCAGAAGGGTAGCCTCCTCCCCAGCCCTGCTTGAAGCCCCCACTTGGGGCTCAGGAGCCATCTTTGGGCAGAGCCATTTGACACCAAGGCCTGGGTCGTCGGACAAAGGCCCTGCAGCCTCCCAGGACCCCCACCCCAGCCAACCCTCTCCTCTCCTGGGCTGCTGGGCCGGCGTTGGCAGGGCCACCCTCCTGCCTCCTCCCTCGGCTCCTTCCTCCTTCCTGCAGGGACCTGCCCGGGCTGGGAACGGCGCGTACCCGGATCCAATCCGGATGCTGGCGCGACTCCTGCCTGGAGCACAGGGTGGCAGAGCCAGAAGGGGCCGATAATTCCTGGGTCCGTAGCCACCAGCCCAGAGCCTGAGCTGCCAGCCCTGGTGGCACCGTGGTTGGCTCCCTCGGAAGCACAGTGGCCGGAGTGTCCACCAGACCTAGCCTGGAGTACAGGCCTCCCAGGCGCTCCGAGAGTTTGTCTTGACACTTCCAACTGATGGCCGGCTCCTCACGACACCACATCGTGAGAATCACCTTGGCAGCCCCTCCCTGAGCTGGACTCCAGGTGGCCGGAGCTTCCTGGGACCTTGGGGAGGGGATGTGTGCGGGATCTGCCACATTCTTCCACGCTGAGGAGTCTTACCGGCTCATCACACCCCAGCCACAGGGATGTCACAACCACTTGCCCGATGAGGAAACAGGCAGACTTGGGGGCTGGAGAGGTTCGGTTATCGCAGCACGCTTCTCCCTCACTGAGCCTGGCACCAGCCGGCCAGGCACCAGGCACCAGGGACCAGGGACGGCAGGGGAGTGGCCTCAGCCCACAGCGCCCAGGCCTGTGTCATTTCCCACCGCAGAAGTGCGTCTCCAGCCCAGCCCCGGCGCGCGGGCACTCCCTTTCTTCTTTCCTCCTGGAATGCAGCCCACAGGCTATTTACATAAATATGTTTGTAACAGACATGAAAATATATACTTTTTTCTGTCTTATTAAAATGTTCAAGTTGGAACTCGCCTATTGTTTGCGGATATCTTGATTCTGTTAAATAAAACAGTGACTAATTTATGGGATAAAACACAAGTTCAACAAATTAAAACCATTATTGGAGCTTCCCAGGCCCTGGTGGGCCTCCCGTGGGGCCTGAAGCGAGGCAGGGAGCCAAGCCCTGAGCAGCCGGTGGGTGGGTGGTGCAGCCACAGAGCTCCCTCTAGGCTCCGGCACAGTGGGCAGCTCTCTGGGGCAGCACTGACTCCTGGGGCCCAGGGGAGGGAGAATGGGGACTCAGGGTGGTTTGCTGACCTTGGCCAGACCCCAAAACTGCCCCCTGGTCTTCTGGGCCTGGATGGACCACACCCAGGGTCAACCAACCTCACGACAAGCAGGGCCCCGAGTCCAGCCCAAGGAAGGGGAACGGGGACTCGGGGACCTCTCAGAGGCATCTCAAGGCCTCAGGACGCTGCACCCAGGCCAGCCCATGATGCCACATCCCAGGCCCCGCCCCAGAGGGTGGAGAGAAGCTCGTACCCCCACCAGGCATGTGTTGCCCACTCTGAGACCGCCCCCAAGAGCCGGGAGGGGGCCTGCAGCTGCGGGTTGGGATGGGCCCAGGTCCCACGGCACTCCCTGTGGCTTGTTGGACTCAGTAGGAAATGCAGTAAAGCATGCTTTCCTTCTGGGATTTAATTAGCTGTGGTGTGTGATGCTCCTACACCCAAACTGGGGCAAATTCAAGTGTTTTGCAACCTCCTGGAAAGGGCCAGAACCCGCCGCACAGGCTCAGGGCTGAGCTCAGGGGCCTGCCCACCTCCCACGGACCTGGCCCAGCAGGGGCGCCACCAGCAACCTGAGTCACCCGTGGGCGCCGGGCCTTGGCGCTCACGAAGCGGCCTTGCCCCAGCCTGGACATGGCGACAGGCAGCCCCCTTTCTGGGCAGCATACCAGGCCACTGGGCAAAGGCCAGCTGCCCATCCACTGTCACGGGAGGTGGCCCTGGCCCCACAGGTAGCGTTGGTCTAGGACCAGGGCTGGCAGCAGTGCCCTCTGAAGGGCTGGAATCCCAGAGCCTTGTCTGAGAATGAAGCAGCCAGGCCCCGGCCATCCTTGCTGGGAGGTGCCTCCGCACCCTCTGGGGCAGGTCAGGGAGGAATCGGCAGCTCCCAGGGGGCCCACAGCCAGCGCTGGAGCAGCTGGACCCAGTGGCTTGGCCTCCAGTAAGCCCCATGCCCCACACCACTGGAAGGAGGCAGGGATCCCCAAGAAAGAACCTCGCTGCCCGGAGCCTCCCTGAGGCTGGCTCCTCCCCCTGGGGCTATAACGCATCTGGATGCCAAGTGTCATGGTGGTGTTTAAAGCCATGACCCTGTCGCTTGAAAGAAGGTCCTTCCAGTATCTGTCGTGGAGCAAGGAAAGGTTTCAGGCATCTTTCTGATGAACATATCATGTATCTCATTTCTTCTTCTAGGAGAACACAAACTATAAAGTGCTCAATGAAAGTAAATTATTAAGGTTTATTCATGATTCAGGTAGTCATCCCTCAATGCCAGGCGAGATTTCAGACCCGTTTTGCATTAAAGAGAGTGCCAAGGCTGTGGTCTGAGCTGTGGCCTGCAATGGGCACGTGTTGGAGGAGGACATGGGGACCTCTTGAAAAGGGCCCACTGGGCCCTGCGTGAGTGTGAGGGTGCCACACACATGTGCACGCACATGCATGTCAGCATGTGCCAGCTCGGGCGTGGCTCCCCCTGGCCAGGCGGTGGCCAGTCCCTAGGTGGGAAGCCCCTGTACACAGCAAAGGAGCAGGAGGAGGAAGAGCGGCCAGGCCCTCCAGGTCTACCTGGGTGCTACACCTCAGGAGCGCACCTCACCTGAGGCTGGAGCTCCCACCTGCATGCAGGTCTCACTGGCGCCTCCGTGCCTGCCCTGTCTGGAGGCTCTGACCTCTTCTTTTGGTGCCTTGGCAGAAACCAGTTTAAACAAAAGACAAATTAAGTCAACTCCTGGGGACAGAGATGTCTGGCCATTGAAGAATGGCCCCTGCTTGCCCTCCCCTTCCCTCCTGGGGTCTGGGGCAGGGACAGGGTGGTCACCTGGAGAGGGAGGGGTCTGGGGCAAGGCCGGAGACCCAGCGCCTCCATGCTCCTGGCTGGGCCGCCAGGAGGGCAGAAGCGAAACCTTCTAGAAAACTCTTCCACCTGTACCTGGGTGTGAGGGCCCCGAAAGATGAACACAGCTTGCTCAGATGCGTTTATTAAAAACAAAGAAAGAGGGAAAGAGACTCTGTGGGCACACAGGGAGCCGATGGGCAGGTGGCAGGTTCTCGCATCTCTGTCCCCTTCTATGTGGATTGGCTTTGCTACACATCCCACCTGTGGGTACAAACTCAGCAGCCCCTTCCCCTGACCCAGGCGCTCCCTGTCCCAGCCAGGGTCCTGGGATGGGACTGGCTCTGGGAGCCTTGGCTTTTGAAGGACTTGGCAGCCCCAGGCGGGCGGAGACCCTACCATCCCCCGAAGGCAACTCCCCCGCCTCCTGGCCTGTCCTGCGAGTCGCAAACACCAAGGGAGGTCCCCTGTCCTTCCCAAAGTAGATGCCCCTGCCCAAGGCAGAACCAGCGAGTTACCGGAGGAGCCGGGACAGACCCCGGGGACCGAGGGAGCTGGTCCGGGGTGAGGTCAGGGCAGCTGTCCCCCGGCCTCCAAGCATGGGGCTAGTTCTTTCCTAAAAGACACTTTATAAAAATACATTGTAATTGAGTTTAATAATCTTCTCCCTTCCAGAAAGGGCCTGACAGGCGCTGCCTGCTGCTTACTTCTGCCCCATTCCGAATATTTTTACCTTATTTGGATGAAATGCATTATTTTTCTAATGAAAGGCTTTTTTTTTTCAAAGGGCTGTTTTCCCTGGTCCAGCAGCTGGCTTTATTAGGCAGCACTCCTGCCGTTTTGGGGAGGGGTTTTTCTCTCCCTGAAATCACGCCAGACTCTGTCCTCAAAAGCCGAATTCGGTGCTCAGGACCCACAGGGGCAAAAGGCCTCCGGGCCCAGGTTTCTGTCCGTTTCTCCTCCACGCTTGAGCCTCAGGGATGTGCCAGCCCACTGACCCCCAGGATGGAGAGTGCTTGCCCTGTGAGGTCTCCATTGCCCCCACCCCAGGGATAGTGAAGCCCCAGGGAATCCCTTTCTTGGTGGCCCCAGCTCTCCAGGGAGAAATGGAGCCGGGAAGCTGGCACTTCACTTCCACAGCACCAACCCCACAGCCCTGGCTTCCCTTCCTTCCCAGGGTATCTGCCCTCTGGTCTCCCTTTCTAGTCCCACTGGAGGAGGGACCTCTGAGAAGTTACAGACAATGGCCACCAGGCAGCAAATGACAGGGGGCGGGGACTCCTCAGGAACCGATCCGTCCAGATGCAGGCCTGTGACCCAGCAGGTCTGAGGGTGGGACACAGGCAGTCACTGTCCCCAGAGCCAGGCCGAGGCCTGGCCCACCTGTCTGCCCACCGCAGCTCCCAGACACTGGGACTCCTGGGGTCCTGGTAGGCAGGACCCCCTCGTCCAGGTGAGGGTGGCAGCCCCTGGGAATTGAGACACCTGCTTCTTCAGGGACAGCAAGGAGGCCAGGGAAAAAGGAGAACAAGCCATAGTGTGACACTGAACTGGGCTCCGCTCGTCCCTGGGGAACACGTAGCTGGAAACAGGAAATGCAGGAGTGTCCTTCCAGGTGACAAGCATGAAAGACACAACCCGCAGGCCAGAAACCAGATTGGGGCTGGACCCTCCAGCAGGTGGGTTCAGCCTGCTCCCGGTGACCCTCCAGTGGGTGGGTGCAGCCCAGTACTGGGGACCCTCCAGTGGGTAGGGGCAGACCTGCTCCCAGGGACCCTCCAGTGGGTGGGGGTGGACCTGCTCCAGGGGTCCCTCCAGCAGGTGGAGGCAGCCGGGTCCCAGGGACTCTTGAGTGAGCGGGGGCGGCCCGGGCCTGGAAACCCGTCACTTTAGCAGGACCTGTGTTCCCAGCATTAAGAAGGGTTTGCTGCAGGGGCCAAAAGCGAAACATCTGAGACAAAACAGCCCCAACACCAAGTCTCTGAGCCCAACCACATGGCCTCCTCCCTCCCCAGCAGAGGGAGGGGCAGGGCGGAGCAGGTACATGGAGGTCGCACCCGCAGGGACTGCCCAGGGCTTCCTATTTCCGAAGCCCTTGTGTCCACACAGGCACATGGACATCACGGCGCCTGCGGCCCACGAGCCTGGTCCTGACACTTGGGGGCTGCAGGGAATAGGAGCGCCCCTCAAGGAGCCCATGGCTCTGCTCTTCTGGTTTTAGCCAAATGCTCTGTGAAGGGGAAAGGGAGACTGGGAGGAAAAGAGCCAGGGGAGACAGGGAGCCAGAGAGGACGCCACACTCCCCTCCCCGGGAAGCATTCGTCCATTTAAGGAAGAGCTCCTCACTCCACATGAGGTCTATATACAGTCACACGAGGTCCCTGATCCTCCTGCGGTCAGCAAAGTGTCGCCCTCCGGCAGCCACTGGACCTGAACAAGGCCTCTGCTTCTGGCTCAGCAGCGGCGGAAGCTGCCCATGGGCCCTCACCCACACTTCACCAGCTGGAGGCTGCGCTGAGACGAACCCCCGGGCCCAGGGTGCCATGAGCAGACAGGGAGCCACAGGCAGAAATTAAATAGTGGCAACTGGTATTTATTACAATTATATACAGTCCTATCTTCCGTTCTGAGGTCTATACATGATCACACAAATGAACATGTGTTTCCTGGGGGGAAGGACAGAGCTGGCTGTTGGTCAGGAAGGCCCTGCTGCCTGGCTCCTCCTCCGGAGTGAGCCCCCATCTCGCCATGGGATTAGCTGAACCATTACACGGCAAGCGGGGGCATCGGAAGCGCAGCGTGGTTTCATTTGTCTGGGAGGACGACGGGGCATGAGTGGGGTTGGGGCTGGGGACAGGCACCTGACGGGTCCAGGGCCGGGCCCAGGGAGGGAGGGGGATGGCAGACACCAGAGGGACCGCAGCTCCTCCTCCACTGAGGAGTCGGGAGGCAGTAGGGACGCTAGCTCTGGCCATGCGTGGTGTCACGGTAGTCAAGACACTCAGCAAACACACCCTGGGCAAGGCGTCTGTCCGGGAGAGGGGGCTGGGGAGGGGCTTGGGCCCCGAGGCTTCGCTGCCTTCAGCCTGACTTGAGATCAAAGCCAAAGGCAGCTGGGCCTGGGGCTGGGGCTGGGGCTGGGGCTGGCGGCCAGGCGAGAGGAGGCCAGGTGGACAGAAGTGTGACTCCCCACACTGCCACCAGGCCGCAGTGCAGCTGAGGACAGCTCTGCCCCCTACCTGGGCTCCAAGCTGCCCTCCCAGGGCCAGAGAGGGAGGCAGGGTATGGCCACGCACGGGCACACTAGATGCCATCCTCAGGGCTGGAGGCAGCAGGCGCAGCCCTAGTCCCGCTCACTCTCGTTGCTGGCGCCCTCGGGCCGCCGCAGCTTCTCCACCTGCTCGTTGATCTGCCCATCCCCGCCCCGGCGGTCCTCCCTCTGCACCCCCAGGCAGTCCTCCTCGTCCACATGGCTCACATCATCATCCTCCTCATCCTCCTCGTCCTCCTTGTCCTCCCTCTTCTCCTCCTCGCCTTGCACCTCCATCCGCACCTGGCCCTTGACGTCCACCACCCCCTCGCCTTCCTCCTGGGGGCCCAGCAAGTGGTAGGTGACCGTGGAGCCCTCGGGGCTGTGGCCCTCCTTCCCAGGCGAGGACGACGTGGACTCGTTGCTGACAGGTGAGATGTCGCTGCTGCTGTGGTGGTTCACGGCCGCAGGGCTGGAGGGTGACGGTGACTTGACTGGGATCTGCCAGGAGGGGATCTTCGGGGCTGATGGGGATGGAGGGAACTGCCTCCTAGAGGGAGAAGAAGGGGAGGAGGTTGGTGGCGGCATTCAGGACGCCCCCCTTCGAAGGGCCACGCCTTCCCTGACCCGCAAGGGCTCGGCGATGGTGAGCTGCTCCCCCAGGGACACTGGGCAAGGGACAGGATGGAGCCCTTCCACCCCTCCTTTCAGGAGCAAAGATCCTACAGCTGAGATAGATGCCAAGCGGGTCCTGTGCCCCCACAGACAGCCCAGGGTCCCCCCGGGCCCCCACCCTGGGCAAGGCCCATCTGCCTGGGCAGCTGCTGGAAGCCAAGTGGGGCCTGCCTGCCATGCGGGAGCCTGCTTCCTTCTGATCCTCAGCACCATCCCTGCCTCCAACCCAGTGGCCAGGAGAGAGACAGGTTGGTGAGGAGTCCAAAAGGGCTATGACTGGGGACTCCAGACACCTGAGCCACAGTCCTCATTTGTCTATGGCCTGAGCAAAAGGTGGAGGCAGGGAGCCCTGGCCACTGGCAGGGGGTCAGACACATCAGAACCAAAAGGGCGGTGGTTATGCCCTTTGCTAGAAAACTTCTGAGCTCAACACTTTCAACGCAGAAGAGGCAGCTCTCCCTTCTGCTCCGTACTCCGTTCCTGGGCCAGCAGCCAGCCCAAACCAAAGCCAATTCCAGGAGGGACCTGGGAGGTCAGGTCCACTTGGCAACGGCTCAGAGACAGAGCTCTCCAACAGGCAGGCCCATCTCTGCCTGAGCCAAGAGGACAAAGCCCTGCCCGCAGGGCTGTCCCCCAGCAGGGGCCTTAGACACAACTCTCCCACCACAGACCCCACTTGAGTGGGGCACACACCACGGCCTGCTTTATTCACCAGCATCCTAAACGCTAACAAGAAATTCCATGTGCAGTTTTCTTGGCCCCCACGGTCACCCGATGGCCTGGCCTCCATCCCCAGCCTCCAAGGCACTGGTCTCGGTTAGGGAAAATGGAGGCTGTCTCCTAATGACAATGCTCTGGCCTCTGCCAGCGCCACATCTCTTTCCAGGACATGTTCTTTTCCTCAGGGAAAACCGGGAAGTTGGGTGGCTTGGAAAATGGGGTCTTCTGGCTGGAGCCGCAAGACCCCTCTGCACCCCATCCTGGACCCTAGTGAAAAGCCCACCTGCACCCTCCCACTCACCCAGCTCCCAACAAATCCAGCCCAGCAGGGAAACAAGGACACCCCATGCAAGGCCCACTAGGGCATCAGCCCAGGAGGATGGCCCACAGTTGCGGCTCCCAGGACAGAGTGGCTCCTGGACACTGGACTTTCAGTTTTAAAAAACCAGAACAGTCCAGGCACAGTGGCTCACACCTGTAATCCCAGCACTTTGGGAGGCCATGGGCAGATGACCTGAGGTCGGGAATTCAAGACCAGCCTGGCCAACATAGCAAAATCCCACCTCTACTAAAAATACAAAAATTAGCCGGGAGTGGTGGCGGGCGCCTGTAATCCCAGCTACTCGGGAGGCTGAGGCAGGAGAATGGCGTGAACCCGGGAGGCAGAGGTTGCAGTGAGCCGAGATCGTGCCACTGCACTGCAGCCTGGGCAACAGAGCGAGACTCCATCTCAAAAAAAAATAAAAATAAAAATAAATAAAACCAGGACAGTCCCAGGCAAAGCAGGACAAGTTGGTCACCCTACCTCTGAGGCTGCATTGGTGACAATGTGCTGTCGCTACAGAGGGACAACAGGGGGACAACCAAGAAGCCGGGGGGCAGGGCCTGCTTCTGCCCACGTCTTCAGTTGTGGAACCCTTCCAAGTACAAAACACAAAGACTCTCCCGCAGGGGCTTTCCCTGGGACAAAGCTGTCACTGAGTGGTCACCTGGAGCTCAGGAAGGAGGAGCCAAACCAGGAAGTTCTCCTCTGCTCCAAGGGCCCTGCTTTTTGGCTCAAGCTGTCCCTGACCAGGTCTTCACAGGCCTGGGAACTGTATTTCAAAACTTGTGTGCCACAGACCGTCACCTCTGGAGTGGAGAGGGTGTCAACTGGGGAATGAAGAGAGAAGCTCAAAAGGCCCCAGACTCAGTGCCTGAGTCGCCCAGACAGATGGGGTCCTTGGGGGTGGGGGTGGGCGTCATGCCCCTCCCATGCCCCAGAGCTCCCAGTCCTCCTTTCCAGGCCCGACCAGAACAGGGTCCCCATTCCTCCCTCCTACCGATTTAAAAGAAGCCCTTTCAAGGAGTTAATTTCGGACTTGAGTTCGTTGATATTCTGGGACTCCAGGATCCAGTTGGTGGATGTGGTGGCCTGAAAGCAGAGCACAGGGAGGCTCAGGGCGGGCGCCTTGCGGCACGGGCGGGGCCTGCGGCTGCAGGAGGACCTGGGTGGGGGCAGCAGGTGGGGCCTTCTGGGTCTGTTCTGGGGAACCCGGGGGAAGGTTCTGCCACTGCCCACTGCCTGCCACGTCTCTGGATGACAACATCCTTAAACATTCCCACAGCTCTGTTTGGACATCTGATGACGTAAGGAATCATTACGTGTTTTTAGGTGACATAATGGTATCGTGGGCGTCTTTTAGAGACATGCGGAGGCGTGCGGGTGCGGTATGAAGTGGGATGATGTCTGGGATTTAAGATGGTCCGGGGTGGAAAGAGGAAACAGCCACCATCTCTGACAAACCCCATCCTTCCATGCACACCTTTCCCCTTTGAAGGTAACACTGTTTTCCAAATAAACTTCACAGAACTACATCTTACTTCTGGAAAATCTTGCTGGTATAGACGGGGAAGAGGACAGCCAAACCAGAGGTCCCCAAATGCGAGCTGCTGGTGGCAACCTGCTTGTGGCATGTGCACAGAGGACAATGCCACGAGGCCTCCGTGTGAGGTCTACCTCGCCCAGGCTGAAGGCCACCCCAGGCCATCTTTAAGTGCACAGATGAATATTGCCAGCTCTCCTGATACTGCTCCCCCGAGGTGGGCAGAGGGGACGTTCCCTGGCTGTTCCCTACCAGTGTGCTGTGGGCCGCTGGCTGGCTTACAGAGGCCTGGCCTCTGACGTGGGGTCGGGGGCTGCTGTGGGCTCACCCCAGCAAGCAGTCCAGCTGGCACACCTTAGCAGGGAGAAGTCCTTCAGAGGGCCTGTAGGTCTCAGGAAGGAAAACCCGGGCAGTCTGAGAGTGAGTGCGTGTCACCCACCACCCCCAGACACAGCCCCTCAGGGTTCCTACTCCAGACCGCCAGACAGGGAGGACCCAGGAGCCACGGCTCTGGCTTCTCTGAGACCTTGAAAGCTACAGCAGCCCATGAACAAGGGCACAATTTCCACTCACTGGCCTACAAGGGACTCAGATTTCCAAACGCATATGGTGCCAGATGCCAGGATTTAGAAATAAAATCTGACATCTGGGGCTTTTTAGCCAGCCTCTTTAAAAAACAGTTGTAGAAAACTCATAGCCTTCAGTTTTATGTAGGTTTTTTAATTACTTAAAGCTCTTCTTTTTAATTTTTTACAGTGCTCCAGTAGGAGTTTGGAAGCCAGATATAAAAACTTACATTACAGCTGAGAAAACACAGCTCTGGGTCTTTGGTTTATGGGGTAACCAAAGTCCTCACACATACGCGTTTAGATGCCAAGCCAGTGGCCCCATGCAGCTCGGGAGAGAAGGCTGGGGTGGGCCAGGGACAGCGGCAGCAAAGCCAGCTCGAGGGACTCTGAGGGGCCCAACCCCTCTCACCACCAAGCACATCCCGGGCCCCCACTGCTTCTTAAACACAACATGTGGTCTTAATCTCAGGCGTAAGGCCTGAAAACAGTTTTCCAATTTCCGGAATGGCTTCTGGCCACAGGCAGAGCATGGATCCAAAAGATGACCTGACCCAGGAGAGCAGGCAGGGCTGTCGCTGGGCTTCCTGGTGCTTTAGGGACCGGCCACCCGTGGAGAACACGCATTGCAGTGGCTGGAGGTGGTCACCAGTACCCACAGCCATCCCAGGAGGAAGAGCAGGTGGCACCTCTGTGTGTGGTTTGGATATCCAGGGGGGAGATTCCTGGGACCCTCTTCACAAGAGACACCCCAGACTCCATGGAAAGATTGTCATTTTCATGGTTTTTGCAAATGCAAAAGATCTGAGTGCTGGCTCAAGCCAACTCGTACGCTAGGAGTGGCTTTCCCTGGGTAAGCAACTCGGGATGGGACTCTCCAGAGCCCAGGCTGTGGGGGCAGACAGGGAGCAGTGTCCGCCGGCCACAGAGCTGTGGGACAAGGGACAGAGAGAGGAGCCAGTGGGTGTTCTGGAGCTACCAGGCCACTGTCTCCTGGGCCCGGTCTGTCTGATACCGCCTCAGGGATGACCTCTGTTACCCACCCACAGAACCTAGGCCTGCAATCCTGCGAGCTGGCTGGAGCCAGGCACCCTCTTGAACCCATGAAGAGCCCCAGGAATTAGGTGCCGTTATGGCTCCATTTTACAGATGAGGAGACTAAGACTCAGAGAGGTTAAGTAACTTGCCTGTGGTCATACAGCTAACAAGTGGCAGGACCAGGATTCAGCCTGATCCTGGAAGCTGCCACGCCAAGATTTCTTCACATTTGGGCAGTGAGGCAAGGACACTGCCTTGGGAGTTGGTTCTGGCTCCCTAGGATTGCCAGAACCCATGGAACCTGAGTCTAGAGAACCTGCCCGCTGCACTGCGGTGTGGATGGGGCTGGTGCTGGTGAACTGACTGCGACTCGCTTCTCCCCTGTCTGTTCCAGAACCCCTCCTGGCCATGCTGTGACCTGCAACCTAACTTATAGGTAGAGACCGTCCCATGTCTACACAGAAAGCCTCCAGAGCTGCGGGGATGTGGCTGCCATGAGATCTCCACAGGCAGAGGGTAGCTTTTCCTTCCTCCTGTTGGGAGGTGACATAGAGAGAGAAAGGATGGCCTCGACAGTTAAACGTCACACTGACTGCCCAGCAACAGCCTCCTGTCTCTACAAGGAGAGAAAGGGCAGCATCGGCCACGGCTGTGTAACCACTGTGAGACTGGGGCAAAGTCCAGCTCCCGAAGGTGGCAAGCCCGGCCCAAGGGACAAGAGTGAAGGGCACATGGGACAGACCTGGGCCTGGAGGGCCCTGTGCAGCAGAGACAGGTACCTTGGCAGCGGCCAGCTCGTGGGCAAGCTCCTGGATCTT
The DNA here is from genome assembly GCF_000001405.40 of Homo sapiens. NCBI lineage: Eukaryota > Metazoa > Chordata > Mammalia > Primates > Hominidae > Homo > Homo sapiens. Next base: position 10,624,398 of record NC_000001.11, on the reverse strand, counting down.
CTGCTGCTGCTGAATCAGCAGCTCCTGGACGGAGGCGAGGGTCGTCTGTAACTGAGTCACTGCGAGGAGAAAGCAGTCACGGCGCTGGCAAATTCACAGGCACAGACGTTCCCCTCGCTCGGTCCGCACACCTCGGAGCTGCCCGTGTTCCCGCTCCATCTAATTTATCTGCAGACACCCCCAGCCCCCGCAATCCATCTAATTTATCTGCACTCTGGGTGATCTGCCTGCACTGTATCTAACCTCTAGTATTTCTACTTTATCTTTCCATTGTGTAGTTGTCCATGGTCAACAGTATATCCGTCCAGAACCTCTCCCCTCTAATTAGAGCTGGCTATGATTTGCTGAGCTCTCCCGGCTTCTCTGGCGCCTGCGTCCTTCATCTCCTGGGCCTCAGTGTCCTTGTGAAACTCCTGGGGTCTCCAATGCTGGGAGAGATGCATCTCAGGTCCCCGCCACATTCACATCCAGGAGTGGCTCAAGCCGCACGTCCTGTTTCCCACTGCTCCTTCCCACCCTCCCCACCTGACCCAAGCTGCCTGCTCAACTCCCTGGTGTCCCGTGACCCCTCAGGACCTTGTTGCCACCAATGTCAGCCTCGCAGGAGCAAACGGCAGCAGGATGGACGTGTCAGAGGGTTTCTGTGAGCTTCACAAACGTGCTCCAGAGGGACACAGACTCCTGCCTGGGACAGGTGGCTCTCTCATTGGCCTTGCTCTGGTTTTTAGATTCAGAGCTGCCGTCTAGTAAACAAGTTTATAAAGAAGAGAAGCCACCTCTGGCGCGACAGGTCCCAGCTAATCTGGGCCATCGCTGGGGCACTGGGTAATGAACGCGAGCCCTGTTGAGTCGATAACAGGGGAGGTGGCTGGGGTCCCGGGAGCCACAGTAATTACAGACTCTCTTGACCCCACAGTCGAGTCTTAGAGGGAAGGGGGAAAATCACTGAAAACCCCCCTGAAAACCTCATAGAAGCAGAAATTAAAAATGAACTTTACAGCCCTTAGAAAGGCTGTCATTTTATTCCCCTTATTAATATTCTGAGGTTGGGAGCCTTTCCGTAAAAACATAATTAATTGAGGCCGCGCCGACAGTAAACAAGCAATTTCAAATTAAACCGAAATGACGGCGGCTTCATTTGCAAATGTGAACAGATTCTCAGAGCAGATAAATGAAGTCACCACATAGAGTGGAGACAGAGGGAGAGGGGAGGGGCAGAGAAGGGGCTGCTTGGAGAAGGCTGTGAGGGGTGACTTGATGGAGTCATTAATCTTTACCTGTCTGGGCCACGCTGCCACTCAGCTCAGAGAGACCGGCCTCCATCCTCTCCAGCTGCTTTCTGTCCTCTCGGCCGCCCAGGATGAGGGGGAGCAGGTATTTCTGCAAGAAGCGGGACAGGGTGAGGAATGCATACGGACCCGGGGTTATCCTCCAACAATCTCTCAAATTCTGCCGCCCAACTTTCTCCCTGTCATCCCTGGGTTTTGGAAACCCTAAGCAAACACCATAAATGAACAAGATATTTGAAAAAGTTATGAGACTGCGATTACAACCACGTAAAAATTCTGCCTGAATAAGGACAAGGACCAGGAGGGAACGTGGACAGGGAGAGTCAGCTGGATCTGCTGTGATGGGAACTTTTTGGTTCCTTTATTTACTTTTCTTAGTGATGCTACACTATTTCTGTAACACAAAGTTATAAACTCTACTGTCAAAGTTGTAAGATATAAATGTGGATGGACACACAAGCAACAGATAATGCTGGAGCCTCCAGGAGGCGAGGGAGGCGGGGCAGCTCTTCCCGGCATGTTCTCCTGAATTGTGAACATTTTGAACCTGTGAGTGAATCACCTATTCAGAAACAAACGAGTAAATTAATAAACAAAACATCGCTGGAGAAACTAAAGGAAAATCAACAACACATTTCTGGGACCCTTGGTTCTCTCGCCAGGGGATAACATGTGCGCTCTGAGGCTGCTGGAAGAGGTCACCTCAGTCTTTTTCTAAATGAAGCCTGAATCCTCAGAACAAACTTCCTTCACGTAAGAGTCAAAAGAAGTCGAGTTCCCCAGAAGGAAACACAAGGCAGAAGGGAGAGGAAGGCGCAGGACCAGAAGAAACTGGCTCTGGGGAAAAAGAAAGTGAATGCGGCAGGGCCACCCCTCACAGGGGCCTAGAACCAGGGATGCCCGAAGGAGCCGTTCAGGAAGGGGGCAGGCAGGGCAGGGCTGGCAACTGGTGCTCTTGGTTGCCTTGGAGGTGAGGGTGTGGAGGGGTGGAGGTGGGTGGTGGGGCCTGCAGGGACAGCTGCGTGTAGGAACATGTGCACTGACGTCCAGCCACTCGGGACATGGAGACAAAGCCCCCCAGGTGAGGAGTGAGACCCGCTGCCCCCTTCAGTGGGCACTGCCAGAGGCAGTGCAGTGCAAGCCTGGCAGGAGCTGCCCGGGGATAACTTTGGTTCTTAATCTATCTGGGCCCAGATAGGAAAGAGGACGGAAACTTCTCCATTACGGTTTCTGTACCAGGGAAGGAAAAGAAGCTCTCTCACAAGGGGTTTGTGGGAACTCATTTCCAGAGTGACTCCTAAGTGAAGATCATTCTTCAGCAGCACATGTATAGACGCATTTTCTATTTTGCAAAGTGCTTTTCAACCACAGTGTGAGCTATTACCCACAACTGAGCCAAAACTCATCAAAGGTAGCCTTACACTTCAGGATGAAATGTCCTCAGCAAGAAAGGTAAAGAATTCTTGGCCGGGCGCGGTGGCTCACGCTTGTAATCCCAGCACTTTGGGAGGCTGAGGTGGGCAGATCATGAGGTCAGGCGTTCGAGACCAGCCTGGCCAACACAGTGAAACTCCGTCTCTACTAAAAATATAAAGATTAGCTGAGTGTGGTGGCGCATGCCTGTAATCCCAGCTCCTCGGGAGGCTGTGGCTGGAGAATCGCTTGAACCCGGGAGGCAGAGGCTGCAGTGAGCAGAGATCATGCCACTGCACTCCAGCCCGGGTAACAGAGTTAGACTGTGTCTCAAAAAAAAAAAAAAAAAAAAAAGAATTCATATATGTGTGTGTAACCAACTAAACACCCCATTTCTGAGATCAGAAGTCCTAAGGGCAGGAGCAGACACGCTGCCCTAGCCAAAGTCTTCACGTGCTTATAAAGCCAGTCGAGGGCTTTTTACCATTTCTTTTTTTTTTTTTTTTTAATTTCGAGAAACTGAGCAGATGCTTTAGAAATTCTCTTGTTACCATTGTGACTGATATTGCAATGTTTCTTTTCTTTTTAAAACAGAGCGGAGAGCCCAGAGCTTCGTAGAAACTACAAGTGGCAGCTCCGTGTGAGTGCCCACGCTAAGGCGGGCTGCCGAGCTGCCCTCCCGCTCCCGTCAGGCCACAGGCCCTCCATGGGTGGCCATGTGACAGTGCCTACTGCTCATTACAGCCAGGGCATTCATCTGAGGACTCTGGCGTTCGTGTCACATTCTTCTTGGTGCTTGTATACAGTCAGTGATTTGAAGGGGGCACCAGTTCAGAGGGAGAAGAACCGGGTCCCAAGAGGTGTTTTTGTTCTGTTCTGTTTATTTATGTATTTATTTGAGACAAAGTCTCGCTCTTTCACCCACGCTGGAGTGCAGTGGCACAATCTCGGCTCACTGCAGGCTCACTGCAACCTATGCCTCCCAGGCTCAAGTGATTCTCCTGCCTCAGCCTCCCAAGTAGCTGGGATTACAGGTGCACGCCATGACACCCAGCTAATTTTTGTATTATCAGTAGAGACAGGGTTTCACCTTGTTGGCCAGGCTGGTCTCAAACTCCTGACCTCAAGTGATCCGCCCACCTCAGCCTCCCAAAGTCCTGGGATTACAGGCATGAGCCACTGCGCCTGGCTTATTTTGTTTTTTAAATTGAGACAGGGTCTCCTTCTGTTGCCGAGGCTGGAGTGCAGTAGTGTGATCTCAGTTCACTGCAACCTCCACCTCCCGAGCCCAAGTGATCCTCCCACCACCCTCAGCCTCCCGAGTATAGCTGGGACTACAGGCTCACACCACCATGCCTAGCTTATTTATTTTATTTTATTTTATTTTATTTTATTTTATTTTATTGTTTGGTAGAGACACAGTTTCACCATGTTGGCCAGGCTAATATCAAACTTCTGGGCTCAAGCAATCTGCCTGCCCTGGCCTCCCAAAGTACTGGGATTAGAGGTGTGAGCCACGGCACCTGGGCCAACCCAGGATGTTTTGTTTCTCAATTTCTTTTTCTTTTTCTTTTTCTTTTTTGAGAAGGAGTCTTGCTCTGTCACCCAGGCTAGAGTGCAGTGGCATGATCTTGGCTTACTGCAAGCTCCGCCTCCCAGGTTCACCCCATTCTCCTGCCTCAGCCTCCCCAGTAGCTGGGACTGCAGGTGCCCGCCGCCATGCTGGGCTAATTTTTTGTATTTTTAGTAGAGTCGGGGTTTCACCGTGTTAGCCAGGATGGTCTCGATCTACTGACCTCGTGATCAAGTCAGGATCCTCAGCCTCAGCCTCCCAAAGTGCTGGGATTACAGGCGTGAGCCACCGCGCCCAGCCCTTGTTTCTCAATTTCTAACATGGAAATGTCCAGCTCCAGGAATACATGCTACACTTAAAAAATTATATTCTGCTACAACTGTCATTAGCTTTTGTATTACATCAAAAATGAAGAATCTGGAATACCATGGCTGACCATGTTTCATGTGCTAAGAGTGACCATGGCGAGTCTGAGTGCTCATTCAGGTTGTTTAAAAAAGAAAATCACCAGCCGGGCACGGTGGCTCAAGCCTGTAATCCTGGCACTTTGGGAGGCCGAGGTGGGCGGATCACCTGAGGTCAGGAGTTCGAGACCGGCCTGGCCAACAGTGAAACCCCATCTCTACTAAAAGTACAAAAATTAGCCAGGCATGCACCAGCACGCCTATAATCCCAGCTACTCAGGAAGCTGAGACAGGAGAATTGCTTGAACTCAGGAGGCGGAGCTTGCAGTGAGCCGAGATCATGCCACTGCACTCCGGCCTAGGTGACAGAGCGAGACTCCATCTCAAAAAAAAAAAAAAAAAAATCACCAATCAGGGGTGGAGGAGCTGGCAGCCTCGAAAGAAAAGAGGCTTCTCTACAGGGTCCCAAGATCTGGACTGGGCACCTACCCTGGCCTGCATTTTCTAGACTCTAGACTCATTTGCTTCACGTCCAAGTTGGGCCTTCACAAGGGAGTCAATGTTCACGTCATGCCTGCAGTTCTGTTGCAAGCAATGAACCTGGGATCCTGAAAGTTGACTTGAGAAGCCTGGGAAATCCTAGATTTCTATAGATGGCAGCACAACAGACAGAGCAAAAAGAACAGCTCCCATACATCTGATGACACTGAGGTTCTCACCGCCGCTCTTAAATGCTGTGGCAGAACAATGGTGTATAAAGCACTTCCATGTGCCGGGCATGGCTCTGAGTCCTCTACAAGGGAGACTGACTCTTCCGGACTTCACGACAACCTTGTGAAGTGGGGACTGTTATTCCCATTTTACAGACCAGAGCCTGTGATCACCAAGCTCCTGAGGGGCAGAGCCAGGGCTCAGCAAAGCAGCTGGCCCAGCGTCCATGCTCTTCGCCATTATGTTATTCTGTGTCTCAAAACTGCTCGCACGGCTTCCCCGTGCGGGCACTACTGTAAGTGCCTGACATGGGCTGGCAAGGGACAGACCTCACGACGCCCCTGCAAGTGGAGATCTGGGTGGTATATGCTGAGCACTGGAGAAAAGGTGGGCAGAGCCTGCCAAGCCCCACAGCAGGGCAGGGTCTGCCTGGATCCAGCTGTGAACCCCGACCTCTACCACAGCCTCTCACTGCCAACACACTCCAGGGCAGAGCACGGCAGTGCCTCCATGCAGGGGAACCAGTGAAAGGGTGCTGAATGCCACAGGGTGGCAGGGGCACAGCACCTGCAGCCGCTGGGGGTGACTCACCTTGTAGAGCTGGTGAAAGCCAAATGCAATGCCTGCCATGATGATGGCCAGGGCGCCGTAATCTCGCCATCGGGAGCCTGCGGGACCTACAGGCGGGAAGAGGAGGAGGGTTAGAAGACGCACATGGCGTCCTTCTTCGGGTGGGGGCTGGCACAGGTGCCTCAGTGGCACAGTCTCCTCGCCTCCAACAATGGGCAAGTGGAACACTCCAACGCAGGAAGGCAGCACATGATCATCACAACAGCAGCCGGCTCCACCCCTCCTGTTCCCACTGCCTCAACTGGGACACAAGGGATGCCAGTCACCCAACCCTGACTGCAGGCTGTGGGTGGAGGTATCTAGCAGTGAGCTGAGACCTGAGTTGGCAGTCAGGTGGCAGAGGTGATCTGAAGACCAACAGCATGGTCTCTACCTCAGGAACAAAAGATCCAGAGAGGATAACAGGAGTATGTTTAGGGGAGCATAAATATACCCATATATGCCCTACTATAGCTGGCGATAAGCTGGGGGCCACAGCAGAACCAAGCGGGGCCTCAGCGAAGTGGAGAGGGGGACCGTGGTACGCTGGGTGGGGGCACGGGGGTGGGCTGTGGTAAACTAGACCTCCCAGCCCTGCTCTCGCTTGGAGCCAGAGGAGAGAAAACACAAGTCTCCAAATGACTGAGCAAGGCTTCAGAGAATGAGAACGCCTATCAAAAGGGATGGGGGTGGCAGGGGAGAGGGGCTGGGGTCAGCAGGGCCTTGGAGGAGCCCTGAGGCCCTTGGGGGCTGGAGGGGAGCAAGCACAAAAGAGAGACGGTAGGTGGGTGTAGACCAGGTGAGCACCCTGGGCCTGACTAGAGAGGAGAGCTGCTCTGGCCCAGAGGACCCCAAGAGCAGGGTGCTGGGGAGAACGGAGAGGAGCCAAGGAAGCCGCAGGTACAGTGGGGGCTGGGGCGGGGCAGGAAAGAGGTAGACAGGTGGCACCAGGTGGACTGTGTGGTCAAGGAAGCCGAATATTCTTTCCTAAGCAATGGGAATTACTGGGGGATGTGAATCAGGGAGTGCCATGACCCTGGACAGCAGCACTGGGGAGGCTCTGAGGGTGGTCAGAAGTGGGGGCCGCAGAGGCAGAAGAGCTGGGGCGAGCCTGCTGCAAGGGTTCACGAGGTGGAGAGGGACTGGGACCAGCACAGAGGGCAAGAAGGGAGTGGGGCAATGTCTCAGGAGAACACATTGCTGCTGCTGTGAAGGGCAGCCAGTCTTCATGGAAGATCACCTGGCCCCGTTCTCTTCTCTTTATTTGTATTAAGTAATCTTTTTAGAGATGGGCTCTTGTTATGTTGCCCAGGCTGGAGTGCAGTGGCGATCCACAGGCATGTCCCACTGCTGATCAGAATGGGAGTTTTGACCGGCTCCATTTCTGACCTCCTTAGGCGACCTCGTGGTCCCCTGCTCCAGGAGGTCACCATATTGATGCAGAACTTAGTGCAGAACCCCGATCAGCACAGTGCCCCGTAGCCCGGAACTCCTGGACTCAAGGAATCCTCTCACCTCAGCCTCCCAAGCAGATGGACTACAGGCGAGCAGCACCGCGCCCGGCCGATTCTCTTTAGAACGGCACATAGCAAAGTGCCCTCCTGAATGCAATTCTACTTGACGTGGGGAGAGTTTCCACCTTCACTCTTTCCCATGCCCAGTTCACAAAGTGCTCCCACGTCCACAACCTCATCTGATCCTCCAAGGCACGCGGGAGAGCCCCGTCTCCACTGCGAACACCTTTCTGGAGCGGCCATCTCCAGGCCACGTGGCGGGTGCTCTGCCTCCCCCCGAAGGATCTGTCATCAGGAGGGGCGTGGGTGGGACACAGACCAGCGGGGAAGGCGATCACAGCACCAGTGGAGAGCTATCCGGAAGGCGCCCCCACAGTGTGCTGCTCATCTGGGAGAAAGGGGGAGAGGGAAAATCAGCAGCGTTCTGAACTCTGGGAAGGAACGTCACAACACGGCCGAGTGAAGCTGAAGGACTTGCTGCTTGAGAGACTTCTGCCCTCAGTTCTCACCTGTGCCTGTAAGTTTTCAGAGGTACCTTCCATGTCCTGGCGTTTTATGACCACAGGGGAGGAGAAGGCCCGTTCTTTCCTTCAGCTCAGGGCAGGATGTGGCATGAGGGGGAAGGGGCTGCTGGCACGCAGCCCCACCAGGCGGATCCAAGTCGCAAAGACCTCCGAGTGGGCAAGGAGACACCCCCTCCCCCAGGGCTGCTGAATGGCACTCTCAGGGGGCAGAGACGACAGGGCTGGAGGGGCCTGGAGTCCCTCCTTGGCCACCAAACTCCCTCCCTGCCTGCGGATTCCATGCGAGACTCCCCGGTGTGTCCTAGCCCTGGAATCTCGGTCCCAAAACTGTAATCAACATAGGGCCTCTCCCTCAGTCCCCAACTCCCATTTCTGTTTTACACTTTTTGAACAGGTAGCACGCATACAGTTTACTCATCGAATAGCACAGGGCAGTCTGTGAAAAAAGGCTTCCCCACCACCAACAGCCATTAGTAGTCTTACATTTATCCTTCCAGTGAGTCTGTGTGCACACCTAAGGTGGCACAGGATGTCTTCTCTTCCTTCACGTTTCCCCATCTCTCAATCTTGTTTTCTACAGCTGCAGGATATTCCACTTCACCTGCCCTCCGATGGGCACCCAGCTCATTTCCAACTTTCTACTACTGCACACCACGCTGCCATCAACAACGTGCACACGTGCCATCTCCCACATGGGGACACGCACCCTGTGAGCCTCAGAACCCCCAGAGGGTGGTCCCAGGGCGTGTGCATTTGCAGTTTTGAGAAATACTGCCACCCTGCCTCCATGGGGCCGATAATTCACCCTGAGCCGCTGCGCAATGCCTGCTTCCCCACGGCTGCGCCCACACAATGCACGATTCAAACGCAGAGATTCCTGCCAATACCACAGCAGGAAAACAGAAGTTCACTCTAGTTCTAATTTGCATTGATCTCATTTTGAGTGAGGATTGAGCATGTTTTCATCAGCATTTCCTTTTCGGTGTACTGTATGCTCTCCACTTTTCTACTTGATTTCTTTTCCCTTGTCACTTTAGAGAGACTTTTTATATAGCAGGGATATTAGCCCGCTGTCTGTGATCTGCATCGCAAACATCTTCTCTGGTTTATTTTTCTTTTGACTCTGCTAATGGTGTTTTGTCGCATGCAGAGGTTTTTATACAAATTTATCAATCTATTCTTTTATGGGTTCTGGGGTTTGTGTTATGGTTAGCAAGGACTTCCCCCACTCCCTTCCCAGGCTGTGCAGTGACACTCGGTGTCTAAGAAACTGCCATGGGAAGGGGACAGTGCTACTTCACTGATGGTGGACACCCCCACCCGACACAAATCACCTCTCGTTATACAGGGAGCTCTAAGAGCACTGAGGCAGACGGATCTTTCACCTCGACCCCAAGGAGCCGGGCACTTGGAGTCCTGGTCAGGTGTCTCTTCTGTCTCCCCTCTTCTAGCCAGCTTTGCTTGGCGCTCCAGATACAAAACCTGACATCTAGTGCAAGTCCATTTTCAGGAGGAAAAAGTGAAGACAGAGCAACCTGGCCACCCCGCTCTCTCAGAGTCCCTGCTCAGGAGGGCCTTCATCCATACCCGGAACATCCCTCCCTGCAGCCAAAATCCTCAGGCAGAACAAGTGCAGAACGGGGCCCACGGCCCGAATACCATATTCACCACTGATTTCTCAGACACCATGAAGCCTCTTGCAAGAAAGCAGCTGTGACTTGGCTGAAAGCTTGACCAGCACCTGGAGTTTGCTGGATTCCTCTGCTCACCCGCAAACATCCCGCCATGAGAAGGACAGCCTTCTCTGGGGCCCTCTGGGCTGTCAAGGCTGAGCAGACGCTGGCTGTGTGGGTTGAGGACCAGGACCCTCCCAATAGCTGCCTCACTTTCCAGAGTTCTGAGCTATTCCAGCCCCAAGAAACACCTGTGGTCCCTGCAGCCTCACCCTTCACCCCTCACCGCTCCTCATTCCTGCCATGCTCACGTTAAGAACATTTTATTGCCCCCTGGTTTTCATTATTAATGAAAAGGGACCAGAATGATCTTTCCTAAAGTTCAGAGAGTCTATAAAGACAAGAAGCTGAAATGCCATTTTACTCGTTTTGGAGATGTGTGATACAATTCTGTCTTGTGGCAAAATGAAAAAAGAGAAAAACTCGGATAGAGATGACTCCTACCCGCTGTGTGGCTCTCAGAGGGTAACAGACCAGGCTACTGCAAAAACATTAGCACAGTCCACACTAGCTCAAACTCCCAGCCACGACCACCTCAAGTCCTGCCCCTCCCCACCCTGGGGCCTATTTTTTCCAAGTCTGGTGCAGACCCCGCAAGGGAACTGAGAGCAGGGCGCCTGGGAACACACCTCCCCGCCACCAGGCTCCCTGAATGTCCGGAGGTATAAAGACAAGGGCAGGAGATGGGGCAGTCACTCTTCTCTAGCTGGGAAGAAAAGGAAGAGAATGAGTGGGCTTTTTAAATGCTTCGAGTCTCCACTCTGGAAGCAGGGACTGGCCTGCCATGCAGACAAGGCAGACAAGGTAGCAAGTGGGCAACAAGCCTGGGGTCAGAAACCCTCATGCCACCACCAGCCAGGGGGGTTCCAAGGACATTTTTCTCTTCTTATCAAGCACTGACTGAAGGTGGCAGGGCTTTGTGAGCCCCAAAGAATCCAAGAACAGGCGATATCTTCACTCTCACTCAGAGCCCAGCTGTCTAAGGACCGGCGCCCTAGCTGCGTGGCAGGGGTTCCTCACCAGTACCAAAGCCCTGGCATCTCTGTGAAGGCTGAAGAGACGGGCATCTGTGGTGGCAATCCTCATCCTGCACACCTGGGCCTTCCTGGACTGCCTCTACGCTGTGGCGCTGTGGGCTGCAATGAGGTCAGGGGATAAACTGCTATAGAGCAAAGGGCATGGAGCTCTTCAAAACCCAACCTTCCAAGGACTCCACGAACTAGCTTAAGCTCTGCCCGGCTCCATGGAGGTCAGCCTGCGCAAAGGCTCCAGTTTGGGTAAAACCATGGTAGAGCGGGGGCAGGAGAGGTGCATCCCCACAGCTCCTAACTATTCACTGAACACCAACAAAACCAACATGACTCTGTTTCTTTATACCTCCACCAACCAAATTCTCACCTAACAGGTGAGAACAAACATCATCAACTAAGAACACATGCACAGGACTAGGACTTGTGCATACAACACGGCAATGTTGAGCCTGAAACCTTGCTGAGCAAGTCACAGACCGATCCACACCATGGAAATCCTGCAATCCAGTAAAGGTTCATCGGCAACACAGAGCTGAGAGCTGTCACGGAACCATCCTGCCGAGACAACAGGCACTCCAGTGATGTGCTGGCTGACAAGAGGGAGAGAACTCTCACGTCCTTGGGGAGGCTGGCAGCCCAAGCATGGGCAAGGCAGTGGTAGAAACGGGGCCAGCCCATTGAGGTCGCCTCCAGGCTCATCAGGGTTGGAGCCATGTCTCTATACAGCAGTGTCTCTAGCTTCTCACATCAGCCCATCAGCTTCGCTCAGAAGCCACCCTGAAAATTAAATGACAAGACAGGCTCACTCCCAGTAAGGTCCTGGAATAAAGCCAGCCCACCAAATCAGTGCTTGCTACAGCACAGAGGTGGAGAGCACAAGTGCAGAGAGACGGGGACCTGGCTGGGCTGAGAAGGGCTGGCTATAGCTTGGGGGCGGGGTGGGCCCTGAAGCACATGGCTGTGGATGGCTGGCAGTGGGCAGAAAGACAGGCCCAGAGAGCAGCAACAGAAACAGATCGTCTCTGCTCTGAACAGAAGGACTTGGCAGCCTGGATGGCAAAAGGCACCACAGTAGCCCAACAGTAGTCCTGTTGGAAAATGCAAAGCCTGTATTTACACGTACATCCCATGAAAGACAATCTTTTCCACTTTTCATGGGCTACAATGCCATTAGCAGTGTCATCTTTAGGCAGGAAGGACACCGAGAGGCATATCTATATCCCCTGTCCATAGATTAAAAAATATGAGCTCTAATTAAGCTGTTAAGAATTCAGAAGAGTCCAGAAATAGACCCATGCTTACATGGTCAACTGATTTTTGATAGAGGCCAAGGTAGCTCTATGGGGAAAGGATAATTTTTGCAACAGCCATGCTGAACAACTGGATATCCATAGGAAAAAAAAATGAACCTTGACTCTCACCTTATACCATACACAAAAATTAACTCAAAATGGGTCACACCTAAACAAGAAAGCAAAAACTATAAAACTTCTATAAGAAATCAGAAAACATAGAAGAAAATCTTTGCAACCTTGGGGTAAACAAAAACATCTTAAGATATAAGAAGCATGAACCAAAAAGGAAAAAACTGATCAAATGGACACCATCAAAATTTAAAGCTTTTGCTTTTCAAAAGGCACTGTCAAGAAAATGAAGAGACAAGCCATAGGCTGGGAGAAAATATCTGCCAAGCATATATCTGACAAAGCACTTGTAACTAGAATACATAAAGAGCTCTGACAATTCAATAATAATAAAAAGACAAAGTGGCTTTTAAAATGGGCATAAGATTGGAAGAGACTCTGTACAAAAGATATACGAATGGCCAATAAGTACATGAAAATATGCTTGATGTCATTAGCCATTAGGGAAATCCAAATTAAAAGTACTATACAATAAGGTTCCATTACATACACATTAGAATGGCTAAACTCAAAAATGAGACTATCGGGTGTTGACAAAGATATGGAGCAACTGAAACTCTTACATATTGCTGATGGGAACACAAACGCTACAACCATTTTGGGAAATAGTTTGACAGTTTCTTTTAAAGTTAAACATGGACCTAACATGTGACTAAGCCATTCCACTCCTAGGAAATGAAAGTATAAGTGCACATAAAGATTTATACATGAATGTTCACAGCAGCTTTACTCATAATAGCCCCAAACTGGGAGCAAGCCAGATGACTACCAACTGGTCAACAGATAAAGAAATTGCGGTACATGGAGCAACAGAAGTTGGCACTATAGCCAGTTGGCCAATCCTACTTTAGCCTATTTTTATGTAGCCATGAGCTAAGAATGGCTATTAATTTTTTTTTTATTTCGGTGGGGGGACAGAGTCTTGCTCTGTCACCCAGGCTGGAGTGCAGTGGCGCAATCTCAGCTCACTGCAACCTGTACCTCCTGGGTTCAAGTGATTCTCCTGCCTCAGCCTCCCAAGTAGCTGGAACTACAGGCATGCCACCAGGCTCAGCTAATTTTTATATTTTTAGTACAGACAGGGTTTCACCATGCTGGCCAGGCATGGTGACCTCAAACTCCTGACCTCAAACTCCTGACCTCAAGTGATCCACCCAACTCACATCCCAAAGTGCTGGGATTACAGGCGTGAGCAACCGCACCCAGCCTGGTTATTAAATTTTTAAAGAATTGTGGTCATGGGAAAGGGAGAAGAAGAACAGGAAGAGGAAGAAGGAGGAGAAAGAAGAGAGGATGAAGGGAGAAGAGAAAAAGGTGAGAAGGAAAACATGTGACAGAGATATGTGGCTCACAAAGTCTAAAATATACCCATTTAAAGAAAAAGTCCAGGCAGTGGCTCATGCCTGTAATCCCAGCACTTTGGGAGGCCAAGGCGGACGGATCACCTGAGGTCAGGAGTTCAGGAGTTCGAGACCAGCCTGACCAACATGGAGAAACCTCGTCTCTACTGAAAATACAAAATTATCCAGGCGTGGTAGCGCATGCCTATAATCCCAGCTACTCGGGAGGCTGAGGCAGGAGAATCACTTGAACCCACCCGGGAGGCAGAGGTTACAGTGAGCCAAGATCACGCCATTGCACTCCAGCCTGGGCAACAAGAGTGAAACTCCATCTCAAAAAAAAAAGAAAAACGAAAAAGAAAGCCCACTGATCTCTGGAATACAACTCAGTAATGAAAAAGAATGATATCTCTCTCTCTCTGTGTATATATATATGTGTGTGTGTGTGTGTGTGTGTGTGTATATATATATATATATGTAAAGTTATATATATTTGTGTATAATATATATAAATATATAATAAATATACTCTGGGCAACAGAGTGAGATGGTGTCTCCAAAAAACTAACACTATAAAACTTCCTAGAAGACAATATAGGAGAAAGTCTCTTCAACCTTGGGGTAGACAAAGGCTTCTTAGGATGCAAAAACCATGAATCACAATCATGATATAGACATAAACAGTTCATTCCTTTTATATGTATTTTCCAAATATATATTACATATATTTACATATAATATAGAAATGCATATATAAATTATATATGAATAAAATTATATGTATTTATATAAATATGTATTTATATATCAATACATATATATGTATATAAAAACATGAATCAATCTCAAAACCATTATGTTACGGTAAAGAAACCAGACACAGAAGTCTACATACTATATGGTTCCATTTATACAAAATGTTTTATTTTTATTTATTTATTTATTTTTTGAGATGGAGCTTCGTTCGGTCACCCAGGCTGGAGTACAATGGTGCAATCTCAACTCACTGCAACCTCCGCCTCCCGGGTTCATGGGATTCTCCTGCCTCATCCTCTCGAGTAGCTGGGATTACAGGCGCCCGCCACCACGGCCAGCTAATTTTTGTACGTTTAGTAGAGACAGGGTTTCACCATGTTGGCCAGGCTGGTCTCGAACTCCTGACCTCAGGTGATCCGCCCTCCTCAGCCTCCCAAAGTGCTGGAATTACAGGCATGAGCCACTGCACCTGTTCTATAAGAAATGTTTGAAAAGGCACAAGGAACTACAGTGACAGAGCAGAGATTGGTGGTTAACAGAAACCAGAGGCAGGGGAAAAGGACGACATAAAGGGCACAAAGCAACTTTCTGGGGTGATAGAAATTTTCTATATTGTGATTGTAGTGTTGGTTACAGGAGTTAAATGAGTTACAACTTGTTTGTACAACTCATTGAATTGTATACTTAAAATTGATGTATCTTATTGTATGTAAATTATACTTACAAAAAGCTAATTAGAAAGAAAAGAATTAAGAAGGATCCAGAAACATAAAACTACCACATCCAGCAATTCCACTCCTAGATATCTACCCAAGAGGAATGAAAACGTATGTCCACACAGAACTTGCACAGAAATGTTCTTTGCAGCATTATTCATCTTCACCAAAATTGGAGACAATCTAAATGTCCATCGACTGCTGAACTGATGGACAAAATGAGGTACAACCAGACAACAGAATACTATTCCATGATAAAATGGAATGAATTACTGATACATGCTACAATATGGATGAACCTCAAAAACATCAGGTTAAGTGAAAGAGGCCAGGTACAAGAGATCACATATTCTGATTCCATTTACCTGAAATGTCCAGAAAAGGGGACATTTATAGTGATGAAAAGGAGATTAGTGGTTGCCTGGGGCTAGAGGTGGGAAGAGGGATTAACAGTAAATGGGCCCAAAGGATCTTGCAGGGGAGGTGAAGTACTCTAAAGCTGATTTATGGTGACAGCTGCATCACTCGGTAAAGTTACTAAAAATCATTGAATTGTATAGTTGAAATGGATGAGTTGTATGACATATAAAGTATACTTCGATAGCTTTGTTTTTTTTTTTATTTTTTTTTAAAAGAGGAATCTAGAAACAGACCCATTCATATATAGTCAGTTGATTTTTTTTTTTTCTTTTTTTTTTTGAGACGGAGTCTCGCTGTTGTCACCCAGGCTGGAATGCAGTGGCACAATCTCAGCTCACTGCAACCTCCACCTCCCAGGTTCAAGCCATTCTCCTGCCTCAGCCTCCTGAGTAGCTGGGATTACAGGCACCTGCCACCACACCCAGCTAATTTTTGTACTTTTAGTAGAGACCGGGTTTCACCATGTTGGCCAGGCTGGTCTCGAACTCCTGAGCTCAGGCAATCCGCCCACCTTGGCCTCCCAAAGTGCTGGGATTACAGATGTGAGCCACCAAGCCTGGCTGTGAGTTGATTTTTTATAGACATGTAACTCAATGCGGATAAGATAATCTTTTGAACATAAGGTATAGGCACAACTGGATATCCTTATGGGGAGAAACGAACCTTGACCTTCACCTCACACCATTCACGAAAATTAACTAAGAATAGATCACAGACCTAAACATAAAAACTAACGCTATAAACTGGGTGCAGTGGCTCATGCCTGGGCAACATGGTGAAAACCCATCTCTCCACAAAATACAATAATTAGCCAGGTGTGGTGGCACACACCTGTAGTCCCCACTACTTGGGAGGCTGAAGCAGGAGGATCACTTGAGCCCGTGAGGTAGAGGTTGCAGTGAGCCAACATCAGGCCATTGCATTCCAGCCTGGGTGACAGAGTGAGACAGTGTCTCCTAGAAGACAATATAGGAGAAAGTCTCTTCAACCTTGGAATAGACAAAGTCTTCTTTAGGATGCAAAACCATGAATCATAAAAGGAAAAAAAGATAAATATATGTCATCAAAATTAAAATTGTGTGCTCTTCAAAAGGTAATGTTAGGAAAATAAAAAGGCAAGCCACCAACTGGGAGGAAATACTCATAATACATGTATCTGACCAACAACTTGAATCCAGAATACATTAAAAACCTCATTCAACTCAGTAAGAAGACTGTTAATAATGGGCAAAATACTGAAACACACTCTTCACAAGAAAGATATGCAAGTGGACAATAAACACACAAAGAGAGGTTCAACCTAATCAGTCATCAAAGAAATATAAACCCAAACCACCATGAGATACCAGCATATACACACTAAAACTGCTAAAATTAAAAAGACTGAGAAGACCAACTGTTGGGGATATGTAGCAACTAGAACTCTCAAACATTGCTGGTGGGAAGGTAAAATGATGCAACCACTCCAGAAAACAGTTTAGCAGCTTCTTATAAAGTTAAACATACACTTAACATATAAACCAACAATTCTACTTCTAGGCGCTCACCCAAGAGAAATAAAAACATACAAAGACTTGTATACGAATGTTCACAAAAGTTTTATTCGTAATAGCTCAAAGCTGGAAACAACCCAAAGTCCATCAACTGGTGAATGGATAAACAAACTGTGGTGCATCCCTACAATGGAATACCACCCACCCAATGGTAAAAAGGAAAAGGCTTCGGATGCGCACAGCAATTTGGGTGAATCTCGGCAACACTACGCTGAGCGGAAAGAAAAAAAATAGAAACAAGAGAGTACAATACTGTATGATTCTATTTATATTAAAAAAAGAAAAAAAACTCTAGGAAAGAAATCTAATAGGTAGTAATAGAAAGCAGATCAGTGGTTGCCCTCAAGCCAGGATCAAGGAGGGTGGATTGACTGGAAATGGGACCCAAGGGAACCTTTCAGGGTATTGGAAATGTTCTGTCATGTAGTGATGGTTATATGGAAATGTACACTTATCAAAACTCAAATTGTACAATTAAAATGGGTGTATTTTATTTTACGTAAATTACATCTCAATAAGACTTTTAAAAAATAAAAAATCCATTCAGAATTTTTTTTAAAAAAGAGCTACAGGAAGTCAGGAGTGCTTGGGAACACTACCCAGTGGTGTAGGCTCTAAGTTTTCTCTCTGCACAGCTTGCAGCTGGGACCAAGAGAAGAAGCCAGACCTGAGAATTCTAATGCAACTTTAAAAAACATACCCTGTAATATTTGACACATACAAAAGAATATAACATTTATTTAAGTTATAAGAACAGGAATACAATGAGCAATTCTAAACCTGCCTAATTTACTAGCTAGAACTTTCCAAATACCACTGAAGCTAGCCATGTGTTCCTCCCCAGCCCAGAGGCAACCATTATCCTAAACCCAGTATTTATCAGAACTCAAACCTCCTATGGGATATGGAAAGCTGAGGACATGTGCTGACGAGATCAGGACTACATCTCAGCCTCACTCGCAGGCAAGGATAGCCATGCAAGATCCAGCCAATGGGGAGAAAGTGGAAGGGACATGGGCAATTTCCAAGAGGTGTCCTTAGAAGGCAGCCTGCCCTTTTCCCGCTTTCTCCCCGCTCTCGCTGGCTGGACAGCAGGTGGGATAGTTGGAGCTGAAGCATTCACACTGCACCACGAGACGGATGAGAGCCAGTCAGGAATGCAGAGCAGTGAGGCAGAGTAGGGTTCCTGCAGACCACAGAGCCTCCTGGCAGCCTGGGCTGCCTACATTTATGTAATAGAGAAAAATTCCTCTCTCTTTAAGCCACTCTTGTTTGGAGTTCTCTGTCACCTGTAGCAGAATTTTCTAAAACTAACACACTGTCAGCACAGCCAGAATCCTAACTGCCATCAACACCAAAGACTTGTAATGGTCCAAGAAACCTAAGGAAAGGATCACTTCATTTCGGTTCCTTCCCGTGATACTTACCCTCTTCAACATCCGCGAATGGCATTTATTCAGCCCCCATGTGGCACCACACCAGGCAGAACACACAGCAACAAAATGGAGAGGGTGCTTGCTAATCCAAACCGGCACCACGGACAAAAGAAAACACAATTTCCTCAAAATTAAAGAAATACTTTCTTCATATACAAACCAGTAACTTTCAGGTAGCAAAAAGAGAGATTTGTCTGCTAAACCAGCAGAGAAAGAAATGGAAGCATGAGAGAGAAATGGAAGAGACAGAGAGAGAGGTGGAGGCGACATTTGCTATTTTGCTTTCTGACGGGAACCCCGAGGCCACCCATGCATGCTTTCTGTTTACTGTCACCTCAGTATCACTTACGCACAGGCCACCCTGGCCCCGGGCCTTTGCTGTTCCCTCTCCACAGTGATGTCTTCCTTGACACCTTGGGTCTACCTTATGGCTGACTGATCTTCAAAGCCAGTTCAAGTCCTGCCCCTTCTAGAAAGCCTTGCCTAAGACTAGCGTTCTGGGAATTTCCTTTGTTCTCAAATTCTGAAAGCTCTCAACATTCTCACCATGCAAGGTGACGTGGGATGGTCTTCCCTGTCTTTCTCCAAGCAATGGAGGGCTTCCCTCTACGATGAACAGCAGCTCCTGAAGGTGGGTCCCATCCCCTACTTCTTCCATAGCTTGCCCAGAGCAGTCTGCACCAGCTGGGCTCACAGACCGTATCACCGACCGACCACCAGGGCAGCTCGTCCACATGATAGCCCTTCCATTCTCAAGCACATTTCCACCCCTGTTAATCCATTCCACAAGCATTTCTAGAACACCTGCTCAGTCAGAGCCTCAGGCCACTAGATTTTTTTAAGCCTCAGAACTCACAGTTTAATAGGGGAGACACTGGAATAAATGTTTAAGTGCAGTGGGGCGGGGTGGGGAGTCTAGGGGCCTGAGGGGAGCTTCCCTCCAAGTCAGAATGGAGGCACTGGAAAGACTCCCTGGAGGAGCGAGTGCTGGCCCAACCATGGAGAACAACAGTGAGCACACAGGGTAGGCACTACAGGCTCGGCACAAGAACAATGGCCTCCGGCTGATGCCCCCCCACCCATGTCTCCCCTAACTAACCTCATGGCACCTGCTGAGATGATACAAATAATTTTAATATTAATCTAAGAATAAAATGGCCAAATAGGTCGTATGGCACAAAAATAATTAGATGATGCATTTCAAAGTAAAACATCACTGTGCTTTTGGCTGTCCTCTGTCGGAGCTGACAGAGCCACCCTTTCTCCAGCCATTTCCTCTGACTCTCATCCCATGCTCCAGCCACTCTGAACAACTCAGAGTTTCTTTCTTTTTGGTTTTTTAGAGGCAGGGCCTTGCTCTGGAGCCCAGGCTGGAGTGCAGGGGTACAACCATGGTTCACTGCAGACTCGATCTCCTGGGCTCAAGCAATCCTCCCACCTCAGCCTCCCAAGTACACGCACCACCATGCCTGGCTAGTTTTGTTTTTTAAATTTTTTTACAGAGATGGCATCTCACTATGTTGCCCAGGCTGGTCTTGAACTCCTAGCTTCAAAGTGCTCCTCCTGTCTCAGCCTCTCAAAGAGTTGGGATTACAGGCGCCACGTCCAACAACCTGGAGTTTCTTAAATTCATCAGTTTCACATCTATATGCTTTTGTGTTAGCCTGGAATGCTCTTGTCTATCCTGTCTGATCACTGAACCAAGCAGCCCGCCACATCCAGTTAGACATCTGCTCTCTGAAGCTTCCCGTCGCCTCTTCTGTGCCACCGTCCTCACCGGGACCACCTGACAGGCACTGCTATGTTGGCCTAACCGTCTTTCCTACCAGACGGGAGCAACCAGAGAGAGCGACCAGGTCTTGTTAGTCTCTTTAGCCCAGGGGTCTGGCACACAGTAGGCATTCAATAACAATGCTTGCTCAGTGAATTAAGATAACCACAGATAAGTTTGTGTTACTACACAGGGCTACAAAAGAAATAAACAGAGGAATAACTCACTCTCTCTCAGGATTTCTAATCAAATGGTTCAAAACCTTTCACCGGCCTCAGATGCTGACATCCTATTTTGAGAAGAAGCAACTGAAGCTCTAGGTCAGTCTTTGAAGGGGTTTAAATTGTTTATCAAAGACAGTGGAGGGAAAATGTTCAAATCTAAGAAGAAATTATTATCCTACAAAATTTACACTGGTCCTGCTTATATCTCAAAGCTTCTTGGTCTCTCTGGGAGGACGAAGACAAATCAGCTTGGCGTGAATCAATCAACCAGCATTTATCAGACCTCTGCTCAGGACTGGGCTAGGCCTGCACCTATACACATGCACTGACTCCCGATGTAAAGCCAGACAAGAAACCAAAATGAGAAATGGAGAATTTCAAATCTTCTCTCGAATCACAGCCTGACTTCTCCTGAACTGTACCAACTTTCTTCTAGCCCCCGAGAGCACTGGTTTATGCTCACACCAGGTGACACCAAGCTTCCCCTTGGTGCCAACCTCCTATCACTTTCACAAAAGCCTTCCCTGACTCTAGCCCACATTAATTCTTCTCTTTTCTATATTTCAGAATTTCAGAATTTCTTGTCTGTATAATTAATTTTGGCATTAAATCACAACATCTTATATTATTATCCTTTTCTTAAGAGTTTATCTTATCTTTCCCAAAGAGCTTAGCAAGATGCTTAAAGATCAGGTTTTGGATCTCTCGCATGATATAGTACTGACCGTATAGTAGATGGTTAATAAAAATACTGAGAAATTGAACTGTTACTATTTGGGCAGGTCTCTACGTTCTCTCTGCCAACACTGGCATTTGCTAACATCTCAAGGTCAACCACATTCACCAAAGAACAGAGATGCCAAAAGAGGCACTCAGTGGCACACCTGCCACTGAGCAGGTGGGCCAGCAGGTTCAAAGGTGAAGAGCACTGGGCTCCCTGGGGTGGTCTTGGAAAAGCTACCCTACCCTGAGACCTGAGTGTTTGGGGCTAGGCCCAGGGGATCCCATTTTCTAGCCTTGGGCTCAGAGATGGAATGTCCGTAAAAAGCCAAGAAATGGGAAGGAAAAGGCTGCCGGGGATCTAGATGTAAAATCGGCAGGAACACACATGAATAGAGGCCATAAATCCCTCCCGACGCAGACAATGCCTCAGTGATAAGCATGCAGATTGTGCACCTAGTTCAGAAACTCCCCTGAGTTTGCTTGTAATTAAGGGGGTTAGAAAAGTAAAAAAATATATAAACCCAATTAATCATTTAAATATTTAAAGTCAGATTTTTCCCTCACTCCAGGATTAGTATATTTCATAATGCCAGCAGCAGACAGCCCTGGTTTTTACTGGGGTTCATTTTGGAGCATGTTTAAACTAGTCAGATTGAGTGATGCTTCCAGCAACTAATCGCATGTCAAATAAAAGATATTTTATGTAATAAATTACCGCTACAAGTAATTCAAATGTCATTTATCAGTTTTATTATCAGTCAGGCAAAGTCTTGTTTCTCTATATTAATCAAAATCAAGCTTTTTTTTTTTTTAAGCAGTTTTGACACCTCTTGGCAAAAGTACAGAAGTGAAGAGGTAGAGTCACCCCCGGAGTGAGAGGAGCAATGTAACGGTATGAGAAGAATGAAGCTCAATGATGACAACTAAAAACTTCAGGTATTTAAAATTATCATTACCATTGTTTTTACACTAGTGTCAAAGCAGGAAGAAGTCTGTGTCTAAGAATGTGTATTTTATTTTTAGGGGCTGGAAGGCTCTTAAAAATATTCCTACCTAAATACCTCAACGTGTATTGCTTTTTCTCAGAGCGATCTGGACATGAGTATGATTTAAATAACTGAATTGCCCCTCCCCACCCCATTCTTTTGCCTCTTTCAGAAAGACTAACAGTTTAACCCTTTGTGTCTATGGAAAGTAGGTGAACATATGATGTTTTAGGCCAACTCTGTGATCAACCAGAACAATTTGTTCTGAGTAAGAAGTTTCCAAGTAGCCGAGAGACCTGTTCGGTATTAAGCCACTGGAGGAAACAGCTGGAACAGAACAGATGTGCATCTTAGAAAATTCTGCACCCCAGCTGCCGCTGCCTATCCTCAACAAATCCCATTACACGGCTGGGCCCAGGGACACAACTAAAGAAAAAGTGTGGAGACTCAGCCTTTGGTTAAAAAGAAGCACATAAAGTCAGCTTAGGACCCAAAGCAACTACAATGGATTGGAAAAAATGCTGGCCAGGAAGGAGAAAGGAGCCCCAAGCTGACAAGTCACAGGTGCTAACCCAGTAGCCCAAATACAGGACAAGGCTCACCACTGAAGCTCTGCAACCTGCAGTGGGTCACCCATGCAAGGCACTGACAGATTGACACACTTGAGCACACACTCCCTGGCCTCCCCCATTCAGCCTTCTGTGGACAGCCAAAGGAGGAGATCTCTAAATAAGATCCGTAACACAGACAGCAGATTCCAACCCACTGGCTGGCCCTTCAGCAAGTCCGGAGAAGAGAAGGCCTTTTTGGCTCTACTGCCAAGATCACACCTGCCTAGCTGCAGCTGAGCTGGATGAAAACAGTGCTGAGGTGAGGGAAAGAAGGCAGCTTCAGACCAGGTGCTGGGGGATCAAAACGAATCTGTCATTTTAAAATATGCCTTTTAAAATCTGATATCTAACACTTTTTTTTTTTTTTTTTTTTTTGAGACAGAGTCTTGCTCTTGTCACCCAAGCTGGAGTGCAATGGCATGATCTCAGCTCATTGCAACCTCCACCTCCTCGGTTCAAGCGATTCTCCTGCCTCAGCCTCCTGAGTAGCTGGGATTACAAGCACCCGCCACCATGCCCAGCTAATTTTTGTATTTTTATTAGAGACAGGGTTTTGCCACATTGGCCAGGCTGGTCTCCAACTCCTGACCTCAAGTGATCCGCCCGCCTTGGCCTCCCAAAGTGCTGGGATTACAGGCGTGAGCCACCGCGCCCGGCCTGTCTGTTTTTTTGAGATGGAGTTTTGCTCTTGTTGCCCAGGGTGGTCTCGAACTCCTGACCTCATGATCCACCCGCCTCGGCCTCCCAAAGTGCTGGGATTACAGGCGGGAGCCACTGCGCCCGGCCTTAAAATCTGATATCTAACAGTTTTAAATCATTTTTTGCAAAAATAAAACTTCTGAGAATAACAATTATAGAAAAGGCATTTTGAGAGATCACAGATCCAGTATTGAGTTTCTTTATTTTATTTTATTTTTTTTGAGACAGAGTCTCACTCTGTCACCTAGGCTGGAGTGCAGCGGCGTGATCTCGGCTCACTGCAACTTCCACCTCCTGGGTTTAAGTGATTCTCCTGCCTCAGCCCCCTAAGGAGCTGGGATTACAGGCGTGTGCCACCACGCCCGGCTAATTTTTTGTATTTTTAGTAGAGACACGGTTTCACCACGTTGGCCAGGCTGGTCTCGAACTCCTGACCTCAAGTGATCCGCCTGCCTTGGCCTCTCAAAGTGTTGGGATTACAGATGTGAGCCACTGCACCCTGCCTGTTTGTTTTTTTGAGGCAGAGTTTCGCTCTTGTTGCCCAGTCTGGAGTGCAGTGGCACGATCTCGGCTCACTGCAACCTCCACCTCCCGGGTTCAAGCAATTCTCCTTCCTCAGCCTCCTGAGTAGCAGGGATTACAGGCGCCTGCCACCACATCTGGCTAATTTTTTGTATTTTTAGTAGAGACAGGGTTTCATCATGTTGGCCGGGCTGGTCTCGAACTCCTGACCTCAGGTGATCCACCCGCCTCAGCCTCCCAAAGTGCAGGGATTAGAGGCGTGAGCCAACGTGCCCGGCCCAATGCTGAGTTTCATTAAAGAAACAAAATGGAGCTATTTTCCATAACTTTGTAGTCAATTTTAGCCTTTTTAAACTTTTTATAAGTGATTTCAAGGAGGGCTTCTGGCTGCATTTTGGAGGTATGCATTTATAACTTGTTTGAAGAAACTTTATTCCTATAGTAGCTTTCATTTAAGACAACGAAAGACCCCTCATGGGTCATGATCTCGTATAATTAAAAGAAACATTCAAAAAGGAACTTCATGTTTTAACCTGAAATTCCCTAACAGACCGCTACTACATAAACGTACAAAGTATAGCCAGGACAAGGGAGGGAGGGAAATGGAGGCTGACCTAAACTTACAAATATTAACTTAAAAAAATAGAAGTGGGAGACAGGTTATTGCAGTGAGCAAACAAGAATGCACCCATGAGTCAGATGGTCACGCTGTTTTTAGTGAAACAGTAACATTCAAAAGCACTGGTATGAGGAGATGGGAACAGAATCAATAAATAGTTGTACAGGTTTTCTGCATGTAACCAAAATACCTGAAACAACAATAAAATCATTTATTCTGATCCCTTGTCTCTTCTTAAACCTTTGTCACATACTTTAAAAAGTTTGTCTAGAAGACTGGGGTGTGTCACATTCCTTGGGAAAAACCCAAGAGCTTTCTGCTGCTCCCAGTTTCTCCTGGTTTGCTAAGTCTGGGAGATACAGAACACTGCCCTTTGGCCAGAGTCCTGAATCCCAATCAAGGTTAAGCAGGAGTTTGAGCGGGTGACTTACTGTATGGCTGAGATATGAGGTGAGGGGGCTGGACAGGAACCACCTGTGTGGCTGGGCCCAAGGACGAAGGCTCATCGGCAGCAGTGCCCGACTGCTGGAAGGCCATATCAATCTCTTCATCTGTCAGCCCTGGGGAGAAGAGGACATCATTGCAGGTGAGTACCTTTTGTCAGTGTCCATAGCTGCAACAGAATCTTCACTGAGCAAAGACCTTTACAGCCACAGAATGCCTCGCATCCTAGTAAGTTGCCTCCCCGATTTCAGATTCTCCGGAACCTCTCTCAGTTGCAATTTAACCTTAAGCGACAGAATATTAGCCTCAACACTGCTTCCAAATGTGGCTCATTCAATTTCCTTAATTTATCCTTGAGTTTATTGCTGCTTTTGAAGTCGCTCGGTACTGCAATTCTCCATTCTTCCCCCGAAAACAGATACCATCAACTGCAAATGTGGCTCATTTTAATCTGTAATGGTGTTAAAAAAAAAAGAGGGGAAAAAACTAACAATAATGCACGAAAACAGACAGGGAAACAAAAAACTAATTATTGGGTGAGACGACTAATTAGTCTAGATCGTTTCTGAAGACGGGAATAATTTGCTTTATTTTATGACAAATGCAGAAATAAAAAGAAAAATCAGGACTGACTGTGATTAGTATGAATGGGATATAGAATGTAAAGAAGAAAATAAAACAAGAAAACAGATCAAAACAAGGCCAGGCCCAAACTTTCAGATGATTATTATTCTAGCCTATCACACGCTGCCTGTATCGCCTTTGGCTAGTTTTTCTTTTCCCTTCTTGAAATCCTCCCGACACTCTAAACCACACCATACATGGGACATCAGGAAGTGGCAGGGCGCCATCTGCAGTGGCTATGCCATGTGGAGAGGATTTGCCCACAGAAGAATAAAAGGCAAATGAAAACCCATGAAGGCCGCATTTCCAGTGGGGACACAGCTGGGATATTTCCACCGGGTCTGAGCCAATTTGGGACACTGACTCTTGGGAGGAGGAAGAGAGCCCCATCCAACCCAAAGAACAGAATGAAATGTGGCGCTCAAGTATGAAAGGAGCGGTCACACGGGGCCAGCTCAGGAAGTAGCTGTGTGTACAAAGGCACTCCAGCTGCTGAGAGTGGGAAAAGCAGGTGGGAGGTCACTGTTAGTCTGCAAAAGACCACTCGGCCAGCCCTTGCTGTTCCAGGAATCCCAACATCCAAGCGAGCCGCAACACAGAGCTTTTAAACTACAGCCGAGAGCTTTTCCACATCTGGTCGGCAGCTCTCCATTAGAGGCCCACAGCATGGTATATTTGCCCCTGGGGGTAGATGAAGTACAAGGAGGTTCTGAGGATCAGCATCTTCAAAAGGATGGTGCCTCATACTCCATGCCTAGGGGCTAATAGATGGTGCACATTAATGCTTTAAAGCACAGCTCCGCCCTGCACCATACTGGCATATGAGTTGACTGCAGCCACCCCTCAAACTTTTCATGCCCTACCACAGCTAGTCAAAGGAAAATGCCCGAACTTTTCTAAACAGCCCTGGACTCTTTTTTCCCTTCTCTGTGCTGAGGAGTTGAGGACTATCCCCATTTAAAACTGCAGCTGTTCCCCTCTTTACCCTCTTCACACAGTGGAGCT
The DNA here is from genome assembly GCF_000001405.40 of Homo sapiens. Taxonomy (NCBI): domain Eukaryota; kingdom Metazoa; phylum Chordata; class Mammalia; order Primates; family Hominidae; genus Homo; species Homo sapiens. The sequence continues at coordinate 10,597,724 of NC_000001.11, read as the reverse complement.
GGCCAAGGGCAGGCACAGCCTCACCACTGGGAAGTCTGAAGAGCCACCGGGTTGCCCTGATAGCACCATGCTCTCAACAGATTGGTGGGCTGGATGAAAATGCTTCCAGGGTTCACAGCGCATCACGTACCACCTTCCAAAGACAAAAGCTGAAGGTCAGTAGAGTGGAGCTAGAGAGGGGGTGCTTGCTGCAAAGGGACTGCTTTACCCATAATTTCACCTTCCAAGAAGAACAGGGACAGGACCAACAGGCAAGCCAGGCAACAACAGAGAATACCCCCGCCCTGAGTTTGTGCCTCTCAGGTTCCAGCCTGTGTAGTGACTGCCGATCGCTCCGACTAAACAGGAAGGGGAACCCCTTTCGGAGCCCTGGTGGGAAAGACATTGTTTTAACCAGTTCATAATCAGCCATTAGAGAAGAAAGCAGCATCTGCGATGTCAGCACAGGCTGATGGTCACTGGTACACTACGGAATTTTATAAACCTGGTGGTTCGTGTGCCTTGTCAGCCGCTGGCTGCAAATGAAGATAATTTTCCCAAAAGGAGCATTCAGTTGCATTCTCATTTTCCCTTTTGGCTCTTTCAAATATAAACAAGTACAATAATGTTTAACACTGGGGAAATATACAGTAAGTTACAGACTGTGCTGTGGCCCTGAGGGCCGGAGCTGGTTAAAGGGACAGGACGCCCTGCCCGCAGTTCTGCCCTCTGGCCCTGAGCTTTTATGAAGCCTATTTTCCTAATAAAACATGTTCCTTGCATTATCGCAGCCGAGCCCACTAGTGAGGCCACAGTTGAAAGGGCATCAGTACTTCCTTCCAAGCTCTTGTTTTTCACAGACGTTATCATTTGAGGCTCAAAATTTATATTGGCTGAAATTCTGATATCCCTGGTTCTCTGGGAGAGGCAGGATTTTGATTTAGTTACAGTAAATGAATCCTTTCTCTTCTTTTTAAAAGTAAGCGTTTTAACAATCTCACTGAATCACATTCAGAGCCGGGCCATTATCCCAGTCACTGCCCTCATTTAACAGATAAGAAACCTGAGGCCCAAGGAGGGTAGAAACGATGCCCCACATCCTACTTGTAGAGAGTGGTGATGTGATGGGCACTCAAGGCTCTCCCTCTTCAGCCCAGTGACTCTCCACTACACCAGAGTTACAAAACATCAAATGGCAGACTCAAACTATGTCCTAGGTCTTCAGACTTGTTAAAGAGCTTGGGAGAAGGACTACATTTTCTTCTCCCTACCCCGCCACTCTCATCTACAGGAAGGAGCCAGTGAATATTGTTTTGGGGCTACATTGAAACAATACAGGAACTTAACCCCTGGCTCCTATCTGTAAATGACGCCTGGACAACTTTTTGAACAATACTAGAGAGAAAAAGGTAGAATGTCCTCATCTTGTTCTCGTTCTAATATTCTAACCCGAAATCAAGTCCAAATGCCTGTCATAGGCTTCCTTGAGTGTCATCTTCCTCTGGAATGTCCCCACCTTAGGCAGAACTGGCCAGCTTTAAGACTGCATTTACAGGACTCAGGTGATTCATTTGGAACTTAGGGAGACTGAGTGGGAACACCCACCTGTCTCCAGATCACAACTAGTTATCTGCCCAGTCATTGGCTCTTGGTGCTGTGATGACCCTGCCTTCAGGGTCAAAGTGCTGCCATGGAGCCAACATAGGACATCCCGGTGCCCTAGCCCCATCTTTCCCACTACTGCCAAGACAAACTGCTGATCTTAGATTGAGACCTTGCAGAATCCAAAAGGTTAAAAGGAATAATAAAGGAAACTGCCAATTGTAAGTGAATTATATTTGGCTCTGAAAGCTGAGGCACAGGCTAGATTATAAAAGGCATCTTCTTTGCGTTGTTTACCATCACCCTGACTAATGCAGACCTTTTTTTTGTTGTTGTTTTAAATAATCTCATGCAAATTAGACACAGACACTTCCTTCCAGTTGATTGCTATCTGCAAGGAATAATCTAACTGCAGAGGGACGGAGCAATGGCTGAGCAGGCAGAGAGCTGGAAGCAAAGGGCTTCACCGTCCTGCAAGCCTCCTCCCTCCTCTATTCATCTAAGTCCTCCTTTAGCTGCTATCTTTGGAAGAATTAGTCAATTTTAATAAAGCCCCAAATGTTCTTTTAGTTGAGGTATCAATATGCATTACCTGACACCACTGGCACTAAGCCTTTATGTTCTTCCTATAACTTCCTTTCTGCCACTTGGTGATTTTCAAGAGCCACCAGCTCCCAACCCCCAGCCACCCAGTCTATAGCACTGACAATTAAAATATATTATTGATAGAGAATAACACTAAGAAATTCCCGTTCAGTTACTCTCTCCACCCACTAGCTCTAGTCAAAAGGAGGAGAAAGGGACGAGGGAGCTTCTCTGAGAGGAGGGGAGGCGAAGAGGGTCTGGGCTGACTCTGAGAGGTAAAGAGGCCGCTTCATCTTTTCACATCATAGTTACCTGATATGCAAAACTGAGAGCTCTCAATTCAAACCAAACTCTTTGAATGAAGATTCCATGTGCCCAGAGTGGGGAAGACTTCTTGTTCTCTCAGTTCTCTAGAATCTACTTGCAAAAACCTCCAGAAGAGCTCCCTGGACCGGAGATGACTGCTGCCCTTGTGTAGGAGCTGGGCCAAGCATCTCTTCTCCAGGGTGGGCTTTTTTTTTTAAAAGGACAGAACAAGTGAGCTACATCCTATTGATTAATAAAACCCCAGTGTCACTGCTGCAGTGTCTGACCTGCGTGGCCACAGGGCTGCCACACTTGCCTATTTTTATCCCCTAGAAGATAAACAAATTGGCTTTCTTTTTCTCAAGGTTTCTGTTCAAATGCAAATAAAACCAAACTGATTGACTCTGTGAGCTGCAGGGTACAGGCTGCGATTGTGATGCCCTAGGGTCCTTTCCCACGACTCAGACCAAACCAGGGACCCGGAAGGGCTGTCTTTTCTCTGCGGGACAGGCCGTGCAAGGGTTTCTCAGGATAAGTAACCTCAGCACTGTCCCCAGTGACCGCTGGGCACTGCCACGGGGCTTGGCCCTGTGCAGGTGAAGCAGAAAGACAGATGACAGAAGACAGCAGTGTTCTCTTCATCTTTCAGGTCAAACAACAACCAGGACAGAAGGGTTAGGAAGAGTTTGAAAATAAGCAAGGTAATGAACTCCTGCCAGCGCCTTCCTGCTCAGCCCTAGTTTTATTATAAAAATGTGGCATCTGACTGGGATCACGGGAACAGGGCCAGGGGGCCAGTGACAAACGGTGGCAGTCAAGGGCTGGTCATTGGGACCTCTTCCTCCCCGCTCTGCAGCCCCTCTATTTCTAGGACTTGGCCAATTCATCTGGGACTCATGGACACTGAGAGGGGGTCACCTCTCTCAGAACAACTAAGTTATCTGCCCCGGCACACTCTGGGAGGAGATGAGGCAGAGAAGACAGCTGGCTAAAAATACTTCCCAAATTAAAAGAAAAAAATCAACTCTCTCAGAAAAGGTTCAGGGAGGGGAAGGGGAAAAGTATTTTTATTTTATTTTATGAACATTTTGTTGGAACAGTAGAGTACAATAAGGACTCTCAGAGCCTCTAAAAGTCGTAGGATGACCTGGAGACCCCTATTTCCCAGTGCCTTGTATAAAATTGAATTTTTTAAACATAAATTACACGTAATGACGACACTGTAAAAACTAACAGTAATGGAAAGCTGTGCTGTATTTCATTAGCCTGTATTATTCCGTGCCACCTGATCCAGCCGGGCCTTGTTTATGAGTTAGTGTGTTAGCAGATGCCGATGGAAGCATTTGCTTCGACCTTGCTCTTCTCATTGGGGCATGAAATTACGACGGCAGCACCTTGATATTACAGCCATAAATACAGTAAACTGCAAATTTAAGCCAACGGCTTCTATTGTCTCTGAACATAAAGCTGATCGGTATTTATTTAAAAGGAGAACAAAAAAAATATTATATATCACCTTGTTTATGGGGCCTCCCCCACCCACTTTCTTATCCCCTCCCCCAGCCCCCCAACCTGTCTAATTCACTTGGTTAAAATATTAAGCAGATAAGTCAAACACTTTTTCCTCCACTGATTAACTATTCCCAAGCAGTGAAAACAGTTTCTGAGAAAACTAGTTCCACATGTCACTACCCTGAATGCAAGAGTTTTTATAAGAATTGATCAGATGATGGGGAGTGGCAGGGGGCTGTTTCCCATCATCTTAATATTGATATGTAAATTCAAGAACAAGACCTGAGACTTTCCCCTCTCCTTAAATGAGGGAAGTTCAAACAACAGGAGAAAAAGTTGCTGATGATGCCCTGAAGCTGAATGTCCTCTCGGTATCCTTCTAGAAATCGTTAGGCAGAAACATTATTTCAAAAAGCAGCAAAACACTGCCTCCTGCCACCTAAGGAAAGAAAGAAAGATATCTAACCAAGAAGATAATTCTCAGCTCAACACAGAGAGCTGGGGCACCTCTCATTAAAACTTGCACCAATCCCTCCTTATCCCAGTGAACCATAAAGACAATATATCCTTTAAATACATTAAATGTGGAAGAAAAATAAACACAAAGACAAAAGGACACTGGACATCACCCAGCCACGTCTCCCAGTGTAAATCACTGAGTAAAAAAGCCAGTGCAAAATGTATTTCACTGCTAGCTGAAAGACTGAGGAAACTGGCAGGCTTGTTCCACTCGAAGCCTAAAGAGAAGGCAGGTCTGCTTTCCTAATGTCAACAGAAGAGGCAAAGAGGGATGTAAAAACTCAACCACGTCCAAGTTTGGAGGTTTCAAAGGGCCAGCGGTGGAAACCGTGGAACAACAGCAGGCGAGCCCAGAAGCCACTACCAGTGAGACACACAAAAGGCCGCTTTAACAGTGAATCGAATGTGAGTTTGGGGGAGCAGTTTAATTCCAAAGCAGACAGGCTGGGTTCACGGGGTCCAGTGCTGAGCAGTTTCAATGACATAGCCAAATCAACCAAGATCGAAAGTTTCTGTACATTTACTTTTGATAGGTTATTCCACAAGGCAGACGTACTCCCTTGGAGCCCTAAATTATATCAGACACACCAGTCATTGAGCTTAGCTCCTTCCACATAAGGAGGAAACTTTCCTATAAAATTTATTGAGCTTCTCTGGGGAGTAGTATAACTGGCGAACAAGACAGAAGTGAGCTGCCCCTCTATGTAACACAAATTGAGATCTCTCATATGAACGACTGGGAGGGTTTCCAATCAGCATCCATGATGTCTATTTTTAGATCTATATAATCTAAAGGTTTTTTTTTTCTTTTAATCCCTCTCTGCTAAATTAGAAACAAAAACAAAGAGAAGTTATTTTTGATATTTGATCGATTCCAGAGGATTAATAGCAGGACAAATATCGTTGCGGCTGCCACAGACAGCAGGTCTTTGGCAACAGGTAGAAAAGTCAGCCCTTCCCACAGTATACTGAGTAAGTCCTAGGGAAGAAACTGTGTCCCTAAAGACCAAGGGAAGGGTAATCAGGAATCTCTGCTACTTAAATGCCAAGTAAGCCAAACGTGTGTTTGTGCATGCATGGAAAAGTCAAATTGATAAACACTTTTAGTGATACTTAAATCTTGCTCCTGTTTTCAGAAGAGGTCATGAAGGGTGGTTTAAAAAAAGGAATCAACTTGCCTTTGACAACCAAACAAAGAAATTCAGAACTGCAAGAAAAATTGGAGTTTATCTGACCTCTCTCCTGTTCTTTTTCTTTTTTCCTTCTGTTTTATAGATCAAGAAAAAGGGACAGAGAGAGGGGCATGGACTTGCCCACAGCCCATGTGAGCCCCAGAATTGGATTCCCACACGGGGCTCTCTGTGCTGGGCAGGGGCAGGGGGCGGGGAGCATGGGCAGCCTGACATACCTACTGCCCTCTGCCACTTGACAGAGTCTGCATATTTTAAATAAGCAAACTCTCAGAATTAACACCCCCGAAAGAAGAAAGCCAAAGAGAACATCAGGAGCATGGGGGAAAACTAGGTGAAGGGTACAGAGAAGTCCACACACACACACACACACACACACACACACACACACACACAGTGTGTATACCTGAAAGAAAAGGAGGACAGGAAACTGGTAACACTGGTTATAGAGAGGACTAGTTGCTGGGGAACAGAGATTGAGGAACACTTTTCACTGCCTAGCCTTATGAATTTTGTTCCCTGTGAATAGATTTCTGATTCAAATAAATAAATTTAAGAACAAAGAAAATATTTGGGGAAAACAAACCAACCAGACTTGATCCTTAACAAGATCACAATGGTTCACCCCGTTTTCTGGAAGAGAAAAACCAAGACAGAAGAAGATACAAGCCAAGTCTAGGAGCTAGGATTATAACAGAAAGACACCCACAATTTCTAACTTCTTGCTTAACCCACTGTGGCTGCGACCACAGCAGCCAAGTACAAGGTGGCTTTTTTTTAATGTGTTTTTAAAAGGCAGACATCTGTTCTGTTTTGACACATCCTGGCTGCCCAAATGTTTCTTTCAGCTCTAAATATTTGCTTCACCAATGGAAATGTTTCCATCATTGCAACAAAACAAACATTTGCTTTGGGATGGGAGGGCTAGCCATACGCCGTCTCATATGTTCTTTGAAACAGCCTGATTTGGGAAACAACTCCACTATAAGACACAAATCAAGGTGGAGATTTTTTGTTCCTTTAAGAAAATCTTGTCACAAGAGTTTGGTGCACTAGGGCACACTCTTTAGTCACCCAGCTGAATGCTATAAATGTTCCTTTGGGGTTTTCTTCTGCATCTTGAATCTTAAATATGTGATCAGAAGGTCTATTATTTGGCATTCAGCTTACTTCCTAAAGATTTAAGCTGCCATGCAGGCATCAGATGTTCTTGCAAGTCCTCACATTAATCTGATATTAACACATGAAAACATGCTATGTCCTAATAGGTCAATACATAAATTACTTTGTCACCACCTAGCTGTGTAGCTCAAATGAATCTGGTATTGGTTGCTACTGTCAACATTATTAGTATTGAGATAAATATGTAGCACTCAACCAAATCCATAAATATTTGAGTGCTTATTTACTGCTAGGCAATGTGAGAGTGCAAGATCTCATTTTCCCTACCTGTTAAATGGGAGCCTCCCTAGGACCCCTACCCCCCAGTTTCTTACGTTGAATGAGTTTTGTCTGTTTCTCTATCTGTAATGTATAATAGGTATAGTATATAGAATAATATAGATTATATATTGATAACAAAATGTCAACTGCAGAAAACATGGAAAATAAAGAAAAGCACACAAAAAACAAAAAAGAAATCATTCATATTTCCACCCCTCACTCAAAATAACAGCCAAGTGTATTAAACCCACGTGTAGCAGAGCATTTTAGTTCTTTACATCTTTAACTCTTTGAGCTCCACGCTAACCCTGTGCAGGCCTGCCGAGGGGCACGACTCACGGTTTGCAGGCTCACGGTTTTGTTTGCAGGCTCACGGTTCTGTTTGCAGGCTCACGGTTTTGTGGCACCTCCGAGCAGTGCCAGAAGTAGACACTTGATTCTCCCCATTTACAGGGGAAGAGCCTGAGGCTCACAGACATGAACCGGCCTATCTGAGATCTCACTGCTGCAGGGTGGAGGGCCAGGCTCGGACCCCAGGCCCAGGCTCCTCAGCACTACTCTCTATACAGCATGGGGCGGGGGTGGAATATTCCAAATCCCATTCAAGCTGAAAGGTAACACTGACATCTCTGACTTCCAGCCTATCATTCAGATGTATTGGCAAAGTTATTAAGACTGGAGTTTTTCAAATTAAAAACTGCTTTTAAACAAGAGGATGCCCAATGCCAGTGAGGGTGCTGTGGAAGAGCAAACTGAGAAACTTTGGAAGTCACTTCAGCACTCTATCGCAAGAGTTTTAAAAATGTTCATACCTTTGACTCAATCATTTTGCTTCTAAGAAATAATAAAATAATGTAGTAAAAGACTTATGTAGAAAGCCAGGCTCAGTGGCTCATGCCTGTAATTCCAACACTTTGGGAGGCCAAGGCGGGCAGACTGCTTGAGCCCAGGAGTTTGAGACCAGCCTGGGCAACATAGTGAGACCCCCATCTCTACAAACAAACAAACAAACAAACAAACAAACAAAACTACAAAAATTAGCTGGGCATGGTGGTGCACACCTGTAGTGCCAGCTACTTGGGAGGCTGAGGTGGGGATTGCTTGAGCCCAGGAGGTTTGAGACTTGAATTCAACTTACACTCTGAATTCAACTTACACTTGCTCAGAAGGGGAGAGAGAGGGAAATTACACTACACCCGGTTGGGGTGGGGATGGGCTCACCATTTCACTCCACAAGTGTTGCATCTTCCAGTGAGCACAAGACCGGATGTTTGAACCCGCTGTGCCCTCATCACCTCATTCCCATATACCCTTGCAATCTGAGCACCATGTCACAGGCTATTTTCCCCCACACAGCTTGGCACTCACATGCAATGCAGACTATGTCGTCTGGTATTAAACCAAAGATCTGTTTCAGTGTGACGGAAAATGTGGGCTCTACTGAACTTACTGAGAGAACATCTTTCTAAGGGACTTTTAACAATTATTTTTAAAATTAATGTTTAAAAAATATTTGCACTGTATAAAATTCTAAAGATATAAAAGGGTATACAGTAGCCCACCCTTATCTGTGGGGGGATTCATTCCAAGACACTCAGCGAATGCCTGAAACCACAGATAATACAAAATTCTGTACATTCTATGCACAAATTTTTTTTCCTCTTTCACAATTTCATGGATAGATTTGTTCTTACAATAGATTTTAGCAACCTCAGCATATGATTTTTTTTCTTTCCTTATTAAGTCAAGAGCATTCTCTGTTTCACTTAAAGGAAGCACTTTACGGCTTCTCTTTGACATATCTGAATTGCCAGCATCACTACTCTTGCACGTGGGGTCACTATTAAGTAACATAGAGCTTACTTGAACACAAGCACTTGGATACCATGACCATCGATCTGATCACCATGAGGGCTACTAAGTGACTGCCAGGTGGAGGCGTCCACAGCATGGATAAGCTGGACAAAGGGATGATCCACATCTCAGGTAGGACAGCAGGAGGTTTCATCAAGCTACTCAGAATGGCACACAATTTAAAACTTATGAATCATTTATTTCTGGAATTTTCCATTTAAACATTTTTGGACTTTGGTTGGCCTCGGGTACCTGAAAGCATAAGAGGCAGAACTATGGATAAAGGGGGTCCACTTTATCGTGAAAAATCAGTCTCCTTCCCACTCCTGCCACCCTGTTACATCCTCCAGGGGCAACTATTGCTAAAGCTTCTTATATAAAAAGCATACATGTAGCTGGGCACAGTGGTGGACACCTATAATCCCAGCTGCTTGGGAGGATGAGGCAAGAGGATTGCTTGAGTCCAGGATTTCAAATCTAGGCAACATAGTGAGACTCCATGTCTTTTTTTTTTTGAGACGGAGTCTCGCTCTGTCACCCAGGCTGGAGCGCTGTGGTGCAATCTCGGCTCACTGCAACCTTAGCCTCCTGGGTTCAAGCAATTCTCTACCTCAGCCTCCCGAGTAGCTGGGATTACAGGCACCACCACGCCCAGCTAATTTTTTCGTATTTTTAGTAGAGATGGGGTTTCACTATCTTGGCCAGGCTGGTCTTGAACTCCTGACCTCGTGATCTACTCGCTCGGCCTCCCAAAGTGCTAGGATTGCAGGCATGAGCCACTGTGCCTGGCCAAGACTCCATCTCTTTTTTTTTTAAAAAAAAAAAAAAAAAAAAAAAAAGCACATGTGTGTATACATATGTGTGTCCGTATATTTTTATACAATGATAGCACGCTATACATGCTGTTCTATACCTTGCTATTTTTAATTAGGTTATCTTGGAGGATACTCCATATTAGTATCTACAGAGCTCTCTCATTCTATTTAATGGCTATATGGTTGGTATGGATGTACTATAATTTATTTAACATCCCCTACTGAACCTTTACTGCTACAAACAAAGCCATAATAAAGGACCTTGAATATACCACTTGTACATGTGTAAACTATATCCCTAGGAATAGACTCAGATGTGTGCAGTTTTAATTTTAATAAGACCTGTCAAACCTTCTTCCAGGTTGTTTCCACTCACATTCCCTCAACCTTGCCTACATGATGCTATTAAGCTTTTTATCTTTGCCATTCTGAAAGGTTAAAAAATTGTCTCGTTATTTTATTTATTTATTTATTTGAGACAGAATCTCACTCTGTCACTCAGGCTGGTGCCATCTCGGCTCACTGTAACCTCCGCCTCCCAGGTTCAAGCAATTCTCGTGCCTCAGCCTACCGAGAAGCTGGGATTACAGGAGTGTGCCACCAGCCCTGCTAATTTTTGTATTTTTGTAGATACAGGGTTTCACTATGTTGGCCAGGCTGGTCTCAAACTCCTGGCTTCACGTGATCCATCTGCCTCGGCCTCCCAAAGTGCTGGGATTACAGGCGTGAGCCACCACACACAGCCTCATTATAATTTTAAGGAAACTTTTGTTGGCATTGAATATATACAGAAAAGCATGCACATTTTTAAGTGTACAGCTTAATGAATTTTCCCACGGTGAACACACTTATGTAACTACCATCCAGATCAAAAAATAGAGTAACAGCCTCTAGCAACATCCCTTGTCTCCTCCCAGTCACCACCTAACTTCTAATACCACAGATTCAGTTTGCTTGCTTTTGAATTTTATATATGTGGGATAATACGGAAAGCATTCACACCTGTAATCCCAGCACTTTGGGAGGCCGAGGCGGTGGATCATGAGGTCAGAAGATTGAGACCATCCTGGCTAACATGGTGAAACCCCGTCTCTACTAAAAATACAAAAAAAATTAGCTGGGCATGGTGGTGGGCACCTGTAGTCCCAGCTACTCGGGAGGCTGAGGCAGGAGAATGGCGTGAACCCAGGAGGTGGAGCTTGCAGTGAGCAGAGATCACGCCACTGCACTCCAGCCTGGGCAACAGAGCGAGACTCCGTCTCAAAAAAAAAAAAAAAAAAAAAAAAAAAAAGGTAAACGGCTCCTTTTGTTCAACATTATGCTTGCGAGTCATCCTTGTTGTTACACATAGCCACAGTTCATTCAAATTGTTGTATTGTAGTCTTATACAGTAAAAGAATGTATTTCTAGTTTTGGACCATCTATGAATAATGCTGCTATCAACATTCTTAATATGTATTTTTTTAGGGGAAATGCTCGATTATAGAGTGCACATCTTCTCAGCTTTAACAGATACTGCCAACAATGTCCAAAATGGTCACAGCAATTCACACTCCCACCAGCAGAGTAGAAGAGCTCTAGCTGTCCCACACCCAGCAGCAAAGTTCTCAGTCTTTTCCATTTTAGTCATTCTGGTGGGTGTGAAGGATAGCACATTCTGATTGCAATTTGCATTTCTCTGACAACGACCGAGACTGAATACTTTTTGTTTGTTTATCATCTTCATTGAGTACAGCGTTCTACGTAATAAGGCAAGTTTGTTCATTGTGTTGTTAGAATCTGGATTGCTTTGTCTGTTTGTACTACCAAACATGGAGAAAGAAGTTTTGAAAGAAGTTTTGAAACGTCCCATTATGATAGATTTGTCTAGTCCTCCTTTCAGGTCTGTCCAGTTTTGCTTTACGTATATTGAAGCTATGTTTGTTAGGTGTGTAACTATTTTGAAATGTTCATCTTGTTGGTGATTGACCATTTTATTATTCTGAAATTTTTCTATCTCTGACTCACTTTTTTTTATTTGTTTTGAGACGGAGTCTCGCTCTGTCGCCCAGGCTAGAGTGCAGTGGCGTGATCTCCACTCACCGCAATCTTTGTCTCCCAGATTCAAGCAATTCTCCTGCCTCAGACTCCGGAGTAGCTGGGATTACAGGCATGCACCACTGCATAGAGACAGGGTTTCGCCATGTTGGCCAGGCTGGTCTTGAACTCCTGACCTCAGGTGATCTGCTCACCTCGGCCTCCCGAAGTGCTGGGATTATAGGTGTGAGCCACCACGCCTGGCCTTCTGATTCTACTTTTAAGACCACCTTGTCTGGTATTACTACCGAGTTTCTTGTGGTTAGTGTTTGCATGGTGTATCTTTTTCCATCACTTGACATTTAATCCTTAAATATCTTTATACTAAAGGTGTGTCTGATGCAAGCAGCATTGAGTCTTTTAAATCTAATCTTGACCAACTGCTTTTAATGGAGTATTTACTCCATTTATATTTAATGTAAATGCTGAACTTTGGGGGTTTATATCTTTCATATTACAATTTGTTTTCCTTTTGACCTGTTTAGTGCTCTCTTTTCTCTCCTGTCTTCTTTTTAATTCAGTTTTTCTCTCTATTACCTTGTAGTCAAGGTGGTTTCTGATGGATTTCTCTACTGCAAAGTTACTATCTTTTCTTTCAGAGTTAATAAATAGCTCGGAAAAGACACTTTGCTCTTTCTCTTGAAACCTTCATCTCATTTTAGCACCCGTCAATGGAATTTGTCTGCAACAGTAATTACTGGATGTTTGCCTAATGGGAGATCCTCAATTAAGGGTGAAAGGGGTCCTGAGACTAAAACACTTGCGAACCAACGCCCTAGACATCACAATATATCCTTTACTTACTATAGTGTGATATAAATGAGAAATTTTACTGTTCCCCCAAAGATCCTCGCACATATAACTTTCCCTCCACCCCTCCTTTTGTGTACTGGCATGCATTTCAATTATAATGTATGTTAAAATCCACAAGAAAGACATTCTTATTTTACACAGTCAATATTCGTTGATATGTGTCCTTTTGTTTGTCCTTCATTCTTTCCTGCCATTTCTATGTTTCCATGTAAGATCATTTTCTCTCTGCCTGAAAACTCCTTTAGTGTTTCTTTCAGTACAGTGTGCTGGTGATGAATTTTCTCTTTTTGTTTGCCTGGAAATGTCTGTATTTTCCTTCACTTTTAAAAGACATTCTGTTATGAAATAATTTCTGATTTACAGAAAAGCTGCTGAAAGCATAGTACAAAGAATTCTCATATATCTTTCACCCAGGTTCTTTAAATGTTAAATTCATCACACTCGCTTTATTATTCTCTATTGATCTGTCTATATGATTACTTTCCCTGAACTGTTTGAGACTAAGTTACAGACATCACACCCTACCCCTTAAATATTTCAGTAAGCATGTCTTAATTTGGGGTGGGAGTCGGGGAAGCTCATGCTTGTATATAACCACAGAATAATTATCAAAATCAAGAAGTTAACAATGTTACATTTATATCTGTAGCTCAGATCTTTCCTCTGAACTTGATTCATAATATCCCTCTGCCCACCTGATACCTCCACTTGGATGTCTGATATCTCAAACTTAATACGTCTAACACTGAACTCCTAATCTTGCCCCACCAAACTGCTCCATTCCTAGTTAATGACAACTCCAAACTTGTAGTCACACAAGGCCAAAAACCTTGGAGTCATCCTTAATTTCTACTTCTCTTTCATATCCAGATCCCACAAATCAGGCTATTCTATTGGATTTACTTCCAAAAAAATATCCAGGGAATCTGATCACATCTCAACACTAGACTAGTCTCCCAGCTTCCACCCTGGTGATCCTATTAAACCTTACATCAGATGGTATAACTCCTTGCTTAAAACACTCTGATGATTTTCCATTTTACTCAAAATAAAACCAAAGTCCTTACCAAGATACTGTTGCCCTACACAACCTTACTCCCTGTGAATGCTGTGACCTCGTGTCTCACTGCTATCCACCTGGCCTACCATTCTTGTTCCTGGAATTTGCCAGACACAACTTCCTCTTCAAGCTTCTGCATCGGTCATTCCCTTTTCCTGAAACTCTTTCTACCCAGAAATCTGCATGGTTTGCTTCCTCGTTTTCTTCAAGTTTTTGCTCAAAATGTTATCTTAGAGGGGCCTTTCCAAACCATCCCATTTAAAATAGCAAATTCCTAAGAAGAATCCTCTATTGCTCTTACTCATGTTTATATTTTATTCTATTTACTGTCTTCTCCCTCCCACTCTACCATTGCATTTGGGGTTATTTTATTCACTGCTATGTTCCTAGTACCTAAAACACCTAGGTTCTACTGGCACCTAGTAGGTATTCAATAAAAATGTGTAAAAAGCCAGGCGTGGTAGCTAATACCTGTAATCTCAGCACTTTGGGAGGCTGAGGCAGGAGGATCACTTGAGTACAGGAGTTCAAGACCAGCCTGGACAACATAGTGCAACCTCACCTTTTTAAAAAAAAAAAAAAAAAAAGCTGGGTGCAATGGTGTATATTTGTAGTCTCAGCTACTAGGGAGGCTGAAGCAGGAGGACTGCTTGAGCCCAGGAGGTCAAGGCTGCAGTGAGCCATGACTGCACCACTGCACTCCAGCCTGGGTGACAAAACAAGACTCTATCTCAAAAAAAAAAAAAGTGTAGAAAGAATAAATAAACGGAAACCCCAATATGTAAAACAGACAAAAGTAATGTTCAGGTTTTGAGAGGTCCGGAGGGGTACGGAGAAAAATCAGAGTCCCACCTTCTTGATTCCCTCTTTGCCCCTGAAATATCTCCTCAGAATCTCCAAGAATCCCCAGAGGTAAGTATAAAAACCGTTACCAGGCCAGGTATGGTGGCTCATGGCTGTAATCCCAGCACTTTGGGAGGCCGAGGAGGGACAGATCACTTGAGGTCAAGGAGTTCAAGACCAGCCTGGCCAACATGGTGAAACCCCCGTCCCTAATAAAAATATAGAAATTAGCCAGGTGTGGTGGCAGGCGCCTGTAATCCCAGCTACTCAGGAGGCTGGGGTGGCAGAATTGATTGAATCCGGGAGGCGGAGGTCACAGTGAGCTGAGATCGTGCCATTGCACTCCAGCCTGGGCTACAGAGTGAGACTCCATCTCAAAACCAAACCAAACCAAACAAAACAAAATGCCTGTTACCATATATTCACCCTGTACTAAATAAAGCAAACTAGTTTATTCATCAGCCCCTGATATGCCTTATACTCTGGAGAGAGTCAGGCATCAGTCTTCCACCCCTGATGTTCCAGCCATCAGAGTAGCTTCTTCCCAACCCTACTCTGAGCTTGTCAGTTGTTCCGGGTTATCTCTTCCATCACCAAAGCTCCTCTGTGATCACCCTAGGTAGAAGTACTTTTCTACAGCAATTACTATCTAGACAATACTCCTCTGGTTGTCAAACATAGATGGCTTTGTAACCTTTCTTTTATCTTATATGGTTTTCTGAGGATTTTAATGGTGTTGAACTTTTATTCTCTGCCTTATTCATTACTGTATCCCCAAAACCTAAAATACTGATCAACCCATAGTGGTCATTCACCAAATAATTGTTCAATGTGTGAATAAATGTGAATAAAGCACACTGGTGCTTCATGAATTGCAGATTTTCAATAGCTGTAAGATATATTTGTAGTACTTCATGATAATCCCTTTTTTCCCCTCTTAAAAAAAAAAAGCTGTTTATCATAAAACTCATTATCACTGTCATCATTAACATTTAACATTATTCTTGGAGTTTCATCCTATGTAATAAAGCAGGAAATAAAATTAAAATGTCTATGAACTAGAGACAAGTTTACAAAATAATCAATTGACCATATACCTATAAAATTTAATTTAATCATGAGAAAGTGGGATGGCAAGATATAGTACATAAAATTAAAAATCAGTAGCACTCCTATGTACCAGCAATAATTAAAAAATAAAATGAAGAGAAATTCCTTTCATAATAGCCATGAGAAATATAAAATTACTATAGTCTTACAAAATGTTAGATCAGTATAAAGAAATGTTGCAAAGAGAAATAAAGGGAGACAAACGAAAAAGCCTTTCAAATTATTTTATTTTTATTTTATAAATTATTATAAATTTATAAATTATAAATTAAATAAAATATAAATTATTATAAACTTATAAATTATTTTATAAGTTTAACACAATTTCAATTAAAAAATCCCAATTATTTTAAATTATCTCAGATGTTCCTCAAGCTTATCTGGGAGAATGCACAAATAAGAATAACAAGGATTAGCCAGGCACGGTGGCTCACGCCTGTAATCCCAGCACTTTGGGAGGCCAAGGTGGGTGGATCATAAGGTCAGGAGTTCAAGATCAGCCTGGCCAAGATGGTGAAATCCTGTCTCTACTAAAAATACAAAAATGAGCAGGGTATGGTGGCGGGCGCCTGTAATCCCAACTACTCGGGAGGCTGAGACAGAGAATTGCTTGAAACCAGGAGACACAGGTTGCAGTGAGCCGAGATTGCACCACTGCACTCCAGCCTGGGCGACAGAGCCAGACTCTGTCTCAAAAAAAAAAAAAAAAAAAGGATAACAAAGATCCTCGTTTAACACCAAGGTCAGAGGCAACAAGAATGGAAACAGGTTTCATTCTGCCCTCATGGGATTCCAGACTGCTCTTAATTTTCCTTTTCTGACTACCTGCCATGTAGACTTCAAGCTCCAGCCTCAGACGTGGCAACAGCATACTATTTCCCATTGGTTCTGCTTCTCTGGTTGAACCCTTCCTGAGACAGAGAAGACTGTTCTTTTCCTTTGTCGCTCATATCAATAGGACACTTATTTGTTAATTTATGTGTCAGCTGCTTCCTCCACTAGAAGCATAACATAGTGGTTAAAAGCAAAAATTAGAAAAAAAGGTGGCTTATGTTTTAATCCTGGCTCTGACACTTAATAGCTATGAGTCAGGTCCTTCATCTGTAAAATGGGAATAAAGTTGTTATAAAGATTAAATAAGGTACTACTTTTATAGATCAATGCCTGGCATATATAAGCAGCATATGAACTTGATGAATAAAAATATAATAAAAATAATGCACTGAAAAAAAAAAGAACAGCTAGGAATGTTCGGTAGTCCATTCAGTATCCTCTTCTGGATATTTAAATATTTCTTAGTATTTTTTTTTAAGTGGTCCCTCTAGGGATTACAATATACATTCTTATCAGTCTACTCTGAATTAATATTACACCATGTTACATATTAAGAACTTTAATATGATACATATAATTGTATGTACTATACTGTATTATTGTTTATATTGATAATACATTTTATTAAGAATCTTGGCCGGGTGCAGTGGCTCACGCCTGTTTGGGTGCAGTGGCTCACGCCTGTAACCCCAACACTTTGAAAGGTCAAGGCAGGTGGATCACCTGAGCTCAGGAGTTCGAGACCAGCCTGGGCAACATGGTGAAACTCTGTCTCTACTAAAAATACAAAAATTAACCAGGCGAGGTAGCATGCACCTGTAATCCCAGCTACCCGGGAGGCCAAGGCAGGAGAATCGCTTGAACCTGGGAGGCAGAAGTTGCAGTGAGTTGAGATGGTGCCACTGCATGCCAGCCTGGGTGACAGAGTGAGATCCTATCTCAAAAAAAAGAAAAAGAGTCTTAATTCCATTTACACCCCTTCTGTCCTTTGTGCTCTTGTTGTAAAATGTTCATTACATATAAATATATGAGTATACTATAAATCTAACACTACATTATTGTTATTGCTTTAGTCAACTGACTTTTACAGAACTGAAGAATTAAAATAAAATAGTATTGTATATTTTCCTATGTATTTAACATTCCCACGGCTCTTTATCCCTTCCTGAAGACCCAAATTTCCATCTAGTATTGTCAGAGGCATGTGAACCAGAACAACTCCATCTTGAGTAGGAGCTGGGTAAAATGAGGCTGAAACCTACTGGGATGCATTTCCAAACAGCTGAGGCATTCTAAGTCACAGGGTGAGACAGAAAGTCGGCACAAAATACAGGTCATAAAGACCTTGCTGATAAGACAGGTTGCAGTAAAGGAGCTGGCCAAAACCCACCAAAACCAAAATGGCCATGAGAGTAACATCTGGTTGTCCTCACTGCTACACTCCCACCAGTGCCATGGCAGTTTACAGACGCCATGGCAACATCGGGAAGTTAACCTCTATAGTCTAAAAGGGGGAAGCATGAATAATCCACCCCGTCTGGCATCTCATCAAGAAATAACCATAAAAATGGGCAACCAGCAGCTCCCAGGGCTGCTCTGTCTGTGGAGTAGCCATTCTTTTATTCCTTTACTTTGTTAATAACCTTGCTTTCACTTTGCACCGCAGACTCGCCCAGAATTCTTTCTTGTGTGAGATCCAAGAACCCTCTCTTAGGGTCTGGATTGGGACCTCTTCCCTAACAGATTTCTCTTTCTTGTAACAGTATTATCTCCTCTTCAATGGGAAGATCTCACACAGATATTTATTCAATGCATGTCTGCTGGTGACAATTTCTCTCAGCTTTTATCTTATAATGTCTTTATTTTTTTCCTTCATGTTTAGTGGTATTTTCACTGTACAGAGAATTCTAGATAAAGTGTCTTTTTTCTTTCGCCATTTTGAAAACATCATTCCATTGTCCCGTGTGCTACACTGTCTCTGATTATGAGTCAGCCATAATTCTCATCATTGTTCCCTTTTTATTTAATATTAGCAGTTTCACTGTGATACACCTCGATGCAATTTTCTTTGTTATTTATCCTACTTGTAATTGGCCACACTTCCTGGGCTGCTGTTTGTGTGGGGTTACTTTAATCAAAATTGGAAATTTCTCAGCCAATATTGCTTCAAATACTTTTTCTGCCTCATCCTTCTCTGCTTTTTGGGAGTACTGCTGTCACCCTATGTTAGACAGCTTGATTTTTGTCCTGCAGGTCATTAAGGCTCTGGTCCTATTTTTATTCCAGCTATTTTTCCTCTCCATACTTCAGTTTGGATGATTTCTGTTTACCTGTCTTCAGGTTCACTGATGCTTCCTTCTGTTATGCCCAATCTGCTGTGTCTCTCACCCAGGGAAATTTCAGTGTCAGGTTTTGTGTTTTTCAGTTCTAAGATTTACATTTGGTTCTTTTTCACAACTTCCTTATCTCCACTGCAACTCCTCACCTCTTTACCCTTTCTCCCATTTTTTTCATGTAAATTCTTTTAACATATTTGTTCATAGTTAAAGTTACTGTTCACCTGTGAATTTGTTTCTATTAACTGAGTTTTCATTTCAGTAAGGGTCACAGGGTCCTGTTTCTTCTCACATCTAGTAGTTTTTTAATTTTATACTGGATGTTGAAGGTGATAGTTTGTAGAGGCTCTGGATTCTGTTTTCTTCTGCAGAATTCAGTTTTTTCTAGTAGACAGTTAAATCACCTGTAGATCTGGTGTAGGCACAATTTTATGCTTTATTTTTGTTTTGCCCTTAGTCCTAGGGAAAATGCCATAGCCCTGGGGAGTAGTATTTGCCCCTAAGGGGTAGCCCTTCTGGGATTTCAAAGCAAAGTCCAAGGTGTTTATCGAATCGCCTCTAACTTGACAAGACTCCACCTCCAAATTCTCTCTCTCCCACAGCAGGCAGCTACTGAAATCTCTGCTGGAATCTGTGGCACTTCCCCTGTGCATGGGCAGTTCAGCAGTTAGTCTAGCATGTGAGGGGTGTTTATATGTACTTCGGGGTGATCCCCAGCATGGTTCTCTCCTTTCTATGATTGCCATCTTCAATTTCCCGACACACAGTCTCAAAATATCCCCTGATTCCTCAAACCAATATGACACAGCTTTCTGCTTGAGTTCTATTTGCTAGCACCTGATGGATTGGGGAATACCTCAAGGAAAAAGCCTTATAAAGGTGGCTCCCCTGGGTGGGGTCTTTCTTTCAAGAATCAAATTCACTCCAATTTCTGCTTGCTTTTGGTGGCTCTCCAGTACCTTCAAACTATATTTTTAAAATACTGTGTCCAGGCTGGGTATAGCAGATCACCAGGTCAGGAGATCAAGACCATCCTGGCTAACACGGTGAAACCGTCTCTACTAAAAAAAATACAAAAAATTAGCCGGGCATGGTGGCAGGTACCTGTAGTCCCAGCTACTCAGGAGGCTGAGGCAGGAGAATGGCGTGAACCCTCCCAACTCAGGAGGCGGAGCTTGCAGTGAGCCGAGATTGCGCCACTGGACTCCAGCCTGGGTGACAGAGCGAGACTCTGTCCAAAAAAAAAAAAAAAAAAAAAAAAAAAAAAAAAAAAAAAAAAAAAAAATATATATATATATATATATATATATATATATATGTATAGTGTCCAAAATTTATTTTTGTTGTTGCCATATGGGAGTATTATTCTAATACAAGCTACTCCACCATGACTGAAAGCCAAGAACTCTCAGAATTGTTTTTTGGTTTTTTTTTTTTGGTTTTTTTTTTTTGAGACAGAGTATTACTTTGTCACCCAGGCTGGAGTGCAGTGGCACAATCTCGGCTCACTGAAAGCTATGCCTCCCAGGTTCAAGCAATTCTCCTGCCTCAGCCTCCCAAGTAGCTGGGATTACATGCATGTGCCACCAAGCCCAGCTAATTTTTGTATTATTAGTAGAGATGGGGTTTCGCCATGTTGGCCAGGCTGGTCTTGAACTGTTATCCACCTGCCTCTGCCTCCCAAAATGCTGGCATTACAGGCGTGAGCCACTGCGCTCGGCCTCAGAATGTTTTTTAAAGAGAAGAATGATGAAGTGAGCCTTGCTCTTGTACATATTAAAGTTGATAATAAAGATACAGCAATTAGGCTGGGTGTGGTGGCTCACGCCTGTAATCCTAGAGCTTTAGGAGGCTGAGGCAGGTGGACCACCTGAGGTCAGGGGTTAAAGACCAGCCTGGTGAAACCCCCTCTACTAAAAATACAAAAATTAGCCGGGCATGGTGGCACCTGTAATCCCAGCTACTTGGGAGGCAGAGGCAGGAGAATCACTTGAACCTGGGAAGCAGAGGTTGCAGTGTGCTGAGATCGCGCCACGCACTCCAGCTTGGGCGATACGAGCAAAATTCCATCTAAAAAAAAAAAAAAAAGTACAGCAATTAAAACATTGTGGCACTTGTGTAAGAATGTATAGGTCAATAAAAACAGAATAGATATCCCTGAAAGAGACCTTGTTATGTATTAAAATTTAATTTATAATAGAGGAAGCATACTAAACAACTGGGGAGAAAAATGATTTATTCATTTGAAGGTCAGGGAAAAACTAATGTTTGAAAGGAGCTTCGCTTCACACCATTTCACAAATTTCAGGATTAAAGAGTTAAATATAAAAACGTAAACCATAAAAACTAAAACGAAATGTGGATGAATATTTAAATCACTGGTTCAGTGTTTATGGACAAACTATTTCATCTCTTTCCTTAGTTTCTTTCTCAATTGTAAGAAGACAATAAAAAATACATACCTCGTAGGGTTTTTGTGATTAAATAAGGGACTTAGCTTATTGCCTGACACATAATCAGCCCTCAATACATGTTAGCTGTTACTGTAATTATTACTATTTAATAATTATGGGGATGGAATCTCTTACCATAAAAATAATAGAGGAAATATCAGAAGATTGGTAGATCTGATTATGTGAAAATAATCACTTTTATATATTAAAAAATATAAAAGGCAAGGAACGGTGGGGAAAATGTTTGCAAACATGGCCAAGAACTAATATTCTTAATATATAAAGGGTATTTAAAAATCAATAAGTAAAGCACTAATATCCCAATAGAAAATGGTGGGAAGAAGGATTGAATAAACATTTCTGAGAATAAACATATTTCAAAAGCTCAACTGTTACTAATCAAACAGATGCAAATGAAAACAATATGAGAAAGCTGTTTTGTTGCTACTTGGTCATTTTTTAGTGACCACACTCAAGTAGCATATTGAGACAGGTACTCTCATCCCCTGGTGAAGGATCTACTATGCCCTATTCAGAAAACTATCACTATGTGCCCAGAGTCTTAAAACCATCATATCCTATGAGTCAACACTTCCACATTTCAGGAATCCATTTTGAGAAAATATCAGACAATGCTAGTCACCATTTTTTTTCTAATTCCTTTATACAAAAAACAAGAAAGAAAGAAAATAAATTAAGTGCTCATCTCAAGAAACTAGAAGAACGTTAGAAAAATCCAAACAAAGTAGATGAAAGGAATTATGCAGAAGAGTGTTTTAAATTTTCCAAGTGGCCAAATTTTTTTTCAGGGCTTCTTATTGTAAATTTTAGCTTTATTGCCATATGGTCAGAGAAGCAGGGGCTATGTGATTTCTGCCTTTTGGGCTTTATCGGAATTTTTCTTTGTGGCCAATTAACAACTTTTTATAAATGTACCATGGGTGTTGAAAAATTAAATATTCCATTTTATGTGTACAAAATGCCATTTATTTATATATAACAAGTTTACTGTTATCTATTTCATATTCTCATTTACTTTTTGCCTGTGATTTATGAACTTCTAAAGTGTGTTAGTATCTTCAACTATGCGTTTTTAAATTCTTCTATATTTCTAATAGCTTTCGCTTTATATACTTTGATAGAACGTTTTTCAGTGCATAAAGTTGCATGATTATTGCATCTTCTAGGTACATTGAACTTTGCAATGGTATAAATTGACAATGCATTCTTTTTAATATTTTAAACTTGAATTTCTAATCTGCCTAATATTAATATTGTCAATTCTGTTTCCTTTTTTTCTTTTCTTCCTTTTTTTTTTTTATTTAAGAGACGGGTTCTTGCTCTGTTGTCTAGGAGTGCAGCTCAAGCTACCCTCCCGCATCAGCCTCCTGAACAGCTGGGACTACAAGTGCACACCACCATACCTGGTTTATCTTTTACGAATTTTTTTCAGATGGGGGTCTCACCATGTTGCCCAGGCTGGTCTCGAACTCCTGGCCTCAAGCCATCCTCCTGCCTCAGCCCCCTAAGCTCTGGGATCACTAGTGTGAGCCACCACACCCGGCCAATTCTGTTTCTTTTGATTAGCATTTGCTCACTGTATCCAGCCCATCCCTTATTTTCAACTTTCCTGTGTTGTTTTATTTTAGTTATGTCTCTTGTTGACGCATAAAACTGGCCTTTTTTTCTTCAGGTTTCACTGAGTTTGGGATCTGTTCTTTAATAGGGGATTTCCTAAATCCCATGATTATATATTGTGTGTAGCATCTCCTGTTTTTTTCTCTCCTAGCCTTTGCTGATCATCTTTTCTTCCCCCAGAATGTGATTTGCAAGTTCTAAGTCCTATTTTCCTCTAGTCTAATAATGAGTAGCACTAATTTTTAAAAGCTGAGATGATATACATGGTTTAATATGCAAAATTACACTAATCCTAAGCACAAAGCTTGAAGAATTTGTACATATGCATATACTTGTGTAACAACCACTCGGAGATCCAGAACATCTCCCAGTACTCCATAAGGCATCTTCACTCTCCTCCAGAGGGGCCACTACAACTCTGATCATCAGCATTTGTTTTGCCTGTCCTTGAACTTCATAAAAATATATGTATTCTTTTATATCTGGCTTCTTTGACAGAATTCTTTAAGACTCATTCATGCAGACCCATTGACCAGTAATTCATTCTTTTTTCTTCTTATGTAATATTTCCTTTTGTATGTGTTTCATAAACCACCCACTTTTCTGTTGATGGGACACTTCCCCCCAGGTTTTGGCTCATTTATTTATTTATTTAGAGTTGGAATCTCACTCTGTCACCCAGGCTGGAGTGCAGTGGCACGATGTCAGCTCACTGCAACCTCCACCTCCCAGGTTCAAGCGATTATCCTGCCTCAGCCTCCGGAGTAGCAGGGAATTACAGGTATGCACCACAACACCCAGTTAATTTTTGTACTTTTAGTAGAGATGGGGTTTCACCATGTTAACCAGGCTGGTCTTGAACTCCTGATCTCAAGTGATCTGCCCACCTCAGCCTCCCAAAGTGCTGGGATTACAGGCGTGAGCTACCGCACCCAGCCTTGGCTGTTTTAAATAAAGCTGTTATATACATTCTTCTACATGTCTTTTTATGGATAGATCCACCCATTTCTCTTGGGTTTATGTCTAATAATGGAATTGCTAGGTCATAAAACAAGCATGTACTTAACTTGAGTAGAAAGTGCCAGCTTTTTAAAGGCAGCTACACTCATCATCAATGCATGAGGGTTACTGCTGCTCCACATTCTTGACAACATTTGCTATTCTCAGCCTTTTAAATTTTCGCCATTCTAATGGGTGTGTATAATGGTGACTTGCTGTGGTTTAAGCTACATTACCCTGATGAGGAAGGATATTAGGCATCTTTTTATATGATTATTAACGCTCTGGAAATGCTCCTTAATAAAGTAAATATTTGAGTCTTTTGTACACCCTTTTTTAAGAGAGACGGGATCTTACTATGCTGCCCAGTCTGGTCTCAAACAATCCTCCGCTTTGGCCTCCCAAAGTGCTGAGATTACAGGTGTGAGCTACTGCGCCCAGCCTGTATACTTTCAAAAAGCCTGTACACTTTAAAAATTAGGTTATGTGGCTTTTTCTTACTGATTTGTAGGAGTTCTCTATATATTAGATACAAGACCTCCGTCAGATGAATAAAATATATAGTTACGCGCCACATGATATTTCAGTTAACGATGGACTGCACATGCGATGGTAGTCCCATAAGATTATAGTAAAGCTGAAAAATTCCCATTGTTTAGTGCTGTCACAGCCATCATAATGTTGTAGCACAATTCATTACCTTTTTTCTGTGCTCAGAAACACAAATATGTACCATTGTGTTACAATTGCCTACAGTATCCTTTTCAGTAACATGCTGTATAGCTTTGTAGTCTGGGAGCAATAGGCTATACCTGATAGCCTAAGTATGCAGTAGGTTATACCCTCCAGGTC
Source organism: Homo sapiens (assembly GCF_000001405.40). NCBI lineage: Eukaryota > Metazoa > Chordata > Mammalia > Primates > Hominidae > Homo > Homo sapiens. The sequence continues at coordinate 10,572,905 of NC_000001.11, read as the reverse complement.
TGTGTAGGTACAGTCTATAACATTTGTACAATGAAATTGTCTAATGACACGTTTCTTAGAACATATCTCTGGCCAGGCGCGGTAGCTCACGCCTGTAATCCCAGCACTCTGGGAGGCTGAGGAGAGCGGATCACGAGGTCAGGAGATCGAGACCATCCTGGCTAACACAGTGAAACCCCATCTGTACTAAAAATACAAAAAATTAGCTGGGCGTGGTGGGGGGGGCGCCTATAGTCCCAGCTACTCGGGAGGCTAAGACAGGAGAATGGTGTGAACCCAGGAGGCAGAGCTTGCAGTGAGCTGAGATTGCGCCACCGCACTCCAGCCTGGGTGACAGCAAGACTCCGTCTCAAAATAAAAATAAAAAAGAACGTATCTCTGTCATCCAGTGACACATGACTGTATTATGAATATCTTCTCTATGGCTTGTCCCTTTGCCTTCTTTCAGTTTTCATGAATAGAAGTGCTTGATTTTGATGTAGCATCCTTTTTGTTCTATGGTTAGTAGGCTTTGTGACCTAATTAAGAAATCTTTGCCTAATCCAAGCTCATGGAGACATCCTCCTGCATTTTTCTTGTGCTTTATAGATTTATCCTCCTTACTTGTATAAGTTTAAGGTAAGGGTATGATTACTCCAGCACAATCTTTTGGAGTACTGGCATATCCTGTTAATTTATTTATTCATCAACATGTAATTATTGAGACCTTACTATGTCAGACGTCAGGGAGATAGGTCAGTAAACAAGATACCACTTTTGCCATGTAATCTAGTAAGCAGTTTAACAAGTTAGATCTGTCAGCCCTTTAATTTCAGGAAATTCTCAATCTGAGGAAAGAGCTGAGTAAAATCTCTAACTTGTGTCCAGTATCTGGCAATCTGATTGTACTACATAAACTGGAAGCTCCGTGTTCTGTTTCCATTTTTCCAGATATCCTACAAACTGATGATGGTTGAAGGGAAGATTATGAAAACTCCCTCCCTTTATTTTTTCTGATTATGAACATTCAAAAACTGAAAATTTTTAAATTATGGCAAAATAAACATCACATAAAATGTCCCATCTTAGCCACTGCTTTTTTGTTTTGTTTTGTTTTTGAGACAGAGCCTCACTCTGTTGCCCGGGCTGGAGTGCAGTGGCACAATCACGGCTCCCTGCAACCTCAGCCTCCCAGGTTCCAGCGATTCTCCTGCCTCAGCCTCTCGAGTAGCTGGGAATACAGGCGCCCACCACCACACCCAGCTAATTTTTGTATTTTTAGTAGAGATGGGGTTTCATCCTGTTGCCCAGGCTGGTCTCGAACTCCTAAGCTCAAGTGATCCGCCCGCCTCGGCCTCCCAAAGTGCTGGGATTCTAGGCATGAGGCACTGTGCCCGGCCCATCTTAGCCATTTTTAATGTATGGTTCAGCAATATTAAGTACATTCACACTGTTCCAACCATCACCACCATCCATCTCTAGAACTCTTCATCTTGCAAAACTGAAACTCTGTACCCATCATAAACAAGAAAACCCTATATCCCACCCCCACCCCCTGGTAAATACCATATGACATTCTTTAGAAACACATTTTTTTTTAATACAGAAAAGCTTAAAGGCACCAGAAGTGAAAAGTAACACACATTTCCACCATCCAGAAGCAACTGGTGTTAATATCTGGAACATAAAATGGAATCACATCTTAGCTGAAAATTAGATTCTAAAGTTGTGTACAAAGTGAAAATTGTGTATGTCAAAACAACTGTTGAAGGCCGGGCACAGTGGCTCACACCTGTAATCCTAACACTTTGGGAGGCCGAGGTGGGAGGACTGCCTGAGCCCAGATGTTCGAGACCCACCTGGGCAACATGGCAAAATCCCGTCTCTACAAAAAAAAAAAAAAAAAAAAAACTAGCCAGGCGTGGTGGCGTGTGCCTGTACTTCCAACTATTTGGGAGGCTAAGGTGAGAGGATTACCTGAGCCTGGGGAGGTCAAGACTGCAGTGAGCTGTGATCACGCCACTGCACTCCAGCCTGGGCAACAGAGTAAGATACCATCTCAAAAAAAAAAAAAAAAACCCTGTTGACATTTTCTCTAAAGAAACTTCCAGTTAGACATAGCAGCTTGAACACATACTTCTGGTTGATTTTTGTCATCTTACACTTACATGTTAGGAAGGACTCATGCCCACAGATGCTCCAATCAGTTTCTTATGGCCTCTGTCATAAATACTGGATAGCCAAAGATCACCAGACATTTGAGGGAAAATGGAAAACTTAACAATGAAAAAACAGAGCCAGGTGCAGTGGCTCATGCCTGTAATCCCAGCACTTTGAGAGGCTGAGGCGGGCGGATCACAAGGTCAAGAGATCGAAGACCATCCTGGCCAACATGGTGAAACCCCATCTCTACTAAAAATACAAAAATTAGCTGGGCGTGTTGGCGTGCACCTGTAGTCCCAGCTACTCAGGAGGCTGAGGCAGGAGAATCGCTTGAACACGGGAGGTGGAGATTGCAGTGAGCCAAGATCGCACCACTGCACTCCAGCCTGGCGACAGAGCAAGACCACGTCTCAAAAAAGAAAATGAAAAACAGCCATCCAAAAACAAACAAAAAAGCTTGGAAGAAACAGAAATTAATTATCAGAGGAAAAGAAGTAATGTTGCATCAATGAAACAAGAATGGAATGTGGGGGAAAAAAGGGAACACACACAGAAAAGAAAGAACTCTCATAAACACCTGAGAGCAGAAAATCATTCAATACCCAGGAAAAACATTGGAAAAAAAAATTATTAGAAGACAAACTATTAGAAGAAATTACATATAAAGTAGGGCAAAAAAGATAAAAGATAGGAAAGAAAATATATTTTCTTAAATACTTGAGGGTCAAGCCAGGACATCTACCATCCAACTATCGAGGTTCTAAAAAAACAATATACAACACAAAGGAGAGGAAATTATTAAAGAAATAATACAAGAAGATTTCACATTAAAAGACCCTCTCATGTACATCACTGTGAAATTTCAGAATATGTAGAATAAAGACAAGCGGTAAAGCTTTCAGAGGGAAATAAACAGCTTGTATAGAAAGGATCAGGAATCAGAATGACCTCAGACTTTTCAGCAGCAACACAGAAAGGTAGAAAACAATGGAAAATGTCCTCAAGATTCTAATAAAAAATCATTTCCAACCTAGAATTCTAAACCCAGCCAACCTAAAGATGAAATCATGAAGGCACATTAAAGATGTTTTCAGATACTGGATCTAAAAAAGCTGCTTACCTCCCATGCACACCTTCTCAGGAAGCTACTGGAGGATCTGTTCTACCAACCCAAAGAAGCAATCCAAGAAAGACCACATGGAAGTTGGAAGACAGGAACTCAACCACAGGATAGAGAAAAGGGTCTTCCCAGAGTCATCGGGAAAGGCTGACAACTGGGGAACAGGTCTAGAGAGCGCAGTCCAGACTGCAGTGGGAGGGCGGGCAGAGGGCTCCAGAAATGGCACCAAGAAAACAGTAAGTTGCCTGATGTCTTTGATGGTGCCGAGGGGAATTTTACAGCTTGAGCTGAGTGAGGATTAATCAGTGATAAGTACACAGCTAAGCAATCTGCCCCATCCCCAAATAGAGTCCATTAACTCTATGAAAAAAAAATTTTACAAAAGAGAAAGCACAACTATCACATACTTCATGGCTCACTTGTAAAAAATAGTTACATACTTTTCACATTTATTATAATTAGTATTCATGATTTTACTAAAGCATGAATATTGCTTTAGTACTATAATGCTTAGAATTTGATATTTATAATATTAGCACTGTTTATATTTAATGCATCCAATACTACGAAAATAAACTAGATCTCCATCAATCTCTACTTCAAAGCCAGGCACAGTGGCTCATGCCTGTAAATCCCAGCACTTTGGGAGGCCAAGGTGGGCAGATCACTTGAGGTCAGGAGTTCGAGACCAGCCTGGCCAATGTGGTGAAACCCCATCTCTACAAAAAATACAAAAATTAGCAAGGTGTGGTGACGTGCATCTGTAATCCCAGCTACTTGGGAGGCTGAGGTATGAGAATCACTTGAACCCAGGAGGCGGAGGTTGCAGTGAGCCGAGATCACGCCACTGCACTCCAGCCAGGGCAACAGAGTGAGACTCTGTCTCAAAAACAAAACAAAACAAAACAAAAAACACTCTACCTTAATTTTTCCAAATATCCTCAAATTCATGATGTCTGAGGGCATGAACACAAAGGCATGAACAAATTCATCATCTCTGAGGGCTTGAACACATACTTACGGCTATTCTGCTAACTGCTGGATAAAATAATGGCACAAAGAATCTAGCACATTTAAAAAATACTACACTACAACTGGCTGGAATTCATATTAATAATATAATAATGATTCACTGTTATCTATTAATATACTTTATCATATTAGATCAAAAGACAATAATTATATGATTATTTCTGTAAGTGATAAAGGACATTAGATATAATTCGATATCCATTCTTAGTAAAAACTCTAATACAATAAGAATACAAGAATACTTCCTGAATATGATTATCTGTTAGTGGGAGTGGGGGGGGGGGGGGGAAGAGTATCTACTTGTGTATATGTGTGTCACTCTCCAAAGCTGACATCATCTTTTATTAAAAAGATATAAAAGCATATTATTTAAAATCAGAAACACATCATACGTTCACAATCATCAGTTTTATTTATCACTGTTCTGGAGGTATTTGCTGATGCAACTGGACAAGAAAAGTAGTAATAGATATAAGCAACGGAAAAGAAGAGGGGAGAGTGTTATTTACATATAGCACCTGGAAAAACTGACATGAATTAACGTACCATAAACAATATAAGTATCTAGCTAGGTGTCAACATTCAAAATCAGTATGTAAAAACTGCCTTCAAATTAAAGAACTGGCTGAAAGACATAATGAAAGAATACATCCCATTCAAAGTAGTAACGAAAAAGATACATGGCTGGGTGCAGTGGCTCATGCCTGTAATCCCATACTTCGTGATGCTGAGGCAGGAGGATCACTTGAGCCCAGGAGTTTGCGACCAGCCTGGGCAACATAGTGAGACCCCGTCTCTACAAAAAATAAGAAAATTAGGCCAGGTACAGTGGCTCACACCTGTAATGTCAGCACTTTGAGAGGATGAGGCAGGCGGATCACTTGAGGTCAGGAGTTCAAGACCAGCCTGGTCAACATGGCGAAACCCCGTCTCTACTAAAAATACAAAAATTAGCCCGGCGTGGTGGTGCATGCGTGTAATCCCAGCCACTTGGGAGGCAGAGGCAGGAGAACCACTTCAGTCTCCTGAGGTGGAGGGTGCAGTGAGCCGAGATCATGCCACTGCCCTCCAATCTGGGTGACACAGCAAGACTGTCTAAAAAAAAATCTTTATTTTTCATTTTTTACTGGGCAAGCTAATTTTGAAAATTATATAGAAATAAGAATAGCCAAGAAAATTCCAAATAATTGAAAAAATGCTGAGGCAAAATTAATTTTAACAGATAATAAAACATGTAAGATAGTGTGACATTGGACACAAAGAAACATTTCAAGTGAACAGAGTACGTCCAGATATATACAGGAAGTTAACATAGGATAAAGCTTCATTGCAAATCAATGGAGAAAAACTGCAGAGATGGGAAACTACAGCCAGGGAGACAAATTTAGCCCATTGTCTATTTTTGGATGGCCTGCAAGCTAAGAATGGTTTTTACATTTTTTTAAAGTTAGGAGGCAAAAAAAGAATTTAATGATACATGAAAATTAGATGAAATTCAAATTTCAGTGTCCATAAATAAAGTTTTATTTCTCATTAGTTTATACACTGTCAACGGCTGCTTTTGTGCTACCACAGTGGCGATGAGTAGTGTTCAGAGACCATACAAATTGCAAAACCTTAAAGTATTTACTATCTGGCTCTTTACAGAAAAAGTGTGTCAACCCTTGCAATAATGGATGCTGGATTATTTTATTAGCTGGAAAAAACTGAACTTGAATCCTTATACTCTATACACTGAAATAAATTCCTGATTACTTAAAAAAAAACAACTTGAGGTTTAAAAAATAATACTGGTGGCCAGGAGCGGTGGCTCACGTCTGTAATCCCAGCACTTTGGGAGGCCGAGGCGGGCGGATCACCTGAGGTCGGGAGTTTGAGATCAGCCTGACCAACATGAAGAAACCCCGTCTCTACTAAAAAACAAAACAAAACAAAACAAACAAACAAACAAAAAAATTAGCCAGGCATGATGGCACATGCCTGTAATCCTAGCTACTCGGGAGGCTGAGGTAGGAGAATCCCTTGAACTCAAGAGGCGGAGGTTGCAGAGAGTCAAGATCATGCCATTGCACTCCAACCTGGGCAACAAGAGTGAAATTCCACGTCAAAAAAAAAAAAGGAAGTCATAAAAGAAATGATAGATAAATAAAAAAATTCTGCCTGGACAAAAGCATCATAAACAAAGTCAAGACAAATTTCAAACTAATAGCATATATTTGTAACACAAATCCCAGACATGGGGCTATTTTCCTTAGTATATAAAATTATAAATCAATTTTAAAACATTAATCTCCTAATCCCAAGAAAGGGTAAAATACCTGAATAGTCAATTTGTAGATACGGAAATAAAAATGGCTCTTAAGTTCAAAAGAGAAATTCAACTCAAAACAGCACTGAGAGGCTTTCTGCATCTAACCAAGATGAAATAGCTTGTAAAAGTTCAACAATACTGCTGAGAACAACTGAAAAACAAACTGATTGAAAGTACTGGGGAGCTGCCAAGGCAACCAAGACTTGAGAGTCCAAGATCTCAGTGAGAAGGGAACTGCAGAAAGGTGAGCAAATACCCTATAAGATGCTGAGGCAGAGCTTTTGTCCATCTTCAGATGGACTAGAGAGATGTAAGTAAATAGACAGACATGTAAATAAATAAACAAATGGAGTTCACAAAGCAGAACTCCTGGGCTTAAGAGATCTTCCCACCTCAGCCTCCCAAGTAGCTGGGACTACAGGCATGTGCTACCACACCCATCTAATTTTTGTGTTTTTTTGTAGCAATGAGGTCGCCCAGGCTGGTCTCAAACTCCTAGCCTCAAGCAATCCTCCTGCCTCAGCCTCCCAAGTAGCTGGGATTACAGGCTCAAGCCATTGCACTCAGTTACAATTTTTAAATTGAGTAAGGCTAGAGCTTAAGATCCAAAGTTGAGAATATAAAATTATAAATCCATTTTAAAACATTAATCTCCTAATCCTAAGAAAGGGTAAAATACATGAATAGTCAATTTGTAGATATGGAAATAAAAATGGCTCTTAAGTTCAAAAGAGAAATTCAAATCAAAACAGCATTGAGAGGCTTTCTGCGTCTAACTGAGATGAAATAGCTTGTAAAAGTTCAACAGCAGTAAACAAAAATTAGGGTTCACCCCACCAAGGAAAAGGAGCCATGAAGAACTTTAGGTTCTTTGTTGGGACCCATAGAGGGCTATACCCTAGGAACATGGATTGACCAGGGGAAGACAGACTTATTTTCTAAAACCCTGCAACCTGACTCAGGCCAAATCCTGATTGATCAAGGTCATAAGTCCCACTTTACACAAGCATAAAGTAAACTTCAGAGGAAAATAGTATCTTTCAGAGCTTCTCAATTATTCACTGTCATGCAATAAAATATTTTAAGATATACAAAAAAAGGCTGGGCGCAGTGGCTCATGCCTGTAATCCCAGCACTTTGGGAGGCCGAGGCGGGCAGATCACGAGGTCAGGAGTTCGAGACCAGCCTGGCCAATGTGGTGAAACCTCGTCTCTACTAAAAATATAAAAATTAGTCGGGTGTGGTGGTGCACACCTGTAGTCCCAACTACTTGGGAGGCTGAGGCAGAAGAATCACTTGAACCTGGGAGGCAGAGGTTGCAGTGAGCTGAGATCGTGCCACTGCACTCCAGCCTGGGTGACAGAGTAAGACTCCGTCTCAAAAAAAAAAAAAAAAAGATATACAAAAAATAGGACCAAGTGGGGGAAAATGAATTTAAAAAACCCAAACTCATAGATAGCCCAGTGTTAAAATTTATCAAAGACTTTAAAAGAACTAATTAATATATTCAATGAAACAGGTGACAAAACAGAGAAGTTTACTAGAAAACTAAACTTAAAAGGCATCAGGTTAGGCATAGTGGCCCATGCCTATAATCTCAGGACTTTGAGAGGCCAAGGCAGGTGGCATCACTTGAGCTCAGGAATTTGAGACCAGCCTTGGCAACATGGCAAGGCCCTGTCTCTACAAAAAAAAAAAAAAAAAAGAAAGAAAAAGAAAAATCAGGCCAGGTGTGGTTGCTCACACCTGTAGTCCCAGTTACTTGGGAGACTAAGGTAGGAGGATGGCTTGAGCCTTGATTGTGCCACCACACTCCAGTCTGGGCAAGAGAGTGAGACAGTGAAATCTTTGTCTCAAAAAAAAAAAAAAATCAAATGCAAACAAGGTAATTGTAAAATGCAATAATTGAAATTAAGAGCTCAACAGACAGGTTTAACAGCAAACTGGATATAGCAGAAGAAAGGGTTAGTAAACTGAAAGATCAGTAAAGAAAAAGAAAAGCGGATGGACAATGTAGAACAGAGCAAAAGACATAAAGAACATGGAAAGAAGGTCTAACACAATTACAACTGGAGTCCAGGAAAGAAGAGAATGAGAACAAGACAGAACAATATTAAGAGAGAATAATTAATAATTTTGTAAAACTAACAAGGCAATCAGGCCGAATATTCAAAGATTCTATGTTACATAGGATAACTACAAAGAAAACCACCTCAGGAACATCACATAGGAAAACTACTTTTGAAAAAAACACCAAAGATTGAGAAAAAAATCTAAAAGCTGCCAGAAGATAAAAACATGTTTCACCTTCTTCAAAGGAGCAATAACAAGACTGAAAGATGACAATAGAAGCCAGAAAATAATGAAATAACTTTTTTTTTTTCTTTTTTGAGACCGAGTCTTGCTCTGTCGCCAGGCTGTAGTGCAGTGGCGTGATGTTGGCTCACTGCAAGCCCCGCCTCCTGGGTTCACGCCATTCTCCTGCCTCAGCCTCCCGAGTAGCTGGAACTACAGGCACCCGCCACCATGCCCGGCTAATTTTTTGCATTTTTAGTAGAGACGGGGTTTCACCGTGGTCTCAATCTCCTGACCTCGTGATACACCCGCCTCGGCCTCCCAAGGTGCTGGGATTACAGGTGTGAGCCACTGCGCCCGGCCCAACTTTTTTATTTTTTGAGACGGAGTTTCGCTCTTGTTGCCCAGGCTGGAGTGCAATGGCACGATCTCGGCTCACAGCAACCTCCGCCTCCCGGGTTCAAGGGATTCTCCGGCCTCCGCCTCCGGAGTAGCTGACAGGCATGTGCCACTATGCCCAGCACATGCCTGGCATACAAATACAAAAATGCAAAAATTTTGTATTTTTAGTAGAGATGGGGTTTCTTCATGTTGGTCAGGCTGGTCTCAAACTCCCATCTTCAGATGATCCGCCTGCCTCGGCCTCCCAAAGTGCTGGGATTACAGGCGTGAGCAACCGCGCCCGGCCTGAAATAACATTTTTAAAGTGTGGAAATAACTGCCAATCTAGAGTTCTATACCAGCAAGAATACATTTCAATAGTAAGAGGATTAGAAAATCACCATTCAGCGGCCAGGCGCCGTGGCTCACGCCTGTAATCCCAACACTTTGGGAGGCCAAGGTCAGTGGATCGCAAGGTCAGGAGTTCGAGACCAGCCTGACCAACATGGTGAAACCCCGCCTCTACCAAAAAAAAAAAAAAAAAAATTAGCCAGGCATGGTGGTGTGCACCTGTAATCCCAGCTACTCAGGAGGCTGAGGCAGGAGAATTGCTTGAACCCGGGAGATGGAGGTTGCAGTGAGCCGAGATCATGCCATTGCACTCCACCCTGGGCGACAGAGAGAGACTCTGTCTCTAAAAAAAAAGAAAAGAAAGAAAGAAAAAAAGAAAATCACCATTCAGCAATCCTCATAATAACTGATATGAAGATTCAGCAATCTTCATAATAATTGATTCAGTGAGGAATCATTAGCAATGTTCATGAAGCTGATAAAAACAGGCTACTCATATAGTGTCGAAGGATCGAAGTATCTCCTCAGAAGGTACTTATTAATTATAAAGGGAAAAAATATAACTCTGCAGTGGAGAAACTTGGCAGATACCACTTCAACCAACAGATCAAAGTGAAATCACAGAACAAATCAAAATCAATGTCCTTTTATGATGCCGGAAAGACACAATACCACTCCTGTGTATTCTTACCAAAAATGCACAAATGAAATCTAGTCATGAGGAAACATCAGATAAATCCAAATTAAGTACAGTGTACAAAACTGGCCTCTATCCTACAAAAATGTCAAGGTAATAAAAGACAAAGGAAGACTGCAGGACATTGTTCCAAATTAAGGGGGGTAAAGAGATAGGACAATCATGCAACTCACGATCATGGATTAGATGGTGGGCTAGAAAAAAATCTTTTTCTTTTTCTATAAAGGGCATTATTAGGACAACTGACTAAATTTGAATATGGTCTGTACATCTGATCATAGAATTGTATAGTTATCTTCTTGATTTTGATACATACACATGTGTTGGGGGTGGGTGGAGAAAAGAAGACAAGAAAAGAGAGAAAAAGAAAAAGAGCTGGGCCTCATGACTCATGCCTGTAATCCCAGCTACTGGGGCAGCAGGGGGCAGTGCGCAGGGGAGATGAAGGGATTGCTAAAGACCAGGAGTTCAAGACCAGCCTGGGCAACACAGTAAGACCTTGTCTCTAAAAAATAAAATAAAATAAAAAATTATTCTTAAATTAGCCAGGCGCAGTGGCATACACCTATAATCCTAGCTATTCGGGAGGCTGAGGCAGGAAGATAGCCAGAGTGAGACCTTGTCTCGGGTAAAAAGGAAGAAAAATGACAATAATAGATTATAGCACTCTGAACTAAAGAGTACATAATAACACTCAAATGAAAGTGAGAAGAGAAAGAAACAGAAGAGGAAAGAGGAGAGAGCTCTTTACAGAAAAATAATAGGTAATAAATGAGTAATAATACAGTTACATAATCACAACTGTTAAAGTTCCAGAGAAACAGTCAGTTGAAACAAGAATCTCCAATGGATACTAAAACCACTGAATGAAAGGCTGTTGAGTAACCAGATAACATGATCTCAAAGAAGCACTTCTCAGATTACTTGTTAATTACAAAAGGGAAAATGTACCTTTAATATGGAGAGTTCTGGTAGTCACCTCATTAACCAATCAAATTAGCATCACCAATACTGGAAGAATCTGATCTTTCTCACCTTTTATTGTAATGCAATAATAAGCACACAACATTACTTACTAACTGTTCTTGCCAAAAATGTTTAATCTTAATCTTATCAAGAGGAAACAATGAGACAAATGCAGAATGTGTGATATTATATAAAACAATTGATTGGAACTCCTCAAAAAATGTTAATGACAAGTAAAATGAGAAGAGACAAGAGGGCAGTTCTAGATAAAGAGACATGGCAGTGAAATGCACAGCACAAGCCCCGACTGTCCCCTGAATCTGAGATACAAAAGAAATGTGGGGGCAACTGGGAAAATGTAAATATGGGATATATAGCAGATGATCTTATGGAATTAGTGTTAATTTTCTTCTATGTGGTAACATGGTGTGGTTATGTGTGGAAGAATGGCCGTATCTGAGGAGGTATATGCTGAAGTAATTACAGGTGAAGTGTCATGATATCTACAATTTATTTTCACATGGTCAGATTAGGGTTTGTGTGTGTGTATATGTGTGTGTGTAGAGAGTGAGACAAAGTAAAAGTGGCAAAATGGGCCAGGCACAGTGGCTTACCCCTGTAATCTCGGCACTTTGGGAGGCCGAGGGCAGGCGAATCACAAGGTCAGGAGTTCGAGACCAGCCTGGCCAATATGGTGAAACCCCGCCTCTACTAAAAATACAAAAATTAGCTGGGCGTGGTGGTGTGCGCCTATAATCCCAGCTACTTGGGAGGCTAAGGCAGGAGAATTGCTTGAACCTGGGAGGCAGAGGTTGCAGTGAGCCAAGATTGCACCACTGCACTCCAACCTGGGCGACAGAGCAAGACTCCGTCTCAAAAAAAAAAAAAAAAAGGTGGCAAAATGTTAACAACTAAGAAACTGAATAAAAGGTATCTGGGAGGCTGGGCATGGTGGCTCATGTCTGTGATCCCAACACTTTGGGAGGTTGAGGCAGGCAGATCACCTGAGGTCAGAAGTTTGAGACCAGCCTGGGCAACATGGCGAAACCCCATCTCTACCAAAAAACAAAGAAACAAAAAATTAGCTGGGTCTGGTGGTGCACACCTGTGGTCCCAGATGGCACCACTGCACTCCAGCCTGGGTGACAGAGTGAGACCCCATCTCCAAAAAAGAAAGAAAGAAAAGGTAATTGGGTGTTCATACGCTATTCCACTTTTCTGGAAATTTGAAGCTGTTAAATATAAAAGATGGAAGGCCGGGCATGGTGGCTCACACCTGTAATCCCAGCACTTTGGGAAGCCCAGGCTGGCAGATCACCTGATGTTGGGAGTTCAAGACCAGTCTGACCAACATGGAGAAACACCGTCTCTACTAAAAATACAAAATTAGCTGGGCATGGTGGCGGGCGCCTGTAATCCCAGCTACTCGGGAGGCTGAGGCAGGAGAATTGCTTGAACCCGGGAGGCAGAGATTGCAGTGAGCCAAGATCGTGCCATTGCATTCCAGCCTGAGCAACAAAAGTGAAACTCCGTCTCAAAAAAAAAAAAAAATAGATGGAAGAAAAAAATCAGATTAGAAAGAATACAAGCAGACAACAGGACTTGATCCTAGGAGCAATGGGAACTACCCAAAGGAGTGCAGGGAAGACACACGCCGAAAGCAGAACTGGAATCTTATCATCTGGCAGCAACGCAGAGTGGACCAGGGGAGGCGAGACTGAAAACGCAAGAACTCAGCCTCGCAGCTCCCCAGGCCTAAGATCATCAAATGACCCCCTGTTCCATCCTTTACCACAATCTGTCTCAGGGTGAGGGCAGCAGCCTGATGACACAGAAGCTGCTGTCAGTTGTCCTCTGAGAGAAGAGAAGTCTCTAGTTCTGTAGAATAAATAATCACTTCTGATGATGTCCTACAGCGTCCATGTTTCATTTACTCTTTCGGCCAAAAACTTGCCCTTTCCACTCAGGCTGTACACCGTTGGGTGGTGGTGGGGGGAGGCTGCCGTGGTGTTGAGAGCTGCAGCAGCCGTGGCAATGGACCGCCAGCCCCCGCACCATCCTCTCCAGGCAGTGGCTTTGTCTCACACAGGGGTCTACTCACTGATCTGTTTGCCAAGGGACTGGGAGTTATTTCCAATGCCTTTCAGCTTTTCCGCTTGACAAAATAGAAATAATGTGTATTTTCTTCTCTAAAATAAGGTGGTTTTCAGCATGTCAAGCCATTTTTGGCCAAAGAATAAATACTGGACCAAATAGGTGAAAAACTAAAAATAAAATAGATGAAAAAGTCCTGCAAAGCAAGGACTTTGAAAAGTCTAGGAATCATCATGGCTATGTCTCTTATATTCCTATGCTCTTCATCTCTAAATTAATGCTTTAAAGAAAAGGGGGTGATTGTACCTCCCAATGTACCTCCTTGTGCACTCATATTTAATTAAAGCTGTTCTAGAAGGGCCAGTCAAAATAATAATAATAAAGTCATACGACATTGGAAAAGGAAAATGTTATTTTCATGTGATATGCTACTGAGAAAACCTAAGAGAACCAACAAAAACAATTAGGACTATTAAAAATAATAAAATAATTCTAAAAACACAGAAATCAACAGCTTTCCTAACTATTGGCAAAGATCAATTAGAAAATATAATGGAAATAAATATCCTAAAGCAAGAAGAATAAATTAAAAATACAGGTACTCAGAATTAAAGGAAATGTGCAGGAACTATGCAAGAACTGTACAAAACCATCAGTGAGGGGCATTACATATTTTACTTGAAAGATACCCCACATCCGTGGATGGAAAGAGTGCATACTGCAAAGACACCAATTCTTTCCAAAGTAATTTCTTTCTTTCTTTTTTTTTTTTTTTTTTTTGAGACAGGGTCTCATTCTGTCGCCCAGACTGGAGTGCAGTGGTGCAATCTCAGCTCACCACAATCTCTGCCTCCCAGGCTCAAGTGATTCTCCTGCCTCAGGCTCCTGAGTAGCTGGGATTACAGGTGTGTACCACCATGCCCAGCTAATTTTTGTATTTTTAGTAGAGAGATGGGGTTTCACTATGTTAGTCAGGCTGGTCTTGAACTCCTAACCTCAAATGATCTACCTGTCTCGGCCTCCCAAAGTGCTGGGATTACAGGCATGAGCCACAGCGTCCAGCTTCCAAAGTAATTTCTATGTTGAATGTAATTATCATCAAAATTTCAAAGGGATCTTCTTTCTTGATTCGCAGTGGGTAGGGGTGGGGTGGGATCAAGAAGAAGATGATAAAAGTGATTCTAAAATGTCTTAAGAAATATACAAGCAGGCCGGGCACGGTGGCTCACACGTGTAATCGCAGCACTTTGGGAAGCCGAGGTGGGCGGATCACCTGAGGTCAGGAGTTCAAGACCAGCCTGACCAACATGAAGAAACCCCATCTCTATTAAAAATACAAAATTTTTATATTTTTGTACAAAAGAGTACAACGAATACTAACAAATACAGTGTGTAACAAATCTATAATAATAAAAACATTGCAGCATTAGCACAACAACAGACAAGTACAGCAATGAATGAGAATAGAATGTCCCTGATCACACATCAGTATATTTAAGAATTTAGCAGATGAAAAAGATGACATGTCAAATCAGTGGGGAAAGAAATAAATCGTTCTATAAATGGTGCTGAGACTATCCAGTTGGTCAACAGGAAAAAATAAAGTTATATTCCCTGTTACGCAACTAGCAACAACACAAATTCCATAAAAGAAAACTAAAATCATTAAAAAAAAAAAAAAAGGTAGGCAAATAGTTCTATGCCCTTGCAGTGGGGGAAGGGTTTTCCATGCTTAGACAAAGGAAGAAACTGTGAACTTGACAATGTGGAAGTTTGAGACTTGTGCTCGGGGCACTGGCCAACTGGTGTTGAGGCTGTAAGCTGAAATCACCTTTTTAAAGCACAGGTTAGCAATGTACATTAAAATGAAAACAAGTCCATTTTCTTTAACCTAGGATTAGCAGCTCTGAGGTTTTTTGCTTTTTGTTTTTGAGACAGAGTCTCACTCTGTTGCCCAGCCTGAAGTGCAGTGGCACGATCTCAGGTCACTGCAAACTCCACCTCCAGGGTTCAAGCAATTCTTCTGCCTCAGCCTCCCGAGCAGCTGGGATTACAGGCGCCCGCCACCACAGCTGGCTATTTTTTGTATTTTTAGTAGAGACGAGGTTTCACCATGTTGGCCAGGCTGGTCTCAAACTCCTGACCTCAAGTGATCCGCCCACCTCGGCCTCCCAAAGTGCTGGGATTACAGGCGTGAGCCATTGCACCCAGCCTAACTCTGAGGTTTTTACCCCACAAAGGTAATCACAAAAGTAATACCTATTTCCCAAGGATACTTAAAGAAGAGTTGCTATAATTGTGTAAAATGAAGATAATCAAGGGGACTGGGTTACAATAAATTATGGCATATATTTTCAGCAGAACACAAGGCAGTTACTAAAATTGATGCTAGAGATCTGTATTGATGGATACCAGTTACATCCAAGACCTAGTATCAAGCAGGGAAAAAAAAAAGAAAGATGAGAGAAGAGGCAAAATCTAAGGTGACTGGCTTTACTTAATGACTTACTCAAATGACTTTAAGGTAAGACTCAACAGTCCCAAGAGAGGCCAAAAGGCAAAGCACTCTAACCTCAGCTTCCAGATTTGTGCCCTCCCTCTGGCCCAAGTCACAGATTCTTCCAGGTGCCTCAGTCTCTCAGTCTATAAAATGGGGATAAAAATCACCAGTGCCATTACCATACTCTCCCCTGTCCCCAGGGTGCTCTGAGGATTAATTAGCTGGTATTTGTGAAGTGTGTTCCTGTACTGAGTTATTACTGAAAAGTTTCCATTAGGCTCATCAGCTCTTTAAAGTTCTTAAGCAAAACTAAAGAAGTTTTGATGAAATGCCCCAAAGACAAGCATGGCTGGTAACAATGAAGCCGTAGAAGAAACAGCCCGGCAACCCTGCCCCCTAACCCTCCACATCAGGCGCAGTGCTCAGGCAGTAAGGCCAAGCCAGAGTTTCATCAGCACTCCCCCAGGATGAGGTCAGCGCACACCGACTGCCTCTGGCCCTCCAAGGGGACGATTATCACACTGTCGCCAGCGTCCCCAGTGCTCCTTATTAGTATAATAGAAACCCTGCACAGAGACCGACAAAGTGCGTGAGAGGAAAAAGAACACGTGCAGATAGGCACCCCCCAACCCAAGTCCCTAATGAGGGGTACAGGGACGGATGTGCATGGATCCTCATCAGCCCCACCCTGTGGAATTCTGATCACAGCTGCCATGCTCTGGGGATATAGGGAGACATGGAGCAGCTTCCAGAGAGGCAGCATGTTCACAGTATCACCAGCTCCAGCCAGGAGTCCAGAAAGACAAAGGTTATGCTGCTGAAGGGGCAGGCAGGACACTGTGAACCCCTGTCATCCCAACCCCTCATCCCAGCAGAGGAGGAGCCCTGCTAACAGCGCTGAGCACTGGCAGACGGTGCCTGCAGAAGGCGGTTTCAGTGGCAGGCCTCTGGGCTGCCCCTTTCGCCTCGTGCTCGGTGGAATGTCCACGCTGGCTCCGCAGTGCCAGCCCACCGAGATGGACTGCTTTGTCCAGCAGTGCCTGCGCCAAGGACATGCTCCAGGATCATTCGGCTTTCTTCCTCCCCTAATGCTTGTGTCTTTCTCTGTATGTCTCATCCTGTCTCTCAAATCTATTCCTGTGTGTCCCAGAGGGCCAGAATGAAGCAAGTTCTGCTGTTATGATGCAACGCCCGGCCACAGGTGAGGCCCGGACTCTTCTGAAAACCTAATGAACGGGCAACAGCAGCTTGTGTGCTTCTTGACAGCACACAGGTGCTGATAAATATCTACCTCCAGGATATTCTTGGTAAACACAGGCACTGCGGCCCCTCACCCTCACGGGTGCATGCACACACACACACACACACACACACTCACACCTTGCCGGCTCTGCTCTCACACCTCAAAAACAAATTATTTAACTATTCTCTTCCCTGAGGATTAGAGCTCTAATTTCAAACACAGAGCTCCCTGGCTTGTCTCTCACATATGCAGCACATTCTGATAGGTTAAACGCTGCGGTTTAATTACTGTAATGAGAGGTGCTTTTTTTGGGTTTCCTCAAACATTCGTTTTTCCCTCCCTTATTTTACATTGAAAATCATTTTTAGCATGTTTTCCTCCGTCATTTTCCCCATCTCTCCCCCCGACTCTGTATGTAGGGAAGAAGGAAGGCTCTTCGAGTGAGTGTCTGAAGAGTCACCAGAAGTGAGTGGGTAACAATACTCAATGTCCAAACCTTTCATTTAAATTTTTTTAATTTAAAATTTGTAAATTAAAAAAAAAGCAGATAGGAGAGGTAAAAGCCCACCAAAGTAGACTGCTACAGTGACTATCCCGGACAGGAATGGTCAGTAAAAAACACAGCAGGTTGGTGTGTTATTGGGGGGTAGGGTCAGTCCTGCAGGTGGTTTTGGGAAGGGATGGGATGTGTTCCCGCGATGGCCAGCATGTGATTTACTGCAGCCCCAGATCAAGAAGAAGGCTGCTTTCCACGGGAAGGCTGGACAAAAGCAGACTGAGGAAGATGCCTCTAGAGAAGCAACTTGCTTTCAGATAGGCTTTATTTTTAAAAGGTGTACAGCCAGCCTGGGAAACATGGCAAAACCCCATCTCTACTAAAACTACAAAAATTAGCTGGGTGTATGGTGGTACGCATCAGTAATCCCAGCTACTCAGGAGGCTGAGATGGGAAGATCACTTGAGCCCCAGGAGATGGAGGTTGCAGTGAGCCAAGATCGCGCCACTGTATTCCAGCCTGGGTGACAGTGTGAGGCTCTGTCTTTAAAAAAAAAAGAAAAAAAAGCATACAGCCTATATGCTTTCAAAGCTGTGGATCATAATTTACCGCCAAACCAGGTCCACCTTCAGCCCCAGGCATGAGATCTGGACTGCACTGTGTGGGCATCTGAAGGCTGCAGTCATTTAAAAGGAAAACCTGACTGCAGCTGCAATGCCAAGAGAGCTCTAAGATCAGGCTGAACCGGCAGAGGAGCAGAAGCTTCAAGAAGCGAAAATGCCCTTCTCCCTGCCTCTTCAAGGTGACCTGGAATGAGTATCATGGAGTTCAATGACTCTGCGTGTGCTCTGGGATCTCCCAGCAAGTCAGTTAATGTCCTGATCATTTTGGAGTCTGCCCTTTTGGAGTCTGCCCTTTAGGCTTTCTGCCTCAGCTCCACACATTTTGTAAACTTCTCTTTTTTTTTTTTTTTTGAGACGGAGTCTCGCTCTGTCACCCAGGCTGGAGTGCAGTGGTGCGATCTCGGCTCACTACAAGCTCCGCCTCCCAGGTTCACGCCATCCTCCTGCCTCAGCCTCCCAAGTAGCTGGGACTGCAGGTGCCCACCACCATGCCCGGCTAATTTTTTTTTTTTTTTTTTTTTGTATTTTTAGTAGAGACGGGGTTTCACCATGTTAGCCAGGATGGTCTCGATCTCCTGACCTCATGATCCGCCCACCTCGGCCTCCCAAAGGGCTGGGATTACAGGCGTGAGCCACCGCGCCCGGCCCACATTTTGTAAACTTCTGACTCCACTGATTTGTAAGAGTAAAGGTACCACAAAGACCATCTGCTACCAGAAAACCGAGGTGCATGCAAGGTCAGGGAACTAACCGTCATGTCACAGGTGTGCAGGGAAGCCCTGAAAATTGCCGAGGCCAGATCAGCAAACAGGTTGACTGTCACAAGCAGATCAGTGGAAACACATGCAGATATAACAGAGAAGGACAAACTCAGGGAAGAGCAGATGAGGAAACAGATGACAAAGGAGTGAAGAGGAGCTTTCTGGAAGCTGAGTTTTCAGTGGAAGGTGGGAGTAGCGGCCCACTCTGACCATGACCCAAATCAGTGGGACCTTCTCTTCTTGGAGGGAGAAGCAGACTTTACCAGAGGCAGAGTGACAGGCTTACCCCTGAGAAATCATTTCCAGATAAAATAACACTTGCTTCATAAATGCCATCTTCCCTTTCTTCAGAGAGTCTCAAATTTCAGTGAAACCACTTAACAATGTCGGTGTCAAAGAACAAGCTTAACGGTCACCCTGTAGAAGCGACTTTGAAAGGCAGAAGCCAGCGCCACTGCCTGACTGTGGGGCATCCGCCTCTGGCCAACCACTAACCACGTGACAGGGTCCCCCGCACCTCCCTCTGGGCCTTCTCTCTTCACAGCGTCTCTCACTCCTGGTCTACTCTTTCATCTGCTATCCTCCACACCAGCTCCCTAAGCCAAAAATTTGGACAGTGAGCCCAGACTCTTCCCTCTTCTTCACTCTTGCATCCATTCAGCCACCAATTCCCAGGAGATTCTGCTTCCTCACTCTCTAATCCATCCTCTCCATCCCCGTAATAACTGCCCTGGTTCATCCATCATTCCCCTCTCCTAAATGCCCGCCCTACCTTTGAGAGAGCTTTCTAAAACGCTAGCATGAAACTTATTATTCCACATACAACTTTTCCGTGGTTTCCCCACTGTCCACATAACAAAATCCACACTCTTGAGGTAACACATGCCAGGTCTTCCCTGATCCCACCTTTGCCCACCTTTCCAAGCTGTCTCCTCGATCTCTCGCCTTAGTGGCTATGCCCCATCACATCCTCTGCATGGACAAAAGTCACCAATCCGCTTCAGACCTTAAAAACAACTAATCCTCTTGCAGGGCTCGGATAAAGGGGACCTCCTCCATGAATGGAGGCACCTTTTTAACCTCTTCGCCACTAGTTCTCCTCCCCTACCACAAAACTGATCGCTCTCCCCCCAGGCCTCCACTCAGATACCTATTATAGCACCTATAATATTTTATCACCCACACCACATCTGTTTATATATCATGGAACCCCACTAAACTACAAATATTAAATCTTATTTTTGTATTTTTATGTTTAGCACAAATGTTGGCACATGAAGGAAATGGATATTTAATAATTAGTAAATGGATAGATGATTTTTCCAGTGAATCATACTGCCTCTATGTGCTAAACTGGGAACCAACAATTGATACAAACATAGATATAAATATATAGATAACAGGCATGAACAAACTTAGAGTAAATGAATCTAAAAAGCAGATTTTTTTTTTGAGACGGAGTCTTGCCCTGTTGCCCAGGCTGGAGTACAATGGCGTGATCTCAGATCACTGTAAACTCCGCCTCCCAGGTTCAAACGATTCTCCTGCCTCAGCCTCCTGAGTAACTGGGATTACAGGCGTCCGCCACCATGCCCAGCTAATTTTTGTATTTTTAGTAGAGATGGAGTTTCACCACATTGGCCAGGCTGGTCTTGAACTCCTGACCTCGTGATTTGCCCGTCTCGGCCTCCCAAAGTGCTGGTATTACTGGCATGAGCCACCACACCCAGCCCGGAGATAGTTTTTAAATGTTTATGTTTCATCTAAGTATGCAGTATGCAGTATAACTTATTTTTTTTTTGAGACAGAGTCTTGTTCTGTCGCCCAGGCTGGAGTGCAGCAGCACGATCTCAGCTCACTGCAACCTCCACCTCCCGGGTTCAAGAGATTCTCCTGCCTCAGCCTCCTGAGTAGCTGGGACTACAGGTGCCTGCCACCACACCCGGCTAATTTTTGTATTTTTAGTAGAGGCGGGGTTTCACCATGTTGGCCAAGCTGGTCTCGAACTCCACACCTGCCTCAGCCTCCCTAAGTGCTGGGACTGTAAACAGGCATGAGCCACCGTGCCTGGCCATAACTTTCTGATTGTATTTTTGTTAGGCTAACATTAAAATTAGTTTGCATCCCTGATACCAAACTGGTTGGAAGGGAAGTAGAGCTGCAGAAAATTAAAGAAAAATTGGTATAAGATAAAACTTCTACAATGCATCATTCACAAGTGAATAGCGAGAACTAACTACACATGTATATTCTTGGTTCACCACAAAATCCTTTTAAACAAATACCTACCATTTCCCCAAAACAAACAGAGTAATTATGGTAAGGCCTTGTTAGTGTTCAGGCAGTATGCGTGAAATACATTTACTGCCCTGGAGTCACCTCTAAAGAATCTCCAAGCCGAATCCGTGCTGCTGGGATAAAGCTGCCTAATGCACCAGCCTCCAGCGCGCTGTGTAATGACATCCACGCTAATGGAGATGAGCTCGGCTTCATGGAGGTTCGACTCCTGAGAATGGATCTTAAAGGTGAGGCACGGAAGCTCAGGAGAAAGTCGATTTAATTTGTTTAACATTATAAAAAGGGACATTTCCACATGGACAGCAAGGACATGAATATCATGTGTGTATGGCAGAATTATAAACACATTTTTGGCGAAATTCAATAAAGCTGATTCCGCTGCAGAAGGTCAGCAATTTACTATAAAAAATGATATGATTGCAATTTTTAATATAACCCATGTATTTGCTGCAAGATGCTCTAGAAGATTGTGTAATGTAACCATTCGACCTCTCCACAGGAGCAGAGGTCACCCTATGTACCCTTTATTGTCCTGATAAAAGCGTCCATACAGAACAACAAAGTCAACGGCATTTACTTTAGAGCCACACTCAAGCCCAAGACTTCCTCTTCTCACACACAAGAATGGGGCTTAGGATGAAAGCCCTCATGGAAGGCAGCAGGAAAAACTCCAAATTAAATTCACTTCCTATGTAGCAAAATAATTACTGAAATGTATATGAAAAGGTATAGACGAACTAAGTAACCTCTGTAGTCATTCTAGATTTCATTTTCTACAATGTGATTCTTCAAGGGGAGAGCACAGGCGCAGACTACACCCTGAAATTCAACTCAGTGATGACAGAGACCCTGCTCCTCAAATTGGGTGGGCTTCCATATGTCTCATAAGCCCATGTTTACACTTTTTGAGGAAATGACTTAGGTTACCATGAAAATTAAATGGGCAAATGTATGTGTGAATGCTTTTAAGCTGTAAAGCAAAATACACATGCCAGTGGCTATTATACAGTCTGTACCGTATCATCTCAGGCTTGCCTGTAAATTAAAACATCTGTATTACTAGTAGCTTCTACAGCCTCATCACCAAGTTCTCTAAGGGTGTGGACCATTTATGTCCCCAGTGCACTTAGCATAGCACTTGGCAAACAGCAGATGAGGAATGCTTGGTGAACAGAGCTGAACTTGGTCACAGCTGACATGGACAATTCTAGACTGGGAGAATAGAACTTTTATTTTCCATGGTGTCTCCAGATGGAAGCTATAAAATGTCACTCTCATTTTCACTCACTGCTGCAGGAGTTCCTAGATCAAATCAAGCTCCTTTCCTGCCTTGGAGTCTTTGAGAGCTTGCTGTCCTTTCTGCCCGGGATTCTCATTCTTCACAGAACCACTTATCATTCTTCTGGTCTCAGCAACCTTCCCAATGCAAACCTACCCCACCCTCTCCATTATTCTCTCTCACAGCACCTTGCTTATCTGTATTTTGCTTGTTTGTTCATATTTCTGTGGAGTCTGCTTCCACCCCAGGCCTCTGTTTGTTTTATGTAAATGGTAACATTACATCCTCACTCCCAGGGCCAGCACCATGCCTTGTAAGATACATGCACTCAATAAATACTTGTTGGATGGAAAGATGGATGGATGGATGGATGGGTGGTGGATGAATGAATAGTAAAAATCTTTCCAAATAAGGTACTAAGATCTTCCAAAGAACAGTGCTATTTTATGTTATTTCTGTTATTTTCTATTATTTCTGCCTGTTACAGGTTGAGCATCCCTGATCCAAAAATCTGAAATCCAAAATAATCCAAAATCTGAAACGTTTTGAGTGCCAACATGACATTCAAAGGAAATGCTCATTGGAGGATTTTGGAATAGGGATGTTCAACCAACACAATATTCTGCAAATATTCCAAAATCTGAAAAAATCCAAACTGAAACATTTCTGGTCCCAAGCATTTTGGATCGGAGATACTTAACCTTTATTTCTATTTCAGCACTGTGTCTCCTCTTTTCAGGACTGCCTAAAGGAGAGCCTTTGATTGGGAAAAAAAAATGTAAGTAAATATGAGAAATAGACTCAAAGAGGACATCATGGAGCTCCATATTTATTCTCTTTCAATTACATTCTGTGCAAATTATCTTCACGTAAAAGTTACACCGATTTTTCTAGCTGCCTCTTCTTCAAATTCGACCTGTGTTCTTTCGGCCAAGACCCCAAATTTTGCAATTAGAATAATTTAATTCACAATTCCGCGTGTGACTTATAAAGCTGGGGAGAGTATGGCTTTGTTCTTTAGCTTCATAGGTTTACTACTGTCAGTGTTAAAATATTTTTCTTACAGCTTAAAGCCAAAACAGACTGAAAAAGAGTCCCATTCCTATGCACTTTCAGTTTCATTGAAAAGATGACATTTACGTGGTTGTGATATTTAATTTATCACAGAGGGTCATGATTTTTTTTTTCCTGACATACCATGATATAGTAAACTTGAACTTCATGAATGAAAGCCTCTGCAACCATTTAACAATCTGAAAATCCACACAAAATTTAAGACCACCGTATTACTAAAGACAATCTACTCAACAATCTAATTACAGAAAGATTACTTTAAAGGGCTTTAAAACTAAAAAGAATAATTAACAGTAAGAGATTAGAGCATGCCCAAGTCCTCTGTCTGATGAGAGGGGAGAGTTCTGAGGAGATCAGCTCCTATCAGGATGTTGAAGAAACTGAACAGGTATGTTTGAAGTTGGAAAGGAAACATTAGTAGAGTTGTTCAATTCTCAGAACAATTGAAATATAAGTCAGCTTGCCCCATCACTCTGTTTACTGAGGACCATTAGTGAGTTACCTTTACTTCAAAAACGGAAAGAAGACCAAGCTGTGGAATGACCAACCTAGCAAGCCTATCTATAGTTAAAAATAAATTTAAAATAGAAGCACACCATCACATACAAAGATAAGAATACTCCGTATTCATACAATTACAGATACACTAATTCATACACCACCCCCCAACAGATAAACTTAGATTTTTAAAAGACATCAGCTCAAAAGTGTTGAATATAACAATGGATTGGTAAATTAATGAATACTATCCAAAGTTATTTTTAAATCTTTCTAATTACAGTCCAATCAACATAAAATGTTTTTCAGTAGAGATTGCCTTATGTTATACCTTATGTTAAGTTTCAAAAATCCCTGCTTCTAACATTTTCCAACAGTTCCAATAAGCCCGCATATCATGTAGTCCCTTTGGTGGAAACTCTCTTGTCTACCCTTAGCAGATAAATCTCATTAAAAGAACTTCCATCCCTAAGTGAGGCCAGATAAGAAAGAAATTTTTCTTTTTGTTTTGTTTTGTTTGTTTGTTTTGAGACAGAGTCTCACTCTGTCACCCAGGCTGGAGTGCAGTGGCGCGATCTCAGCTCACTGCAACCTCCGCCTCCAGGGTTCAAGCGATTCTCCTGCCTCAGCCTCCCAAGTAGCTGGGATGACAGGCATGCGCCACCACGCCTGGCTAATTTTTTTTATTTTTAGTAGAGACAGGGTTTCACCATGTTGACCAGACCGGTCACGAACTCCTGACCTCAGGTGATCTGCCTGCCTCAGCCTCCCAAAGTGCTGGGATTACAGACGTGAGCCACTGCACCCAGCCAACAAGTTTTCTTAAAATCATCTCGAAAGCCAGTGATGATACAGAATACATCAATATTTATCTCTTGGACAAACTGGAAGTATATCATTACAGTTGCTAACAAAGGCCCAAGTCTTCTAAAAAAATAATAATAGACTAAAAAAGCATAAAAGTATCCTTCTGTCACATATACACAGAAGTCTCCCTTTATCTGTGGTTTTGCTTTTTGCAGTCTCAGTTACCTGAAAATAAGATAATTTGGGAGAGGTGGTGAGTCCATTCACATTACTTTTATGACAGTATATTGTTTTAACTGTTCAATTTTATTATTAGTTAACACTGTTAATCTCTTAGTGTACCTAACTTATAAATTAAACTTTACCAAAGGTATGCAAGCATAAGAAAAACATAGTACATACAGAGTTCGGTACTAGCCGAGGTTTCAGGCATCCACTGGAGGTCTTGGAACGTCTCCTCCGTGGTTAAGGCGGGGACTAACGCACCCATAATTTGCGCCATATTGCACAAAATGCTTCCCTCCATGGCAGCTAGAGTTCTGGATGGGAATTAGGTACCACCAATTAGGTGCACTCATGGACAATTTGGAAAGTGGAAATGAGGCAGAGGACTGCTGTTCTTGCTGCTTTTGATTGCTGCAAATATCAGCAGATGGGCAGGCAGGATATTGGAAACACTGAGGTTTCCTATTGTAATGTCCAGTCTCCAGCTTCATGGGGGTCAAGAGCCAATCTTCACAGAAGTAGAAGCCAAGCCCACATTCCAGTGTCCTGTCGTTGCTTTTCCAGGTGTCACACAACACTTGCAGTGGGGGCAGCAGCAACTTCTTGGTCCCTGGATCACAGCTGCAAGGACATGCACTTGAGCTCCACAGCTCCAGTGACAGCCTCTTGATTCCCCACTGCTTGATCAGGACAGAGGTAGCACCTACCCTGGCAAATTATCTGGCAGTCATTCCTGAAGGCCTAACCTTGGGTCTACCCTCCTAGCCTTTTCACTAAGTGAGTAAGTGCCTAACCATCTGGTTTTTTTGCTGTTGTTGTAGTTGTTCGTTTTTTGTTTTTTTTTGAGATGGAGTCTCACTCTGTCACCCAGGCTGGAGTGCAGTGGCGCAATCTCGGCTCACTGCAACCTCCGCCTCCCGGGTTCACGCCATTCTCCTGCCTCAGCCTCCTGAGCAGCGGGGACTATAGGTGCCCACCACCACGCACGGCTGATTTTTTTTTTTTTTTCTAGTAGAGACAGGTTTTCACGGTGTTGGCCAGGATGGTCTCAATCTCCTGACCTTGTGATCTGCCCACCTTGGCCTCCCAAAGTGCTGGGATTATAGGCGTGAGCCACCGCACCTAGCCTTTTTTTTTTTTTTTTTTTTTGAAACAGAGTCTCGCTCTGTCACCCAGGCTGGAGTGCAATGGCGCAATCTCAGCTCACTGCAACCTCTGCCTCCAGGTTCAGGCAATTCTCCTGCCTCAGCCTCCAAAGTAGCTTGGTTTACAGGTAAGCGTCACCACACCCGGCTAATTTTGTATTTTTAGTAGAGACAGGGTTTCGCCATGTTGGTCAGGCTGGTCTCAAACTCCTGACCTCAAGTCATCCACCTGCCTGGGCCTCCCAAAGTGCTGGGATTACAGGCTTGAGCCACTGCACCCGGCCTAACTGCCTGTATTAAATCCCTCTCTGCTCAAAATTCCTAGAGGTTCCTGATGCACGAATTCTTATGATACAATTACAGCAAACTGACTATAGCCCATTAAGAATATATCTTCTAAGAGAACATATACTATTGATGATTGTTGTCATCAATTAAGCCCTTATTTTGGTGCCAGACACTCTGCTAAGCACTTTCCATATCATTTTCATTTAATTCTACCCCCTCCTCAATCTTTTTTTTTGAGACAGTGTCTTGCTCTGTCACCCAGGCTACAGTGCAGTGGCACAATCATAGCTCCCTGTAAGCTCAAACTCCAAGGCTCAAGCAATCCTCCTGCCTCAGCCTCTCAAGTAGCTGGAACCACAGGCATGCGCCACCACGCCCAGCTAATTTTTAATTTTTTTTGTAGAGACAGGATCTCACTGTGTTGTCTAGGCTGGTCTCAACCCTTCCATCTAAAGCAATCCTTCTGTCTCAGTCTCCCAAAGTGTTGGGATTACAGGCTTGAGCCACCGCACCCAGCCAATTTTCATTTAATTCTTACAAGAATTTTTTGCAGTAAATATTATCATTAATCCCATTTTACAGATAAAGAAACCAATGTACCACGAAGTTAAGTATTTTATGCAGGACCACACAGCTAAAGAGTGGTGAAGCTAGGATTCAAACCCAGATAGTTTATGCACTGTTGCCTCTAAAGCTGAAGTAGTCCAAACATGACCTATTATTTAGTCACTCTTAAGAATATTTCCAAAGTCAAGTGGCTTCATTACTAGAAAATTTGTCACCTTCATCTTCCTATTCTCCAGGCTCAAAATGCTGGTACACTCATACATGACTGGTGAGAATGTAAAATGGTATAACAACTTTCAAAAACAGTTGAGAAGTTTCTTAAAATGTTAAACACACACCTATTATATGATCCAGCCATTCCATCCTAAAGTATGTACCCAAAAGAAATTATATGTCCCTACAAAAACTTATAAATATTGACAGCACCTTTATTTTTAATATCCAAAATCTGAAAACAACCCAAATGTCCATCAACAGGTAGTATAGCCATATAATGGAATAGTATTCAGCAATAAAAAGGAATGAACCACTAGTATATACAACAACATGGCCAAACTTCAAAGTAATTATGCTGAGTGGAAAAGCCAGAACAAAAAAAATTACACACTGTATAATTCCATTTATATAAATTTCTACAAAATGCAAACTAGGGCCAGGCACAGTAGTTTGCACCTGTAATCCCAGCACTTTGGGAGGCCAAGGTGGGCAGATCACTTGAGCCCAGGAGATCGAGACCAGCCTGGGCAACATGGTGAAACCCTATCTCCCCAAAATACAAAAAAAATTAGCCGGGTTTGGTGGCGTGTGCCTGTGGCCCAGCTACCTGGGAGGCTGCGATGGGAGGATCACTTGATCCCGGGGAGGTCAAGGCTGCAGTGAACCGTAATCACGCCACTGCACTCCAGCCTAGGTGACAGAGTAAGATCCTGTCTCAGAAAAAGAAAAAGAAAAAAAAAAAGGCTAATCTATAGTGATAGCAGATCAATGCATACTTGCAAACCAGGATATGGGGGTTGGGGGGACCACAGGAGGAAGGGATTACCAAGGGGTAGGAGGAAACTTTTGGGGATGCTGGGCATGTCCATTATCTTAATTGTGATGATAGTTTCCCAATTATACATATGTCATAACTTTTTAAAACCACACATTAAATATGTGTAGTTTACTGTATGTCAATTACACCTCAATAAAGCTGCTTAACACAAAAAAAGCAACCCTGAGAGTCATCTTCGGCCCATCCCTTTGCCACACACACCCTCCTGAGCATGGCTTACTCTTTCTTCTGCCATGTCTGTGGTTCTGTCCTTCCTCTCCAGAAAGTACGTGGTATAGTTCAAAGAATCTTGGTCAGAAGACATAGATTCTAGTTCTACTTCTGCCATGTATTAGCTCAACTTAGCCTTTCTAAACCTCAATTTCTTCATCTATGTAAAATGGGAGAAAAGAGCCACTCTGAGATTCATTAAATAATGTTTTCATTCATTTAACAAATATTCATTAACCTGCCCACTACATACTAGGGTCACAGCGAAAAAATCAACTAATATTCATTAACCTGCCCACTACATACTAGGGTCATAGTGAAAAAATCAACTATGTGATAGTGTTTTGTAAACTGTAGAACTGTCTACATAAATATGCTGTCATTTCTATTTCCATCTCTACTGCTACCAACCCGGCCCAGATCCCCCACACCTGAAGACGGACTCAGCAGGACCATCTTTGTGGCTGGTCTTATTATTGCCAGGCCAAGTCAGTTTCAATACAGAGCCGAGAGTAAACTTCCTCAAACAGAGTTTCTCTGTGCTCCATGGGCCAGGTGCCGTGGTTCATGTCTGTAATTCCAATGCTTTGGGAAGGCAAGGCAGAAGGATGACTTGAGGCCGAGAGTTTGAGACCAGCCTGGGAAACACAGTGAGACCCTGTCTCTACAAAAAAACTCACCAGGTGTGGTGGCACGTGCCTGTAGTCCCAGCTACTCGGGAGGCTAAGGCAGAAGGATCGCTTGAGCCCAGAAGTTCAAGGCTTCAGTGAGCTATGATCATGCCATTACATTCCAGCCTAGGCAATACTGTTATATAATATTGGGTCCTAACCCCAGCTCCTCCCTCACTTCCTATCTCACCAGCCTCAATTCTCTTCCCTTCTTTTTCCTCACACGCCAATCCAGCGACTGGCACATGCGTCTCTGCCTGAGCCTCCCCTCACTAACGAAGGCCTTCCTGCTCTTTTCTCTCTGTGCCCACTGCCTCCCTCAATGGCTAGGTCAAAACTGAGCAGGCCGGGAGTGGTGGCTCATGCCTGTAATACCAGCACTTTGAGAGGCCGAGACAGGTGAATCATGAGATCAGGAGTTCAAGACCAGCCTGGCCAAGATGGTAAAACCCCATCTCTACCAAAAACTACAAAAATTAGCTGGGTGCGGTGGCAGGCCCCTGTAATCCCAGTTACTCGGGAGGCTGAGGCAGATGAATCGCTTGAACTTGGGAAGCAGAAGCTGCAGTGAGTCGAGATTGTGCCATTGCACTCCACCCTGGGCGACAGAGCGAGACTCCGTCTCAAAACAAAAAAAGAAAGCAAGAATTTTTCACATAACCAGAATGTCCATCCCTTCAAAATCCAAATCTGTGCTAAGTGTTAACCGCAATTTGTTACTCTTTTTCCTCTTATTAACTTCCTTCTACCTATAGTCCATGTTTACCTTAAAAAAGTTTTATCTTCTTTACTATGAAACATAATCCCATGAAATTTAAGCAAGAAAAATATCCCCTATCCTGCTTACCATATGCAAAAATGCTCTGACTTCAGCATGGTGCCAAACCAACACGCGTTCAACAATGTATACGACAAGAATATTCATTGGGCCATTGCTTGAGACAGCAGAAGATAGGAATCAACCTAAATGCTCACAAATTTGGGGCTAATTTTTTGTTTGTTTTTGTTTCTATTTTTGAGATGGAGTCTTGCTCTGTCACCCAGGCTGGAGTGCGGTGACACGATCTCGGCTCACTGCAACCTTTGTCTCCCGGGTTAAAGCGATTCTCCTGCCTCAGCCTCGCGAGTAGCTGGGACTACAGGCGCATACCACCACGCCGAGCTAATTTTTTGTATTTTTAGTAGAGACGGGGTTTCACCGTGTTAGCTAGGATGGTCTCAATTTTCTGACCTCGTGATCCTCCCGCCTCTGCCTCCCGAAGTGCTGGGATTATAGGCGTGAGCCACCGCGCCCAGCCGGGACTAGTTTTTAAAAGGATAACACATGCATATAATGGAATATTATGCAGCCACTGAAAAGAATGAAGCAAGTCAGTATGTATCGATGTGGAATGACTGCCGAGATATAACACCAAGTATACGAGTAAAGTGTAAAATATGCTACCACTGTATTTAGAAAGCATTCGTGTTTCTGTGGGGGAGTAATACATATTAACATGCTTTCATGTGGATAGATTATCTCTGGAATGATACATAAGAAACTGTAGCATCCTCTGCAAAAGAGAACGGGTGGGGAACAGGAATGAGAGAATGAGAAGAGAAGACTTATTTTTTACTGTATACCCTTCTCTACTGTTTGAATTTTTAAGACCATGTATATGCCTTACCTTTTCAAAAAGTAAAAAAAATTTTTTTTTACTAATACATGCCAATGTCATTTTGTCACTTTCCTTTTCATTGCAGTATTGTTACAGGCACGCAAGTTTAAGAAAAGAATCAGTCTTCAGTTGCAGGGAAAACATAAAAGTAACTGGGTAAATCTGAAAGTGTTCCCTCCCCGCAAACTCCTCTGCACTATTTCCCCATCGCAGGGTGAAGTGGAGGAAACCCCTCAGCTCAGCCTTCTTGGGGCAGCAAGTGCTATCAGCTCCCGCTCTGAATGGGGAAGCCAGGGCATCTCTGTTTCTACAACATTCGGCTGGCCTAGCTGCCGTAGGTCTCGTCCTGGATGCCGAGAAAAATCTGTGGAGTTCAAGGCAAGTTTGGATAACAGGGGGAGCGGGAAAATTGATGCGGGGGACCAGTCGGTGTGATGAATAGGCTGGGCCAGAACAGCAGGTGACGAATATGCAGGTGCAAGACTGGCAGGGAAGGAAGACGGTCCGTTCACAACAGATGGATGGAGATGCTCAATCATCCTCAGGAACAAGCGCGGCTGCCACACAGCCCTGCCTGCTCCGCACGAGCAGCTCCTCGCTCACCTGCAGGGCACGGCCCCGCCCCCAGAGGCTCTGCACTGGACCCACACTAGGGCAGGGCTACGGGAGAAAGAGCAGGAAGTGGGTGCGGAAGATGCCACGCTGCTGCAGGCGGGCCTCTCCGGGACTCACTGCCAGTGGACTCTTCTCATTTTGCCTTCTTCCTCCAGGTTCCAAAACCAAACCCGTTTTGTCTCCCCTGGTAGCTCTCACTCCTGAGAAAGGCTTTTACCGCTAAGGTGACCTGTTTGTCTAGGACCACGGGGCTGTCCACAACATGGGAACTTCAGGGTTGAACCCAGGGCAATTCTGGGCAAACCAGAACCCTTGGTTGTCACCCTACATTTTGCCCACTGTCCTCTCTTATTTCTCTTCCTCTTCAGTCAGTGAGAGAACCCAGATCGGCCTATTTGGTTCACACTTATGACTGAGTCGAATCCGTGTCGGGCATTTGTTTCCTCTGGTCGTCTATAACGAACAGAAAGGTAAGAATCAATAAGACATTCAACTCCTGTCTTTTCTCAGAATGGGGACCTCTTTAAAAAATGTCCAGGATATACTGGCTTCAATGACTCCAACAAACAGAGGAATGAATCTAAATCTTGATGCCACAATCCATGTCTCGTTAACAAAAAATCAGAAGGGCCAGACAGCCCCTCACAGAGCCAATTGTATTCCTTCCAGCTCAGCCGCAGGAGTTTCTGAGGATGAGGAAATGGGCCACACGCAAGCAAGGGGTGGGAGCTGGCAAGATTTCCGTGCCCTCCCCCCAAGCTATCTGCTGGACCCAAGCTCTAGGAAGAAAAGCTTTGTGAAAAGACTTCTGGCTTCACTAAGACACATTAAAGAATTAATTATAAAGTAAAGCTGAAGGAGAAAATTAATTTTAGAAACACAAGAGGTTACAATTTTTTTTTTCCTGGAGATGGGGGAGGAAACACAGTTATTTTCGTTTTCATCCTGGGGGCACAAGCTGGGAGCTGTCCAGTCGATAACCTGGCCATCAGAACAAGGTTTGTAATTAAAAGGTCAGTGACCTGGAAAGCCAGGGCCCCACTCCCAGAGCTTCTCAGTAATGACGGAGCTATTAAATTAAGACTGTTATGAAATCAATGCTAAAAAAGCTTTCATGGTAACGAGATTCCATTCAAGGACATGCAAACTACCTCATGAAATAGACGTAAATGATAAAAAAAAGAAAAGTAATAAAAGAGAGTTAAATTGAAATCTGTGTAAGAATTTACTCCCCCTTGAAATATTCTACAGAGAAGCCCTTTACCTCTAGCCCACTACCAAGGTTGGGACCGCCAGGTTTCTTCAAGTTCATTTCCAGCAAGGAGGCGGTTTTGCTACCGGGGTTTCTACTTCCAGGAACAGTAGAAGGATAAGATCTAGTTTCACCTTTTGGAATGAGAAAGTATGGTGGTGTGTTTTATTTGTTTCATTTGCCTACCCCAACCAGGACCATTTCTTGGATGAGGCAGGAAAAAGCCCTTTACTTAGACACTTGAGAAGGACACAGTAAGTGTGAGCCAACAGCACCCAGGCCCCACTATGCAGGGTTATACAGAAAAATAGATGATGTTTGTCTTTCCTAGAAGCTTGCTTTGCAACAGATATGTTAGAGTAAGTTAACAGACAACTCTATCCCCCTCCCCCACCTCACCCCCCTCACAAGCAAGCATCACTATTACCCACCTCATCCTCAGCCTGCCAAACATCTTTGGAAGCAGACTGCCTCCTACATTTTGTGGCTGGATAGGGTGTCAAATCAACACAAGCCTATTGACGACAATTTCCAAGCCTCTAACTTTCTGGACTGATTCTATTGCTGTTTTTACGTTACTCTAACCTCCTGGATTGCAGCCTGCTTAAAGCCCCAGATATGATGCCTGCCTGGCAAGAACTGCTTCTATATATAGACTGGTTCTATGAGGGCTTAAACCCCACACACAGTCCAATTATCTTGATGTGTGGCTGACTCCGCAGTTGATGTGTCATCTGCAGAATCAAGTGGTTGGAAGGAAAACAAAAACATTTATTCTAATACTCTGAAGGTGAGCAGCTGCTTTTTTCTTTCATCCAAAATATTCCCGATAAAAGGAAGAAATGTTGTAAATTACACAAAATGGCAGTACAAACTTCAAAGAAAATGATAAATGATTCTAATAACTTCACGTTTCTCATTAATGGCTCCATGTTCAGATTTTAAAGCATCCGAAAGAGATCTCAAAACAAAAAACAAAAAAAAAGTAACAGGAAAGACCTTTGCAAACCAATGCTCTTCCATCCCTATACCACTCATTCCCTACTCACCCTCACCCAGCACCCCCACCAGAAGTCACAGAGCACAACACTTAACCAGTCGGTAACACGGACAGGATGCAGCCCCTGCTCCCAGCTGCGGTTTCACAATGAAACAAACTCAGCTGATGCGCCTCATTTTCCACTGAACTGACATGCACTACAGGGACCTCAATTTCTATATTAAATATTAAATAATATTAAAAGAAAAACAAAATTGGATTTGCCTTTTCAGGAAAGAGATGTTTATTAAAAAAAAGAAAGTCAAGATTATAATTCAAGTCAGTGCTCCACTGCAATTCCCTGAAGTGACATTGCTAGGAAAAGCCAAGACTCCAGGAGCTGAGAGCCCTCCCAGAGCCCATGCTCCAAGCCCAGCACTGCAAGGCTTCTGCAGGGAGTCCAAGAGCACGGGTGCCAGAACCCAGGCCCCTCCTGGTCCAGACGGCCAGCGAGCCAATTTGCTTTCCTGCCACAACTACTGTTAGGGACCCAGTAGATGTTCACCCTCATCCCCATCGGAGACGGTGCCAGGCCGTGCTGAGCACGGAAACCTGACCCTGGAACAGCCCGAAATTTGAAAAGTGAAGCTTAAATCTGCGAAGGGGCTTTTCTTCCCCAGACACCGATCAAACCTTGGAATTCTCTGCCCAGAAAAGGTCCTGCCAGAACCTACTCCATTGGGATTCAACTCGGAAATGGATAATTACTGACTGAAGCAGCATTTTAGAGGATAATGGAGATGGGTGATTAACCTCAGAGATTCCAGGTTTAAGTACGGGATAAACTCACATGGTTCTCTTTAGAGGACGAAGGGCAGGATAGCATCTCAAGGTGCCAGATGCCTAAAATTCTAAAAACTCTAACCCAAATTAGGGGTCAAGAAGGAATTATGTCCACTGTACCAATAAACAGTCACCTTCCAGTCTTTGCTCATGTGCCACCCTCTTAGAGACACTCTGACATTCATGTTGTTTAAGATCACAGTCCAGCCCACACCAACTCTGGCATTCCTCACCCCGGCTCCCTGCTTCATTCATCAGTATCCATGGCGCTCGGCATCTGACATCCGACCTATTTCATTTTCCCATTTGTTAATCGTCTGCCTTCCCTCCACTAGAATTTAAGCTCTGCGAGGGCAGGGATTTTGTCTGTTCGGTTCTCTGCTAAATTCCTGATGGGAGTCCAGGGACAGGGCATAGGGTGCACAATGACTCTTGGATGAATTGATCAGTTGGATTTTTTTTGCTAAAGGAGCAACGAATCATAATTGCACAAAAAGTTTTCTCTCTACAGTAATTATTAGCCAAGTAACTCAAAAGAAGTATTATTTGGTCCAGAGTTTCTCTCTCTCTTTTTTTTTTCACTCCCTCTCCCAGTCAGGGATTTATTAAAATTAAACAGATTAGATGGAGCTCCTGATACTAAAACTGCTCAGCAAAGCCTGCGGTGGGGAAGTGCCGAGCAAACACCAGAGACATTTGTCTCTAAATTGCTCTAAATACCTTCTGCAAATGAAATTCTAACCCAGCTGCGTTTGAGAGAAAATGAGGACTAACTGGTCATTGTCGGTGGAAGAGAAGATCAGGCAGTTATAATATTGCACAATATACTGGAGCTAAGGATCTCTCGGCAACCATAGATTTTGTCTCAGGTTACCCCGGGTAATCAGCTCAGCTTTTAGGCTCAGCTTTCCCCAGCTTCAATGCTTTGATGAGAGAGCTGAAATCCCTAAGCTTTTATGATTAATTACTCCCCATAGGTACACATATTTCAAGGAAAAACTCTTTTATGGCATGATGCTTGCGGAGTGGCGAGGCCAGCCAACACACTCCAAATTTTAATAATCTCCTAATGATGGCGGGGGGGGGGGGTGCTGGCACAATGCAGCCAGTGAGCAGCCGTGCAGTGCTCCTTACCAACTCTGTCGCAGGGACCCAGCCTTGGGGCTGCCGCGAAGCAGCTGCCTGTGGTGAAATGTTTGGGCTTCTTCTGCCCAAACCCTGTTAGTGCAGCCCCGGGACATGATCGCATGAAGGGACCAATGGTTCATGCTGCATCCCTTCAGCGGGACATCACAGAGCAGACCTAGGAAATATCACCCACCTATTCCAGCCAAAAATGACTGAAAGCTCAAAACTCAGAATTTCAAGGCTGGCATTCCAGCTCCTTAAGGAAAAAGAGTTTTGCTTTGGGAGGAAGAAAGCTTACTTTTGCCCATCATGGTATATAAGGATGTGTAAATGACTTCCTAGATTTCTAGAAAATTACATGTATAAAAAATTGAAAAGTCAGGTTTCTTTGTAGTTTTCATTTTACAAAAAAAGAAAAATACCCTGAAGTCCAACAGAACCAGAATAGATTGTCTCTTCAGACAATATTGAATTTGTCAGGGTCCACTTTATCCCTGTTTACAGAAATACCATAAAACCACTAATTTACCGCTTCAATCTGTAAATCGGACTGACCCCAAGCTTGAGTTTAACCTGACCTTGTTAGTCATCTCGTTTCCCTCGCCCTTCATTTCTTTCTCCCTCATTCTCTATTGAAGCAGCTGAACTCCTAACCTAAGCTAGTCATCCTGCAGCCAGGGTCACTGACACAGAGCAGACCAAAAACCAGAAGTCCTCCACAGTCTCATCCAATGGGCCGACTCTGCTACTGAATGCTGCCTTTGCCATGATGGACTGGACTAAGTCATCCGTGCTTAATTACCCGAATCGTGTCATCTTGCCGCTCCATTGTCAGGAAAGAAACCTGCATGCCCCACTGGGGGGTTCGCCTCAGCCCCACTGCCCCATGAGTGGGCAGCTCTAGGAAGTCCTGGCAGCTCAGCACCTGCCTTGCACCGTGGCTTCCATCTGCCCCAGCCCCAGTCCCCCTGTAGGCCGTGCTGCACAGCCCTGTGGAACCTGTACCTTTCTTCTTTAGGAATGCTCTCCTGGTTGCAAGTGGGCTCTGGCGGACCCGGGAATTCTGTAGAAACTTCACTGCCGTGGCAATCTGGTGAGAGAGAGAAAATAGAGGAGTAAACTTCACTTCAATAGTCTGAATTTCAAGATTAAAAATCCTAGGAGTTTTTCCCAGCTCCACAGAGACAAGCATACTATTGTGGTCAAATTTATAACCAGTTATTTCTTAAACTTAAAATCTACCTAAATGAAAGGCGATGTTGTTTCCCTGTCTTCACTGGCTTCCTGTATCTGAGTCTGTCAAATCTAATCCCTCTGCCGAGCTTCAGGCCTGCGACGATCCTTCCTGTTCCTCCTGATCTCCATTCGAGCTGATTCTTCATACTCCCCGGCAGGTGTGGCCATGCGCACCCATGTCGCCGCCCTTGTGCCCTGTATGCTGTCTTTCTGGAAGGCCTCCCTTTCCTGCCTCCACCTGTCTAAACGTTACCCCACGCGCACGTACACACGCACACACACACACACACGTTCTCTATCAGCACAGCCCTTTTATAGTCTGTTCTGATTCCTCGAAGCCTTGCCTAAATAAGCAAGCCATCTCTGATCTCCCTATTCTCTTCAATTCTTCAGTGCCTGTACTGTGTACCATATAATTGAAGACATAATTACACCATCTTCTAATGTTCAGCCTGCCTCCCCAACTACGCTGCAAGCAAGTGAAGGGCAGAGACCACACTCTCTCCAGAGCCTGGCAAAGTGTTGAGGGCGTCCCGGCTGGAAGGGATTATGTCGGAGACAACACCCACTGCCATTCACTCTGGCCCCCCTTCTGCAATGGAGCTGAGTTCTGAAGACCCTTCAAAGGGCAAAGTTTGGAGTTTCATGGCTAAAAGCTGACAGATTGACAGATTGTCTACCTGCCTCTGGTAATGAATATTATTTAATGAAATCTTCCTATCTCCACATAAGCCGGGCAGGGGATGGAAGGGGCACCGCTGCAGGTATTAACCTTCACATCACTCAGCACACGCGAAGTGTGTGTTTACGCCTGGCTTGTCTACTTTCCACCCCAGACACCAGCCCTATGGATGGGAAACGCCCACCTGCCCCAGGTAGGAAAGGGGCTGTTTTAAATGACTGCTATTATTCACCTCATCAAAATCAAAGGAATAATATGGTCTCATGTTACAGATAAAGTCAACAGGCCCTGAGTTCACTCATAAGTTGTTGAAAGAAAAAATTTCTAAGGCTAGATGTAAGGAAGTTTTCTAAGATCCTTCAAACTAAGGGAAGCAGTCAAACAGAAAGTACTGTGACTGTAAGTGAAATACAAGTTACAAATCATCTCCTTCCCCATATTTTATATGAATGTAATCCTGAGACCAGACAGACTTTTGGGGAACAAAAGATATGAGGATAAACCAAAGAAAAAAAGCCAGGGAAAAGCCTGTATTCATTTTCCCTGCAACCCCTCCGTGGGAGGCTTACCTAGACATTCCCCTAAAGGATGAACTCAGTATCTTGACTTTTCAGGTCTGGGCCTGTCACCAACAGGACATACTAGTGTCCCTTGACAGCCAAGCCCAGCTCCGCACAGATTATCATCTGTCCTCCAATGCTGCCGACAGTACTAACCACCGTCATGAACCACAGTAATAGACCAGTTCTGGACTAAAGAAAAATGAATGCTCGAGATTCTAGAGACCCCAAACGGCATACTCAACCAGATCGCCTCAGGTCACACCAAAATCAAGAGAAATCTAACAAACATCTACAACACTGATGCATTTTAATGAAGAGATAGGAGAAGGGAAGAAGGAAAAAAGAGAAAAAAGAAAAGGGGATGGGTAGAGGTAGGAAAGGTGGGGAGAAGAAGGCAACAGTACACAAGGAGCTATAACAGGAGAGAGGGGGAAAAGGAGAGAGGAGAAATGAGAGACAAGCAGAAAAACCAACGGAAGCGAGGCCCCTGCTCTGGAAAGAGAATGAACAGGTACCCAGTCACTGGCCCCCAGGGTCAGCGCCAGTCTGCACAGCTCAGATGGCGTGGGGATAGTTGTTCTTCACCTGGAGAAAAAAATACACCTTCAACACACAAGAAAATTACACTACTCGTATCATGCGGTAGTCTGCATGCTGTGTGTGACACGTGTACCAGGTGTCAGCGGAAATGTGGATGAACAGGTCTTAAGCAGAAGATGCTAGTAGTACAGCTCCTATCATTTACCCATAGAAACAGAAAGCTTTCCTTCATCCTTCCAAAATTTTCCATGACAGAGAAAGAAAACAGAATCCCACCACTGGAACACACAGGTTTCACCTTGCTTTTTTAATATAGTCCTTGGTATATGCATTTCTGGTCAGAGAGCAAAGTTCTGATGGGTTTAATGGTGCACTCAATGCAGTGCTTGGCGCATTCCATCAATTTTTTTTAAAAAAATGCATCTCTTATTTCTTTAAATACATTAATCAGCCTAGTGTAGGCAAAACGGATCCATCGGACAATGCAATAAACATGAATTATCATCTATCCAACATGCATAATGGCTTAAAAATACATAATAGCAGGTGTAGTTTAAATGATTAGTTATTACACCTGTGGTGGGTCTGATTCAATTGGGAAAAATCATCTTTAATAGGTTAAAAGGTTTAGATCACCATGCTTTCCTTAAAGTGGCTGCAGAGAGGGAATGATGGAGTGCTCTGTCATTAGTAATTCATTTAAGAAGAACGTGGGGGATATAGCAAAGAACAGCATAAACGAGCGAATCCAATTTAAACATCAGGTAAAGTAGAAAACACCTTTTAAAAAAGCAAGAAAAATGAATTTGGAAGGGAGATGAAATTGACGTATTTATTTTAACGGGAATTTGACAAAGTCCCGGCACACTTCAAACTTGCAAAAATATGAACAATTTCTTTTAAAGTTTCCATTCACTAATTTCAAGTCATATAAAATAATACTGCCAAACACCTACATAAAGTATATTTGGGGCTTGTTTATGTTCCTCTTGATCTTTGTCTGAAAATGCAGGCGACAGGCAAATCACATATTTAACAGCATCGACATCACTACACTAGATGCAAAAATATAAAGCACTCAAATAGCCCCAACCTAATGTGCTGAATAAGAAAGACACCCTGAGAAGTGGCTACATGTAAGTGTGAACATATGAAAACCTCTCTCCTCTTTTCACTAATTATTTCTTCAGTTACTCTTGACTCTTCTCCCTCCCTCCCCGCAAGGAACTGGCACTACAAAATGGGGGGAAGGACCTGTCCAATCTAGAATTTTATAGCCCCATGATTCATACATCGATGGGAGAAGATTTTGCAAAACTCTTTACCCATAATGCTAACATCTTCACACACTAAATAACTGACAGGGCACTCGGTTTGTGCCTTTCACCCACCTATTGTTGGGCACTTTTCATTAATTTCATGAAGCAATTCAACTGACTTTCCTCTGCAGAGGCCCAACACACACAACACGCTTTTGTTGGATTCGATGATGGGGTGCCTGCAGCCTGTCCTGTATTATCATTTGATTTTCTAATTAGAAGATGAATGTGACTATTCATGGGTTATATTTGTGCCCAACTAAATTACATAAATTCAGGCCAAATCTTCCGCCTCAATGTCAAAGATGTAAAACGGAGACAGGAACTTTATTGCACATGTTGTGGGAGTGCAGCAAGCCAGGGAGAATTCTGGCACTAAGCTGCTGATGCCGCCGTCGAAGCTGCTTGCTGGTGAGCCTGTGATAAATATGGAATCAGCGTTCCTTTCCCTTCCTCTTGCACTGAGTTCTTAATGAGTGCACCTCGAATTACCAATAGCTAGTTTAATCAAAATAAAGACAACAAACTCCAAAGAAAACAGACCAGTTTCTCCCCGCCCCCCATCCCTCTGACCCTACCTTCTGTCCCCTTCTCCACCCAAAGCAAAATAAAACAACCCTGCCACCACCAATTCCACAATTTTGGGGAAATTTCATAATTTTCACTATGTGTCACTTAGAGATAAAACTGAGGTGCAAGGAAGAGGAGTAAATTCTTGTCTTTGCAGTCTCATAACAATGGTTACACCGGAGTCACTGGAGTCACTGTCAGCAACTTGGAAAAAAGCGGGGGGGACTTCAGGTTGAAAAACACCTTTAGATCTAAGATGACTGGCCAATTGAGAGAGATTTGTATTTGAGAGAGCAGGATTTGTAACTGTATAAATCAATGGAATACAGTATACTCAGGGGTTATCTACTATGAACTATGTGCTGTTAAATGCATTGTGTAGGGTAAGTAATCCCCAGTGAGAAGAACTGAGGTTCCTGACAGTCCTCACCAAAGAGATGCTTCCTATGTGTTTTCCACTCTCCTACAAAAGACCTGCACATTGTAATCTTCAGAATACACACTTTATTTTCTGCACGAGGGGGACAGGAGGACAGAGCCTGCCTAATAATGAACCTGGGGTTTGAGGGAGCCTTAGCACTTTGCACCTGACATGTAAACCTGATGCATTGTCTCCAGTGACACTTATTTGGAATGCCACCAATTCCAGCACTCCTGTGTACTACATACACATCTATCTCCTAAGATGTGAGCATTCATTAGCCATCTTAAAATATTAAAAATATTCAAAAATTAATGACACTAACAACCAAAGCCAAGTCCTTTTAACCCACAGAGATCACAACTAGAGGGCAAAAGAAAATGACCAATATAATCTACGGGCCCGAAACCCCATTCCAGCGCCGCACTGCTCCACGTGCGCTGCTCAGAAGATTAAATTGCCTGTGAAAGGTTCCTACGTTCATACACTAAAGTAGATACCCAGAATCCTGTTAACAAGCGTTAGACCAAAGCCAACTCGAGTTTTAACAAGGACTGACTTAAAAAGCCAGGCACTGCCAAGAATGAGAGAACCCTCTTCAAACAGAAATGCTGCATTTTAGTAAGAAATCAGTACTCTGTCAGGAGTTCCTTGACAAATATGGTCATCGGCGGCACAGGGAAATAGTTGCAAAGCAGCTGTTAATCAGAGAAACACATCGTAGAACGCTGATGCTAGCACTCGTGAAAAAATGCAACGGGCTAATTATGAAGCTATATATCTCACTAAAGAGGCCGTGTTCCTTGAGATTCCAGGCAGAGCACTCTCGGATCCAGGGTCCTAGGACAACATAATTCTGGTTTTCTACATGCAGGCTCCTCTCTGATCTACCATTCACAATGCCGGGCTCCCTGTTCTTTCTCAAGTCTACACGCTCTCTTTCTAGCTAGGGAACAGGCTGGGGAGGGAAGGAAGCAGCGGCAACCACAAGCCACATTCCACGAACATATCCAAAAGGTGACATATCCTAAACCAGAGTAGAAGAAAAATCTACAAGTATGCAAAAGAAAGCAAGCGTCGGAATTGTCATTCTCAGTGTGGCAGGAGGGCAAATGTGTGTGAGCCTCAATCCAGGATTTCCCCAGCTGCCAAAATGAAAAGAAAGACTAAAAAAGCAGCAGGAATAAACAAAAACTAGAGGCAGTTCTGTGTGCAACCTCAAAGGGAGAAAGAAAGCTTCCAGAAAGCTGCTCTCAGAGTGTGACTGCAACTCAGGGACGCCAAGGGCCCAATAGCCAGGTAAGAGGGGAAAGTTAATATGCAGAGGAAGGCTCGGTCAGCCAAAATTCAATACGCGCCTCTGCAAGGACAAGGAGGAACAGGCTCCCCGAAACCAGACTAGTGGGAGTAGGGGGGAGGGGCCTGCACACTCGGAGTAAAACCACTGGAATGGCAAGAGGGGAATAACCTTGAGGTGGACGAGCCCGCAGGCGGCAGAAGCGCAGAGCCAAAGTGCCCCCTAGCCGGAGCCGGCGGAGGCGCAGGCCGGGGCGGCCGCTCCGCTAACTCGCACAGCCCAAATTAAGTGTTTTCACTCAGGGAAAATGAAATGTTTTGCAAGATGAAACAGAATGAAAATTGAGGTTTTAGGTAATTACTAGTTGGCATTTACATATCACGGGCTGGTTCAACACCTATTCATTTTCCTCTTTTATTTTCAATTTTTAAAAATTGCTCATTAAAAATGAACAGATGACAGTGACAGGAATTTTTTTTGTACTCTTTCCCCTTCTCTGAGGGTTACAAAACCAAGAGGCAATTTTAGCCCATTTATCTATAATTAACGCACACACAAAGGTATGTTTCATGTACATTAAGGGAGGAAAGGAGAAGGGAAAGTCAACAAAAGCCAGGAAGTTCAACAATAAAGACAGTGAGTTGTACTCAGGTAGCCTCCTGCACCTGGGTAAGGAGCTGGCTAGCAAGTGCCCTGGCACTCAAGGAGTTAAAGGAAAGAGCCTCTCTTTCGACTTGGAATTTCCTGGGTTTTGTCACTGTGTCCTTCCCATTGTTGATTTGGGTTACAACACTATACTAATTAAGCTTGTGGGCCCTAATTTCCTTTGTTTTACTTTACTTTCCTCTGTCCTTTTGTTTTTCACATTAAAGAAATAAAATTCCGCTGGTAGAAGTGCACAGGAGTTGACATGATAGAACAGAATATATTTTAAGGCTATTGTGTAAATCTGTATTTAGGGAATTCTAAAGCATGCATTATTGACCCTAGTCTCTCTTAAAACTCATTGATATATGTAGTAAAAGCCTTTATGAAAAGTGGCAACTTCACATGCACAAAAACTACCTTTCAAAGTGAAATATCTCTGCCATTTATTTTTTTTCCCTTGGCCTTAGTTAAAAATATTGCATGAACTGCTTGCCAGAATGTCATTGTTTTGTTATTTGATTAAAGTAGTTCTTCCAGAAATGTATATTGAAATAAAAAGCATCTTAAACCACCACGCACTATTTAATGTCAAGGGACAGTGATCTTAGGGACGTAAGGGTGACTTTGGAGAGGTGTCCGTGTCCAGCCGAGGACTCTGGGTGCCAACTTCCAGCCCAAAGGGCGCTGGTGCAGTGGAGGAGCACAGCTTGAAAAGCAGAGCTGCTGATGCAGCGGGTGACGGTCACCACGCCACAGAAGGAGCTGTGGAGTACACGCCGGCCTGGAAGAAATGAAACCCTTGCTTGTGGGTTGGGAAGATCAAAGTTCCTTTTTAGGAAAGGTTGAGAAGGAAAAGCGTTTTTCTCCTTCAGGGAGAAAGAAAAGCACATTTAAATGCCTTGTCCCCACGCATCCCCACCTGAATTTAGATAGCAGCCCCTCTAATTTTTGATGCAACCAACAAAGCAGTTACCCAAAGAGGGGAGGAAAAAAGGATGACATTTGCCTTTTCCCTGCCTTTGAAATGCAACTGGCAGCAAATTGTTTGAAGTCCTGTTTAGAGAAGAAACTGTAATAGCCTTCATACTGAAAAGAGGAGGAAAATGCCATTATACACGGATCACGGTAGCAGTGACCTCAGCAGAGAAGGCAAACGAGCTGGCTGCAAGTTGGAGGTTTGGCCAGCGTGCCAGGAACGGAAATAAAAGGTTTATGTGCCAGAGACGAGTGGCAAGAGCTGGGTGCTCGATCCCAAGAGATACCAAGGAAAGACAAGTAGTTCAATTCCTTAACATGATGTTTTTCAACAGCTCCTTGACTGCTCCTTCTTCCAGTATCCCCTGGTTTTATATTTTCAATATTCCTCTAATTTCCCTGCACTGTTAAAGAGGAAGCAGAGAGCACCCAGGCTTCGTGTTGTAAAATTAATGAAGGTGTCAAGCTGTTGAGTTAAATCACTCTAAAGGAATGTAATGACTCAGTGTCCAAGATGCTCCCTGAGAGAACTGTGAGCTCACACAGTGACGGTGGCGGGTGACTCCAACACTAAAAATATGTGGCACACAGTCCCCAGCACCTCCCTAATGATAACACTGCCTCTATTTCCTAGTCTCTTTCTCTCCACCACTGGTTGAATTTCATGCTTTCTGAAAGGTATTTCTCCTAACCTCCAGCAGCTTCAGATGCTCAGCAGATGAAACCCTGCTTCAGCTTCCACTTCTTTTGAAGTTCGGCCAGATGGAGATTGGTGAAGCTCTCTAGTCATGCACTATTGAACTGCGGGATGATTAGGAAGGAGACGAAGAAA
Organism: Homo sapiens; assembly: GCF_000001405.40. Classification (NCBI taxonomy): domain Eukaryota; kingdom Metazoa; phylum Chordata; class Mammalia; order Primates; family Hominidae; genus Homo; species Homo sapiens. The sequence continues at coordinate 10,528,219 of NC_000001.11, read as the reverse complement.
GGTTGTGTCATGGATAATGGCAACCTCAAACATTAAGGCATCACTGGGGGTCAGCTACTGAATAGGTGACCACCAGCTGGTGCAAGGCAGGATCCCCCTCAAGGGCTTAGGGCCACCTGCCCTAAGGGCAAGAAGATGGGCTCCTGAATTCCAAGGAAGATAAGCTCTGGACCAAAAAATTATGTGTACCATCAACCCACACTCTGCACAAAACTAAAACCTTCAAGGAGTCTTTAAAAGGCACTTCTAGGCCAAGCACAGTGGCTCACGCTTGTAATCCCAACACTTTGGGAGGCCGAGGCGAGTGGACCAGTTGAGGCCAGGAGTTTGAGAAGAGCCTGGCCAACATGGCGAAACCCCATCTCCACTAAAAAAAATACAAAAATTAGCCAGGTGTGGTGGTGCATAGTCTTAGCTACTAGGGTGGCTGAGGCATGAGAATTACTTGAACCTGGGAGGCAGAGGTTGCAATGAACCAAGATCGCACCACTGCACTCCAGCCTGGGTGACAGAGTGAGACTCTGTCTTGGAAACAAACAAACAAAAAAATAAATAAATAAAAGGCAATTCTACCAAACACCCCATAAGAAAATTAGAGAATGACCTAATGCTAAAAAATAAATTTGAATACAAAAAAAAAGAACTACTCATAGCCTAGAATGAGTTCAAATTTAGAAACAAATTTTTTCTTTTTTTTTTTTTTTGAGACAGAGTCTCGCTCTGTCACCAGGCTGGAGTGCAGTGGCGTGATCTCGGCTCACTGCAAACTCCACCTCCCGGGTTCAAGCAATTCTTGTGCCTCAGCCTCCCGAGTAGCTGGGACTATAGGCACATGCCACCACACCCAGCTAATTTTTGTATTTTTAGTAGAGACAGGGTTTCACCATGTTGGCAAGGATGGTCTCAATCTCCTGATCTCGTGATCTGCCAGTTTCGGCCTCCCAAAGTGTGGGATTACAGGCGTGAGCCACCATGCCTGGCCCACAAATTTTCTTTTTTTTTTTTTTTGAGACAGAGTCTCACTCTATCACCCAGGCTGGAGTAAAGTGGTACAATCTTGGCACTGCAACCTCTGCCTCCTGGGTTCAAGCGATTCTCCTGTCTCAGCCTCCTGAGTAGCTGGGACTACAGGCACATGCCACCACGCTTGGCTAATTTTTCTATTTTTAGTAGAGACAAGGTTTCACCATGTTGGCCAGGCGGGTCTCGAACTCCTAACCTCAAGTGATCTGCCCACCTCAGCCTCCGAAAGTGCTGGGATTTACAGGTGTGGGCCACCGTGTCCAGCCTAAGAATTTTCTTTAGACCCACCAGAAAACAGAAGAAAGTCAACAATCAAGATCTGCTACTAACGGGATGCCACCAAGTCCTAGATCCTGCTACAGGATGAGCATCCCTAATCTGAAAATCCAAAATCCAAAATGCTCCAAAATCCAGAACTTTTTGAGTGCCAACATGACAGTCAAAGGTCATGCACAAAGGAAATGCTCACTGGAGCATTTCGGATTTGGGATTTTCAGATTTGAGATGCTCAACCAGTAAGTATTATGTACATATTCCAAAATCTGAAAAAATCCAAAATCCAACACTTTTGGTCCCAAGCATTTGGGATCAAGAATACTCAACCTGTATTACCTTTGATTCTTTTATGGCCTAAACAAAAAAACTAAAGTATGGGTTCCAAAAGTGTAATTCATAATGCAGTCAACTGGCAGACTTAAAAATCTTCAAATTGCACTTTGGGAGGCCAAGGTGGGCAGATGACCTGAGATCAGGAGTTTGAGACCAGCCTGACCAACATGGTGAAACACCGTCTGTAATAAAAATACAAAACTTAGCTGGGTGTGGTGGTTCACACTTGTAATCCCAGTTACTTGGGAAGCTAAGGCAGGAGAATCACTTGAACCCAGGAGGTGGAGGCTGCAGCGAGCTATCACGCCACTGCACTCCAGCCTGAGCAACAGAGCACGACTCTGTCTCAAAAAAAAAAAAAAAAAATCAGCCGGGCGCAGTGGCTCACGCCTGTAATCCCAGCACTTTGGGAGGCTGAGGCGGGCGGATCACGAGGTCAGGAGATCGAGACCATCCTGGCTAACACGGTGAAACCCGTCTCTACTAAAAATACAAAAAATTAGCCGGGTGTGGCAGCACGCACCTATAGTCCCAGCTACTAGGGAGGTCGAGGTAGGAGAATCGCTTGAACCTGGGAGACAGAGGTTGCAGTGAGCCAAGATCACACCACTGCACTCCAGCCTGGAAGACACAATGAGACTCTGTCTCAAAAAAAAAAAAAATCAGCCAGGCGCAGTGGCTCACGCCTGCAACCTCAACACTTTAGGGGGCCAAGGCGGGCGGATCACAAGGTCAAGAGTTCGAGATCAGCCTGGCCAATTTAGTGAAACCCCATCTATACTAAAAATACAAAAATTAGCCGGGTGTGGTGGCATGTGCCTGCAGTCCCAGCTACTCGGGAAGCTGAAATGAGAGAATCGCTTGAACCCAGGAGGCGGAGGTTGCAGTGAGCTGAGACCACGCCATTGCACTCCAGCCTGGGTGACAGAGTGACACTCCATTTTGAAGAAAAAAAAATCTTCAAATTGACAGTAGAATGACAAGGATTGGAAACTTACTATTCAAACAGTCATATACAATCAGCTACTGTCAGAGGAAAGTCAACTTCCTCACCAAGCACACCAGCCCCAGAGAGTGGCCAGAAATGGGCTCTCCACAGGGACAAGTTGGTGGTCAGGTTCCATTTTCTAAAAAAGCGGTATCTAATACAGGTCACACCCTTGTAGACGACTTCACAAGTAACATATCAACACAAAGTGTGAAACACAGGAAAGCAATACAAGCTATACCGCTGACGCAGATGAGGAAAATGTCTTTTTTTTTTTTTACACATCTTTCAGAAGTAATGACATAAGGGCTGTGAAACTGATTATCACAGCCATCATCAGATTGTACCCACGGACTGTCTTTAGTATCAAGGTACAAGTTTGGAAGAGAAACTGAATCAAGAGACATCAGTCCAGTTGCCTTCTCTGATAAACCCCAATTAAGAAATTTTCAGCTCAGTGAGGAAATCCATCACACACAAGAAGAACCCAAAGGTAGTCCTCATGGCTTTGAACCATTCAGCAACCTTTCACTAAATACCATAAACATCCCTATTATTAGCCAGCACAGCTACCAATAAACAAACACACACTTTAAAAAATAAATGATCCGGCCGGGCATGGTGGCCCACGCCTATAATTCAGCACTTTGGGAGGCTGAGGCAGGAGGATGGCTGGAGGCCAAGAGTTCGGGACCAGCCTGGGCAACATAACGAGACTCCATTGTTTCAAAAAAAAATTTGTTTTTTTTAAATAGCTTGGCGTAGTGGCGCTCCAGCTACTTGGGGAGCTAGGTGGGAGGATGGCTTGAGCTCAGGAGTTTGAGGTTACACTGAGCTATGATTGTACTGCTTCACTCTAGCCTGGGTGACAGAGTGAGACCCCGTCTCTAAAAATCAATCAATCAATCAATCAATCAATCAAATGATTCCACAAAGGCCTACTGAGCACCAGAGCCATCTTGGCCAAGAGTCACTGTGTCCTACCAATAATGGGAAGATGAAAAGGAGGGTCTTTATGCCCTATATCTGATGCCCTTCCCCATCTTGGTCATCTAGGAGAAGCCAGATGAGCATGTAATTTACTTATGAATAACACAAAATTTACACAATTCTCACCATTAAGCAAATCAGTTTATTGAGCATCTTCCTCCTTTAAATCAATGGTAACTCCTTTCAAATTCTTCCCAGCTCTGTCTGAGAAACAGAGAAGTTCACTTTTTGTTATCTGAAGGATTATGAATTACCATCTTGCTTTGTAACCTTCTTGGTTCTTCACATACTGTTCATAAGGTAAGATACCTGGAAATTACAAAAATCCCTAAATTTCCTCAATTTTGCACAAGCTTCCTGAAACATCCCTCATCCTTTTCTGCTCACTGTCCTTTCTCTCTCTCTCTTCTTGCCTGTTTAAACACATGGACATGGAGTTATTAACTTTTACAGGAAAACCAAATAAAATAAAATAATGTTGAAGCAAAAACGCAGTGATGTCAGGCTGCAGCTAGCACCATTTATCTGTGGGAATCTGATTAGCGCTCGAGTGGCAGAGCTACCTGGAAAAGTGCTCACAATCAAATAAAAAAATGATACCAAAACATTAACCTGATGGCTAAAAACTCCACATTTAAACAGTTAAAGTAATAAAGGAGCTTTTATTGAGTATTTTTTATATTTCATTATGCCCCAAATTGACGAGGACTCCCGGATACATTTTCTAGACTTTTGGTTCCTCAAATCAAATGCTCTCTTGGATTTTTTTTTTTTTTTTTTTTTTAACTAAAAGGAAACAGCATTTCTTGTAAGTTTGAATGAAAGGATTAAAGCTTCTCCTAGAATATCGATAATAGTCTTGAGTGCAAACACAGCCAAACGCTGCCACAAACAGAAGCCTTTTTTTGGTTTATGTACTTTAATTCTGAACTTGCTGATAAGCCAGCAGAGAATTTTCCTACAAGATTTTTTTTTTTTTTTACCTTACACAAATACTGTCATGAACCTGGCCTCTTATGTCCCCACTCAGTGCCTCAGATTCCTTCACTGCTATAAAATAAGGGGTTAAACAGATGACCTTCAGGACCCCCTACCTGTGCCATTTTATAATTTCTAAGTTGATTCCATGAGGCAGTCGCTGATACCTGGGCCAGAGATATGGGCTTAGGTCAAGGACAAGACCCAGTCTTTCCAGATTTCATCTCTCCAAGCTGACACCCAATTCAAAAAAAGGAGAAAACCAACAGAGAAGGAGGAGACAGGGAATAGCAGAAGAAATCAGGGCAGCCAAAAAAGATATTACAAATTCCATATATTTTATACGCTGCGAAGCTTTACTCACGCTACTTACTATTTATTTTATATACAAGCTTAGTTATCTGGTATCCAAATCATAGAAGATAAAAGCTGCAAATAAGAACAGAGAGGAAGGAGCCAGCTAGTACAGAAACACCAAACAAAGATGTGACAGCAAAAAAAAGCCCAACAGCAAATGCCAAGAGAGAAACATCCATGAAAAGCAAACAAAAAAATTCAAAAAGCTTATTAGTCTGGGGTCATTTAGAATCGGTGGAGTCATTTCAAGTAGGGGCAAATATACAACACATCTATATTTCAACAGGTTTTGAAAACACAGCTATGCTTATAACACCATATAAACACGTTCATCTAAAATGACAATACTGAGTCATCACGATTAAATTATATTCCAGATATTCAGCTTAATAAAGCAAGAAAGTATGTAATCCATTTTACATAATTCCCAGCCAAAAGTTTTAAAGTGTTTTGTTTGTTCTGCTTTCAAATGGCTCCTGATGACCATCCAGAAAACGTAACTATCCAGAATGCCTCATTCTAGGAGGTGCCAGAGATGGTGGTTTTCCTGAATTGAACAAGAACAGCTTTGATTCATGTTAGATTAAGAAGCAGGAAGCCAGAGATTAAATAATGAATAGCTACTGAGCATTCACAGGTCCTCACGGTACACCAGCCACTTGTAAAGTCAAAATAGAAGCAGGAAAGATGCTGTTTGTGCTGTAGCAATCTAAGATGAGGAAACAAGCCAAAAGAGATCTTGAGCCATCTGGTCCCACCCATGACCTAGGGACTCCCCTCTCCAACAACCCTGACAAATGATCAGGAAGCCTCCTCTTGAATGCTCATAATGAGCAGGGAAACTACTCCCTTAAGAGACTGTCAGCTCATTTTCAGGAGTGCCTCTTTAAACTGAGTTGAAATCTACTTTCCTGAACCTCCTAACCATTGGTCCTCGTTCTCTGTCTGGCAACAATATTAATTGATCCACTTTTTGAAACAGTGCTGGGTGAGGAATCAGGATAGACTGCTGTCACTGGCTATCTTTTCTATAAAAGCATTTATTTCCCTTACTCTGCTTAGTAACTAAAGGTGAACACTGGCCTCACTGTGTAACAGTTTCATAAATTCTGCTCTTTCGTTTGGTAAGAGCAGCCTTGCCCTTTCTGGGAGAGCCAAGGCTACACCTGTAATGTCAGAATGCATTAGCAATAATAAAGGCCACGGTAATGCAAGAGCCGACTTCATGAACACGTCATTCCAGAATGGCTAAATTCAATCAAATATGGCAGCGCTTCCTACAACACTACGATCACTGGGGCCAGTGTGTGACGTGGGCCCACTTACTGGAAGCTGTTGGAAAGAGAAAGTGAGCACTCTGCTTTAAGACTAATAGACAGGGTTTTTACCAGCCCACAAGTGGTTCAGCATCCTTCTTTCCCAGGAATTACCTAGAAATTCATTTAACATCTAAAGACTACAAATGAAACTTCAGAAGGTTAAAAGTATATAATGAGAAGGGGCCAAGGGGATGGTATTCACTCAACCTCACCTTAAATATGTATGATTCTTAGGGGGGAAAAAAGTCAACACCCATAAGGTGGTAATCAAAAAGCAAAGCCAAAGATGAGCCAGGTTTAATTCTAACTCAGTCACCAACTTCTTCAGTAACTTTCAGAGCTACTTACCTTTCCCGTTCCTGCTTCCTCATCTGTAAACTGGAACTAATACTGCTTAGAGACTCACAAAGTGGTATAAGGAATAATTAGTTAGCATTTATGTAACACTTTTCATCTTCAAAGTAGGATTACAGACTATAAAGTAGAGTAGATGTGGCTTGAAAAATCTTTTTAAAACCTAAAATAAAGCATGAAAGCAAATTCAGAGAAGTAAACTCAGCTGACATCATCTTAGAGCAGCCAGATAGCTCTGCCTCCACGGGCACCCCCATCTTCCCTAGTCAGTATTTGCATGTGGAGACAAAGGTATAAGGATATTTTATTAGGGAAAATGGGAGGAGATAGAAAGAAGAGAAAAAGGAGAAAGAGAAGGTTAGAGAAAAGGAATGGGAGAAAGTATAAAAGGGAGAAAAGATAAGAGAGAAAAAGAAAAGAAAAGGAGAGAATAGAAAACAGCAAGAAATAAAGGAAGAAAAGACAAATCTTATCCACTAGAAGAAAAACAAAAACAGGAAGAGAGGAAGAAAAAGAGAAATGGAAAAGAAAACTTCTTTAAGGGGATAGTTTTCCTGTTTCCAAAGAAAAAAGAAGATTAAAAAGTAAAAGGAAAGTTCAAAATGTTTAAAAAAAAAAAAAAAGACAACGGCAAAGAGCAGAGGATAGAAAAAGAGAAGATAAAGCTTTCAAGAGTATGTCTGGAAACCAGAAAGCTGGAAGAGAAATCATTAGCAAGTCCATAGTGCGTCTACAGTGATACTGTGTGGATCAATTCATTTAACGCTGCCCTGTACATTTACAGAAAAGTACCTCTGATATAATAAAGGCTCATAAACATGCAGAAATTGGGTTAGACCCGTTTCGAATTCCTGCCAAACAATGGTTCAGAAAAATGAAGCTCTATTTTAATTAGCTGGATTCACGAGTGATTTGATAACAGCAGATGCTGTCTGGATGCTTTCAGCTTGATGGGCTCCACATACATGAACTTAGAGTGGTTTTGATGCAATTAGGTGTTTCTTTCTGCTCCAACATGCCAGGCCTAAGGACCTGAGCCTACGTGTAGCCCCTACATGTTGCTAAATTTATCTTTATGTTAATATTCAAATCATGAAGATGAGAAGGGTGGCCACCATAAGGGAAGTAGAAAAGTAGTTTTCAGGGCCGGCCATGGTGGTTCATGACTATAATCCAGCACTCTGGGAGGCCAAGGTGGGAGGATCACTTGAGGCCAAGAGTTTGAGACCAGCCTAGACAACACAGTGAAATCCTGTCTCTTCAAAAAATTTAAAAATTAGCTGGGCATGTTGGCATATGCCTGTGGTCCTAGCTACTTGGGAGGCTGGGGCAGGAGGATCGCTTGAGCTCAGAAGGTTGAGGCTGCAGTGACCTATGACCGCAGCACTGCACTCCAGCCTGGGGTGACAGAGTGAGACCTTGTCTCTAGTTAAAAAAACAAAAAAAAAAAAAAGAAGAAGAAGGCCAGGCACAACAGCTCATGCCTGTAATCCCAGCACTGTGGGAGACTGAAGTGAGAGGATCGCCTGAGCCCAGGAATTTGAGACCCAGCCTGGGCAACAAAGTGAGACCCTGTCACTACCAAAACATATTATTTATTTAATTTATTTTTATTTTACTCTCACCACTTCTGTTCAACAACAACAACAAAAATTTCAAATGAGCTGGGTGTGGTGGCACACATCTATGGTCCCAGCTACATGGAGGTCGAGGCGGGAGGATCACTTCGGCCGGAAGGTGAAGGCTGCAGTAAGCCGTGTTTGCACACTGCACTCCAGCCTGAGCAGCACAGCAAGTCCCTGTGTCCAAAAACAAAGAAAAGTAGTTTTTAAAAGTCACTAGTAAGTAGAAATGAATATTCTCACAATGAATTCTTCTTTCCACCAGGGAAAGAAAAGTTAGGTAGCTGAGAGAAAGCCACATAGGGCAGTGTCTCTGTAGAAATATTTAATGCCAAGGCTGAAACACAACAGGCTGCACACTTCCAATTTTGCAAGTCCAGCACAGTCTTACACCGAAGGAAGAGTGCACCTAATGCATAGCCTGACCTGGGAAGTGGCCTTCAAAATGTTTTTTGTAATAAGGCATCCTATTATAACCCAGCGCACCATTCCCTGAGACAGGCGGTGGTATTCCGGATCACAACCCTGAAAGTCCGAGTCTTTTCGCCAGGTGCTTTCAAGCCAGGCACCTTACTGCCCCCGCTCTCCCTCTTAAGCACTCTCTCTTCCAAAGAGCATTCTGTTTGCTTTTCCCAAAGCACTCCCTGCCCTCTGCTATGGCCACTTAGTGAGGCACCACCCACACACACAGAGCTGCTAAAGGACTGCATAAAGCCAGAGCAGCTTCCAGCACAGGGCACGCCTAATAGGAGGGTCTGATCTGTTAATTATCTGTCAGTTTGTCACGGCTGGGCTGAGGAGGGGAGAATGATGAAAAGGGGGGTGTTAGGGGGAGGCCCTCTACTCGGTGGTGTGCTACTCTTCCTGAAATTCTGAATTCCGCTTTTGAAATCATTCACCCCCTGTTGGACAACGTGTAGTATACAGGGTGAAGAAGAGAGGATGAGAGTTTGGCTCGACTCCTTTTGACAGAAGTGGGGGCCTCTCCAACTCCACCACTACCACGACAAGCACACGGCAAGAAACACACTCCCTCACTTTCTCTCCAAGAGGACAAAACGGACATAACGACCTTCACACCATCTCTCCCCTTCACCGGCACTAACAAGCTGAGCACTGTAAATCAAGGATGAAATCCTTGTGCCAGGAAGGGAAGGAGAAGCATCTCTTCTGTAAAGAGCCCAAAGATGCTTCGGAATCAGCATTTCGGGCAAGGGCTGGGAACGCAGGAAGCACCATGCAGGCAACTGAAGGAAAAATATATATTTATTACATATAGCAGGCCTCCTTCTTCAAAAGTTATTTATTTCACAAAACCACTCTGCTAAATAGAGATTTCAATCTAATTGGAATTGGAATTTGCATATTGTAAATGCACCAAGTGAGAGTCTTGGACACTTGTGTTCTATTCTACAGTGTAAGGGTTCACCCGTGGATTTCCCAATATATACACTACAAGAATGTAAGAAAAGAGCACAGAGAACTGGCCTTTATATTTTATTTTTTCAGCCCTTCACAGAGGGTCCAGTCTGTGAAACGGGATGACGCTCTCAATATCCCCAAGGAGACAAAACCACTGAGGCAGAGAGGAGGTTCCCCCTGGCATCGGGTTTGCCATCAGCCGTGTGTAGCTGTTCAGTCTTGCAGGTCTGTGGAGCACCCCTGCCCACCACCCGGGGGAGGCAGGGAGTAGACCTCTATTCATCTAACCCTTAACCCTCCCCATCCCATCTACATATCAAATTAGCCATGCTTAATTAACAGAGATGCAAATAGTCAGGGACCGAAATAAAGGTTTTTGACAAGAAGCAAAGAGGGATACTTTTTTTTTAAGGAGAGGAGAGCGAAAAAGCACCCAAAACAAAAGGTCAACCTACAAATAACTGAGGAAATGAGAGAGAAAAGGCACAGGTCAGGACTTCCCATAAAGGTCTGAAATTTTCTGTTTGTAACTCAGGGTTCACATGGAAAAGTAACGCATGACAGAGGAAGAGACACTTCTGGGGAAGTCAAGTTGGGACAAAGGTTCTAGAGTCCACCATTTGCCTGGGACTTACTTCCCTAGACTGCATTCAAATTGGGCTTCTGCTCCCTGCTCCCCTCACTCATTTCAAGAAAGAAATTATTTAATTTTTTTCAAATACTGAATCCCTAAGGCCCAAAGATGTGCCGTTTCCTCAAAAACTAAGCATCTTCTAGTTCACAGCAACTCCTTTCTGCCCCCCATATACTCTGACAATGCTAGCCTCTCGGTCACAGGGTGTAACCTTCATTTAAAAAAAAAAAAAATCACAGGTTCTGCTTCCCATTTAGAAAAAAAAAAAAGAACAAAATGGAAAGAAAGAATAAATATGAATTTGGAGGGGAATTCTGCCAAAACCTGAACCTCCAAAATCTGGTTCAGCCACATTCTTGCCCACAACCAGTACTTCTCGGTGCCTCCCTACATTTTTCAAAATGCAGCTGCACAACCTCTTAAAATTCAGATTTCTAGCACCTATAATTACAGGCCTCTCAAGCCAGGCTCCTTTAATTAATGAGCCTGACTCCTCTCTCTTCAAAGGAAGTCTGCATACGGGCTATATCAGAGGGTGAACCGACCCGATCAGTGCCTATCTGATCACTGCCTGATGCAGCCAGCACTCTGCCCCCAATAGGAGAGGGAGTTGCCCCTCACCCCCACCTCCACTGCCCAGTTCAACACATCTCAATCTGGCACAAGCCAATTGTGCAGTTAAGGCCATCAAACAGTTCTTGGAACTTAAGGGAAGAGAAAGCAGCTTTGCTGGGTGTGACCAGCAAAATCCAAAGAGAATTCGATTCTCCCTGGTTCACGTGCTCCTCTGACCTCACTTCTTCCTACTGCTGGGGTGAAATGCAGAGTGCAGGCTGAAGACAGTCACTGGTCAAGGCTGGACAAGCAACAGAGGGAGCAGGCTTGGGCTCTGAAAACTGGAAAAGAAAAGAACAAACCGAGGTCTGACCGTCATCCCAAGGCTGAACTAAAACTGCAAAGAAAGGCTCTGCCATCTTAAAACAAAACATGTGGAGAAGGGCTTGTGAGGCACGGCTGTTGCTCTCCAGGTCTAGAGAAGAATCTGAGCACATCCCAAGGACAGCCCGTGACCTCGGGATCACTCACCAGGCTGTCCTCACCCATTCTCCAAACTACTTTCTTTCTAAACCAATACCTGACGACCAGTTTTTAAAGTACTGGTTTTCCTTCTGGCTGTTCTGGGGCAGCTCAGCCTAATCTGTTTGTATCTGCTTCAGATGCCAAGTCAACCCATAGCTATTCTCCTGCAAGTAGCTAGAAGCTGGTTTGTACCCATGTTAGCTGGGAGACCAGACTGTCCTTGGCCACAACAAAGACTAGAAAGGGTTGCAAACAAAGTCACAGATGCCAGCACAGACGAGGCTTGGGTCAAATCAAGACAATCCCAGGTAAAGTTTCAGGCAGGAGATTTGAGATCCTGTAAAAGACTCCCACGGACCTGGCAATAATGAAAACAGGTTTGGTTCAGTCACCGCCATCTGATAACCGTTTCTCAAGGTCCCACGGCAAACCTAGTGGGTCCCACAGCAAACCCAGTGGGACAACATTTGCATTACTGACCAAATAGACACACTCTTCTACAAAGAGAGACAAAGTTCTCAGACTATGTACTCAGTAACACAGTTTCTACAGTTCTTCTAGTTTCTCATCTGTGATTTGGACTATAAAACAGGGCTAGGGAACAACCAGAGAACAGCATTAGCATTAATAAATGAAAACTTAAGACACATAGGCCTGGCTTCTTAGTTCTGCCCAGGGTATTTCACAGTGCAGATGTCAAAAATTGAATTAGATCATTCGGTATTCTGCCAGAAAAGGAGTTTCCAGTGACTTTCTGCTATTGCAAATACAATTTTGGAAGAAAGGGGAAAAAACAGTAGCATCAGTCTACCCAATGGTTAAACCCTCAAATCAAAGTAAGGTATGATCACAGACCACTGAGTCTAACTCCATGGCACCTGTCTTGTTTCCTGGCATGGCTACCTGCCATCGTTATGCCCAACACACAGAGGCTAATATAGGATATCGTTTCTGCTCTCCCATTAGATCCAGTCTTCAAATCTGTCAGCATGTCACAACCTGGATCCCCTGACCACAGCACACAGTGGAGTTCCAGGCTGAGACATGACAGGCTGATCACAAGGAGCAGCCACTTCCTTTTTCTCAAATCACAAGCAGACAAGCAGCCAGAGCCGGGTGAAGGATTTTTTACTTTGGTTTGGTTTTTCAACCAAGACATTCTCAAAGTTTATTGTTCTATGAAGTGGAAACATTTAGTTTTCTAACAAACAATTAGAAGCACAGGAGTAGAGAACATGAAACTGAGAACGAAGCTCAGGATACACAAAAATAAGAGGCTGGGAGGCAGCTGAGATCAGGAATGTCCAGGGATCCTCGGCCACACAAGCCGGCCAGGCACTCTCTTTCCAGGGTGTCTCAAGGGGAAATCACCCATCGATCCTGGGACACACGAGTTCTAGGACCAATCCCTTACCTCAGAACAGCCTCGGCCTCAAATTCCTGCTTGCGCTTTAATGTTTAAATTATTAAATGCATTAATGTATTTACATTATTCAAGTCTTATGTGCATTTTTCTAAGATAATTTATGTATAAGAGTTTGAATGTCCATGACTGTTAATGTCTACAACCCTTCCTGTTCATTATTGATTCTGGAAGAAAAAAAAAAAAGTCAGAGTTTTAATGCCTTATTTTTAATGTATTAAGAGTCTGAATAAGTGCATTCTCTTTTTTCTTTTGTAATTTCATAATTTAAGTAGTGCATTTATTAAACTGACACAGTATGAATTGTGGTGAAGCCTGGCACAGATCCATGCTGCTGGAGAGCCCGCTGGAGGACGGAGCCCACTCTTCTGTGACCAGGCAGCAGCCTGGCTCTCCCTCTGCGCTCTCTTCCCACCTACACAGGGGCAGGCGGCAGGGGAGTGGCAAGCATTTGCCCAAGGAGATTTTCTCCCTCCTTTTTCAAGTTCTTGCCCAAATCAGCTCTCCTTGTTACCCAGGCTTTTAAGGGGGACAGTTTTCTGCACACAGAAGTTCTCATCTAGATGCACTGCAGGTGATAGCAGAACAGATCGCAATCAGTACACAATTTTCAAGAACAATAAAAATGCCAGAAGCTTGGTGTAGCAAAAACAAGCAAACAACTACTTTTTTAAAGGAATCTCCAAATGAGAGACAAACATCTCAAAGAGACAACACCTCCAACTCAAGCAGAAAAACTTCTTTCTTTTGAAATCCAGTTTCCCCAGCAGATAACCCCTCTTTCTCCTATAGCCAGTAGAGCGACAGTGACACCCAATGGCCTATTAGTTCAATCCCAACTGAGCATTCCCCAATGGCTTTCCCTTGAGTTGCGTCTTAGGCCCAAAGTTCCTGTGTGAACGTGGAACCTTGAACAAAATAAGGTATTAGCTACTCACCAAGAAGGTGAATCGCTAATAGACCAATTTCCTGCCAGGACATTGAACAAACACTGTATATTGTTACACACGTGCACAAACAACACAGTATAGCACACCTCACTATGGCATCTTTCTGGCGGGTGACGACCACGTGCGTACACAGGCGCTCGCACATACACACATACAGATGCACAATACGTGGGCTGAGCAGCACCGTACAAATCAACCTGAACTGGGAGAAAGGATGACAGAAGTTTCTCACTGCTGTTTTAGAAGGTGACTCTGCCGTTTCTAACACCATACACACACACACACACACACACACACACACACACACACACACAGAGGCATAGATTATTTTATACATTTTTTCCTTTTTTTCTATTTCCTTCTTTTCTTTCTTCTTTTTTTCTTTTTTGGCTACTCATTACCATTCTTTAACTGTTACAATTTATATCAGCATATAATGTTAAATAATTACAGGGAGCGGAGCTCACTCTAGTGAGGATATAAACGCGCTGTGGGAATCTACAGATTTAAACAAATAACACTCACAGCAGGGGGTGAGCGGATGAATTAGCATTAATATCCTGCCTGGGAGATCCCAGTGCACTGGTACTGCTTAAATACAGATCTTTTCTGTAACAGTCAATATGACAGCTCCCGGCAATACGGCCCCTTTCCCTTTCCCAGTCAATATAGCAGCCAGTGAAAATAGAAACGTCCCTATAGCAATCAATATAGCAGCCAGCTAAAATAAACCCTTCCCTTTTAAGGGCTATATAATAGTCAGCTAAATGGAAGAATTGGCACCCCTGCTGGATAGCTCAGCAGAGAAGCCAAGGAATGAGCAGGCCATGAGCACTAAATGATCCTTCTGTTCCTCAGAGGCCCTGCCCAGGGAAGGGGAAGATATCCTTAGGTAGAGAACCAAGAGGGAACCTGCGAGGGACACTTGGCTCCCAGGCCCTAGGAGTAATTACCCATGTCCTAAGCAGGCTATCGGGCCACCCCTCACTGCAGTTCAATTAAAACGGCCAGAAACTTTAGAATCCTTGTTCAAGCTGTCGGCTGGAACAGGGGAACACACTGGTCTTTGGTGGGAACTGAGACCATGTTGACTCAAACCCCGCCACCATCCTGTTCCCACCTTAGCCTCAGAAGGGTAGAGTATTATGTGAACAGCCTGTGGTTTTCTGATTTCTAGAATCAGGGATAGCAGCTATGTTAGAATCAGACAACCAGCCAGGTGGGTGAAAAACAGCATTCTATGTGGAATCCTACCCCAGTGTATATACAGAACTCACTTTCAAAACTCACAGCCATCAATTTGTTAACTATTGTGAAAACACGCTATTTTCTCCCACTCACATCATAGAAAACACTCTCACACTCTCCTTCATTGGAGGCATACAGGAAAAAAAATGTATTCTAATATAAGTCAAAGGATGGCTCACCCTGAAGGCCAAAAGAGACCAAAGGCCTTTTATAAAAGAAGGAAAAGGGCCGGGCACGGTGGCCTACGCCTGTAATCCCAGCATTCTGGGAGACCAAGGTGGGTGGATCACGAGGTCACGAGATCCAGACCATCCCAGCTAACACGATGAAACCTCATCTCTACTAAAAATACAAAAAATTAGCCGGGCGTGGTGGCACACGCCTGTAGTCCCAGCTACTCAGGAGGCTGAGGCAGGGAATCGCTTGAACCCGTGAGGCGGAGGTTGCAGTGAGCCGACATCACGCCACTGCACTCCAGCCTGGCGACAGAGCAAGACTCCATCATAAAAAATAAAAGTTAAAAAAAAAAAGAAGGAAAAGAACAGGGAGCATTTCATTTAAAAACGATCCTATGCATCTGAATATATTGTTCTTTTTCATTATAACTAGCTACTTCTAAAATTAGTTCAGTTGGATTTAAGGATTTGACAAATGTGGAATATAACCACCGACGCCAGTGCAGGTTTCCAACCAACACCCCTGAAGTTAATGCTGGGATTCTGCTATGCTTCAAAGCAGGCGAACATCAGGGATCCACCCCACCTTCATTAAAATTCCACAATCTGTCTGCCATCCTTTGGATGAATCCACAGAAGTCTCTGTTTCCCTGGCCAGGTGTTTCAACACCCAGCAATGCTCATGTCATCAATCAGGTGACTTAGTCAAGTGCCACAGTGTTGGGTATCAGAAAAAAAGATCCAGAAAGTCCTGGTCTGAGAGCTCTAGTCCTTAAAAATTTAGACTTGGGCCAGGCACGGTGGCTCACGTCTGTAATCTCAGCACTTTGGGAGGCCGAGGAGGGCAGATCACGAGGTCAGGAGGTCGAGACCATCCTGGCTAACATGGTGAAACCCTGTCTCTACTAAAAATACCAAAATTAGCCGAGCGTGGGGGCAGGCGCCTGTAGTCCCAGTTATTCGGGAAGCTGAGGCAGGAGAATGGCGTAAACCCGGGAGGCGGAGCGTGCAGTGAGCCAAGATTATGCCACTGCACTCCAGCCTGGGTGACAGAGCAAGACTCCGTCTCAAAAAATATATATATTTAGACTCAACACCCCACCTAAGCCATAAGACTGAGCAGAAATTCTAGTATGTGACACCTCTGGAGAGAAACAGGTTAACACAATCAAGCCTCTCTTCTGGCAATACACGTGTTGATGAGGTCCTGCAGTCCACAGAAGACTTGGAAGTCAAAGAGGTCACAGGTCCCAGAGACCACAGAAGTCAGAGGTCCCACGGGCCACAGAGGTCAGAGATCTCACAGGCCACAGAAGTCAGAGGTCTCACAGTCCATGGAATTCAGAGGTCCCTGGGTCCACAGAAGTCACAGTCCCACGGTCTATGGAAGTCAGAGGCCCCACAATCCACAGAAGTCATAAATTCTAGAGTCCACAGAAGTCAGGAGTCCATAGTCCACAGATGTCAGGGGTCCCTCCATCTCTAGAAGTTATAGGTCCTACAGTTCATGGCAGACTTTCCTAGGAAAATTTAAACTCTGATGTGCATGGTCATTTCCATTTCTAAACCCTACACAAAAATCTGAGGGGAGACACGCTCAATCAGATAGCATTAAAGCTGGAAAGAACGCACCATGATGTTAGCAAAAACCACTTCAACTACTCATGCCATTAGAGTCATCAAAGGGGGGAGGCAGGAAGGAAGGGAGGGACAGAGAAAGAGACAGTAATGAAAGAGAAAATAAGTCTGAAAAGAAAGGAGAAAATAGAAATATAAAAGATTAGAAAAAACAGGAGATAACAAAATAAAAAAGACAAAAACCTCACTTTGGCATTTACAGTTTAAAGCTGTCAGGGCATTTTATGAAATGACAGTTGCAATAAAACAAATAGAATGGTGAGTCATCTGGGTTCCAACTTCTGAGTCAAAAGGGGCTGTTTCTAGACAAACCAGCAGCTCTGCTGCCTGCACATTTAACGATGCCTATCGGTGCACCACAGCTACGGAACAGGATGTGGAGAACGAGGAGGTGGGAGTGAGCATTGTCTTTACTGGTCCCAGTGTCATTGCAAATAAAGACTGTCAAGATTTAAACCATAATAATGGAAAGGCTATAAAGGTCTCAGTTATAATGTTTCCTCTGATGTTCCCTTTCATAAAATGGCCTCTTTATGTTGCTTGCGTAGCAGTCATCCACTGAACATCGGCATATGTGTGGCCCAGTGGGAATGTTGCACCCTAAGTTCCTAGCAGGACGCCAGGCAGCAACTGTGCAATCCAACTCCTTGGCTCATCATCTCCATCGCACATAAGTGAGCACACACACTCACTCATTCCACAAATATGTATGAGTGCCTATTTTCTGCCAGGAGCTGAGCAATACGGTATATGCCCAACCCATACAGGGCTTAGCAAAGTGCCTAGGTGCCAAACAGCCAGGAAACACACATGCAAAATATATACGGCCATACAACACAGGGACTCCTTTCCTACTTTGGCACCTAAAAGTCTTACATAAGTGCCTGGCAGCCTAGCAGGAAATGGGACTTTTCCTTCTCCATGCCAGAGCAAAGTAGATAAGCTGGAACACAAATCAGATAAATGCTCAAAAAGGGGGCTTAATATGGTGCCCACAAAGACTTGCCTTTACTTGGACACACCAGACAAAAATGCACAGAAACCTGCTGTTTCAACAGAATTATTTATCTGCAGCCTGCCATCTAACCATTCTAGGCACCAGGGAACCTCAAAGGAAAATACAAACAAAACCTCTGCAAATTAATACTTTGTAGACATGCCAAGGAGGCATGAACTAAGAAAGACACCAGCAGCACGTGTAGGGATGAAATGAGGCTGAAACCTGTAAACCAGGGAGCCGTGTGATGCAATTAGAGATGCCAAAGTCCAAAATTAGGAAAGGATCGATCTAGTCAAGCCCAACTTGGTGGCAGGTAGAGAATAACTCACATTTCTAGGTGGGCAGCCTGTGCCAACCACAAACCATCCCTGGGCTGCCTTCCCTGCTGATCTATAATTGGTGGGTCAGTGATGGAGCTACCAATTATCTTGAGGCCCCCTGTATTTAGTTCACAGACAAAGGGAAGCAGGAGAGACCAGTTAGTAATGAGTAAGTAATGGCCACGAAAATACATTGTATTATACAAAGCTGCTTCGGCAGGAAAAGCCATTTGGAAAATAAAGCGTAAAAGAATAAAATAAGCTGGAGAAACTCAATTTTCTCCTCCCTTCCTCCCAAAGCCACACTTAGGATAAAATGAGGTTTGTGCAGGTTAATCCTTAAGAGGTAAGAAAAAAATGATTAAATACATTTAAAAAATCAATTGTACATTAAACCAAATCCAGGAACTGCAAAAACAAACACGGCAGCGTTCCTCCAGCCGGCATTAGCTCTGCCAGTCTGGTCAGTAGGGGATACCCCCACCTGATGGAGCCCGCTGAGGTCACAGAAGACAAGCAGAGAGGAAGGGGAGAGAACCAGGGCTGGGGAGTGGGATGGGACCACAGATCTGGATTTCACTGGAACTGAAGTTATTTCTAGATATTATAAAGAAATAAAATGCCTTACAAATGGGGCTCTGGGGACCAGGCTGAATTCTTCAAAAATCCAATAGAAATAATAATAATGAGAATCATTTGATAAACAGAAATTATAAACCACCTTACTGTCAAATGATGTGCCACTATTTCTCGTTATTTCTTCTGTTTATTAACAAATTCTATTAACTGCCATTTTTCAGACAACAGAGAGCTGGAGAGGTGAGGTTAAGAGGCATGCCTTTGCCGGGCGCGGTGGCTCACGCCTGTAATCCCAACACTTTGGGAGGCCGAGGCAGGCGGATCATGAGGTCAGGAGATTGAGACCATCCTGGCTGACATGGTGAAACCCCATCTCTACTAACAACAAAAAAAAATTACAAAAAAATTAGCCGGACGTGGCGGCGGGCGCCTGTAGTCCCAGCTACTCGGGAGGCTGAGGCAGGAGAATGGCGTGAACCTAGGAGGCGGTGTTTGCAGTGAGCCGAGATCGCACCACTGCACTCTAGCCTGGGCGACAGAGCGAGACTCCGTCTCAAAAAAAAAAAGGAGGCATGCCTTTGTCTTTCAGGAATGCCACTCTCTGCAGTGGAGCTGGATGGAAACTCCCACCCTTCCCCAGTACCCTGGGATCTTCAGATGAAAGCCTGAAAGAATGCAAAGCCACAAGAAAGTGGCCCTAGGTCACCCGCTCCTCCCTCAGTGGAGTCAAGGCTGAGAATTCTTAGCTAATCCTAAATAAACCTCACATGGCTGAAATGTCACGGCCAATTTGCTTCCCCGTGTGGACTGCAACCATCTGGTTCTGCCTGCAACCAGCCTTTCTCCTCCTGGGCACCTGCCTCAGCCACACAGCTGGAAGATCTGGCAGGCAGGAGCATTCAGAGGGCACAGTAGGAGGTGCACTTCTGGGGGGGAGGGAGCTGGGACTCACTCTGACAAGGCACAAGTTGCCCATATGTCAGTCTTGGGCCCCCAATCTAAAAATCTGGCACATCCAAGGCCGGGCGCGGCAGCTCACGCCTGTAACCCCAGCACTTTGGGAGGCCGAGGTCAGGAGATCGAGACCATCCTGGCTAACACAGTGAAACCCCGTCTCTACTAAAAATACAAAAAAATTAGCAGGGCATGGTGGCGGGCGCCTGTAGTCCCAGCTACTCGGGAGGCTGAGGCAGGAGAATGGCATGAATCCGGGAGGCGGAGCTTGCAGACAGCCGAGATCGCACCACTGTACTCCAGCCTGGGTGACAGAGCGAGACTCCGTCTCAAAAAAAAAACAAAAACAAAAAACAAAAAAATGGCACATCTGCAATGTTCCCCTTCATGTGTTTCTGAAATAAGTCATTTAGAATTGAAGAGAAACCTCTGTAAGACTAGTTTGGATAGGGGGAGGGAGTGGGGTTGGGGGGAAATGCTGACAGGAAGAACAGGTAATCAACCATATGACAGTGGTATTCCCAACAGAATTAAAGACACGTGCCCATGGGGGAAAGTTTCAAAACCTCTAAACATTATTTGAGTGGGTTATCAATGTCTAGCTCTTGGCAACAAGTAAGATCTGACAGAAAGATTTTACTCTCTTAAAGACATCTCTATTCTCTTATCTTCAAAGCAGGTGAACTTTGCTGCCTTAACTCTGACAATGAGGAATTTGTGGATGTTGATAGAAACACAGATAAAGGATTTACCTGAGGGGGCAGAGAAAGTAGAAATAAAAGATCCTGGATATTGTATTTTCTTTACTTATGCGGATTCCAGTGACTCCCTGGAGACCTGCAGGCACCACTTTAAGAGCTGGAGTCCAGAGCAAATTGCTCAATTGTCCAACCTTCTCCCCGCCAGCAAGAGACAGAACAACAAGCGGCTGCTGCCCCCTAGAAGCTACCAGGGGCATAGCACCTTGCTATATAGACATCACATGAAAAGATCCTATTATCTCCTCTCCATCCCATAACCTGTCATTAGTGAGGTACATGGGTGCAGACGCCTCCTCTGAGCACAAGGAGGCACACATCACCTGTGATAAATTAATAGGCGCCTTTTCAACAGCTAAGATGCACACAAAAGACTCCAACCACGGAGAGCACACTAAGGCAGCAGCCTCAGAAAGGAGGTACAGAATCACCAGGCAGCACTGAGCATCGGCTGAAGATACGTTTGTGCAGCGGGCGCCCCGCACGCACGCTAGTGTGCCTGACAGCGCGGTCCACACCGCACCCATACCTGCTCTCCCCGTCTGCACAGGTTCAGCAGCATGGACACCAGCTTTCAATCCCAGTCCTGCCACTTCTTAGCTGTAGGAACTTGAATGCTCTGGGCTCAGTCTCCTCACTGCAAAATGAGTAATTCTCACAAATTTGTTGGAATCAAACAAAGTAACCAAAATAAAGACACCAACAGCGAGACCAAAATAAAGACACCAACAGCGAGGCCAGAATATTACAGAGTAGAAGCCCTCCTGGCCTATGTGATCGGAGCTAGTAATTGTTCGGTTAATCAAAAAATCAGTTAAAGCAGGGAATCAAAAATGGAACCTGCTCCACATACTGAAAACATTTTCTATTAACTGAAAACCTATAAACATTCAGTCACTGCTGATCTTTTGATGTAAAGCCAAGCCCTTTGCTTTGAGTGTGGGCCCACAGACTGAAGTTCCCAGACGTCTTTCTTGCATAAACCCTACCCATAACACAGCCTCCACAATTTCTAAAGCAAAGTAAGAACTTCAAGACATCAGTAAAGCAATCAAAGTACAGAATCCTTCTAGATGTTTATGATCTTCCTCTAATGTTTAACTGTCATCTCGCTCACACCTAATTTGACAGCAATGTTTTTAGCAATTCACATTTAGCAAAGCATTTAACTTAGTTTTCATAAAACTTTCTTTTCACATTTCTTTTTATAGAACACATTATAGCCAGGCGTGGTGGCTCACGCCTGTAATCCCAGAACTTTGGGAGGCCGAGGCGGGCGGATCACCTGAGGTCGCAAGTTCAAGACCAGCCTGACCAACATACAGAAACCTCGTCTCTAAAAATACAAAAAATTAGCCGGGCATGGCGGCGCATGCCTGTAATCCCAGCTACTCAGGAGGCTGAGACAGGAGAATCACTTGAACCTGGGAGGCAGAGGTTGCAGTGAGCAAGATCATGCCATTGCACTCCAGCCTGGGCAGCAACAAGAGCGAAACTCCATCTCAAAAAAACACACAAAAAAAGAACACATTATATTTGCAGAACCCTCTCTTCACACTCTTAGTTCACCTGTTGACATCATGTTTAATACAAGGACACAGGTTTAGGGACAAACTAGCTCCTGGGGTACAGATGAGTGTGGGAGAGACTGGCTGAGGACCTGCCTTGTTCAGAGCACCAAGAGCCTGGTGAGTACGTTCCATGGGACCCAAACAGCAAGTTGGTCAGACAGGGATGCCAAATGCAAGCTCTTGACACAGTTTTAAAAATATGTTCTTATTGATACCCCTGCTTCATTTCACAAAAGACTCTAAACGACTCTCAAAAGTACACATAAGCCTGTAATCCCAGCACTTTGGGAGGCTGAGGCGGGCAGATCACTTGAGGCCAGGAGTTCAAGACCAGCCTGGCCAACATGGCAAAACCCTGTCTTTACTAAAAATACAAAGATTAGCTGGGCATGGTGGCACACACCTGTGATCCCAGCTACTCAGGAAGCTGAGGCACAAGAATCACTTGAACCCGGGAGGCGGAGGTTGTAGTGAACCATGATCATGCCACTGCACTCCAGCCTGGGCAACGGAGCAAGACTCCGTCTCAAAAAAAAAAAAAATACACACAAGCTGGGCCGGGTGGCTCACACCTGTAATCTTGGCACTCTGGGAGGCTAAAGAGAAGGTTCACTTGAGCCCAGGAGACTGTGACCAGCCTGGCCAACACGGTGGGACCCTGTCTCTATAAAAATTTAAATAAAATTTAAATAAAATAAAAATTTCAAAGTACACACAAGACAACAAGATACAGCAAAGGAAAAGTATGGTAAAGGGGGGGAAAAAAGATTGTGTTTTGTTTTTGAGACAGGTCTCGCTCTGTCACCCAGACTCACTGTAATCACAATCTCCTGGGTTGATGCAATCCTCCTGCCTCAGCCTCCAGAGTAGCTGGGACTACAGGCTCGAGCCACATGTCCCACTAATTTTTGCATTTTTTATAGAGATGGCACCTCGTCACGTTGCCCAGGCTGATCTCAAAACTCCTGGGCTCAAGCAATTCTCTTGCCTCAGCCTCGCAAGGTGCTGGGATTACAGGTGTGAGCCACCATACCTAGCCTAAAAGATGTTTAATACCTGTTCTTTATTCTCCTTCTCCATCAAAATCCACTGTCGGTAAATGCTAGTTAAATGAAACCATTTATAGAAATAATCATTGGCCAGGTATGGTGGCTCATGCCTGTAATTCCAACACTTTGGGAGGGAGGCCAAGGTGGGCAAATCACTTGAGGTCAGGAGTTTTGAGACCAGCCTGGCCAACATGTTGAAACTCCGTCTCTACTAAAAATACAAAAACTTAGCTGGGTGTGGTGGCGCACACCTGTAATCTCAGCTACTGAGGAGGAGGCAGGAGAACAGCTTGACCCTGGGAGGCGGAGGTTGCAGTGAGCCAAGATGGCACCACTGCACTCCAGCCTGGTTGACAGAGTGAAACAAAAAGAGGAGAGGGGAGGGGAGGGGAGGGAAGGAAAGAAGAGAAAAGGAAAAGGAAAGAAAGAAAATAAAGAAAGGAAAGGAAAGGAAAGGAAAAGGAAAAGGAATCAATCAACTTGTGTGCTTGATTGTCAGCAACTCCTTGCTACCATACGGCTGCAAAAAGTGGCCCTGGTCCTAAAGACCCACTTGCCACGGGCCTGGCTGGGCCAACACAGAGAGAAAGGCCTCTTGGCAGACACAGCTGGGTAAAGGGAATGATCGCTGACCCAGAGCACCGCCCCACACACTCTGCACACAAACAGGAGAGCTGTGCCCCCAGGGTCACTGTGAAGGCAAGAGGTCACAAAAGTGGCAGCATGTCTTCTTCCTGACAGGGGTAATTTATCCAGACTCCTGCTCCACTGGGGGCTATGAGTTAGTTCCTCTCTGCCTCTGACTGTCAAGGAGTGCCCCTGGATAGATTTACTTCAAGAATCACTCAGTGTCGGCCCCATCTCTAGACTGTTCAGACAAACTCATAATGGCAGAGAGAAGATTTGTGGAGCAACAAGCATAAATCTCGGTTATAACTACAAACCATAAAAGAAAGGAGAGCTGGGAGGGAAGAAGGAAGGGCGGTGAATACGTCCTTCTCCAAAGCACCACTTTATCTTCCTGCGGTTTCTCACAGCTCAGAAGTGGGACTAACTACAAGATCATATTTTTTGAGCCAAAAATCATTCTGCGTGGTTTGACAATGAGCTAAAATATTTTAAATTACAATTATCCTGGAAAATGGGCCGGGCACAGTGGCTCACACCTGTAATCCCAGCACTTTGGGAGGCCGAGGCGGGTGGATCATTTGAGGCCAAGAGTTTGAGACCAGCCTGGCCAACATGGCAAAACCCCATCTCTACTAAAAATTAAAAAATTAGCCAGGCATGGTGGTGGGCGCCTGTAATCCCAGCTACTCAAGAGGCTTAGGCATGAGAATCACTTGAACCCCCAAGGCAGAGGTTGCAGTGAGCTGAGATTGTGCCACTGTACTCCAGCCTGGGCAACAGAGCAAGACTGTCTCAAAAAAAAGAAAAGAAAAGAAAAAAGAAAAAAGGTTATCCTGGAACATGTAGGGCACTTGGTTATCTTAACCAACACAACAGTCAACAGTTTTCACACTGGGGGCTTTTAGATTTATCCTGAGTTTGCCGCATGGAATACCTATGCTTTAGATCACACTTAAAAAAACACTTTTACATGAAAATTCTTTGAAACTGATGACTGATTTTAATCAAAAGAAAAACATTTTAACAGAGGAAATTTTATTTCCTCTGCCCAAATAAAAGTTTTGTAGATCACGTCTTCAGCAATGGTAGGGCATGTAAAGGAGCTCTAAGATTAGCAAACTCAGGATAAATCTAAAAGCCCCCAGTTTGAAAACCGCTGACTGTTGTATTGGTTAAGATAACCAAGTGCCTACATGTTCCAGGATAATCTTTTTTCTTTTTTCTTTTCTTTTCTTTCTTTCTTTTTTTTTTTTTTTTTTTTTTTTTGAGACAGAGTCTTGCTCTGTTGCCCAGGCTGGAGTGCAGTGGCACAATCTCAGCTCACTGCAACCTCTGCCTCCGGGGTTCAAGTGATTCTCATGCCTAAGCCTCTAGGAGAAAAGGGAGGAAACAGAACTTTTCCCTCTGAAAGAATGATGCCAGGGATAAGATTAAAGACTGCATTCCAGGCAGGGCGTGGTGGCTCACACCTGTAATCCCAGCACTTTGGGAGACTGAGGCGGGGGGATCGCTTGAGCCCAGGAGTTCGAGATCAGCCTGGGCAACATAGTGAGACCTCATCTCTACACAATTTTTTTAAAAAATTAGCTGGGCATGGTGGTGTGCACCGGTAGTCCCAGCTACTGGGGAGGCTGAGGTGGGAGAATCACCTGAGCCCAAGAGGTGGGGGGCTGCAACGAGCCATGATTGTGCCACTGCACTCCAGCCTGAGTGACAGAGAAAGACTCTGTCATTAAAAAAAAAAAAAAAAAGAAAAAGAAAATTGAATTTCCCCAATCACTGAGTAGCTCTGATAAAAGGCACCTGAGTGCTCAGTTCCTCAGTTCCCATATCCTCGAAATAAGGACACTGCCCATTTATCCAAGAGTTGGGGCCTCTGATTACAGGAACAACAGCAAATATAAAGCATTACTATAAAAGCCAGGAACCTAAAGTACAAACAAAGCTGAATAACTTTTTCAAATTCCATTTCTTTAATTATTACTCCTAAGAGTTTCGATTCATCTAATAATTATTTGTAAAAGGGCACCTTAAAACTGGAAAGCAACCTCTTCATTTACCTGAAAGAGGAAACAATGTAAAGGGCACCGCCTAGTCTATGCAATAAACCTGCTGTCTGTGATAGGAAGGACAGAGTAGGAAGAGGCAGTAATTTCAAAACCAGTAAGTGGCCTAGAGATCATAACCACCCAGAAACAGTATGAGGCTTTGCTCAAGTTCATCCATTTCAGCATCCAGTTCTTAGCTTTTTTCGGCAGATCTGGCAGAGGAGGTGGGAATCACAGGCACCTTCCCAACCAGAAGTCAGTATACACGGACACTAGTGTTAAAAACGTTTTCTTCACTGATACCTTTATATTGTTGATGAGAGAGGAGTGAGGAAAGAGGACAGCCAACACTTTTTTCCTCTCTGAAAAGTGCTTACATCTCAGGCCCAGGATGCTGGATCTGATAATCATGACAATTTTACCTTCAGTGAAGTGCACCGTGAGCCCATCCGTGGTTTATACTTGATTTTAGTCCCCAAGTTTCTCTGCAGCAGTTGTGAGGGGCACCCTGATGAATATGTTGCTAGTAACGGTTTAAGCACCAAAATTTTTGTAGATGATTTACTGTTTGGGCAGGGGGGTGGGTTTTGAGACGGAGTCTTACTCTGTTGCCCAAGCTGGAGTGCAGTGGGGGTATCACAGCTCACTGTAGCCTCAACCCACTAGGCTTAAGTAAGCCTCCCACCTCAGCCTCCCAAGGACTACAGGCACTCGCCACCACATCTGGCTAAATTTTTTTTAATTTTTTGTAAAGACAGGGTTTCACTATGTTGCCGAATCTGGTCTCAAACTCCGGAACTCAAGCAATCCTCCCGCCTCTTCCTTCCAAAGTGCAAGGATTACAGGCGTGAGCCACCACGCTCAGCCAATGATTTGCTTTTTAAAAATAAACTAATAGGGGCAGGGCGCGGTGGCTCACGCCTGTAATCCCAGCACTTTGGGAGGCCGAGGCGGGCGGATCACGAGGTCAGGAGATTGAGACCATCCTGGCTAACACGGTGAAACCCCGTCTCTACTAAAAATACAAAAAGCCGGGCGAGGTGGCGGGCGCCTGTAGTCCCAGCTACTCGGGAGGCTGAGGCAGGAGAATGGCATGAACCCTGGGGGGCAGAGCCTGCAGTGAGCCGAGATCGTGCCACTGCACTCCAGCACTCTAGCCTGGGCAAAAGCGAGACTGCATCTCAAAATAAAAATAAAAATAAAAATAAACTGATAGGGCGGATTCTGAATTATCCCTATAATATCACCCCCAATCACTTGCATCCCGACAGACATTCCTGAGCAGGAAAAAGAGGTGGAAGTGACAACTAGTTTCAGCAAACCTAACTCTGCACAGAAATCAACCACTACAGACTTTTTAAATAATTACGTTTAATACTTCAAAGTTAGGTTTGTCATATTTATATATTTTTCCTGGAAAATGACAAGTTCCTGAAATCCCTAAATGGCTGGTTTCATTACCCATGTGCTTGTAAAACACTTTCATGAATACAGCATCAAAATCAATTTTATTTCCCCACAAAATGCTTAAATGTTATAAAATATATATGTATTGTCATACACATGCATACATGAGTGCACACAAAGAAACATGTTAATGTCATTCTTCAGAAATGTTTTGGTGGGGCCGGACGTGGTGGCTCATGCCTGCAATCCCAGCACTTTGGGAGGCCAAGGCAGGAGGATCACTTGAGCCTAGGAGTTCGAGACCAACCTGGCCAACATGGCAAAACCCCGTCTTTGCTAAAAATACAAAAATTAGCTGGCCGTGGTGGTGCACGCCTATAGTCCCAGATACTCAGGAGACTAAGGCAAGAGAGTCACTTGAACCCGGGAGACAGAGGTTGCAGTGAGCGGAGATTGCACCACTGCACTCCAGCCTGGGTGACACAGCGAGACACCGCTTCAAAAAAAGAAATGTTTTGGTGGGAAAAAAAATGAGAACCACTTATCCACAGTGAACCTGCCGACAAGTACACCAAAGTATTCTAACCACAAAAGTCACAGAAGACACAAATGCTGAGGAGACTGTGCCAGGAATACATGTTAGAGGTCTTTGGCAGACAGGCAACCGGCTGTAGCTATTCTTTTCTTTTCTTTTTTTTTTTTTTTTTTTTTTTTTTTTTGAGACAGAATCTGGCTCTGTCGCCCAGGCTGCAGGGCAGTAGCGCGATCTCGGTTCACTGCAACCTCTGCCACCTGAGTAGCCAGGATTATAGGTACCTGCCACTACACCCAGCTAATTTTTTTTTTTTTTTAAGTAGAGACGGGGTTTTGCCATGTTAGCCAGGCTAGTCTCGAACTCCTGACCTCAGGTGATCCACCCGCCTCGGCCTCCCACAGTGCTGGGATTACAGGCGTGAGCACCGTGCCTTGCCTATTCTTACAGAGATCACAGTACTGGCTCCCTGAATCCATCAAAATACGCCTTCTGATTACCAGCCTCTGGTTAATTGGCTTGTAAACCAAAGAGAAAATCTTGGGTGTCCCAGGGGTAAGATGGATGAGCTTCCCCAGGACTGAGATCAAATACATGATGTAGAACCCCCTGGACAAGGTTCCATCTGAGCCTCAGGAAGAAACCTGAGGGCACTTTGGCACTTGGAGAGCAAAACTACTGAGACGCAACCTAGATCTGCAACTGCAGAGCATCTTTATTTTGAAGAATTCAGCATACTAAAAAATAGTAATCCCAGAAAAAGGTGATAAAGTAGAAATTGCTGTCATCAGTTACAGAAAAAATTGTAGTTTGGGGCCAGGCACGTTGGCTCACACCTGTAATCCCAGCACTTTGGGAGGCCAAGGTGGGCAGATCACAAGGTCAGGAGATCCAGACCATCCTGGCCAACATGGTGAAACCCTGTCTCCACTAAAAATACAAAAATTAGCTGGGCATGGCGGCGCGTACCTGTAATCCCAGCTACTCTGGAGGCTGAGGCAGGAGAATCGCTTGAACCCGGGAGGTGGAGGATGCAGTGAGCCGAGATCACACCACTGCACTCCAGCCTGGGTGACAGAGCAAGACTCCATCTCAAAAAAAAAAAAAAAAAAAAATTGTTCTTTGGGATTATTTTGGTGGAGAGATGCAGGAAAGAGGACAGAAAGAAAAAACAAAAAGAACCTACACCTAAAAGTTAAAGGAAGAGACGATGGCCAAGGACTCATCCATTAGAGAGAACTTGGTGTCAAAGAGCAAAAAGCTAAAATTCTAGTTTAGCCAAAATCCATAAGCACTGTTTAAAGTAGATGAGCTATAGTATTGCTGAACATTGAGAAACTGAATTGAAACAAGTGAGCAGATGTGTAAATCAAACCTTATTTACTGCTTACTTCAAATAACCAAAAATCATATGACTAAATGGAAAGCTCAAAAGTTTATTTAACCCAAGTTTCAGTATCCAAACAAGATGGGAACTGAATTACCCCATGCACATGTGGACAATTGTCCGCCCATTCTAAAATACTTATAGACCAGGCAGGGACTTGGTCCTACTAGGACAGCACAAGAAGCTGGATCCAGAGACTGTGTGGGCCTAAGGACAGGCACACAACTGTGGCTAGAAAACCAGAGTCTGTGGGAAATTCACAGGTTTTCACAGATCTGGGAGAAGCTGGAGGTCTGTACTCTGGAGGCCTGTCCGAACTCCTTGCCTCAGCAGGCAAAGCTCAGTGAAGAGAGTATAAAGAGAAAAAAGTAACCAGCCATTTTAACTTTGGCGGAGTTTTGTCAACAACAGAGAATTTCAACTTGGAGTTTGCAGAATTTCTCAAGACTGGTCTGTTCACCAATCTCTAGCCCTAATGACATGATATTAGAGAGCAATACTCCTCTGAGACGGTCAATGTTGCTGGGTTGGTTTGATTTGGAGGCCAGGATCGAGGCAGGATTGAACGGGCAAGAAAAGGAAACACGCAGCCTCACTACTTTGCTAGAATCAAGGCCAGGATTTGGCTACAAACACGAATGTGTCGTTTAGAGACTACAAGATTACACTTCTCACCACAAAATCTCGAGACAGTTTTTATGATTCAGAGAGGACAGAACTGAAAATCAAGTCTTCTTTGCCTAGCAAATAAAACAAAACAATCATGCACATATTGACTACATCACAATGTCACCTGCACCGCACTGACTACTAAATAGAACTTCTTCTGTCGTAATTTACTTTTATTTTCATTCTTTTGTTTTGTTTTGTTTTGTTTTGTTTTGTTTTGTTTTAGAGACAGGGCCTTGCTCTGTTGCTCAGGCTGGAGTGCAGTGGCCTGATCATAGCTCACTGCAGCCTCAAACTCCTGAGCTCAAGCAATCCTCTGGCTTCTGCCTCCTGAGCAGCTGAGAGTATAGGCATGAGGCACCAAGCCCGGCTAATGTTAAAATTTATAATAGAGATGGGGTCTCTCTATTTTGTGCAGGCTGGTCTCAAACTCCTGGCCTCAAGTGATCCCCCGACCTTGGCCTCCCAAAGTGCTGGGATGATAGGCATGAGCCACTGCACCTGGCCAGTAACTTACTTTTTTAATAAGGGGAAAAATTATTTCAAAGTGATCATCTAGTCTGGGACAAAGAATAAGATTATTTGCCTTTAGTGTAGAGACCAGGCAACTTCCATTAAGGAATTGTATGAAAAATATGCATTCAGTTAAAAACAAAAAGAATATGTATTTCCCGAAGCTTAAATGAAAAAATTAACAATAATAAACACAAAAACAAAACAACTTAGCAGTGTGTTCCCCCAACACTGAAATATCCCATTCCTCAAGGCCTGGCTTCAAGTTTCCCAAAAGCCATCCCTAAGTGGCCCTCGCCCTCCGCAGAGCTCTTCCTGCTCTGAATAACTTGGGGCTCTCTTCTACGCCCAACCAGGCAGCTCTGCACCAAATGATACACAATGTTGTGCTATTTGCTAAAATTACATACAGTCGTGTGCAGTTTGCTCTTATTTCATATGTATAAATGCCTTTTCTTCCCAAAGTAAAACACGTGAATTACTCAAGAACAAGGTTTAGTTTTATTCCTCAATTGTCTGTTCCCCATCCTCAGGCCTGAGCTGAGCTAAGCTGAGCATGCAGGAGACAGCAAATACACATGGCCTGAGAAAGCTCCCTCCCTGTGGAAGGGCTGACTGCTGTGTGTTTTCACAAACCGCAACACCACCACACTGAGCTGTGGGGCTTTCTGTGCAAGGGGGCTGCCCATCTTGTGCCCCCGCCCTGCCACACGAGTCCTCAGCGGGCTCCTCTGCCTGACACCCTCCCAACACCACTCCCAGGAGGAAGAAGCAGTTCACACAAGACCACGCGACTCAGCTGGTGCCCCCGTTTAATCAGGCTGCTGCAAATGCTTGGCCAAAAGCAATAAGGGCATGACTGAGAGACTGTGGGAGTTTAATATAAAAAATTTAATAAACAAAAAAGTGGGGGAAGGAGAAAGGGTCTACCTTTTAATAGGGCCCTAATTACCCAACTCATAGGATCAGCCCAAATGAGATGGGAGTTTATTTCGGGGGTTTTTTTAATTATTATTTTATATATATATATAAATTGCCGCTATGTGTTTTCTTTCCTCTGAGCAATTATGCAGCAAGTACGTAAAGAGGAGAAAAAATATTAATTAAATATAAGGTAATTGTGGAGTTGGCCTGGAGAGAATGAGTCTGAACTCTGGACGATCACAGGCTACTAGGGTTTGAAGACTGCTCAGGGCCTCCCAGAAAAGAAAGAAATAAAAATACAACCAACCAACAAGCAGATGCACAGTACAGCAGGAAGAGCAGGGCACAGAAACACTAGCAGAGCAAGGGGTCTGCAGGGCTCCAAATACCAGAAATCAGTGAGCTGGCCAACTGCTCAGGGCTCCCAAAGAGCTTGTCGAATCAAGCCCCAAAAGATGGACTGGCCACTCCTCCGATGACCAGTTAAATGGGTACATCAAAATTTGAAAAGAGAGAGGAAGGAAAGGACTGCAGCGGCCTATGGTGTTCAATCTGCACTTCAGTCTAAAACAACCACAACTTCGGCCTGAGGGGCACTGAGGCAGGCCCCAGGGAAGCAGGCAGACGTCCGGAGAGACTAGCAAGGTGGGGCCTCCTGGGCTTTCCCACCACCATGACCTCAAGGAAGGAACTGGGCAATACCAAAAGAGTGAAACGAGGCCACCGTGGGAGTGCTGGGATATAAGCCCGTAACTGGTGACGTAACAGCAGGTGACATGAATGACAACACTGCTCCCCTGAAACAGTCCCAGCAGTGCTTGTATCACCTCGGCCTTTCTACAGACAGCTCAACTGGATCCAACTCGCCCTCAGCCTGGGAAAGCCTTCGTACACACTGGAATTCAGACGTGTTCATACCCGCTAAGTCCCTCACGTCATCTCCTCCCGCGACTGCCAGAAGGGGAGTGAAGCAGAACAGGTGAAACCACAGGCCCTGCTGAAACAAAGCCTTGGCAGTACAGCCCTACGCCTGCTATCGCTACGCAGGAAGAAAAAGCTCTGAAAAGTTAAACCTAGAGCTGGCTCTCCCATCAAACTTATCTGGTTTATACAGAGCCAGTCTTACTACCCAGCCAAGAGGACTTACAGCAGGCCCTGAAAAGCAAAAAAGAATGAAAATGGGGTGGGCAGCCTGGGACTCTGGCCACCAAATGAAAAGCACTTGGGAGAGAAAATTACCTGCAGTGCTTAATAGGCCTCTTCCCTATCCATAGTCTAAGAAGACAGCGTTGGGAATGACAATCACACAATTACTGACCAGGCAAAACCAGAATTCCATCGCTTACCTGTTCTTTAAAGACCACTGAGGCGCTCGCACCCTGAGGGGCAGAGCAGAGGGCGGCTACTTCAAACAATCTAGAAGCCCAGCCACCTCACTCCACCTCAGCCTCCCACGGGCGCAGGAATCTCACTAATTACTATTGATCAGCCACAAACAAAGTGGTGCAGGACCATCTGGGGTGGATGCTTTTAGTCCTAGAAAGGACCAGCCTTTACTAAGGAGAGATCTCACTCGTCCCCACACGCGAGAAGAGAAGTCAGAGGTCACTGACAGAGGCAGTCTCTAGGTAACAGCTACTTTTAAAGGGACACTACTGACGCAGAACCATAGGAACAGAAGGTTTCTTTTCACTCGCGTGGCATTTTAATTACTAGAAAGTGATACCACATATCTTGGGTACTTACCAGCGGCTCTCGAGGCAGCACATTTTCACTTCCTGGAGTAGAGCTTGGCTGCAGAGAAAAATGGAAACAAAAATAAGATCACAGTGCCACCCAATGGACATCAAAAAACCAAAGATGTTCCGTTCTCAAACGATGCACGCTGGCACCTCTTTCTCACATCTCTCACTGGTTTTTCACGACACAAGAGTATTTTGCAGTGGACTACCTGTAAAAAGTAGCCCAAAGAGTCTGAATTCACCAGGGAAGATGAAGACTGTTTCTGGGTTCACTTGTCACACCACTCCAAGAACAAGGCTTGGTTCTGCTCAGGAAGGCCCACGATCACCTACTGAGCAGCAAGGGCTGGGGACCATCCCAAAATCCACGGGAAGAGTAGAGTCCAGAGAAAAGGCCTGAAGAGAGAGCACAACACCTCCTCTTTCTGCCACCTCCCCAACGTCAGGGGACTGGGAAGAAAAGTCGCGCAGCAGTGGAGAACCAGATTCCACCACCAGGGGGCCCCAGCTGCCCACGCTCAGGATTTTCTCTGGGCATCTAGTTTCTGGAGCCCAGAAGCCAGTAAACTACACAGGTTCCTATTCATCACCTGCCACTAAGGACACCACCCCACAATAGTAAAGAAAGCCCCAGGCTTAAATCCTTCTTGGAAATAAGCTAGTGACAGGCTGGCATATAAGCAGACCAACCTCCAGGCGAGCAGGCAGCACTGTGGCCGAGGCCCTGGCTCTAGCCCGTTTCCTCTTCCTTGGGGCCACTACCTCACCCTCACAGGCGCCTTCGACCCTTGACTGATCTGGCCAAAATTTAGAGAAAGGGAGAGGCAGAGGTAGAGACAGATTCTGAAGAAATTTACAAATCTCCAAAAGAATAAAGTAAGCAGGTATGCTGCTAAGTGAGCTATGATTAGTTTACTGTGACTGATGGTCAGGCCAATTGCCATCTATCTACAGTTAATATCCAGACAAGTGCAGCAAAATCTGTGTGTCCCAGGAGACAGCCTGCAGCCTCCATTCTCCCGGCTATTACAGATCAGATGGAAGTGCCAGGCCGCCTTGGAAAAGGACAGAGGCCCGGTCTGCAGAGGGTTCCCAAAAATTCCTCATGCCCAGCTACTACCACATTAGCTGGCACACAGCACAGTGGCAAGCACTCTGCTGGGTGAAGGCCTCTATCCCTCCATCCGAAGTCCTGTCCCAAGAGCCTCACCACCCCAGGACAAGAGGTCAGCCAGCAGGAAACGATCTAGAAAGTGAGGGTCCGTCTCAGGGAATGTGAGCAAGCTTCCCCTGCCTCCCTGCCTCCTGTCCTCCCAAAGCTCCAGGCATTGGTAACTTCAAACCTTTAGAGCTCCAGCCCACACCCCTCTGAGATACACATCCGACTGCCTTCCTGCCTCTTCTTGGAGTTAAGCTGCCCTGGAGCAGACTCACAGTCCTCTCTGACACATATGTCTTCTTCCAGCATTCCCTCTTGGCATGAATGGGACAAACTTCACCAAATGATGTAAACTAGAATCCAAAAGGCCATCTTGAGACAGCTCTTTCTCCCTCGCTCCCAGAGCTAACTCATTACATCAAGTCTGCCATACTCCTTCCTCAATATCCATGGAAGAGTGGTGTAAATGCCAGCACTTTGGGAGGCCCAGGAGGATGGATTGCTTGAGCCCAGGAGTTTGAAACCAGCCTGGGCAACATGGCAAATCCTCGTCTCTACAAAAAATATAAAAATGGGCCAGGTGTGGTGGTGTGCGCTTGTACTCCCAGCTATTTGGGAAGCTGGGGCAGAAGGATCCCTTGAGCCTGTAAATTCAAGGCTGCAGTACACCATGATCACACCACTGCACTCCAGCCCAGGTGACAGAGCCAGACCCTGTCTCAAAAAAAATTAAAAAGTCCATGGAAACAATCCATCCGTTTTTCTCCATCTCTACTGCCATCACTTCAGTCCAAGCTACCAAAATCCCCTGCCTGGACCACTGCGTCAGCTTTCTCATCAGTGCTGGCGCTCTTCCAATTCATATTCTGGGATGCAAACAGACTATCATTTCCAAAGGAGAATCTGCTCGTCCCATCCCTTGTCCACCCACTCACCCCAGTAAACACAACAAATTTAAGGGCTTCTCCTTGCTCTTAGAAGACAGAAAAACCTCAGCGTGGCCTACAAGGCCTCACGTCTACTCTGACTACACCTCAGGTCTCAAGCGGCACCACATTGCCCACTTCTGCCCCCTGACAGACGCACTGGCCTTTGCTTTCTCTGTCACTGCGCCTTTGCACATGCCCTTCCTTCCCTTTAGTTCATCCTTCAGATCCAGCTAAGACACTTCCTCAGGGAAGCATTCCTTCTCTGACATCCATGACTAGGTCAGATCTCCCTGTGACACATTCAGGTAACACCACCTGCCTCTCCTTCAAGGACCTGAGCAGATGTGCAACTTTACATCTGTGTGACTATCGGACTGATGCCTGTCTCTCTCACCAGATTATAAACTCCACGTGTGCAGAAACTGCCTGTGTTTGCTTATCACTGTATCCCTGGGGGCTAGGACAGTGCCAGGCACAGAGGAGGCCTTCAATAGAAATTTGCTGAATGAATGAATGGGCAACAAAAAAACAGAACAATGGCAACAACTCAGCTGAATGGATTATTTAGATTCTTCCGTTCATTATCTTCCTGAGGGTTTCCTCTACTCCATTTGCTAGATACTAAGTGCTAACATTCACTTAGCTCTTTCCTCCTTTAATTCTCACAATAAGTATATCAAATTACTGCTGATGAGGAAACTGAGGCAAAAGAGGTTAAATAACTTGCCCATGATTACTCAGATAGTAACTGGTACTACAGGGATTTGAACCCTTCTACTTAATCAAAATAAGCAAGTTTTGTTTAAACCACATTTTATTAAGCAACAACCTTAATGCTACCCCATAAATAATAATGTAGGTTATTTGACCAGACAAAACACACAAAAGCAAACAGCTTTAGTATTTAGGAAGCCCCATTCTGACTTAACCCAAAACTTTCTTCCTAAAATAAAACTAATCACTATGAATTGTTTCCACCAAGGAACTGCTCTTAAAATTAGTTCATCCCTTGAATAGCTAGTATTTACCAGAGGGAAAAACTTCAAACAGTACACAGTGCCAAATAAGTCTCTTTCATCATAAACCCTTTAGTACCTTTTAAATTATAAGCCATGTAAATGAATTGTTTTAGAAAATTCAATATTAAAAGTAAAAAAGAAAGCTTCCCTCTCATTCCAACCCTAGGGGACCCACACTGACGCTGGTTCCTTATATATTCTGCCAAGGATATTCAAAGCATATAAGAAGCATGGCCGGCCGGGTGCAGTGGCTCATGCCTGTAATCCCAGCACTTCAGGAGGCCAAGGTGAGCGAATCACTTGAGGCCGGGAGTTAGAGATGAGCCTGGCCAACATGGCGAAACCCCGTCTCTACAAAAAAAATGCAAAAATAAGCTGGGTGTGGTGGTGCATGCCTGTAGTCCCAGCTACTCGGGAGGCAGAGGCACAATAATCGCTTGAACCCGGGAGGCGGAGGTTACAGTGAGCTGAGATCATGCCACTGCACTCCAATCTAGGTGACAGAGTGAGACTCTGTCTCCAAAAAAAAAAAAAAAAAAAAAAAGGAGCATGGCCAAGTGTGGCTTACACCTTAAACCCAGCACAGCACTCTGGGAGGGTACAATGGGAGGATCCCTTAAGGCCAGGAGTTTGAGACCAGCCTGGGCAACACAGCGAGACCCCATCTCTACAAAAAATTTAAAAATTAGCCGGGTGTGGTGGTGCATCCTATAGTCCCAGCTACTCAGGAGGCTCGCTTGATCCCAGGAGGCAGAGATTGCAGTGAGCTATGATGGTGCCATTGTATTCCAGCTTGGTCAACAGAGCAAGACTCTGTCTCAAAAAGAAAAAAAGGGTGCATGTGTATGCATATTCCTACCATGGAATTTGAAACAGCAACACTCCAAATTCCTCAAGTCATGGCTTCCCAGAGCCACAGTCCCAGTATGAAGCTGGGAATACAAATGTGAGCCACCACACCTGGCCTTTTTTTTATTTTTTTAATCATGGCCTACCCTGTGAACATTTTTTTAAAATCTTCCACCATGCTAGCTGTTTAAACAATCGAAGCAGGCCGGGCACAGTAGCTCACGCCTGTAATCCCAGCATTTTGGGAGGTCGAGGCAGGCAGATCACCTGGTCAGGAGTTCAAGACCAGCCTGGCCAACATAGCAAAACCTCATCTCCAACTGATCCTGGAAATCTTCACAGAGTAGTCCATGATTAAAAAAAAAAAAAAAACAAGGCCGGGCATGGTGGTTCACACCAGCACTTTGGGAGGCCGATGTGGGAGGATCGCTTGGGCCCAGGAGTTCGAGACCAGCCTGAGCAACATGGTAAAACCCTGTCTCTACTAAAAAATACAAAAATTTGCCACGCATGGTGGCACATGCCTGTAAGTCCCAACTACCCAGGAGGTTGAAGTGGGAGGATCAACTGAGCCCAGGAGGTTGAGGCTGTGGTGAGCTGTGATCACATCACTGCACTCCAGCCTGGGTAACAGAGTAAGACTGTCTCAGAAAAAAAAAAAAAAAAAAAGGCTTAGAAACCACCCACAGGCATCTATTGTAACGATGTAAGAAAAGGACCTAAGGCAATCCATGCCCAGGATCCTTAGAGGCCTGAATGGGGAGAGCAGGAAGAGAAGAAAGCAAAAGCAGAAAACTGCTTTAAAAAAACAAGTCAGGCAAAGACTACGGCGGCAGAGAGAGAAATGCTTTTCTTTTGGTAGAGACAAAGGTGCTCTCACTCCTGCTGCCAAGGCGCTGACCTTCCCCAACTGGAAGGCGTTCCCAGATCCTGACCTGCTGTCCAACAAAGAACAACCTCACAAGCAGCTCACAGATTTGAGCAACTGGCGAAAGCTCCAGGTCTAGGAGAACCCATCCTGCATCTGCCCAGTAACTGCGACTTCAGATAGGAGAACCCATCCTGCATCTGCCCGGTGACTGTGACTCCAGATAGGTCCTAAGCCAGTCTGTGTAGTTCTCTGCTGGGAAGAATAAGATTCGATCCCACCAATATCCTTTGAGATGCAGTGGCATGACAGAAAGTACACAAGCTTTGGCATTAAGAACTCAGTGATTTGGGGGCACGCTGCTCAACCTCTCTGAGCCTCAGTTTCCTCATCTATGGGAATAACGGGAATAATACCACCACCTCACATTTGGGATTAGAGGAGATGATAAGTTATTTCATGTCACTCCTCTGCTCAAAGTCAACCAATGCACTTCCACTTCGGGTCATGATGGAGTGATAGGGAACAGATTTGCCCTCCCACTGTAAACAACTAGAAAACTAAGCCAAATAAATAAAACCACTGTGTGTACACATTGGACAGCAGGCAGTGCAGGACTACGATCCCTGAAAGCAGAGAAACAAATTACTTGGGCCCTAAAATCACTCTGGCTTCCTGCCAGGAGACACATTTCAGGCCCTGGAGAGAGACGGGGATCCCCAGCAGAGCACGCCACCCACTTAAGTTGAAGAGACAGAGATCAGAGTTCAGGGAGGCCAAGGCAGCTGAAAGCTGCAGGACAGACTTCAGAAAGAAAGAGCTATGCAGAAAAAGTGGTCCAGAAATCTGTCTGGAGGTTCCCTCAGGTCTCTGCTGAATACTAAAATTTGTGCATGCATAGGGTGAAACTCCACAGTGAAGAAGAAGCTAGGAGCTGACATTTCTTAGAACTCTCAGGGGAATCATGAGTCCCAAGCAGCCAGACTGGAGTGTCCTCACAGGGCATTCAGGAGAGACCAGAGGTCAAATGATCCCTAGATTAAAGATTATCCAGATCCACTCTAACAAAGCTAAAAAACAGGACTCAAAATGATAACAGTAAACCATAAAAAACTGCACAGAAGAAAAAAGCTTTAAGCACTCTTTAAAGACCACAAAATCCATAACCTCAACAATACTGAACTCACAATATCCAGCATCCAATAAAAAATTTCAACACATGGCCAGGCACGGTAGCTCACGCCTGTAATCCCAGCACTTTGGGAGGCTGAGGCGGGCGGATCACCTGAGGTCACGAGTTCGAGACTAGCCTGACCAACATGGAGAAACCCCGTCTCTACTAAGAATACAAAAATTAGCCGGGTGTGGTGGTGCATGCCTGTAATCCCAGCTACTTGGGAGGCTGAGGTAGGAGAATCACTTGAACCCAGGAGGCGGGGGTTGCGGTGAGCCGAGATCGCGCCATTGCACTCCAGCCTAGGCAACAAGAGCAAAACTCAGTCTCAAAAACATAAAATTTAATTTAAAAATTTCAACATATGTCAAGAAGCAGGAAAATGTAACCAATAACAATAAGAAAAACCAGACGATATAACTAGTAGACAAGAACAGTAAGACAGGTGTTACAACTATACTCAAGTATTTAAATGAAAACATGTCACAGTAAGAAGAGAAATGTAAGGTATAAAAAGAAAATAGAGGCCGAGCACAGTGGCTCACGCCTGTAATCCCAGCACTTTGGGAGGCCGAGGCGGATGGATCACGAGGTCAGGAGATCGAGACCATCCTGGCTAACACGGTGAAACCCCTTCTCTACTAAAAATACAAAAAAAAAATTAGCCAGGCATGGTGGCGGGCACCTGTAGTCCCAGCTACTCAGGAGGCTGAGGCAGGAGAATGGGGTGAACCCAGGAGGCAGAGCTTGCAGTGAACCGAGGTCACGCCACTGCACTCCAGCCAGGGCGACAGAGTGACATTCCGTCTCAAAAAAAAAGAAAATAGAATTTCTAGACATGAAAAGTATAATATGTAAAATAAAAATTTCAGGCCAGGTGCGGTGGCTCACGCCTGTAATCCCAGCATTTTGGGAGGCCAAGGCGGGTGGATCGCCTGAGGTCAGGAGTTTGAGACCAGCCTGGCCAGTACAGTGAAACCGCATCTCCACTAAAAATACAAAAATTAGCCGAGCATGGTGGCAGGCACCTGTAATCCCAGCTACTCAGGAGGCTGAGGCAGGAGAATCGCTTTTATTCAGGAGGCGGAGGTTGTAGAGAGCAGTGATAGCTGAAATGATAAGGACAAATTCCTTGAGACACAACATACCAAAACTGACTCTGGAAAAAATAAAAAAGTTTAATATCCTCACATCTATTTTTAAAACTAAATATATAATTTAAAAATATGTAAATAAAAAAAGTAATAGGCCAGGCACAGTGGCTGATGCCTGAAATCCCAATACTTCAGGAGGCTGAGGCAGGTAGATAACTTGAGGTCAGGAGTTCGAGACAAGCCTGGCCAAGGTGGTGAAACCCCATCGCAATTAAAAATACAAAAATTAGCCAGGTGTGGTAACACATGCCTGTAATCCCAGCTACTCAGGAGGCTGAGGCAGAAGAATCCCTTGAACCCAGGAGGCAGAAGTTGCAGTAAGCCGAGATCGAGCCACTGCACTCCAGCCGAGGCAACAGAGTGAGACTCAACCTCAAAAACAAAAAAAGTAGGCCGGGCACAGTGGCTCATGCCTATAATCCCAGCACTTTGGGAGGCCGAGGTGGGCAGATCACAAGGTCAAGAGACGGAGACCATCCTGGCCAACATGGTGAAACCCCATCTCTACTAAAAATACAAAAATTAGCTTGGTGTGGTGGCGCACGCCTGTAGTCCCAGATACTTGGGAGGCTGAGGCAGGAGAATCGCTTGAACCTGGGAGGTAGAGGTTGCAGTGAGCTGAGATCACGCCACTGCACTCCAGCCTGGCGATAGGGCAAGACTCCGTCTCAAAAAAAAAAAAAAAAAAAAAAGAAAGAAAGAAAAAGTAATAAAGTATATAATTAAAACTTAAAAAGAAAACTCTACGTCCAGATGGCTTTACTGGTAAATACTATCAAACATTTAAGGAAGAAATAATGGCAATCTTATATAAACTGTTTCAAAGAATACAAAAAAAAAAAAACTGCCAAACTCACTCCATGAGGCCAGTACTATCTTGACATAAAAACCAAAGATTTTACACATCCACATACAAAAAAACTATAGAATAATATCCCTCACAAACATAAATGTTAAAATCCTTAACGAAATACTATTGAGTCCAGCTATATATAAAAAGCATAACACATCGAGTAGAATTTATCCAATGAATAAAAAATTGGTTTAACATTTCAAAAATCAATCAACATAAATCACCATATTAATAAAAGAAAGGAAGCAAACAAAAGGATCAACTCAATAGAGACAAAAAAGAGCACCTGACAACATTCAAAAATAATTTTTTTTTTTTAAGAGACAGAGCCTCAGGCTGGGTGCAATGGCTCACGCCTGTAATCCCAGCACTTTGGGAGGCCAAGGTGGGCAGATCACAGGGTCAGGAGTTCAAGACCAGCCTGGCCAAGATGGTGAAACCCCATCTCTACTAAAAACACAAAAAAATTAGCCAAGCATGGCGGTGGATGCTTGTAATCCCAGCTACTCAGGAGGCTGAGGCAGAGAATCGCTTGAACCCAGGAGGCGGAGGTTGCAGTGAGCCGAGATCGCGCCACTGCACTCCAGCCTGGGTGACAGAGCAAGAGTCTGTCTCAAAAAAAAAAAAAAAAGAGACAGAGTCTCCATCTTTCAGCCAGCCTGTAGTGCCTGTAGTGCAGTGGTGTGACATAGCTCATTGTAAGCTGGAAATCCAGGGCTCAAGTCATCCTCCTGCCTCAGCCTCCCGAGTAGCTAGAACTCCAGGTATGTGCCACCATGTCAGACTCATTTTTTAAAAATTTGTATAGAGACAGAGCCTCGCTATGTTGCCCAGGCTGGTCTCGAACTCCTGGCCTCAAGCAGTCCTCCTGCTTCAGCCTCCCAAAGTGCTGGGATTACAGGCGTGAGCCACTGTGCCTGGCCTCAAAACACATATGATTAAAAAAAAAAAAAAAAAAAACTCAGCAAACTAAAAATGAAGGTTGAATTTCTTCAACTTGACAAAGGCACCTATTACAAAATACCTATAGCTAACACTTAACTGTAGAAGACTAAAAATATTTCCCCCAAAATGGGGAACAAAGCAAGGACATCCACTTCCACTGTTACTTTTAACATTGCACTCAAAGTCCTAGACAGTGCAATAAAGCAAGAAAAATTAAAAGCATATTAATGGGAAGGTAAGAAGTAAAGCTGTCTTTATTTGCAGATGATACCATCATCTATAGAGAAATCACAAGGAATGTACAAAAAAGCTACTAGAGGCCGGGCACGGTGGCTCACACCTGTAATCCCAGCACTTTGGGAGGCTGGGGCAGGCAGATCACCTGAGGTCAGGAGTTCAAGACCAGCCTGGCCAACATGGTGAAACCCCGTCTCTACTAAAAATACAAAAAAATTAGCCAGGCGTGGTGGCGGGCGTCTGCAATCTCAGCTACTAGGGAGTCTGAGACAGGAGAATCGCTTGAACCCAGGAGGCGGGGGTTGCAGTGCGCCAAGATCACGCCACTGCACTCCAGCCTGGGTGACACAGCATGAGTCTGTCTCAAAAAAAAAAAAAAACTACTAGAATTATAAGTTAACAAGGTTGCAGATACAAGACCAATATATAAAATTCAATTTTATTTCTACATAGTAGCATTGAATAATTAAAAAATAAAATCCATAAATATAACAGTATCCTGAAAACAAAAAAATATTTAGGCTCGGCCCTGTGGTTCATGCCTGTACTTCCAGCACTTTGGGAGGCAGAGGTAGGAGGGCTACTCAAGTCCAGAAGTTCAAGACCAGCCTGCGCAACACAGCAAGACCCCCTCGCTACAAAAATTCAAAAAATAATTAGCTGGGCATGGTGGCATGCACCTGAGTCTTAGCTACTCAGGAGGCTGAGGCTGGAGGATCACTTGAGCCCAGGACTTGGAGATTACAGTGAGCTATGTATGATTGCACCACTGCACTCCAGCTTGGGCGACAAAGACAAAAAAGACCCTGTCTCTTAAAAAAAAAAAAAAAAAAAAAAAACCACACACAAATAAATAACACTACACACTCACCAGAATGGCTAAAAACATTTAGACAATTTAGACAGTTTCTTACAAAGCTAAACATACTTACTACATAAGCCTACCATTCCACTTACAGGTTATTTCCCCAGAAAAATGAAGAATATGTCCTCGCAAACACTTACACATACACAAATACTCACAGTAGCCCAGAATGAGAAGGAATCCTGTGGGGAACAGACTCTAAGGTGACCCCATGATCCCCACCTCCTGGTATCCATGCCCCTGTGCTGTTCCTTCTACTCAAATGTGGCCAGGATCTGTTACTTGCTTCTGGCCAACACAATATGGCAAAGGTGACAGCATGTACGTGACTGCATTAATGTGGGTGAGATACGTCGTGGTAATGTCCACTTTACTAAGAGACTCTCTCTTCTGCTGGCTTTGAGGAGGCAAGTGGGAAGACTCATTTGGCAAGAAACTGAGGGCGGCCGCTGGCTGACAGTAACACACTAAAGTCTCCAGTCTCATGGTCCATAAGGAACTGAATGCCACCAACAACCACACAAGCTAGGAAGCAGACCCCTCCCTAGTCAGCGACCACAGTCCTGACAGATTTCTCAATAGTAGCCTGGTGAGACTCAGCCCAGTGGTTTCCTGACTCCTGACCCACAGAAACCATGAGATAATCAATGTGTGCTGTGCCAAGCGGCTAAATTTGTGGTAATACTGTTACGCAGGAATCAAAAACTACTACAAATGTCCATCAACTGGTGAACAGATCAACAAATTGAGATATAGCCATCCATACGATGGAATACTACTCAGCGGTAAAAAGTAATTCATGGTCAGGCGCAGTGGCTCACGCCTGTAATCCCAACACATTGGGAGGCCAAGGC
This sequence comes from Homo sapiens, assembly GCF_000001405.40. Taxonomy (NCBI): domain Eukaryota; kingdom Metazoa; phylum Chordata; class Mammalia; order Primates; family Hominidae; genus Homo; species Homo sapiens. The sequence continues at coordinate 10,484,419 of NC_000001.11, read as the reverse complement.
AGTTGGATCACATGAGGTCAGGAGTTGGAGACCAGCCTGACCAACACAGTGAAACCCCATCTCTACTAAACAAAAAAAAATTGGCTGGACGCAGTGACTCACACATGTAATCCCAGCACTTTGGGAGGCCGAGGTGGGCAAATCATTTGAGGTCAGGGGTTCAAGACCACTCTGGCCAACATGGTGAAACCTTGTCTCTACTAAAAATTCAAAAAAATTAGCCAATTAGCCGGCCATGGTGGTGGGCGCCTGTAATCCCAGCTACTGGAAGGCTGGGGCAGGGGAATCTCTTGAACCCAGGAGGCAGGGGTTGCAGTGAGCCAAGACTGAGCCACTTCACTTCAACCTGGGCAACAAGAGCGAAATACCATCTCAAAAAAAAAAAAAAAAAGGTAATTCATTACTGATAATTACTGATACATACCATAACACAAATAAATTTCACAAACATTATTCTGAGCCAAAAAAGACATAAAAGAATACATAATTCATTCATATGAAATTCTAGGAGGGACAAATATACTCTATAGTAATAGAAAACAGTTCAGATTTCCTAGGACCACAGGCAAGGATTCAATGGGAAGGGGCGTAAGGGAACGTTTAGGGATACTGAAACTGTTGATCTTGCTTGTGGCAGTGGTGGTTACACAGGTTTAGGGTGGTAGTGGTTACACACGTATATACAATTTGTCAAAACTCAAACTGATCACAACACACCTATTAGAATTCCACAGTAAAGTTTAGGCCATAAGACTTTGTCAGTCAATACAATATTAAACTAAAATACTAAAAAAAAACTTGGCCAGGCCAGGCGCAGTGGCTCACGCCTATAATCCCAGCACTTTGGGGGGCCGAGGCGGGTGGATCATGAGGTCAGGAGATTGAGACCATCCTGGCCAACATAGTGAAACCCCGTCTCTACTGAAATATAAAAAGTTAGCCAGGCATGGTGGTGCACACCTGCAGTCCCAGCTACTCCGGAGGCTGAGGGGGGAGAATCGCTTGAACCTGGGAAGTGGAGATTGCAGTAAGCCGAGATCATACCACTGCACTCCACCCTGGAGACAGAGCAAGACTCCATCTCAAGAAAGAAAAAAAGAAAAACTTGGCCATGTTCACACCTGTAATCCTAGCACTTTGGGAGGCCAAGGCAGGAGGATCACTTGAGCCCAGGAGGTCACGACTGCAGCGAGCCATGACTGTGCCACTGCACTCCAGCCAGGGTGACAGAGTGAGACCCTGTCTCAAAAATTTAAAACAATACTAGCAAAGTTGCAAAGAAAGCAACTAATTTAGCAAGTTAACTTTATGATGGAGAAATGTGATAGACACCACCTTAACCAAACAATCAAACTTCATCTTCGACAATGGGACTCGTTCCTCCAGATATGATACACAGATAGACACAACGTCACTTACATAATATTCTCACAAAAGAATGTTTAACCCGGATCTAAATGTAAGGGAACAAATCAGACAAATCCAGATGGTGGAACATTTCACAAAACAAGTAGTCCAGACTCTCCAAACATGTCAATACCATAAAAAATAAAAAACGTAGATGAACTCACCAGAAATGCACATATTATGTTCACAAAAAGACACGTACAGGTATTTTCACAGCAGTACTATTTGTAATGACCCTAAAGGTGAAACAATCTAATGTCCATTAAAAGTAGAATGGCTCAGGCCAGGCACGGTGGCTCATGCTTGTAATCCCAGCACTTTGGGAGGCCAAGGCAGGTGGATCATGAGGTCAAGACATCGAGACCATCCTGGCCAACATGAAGAAACCCCATCTCTACTAAAAATACAAAAATTAGCCGGGCATGGTGGCACATGCCTGTAGTCCCAGCTACTTGGGAGGCTGAGGCAGAAGAATCACCTGAACCCGGGAGACGGAGGTTGCAGTGAGCTGAGATTGCGCCACTGCACTCCAGCCGGTGACAGAGCGAGACTCCATTTCAAAAAAAAAAAAAAAAGTAAGATGGGCCACCCGCAGGGGCTCACGCCTATAATCCCACCACTTTGGGAGGCCAAGGTAGGTGGATCACTTGAGGTCAGGAGTTCGAGACCAGCCCGGCCAACATGGTGAATCCCCCGTCTCTACTAAAAACACAAAAATTAGCCAGGCATGGTGGCCAGTGCCTATAATCCCAGTTACTCAGGAGGCTGAGGCAGAAGAATCACTTGAACCTGGGAGGCAGAGGTTGCAGTGAGCCAAGATCATGCCACTGCACTCCAGCCTGGGTGATAGAGCAAGACTCAGTCTCAAAAAACAAAAAGTAGAATGGTGGCCAGATGTGGTCACTCACACTGGTAATCTCAGCACTTTGGGAGGCCCAGACGGGCAGACTGGTTGAGCTCAGGAGTTCAAGACCAGCCTGGGCAACATGGCAAAACCCCGTCTCTACAAAAAATACAAAAATAATTAGCCAGGTGTGGTGGCATGCGCCTGTGGTCCCAGCTACCAGGGGAGCTGAGGTAGGAGGATGGCTTGAGCCTGGGAAGCAGTTTGCAGTGAGCCGAAATCGTACCACTGCACTCCAGCCTGGGCAACAGAGCCAGGCATTGTCTCAAAAAAAAAAAAAAAAAAGAGTAGAATGGTTAATAATAAATGGCCAAACACATTCATACAATAACTGTATAAAGCAGTGATAATAAACTGTCACTGTTCTCATCATGAATGAATCTCAAAAATATGTGTTAAGTAAAAGAAGCCTGGGAGACTGAGGTGGGAGGCTCACTTGAGGTCAGGAGTTCAAGACCAGCCTGGGCGACACAGCGAGACCCGACCTCTACAAAAAATAATTAGCTGGGCATCATAGTGCATGACTATAGTCCCAGCTACTCGGGAGGCTGAGGCTGGAGGATCACTTGAACCCAGGAGGTCAAGGCTACAGTGAGCTGTGATAACACCTCTCCACTCCAGACTGGGTGACAGAGTAAGACCCTGTCTCAAAAAACAAACAAACAAACAAACAAAGTTTAAGGCTGGACGCGGTGGCTCCCAGCACTGTGGGAGGCCGAGGTGGGTGGATCACTTGAGGTCAGGGGTTCGAGACCATCCCGGCCAACATGGCAAAACCCTGTCTCTATTAAAAATACAAAAAAATTAGCCAGGCATGGTGGCGGGCACCTGTAATTCCAGCTACTTGGGAAGCTGAGACAGGAGAATTGCTTGAACCCAGGAAGCGGAGGTTGTAGTGAGCCAAGATTGCACCACTGCACTCCAGCCTGGGCAACAGAGCAAGACTCTGTCTCAAACAAAAAAAAAAAGGAAGGAAAGGAAAAAAAAAAAAGACTAAAGAGACAAATCAATGCAATCTCTGTTTCTTCACTAGATTCTGATTTTTTTTAAGTGTGAAAATTTGAGTGCAGATTCTGTTTTAAATAATACTATTTATCAACACTTAAATTTCTTGTGTGATAATGATATTGTGGTTATACAGGGGAATAACCTTACTCTTATGAGAGATAAGGTGAAATATTCTAGGATGAAATATCCTTGATGTCTGTAACTTACCACAAATCCTTCCAAAAAAAAAAATATATATATAGAGAGAGAGAGAGAGAGAAAGAGAGAGAGAGACTGACATAAAGCAAATTCAGCAAAATGTGAACAGTGCATCTTGGTTAAGTTTTTATGGGAATTTTACAGAAGTTCTCAGTATTATCCTTTCAACTTTTCTATACGTGAGAAATTTTTCAAAATAAAAAGTTGAGGCCAGGTGCCAGGCTCACACCTGTAATCCCAACACTGTGGGAGGCCGAGGCAGGTGGATCACCTGAGGTCAAGCATTCAAGACTAGCCTGGCCAACATGGCAAAACCCCATCTCTACTAAAAATACAAAAAAATTAGCTGGGCATGGTGGCGGGCACCTGTAGTCCCAGCTACTCAGGAGGCTGAGACAGGAGAATCGCTTGAACCCAGGAGGCAGAGGTTGCAGTGAGCCGAGATTGTGCCACTGTACTCCAGATCGGGAGACAGAGCAAGACTCCGTCTCAAAAAAAAAAAAAAAAAAAAAAAAGTTAGCCAGGCGTAGTGGCACACACCTGTAGTCTCAGCTACTCAGGAGGCTGAGGCAGGTGAAGCAGGAGAACCGCTTGAACCTGGGAGGCTGAGGTTGCAGTGAGCCGAGATTGAGCCACTGTACTCCAGCCTGGGCAACAGAGGGAGACTCCATCTCAAAAACAAAACAAAACAAAAAAAAAAAACATTGAGAGGGCAAATACCTTGTCTGACCTGCTGTTATTCAAGAGTTCAACAGACTCTCAAAACTACATGTAAAGACTGGGAGAAGAAAACTAACTCTGAGCACTTACTATGCAGCAGGTGCTCTTCACATCTGTGATTTCAGTCAACACTAAAAGGGTAATTATTTTTTATTTTATTTATTTATTTTTTAAGTGATAGGGTTGCACTCTGTTGCCCAGGCTGGAGTACAGGGGTTTATTCACATATGTGATCATCGTGCACTACAGACTCCAACTCCTGGGCTCAAGCAATCCTCCAGCCTCAGTCTCCTGAGTAGCTGGAACTACAGACATGCACCACCACACCCAGCTTTAAGGGTAACTATTATTGCTCTCGTTTTACAGAGGAGAAAACATACTCAGAAAGGTGGAGTGATAAGTCCAATAGTTGTGAGTGATGAAGTTCCACCAAAACCTGCCAGGATGCGAAGCCATGCTCTTCCACTCTTTCACTCTGCTCTTCTCCCTGCCTGCTTCTGTAGCCTCTCAATGCAAAATTTACTGTACCCAGTGAACCTCCACAGATAGGAAATCTACCTTCTGCAATAATACTCGATACTCAGTAACTGTGAAGTAATCAGATTGAACCATGCCTCTGCTGTTCAGCGAAGGAAGAAAAGCTAGTAGGAAAGTTGGGAAATAGAGATAACGTTTCTCATTCCTACGGGCTCCAACGTGTACACACTAGAAAGGACTTCAATGAGAGATCAGCCATGCTGGCTGGGCGTGGTGGCTCATGCTTATAATCTCAGCACTTTCTCTCTCTCTGTCTCTTCCCCCGTCCCCAAACAGGGTATTGCTCTCTCACCCAGGCTGGAGGGCAATGGCACAATCACCGCTCACTGCAGCCTCAACCTCCCAGGCCCAAGTGATGCTCTCACCTCAGCCTCCAAAGTAGCTGGAACCACAGGCAAGCACTACCATGCCTGGCTAATTTTTTAATTTTCAGTAGGAACGAGGTCTCCCTATATTGCAAAGGCTGGTCTCAAACTCCTGGCCTCAAGCGATCCTCCCAACTCAGCCTCCCAAAGTGCTAAGATTACAGGTATGAGCCATCACGCCCAGCCAGGAACTCACCACTACAAAAATTGTTTTAAAAATACATTAGCCAGGCCAGGCACAGTGGCTCACACCTGTAATCCCAGCACTTTGGGAGGCCGAGGTGGGCGGATCACGAGGTCAGGAGATCGAGACCATCCTGGCTAATACGGTGAAACATCGTCTCTACTAAAAATGAAATAAAAAAAAAATAGCCGGGCGTGGTGGCAGGTGCCTGTAGTCCCAGCTACTCTGGAGGCTGAGGCAGGAGAATGGTTCGAACCCGAGAGGCGGAGCTTGCAGTGAGTTGAGATCGCACCACTGCACTCCAGCCTGGGCGACAGAGCGAGACTCTGTCTCAAAAAAAAAAAAAATACATTAGCCAGGCATGGTGGTGCACACCTGTAGTCCCGGTTACTCAGGAGGCTGAGACGAAAGGATTGCCTGAGCCTGGGCGGGCAAGGATGCAGTGAGCCATGATCACACCACCGCACTCTGGTGACAGAGTGAGACCCTGTCTCAATCAATAGATCAACCACATAAAACAGAGCAATGTGGGGAACACAGAACAAAGGAAGCAATAAATGAAATTCCAGCAAGTCGTCTTGAGGATAGACTAAAAAGACTATACCATTATGAAAAAGTAAGTATGTTCCTGAAATGCAAAAGTCATGAAGGACAGCTAGAATAAACACTAGCATTCAGGGCATTCCTTGAAATTTTAAGGAATTACTTCTGAATAAAAGAACTTTACTAGACAAGTAGTCAACACATGAAAAATCATACCCCAAAAGATGTCGTAATAGAACTTGAAGAAAGGTTTAGATCCATTTGTGAGTGAAAACTCAGAGCTTATTAAATTGAATAATAATAATAATAGACAACACATTGTTTCAGGCACTGTTCTGGCATTTTTACATAAATAACTCATTTAAGGCCAGGTGCAGTGGCTCACGCCTGTAATACCAAGCTCTTTGGGAGGCCGAGGTGGGCAGGTTACCTGAGGTCAGGAGTTTGAGACCAGCTTGTCCAATATGGTGAAACCCCATTTCTACTTAAAAAAAAAAATTAGCCAGGCCTGGTGGTGCATACCTGTAGCCCCAGCTACTTGGGAGGCTGAGGCAGGAGAATCACTTGAACCTGGGAGGCGGAGGTTGCAGTAAGCCGAGATCGCGCCACTGCACTCCAGCCTGGTCAACAGAGTGAGACTCGGTCTCAAAAATAAATAAATAAATAAATAACTCATTTAGTCCTCAGAGCAACTCTGTGAGATAGGTCCTAGTATTTTCCCTGTTTTGCACATGGAGAAATTAAGTCTAGAAAAATTAAGTAGATCTGTCCGAGATGACATTGCTGGTAAGTTAGTGGAGTTAGGATTCCAAGCCAGTGGGTCTGGCTTTAGAGCCTATACTTGTAACCGCTATTCTACACTGCCTCTCAAGGGAAGAGAAGGTTATTCACCTTTAATAGCTGGAAACCAGAGATTGATATGACAAGGCTAACCAACAAACTTTCTGTGAAAGACAGAATACTGGCTCAGCCCCACAGTTCTAACCCTACACAACAAGGCGTGGGGGAATTAGCTAAACAATCCTTTCAATCCTACTCTGCTTTAATCGGAGAAATGGGAAACTGGATTGATCAAGACTTGAAAATGAAACAGGCAATTGCTGAAGAGCATTGGTTCATTCAAAAAGCGTGCATTTGCTTCTTGTTAGATAGCCATAGAGTCTGTTATGAAAAGTTCAAGTTTTGGCCAGGCACTGCAGCTCACGCCTGTAATCCCAGCACTTTGGGAGGCTGAGGTGGGCGGATCATGAGGTCAGGAGATCAAGACCATCCTGGCTAACACGGTGAAACCCCATCTCTACTAAAAACACAAAAAATTAGCTGGGCATGGTGGCGGGCGCCTGTAGTCCCAGCTACTAGGGAGGCTGAGGCAGGAGAATGGCGTGAACCCAGGAGGCGGAGGTTGCAGTGAGCAGAGATCGCGCCACTGCACTCCAGCCTGGGTGACACAGCGAGACTCTGTCTCAAAAAAAAAAAAAGAAAAGTTCAAGTTTTTCCCCCAGGCTGCCAGCATGTTCTGTGGCAATCCTACCTCCACCAGCTTTGGAAAGGAGGGCAAAGGAGAAGCAGAGCTGAAAATCAAACAAGTGATGGCCATGCCCCCTTAAAGGACCTTAGATCCTTTTCTATTAAATACATATACAGAGAGGGCAAACTTGCAAAACCAAAAGAATCCTTGGGCATAACAGTGGCTCCAAGTGGCAAGATTTTTAGTACTGTTTACAGCACTGGCAAATTAAATGTCCTATAAGAATCAGGAACAGAGCCGGGCACGGTGGCTCACGCATATAATCTCAGCACTTTGGGAGGCTGAGGCGGGCAGATCACTTGAAGTCAGGAGTTTAAGACCAGCCTGGCCAACATGGTGAAACCTATCGCTACTAAAATTACAAAAATTAGTCAGGTGTGGTGGCAGGCACCCGTAGTCCCAGCTACTTGGGAGGCTGAGGCAGGAGAATTGCTCGAACCCGGGAGGCAGTGAGCCGAGATTGCGCCAATGCACTCCAGCATGGGCGACAGAGAGAGACTCCGTCTTAAGAAAGAAAAAAGAATCAGGAACTGAGGACACCCTTCAATCCCAGCCTGTGGGCATTCCTAACACAAAACAATTCAGAGAAACCCAGACCCCAAGATGCCTTAGTATTTCAGCAAACTAAATGTGGTAAGGCAAGAAAGGAGAGGCCCTCCTCTCGAGACACTTGCCAAACTCCAGAACACCTGACAGTGAGAAGGCCAGAATCAGTCCTTGTTATCTCCCATGTTTTACAATCAAGACATCTTCTTCCTGAATCATTCACACTGCTAATAGAAACTGGTATGGGGGAACACACCAACTCCTTTAAGTTCAATTCTTGTAACAGACGTGCAGAATAAGACAGTAAGAAACACTAAGCGGTGGTCTTCTGCCTCTGAAGGAAGTGAAATACTAGTAAGTTGCTGAAAACTCTTAGAGGTGCTTCAAGGAGATGGGAGAGGAGGAATGAGGCCCCAAGTTGAAACTATTTTCTTCTTCCTCATTCTAATCCTAACTAAACTCAAAAATGTATGGATGACTAGTGGAGTCACACAGGTTCAATACAGGCTCAACAGAGCACACGATTTGGGGCATGTCACAAACCCTTAGTATTCATTTCTGTGAAATGGAGGTTAGTAGCCTGCACTTCATAAAGGTTGTAGTGAACACTAAACGAGATAATAGATGTAATTTGTGCTCAACATGACACCACACAGGCAGTTAAATGTAAGATGTCTCTTAGCCCTTTTCTCCTCACCCCACCCTACCCCACCTTTGGACTATAAACCCCTTCGGAGACCTTATCATCCACTGCCTCCCGGCCGCAGAGGCACAGGCGTCAACGCTGGTCCTTATGGTCCCCTTATTGGAGTGGGATTTGTCTGAATCTGCAGGTGAAAAGCTAGAGCGGAGCCCTCGGCCAACAAAACCAAACCCAGGGAAGCGAGGATGGGTCCTCAGCCAAAAGCTTGGTGGCGTCTGTTAGTCACAGTGCGTCCCTTTCCTATCAACGCACTGAGAGGGCTCGACTAGATTATTTCTGACTATCCAACTTGACGAGAGAAGCGCAAAGGTGACCACAGATGAAGAGGCTGGCAGCCGCTCCAGGAGGCTGAGGCCGTGAGGGAGTGGGAACCCTAATGGAAACAGGCCCCTCCCCGGAGGGGACAGCCGGGAACGATCGATCTATCCTCTCCTTCTCAAGCCCTCGCAGCTCAAGGCTGGGGACTTCCCAAGGGTCCCGTCACCCTCCCCAACAAGCTCAAGTGGGACCAGAGGTGCTGGCAGGCGGGAAGTGGGGACCCGGGGGCACAGCCAAACACCAGAGCCCGGGCTCCGGAATGTGGTCAAAGAGGGGTCACCGGGGGGAGGGGCCGGGTGGGGAGGACCTGGGGAGGGGCGGGGCTCAGGAGGGGGCAAGAGGTCGGGGTCCCCAGCTTCGGAGACTCGGGGTCCCTACCCGGCTCCCAGCCGTATGCTGAGCGCCCCCTCCAGCCGGGGTCTCCGCCGCACAGCGGGGCAGTCCCACTCCCCTTACCTGGCTCGGCTGCTCTGCCTGCTCCGAGGACGCCATCTTTCTGAGGCCTGACTAATCAACCGCCGCTGGGCGAGGTTTCTCCCAGGCGCCCTCGCTCTCGCCCTCCCGCCCAGACTAAGGTAGCCGGAACAGAGCCTGTCGATGTAGGGGACTGGGGCAGAGGGGTGGAGCCCGGGTGTCCGGGTCACCTTGCATAGTTTCCGTTAAGACTCTGCTTTCCAGGAAGATCCCAAGTCTATATCTTCTTTGCGTTGTTATATGTGTATTATTCTGGTTTTGCTTTTTTTTTTTGAGACGGAGTTTCGCACTTGTTGCCTAGGCTGGAGTGCAATGGCGCGATATCGGCTCACCGCAACCTCAGCCTCCCGGTTTCAAGTGATTCTCCTGCCTCAGCCTCCCGAGTAGCTGGGATTGCAGGCATGCGCCACCATGCCCGGCTAACATTGTATTTTTAGTAGAGATGGAGTTTCTCCATGTTGGTCAGGCTGCTCTCGAACTCCCGACCTCAGGTGATCTGCCCGCCTCGGCCTCCCAAAGTGTTGGGATTACAGAAGTGAGCCACAGCGCCCGGCCCATATTATTCTTATTGAGTTAATCTCTGCCCATCCCCACAGTGCCATGGGCACATTTAGGGACTTGCCAATGGATGAATGCGAAGAAACTTGGAAATTAATTTTTAGACATCAGTTCAGTTCCATTCATTGAGTGCCTACTATATGCTAGGGACTTTGGTAGGCCTTGAAATAAAAACATTCAAGACTCAATCCCTACTCCCACGCCCAGGCCAAACACACTTACAATTACAGTATTATGGGGATAGGACTCGGATAAGTGTGCAGGTCTATTGGGAGAACATAAAAGGGGGCATTTTGAAGAGAAGAGGCTTCTACAAAACGTCATTATTTTACACTGGTTGAATTGTTAGATTTTTTTAATTGTTAGATTTTAAATTAAATATTGGACGGGAGCAGTGGCTCACACCTGTAATCCCAACACTTTAGGAGGCCAAGGCAGGAGGATCCCTTGAGCCCAGGAGGTTGAGGCTGCAGTGAACTATGATTATGCCACTGCACTCCAGCCTGGGCGACAGAGCGAGACCTTGTCTAAAAATAAGATAAGAAAATAAAAAATGAAATTATATGAAAAAGGATACATACATTAGAGTTAACCGCCAGCTCCTATTATAGTTGTGTTTTGATCAATATAGACTGCTTAAAAGGGATGACTTAATGAATAATTCCTCCTACTAAACGCTGTTTTAAATGTCTAAACTTTTCTTGAGATAATATCCAATTTCCTCTCCCACGTTTTTTTTGTTTGTTTTTGCTTTTGTTTTTGTTTTTGCTTGAGACGAAGTCTTGCTCCTGACGCCCAGGCTGGAGTGCAATGGTGCGATCTGGGCCGACTGCAACCTCCGCCTCCCGGGTTCAAGCGATTCACCTGCCTCAGCCTCCCAAGAGCTGGGACTACAGGCGTGCGCCATCACGCCCGGCTAATTTTTGTATTTTTAGTAGAGATAGGGTTTCACCATGCTGGCCAGGCTGGTCTCAAACTACTGACCTCAGATCATCTGTCCGCCTCGGCCTCCTAAAGTGCTGAGATTACAGGGGTGAGCCACCGCCCCCGGGGCCCTTGCCCACGTTTTTATAAACAAAATATGAGGTGGGAGGATTGCTTGAGCCCAGGAGATCAAAACTGCAGTGAGCCATCATCGCGCCACTGCACTCCAGCCTGGGAGACAGAGCGAAACGCTGTCTCAAAAAAAGAAAAAAGAAACAAGGAAGGAAAGTGTCCCCCGAATGAATAAATATGAGCAGATAATTACTTCTAGTTTACATAAAATGCCCTCTTTTAAGAGAGGAACTTTTTGATCATTTTTATTACTATTCTTTTAATCTTAGATGTTTATTTTTCAGGAGGAAAAAAACAAACTTTTCCATAGTAGCAGTATTAAAACAAAGATGAATATGTTGTCAAGAGGCATCTGAACAATCTCCAACAGTGCCGAGTCGCATTTCCCCTTTCCTCTCCGATGCATTTGAGACTTTAATGCTTACTATATTTATTTAAGCGTTTTGTTCTGAGACCCCAAACTAATTTGCACAGTTGAAGCAGGAAATAGAATGGGTGGAAACATGCGGGTGTCTGTATTAGCATTATGCATCTCATATGCGAATAGGAATGCTCTAAAAATTCAATACAGTATACATGCGTGTGCATCGTCATGCAAAATAAGTCTCTATTGGCCTTATATTTGAACGCGCGAATGCAGCTCCTAAAAGTTAAAAACAACTCCTAGGCTGAATCGCGCGATAGAACGAAAGCGGCTTTAAACCCAGAGACTACAGTTTCCGGCATGCTTCGACGCCACACGTGATTAGCGGCAACTAGAACTACATTTCCCGGCGTGCCCTGGTCTCACGTGTGATTTGCTGCGGAACGAACTACATCTCCCGGCAGGCTGCGGAAGGGGGTCGAGTAGAAGGACCGCCGCTCCGGCCTCCCGCGACTTCTCGAAGGTGGGCAGGTCCCACCTTGTGGAGGATGGAGGTGACCGGGGACGCCGGGGTACCAGAATCTGGCGAGATCCGGACTCTAAAGCCGTGTCTGCTGCGCCGCAACTACAGCCGCGAACAGCACGGCGTGGCCGCCTCCTGCCTCGAAGACCTGAGGAGCAAGGGTTGGCTCGGGACCCCGGGCGAGGGTGTGGGGGAGCCAGGGCCGGGTGAGGACGTCCGGCGGGGGCGAGGCGGGGTCAGGAGAGGCGACTTGGGGATTCTTGTATCTCGGGTGGAGGCTTGGGACAGAAACGGTCCGAGTGGGCATAGCGATTTACAGATTTAAGGCGCTTGAGCGTAATTAATCTCGTGTGAGACTCCACGGTGGTGGGAAGACAGCCAGGAAGCAATGTGCAAATTAAGCCAGACTCGGCTTAGGTCTCTTGCCTGAAATCACTTCGATGTTGGACCAAACGGACCCCACTGGGTTCCTGCCACTCCGCCACACTCAGATGGTACAAGAACCCCCAGCTGAGCCCACGGCGGTGTGGGGAGGGGTTTCCACCGTCCGCTCTGGCAGGAACCTATGCAGGAAAGAGGGAGCTGCTACTGACCATTTCTGGAGGTCCAGACAAGGAACGTGAGTTGTAAGTGACGGAGCCGACGGAAGTTCCGAGCCCGGCCCCATACCTTTACCAGCTGCTTGGCCTTGCACTTAACCAGCTCTCAACCCTCAGTTTTCTCATCAGCAAATTGGGTATAATATTTATAGCCCTGCTTCAAAGGGTTGTTGGTTCTCTCAAATAAGATGATATATTTAAGTGACTTACAAGTCTTATTAGCCAGTAGCAACAAATCGCTTACCCAAAGAAGTTTTACAGGTTACATGTGTGAGCCAGCCCCAGGCATGTAGTCACAGTGTGTGTCAGAGGGCACAGTTGCTTCCTCTCAGTCACCAACAGAAATCATATGGAAATTTTCAGAGACCCATGAACAGCCAAAGCATTATAAATGCTTTGGTAACATGGATTTTGCATATAAGCATTTATGTATTTTTTTTCCTGACATTAGATTACTTTACTTCTAATTCCCCTTCAGTGCCGTGGCTGGATGTGCGTGGCACAGAGGCTGGTGTTCTCTGCAGTCCAGCGCATACATGCCTTGCTGTTCTATTGGGTGGTAGACAACACCGCTGAAGGATATTTGTAGTCTCTTGGCTATTTCTGATCACTCCAGTCCCGTTAGTATTTGAAGCATTGCTATCACTAAATGGAATAGTACAGACCTGTCCTGGAGAAAGCCTCTCCGCCAATGATAATGATATGAAAAGCTACTGATAGAAGCTTCCACTTCTTTTATACTTTCCCATAGGTTAGAAAAGAAGCTGCTAAGGAAGATACTGTAAAGAACAAAAAGCATTTTCTTTTTTTTTTTTTTTTTTTGAGACGGAGTGTCACTCTGTCACCCAGGCTGGAGTGCAGTGGCGCTATCTCGGCTCACTGCAAGCTCCGCCTCCCGGGTTCACTCCATTCTCCTGCTTCAGCCTCCCGAGTAGCTGGGACTACAGGCGCCCACCACCACGCCCATCTAATTTTTTGTATTTTTTAGCAGAGACGGTTTTTCACCATGTTAGCCAGGATGGTCTCGATTGCCTGCTTTGTGATCCACCCGCCTCGGCCTCCCAAAGTGCTGGGATTACAGACGTGAGCCACCGTGCCTGGCCTTTTTGGTGTATTTTTTGACATTTTTACACATAGGAGAATTTAAGAGGACACCTGAGGGCCGGGTCCGGTGGCTCACACCTGTAATCCCAGCACTTTGGGAGGCCGAGGTGGGCGGATCACGAGGTCAGGAGATCGAGACCATCCTGGCTAACACGGTGAAACCCCGTCTCTACTAAAAATACAAAAAAATTAGCCGGGCGTGGTGGTGGGCGCCTGTAATCCCAGCTACTCCGGAGGCTGAAGCAGGAGAATGGCGTGAACCCGGGGGGCGGAGCTTGCAGTGAGCCCAGATAGCGCCTGGGCACTCCAGCCTGGGCGACAGAGTGAGACTCCGTCTCAAAAAAAAAAAAAAAAAAAAGAGGAAAACTGAATAAATGAATGAGAGACTGCTTGTTTGCAAGGAATCAAACTAGACTTTGATTGGTTGTTCACTCCAGTAAAAACTCAAATGCCTACCATACATGAGTGTGGAGTAGCTGGAGTAAACATACTTTCAGGAGCCAGACTTTGTGGGTTTAAATCCCAGCTTTGCCACTTACTGTGTGATCTTAGACAAGTTACTTAACCTCTCTGAGCCTTGGGTTCATCATCTATAAAACAGAACTAATAAAAGTACCTACTTTACAGGATTATTATGAGATTAAATACTGTATATGAAAAGCACTTAGGCCAGGCGCGGTTGCTCATGCCTGTAATCCTAGCACTTTGGGAGGCCGAGGCAGGTAGATCATTAAGTCGGGAGTTCCAGACCAGACTGGCCAAGATGGTGAAACCCCGTCTCTACTAAAAATACAAAAATTAGCCAGGCACGGTGGCCGGTGCCTGTAGTCCCAGCTACTCGGGAGACTAAGGCAGAGAGTTGCTTGAACCCGGGAGGCGGAGGTTGCTGTGAACCAAGATTGTACTACTGCACGCCAGCCTGTCTCAAAAAAAAAAAAAAAGAAAGAAAGAAAAGCACTTAGGGCTGAGCACAGTGGCTCATGCCTCTAATCCCAGCACTTTGGGAGGCCAAGGCGGGTGGATCATGAGGTCAGGAGTTCGAGACCAGCCTGGTCAACATGGTGAAACCACGTCTCTACTAAAAATACAAAAATTAGCCGGACATGGTGGTGCACGCCTATAATCCCAACTACTCGGGAGGCTGAGGCAGGAAAATCACTTGAACCTGGGAGGCAGAGGTTTCAGTGAGCCGAGATCGCGCCAGTGCACTGCAGCCTGGGTAACAGAGTGAGACCCTGCTACAAAAAAAAAGAAAAGAACACTTAGAACAGAATCAGGCACGTGATGAGTGTTCTGGTAGTGCTAGAAGTGATGATTGTGATTCTAGTTATTACCTACCAGGAGTTCTGCTCAGCTCTGGAGCCATACATACTTGAGATGCAGGGATAGATGTAATTTCCTTACGGTTATTTGTCATTTGCCAAATATTTTATTCTTTTCAGCCTGTGACATTCTGGCCATTGATAAGTCCCTGACACCAGTCACCCTGGTCCTGGCAGAGGATGGCACCATAGTGGATGATGACGATTACTTTCTGTGTCTACCTTCCAATACTAAGTTTGTGGCATTGGCTAGTAATGAGAAATGGGCATACAACAATTCAGGTAAGAAACTCTAGCCATGTATAAAACGGCCTATGCAGTACAGCATCCATCATGATTACTTTCACTGCACAGACAATTGCCATTTGTCTGGCTTTTTAAGCATTTGTTCAACAGATATTTACTGAGCACTTTCTATGTGCCAGACATGGTGCTGAGTCCTGGGGATAAAGATGAATGAGGCCAGGCACGGTGGGCAGATCACCTGAGCTCAGGAGTTTGAGACCAGCCTGGCCAACATGGCGAAAGTCCATCTCTACTGAAAATACAAAAACTAGCTGAGCATGGTGGCAGGCACCTGTAATCCCAGATACTTGGGAGGCTGAGGCGGGAGAATTGCTTGAACCTGGGAGGTGGAGGTTGCAGTGAGCTGAGATTGTGCCACTGCACTCCAGCCTGGGCGACAGAACGAGACTCTGTCTCAAAAAAAAAAAAAAATAGATGAATGAGACATGGGCCCAGTTCTCAACTAACTCATGGACAGACAGCAACTGAAATGCAGCCTGGCAGGGAGCTCAGTGCTGCAGGCTGCAGTCCAGCTGTTGAGGTCTGGATCCTGGCTCTACCATTTACTAACCAGGTGACCTTGTGCAAATTACATAACTTCTCAGTGCCTTGTTGACATAATAATTATAGAACCTGTCCCCTAAGATTGTTGTAAAGATAATATAGTACATATCAAACCAGGGTTTCTCAATGACACTGCTGACATTTGGGGCTGGAGTTGTGAAGAGGATGCTTTGTGTATGATAGGACGTTTAGTAGCATCCTAGATGTTACGAACCTCCCCCCACAACTGTGATAACCAAGAATAAATGACTCCAGATATTGTCAGATGTCTCCTGGGGGGCAAAATTGCTCCCACTTGAGAACCACTGATATGAAGTGTTTAGATCTTACCTGGCACATAGTTAAGGACTCAATAATTGTTACCTGTCCCTGCCATCATCATCATCACAGGAGATAGAAAGGGGACTAACATTGGTGACCAAGGATCAAGAAGTGTCTTGAGAGGGGATTAGTTTTAGGGAGGGACTTAAAAAAAAAAAAAGTGTCCTGAAGTGTGCCACAAAATTGAGGAAGTCATCCTACAGCAGTGGCCCTACCAGCCACCTTTGTGCTCAGGCCTAAGGGACAGCAATCGATGGCTACAGCTCTGCCAGTTAAAGAAGGGACCAATCCCCAAGCACAGAGAAATGCTGGCACAAATGACCGTTTTCGTATAAAAAACAGGACACACCTGGACACACAGAAACCAGAAAGGGAAGTGTGATTGGATTCCTTGTAGGTGTGACCACACATTGGGTTTAAATGGCTTTTTCTATGGAAGAATACAGAGCCGTTGCACACAGAGATAAAGATGAAAGAGGGTCAGGCACGGTGGCTTATGCCTGTAATCCCAGCACTTTGGGAGACCGAGGTGGGCAGATCACTTGAAGTCAGGAGTTTGAGACCAGCCTGGCCAACATGGTGAAAGCCCGTCTCTACTAAAAATACCAAAATTAGCTGGTCATGGTGGTGGGCACCTGTAATCCCAGCTACTTGCAAGGCTGAGGCAGGAGAATCGCTTGAACTCGGGCAGTGGAGGTTGCAGTGAGCCAAGATCGTGCCACTGCACTCCAGCCTGGGCAACAGAGTGAGACTCTGTCTCAAAAAAAAAAAAAATGAAAGAAGAGGGAAAATCAAGGTCCTGGATGGATATTGACCCTCCTGTGAATCCTTGAGATAAGATGCTTCTTTCCCATTGAAATTAATCTAGATCCTCAAGAGGTCTGTGTGTGCTGGGGGAGGAGGTGAAAACAGCACTTCAGGTTGTTCTGTGACTGGCATTTTCTCCCATGTGTCAGATGGAGGTACAGCTTGGATTTCCCAAGAGTCCTTTGATGTAGATGAAACAGACAGCGGGGCAGGGTTGAAGTGGAAGAATGTGGCCAGGCAGCTGAAAGAAGATCTGTCCAGCATCATCCTCCTATCAGAGGAGGACCTCCAGGTAAAGCCTCCTCCACAACCTGCAACAATGTTCATCCAGCCTCTGCCCCCCGCCCCAGCACCTTCTTAGCTTCCATACTTGCCATAGCAATTTCTTTGTTTTAATCTTAATTTTTAAATAATTCTTAAATTACAACTAAGATTTTTCATCTTCTCATTCTCACCTAGAGTAATTTTTCAACCCTCGTCACGAAGCAGAATTACCTGTGGATTTTTTTTTTTTTTTTTTTTTTTTTTTGAGACACAGTCTTACTCTGTCGCCCAGGCTGGAGTGCAGTGGTGCAATCTCAGCTCACTGCAGTCTCCACCTCCCGGGTTCAAGCAATTCTCCTGTCTCAGCGTCCCAGGTAGCTGGAATTACAGGTGCACACCAACACGCCTGGCTAATTTTGGTATTTTTAGTAGAGACAGCGTTTCATCATGTTGGCCAGGCTGCTCCTGAGTTCAAGTGATCCACCTGCCTCAGCCTCCCAAAGTGCTGAGATTATAGGCGTGAGCCACCGTGCCCGGCCAGATTTTTTTTTTAATACAAATGCCTGGGATCCACCCTAAACCTAGTTAGGTGGACGCTGGGGTCAGGGATGCCCTGCTAGAGAATGTAGCGTTGGAGTAGATGGCTTCACATCCCAGCGCTGTCACCACGACTTTGAGCCAGTAGCTTAGCTTCTCTCCTTGTGTTTTCTCTCTAGTAAGATTGGGATAGGCCAGGTGCAGTGGCTCACGCCTGTAATCTCAGCACTTTGGGAGGCCGAGGCGGGCAGATCACGAGGTCAGGAGATCGAGACCATCCTGGCTAACATGGTAAAACCCCATCTCTACTAAAAATACAAAAAATTAGCCGGGCCTGGTGGTGTGCACCTGTACCTGTAGTCCCAGCTACTCGGGATGCTGAGGCAGAAGAATCGCCTGAACCCAGGAGGTGGAGCTTGCAGTGAGCCGAGATCGCACCACTGCACTCCAGCCTGGGTGACAGAGAGAGACTCCATCTCAAAAAGAAAAAAAAGATTGGGATAAAAACAGTATGTTTTCATTCAAAGAAAATTTCTCTTTGAGACAGGGTCTTGCTTTGTCACCCAGTGCAGTGGCATGATCATAGCTCACTGCATCCTCGACTTCCTGGGCTCAAGCCATCCTCCCACCTCAACCTCTCAGGTAGCTGAGACTGTAGGCTTGCACCACCACACTGCGCTATTTTTTCTTTTTTTTTTTTTTTAATTTTTGTAGGCCAGGTGCAGTGGCTTATACCTGTAATCCTAGCATTTTGGGAGGCCAAGGTGAGCAGATTGCCTGAGTTCAGGAGTTTGATGTGGTAAAACCCTATCTCTACAAAAATTAGCTAGGTGTGGTGGCGTGTGCCTGTAGTTCCAGCTACTCAGGAAACTGAGGCAGAAGGATCACTTGAGCCCAGGTGGTCAAGGCTTCAGTGAGCCATGACTATACCACACCAACCTGGGCAACAAAGCAAGACCCTGTCTCAAAAATAAATAAATAAATAAATAAAGCCAGGCGTGGTGGCTCACACCTATAATCCTAGAACTTTGGGAGGCCGGGGCGGGCAGATCACGATGTCAAGAGATCAAGACCATCCTGGCAAACATGGTGAAACCCCGTCTTTACTAAAAATACAGCCGGGCACGGTGGCTTAACGCCTGTAATCCCAGCACTTTGGGAGGCTGAGGAGGGTGGATCACAAGGTCAAGAGTTCAAGACCAGCTTGGCCAAGATGGTGAAATCCCGTCTCTACTAAAAATATAAAAATTAGCCAGGCGTGGCGGCAAGCACCTGTAATCCCAGCTACTCAGGAGGCTGAGGCAGGAGAATCACTTGACCTGGGAGGGGGAGGTAGCAGTGAGCAGAGATCACGCCACTGCATTTTAGCCTGGGAGACAGAGCAAGACTCTGTCTCAAAAAACAAAAAAATTACAAAAATTAGCTGGGCGTGATGGCGTGTGCCTGTAGTCCCAGCTACTCAGGATGCTGAGGCAGGAGAATAGCTTGAACCCAGGAGGCGGAGGTTGCGGTGAGCCGAGATCACGTCATTGCACTCCAACCTGGTGACAGAGCAAGACTCAGTCTCAAAAAAAATAATTAATTAATGTTTTATAGAGAGGAGGTCTTCACAGGTTGCCTAGGCTGGTCTTGAACTCCTGGGCTCAGGCAGTCCTCCCACCCTGGCCTCCCAAAGTGCTGGGATTATTGATATGAGCCTCTGTGCTTGACCCAAAACATATTTATTGAGCCCCATCCTGTGCCTGTCATGGTTCTATGCACTGGGTGTGCAGTGGCGAACAAGCCAGACACAGTCTCTGCTCTAACGGTACTTGTATTCTGATGAAGGGAGGCAGAAAGCAACAGGAAAGCATATCAGACAGTGGTATGCAGAGAGTGATGGAGGCTACTCTAGACTGGAACACGGAGGAAGGCCTCTTTGAGGAAATGATTTCTTGGTGTTTTTTGTTTTGGTTTGGTTTGGTTTGAGACAGGGTCTAGCTCTGTCACCCAGGCTGGAGTGCAGTAGTGCAATCTCAGCTCACTGCACCATCTGCCTGCTGGGCTCAAGCGATCCTCCCACCTCAGCCTTCCAAGTAGCTGGGACCACAGGCGTACTCCACCATGCCTGGTGAATTTTTATATTTTTGGTAAAGACAGGGTTTCACCATGTTGCCCAGGCTGGTCTTAAACTCCTGAGCTCAAGCAGTCCTCCTACCTCAGCCTCCCAGAGTGCTGGGATTATAGGTGTAAGCCACTACACCCGACCCTTCTTCCCAATTTTAACACTAAAAGAAAATTAGAAAAATTGGCCGGGCACGGTGGCTCACACCTGTAATCCCAGCACTTTGGGAGGCCGAGGCGGGTGGATCACAAGATCAGGAGATCGAGACCATCCTGGCTAACACGGTGAAACCCCGTCTCTACTAAAAATACAAAAAATTAGCCAAGCGTGGTGGCAGGCACCTGTAGTACCAGCTGCTCAGGAGGCTGAGGCAGGAGAATGGCGTGAACCCAGGAGGCGGAGCTTGCAGTGAGCCGAGATCGTGCCACTGCACTCCAGCCTGGGTGACAGAGCGAGACTCTGTCTCAAAAAAAAAAAAAATTAGAAAAATTACATGCTTTTCTCTTGACTGTCTGCCAACTATCATAGTAGGTAACTTTGGGAAATGGATGCATTGAGTTCTGAAATGGATGTATTTGAGAGGTAGAACACCGTGTTTAGAAAGTCCTTGTAGGCCGGGCGCAGTAGCTCACACCTGTAATCCCAGCACTTTGGGAGGCCAAGGCGGGTGGATCACCTGAGGTCAGGAGTTCAAGACCAGCCTGGCCAACATGACAAAACCCCGTCTCTACTAAAAATACAAAAATTAGCTGGGCTTGGTAGCACATGCCTGTAATCCCAGCTACTAGGGAGGCTGAGGCAGGAAAATTGCTTGAACCCAGGAGGCGGAGGTTGCAGTGAGCCGAGATCACACCATCGCACTCCAGCCTGGGCAACAGAGCAGACTCCGTCTCAAAAAAAAAAAAGAAAGTCAGAAAGTCCCTGTAGATTTCTAAGCGTCTGTGTTTGTTTGTTAGATGCTTGTTGACGCTCCCTGCTCAGACCTGGCTCAGGAACTACGTCAGAGTTGTGCCACCGTCCAGCGGCTGCAGCACACACTCCAACAGGTGCTTGACCAAAGAGAGGAAGTGCGTCAGTCCAAGCAGCTCCTGCAGCTGTACCTCCAGGCTTTGGAGAAAGAGGGCAGCCTCTTGTCAAAGCAGGAAGGTAGGACTCTCTGCAGGCAGAGTCACTCTGAGAATTCAGGGCTGATGGAGGCGTCCCTTGGGAGGACACTATTTGTGATGTAGCCAGGGCCACTGAAGCCGCGGCTGCTGGGATGCGGGACGGGCACGTTTCTCTCTTGCCCGGCCAGTTATTCTGGCGAGTTGTTCATGTGGCTGTGTGGTCACACCACGTCTGATCTCTGTCTCGTGTCTCCTTTGCAGAGTCCAAAGCTGCCTTTGGTGAGGAGGTGGATGCAGTAGACACGGGTATCAGCAGAGAGACCTCCTCGGACGTTGCGCTGGCGAGCCACATCCTTACTGCACTGAGGGAGAAGCAGGCTCCAGAGCTGAGCTTATCTAGTCAGGATTTGGAGGTGGGCGGAAACCAGGGTCACTGAGCTACAGAGGAGGACATGCCCTGGGATGTAGTAGTATCATGCAGAGGTGTGTGGGCCCTTTTGTTCACCTCTGCAGACTGTGAATCCTAGCTGCCAGTTTGCCTATTATATGCCAAGGCATTTGCAAAAATCTCATTAATCTAAATCAAAATAGCTTTAAAGAAAAATGCATACACTTCCTCAGATCATCAAACAGACTCTGGTCCAAGGTTGGTAATGAAATGACTGTTCCTGACAGGGAGGAATAGCAGGGCCCAATCTTCTGAGATGGCTTCTGGGTCTTTCCATGGTCAGAGAAGATCTATAGTCCGTCCTGAGGTCTGTCAATGTCACAGGAAAAGGCAAACTTGAGGGGATCGTCGCCTGCTGGCTAAGACCAGGGAGCTAAAAACTTGAGGAAGGGAACCTGCCTGGGTGGGTGCTACTTCTGATTCATTGTCCTTGTCCCTGTCATAAGTACCTCCCTATTGTAGATAGAAGGGAAGGAAACTGTTGACTTGAGCTTGGCTAAATTTCCTGAAGGTGGAGGACCTTAGAGTTGCTCCAAGTAAACTTTCCAAGGACTTCTTCCTGTTGGTGTTGTAAGAAAAGGCCCATGCTTGTCCGGGCACAGTGGCTTACGCCTGTTAATGCCAGTACTTTGGGAGGCCGAGGCAGGTGGATCACCTGAGGTCAGGAGTTCGAGACCAGCCTGACCAACATGGCGAAACCCCATCTCTACTAAAAATACAAAAATTAGCCTGGCATGGTGGTGGGAGGCTGAAGCAAGAGAATCACTTGAACCCAGGAGGTGGAGGTTGCGTGAGCTAAGATCGCGCCACTGCACTCCAGCCTGGGCGACAAGAGTGAAACTCCGTCTTAAAAAAGCCCATGGCAGGCTGGGCGCGGTGGCTCACGCCTGTAATCCCAGCACTTTGGGAGGCCAAGGTGGGCGGATCACAAGGTCAGGAGATCGAGACCATCCTGGCGAACACGGTGAAACCCCGTCTCTACTAAAAAAAATACAAAAAAATTAGCCAGGCGTGGTCGTGGGCACCTGTAGTCCCAGCTACTCAGGGGGCTGAGGCAGGAGAATGGCGTGAATCCGGGAGGCGGAGCTTGCAGGGAGCCGAGATAGTGTCACTGCACTCCAGCCTGGGTGACAGAGCGAGACTCCGTCTCAAAAAACAAAAAGCCCGTGGCAATTAATGGTAAAGGAAACCCGGCATTTCAGTGTAAAGAGGTAACATAAACGGATACTGCCTCATTGCACTCCCCAAAAGAGAGTCAGGAGAGCAGCAGGAGAGGCGCACAGAAGGCCCAGTTCTCAGGGGTTTTTATTCTTGCTGCAGTTGGTTACCAAGGAAGACCCCAAAGCACTGGCTGTTGCCTTGAACTGGGACATAAAGAAGACGGAGACTGTTCAGGAGGCCTGTGAGCGGGAGCTCGCCCTGCGCCTGCAGCAGACGCAGAGCTTGCATTCTCTCCGGAGCATCTCAGCAAGCAAGGCCTCACCACCTGGTGACCTGCAGAATCCTAAGCGAGCCAGACAGGATCCCACATAGCAGCAGCGGGAAGTGTGCCAAGGAAGCTCTGTGGCGTTGTGTTATTGGTAGACACCCTCAGCCTCATCATTTGACTACCTATGTACTACTCTACCCCCTGCCTTAGAGCACCTTCCAGAGAAGCTATTCCAGGTCTCAACATACGCCGTTCCACCAATTTTTTTTTTAGCCCCACCAGCTTCAGGACTTCTGCCAATTTTGAATGATATAGCTGCACCAACAATATCCCGCCTCCTCTAATTACATATGATGTTCTCTGTTCAAAAGTAATTGGCAGTGATTGGCCAGGCGCAGTGGCTCACGCCTGTAATCCCAGCACTGGGAGGCCGAGGGGGGCGGATCGTGAAGTCAGGAGATCGAGACCATCCTGGCTAACATGGTGAAACCCTGTCTCTACTAAAAATACAAAAAAAATTAGCCAGCCATGGTGGCGGGCGCCTGTAATCCCAGCTACTTGGGAGGCTGAGGCAGGAGAATGGCATGAACCTGGGAGGCAGAGCTTGCAGTGAGCTGAGATTGCGCCACTGCACTCCAGCCTGGGCAACAGAGCGAGACTCCGTCTCAAAAAAAAAAAAAAAAAAAGTAATTGGCAGTGACTATGGGCGCACTGCCTAACATTTAGCCCTGCCCCATATGGAACATGTTAAAAAAAAAAAAAGCCAGGCCGAGCGTGTTGGCTCACGCTTGTAATCCCAGCACTTTGGGAGGCCGAGGCGGGTGGATCACGAGGTCAGGAGATCGAGACCATCCTGGCTAACACAGTGAAACGTGTTTTTACTAAAAGTACAAAAAACTAGCTGGGCGTGGTGGCAGGAGCCTGTAGTCCCAGCTACTCGGGAGGCTGAGGCAGGAGAATTGCTTGAACCGGGGAGGCAGAAGTTGCAGTGAGCCGAGATTATGCCACTGTACTCCAGCCTGGGTGACAGAGTGACACTCTGTCTCAAAAAAAAAAAAAAAAAGGACAGGCACGACAGTGGCTCACACCTTTGATCCCAGCACTTTGGAGGCCGATGCAGGCGGATCACATGAGGTCAGGAGTTCAAGACCAACCTGGCCAATATGGTGAAACCCCGTCTCTACTAAAAATACAAAAATTAGCTGGGCATGATGGCGGGTGCCTGTAATCCCAGCTACTCGGTAGGCAGAGGTTGCAGTGAGCTGAGAGCGCACCACTGCACTCCAGCCTGGGTGACAGAGCTAGACTCCGTATCTCAAGAAAAAAAAAAAGTTTTGTTTTGTTTTTTTGAGACAGAGTCTCACTCTGTCACCTAGTCTGGAGTGCAGTGGCACATTCTCGGCTCACTGCAACCCCCACCTCCCAGGTTCAAGCGATTCTCCTGTTTCAGCCTCCTGAGCAGCTGGGATTACAGGCACGTGCCACCATGCCCGGCTAATTTTTGTATTTTTAGTAGAGACAGGGTTTTGTCACATTGGCCAGGCTGGTCTCAAACTCCTGACCTCAGGTGATCCACCCACCTCAGCCTCCCAAAGTGCTGGGATTACAGGTGTGAGCCACCACCCCTGGCCAGAAAAAAAAGCTTTTAAATAAAGTAATTGTCAGCTTAGGCAACATAGCAAGACCCTGTCTCTACAAAAAAAAAATTTAAGTTAGCCAGGCATGGTGGCACTGACCTATAATCCTAGCTACTCTGGAGGCTAAGGCGAGAGTATCACTTGAGCCCAGGAGCTCAAGGCTGATCATGCCACCATACTCCAGCCTGGATGATAGAGTAAGACCCTACTTTTTTTTTTTTTTTTTTAAAAAGGTAACCATCAAGGGCAATGAAAAGAAATGGTCGTATTTCCAATTCATTATCCTTATTCTGAAGATAGTACGGCAGAATTTTAAGCAGAGATAGTGGTGAAGATGGTGACATTATAGAGTGTTGACTATGGCCACAATCTTGTTTCTCCAGTTAATGAATTTTTTTATGTGTTTGTTTAAAGATACATATTAAGCTTGTAGACCATAGGGACATACGGAGAGTCCATTGCTAATATCTCACTCAGTATTGTGAAATTCTATCTCACCACCGTGAAACTCTTCAGTTTTCTAATTGCTTTATCAGCAGGGGGTATAAAAGGTCATGAAAGCAATTTCCACATGCTGTGGCTCCAGGTCTCTGGGTGTGAAGCAGAGCAAGCCTGGTTTGTCCTCCTCCTGTCTCCACACAGACGGCTTCTGCAGGTTTGGTAATCTACAGTACACTCCTTGCAGGGAAAAGGTGATGAGTCATCATGGACTTATTTGACCACTTTTTATGCATGCTTAGAGGAAAACAGAATACTGTTAAGAGATTCATCTGCTAGTTATTAAGTAAAGAAATATCACAATAGGCCGGGCGCAGTGGCTCACACCTGTAATCCCAGCATTTTGGGAGGCCAAGGTGGGCGGATCACCTGAGGTCAGGAGTTCGAGACCAGCCTAGCCAACATGGTGAAACCCCGTCTCTACTGAAATTATAAAAAATTAGCCGGGTGTAGTGGTACACGCCTGTAGTCCCAGTTACTTGGGAGGCTGAGGCATGAGAATTGCTTGAACCCAGGAAGTGGAGGTGGAGGTGAGCCGAAATTGTGCCACTGTACTCCAGCCTGCAACAGAGTGAGACACTGTCACACAAAAAAGAAAGAAATATCACAATATGTCACAATAGGCCGGGCGCAGTGGCTCACACCTGCAGTCCCAGCACTTTGGGAGGCCAAGGCAGATGGATCACCTGAGGTCAGGAGTTTGAGACCAGCCTGGCCAACGTGACAAAACCCAGTCTACTAAAAATACAAAAATTAGCCAGGCGTGATGGTGGGCACCTGTAATCCCAGCTACTCAGGAGGCTGAGACATGAGAATCGCTTGAACCCAGGAGGTGGAGATTGCACTGAGCTGAGATCCTGCCACTGGGCTCCAGCCTGGGTGACAGAATGAGACTCTGTCTTTAAAAAAAAAAAAAAAAGAAAATCACAATAAGTCCTAGGGTAAAGATGGGGGTACAGAAAACAATTAAATAGAACAAAAACAACTGTTTCCTTTTCCTGTGATTCAAGAAGGGCTTAGATCTTCTACTCAGCATCCTTTTACTAATGCCCTCCATTGGCTCTCACCCCAACATTTCCTTTTTTATAGCTTATTTTGTAATGCCTCCTTAATTATCCTTTAATAGAAGCCACCGCTGATAAGCTACCTACACTCATACAGAAGCATTAATATAATGCCCCAGATGTACTGTTTCAGGGCAAAAAGGAAAATAATTTCCAACAAAGTGGTGTGTGTTTCACTGTCAGATGCTTGCACTTACACACGGAATCGCTGTGCATCCGACAGAGGCTGATTGGCACATGGGGCACGGGGATTGTCAGCTCAAACACCGTCAGCAGCGTTGCCCTTGGAAATGGGATTTCCCAGAACAGTAAACGTGTCTGTCCTTGATTTACAGAGTAGCTACATTCCTAGGAAATCCAGGGTACATTAAAACTCACCATGTTACCCAGGCTGGTCTCAAACTCCAGGCCTCAAGCAATCCTCCCACATCAGCTTCCCAGAATTTTGGGATTACAGGCATGAGCCACCACACCCAGCCAGAATATTTTATTTCTGTTAGACACACAGAGCGTTCGTTGACTCGTCTGGGCGTTAGTGTTAATATTCTGTACTTGAAGCAAGCCCACCAAGCGGCTGAACTGGGTGGATAATGGAAAATGTCCTGTGGATTTGGGAGTGAGACAAACCGGCTTGAGTCTAACCTCTCAGTTAGTCTAAGGCTCCAAGCTTGAAAGGGTTAAATGAAGTACTATATTTGTTTTGTTTCGTTTTCGTTTTGTTTGAGGCTTTGCTCTGTTGCCCAGGCTGGAGTGTAGTGGCACAATCTCTGCTCACTGCAACCTCCATCTCCCAGGTTCAGGCGATTCTCTTGCCTCAGCCTCCAGAGTAGCTGGGATTACAGGTGCCCGCCACCACACCCGGCTAAGTTTTTTTTGGTATTTTTAGTAGACACAGGGTTTCACCATGTTGGCTAGACTGGTCTCAAACTCCTGACCTCAAGTGATCCACCTGCCTTGGCCTCCCAAAGTGCTGGGAGTATAGGTGGTGAGCCACCACGCCTGGCCTAAATGAAGTACCACATGACCGACAGACCGACCTGGGGAACATAGCAAGACCCCATCTCTACAAAAATGTAAAAAATAAAAATTAGCCGGGTGTAGTGGTACATGCCTGTAATCCTAGATACTCGGGAGGCTAAGGCAGAAGGATCACTTGAGCCCAGGAGTTCGAGGCTACAATGAGCTGTGATCGTGCCACTGCACTCCATCCTGGGTGGCAGAGTGAGGCCCTGTCTCAAAATAAATAATCCAGTCCCCCCCAAGAAAGGAATGAAGTGCTATAATGAGAAAAATCCTAGTACCTAACATATAGTAGACAGTGGAGAGTGGTTCTCTTTCGTTTCTCAGGGGCAGACAGATGGGGTGCTGGAGTCCTCTATCAAAGAGTCAGAGCTCTATCCCAGATGTGTAATGAACGTGGTCACAGACATATTGTCCCATTACCATTTACCTTCCCTATAACCACTGTGCCTCCAGCCTTGTAGAATAGACACATAGGAGCGCAGCAATACGTCTAAAAATAGGAGTGAGAGAGGGCAGGGCATGCCCGTTCTTGTGGTAGAAGAAAAGAATGTCAAAGAAAGCAGCTGGGACTAATGAACTTTACATTAGCCATATTCCATTATTTCAGCTTAAGTCAAATGTCGGTCCTCATGAGGCAACTGGCTTTGACAGGAGCTACGCTAATTACCACTTACCAACCTTTAATTTCTGGGTAAAAGCAAAAGAGAAAAACTAATGGATTTTTCATTTTCCAGAGAGACAAGAATAAAATAATAGTAGTCTGTAGAAAAAAGAAAACCTGCATCAATTACAAGAATTATTAATGTATCTTTAATAAATAACCACATTATTTAGCTGTTTAATTTCCTAATTACCTGTTCAAGCTTTTTTTTTTTTTTTTTTTTTTTCTTTTTCACCTTGAGGGTTTTTGTCCATCTTGTTTGTGGGGTTTTGCCTTAAATCATTTTGGCTGCATCTTATACACCTTGTGGTTTTTAAGGACCTTGGACATGATCTAGTCTGAACCCCCATCCACCGCCTGAGTCCTCCCAATAGGTCTGACAGTGAGGGTCTCCATTCTGTTTGAGAGCCTCCAGCCAGGGGGACAGACGCCCTCCCCAGGAGCTGCACTGCATTTACAGGTTGCAGAACCTTAGAGTTGACAACTTGCTCAAATGATATCAGACAACACTCGTGCAATCACAAGGCTGCAAGGAAATGAGCCCACAGATTAATGCATAGATAGCGGATTTTCTTCACTCTTTTTCTTTTCTTTTTTTAAGACAATCTCGCTCTGTCACCCAGGCTGGAGTTCAGTGGCTCTATCTCAGCTCACTGTAACCTCCACCTCCCAGGTTCAAGGGATTCTCCTGCCTCAACCTCCCAAATAGCTGGGATTACAGGGGCGTGCCACCACCCCCAGCTAATTTTTGTATTTTTAGTAGGGATGGGGTTTCTCCATGTTGGCCAGGCTGGTCTCAAACTTCTGACCTCATGTGATCCACCGTCCTCAGCCTCCCAAAGTGCTGGGATTACAGGCATGAGCCACCACACCTGGCTGTATTTTTCAGTATCATGTTATAAGAACTATCACCCCCAGGCTGGGCGCAGTGGCTCACGCCTGTAATCCCAGCACTTTGGGAGGCCGAGACGGGCGGATCACGGGGTCAAGAGATCGAGGCCATCCTGGATAAAATGGTGAAACCCCATCTCTACTAAAAATACAAAAAAATTATCCGGGCGTGGTGGCAGGCGCCTGTAGTCCCATACTCGGGAGGCTGAGGCAGGAGAATGGCCTGAACCCGGGAGGCGGAGCTTGCAGTGAGCTGAGATTGCACCACTGCACTCCAGCCTGGGCGACAAGCGAGACTCCGTCTCAAAAAAAAAAAAAAAAAAAAGAACTATCACCCCCAAAATTCTAGCTTTTCCTCCAGACTGATTATTTTAATAAGACAAATACTTTTTTAAATTACAAATGCAAAATGGGAAAGAGAAATTACTATTTTTACTAGCATTATAAGAAGTTACAAAAGCCAGGCGCGGTGGTTCACGCCTGTAATCCCAGCACATTGGGAGGCCGAGGCAGGGAGATCACCTGAGGTCAGGAGTTCGAGACCAGCCTGACCAACATGGAGAAACCCCCTGTCTCTACTAAAAAAAATAAAAAATTTGCCGGGCGTGATAGTACATGCCTGTAATCCCAGCTACTCGGGAGGCTGAGGCAGGAGAATCTCGCTTGAACCTGGGAGGCGGAGGTTGCAGTGAGCTGAGATCACGCCATTGCACTCCAGCCTGGGCAACAAGAGCAAAACTCCGTCTCAAAAAAAAAAAAAAAAAAAAGAAGTTACAAATAGCCCAGGGGTGGTACCACAGTGGCTCATGCCTGTAGCCGTACTCCCAGCTACTCAGGAGGCTAAGGCAGGAGAATTGCTTGAACCCGGGAGGTGGAGGTTGCAGTGAGTCGAGATCGCCATTGCACTCCAGCCTAGGCAACAAGAGCGAAACGCCCTCTCAAAAAAAAAAAAAAAAAAAAAAAGTGTGTGGCATCCCCCTACTCAGGCCAAGTCTCTCTCTTGCTCTTGCTCTCACTGTGTGATACACTGGGTCCTACTTGGCTTTCTGTAATGATTGGAAGCTTCCTGAGGCCTCACCAGAAACTGAGCAGATGCCTGGTGCCATGATTTTTTTTTTTTTTTTTTTTTTAAGTAGAGATGGGGTTTCACCGTTTTGGTCAGGCTGGTCTGGAAATCCTGACCTTGTGATCCGCCTGCTTCGGCCTCCCAAAGTGTTGGGATTACAGGCGTGAGCCACCGCACCTGGCCAGGTATTTCTTTATAGCAGCACAAGAACGGCCTAAAACATTCCAAATGAAACCTCTCTCTCTATGGAAAACGCTACTGTTTTTAAGATGGGCTGCCCCTGGCCAGGCGCGGTGGTTCATACCTGTAATCCCAGCACTTTGGGAGGCTGAGGTGGGTGGATCACAAGGTCAGGAGATCGAGACCATCCTGGCTAACACGGTGAAACCCCATCTCTACAAAAAAATAGAAAAAATTAGCTGGGTGTGGTGGCGGGTGCCTGTAGTCCCAGCTACTCGGGAGGCTGAGACAGAAGAATGACCTGAGCCCGGGAGGTGGAGCTTACAGTGAGCCAAGATCACTTCACTGCACTCCAGCCTGGGTGGCAGAGGGAGACTCTGTCTCAAAAAAAAAAAAAAAAAAAAAAAGACGGGCTGCCCTTCAACAGGTGCTGCTTACATCAAGGTAAGTATCTCCCCTGAGCTTCCCAGTCTGAGGAGTTTCCTAAAGCCTGGAATCCTTTGCTGCCAGCCCTGAAATAGGAAAGCTGTGAGTGTCTGTTGTC
The DNA here is from genome assembly GCF_000001405.40 of Homo sapiens. Lineage (NCBI taxonomy): Eukaryota > Metazoa > Chordata > Mammalia > Primates > Hominidae > Homo > Homo sapiens. The sequence goes on along the minus strand of NC_000001.11, from coordinate 10,454,029 downwards.
CTTCATTCCTCCTCAGCAGTTAGGGAGCTGTTCTGGTGCCAAATCCTGGACAAAATAACAAGAGCATGAACTTGAAGTTGCCCAGGGCCTGATTACCCAGATCTACACACCTGACTCTACTGAACTACAGAAAAGGCCACCAAAAACCAGATGGTGGGAAATGACCATTTTACCCTGATTTATTAATCACAAGCATATTCATCTGGTCTAACATGCAGCTGATGCCAGTTAATGTCGTATGAAGTCCCCTGAACTAAGGTAGGCTTAGACTTGAATTTCCTGGCAGTAGCACTAGTAGAGCCTCATTATCCTACAGATAACTACTTAGTTAAAAGGTAAAATCCCCAATCTTAAAGTCTGTGTGGATGACCCCAATGTATTTTATTTTTTGAGACGGAGTCTCACTCTGTCGCCCAGGCTGGAGTGCAGTGGCACAATCTTGGCTCACTGCAATCTCTGCCTCCCGGGTTAAGGTGATTCTCCTGCCTCAGCCTCCTGAGTAGCTGGGATTACAGGTATGTGCCACCAAGCCCGGCTAATTTTTGGTGTTTTTAGTAGAGACAGGGTTTCACCACGTTGATCAGGCTGGTCTTGAACACCCGACCTCAGGTGATCCACCCAGCTCGGCCTCCCAAGGTGCTGGGATTACAGGTGTGAGCCACCACGCCCAGCCCCTATTTTATCTTATTTTACTATTATTTTTGAGACAGAGTCTCGTTCTGTCACCCAGGCTGGAGTACAGTGGCATGACCTCGGCTCACTACAACTTCCGCCTCCCAGGCTCAAGTGATTCTCGTGCCTCAGCCTCCCAAGTAGCTGGGATTACAGGGGTGCACCATCACGCCTGGGTAATTTTTGTATTTTTAGTCGAGACAGGGTTTCATCATGTTGGCCAGGCTGGTCTCGAACTCCTGGCCTCAAGTGATCTGCCTGCCTCAACCTCCCACAGTGCTGGGATTACAGGCATGAGCCACCGCGCCCTGCCGACCCCAATTTAAAAACTGAAAAACAATAAGCATGGCTTCTTTCTAGAAAAAATCTTTAAAAAAAACAAAGTTCTGGAAGGTTAGCTGGCCTTTCAGGCAGGCATCTTCCACCAGTGCACTGACCCAATTCCTGGTCTCCTAAAGCTGCTGTGTTTGGAAACGTGGATGCTATTAAGTCTCTTCCATCACATTATACTTTATTCAGCTAGTAATTATGAATATGAGCTCAGCTCGGCAGAAAACAACGGACGGTCAGCAGCCATTCTCAGGGAGTCCGCTCCCCTGGTGTCCAGAGAAGAGAATATTCCCGTGTCCTCCAGCCAGCCTTTGCTGGTTTTCCCAATGAAGTTTAGCATCGAAAAACCTTCATGGCCAGGCGCAGTGGCTCACGCTGGTAATCCCAGCACTTTCTGAGGCCAAGGCAGGTGGATCACCTGAAGCCAGGAGTTCGAGACCAGCCTGACCAACATGGAGAAACCCCGTCTCTACTAAAAATACAAAAATTAGCCAGGCGTGGTGGTGTGTGCCTGTAGTCCCAGCTACTTGGGAGGCTGAGGCAGGAGAGTCACTTGAACCTCGGAGGCGGAAGCCACAGTGAGCTGAGACCGTGCCATAGCACTCCAGCCTGGGCAACAAAAGCGAAACTCCATCTAAAAAAAAAAAAAAAAAAATTAGCCAGGCATGGAAGCGCATGCTGTAGTCCCAGCTACTCAGGAGGCTGAGGCAGGAGAATCACATGAACCTGGGAGGCGGAAGTTGCAGTGAGCTGAGACCGCGCCATAGCACTCCAGCCTGGGTGACAGCTAGACTCCGTCTCAAAAAAAAAAAAATTCTGTGGGTAGCCTTCATTCCTCCCAAAGCAAATCTGAAGCTATAATCCATGAAAAGAATTGCAACCCATTAAGCTACTAATTAAAACTGGTACATAACAGCAAGTTCGAGTATCAGTTTCACAGGCATGTCAGCAGGTTTTCTGTTTAATATGTTTTAAAATTAATTTCAGCTAAAACATGAGGAATAATCATTTTGCTCTTCGAGCCTGATATTAAAAATTTGCTTTTAATGTGAGGGAAATATTTTTTAAATTAGACAATTCATATCAATTCATAAACTGAAATAAGATGTTATTCTGAACTCTTAATTGTGTAGCCTTTAGCTATTTTATTTTAAATCAAAGACAGAGCTTCCCAGCACCATAATGAACATCAGAAGAAAAGCCCAGTGCCCGCACTCAGCACAGTCCAGTCGAACCACAAAAAAATCTTTATCAAAGATCTTCACTTTGGGTTCCAAATTACTCAAGACACGTCAGTATTGGGCATTATTGGAATTTAAATAACAAACACTTTTCAAATGACTTGGGAAGGAGGAGAGGAAAGATCACTGCTGCTTAATACATTTTATTCAGGTCTGTCATTACACTTGCGTGAGCATTCATGGGTGAGGTTTTATTTGCAGGAGGAGAAGGTCTTCCAGAAGAAGTTCCTGCAGGGCATTCTGTCCCGGCGCGCAGATTGCTGGGGGGGTGCGCCTTCCTGCCGCCTGGCCACCTCCCGGGCTTCCTCTCCTATGAGGGGCCCGGCACTGGCCTGGGAGGTCCACTCAAACCACCAAGCGAGGAAAGTCAGGAGGCTGCTTTTCCTTATTCCTGCCGCTTCCTGCATATGCTTTTAAAGAGAAGCAGATGGCAAAGGAAAGAAAACTCAGCAATCTGGCTCAGGCAGCAAGCATTCAAAGATATGCAATCTCCTCCTTACTTAAAAAAAAAAATGATCTAAAAGACTACCCTGGAGAAAAGAGAAAGAAAATATTAAAATGAAAAGATGCTCCATAGCGATAAGCCTCATTTCCATTTAACGGATGAGGATGAGAAAGTGAAGAGAATACCTTAAAGAAATTGCTTTAATTAGAGAAAAGTTGGTCATTTTAAGTCAAGGGAAGAAACCTGGTTTTGCTCCATACTCTGCTAAGGTCCTTAATTAGGAGAGGTCGGGAAATCTGCCATTTTCCCCTCAGTGACTGGCAGCTGAGAAGCCCGGAGTTGGATCAGGCTAATTTACTCATTCTCCCACCTTTGGCCACACTCCTGGATGTTCACAAGTTGCTTTCTGAGACGATGGGACTGAAACAAACGTTATATTCTGGTTTTTCAAATTCCTTAGAAAGCTTCTGGGAGTAATCTGCTGATAAATGGCCTGCCTGAAACTCATCTGGTAATTTTAGAGAAAAATCCATTTTTAATGCTCAACTTTATATACCCTTTCTTGGAACTTTCTCAAAATGGAAAAAAGAACAATCAATCACCTCACGAAGTTACAAATTCTCACAACGGAAAATGTAATGATGCCAATTACTCTGAGCCAGTGGGAGCCTGTGCTATGTATAACTGAAGGCTCTGGAAGGGCTGTCGCAGCTCCATGCCTGCCCTGCAGTGGACGGGTACACTCGCTTCCCCTTTCCCAGACACCCGACGGAGGGCCCTCCTTGAGCTGCACAGGTTTCCAGCAGGCTTCATGGGTTGGGACATGTAACTGAGGATCAGTGGTCTGAATGCGGCATCCCAGTACCTCGGGCCAGCCAAGAACACTACAAAGTTGAGCCGTGTGTCCTGTCCAAGCTGTGAAGTGCAACACACGTGCACACACACACACCATGCAGGCCAAAAAGCCAACAAGAGACAGAGAGTGGGCTAGCGTGTGGCCACGTCGGGACTGTACTCACCTCGCTGTCTCGGCCGGTGGGGCCACCCTCCAGGGGCAGGGCAGCGGTGGCCGTGGCCCCGGAGAGCAGCAGCAGCAGGAGGCCGGGGGACAATGGCATCTTGTGGGCTGACTGGAGCTTCTCTCCCACCCTGCTGCTGCTCTTCCTTCCTGGCAGCCCTGAAATCAATGTTTTGGGGACTTGGGTCTCTTCTTTGGAGCTTGGTGGGTATTTTAAGCCCAATCTCCAGCTGTTTTTGTGTCTATACATGTCTAACGCCTGGATCCTCTTCCCTCTTCCCTCGCGCAGTGACGCAGAAGCTGGAGCAATCAGTGCCCACAAAAGCGCTCTGGGGTTGGATGTAACCCCTTAATTAAAGCTTCAGGTCTTTTCCTGTGTTTAGAGCGAATTTGCTCTTATTTTGGAACGCATGTGCGCTTGCTTCTGGAGAAGTTCTGCTTCCTCGTAATTATGCCTATAGCAGGCAGGAAGCCGTGAGAACAAAAACAAGTGATTTAACATAATATAAAATTAGCCTAGGATAAGGAGCTTGAATGTGAAATTGTGCCCATGTGAAAGTATGACTGAAACTCATCCAGTAATTTCAGAGACATTCTTCTACTATGGGCAGAGAAACAAGGAGGCAATGGGGGCTCAGAGACGCTACGATCGTATCCGCTGGTTTCACCCAATTGTCGGCAAGGAGGCCCCAAGAATCGCTCCCAGTACTGCCTCTCAGCCCAGCATGCCAGACCCACTGTCCTCTAGGCCAGGCCTTCTCAAACTGAAGTGCAGACGGATCACTTTGCAGGCAGGTCCTGATGCACTGGGGCAGGGAGGAGTTGAGAGCTGCATTTCCAACAAGCACCCAGGCACTGCTGGCCCTGGGGCAGCCGGGCTCTGGCCCACCCAGGCTGGGGTGCAATGGCGCGCTCAACTCACTGCAACCTCCGCCTCCTGGGTTCAAGTGATTCTCCTGCCTCAGCCTCCCGAGTAGCTGGGATTACAGGCACCCGCCACCATGCCTGGCTAATTTTTGTATTTTTTGTAGGGACAGGGTTTCACCACGTTGGCCAGGCTGGTCTCGAACTCTTGATGGTCCAGTGTTTTCTTTTTTTGAGATGGAGTCTCGCTCTTGTTGCCCAGGCTGGAGTGCAATGGTGTGATCTCGGCTCACCGCAACCTCTGGCTCCCGGGTTCAAGTGATTCTCCTGCCTCAGCCTCTCGAGTAGCTGGGATTACGGGCATGTGCCACCACGCCTGGCTAATTTTGTATTTTTAGTAGAGACGGAGATTCTCCATGTTGGTCATGCTGGTCTCGAACTCCCGACCTCAGGTGATCCACCCACCTCGGCCTCCCAAAGTGCTGGAATTACAGGTGTGAGCCACTGCCCCCAGCCTGGACCAGTGTTTTCTTTTTGTTTTTGGATGGAGTCTCGCTCTGTCACCCACGCTGGAGTACAGTGGCATGATCTTGGCTCACTGCAATCTCCATCTCCCGGGTTCAAGCAATTCTCCTGCCTCAGCCTCCAAGTACCTGGGACTACAGGCGCTGGCCACCATGCCCAGCTAATTTTCTGTATTTTTAGTAGAGACAGAGTTTCACCATGTTAGCCAGGCTGGTCTCAATTTCCTGACCTCATGATCTGCCCGCCTTGGCCTCCCAAAGTGCTGGGATTACAAGCGTGAGCCACCGCGCCCGGCCTGGTCCAGTGTTTTCTAAACTGCTCCTGACCACCCACTTGTGGGTCATAGGCCAGTACTTTCCTTTCGAATGAAATTAAAATTAGTGTGCATCACCCGTAGTAAGGATAAATAATGATTCGCATTGTGTGTGTCAGGTGTGAGATGTGCTGTTACTGCAGGGCACAGTCAGTTTGGGAAGCAGTGCCCGGCCCTGCCCTTGGCCAGCTCCCAGGGCTCTCTCTCCTCCTGAGGCTGGCACCACTGCTGAGAGTGCAGACCATGGAGTCCCTCTCTGTGCCACCTGCTGGTTCTTCCTCACAGGCCCTCATTGCTGAATCACACAGACAAATGCACAGACCCCTTTGCCCAACGAGACACCGAGTAAAATCTGAAACATCCACCCAAACCTGCTACAGATGACCAGCATCCAAGGCAAGGCTATAAATTGAGGTAACGCAACCCAAAACTGCCGGCACTTTCTAGAAGTGAACATGTTTGTTTTCAGTTTTCCAAAGTCCTGGTTTACACCTTCAGCAGGGAAATCTCAATCTTGAATTTGTCACAGTCTTTTTGCTTATGTTAAAATCCTAGGTAAGATCAGCATGGCCTGCTGGCCAGAGGCTTATACATCGTATGTTGCTTCATCTTTTATTTATTTTGTTTTTTGTTTTTTTTTGTTTGAGATGGAGTCACTCTGTTGCCCAGACTGGAGTGCAGTGGCTCGATCTCAGCTCACTGCAAACTCCGCCTCCCAGGTTCACACCATTCTCCTGCCTCAGCCTCCTGAGTAGCTGGGACTACAGGTGCCCACCACCACGCCCGGCTGATTTTTTTGTATTTTTAGTAGAGATGGGGTTTCACTGTGTTAGCCAGGATGGTCTCGATCTCCTGACCTCGTGATCCGCCCGCCTCGGCCTCCCAAAGTGCTGGGATTATAGGCATGAGCCACCGCACCTGGCCCATCTTTTATTTCTGTACCAAAATAATTCCCACAAATGACACTAAAAATTTTGAGTTATATTTGCAGATGAGACATTCACAGCAGTTCAGCCAGCTTCTTTTTGTTTTTGAGACGGAGTCTTGCTCTGTCACCCAGGCTGGAGTGCAGTGGCACAACTTCAGCTCACTGCAACCTCTGCCTCCCAGGTTCAAGGGATTCTCCTGTCTCAGCCTCCCAAGTAGCTGGGATTACAGGCAGGAGCCACCACGCCCAGCTAATTTTTGTATTTTTAGTAGAGATTTCACCATGTTGGCCAGGCTGGTCTCAAACTTCTGAACTCAAGTGATCCACCCATCTCAGCCTCCCAAAGTGCTGGGATTACAGGCATGAGACCACCACACCCGGCCTCACCAGCTTCCTATATCGTTAGTCTAGTGTGCCAATTTTATTCAATGAGCTCATTAAACATTCTGAGCACCCAGTATGGAACTTGCAATACCACAAGGGACCCACACCACCCACACCCTGACAGAGGTGTTGCAGCCTCAAAGAAATCGGATACATAGACACAAATGAAAGACAAGGACATTTTTCAGTGCGAGAAGAAGTGTGCAAAGGGGAATGTGCTGCAAATTGGGGAAGGCTTCATGAGAACTGATAATGACTGTTTCAAGAAGGTGACAAACTTTAGGAGGTGGAGACAAGAGGATCACTTAAGCCCAGGAGTTCAAGACCAGACTGGGCAACATAGCAAGACCCCATCTCTACCAAAAAAAAACAAAAATTTAGCCAGGCATGGCAATGCACACCTGCAGTCCTGACTACTTGGGAGGCTGAGGCGAGAGATTCGCTTGAGCCCAGGAATTCAAGACCAGCCTGGGCAACATGGCAAAACTCCATCTCTACAGAAATTAGCTGGACGTGGAGGCACATACCTGTGGTCTCAGCTACTTAGGGGGCTGAGGTAGGAGGATCACCTGAGCATGGGAGGTCAAGGCTGCAGTGAGCCAAGATTGTGCCACTGCACTACAGCATGGGTGACAAAGTGAGACTTTATGACAAAAAAAAAAAAGAAAAAATTTAGCCAGGTGTGGCAACACACACCTACAGTCTCGGGCACTTGGGAAGCTGAGGCAGGAGGATTGCTTGAACCCAGGAATTCGTGGCTGCAGTGAGCTGTGATCATGCCACTGTACTGCAGCCTGGCTGACATAGCAAGAGCCCATCTCAAAAAAAAAAAAAAAAAAAAAAAGGCCGGGTGCAGTGACTCATGCCTATAATCCCAGCACTTTGGGAGGCTGAGGCAGGAGGATCACTTGAGCCCAGGAGTTCAAGACTAGCCTGGGCAACATGCAAAACCTCACCTCTACCAAAAAAAAAAACAAAAAAAAAAACTAGCTGGACATGGTGGCACACACCTGTGGCCCCAGCTACTTGGGGGGCTGAGGCAGGAGGATCACCTGAGCTTGGGAGGTAGAGGCTGCAGTGAGTCAAGATTGAGCCCCTGTACTCCAGCATGGGCGACAAAGTGAGACCTTGTCTCAAAAAGAAAAGAAAACTTAGCCAGGTGTGGTAACACACACCTGCAGTCTTGGGTACTTGGGAGGCTGAGGCAGGAGGATTGCTTGAGCCCAGGAATTCATGGCTGCAGTGAGCTGTGATATACCACTGTACACAGCAAGAGCCCATCTCGAAAAAGAAAAGAAAAAAGAAAAGGCCAGGTGCAGTGACTCATGCCTATAATCTCAGCACTTTGGGAGGTTGAGGCAGGAGGATCACTTGAGTCCAGCTCAGGAGCTTGAGACCAGCCTGGGCAACATTCTGAGACCCTATCTCCACAAAAAAAACTAAAAAATTAGGCAGGCATGGTAGCGCATGCCTGTAGTCCCAGCTACTCAGGAGGCTGAGGCAGGAGGATCACTTTAGCCTGGGAGGTGGAGGCTGTAGTGAGTCATGATTGTGCCACTGCACTCTAGTCTGGGTGACAGAGTGAGACGCTGTCTCAATGAAAAAAAAAAAGCACAAAGTCTCTGAAAGTTATACAGCTACTAGGGTTGCAAACCCAAGAAGCAAACCCAGATCTTTCAACCTTTGGAAAGTCTATAGTATCTATTCCCTAAACTCTTCTTGATGAGTTTTATTATTTATTTATTTTATCTATTTTATTCTACTTTATTTTATTTTATTTTGAGACTTAGTCTCACTCTGTCACCCAGGCTGGAGTGCAGTGGCACAATCTCGGCTCACTGCAGCCTCTGCCTCCTGGGTTCAAGCGATTCTCCTGCCTCAGCCTCCCGAATTTATTTTATTTTTTAGAGTCGGGGTCTTGTTCTGTCACCCAGGCTGCAGTGCAGTAGCACAGTCACCTCACTAAAGCCTTGAACTCCTGGGATCAAGCAACCGTCTGCCTCAGCCTCCTGAGTAGCTAACTGGGTCTACAGGCATGCATCACCATGCCTAACTTATTTTTTACTTTTTTTAGAGATGGGGTCTCACTGTGCTGCCCAGGCTGGTCTCAAACTCCCAGACTCAAGTGAATCTCCTGCCTCAGCCTTCCAAGTTGCTGGGACTACAGACACAAGCCACTGCACCTGGCCAATAAGGAGTTTAAAGAGTGCTTATCCAAAAATGAAACTGCTAACATACGGGCCTTTGGCTGAACGTACTAGGATGGAAGGCTTTATGATTCACTTTTCATTCACTGATATGACACACAGATACTATAATTAACATAAGAACAAGTGCTGAGCCATTTGCAGATCCGAAACCATGAAGTGTGAACTCGGTGCCCTACTCCGGCCATAGCTTAGTGCCTCCCTTTGAGAGTCAGGCTTTGGGGTATCTTTTGCTGATCATATTTGGGCACAGGTGGTGTAAATTCTACTCCAAATGAATGCCGTTTTCTCTCACCCATTCTACAGTGAGCAGCCCCAAATGTGAACACTGTCTCTTGACTATGGCTGGGTGACCCTGGGCAGCTGGTGAACCTCATCAAATTTCCATTTGCTCATGGGGAGAAGGTGGAGAATCAGATCCACACCGATCAAGTTGTGGAGATCGGTGGGGTAATACACGGAGTATCCAGTGGGTGCCTGGCACACAGAAAGGGCTCCACAAACCCTTGCCCCTTCTCCTCACCATATTGCCGAAGGGTAAAGGGAAAGGCATGTCTGGACCTCTAAGAAATCCAAAGGCATGAGAAGACAGTAGGACGGGCACCCTTGGGAGCGTTTTCTCTCACAAACTAAAACAGGATGACATGCCGAAGTGTTCTGATCTAGCAGTCCCAGATTTCCCCTCAGGCAAAACTTCCCTGAGCAGAACCATAGCTTTGTTGCAAAATAGAGAAAAGTCACAGACAGCCAGGTGCAGTGGCTCATGCCTGTAATCCCAACACTTTGGGAGGCCGAGGCAGGAGGATTGCCTGAGGTCAGGATGTTCAAGTCCAGCCTGGCTAAGATAGTGAAACCCTGTCTCTACTAAAAATACAAAAATTAGCTGGGCGTGGTGCCACACACCTGTAATCCCAGCTACTCAGGAGGCTGAGGCAGGAGAATCGCTTCAACCCAGGAGGCGAAGGTTGCAGTGAGCTGAGATCACACCACTGCACCCCAGCATGGGCGGCAGAGCAAGACTCCCTCTCAAAAAAAAAAAAAAAAAAAGTCACCTAGAGAAAATCACTTTTAAAAAGTAAAGGCTGGGCTGGGTGCAGTGGCTCATGCCTGTAATCCCAGTACTTTGAGAGGCCAAGGCAGGTGGATCACAAGGTCAGGCGTTCAAGATCAGCCTGGCCAAGTTGGTGAAACCCCGTCTCTACTAAAACTACAAAAATTAGCTGGGCGTGGTGGCGGGCACCTGTAATCCCAGCTACTCAGGGGGCCGAGGCAGAGAACTGCTTGAACCTGGGAGGCAGAGGTTACAGCGAGCCGAGATCACGTCACTGCACTCCAGCCTGGGCAACACAGCGAGACTCCATCTCAAAAAAAAAAAAAAAAAAAAAAACAGTAAAAGCCGGGCACAGTGGCTCACGTCTGTAATCCCAGCACTTTGGGAGGCCGAGGCGGGTGGATCACAAGGTCAAGGAGATTGAGACCAGCCTGGCCAACACAGTGAAACCCCGTCTCTACTAAAAACACAAAAATTAGCCAGGTGGGGTGGCGTGCTCCAGTAGTCCCAGCTACTCAGGAGGCTGAGGCATGAGAATCGCTTGAACCCGGGAGGCAGAGGCTGCAGCAGTGAGCCAAGATCACGCCACTGCACTCCAGCCTGGGCGACAGAGCAAGACTCTGTCTCAAAAAAAAAAAAAAAAAAAAAAAAAAGCACAAACACACAAATTAGCTGGGCATGGTGGTGCATGCCTGTAGTCCCAGCTGCTTGGGAAACTGAGGCAGGAGATCGCTTGAACCCGGGAGGCGGAGGTTGCAGTGAGCTGAGATCACGCCATTGCACTCCTGGCAACAGAGCAAGACTCTGTCTCACACACAAAAAAGTAAAAAATAATAAATAAAAAAATAAAAAGGCTGGGCGCAGTGGCTCACGTCTGTAATCCCAGCACTTTGGGAGGCCAAGGTGGGTGGATCATGAGGTCAGGAGTTCAAGACCAGCCTGGCCAAGATGGTGAAACCCTGTCTCTACTAAAACTACAAAAATTAGCCAGTCATGGTGGCAGGTGCCAGTAACTTAGCTACTCGGGAGGCTGAGACAGAGAATTGCTTGTACCCGGGAGGCAGAGGTTGTAGTGAGCTGAGATCGTGCCACTGCACTCCAGCCTGGGTGACAGAGCAAGACTCCGTCTCAAAAAAAAAAAAAAAAAAAAAAAAGTCAAAAGGGCCATTCCCAAACATATGCCCTTTTACCTGGTGACCAAAGGCGGCATGTGTTTAAAAACAACATTAGTAACCAGAAAAGCTAAATAAATATAGCTTTATTCATCTTTCAGAGATTGCCATTTAGCCTAGAAAATTACATCAAAAGATGAACTGATTTTTGCTTGAAAAAGTCAACCATGTTTAATTGCTCACACAATTTTAATTACAACAGATGTAATTTCTAATATATACCATTTGATCACACACCATTTTTATGTTCTGGAGTGAGACCTGGGAGTATTTTGCTTAAGACTTTCTCATTCTCTAAAACTAGCTTTGGCAGTTAACAATGTGGAGAATTCAGCACAAAAAGCACCCTAGCCCAGCCTTTTTATTTTATTTTTTTAAATCTCTATTTAACCCTTCAAAGTTTCCTTTGCAGCCATATGCATTTCTAGGTGGCTCTACCTGTAGAAGGCTGCACTTTCCAAGCGGCGAGGGACTTTAATTCTCACTTTCCACCACTCCAGCCTCTGCTGGCTGCCTTGAATTTTTGCTTCCATCCTCTGACTTCTTTTTCTTCTGTGCTTTTCGTTCTAGGTTAATCTGAGCAATCTCTTCACTTTTGTCTGTGATGTATTTTAGCTATAAAAAAAAAATCTGTATTTATATCTGGCTGTAACCATTTTATAAACCTAAATAAACAAACAAACGAAACTAAACCCTCCACAACCACCTCTGACTCAAAGAATTTGGGTAGAAAAGCCAAAGCCTGGGTTACATTTCTAAGAATTAAACGCAGCTTCAATTTTTTTTTTCTTTTTTTTTAAATTTTTTGTAGATATGAGGGTCTCACTATGTGGGCAGGCTGGTCTCAAACTCCTGGGCTCAAGCCATCCTGCCTTGGCCTCCCAAAGTTCTGGGATTATTGGCATGAGCCACTACACCTAGCCAATAAGTTGTGTTATTAAGAGTTGTGGCCAGAGGTCGGGTGCGGTGGCTCACGCCTGTAATCCCAGCACTTTGGGAGGCTGAGGCAGACAGATCACGAGCTCAGGAGATCGAGACCATCCTGGCTAACACGGTGAAACCCCGTCTCTACTAAAAATACAAAAAATTAGCCAGGTGTGGTGGTGGGTGCCTGTAGGCCCAGCTACTCGGGAGGCTGAGGCAGGAGAATGGCATGAACCCAGGAGGCGGAGTTTGCAGTGAGCCGAGATCACGCCACTGCACTCCAGCCTGGGCCACAGAGAGAGACTCCATCTCAAAAAAAAAAAAAAAAAAAAAAAGAGTTGTAGCCAGGTGCGGTGGCTCATGCCTGGAATCCCAGCACTTTGGGAGTCCAGGGCAAGCAGATCATTTGAGCCCAGGAGTTTGAGACCAGCCCAGGCAATATGGTGAAACCCCGTCTCTACAAAACATACAAAAATAGCCGGGTGTGGTGGCATGCACCTGTAGTCCCAGCTACTTGAGAGGCTAAGGTGAAAGTATCACTGGAGCCCAGGAGACGGGGACTGCAGTGAGCAATGATGCGCCACTGCCCTCAGCCTGGGTGACAAAGTGAGACCCCGTCAAAAAAAAAAAAAAAAAAAAAAAGTTGTGGCACATGCCTGTAATCCTGGCATATAGGGAAACCAAGGCGGGAGGACTGCCTGAGCCCAGGAGTTCAAGACCAGCCTGGGCAACAGAGAGAGACTGCATGTCCAAAATTTAAAAAAAGAAAAAAAAAGTTGTGAGCATTAAATAATATACGTAAAATAGTATCTGGAAAAGCCCCTGTAAACTGCTATACAAATTCATTCACTCAACAACTATTTATTGAGCCCTTCCTGTGTGCCAGGCACACAGGTGCGTTCTAGGCAACACAGATGGAGAGAGAACAAAGAGACAAAAGCCCCTGCTCTTGTGGGGCCCACATTCTATCACAGCCATCACGTGCTTTAATGTCTAGCATTACACTCAGTCAGGAAAGCTCCCCGCTGTCCTGGCTCTGCTACTGGCCAAAGCCACTAGCCTGGGATGACCAGAGTATCTCTGGGTCTTCACCTGAACAACGGAGGCTTGGTCAAATGATTTCTAGACTTGAAAATATGGAAAATGTGTTTTCCTGCATATCCAGCCATACGGAAACTCCGTCCATACCTGGCCTATTCGGAGAACTGTGAATACAATAACAAAACTATCCCTGCAGATTGGCCTGTGACCAGTCTCTGACATCATGTTGTAAATGAAACATGGGACCAAAGTTTTGAGGTATTACAAAAACAGGCAAATTGTAAAATCCAGAGAGTGCTGATTAGAAAATTTCAAATTGGCTTAGCAAGATCCATCATAATGAAAGCAAGACTGTAAATTACAGGCAGGTCTGAATGGTTCAGCCACCTCTAGTTTCTAATGCAAGGTGCCCTGGGGAATAACTTCATGGCTTCAAGTGATTGATTGGGAATAATGTATTCCGATGGGAAAGGGGAGTGAGGAAAGAAATTCATCTCTCACCAGTGAATTACTCCTCCTGGCTAAGAGCTTCACATCTTCAGTGTTAATTGTGGTTCTTTTCGCATGTCTGCAGAAAGGGCAGAAGCAAGTCACCAAAATGTTTGGTATTATTTAAAGTTTTGATGAAACACAGAAGTTCACGGTCAGACTTCAAACTAGCAGGGATCTCTAAGTAGCCCATCCTTTTAGATAAAGGGCATTAAGCAAAAGTGACACAAAAATTAGTGAAGTTCCTAAGACCCCAATTAAGTAAAGAGATGGAGAATGCGGAGGCCCATCTCTCCACCTCCGCTTAGGGCCAAGGGTACCCGAAGCATAAGAGCACAGACAGGAGGCTGGGGGCTTAGCGCCCTTCCAAACCTGGCTTGCTTGGCCACAGCTAAGGCCACAGAAAAATCAAGAAGGTCAGTGTACAACTCTAGTGCAGAGAAAATGGGCCTCATGATACAGAGGGCACCTGCTTAAATAGACATTAAATAGAAGAACAAAGAGAACCTCCACAAAGGATGGCTTTACTTAGGTCAAGATCCTGATGTTCTCCAAGGGCTAACTTAACAGGAAAAAGCATATGCAGGCACCTCCTAAGGCCCCATTCCCAACAAGTAGTTAATGCATTCCCTCCGCAATAACCCAGGTAGAACAAAGAACATCCTTCTTTCTTCTTTTTTTTTTTGAGACAGAGTCTCGTTCTGTCGCCCAGACTGGAGGGCAGTGGCACGATCTTGGCTCACTGCAACCTCCGCCTCCCGGGTTAAAGCAATTCTCTGCCTCAGCCTTCTGTGTAGCTGGGATTACAGGCGCCCGCCACCATGCCCCACTAATTTTTTTGTATTTTTAGTAGAGACAGGATTTCACCATCTTGGCCAGGCTGGTCTTGAACTCCTCACCTCATGATCCAGCTGCCTCCCAAAGTGCTGGGATTACAGGCGTGAGCCACCAAGCCCAGCCACAAAGAACACCCTTTAAACTGGAGTCTGCTTCTTGCTCACAAGTTGGACTCAAATTCTCATTCTAGTCCTTTTATCTTTGCTAGGAAAGGTAATTTGAGATAATAAGCTCGATTCAATAATATATTACTCTGATTACACCCTTCTTCCATTTCTAACTTCCCCACAAAATACACAGGTACTTTGTAAGCAGGAATAAATAGGAATCTTTGCATCCTTAATAACTAGCAAACTGGCCAGCACACATGGTGAGTCCTCACTGAACAACTGCTAAGTTAAAAGATAAATTCAACACAGAAATTATTCTCCATAATTTGGCCAAATTAATCCTTTACATTCTGCTAAATAGACAAATATCACGTGTCATCTCATCGTGATTGACAATATCTGCTTGTCATGACATTAATACCCACTTCAAGAGATAATTTTCTAATTAGCAACCTGCAAGGACCAGGACACAGGGGAGAAAAAAGACAGAGGTGACATAAAAGCAGCCACAAAGAATGAGGTCAGTCCACAGACGTTCTGGGTGGAGAATGTTAAGTGCACATGGACAGGGTGGCCTAGTCTCAACCTCACAACCAGGCTGCTCTGTCTGTATTTACATTCTTCTTAAAGTACAGTAAAAGGAATAAGCACAATGAACTGTTTACATAGTGAACTTATCTGTTTACGAGAAAGCGTTTAGGAAACAACGATCTCAGTCCTCTCCACCACTTCAGCTTGGCCTCTGCTATCTCTGCACTAAGGCCCTCAATGGAGGGGCAGGGCATCCTCTGCCCGCCACTGCATATCACAGACTCTCCTAAGTCAAACCTCCAACTCCAGAAAATTACTCTAGCTAGGGAAAATCAAAAGCAATTTTTCATATAACACGCTTTGTAACACGGGCTTTAAAGACGATTCCCAAAAGTTTCCAGAATGTATTTCCTATAGAATATCTATCTTCTTCAAAATGTTTGATTGTTAACAATACTAGGAGACTAGAGATTTCAAAGCTAAATAAAGAAATTCACAACTCAGGCCAGGTGTGGCGGCTCATGTCTATAATCCCAGGACTTTGGGAGGCCGAGGTGGGTGGATCATTTGAGGTCAGGAGTTCGAGGCCAGACTGGCCAACACAGTGAAACCCTGTCTCTACTACAACGACAAAAATTACCCGGGCATGGTGGTGGGCACCTGTAATCCCAGCTACTTGGGAGGCTGAGAAAGGCGAATCGCTTGAACCCAGGAGACGGAGACTGCAGTGAGCCGAGATCACACCACTGCACTCCAGCCTGGGTGACAGAGTGAGACTCCGTCTCAAAAAACAAACAAAACAAAACAAAACAAAAATTCAGATTGGCAGTTGCTTTCCAAAGTCTGCTAGTGAATTGATTATTTAGAATTTAATTGTGTATTCTCTGGCCAGGCATGGTGGATCACACCTGTAATCCCAGCACTTTGGGAGGCCGAGGCAGGCGGATCACCTGAGGTCAGGAGCTTGAGACAAGCCTGGCCAACATGGTGAAACCCCATCTCTATTAAAACCACAAAAATTAGTGGGTGTGGTGGCATTTGCCTGTAGTCCCAGCTACTCGGGAGGCTGAGGCAGGAGAATCACTTGAATCCGCAAGGCAGAAGCTGCAGTGAGCCGAGATTGAGCTGCTGCTCTCCAGCCTGGGCGACAGAGAGACTCTGTCTCAAAAAAAAAAAAAAAAAAAAAAAATTGGCCAGGCACAGTGGCTCATGCCAGTAATCTTAGCACTTTGGCTGGCCGAGGTGGGTGGATCACCTGAGGTCATAAGTTTGAGACCAACCTGGCCAACATGGTGAAACCCCGTCTTTACTAAAAACACAAAAATTAGCTGGGCATAGTGGCAGGCGCCTGTAATCCCAGCTACTTGGGAGGCTGAGGCTGGAGAATCACTTGAACCCAGGAGGCAAAGGTTGCGGTGAGTTGAGATCGCGCCATGGCAATCCAGCCTGGGCGACAGAGTGAGACTCCATCTAAAAACAAAAAACAAAAAACAAAAAAAAAACAGCCCCTGCTCTCAAGTTTCCCTCCTGCTCCAAAAAAAAAAAAAGAAATAAGAAATAAGAATCTAAATGTGTATTCTCATAGAAATTTCTCATAACAAGCTCACCAAAAAGAAAAAAGATGCCAGGCACAGTGGCTCAGCTCATGCCTGTAATACCAACACTCTGGGAGGCCAAGGTGGGAGGATCACTTGAGCCCAGGAGCTCTAGGTTGCAGTGAGCTATGATCCTGCCACTGCACTCCAGCCTGGGTAACAGAGAGATCCTGTCTCAAGAAAAAAAAAGAAACAAGAAACAAGAAAATAAATTTGTCCTAATGAAACAATGTTACGAATACTCATTAGGTTCCCAGGCCAGCCTACAGAGACTATGTAACATATAGTTGACTTGAAACAGTCCATCTTTCTCAAACTGGGGTAATGATAGTCTTGGGAGTAGAGAAGTGTGACAGGGACAACTCAAATCCACAAGATAACCAAAGCTGACCTTCCAGGAATATCAATTTTATTCAGGGATAAAACAATGCTTTTTTGTATGAAAGCAAACTGGAATTCACACAAGATGAGTCTTCAAAGGAAACCTGTACTTGTGGGTTGTGCTAAGAAGAGGGGGTGCTTCCCTGCCTCTGGCTGCACCCCAGACTCCTGGAGCCTCATCACTGGACTCTGCACTCACTCAGTTCTCAGACAAAGCGTTTCCACAAACTTTTTTTTTTCTTTTCTTTTCTTTTTTTTTTTTTAAAGAGACAGAGTCTCACTCTGTCACCCAGGCTGGAGTGAAGGGGCACGATCTCGACTCACTGCAACCTCCACCTCCCTGGTTCAAGCAATTCTCCTGCCTCAACCTTTTGAGTAGCTGAGATTACAGGCGCATGCTGCCACGCCCAGCTAATTTTTTTTTTTTGTATTTTAGGAGACAGGGTTTCACCCTGTTGCCCAGGCTGGTCTCGAACTCCTGAGCTCAGGTGATCCACCCGCCTCAGCCTCCCAAAGTGCTAGGATTACAGGCGTGAGCCACGGCGCCCGGCCTCCACAAACACTTTTACATAAAAGATGTCGCCCTTCCTTGTGGAGCTTATGGTCTAAGTCACACACACATACACACACACACTCACATGCACGCACATACCCCTTTCCCCACCAGTACCCAGCAAAAGAAAATCAACTGTTTGCCGGGCGCGGTGGCTCAACGCCTGTAATCCTAGCACTTTGGGAGACTGAGGCAGGCAAATCACTTGAGGTCAGGAGTTCAAGACCGCCCTGGCCAACATGGTGAAACGCCATCTCTACTAAAAATACAAAAATTAGCCAGATGTGGTGGTACATGCCTGTAATCCCAGCTACTCAGGAGGCTGAGGCAGGAGAATCACTTGAACCCAGGAGGCAGAGATTGCAGTGAGCCAAGATTGCACCACTGCACTCCCGCCTGGGCGAGAGTGAGACTCTGTCTCCAAAAAAAAAAAAAAATCAACCTCTTATATACTTTAAAAAACACAGAATATCCGAAAGCCTAATGTGTTACCATGCTCTTTCTAATTTCATTTTTTAAATAGAATTTTTACAGAAGTATTTTCAGGCTGGGCATGGTGGCTCACACCTGTAATCCCAGCACTTTGGGAGCCCAAGGCAGGATTGCTTGAGCACAGGAGTTCAAGACCAGCCTGGGCAACATACCAAGACGCTGTGTCTCTAATATAAATATTTATGTATATGTGTGTGTGTGTGTGTGTGTATATATATATATATTATTTTTAAGTATTTAAATTTTTCATTTTTTTTTCCCACAGCTAATAAATAACAAGTAAAGGTATTAATATCTTTCACCGGGGAGGAGGGCCACACATAAGGGGCATCTGCCTGAATCAGCAATGACTAAGCCACATGAGCTATCGGTATCCCTTCCTACTACCTTATCCCTTTTGGCCAAGCTGAAGATGCTAAGCGGTTTTCAGGGACGAATATCCACAGGAATAGGACAGATTGAGAGCTTGCCCTCCGAGAACCCACTGCTTTAATTCATTCAAAACACGCACCCGAGAAACAAAGAGCTAACGGGAACAAGGTGAAAAGTAAGGGGTGTGGGAGAGGCTGGCACCGAATCCAAGTGGCAGCAAATTAGAACACTTTCGCCCTTTCAGGCCTTCGTCATTCAAATTGCTTCATAAAAGCAATTTGGTGCAATTGTTTTCAATTACCTGCGGTACTAATTGAAGAGCGGAGCATAAATCACCTGTAAAAGCTGAGGCTTTAGCAGCTGAAAGCAAGTCACCCACTTTCCAAGGAGTGCGTCTTACTCGGAACAAATGCGGCAAATGAAAACCCCTGCCTGCCATTCTGTGTACACCTGCAAGCAATTACCACCGTGGACACGCTGCAGCTCCCTCCGCAGAGGGGCGGCCACCCCCAGGCACCATGTTCTCAAACCCTGAGCAATCAAACCACCCGAAGACATGGTTTTTAATACAGGCACCAGCATTCAGGGTCCTGGAGATGGTATTCACACCTTTTTCACTTGGGACTGAATAACTTGGGTTCTTTAACAAAAAATACTTGGAAAACTTCAAAAAATGTTCAAATAAGTGTGAATCACCGTGATTGAAGGAGGCGTCATGTTCTTGCAGAACCATGATTAGAGACAAGCCTCCACAAAACACACGGAAAACTGAATAGCTAAAGCTCTCCTGAAATAACCCACCAGATGGAGAGGCCCCAAAAAGCTACACAGACGCAGTGTCGGATAATCAAGTTCTCTACCCACCTTGCAAACATTTCAAGGTCTTTGGCAAAATTTTCTGAAAGAGAAAAAAAAGATACACACTTTAGGCACCCTCCCATCTAATTTCAGAAGCAGAAAAAGTGAAGCCTTGATTTCTACAGCCAGTACAGTGACTTGACTAATATAACAAACCCTCTTAAAGGTGAAAGGAGGCATTTCCAGCAGCCCCACCATTCCATAAGAGCCTGTAGCTTTTTATTCATGACGATCTCCTTGTCCTTCCCAGAGCCCTTCACCCTTCATGGCAAGTCTTCCGTTAATTGTGACTATGCCTTTGGTTTCTAGAAACTATCCTTTAACTTCTGCTACAGTTAAGGCTTGTGAGGTCTTTCATTTCCCCTCTGAAGTCAAGCAAATACCAATGCTACAAGCTCAGCTGTCAAAGAAACTATGGGTGATATAAAAACGTTATAAAGCACTGAAATAAAGAATTTAATGTCTAATGTTCTAGCCATCAGGGCAGTTTAAAACAATAAAATAAAGGCGTTAATGCCCCAGTGTTAGTGTAATAGGAAAAAAATAGTTCTTCCCATAAAATATCCACATCTCACAGCCAAGAAGAGAAGTGTTTCACGAAGAACGCATGAGGATGATAATATTCTTGGTCTGCTGGTCAGACTCGCCACAGCTCCCACCCACGCACTGCTCCCAGGTGAAATCAACCTTTGGGGTTTACAGACATGGCTGGGGAGGCCGAAGCTTCATACCACACTGTCGGAAAGTCAGCTCCGAAATGGCCGCAATGGTCTGTTTGCTGAACTGCATCTCTTTGTCCAATGCAACTTCCTCGCAAAGACAACCCACAGTATAGTGAACTGCTGCCTTTAGCCTCTGGGGAAAAACATCAAAATATTTCACGGGTAAGGCTGCAAATAAGAGCTTTTCACGCCTTAAAAAATGAAGACCAAGGAGAGGGTCTGCTCAGCCCAATCCCTCTGGCGCTTTCCATAATGGCTGAGTGGCTTTTCAAGTGTACTAATAAGTTAATGAGACCCACTGGAGTGCGACTTGTGGAAACATTACTTCCTTGTTAATGGTTATGATTTATGTCAGGTAAAGATAAGAAATTAGATGGCAAGTCAGTGGGGAGACAGGTCAGACTGATGCCTGCCAAGGCCCTGAGTGGTTTCACTCACTTATTCCAAACTATCTGCAGAGCTCCAACTCAGTAAGGGCATATGCTAGGTGTTTGGGAAACAATGAAAAACCGGGCAGGGAACTTTGCCCTTAAGGCAGTTAATCAACAATACAGAAGGATCCCATCCCTCTGCTGCAAGCCCCTGGCAGCCCCAGGCCTGCACGTCACAGAGGACAGAAGTACAACACGGGAAAGGCTCAAGAGGGCACACCCACCCCTCTCGATTTGGAGGGTTGGGAGGCCACCTCCACGGGGCCCTCACTGCTCCTTGGCAAACCTTTTCAATACTGAAAAAGATCTCTCCACCCCTTGCAGAAAATTACCGAGAGGGGAGGATGAGCCTCAATTGCAAGACAAGCTAAGCAATGGTCTCAGCCACGTGTCGACAGAGTTCTGTTGAGCCCACCTGTGGGTACTCCGCCTCGGGGCCGAAGACACAGCTGAGCTGCACGTGATGACAGCTGAACCCACAAGGGCATAAAATCTACCAGCAAGTGTTCAACGCATAGGCAAGAGGAGGAGGAACTGCCAAAACCCAAGTCCAGGAACTCAGGATAGAGGCCAGACAGATGAGGAGGGCATCTACTTTCCTGAATTTCAGACCTCACAAGACTAGGTAAGCTGAGGCCTCTGGTAGGAGAAGCCAAAGAGGCATCAACCTGGGAGGCACGAAGATCACAGGTGTGATCACTGCACACTACAGCCTCGAACTCCTGGGCTCAAGTGAACCTCCTGCCTCAGCCTCTTGAGTAGCTGGGACTACAGGCCCACAACACCCTGCCCGGCTCAAGGTCATCTTTTTTAGGTATGGGTGGGGGTCAGGGTACAGGACATGAATTCTTCTGAATGCTCTTGGCTCCAGGAATTTTTCTCAGATCTTCCTCCTCCTCCTCCTCCCCTCCCCCTGGCTGGGCTGGGGTATCACTGCACTTAGAGGCTAAATCACTAAACTCCTCAAGGGCAGGACCCTGTCAATTTTGTTCACTGCTGCCTACCAAGTGCCTAGAACAGTTGGTTACATGAATGGGGGGAAATCGTCTACAAGCTAATCACAGCTGAGGGGCAAATTTCTCAGCCCATCTTTGCAGCTTCATCAGTAAGCATTTGTTGGTCTATTGAGAGCCAGGCTCTGTTCTAGGGACTAAGAACAGGCCGGGCACAGTGGTTCACACCTGTAATCTCAGCATTTTAGGAGGCCAAGGCGGGCAGATCACTTGAGGTCAGGAGTTCAAAACCAGCCTGGCCAACATGGTGAAACTGTCTCTACTAAACATACAAAATTAGCTGGGCGTGGTGGCAGGGGCCTGTAATCCCAGCTGCTCAGGAGGCTGAGGCAGGAGAATCTCCTGAACCTGGGAGGTGGAGGTTGCAGTGAGGCGAGATGGAGCCACTGCACTCCAGCCTGGACAACAAGAGTGAAACTACGTTTCAAAAAAAACAAAAACCAACCAAAAAAAAACAGGGTAGGCAGGACCAAAGATGACTAAATGCAATGCACCATCCTTAACTGAATCCTGGATGAAGGAAAAAAGACAGTTAAAAGAAACATCTTTAGGACAAGTGGGGGCACTTGACAATGCACATTCAATAGAGTTTTATCAAAATTAATTGTCCCACTTCCTGAGTGGGACAATTTATTGAAATGATGTAGTAGGAGAATGCCTTTTTTTTTTTTTTTTCTGAGATGGAGTCTCGCTCTGTCACCCAGGCTGGAGTGCAATGGTGCGATCTCGGCTCACTGCAACCTCCGCCTCCCGGGTTCAAGCGATTCCCCTGCCTCAACGTCCCGAGTAGCTGGGATTACAGGCACCTGCCACCACACTCGGCTAATTTTTGTACTTTTAGTTGAGAGGGGGTTTCCATGTTGGCCAGTCTGGTCTCGAACTCCTGACCTCAAGTGATCTGCCCACCTCGGCCTCCCAAAGTGCTGGAATTACAGGCGTGAGCCACCGCGCCCAGCCAATGCCTTGTTTTTGGGAGATGTGTACTAAAGAATTAAAATGTAAAGGCGAAGTGTCAAAATATCTGCAATTAATTCTCCAATCGCGGGGCTGGGAGGGAAGCATGGGAGCAAACAGAGCAAAATGCTAACTAGTGGTGAATCAAGGTGACGGGCATCTGGGCATTCTGTACCGTGTTCTTGCAACTTTTCTGAAGGTTTGAACTTCTCAAAAGACAAGGGGCAGGGTAGACAGCTGCTGCAGTGTAACTTTGTAGAGAGGAAACTCCCGCGTCTGGAGCTCATTCCCGCGTTTCTTCAGTCCGTCCTCTTTAAGGTCGCCACTCCGGGTCTTGCTTTTAAGCCTCTTCACGGCAACGTTCTCAGCCTCTGACGCCCCATATGCCCGGCGCTGATGAAAGGAACGAATGGGATGCCCGCAGCTACCCTGACAAGTGATTATTCTTATGACGATTTTGCAGAGAAGAAAATTGCGTCTGGGCCGAGTCGATACGATCACAAGTTGGCGGGGCAGAGATTCGAACCCACATCTAAGGACGAGCTCTGGGCCTGACTGGTCCGCACCGCGTCCCTGCATCAGTAACGAGGGGTCGACGCCTCCAGGGCCAGCGTTCCAGAGCTCCGGCCCGAACCGCCCACCGCGTACGGGCGTCACCTGGAATGTCTAATGCCGACGTTGTACCCTCACGAAAACCCCATCTGAGAAGGGGAAACCGAGGATTCATCGCAAGGCCAGAAGGTGGCCTCTCGCCGCCGGACCCCGGCGCCCGCACGCTCCCCTAGAACCGCTTCCTCCCCAGCCAGCGCAGGCCAGGGTCCAGCCGCGTTGCCGCGGAAACCGCCTCCCAGCACCACCCGCGGCAGTTAAGCCAACGCATGCGCAGCCGCGGGGGGCGCCCGGGGGCGGGGTGCCGATGAGAAGCCGCCGGGGGCTGCCGGGTACTTTTCTGTCCAGAAACTCGACGCCGTCCTGCCCCAGCCCAGCCCGACCCCCGTTTTCCTGTACCTGTTGGTAAGAGAATCGCTGCTGCTCCTCGGTCTCCGCCTCCTCCTCCATCACTGCGGGCCGACCCTGGGCAAACGCAGGAGGGCCGAGAAGGGGCGGTGGTGCGCGGCCAGGTCGGATTTTCCCGCCGCGGCGCGAGCGACGGGCCGCGCGGGCGGACAAAGTACGCAGCTCCGCCCTGCCTCGCGCGCCCCCTGGCGGCGCTCCGTTGAGGGGATTCCGCCGTCGGCCTCCAGCCAGCCCCCTGCTCAGCTTGCTCTGCGGAGGTGGCCGGGCGACGCGGGGACATGACCACCGAGGTCACTGCTGCACCCCAGAGCCTGATTCAGCGCCTGGCACAACGCTGAGCACCACTCTCCGCGAAACACGTGTGCGCATAGGTGCAAAGCGTGTTCCAGTCGGGTGTAGAGGATGCGTAGCCCACGATTTACAGATCATGTAACGCAGTACACATTATCAGGAGCTCCATGCACCTGTACCTCAGGTGTATCTTGCAAAATCGACCATCAACTTTATCATTCTATCACCAACAATAGCGTCACAAAGACTACAATGAGTGAACGACCCGTGACCTCATTCAGCGAGTGGAACAGGAACTGCGTTGTTGCCATTGGCAGGAGTATAGTTCTGACACAAGTGTTACTGTTTTTCCTTTATGTTAACGATGAAGTGAGACCATCAAACCCAATTTTGGTTTGTTTTTATTGTAGTTTTTTGAGAGGCAGGGTCTCACTCTGCCGCCCAGGCTGGAGTGCAGTGGCACCACCAAGACTCACTGTAACCTCCACCTCCTGGGCTCAGGTGATCCTCCCACTTCAGCCTCCCAAGTAGCTGGGACCACAAGCCTGCATCAGCGCACCTGGCTAATTTTTATTTTTTGTAGAGACCAGGTCTCACTATGTTGCCCAGGCTGGTATCAAACTCCTGGCTTCAAACAATCATCCCACCTCAGCCTCCCAAAGTGCTGGAATTACAGGTGTGAGCCACCATGCCCTGCCTGTATTTCTAGGTTTTTGTTTTATTATTTTTTATTGCCTATATTTCTGTATTCTGCATTTGTCACAAGCAGGTGCTACTTTCAGAACGAAGGAAAGCACATAAAGCCACTCCTTGTCTTCCTTTCCCAGGGACGTCCCTCAAGTTCCCTAAGCTTGCCAGGGGCTGAAACCCAGATCAAAGCTTTTTGGAGGAATCAGCCTTCTGAGGACTTTCCTCTGCATCTGCTCAGTGGGTGGCATCTGGAAATGACAGGCACTTCTCGCCTCTGTCCACTGCTCTCTGTGGGCATCCCAGTCTACCTGGACAGTCCTCCTGCCCAAGCAGGGCAAGCCTCTGACGGATTCCCCTAATGGGCAGCATGGGGCTGGGCAGGGCAGGCCATCCAGAGTGAGACCAAGCCTGCAGCAGGAGAGAAGGCCGGTCGCTGGTTGGTGAGCAGCCCCATTTAGAGCACACTGTGGCTGCAAAGCCCAGCTCCCTCCCTTGAGCCTGGTGACCCCAAGCAAGTCACAGGACGTGGCCAAGCTTCATGTCCCTTATTTATCAACTGGGGACAGTAGTTCCAACTTCACAGGGCAGGTGTCAGGTTTTAAACAATTGCCTCACATAAGAGCTAAAGAAATTGTAACAATTCGTCCCAGGAAGTTCCTGTGCTTTGTACCTGTGTGTTCCCTCATTTTAAAGCAGTTGCTTCCCAGGATTAAAGAACAGTATTCCAGTGACATGTGTGCAATACAGAGGCACTTAAGAGCCTCAGAGGCTAGGAGCAGTGGCTCATACCTGTAATTCCTGCACTTTGGGAGGCCGAGGCAGGTAGATCACTTGAGGTGAGGAGTTCAAGACCAGCCTGGCCAACATGATGAAACCCTGTCTCTACCAAAAAATACAAAAATTAGCCAGACATGGTGGCACATGCTTGTAATCCTAGCACTTGGGAGGCTAAGGCAGGAGGATTGCTTGAACCCGGGAGGTGAAGGTTGCAGTGAGCTGAGATCGCACCATAGCACTCCAGCCTGGGCAACAGAGCGAGACTCTGTCTCAAAAAAAAAGGTCTGAGAAATAGGTCGAGGGTTGAGGTATTCATTACAGAAAATGGAACTGGGTGTGGTGGTTCAAGCCTGTAATCCCAACACTTAGGGAGACCAAGGCAGGAGGATCACTTGAGCCCAGTTCAAGGCTATGGTGAGCCGTGATTGCCCCACTGTTTTCCAGCCAGGGTGACAGAGGGAGACACTGTCTCTAAAAAAAATAATGAAAAAAGGATATATTAATATTTGGTTGAAACTTACTTGATGAAGAAGTAGCCCTATAATCTGGCCACTAGATGTCAGTGTTGCACTACAGCGTGAAGCAAGGCCAGGGATGCCCGCTGGCAATGTTGCCATGACACTGAGCACTTTGCACTTGTCCTCGCTCTAGGCACTCATTTAATATCTCATCTGCCCTCAAAAGTAGGTGCTGTTAGCCCCATTTTACATGAGGAAACAGGTGAAAGAACTCTGCCCAAGGCTAAACTACTGGGAAGTGATAGAGACCAGATTTGATTATTAGGCTGGTTTCCGAGTTTCCGGTTTATCCACTGCCCTCACCATAAATAAGACAAAGACCTTGGTGGGTTTCTTTAATCCTTTTCATCTGCATTAAGGAGGGTTCCATAAATATTTAGTTCAGCCGGGCGTGGTGGCTCACGCCTATAATCCCAGCACTTTGGGAGGCCGAGGCAGGCGGATCACCTGAGGTCAGGAGTTCGAGACCAGCCTCAACATGGAGAAACCCTGTCTCTACTAAAAATACAAAATTAGCCAGGCGTAGTGGTGCATGCCTGTAATCCCAGCTACTCGGGAGGCTGAGGCAGGAGAATCGCTTGAACCTGGGAGGCGGAGGTTTTGCGGTGAGCTGAGATCGTGCATTGCACTCCAGCCTGGGCAAACAAGAGCGAAACTTGAAGGGGTGGGTTGCCCCTCCACACCTGTGGGTGTTTCTCGTTAGGTGGAACGAGAGACTTGGAAAAGAAAAAGACACAGAGACAAAGTATAGAGAAAGAAATAAGGGGGCCCAGGGGACCAGCGTTCAGCATATGGAGGATCCCGCCGGCCTGAATTCCCTTAGTATTTATTGATCATTCTTGGGTGTTTCTCGGAGAGGGGGATGTGGCAGGATCATAGGATAATAGTGGAGAGAAGGTCAGCAGATAAACACTTGAACAAAGGTCTCTGCACCATAGATAAGGTAAAGAATTAAGTGCTGTGCTTTAGATATGTGTACACATAAACATCTCAATGCCTTGAAGAGCAGTATTGCTGCCCGCCTGTCCCACCTCCAGCCCTAAGGCGGTTTTCCCCTATCTCAGTAGATGGAACATACAATCGGGTTTTATACTGAGACATTCCATTGCCCAGGGACGGGCAGGAGACAGATGCCTTCCTCTCGTCTCAACTGCAAGAGGCGTTCCTTCCTCTTTTACTAATCCTCCTCAGCACAGACCCTTTACGGGTGTCGGGCTGGGGGACGGTCAGGTCTTTCCCTCCCACGAGGCCATATTTCAGACTATCACATGGGGAGAAACCTTGGACAATACCTGGCTTTCCTAGGCAGAGGTCCCTGCGGCCTTCCGCAGTGTTTCTGTCCCTGGGTACTTGAGATTAGTGAGAGGTGACAGCGTGCTGGCAGTCCTAAAGCCCTCGCTCGCTCTCGGCACCTCCTCTGCCTGGGCTCCTACTTTGGTGGCACTTGAGGAGCCCTTCAGCCCACCGCTGCACTGTGGGAGCCCCTTTCTGGGCTGGCCAAGGCCAGAGCCGGCTCCCTCAGCTTGCAGGGAGGTGTGGAGGGAGAGGCGCAAGCGGGAACCAGGGCTGCGCGCGGCGCTTGCGGGCCAGCTGGAGTTCCGGGTGGGCGTGGGCTTGGCGGGCCCCGCACTCGGAGCAGCCGGCTGGCCCTGCCCGCCCAGGGCAATGAGGGGCTTAGCACCCAGGCCAGCGGCTGCGGAGGGTGTACTGGGTCCCCCAGCAGTGCCAGCCCACCGGCGCTGCACTCGATTTCTCACTGGGCCTTAGCTGCCTTCCTGTGGGGCAGGGCTCGGGACCTGCAGCCCGCCATGCCTGAGCCTCCCACCCACTCCGTGGGCTCCTGTGTGGCCCGAGCCTCCCCGATGAGCGTGGCCCCCTGCTCCACGGCGCCCAGTCCCATCGACCACCCAAGGGCTGGGGAGTGTGGGCGCATGGCGCAGGACTGGCAGGCAGCTCCACCTGCAGCCTGGTGCAGGATCCACTGGGTGAAGCCAGCTGGGCTCCTGAGTCTGGTGGGGAGGAGGAGAACCTTTATGTCTAGCTCAGGGATTATAAATACACCAATCGGCACTCTGTATCTAGCTCAAGGTTTGTAAATACACCAATCAGCACCCTTTGTTTAGCCCAGGGTTTGTGAATGCACCAATCGACACTCTGTATCTAGCTACTCTGGTGGGGCCTTGGAGAACCTTTGTGTCTAGCTCAGGGATTGTAAACGCACCAGTCAGCGCCCTGTCAAAACAGACCACTGGGCTCTACCAATCAGCAGGACGTGGGTGGGGCCAGATAAGAGAATAAAAGCAGGCTGCCCAAGCCAGCAGTGGCAACCCGCTTGGGTTCCCTTCCACGCTGTGGCAGTTTTGTTCTTTGCAATAAATCTTGTTACTGCTCACTCTTTGGGTCCACGCTGCTTTTATGAGCTGTAACACTCACCGCGAAGATCTGCAGCTTCACTCCTGAGCCAGTGAGACCACGAGCCCACGAGAAGGAAGAAACTCCGAACACATCCGAACATCAGAAGGAACAAACTCCAGATGCGCCACCTTAAGAGCTGTAACACTCACCGCGAGGGTCCGCGGCTTCATTCTTGGAGCTAGTGAGACCAAGAACCCACCAATTCCGGACACATTAGGGAGTGGTGATGACTCTTAACGAGCATGCTGCCTTCAAGCGTCTGTTTAACAAAGCACATCTTGCACAGCCCTTAATCCATTTAACCCTGAGTTGACACAGCACATGTTTCGGAGAGCACAGGGTTGGGGGTAAGGTTACAGATTAACAGCATCTCAAGGCAGAAGAATTTCTCTTAGTACAAAACAAAATGGAGTCTCTTATGTCTACTTCTTTCTACACAAACACAGTAACAATCTGATCTTTCTTTTCCCCACAAAACTCCGTCTCAAAAAAAAAAAAAAACTGCACTGTAAAATGTCAATACAAAAATCAATCTTGGCTGGGCGTGGTGGCTCATGCCTGTAATCCCAGCACTTTGGGAGGCCGAGGCGGGTGGATCACCCGAGGTCAGGAGTTTGTGACCAGCCTGGCCAACATGGTGAAACCCCATCTCTACTAAAAATACAAAAATTAGCCAGGCATGGTGGTGCACGCCTGTAATCTCAGCTACTAAGGAGGCTGAGGCAGGAGAATCGCTTGCCCAGGAGGCGGAGGTCGTAGTGAGCCAAGATCATGCCATTGCACTCCAGCCTGGGTGACAGTGAGACTACATCTCAAAAAAAAAAAAAAAAATCAATCTCCATTTCATAGGTTTATTCAAGAGAAGATAAAAATTTAAAAATAATTATCGTTAAATATTATATGTATCCTGTAAGCACATGAGGTCAGGACTTTGGACTTCTCTCACCCCGACAGAGGGTACCTAGCACAATGCTTGGCACATGGTAGGTGTACCATAAACATGCCGAATGACTGAATGAGTGGGGCGATGAACTGTGCACGCCGACAGGTCAGTTTCATGATTAAGTGTATGGACTCTGGCACCAGATCTCTGGGGTTCAATTCCAGTTCTTCAGTAGCTCTGACCTTGGACGAATTACTTAATATCAGTGTGCTTCATCTCTAAATTAGGGATAGTAATAGTGCTTACTTCAGAGGGTGCTGCGAGCATTCAATGAGTTACAGAGCCTGGCATATGCTCTCAATGTTAGCTAGTAGTATATATACTATATGAGACCCTCAGGAAAAGCCCCAAATAGTGCCGGTTCCCAACTCTGCTATGTAACAGATTTTCCTTTTCAGGGGCAGCATATGTGGCAGACTGTAATTTACGAAGATGGCAAGAACAATGTCTCCTGATCCATGTGCTTTTCTAGAACCTCATACTCCCCCATCAAGAGGTAGAGTCTAATCCTCTGCCCCTTGAGTCTGGGGGACTTGCGGCTTGCTTGGAACCGATTTTGGATGGCTATAAT
The DNA here is from genome assembly GCF_000001405.40 of Homo sapiens. NCBI lineage: Eukaryota > Metazoa > Chordata > Mammalia > Primates > Hominidae > Homo > Homo sapiens. The sequence goes on along the minus strand of NC_000001.11, from coordinate 10,424,354 downwards.
CCTGCCATGTAACATTCACAGCTGGGTTTTTAAAAGCCACGTGTGTGCTTCTGCCTCCTTAGTGAGAACCCTGGGCCAACAAACAAGATGTTTCTCTGGCCTGAGGCCATGTGATGAGGCCACATGAACTTTTTCCAGCTCATAGCCCTAGCTGAGGTCCCAGCCAACAGCCAGCATCCACCGCGAGATGAATGAGAGAGGACACTCCACGCCCCCGAGCCATGGTGCCACCCCTGCTCTCGAGTCCTCCTAGCTGAGGCCCCAGACATTGTGGAGCAGACAAGCTGCCTCTGCCTCCCCCGTCCCCCACCATGCTCTTTCCAGATTCATGACCCACAGAATTAGAAGAAAATTTAAATGGTGATTATTTTACACCACTGACTTTGGGGTGGTTTGTTACACACCAGTCCGCAGCAACTGTGACAGCATACAAGATTTAACAGAGTGAGCAGACGCATTCGCCCGCATGCTGAACAGCGTGCTGAAGGCTCCCACCCCTTCCAAAATGATGGGCTCCACATCTGCCTCAAAGAACGTGTAACCCCTGCAAATCCTTCCCTAAAGTCTCTTTGCTTGGCAATCCTTCTGCTTGGCCAGGCATGGTGGCTCGTGCCTGTAATCCCAGCACTTTGAGAGGCTGAGGCGGGTGGATCATTTGAGGTCAGGAGTTCAAGACCAGCCTGGCCAACACGGGGAAACCCTGTCTCTACTAAAATACAAAAATTAGCCGGGCGTAGTGGTGGGCACCTGTAATCCCAGCTATTCAGGAGGTTGAAGCAGGAGAACTGCGTGAACTAGGGAGGTAGAGGTTGCAGTGAGCCGAGATCGCGCCCTGCACTCCAGCTGGGAAACAGAGTGAGACTGTCTCAAAAGTGAAAACAAAACTCCTGTTTCCTTGTCTGACCCTTGTCTGTATAACACACCTTTGTGTCCCCAGTAAAGCAGAGTTGTGGCAGACATCATTAGGGGCCTATAATTTCTACCTCAAAGAAGCCACCAGATCTGTCCCTTTTAGTGGTTAGACTGAACAGGACTGACTTGGCTAAGGGCAAAACCCCTCTTTCCACCTCCTTCCACACTCAGAATTGTTTGGCAGCCTCTCTTTAGGAGGCAGGTAATAAACAGTAAACCTTACATAGTGCTCAGTGTGTGGTGGCTCTGGTGCAAGTGCCTTGTGTTTAGTCGGGAAGACGGCTCTGTGAGGTGGGTGTTATCATCATCCCTTTTATATAGAGGAGAAAATACGCACATAGAGGTTAACTAACTTGTGAAGTAAGGCTGAATTTGTGGCGGAGCCAAGATTGGGGCCCAGGGCCAGGCGTGGTGGCTCATGCCTGTGGTCTCAGCACTTGGGAGGCTGAGGCGGGAGGATCGCTTGAGCCCAGGAGTTGAAGATCAGCCTGGGCAACATAGGGAGAGCTCATCTCTACAAAAAGTTTAGAAATTAGCCAGGCGTGGCGGTGTGCACCTGGAGTCCCAGCTAGCCAGGAGGCTGAGTTGGGAGGATCACCTGAGCCCAGGAGGTTGAGGCTGCAGTGAGCCATGATAGTGCCACACTGCACTCCAGCCTGGGCCACAGAATGAGACCTTGTCTCAAAAAAAAGATAGAAATGCAGAACATGGGGCTCCACCCCACGAAGAGCCATTTTCAGGATTCTACCGAATCAGAATCTACATTTTTTCAAAATCTCGGGGGTGGTGGTGGGAGTGGGGGAGTTGTAACAGGTTAGTTTGAGAAGCTCTGACCTTTCTTAACCTCTACACCTGCTGCGCAGCACACAGAGGCACCCCCACCAGAAACCTTTTGAAGACTGGGGTGCAAAGCAAATTCACCACTGGTGCTGAGAGGTAACATCTGGTTTCTCTCAGTACAAACAGCACGCACTGCTGGCCAGGGGGTAGTGGCTTCTGCCTGTAATCCCAGCACTTTGGGAAGCTGAGGTGGGAGCAGCATCACTTGAGCCCTGGAGTTTTGAGACCAGCCTAGACAACATGGTGAGACCTTGTCTCTACAAAAAATACAAAAAATTAGTGGGGCGTGGTGGCACATGCCCGTAGAACCAGCGACTCGGGAGGCTGAGACAGGAGGAACCACCTGAATTCGGGGAGTTCAAAGTTGCAGTGAGCAGTGATTGAATCACTGCACTCCAGCCTGGGCAAGAGCAAGACCCAGTCTAAAAAAAAACCACCACTGCTCCAGGGGTCCAGGGGTCAGGCACACTCAATGGTAGTAATTGCTGCCACTATTTTTTTTTTTTTTTGAGACAGGGTTTTGCTTTATCACCGAGGCTGGAGTACAGTGGTGTGGTCATGGGTCACTGCAACCTCCATCTCCTGGGCTTAAGCGATCCTCCCACCTCAGCCTGCCACCTAGCTGGGATCATAGGTGTGCACCACTGCGCCCAGCTAATTTTTATTTTTTGTAGAGATGGGGGTCTCACTATGTTGCCCAGGCTGGTCTCAGACTCCTGGGCTCAAGCAGTCCTCCCACCTCGGCCTTCCAAAGTGCTGGGCTTACGGTGTGAGCCAGCGCACCCAGCCTTGCTGCCACTGGTGTAGGTATTTACTATGTGCCAGGCACTGCTCTATCTTCCCTTGCTGAATCCCCAAAGTAGCCTCAAGGACACAGGTGCTATTATTTCCCATTTTACAAATGAGAAAACTGAGAACACAGATAGTAAATAATTTCCCCAAAGTCTAACAGCTAGTAAGCAAGGAGGGCTGGATTTGAAACCAAACTCCACCACTCACAGCTTTTTGGAAGGTAAGCGGAAAGGGGCTGAGTGGATTCCCTTCTGATCATTACTGTTTGAAACATCGTGGGCCCTTTGACACTTAGCCTCTGACCTCTTGCTGTTCTCTCTCCATTCCAGCAGTGTCCATCCCTCAGCCTCAGAGCCAGGTGAAAAGATCCCCCTCGAACAGTGCCTTTGACAAGCCTTAAAGAAAAATCCCGTCACGTGCGGCTACTCGGGCTTCTCTTAAATGTACAGGGAGGGCAGGAGGGGTGCGTGGGGGCTGATCTAGCGAAGTACTCACATCTAGGCAGAGTTTAAAAAGTTGGTAGCAGGGCACGGTGGCTCCTGCCTATAATCCCAGCACCTTGGGAGGTCGAGGCACGAGGATTGCTTGAGTCCAGGTGTTTGACATCAGCCTGGGCATCATAGCAAGACCACATCTCTAAACAAAATTTTAAAATACGGTGGCTCACGCCTGTAATCCCAGCACTTTGGGAGGCCGAGGTGGGCGGATCACAAGGTCAGGAGATCAAGACCATCCTGACCAACATGGTGAAACCCCGTCTCTACTAAAAATACAAAAAAATAAGCCAGGAGTGGTGGCGGGCACCTGTAGTCCCAGCTACTCTGGAGGCTGAGGTGGGAGAATGGTGTGAACCCGGGAGGTGGAGCTTGCAATGAGCCAAGACCACGCCACTGCACTCCAGCCTGGGTGACAGAGCGAGACTCTGTCTCAAAAAAAAGAAAAATAAATTAAAAGTTGGTGATTTAATGAAAATTGTCTCCTTCACTGACATTAGCCGAGAGGTCAGAGGTCACACTGTAGACACCAGCTGTCGAGGCACAGGCGCTGCTCGCTCCTCTTAGGCAACTCTTAGGACTTTAACACTCCAGGGAAATCATCATGAAGTCAAACCGCTGCAGGGAACAGTCACACTGGCCCCAGGCCACACAACAATATCACTGGCAGGTTTTATCTTCTCTGAGTAAGTAAGATAAAGTGAAAAGCCTAGTTTAAGGAGCCGGCTTAGCTTGTTCAAAATCCCTGGGCCTGGCTTAGAGCAAGTAGAGACAGGTGTGGGAAAGGAAATAAATCAGACCAAGCTGAGCCCATCATTAAAGTTTAATTCTCTAGAAAGTTTAGTATGAAGTATTTGACATACAAAAAGCCATAAAGAATGTCACGCACAGCTTGCCAGGAGCAAAAAAAAAAAAAAAAAAAAAAAAGACGAAAGAAAAAGCACGTTACAGTGAACGTCCATGTACCCATTGCCCAATTGGAGAAAGAAAACATGCCCAGTGTATTAAAGCCCCTGGTGTGTCCTCCCTGCCTGCCTCCTCTGAGTGAAGCATAATCCTAAATGTGGTTTCTTGTGTTATTCTAGTCTTTTTTTTTAAAGAAAAATCTTTCTGCCAATGGGGATAATGGCTCCATGTGGCCGAGGTGAGACTAAGAATCTGGAGAAAGAGCATCAGTCTGATGTAGCTTTTATTGAGTAAAGGAAAAAGGGAATTCAGCCGCATGATACAGAGGTTCCAGTTGATCAGAGTGCGCAAACACCCTTCCTGTCTGCGTGATGGGAACCGCACCAGCACACGGGGCACGCGGAAGCCACTGCCGCAAGGAGATGGTTCCCACTCTCACGCACATGAGCAGCTCCTGGTCAGTCCCAAGAGGCAAGGGCAGAGGGCATGGTGGCTCTCACAGAGCTACTTTACAAATAAACTGTGTGTCTTCCTCAGGAGTCTCTTACAACACTTTTAAAAAACTGAACAGAAAATAGGGCAAAGGGCCAGGTGGCAGTGCCATGAGGCACATGGAATGTCCTGGTCTGTGGAATCGTGGAGGGTGACAGGAGCAGCATGATCAGGCATTGTATGACGAGGATGACACGGTGCCACCATGGCCTGTCCAGTTGGTGTGGATAAACTGCCCTGGTTTGGCCAAGAGTTCATAGGTGTGAGCCCCGAAGTAATCCCGCTGAGCCTAGGAAACGAGAGAGTAGGTTGGTCAGGACAGTCCATGGCGCACGCCCCCGAGGGGCCAGCCAGGTTAATCCCTGCTCCACAGGCTTACCTGGATGAGGCTGGCTGGAAGCATCTCATGTCTGTACCCGTCATAGAAGGAGAGGGCAGTGGTAAAACAGGGCATGGGAATGCCAGCCTGGACCCCAGTGCTGACTGCCCGCCGCCAGGAGTCCTGAGCACAAAACGCACGGCCAGAGATTAGTGATCTGCCCCTGGTGACGCGGATAGATTTTCATTCATATCAATGTGGGTAAATGAAAAACTGATGGTTAGGCCAGGCGCGGTGGCTCACGCCTGTCATCCCAGCACTTTGGAAGGCTGAGGTGGGCGGATCACGAGGTCAGGAGTTCAAGACCAGTCTAGCCAACATGGTGAAACCCCATCTCTACTAAAAATACAAAAAAAAAAAAAAAATTAGCCAGGTATGTTGGCACACCTGTAGTCCCAGCTACTTAGGAAGGCTGGGGCAGGAGAATCGCTTGAACCCAGGAGGCGGAGGTTGCAGTGAGCCAAGATCATGCCACTGTACTCCAGCCTGGGTGACAGAGCGAGACTCTGTCTCAAAAAAACAAAAAACCAAAAAAAAAAAACAAAAAACCAAACATCACAACTGATGGCCCCAGGGAGGTAGAGTAACCATGGCACCAGCCCTAGGCTACATACCTGGCAGTTTTCAACAGCTGACTTAAAGAAGTCGTCCAGTAGGAGGTTCTGAAGTTCCGGGTTTCGATCAAATGCATCCTTTATCTTTCCTAGGAATACACTGAAATAATCAAGGGGGGAAAAAAGCAATGAGTCTTTTTTTTTTTTTTTTTGAGACGGAGTCCCGCTTTGTCACCAGGCTGGAGTGGAGTGGCACGATCTCAGCTCACAGCAACCTCCACCTCCCAGGTTCAAGCGATTCTCCTGCCTCAGCCTCGCCAGTAGCTGGGATTACAGGCACGCACCACTACAACCGGCTAATTTTTGTATTTTTAGTAGAGACAGGGTTTCACCGTGTTAGCCAGGATGGTCTGGATCTCCTGACCTCGTGATCCGCCTGCCTCGGCCTCCCAAAACGCTGGGATTACAGGTGTGAGCCACCGCGCCCGGCCAAATGCAATGAATCTTAACTCTAACAGGGAAGTAAGCTGGAAGCCGATGTATACCCTAGTGAAACAAAGTTACATTTCTCATTTCTTCAAGCTGTTAACCCTTTTCCTGTTTAGAAAAAAAGTGCAGCTCGCTGCCAGCGCTCATTTAATTTTACATAAACACGCTTTTTGAGGCTGAAGAAAATCTGACGATTTTCAATATGAAAATAAAATATAAAAACTATTCTTGGCGTTATTTCTAAAGAGAACTAATATTAGAATCATCTGAATCACCAGAATCATCTACTTCAGAAAAATCAGATTCATCAAATGAATCTTCAGCCAACATGAGAACGATGTAACGTCATGTGTAGAAATGCTACGTTTTCTATGATTTGGCATTTTCAATGAAAATACAGAGCAAAATTCCCAAGAGGCAAGGCCAGAGGGCACGATAGTTCACAGAAGTACTTTAAAAGGTGTAGTGTAGTAGGTGTAATGCGGAGCCGGGCGCAGTGGCTCACGCCTGTAATCCCAGCACTTTGGGAGGCTGAGGCGGGCAGATCACCCAAGGCAAGGAGTTCGAGACCAGCCTGGCTAACATGGTGAAACCCTGTTTCCACTACAAATACAAAAGAATTAGCCGGACATGGTGGCGTGCCCTTGTAATCCCAGTTACTTAGGACGCTGAGGCAGGAGAATCACTTGAACCCGGGAGGCAGAGGTTGCAGTGAGTCAAGATCGCATCATGGCACTCCAGTTTGGGCAATAAGAGCGAAACTTGGTCTCAAAAGAAAAAAAAAGGTGTAGTGTGGACAATCTAGTTACAGCAACTGAGGTACAGTGAAGAAGGGAACCACATAATCTAAGCCTATCTTGTGCCAGTGTCCAGTGATGGGGCTAAGTGCCCATCCCTGGAAACTGCTCAAGCTAAGTGTCCTAAGATCGCACTTCTGCACAGCCGTGTGAGTCCTTCCCGTCGGACCCTGGGCTGCCTCTCACTTACCTTCTAATGATGCAGCCCCCTCTCCACATCAGGGCGATGCCACCATAATTGAGAGTCCAGCCAAACTCGGTGGCTGCCTGCCTTAGCAGCATAAAGCCTTGAGCGTAAGAGATGATCTTGGAAGCGTAGAGTGCCTAAAGAGTGACACAGAGACCTACTAGGATTGCCATTAGGAGAGTGACCGCCTTATGTCTACCAGTCTTATTCTCATCAGCAGTGGAGATCCCAGAAGGGCCAATATTCTAGGAAAACATTGTAAGTCAAGATCCAAGTCAAGGCTGAACTTCATTCCACCTGCCATCCTGTGGCCTCGAGTGTTCTCCCACCACAACCCCCACCCCCACTGCCTTCCGCAGGACCAACAAAGACCACTGCCAGGGACTGTGTCCCACCTTCCGAATGTCCTCCAGGAATGATTTCTTATCACCATCAAACTGGAACTTCTGGGGACCCTTCAGCTTTTTGCTAGCTTGAATTCTCTCATCCTTCAGAGATGATAAGCACCGAGCAAAGACAGCTTCTCCTACATGGGGAGATCGGGAAGAGGAAACAGATTACTGTCAGGCCTCTGAGCCCAAGCTAAACTATCATATCCCCTGTGACCTGCATGTATACATCCAGATGGCCTGAAGCAAGTGAAGAATCACAAAAGAAGTGAAAATGGCTGGTTCCTGCCTTTACTGATGACATTCCACCATTGTGATTTGTTCCTGCCCCACCTTAACTGAGCGATTAACCTTGTGACATTCCTTCTCCTGGCTCAGAACCTCCCCAACTGAGCACCTTGTGACCCCTCGGCCCTGCCCGTAAGAGAAAAACCCCCTTTGACTGTAATTTTCCACTACCTGCCCAAATCCTATAAAATGGCCCCACCCCTATCTCCCTTCGCTGACTCTTCGGACTCAACCTGCCTGCACCCAGGTGATTAAAAAGCTTTATTGCTCACACAAAGCCTGTTTGGTGGTCTTTTCACACGGATGCGCATGAAAATTACCAAAGTTCGCACAGCAACCAGAAGAAAGGTGGAGCAGGAAAGTCTGTTTATACAAAGAGCTGAAAGTTTCAACCTTAGGCCACAAAAGTTGACATGGATCGGAAGGAACTTTTATAAGAAGCTCTAAACAGTTAATTTGATAACTAAAACTCTTAAGACAATCTTCCAATACAAACATGAGTATTCAATCACAAAGATTAACATGAAATTCAAAAGGGAGTTTTGAGGGAAAATGAAGAGATAGAAACCACTGTTATGGCTGGGCAAGGTGGCTAACACCTGTAATCCCAGCACTTTGGCAGGCTGAGGTGGGAGGATCACTTGAGCCCAGGAGTTCAAGGCTACAGTGAGCCATGATCACACCACTGCTCTCCAGCCTGGGCAACACAGTGAGACCCTGTCTCTAAAACCAGTAAAATAAAATAAAAACCACTGTTATGTAGAATACTCAGTGTTGGTCCATGAGTAAAATTTCAAATTCAATTTAGAGGACCTTAATTTTTTTTTTTGAAGATTTTACATTGATAAGTCACATTTACGGACTCACCTCTCAAAAAAATGTTAGGTTTTTATATTTTACGGTTTTCAGTATAGCCGTAATCATTCAAGTTTAACCACTTTACTTCATTTGAATTAAAAAGTCAATGTAGTATTTTAATATTAAGACATTTAGTATTTTCAGAAAGTATTCCTTATAAAAGACTTGCTCAACTGACAACTTATAGTTAGAATAAATGACTCTTTAACCACTTTTTCCCCCATAGACAAAATGAAGTAAAATCTCAGGGAACTAACAGAGGACTTTATTTCTGAGGAAAGAGGAGCAGCTATGGCTTGAGACTGCTAACCCTACTCCAAACACACAAAAGCAGCTACCTCTCTCCTGGCCCAAATGCACACACAGGATGACTTAGCATTTCTAGAAGGAAGCTTTGTAAGATGACTGGTGCAACAGGCTATGAGGCAAACCCTTCCTGTTAGAGGGGGAGAGGGCAGCTGGAAGACTTCCCTGTTAGTTCACAAATAATGATGGCTCCCAGCAGGGGGTGGGCCCAGCCACCCTGGGGGAAGAGGTATATGGATCCACAGGAGGAGAGTAGGATTCTGAGATCCTAATACTTACACATATACTTGAGTCCGTGATGAATAAATTGCTCCTAGCTATTGGCCCCTCCCTCCTCACCTATGTTATGGCTCAGATCGGCTAAAAGCAGCCAACTTCCTTCTATACAGCACGGAACTGTAGAAACCACCGACTTTCCTCCTTACTCTGCCTTACACCACACAGTTCAATAGGGCGAGGCACAATGAACAGGGAGGTCAAAAGGGGAGAAGAGTCAAGGGAGAGAAAGGCAACCTGTATCCAGAGGAGCAAACAGGAAAAATTCTGTTTTATTATTTTTGAGATGCTTCTTTTTTTTTTTTTAGGCGGAGTCTTGCTCGGTCGCCCAGCCTGGAGTGCAGTGGTGCGATCTCAGCCCACTGCAAATTCCGCCTCCCAGGTTCAAGTGATTCTCCTGCCTCAGCCTCCTGAGTAGCTGGGATTACAGGCACGGGTCACTATGCCTGGCTAACTTTCGTATTTTTAGTAGAGATGGGGTTTCGCCATGTTGGTCAGGCTGGACTCAAACTCCTGACCTCGTGATCCGCCCACCTCGGTCACCCAAAGTGCTGGGATTACAGGCGTGAGCCACCGCGCCTGGCCCAATTCTGTTTTAATATAGTGAGAACAATCTGCCAGAAGCAAAGATCAGCCTCTCATTAACCACGAGAGGCATCCTTCGTTCTCCTTTTTCATTCCTGCCAGAAGTCTATGTATTTTACTCTTAGAACCACCTTTGCTGGGCATGGTGGCTCACGCCTGCAATCCCAGCACTTTTGGAAGCCGAGGCGGGCAGATCCCCTGAGGTTAGGAGTTCGAGACCAGCCTGACCAATATGGTAAAACCCCGTCTCCACTAATAACACACAAAAATTAGCCAGGCATGGTAGCGCATGCCTGTAATCCCAGCTACTCGGGAGGCTGAGGCAGGAGAATCACTTGAACCCGGGAGGTGGAGGTTGCAGTGACCCGAGATCATGCCACTGAACTCCAGCCTGGGTGACAGAGCACAACACCGTCTCAAAAAACAAACAAACACACTGAAAACCACCCCCCCGGCCAAGATTTTGATATTGTTAATCCCCTCTCGTTTTATGTTTATTTCTTTATATTATTTCCTTATCTTTCTGAGTTTGATGCTTAGCTCACTAATGTAAGATATAAAACAAGTGGGCAGGATACACACCAACTTCAGGATAGTGGCTTTCTTCTAAAAGAGGAAGGAGAAGGAACTTAGCAAAACAACGAGGACTCAAATGGATAGGTAATTTTTATCTTTTTAATATCTAGGGGAAAAAAGTAAATTTTTAATAATTTCTGAGTACACAAGCATATGTTATTCGCAAACTTTTTTTGGAGGGGATGGAGTCTCATTCTGTTGCCCAGGCTGGAGTGCAGTGGCATGATCTTGGCTCACTGCAACCTCTGCCTCCTGGGTTCAAGCGATTCTCATGGCTCAACCTCCTGAGTAGCTGGGATTACAGGCACCTGCTAATTTTTTTTTTTTTTTGAGACGAAGTCTCGCTCTGTCACCCAGGCTGGAGTGCAGTGGTGCCATCTCAGCTCACTGCAAACTCTGCCTCCCAGGTTCAAGCAATTCTCCTGCCTCAGCCTCCTGAGTGGCTGGGACTACAGGCACGTGCCACCACACCTGGCTAATTTTTTGTATTTTTAGTAGAAACAGGGTTTCATCATGTTAGCCAGGATGGTCTCAATCTCCTGACCTCATGATCCACCCGCCTCGGCCTCCCAAAGTGCTGGCATTACAGGCGTGAACCACTGTGCCCGGCCCTGTTATTCATGAACTTTTCTATGAAAAATTTTACTCAAGTTACCTGCCTCATAAATAAAATCTTAGATCACTGACTACAATTACATCACTAATGCTAAAATATTCCAAAGATAAAACTGGATAGGAAGGACAGTCACTTCTGAATTTACCTCACAGTTTGTACGAATGAGATAAGAACTACAAGGAAGAGAATCAAAAGCAGCGTCAGCCTCTCTCACACTGTCAGTTTCTTCAACGCAAGAAAGAGCAAAAGGCACTCTGAAAGCTAAAGAGGGCTGAAGAGATTCTCTAAAGACCAGTCTGTATCTGTCCTCCAGACATCAAGATCAGAATAGTGGACGAAAGGGCCCATGTGAAAAGCATAACATTACCAATGAGGGTGACGGGTACGCCGTATTCCAGGGCGGAGATGGCGGTCCACTTCCCTGTGCCCTTCTGCCCCGCGCTGTCCCTGATCTTTGGCAGCAGGTGTTTGCCATCGGTGTCTTGGAACTTGAGAATATTGGCTGTGATTTCAATCAGGAATGAGTCTAGCTCTGTCTTATTCCAATCCTCAAAGGCCTACATGCAGAACACAGGAGAGAACCATGTTAGAGGAATGAGGGCTGAGCAAGGAAGCCCCTTGTCCAATGTCCACGCTGACCAATGCTCACGGTTGCCAGCAGGCTCTGCTCGCGTCTGCCTGGGGACTTCTGCTCCTGCTGGTTGAGTTTTATGCTAACCCAGAGTCAGTTGTGTTTGTTCTGAACCTGGTTATACTGAATTTCTGGCCACCAGAAGTGTTGTCTCCTCAGAGGCAAGGGCTCCTCACTTCACTTAGGTCTCTGTGCAGTGTCGCCTCCTCAGAAGCCTTCTGCAATCACCGGATCTTGTCCCAGTTTACTCTTCGTTCTCACAGTCATCGCTAACTAGTTTGATATTGTATATTTATTTCTGTCTGTCTTCCCAGCTCCGGGAGGGCAGGCACTTTGCTTTCTTCACTAGTATATCCCCAGCATTTAGAATCATGCTTGGCATATAGTAAAGCACTCGTGTGTTTGCTGAGTGAACACGTTAAGTATTATATATACCAATAAAAAATGAACACAAAAAGAATAGCACTGTTTCTGTGAAAGAAAACTAAGGTAATGTTTTAGAAAGAACAATTAACAGCAATCCAGTGAAACAAACAATAGTCAAAGTAAGTGAGGATGACATGAATAAAAAACTAGGAGGAAAACAACAAAAAATCTGGAAAGCTATACTGTATGCCTTGCTAGAGTCTGTAAATCACATCCCATTGGAAATAACTGAAACTAGAAATTCTAGATGGTAAGACACGACTAGAAAGCGCATCAGCAAACCATACTTAACGAGAAGGCCTTGGCCCTCCAAAAAATGGCGGGTGAATGAAAGTCCTTTCCTATGTTTTCAGTTAAAATCTATGTTTACCTCATGATAAAGATACATTCATCTAAAGTATTTAGGGAAAACAAAAGTATGGATACCTGCAGTTTACTTTGAATGTATCCAAAAAATAAGATGAAATTGGTGGGGGATGGACAGACATTGCTAAAGCAAGTACAGGAACCTGTGGATGGGAGAAAGGAGGAGGTGTGTATCCAGGTGTTCACTGTAAAACTCTCAAACTTCTGTGCTGCATGGTTGAATATTGTCATAATAAAATGTTGGGGGAAATGCTTCAGCTTCCCTACTTGGACTGACTTTTCAGATTAACTATCAAAAAGCCAATCCCAACTTGATCAGGAAAGAAAGCTTCTGCTGCATCTGCCATGTGGGACAACTGTGGGAGTAAATGGGACAGGTATGTGGAGTGACACAGTGCCTGACACCAGGTAAGCTACGCTAAATGGTGGTGATGATAACCACCCAGACTCTGTGGGGACTTTCTGCTTAGTGACTGACTAGCATAGTGTATAGGCCTATTACTAACAGTTTCCCTCAAATTAGGCTGAGTCCATGCAGGCCACCCGAATGGCCAAGGGGATAGGAATGAAGAAAAGATTCGGTGTCTGTGGCAAAGTGAGCACTCCCTGCAGAACGGACACAGAGGCAGTGCCGGGGCCTCACCTGGGCCATCTCGTCCTGCGCCATGCCCAGCACGTCTTTCATCAGGTGGTATGCCTCACAGATCAGCTGCATGTCCCCATACTCTATCCCGTTGTGCACCATCTTCACGAAGTGGCCTGCTCCCTCATCTCCCACCTGTCAGGACAACAAGCACCAAGAGGCCTTCAGAGAAACAGGCGACACATCAGAGAAGTCCACATCAGCTTTCATGCCAACATCCCTGGCAAGGCTACCTCTCCACACAAAAAATAACAAGTATAAAATGAGTACAGCATTTTTGATACAAGAATCATATAGCAATTCAAAGCAAGCTTCAGTCCAGTACAATATTATTTAACACTAATTCTAGACTCATTCTTCTCAAGGTTTCTCAAAGTCCCTGAATTCACTTTCAATACTTATGGCTCTCTAGCCTGTATTTTCTACTCTTTCTCATCATTCAAAGCAACTCCCCACCTTCCCAGCCCCCACCCACAAGAAAAAAAGTCCTCTTTTTCCCAAAGTTACCACTTTTCTAGCAACTAGAGGTTAAAATATATTGGCCAATTAAATCACTTGTTTTTTTTCAAAATATAAATGTATTGTAGTTGTTCCTAATGGCTACTGAAAAGTAAAATGACCCTAGATCCAAGGTCTCAACCTTGTAAGCCCAGAAAGGAGTCCCTCCAAGGCCCCATCATTATATTTATATTTATATTTATATTTATAAATAAAGACCAGATCTTTATTTATAAGCTGGCAAGATGTATAAAATCAGAATACCCGTTAATGAATGTAGGATGAAAACCTTAACTATGGATCTTCGTGGTTACAAATGTTAGTCCGGTCAACACATTCTGGCCCTATAGACAAGCAACTGGGAAGCCAGATTATCCGAAAATTATTTAGTTGTCAAGAACTGGAACAAAGGGAGTGACGAGAGCCAAACAGTTCATGGCATCAAACTCTCAGTCATCTACACCCAGCTCCATGACAGGGACACACCTGCCCAGGAGGCCAGGTGTTTGGATGACCTGGGCAGTCTCTCTCCTGGCTGTCACCACCTGGACCGTCAGTTGTATAACTGACGCTCACATCAGGACTCCATTGTCCGTGTTTCTTTTTTTTTTTTGAAACGGAGTCTCGCTCTGTCGCCCAGGCTGGAGTGCAGCGGTGTGATCTTGGCTCAGCACAACACCTGCCTCCTGGGTTCAAGCAATTCTAACGCCTCAGCCTCCTGATGAGCTGGGATTACAGGAGCACACCGCCACACTCAGCTAATTTTTGTAGACATGGAGTTTCACCATGTTGGCCAGGCTGGTCTCAAACTCCTGACCTCAGGTGATCCACTCACCTCAGCCTCTCACAGTGCTGGGATTCCAGGCATGAGCCACCACGCCTGGCCTTGTCCATGTTTCTATTGCTGCCCCTGCTGACTTCTGATTTTGACACTCTGGCCACAGAGTAACATGGCTGCTAACATCTTACTTCACCTTACCCTTCCTGCCACTTCAGCCATGAACTAAGGAGGGCCTGCTTGATCAACACACGTAGGGGCAAGGACTGTGCTTCTCTTCATGACTTTGTCCTAAGTGTGTGTATCTAAAAAAAAGTTGCAGGCTGGGTGCGGTGGCTCACGCCTATAATCCCAACACTTTGGGAGGCCAAGGTGGGCCGATTACTTGAAGTCAGGAGTTTAAGACCAGCTTGGGCAACATGGTGAAACCCCATCTCTACCAAAAATACAAAAATTAGCCAGGCATGGTGGCACATGCCTGTAATCCCAGCTACAATGGAGGCTGAGGCATGAGAATCGCTTGAACCCAGGAGGCGGAAGTTGCAGTGAGCTGAGATTATGCCACTGCACTCCAGCCTGGACGATAAAGCAAGACTGTCTCAAAAAAAAAAAAAAAAAAAAAAAAAAGTTGCTACCACTCACTTTTATTGCAGTGATCTTTTTGTTTTTTTCTGTTTAAGAGACAGGGTCTCTCTCTGTTACCCAGGCCAGAGTGCAGTAGTATGATCACTGCTCACTGCAGCCTTGAACTCGTGGGCTCAAGGGATCCTCCCAAAATACTGGATTATAAGCACGAGCCACTACACCCGGCCTTTTACCGCAGTAATCTACTGTCAGGGAACAGAGGTCCCTTTCCAATCCTTCACACTAATGAGAAGATTACTCAGCTCTTTACGTCAGTCCCAGCACCAGCCTCTTTCTACCCTAAGCAGATTCTGACTGAGCTCAATGGCCAACCACTGGTGAAAAGGTAAGGACAAGTGAGCTGCTGTGGCCAAAGCCACCAAGCACTGGCAGGCCTAGGAGGGAGGGCTTCCCGGATTCCTCAAAGGCCTGAGTCCTTATTTCAACCTCAGCATTGATTTCATATAAAATAAAATTGAATAATAAAATTCACATTAAAATTGCTGATATAAAATTAAAGGGAATCAGGAGCTGAAGAGAGCTTGGAGATCATGTAATCCAACCCCATATCTTACAGATAAGGAAACTGAAGTCCATGAAGGGACGTGGCTTGCCTGATGTCACAGTTAA
The DNA here is from genome assembly GCF_000001405.40 of Homo sapiens. Taxonomy (NCBI): domain Eukaryota; kingdom Metazoa; phylum Chordata; class Mammalia; order Primates; family Hominidae; genus Homo; species Homo sapiens. The sequence goes on along the minus strand of NC_000001.11, from coordinate 10,409,022 downwards.
GTTTATGGAAAGCCAGAACTGCCACTCAGGTCTCCTGAGCCTAATGCTTTTTTCCATCCACAGCATGGCTGAACTACAATATGAGATAAAGTTTACTTTAACAGCAACACGAGGCCGGGCATGGTGGCGCATGCCTGTAACCTCAGCACTTTGTGAGGCCAAGGCAGGCAGATGACTTGAGAGTCCAGGAGTTTGAGACCAGCCTGGGTGACATGGTGAAACCCCGTCTCTACAAAAAATACAAATATTAGCTAGGCGTGGTGGCATGCACCTGCAGTCCCAGCTACTCAGGAGGCTGAGGCAGGAGGATTGCTTGAGCCTGGGAGGTGGAGGTTGCGGTGAGCCAAGATCGCACCACTGTACTATGAACTAGGTTAGGCCTCCTTCATATTCAGTGAGGGTGCAAGTCCACAGGTTACTTTGTTCAAGCACAGAATGCCTGAATCCCACACTACAGGATGGGGAATTTTCCACGTTCATGGAATGTTGACACAGCAACAGTACCTTCAATCTTCCACCTTTCACCCATGCAAGCAAACGCCACTTTTGATTCTGACATTCTTTCCTTTGGCCATGAAATAATATGGCTCGAAAAAATCTTATTTCACTTCATCCTATTCCTTTTTAAAGAATTCATCTTTTAGATGAATTATAGAAGGCTGCTTTTAATATCAACCTCAAGGCTATGAACAGTCAGCTAAGATACAAAGATGTGAACAGCAGGCATGCATTCTAGGCGTTGGCTATTCTAGCAATCAAAGATCGAGACGTTTATGTCACCAAGCTAACCCCTGGGAGACCACGGTGGCCTTTCTCCACGCACTTCATCACTTAGACACGCCCATGTTGCCAATTGGCTTTAAAGAGTAGCCCAGAACTTGCCCAGTCACAGCAGGGTTCTCCAGTTCCCACTTTTGCAGCAATGCCTTGGAAGATGGTCTTGATGTGGGGCCTGTGTAAAGAAACAGTGTGGTTCAGTTAATGAGAAGAGACGGGCTGAGAGCCCATACCCATAGACACCAACATACCCATAGACACCAACCCCTATCTTTTCCTTTCTTTTTTTTTTTTTTTGAGACAGGGTCTCACGTTGTCACCCAGGCTGGAATGCAGTGGTGTGATCTCAGCTCACTGCAGCCTCCTCAACCTCCCAGGTTCAAGTAATCTTCCTGCCTCGGCCCCCTAAGTGGCTAAGACTACAGGTATGTGACACCACACCCAGCTCATTTTTTTGGATTTTGTAGAGATGGGGTTTTGCCATGTTGCCCAGATTGGTCTCGAACTCCTGAGCTCAAGTGATCCACCCACCGTGGATACCCAATGTGCTGGGATTACAGGCATAAGCCACCACCGCACTGGGCCCATCTTTTTCTTTCTAATGGGAGGTGGAAGTGCCCACAAAAAGATAATGAATGTGCTAAGTTCTCAAGGTCAACTGCAGACCCTTGACTGAAACTGGCCCCTCCTCCAGGTCCTGGTGGGCCCTCAAAGCAGACTGGACTATCGGACTGAGACTACAGACAGAAAGGCTGAGCAGAAGCATCACCAAAGCACCAGAAGAAATGTCTTCTTAGAGACAGGGTCTCACTCTGTTGCCCAGGCTGGAGTGCAGTGGCACAATCACGGCTCCCTGCAGCCTCAAACTCCTGGACTTAGGTGATCCTCCTGCCTCAGCCTCCCAAGTAGGTGGGGCTACAGGTGTGTGCCATCACACCCAGCTAATTAAAAACTTTTTTTTGTAGGGACAGGATCTTGCTATGTTGCCCAGGCTGGTGTTGAGCTCCTGGCCTCAAGCAATCCTCACACCTCAGCTTCCCAAAGTGCTGGGACCATAGGCGTGAGCCACCATGCCTGGCTAATTTTTTGTTGGTGGTGCAGAGATGGGGTCTCCCTATGTTGATGTGGCTGGTCTTGAACTCCTCGGATCAAGCACTCCTCCCACCTCAGCCTCTTGAGTCACTGAAATTACAGGCATAAGCCATCGCACCCGGCTCAGAAATTTCTACTGCAGCAGCAGCAGACAGTATGATTGCAAACAGCAGGCAATACGAAAGTTCCTTTAGAGATCCTCTTTTAATTTTTTCCCTTTTCTTTATTTCTCCTTATAATGGCTTTTAGCAAGTGAAGAGACCCTCTTTCATTTGTCTGGATGTGTGCTGCCAGGCACAGAATGGTTCTGGACATTTGGATTAAGAACCAGGCAGCGTTTTTGAGAGCTACATTACCATTCAGAGAAAGGCCGCTGTTCATTCCTTCCACAGCTCAGCACGCGGATATATTACTCTTGAGACTTTCCCTCACTGTTCTGCTCCCTAATGGCCAGTCAAGGCTTCCTCACAAAAAGTTTCTGGTACAGACATGAAATCTTACAGGGTTGCAAAGTTAACATTTAGGATTAGGGATGAAGACAGCCACACCGGAAACCGCAGAGCTTCACTGAACTTTTACAGTGTCCTTCTGGTAAAGGTGCCATTTGTACTTCTGCCACCACAGTATGAGGAAAGAGAACTGATGGAAACAACTGGAGCACTCCATATGTCAAATACTTTTACGTGCATTGTCTGCTGGTTGCCTTTCTAACTGCTCACTGTGCAGGTGCTTCGAGATAAGTATTTTCAAACCTTTTTTTTTTTTCTTAAGAAACAGGGTCTTGCTATGTTGTCCAGGCTGGCCTTGAACACCTGGGCTCAAGCAGTTCTCTCACCTCAGTCTCCTGAATAGCTGGCACTACAGGTGCAAGCCACTGCACACACAGCTGTTTAAACTTCTGAGAAGCAGAAAGGCCTCTCTACTTCTGTGTTTTATTAATAACACACTGAAGAGAATCCCCAGACTCATTCACCAGAAAGGTAATTAAAAAAATTATTTTTGGCTGGGCGCAGTGGCTCACACCTGTAATCCCAGCACTTTGGGAGGCTGAGGCAGGCAGATCACGAGATCAGGGGATCAAGACCATCCTGGCTAACACGGTGAAACCCCGTCTCTACTAAAAATACAAAAAATTAGCTGGGCGTGGTCGTGGGTGCCTGTAGTTCCAGCCACTTGGGAGGCTGAGGCGAGAGAATGGCGTGAACCTGGCAGGTGGGGCTTGCAGTGAGCAGAGATCGCGCCACTGCACTCTGCACTCCAACCTGGGCAACAGAGCAAGACTCCGTCTCAAAAAAAGAATCATTTTTTCTTTTTTACTGAGACCGAGTCTCGCTCTGTCACCCATGATGGAGTGCAGTGGTGAGATCTCGGCTCATTGCAACCTCTGCCTCCCAGGTTCAAGTGATTCTTGTGCCTCAGCCTCCCATGTAGCTGGGATTAGAGGTGCCCTCCACCATGCCCGGCTAATTTTTGTATTATTAGTAGAGAGTTTCACCATGTTGGCCAGGCTGGTCTTGAACTCCTGACCTCAAGTGATCCTCCCATCTCAGTCTCCCAAAGTGCTGGGATTACAGGCGTGAGCCACCATGCCCAGCCTTAAAGAATCATATTTCAGACCAGGCACGGTGGCTCACGCCTGTAATCCCAGTACTTTGGGAGGCCAGGGCAAGCGGATTGCCCACAATTATTTATATATATATCGGATTGCCCACAATTATTTATATATATGTGTGTGTGTGTGTGTGTGTGTGTATTTTTTGTTTGTTTTGTTTTGTTTTGTTTTTGAAACAAACTCTCACTCTGTCGCCAGGGTGAAGTGCAGTGGCGCGATCTCGGCTCACTAACCTCTGCCTCCTAGGTTCAAGCAATTCTCCTGTCTCAGCCTCCCAAGTAGCTGGGACTACAGGCGCACGCCACCATGCCCGGCTAATTTTTGTATTTTTAGTAGAGACAGGAATTTACCATGTTGGCCAGGATCGTCTAGATCTCCTGACCTGGTGATCTGCCTGCCTCAGCCTCCCGAAGTGCTGGGATTACAGGCGTGAGCCACCACGCCCGGCCAATTTATATTTTTTAATTAAAAAAATGTTTGTTTTACTTTTTTGTAGAAACAGGATCTCGCTATGTTGTCCAGGCTAGTCTTCAACTCCTGGGCTCAAATGATCATTCACCGCAGCTTCCCAAAGTGCTGGGCAGTGATTACAGGCATGGGCCACTATGCCCAGCCTGTTACCCACGATTATCACATTAAGTTACTTTTGGGTTATATATCAGCTAAAAGAGGCAGACCTTATTCCTACATCCAGACATTGCACAGAACATTACCTAAACTGCTTCCTTAAAGCCTATTTAGAGGCCAAGTGTGGTGGTTCATGCCTGTAATCCCTGCACTTTGGGAGGCCAAGGCGGGCAGATCGCCTAAGGTCAGGAGTTCGAGACCACCCAAGGTAACATGGTGAAACCCTGTCTCTACTAAAAGGCAAAAAATTAGCCAGGCATGGTGGCATGTGCCTGTAGTCCCAGCTACTCAGGAGGCTGACGCACAAGAATTGCTTGAGCCCAGGAGACGGGGGGTGCAGTGAGCTAAGATCTCACCACTGCACTCCTGCCTGGGCGGGAAAAAAAAAAAAAGCCTATTTAGAACGTCAGGTATCAGTCTTGATAGAAATAACAGAAGAAAAAAGGCAAAAGAGGATTGTGCACATATACTATATCAAAGCAACAAAATGTCTAGATAAAAGAAATTGCCAGCATCTCCCAGCTGTCACACTCAGGGCACCACAGAGATCAGGGTGGCAGAACTGCTCCTGGCTTATTCGTTCTCAAAGTCCAGCTCCCTTGTACAGAGATGGGCACAGTGCTGATGGCACTCACCACGCTTCTTTGTTCCCTCCTGGCATGAGCGATGGGCCATACCGGGCCCCTTCCTCTCCACCACTGACTCCGCTCCCCACAAATAAAATTCCCTTGGCCTTGAGGTCTCGGCACCGTCTCTGAAGGACAGAAAAATAATTTCATTATGCTTCCATGTTTCATTATGCTTCCATGTTTCATTATGCTACCCAAAAATGTTTCCCTTATAAATGAGAGGAAGTATAAGATAGGAATGGAGAGCCTACATTTACAGGAAATGACCCAAGGATCTAGGAATAACTGATGACTCAGGAAAGTTAATCCCCTATGTGTAGGAGTTAAAAAACAAAACAATACAACTATGGACATTCACGATACCTACCTCATCCCCAAAGTAAAATAATTAAGCCAAACACACATTGGCATTTTACTGGAAAAGACCTTGAATAAGACTCAACGAAGAGTAGGTGTAATACAACTTAATGCCATTCAGCACTTCAGAGCACACAGGAATTCCCTCAGCATTTGATACCATTAGAGGAGTGGTTCTAAACCAGTTATAGACTGACATATCATGGATTACTTGGAAGGGGAAGGGGAGGAGTTAAAACGTAATTCTCAGCCTGCTGTATCTGAGTTAGTCATCCTTTGAGTTGTATGTGTGACTGAGAATCTCACCCACCAAGTGTCTTTTTTTTTTTTTTTTTTTTCAGATGGAGTTTCACTCTGTCGCCCAGGCTGGAGTGCAGTGGCATGATCTCGGCTCACTGCAACTTCTGCCTCCCAGGTTCAAACAATTCTCCTGCCTCAGCCTCCCAAGTAGCTGGGACTACAGGCGCATGCCACCATGCCAGGCTAATTTTTTGTATTTTTAGTAGAGACGGGTTTTCGCCATGTTAGCCAGGATGGTCTTGATCTCTTGACCTCTTGGTCCACCTGCCTCCGTCTCCCAAAGTGCTGGGATTACAGGTGTGAGCCACCACACCCGGCCCTTCTGTTAAGTGTGTCTTAACAGAAAAAAAGGCTGAGAACTATTGTATCAGTAGTAATCTCAAAAAAATCAGTACCACAGGGCAGTTCACCCTACTGTCACATATGCGATGCTGACACTTTTTTCTAGAATGTTCTCGGAACCTGGAAGAATCTGGACTGAAGAACACTTACTGTGGTGTCCCTATATTCAGAATTTCCTCCGTCAATGATGATGTCACCAGTATCCAACAATGGTACCTGTAACCAGACACCAGCATTAAGATGGACCAAAAATGAAACATACCTTGGCAAATTAAAACAAACAAGAATTTATTCCAAATAAACATAGTCTAAAAAGAGTCTCGTTCTGTTGCCCAGCTTGGAATGCAGGAGTGCGAACATGGCTCACTGAAACCCTGAACTCCTGCAGTGGTGTGAACATGACTCACTGCAACTTTGAACTCCTTGAACCACAATGCCCAGCTAGTTTTAAAATTTTTTTTGTAGGCCAGGCGCGGTGGCTCACGCCTGTTATCCCAGCACTTTGGGAGGCCGAGGTGGGTGGATCATAAGGTCAGGAGATCAAGACCATCCTGGCTAACATGGTGAAACCTCGTCTCTACTAAAAATACGAAAAATTAGCCGGGCGTTGTGGCAGGCGCCTTGTAGTCCCAGCTACTCGGGAGGCTGAGGCAGGAGAATGGCGTGAACCCGGGAGGTGGAGCTTGCAGTGAGCTGAGATCGCAACACTGCACTCCAGCCTGGGGGACAGAGTGAGACCCCGTCTCAAAAAAAAAAAATTTTTTTTGAGATGGAGTCTCACCATGTCGCCCAGGCTGGTCTCAAACTCCTGGGCTAAAAGCCTCCTGGCTTGGCAGGAGGCCAACGCACCCAGCCTACTTAATCTTCAATAATCCTCTCTGTGGCCAGAGCTGCACACTATTTAAAAGTTTAGGGCTGACCAGGCTCAGTGGCTCACACCTGTAATCCCAACACTTTGGGAGGTTGAGGCAGGAGGATCGCTTGAGCCCAGGAATTTGAGACCAGCATGGACAGCATAGCAAGACCCCATTTCTATTTTTAAGTAAGTATACAGATTAAACACTGACTATAATGTGTCTAGAAGAGAGTGGGGATTCAGTAAATACATATCAAATGGTTTAGTGTATGAATGAATGATTTTATGACAACAGTTCGGAGGTCAGGAAGAGACAGAGCCTTGAACATGAATATCTACCTACAGCACACCAACCAGGCTGGGCTTTATTATTATTATTACTTTATTAATTAATTAATTAATTTATTTATTTATTTGAGACGGAGTCTCGCACTGTCACCCAGGCTGCAATGCAGTGGTGTGATCTCGGCTCACTGCAAGCTCTGCCTCCCGGGTTCACGCCACTCTCCTGCCTCAGCCTCCCAAGTAGCTGGGACTACAGGCACCCACCACCACGCCTGGCTAATTTTTTGTATTTTTAGTAGAGATGGGGTTTCACCGTGTTAGCTAGGATGGTCTCGATCTCCTGACCTCATGATCCACCCACCTCTGCCTCCCAAAGTGCTGGGATTACAGGCGTGAGCCACCGCGCCCAGCCTGGGCTTCATTATATTATTCAATCTTCCCCCTACAAGGCTCCAGTTAACATTACTTAGTATTTTCCTATACTGAAGAATAATCCACCATTTTTCAGTTTTCTCTGTCTGAAACTGATTACAGGCAGCTTGCCACACAAAAAATTTAGTATGTCCTTTTTTTAAACTCAGTGTTCTTCCTTTCTAGGTCATTTGATTGAAAAACAGTGGCATACTGGTTACAAATCCTTCTCCCTGTGGAAACAACCCCACTGTTGACACGACTCCTCTAGAAAGGAATGCTCAGCCTCCCCTGAGCTATCACTGCACTGCTTACAGCAAAACATTTCTTCTAAATGGGAGTGCCTGGGTTTTTTCAGAGTTGTTACTATAGAATTATTTTGGGTATCTAAACACATTATTTCCACTGGTTCCCCTACTTTTTTCTTCCAAAAAAGATATACCTGCTAAAGCCAACAAATTGTTTGGTACAAAAATAAGCATCCAGTTCCCTAGGATTCCCTAAGGAGATCTTGATTTTATTTTCATTTTTTTTTTGAGACGGAGTCTCGCTCTGTCGCCAAACTGGAGTGGCACAATCTCAGGTCACTGTAACCTCCACCTCCCAGGTTCAAGTGATTCTCATTCCTCAGCCTCCCGAGTAACTGGGATTACAGGCATGAGCCACAAAGCCCAGCTAATTTTTATATTTTTAGTAGAGACGGGGTTTCACCATGTTGGCCAGGCTGGTCTCGAACCTGGGACCATAAGCTTGTAGCTGGGACCATAAGCTTACACCACCATACCCAGCTAATTTTTTAATTTTATGTAGAGACAGGGTTTCGCCATGTTGCCCAGGCTGGTCTCGAACTCCTGGGCTCAAACGATCCATCTGAACCAGCCTCCCAAAAAGTGCTGGGATTACAGGCCTGAGCCACTGTGCCCCGCCTTAATGTTTATTGAAATGTCTGTTAGTATTCTCAGAATTACTACCACCAAAGGACAAAGTTACTTCATAAGCGCTTATCAAGTTAACCAACACTGCAACAGTTAAGCAATCATTTGGTCAGAGCTTAGCAGAAATTGAAAAAAAAAAATCTCTAGAGTTAAAAGAAGGAGAACTAAAGGAAGAAACCAAAAACAGCTGCTATCGTGGTAGCAGCTGAGAGCACAGCTGGCCTCACCAATTTCTCGATGAAATCATCCACAGCTTGCCCAGCCTTCACCAGGAGGATGATCCGCCGGGGCTTCTTCAGCTTGGAGACCATCTCTTTCAGGGACTGGGCACCCACCACTTTGGTTCCCTTTGCCTCATTGGCCAAGAAATCATCAACTTTGGAGACAGTCCTATTAAAAGCACAGACCTAGAAGGACAAAAGTCCTGAGTAGGAGATCCAGGACACACAAGACTTTCAGACTGTGGCCAAAGTAACAATGACCTTTCCATTCAACCCAAGTTCTGGGGAGGTCAGACCTGCCTTTGCCTTTTCTTCCCCCAGCTGTGGGAGGCTCACTGTAAAGTTATGTCACCTCAGTAGGATGAAAACGGCGGACAACCGAGGCGAAGGCCAACTACCCCCGGTGTGTCAGGTAGAATCCACACCCAACGTGTTAGGACTCAAAATCAAATCCAGGAACTGGCCGGTTCAACAGGCTCTATCTGTTGTTATTGATCATCCTGGCGTCTAAGCCACTTTAACATTTAGAAGAAACATTTTCACTCTCCCCAGATCTCATCAGGCAATCAAGTTAGAGCTCTACACAGCCAGCAAGGGTTCTCCTCCCGCACCCTTCTTCTCTACTTAAGACACTAATTCGTTCATTCGGGCTGTGAACCTCACGGACCCACAGGCACACTCCGCAGGACTAAGTTCGGGATCGGCCCGCCCACGCCTACAGGGTGCTTCTCCTTTCCATACAAAAATGCCACGAGCAGCAACAGAGCACATTAGCAAAGCACGGCCAGGAGACCCGTAAGCTCCCAAACCTATCGCCGGCCTCGGCTAAAGCGCCCGGGAACCAGAGAGAAGACAACGCGCCCACGCCGCTTACCACAAAGCCGTGGTCATTCATGTTCAGAATTAAGTTCTGGCCCATGACGGCCAATCCGATCAGCGCGATGTCAGCTCTAGAGAGGCAGAAACAGAACAAAGGAAAGAGTCAGCACCGCTCGACGCGCTGCAACCCAGGGGTCCGGTCCTTCCACATTTGGCCGTGACTGGGAGTCTGCACTTTCCTCCGCGCCTCCCGCGGGCCCCCAGAAGCCGGGCGCGCACGCTGCAGAGCCTCGGCCGGGCAGGCGGCCCCCAGCCCCGCCCTCGCGCCCGGCTCCCGCTGGCACGCGTCCCGCAGGTGTCCCTGCAGACTCGGCGAGGCCTGGCCGCGCCTCCTCCCTGGCCCTCGAAGGGACCCGCCCCGCCCCATGCCTGCGCGGCCGAGAGGGCAGGGGGCCGGGCCCGCAGGGAAGGAGCTCTGGGCCCGAGACGCCGTAGGGCCAGGGTCACAGAGCCCCAAGTGAGCTCAGGCGACCCCCAGGGTGGGAGGCGTCGGAGAGAACGAGGGAGATCTCGACCCCCAAAGAGTTCCCCGCCCGCTGAGGCCGAGCCGGGCTGCCCCTGGCGAGTCACTCACTGGGCCATGGCGGCGGACAGAGCAGAACCGAAGAGCGGCGACGCGCGGAGGACGAGTGAGGGAAAGACCCGCAGCGGCTCCCTCCAGAAACTGCGGCCGCTCACGCCCGGCTTTTCGGCGCCGGCCAATCGAATGGAAGGGGGTGGAGCCATGAAGCCACACCATTGGCTCTCCCCGACGCCTGTTAGACCATCCGAGGCAAACGTGCCCGCCCACCCCCGGGGGCCGGATCAGTGGAGCGCCGAGCACCTAGATGACATTGCCCCGGCGAGGCTCCGGGCTCCCCGCCCACGCGCAGAGCTTTCCGCTCGTCCCAGCTGCACCTCGGTCCTGCAGGCCGTCCGCCTGGCGCAGCTGTAGCCATAGCAACTCACGCAGGACCGCGCTTTACAGTTTACCAGGCACTCGGACGCCTTTGGCGCGAGCGCCCGTCGCTCCTTCCTCAGGTCACTGCGGTGCACCGTGCGGGTCCGCGTCGTGTCCTCCGCTCCGGAGCAGGGACCGGGCGTGCTCGTTCAGTCCTGTGCGCACTCGGAATGGGGCCGGGGAAGGCTGAGCCTCAGGGCGACCCTGATGTGGAGCCGTGCGACCGCTCACTGCGGTTGAAGAGACCCAGGCGCAGACAGCGCAGGCGGGGTATGTATTGGTTGGAGTATGATGGGGTCAGGACTTGAGTCTTTTACCCAGGCCCGGAGTTAACGGTATTGAACCCCTTCTCATTTTGTAGAGGCTATGTGACCCGCGAGATGGACCAGGTTAAATGCAGAGGCAGATACAAAAAACCAGCCATCTTAAGCCAGACATTTGCAAAGTAGCCAAGCAGCGCTTCTTATCTTACTGAGTCCCTTCTTGCTAGGAGGAAATTGTTATTCAGAAGTTTGAGTTTTAGATTTTTTTTGTTTTTTTTGAGACGGAGTCTCGCACTGTCGCCCGGGCTGGAATGCAGTGGTGTGATCTCAGCTCACTGCACCTTCCGCCTCCCGGGTTCAAGCAATTTTCCTGCCTCAGCCTCCCAAGTAGCTGGGATTACAGGCGCCCGCCACCACGCCCAGCTAATTTTTGTATTTTTAGTAGAGATGGGGTTTCACCATCTTGGCCAGGCTGGTCTCAAACTCCTGACCTCGTGATCCGCCCGCCTTGGCCTCCCAAAGTGCTGAGATTACCGGCGTGAGCCACCGTGCCCGGCCTTTTTTTGATGTCATTGTTGAGATGGAGTCTGGCTGTGTCTCCAGGCTGGAGGGCAGTGGCGCGATCTGGGCTCACTGCAACCTCCACCTCCCAGGTTCAAGCGATTCTCCTGCCTCAGCCTCCCAAGTAGCTGGGACTACAGGTGTGTGCCACCATGCCCAGCTAATGTTTTTATTTTTAGTAGAGACAGGGTTTCACCATGTTGGCCAGGCTGGTCTCGAACTCCTAACCTCAAGTGATCCACCCACCTCAGCCTCCCAAAGTTCTGGGATTAGAGGTGTGAGCCACTGTGCCCGGCCGGTTTTTAATTTTTATAAAGACCAGGTCTTTGCTCTGTTGCCCAGGCTGGAGTGCAGTGGCATGACCATAGCTTACTGCAGCCTTGAACTCCTGAGGTCGAGCAATCTTCTAGCCTCAACTTCCTGAGTAGCTAGGACTACAGGCATGCAACACCATGCCCGGCTAAGACATCCTACTTTAAAATATGTCAAACTTCACAGCACAGTTCTTTTTTTAAAATACAGATTTAATGAGATAATTTACATGTCATACAATTCAAACATTGTAAGTACACATTTGGATGACCTTTAATTTATACTGTTGTGTAGCCATCACCATAATCCACTTATAGAAAACTTCCATCACCCCAAAACGTTCCCTTGGGCCTATTTGTAGTCAGTCTCTGCTCTCACCCCCAGCCAACCTCTGATCTACTTTGCATGGTTTTTGCCTTTTCCAGAAATTTCATAGAAATGGAATAATAGCATATAATTTTTTTGGTCTGGCTTCTTTCACTTAGCATCACGTTTCTGAGGCTCATCTGTGTTGTAGGTATGAGTGGTTTGTTCCTTTTCATTGCTGAGTGGTATTCCATTAATGCAATTGTGTCATCATTTGCTTATCCATTTATCTGTTGATAGACATTTGGATTGTTTCTAGTTTGGGAAATAAATAATTCTGTTTTGAACTCATGTACAAATTGTTGTTTTCATTTCTTTTGTGTGTGTGTGTGTGAGATGGAGTCTCACTCTGTAGCCCAAGCTAGAGTGCAGTGGCACGATCTCGGCTTACTGAAACCTTTGCCTCTGGGGCTCAAGTGATTCTCCTGCCTCAGCCTCCCAAGTAGCTGGGACTAGAGGTGTGCCCCACCACACCCGGTTAATTTTTTTGTATTTTTAGTGGAGACGGGGTTTTACCATGTTGCCCTGGGTGGTCTGGAGAGCTACCACCTTAGCCTCCCAAAGTGCTGGCATTACAGGTGTGAGCCACCACACCCAGCCTGTTGTTTTCATTTCTTTTAGACATATACTTAGGAGTGGATTGCTGGGTTTTAAGGTAAGTGTAACTTTTTAAGAAACTGCTGGCCAGGTGTGGTGGCTCACACCTGTAATCCTAGCACTTTGTGGGGCCAAGACAGGTGGATCACTTGAGCCCAGGAGTTGAAGTCCAGCCTGGGCAACATGGTATAACCCTGTGTCTACTAAAAATACAAAAATTAACCCGTCGTGGTGGCACATGCCTGTAATCCCAGCTACTCAGGAGGCTGAGGCAGGAGAATTGCTTGAACCCGGGAGGTGGAGGGCTCTACTAAAAATAGAAAAACTGAGGTGGGAGGATCACCTGAACCTGGGGAGGTCAAGGCTGCAGGGAGCCATAATTGTGCCTGCACTCCAGGTCTCGCCCTGTCGCCCAGGCTGGAGTGCAGTGGCGTGATCTCGGCTCACTGCAACCTCTGCCTCCTGGGTTCAAGAAATTGTCCTGCCTCAGCCTCCCAAGTAGCCAGGACTACAGGTGCACGCCACCACGCCCAGCTAATTTTTTGTATTTTAGTAGAGACAGGGTTTCACTGCATTGTCCAGGCTGGTCTTGAATCCCTGAGCTCAGGGAATCTCCCCCCTCAGCTTCTCAAAGTGCTAGGATTACAGGCATGGGCCACCACACCCGGCCGATATAAAACTTTTAACAAAACCCCAGACTTTATTCCAATGACAATTTTTCTGCTGGGCATGGCGGTTCACGCCTGTAATCCCAGCATTTTGGGAGGCTGAGGTGGGAGAATCACTTGAGCCCAGGAGTTGGAGACCAGCCTGAGCAACATAGTGAGACCCCCATCTCTACTTAAAAAAACAAAAATTAAAAATAAGACTAGCCAGGTGTGGTGGTGCATGCCTGTAGTCCCAGCTACTCGAGAGGGTTAGGTGGAAAGACTGCTTGAGGCTGGGACATTGAGGCTGCAATGAGTCATGATGGTACCACTGCACTCCAGCCTGAGTGACAGAGCCAAAACCCTGTCTCAAAAAAAAAAAAGAAAAAAAAAAAAGGCCAAGCACGGTGGTCCACACCTGCACTTATAGTCCCAGCACTTTGGAAGGCCGAGGCAGGAGTATCACTTGAGCCCAGGGTTGGAGAACAGCCTGGGCAACATGGCGGAAACCCATCTCTACCAAAAAAAAAAAATTCAAAAATTATGGCCGGGCACAGTGGCCCATGGCTGTAATCCCAGCATTTTAGGAGGCCAAGGCAGGCAGATCACTTGAGCCTAGGAGTTCAAGACCAGTCTGGCCAAACTGGCAAAACCCCATCTCTACTAAAAATCCCAGCTACTCAGGAGGCTGAGGCAGGAGAATTGCTTGAACCTGGGAGGTGCCACTGCACTCCAGCCTGGGCAATAGGGTGAGACTCAGTCTCAAAAAAAAAAAAGTGTCATTTACAATAACATCAAAAGAATAAAATATTTGGAATAAGATATTGAATTTAATAAAATAAGTCCAAAGCCTATACACTCAAAACCACAAAACATTGCTGAAGCAAATTACAGATCTAAATAAGACATTGTAACATGTTAACGGATTTGCAAGACTCAATATCACACTGGCATGATCTCGGCTCACTACAGGCTCCACCTCCCAGGTTTAAGCGATTCTCCTGCCTAAGGCTCCTGAGTAGCTGGGATTACAGGCAAGTGCCACCACATCCAGCTAATTTTTTTTTTTTTTTTTTTTTTTTTAGTAGAGACAGCATTTCATTATGTTGGCTAGGCTGGTCTCGAACTCCTCACCTCAAGTGATCTGCCTGCCTCGGCCTCCCAAAGTGCGGGGATTACAGGCGTTGAGCCACTGTACTGGGCCTATCATGGATTTTCAATTGTATATTTTTCCTTTCAATTCTGTTTTTGAGACTAATGTTAGCAGTGTATATATTTATAATGGCTAAATCTTCATAATGTATTGATATAGCCATTATCATCATAAAATGTTCCTTTATGTTTCTAATATTAATACTACTATTAAAGTCTATGCTGAGTTAAATGTATGCAGGAAGAACTTGGGGAAAAAGGCCATGTTGACTGTTGTTCATATAGCTATTCCTGCTCTCTTGTGATTCTTGATTGCATGGTATATCTTTTCACTTTCACTCTATTATTTGTGTCTTTGAATCTAAAGGATCTCTTGTAGATAGCATATAGTTGAATCTTGCTTTTTTATACAGTTTTACAGTCTGTGCCCTTTGGAATATTTAGTCCATTCATGTTTAATGTAATTGTTGATATGGTTGAATATATGGATGACATTTTAATACTTGTTTTCTATATTTCTCATCTTTGTTGTCCCTTTGTTTCTCTTTAATTCTTTTTTGAGATGGAGTCTCACTCTGTCGCCCAGGCTGGAGTGCAGTGGCACCATCTCAGTTCACTGCAACCTCCACCTCACGGGTTAAAGCAATTCTCCTGTTTTAAGCCTGCCAAGTAGCTGGGATTACAGGCATGCCACCATGACTGGCTAATTTTTGCATTTTTAGTAGAGACAGGGTTTCACCATGTTGGCCAGGCTGGTCTTGAGCTCCTGACCTCAGGTGATCTGCCTGCCTCGGCCTCCCCAAGTGCTGGAATTACTGGCGTGAGCCACCACGCCTGGCTTCTTTAACTCCTTTTTCTGTGTTACATTTGTGTATGTGTATGTATGTATTATCCTGATCCCAAAGTTGAAGGGTTTTTTCCTTTTAGTTATATGTTTGAGTTACTTTCTGTGTGGTTGTCTAGGGATTGCAGTATGTAGCTTTAACTTATTACAGTATATTTCAGCTCAATACTGAAAATTCTGGTAAAATACAGTAACTTTACTACCCTTCCCTTGCTCTTCCTTTGTGTTATATATATATCTTTATATGTTATAAACCCAGCAATGTGTTATAACTGGTTTAAACAACCTTGTTTTTTAAAAAATTAAAAAAGAGAGAAAAATATAAAGTATAAAAGAGAAATATAGGGAGGCCGAGGTGGGCAGATCACGAGGTCAGGAGATCGAGACCATCCCGGCTAACTTGGTGAAACCCCGACTCTACTAAAAATACAAAAAATTAGCTGGGTGTGGTGGCGTGCACCTGTAGTCCCAGCTACTCAGGAGGCTGAGGAAGGAGAATTGCTTGAACCCGGGAGGCGGAGGCTTCAGTGAGCCGGGATTGTGCCACTGCACTCCAGTCTGAGCAACAGACCAAGACACTGTCTCAAAAAAAAAAAAAAAAAAAGAGAAATATATAGTGTTTTACATTTAGCTGCCTTCATCATTCTAGTGCTCCATGCCTTCTGGTGAATTCAAGATATTGTTCTAGTGTCCTTTTCTTTTAGGCTGAAGGACTTCCTTTAGTACTTCTTTTTTTTTTTTTTTTGGAGACAGAATTTTGCTCTTGTCAACCATGCTGGAGTGCAGTGGCTCAATCTCGGCTCACCACAACCTCTGCCTCCCAGGTTCAAGCGATTCTTCTGCCACAGCCTCCCAAGTAGCTGGGATTACAGGCATGTGCCATCATGCCTGGCTAATTTTGTATTTTTAGTAGAGATGGGGTTTCTCCATGTTGGTCAGGCTGGTCTCGAACTTCCGACCTCAGGTGATCTGCCTGCCTTGGCCTCAGAAAGTGCTGAGATTACAGGAGTGAGCCACCACACCCGGCCCCTTTAGTACCTCTTTTAGGAGAGGTCTGCTAGCAATAATTCTCTTATTCTCCCTTTTTAAAAATCTCAGAATGTCTTTATTTCACCTTTTTCTTGGGACAGGGTCTTGGTCTGTCACCCAGTCTGGAGTGCTGTGGTTTGAACATAGCTTACTGTACCCCCAACCTCCTGGGCTCAAGCAGTTCTCCCACTTCAGCCTCCCAAGTAGCTAGGACCGCAGGTGGGTGCCACCATGTCTGGCTAATTTTTAAAATTTTTCTGTAGAGGCTGGTCTGGTCCTCCTGGGCGCAAGCAATCCTGCTTCAGACTCCCACAGTGCTGGGAGTACAGGTGTGAGCCACCGCACCCGGCCTCACCTTCACTTTTGAAGGCTAGTTTTGCTGTATATAAAATTATTGGGTGATTGTTTTTTCCTTTCAGCACTTTGAATATCCATTGCAGTGGCTTTAGCCTTTACTGTTTCTGATGAGCAGTTAAGCATTTTTTTTTTTTTTTTTTTTTTTTCAGAGACAGGGTGTTGCTCTGTTGCCCAGGCTGGGGTGCAGTGGCACAATCACAGTTCACGGCAACCTTGACCTCCTGGGCTCAAGCAATCCCACCTCAGCCCCCAAAATGAGTGGGACTACAGGTTCACGCCACCATGCCTGGCTAATTTTTGTATTTTTAATAGAGATGGAGTTTCACCATGTTGGCCATGGCTGGTCTCAAACTCCTGATCTCAAGTGATCTGCCCACCTTGGCCTCCCAAAGTGCTAGGATTACAGGTGTGAGCCACCACACCCAGCCCAGATTTTTGTTTCTTTTCTTTTTCCTTTTTTTTTTTGACACAGGGACTCGCTCTGTTGTCCAGCCTGAAGTGCAGTGGCTCACTGCAGTCTTGAACTCCTGGGCTCAAGCAATCCTCCCATCTCAGCCTCCCAAGTTGTTGGGACTACAGGTGCACACCACCGTGTCTGGCCTTTTTTTTTTTTTTTTTTTTTTTTAAGAGACAAGACGAGATCTCTCTCTGTTGCCCAGGCTGGTCTCAAACTCCTGGACTTAAATAATCCTCCCACCTTGGCGTCCCAAAGTGCTAGGATTACAGGTTGAGCTACTGCACCCAGATTTTTTTTATTCTTTAGGTTTTAGCTTGACTTCCTGATGGTTGCCTTGTGTCTCCATAACTTAGTGGCCAAAGATCTGGGAAGAGGTTGTGCTCAAACACCTTGGCTGTGCTCAGATATTTAGGCCTATCTGGGTGGGTTGGCGGTGCATTCAGGGATCACCTACTTCTTAAATCTCCCTTGGCTTTTTTTTTTTTTTTTTTTTGAGACAGAATTTTGCTCTTGCTCCCCAGGCTGGAGTGCAGTGGTGGGATCTTGGCTCACTGCAACCTCTGCCTCCTGGGTTCAAGCGATTCTCCTACCTCAGCCTCCCAAGTAGCTGGGATTACAGGCACCTGCTACCATGCCTGGCTAATTCTTTGTATTTTTAGTAGAGACGGGGTTTCACCATGTTGGCCAGGCTGGTCTTGAACTCCTGACCTCAGGTGATCCACCCGCCTCTGCCTCCCAGAGTGCTGGGATTACAGCGTGAGCCCACCACAACCAGCCTCCCTTGACTTTTAACATTTTTCTTTTTCTTTTTTTTTTTTTTGAGATGGAGTTTCACTCTGTCACCCAGGCTGGAGTGCAATGATGCAATCTCAGCTCACTGCAACCTCCGCCTCCTGGGTTCAAGCGATTCTCCTGCCTCATCCTCCCAAGTAGCTGGGATTACAGGCATGCACCACCACGCCTGGCTAATTTTTGTATTTTCAGTAGAGACGGGGTTTTGCTGTGTTAGCCAGGCTAGTCTTGAACTCCTGACCTCAGGTGATCTGCCTACCTTGGCCTCCCAAAGTGCTGGGATTACAGGTGTGAGCCATGGTGCCCAGCTCTCCCTTGGCTTTTAATTTCTATGGGCTTTCTGAAGTCTCATCTGTGTACGTGTCTGGTTTTCCAGCCAGCGAGTGATGTGCTGAGGTCCTGTCTAATCCTTTTGTGGCATTCTCATTTCCAGAGTCTCCTAGATTTCTAGCTAGTCTGCTACTTGAGATCTCAGGCTAGTAAGCTGTGGGTTTCTTTCTCAAGAAACGGCTTTCTCAAGCCGTTTATTTCTCAAGAACTTTGCCACTTTTAGCTGATAAAAAAGTACACTTCTTGAGGCCGGGTGCGGTGGCTCACGCCTGTAATCCCAGCACTTTGGGAGGCTGAGGAGGGCGGATCACAAGGTCAGGAGTTTGAGACCAGCCTGACCAAAATGGTGAAACCCCGTCTCTACTAAAAATTGAAAAATTAGCCAGGTATGGTGGCAGGCGCCTGTAGTCCCAGCTACTCGGGAGGCTGAGGCAGGAGAATGGCGTGAACCCGGGAAGCGGAGCTTGCAGTGAGCTGAGATCGCGCCACTGCACTCCATCCTGGGCGACAGAGTGAGACTCCATTTAAAAAAAAAAAAAAAAAAAAAAAGGTACACTTCTCGGCCCGGGTCAGTGGCTCACACCTGTAAACCCAGCACTTTGGGAGGCCGATTTAGGAGGCCGAGGTGGAGGATCACCTGAGGTCGGGAGTTTGAGACCAGCCTGACCAACAAGGAGAAACCCCATCTCTACTAAAAATAAAAAATTAGCCGCAGTGGTGCATGCCTGTAATCCCAGCTACTGGGGAGGCTGAGGCAAAAGAATTGCTTGAACCTGGGAGGCAGATGTTGCAGTGAGCCGAGATCGTGCCACTGCACTCCAGCCTGGGCAACAAGAGCAAAACTCCGTCTCAAAAAAAAAAAAGTTCTAGCACTTTTTTTTTCTTTATCTTTTTCTTTTCTTTTGATACTAAGTTTCGCTCTTGTTGCCCAGTCTGGAGGGCAGTGGTGCTATCTTGGCTCACCGCAACCTCCGCCTCCCAGGTTCAAGCGATTCTCCTGTCTCAGCCTCCCAAGTTGCTGGGATTACAGGCATGAGCCACCATGCCTGGCTAATTTTTTTGTATTTTTCGTAGAGACATGGGTTTCACCAGGTTGGTCAGGCTGGTCTCGAACTCCTGACCTCAGGTGATCCACCTGCCTAGGCGTCCCAAAGTGCAGGGATTACAGGCGTGAGCCACTCTTTTTCTTTTTATTATTCATTATTATTTTTTGTAGAGACAGGGTCTTGCTTGGTTGCATAGGCTGGCCTTGAACTCCTGGCCTCCAGCCAACTTCCCACCTTTGCTTCCCAAAGTGTTGGGAGATTACAGGTGCAAGCTACCGTGCCCAGCCAGTTTTTTCTCAAGAATAAATGCTTCTTAATTTGCCTGCCTTTGGTTGATGTCCAGAACCTTGAAATGTTTTTGGTATATATTTTTTCCAATTTTATGCTTTTTTATTTTTGTAGAGTGCATTCCCTATTCTCTTCACGCTGCAGCAGCCAGCAGTCCCTCCACAGCACTGTCCTTGTCCTTTTGTCTGTGGTTAAGGCCTTCCTCCAGAGTCCGCCAGAAAGTAGTCAGGGTCTGTGGGCTTTTACTGAAGGCCCTGACCACAGGGCATGCTGCAATAATAGATCCTGTGCTGGGTGCTGCCTCTGCTGGCATTTCTCTTTCACAGGCTGGATTTGGGACCTCAGCCTTACAGGAAATAAGGAGACTGAGGATCAGAAAATGTGGAGAGAAGCCTCAATAGAAAGGACACACAGGCTCACACCTGTAACTCCAGCACTTTGTGAGGCCGAGGCGGGTGGATCACCTGAGGTCAAGAGTTTGAGACCACCAACATGGCAAAACCCCGTCTCTACTAAAAATACAAAAAATTAGCCAGGCGTGTTGGTGGGCGCCTGTAATCCCAGCTACTCGGGAGGCTGAGGCAGGAGAATCACTTGAACCCAGGAGGCAGAGGTTGCAGTGAGCCGAGATCACGCAACTACACTCCAGCCTGGACCACAAGAGTGAAACTCGTCTCAAAAAAAACCCCCCCAAAATTAGCTGGGCGTGGTGGTGCATCCTGTAGTCCCAGCTACTTAGGAGGCTGAGGCCTAAGAATTGCTTGAACCCAGTGGTAAGGGTGGGGGACAGAGGTTGCAGTGAGCCAAGATCATGCCATTGCACTCCAGCCTGGGCAACAGAATGATGCTCTGTCTCAAAAAAAGGACAAAAGGACTGAGAGCCTCCTCAAACTCCTGCCTTGCTCCAGAGGCTCACAGCAGTCCTCAGGCTGCTTGACGACAGGGATGCCACTGCCTGCCTGTCCTGCTTCCTTCCCAGGGTGGGCACAGCAAAATGAGCTAATGTCCATGAAAGTTCCTTTTAAACTTAAGACTGCTCCACAATTTTCATATTTATTAATATTCTCTAACGTGACAAACTCAGCTCAGGGAAGTTGAACTTCCCAGCTAGTTAGTGGCGGAGGTGAACTTTAACCCAAGTCTACTTACTAGGGCCAAGCCCAGCATTCTTTCCCAATAGGGTTAGCAGGACATAATCATGTATACTCACAGTGACTGTGTTCCCAATGAACCTGGGTATGTCTGCATTTTAGAGATGTTTCATTGACTTTCAACGGAAAGCTGGATTTTGGAGAACAAACAGTACTTGCAGAAATTTCACAAGTAGAACTTCACACAATGGCTCCCTTAAAAGAACCTTGGTGACAGGCATCCTTTTCAACTTTGTTGCAGCTGCTTCCTCTTTCTATGGGGCTCAGTTACAAGGAAAGCCTACCATCAGACTTTCTTGCAGGAACAAATTGATTGCTTTAGTCTGAGATTTAGCAAGGGAGAAATTATGCTGAGTCAATGTGAATAATTTAACCAAGTTACTACTGAAGAGATTTTATGCAAACATATTGCATAAAATCAATATGTATCTAATCATATAGTCATGTTTTCCCTTCTAATAATGTTACATGCTACACAAACTTTCCATTTCCATGTTAAGGTTCTAATCAGCAGTAAAAAATACTGCTTCTCAGAATTGCTGGAAAACTACAGTAAGCTGGCTTGGGAGAGCAGGACTGGAACAAAGGCAAGTCTCCCCCTGGGGATGAACAGAATCAAGCCAGGGCGCGCTAGAGCTGTGTCAGGCTGACTTAGCTTTTTAGTTGTTAGAAACTCAAGTGCTTGGCTTAAAATGCTTAAGAAAGTCAACCCACATTATTATCCACCAGAAAAACTTTCTGGCTTGCCCTAACTCCCCAAATCCCAAATCAAAGCATGAGCACAAGTTCTACAAGAACAGCCCTCTATGCAAACCTCCCAGGGTGGAATCCTAGTTTGATTTACGTAAGAGGGTGTGTAAAGCAACATACCAGTAAGGGCAGATTTGAAAATCCCAGCTCTGACACTCACTCAACTAAATAATTCTCGTAGCTGAACTCAAACTGAACTCAAATGACCTGAATATATTTTAGGTGGAAAGAGTACTTTTTTTTTTTTTGAGACGTGGTCTTGCCCTGTTGCCTGGGCTAGGCTGGAACTCCTGGGCTCAGAGGAGCTTGCATGAAATGATGCCTTTCATTTACAGGCACATGCCACTATGCCCAGCTCCTTTTTTTTTTTTTTTTTTTTTTTGAGACAGGGTCTTGCTTTGTTACCCAGGCGCCAGTGGCACCATCATAGCTCACTGCAGTCTCAAACTCCTGGGCTCAAGGGATCCTCCCATCTCAGCTTCCTGAGTAGCTGAGGCTACAGGTGTGTACCACCATGCCCAGTTAATTGTTTTTATTTTTTGTAGAAATGGGGGCTCACTAAGTTGCCCAGGCTGGTTTTGAGCTCTGGCTTCAAGTGATCCTCCTGCCACGGCCTCTCAAAGTGCTGGGATTACAGGTGTAAGCCACCATGCCTGCTCCCCCCGCCTTTTTTTTTTTTTTTTTTTTTTTTTAAAGAAACAGGTTCTTGCTTTGTTGCCCATGCTGGCCTTGAACTGCTGGACTCAAGCAATCATTCCACGTTAGCTTCCAGAGTAGCAGAAGGAGCAATTCTGAAAAAGCCCAGAGGCTATATATTCTCACCCCAGAGGAGTATGCTTGTGATGTGCTCAGAATAGCTAAAATGGTCTGTGCAGGGACAAGAGTTCCTAAGGGAAAGTGGAATATCTCCCCATCCAACCGCAAGTGGAATAACAAGAAGAACCAGATAGAAAAGCAGCGCACGAGCCCGGGCCAGGCGCAGTGGCCCACACCTGTAATCCCAGCACTTTGGGAGGCCGAGGTGGGCAGATCACAAGGTCAGGAGATCAAGACCATCCTGGCTAACACGGTGAAACCCTGTCTCTACTAAGAAATACAAAAAATTAGCCAGGCGTGGTGGCGGGCGCCTGTAGTCCCAGCTACTCAGGAAGCTGAGGCAGGAGAATGGCGTGAACCCAGGAGGCGGAGCTTGCAGTGAGCCGAGATTGTGCCACTGCACTCCAGCCTGGGCGACGGAGCAAGACTCCGTCTCAAAACAACAACAACAAAAGAAAAGCAGCGCACCAGACTCATGCATGCTTCCATGGGTCACCTGACTTCCCAAACTATCAGCTTTGCAAGAGACATGGGGATTTACTAAGCGTGCAACCCTAGTGAGGATTCAATCCTACATGCTCCTGGGTGAGGTCTAGTTGAGGGCACAACCAGCATAATATGCACTGATTCGGGGATGATCTCCCATTTTAAACTGCAAGTCCAGTTTCAGGAAGACGTGGCCTGACATAAGCCCTAGAGCTGACATTAACTAACTTTTTTTTTTTTTTTTTTTTTGAGACAAAAATCTCGCTCTGTAGCCCAGGCTGGAGTGCAATGGTGTGATCCCGGCTCACCGCAACCTCTGCCTCCCGGGTTCAAGTGATTCTCCAGCCTCAGCCTCCCGAGTAGCTGGGATTACAGGTACCCACCACCATGCCCAGCTAATTTTTGTATTTTTAGTAGAGACAGGGTTTCACCATGTTGGCCAGGCTGGTTTTGAACTCCTGAGCTCAGGTGATCCACCCGCCTTAGCCTCCCAAAGTGCTGGGATTACAGGCATGAGCCACCACGCCCAGCCAGACATTAACTTAAGACTGAAGAGTCCTAGCAATCCAGAGACTTGCAGTGTTCCTATCACTGAGCTGTCGGCAGCACTGTGGATATAAGCCAGGGTGCTCAGTTGGATCTAGGACCTACCTCTCTGCTGTGCACTGGCCCCCAGTCCCTCAGGCCCACTCCACAACTCTCTCCACCTCACTGTCTTCCCCACTGCCAGGTTTTCCCTCCCAGTTCATTTTTTCCAATTAGTACATGCACAAGCTATGCTATTTCCCTTCTTTAAAACAAAAGCCTCTCCTTTACCCCATATCCCCTTCCAGTTACTCCATTTGTCTTTTCCCTTTTACAGAAAAATCTATGAAAGAATTGTTTGTACTGTTTCACCCTCCTCTCCTCCCACTTTCCCTAGAACCTACTCCAATTAGGCACCACTCAAACAAATGCTCCCCTCACCAATGACCTTGCTAGTGTAGAAGCACTCCTGATGCCTCCCTCCATGAGAAGTGAGCCCCATTACTAGAATGTTCCTGTGAGTCTGGAAGGAGCGGTTAGGCATAGACTGCCTGGCCACTTCCTCCCTCTCTCTCAGAACCTCGGCTGCCTTCAGGGGACATATGCGCTGCGTTCCTCTTAACTTCTGCTACTCAAAGAGTGATCCCCACAATGGCAATACTGACATCACTTGGAAGCTTATTAGAAAAGCAGAATCTCAGGCTCCACCCAAGCCCTACTCAATCAGAACCTGCATTTTAGTACGATCCCCAGGGGATTCTGGTGCACAATAAAGTTCAAGAAGCACTGCTCTAAACCGCCTCATTCTGAGGTTCAGCCTTACAAAATAAATCCAGGCCGGGCGCGGTGGCTCACGCCTGTAATTCCAGCACTTTGGGAGGCTGAGGCGGGCAGACCATGAGGTCAGGAGATCGAGACCATCCTGGCTAACATGGTGAAGCCCCGTCTCTACTAAAAATACAAAAAAAAAAATTAGCCGGGCGCGGTGGCGGGTGCCTGTAGTCCCAGCTACTGGGGAGGCTGAGGCAGGAGAATGGTGTGAATCTGGGAGGCGGAGCTTGCAGTGAGCCAAGATGACACCACTGCACTCCAGCCTGGGCGACAGAGCGAGATGCCATCACAAAAAAAAAAGAAAAGAAAAGAAATCCAGTGTTCCCAGATGTAACCACATTTTCTAACAGCAGTTTTATCAGTAATAAGGGTGGTATTTTGGTCTCCCATCTCCCATCGTCTTATTTTTTGTTTCTTAATTGGTTCTGAAATTGGGAAAAATTAGGGTATCCCCTGGCTCCCTCGGACTTCTTACACCTTTCAGTTAACAAAACCTGTGGTCCCTGCTCAGTCCTTCCTGTAACCTATTGGCTGCCCTGGACAAAGCAACCACTTCCTCAGTCTTCCACACTCTCCCTCCACGGCCACTGCTTGTCCTCCTGGCTGGACTCCTCTCTCTTCCTGACCTCCATGTGTTGGAGCGCACCAAGCTCCAAGATCAGTCCTTGGTTCCTGTCAGCCACACACACGCTCCAGGTCTCCTTCCCTGCCTGAGGCTCGATCTGCTATCTTCATGCCGCCAACTCCCAAATGTGTGTCTCCAGCTCCAACCACTCCCCTTGAATCCCGCTAGTCCAGCCAACTGTTTTGTTGACTATACACTTAGGTGCATGTGTTGGCATCTGAAAGTGAACATGACTCAAATCAAATTATTATTATTATTTTGAGACAGTTTCGCTCTCTGTTGCTCAGGCTGGAGTGCAGTGGCGTGATCTCAGATCACTGCAACCTCTGCCTCCTGGGTCCAAGCGGTTCTCCTGTCTCAGCCTCCCAAATAGCTGGGATTACAGGCGCCTGCCACCACGCCCCGCTAATTTTTGTATTTTTAGTAGAGACGGGGTTTCACCATGTTGGCCAGGCTGGCCTCAAACTCCTGACCTCAGGTGATCTGCCCGCCTCGGCCTCCCAAAGTGCTATTTTCTTAACAGTCAGGGTCTCAACTCTGTTGACCAGGCTGGAGTGCAGTGGCAAGATCACAGCTCACTGCAGCTTCCAACTCCTGGGCTCAAGCGATCCTTCTGCCTTAGTCTCCTGGGTATCTGGCACTACTGGCGTGCACCATCATGCCCAGCTAATTTTTAATTGTTTGTAGAGATGGGGTCTCACTACATTGCCCAGGCTGGTCGGTCTCGAAGTCTTGGGCTCCAGTGATCCTCCCACCTTGGCTTCCCAAAGTGCTGGGATTACAGGCATGACCATTCTCAGCTTTTGTTCTACCAATTGTCTTCACCTTAGAAAACTGCAATGCTGTTCTTTTACTCAGGCACTTACCCTTTTAGTTACTTTTCTCCTTTCTCTCCAACAACTCTGCATGAAGTCTCTCAGAAAACTGTTCTAACTTCAAAATGTACCTTGAATCTGCCCATTTCGTCCCACCTATACTCTACTACCTTAGTCTGAGCCACCGTCTCCTCCCCTGGAATACTGGGGTAACAATCTTATTTTGCCCCTTTTTTCCACTTGTCCCTGCCTGAGTACAAAGACTGTTTTCCAGAATGGTCTTTTAAAAATGTAAATAAGCCCCTGTGACTCCTCTGCTCCAAAGCCTTCAATGGCTTCCCATTCACTCTAATGAAATTCCAAGTCCTCACCTAAGCCCTAAATATCCTGGTCCCTGGCTACTTTCTGATGTCTTCTATTGCGCTCCCAGTCCCTGACTCTGTACCAGCGACCTTGCTATTTCTGGAACCTACTGAGGACACTGCTGCCTCAAGGGCTTCATTTCTCTACTTGGAGACCTCTTTGCCCAGGGGTTTGCATGGCTTACCCTATCCTTTCATTCTAGAGTCTGCTCAAATGTGATCTCCGAAGAGAGGCCTTCCCTGACTATGCCATCTAAACATCCCTCGTTCCCATCCCTCTTTCATCCTTTTATTTAGCTGCTTTCCTCCAAAATACTTAGGACCGATGTTGTAAATTTGTTTAAACATTGTCTTCCCCACTGGAATGGGAGGGCACAAGTGCATGGGCTTGCTTTGTTGGCTGCTGAATTACTGCACCCAGCAGCACACCAGGCACAGGGTGGGTACTCAAATATTGGTTGGAACAAATCATTGCTTTTAACCTGAGGGCTGCTCCTCCCTCCCTTCTTCTGTTTCTCCCCAAACACCCAGGACAGTGGCCCCTGCTCATGCTCTGCTCGTGATGAGGGCTTGTTAAATTAAATTGACATGTTCAACTTTTCAAATCCCCATTTACCCTTCCCCACCCAAAAAAACCCAACATGGCCAGGCACGGTGGCTCACGCCTGTAATCCCAGCACTTTGGGAGGCCGAGGTGGGCGGATCACCTGAGGTCAGGAGTTTGAGACCAGTCTGGCCAATGTGCTGAAACCCCGTCTCTACTAAAAATATTTTTAAAAATTAGCCAGGTGTGGTGGCGGGCACCTGTAATTGCAACTACCTGGGAGGCTGAGGAAAGAGAATTGTTTGAACTGGGGAGGCAGAGGTTGCAGTGAGCTGAGATGGTGCCATTGCACACCAGCATGGGTGACAAGAGTCAAACTCCATCTCAAAAAAATAATTATAGGTTGGGCACGGTGGCTCAAGCCTGTAATCCTAGCACTTTGGGAGGCTGAGGCGGGTGGATCACAAGGTCAGGAGCTTGAGACCAGCCTGGCCAACACAGTGAAACCCCTCTCTACTAAAAATAAAATCAGCCAGGCGTGATGGATGCCTGTAATCCCAGCTACTTGGGAGGCTGAGGCAGGGAGAATCGCTTGAACCCGGGAGGTGGAAAGTTGCAGTGAGCCGAGATCATGCCACTGTACTCCAGCCTGGACGACAGAGTGAGACTCCATCTCAAAATAAATAAATAAATAAATAAAATAATAATAATAATAATAATAATAATAATACAAAAATTAGCCACGCATGGTGGCGCACGCCTGTAATCCCAGCTACTCAGGAGTCTGAGGCAGGAGAATCGCTTGAACCCAGGAGGCAGAGGTTGCAGTGACCCGAGATCACATCACTGCACTCCAGCATGGGTGACAGAGCAAGACTCTGTCTCAAAAAGAAAAAAAAAAAAAAAAAGAAGCCAACACAACACTACAGAATTATTGGAAGGCATACAAGGAGGCTTCAGGAGAAAAACAACAAATCTTCTAGCTAAAATAACCACTTACATCTTTGGGAGAAAAGTACTTTCAAAGAAACAGCACCATATTAGCTTTCTTGGTTATATAAAAACCACGATTTTGAATATCAGAAAGGAATACTTAAGCGATGATATCGTGACTTCTGTCTTAGAAAGGTATTATCTTTGCAAATCAAGAAAAGAAATCTTTGTGCAATTACCTTTCAAGGGGTGCAAGAATAAATGCACATCGAGAACCTTCTGATGCACTGGCTGTACCTTTATTATTTTTACCTCGTTCACTAACAGCTCCGTGACGCAAGGTTACCACACACAGTTAGATAGTGTCTGCATTGCACATCTAAGGCTATACAGCAAAAGAATCAGAATTAGTACAAATACAAGAACTATATTTACAGTCTGTATACTCAAGCTCCAAACATCAGATAATATTTACAAAATAAAACATGAAAATGAAAATCCAAAATTAATGTACATTGTTGCTAATGTGCTCAACTCCTTCACGGGGGAGAGATCAGTTTGCAAAGTCTTGGTTCAAAAAGGCCACTTATGCATTATGGGTTTTGTTGTCATGTGTGAGGATGGTGACAAGAGACTTGAAATCTCAACAGACAGGTACTTTAGAGCCACAAAGTCTAAGACGATGCCTTAAATACAAGAAGGCTGAGGGACTCCTCAAGTGAGCTGATGCCAGAATAGGCAGAATGAAAAAAAATGAACTCGAAGACATGAAGAACAACACACAACAGCCACGGTTTGGCAAGAGACCAACCTCAGCTCAGACTTTCCATCTGAGCACAGCCGTTTGGCTATGAGCTTTTTACTGAATTTTATAGCAACTCTGATTTCTTCCTTTAAATGATTGGAGGCTTTTTAAAGATCTTATGGGGCTCAAATACTAACTTCATAAATGGCCTTTTGAATAACAGCAGCAAATAATCTCTCAGCTGATATTTCAATTTACTAAGGAAGCACAAATTAAAACATTCCTGCTACACAGTCATGGTCTGGCCACACACTGGGGTGAATCACTGGCCCTGGTGAACAACTGTAGTGCACACAAGTTAGAGTCCTATGTAAACACATCCAGCAAACCTTCTGGGAGCAGCAGCATCATGAATCTTTTCTTTTTTTTTGAGACGGAGTCCTGCTTTGTCACCCAGGCTGGAGTGCAATGGTGCAGTCTCAACTCACTGCAGCCTCCACCTCCCAGGTTCAAGCTATTCTCCTGCCTCAGCCTCCCAAGTAGCTGGGACTACAGGCACACGCCACCACGCCTGGCTACTTTTTGTATTTTTAGTAGAGACGGGGTTTCACCATGTTGGCCAGGCTGGTCTCAAACTTCTGACCTCAGGTGATCCACCTGCCTTGGCCTCCCAATGTGCTGGGATTACAGGCGTGAGCCACCACACCCGGTTGAATCTTTCAAGAGGCAGGTTAACAATCACATTTTTAAAAGGGAACCGAAAGGAAAACTGAAAGACCTAAGTCAAACAAGCCCTGATACTGTCCATTGGAACCCGAGCGGGACACAGCACGAGGGAAATGCAGAAAGAGTACCGATGAGTGTGCACACTGGAGAATCCTTTCTCTCCAATCCACTGTGCAAGTAAGTATAGCTGGATAAATATACATAGACCTGACAAAATTAAATATCCCTGTAAATTAGACAATAAGCAGCAGGCAACAAAGTCTTTGCTTTGGAATATGTGCCAGGAAAAGTCATCTTGTTTTTAGATCTCAAGAGACAGTTCACAATGACTTAGTTCCTTCATCTGAAATGAGCTGAAAAATCCATAAAAAATAGGAGAGTTGTCTGAAGTCTATGTGACTGAAGGGAAAAAATATATAATAGTGGTTTCTTAGTTGGGAAACTCACTCCATTGCCCCTTGCCGTCAGCACGTTTAACAACGAGCTGGGGCTCAGGTGCCCGGCCACTGCCACAAGCACCCCTTGCCTGTGCTCCTGACTAGCGCATGGGCTGGCTGGCCCTGCACAGTCCTGGCCTGAGCGCTGACTGACTCCCAGGAGGGCACACAGACACAGAGAGGGTCTGAGCACTGATTTGGGGCTGGTGGTGAGGCCATATTTTGCTTTGATGGGAGAAAGGAGGATGAGAGACAGAGGAGGAGGTGATTAGTATTAACTAGCACTTATTTCTCTGAATTTGCCTAAGAATTCTCTTTCCTGCCTTTTAAAGTTTTTGCTTATTTAAAGGCGTGCTTTAAGAAAATACATAAAGGTGGTTTCCTTAAGGGCTATGTTTCTTAACTTTCCCGCCACAACAGCAACAACTAGAGCCTCATAAACAGTTCCTGCCACAAATCTCTCACAGCCTCACAGTGGGGATGGTTCTGTCGGGCAAGGGAGCACCCACCCTGGACGTGCTGGGGACCAGCAAAGGCTGTCTGCACCTGCCAGCCGCAGCAGGGGCGCCCCAGAGGGTGAAGAGCACGCAGGACACGACCACTCTGCTCCCTCTGGCTCCCTAAGAGGCCTTCTTATTCAGGCACGCTATGAACAGACAGTCCAGTTTGGCCTGTTCTAATGTCTGACGCTTCCAAAGCAAAGACTTTCCAAACCAGTTTTGTATGAGTTAGAAGAAAAACAAAAGTCATTTCAGTGTATCACATAATTTCACTCTCTCTCAGGCTTCCCACCGTCCTGTGTCACAGACATGGATCCTCTGTCACACTCTGTAACAGCAGCATCAATGACTTAATTTTAAAAGTGACCTTCAAATTCCATCTTCATTTCCCTGAAATTAGATTTGATTCCAGTCCAGGCAGCCATCTCTAAGCACCGACAGATCCTGCTGGTTTGAATAGAACCGGAAGGGCATATTGTGTCCATCAGACAATGAAACTTCTAACTACATTAGAAAATCTCACATACCACTTAGAAAACAAATAACATCACAGTTAGTGACCTATGTTTTAACAGGAAGAAGAAAGTTAAAAAAAAAATCCGCCATAGAGTTTCCGCGGGTCACTTTTCAGGTGCAGACGCAGCCTGTGATTCTATCCTTTCCTTTCTCTCTCCGTGATTCACTTTTCCTCCTCTTCACAATGCAGTGATAAGGAGCGAAGCTGGGAGACCTGTTCTTCAGAGATGAGCCCAACCAGGAAGTGAGAAACAAGGTTGTGGATGATGACACAAGTCTCCCTAGCAACAACTCTGCAGAGGCGCGCAAGCCCCTGGCCTTTGCTGCGTGAAGCGGGAAGTCATCCAGCTGCCTAACGCCTGAGAGTCAGCAACCTCAAGGCCGAGGACTCACCAAGTGGGAGTGAGCAGATACTTTCCTGAATGCCTGAGCAATGGTGAAACAGAGAGGTCTGAGCAAGGGAAGTAAAGGATGGTGTAAAACAATCCCAAGACAACTGGCAAAGCAACTGAAGTCACTGGAGGCTTTCTTTTTCCCCTCTCATCCTGGAAAACTTACTGGCAGCTGAAAGAGACAGACTTATCTTCTCTGATGATCTCGGAAGCCAGATGACCTGGTCTGTCAGAAGGAAAGAAGACTGTCCACAGTGAGCTTCCTCCTTTCTCCCTGGGCAGTGTTTCCACACCAGATGGAGAGGAGCAGGGAACACGCAACAAAGCCTGGGGCCCGGGCTCCCTGGACGTTCATCCGTGCCCCTAGGCATATTGTGTTTTGTTTGGAGTAGTGGTCACGGTTAGTTTTAATCCTGGGATCCAGAAAGCAAAGCCTGCCACATTTGCTTATTTATGAGTATAGAGAGCATCACTGAAAGCATCTTCAACCTGACAAGCATCAATGAAAACAACTGCTGGATTCAGAGGGAGACTTCCAGGTTTATGCCTGAAAGCTATATTTCTTTGATCAAAGGGAGCTGTAACAATCACAAGGTCACTACCCAGCATTATTATTTTTTTTTTTTTCTGAGGCAGAGTCTTGCTCTGTCACCCAGGCTGGAGTGCAATAGCGCGATCTTGGCTCACTGCAACCTCTGCCTCCTGGGTTCAAGCAGTTCTCCTGCCTCAGGCTCCCAAGCAGCTGGAATTACAGGCATGTGCCACCATACCCGACTAATTTTGTATTTTTAGTAGAGACGGGGTTTCATCATATTGGCCAGGCTGGTCTTGAACTCCTGATCTCGTGATCTGCCCGCCTCGGCCTCCCCAAGTGCTTGGATTACAGGCGTGAGCCACTGTGCCCGGCCTGCCCGGCATTATCTTAATCATAACAATGACCATCAAGTTTATCACCAGAAAGTGAAACACTCCCGCCTTGTGGAACATTTGTGTATGACATGGCACTAATTCCAACTGTACCACCACCATCACTAATGCCAAAAGCAGAACTGAGACACTCCTAGAAAAGAGCTTCCCTCCCAACAGAGAAAAAACAGTGGGCAGGAATCCTGCTGTGAGGAGCTACAAGCATCCCACCGCCTGCTGCCATCACGGCCCACGGCCAAACCCTGGGGTCCCCTGAAGTCCACCAGAAGCATCCTTGGCATTTCCCTTCACACAAAGTCAAGAGCAGCCACTGTCCCAGGCCCACTGAAAAAGCCTCTCGTCTCCTCTCTACCAGTAAATAAAAATTCCATAATTATGCCGTAAAAAGCCCCAACTTTGACTCAGAATATAACTGTTGCAGTTCTATGCTCACTACCACCTTTTCCCTGAATGGAAATGCAGGGATTAGCCATGGCAAAAAGAGACAGAGGGGAAAAAAAGACTCTTTTTTTCCTCTCAGGTTCTAAAAAGGCCAGATGTCTCCTCCCTTAGTCTCTAAGCCACCCAAGAAAAATTAAAGTGATATCACAAACAGAGAAAAGAAAAAAAAAGTATGTTGTCTTGAAAAACAAAGGTGCCTGGTGACAGCAGCACAGACATCAGAGGTGGTCATGATGGGGACCTATCATACAAAAGGAAGCCAAAGTACACCCACAATAATTTGGAGATTCACCAGATCCCCTCAGAGTTTTTGTGTTTTTGTCTGTGTATGTGTGTGTGTGTGTGTGTGTGTGTGTGTGTGTTTAAAAACATTTTTTCCTTTTGTTAGGCCACATGCTACTAACGAGATTCTCAGCACAAGAAAAAAGAAAAGAGTACAGAGCAATGGAGATGGGGAACGGGAGAGCTAGAAAAGTGCTGGACAAGGAGGGAGAAGTAGTTAAGCCACAGGATTACATACAAGAGTCACCGTCAAGAATCACAAAGAGAAATGAGAGGTAACGCTTTCTTTATCTCTCGAAGGCGAGTGAGGGCACTCGGCAGAGTCACTTAGTATTTCGACTGGCTCGGGCATCTGCGGGAAAGCTTTGACCTATGGGGGACAAACGGGGAGGTAGGATTAGAAGTCTGGGTACAAGTCTTGTCCCCTCACAGTCCTCTCCCTCTGAGGCTCCCTCCTGGAGCATCTTCCTATTTGGCACCGCAGGCCTAGTCCTCTAAGCCGTCTACTCCGGGACCCTGTGACACAAGCCCTCAGAACGTGAGGCTGAATCACAGGGCTGGAGGTTGGGAGACCATTAAGGTTCTCACTGTCCTCCCTTTACTCTCTCCCCTGAGCCCCATCTTTAGAACTCTTGAGAACAAAAAGACAAAGAAGGAAAATAATTGGTGCACATGTGTGACCAGAGTATCCCTGGTGGTTCAGAACATGACAATGCCTTACAAGATGCAGAGGCCTCATTACCACCCCACAACCAATTTACACTCCTGTCCTTCCTCTCTTTTAAATTTATTTTGAAAAATACTTCCTTTCAAGCCAGATGTGGTGGCTCACGCTTGTAATCCCAGCACTTTGGGAGGCCGAGGAGGGTGGATCACCTGAGGTCAGGAGTTCAAGACCAGCCTGGCCAACATGGTGAAACCCCATCTCTACTAAAAATACAAAAAAAAAAATTAGCTGGGTGTGGTGGCGGGCACCTGTAATCCTAGCTACTCAGGAGACTGAGGCAGGAGAATGGCTTGAACCTGGGAGGTGGAGGTTGCGGTGAGCCGATATCATGCCACTGCACTCCAGCCTGGGCCACACAAGAGCAAAAACTCCATCTCAAAAAAAAAAAAAAAAAAAAAAAACAAGAAAAGAAAAAAGAAAAGAAAAATTCTTCCTTTCCTATTTATCCTGATATTCCTGAAGCCAAAAGCCAAAGAGAGAAAGAAAACACAGAACAACTTCTAGGCTGGGTGCAGTGGCTCAGGCCTGTAATCCCAGCACTTTGGGAGGCTGAGGTGGGTGGATTACTTGAGGTCAGGAGTTTGAGACCAGCCTGGCCATTGTGGTAAAACCCCGTCTCTACAAAAAATACGAAAATTAGCCAGGCAATGGTGGCACGTGCCTGTAGTCTCAGCTACTGGGGAGGCTGAGTCAGGAGAATCGCTTGAACCAGGGGGCGGAGGTTGCAGTGAGCCAAGACCAAGCCACTGCACTTCAGGGAGAAAAAGTGAGACTCCGTCTCAAAAACAACAACAACAACAACAAAACTTCTTACCGTATTGTGCCAGCTAGAAGTGGGTTGAAGGCATACAACCAGTCGTTCATGTCTTTGTCATTGAGGGCCTGCAAAAGGACCCCACGGTGCTTTGTGCAGACAGCAAAGGTGTTTGGTGTCTGAAAGAAAAATGCAGGTAGACAAGAAAGTTACTACAGAGACAGCAATGGGGACTGCCTTGCCATATTCCCAAGGCATATAGCACTTCACAAAGGAAGTTCAAAACCAGAGAGAATAGGGAAATTTCACACCACGTAACAGAGAGTGCAGAAATCAAAAGAGAAGGGCACACGTGGCAATAAGAAACCAAGGCAGGGCAGGACGGACCTTCACCATGGCCTGCTGGTCCTCACTGTACTCCACCTGTGCTGTGGACAGGTTAATGATTCCACGCTCCACAGGGTCTTTGTCACTGTTATAGATGAAGACATAAGGCCGACGGACGACAACAAAATGTTTAGCCCAGTTACTGTAAAGAGGCTCCTTGAAATGAAGGTATCCTTTCTTAGAGACCACTGAGCTAAAAACGACAATATGACAAAAGTTAGTTTCTCACAAAAAGAAAATAATCGTGCTGAGGACCATCAAAATACGCCACACTTAGGCCAAGTCCTTAGATTCGATGAAACAGGCAAATGACCTATTTGGCCTAGAATCTTATCTGCCAAAGTAATACGGCAAAAGCGAAACCGTGCCATGGCAACATGCTGCGCCAGGGTGCAGATGCATTATGAGACCCAACTGGAGAAACCCAGGCTGGCCCTCTCACCCCAGACTCAACTTGCATCAGACTACAGTACAGATTGCATCAGACTACAGTACAGACCTCACAGGGAAGAGCTGGCCAGTCACTTCTTCCTGTGGATTTGTTTTTTATAGCTGGCATTCCTGCTCAATATAGTACTCACCTTGGTCTAATTTCTTCAATATCTGGAACAAGATTGAGAAATTCGTTTTTTCCTGCTCGGGCCAAATATGGTGTTTCCACAGCTGGGACAATCTGAAACTGTTCAAATTCTGGGCAGGGACTAGAGGCCCGGGAATTGGCTTCTGGGGTCCTTTAAAATAGAGAGATTAGAAAGAAAAGGGTAACAAGAGAATCAGTTACAATCAAGGCATACTGAGTACTGTTTCACTGGGAGGAACACAATGGCCCTCCCTAAACCCCAGCTGCAAACTTGAGTTGCAGAGAGCTCAGCTGAGGAGACAAGCTGGCTTCAGAAAGTTAACTCTGCGTTCAACTGGTGTCATCCTTCTGAAGTTATGAAAGGAAATTGATCATTGATGGCCACTGGGTCACACAATCTCTCTGCCTATATTAAAGCCCTCTGAACACATTATCTGGAATAGGAACTCTACTCCTTTATATGTTTCTTTTTAGTCCCATGGCCACACCAAAAGCGATGTTTCTCAAAGTGTGCTCCCAGCCAGCAGCATCAGCTTCACCTGGGAAACTGTTCAAAAACTCAAATTTTTAGACTCCAAGCCAGACCTACGGAACGAGAAACTTTGGGTGGGGTTGAGCCATGGGGGCTTCAACAAGCCTCCCAGGGGATGATGATGTACACTGAAGTCTCAGAGGCCCACTGCCTTAGAAAATGGCAGAAAAAGCAAACAAATGGGAAGACCCAGGGTTCCTGAACGGCTGTGCAGAGAAGACCTGCACCACTGACCTGGACCTGGACCAGCCCTCTTGACTACTGTGTGAGAAATAAATTCCTATACTCTGTATTGCTAGATATCTTTGTAGAGTAACATAGCATTGTATCTCACTAAATCTAAAAAGCCCATTTTAACTTTTTCTCATACTTCATTCTTTTTTTTTTTTGAAATCAAGTTAGCCAGGTGCAGTGGCTCACACCTGTAATCCCAGCACTTTGGGAGGCCGAGGTAGGCAGATCACCTGAGGTCAGGAGTTTGAGACCAGCCTGACCAACATGGCGAAACCCCGTCTCTACTAAAAATACAAAAATTAGCTGGGCGTGGTGGCAGGCCCCTGTAATCCCAGCTACCCAGGAGGCTGAGGCACGAGAATTACTTGAACCCGGGAGGCAGAGGTTGCAGCACTCCAGCCTGGGCGACAGAGTGAGACTCTGTCTCAAAAAAAAAAAAAAAAGGCCGGCGCAGTGGCTCACGCCTGTAATCCCAGCACTTTGGGAGGCTGAGGCTGGCAGATCATGAGGTCAGGAGACCAAGACCATCCTGGCTAACACGGTGAAACCCCATCTCTACTAAAAATACAAAAAATTAGCTGGGTGTGGCCGGGTGCAGTGGCTCACGCCTGTAATCCCAGCACTTTGGGAGGTCGAGGCGGGTGGATCATAAGGTCAGCAGTTTGAGACTAGCCTGACCAAAATGGTGAAACCCGATCTCTACTAAAAATAAAAAAAAAAATAGCTGGGCATGGTGGCGGGTGCCTGTAATCCCAGCTACTTTGGAGGCTGAGGCAGGAGAATCACTTGAAGCTGGAAGGTGGAGGTTGCAGTGAGCCAAGATTGCACCACTACACTCTGGCGTGGGCAACGAGAGCAAAACTCCATCTCAAAAGTAAATAAATAAATAAAATAAAATAAAAAATTAGCTGGGTGTGGTGGCGGGCACCTGTAGTCCCAGCTACTCGGGAGGCTGAAGCAGGAGAATGGCGTGAACCTGGGAGGCGGAGCTTGCAGTGAGCCGAGATTGCGCCGCTGCGCGCCAGCTTGGGTGACAGCTCTGTCACCCAAGCTGGCGCGCAGCGGCGCAATCTCGGCTCACTGCAACCTCCGCCTCCCAGGTTCAACCAATCTTCCTGCCTCAGCCTCCCCAGTAGCTGGGATTACAGGTACATGCCCCTATGCCTGGCTGATTTCTTGCTCTGTCACCCAGGCTGGAGTGCAATGGTGCAACCATGGCTCATTGCAGCCTCAACCTCCCGGGCTCAAGCAATCCTCCCATGTGAGCCTCCTGAGTAGCTGGAACCGCAGGCGCATGCCATCATGTCCAACTATTTTATTTATTTTTTGTAGAGATGGGGGTCTCCCTATGTTGCCCAGGCTGGTCTCAAACTTGTGGGCTGAAGCAATCCTCCCACCTCAGCCCCTGAAAGTGCTGGGATTACAGGTATGAGCCACTGCACTCAGCCACCATTTCTTAAATTGGGATTCATCTTATAATTGATGGCATGCTTAAGTTAGTTGTCAGTGCTTTTTCTTCTTCTCTTAGTGGCACAGAATAGTCCCTACAGTCTGTGGCATCCTAAATTTAATGAAATTACCTGGTTGTGTTATTTTCTCCAGCCACCTTTGCCTGTGTCAGTGTTGGTACAATAAGATAGACAGGTGGATGATAACCAGGTGAGCATAATTGATGGAGATGCACAAGAGGGTGTGTTGCAAAGAACGGATTATGATGATGAATCATGGACTCTAGACTACATTTGTCTTTTTTTTATTTTTTTTAGGGACAGGGTCTTGCTCTGTCGCCCAGGGTGGAATGCAGTGGTGCAATAATAAAACCTCACTGCAACCTTGAACTCCTGGATTCAAGCGATCCTCCCACTTCAGCCTCCCGAGTAGCTGGGACCACAGGCACAGACCACCACGCCTGGGTATCTTATTTATTTTTTGTAGAGACAGCATATCGCTATGTTGCCCAGCCTGGTCTCGAACTCCCAGCCTCAAGCAATCCTCCTGCCTTGGCATCCGAAAGTGCTGGGAGCCACCTCACCTGGCCTTGTCTTTATTTTTCTTACCTACATAATTTGCTGTGGAATCAAAATATTTTTTTCCAAAACAGTTTCAAAATATTTTTCCCAAGATAGCACTTCCTATGTCTGGTATTATGACTGGGGAGACAAGCAGGGGTAGGAATGGAGGATAAAACTAGCAGAAAGGGATGAAGAAGACAGTCATGATGAGTTGATGATGCAGAAGGTTAGTAAGCTATGATGTGAAGAGATGCCAGTAGCTAGCACCTCTCCAGTCACTGTGATAGCCAAAAAGGCTCCCACACATTTCCAAATGCTGCCTAGGGAGAAGGTGCTGCCTTCAGTCAAGAACCATTGAGCTAGAGGAAGGTTGACATTTACCTTGGTTCTTAGATTGACTTCTCTCAGTGAAATCTGGGTACTTACTTCTGATCCAGAGAGTTGCTCCTAGAGTCTACCAGAGAGGGACAGGTGGAGGAGGGAGTGAGGGTGGCACTGCTGAAACTGGACTCAGAGGGATCCCGTCCAATTGGAGAGATATCAGACAACTGGAAGCAAACCGAACACTACAAGTTACATTCAGCTGAAAAAAGCTGCCTCTACAGTAACAATAGGGAGTTTCAACAACCAGAACCTCACTTTGATACATCTTGTTTCAGAAGGTCATTTAAGAAAACAAGCCTATACATAATTTATCAATAAATAAATACATAGGTAAAATTTTAAGAGACAAGGCCTTGCTCTATTGCCCAGGCTGGAGGGCAGTGATGCAATCCTAGCTTCCTGTGGCCTCCAACTCCTGGGCTCCAGCGATCCTCCTGTGCCCTGGCTTCCTGAGTACCTGGGACTACAAGCGTGTACCACCACAACTGGTGAAAATATTTTCAAAAAAGAAAAAAAACAAGCCTACAAATATTTTACGGCCTAAGTGCCACACCAGGAATCAAGACATTTATAAAAGGGGCAAGGTTGGTTTTTTATGTTCCTACTGCCCTCCTGCATTATTATTATTGTTGTCATTATTATTATTATTATTATTATTATTTTCTTTCTCGAGATAAGGTCTTGCTATGTCTTCTTCTTCTTCTTCTTCTTATTATTATTATTATTATTATTTTCTTTTTCGAGATAAGGTCTTGCTATGTCTACCAGGCTGTAGTGCAGTGGTGCGATGTTGGCTCACTGTAGCCTCAGCCTCCAGGACTCAAGTGATCCTCCCATCTCAGCTTCCTGAGTAGCTGGGACTACAGGTGTACACCACCACACCCAACTAATTTTTGTATTTTTTTGTGGAGATGGGGTTTTTGTCATGTTGCCCAGGCTCGTCTTGAACTCTTGGCCTCAAGAGATCCATCGACCTTGACCTCCCAAGCTGGCAGGATTACAGATGTGAGCCACTGTCACTGGCCTCTCCTGCATTATCTTTATTTATTTTTGGAGAGACGAAGTCTCGCTCTGTCACCCAGACTGGAGTGCAGTGGTGCGATCTTGGCTCACCGCAACCTCCACCTCCCAGGTTCAAGCAATTCTGCCACAGCCTCCTGAGTAGCTGGGATTACAGGCATGTGCCACCACGCCCGGCTAATTTTGTATTTTTAGCAGAGACAGGGTTTCTCCATGTTGGTCAGGCTGGTCTCAAACTCCCAACCTCAGGTGATCCGCCCACCTCGGCCTCCCAAAGTGTTGGGATTACAGGCATGAGCCGCCATGCCTGGCCCATTATTTTGGGGGTTTTTTTGTTTTTTGTTTTCTTTTTGAGGCGGAGTTTCACTCTTGTTGCCCAGGCTGGAGTGCAATGGCACGATCTTGGCTCACTGCAACCTCCACCTCCCAGGTTCAAGCGATTCTCCTGCCTCAGCCTCCTGAGTAGCTGGTATTACAGGCATGCGCCACCATATCCGGCTAATTTTGTATTTTTAGTAGAGATGGGGTTTCTCCATGTTGGTCAGGCTGGTCGCAAACTCCCGACCTCAGGTGATCTTCCCGCCTTGGCCTCCCAAAGTGTTGGGATTACAGGCATGAGCCACCGCAGCCAGCCCCCCAGTCCGTTATCATTAAGAGACAAAAAAATACTGTCACACAGGCTGGGGTGCAATGGCACAATCATACCTCACTGCAGCCTCAAACTCCTGGGCTCAGGCAATCCTGCCTTGGCCTCCTGAGTAGCTAGGACTATAGGTGTGTACCACCACATTTGGCTAATTTTTCAAAAATTTTTTTGTAGAGATAGGGTATTTGTGCTATATTGCCCAGGCTGGTCTCAACCTATTGGCCTCAAGCGATCCCCTCATCTTGGCCTCCCAAAGTGCTGGGATTACAGGTATGCACCACCACACCCAGCCCCTGAATTAATATAAGTGGTATTACAGTGGTGCACCTTCCATGTACTAGGCATTGTTCTAATAATATGGCAGAGGATCTGCCTCCCTGGAGCTTAAGACAGACAATAAACCACTCAACAAACACTTTAAAAAGCATCAGGTAGTAATTAGTGCTATAGCAAAAAATAAAGCAGGAAAGAGGTGTAGGTAGAAAGTTTCAGACAGCTGTCAGATTTATTATCAGGTGTTAACAGAGTCGACTCACAGGAGGTGATAATGGAGTAGAAAAATGAAAGAGGTAAGGGAGCCAACCATGGCAATACCTGGAGAAAGGCAATTCCAGGCAAAGAAATAGTAGGTGTGCAAAGACCCCAAGGCAGGAATGAGCCGGGAGGGTTTAAGGTCAAGCTGACTAGAATTGAGTGAATAACACAGAAATTCTCTGAAGTGTTTACTTCACTCTTTGTTGAAGTCAATAAAACTTTATGCCACCAGGAACCTCAGGGTTTCCTTGTACCCTGGCAAAGAATAACATACCACCTCCCCATAGAATATTCTCCTCCAAAGGAGTCATGAAAAAGCCAAAATGTTTCCCATCTGATAATCACTCTAAGAGACACAAAGGAGTACTTTTATCTTCAGAAGTCAGTGTTCGGACTCTGAAAAATTAGAATGAATACCAGAGCAGTATGTCATAAATTTTCAAATACAATGCTATGCCCATGACAAGTTGCTTAAAAGCAGCAAAAACCAGGAATAGGTAATCTGGGCTGCTGTGGAGAAATCAGTTATCAACATACTGGCTAAAAATTACAGTCAATGTGCTCACCTTACAGTCACTGACGCTGCCGTGCACCTGGCTGAATTCTCTGTTGAAAGTGTGGGTGAGAAGTTGCAGGCACTAAAGAAGAGAAAGAGAAGTGCAAGCTGAACATAAAATGTCAACAGCCAGGAGCCTTGGGATAGCTGACCACGTGGAGGCTCCTGAAGGGCTGAGTTCCCGGGGAGGGCATGGAAGCTCCACATCTCCTCTCCCTATGCATTCGTCCATCTGCCGTTCATTGGTCTCCTTTGCACTGTCCTTTCTAATAAATCAGTAAATTTAAAAACAAACAAACAAAAACCTC
This sequence comes from Homo sapiens, assembly GCF_000001405.40. Lineage (NCBI taxonomy): Eukaryota > Metazoa > Chordata > Mammalia > Primates > Hominidae > Homo > Homo sapiens. Next base: position 10,368,240 of record NC_000001.11, on the reverse strand, counting down.
AATGACTAAATGAAGCCCTGGATACAAGGCAGGAGGGGAAATAACATGTCCTAAACCCACAGTGCAGCTCCGATGTTGCCCAAACAGCTCTAGAAATTAGAACTAAGTATATAGTAAGGGAAGTTCTATGTATGTCTAATAAAGATAAAGCAAGTGGCTTAAAAAAACCTTTCTCAAGATTACCAAAGTGAATTACTAAAAACACCATGGTTCTGGCTGGGTGTGATGGCTCATACCTGTAATCCCAGCACTTTGGGAGGCTGAGGCAGGTGGATCACGAGGTCAGGAGATCGAGATCATCCTGGCCAACATGGTGAAACCCCATCACTACTAAAAATAAGAAAATTAGCTGGGCGTCATGGTGGGCACCTGTAATCCCAGCTACTCGGGAGGCTGAGGAAGGAGAATCACTTGAACCCGGGAAGTGGAGGTTGCAGTGAGCTGAGATCATACCACTGCACTCTAGCCTGGCAGCAGAGTAAGACTCCATCCCCTCTCCAAAAAACAAACAAACAAACAAAAAAAACACCTACAAAAAATGAGCTGGGCATGGTGGTGCACACCTGTAATCCCAGCTACTCAGGAGGCTAAGGCAGAAGAACCGCTTGAACCTGGGAAGTGAAGGCTGCAGTGAGCCGAGATCGCACCACTGCACTCCAGCGTGGGCCACAGAGCAAGACTCCATCTCAAAAAAAAAAAAAATTTAATAAAGATAAAAATAAAAAATAAAAACATCATAGTGATCTCTTGACCTCACAATCCGCCCACCTCAGCCTCCCAAAGTGCTGGGATTACAGGCGTGTGCCACCGCACCCAGCCACCTCTGCCTTCTTTAAAAAACTTTTATCTGGCTGGGCGTCCACACACCTGTAATCCTAGCACTTTGGGAGGCTGAGGCGGGTGGATCACCTGAGGTCAGGAGTTCAAGACCAGCCTGGCCAACATGGTGAAACTCTGTCTCTACTAAAAATACAAAAATTAGCCAGGTGTGGTGGCACATGCCTGTACTCCAAGCTACTTGGGAGGCTGAGGAAGGAGAATCGCTTGAACCTGGGAAGTGGAGGTTGCAGTGAGCCAAGATCATGCCACTGCATCCCAGCCTGTGTGACAGGAGTGAGACTCCATCTCAAAAAAAATAAAATTTTAAAAAGCTTTTATCATTTCTCATCAGATTACTGTAATAAAGATAAAGAATTCTCCCTTCCTCAGTGTATCTCTTCACCATCAATCCATTCTCTTTATTGCTGCCAGAGAAATATATATATTTTTTGAGATGGTGTCTCACTCTGTTGCCCAGGCTGGAGTGCAGTGGCGCGATCTCGGCTCACTGCAGCCTCCGCCACCTGGGTTCAAGCGATTCTCCTGCCTCAGCCTCCTTAGTAGCTGGGACTACAGGCGCACGCCACCACGTTCGGCTAATTTTTGTATTTTTAGTAGACACGGGGTTTCACCATGTTGGCCAGGATGGTCTCAATCTCCTGACCTTGTGATCCACCTGCCTCGGCCTCTCAAAGTGGTGGGATTACAGGCGTGAGCCACCGCCCCTCGCCAGAAATCTTTCTAAAACACAAATACCTGTTTAACATATTTCTGCCTTGCTCCCATCATCCACTCTAAACTCTTCAGTGCAGTATACAAGATTCTTCACTCCACACCTCCTGTTCCAGTCCCACGTGAATTCCCCAAGACTGATCATGCAGGACACCACTGCCTCCCTCCTGATCACGCAGGACACCGCTGCCTCCCTCCTGATCACGCAAGACACCGCTGCCTCCCTCCTGATCACGCAGGACACCACTGCCTCCCTCCTGATCACGCAGGTGTCGACACTGCTGCCTCCCTCCTGCGCATCCTTTCAAGGTCAGCTCATGAGCTCCCCACCATAGACACTTCTCCTCTGACTCCCATAGCATTTGAAACACACATCTCTATTATATGCTTGTGACCTAATATTCTGCAACCTTTATATTTTTTAATTTTTTAATTTTTTATTATTTTATTTTATTTTTTGAGATGGAGTGTCACTCTGTCGCTCAGGCTGGAGCACAGTGGAGCTATCTCGGCTCACTGCAATCTCCGCCTCCTGGGTTCAAGCAATTCTCCTGCCTCAGCCTCCTGAGTAGCTGGGATTACAGGCGCTCGCCACCACGCCTGGCTAATTTTTGTATTTTTAGTAGAGACAGGGTTTCACCATGTTGGCCAGGCTGGTCTCGAACTCCAGACCTCAGGTAATCCACCTGCCTCAGCCCTGCAAAGTGCTGGGATTACAGGTGTGAGCCACCATGCCTGGCCTAATTTTTGTTTTTGTAGAGACAAGGTCTCACTATGTTAGCCTGGGCTTGTCTTTAACTCCTGGGCTCAAGCAATCCCTTTGCTTCAGCCTCCCAAAGTGGTGGGATAATAGGCATCAGGCACTGTGCCTGGCCCTGTAAGCTTGTTGAGGGTAGGAACTGCGTCTTTTTATTTCTACATTCACAGTATTATCACAGGCCTTCAAACACCTCGAACAAAGGTGTTGAAAATGAATAAACCGAGAGGCTAGTTTGTGGAGCCTTGTGGGAAGACGTTCAGCAAAGAGGAAGGGATTCACACCTTGGTAGCCAGCTCTTTCTCTCGGTCCACCAGGCTTTCGATGTCTCCTGAATCATAGCCACTGCTCTCGCTAGGTGTGATGGCGCTTTCAAAGGTAGTGGTTGAGATCTGAGAGGAGATACTGGTGGAGGTGCTGAGGGTCCCACTGCTGAGGCTGGGGGATAACGAGTCGCTCAGGGATTTGGGGATGCTGTCACCAAGTCTCTCACGCAGCAGCAAAAAGTGGCGGGTTTTTTCCACCTGAGAAGATCAATACTACTGCTATAGCAAACACAAAGCTCGTTAAGACCTCAGGAGAGAAAAGTGAAAAGCTATGATCACATGCAGCAGCGGGGAGGAAGACTGATACTTTGGCAATCTTGTCCGAGAGTTCTTGCATCTGAACAACCCTGCCCCTGGATACCTCATGTAGGAGCTCCAGCTTCTCCAGCTCCCACTGGTGCTCAAGGATGAGGCTGTCTCCACGGGGCCGCCAGCCTGCTAAGTTCTCTTCTCCCCGCACATATGCCACTGACGTATCTAAGATTTTTCTTCTCCTTCTCTGCATACCTAAGACAAGAGGAAACAAGTTTTTGTTTCAGAAAAAAAATTCAATTCCAAGTTTAGGTCAAAACGAATTAATAATTCTTTTTTTTTTTTTTTTGAGATGGAGTCTCGCTCTGTTGCCCAGGCTGGAGTGCAGTGGCGTGATCTCAGCCCACTGCAAGCTCCGCCTCCTGGGTTCATGCCATTCTCCTGCCTCAGCCTCCCGAGTAGCTGAGACTACAGGTGCCCGCCACCATGCCCAGCTAATTTTTTGTATTTTTAGTAGAGACCGGGTTTCACTGTGTTAGCCAGGATGGTCTCGATCTCCTGACCTCGTGATCCACCTGCCTCAGCCTCCCAAAGTGCTGGAATTACAGGCGTGAGCCACCGCGCCTGGCCACGAATTAATAATTCTTATACGTAGCAAACTAAGACAGTTTGGTCTGAAGATATATGGGATTTTGTTTAAATAGCAAAGCAACTGAACGTTTTTAAAAACTGAGTTTTACATTCTTTGATAATTATGAAGACTGGGATGCAATTTAAGAAAATGATAAAATTATGATGTTAGGTGAAAATGCAGAAATATTAAATAGTCTGTAGTAGTCTATACACTATGGGGCCGGGCGTGATGGCTCACGCCTGTAATCCCAGCACTTTGGGAGGCTGAGGTGGGCTATCATCTGAGGTCAGGAGTTCGAGACCAGCCTGGCCAACATAGTGAAACCCCATCTCTACTAAAAATACAAAAATTAGCTGGGCATGGTGGTGGGTGCTTGCAAACCCAGCTACTCAGGAGGCTGAGGCAGGAGAATCACTTGAACCCAGGAGGCAGAGGTTGCAGTGAGCCAAGATGGCGCCACCACACTCCAGCCTGGGTGACACAGCGAGACTCTGTCTCAAAAAAAAAAAAAAAAAAAAAAGATCCTGTCCCTAAAAATAAAAATTTTTAAAAAGACGGAAGGGAATACACACACACATACACACACTCAGTAGCTCACTGGCTGACAGATGACAGAGAACTTTAGCCTCTATTATTTCCTGTTAATTTTTTTTAGTATTATGCTGGTTTTACATATTAAATACATGAATTTATATTAATTAAAAAAATTCCTCAAGAAACTATCTGGATAGTATAATAATTAGGTGCTACTTGGATTCATACTCAAAGTCTTCTTTACTTATCTAAGTCTTGCCTGTGGGCCCTGACTTGTTTTCCATGTATATTCTGTAAAATGACTCAAACTCACATTAATCAAATGCTATTAGAAAACCTTAACTTTTGTTCATGTTTCGGTTTACAAACATAGAAATGCTAAGTGCTGCTTAACTCCGCCTAGCTAGAGGAACAAGAGCAGTTTAAAAACACATTAAAAAGAATACAGAACAAATCTGACTTAATAATTTGATTTTTTTTTCTTTTTCTTTTTTGAGACTGAGTCTCACTCTGTCACCTAGGCTGCAGTGCAGTGGCACAATCTCGGCTCACTGTAACCTCTGCCTCCCAGGTTCAAGCAATTCTCATGCCTCAGCCTCCTGAGTAGCTGGGATTACAGGCACGCGCCACCACACCTGGCTAATTTTTGTATTTTTGGTAGAAAGGGGGGCTTCACCATGTTGGTCAGGCTGCTCTTGAACTCCTGGACTCAGGTGATCCACCCGCCTTGGCCTCCCAAAGCGCTGGGATTACAGGTGTGTGCCACCGTGCCCAGCCTAAATACAGGATACTTGAAACATACACAAAGATAACTATCACCTCCTCAATCCACAAGAGCTTACCTGGACTACCTGTGTCTGACATTTTGCATAAGCTGAGTTCGTAAATGCCAGTGACTCGATTCCTATTTGAAGAAAATAAAACAATTGTTTAATCTCTTAAAGCACAAAAACAGGAAAATTTCAATTTCTGCTACTTAAAATAGTGTCTTCTCTGCAGGGACTCAAATATAATTCCAGGCATTTCTTATTTGTCACCGCTCTTTTCTTATTTTGAACCTAAGTAGCATACCTTTTCCTAGAGGAGTCCGCTTTCATCTCAATTTAATTTTTTTATAGATAGGGTTTCCCTGTGTCACCCAGGCTGGAGTGCAGTGATGTAATCACAACTTACTGCAGCCTCGAACTCCTGGACTAATGTGATCCTTCTGCCTCAGCCTCCTGAGTAGTTGGGACTTCAGGCATACACCACTATACCCAGCTAATTTTTAAGTTTTTTTGTAGAGATAGGGTCTCCTTATGTTGCCCAGGCTGGTCTTGAACTCCTGGCCTCAAGTGATCCTTCCACCTTGGCATCAAAAAGTGCTGAGATTATAGGCATAAGCCACCATGCCCCACCTCATCTCTATCTTTTAAACACTTTATTTCAATAGGGTGAATAAAATTGAATGATAAACTAGAAAATTTAAAATATAAATGTGAAAACTAAAAATTTGTCTTTTCTTACTATAAGAGAGACGATATGAGGGAAACAATGACTAGAATGAAATGATAATCAACAACTTCTGGGGATTGTGAGTAGTAGGAGGTATAATACCTTCTATTGTATTAGTAACACTTATTTTTAAGCTGGGCGGTGATACACAGGTATTCATTGTATTGTTTCTTTCTTTTTTTTTTTTTTCCTTTTTCTTTTCTTTTTTTTAAATTTTGAGACAGGGTCTCACTGTTTCACCCAGGCTGGAGTGCAGTGGCTCTATCATGGCTCACTGCAACCTCAACCTCCCAAGCTCAAGTGATCCTCCCACCTCAGCCTCCTGAGTAGCTGGGACTACAGGTGTGTGTCACCACACCTGGGTAATTTTAAAATTTTCTGTGGAGATGGGGTCTGTGTTGCCCAGGCTGGTCTCAAACTCCTAGGCTTAAGCAATTCTCTGTCCTCAGCCTCCCAACGTGCTGGGATTACAGACATGAGCCACTGTGTATGGCCTTCACTGTATTATTCCTGACATATTTTGTATGCCTTAAATATGCATAACAAATCTTAAAAAGAAGAAAATTTCAATGGTACTCTGTTAGAAATAATGATGATGACATTTAAAAGTCTTTGCAAATTTAGTCTTTGCAAAATTGTTTTAGACGTGTTCACAATGTAATATTCCTTCCTTCCCTCATAACTCGTCCATCCATCAACATTTTATTAAATGTCAGCATGCAAGTCAGTACATTCCAGGTGTCAGTTACCAAAATGGTTCATAAACTGTAAACTAACCGTGAGACAGTAAGCCGAGAATACTTAAGGACTAATGATTCTGTTGTACTGAACAAACACACTGGAAGCTAACTTGTGTGAAAAACTTACGAATCTGGTGACTTTGAGTAGCCGCTGCCAAAGAGGCTACGCAGAGAGCGTGGTGGTGAGATCTTGGCATCTCGGGAGTAGAAGACCATGCACACATCCTTGGTGATGACAGCCGGCTGGATGCAATGATCCAGCTGAAAGCAGACAGGGTAGGTGCTGATGAAGTGCAGGCAGAGTACTGTGACTAGAGTCTATACACGAACGTATTTGGAAAGCGAGTCCCAGTTGTGAGAACTGAAGGATTTTAGCTCCACCAATTATTTCAACAGCCACCCAATGGATAATATGTGCAAGAGTAGGTAGTACTCCTTAGAGATGCATTTATTTTTATCTGAGGTAAATGTTGTTTCTCCTGATAGGTGAGGAAACTGAGGCAAAGAGAGTTTCTCCAAGGACATAGAGGAAGTAAGTGGCAGCACAGGGATTTGAACCGACAGGCTGGGTCTTGGGTCTGGGCTATTAACCACTATTACACTCTGTCCACAACTACAAAAACAAGAGGTGACATTTTCTTAAAAATCACACATTCTTCAAACAATGGTGATTAGGCTACTAAAGCTGAAGCTGCAATGAGTCATGTGATTTTTTGAGTAAACAGAACCCAGGAATAGAGTCTAATATAATCAGAAGAGTTAGCAATGTATAATAAAATGAAAAACTTAAGGATGTGGAGGAAGAAAGAGGACAAAACAAGTGGAATCTTCGCTGACCACTTCCTGCTGTAACCTGCACACTGTTCAGGGCTGACTGTTGGCATCAACTGAAGTTCCAAGTCTCCTCACCTCTAGGTAGGCCGACAAGGTCATGTAGATCTTTTCTCCATAGGGTGTCACTCGGTTCAGAAGAAGGGAGTTATGCAGAGAGCTATCCCACACAGCCTCAAAGCGGTAGAAGGTCCTAAGGTCAGAAAGACAAGAGGGAATCATCCAAAAGAAGCTAAAGTCACGTTAGTCCAGGTACTGCCACTGTCAATCATCCTAAAGAACCATACGCCAACCAACAGACACTTTCAGTTTATCAAACTCTAATAACAGAGAGGAACCCTTATCTCCTAGGAGGAAAAGATAGGTCCCCATCCTCTTGCTCCCAACCCCACCCATCATTAAGGAACACTTAGTTGTGCTTTTTTTTTTTTTTTTTTGAGACAGAATTTTGCTCTGTTGCCCATACTGGAGTGCAGTGGCACAATCTCGGATCACTGCAACCTCTGCCTCCCGGGTTCAAGTGATTCTCCTGCCTCAGCCTTCCGAGTAGCTGGGATTACAGGCGCCCGCCACCACGCCTGGCTAATTTTTGTATTTTTAGTAGAGACAGGGTTTCACCATGTTGGTCAGGCTGGTCTCGAACTCCTGACCTCAGATGATCTGCCCACCTCGGCCTCCCAAAGTGCTGGGATTACAGGCGTGAACCACTGTGCCTGGCCAGTTGTGCTTTTTTTAATTTTGTTTTGACAAGCCTGCCTCTGCCTATAAACATAAAAATAGTAAGGTCAATCAAAGGGATTAAGATGAAATGGATAAGTGAGTATGGACAGAAACTGAAAGAAGAAAGAAAGACTATGTAAGCTCTCCTGTCAGTTAATGATGACAGCAGGAAGTGAATGCTTGGTAACTTGTCAGCTTCAATCTTCACATCACAAGAGGGCTAAACATCATTCAATCCAGTGCTGCTGGGCCTCAGAAACACCACAGATATATCTGAAGGGATTAATGGTAGAAACTGGGTAGATGGGTTTAAGTATAGAGAGCATTATTTTATTTTATTTTATTATTTTTTTATTTTATTTTATTTTTGAGACGGAGTTTCACTCTGTCACCCAGGCTGGAGTGCAGTGGCGCAATCTCAGCTCACTGCAACCTCTGCCTCTTGGGTTCAAGCGATTCTCTTGACTCAGCCTCCTGAGTAGCTGGGATTATAGGCACGCACCACTACGCCAGCTAATTTTTCTATTTTTAGTAGAGGAGGGGTTTCACCATGTTGGCCAGGCTGGTCTCAAACTCCTGACCTCAAGCGCTCTGCCCACCTTGGCCTCCCAAAGTGCTGGGATTATAGGTGTGAGCCACTGTGCCGGCCGAGAGCCTTATTTTAAATAAAAGAATACAAGGTTATTCTTAACTGATGTTTCAGTAAAAGAGAATAAATTGTTAACACTAGAGCCAGACAAATACCATTTGTTAGCTTAAAAAAAAAAGCCATTTGAAAAATTAATCTTACATTTATGTAACAAATGGAAACTTAATTTAATAGATACCCACAAACTATTTTGTTGTTATTGTTCTAATATCGTTTTTTTTCTACTGGTAAAACAACATTAACTCTAATTGACATTAAATCTTCCAGTTCTGCAAGTCTAATGTGAAATACAGCACTTAGTTTAAAAGCAGTGTTACAGATTGATTCCCAATTCTGCCCCATGTTTCCCTTCTCAGACCCCTATGACAAGTGGAGGGGAAGATGCCTGGTCTGCCCCACCATCACTAGTTCTCCGCAGATAGAACACAGCTCACCTGATTCACCTAGAAGAGTCTATGCACACTCTTTCCTGCCCAATACATTCCTTCTTACTCCTTTTCAAATAGTGACCTCACTATGGCTGCCTTTTCTAGACTTCCTATGATAAGTAGCTGGCATATCCTCCCTCTAAACACATCCCCATGTTTCTTCCTCCAGAAACGATCAACAGAGAGAACACATTTCTGAAACTGAACCCCATGACCACACCTCATCTTCCAAGTGGCAGTGTATGAGGTCTGATCATCTAACATAGCTGCTTCTAGATCTAAGTCTTCTTCAAGTACTTAATACTCTCTCAAATGTCTAGTCTTTGAGGCAGTGAGTGTGGGTCAAGAAAATTCTCTACAAAGACACAGAAGATAGAGAAACAACTAACAAGTCAAAGACAAAGCCACCAAGTGACCCAAACAGGAACAGAAATGATGGACAATGAAGGCCTTTCTATAGTTCTTGGGCTCCCTGGGCACAGGAGGAAACCCTTCATGTGTCCATAAAACTCTGTGTAAAGTAAAGTTTTAATTTGGTTTAAGACATATTCTAATACTGGGTGACGACATCCACTGCTTCAACAGATGCCACTTGAGAACTGACTGTATCATTGTGAGATCTGTTTTTTTTTTTTTTTTTTGAGACAGAGTCTTGCTTTTGTCACCCAGGCTGGAGTAGGGTGGCATGATCTTGGCTCACTGCAACCTCCTCATGCCGGGTTCAAGTGATTCTCCTGCCTCAGCCTCCAGAGGTCTGCTCTTTTATTGTGTTCCTGTTTTTGTCAAAGTACCTAGAAGGGGCGGGGCTTATTTGTCCCATTTCAGAGGCTGGATACATCCATGCTAAAGTTAAATAAACCCCTCTTCTTAGAGTGACGGCATTTATGACTTTGGTGATATTTGACAGAAATTTCTATCAATGCTGCTGCCTTCATTAAGTTCCAAACCATAACGTGGCACCTCCCAGGACCACTGCTGAGGTTTCATGACACTGACTCTTTCAACTGAGGCAAATGTTTTGAACTTGTCTAAAAAAGCCTCTTCACATTTCTGTTTTCAGGCTAAGCTTTCACTTAACATAAAGAGAAAATTTCACTTGCAGAAACCTGGTTAACACAAAGGAAATTTTGACTCCACTAAAGTCTTCCTGTATTGAGGGAAAAATTTTTCTTTCATTTTTTTCTTTTGTCAAAAAAAGTTTCTTTCTTTTTTTTTTTTTTTTGCTTTGGACTTGCTGCAGCAAGTTCTGTTAGAATACCCACCAAAGGTGGTAATTCAATTTAAAAAAATATATATTTTATTTATTTATTTTTCTGAGACAGAGTCTCACTCTTGTCACCCAGGCTGGAGTGCAATGGTGCGATCTTGGCTCACTGCAACCTCCGCCTCCCGGGTTTAAGCGATTCTCCTGCCTCAGCCTCCCAAGTAGCTGGGATTACAGGCGCCCACCACCAAGTCTGGCTAATTTTTTTATTTTTAGTAGAGATGGGGTTTCACCATGTTGGCCAGGCTGGTCTCGAACTCCTGACCTCAGGTGATCCACCCGCCTCGGCCTCCCAAAGTGCTGGGATTACAGGTGTGAGCCACTGCGCCTGGCCTATTTTATTTTTAGACAAGGGTCTTGCTCTGTTGCCCAGGCTGGAGTGCACTGGTGCAATCTAACTCCTGGGCTCAAGTGATCTTCCCACCTCAGCCTCCTGAGTAGCTGGGAATATAGGCACGAGCCACCACACCCGGCTAATTAATTTTTTTTTTTCTTTAGAGACAAGTTCTACATTGCCCAGGCAGGTCTTGAACTCTTGGGCTCAAGTGATCTTCCTACCTTAGTAGGAAAGTGCTAGTATTACAGGTGTGAGCCATTACACTGGCAATTCTTGAGAGGTGGTTGTAAGAAATACAACCAAGACTGGGGAGAAATGTCAATTTAATCAAGCTGGCAATAGAATTTAGGGTTACAAACAGGGCTGAATCCCAAGACATATTTTCCTGTATGCCTCCTAAGGTGGTGAGAAGTAATTCCAAATGGATTTCTCAAGATGTTCTGAACAGCAGCAGCATCAGAGGAAAAACAGGTTTCAAGGTGACTGCTTTGAAGGATATATTCCTTTGAATTTATTATTTATGAACAATTAAAAACCAACTTCTGGTCAGTTGTGGTAGCTCACACCTGTAATCCCAGCACTATGGGAGATAAAAGTGGGAAGATCACTTGAGGCCAGGAATTTGAGGCCAGCGTGGGCAATATAGCGAGACCCTGTCTCTACAAAAAAATTTTAAATTAGCGAGGCATGGTGGCACGTGTCTGGAGTCCCACCTATTCGGGAGGCTGAGGAGGGAGGACTGCTTGAGCCCAGGAATTCAAGGTTGCAGTGAGCTATGATCATGCTACCGCACTTTATTTATTTATTTATTTATTTATTTATTTAGAGACGGAGTCTAGCTCTGTCGCCAGGCTGGAGTGTAGTGGCACGATCTTGGCTCACTGCAACCTCCGCCTCCCAGGTTCAAGCGATTCTCCTGCCTCAGCCTCCTGAGTAGCTGGGACTACAGGCACATGCTACCACGCCCAGCTAATTTTTCTATTTTTAGTAGACATGGGGCTTCACCATATTGGCCAGGATGGTCTCGATCTCTTGACCTCATGATCCGCCCGCCTCGGTCTCCCAAAGTGCTGGGATTACGGGTGTGAGCCACCGTGCCCGGCCGCATTTTTTTTTCTTTTTTTAAAGCATCTGCAGGTATAGCTACTACACTCTAGCCTGGGCAACAAAGCAACACCCCGTCTCAAGAAAACAAAACAGAAGCCACCTTCTTATATCATGGTCACATCTGATGAACCCTTTTGAGTTCATTAGGAGAATCTCTGAAATGTAAACTGAATGGGGTCCAAATTGAGGGATAAAATCATTATATCAGTAACATCAGTCAAATATATAAATATGTTTATGTATTTTTTTTTCGAGACAGAGTCTCGCTCTGTCGCCCAGGCTGGAATGCAGTGGCGCGATCTCGGCTCACTGCAACCTCCGCCTCCCGGGTTCAAGCGATCCTCTGCCTCAGCCTCCTGAGTAGCTGGGATTACAGGCGCCCACCATCATGCCAGGCTAATTTTTGTATTTTTAGTAAAGATGGGGTTTCACCATCTTGGCCAGGCTGGTCTTGAACTCCTGACCTCGTGATCCACCCGCCTTGGCCTCCCAAAGTGCTGGGATTACAGGTGTGAGCCACTGAGCCCAGCCCGTTTATGTTGTATTTTTTTTAACATTTTAGGTTATATTGTCATGTATCACTTCCTTCAATTTTCTTCCCTAAATGAGACAGATTTTTTAAAAAACTTCCTTTAATACCAAACCAGGATTTTTCCTATTCCAAAAGAAGAAAATAAACAGATAAAACAAGCAGCCCTGACAGGAGAAAGATAAATGTTAAAAAATATATATAAAATATTTCTCATAGACTCAGCTATCCAAATAGCCAAATTTGTCTCTATTACCACACAGGACAAAACAGAGAAGAAAGTGAACAGTTTTGCAAGACTGCAATGGACTCAGGTTTTATAAAGCAATAAACCCTTCATGCTTTTGACGGAGAGAAGACAGATAAAGAGGAAAACAGAAAACAAAACCTGAGATTCTGTATGAAATGAAGGGAGAAACATTCTACTTTGTAATGTAGAAGAGGAAAACTTGAAAGAGTCTAAGAATAAAACTGACAAGTTTAGCAAATGGAATGAAAAAATAATTTGAAACTCTAAAAATCATTTAAGAAGCTATACGCTTCTTAGGGTACAGAACAGGGTCTACTCTATCCTAGGTACAGTAGGTTTACATGGGGAGGGGACTACAAAATTAAAATGGCAAAGCAACATAAGACAGAAAGCATTCTGATAAACTAGAATCCTACGTGCAAAAAAGCAAACAGACAATACCTAGGAATATCCTTATCAAGAAAGAGCCTGCAAAAACATAGAAAAGGCTTTAGTTAGTGCAGCAAAAAAACAAAAGAAATAAGGGAGAGAATCAGAAAAAATATATATATAAAGAAGACAAAATTTGCTGATAAGCAAAGTGAATTCAAGTGGACAGACAATTAACACAGAATCCCATGGAACACAATTCCATAGAGGACTTACAATAACATGGGTCCCTCTCCTGAGACTTCCAACTAAGGAAAATGCCAGACATAAGAGGGAAAGTGGAGACCACCACCATCAGTACCCCTTTCAGTGGTGACTTAGTATTGAGAATAATAGGAAGTTGCTGTGGAGTTAAGGGAAAACCAAGTCAATGCATTAACATAAATGTAGGACTGGGAAGAAAAGGAATAATGAATGGTCCCTTGTCAATTATACCCCACTATCAATGTATTAGCAAAGCCCTCTAAGATACACACATAATATACCCAAATTGCAGGTAAGTTCAACTTTAAACATTAAACCTTAGACAAACAGAACGAAAGTTCTCTTAACCAAACTCCATTTTGCCACTTACCATATTAACCTATGTTTTCCATATCCCTAAAATATACAGATTGATGGCTAGTTCTCCTTGAGCATTCTAAACTACAAAGATGTCTCATTTGCCCAGACACTTCGCTCCGAAGAGTTGAGTGCTTATCAAATGTCAGTAGTATCTGGTCCCAAATCTGTTTATGCCAGTTGTACTTATTATTATTATCTAACTTCATTAAACATTAGGCAAATCAATGAAATATGAAAACATAAATAATTTTTGTTCCTGTGAAAACTAAGTTGAATGTTTTCAAAAGGTTAGAAAATGGTGAGTTGTTTAAAAATAACTGTTAAGTTTGGGTGAGACAAATGTAAAAGAAAGGGGAAAATGATAAAATGTTTAAATGATTAATGTTAATAAATGATAAAAAATTTAAAGGATTTTGAACTTAGATTTTCTTCACAGGTTTCTAATTCTTGCTCCACCAAACTGAAAGTCATAGATGATGAATTATGGGTGTGGTTTTGCAAGAAAGACAATCAGAACTCCAGTAAATGATCTTATAATTAAAGAAAAGGCCATGGCTTTCCAGCAAAAGTTTGATAAATTAATGTAGATTTATATAGTTTAAATGAGAACAGAAATATTTAAGGTGTTTTTTGTTGTTGTTGTTATTCTTGACTTCAGCCTTTTTTGATGAACTCATTCTAACTCACAAGATAAGCTGCTTCTAACAAAGCCAAATTCATTTCTTGTAGCACCTGACCTGTTGTTGGGCGTGAATTAAAGGACTTCTTAAAGTTACTCTAATGGAGGCAAAATTAGAATAACCAGTATTTCAACCAAAGCCCATCTTTCCCTGTATATTTTACTAAGTACCCTAGGGAAATTTACAATACATTTTTCATAGCTACAAAGAAAATGTGGTGGTAAAACCCGGCTGAACATTGGCAGAAAACAGAAAGCTATGCAGAATTACTGCTGACTTCAGGGAAATAGTATTGCTCGTGATTTTGCCCATGGATAGTCAAAGCACCCCTCTTTATTTCTGCCACTCCCCCTCCCCAGACATACATATGTACCCTCTCACTCCTTCCCTCTTTCTCCACAGCCCCTGCCAGCAAACAGAAGTTTGTTTCTTTTTTCTCTTTCCTATGGTAAACTATAATACAAGAAAACAACAGAAAGAAATTAATCCTGGTCCAAACCTTTCATTCCATTTCTGCCTATCGTCTTATTCCTTCCCTCCCTCCTCTCAACATGGATGTAAACAAGTTTTTCAGGAGCAGACTGAAGCACAGCAAAGTCCTGTGGTGGGAAGGCAGTGTGCTCAGCCCACATTAGAAGAGGCAGCCGCTCCTGTTTCCCAGCCCCTAGGATATAGAGACGGAGCCTCTGAGACAATGAGAACTCCCTTCCTGGGTGAGGTAAGAGGATCCCAGCTGGTTTAGTTCTAGTCTTACAAAGGAAAGCAGAATGGCTATGTACTTTACGAACTGTCTGTTATCACCTGATTATAAAAGATAATTTTAAGTGAAACATTTAAAATAAAAAACAAAGTAAAATCTATTATTTATGGCAGCCAATCTTGGTCATAAGAGTTCATATTATTTATCGCTTTTGTGCATAAATGAAAAACAAATACTAAGGATAATGGAGCCTATAGTCAGCAGCAGCAAAGACTTAACACAAGAGGCTTCATTTTATCTCAGAGGGCACATTTCCATGATACTTGGGGAGTGAGAGAAACCTTTCTCTCCACAGCAACCATTTCACAGGAAAAAATTTAATCTTGGCAATAATTAATTCGTACTTTTAAATCCTTGGGGAATATACTGTTTTCTTTCTCCAATTTTCATTTATCACTTGTTACATCTATTCAAACTTCACATGGGACAGGATCACTTCCATTCTCTAAGAGTAACTGATCACATACAAATATCTGCAATACTTTCTTTCTTTCTTTTTGGAGAGTACAGCAGGCAGGTGAAGAAATAAAGAGATTTTTGAAGCTAGAAGGGAGAAGGGAGTTAATTTCTTTGTCCGAACTGGGAGTCATTAATGAATAAGGCACCTAACGGTGTACCAATTAACGCCTGCAAGTGTGGACTTCTTCACACTGCTCTGGGTGTCCCACCTGCTAGAGTTGTGGGAAGACTTCAGGTACTTGGCAGAAATAATATTTAGGGAGAGGATGGCATCAACTGCAGCTTCATCCACCTCAGGCTTATTCCGAATACGACCTAAAAGAAAGGATAAAAAAAACAGAGCACGGACACATTTGAAAACAAAACATGAATTCATTAAGCCCAAAAGAGACTTTTAAATCTCTGTGTAAGTTCAGGAGCTGGAAGGGTCATTTGGTTACCTGTAGGGTCCTCCACGGTCTGACTCCATTACTTCCCACATTGAGTTAACTATGAAACCATATTGATTCTTTATTCAAAGAGTTTCCCACATTCATCCCAACTTTTATTCACAATATCATTGCCCTGATCACAAAAGGCCACCTCCTCTCTGGTCTGGAACCTGCAACAGCCATTTAACTGGTCTCCCTGCTATTCACACCTCCCCCGTTCCAATCCATTCCACTCTCACCTAACAGCAACTTCTGACCTGCTATTCACACCTCCCCGTTCCAATCCATTCCACTCTCACCTAACAGCAACTTCTGACCTGCTATTCACACCTCCCCCGTTCCAATCCATTCCACTCTCACCTAACAGCAACTTCTGACCTGCTATTCACACCTCCCCTGTTCCAATCCATTCCACTCTCACCTAACAGCAACTTCTGACCTGCTATTCACACCTCCCCGTTCCAATCCATTCCACTCTCACCTAACAGCAACTTCTGAAGCCACTGACTGACAGTTTCTTGTTTTTTTGTGTTTTTTTTTTTGAAACAATGTCTTGGTCTGTCTCCCAGGCTGGAGAGCAGTGGTTTGATCATAGCTCACTGCAGCCTTGAATTCCTGGGCTGAAGTGATCCTCCCACCTAAGCCACCTGAGTAACTGGGACTTTAGGCCTGCAGCACCACATCCAGCTATTTTATTTTATTTTATTTTTTTGTAGAGACGGGGCCCCACTATGTCGCTCAGGCTGGTCTCGAACTCCTGAGCTCAAACGATCCTCCTGCCTTGGCCTCCCAAAGTGCTGGGATTACAGGCATGAGCCACCATACCTGGCCATGCTGACTTTATTACACCCCTTTCTTGCTCAAAATCCTACACTCTGTTTTCAAGTTAACACTAGCGGATGCAGCATTGCATAGACGTTAAGGACTTGGCCTCCAGTGCTGGACTGCCTGGGTTCCAACTCCTACCACCTGTGAGGCTTTGAGCCTAAGGCTCAACCTCTCTGAGCCTCAGTTCCCTCATATGTCAAGCGAGAATAACAATTCCTTCCATATATGGTTGCTATGAGGATTAAACAAACTAGTATTTTTGGAGCATTCAGAAAAGCACCTGGCATGTGGTAAATACTACATCAGAGTTTGTTAATAAAACAAACTAAAAATATATCATAGGATCCTTCAGAGAAGCCATAGTAACTGCTGCCTCTGCATCCTCCCTCTCCTTCTCTGGTCAGAAAGCATCTCTTCTGTTTCGGTATTAGGGTTCCATATAAACATTATTTTGTCAAAGGACATTCAGTACTTTGTAAATAAAGTTAAAAAAAAAACTAAATTAAAAAAAGAAAAATTTATTATGAAAAATATTGAAAAGCTACTACCACTGCTGCCCCAGACAAGAGAGAACATAATCTCCCTTCCAACGATTCTTTTTTTTTTTTTTTTTGACAGGGTCTTGTTCTGTCATGCAGTGGCATGATCATGGTTCACTGCAGCCTCGACTTCTCAGGTTCAAGCAAGCTTCCAGCCTCAGCCTCCTGAGTAGTTGAGACTATAGGCATGAGCCACCACACCCAGCTTATTTGTAGAGAGACAGGGTTTTGCCATGTTGTCTAGGATAGTCTCAAACTCCTGAACTTAAGTGATCCGCCTGCCTTGGCCTCCCAAAGTGCTGGGATTACAGGCGTGAGCCACTGTGCCTGGCCCCAAGGTTCTTAATCTGGTCCAGAGAGACACAAGCACTCTGTGGACAGAATTCAGAGGGTCCTTGAGCTTGGATGGGGAAAAAAATTACATCTTTATTTTCACAAACCTTTAACTAAAAATTGGCATCTCCTTCAATCACAAAGGAAGGCAATAAACCACAGAAGAATTGGCCAGTACCCGTGACTCTGTCCCCAGTAGAAACCACAGATGTTTCCATGTGCAAAATATCTTATTTATTTATTTATATATTTTTTTGAGATGGAGTATTGCTCTGTTGCCCAGGCTGGAGTGCAGTGGCACAATCGTGGCTCACTGCAAGCTCCGCCTCCAGGTTCATGCCATTCTCCTGCCTCAGCCTCCCGAGCAGTTGGGACTACAGGCGCCCACCACCACGCCTGGCTAATTTTTTTGTATTTTTAGTAGAGACGGGGTTTCACCGTGTTAGCCAGGATGGTCTCGATCTCCTGACCTCGTGATCCGCCCATCTTGGCCTCCCAAAGTGCTGGGATTACAGGCATGAGCCACCACGCCCGGCCTATTTATTTATTTTTAAACAGAGTCTCACTCTGCTGTCTTGGCTCACTGCAACCTCTGTCTCCCAGGTTCAAATGATTCTCCTGTCTCAGCCTTCCGAGTACCTGGGACTACAGGCGCCCGCCACCACAACCAGCTAATTTTTGTATTTTTAGTAGAGACGGGGTTTCACCATGTTGGCCAGGATGGTCTCAATCTCTTGACCTTGTGATCCGCCCATCTCAGCCTCCTAAAGTGCTGGGATTACAGGCGTGAGCCACCGTGCCTGGACACAAGATATCTTTTTCATTGATCACTACTTGGAAATTATGGTAATTAGAATAACTGCTAAATCTTGTTATTTCATGCATCAGTAAAGAAGAGCTTAATGTTTTAACAACTGTATTTCAATATTATCGGTTTCCTTTGTAATCCTAAATACTTTATTTCTCACATTTGAAAACATAATTCTAAGGCTTCGTTACTGCCAAAGAGGTCCATGGCAACAAAAGTTCCAAACTCTTGCCTCGGACTGTCATTCTAAAGTTTACACTATCTAGCCAATACTCCTTAATTTACTTTCTCCACTCTGGCCATGGGGTTTCTTGTCATTTGCATGTTAGACATATTCCTGACTCTCTTACTCAAAATGCTTGTGTCTGGAAAAAAAAAAAAAACCCTCTAATTTTTCTTGAATCTATTCAGTCCTCCTGGCTTGTTTTCACTGTTAACTCTCTTAGCACAGATTTTCCTTTGTCCTCATTTTGGTATTTATTCATCAAAGCATTCTGCACATATATATGCTGTCTCCCTAACTAAAATGCAAGCTCACAATTAGCAGAGATTTTTCTTTTCTTTTTTTTTTTGAGACGGAGTCCCACTCTGTTGTCCAGGCTTGAATGCAGTGGTGCCATCTCAGCTCACTGCAACCTCCACCTCCCAAGTTCAAGCGATCCTCCCACCTCAGCCTCCCGAGTAGCCAAGACTACAGGTGCGTGCCACCATGCCCAGCTAATTTTCATATTTTTTTGTAGAGATGGGATTTTGCTACCTTGGCCAGGCACAAACCCCTGGGCTCAAGTAATCCACCCATCTCAGCCTCCAAAAGTGCTGGGATTACAGGCATGAGCCACCACACCCAGCCAGCAGAGATTTCTTTTATGCCCTCTCACAGACTCTACCACAGAACCATTCCCTGGTAACTGAGTTAGTTAGTTGGATAACATATCACTAATGACAGAGCGAAGAAACAGGAATACAGAGTTTCAAACTCAAGGCCTCTGCATCTCCATAGTCTGTGTTTCCGAATATGGTCTTCTACACATTCCATGTACCGCAAACAGGGAAGAATAACATCTCTAACAGGGCACAGTGCCTCACACTTGTGGTCCCAGCTACTCGGGAACCTGAGGCAGGAGGATTGCTTGAGCCCAGGAGTTTGAGGCTACAGGGAGCTATGATCTCATCACTGTACTCCAGCCTGGGTGACAGAGCAAGACCCTATCTCAAAAAAAAAAAAAATCTCTGTAAGTCCTGGTTCTATCCTTGGCTGATGAAACGTACTCACCTACCACCAGTTCACGAACATCTTTCCAATGGAGCTCGCTCCCCTTCTCATGGATAATGGTCACTGTGATCCTTCGCTGGATGCCCTAGGTAATGAAGCAGGGTTGCAATTTAGCTGAAGCAATCTATTATCTCCTCTCGTCTACTGTTTTCTGGCCTGTATGGCATGGCATGGGGGATGAGCAGGAAGGAGAGGTGTGGAAAGACGGAAAATGCTATCCACATTGTTATTCAAAACAAAGGGAGATGTGTCAGGGACTAAGGAACAGTCAGGTTCTGATATGGTTTTCTTTTCTTTTTTAAAAAATTCTTTTTCTCTATGGTTTTAAGAATAACCATAATCTGTCACAGGAGATTATGTGGCTGCATCCCAGCCCCTTGTATAATAAGTATTCAACCATGCCCTGATTGTATGTCCCAAATGTATGGTATCCCTAGCCCCTATGCCCACTTGGGTCTTAAGTACTTTTGAACACTGACTGAACCTACTTTTGATTTACCAAAAGCGGACCTATGTTTCATAACCAGATTTTTAGTCCATTGAAACCTTCATCCTCTATTCCTATTAAGAACTTCTGGTGTGAAAGCACAGAGCTTCCAAACATCACGAAATGAAAAGTATTAAAAGTGACATAGGAGCTACACAAATTAGAGTAATTGAATGAAACAAAATATTTTTCAAAATAGCTATTCTAAATACATATAAAAGCAAGGATAAATATAAGCCAAGGTCTGAGGAAGAAATATCTACAGACAGACACAGAAAAAAAAAAAAATGACAACAGGACAATGCCCCGCCCACCCTCTGAAATAGAGATGAAAACAGAGAATAAGAAAGAATTCCGTCTCTTATTCTAAATTCTTTTCAGTGTTCCCTCCGATGCCTGTTTTGGTCCCTCATTAGTACCTGATGAAGCAAAAATGTCCCCTGGCAAGGCAAGCCTGCTGTGTGGTCAACCACAGCTGGGATATACCTAAAAAATAGAAACGCAAAAGAAAAAACTAAGTGCTACTTCATCTGCAAGGCTTAGCCCCTGGTGGTCTTTGTTTTGATAAATTCTGATCCCATGTCTTTCTCACCCATGCTGGCATTTAATCATACAGTCATTTGCATTTACTCATCCTTTCCACACATCTATGTCTCAATCCTCTCTAGACTTGAGTAGTCAAAGGACAGTAACATCTTTTGGTTGCATCCAGCCCCTTGATATTAAGTATTCAATAAATAATGTAGAAGTGCAATGGCAATTGACAGGAGATAAGAAACACAGATAATTTCAGACTATAGTTTTTTTTAAGATTCAGAAAGCAATTAATTCAGTAGAAACAATTACTGTAACTACCTCTCCCTCATAATGCAACTTGTAATCACATCATAAGTCTGTCTATGAAAAGTCAAATTCCTCAAAGCACTGTCACTACTAACAACTACATACCACACTTAACACAGTATCCTACACATAGTAGGAACTTAATAAGTGTTTCCCAATGATGACCATGATGGTGGTTCTCAGAATTACATATAGGAGAACATTAGGATAACATTTACTCCTACCCTTTATATTAACTGATACAGCCCCTTGCCTCTGTCCTAAGAGTAAGATCTCTTTCATTTGTGTTTTTACAAAAGCATTTTAGAGATGATTATACACAACAATTACATTAATCACTTACTCTAACTCAGCTCATCGAGACAGAGTAAGCTGATGGTATCACTTTGATCTAGGACAGTGGTTCTCAACTGAGGATGCCCTCCCTGGGGGATATTTGGCAATGTCTGAAGACATTTTTGGTTGTCACAAATAGAGTGGAGCTGCTACTGGCATCTTGTGGGTAGGGGCCAAGGATGCTGCAAAATATTCTAAATGCACAGGACAGCCCCTCACAACAGAGAATTATCCAGCCCCAAATAGTGCTGAGGTTGAGAAACCCTGGTCTAGGAAAATATTCTGCCCTTCTATGTCCTCCTTGACATCAGTAATGTAAGTCTTTACCATATTCTATGCAATATGCTCCTTTTGCTTTACTACTAATAAAACCCATTATGATAAAACCCTTACAACAAGGTGCTGCTGGGCACAGTGGCTCACGCCTATAATCCCAGCACTTTGGGAGGCTGAGGCGGGTGGATCACCTGAGGTCGGGAGTTCGAGACCAGCCTGGCCAACATGGTGAAACCCTGCCTCTACTAAAAATACAAAAATTAGCCTGGCGTGGTGGCACGCACCTGTAATCCCAGCTACACAGGAGGCTGAGGCAGGAGAATCGCTTGAACCTGGGAGGCAGAGGTTGCAGTGAGCTGAGATCGCGCCATTGCACTCCAGCCTGGGCAACAGAGCAAGCCTCCATCTCAAAAAAAACAAAAAACAAAAAAAACCCCAAAAAACAACAAGATGCCTGTCTCCATGATTTTGCTGTTGCTAACGAGAAGGCAAATTATTATGCTCAACAGTCAGTTCTCTGATAAACATCTGATTCAAATACCAAGACCACCAAAAATCAATTCAAAACTGGAATTCGGCCAGGTGTGGTGGCTCATGCCTGTAATCTCAGCACTTTGGGAGGTCGAAGCAGGAGGACTGCTTGAGGCCAGGAGTGGTCAAGACCAACCTGGTCAACATAACAAGACTGCATCTCTATTAAAACAAAAACAAAAACAAAACCATCCCTGGAATTTGACAGTGACAATGATTCATGAACCCAAATACAAGAAGATTCAAAATTGCATTTCCTAATTTGAAACATTTTGCCTTATTTAAAAATTTATTAAGTTGGACTTACTCTCCTGTAGGCTCCAGTTCACTGATCTCAAACCAAACCAGGAGGTCATACTTGCTCATGCTCTGGCCAAGGCTGGTTTTGCTCATCGTGTTTAACTTGGTGGCTGGAACTTTTAAAAGTTTTTAGAGTATGTCAAAATCTGGTCCAAGACTACTCAGCAAAAATACAAGCTTCTCTAATGTCAGTCTTTAAAGACATACTTGGGAAAGGCAGCAAGAGTCAGAGGAAAGATTTCAATGCAAAAGACCCAGAGAAACACCAATATAAACTTTGTAAGTTATTAGTTATCTCTACATTCAGAGAACAAGGAAAATAAAGAAATCAGTATCTTTTTTCTCAACAAACTGTCTCTAATGATGAGAAAACAGCTTTTGTGTAGAATAAATGTGCTCATGAAACCTTCCAATTCCAGAATCTCAGATTGTGTGACACGTAAAGCATGGGACTAACGTGGGAGAGACAATGCTTGGAAAGCCTCACGTCACAGGGGCTCAATCAAAGCTGATGTCCTGAAGAAAAGACCCATCCTCCACCCCAGTGGTTCCCAAACCTCCCTGCACATAGGAGCACCTGGGGACCTTAAAGTCCAGGACACATCCCAGATCAATTAAATCACAATCTCTAAGGGAAAGACAAAGTTCTTCCTCCATGAGGGGTAAAGTTTCCCAGGTGATACCAATGTGAGGACAAAGTTGGAAACCAACTACTGGTATCATTTATAAATACAGGATTCTGTAAATGATCTTATGTCACACATTTTCTTCAGATTTAAATTCCATATGCTTTTTTTTCTTTTTTATGGCGTGATCTCGGCTCACTGCAACCTCTGCCCTCTGGGCTCAAACCATCCTCCCACCTCAGCTTCCTGAGTAGCTGAGACCAAAGGCGTGCACCACCGCGCCCGGCTAATTTTTGCATTTTTTTGTAGAGACAGGGTTTCGCCATGTTGCCCAGGCTGGTCTCTAACTCCTGAGCTCAAGCAATCTGTCCGACTCAGCCTCCCAAATGCTGGGATTACAGGTGCGAGCCACCATACCCGGCCAGATTTAAACTCCATATTCTTAACTGTACTGATGCTATGTGACTTTAGTTAAGCTGCTTAACCTCTGGGAGTCTGTCTCCTCATTTATAAACTGTAGACCCTAATATTTAGCCTACTATCTTGAAAAGCAATCATGAAGATCCACTAACATAATGTACATAAAGGAGCTTTATGAATCATTTAGCACTATTCACACGTGTACCCTATCAGCAGTATTCAGCCCAGCTGAGTTTCACATGAGTTGGTGATGCTAGTCAGAAAGAAAATAGGGTAAGTGATCCTGGCAGTCATCTAAGGGTCAGAAAGCAAAACCAGAAGTATTCTAACAAACCAACTACTAGTAAAATCTTCAAAATTAAAAATACTATTGCAAAGAATCCATAAAAACAAATGCAAAGGCCTCCCCCACTGCGATGGTGATGTGAAAGAGGCACATGTAGAGAAGCTGCTTCCCAAATCTCTAGGAAGAAAATGTGATACAACCTTGAAAATGTGCTGAGCTCTACATTCAGCTCAAGTTGCAAAGGGAAATGTCAGTGTTTCATATGCAGAGAGCCAGGCTTCAGGACAAGCGCCTGAGGATGGTTCTACATCTAAGGTGGAGCTAATTCAGCTACTAACCATCTCGTTTGGGTACCCTCTCGCTCTGGCAGCTGGGAACTGGCAGAAAGAGAAAAGGCGGCAATGGGTCAGCCTCATCCTGGAAGGTGGCAATAGCGGAGGATGCAAGCACACTGGCGTGCTCAGAAAATGTGTCCAACATATGCACATTCACATAGCCAGACACGAGAAACCGAATCAGCTCAATCTTTCTCTCATGGTCTGAAGGCAGATGAAGATGGGGAATACAGAGGGTGGAGAGTGAGCACAGGGTGGGGTGGGAATTTGGCGAATAGGCAATGAGGAAAAAGGACAGAAATAAAGAAAAATCAAAACAAGATCACTGAACATACAGAATAAATTTACTATGCAAAGAAATGCCTAGTCCCCTGACAGTTATGGGAAGTTACATGCAAAGCAGAAAGATTTAGGAACAGAGTGATTATCAAAATCTGCAAATAGAAGACCAGAGAGTTTGTAGATAAGGCCCCCTATTGTTTCTTACTTCTTGTCTTATTTTATTACTTTATTTTATTTTATTTTATATTGTTTTGAGACGGAGTTTCGCTCTTGTTGCCCAGGCTGGAGTGCAAAGGTGCAATCTCAGCTCACTGCAACCTCCACCTCCCCGGTTCAAGCGATTCTCCTACCTCAGCCTCCCAAGTAGCTGGGATTACAGGCGTGTGCCACCATGCCCGGCTAATTTTCTATTTTTAGTAGAGACGAGGGTTTCACCATGTTGGTCTGGCTGTTTTTGAACTCCTGACCTCAGGTGATCCACCTGCCTCGGCCTCCCAAAGTGCTGGGATTACAGGCATGAGCCACCGCGCCCAGCCTTTACTTCTTATTTTAAATCAGGAACTAGGAATTCTAGTTCCTACTAGATACATACAAGAGGAGCAGGAATACATGTGGATATATAGAAGAATAGGAATTCAAACATGACTTCTATTTGAAAAGTCATTCAGAATAAGACATGTATTCACAAAGAGATCATCATGCAAAAAGCGGAGCGAGTGCTCACCTGGCTTGGACAGTGGCATGGGTGGAGGGAAGAATCGGCGGCACGGCTGAGGCGGACTGCAAAGAAAGGAAGACAAAGATCAAGACTATAAAGAGTTATTTATTTTAGAAATTCTCCCCTTTGTGCTGGACTGCAAATTGAATTTCCTTCTCTTTAGGGGTTTCACAAGTAGGAGTGAGAATGTACGTAAAAGTTCTGTGACAGTACAGAAGGCAACAACATTTTATGTATAGCTTCTGAAAGCAGGGAAAAAGAGAGAAACTGTTTGACTTCCACGTGCCTATCTCAAGACATTCTATTTGCAGATTTGAAGTTCTGGATTCCAAGTTGGAGTTTTCCAACATTAACGTAAACAGAACTGGCACACAGACATTAAGATGAACGTAATTATTATTCCTCTTGCTGGTCATTACCATC
This sequence comes from Homo sapiens, assembly GCF_000001405.40. Classification (NCBI taxonomy): domain Eukaryota; kingdom Metazoa; phylum Chordata; class Mammalia; order Primates; family Hominidae; genus Homo; species Homo sapiens. The sequence goes on along the minus strand of NC_000001.11, from coordinate 10,342,870 downwards.
GCTTTCTAATTCTCTTTGTGTGAATTTATTTAAAAGAAAAAAAACTTTTTGTAATGACTATTTGCAGTGTAGAAATCAATAAACCCTGTTTTTTCAAGAGAAAGAAAAAGACTACAAAGAGTTGGATGTTGGTATCAATAGCATGTTTTAATTCCCTTTAAGGAAGCAGACTTTTCCATTTTCAACTCTGGCATAATACCAGATAATAGAGATAATCCTAGATAGTGAAACAGGCTAAATCTCATTTAAAAAATGTCTCCCTCTAAGTCTTAGCTAATAAATAAAAAAATTCTTCTGCCAACACCAACACTCTGCCATCATCAGAAAGGCCCACTGTTGCTTTCCTCAGCAGTTGTGATGACTGTACTTAGAGCTTCTGTTTCATAAAGCTGTGGGCATTAGGAACAATTTTTAACAATTTTCATGTTATATTCCTATTACCTCAAATTTCTACCATATTCAAAGTCTCTTCCTACAAAAAGATGGTATTTGAGGTCACCTGGTCAAAATTTAATTTGCTCTATCTAAAATCAGTGATTAGGTGGCTATAAGATGATAGTGAAGTTTCTAAAGAGGAAACAGGGTAATATAGAATACTTATTTAGTTATCTTAATCCCTCAAAAGATTTCTTCCTTTCCAGCAATTGAGAAACTAAAAATCAAAACAATACCATCAAAAATGTTTGCTTATCTGGTCCAAACCTGTTAAGCTCCTGTCCTTGCAGATGAAGTGGGTGCTGCTGATAATGCCCAAAGACTTCAAATACAATAGGCTTGGTTTTGATGTAATCCACAAATGATTCAGTGATCTCCACTGCAATCTAAAGCCAAGCAAGATTAGGAAAAGATTACAAGAAAATACACATTTTTGCTTCAATCAGAACTTTAGTACGTATTTTGGGTTTTTTTTTTTTTTTTTGAGGCAAGGTCTTGCTCTGTAGCACGCAAACAAGGCTCATGCGGCCTCACCCTCCCGGGCTCAAGCAATCCTCCTGCCTCAGCCTCCGGAGTAGCTAGGACTACAGACATGCACCACCATGCCTGGCTAATTTAAAACAATTTTTTGTAGAGACAGTATCTCACTATGTTTCCCAGACTGGTCTTGAACTCATGTGCTGAACTGATCCTTCTGCCTCAGCTCCCAAAGTGCTGGATTACAGGCATGAGCCACTATGCCTGGCCCAATTTTACTGCTGCTGAGTGTCCAGTATCTGCTGGGTATTTTACTATGCAGGACTCTTGCAACAAAAAACAGGGGATCCCCTATGTTGTTTTTAATTCTAAAGTAACTTTTCCCAGCTTCAGGTATTCAAGATCTTCCATACTTTGCCTCAACTGATCTTGGCCCCTGTTGTCCTTCCCACACTTACTATTCTGGCTCACTCACTCACCTGCTGCTCCTTTCACCTGCTCTCTCCTCAGCTGTGCCAAGGACTGGCCCAGGCTGCAACCCTGCCTGGAAGGCCCTTCCAGCACATCCATGCATGTACTGACTATGGCCTATGTGCCAGGCACAATGCCAAGTTTGACACACCTTTTCTTGCTTATACTACATCCTTCAGGGAGCTTCCTATCCCCTTTCTCCACCCAACTATCCTCCCCAACAAAAAGTAACTTAAAATAGCTTTCCATTAATAGAAATAACTTTCCCTTTCTCCACTCCCACTGCATTTAGTGAATATTTTCTCATGTTCATCTTTGCATGACTGGTGTTTATGTATGCATTTTATTTCCCCTATCGTAATTCGAAGCTCACTGGGAGCATCTGAGATTCATCTGCATTCCCCAGTTGTCAGGCACAATCCTTGTGCACAGCAGCTGATCAAAGTTTATCAGATACATGCTTGCTTATATTTATACCAACATGAAAAAGAAGATGGCATATTTTGTGTTTGCTTGTTCCATCTTTGAAGTTCTCCTTTCCTCTCTTACTTTAGAGAGCAGACATGGTTAGCAAGAGAATGAGAGACAGTTTCATGTAGTAGTGAATATCCTGAATACCAGAGCTAAATTTCTCTGAGCTTAAGTCCTATCTCTGCCTCTTGTAACACTGATGAGTAACTTTATTTTTATTATTACTTTTTTATTTTTTTTGAGATGGGAGTCTCGCTTTCTTGCCCAGGCTGGAGTGCAGTGGCACAATCTCAACTCACTGCAACCCCCCCATCCTGGGTTCAAGCAATTCTCGTGTCTCAGATGGGATTTCACCATGTTGGCCAGGCTGGTCACAAACTCCTGACCTCAAGTGATCCACCTGCCTCGGCCTCCCAGAGTGCCGGGACAGGTATGAGCCACTGCGCCCAGCCTGATGAGTGACTTTAATTGCTCTATGCTTCAGTCATCTCAGCTAACACAGGGATTATCTTAATCTATGGTATAAAGGTAAAGATTAAATTACACAAAAACTCTCAGAACAGTGACTAACACAAAATAAACTCTCAGTGAATATTAGCTATTGTGATGAGGATAATGACTTTGGAATAGAGTTTGAATGAAATTTCACGTAAGAGAGGGAAGGGTCTGTTTTCTTACTCCACGTAGGAATACAGTTGTAAAGGGCATTAATGTGTTAATTATACTATCAGTTGCAAGGAAAACAGATCTAAATCTTAATTTAGCTACAGAAGGTATTTGATATTTTTTATGTTATTTGCAATCGAGCAACATAAGTATCTTAGGGTTTAAAGGACAATGCATTCACTTTAATAAAACTCTTATTAAGCATGCTTATTTTTCTAGGACAGAAACACTAAAACAACTCATTGCATTCAAACTGATGGAAGATTTTATTGGCAGACGAACCCACATTCACTAGGCCCACTGTAACACAGACAAGAAGGCTTGCTGCTCAGGCCGCTGTGGATGACCTCACCACTCTAGCCACGCCCTCTATTGTCTACTCTCCCCCTGCACAGCCAGTGACTTGTACCTCTTCTTATCACCCTTCCCGGGCTGAGAAAGCCAAGGTACCAGAAAAACATATGTTTGGCAAAAAGGTCCATGTCACTTACATTCTGCACATGATAAAAGGCCAGGGGACTTCCTCTGCCATTGTTTTTGAGGGGCTCCGTGGAGAATGCTTCATCATGGCGATGCAAAAAGCTTCATAAAAAAAATAAAAAGACTCGTGAACAATGCATTAAACGGTTTTATCAGAATCTCTTTCAAGAGCCCAATGTGGATCCTACAGAAAGAAGCATTCCACTTAAGCAGATTCTTTAAGTTATTTACTTTCCTTGTCAAGAACCTTTTCCATATTGCACAGAGGGCATTTTAGATTTTATTTCAAAAATGACTGAAAAATTAACTGACCCTGATCACTTAGCTATATGGAGGTATATGCAAGAATGCTTTAGAGAGAGTGAAGAAGTACATTCAATTAACTCCTCTTCCTTTGTAAAAGCTTTTTACTAAAAATAAAAACAATGTCATTTTGTACAGACAAAATTTAGCAGACTCAAGCTTCCACAGTTAGTGCGAGAGCCTGTGGATGGCATAGTTACATAAGAGTCTGTTGTGGATTCAAATGTCACCTCTTCCAGGCAGTCTTTCCTGACTTACCCTGGCAGCTTTGTGTTCCCACATTACTAGTAATGTTTTTTTCCTTAATAGCAATGATTTCACTGTAATAATGTATTTATATGCCTCTCTCCCCCAGACAGCAAGCGTTTTCCCACAGGTCTCGACACACAGAAGATACTCTGGAAAGATTTGTTAAAACAATGGGCTATATTTAGTTATTTTCACAGATAGTGAGATGTTATCGTTCTCTCTCTCTCTCTCCCTATTATTAGTCTGAAATAAAAAGAACTGCACAGTTAAAGAGGACCCAACACAAAGATTTACTGCCAGATAGAAAAATCCATCAGAAGGACACCCCTTCCATCAAGAAAAAATGGAGAAAAAGAAACTATTTTCAACTGGGGGGACAGACAGACTGGTAATATGAACTTGTTGTCTTCCAAATTAGTTCACCCGTCTGAGAACACTAGCATGCTTTTGCCAAGTGCTCCAAATCCCTGATTCCTGTATTGCTGGCACCGCAGCATTCCTGGGGTTCCCTGACGACAGGTGAACTCATTCACAGTGCTCTGCAGCCATACCTTCCCGGCACAGGCCAGAGGAGCGACTATAAAAACACAGGACGCCTTTGAGGCTGCTTTCAACAGAAGCAACATGCCCTTTTCCCCAGAGCTAACACCAGGTAGAGATGCTGCTCTTTTTAGGAGATTGTAGGACAAAGGTCAACTCACTATTATTGTCACTTCAGACATCAGTTAACCAAATAGATGTTTTCCATAAAACGTATCAGTTGCCTGATTAGAATAATAGCAACAGTTCCAAAAAACAGATTCATCTGGTGAACACTATCCTGCCCTAAGTTTGAGGGTATGAGTGAAAACACATTAAATAGGTGAAATCAATGCTCAATGGGTAATATTCCAACAACTATGACTTGTAGCAAATGATATTAGTGGCTTACTATATAGTGATCACATTTAATTTAAATCACATTTGACTCAATTTTCTGTGATAAAACCTATACAAAAGCTTTATAAACTGCACTAGGACCCATGGGACGGCCAAGGCACATTCTGAGGGGAGAGGGATGGCAGAACCCAAAGCAGCCTCTTGGTGGCACCAGTGGCAAACTGAGGGCGGTAGGTATGGAGGGGTCACACTTCAGTCTCTTGTACTGTGGCCCTTTCCAAGTACTGAAAAGACAAATTGAAGTTTGGAGGTATTAAAACTGAAGATTCACAAAAAAATGTTTTCCTGGGGCAGTCTTGAGAAGAAAGCATCCAGAGCACAGGGTTTGAGAGGGCCGCGGGAAAGAGCAAGTCCTATGTAGATGAGAAATGAGAGGTATCACATCTTCCCTACATACTAGCTTTTTTCAGTTGATGTAGAATTTATCCTTCTTTACATTGTTTAAATTTTCCTTTTCCCGAGTATTAAATAGGCGTAATTGCTAGCTAGATAAGTCATTGCTTTCAGGCTTATTAATAAGACATTTCAACATGAAGAGGACTAGAAAGACTCATCAACAGGCTTATGTGATCAGACCCTACATTCCTGGTAAAGGGGGACCGCTCACAGCAGAGCCCTGCAGCAGGATGTGCAGCATGCTCCTCCTGCCAGGGAACCCTGTTGCATTCCAGGACAGGTTTCTGGTTCTCACTCCCATAGGAGTGATGAAAGTATTTTCCTTCAGAGACTGATCAGTCTTTGTCTCAAGAGTGTTAATCCCTCACACATGTAAAGCACTCTACAGTGCACAAGAGATGTCACCTCGGTTAGCAGCTAGCTGGGAGGCAGAGCAAAGGGGCAGCTTACTTGAACTGACAGAAGATATCTGCATACTCTGGGAGGATTCCACTGGCCTGCAACACTGTTACTCGGAAAGTGAAGGCACTGCCCAGTTTCAGGTGGTTGCCAATCTCTTCAGAAAACCCTTCCATTACCATCTTACCATCCAGCAAAGTGCTTGACTTCAAATCTAAAGAGGGTCAAATGAAGACACAGATGGTTCAAATAATGCAAAGAGGAGGGAGTTGGGCATGCTTTCCATTCCTAGTTGATGAAGGCCACTATGTCCCTTGATAATGGTCAATATTTTCCCTTTGTCGAAAATGTCCCCAAGCACAGTAAACTATGTCTACATACCCAAGTCATTAATTCGACTGATTTCTTCTGGAGGAGTGATGACCTCAGAACTCTGACCCTGTCCTTCCACAATCCTCAACTCCTCCAAGGACAGACCAGAACGAGTCATTGCAACAGACGAAAAGTCACTCTGAAAAAAAGGCAGGGGCAGATACATGGTAAAGTAGTATAAAAACGTATTTTTCCCCAGTTGCCTTACTTCTGTTTATCTGTCCAACAAATAATAGTGACTGGAAAATTATATGGACTGAGGGCTGTCTGAGGAAAGGCAATGAATAAAATATGAATATTGAGTCTATACACCTTTACCTTCATAATTGTTAGACATGTCCCATATTCTATTGAACTACTCTGTGGCAACCAGCACCCTGTATTTTTCAGTTTTACAGGAGAACTGATCTCCAATGCTGAACATTCTTTCTCTTTCCACAGGGTTTTCCTTCTTCCTGACGGTTTCTCACCTGATTAAAGTATTCATTATCAAAAGATATTTTAGCTGTTCCTGACTGTCGAATTCCAGAGCCATAATCAGGAGCTTCTTCATCCGCTAAAGCAGAAAAAAAAATTAGCAAGAATTGAGTGAGACTACACAGGGGGAGGGAGGGAAAAAGCTCTTGCTGGATTATAAACTCAAGTCTTTGGCATGAGAGAATGATACCAAAGTAGTAACACGGCATGGGCTGCTTCGCACTCTATTCATGTAGATTTATCAACTTCCTCAGCTCAAATGAGACTAGTCAATAAAGAATCGGTTTCAGGCCGGGTGCGGTGGCTCACGCCTGTCATCCCAGCACTTTGAGGGGCTGAGGTGGGCAGATCACGAGGTCAGGAGTTCGAGACCAGCCTGACCAACATGGTGAAACCCCGTCTCTACTAAAAATACAAAAATTAGCCGGGCGTGGTGGCGGGCACCTGTAATCCCAGCTACTCAGGAGGCTGAGGCAGGAGAATTGCTTGAACCCGGGAGGCGGAGGTTGCAGTGAGCCGAGATTGCACCACTGCACTCCAGCCTGGGCAACAGAGCGAGACTCCGTCTCAAAAAAAAAGAATCAGTTTTATTCTTGAGATTGTTCAAATGTCATACCTAGAAATCCTGACTGTCTCCATGCTGGCAAGATAATAGTCAATAATACCCAACAAGTATTTGAAAATATTATATTGTACTTGTGGAGGAGACTTCCATATACTCAACACTGGTGATTGTGTCACAAGTTTCCATAGGGGAAAGGCTGAAAGGTCACTGGACACAGCCCAGCATTTGGGAATTAAGACAGAAAGATTACAGCAAATGACCACATTCTTTCCTCAGAACATAGGCTGGATCATGGAAAAATGGAAAATACCAAAATCTTTTTTTTTTTTCAATTGTTTTTTAAGAGATGGGGTCTCACTATGTTGCCCAGGTTGGCCTCAAACTCCTGGGCTCAAGCAATCCTGCCTCAGCCTCCCAAGTAGCTGGGACTACAGGCACGAGCCACCACAATCAGCTTATATCAGCTTGACCCGTGCATTACAAAACAACAGCCAAACAAATGTCTATTACAAGTACTCTGAGAAAAAAACAAACAAACAAAAAAACAACAACTAAGCAAGACAAAGGCCTAACAATCCTTTGTTAATAATGAAGCAGTTAAGATATATTATTTAGGCCAGGCTGGGTGCAGTGGCTGACGCCTGTAATCCAGCACTTTGGGAGGCCGAGGTGGGCAGATCATCTGAGGTCAGGAGTTTCAGACCAGCCTGGCCAAAATGGTGAAACTTCGTTTCTACTAAAAATATAAAAATTACCTGGGTGTGATGGTGGGCACCTGTAATCCCATTTACTAGGGAGGCTGAGGCATGAGAATCGCTTGAACCCAGGAAGCAGAGATTGCAGTGAGTTGAGATTGTGCCACTGCGCTCCAGCCTGGGCAATAGAGCGACACTCCGTCTCAAAACAAAATAAAAGGCCAATGACTGGCCGGGTGCAATGGCCCACACCCGTAATCCTAACATTTTGGGAGGCCAGGGCAGGAAGATCACTTGAACTCAGGAGTTCGATCGAGACTATGCTGGGCAGCATAATGAGACCCCAACTCTATAAAATTTATAAACTTAAAAATTAGCTGGGATGGTGGTGTGCATCTGTAGTTCCAGCTATTCAGGTGGCTGAGGTGGGAGGATGGCTGAGCCTGGAGGTGAAGGATGCAGTGAGATATGATTGCACCATTGCACTCCAGCCTGGACGACAAAGTGAGACCCTGTCTCAAAAAAAAAAAAAACAACACACCAATGACTTTTATATAGTTAATGCAAGAGCTGTTCTTTAACATGTTTAAGGAAATCTCTTTACCCCATTATTGCAAAGTAGCAGTAGTCTGGACTAAGCAGGATCTATTTGTGATACTTGGGAACAATTGCTAGAAAGGAGCAATAAAGGCTTTCTCCAAAGTATGTGTCTGTATATTACACATACAAACTCCCCACAGTTTGTATGTGTAATATAAGCGTGACCCACGCAGAATCAGCCTGCTTTGTCTCTAGACAAAGAACTCACAGCTCTCATTTCAGAAGAGGGTCACCTACCTGCGATGGCCTGTACAGCCACACGCAGAAATCCCCGCACTTCACCTTTCTCACTGACGATGGCCACCCTGTGGATCAGGGGCACGGGATACAGCAGATTGCTCAGGTAAACAAATGCCCTAAAGACAGAAACCAGGAGACAAATGTCAGAACATCCATGGAGAGATAAACTGGCTTTCAGATTCACTGAGAACATCTTCCTGCAACTGTGAGCTGACTTCTGGCCTTGTCTTAAGACCCCTTCTCAGTCCTAGCCTCTCAGATTTGCCTCCAGCTGCCTTTTCAGCACAGATAATGAACAAGCAAACGCTTGGCAGAACTGTTGACGAAGACCAACACACACCAAATCATGCTCTAAAACTTAACTACTGTAGGGAGAAGAGTCACACCTGGAAGCAGACTTTCAAGATACTGCTCTATGAATGCTGCTCGGGCAGGTTGGAGGAGGAGCCCATTCAAGAGCTCAACCTTTTTTTTTTTTTTTTTTTTGAGACAGAGTCTCGCTCTGTCGCCAGGCTGTAGTACAGTGGCACGATCTCAGCTCACTGCAACCTCCGGCTCCCGGGTTCAAGTGATTCTCCTGCCTCAGCCTCCCGAGTAGCTGGGATTACAGGCACGTGCCACCATAGCCAGCTAATTTTTGTATTTTTAATAGAGATGGGGTTTCACCATGTTGGCCAGGCTGGTCTCAATCTCCTGACCTTGTGATCCACCCGCCTCGGCCTCCCAAAGTGCTGGGATTACAGGTGTGAGCCACCGTGCCCAGGCGAGCTTAACCTTTTAATTTAAGAAATTATAAAGAGGTTTTGTTTCATTTTTCCCAATAGATAAAACAGAAACCAGGAGACAAAAAAGGCAGGGAAATGGGACGAAATACAGTTAATAACTCTAAAATAAATTCCATATCACAGCATATGGTCTTTATTGGTTGCTTTTTGTCTGATTTTGAGATGGAGTCTCACTCTGTCACCCAGGCTGGAATGCAGTGGTGCAGTCTCGGCTCACTGCAAGCTCTGCCTCCCAGGTTCACGCCACTCTCCTGCCTCAGCCTCCCGAGTACCTGGGACTATCGGCGCCCGCCACCATGCCCAGCTAATTTTTTTGTATTTTTACTAGAGACAGGGTTTCACCATGTTAGCCAGGATGGTCTTGATCTCCTGACCTCGTGATCCGCCCGCAACAGCCTTCCAAAGTGCTGGGATTACAGGCGTGAGCCACCGCGCCTGGCCTATGGGTCTTTATTGTTACCTTATTTATTTATTTATTTTGAGATGGAGTTTCACTCTTGTTGCCCAGGCTGGAGTGCAATGGCGCAATCTCAGCTCACTGCAAACTCTATCTCCCGGGTTCAAGCGATTCTCCTGTCTCAGCCTCCTGAGTAGGCTGGGTTTCTCCCTGTTGGTCAGGCTGGTTTCAAACTCCTGACCTCAGGTGATCTGCCCGCCTCGGCCTCCCAAAGTGCTGGGATTACAGGCGTGAGCCACCGTGCCTGGCCATTTATTGTTACTTTAAGAAATAACTATTATTGGCTGGGAGTGGTGGCTCATGCCCGTAATCCCAGCACTTTGGGAGGCTGAGGTAGGCGGATCACCTGAGGCCAGGAGTTCGAGACCAGCCTGGCCAACATGGCGAAACACTGTCTCTACTAAAAATATAAAAATCAGCCGGGCATGGTGGCATGCACCTGTTGTCCTAGCTACTCAAGAGGCTGTAGCAGGAGAATCGCTTGAACCCGGGAGGTGGAGGTTGTGGTGAGCCAAAATTGCACCACTGCACTCTAGCCTGGGTGACAGGGTGAGACTCTGTCTCAAAAAAAAAAAAAGAGGCCAGGCGCGGTGGCTCATGCTTGTAATCCCAGCACTTTGGGAGGCCGAGGCGGGCCGATCACAAGGTCAGGAGATCAAGACCATCCTGGCTAACACGGTGAAACTCCGTCTCTACAAAAAATACAAAAAATTAGCCAGGCATAGTGGCAGGCGCCTGTAGTCCCAGCTACTCGGGAGGCTGAGGCAGGAGAATGGCGTGAACCCGGGAGGCGGAGCTTGCAGTGAGCCGAGATCGCGCCACTGCACTCCAGCCTGGGCGACAGAGTGAGACTCCGTCTCAAAAAAAAAAAAAAAAAAAAAAAAAAAAAAAATGACTATTATCTTCAGGCAGGGTGACTGACAAGGTGAGGTCAGCAGACACATATGGGCAGAGAAGCTCTGCAGCAAGAAATTTTTGAGTTCTAAGATTAGAGGAGACTCTGAATGGGCATCAAGATAAATGTTAAGGGCCGGGCATGGTGGCTCACGTCTGTAATCCCAGCATTTTGGGAGGCCGAGGCAGGCGGGTCACCTGAGGTCAGGAGTTCGAGACCAGCCTGGCCAACATGGTGAAACCCCATCTCTACTAAAAATACAAAATTTAGCCAGGCACGGTGGCAGGCACCTATAATCCCAGCTACTCGGGGGCGCCGAGGCAGGAGAATCGCTTGAACCCAGGAGGTGAAGGTTGCAGTGAGCCGAGATCGCACCATTGCACTCCAGCCTGGGGGACAAGAGCAAGACTTCGTCTCAAGAGAAAAAAAGAAAAAAGATAAATGTTAAGGGAGAAGATGACAGTTGATGCCTAAAAGGTTTGCGTTTGCTCCTAGAGTTCAAAACCTAATTCAGAAATGCATAAGTGAAAGCTAAATTATAGCTCTAACACTTTATATTTCAAGCAAACTAGCAAAGTCCTATCACATTTGTATTTTCTTCTTTATTGTGTAGCTACTACTTTTTTAAAAAAGCAATAAAAACTGGTGGTCACAAAGCTAGAGTGTTCATTCCAATTAGTGAAAGGGAAATAGAATCTAGTTCCTACTATGATTCCAGTCTTCCCATTTGGTATATGCTGATCTTCGAACATAAGACAAAAGACAAAGACAGACACTTGTATCAATAAATCAAACAAAACCAAGTGACATACATGTTTATCTGATGCTTTTCCTGCTCTGAAATCTATTTTAAAACAAAGAGAGGAGGAGGATAGACTGGGTATTTGGGATTTCAACTCAAAGTAATGAAAATTATGAAAACAGACATAATACATCACAGAAAAACAAATGTTAACATAACTAGAGCATAAATGAAATACAAATGAAACATATAACAAAAATAACTGCAAATGAACATTAAATCAGATGAAATAATGCCACTTCCCTTTCAGTCTGCTCCAAAGCAGGAGAGAGAGAAATGCTAAGAAACAGAGAGTTGAAGCTCTGGTGTAAAAAAACGTAAGAATGAAAAGTTCTAAAAAGTTCTAAACAAGACCCTCAAACAACAACTACTGCAACAGAATTTAAAAGACAAAGAATTTGGCGTAAGGTATCAAATGGATAATTTCACTTTCAAAGTCAACACATACACAGATCACCCTCCTCTATTATGGGCACCCCAGCTAGACTTGCCCATTTCAAGGCCTGGGCCATTAAAGAGCCATCGCACATGTCCCCTGCCTGGAGTCCTCTCTGCACTCGATGCCTACACCTCATGCCTTTGATGTCTTTTTTTTTTTTTTTGAGGTGGGGTTTCACCATGTTGGCCAGGCTGGTCTCAAACTCCTGATCTCAGGTGATTCACCCACCTCAGCCTCCCAAAGTGCTGGGATTACAGGCGTGAGCTACCACACCCAGCCTCACGCCTTTGATTTCACATCTTCAGGTCTTATTTCAAACACCACTTTCTCATAACAGGTCCCCCAACGTTATGTGATCTCCGACAACACACACAACTATTTCATCACTGCTATAATTTACATTTATTTGTGCAATTATTTAATTTATGTCTGTGTCATCCATCAGACTATAAGTCTATGAGGGCAGGAACCATGTCTGGTTTTGCTCACCACTGTCTGCAGAGGGCTGGGCCACTCTATAAATATTTGGTAAGTGAACATCTATGTGCATAAGGGAACAGGAAAATGATTTGCCTCTTATCTTTAAGTAGAAGTGGAAGCTTTTCTAGAAAAATGGGTTATAACAGAAGCAGAAAAGCAAAGCCATCCAACTTATACTAGGTTGATTTTTCAGAGCCACCTCATAATGGATATTAACTATATAGAACACATTTAGATTCCTAACTATATCTATCTTAAAAATAGCTATTCAAAAACAGGAGCCACCTTTTTTTTTTTTAAAGAAAGCTTATATTAAGCACACATTACATTAAAGTACTGTTTGCACACACAGTAAAGATGAGATTGCCTTTCTGCCTATGGCAATGGCTAGTCCAAGTGTGGGAGCATTGAAGGCCATTATTATAGATTTCCCTTTTTAGATAATTCTGTAATTCTATGGCAGGGACATCAGCTCCATGACTACACAATCACACATTCACTAGATAGCACCTTGTTATGTTACCAGAATATAGCCCTTAGCTCCAAATCAATGCTATATAAACATTCTATTCTGAAGCTTTTTAAACAGAATTTTCATAATTACTCTGCATTTTTGAGAATCCTTATACTTTGACCTAGCAGACTGAAGGAGAACAGGGATGAGAGAGGGGAATATGGAAAGGATACGTTAGCAGAAAGTTCAATGAAGTTACTTCAAAAAGTGGAACAAACTGGTCAACATAAAGATAAGAAAAATTAGCAAAATTATGGTGCTACTTATAGAAAGAATGTCAGTTAAGGTACTTAGAGAGATCACAGAATCATCATCTTTAACCCCCTTTTAACCCAGAAGACTAGCTTAAATATTTTACATTTCATCCCAAATTATGATGGATGGTTCATAACATCCCAGCATGCCATAAGAGAATAGCTAAAGGGACAAGCTCTTTTTCACTTGCAATATAAAGTTTTAGCAGAGGCAGTCATGGCTAAAAAACAAACTTACTAATGGAATTTCACAAGAAACTAATTTTTTTTTCCCCCTAGACAGAGTCTTTGCTCTGTTGCCCAGGCTGAAGTGCAGTGGCGCGATCTCGGCTCACTGCAACCTCCCCCTCCCGGGTTCAAGCAATTCTCCTGCCTCAGCCTCCTGAGTAGCTGGGATTACAGGCACAAACCACCATGCCTGGCTAATATTTGTATTCTTAGTAGAGACGAGGTTTCACCATGTTGGCCAGGCTGGTTTCGAACTCTTGACCTCATGATCTGCCCACCTCGGCCTCCCAAAGTGCTGGGATTACGGGAGTGAGCCACCGCACCCAGCCAGAAACTAAAAATTTTACAAGTGATTTATATTGGCAATTATATGCCAATAGGAGAAATCCAATCTTGTGAATCACAAAAACAGGAAAGTAGTTACTTTCCTTACACATACAATGACCACTACACAACTGGGTGATGTTGCATTATTGTAAATTTTGTTTGTAGAAGAGAAATGTAGTCAAGGGCAAAAATGGAAAGCTATCCTTCACTTTACTGATTGCTATTATATTATTTCACTTCCTCCCCCAGTCCTTTCTTGCAAGGTTAGAACTTGGGAACCTAAACAAATGGAAAAATCAATTCCTGAGCCACAGCTCCATAAGTATTTTATGTGAAAATCAAAATAGAGTTGATTGCTTTATACCTATACTTACATCTGACATGATTAAAAGAAAGAAAACTATAAAACTAGAGAGAAAACAATACATGTATCCTCAGTTAATTTCCACATTAAGTGGGATTGTCTTGAGTTTCCACACAACTTCCTCAAAATACAAATGCTTCTTAGTAGAAGTCTTAACCAGGATATTCATTTTTGCTAGTGTAGATGACAGAATATGAAAGTTGAAAAAGATCTTTATGGCTCTTTATTTCTACCTGTTATTCACTTTACACTTGAGAGCCCAAAGGCTTCACTTTAAGTTGCTTGTCATAGTGACAGAGATGGCCTAGGACCCAAGGCTTCTCCTGACAATTAGGTCAGGCTTCTCCTCACCATGTTACGTAAGATGAAGCTGCCTACTCTTCACTGCAATGGTATAGAACACAAGCGAACAGTTTTAGAAACTGTGTAATTAGCACTGGGACAAAGTTTATGGCCAGAAACTGGGTTTTAACTTCCAACTCCCTTAGAACAGGATGGAAACGTGCTGAAGAACACAGGCAGCCATCAAATGAAGCAAGCATTATTGTCCCATTATTTGTACATACCTTTCTCAATTTTAATAAAAATCAGCTTCTCTGAAATTCTACGTTATCTATTCATGGCGATATGCCAGTAGAAAACAATATTCATGGCCACATAATCCCTTTATGTTTATTCATGGAAAAACTGAATTCTAAATGCTCCTTTGCCACTGGAAAACCCAGAGACTGTCTAATACTATGACCTACAGTTACACTTGAGGCTTTCATTTCTATCAAAAAAGCTTTTCTTTTCCCCCTTTCCATAAGAATGATCATCTTCTAATTTAGTTATGAGGTTCCGACCATGTGACCAATACCATACTACAAATTCTGTTTTATTTTATTTTATATTTTTTGGTAGACTTGGGGTCTTGCTCTGTCCCCAGGCTGGAGTGCAGTGGTGCAATCATGGCTCACTGCAGCCTCAAACTCTTGGGCTCAAATTATCCTCCTGCCTTAGCCTTCCAAGGAGCTGGGACTACAGGCATGCACCACAACACCCAGCTAATTGTTTTTTAAATTTTCAAAGAGACAGGGTCTCACTATGTTGCCCACTCTGGTCTCAAACTTCTGGCCTCAGCCTCCAGAGTTGCTGAGATTACAGGTGTGAGCCACTGCACCTGGTGAGATAAATTTTAGAACCTATGTCTCTACTAGGTCAGGAGACTCGCTATCCTTTAATTTTTAGATAACTGGTACTCATCCATTTAACACTGACATAATTCCCTTATTTATAAAGGATTCAACAATATGTGATTCTAATGTACCATTAAATTTAAATTTAATACTTTTAAACCTGGACATACTTTTTGGTTAATTCAATGCATGCTCTACTGTTGAACTTGTAATTTAAATTACCTCAGCATGAAGGCTGGAGATGAACAAAGACACCAGTATTAGGATCATGTGCATAGAGAGTTCTGCATCACTGAAAGATGGATGCACAAACTGAGAGCCAGAGACAATGCCTCAGTTTGGTGACCTAGTCTTAACACAAAGCAGTTTCATATAGCACCAAACAAATATTCATTTTTTTTTTTTTTTTTTGAGACGGAGTTTCGCTCTTGTCACCCAGGCTGGAGTGCAGTTGTGCAATCTTGTCTCACTGCAACCTCTGCCTTCCGGGTTCAAGTGATTCTCCTGCCTCAGCCTCCCAAGTAGCTGGGATTACAGGCACCCGCCACCATGCCCGGCTAATTTTTTGTATTTTTAGTAGAGACGGGGTTTCACCGTGTTGGGCAGGCTGGTCTCAAACTCCTGACCTCAGGTGACCCGGCCGCCTTGGCCTCCCAAACTGCTGGATTACAGACGTGAGCCACCACACCCAGCCTAATTTTTGTATTTTTAGTAGAGACGGGTTTCATGGGTCACGTTGGTCTCAAACTCCTGACCTCAGGTTATCCACCCACCTCAGCCTCCCAAAGTGCTGGGATTACAGGTGTGAGCCAAAGTGCTAGGATTACAGGGGTGAGCCACCGTGCCTGGCCAATATTCACTGCTGATGGGGTCAATAGATGATTTTCTGAGCTTTATCATTATAAACCCTATAGGTTAAAATTTTAGCAGATGCCAAAGATCCGTAGATAGGCTCAGTGAAACTGGCCAAAGACAGGCATCCGTTTTAGGTAAAGGAGAAGCTTAACTTTCCTGATTCTTTTTAGGATTCAGTAGACTAAGCAAAAAATAAATTTAACTCTACTCCTGAATCTACTTTTGTCCTCTGACTCCTGCAGTACCACAAATTCTTCAGCCAAACCTTGGCCTCACTCTGCCCCCTCTCTCATGTTACCTCCATATGCTTTTTCAATCACAATCCTTTAAAAAGGAAACATCTAGACCATAATACTATTCACTGAACCCACTACGTTTGACTCTTAGCTTTACTTTCTCCTTTGGGGTTCCCTTCTTCAGAACAAAATTACTGGGCAATTTAAGACAAGGTGTCTTCCATGCAGTCTTCATATATTGCTACGTATTGTGCTGAGTAGACTGAGGACCTCACACACAATGCCTGAGAACCATCTCAGCCAGACCAGCACTGACTAAGAGCTTGAAGTATTGGAGAACTTGAAAAAGAGCATTCATGAGTTGAATTGGCTAATGCAAGGTTATCCAAAATTGTGCAAGCAGGGAGGCCTTCAGAGCAAGAGCTGGTCCCTTTTCGCCTTTCTCACAATAACCTCACCAACCTTCCCACTAAAATGAACCAAGGGGATCGGTCGTAAAACGGGTCATGCCCGTCACTGAAGAGATCTGATCCCTCCTCCGTCCCTGCGTCAGAGCCGGCGTCATCCACGAATGCCTCATCATCAAAATCCTCCATCTCATCTTGCTGCTCGTCAGCCAGCTCAGTGATGTCGGAATCGGCCGTGGAAAAAGTGGGGGAGGGTGTGCGGTCGGCAAGGCGCTCGTTCACACAGCCGTGGAAAATGGGGGAGCTAGACACCAGGTAAGACGCCAATTAACACAGCCAGGGAGAGAGGAATAGTTGGTTAAACAGGAAGCAATAGGTGCTAACAGGACAGAATCCACTGGGGAATCAACACAATAAAAGCAAATGGAAAAGCAAAAGGATAAAATAAGCATAAATCATTTGGGTCAGGTGAAAGGGAACAAGGGCAAGTTGAAAAAGTTATGTAAGGACTAATCCTTAGAATAAGAAAAGCAAAGGAAACACGTGAGTAGACCATCCTAGGTAAATACTGTGCTATAACACGTTTACATTCTCCAGTTCACATAAAAGATCAGCATCCAGGCCTCAAAGGACCCACTCAACATCAAAGTGAAACAAGAAGGCTTTCAGTCTTTACTGAAATTCTCACGTCATTTTGGAGCAGAAACCAAAATGGATGAAATGGCATATGGCAAAGCAGCATGTGCTTTGCTAGGGTAAGATGTGTTTGGCCAATTCATCTCTTTGAAAAACTACTTTGCTATCAGAGCAGAGTGGAAAAGATTTACTTCATTTCCACAACATACTATGACTTCAGCAACTCCTTTTTACCCAGCCTCTTTAAAAAACATCACAGGGTTTTCTGCAATTGAAAAAGCAATTCAAATTCTGAAATCATAAGCTCAAAGTTAAATTTCCCTGCTTTGAAAATTTGAAAACCTCTAAGAACACTTGACTCAATATGGACTCATAGAGGCACTATGTGTTTTCATTAAGTGCTGGAAATAATGTATAAAAAAAAAATGAGGCTGAAGGGGACTACCAAGGTGCAATTAATTTACCCTTGCAATGACTAAAGTGGGATGAATTGCTTTTTAAAAAAAAGAAAAACAAATCAGATCACGAAGAGATTGTGTCTGATAAGCTGTACTATGAATTTAAACTGTGTAGGATACAGGCGTAAGTTTTCTTTTCCTTCTAAATTTATCTTAATCAATTACAGAACACTTTGTAAGTTTAAAGTCAGGGAAGATTTAAATACTTTGGCTGAAAGTTTGAGAGTCGAAACAAAAATGCCTGCTGAATATAACTGAAGGGAAATATACCAAATGACGCAGTGGTTGTGAGTGGATAAGATTATAGATAAGGCCTTTTTACACCTTTTTTTTTCCTCTTAACTTTTTATATTATCTGCTCAGGTTTTAAACACTTAAAACTAATCATTATTTTAAAAGAAGACATCAACAAAATCATCACATACCTCCCCACAAGTTTGAACCAGTGGAACCGATCATAGAAGGGATCGCTGCCAGTCACAGTGGTTTCGCTTTCGTCTTGGGCACTGGAGGCCATCTCCCCTGCCCTATCATACATCTCTCGCATCAAATCCAGCCTCTGCCTATTTAGTAAACACAAAGCACATTGGGTTAATATAATGAGATTGCATTAAACTTTCACTTTGGAAGCATCTTCCGTTCAAGATTTTCTTCAAAAAAAAAAAAAGGAGTTGCTCCCACTGTTTAATGTTACTAAAAAGAATGAAGCCCA
Source organism: Homo sapiens (assembly GCF_000001405.40). Taxonomy (NCBI): domain Eukaryota; kingdom Metazoa; phylum Chordata; class Mammalia; order Primates; family Hominidae; genus Homo; species Homo sapiens. Next base: position 10,324,608 of record NC_000001.11, on the reverse strand, counting down.
AAAATACAGAAACCAACACTCAGTATCTAAAGTGTCTTGATTCTAGAGATAAGCCATCAAAAGTCAAGAATGGCCACCTATCCTCTACCGGGTGAAAAGTCATAAGGGGGAATATTGTAGGTCAACTGTATGTGACATCTCAAATACACTGAGACGGGGGAAATACCTCATTATACTACATGTAAAAGAAGCCAGATTATAACTTCCATGTTTATTATTGATTATCCTGAGGTCCAGGATAGAAAAAATAAATAAGTTCCAAATCTGTAACAGAAATATGATGAAACTGGAATATTTAAAATTTATAAGAGGGTCTATGGAGGGTAAACTTAAATATCTACAAATGTCAGAGTGTGTGAGGAGTGCATTTATTCACTTAAAAGAAAACAGATGGATGGTAATACCATTGGCCAACAACAGCATTTAGAAAGTACAGGGAAGTAAGCAACAGTGTCCTCAGAGAGAGGAGAGCTGGAGGGAGCTCACTTGAGCAGGTCATTGTTATTTCCTAAATAAAACAACCAGCCTTTATGAATGTTTTCATACTTGAGTTTCTCCAAAGACCAATAGTGTGTTGCTCCATTCTTCAAATCCTGGACTTCTACTGCTACCACTGTGCGAGGGAAAGGCCTGTCCTCATGAGTTTTTTCCATCTCAGTGGGAAGTAATTCAGGAGGCAAAGGGGAGTACAGTGTGTCAGTCAGCAGAACAAACTGAAACTGCACCTGAATAGAAAGAATAAACCATTGACAAATGGTTTTCAGCAAGCAAGCTTCAGAGATGAGACGATACAATCATACCCAATGGGAAAGAGGTCGAATGTGCTCAACAAATATCTTGTGACTAACTTTCTACTGAAAAATATGGCCACCTGTTAGCAGTCATAGGGAATAACCCTAACTTCAAATTAAGCTATTTAAGGACTTTGTTTTCCTAGCCTGGCAGTGTTTTTGCACATACGAAAATCTTCTTGAGGGGAGGCACGGTGGGGACAAGGTTACACTCTGTCACCCAGGCTGGGTGCAGTGATGCAATCACAGAGCACTGTAGCCTCCACCTCCTAGGCTCAGGTGATCCTACCATCTCAGCCTCCTGAGTACCTGGGACTACAGGCATGCATCACCAGCCTAGCTGATTTTTAAAAATTTTTTGTAGAGATGGGGTTTAACCACATTGCCCAGGCTGGTCTTGAACTCCTGAGCTCAAATGATCCACCCACCTCGGCGGCTCAGATCACAGGCACAACCCACCACACCCGGCATAAAATCTTTATAAATACATTTTGATTGAATGAATGAAGACTTTTATAGAATTTATACCAGAGAACAAAAGGTCGACCACAAAATGCATATCTAGTCCCTCACTAATGAGAGAGGATGAAAACACAGCAAGGTTTCCCATTTTAAATTCAGAGGATTGCAACTACTGCTCTTAAAAGCATTTATTTGGCTGGGCACGGAAGTTCACACCTGTAATCCCAGCACACTAGAAGGCCGAGGCGGAAGGATCACTTGAGCCCAGGAGTTTGAGACCAGCCTAGGCAACACAGTGAGACCCTGTCTCTACAAACTGAGCCCAGCCCAGAAGGTGGAGGCAGTAGTGAGCCATAATTGCGCCACTGTACTCCAGCCTGGGCGACAGAGCCAGATCCTATCTCATAAAAAAAAGTGTTTAATAAATATGGTTTTATAAAAGTGTTTAATAAATATGGTAAGTACTTCACGACATTGCATCATTTATTTCTCCCTACCACGTTATAGTTTCACCAACAATTATTAAACAATTATTTAATATTAATTAAATGCTATGCACAGTAGTAAGAAAAAAAGACAGTTACTGCCTTTATTTAGTCTACTTGAGGAGAGGAGTGGCTAATAAATAATTATAAAATGAGAAAGGCTGCCAAGATTATGAATGAAGAACATATCGTATTCCCTAAAACTAGAATTTAGTTCTAGGAGAAGATAATTAATTTCCCCAAAGTTAGGTGGTCCATGCTCTTACCTACTACACAATATGGTCTTCCACTGTAATCTTAGCAGTGAAGAAACTGATAAACACGGGGGCATACAGAAGACTGAATCTAAGGTTTGGTGTGAAGTTTTGGTAATACTTACAAAAATGAATAACATTTATTGCCTTTTACCATGCCAGACACTATAAGTGCTTTATGCATATGCCCATTTTCATTCCTCACAAAATCCCTTGGTGCCAGGTACTGCTGCCAACCCCATTATGTAGATGGGGGAATGGAGGCACAGGGCTAGGGGGATCAACACCACTCGTGGAGCTGGGACTGGAACCTGGACTGTCTGGGTCCAGGGTGCATGTGCTTGTCCACTACACAGCAGTGCCTCTCAGACCCTAGAGGAGAAGCAGATCAATGGCAAAGGGGCATACCAAACTTAGAGGTGCAAACTTAATAACAGAAAAGTGGAAGAAAATTAAAATTATTCAGAAACCCAAGAGAAGTATTTTTCTATTACTATGTTTCTCCAGTTTTTGTAGGAATATAGTCTATTTGTAAAATAAGCTAGAAAACATGTTTTAAAAATTTTATTTAACAAAAATTTAATTAGCACCTACTATGTTCCAGCCACATATATTAAATAAAGACATATATAAAGCTGTTTTATAGCACAAAGCAGCTGAGTTCCCCCAAAGGAAAGGTTAATTCAAGGTGAGAACCCAGATGCACCCACAGCAGGCTCGGCTTTGCCTCCAGCTCTCCTGTGTCCTCCTGCTCCATACCTTCTTTTTCAGTTCCACACTGATGGCATTGGCCTCCTTTAGGTACACGGCATTGCCCCAGAGTAAGTCCCGTAATGAAGTAAACTGATGAGACTTCCATTTCCGGAAGGCCCATTGGGCCAACTCAAATTCATGCTGTGTCCAAGGAACTGAAAGAATGAATGATGCATATTTAATGGCAATCTTACAACTATATAAAAATTACACCTCTCTTCTAGCTTATCTCTTTTACCAAGGTGAGGTGTTTTCCAGTTTCTCTCCATTCAGCTGCTTTTGTTTCTTTTTAGTAAAGCTTACCAAATTCTGTTGATATTATGAAAGCAATATATACATTTCAGAAAATCTTTAAAAATCCTACTTTTGTATTTATTTAAAATAGTACAACAAAGAAATAAATTTTTCTTTTTTTTAAAAAAAGGTATAACATGTGGCCACAATAAAAAAAAATACTCCTGGCTAGGCACAGTGGCTCACGTCTATAATCCCAGCACTTTGGAAGGCAGAGGTAGGCGGATCACCTGAGGTCAGGGGTTTGAGGCCAGCCTGGCCAACATGGAGAAACCACATCTCTACTAAAATTACAAAAATTAGCCAGGCGTGGTGGCACACACCTGTAGTCCCAGCTACTCAGGAGGCTGAGGCATGAGAATTGCTTGAACCCAGGAAGCAGAGGTTGCAGTGAGCCAAGACTGCACCACTGCACTAAAGCCTGGGTGACAAAGTGAGACTCTGTCTCAAAAAAAAAAAAAGACAAACTCCTGACCTCTGTTACATTGTATGACTTCATATATTTCTTTTTTTTTTTCTGTTACAGAGAGAAAAAAGGTACCATCTCACTTATTTAAAAATAAGAAATTGGCTGGGCGCAGTGGCTCATGCCTGTAATCCCATTACTTTGAGAGGCCATGGCAGGCAGATCACCTGAGGTCAGGAGTTTGAGACCAGTCTGACCAACATGGTGAAACCCCATCTCCACTAAAAACACAAAATTAGCTGGGCATGGTGGCGCATCCCTGTAATCCCAACTACTTAGGAGGCAGGAGGCGGAGGTTGCAGTGAGCTAAGACTGCACCATTGCACTCCAGCGTGGGCGACAAGAGCAAAACTCTGTCTCAAAAATAAATAAGTAAATAAATAAATAAGAAATGTAATACATAAATTAAGAGTTCCTTCAAAGTTAGTTTGAAGCCTTGAGATTGCCAAGAGGTTGGGTAGAAAAACGAATTGTGGTAAGTGTTCATACTGCATTATAAGGCAATAAGTAATAATGAAAGCCCTAACTCAACTAAGAAATGCTGGAAAACCTAAGATAGGCAAACATGACTAAGCAATATGATTAGAAATTTGCCAGAAATGGCTTCAAATTGAACAGACTGTCTTAACAAAGATTCAGCTCTATATTTGTAATGGATATCTAAAAGTCACATCTACAGCAATATGAGAGACAGTGCAGGTCAACTTCCTAAGGGATTTAAATGAACGTGCTCAGAAACCGTGCGAAGGTCTAAGAACACCATCACTCCCATCCCCACCTCATAAAATACAGCCTGGATTCTCAACACTGCACATCTATTCAATCATCTGTAAACTGGCTCAGTAAAATGTCAATAAATGATAGGGCCAACTAAGAGGAATCCAGCTTTGATTATGCATAAATGACTAATTTGATAATATAACTTCAAAAAGATATACACAGGAAACTTTCGGTCTCTAGATTTCACCTTCTTCCTCTTCTTCCTCCTCTTCAGTTGTTTCTGCAGCCAGAGATCGGGTTTCAACCTGCTTCTGCAAGGCCTGCAATTTACTCTCATAGTCCTGAATGAAAAGAAAGGAGATAACATGTAGGAGAGGGAAGAAATAAGAGGGCAGGGAAAGAGAAATGGAAGGAATATTGGGGGAAGTAGAGAAAGCAAAGGACAAGGAAAAGAGACAAAGGCAGGAAACAATAATAAAAAGACATACAGGGAAATGTTTAGGAAAAAAACCCACAAAGCACACAAGATGGTCTGTAATGGGTAAATGTTAAAAAGAAAAAACTCACTGCAGTATGTTTCTACTCCCTCAAAGACTCAAGAGTTCTTCATCTGGGGTAGTGGTAGGAGAAAGGGGGAATTTTTAGGTGAAATAACACGTGTATACCTTAAGCGTTAGAATATATTCAAGTAATATCTTATATATCAATAAATTCCAGAGAAAAACAATATTGAAAAAGATTAAATTCACCAGTATCATCAAAAATCTCAATTATCTAACTCTTTGGAAGGAAAAAAAATTAAGATTGTAGACTTTGATGCTTCCTCTTTGTGAAAAATTACTATCTTTGATCAGTAGGATGAGTTTAGCCTTCAGGTAACCAAAAGCTCATAGTGCTATTAGGACTGAAATAATTTATAGACTGCATTTAGTTATTCAAGTAAGACACTTTATTTTCAATATGCAACTATAAGATGGATTACTGACCGGGTGCAGTGGCTCACACCTGTAATCCCAGCACTTTGGGAGGCCGAGGTGGGTGATCACCTGAGGTCGGGAGTTCGAGACCAGCCTGACCAACATGGAGAAACCCTGTCTCTACTAAAAATACAAAAATTAGCTGGCCATGGTGGCACGTGCCTATAATCCCAGCTACTTGGGAGGATGAGGCAGGAGAATCACTTGAACCCGGGAGGCAGAGGTTGAAGTGAACAGAGATCGCGCCACTGCACTCCAGCCTGGAGACAGAGCGAGACTCTGTCTCAAAAAAAAAAAAAAAAAGGATTATTGTAATACAAATCAGATGTATCCTTCATTTTTCCATCTACTCCATGCGTTTTTCAATAAGGGTAATATCACCCCAAAGGGGCCAAAAAATGGTTCTCAGAGGATGAAAAAAATCTTAGTCTTTTAATATATGAAGTACAAATATAATCAGTATACAGATATGTAGTATATCTGAGGTATTAAACTCTCATGGTGGGCAGAGAATAGGGGACAAATGTCTAAAAAGTTTCCTTAGGTTGTTAATTTGAAAAACTTGAATTTTAGTGAAAATAAAATAAGTAGGGTTAAGAAAGAGACCTTCAAACAGCGCAATACTAAATTACAGCATAAGCATAGCATTTTAAGATTTACTGCCAGGGTTTCCTCCTTCTTTTTTGAGATGGAGTCTCACTCTATTATTGTCCAGGCTGGAGTGCAATGGCGCAATCTTGGCTCACTGCAACATCCACCTCCCGGGTTCAAGCGATTCTCCTGCCTCAGCTTCCTCAGTAGCTGGGACTACAGGTGCCCGCCACCATGCCCGACTAATTTTTATATTTTAGTAGAGATGGGTTTTCACCATGTTGGCCAGGCTGATCTCGAACTCCTGACCTCACGATCTGCCCACCTTGGCCTCCCAAAGTGCTGGGATTACAGGCGTGAGCCACCGCACCCAGCCCTGCTTCTTTTGGTTCCCTAGCAGTGACCCAATTACAGGCTGTCATGAGACAAAGGGTATAAGTATGACTATCCACTGTTTCCAAACAGAGCTCTCCAAGTCCCACATCAAACATTCCATGCATCATAAAGCACTGCTGAAAGCCATTTAGCAAACTCCATTACAAAAGGAGCTCCCAAGCAATGCTCAGAAGGATGCAAATATCCTCTATGGTTCTGGTCGTTTGTCAGTTATTCTCACAAAGGAAGTGTTCTCTTTAGATGGGCAGGCAGTGACCAAGACCACGAACCAACTACATAGCTTTACTAGATATCTAAACACACTTTTTTAGGAGACTACATGTTATGAAAAAAAAGAAAAAAAAATTAAACTGGTAAGAGGCTTGGGTTTGGGGTCCTGGCACTTGTTCTTACTAGCCTTCTAATTCTGAGAAAGTTAAATTATCTCTAAACTTCACCTTCTTCATCTTTAAATAAAGATTTTAGCATTTGACCTGCCTACCCACACAGTACTAGAGGAAGGACCAAGAGATGAACCATTTTAAAAACACGTGAAAGCCCTCTTACATGGTAATACAATATCAAAATGTCAGGCAATTTTTTTTTTTTTGAGGTGGAGTCTCGCTCTGTCACCCAGGTTGGAGTGCAGTGATGCGATCTCGGCTCACCACAACCTCTGCCTCCCAGGTTCAAGCGATTCTCCTGCCTTAGCCTCCCAAGTAGCTGGGACTACAGGTGCACGCCACCGTGCCTGGCTAATTTTTTGTATTTTTAGTAGAGACAGGGTTTCACTATGTTGGCCAGGCTGGTCTCGAACTCCTTACCTCGTGATCCGCCCACCTCGGCCTCCCAAAGTGCTGGGATTATAGATGTGAGCCAGTGCGCCTGGCCTCAGGCAATGTTTTTTTATAAAAGGTTATTGTTTAAGCATACTTAGCACCTAGATCTTGGTTTCTAAGTACCACTGCCACTGAAAGGAACCAGGGTTCCTTGAAAAAAATAGCTGCTTCCAGGTCTGAAGCAAGGAAAGTACAAGGTGAGTCTGAAATATTTTGTGTCAGAAAGGATGGAAGAACTCAAACACCACTGGGGCCATTTCAAAAGGACACAGGATCCCACTGGCCAATAAATCAACAGAAAAATAGCACAGTACATTGAATATAGAAAGAATTCATGATTCCATGGTGATACTGAAAGAAGGAGAGAAAAAGGGGAAACTCTTCTTTAAATAAAAATTTTTTAAAAGCTAGCTAATTACCAGGCATGGGGCATGCACCTGTTCATTTCAGCTACTCGAGGCTAAAGAGGCTTGGGTTTGGGGTCCTGGCACTTTTTCTTACTAGCCTTCTAATTCTGAGAAAGTTAAATTATCTCCCAAAGTGCTGGGATTACAGGTGTGAGCCACCATGCCCAGCCCCTGGGATCCCTGGAGCCCAGGAGTTGAAGGCTGTAGTGCGCTATGATCAGGCCTGTGAATAGCCACTCCAGCCTGGGCAACACAGCAAGATCCCATCTGAAAAACAAAAAAACAAAAAAAAGGTGGCTAATAAATGCAGAAGAAATGGCAATTGGAAAATCACCATATTGCAACCCCAGATGTAATAACTGAATCAAGAAAGGATAATAAATACTAAAATAGGCCAAGCACAGTGACTCAATGCCTATAATCCCAGCACTTTGGGAGGCTGAGGCAGGCAAACTGCTTGAGCCCAGGAATTCCAGACTGGCCTGGGCAACATGGCCAAACCCCATGTCTACAAAAGAATACAAAAATTATCCAGGTGTGATGGCACACACCTGTAGTCCCAGCTACTAGAGGGGCTGAGGTAGGAGGATCACTTGAGCCCGGGAGGCGGAGGGTGCAGTGAGCCGAGATCGTGCCACTGTACTCCAGCCTGGGCTACAGAGCAAGAGACCCCATCTTAAAAACAACAACAATAGCAACAAACAACAAAAAGCTAAAATAATTGAGTAAAAGATGCATGGGAAACAGGATATGCATACGATCCAAAGTCCATGCCCAGATATCTATTTAAGAAGGGAAATGATATATTTACAATGCAGAGAGCTGGGAAACATCACATTAACCAAATTTACCAAACTTTAACATTATTGATAATAGGACAAACTGACATTTTATGTCTACTGATGTGATGCAACAGGAAGTACACAACATCACCATTATAGCAATCTTTTTCCTTTTTTTTGGAGAAAGGGTCTCCCTCTGTCACCCAGGCTGGGGTGCAATGGTACAATCATAGCTCACTATAACCTTGACCTCTCAGGCTCAAGTGATCCTCCTGCCTCAGCCTCCCAAGTAGCTGGGACTACAAGAGTGAGCCAACGTGCCTGGCCCCTTCATAGCTTTTTTTTTTTTTTTTTTTTGAGATGGAGTTTTGCTCTGTCACCCAGGCTGGAGTGCAGTGGCACAATCTCAGCTCACTATAACCTCTGCCTCCCAGGTTCAAGCAATTCTCCTGCCTCAGCCTCCCAAGTAGCTGGGACTACAGGTGTGTACCACCATGCCCAGTTAAATTTTGTATTTTTAATAGAGAGGGGGTTTTACCATGTTGGCCAGGCTGGTCTTGAACTCCTGACCTCAGGTGATCCACCCGTCTCGGCCTCCCAAAGCGCTGGGATTAGAGGCGTGAGCCACTGCACCCGGCCCCTTTATAGCATTCTTAACAAAAAGATTTAACTTGAATCTAATACTGAGGAAATAATCAGACAAATCAGAATGTGGCCTAGACAATTCAAAAATACCAGTATAATGAAAGATTTAAAAAATCATAACCAAATGAAATATATAAACCTTGACTGGATCTTGGATTAAAACACTCTCTTTCCTAATTTTTGATTTAATTAACGAAATTTGAAAATGGACTGTACATGATATAATATTGAATCAATATTGAATCAGTATTAAATTTCCTAGATGGGATAGTGGTATTAGGAGAATATTCCTGGCTGGATGCAGTGGCTCATGCCTGTAATCCCAGCACTTTGGGAGGCCGAGGCAGGCAGATCACCTGAGGTCAGGAGTTCAAGACCAGCCTGGCCAACATGGTGAAACCCCATCTCTACAAAAACACAAAATTAGCTGGGCATGATAGCAGGTGCCTGTAGTCCCAGCTACTTGGGAGGCTGAGGCGGGAGAATCACTTCAACCCGGGAGGTGTAGTTTGCAGTGAGCTGAGATTGCACCATTGCTCTAGCCTGGGCAACAGAGTGAGACTCCGTCTTAAAAAAAAAAAAAAAAAAAAAAAAAAGAATATTCTTGATTTTAAGAGATAAGCATGGAAGTATTTGGGGTAAACTGCCATGATATCTATAATTTTCACATAATTCAGGAAAAATATATAAGTATGGGTATACAAAAGTTCATTATAGTTTTTTTTTCAGCTTCTCTGTTTCAAATGTCTCAAAAAGCTGGGGAGTCGGGGAAAAACTATACATTACATGGAATTATTATAGCAAAAAGAGAAAGCTGCTGCTTTACCTAAAAATCATCAGGTAGAAAAAAAATGTTAATACTTTATCTTGAGGATTTCTTCAAGAATAAGTTGACAGGCTGGTCAAACTACCAATGAATACAAAATTCTCAGACTCTGACAGTTAAGGTATGAGGATGACCTTCCCTAACAGCTGTGGCTGTGCTTTAGTAACCAAAACTAACATGAAAAGATTTCCCATAGCCCTATGAATCTAAAAAGTTTAACTGGGCCAGGTGTGGTGGCACATGCCTGTAATCCCAGCACTCTGGGAGGCAGAGGCGGGTGGATCACTTGAGCTCAGGAGTTTGAGACCAGTCCGGGCAACATAGTGAGACCCTGTTTCTGCTAAAAACACAAAAATTAGCCGGACTTAGTGGAGGGCATATGTAGTCCCAGTTACTCGGGACGCTAAGGTGGGAGGATCACTTGAGCCCAGGAAGTGGAGGTTGCAGTGAGCCAAGACTGTGCCACTCCACTCCAGCCTGGAGGACACAGCGAGACCCCATCTCAAAAACAACAACAAAAACAAACAAACAAAAAACTTTAACTGCATTTTGACCACAATTGATAGTCAAAATATCAACATCATCTATTGAATTGGCCCCCTCCCCAAACCAGGCTACTTACGAGCTTTTAAAAAGGACACTGTATATCATCACCATTTCCCACAACAAATGGCTAATTAATGAGATTCACATACTATCGTTCTGTTCATTTTGTGACAAAAACTAATTACGGAAGGCACATTAAAAAATAATATATTTTGGCTGGACGCGGTGGCTCATGCCTGCAATCCCAGCACTTTGGGAGGCCGAGGCGGGTGAGTTAGGAGTTCGAGACCAGCCTGGCTGACTGGTGAAACCCCATCTCTACTAATGATACAAAAATTAGCTAGGCATGGTGGCACATGCCGTAATCCCAGCTACTCGGAAGGCTGAGCAGGAGAACTGCTTGAACCCAGGAGGCAGAGGTTGCAGTGAGCCAAGATCTCGCCACTGCACTCCGGCCTGGGCAACAAGAGTGAAACTCTGTCTCAGTAATAATAATAATAATAATAATTTTTTCAGTAGACATTTATGTTTATAAGAAATCCTAATGGCCAAGCACGGTGGCTCACGCCTGTAATCTCAACACTTTGGGAGGCCAAGGTGGGCAGATCACGAGGTCAGGAGATCAAGACCATCCTGGCTAACACGGTGAAACCCCGTCTCTACTAAAACTACAAAAAATTAGCCGGGTGTGGTGGTGGGCACCTGTAGTCCCAGCTACTCGGGAGCCTGAGGCAGGAGAATGGTGTGAACCCAGGAGGCGGAGCTTGCAGTGAGCCGAGATTGCGCCACTGCACTCCAGCCTGGGCGACAGAGCGAGACTCCATCTCAAAAAAAAAAAAAAAAAAAATCCTAACTAGTTCAAAATATGCCCCATATTTATAAAGGCACAGCACTGGCTGTTCTCTCTACTAGAATGTTCTCTCCTACCTATCTACCCCGGTTTTTAAGCTTATTTTGTATCAGGAAGTGTTCTTAATGTTAAACATGAATTATTACAATCTTCTCAATAACCTTATAAAGATGGTACTAGGCTAGGCGTGGTGGCTCATGCCTGTAATCCCAGAACTTTGGGAGGCCAAGGTGGACGGATCACCTGAGGTCGGGAGTTTGAAACCAGTCTGGTCACCATGGCAAAACTCATCTCTACTAAAAATACAAAAAAATAAGTAGGGCGTGGTGGCGTGTGCCTGTAGTCTCAGCTACTTGGGAGGCTGAGCCACAAGAATCGCTTGAACCAGGGCAGCAGAGGTTGCAGTGAGCCAAGATCGTGTCACACACTCCAGCCTAGGTGACAGAGCAAGACTCTGTCTCAATAAAAAAACAAAAAACAAAACAAAACAAAAAAATAAAGATGGTACTATATAGTTAGCCTCATGTTAAAGAGAAAGAAAGAGGTTAAGCAAATGCTAAAAATGAGACTTGAGCCCAGGCAATCCAGAGCATGATTTTTAAACCATTATCCATCCATCCACTCAGCAAATACCTTTTGTGCTCCTACTATGTGCCAAATGCTAGTGGTCAATAAGACAAGGGTTCCATTGACAAAGGAGACAGAGATGATAAAGAGTAAACAAAATATAGATGGATTTTAGTGGCGAGTACTAGTATGAAGAAAGATAAAGATAGGGTTAGAGACTACCAGGGAGAAGAATGGGAGACAGACTTCTAGACTGAGTAGGTTAAGCAGGCAGAGGTCTTTGGCAGGGGTTATTCTACTCAAATTCATAGTAACAGCAAGTGCCAAGGTCCTGAAATGGAAAGGGGCACCACATATTTCAGGAAAAGCAAGAAAACTTGTGTGGATGGAATGGCAGAGTAGGGAGACGGGTAGGAGATGCATCAGATGTAATCAGGTAGCAAATGGAGTACAGATGGCCTTATAGACCATGGTAAGGTCTGGGGATATTATTCTAATGGAAACTGCTGGATGGTTTAGAGCTGGGATATGTTTTAAAAACATTATTCTCTGTGGGACTCAGGAGGAACTATGGAAATAAGAAGAATGGTCATGAGGCTGTCACAGCACTGTCCAGCACTGTGGTGGCTTGGACCAGGTTATTAGCAGCAAAGGTGGTGAAAAGAGATGGAGTCAGGATATGTTTTACAGGGAGAGCAAACAGGATCTACTGATGATCTGATCATGGGATGTGAAGAAAAAGAGAAACTAAAGGTGACTTGGATTTGTGGCCTGAGCTAGCTGCTCCAGTTCAAATGATTTAAATGTAAGGTGCCTGCCAGTGATTTGGATGTCAGGCAGTAGTTGTGTATCATCAGCATCTAGAGCTCAGGGTAGGGGCCCAGGCTGGAGAGAGAGGACACCTGAGAGTCAGCAGAAGGCGAGGCAGGGCAGAGGTTTGCAGACAGAATGACTCCCTGGGACTGGCTCTGGCTCTCCCGCTGAGTAGCCGTGTTACACTGGGAAAGTATGTGAAAAGGGAATAAGCAATACCTACCTCACAGAAGAGGGGTGTTGTGAGGACTCAATGAGTCAAAACATGTAAAAGGTTTATGTGTATTAATACATGTAATACATGCTCAATATATGAGTTATCATTATCTTCATCATCAGTACAAAAATGGAAGGGGGAACAGAGAAACATATAGAAATAGCCAAGGTCTGTGTCCACAGACCATGATGGAGCAGCTGGAAAGGTTCAAGGAAAAGAAGCCAAGAGAAGAAAGTGTCCCATGAAGAGCAGACAACTGTGTCAAATGCCAGAGACATTCAGTAAGATGAGGACTGAGAAAATGCACTGAATCTATCATCAAGAAGAGCTTTTGTGACTCTGATAAGAGCAGCTTTGGTGGTGAGGGGAGAACAAGAGTCTGACTAGATGAGTTCCAGCAAGAATGAGGATAGGAAATAATGAAAAGAAAAAATGGGGCCTGGAGCGGTGGCTCACACCCGTAATCCCAGCACTTTGGGAGGCTGAGACAGGTGGATCACCTGAGGTCAGGAGTTCAAGACCAGCCTAGCCAACATGGTGAGACCCCGTCCGTCTCTACTAAAAATACAAAAATTAGCTCGGTGTGGTGGCGTTCACCTGTAGTCCCAGCTACTCAGGAGGCAGGAGAATTACTTGAACCCGGAAGGTAGAGGTTGCAGTAAGCTCAGATCGTGCCACTGCACTCCAGCCTGGGTGACAGAGTGAGACTCTATCTCAAAAAAAAAAAAAAAAAGAATGGGAGGTAGGCAAGTAGGACGTAATAAGTACAGAAAACTTTTGCAACTGGTGACATGTTTGCATGCTGGCAGGAATAATCCAGGAGAGAAACTGATGATGTAAAAGAGAAGGGGGTAAATGTTCAACAAGTTCTTGAGAGGGCATGGAATGCAGGGAGCAAGGGCTGGGCTAGGAGAGGATCAAGGACAGTTTATCCACTAACAGGAGGGAAAGCCCAGTACAGGTATGGATGGATGATGCAGGCAAAACTAGACAAAGGAAGAAAACAAAGTTTCTTCTGATTGCTTTTTTTCCTCAGTGAAACAAAAACATTGTCAGCTAAGAGCAATGAGAGGCCACTTTTCATTCCCAAAGGCACCCGTTAAACCCTTTCAGAGCACCTTGTGTTTTTCCATCATGGCACTTGTCACAAATGTACTGACTCACTACTGGTGTGGTTATTACAGCTGTCTCCCTCCATAACTCTGAGAACTTTATGAGGCCAGGGACCACACATTTGTCACTTACCACTCATCCCAGCAACTGGCATGTATCTGTCTTCTAGATTACATACACAGTCACATACTGATCTTTTAGATAAATATTTATCAGAAGTAGCTATCTTCTAGATCGGGGTCGGCAAACTATGGCCTTCGGGCTAGATCCAGCCCACTGCCTGTTTCTGTAAACACAGTTTGACTGGAACACGGCCACCCTTGTTCATTTCCATATTGTCTATGGCTGCTTTCGTACTACAACAATAGAGTTGAACAGTTTCACAAAAAAGACCACATGGTCCACTAAGTCTAAAATATTTACTATCTAGTGTTTTACAGAAAATGCTTACCAAGCCCCCATTCCAGATCACTGGTTATCAAAGGTGTTTACTGGACCAGCAGCATCAGAATCACCTGGGAATTTATGAGGTATGCAAATTTATCAGGTCTCGCCCCAGACCTAGTGAATCAGAAACTCTGAAGGTGGGCCCAATAGTCTGTGTTCTCATAAGACCCCAAAATTCTAACTGACATTAAAGTTTGAGAACCACTCTTCCAGGTTATGGATTTATATGACTGGCGAAGTGAATAAGACAGATACGGCATTTATTCTAGGTGAGTTTACATTCTCGTGGAAGAACCAAACAAATACAAAGAAAAGATAATTACAGGCCATCATTATTAAAACAGTGAGTCAACTTGTGGTGGGCTGGGCAGAAAGAGCTGAGGAGCTCAAGTCTGGAAGGGGAGGTAAGCATGATGGAAATGGGCTCCAGGCTTGAGAAGTGCAAGAGCCCAGAGGTGGGAAGAAACTTGGCATATACAAGGAACAAAAAAAAGGGCAGAGTGTCTGTGGTGTGAGAGTGACAGTGTTAAGAGTGGTAGGTAAGCAGCCAAAACATGTAAAGCCTTGGAGACTACAGTAAGACTAAGATTCTTTCATGCAATGGAAAGCCCCTGAGGACACTGACAAGATATGATTTATGTTTTTAAAAGATGATCTTGGTTGCTATGTGGACATTGGATTATAGGGGTCAAGAATAGAAGCAAAGAGACAAGCTAGGGTACTCTCGATGAGAGATGATGGTGGTACAATTAAGGCACCTCTGAGAAGGTGATATTCACAGTAAAATCAATATCACCATTCTGAGTTTTCCGGTTAGGCTGTTTTAGACATTAAAGGCTTGGCTCCTAATGGCAGATTATAATTAGCAAGCAATAGCTGGAAGGAAAATATCCACACCCAAGATGACACCCCAGTTGTTGACAACACTTAACTTCGCTTCTCACCACCAGCAGCACTGTGTGGCCACAGTCTCATCAGCACAGTGTCACTACACATATCACACTGTAATCTTCTGTGTCACCCTATAAACGGTAGGGACATTGCAACTTTTCCAACAGTTTCTCCGACAGCAAAGGATTACAAAGTACCTGAAGGAAAAGGGTATGAGGCTGGAAGCAGACCGATTCAGGCATAACACTTCTCTAAAGTTTCAGATTTCATATTAAAAACTCATGTGGATTTTGTATTCTATCCCATGATGCGTGATTATGTTGTTTTTAAACATTAAAAAATAATGTCAGGTCCAAATTTTCAATGAGACTAGTGGTCCATTCCAGAAAAATATTCTGCTTTGTCCTGTTTCCTCTCTAGTGTACCATCAATACTCTGGGTGAAGAAAAGCAGAGGTTAAAGGAGAAAGAAAACCTGCAGAGTCACTCAAAACTTTTTAGAAATTTAGTTTCTGCCCATATAAAGGAAAATAAATCATTTCATTTAAAAGAACTTCAAACCAAGAGTATGTAGAGAAAAAACTGAAAACATGGTTAAACTAAACTCAAATCAGAAAGTAATATCCTTATTCATCTTTTGTGAGAAAAGATTTTATGTAAGTGAAATGTGGCATAAAATAGGGCTGAAAGATCTCACTTAAGATAGAATTTTGTTAAACAGAAAAGGGTAGCTAAAGCAAAAGCTTTAAAACTAATCAAGTTCACATAGAAATATCAAAAAGAAGATTTAGTTTACAACCATCTTCAGATGAAAAAGCAATAAATAAAAGTCAAAACCAGGTTTAGTTAGCATTACCTTGCTTTCCTTTTCCCTCTTCCCACATAGAGAGAAATCACACTCTTAAAAGATGACTTCAACTTTTATTGAATGAGGTCTTTATTTTTTAACATTACAAACTAACACTCCCTTTCTGAAAAGGCAGATCTTACACTCAAAGACAATCTTCAAGCATTTTTTTGTTGTTGTTTAAGAAATTGAGAGGGGAAATCCACAGTTTATTAACAAGAAGATTCAAAACTTCATTTTACAGTAATAATGGGACAACACCTAATACATTTCACAATCAAAAGTGGTTCAAGCTAAGAATATCTAGAACAGATTTTAAAATCTGGGAAAGATGACATAAACTGGACAATTATCAGTATTGCTCATCACAATTTTGGCTCTAACAGTACAGGACAAATGCTTGTTTTGCACTGTGCCTAAGACGGCCCCTTCATTAAGGTTCACCAGGACACAGGCAGCATCCCCGCCTCCCAGTCATTTGTACAAATCATTAAGGCAAATCTACAAAGGACCAGTAAGGCACTGGGGCACAGCAGCTGACTGCAGGAAGTCTATGTAACTTCCGGTAGTAAAACAGCCTTTAATGCAGACATAGGTGTGAAAAATTCAGTGTTTTGTTTTTTTTTCAGTGTCAACCTGCACCTAAAGCACAAAAGGTCACTTCAAGTCACTTCAATGTAATAAACAATTCCCATTCATCACATTACCAGTGAAAAGAGAAATAATTCACTGGGCTAGAAGGAATTAGAAGCAGGAATAAAGAAAATGCCCTTTGGTTTACACTTACTAAAGAGAATGTCTTTAACTCTCCAAGGAATACCATTCCGCTTTGTGAAATTATACCAATTAATTAGGACTCCTCTATATTCCCATTAATGTCGGATCATTACATAACTTCAATAGAATAAACACTTTTTTCCCACTTTGCTATAATAATAGCTAGGGATACCTCAACAATATAATAATGGTTTAAATTATGACCATTTCTCTTTGGCCTTGTGGTATTTAAGCTTAGAGAAAAATCATGTTAAAAAAACAAACAGGCCAGGCGCGGTGGCTCACGCCTGTAATCTCAGCACTTTGGGAGGCCAAGGCAGGTGGATCACCTGAGGTTAGGAATTCGAGACCAGCCTGACCAACGTGGTGAAACCCTGTCTCTACTAAAAATACAAAAGTTAGCCAGGCATGGTGGCATGCACCTGT
This sequence comes from Homo sapiens, assembly GCF_000001405.40. Taxonomy (NCBI): domain Eukaryota; kingdom Metazoa; phylum Chordata; class Mammalia; order Primates; family Hominidae; genus Homo; species Homo sapiens. Next base: position 10,307,448 of record NC_000001.11, on the reverse strand, counting down.
AGTCCCAGCTACCCAGGAGGCTGAGACAGGAGAATTGCTTGAACCCAGGAGGCAGAGGTTGCAGTGAGCTGAGATTGTGCCACTGCACTGCAGCCTGGGCGACAGAGCAAGACTATCACAAAACAACAATAACAAAAACAAAAAACAAAGTAATATGGGCCATACCAAGAGCTCACAAAAGCATGGCACTAGTTACTTATTTAGTAAGAGACTCAATTAAGCAATTTTATTCATACAGAGTTATTCTCTAGGATAAGCATTTGCTCAGAAATGCATCATGGGACATACATGGCAGTCAATAAAACCTTGGTTAATTTCTTCCTGGTCATCTGTGAAATTAAGGGATATTTTAGCTATCTAAATATTTCAGCAACATGAGGACACCTGGGATTAACAGATGAAGCACAAATATAAACCCAATTCTTTGGAATATCACTGTGGACATAGTCCTTACCACAATCCACAGCTGTAAATGAATATATTATACAACTCTTCATTCTACAGTATTACCTAATCACCAGTGGAGAGTAACTCATTCACTCCCATGAAAAGACCACTGTAAGAATGAAAATATATGGACCTACCCTATGTTATCTCAAGTTAGGGAAATGAGAGCCCATTTTTGCTACAGAGTTGAAACCTGAATAATATAATAAATATTACCTTTTTTTTTTTTTTTTTTTTTTTTTTTAAAGACAGGTTCTCACTCTGTTGTCCTGGCTGCAGTGCACTGGCTATTCATAGGCAAGATCCCATTACTGATCAGCCTGGGAGTTTTGGCCTGCTCCATTTCCAACCTGGGCTGGGTTCACCCGTCCTGATGCAAGTTTGTGGTTTCCTGCTTCAGGGACATCACCATATTGATGCCAAACTTACACCCAACTGGCATAGTGTACCACAGCCCAGAACTCCTGGGCTCTAGGGATCCTCCTGCTTCAGCCTCCTAAGTAGCTGGGGCTGTACGCATGTGCCACCAAACCTAGCAATTATTATTTTTAATCTTAGAAAATAAATTGTGTATAGAAAGGAATAGTTAGCACATTTATGTCTAAAGAGGAATAAAAAAGGACAACTGGGTTTACACAAAATGCATTGAAGTGACTGATTTGAAGCAGCCTATCAAGTACATTCAAACCAAATGGCACAGGAGATTGTCATCTCAGTAACTCAACCCATTACAGACATCATTTACCCATGTCTAATCTGCTATAAAACCTCAGTTGAAGACTTCAACTGTTCTAGCTATGAAAGCAAAAATATCTCTCAAAGCTTCTCTTTTTAAGGGGAAAAAAACATTAATTGGAAGCAACTTTCTGAGCATTAAGAAAGTATTTTCTTAGAGGCAAAGAAAAAATACTATGATTAAAAATAATGTGTTCTAATAAAGCATAGTGCCCACACGCAAAGGAAAAAAAAACATAATCACAATCTTTAAGGCTTCCTTGAATGCTAACTGCTATCTTGGCTGTAGTTTTTCACACCGTTTGGAAGACAAGTGTTTGATAGATGATTTCATGTGACTTAGGAATCTTCCAAAACATGAAGTCAGGCAATTTCGGACATCTCTGGCTCTTCACACTGCCTCTTAGAAAACTTTTTGACAAACTCAAGAGATGAGGAACGATGTAGAAAATAATTCTTTTCTTCCCATTAAAATCCATCTTTCTTAGTGGATTCTCCAGTGAGGCAAACTGAGACCACAACCAAATAAAATGAGGTATTGATACAATAAATCATCATCAGGACTTCGCCTTCCTTGTTTGAGTGTCTACAAGCATTACTAATGCTAACCAAAGAATAGTTTATTATGTATCATCTCCTTTATTCCAAGCCCAACCAAAGTTAACTTTTATTTCACTATTTCATCAACTATTGGAAAAAAGCAGCACCACAGAGCCATATGCTGTAGCTTTGTCCCCCATGTCTGTCCCACCTCTTCCCTCTCAAGCCAAATAACCTCCTTACAAGCTACACAAGTTTTTTGTTGGTATTTCTGTTGGCATGATTTTGGTGAATAGTTCACTTTGTGTGCATGTGTGTCAAATGATACATTGAACTTCAAAATGCAAACCACAAACAGAATCCCAGACACAGTGCCAATTTATAGATTCTGATATGACAAATTTCATACATATTCTGATACATTCAAAAGAAAAAACCATTATATGAGTTTTTTGTAAAATACAGAATAAAAGAAGACGTGGAAGTTGTGTGGAAGATGCAAAGCTATGTATTGCAAGATATGTTTGAAGACCTTTAGTTTTGGCTTACGAAAATTCTAATCATATTTAAAGAAGGGAACAGACGTGGATGAGAAATCCAAAGCTGTGCCCACCCAGTTGCATGTTATTATTTTTAAACCAATTTCTAACATTTATGAATAACAGACATTTAATTCTGCTTATCAAATTCTCCTTTTGAATGTCTGCATAAACTAAGAGGCAGGTCTTTCTGGATGTCAGATTAATTTATAGGCATTATAAAAACATAACAAACTTACATCAAGATGGGACAAGTCTGTGTAAGTAAGTATATTAATTAGGCACTAAAAAAGGAGGAACGTTTCAGAAAAAGGAGTTCTTGATGCTTTATCCAAAATTTCAGAAACTGCCCATTTATGGTATACAAGCAAAAGGGAGGTGTTGAAACTTTTACCAGTGTTTTGTCTTAACAATATAAAACCAGTTAATATTTATAATGTAAATAATAAGAACTCAAGGCCAAAGGTAGAACCAAATCAAATCATGAGCTAACACTGTCTGTTTCTTCCACCATGATTTCAAGTTTGTCCAGTAACTGATTTATACTGTGGTTTCTCGACCAGCTTTGAGATTGGGTGCTGAGAACTGTCTCCTCATCCGCGGAGGTGTCACAAACTGGCTACAGTGGCTGGGTTTGTCAGTCTGCTTCTGATAGGAAGTGGCTGCATTGCCCTCTAACTGACCTCCAGTGTTATAATTACAGTAAGACTGACGGTGTTGATGAATATGGCGCTTTGCCTGGAAAGTCTGTACATCAGCAGTGGGGTGACCACTGTGGGAGTTTAATGACTCCGCGGAGGCAGATGCCTGGCAGCGCGTACTTTTCGGCTGGCCATTATTGAGAGAATTGCTTCTCCAACGTAGTTGAGGTGGCTGTTGCTGATTATTAATGTGCTGCTTGCTAACTTGGATGTGATCTTGACTTCTCATTCCTTGAGAGCCCCATGGAAACTGGGGATCCTTAAAAGCTCCTTTACCCCCTTTTTCTTGGCTCTCTTCTTTATTCCCTTTCCTTGCTTCATCGTCTTTTGGAATCCTAAGCTCTATAACCTCATCTTCTGTTATGATGATATGTGTCCCAGGACTCCAAGAGTTTCTGTGTTTAGGGTTGCTCTTAAAGGGGAAGCGGGGCTTCCGGTTCTCAGGAGGGATGAACCTATGAGGTACATTCTGCCGACGAAGCTGCTTTGTTATCTCCTGCTGTTGCAAGTTCTTAAACCGAATTTGCTCTTGCCTCATCCAGCGCAGACGTCCACGTCTAAAAGCTGGATCCCCATTCATCAGCTGGGAAACACGTTCTTCTTTTGCAAGTTCTCCATTGTCTCCTTTACTTACATTATTCTCAGAGGTGCTACTAACACCAGCACCAACAGGCTCCTTTGCTTTGTGGCTTCCTGGGCTTTTCTGTTCCTGAGATCCGATCAGTGGCAAGACTTTTTCCATTTTGAGCATTTTATTTCTTAAGACTTTTATCTCCTCGTCTTTCATGTTATTTTGCTTTTTGACTTCTTGCAAAATATCTTCCAGCTTGTCTATATGAACCTTGAGGTCATCTACATCAGTGCTGCCTTTCCCAGTGGCCATGACGTCTTCGATCTTCTCATCCCCAACACCGACGGTATCCCAGACGTCCCTGGCCACTGCCCTCCAGGAGTCCCGCTCATTGGGGTCTTTCTTGCCATACATGGCACAAAGCTCCTTCATCTTGACAATGGCCAGGGCTTCAATCTCCTGCCGACTGTGCCTGAAGTCATTGAGAGCAACCTCATAGCAAATCTCTTTGACAGCCTGAATTTTAAGATCTGAGATTGTGACCCACTTGGAATCTTTACTCAAGCGCCTTCTTTGGGGTATCTGATACATTTTAATTGGTTCACGTTTCTTCCCACTGCTTGGGAGGCCACATTTTTTAACAATGGTTTGCAACTTGCTGGGAGGTAGCTTTTCTCTCAGAGAAGTAATCAGTTTCCAGCTCTCTTCACACGACCTCTTGTCAGAATCGTCCCCGCTATCAGAATCCGCGTCCTTTGGAAAAACAAAATCAAAAAATGGCCCCAAAATAACCAAAATTAAAATGTAAAAAAGGAAAATTAAATCGAAGAAAAAGCAAGCAAAAAAGCCTTAACCAAATTTAAAAATAAGACCAAAAAAACTAAAAAACAAAACAAAACCAAAAAAAACCCCTCAATAATGTGGAAGTCTATTAAGACATACGCCTATGTACATTTCTATCAATATAAAGATTTGCTTATTTGGCATCCCTAATCCAAATTTCCACTTTCTGGCTTAAGTGATGAAATTTGCCACCAAATTTCTTAGGAGAATTGACAACAGGGATGAGTATGTCACCCTATGGTCATACAAAATTATTCAAATGGCGTGACTTAACGACCTCACTATTCGAAGAAAATGAAGTAAAACCTAGGCCCCACACATCATGCTAACAACCCATGCAGACACTTCCCCACATTTGCCTTGGTTATTGCTGTTGCTTCTTCCAGAATCTCTTTCCCCCATGAGTGAGCACAGATGCCATACAAAGATGTGACGAGCAGGCGGATTAACAAAGGTTAGTAAGGCTGTAGGACGCCAGGTTTTGTTTAGCTTTACTAAAAAGAGCAGCCCTAGAAAAAAGTTAGAAGATGAGAATGTAGAAAAAGAAGCAGTCAAACAGGGATGATGTTAAAAATGCTAAGAATCCCTATGAGCAGACCATGTCAGTTCTTAGTCAACCAAATGTTTTCTTCTGTAAGACAAGAGGGTTTGGAAATCATCTTTCCATGAGCAGAGGATTTGCTATTTTTTGTCATGTTAAATGTATCCATTTCCGTCGTACGATTAAAGTGTGTTATCTGGATAACAAGAAAGCTTTTTTTTTAAAGGATCCTCATAGTGGGTGTGTTTTGTCTTGTTTTTCACACACACAAATCAATAAAGACCTCACCTCCAAAATTTTGAGAAATAAATTACCCGAACAAAAATAAAGCTGGGCAAATATACTTCCACTGAATATAATTTAAAATTCCCCAAGTCACATTTTAATAAGTACAACTTAGAGATATTTTCTATCTAGAAAACCCAGGACATTTTTAGCTATTTGAGGAATATCACTTTAAGTGACAACTCTTCCAATAAACACATAAAACAGAAAGATCATACTCTGGTTACATAAAATTGATCCACTTTAAAAGGTATGTTTAACTCTGTCTTTCCAGCTGTCTTTGCACCATTGCCTCTTTTTCAGAAAACCTTACTTAGCCCTAAAACAGCAGCCTGACTTCACAACAATGTAATTTCAAGGGCTGTATAGATAATAAGCAATCGCTCTTAACTAATACAAGCAAATCTTGATAACATGGATCTCTGGGAAAGCAATGTTGGATTTAGAATTCCAAATAGTAAGTGGGATTAGAAAGAATTTCTATTCGGGAGATAAAAGTTGCTGGGAAAAGAAAATACTCAGCTGCTCTGCCTATGAAGTAGCCATTCTTTATTGCTTTACTTTCTTTCTTTGTTTCTTTTTTTTTTGAGACAGAATCTTGCTCTGTCGCCCAGGCTGGAGTGCCCGATCTCGGCTCACTGCAACCTCCACCTCTTGGGTTCAAGTAATTCTCCTGCCTCAGCCTCCCGAGTAGCTGGGACTACAGGCACCTGCCACCACGCCTACCTAATTTTTGCATTTTTGGTAGAGATGGGGTTTCACCATGTTGGCCCGGCTGGTCTTGAACTCCTGACTTCAGGTGATCCACCCACCTTGGCCTCCCAAAGTGCTGGGATTACAGGGGTGAGCCACCGCACCCAGCCTATTCCTTTATTTTCTTAATAAACATGCTTTCACTTAAAAAAAAAATACTCAACTCACAGATGAGTAGTTCAGGGCAGTCTAGTAAATGAAAATAGTTACTAACAGTCAATCTTTTATTCACTGTGGTTACCAAAAATATCTCTAGAAGAGTTTGTTTGCTTGAAACTGATAAATAGTACCTTGCCTCCTAGACCAAAGTTTGTTGTTTTTGTTTGTTTCTTTGTTTGCTTTGTTTTTTGAGACAGGGACCCAAACTGGTCTCAAACACTTGCGCTCAAGTGATCTTCCTGCCTTAGCCGGGACTACAGGCACACATCATCACACCTGACAAAACCAAAGATTTGCCTGTATAGTCACTTTCTAAGGAACAAAAAAGTAACTTTCCACAATAATAATAATAATTTGGCCTCTGAATTTAAAAATCTTGCCACTGATTTGTATTATTTCTATTGACCTACAAATGAGTACTAAGCCCATTTATAACTCCCACCTATTTGATAACTTACCAACAAAAGTTTGCTAAATTTACACAGACTCTACATTAATTTTTCTTTTCATTTTTAGTTTTTAAAATCATAATGGCTAATTTTAAGTGATAAATATGACATTCATAAATATTAGAGAAAAAACTATGTCTGACTCCTGAAGAGGATTTTTTGCAAATATGTATAAACTGAATTTTACAGAACATAAACAAATTATCTTTGATTCTTTCCCACATAACCAACAACTATCACTTTTTTTCTGGCTGTTTTTCTTTTCCTCTTCAAATTGCTTAAGGATGAAATGAATATTACCTAATTCAGGAAATGACAAGTATTCTAAGAATTGTTTTAATATCATGCTTAAGAGACAAAAGTTATCTTTAAACTCTAAAATAAAATATAAATAAGTCTATATAAATCCAAAAGAACTCAACTCAAGTAAAATCTAGCAGCTGTCATTTTCTTTCTTTTTAAAATACTGCCATTTTGACTCTGTAGAGTATGTCCTCTTTAAAGTTCAAATGTATCACCCTGTCACATATTGATGGTGATACTAAAAACTGTATGCAAAGTTTATGTGATATAAATCCTATCTCCATGTCAAAAAAAGAATTTTTTATATTTATCTATATTATTATTATTATTATTATTATTATTATTTGACACTGAGTCTAGCTTTATCACCCAGGCTTGAGTGCAGTTGCGCGATCTTGGCTCACTGCAACCTCCGCCTGCTAGGTTTAAGCAATTCTCCTGCCTCAGCCTCCCAAGCAGCTGGGATTACAGGTGCCCACCAAGACGTCCTGCTAATTTTTGTATTTTCAGTAGAGATGGGGTTTCACTATGTTGGCCAGGCTGGTCTCGAACTCCTGACCTCAAGTGATCTGCCAGCCCTGGCCTCCCAAAGTGCTGGGATTACAGGCGTGAGCCACCGCGCCTGGCCAGATTTTTAAAATATTTAGATTCATTTATTAAGGAGTTGGAAAAGCTACTGAGGTCTGGTCAATTCACATGTCACAAAATGATCCTTCGGCTTTCATTAAATGCCAAATGCAAAGTAGGCCTCCTAAAGAGACTCTGCAAGGAACTTATGCAAATAAGAAGAGAGAAGATCCCAAAACTGTGTGTAAAAAGCAAGCACAGAAAGGACCAGGGTATCCTAGAGCACTAACTGAAGAAAATACTCAGCACCCTAACAATGTGATGCATTTGGGAACTATCAGAATAGAAAACTCATGAGCCTGAATTCCATTGTTTAATGCTGACATTATGCAAAAAGTGATTACATATGGTAAATATTAAATAAATATTTACTGATTAATAATTCCTTTGTATTCTCTCAATGTTTATTCACAGGGTGCATTAGAAATACATCTGTTAATTGACCAATACAGGGTAATATATAAAGACATTTTCCATTCAGTATTACTACTGGTAGATATTCTTCAGGCTGAAGTGTTAGAAATCAGTTCCTCCCTTAAGTCAAGAAATGAAAGTGGAACAGACAGACCTTTGAGAGGAAAGCAACTTCCTTGCTTTAAGAAGCTGCTCTTGAAATCCTGGCTTGCTTTCAGATACACAGAGCAAACAACAACCAGAATCTGATTATCTGCAGGGTATGTACATTCCCTAGAAACTAAATACGTCTTAGACATTCACTTTCTCTTTATTTAGTGGCCATCTTTATTTTAGGGCACAGAATGATCACCAACTCTTGGTTATGGATAGCACCAGGCATCCTTATTCTGCCGTGCTTAGTTATTCTTTTTTTTTGTTTGTCTTGTTTTGTTTTGTTTTTGTGGTTTTTGTTTCTTTTTTTTTTTTTTTAAATATGGAACGCTTCACGAATTTGCGTGTCATCCTTGCGCAGGGGCCATGCTAATCTTCTCTGTATCGTTCCAATTTTAGTATATGTGCTGCCGAAGCGAGCACCGTGCTTAGTTATTCTAAGTGAGGTCCCAGGATCCACCTGCCTAGGCTTCCCAAAGTGCTGGGATTACAGGCGTGACCCACCGCGCCCAGCCAAGTTTTGGTTTCCTCAACTGGAGGTAATATTACATATTTTACTTATACATATGCATAAGTAAACAAAGAGGGTTGTTTTGAGGGTCAAATAAATTGATGGATGTTAACGCTCTCTGTAAATTATAAAGCACTATACAAATACAAGGCATTATTGTTAATAATAGAGCTTAATTACACCTGTCCTCATTTGATCTCTCACAGACCATCAGAGGCATGTTATTAGAATGTACTACATTATTAAGATAAAAGACATCTTCTTGTGTCACAAACCTTTCAAGCCACTAATCACATTGTAGCTAGTTCTTTCCGTTTTCATTAAAAACTTAATGCTAAAAAGGCCTCCTAAAGAGCCTCTGTTGGTAACACTGCTATTATCTTGCCCCAAACCCTTGATTTATTCTTACAATCCATTCTTTTTAGGGCTTTACTATAATTTACAAGATAACAAACTAACTGGTTTAATCCATGCCCATGCCTGAGAACTGAGGTATTCTGGAAAAGGTTGCTTGTGCTCAAGTCCTTCACGTTTCTGGCCCACTTAGCACTAAGCCCCTTCTTCTCCAAAGCACAGAGCATGACTAGAAGGCTGTAGTTTACATGCTGTATTTTATACTAAGGAAAGAAGCCAGTGCTTGAACTTTCTCCCTAATGCCCCCTTACCTTAAAAGAAAGATACAACTGAATCTTAAAAAATGAGAACTTCCTAAACTGCATCCACAGTATCCAAAGGTTAGTTATACTTTATTCTTACATATCAAATGAATGCTGAGAAGGTTCTTATAACCACAGCTTTGTTAACCAAAATTGGTTGTTTGGTTGGCTTTAAAAATGAAAATCTAACTAATGGATCAACTTATTTATTCATGAGATTCAGTTTCTATCAAATCTGGGAAATCAATTACCATTATAAAACGCTGAAGCCATTAGTATTGTATCAATAGCTGGGACCTTAAACAGACTTTCCAGCTGCTCACTCAAATCCTCCTTCCCTCAAAGGAAGCAAGCCTTCTGTCCTGTCCGGGCTGGGTATGCAGCCTTTGCTCCCACCGCTACCACACATGCCACTGAGAACCTGATTGAGAATTCAGACTCCATGCAGGGGATAAGGAAAGGAGTAACACATGCAACTGTGCAGCAACACTTTTAGACACAGTTTAACTTAAAAAAAAAAAGTCTGCCCAGCGTAAGAACAATCCCAAAGTCAGCCCAAGAGCAGAGAATTAGTACTATCAAGTGATCAGAAACAAAACCAAGGCAAACTCTCACCAAATTCAATATTCAGAGTAATTATCATTTAAAGAACCACCACTGAAGCAAATTCCAAAACCACTATCAAGAGGCAAAGGCTACCAGAAAAGCTCTATTTCCTTAAAAAGTATTTGGTTGTAACAGAAGTTAAGATTTGGCTTTAAGACATAAAAAGCCCAAAAGAGTACCTCTGTGGACTATTTTTTCAGGCTAAGGCTACCGGGAGATTTAAGTTCATTCTCCATTAAGGAAATTAAAGAATAGTGCTTGGTATCATTGAGACAGAAGCAATTTGGGTGAGTACTGCTCTGTGGAACAGGGAAAGTATGGGAACAAGCTGCCCTTTTCCCAACAGTTTAGCAGATTCAGGACTCCTACCAGTCTCTGCTGCTCCAAAAGAAGATCTGCTTCTTCCTTCTCCTTTTTGTATAAGATCTCCATTTCCTGTAGCCTAGAAGTAAAAAAAAAAAAAAAAATTCAAGAATGCTATTAGTATTACATGTTTAAAAGAAGAAACAGTCATATGGGCTGCGTAACTGTGCATTACCTTTTCTCCATCTCTTGTTTCATATCAATTCCTTGTTTTTCCAGAAGCTCCCTCTGGGCAAATGTCCAGTCCACAGGCTCAGAGGGGGTCTCAGCAGAAGGAGTCTTCTCTCGCTCAGCTCGTGCTTGTTCCGGGTGGTTAAAGCGGAAAACATGGTTTTTACCCATGATGATACGGTTTCCTAGCACAAAACAGAAAAATAGGGTTAAGAAATAATTTTTTTAATATATAGTATCTATTTAACAACCTCACCCCTCCCTAATGTGAAAAGACAGCTTTCAGAGCTGTTGTTTTTACAAGAACAAAAATCCTAATGCTGACTATTACTTCAGCCTTTAAACAGCCAAAAATTAGAGTTGTCACAGAAGCCATGTGCACATTGCTGAAGATGGCAAACCTCTCCCAGTCTCACCTGAGCGCAGCTGAACAGGCTGGGACACCCTCTTGCCATTTACGTAGGTTTCTGAGCGCTCACAGGGCTCTAAGGTCACGATAACTAAGAGGAACAAACACAAACTAATGTTATCATTACAAACTATTGGAATCAAATAATGGAAAGCAGTTGCTTATCAGGATTTGCAGTAAGTAGAATAAATCCCTGCAATCAATCAAGTGGCTGAAGTTGTCTATACAGTAGTTCATTTTGGGGTACCAGAACTAGCCCCAATAGAAGAGGCTATCTGTGGCCATGGCTAACACAAGAACATTTAACTCTATTTGATAAACCTAAGAAGATGATAGGAAATATTAGTTTCAGGGATCTCTGACGGTTCAGTCAATAAAACTCAGAACCATCAGAAATTGTAAGGATGAGATATAGGTAATAACCAGAAACTAAAGACTGAGAAGCTAATATTTTGATAAGGGAATGAGTGACTTATATAACAGAAAAAAACCATTAAATTGTTGTTTTGTTAATAACCCAGGCAAAAATCAAGACTGACTTTTTCTTCCCTTTTAGATAAAAATAAATTCTGCTGGGTTGACTTAATGTCCTTCAAATCTCCTATTACCCAGGATATCTGCTATTTTCTTACTTTTCTATTAAATAATTAACATTCCAGACCAAGCCTAATTGCCTATGTCCTTCTCAGTTCTTGGCAGTAAAAAAGGGCTTCTTTTGTCCAAGCTATTTTCATGTAAAGCAGCCTTGTCCATCTCTGCATTCATAAGCAGCCCAGGTCTCTCCATTTTTCAGAATTAGATTGTATAAGAAAGTACTACTGATAGACAGAGAATACAAAGTCTTAAGGATTTCTCATAATATAAAATGAAAATGTTGTTGCTGAAGCTCCAGCCAGGAATGCTCACCTTCCCCGCTGTTGCTTCTCTCACTCCGGAAGATACAATGCTCTTCTTTAATGTGAGCCCCGCTCAGCACTATGTCCTGGCGCCGCTCAGCATCTGCTTGGCCAACCCTGAACACAAGAGAAAGTGTTTCCCAGGGAAATTCAGACACAGAAAGCACTACAAACAATGAACCTCTTTATTCCAAAGAATATCCTTTGGTACGTACAAAAAAGGTATTGCCTTGTTGCATCAGAAGCTTTCAACTATGAATTCTATCCTCACATATGATCAACCTCTCTACATCAGAATAAGAAACAAGGAGCACTGATATACCAATGTAACTCATACAGTATTATAAAGACATGAGTCAAATAAAATCCCTAAGGAATGTATATTTGTTAAAGGAAAAAAAAATTATTTAGGGTCTTCAGAGAAAAACTACATAGTAACTGGCTCCAGTGGCAAAAACACATTATTTGGAAAGAGAGCATAGTTTGTAACTATTTCAGACAAAAAATACAGCAAATCATTACGTTAATTTTTTCAACCCCTTCCCTTTAGTTATTCAATTATCTAAGAGGGGGAAAACACACGAAGTGACCAAAACAGGAAATAAATATACCTTGTAATTCCATCTTTGATGTAATAAAGTAGGCACTCAGACATTAGTGGGTCTTCATTGAGGTTAACAAGATGTGGGGTCTGAAAAAGATTACAGATGATCAATTTGGAGCAGGGCACCATGAGAGAGCTGTGGTAACAACAGGGGCCTACAAGAGGCCAGGCTTCTCCAACTCTCCACAGAGCCTAGAGAGGGATTTCTTTTTATCCCTAGTTGCGGTTCCATAATAAAGAGAAAACACTCTCTTCAGGCCTCACCAAACGGAACCAAGTGCATTCTATTTTATTTTAATTAATTAATTAATTTGAGACAGAGTCTCGCTCTGTCTAGAGTACAGCGGCATGATTTTGACTCACTGCAACCTCTGCCTTCCAGGTTCAAGTGATTCTCCTGCCTCAGCCTCTCAAGTAGCTGGGATTACAGGTGTTCGCCACCACGCCTGGCTAATTTTTCTATTTTTAGTGGAGGCAGGGTTTCACCATGTTGGCCAGGCTGGTCTCGAACTACTGACCTCAACTGACCCACCCTCCTTGGCCTCCCAAAGTGTTGGGACTATAGGAGTGAGCCACTGTGCCTGGCATTCCATTTTAAAACATGAGTTCTGGGATAAAAAAACAAGACCTAATTTTTGATAAGGTCAAAGCACAAGGAAAAAATGACAGGCCAATTCTCTGAACGGAATAATTATAATTTTTGTAAATGCCTGGGTAAAAATCTCAAGAAATATTTACTTTTATTAAAATGTCCCCATACCCCCCCACCACTTCCCACTATAATTTTTATCAGTTCTTCTGATCCCAGTTATTAATTTGTCTTTACCTTAAAAGATTTTAATTTATTAGTCTTTACCTTAAAGAAAAAAGTAAAATTACTGATATTCGATAAGATAAACATCTTCTAACAATCCTCTTCATCTAACTCTAATATTTCTAAAATCTTTTTAAAAAACCAACCTTCTTTAGTGAAAATAACCCACTGGAATCCAAAAATAAGTCACATGGTCTTGAGGCCAAAATCTACTCAAGAGAGTGCCAGCAAATGTGGAAGAATGAAAGAAGAGTCAGATGAGGGGGTAGGAAAAGGAACTATAAAAGATGGTTAAAGAGAAATCTGAAAAACCTCCACATCTTCTCAACTAGCATCCCCCTTTGTAGTTGAAGAACTTGACTGGTTTGAGAAAGTCAAAGCCCTTTGTGAGTAGCATTCTTTAAAGCACATCATAATTTGAAAAATGGAATCTCAGAAACAGGTCCTAAGACTGAGTTTGGATGTGGTCACTGGTATATCCCTTCCTTTCATGAAGAAGTCTAGAAAGCTAAAGCAAGATGGGTAAAATTAAAGTAAGAAAAAGCTTTGGAAGCAGAGATCTCACTTTGGAATTCCATGCAGTGTACATCTCAACATTTGTTCAAGTTATTTATGATTTATGTTAAATGCATAATATTTTCACTAGTTGTTATAATAAAAATTTTCCAGCCAGGCACAGTGGCTCATGCCTGTAATCCCAGCACTTCGAGAGGCTGAAGTGGGTGGATCACAAAGTCAAGAGATCAAGACCACCCTTGGCCAACATGGTGAAACCGTCTCTACTAAAAATACAAAACTTAGCTGGGCGTGGTGGCATGTGCCTGCAGTCCAGCTACTTGGGAGGCTGAGGCAGGAGAATCACTTGAACCCGGGAGGCGGAGGTTGCAGTGAGCCAAGATCACACCACTGCAGTCCAGCCTGGCGACAGAGTGAGACTCTGTCTCAAAAAAAAAAAAAAAAAAAAATTTCCTCACAGTCTTTAATACTGTAAGATGTTATAAAATACCTTTATTAGACATATGCATAGGCACAATTAAATTCCACCAAAACTGTAACTGCTAAAATCTATATAATCCTAAGTAACATATCTGAATGAATACATGTCTTACTGAAGGAAAAACTATTAAAACTGTGAAAACCACTAACCTTTCATAATATAAACATATAAAATACTTAACTGTTCTATTCTACAATATGCATCTAAAATGTCTTTACATCAGTCTTTTCTGTTGAAAATAACACATTGGAATTTGGGAAGAAAAAAAAAAAAAAGTTATGTGGCCAGGATAGAAAAACCTGACCAGAAGAATTGTAGCGAAAACCACAGGAATATTTCATATCACATAAAAGTACCAATTCAAAACTCACCACCCCTTGTATCCTAACTTAGAGAGATCATCAACAGAACCTATGAATAAAGATGTTTAAGTCTCCAATAGCCAATGTGAGGTCACTTGAAATAAAGGACAATTTACTAGTGGCATAAAATACATGCTTTGTACATCGATATATGTTCTCCTATTTTCTGATACATAAGCACACAAAATAACCATTTGATAGTCATTTTCTAGTATCCAACAAGACGTTGCAACTTAGTTTAAGAAAAAAACAAAAAAACCCTTACTACTCTAATTAGCTAAAAGCTACGTAACTACTTCATAACTATGATTATGTAAAAAGGAAGGTAACTATTGGAGACACTTTTTAAAAAATGAAGAAGGAAGCAGAGGAGTCTAGAAGGATAGGGACAGGAATTGCTTTACTTAGTACAATGGCTGTCTATAATACAAATTGCAGAAGCAAATGGAAGCAGTATTATTCTCCACAAACCTGTACAGCTGAAATTGGTTCCAAAAAGTTATAAAGCAGGGTAGACGACTTCTGTGGGAAAATCTACATGAAAGAGTAGCCAAAACTGAAAGTACGCTAGGTTAGGCTGGGAATTTAAGAGAAAGCAACAAATAAAGATGACTAAACAAACTGAATCATGGCCAAAGGTTACATATTGCCTTAGGTTTTTTCTTTTGTAAACAGTAAACAAGATAGGCATTTTAGAAATAGGCTGCCTTTGTACTATAAGACCATGCTCTAAGATGAAATCAGAAATATCTGAAATTAAGGCAAGTATCAAGATAATAAGGGGGAGAGTAGGTCCTGAAAGACATGAAGTGCCCCAGTAACAAAGACAAACAAAAAGTGTCTCTGTCTGATTAGGTTTCACAGCATTGTTTCCTACCTTTTTAGGTGAGAAAACCCCTAGGGTTCCTCCATCTTCCCGAATGGCAACTCCCATCTCAGCCAACAAAGCCTCTCTAGGAAAAAAACAGGTATATCAGAACACTAATACCAAAATGTCAATTAAATCAGTCTAATATGAATTGGAAAATAAAGCCTGCAAAGCAAAAACAACTGGCCATGTTTATAGCCAATAATGCAAACATAAAATAATGTGCTTATCTCATCATTAATGAGAAGTTATTTCTAAAAGCAACATCACATTCAAAATCAATGAAATCTTGCTTTGTTAAAGTTATATTCACTGAGATAAGAACTTTGTCTCAACTGACTTTGGGATAGTCAATAATTCATAAATGATATGCATATTAATATAAAAAAGAAAAGAAGAGGCTATTCCTTTTTTTTTTTTTTGAGACAGAGTCTTGCTGTCACCCAGGCTGCAGTGCAGTGGCACCATCTCGGCTCACTGCAAACTCTGCCTCCCAGGTTCACGCCATTCTCCTGCCTCAGCCTCCCGAGTAGCTGGGACTACAGGTGCCCACCACCATGCCCGGCTAATTTGTTTTGTATTTTTAGTAGAGATGGGGTTTCACCATGCTAGCCAGGATGGTCTCGATCTCCCGACCTCGTGATCTGCCCACCTCAGCCTCCCAAAGTGCTGGCATTACAGGCGTGAGCCACCGCGCCTGGCCAATATGTTCCATTTTTATGAATCCCTAGCAACATGTAATATGGTAACTAATAAACCTGTGACTCCCTAGATAATATTTAAATATGTAGATGTCATTTCAAAGCATAAATTCAACTGGCCATAAATCCCTGTCCATTTTTTTGGTTTCGTTTTGTGTTTTAGAAGGGCAGACTCTTTGATTTTAATTTATATTTTATCTTTTCTTACGATAAAGTAATCCACATCCCCTAGAAAACTTAGAAACATTTCCAGATTTTAACCTCCTGACCTCTCCATTCTGATGGCCTCTGTTTTACGAAGCTTCTCTTCCCAAGTTTCATTCAACTCAGCAATGATCTTCTCTGATTCCTAAGGAAGGAAGCGCACAGTTAAAGAGGCAAAGAGTCTTATAATTTAACATACCATGCTAGAAAAGCAAGAAGCAAATCATGCCCTTTGAGGATACAGGCCAGAATTAAATGTAAAGAGATTTTTCTTTTATTAATACATAAGATAAGAATCATAAAGATTAGACCTAAAACTAAATCAACCCCAAACAAATAAATCCTCCAAGTCTTTTTTTTTTTTGAGACGGAGTCTTCCTTTGTCACCAGGCTGCAGTGGCGCGATCTCAGATCACTGCAACCTCACCTCTGGGGATCAAGTGATTCTCCTGCCTCAGCCTCCCGAGCAGCTGGGACTACAGGCACGTGCCACCACGCCCAGTTAATTTTTGTATTTTTAGTAGAGACGGGGTTTCACCATGTTGGCCAGGATGGTCTCAAGCTCTTGACCTCGTGATCCACGTGGGCATGGTGGCAGGCGCCTGTAATCCCAGCTACTCAGGAGGCTGAGGAAGGAGAATGGCATGAACCCGGGAGGCAGAGCTTGCAGCGAGCCGAGATCGCGCCACTGCACTGCAGCCTGAGCAACAGAGCAAAACTCCATCTCAAAAAAAGAAAAAAAAGAATAAAGTTCCCAAACGTATTTACTGCTTTTGTTTCACTACAATTTCGCCATAACACACTAACCTCCTGAACACAACCCAGCAGTCAACATAGAAAGGTTTACTATTAAATCGCATCTGAAGACACACACTGAAGTGACAATTTACCAATCACTTGCTGAGTGTTTACACTTATATAAATATAAGAACCTAATGCATACAGGGTTTAAAACCCAGATAACGGGTTGATAGGGGCAGCAAACCACCATGGCACATGTATTCCTATGTAACAAGCCTACACATTCTGCACATGCATCCTGGAACGTAAAGTAAAATTAAAAAAATAAATTAATTAAATTAAATTTAATTTAATTTAAAAAGAACGAAAACATGTTTCCTGCTCTCAAGGAGGTTACTGTATACCAGAGAGAGAGAGAGAGAAGTAAGTGATGATTTATTCATTCAATACTTATATACAACCCCATTACATATCAAGCCTTCTTCAAGGCACCTATGGATATGTCAGAGAACAAAATCTCTGCCTTCATAAGATTTACATTGTAGTAAGGAGACTGATATAATCCTATTATTTATTTTGTTTGTTTGTTTGTTTGTCTGTTTGAGACAGAGTCTCATTCTGTCATCCAGGCTAGCGTACAGTGGTGCGATCTCGGCTCACTGCAACTTCCACCTCCCAGGTTCAAGCGATTCTCCTGTCCCAGCCTCCTGAGTAGCTGGCACTGCAGGTGCACACCACTATGTCCGGCAAGTTTTTGTATTTTTAGTAGATATGAGGTTTCACCATATTGGTCAGGCTGGTCTTGAACTCCTGACCTCAGGTGATCGGCCCGCTTCAGCCTCCCAAAGTGCTGGGATTACAGGTGTGAGCCACCGTGCCCCGCCATGATATAATCCATTTTAATCAATAAGTACACAGTATGTCAGATAGTGGCAAGTGCTCCAGACAAAAATAAAGCAACAAGAGGAAAGAACACATGGGGAAGGGTAGGTGAGGGAGCAATCTAAAGTGAGGTTGTCAGGACAGGCCTCACAGACTCAGTGATATGTGAGCAGAGATCAAAGAAGAGCAGAAGCTGCCATGTGGGTATGCTGAGAGTGGGAAAGTACCTGGAGTTTTCTAGGAATAATGTGTTGCTAGAGCAGCATGTCTGAGGACTGAGAACGAATACAGTAGGAGATAAGAGAACAGTGTACTAAGAGCTAGAACTGGAGTATTCACAGGTCTCTGTAACATGGGTGAATCAAGGCTGAGTGAGGCCCAGACAGAGAAATGAAGGACAAGTAGCAATTAGGCAAAGAATGGAAGGAAAAGGAGTACAAAAAAGGGGGACGAGCACATGCCAAAACAGGTGAAAATGCTGGTCATGGAGATGAAGTAAGAAAGTCAGATGATGATAATGAAATATAGTAATGATGCTAGTAGTGATTAACAAGGAAAAGTGTTATAGTTCATCAAACACTTCAATGTATGATTCATATGATAACAGGTTACTAACGAAGCCTGTGACCCCAAAACGTAAATATCTACACAGAAAGGACTTGTGAGTAATAAACCTTAAGTTGTCTAGTGTTTGACTTTCTGGATCTCTTGGACTTCCAGAATATTACATGACTGGATGTCACCTCAAAACAAAAAACATACCAAAGGCAAGGCAAGGGAACACGTGAAAAAAGCAAGAGTAAAGATTCAAAGCAGCAGCTGCAAAAGCAAAGTAGTATATGAGTTTGGTGGAACAAATAGGAGGGTATGATTTAAAATAAAATTTAAAAAAAAGAGAAAGATGAAGAACAACAACAACCAGCAAAGGTAGGCAAAGAGCAAAACAGATTAAAGAAGGAACCTGGGCATCAGTAAGGCAGCCATGTAGGAGGTACTTTTTCAGAAAAGAGTTATACTTACAAGGTGGAAGAAGCTAGAACAAGTCTGCAGTTGGGGGTGGCAAGTGACAAAAACCACCTGAAATGGCTCTCATTAGGCTTCAGAACACACACAGAGGCTCAAAGGCTAAAACAGCTACCTGAATGGCATCTCTACACAGTCCTCAGCAGAAATGATTACCATGCAGTGCACATGCCGCCCCACAAATGGAGAACAAAAGTGTCATACTAGAGGGCCAGCGAGCAAGACAAATCCACACAATTCCCTAAGGAGTGAGAAGGCCAAGAACCAAGTTTTCAATAGTTTATCTATAAAGCACCACAAAAGTTATTCAACAACCACTAAGAGTGGTGTTAAACGCTTCTGCATAAGTGAGCTATGACTGCACCACTACACTCCAGCCTGAGCAACACAGTGAGCCCCTCTTTAAAAAAAGAAAATGCTTTTGCATATGACTGCTTTTTTCCTTTTTTTTCTTTTCCTCCCAGCCCCACCCTGCATATGATTTTAAATAGGCAAATACAAGACAAGCTGATGATATAACCTACATAATTTTAAGGTCTATTAAAGATAGCTGGGTAGAAATCTATACAATCTTCTCAAAGTGAAAACCTTCAACAGACAGGACAACAGGATGCACCCGACCTAAACAAGGCATCTTGACTAGTACTTATTATAGTACTAACCACAATAAACCACTGTTGATTATGGAATACAAACTGACATATGAGATATTTTAAAAATATTTCTTCCTAGTTGATTACCTTCAGAAAAAGGTTATTTCAGAGCAGAGGATTATCTAGTCATATTAAAGCCATCCTATTTTGGGGCAACTGTAGAACTCACTCTAAGAAAGCAAAATTACTGTCTAGGAATCCTCTTACCATTTTGCAGCCAACTCTAATATGACTTATCTAATTTTACTTACCAACTGAAGGGTAAATCAGAACATGATCTCTTTGCAGAAAAGAGATTTAATGAGTAAGGTACAACTTTTATTTTTATTACAGTTTTCAGCTGCAATTTTTAGGTTGTCTAGAAAGCTATTTTTAAAAACTTTGGGGGAAACTTAGAGAAAATAATAACTGTGAGTCACATTAGCACAACTTCAGGGCTGAAAAAAGCCTGCAAAATCGTTTATTCTGGAACCATTCACGAGATAAGAAAACTGGACCAGAGACAAGAGTTCAAGATCAGCTGGCTCACATGGTGAAACCCCATCTCTACTAAAAATACGAAAATTAGCCGGGCACAGTGGCACGCACCTGTAGTCCCAGTTACTTGGGAGGCTGAAGCAGGAGATTCGCTTGAACCTGGAAGGCAGAGGTTGCACTGAGCCAAGATGGTGCCACTGTGTTCCAACAGACCAGAGAAGCTAAGTGAGCCCACACTACTCACTGAGACAGGTCTAGAGCTATTTGCTGACTCACTGTTCTTTCTTCAAATAAAACAGGATCAATAGGCTTTCAAGTAAATGTTCTATGAAACAGTTCACCCTAAGTTAAGAAAAAGTGAAGGATATTCTGTTCAAGCCTGAGTAGCAAACTTAGTATAAATAGGGAAGCCAAGTGCAAAACAGCATTCAGTCTCAGGAGCATCAACTCATTCTGCTGGCAGGCAGGCATGCTGGTGTCCAGGGCTTCCCATACCCCACTCTAGGGGCCTAATGTAAGATGAACTTGAAATGTGGATTCATGGTTCAGAAATGAGGGGTTGAGGAGATAAATCTTTAATCCTCCTCCCTTTCTTTGAAAAAAAAAAAATTCCAAAAAACAGAGGGACACCAGGAACTCTTCTTTAAGCTCCGAGGAATGCCAGGCTCAGGTGTCATTCACTCTTTGGTCTCACGTCATATCTGTCTGCATCTCTAGTTATTTGTATAGCACTGGTTAATAAATTATGTTCATATAGCTAAACAATTTAATCTCTTCTTGATGATGATTCAGTTAAGGAAACACAGAAATCACCAGGACAAGTCAGAAATATTTCCATGAAAAACACTTACTACACAGAACATTTGTTGAAGCCATTGAATCACCAAGGTTTTACTGTACTGAACATAGCATGCTTCCTAAGTGGGTTCCAAATGTGGCCCTTGGGCTGCTTAGCACAGCATTTGCCCTTGCCTGCTTCTGTAATGGATATTTGTGGATATTTATAGGCTAAGCCTAAGCAACGGCACTCACAGTACTGACTGTGATGCCAGACTAATAAACACGAGAGCTGTGGCTACAGCTGCATGTTTAAAACCTTATTTGACAGGAAGACCTGGCATGGTGGCTCATGCTTGTAATCCCAGCACTTTGGGAGGCCGAGGCAGGCAGATCACCTGTAGTCAGAAGTTTGAGACCAGCCTGGCCAACATGGCGAAACCCCGTCTCTACTAAAAATACAAAAATTAGCCAGATGTGGTGGTACATGCCTGTAATCCCAGCTTCTCAGAAGGCTGAGGCAGGAGAGTTGCTTGAACCTGGGAGGCGGAGGTTGCAGTGAGCCGAGATCGCGTCACTGCACTCCAGCCTGGGCAACAGAGCAAGACTCTGTCTCAAAAAAAAAAAACATCTTTACAATGGTGTGACATGAGTACCTAACATATGGAAAAAGGCTATTCAGTGAACAAAGCCACAGCAACATCATGTGTAAAAACAGTATCCAATCAACTGACCTTTTTTAAAGTCAAAAAGAAACAAAGGGAAATAAAATGTTAGGAAAATAAACTAACCTCCTCTATTGCTGTTTTCCATTATAATATTTTTCTCCTGCAGCACCATGCCTTAGGAACCCAGTTCCTAGATATTCTCAAGCATTTCTACTGCACAACCATTGCCCTGGCGCTACGGATGAAAGATGTTATCTGCGTGCAGCATTAAAATGCAGGTCTGCCCGAAAGAAATTCTCACCATTCACAAAATAAGAGCAGAACTAAGGTGCTTATGCTTCAGTGAACTACCACACTGCATTAAAAACTCAAGACAACACAAAACACTAAGGAAGCTGTTTTCTTTCTAGAATAAAACTAGGGAAAACAGAAGAGTTCTTTATTTTGGCGTAAGGAAGAATTAAAACAGAGAAATTTGTTTTCTGATTGAAGTAATACAGTTTTGTCTTGCTTTAGTGGGACATAGGGAAGTCGGAAGGAGAGTTCCCTGAATAATGACAGTGTTATTCCCTAGAAATTATTTGGAAGACACTGGGTTACCTGAATCTTGAAGAGTCTGGTTAATGTCTTGACTCCTAACATGTGACATTATTTTCAATTGGTCCCACTTGGCAGTTAGGGAGAAATTTCTCCTTTACATCAAGAGGAAGGTCAAAGGAAAGGGTAATCTCAAGTGTAAGAGCTAAGGCTTTAATAAGCAAATAGTTAAGACTTAAGATCCCCAAAGAAAAAGAACATTTTATATTAAGGACTCAGTAAGTGGGAGTTTTACTTCTCATTCCCAAGGAGCTCCCTATTTCTCACTCTGGCTCTGAAAAGAGCCCTGCAAAGCAACATGGTCACTGACGCCTATTGTGAGAAAATGTGTGAATGGAGTCTTACCACTCCTCTTCACTAAGGTCTTTAGTAAAATTTCAAAGTCAATTTTACCAACAGTAAAAGTTACCCTGCAGCCTACAACATTTAATGGAAAGATTTCTCACTCCTTCTCCCTTTGCTAGGTGTTGCAGAACTTCACTCACTTTCCACTTACATGTTCTGAAGGAAGAAACAAGCACATTATTTTTGTTTTTGTTTTTTTTTTGAGATGGAGTCTCACTCTGTTGCCCAGGCTGGAGGGCATTGGCGCAATCTTAGCTCACTGTAACCTCCGCCTCCTGGGTTCAAGGGATTCTCCTGCCTCAGCTTCCCGAGTGGCTGGGACTATAGATGCACGTCACCATGGCCGGCTAATTTTTCTATTTTTATTTATTTATTTTTTGAGACAGAGTCTCACTCTGCCGCCCAGACTGGAATGCAATGGCGCAATCTCCAGGCTGTGCAACCTCCGCCTCCCAAGTTCAAGTGATTCTTGTGCCTCACCCTCCAAGCAGCTGGGATTACAGGCGTGTGCCACCATGCTTGGCTAATTTTCTTATTTTTAGTTGAGATGGGGTTTCACCATGTTGGCCAGGCTGGTCTTGAACTCCTGACCTTAAGTGATCTGCCTGCCTCAGCCTCCCAAAGTGCTGGGATTACAGGCATGAGCCACTAAGCCCGGCTTAATTTTTTTGTATTTTTAGTAGAGATGGGGTTTCACTGTTGGCCAAGCGGGTCTTGAACTCCTGACCTCAGATGATCCGCCCACCTTGGCCTCCCAAAGTGCTGGAATTACAGGTGTGAGCTACCGTGCCCGGCCTTATTTTTGTTTCTAAAGCATGTTTTTTTGAGATAGAGTCTTGCTCTGTCACTCAGGCTGGAGTGCAGCAGTACAATCACAGCTCACTGCAGCCTTAAACTCCTGAGCTAAAATGATCCTCCTGCCTCAGCCTCCCAAAGTACTGGGTTTACAGGTGTGAGCCACCATGCCCGGCCCACACTGTACTTTTGAAGTAAGTAAAATGTCAAGGGAAAAGGTAGGCTGATTAAGAAAGAAAAAGCAGAACCTCTTTCTTCATATAAAATCTTTTTCAGCCTCACATGAAAATTAAAATGAAAGCATCTGACATATTCAATTATCAAGCTTAATTCACTTTAGTGTTAAAGAGTTTTTCGGCAAGCCTTTTACCTATTAAATGTGTCAATGTGTCACTGTTCTCTATCGTCCTTGCATGAATGGCAGTCAAGGGGAATACCAAGTGACTGTGAAGAAGACTGCTGGCTGGCAGCATGACTGCAACTTCTCAGACTCTTAAAAAGTGTTTTTTGTCCTCCCTGTGTCCCCTACCCTAGCACTCTTGAACACAATGGCTAAAAGGTATGGGTCAAACTATCTTCCTGGAGGTGACAAGTAGGGAAAGAAAAAATATTTGCTTCAAAGCAGATGATGCTGTCACAGTCATCTGATGGGTGGCAGGATTCCTGAACAGCTTTCAGCACTGCAGGTGACAACTGTCTGTGCACTGAATTAATTGAGGAGGAAGAGAAGCAGCTATGAGTCAGAAGGCTCTGCTGCTCTTAACTTTCATATTCATACAAAGAGATAAGATCGAACCTGACAGAGCCAGCAAGGGGCTGGGAAATACCTCCAACAGCAAAGCTGGGAGCCATAGGCCAGTAATCTGCATACATGCAGCACTATGGCCCTGTGACCCCATGGGTACCAGCATAGGAGGAGATAACCTTCCTGTACAGTAATCATAGGGCATCAAGGCTTTCTGTGAACTTCTAGAAGATATAATTTAATAACTATCTGAATAAACCTGGAACAGCTACTCAAATGTTCTAACTTTATCTTTTTTTTTTTTTTTTTTTTTTTTTGAGACGGAGTCTCACTGTGTCCCCCAGGCTGGAATGCAGTGGCACGATCTCGGCTCACTGCAAGCTCCGCCTCCTGGGTTCATGCCATTCTCCTGCCTCAGCCTCAGGAGTAGCTGGGACTACAGGTGCCCGCCACCACGCCCGGCTAATTTTTTGTATTTTTAGTAGAGACAGGGTCTCACCGTGTTAGCCAGGATGGTCTTGATCTCCTGACCTCGTGATCCACCCCGCCTCGGCCTCCCAAAGTGCTGGGATTACAGGCGTGAGCCACTGCACCCGGCCCAAACTTCATCTTTATTAACAGAAGCATGGCTCTACACAGAATTCCATCTTTCAATGAAACCACGTTTCCAAATAAATTTCTAACAAAACAATTACACTGTAACTTGATGTACTATCCCAGAATTAACGTACACATCTATTAATCTGTTACTCTGCCTTGCCAGCCTATGAACTGCCCATGCACTTCTCCCAACTCTGCCTGGCCATGTCAGACTCAGGCATTCTAATGAAAAGAAATTAACTTACAAAGCACAAAATTCAATTTTCAGGACACTTCTAAGAGTCAAAGAGTTCTCCATATGCTGAGTCGAAATCTTAGTGATTTTTACTCCTAGTTCTTCCTTGTGGAGCTACATAGAATACCTTGTATTCAGTCTGAACTATTACTTACCTTTAAACGTTCAATAGCTTCCTCTCCTCCAGGTGTAGACATGATCCTCTCTTGAATACTGGTCACAGACGTCAAGCCCACCTGACTACTGAGTGAGCAGGAAGATGGGGATGAAGTGAGGGACCCCATGGATGCTGTGGAAAAATGGCCAGGGCGTTGATTCTCAGAGGCTAGCAAGTATCTATGCTTATTGTTCTGAAAATCTTTCAGATCTGGGAGATAGAAAGAAGAGAAGGCAGGAAAAGTAGGGAAAAGGGAAAGAAGCAGAGGAAGAAAAAAAGACAGGAAGGAATATCGTTGTAAGAAAGGACAGCATTAAAGCGCCAAGACCAAGACACGCTATAATACAAACACAGGTTACAACTGTTCTAGATGGCAGTTCTAAAACATGTCTGTCTTTAATAGTGGTATCCTACAGGTTCAGAATCATTTCTGCATTTACAAACTAAAAGATTCCAATGTAGGTTAACGCTGTATCTCGCAGGGGGATAAACCAGAGCCTCAAAGGATACTGCTTAGGCACTCTCCCTAAAAAAGCCAAACTACCTTCCATTTAGTCTTTCTAGTGTTCCTAGTCTACAATGTCTTCAGATTTACACTTTTCCAGTAGTTTGTAACAGTAAGGGAAAACAATGATCATTTATTTATCAATAATAATCCATATTGGTCTGGCTCAGTGTTACGTGTAATTCAGCAAAAATTTCCAAGAAAATGTTACAGTTAAAACAAAATTTGTGCACTGAGTAGTATGCTTTGTATGGCAACATTTCAACATGCTAAAAGGATTTTTAATATGTCTTAAATAAAAAAGGGGTAATTATAGAAATGAGAGGAATTTTGTATAAGTCCTGGTTAAAAACTCAGGACTAATTGATTGCCTCAACAGGGAAGAACAATTAGCAGATTAATGAGTTTTAGTGCAGGTTCCATTCTTCTGTCAGAGCAAGCAAAAAATAAGGCTGATTATTTGCTAATTTAAGGCCCTTAATTAGCCTAACAGTACAACCATGGGTCACTGCTAAGCCTGCTTCCTAGTATAAAATGCAAGTTTTAGGAACATACTTCCATTTACTAAGTCTTTAATAGAACTGTTAATTTTGCTTTTACACTCAGTATTGGTAAAAGAAAAAAAAATTAAGCCACAAACAACAAAATTAATTAATTTGCTGTTTGTACTTTCTTTCATTACTTTCTTTCATTAGTCATCCTTTGCAAAAAGATACCAAAGGTAAATCTTAAGTATTGGTGCAATCCAACTTTAAAATTAGCTTATTTTTAAACCTGAGAAACTAAAATTCATATCAAAACTAAGTCAGTTTTCCTCAAAGGAGATGAGTCAATACACATAGCTGGAAAAAAATACTATTAGTTCTCCCTGGGCTTACTCATCTCTACTATTTAATTAAAGCCAGTTTTTTAACTCCCTTAAAGCCAGTGGTTGCTTCAAGACAGTTTGAAAACCACCATCTGCAAATACAGAACATAGGGCAACAAGCAAAGAGGCATCTTTTAAAAGGGGGATAGGGATTAGAGCAAAAAATTAGCCATTGGGAGAAAAGACCAGGATGGACAGAGTTTAGGTCCAATGGTCACATGCAAGCCCTAAAAGGAATAAAGAGAAATAGATCAAAATGGAAACTGAGAAGGAGTCAGGGCTGCTTTCCCTCAGGAATACAGAATTAAAACTTAGTCATGCATGGTCTTTCAGGAAATGCCGCAGCTGCTAAGAAAAGAGGTAGGCAACAAGCTGGCAGCAGCAACACCTTGAGCACAAAAGCAAAAAGAAGAAGGCACCTTTTCCACACCAGTATCGTTGAGCTTTGGAAATCTCAGACAGAGCTGTTGCAGTCCAAGAGTCACTTCTGTATCAGGACATTATAGTGCCTTTAAGCCCTAACCTCATAACCACAGCCAGGGCTATGTTTGGTTTCTCCTATGCATTTTCTCACTGTCTGCCAAGCCTCATTACATGCCTTACTGTAGAAATAAGCAACTCAGGTGGCTGGGCTTGATGGCTCACACCTGTAATGCCAGCACTTTGGGAGGCCAAGGCAGGAGGATCACGAGGTCAAGAGATTGAGACCATCCTGGCTAACATGATGAAACCCCATCTCTATTAAAAATATAAAAATAAGCTGGGCGTGGTGGTGCGCACCTATAGTCCCAGCTACTCGGGAGGCTGAGGCAGGAGAAATCGCTTGAACCCAGGCAGCGGAAGTTGCAGTGAGCCGAGATTCCGCCACTGAACTCCAGCCTAGCGACAAAGCAAGACTCCATCTCAAAAAAGAAAAGAAAAAAGAAAAAAAAAGAAATAACTCAGTACAAATCTAAAAATTAGCCCCAAAATCAAGACATTTTTCTTCTAAGATAACAATTTCTTGATGAATTACCTTAAAAGGGTAAGAAATAATTTCCTCACCAACTTAAGATATATGTGGAGAGAATAATGAGGTTCATGTGACTCTTTAAAAATGTTTGAGTCATTTTAGACACCTAAGTTATTTTAATTTGTGACTTATGAAAAGAGGAATGGTTGGGTGTGGTGGCTGACATCTATAATCCTAGCACTTTGGAAGGCCGAGGCAGGAGGACTGCTTGAGGTCAGGGGTTCCAGACCAGCCTGGGAAACACAGCGAGACCCCTCACCTCTACAAATAAAAAATTAAAAAATTAGCCAGGTGTGGCAGCGAACAACTGTAGTCTCAGATACTCAGGAGGCTGAGCTGGAAAGATCACTTGAGCCCAAGAGTTCAAGGTTACAGTGGGCCACGATCATGTCATTACACTCCAGCTTGGGTGACAAGAGTGAGACTGTCTAAAAAAAAAAAAAAAAAAAAAAAAAAAGGAAAAAACGTTTATCTAATCATTCCGAGGCCCAAGTTATGGAGAAAAGCAACTTAGCACAAGCACTCATGAGTCTTAGCCCAACATCTACAGAGCTCTTAAATCATAGATAGTTTTGCTGACTAAAAATGATTATTGGTAAAAGGAACATAATAAAATATTTTCAGAGCCATTAACAGAATTAAAAGGGACAATATATTCAAGGTGCCTAGAATAGGGCCTGGCATATTATGCAAAATCAGTAAGTGTCAGTTGCTATCATCTATGATTTTTGGATTTAATTGAATCACAATGGGAAAAACTGAAGAGTAGAAGCAGCAAGAGATTCTTAAGCCTTTCAACTTCACTCAAGCCACAAACTGAAATTCAGCAAAGATTAGTTTGCTAAATGAAGAAGGGCAAAAATAGGATCATTTCTGATTCTATACTATGCTCTGTCTGGGATTTCCCTGTAAGGATTGCCAGCATGCAAAGCTTATTTTAAGGCTGATCCAGCAGAGGCAGATTAGCAAGTCAGAGTACTGGAAATAACCAATATGTGAAATACACACATTTGCTTCCACTTCCAGAGTAATCATCGATCAATGGATCAACTGAAGGTAAGCAGGAGGGAAAATACGAGAAGGGTCAAAGTTCAGGTTCAGCAGTGACACAGAGAGGGAACAGAGCAGTTTTTGGCATTTGGGGAGATGGAAAAGTTAATACTTAGAATACGGTATCATTTTTACAAACGGTATTCATCTAAACTCGGACTCTAATCAATAAGAAGAATTAAACTAGAAGAGGCCTTGAAAATCTTATTAGAACTTCAAGGAATATAAGTTTAACTTTACACTAAAAAAAAATGCTTTACTAAACTAACCCATATTCTACCATATTCTATTCCTATATGAATCCATTTTACTCACTTAAGAGAACTTCTGAATAAGCCACTGGATAGGCACATCACGGAGATTTTTTAAGATAAATTTTAATACAACATTGTAAAACAATACTCTCTGGAAGTGTAGTTCTTGAACTTCATAGGAATTGAACTTTTCCCCTTCATATGTTCATAGGCAGCACGGGGCACTCCAGCATTTTACAGGAGGAGGGGGCCATTCAAAGGTGAATCTTATCTGAAGGTAGGCTTGAATGGTGCGTTTCTTATATTACTGCCACGACACTAATCCAGAGCAACCCATGAAACAAAACTCAAAATTTCAAATAACATTTCTATGAAGTAATTAATTGCTCAGTGATAACAGGTTTAACGTTCCAAATAAACTTCATTGCTGATCTAAAACAGAATTCTAACAAAAATACTAGTGACATATTTGCGATTTAAAACTAATTTCCTGAGTTCAAATGGATAGTCTGGTACACATTACATAAAGGAATCTAGAGATCATTTCCATTGGGTTTTTTAAGGAAAAAGAAAACAAAACAAAACAAAACATTTTCACTACCATTTAGCTTCATCATGCTCCTTAACTTGAAGTTTATTTTAAATATAAGAACGCTGAATAAGAACCCTGAAGAAGAAAGGATTAGATTTTGTAACGATCCTTAATTCACTTACTATCAATAATATCTCCCAGGCCCTGAGCACGAAGAAGGTCCTTCAGCCGTGTCACCTCCTCCTTTAATTCACGAACCAGTTTGGCATTGGGGTCCTCATTGATAACAGCATTGCATTTAATTTGTTTTGCACGATCTGCATATCTAGATCCAAAAAGAAAATTTGTTCTTGTCATTTCTCATATGTTCTACTTCTCATAAGTAACATACTATTATCTCTAAATCAAATATCCTGAGTGTTTACATTTTATGAGCCTTGATAATAATACATTTGTATAAAGCTTTATAGTACCTATTAAAGATGAAGAAAAAGGCTCAGATGAATTTAAGTGATTTGCCCAAGATCACAATGGAAATAACAGCGAGAGGACTTAAACCCAACTTATGAGACTGTATAGTGTTTATTCCATTACATCAAGTGTCTTTCATGGAAGAAGGGTAGAGAGTTCCAGACTAAAGTAATGAAACCTACTCATACATAAAAAAATACAGGCCTCGGGAGGCAGCTCACACCTGTAATCCCAACACTTTAGGAGGCCAAGTGGGGAGGATCACTTGAGGCCAGGAATTTGAAACCAGCCTGAGTAACCTAACAAGACCCCCCATCTCTACAAGAAATTTTTAAAAATTAGCCAGGCCTAGTGGCATGCACCTATAGTTTTAGCTACTTGAGAGGCTGAAGTAGGAGAATCACACGAGCCCAGGTGTCTGAGGCTGCAGCGAGCTACAATCTTGCCACTGCACTCCAGCTTGGGCCACATAGCAAGACTCAAAAACAAAAACTAACAAACAAAAAAAACTTTTTATGAACATTCTGTTGGTAATTGTTTTTTTCTTTTTTTTTTTTTAAGAGACAGAGTCTCACTACGTTGCCTGGGCTGGCCTCAAACTCCTGTGCTCAAGTGATCCTCCTGCCTCAGCTTTCCAAGTAGCTAGGACTACAGGTGCACACCACTGCACCTGGCTATGTTGGTAATTTTTTAATATTGCTACATATTCCTATAATTTTATTACTTATTATGACTTCAGAATTTATTTTTTTTTTTTTTTGAGATGGAGTCTCGCTCTGTCTCCAGGCTGGAGTGCAGTGGCGCCATCTCGGCTCACTGCAACCTCCGCCTCCCAGGTTCAAGCAATTCTCCTGCCTCAGCCTCCTGAGTAGCTAGGATTACAGGTGCATGGCACCACGCCCGACTCATTTTTGTATTTTTAGTAGAGATGGGGTTTCATCATGTTGGCCAGGCTGGTCTCAAACTCCTGACCTCAAGTGATCCGCCCACCTCGGCCACCCAAAGTGCTGGGATTACAGGTGGGGGCCACTGCGCCTGGCCGACTTCAGCATTTCTATAACGACAAACACTACAAGAAGGGGGACACTTCTTTTTATAGAAATGAATAAGAAAATGTCACTATTACCTAAAAGTTACCCAAAAATCTCACTTGAGCAATTTAAAAATCTTTCCTATGAAAAAGCTCCTGCCTTATCTAGGTATCCATGAGGGATAAAAAAATAAAAAGTTCATATCTTTCCCAGTGAAACTGAAAACCATAAAGAGGTAAATTCTATTATAATACAAATCACTTTTTCCCTAAGTTTTCCCTGTTATGAGAGGAAAGGAACATTATTTACATAAATAACTACCCAGATAGCATAAAAACATCCATGGTATCACAAAATGGCTTCTGATGGCAATGTGGTCTATGTTGTTACTGAGATCAAAAGAAAGTACCTCAGAGTGCTCAAAGTCTCATCGTAGTTGATATCCGCGGGGCTCAGAGCAGCAACCATTGCAGTCCGAGAATTGCCACCTAAAAAGATTAATCATGAGTATCAAATCACACTCATTTTAGAAGAAAAATTTTATGGAATGTGTCAAATCTGATATTGTAATCTCAGATCCTAAGATTTAATGTAATGTCAAATTTCTTTCTTTTATTTTTTTTTTGAGAGGGAGTCTCACTCTTTCACCCAGGTGGGCGGATCACCAGAGGTCAGGAGTTCGAGACCAGCCTGGCCAACATGGCAAAACCCTGTCTCTACTAAAAGTACAAAAAAATTAGCTGGGCAAGGTGGTGTGTGTCTGTAATCCCAGCTACTCGGGAGGCTGAGGCAGGAGAACTGCTTGAACCCAGGAGGCGGAGGCTGCAGTGAGCCAAGATTGCACCACCGCACTCCAGCCTGGGCAACAGCACGAACTCCATCTCAAAAAAAAAAAAAAAGTAGGAGAAGTGAATGAAGAACAGTGATTTGAAGGTCTGAAAACATCAGCAACGAGGAGGATTAAGGGTTGGCAATGTCTAATTTTGTGCACCTCAGAGAAGCATGGAGTTTTGAAATAACTTCGAAGAAAGAGCAATAATCTGAAGCAAGTATGGGGAGTCGGGAGGACAACTACTGCACAGTTCATGCCCTGAAGAAAATGAGATATGGGAGTATACCCTGGCTTAAAACCAAGGGAATCCAACCAACTGAAATTAGGAGTAAAAATGAAAGCAGGCAAGGAACACTCAAGTAGTAACATGAATATCTAGAGATTATTTGTCTCCAAAACAGACACAGGACAATTAACCACAAAAGATAATCAAAGTTAAAAAGATAACTACTTTTCACTAGTGGTCAACATACCTAAATTTTCTCGAAGGAGCCAAGTAAGTACAGAATCCCTGTAGGGAATAAAATCTGTTTTCTTCTTCTTTTTACTCTATTAAAGGAAAAGAAATGGTCTTAGCATTTTTCGTTAGGGAAAAAAATTCCCAAGAAAGGCAAATCAGTCTAAAATTCCCAAGTAAATTAAATTACAGTACAACCCCGACACTGTGGAAGTTTATCATTCATAGTTTCAATTCTTCACAAAACCAAAAACTCACGCAACAAGGTAATTTTTTCATTTTACATTTTATTTTGAAAACTGTGTAATATACACAACAGTTGAGAGAGCAGTATAATGAGCTACCATACCCAACGTGCAGCTTCAACCATTACCAAAATACTCTGCCAATCATCTTTCAATTATCCCCCAAACACTTTTCTACAACTTATTTTCCTGACCCATTTTGAAGTCAGTTGCGGACCTCATCTCCATTTACCCCTAAACACTTCAGCATATAAGAACATTCTCTTACACAGAAAACAATGACCAAATTCAAAAAATTAAACATCAACACAATACTATTACCTAATATCCTGTCCATATCATTTTTTATCCTTTTTCTTACTGTGAAGGAAAAGGTCATGTTTTTTAAAAACAAAACAAAACACCACAGGACCATTATCACACTTACCAAAATAAACAATAATTCCCTAACATCATCAAATACCCCATCCTCAATTTTTATTTTTGCACAGGGGAAAATACTAATCTTGTGCATTAAATAAACAATAATTCCCTAACATCATCAAATACCCCATCCTCAATTTTTATTTTTGCACAGGGGAAAATACTAATCTTGTGCATTCCAGGTTGGATGTGTAGGAGCAAGTCATCTAGTTAGTGAATTTACTTGGCCAACCACCATGTCATTGGTTGGGTTGTTGCAAATCTAGTAACTCTTGTAAAATAATATTTATTTGGTCTCTTTGAAAGGAAATTATGCCAAAAATAATCCAATTATTAAAGCAAAGACTAAAAGTAAAAAGGTCTAAGAAAGAGATATGATTTGGTAATTTAGAAAGATGAATGTTCTATTAAGTCTACTTATTCTGCTTTCTTCATGATCCTTCTTATTACCACAGGACAAAGCAAAAAGCACCAATGAAAAGGCAGTGCTTAAATGAAAAAAAATTATATTCTCTAAAAGTAAAAATTAATGCAAATGCTTTACAGGTAACAGCTACTCAAATATATGCTGGCTGACTACTGCGTTGTGACACTTTAAGAAGATATTAAGGGGAGGCCGGGCACAGTGGCTCATGCCTGTAATCCCAGTACTTTGGGAGGCCGAGGTGGGTGGATCACTTGAGGTCAGGAGTTCGAGACCAGCCTGGCCAACGTGATGAAACCCCATCTCTACTAAAAATACAAAAAATTAGCCGGGGGTGGTGGCGGGCACCTGTAATCTCAGCTACTTGGGAGGCTGAGGCAGGACAATCGCTTGAACCCAGAAGGTGGAGGTTGCACTGAGCCGAGATCGTGCCACTGTACCCCAGCCTGGGCAGCAGTGAGAGACCTGGTCTCCAAAAAAAAAAAAAAAAAAAGAAGCTACTAAGGAGAAAGCCAGGGTCTCACTGCTAAACACCACTCCAGCAAATCAGCAGTTTTATAATTCAGTCCTGGTATAATCCAAGGTTAAACTAAGGATGATCCTACTATTGCACAAGCACTTTTTCTATTCAGAAAAAGGGTACTACATGGCTGGCCTCTTAGTGGCTAGTCTTGTGGTGTTTGTTGGGTTTTTTTTTTTTTTTTTTTTTTTTTTTTTTGAGGAGGAGGAGGAAAGGGAGTAGGCAAGAAACATTTTAATTCCATCTCTTATTAAATATGTCCACATCATCATCATCTCATTCCACTCTACCCACAGACACACAATCCACCAATCAGAAAGTCATTTCCAATAGCAGGTTCAATTTTAGATTGCACAGACCTCAAGGGAGAATTAAGCCTTTCAGTCATTCAGATTAGTGGAACAAACTTTCACTCCACTATGTAATCCTTGAGGCCTAAAACTTCAGTTTAAAACCCGTGAATAGTTGGGACACTATGGGCACGCGCTACCACACCCAGCTAATTTTTGTATTTTTAGTAGAGACAGAGTTTCACCATGTTGGCCAGACTGGTCTCAAACTTCTGACCTCAAATGATCCGCCCGCCTTGGCCTCCCAAAGTGCTGGGATTACAGGCATGAGCCACCATGCTCGGCCTTGTTCCTTTATTCTTAATTCCTTCTCCAAAGCATATCATGTTCTAGAAATTAATTTTGGTGTGAAACCTCATGATTTGTGGTCACCCTAAATTTACAGCCACTCTAAATTCCAGAGCCAGAGAACAAATGATGAAAAGATTTTTGAAGGTTCCATTCCTACTTATGCCTCCATACATCCTAGTGAGGATTTAAAACATAAAAGTCAATTCTAGTTTATCTCTACCAATCCCCACTGTACCTTGCTAGTGCAGTTATCCTACAGGTGAAAGCATTTAAAGGAGAAAATAAGAACACAGGATAAGCCTCCAAGTAGAAAATTAGATTTTGTTTAAATTTCATGTCATAGATTATGATTTCTCCAAGGCAAGCAAGAAAGCATTTCATTCTTCTTAGCAATTAAAAAGAGGTTTTAAACTAAACTAGAACACACAATGACTAATTTAAATAATGTAGACAACAAAGCCCCTAATTTAAAAAAAATAGTTTTAGTTTTACTGTTCTACCATAAAGGAGTAGGAAAGAACAAAACTATTGGGGGAAAAAAAAAAAAAAAACTACTGGCCCTCAAATCAACAGCATTCACCAAAGCCAAACTGCTCAAAATACTCCAAAAGATACTGCATCTTACTCAGAAAAGATTATACAGGAAAAGAAGAGACAATAAATATACTTGGTTTTTGTGAGAAACATAAAATAAGGCTCAAAAAAATGAGTCAAACCTTCAGTGTTTGCTCTAGTTTTTACAGATCTATATTTACTTTTGTTCTCCTTAGTATCTTTTACTTTCAGTACAAAGTCAAACTGTGTTATACCTAGTATCTTATCTGAAAAGCTCTAAAAGGAGAAAGGCAAGATTACAGAAAAGGGCCACAAAAAGACAGCCTTCATAAACAATAATAAAATATCATCAAGTATATTTGCTGAACAGACACAACTCCCCTTATAATGAAGTATAAAACTTACCACCTCGGCCAAGGCTGAAATGACTTTGCCCAAAGTTGTAAGAGACTTATTAATATTTGCTCCTTCCTAAAATAAATACCAAATATGAAAGAATGATGAAGAATTTCTACTACTGCTATATCATACAGAACATAAAATATGATTTGCCATATGCTAGCATATTTCTTTATTACAAGTTCTAAAAACAACCTTTAGTCCTCCATCTGTCCTCTTTTCCACTTGATAATAACATGCTGAGACCACATGCCTAACTCACAGTCCTGAAGTATCTTCGAGATATTTGTGCTCCAAAAGCTTACAGATGTGTGCAGCCTTCTTCCCTCAACTTATCGACATGAAATTTCTGTTCTCACATCTGAATCTTGTATATCCTATTCCCACTGCCATCTCTTAATTCCATCTAGCCAAATTCTACCTGTTCCTTAAAATGCAATTCAACTCTCACCCTGACTATGATGTGCTCCCTAACTATTTAGTTAGATAACTTATCCTTCCATTGAAGTTACAGATCAGGAGTCAGCAAAATTTTTCCGTAGAAGGACAGACACAAATTATTTTAGGTTTTCTGGGCCATACGGTCTCTGTCACAACACTGCCATTGTAGTGCAAAAGCAGCCATAGACAATACATAAACAAATGTATGTAGCTGTGTTTCAATAAAATTTTATTTACAAAAACAGGTAGTGGCCATTTATTGATCAGGCCATTTATTTGCTAAAATAAATACCTTTAATCGAGTCCCTTTGGCACCAGTTGAATCAGCTCGTTCACTTCCTGCTAGATCCACCAAGCTGATTTTACTGACCTGATAAAGAACAATAACATGGGGGCAATTCAAAAATAAGCAAGATAGAAGCAGGAAATATTTAGAGGCAGAATGCTTTTTAAAAGATTAAGGTATGGAAAAAACTAAAAGTATTAGAGCTTTTAAATATGGCACAAAAAGATCAAGACAACATCTATCAGTTAGTTTAAACAGTACACACGGCAGGTGCAATGGCACATGCCTGTAGTCCCAGCTACTCAGGAAGCTCCTTTGAGCCCAGGAGTTCAAAGCTGTCTGCTGCACTCCAGCCTGGCAACATATAACACCCTTGTGTCTCTAAAAAAAAATTTTTTTTAATTAAAAAAAAAAAGAGCATGCACAAAATTCATAGCAATTATCACGGTTCAAAAAAAAGTAACTTTAGGATAAACATGACATAATTTACTAGAGTATGTTATAAAAATATATAAAACTCATCAACTCATTAAATGGCTTACTAAAAGTGAAGCTTTAAGCAACTGGAACAATCACATATTTCTGGTGGGAATGTAAAATGGTACAATCACTTTGGAAAACAATTTGACATTTATTTTCTTTCCTTTTTTTTTTTTTTTTGAGACAGAGTCTCGCTCTGTCACCCAGGCTGGAATGCAATGGTGCAATCTTGGCTCACTGCAACCTCCACCTCCTGGGTTCAAACGATTCTCCCACCTCAGCCTCCCGAGTAGCTGAGCTTACAGGCGCCCACCACCACGCCCAGCTAATTTTTTTTGTATTTTTAGTAGAGACGGGGTTTCACCATGTTGACCAGGCTGGTCTCAAACTCCTGACCTTGTGATCCACCCGCCTCAGCCTCCCATGGTGCTGGGAGTACAGGCGTGAGCCACCGTGCCCAGCCTTGACATTTCTTAAGGAGCTACAATAAGACTCAATCATCCTACTCCTAAGTATTTACCAACAGAACAAAAACAAATGTCCACACAAAGACTTGTACACAAATGTTCACATCAGCTTCGTTTGTAATAATCAAAAACTGGCAACAGTTTAAAAGTCCATCAACAGTTGAATTAATAAACTGTGGTGTATCTGTATAACGCAATACTCATCAACAATGAAAAGGAACTATTGATAAACACAACAACATAGATGAATCTCAAAATCACTATGCTAAGTGAAAGACTCCAGACAAAAAACAGTACATACTCTATGATTCCATTTATATAAAATTCTAGAAAATGTAAATTAATATATAGTGACA
Source organism: Homo sapiens (assembly GCF_000001405.40). Taxonomy (NCBI): domain Eukaryota; kingdom Metazoa; phylum Chordata; class Mammalia; order Primates; family Hominidae; genus Homo; species Homo sapiens. Next base: position 10,270,282 of record NC_000001.11, on the reverse strand, counting down.
AAAGGGCAGGTCCGGAATTGCCCGGGAATTGCCACAGAAGAAGGGATAGAGAAAGACTACAAAGAGATATGAGGCAACTTTTGAGAATAAAAATTATCATTATCTGGATTGTGGCGCTAGTTTCACAGGTATACAAATACGTCAAAACTGACCAAATTTTACGCTTTAAATATGTGCCATTTACTGTATACTTCAATAATACCTCAATAACACTGTAAAAAAATAAAGCTTCAGGAAAGTTTAGACAAAAGTATCCAAAATGAATTACCAGGAAAGCTATGATTATGGGATTAACATTAATTTTGTAGATTCGACATCATGGGAGAAGGGCAAAAAACACCTTCACATACAATGTTCTTTGCTGGCATTCAGATAAACACTAACTAATAAATAGCACTAATATTATAACCTCTGGCTAAACAAGTTATTTGATCATCTATATAAGAAATATATATATATTTTTTGAGACGAAGTTTCGCTCTTGTTACCCAGGCTGAAGTGCAATGGCGCAACCTCAGCCAACTGCAACCTCTGCCTCCCAGGTTCAAGCGATTCTCCTGCCTCAGCCTCTGGAGTAGCTAGGATTACCGGCACACACCATGACCGGCTAATTTTTTGTATTTTTAGTAGAGACTGGGTTTCACCATGTTGACCAGGCTGGTCTCGAACTCCTGACCTCAGGTGATCCACCCGCCTCAGCCTCCCAAAGTGCTTGGATTACAGGTGTGAGCCACCATGCCCAGTAGGAGTGTGTTTTTTTTTTTTTTTGAGACAGAGTCTCGCTCTGTCACCCATGCTGGAGTGCAATGGCACGATCTTGGCTCACTGCAACCTCCACCTCCTGGGTTCAAGCGATTCTCCTGCCTCAGCCTCCTGAGCAGCTGGGACCACAGGCGCATGCCACCACGCACAGCCAATTTTTTTATATTTTTAGTAGAGACTGGGTTTCACCATGCTGGCCAGGCTGGTCCCAAACTCCTGACCTCTTGATCTGTCTGCCTTGGCCTCCCACAGTGCTGGGATTACAGGTGTGAGCCACCATACCCGGCCCAGCAGGAGTATATTTTTAAAAATCATTTTCAGCTAGAAATAAGTCAACAAATAAAAGGTGATTTTAATAATTAGTGACAGTGGTGTCTAAAGTACTCATTTTATAAGGCAAAGGATCTTTTATAATTGCCAGTACAATAAACCTAACTTGAAGCTTAAAAATCCAGGTGCATCCTTCTTAGGGATGCAGATAGAGTAGTATTCAACATAAATTTTTTATTACTAACAATAACAATAAAATTAACATTATTGAGTGGCTACTCTGTGCCAGACATTATTGTATGCACTTAACCTATATTAACGCTTAATCTTTTTAACAATCCTATCAGGCTGTTATGGATGGGGAAACTGAGGAACAAAGAGGTTAAGTAGTTTGCCCAAAGTAATATAGCTGAAGAGTGGCAGAATCAGAATTCAAAGCAAGCAATCCAACGCTAAAGTCTGTGACATTTAACCACTATAGAAAATGAAAAATCAATAAGCAAAGAAAGGTATTTGAAGAACACCAGAACTGTTGTGGAGTTATTTTCCAGGAATGAAACATATCATTTGCTTAAACATTTAATCCCACTATAACATTATCATAGCTCAAAAAAAAAAAAAAAAAGAATACACATACCAAAGGCAGCTAATAAGGTAATAAAAAGGTTCAGTCAAGAAGAAGAAAAGAAAGAACTTTCTCCTGCAAGACTGCTTAACTGTCTTGTATTGAGTAGTTTTTGAGACCCAAAGTCCTGGATTGTTTTTTTCTTAACCCTATTCTCTATCTTACAACTTCATTTAAGAACCTATACAGAAAACTGGTGTAGGGTGGAAGAAAAATGATAAGCAGAGGTATAAAACACCCTCCATTAAGTAAAAGAGCACCCCCCAACACCCAACCTTCCACAAAAAGCAGAGGGCAACAAAAGGGACTTCTCAAAATCTCCATCCTTCACAACTCAAGCCTAGAGACTGAAACTCTCCTACCTTCTCAGTGGAAAGGTTGGTCTCATTATCGTGTTTCTTCTGGGTGAAAACAATCGTAAACACAGCGTGGGAACGGCTACTTGTTTCATTCATGTTTGTAGCTGCCACTGTCCTAAATAAACATAAAGGTGACCACGTGACAAGGGAATTCTTAGATGAGAGTTGAAATGGACAGCAGGCTCCACATTATAAGCATAACAATCACAAGCAATAGTCTTAAACTTATTCACAGATTGCAAGATTGTCACTTACACAATTGCTCTCAATACTGCCTTATTTGTGAGCCCATCAAGTTACTCTCCAATTCCAAAGGCACCCCATCAGAATCATTTTTCATACTCCAGCTATCCCTTTAGAAACCAATGAAGCATTTAATTTTTATTCTTTATTGGTGCTCATTTATTCCAGAATCAATTACTACCACAGCCGCATATATACATGATAACTAACATTTTACCATGACTTGATCAAAACCTAAGAGTAAAACTCAATGAGAGCTCTAACATGTTTCAGCAATGTACTGTTTAGATGAGAAGATACTTAACACTCTGAAGCCCTCACTGTTACAGCACAGTCAAAGGATCAGAGGACTCCACAATTAAAGCAACTTTCATAGCTATAAATGTGGCCTCAAACCCTTAACTGGGAAAAAAGGACCTCAAAAGGTGCCAAAGACCTCAGTCATTACTCTATTTCCTACCATACCTGGCTTTGTTCCCAGCATCCATGAGGTCAGCAATGTCTGTGTAGGAAGTAACTGCCAACTTGGACAGATCCTCCACATAGGGTCCAAGAAGTGGGTGTTCACGCACACGCAAATTACCCTTGTTTTTTGGATTCAGCAAATCTCGTACTCTTTCACAGTAAATTTCCATGTAGCTCACCTATGAACAAATTAGTAAAGTGAATTAGAGTGAAAAAGAAATCACATACAGAAGCCGGGCGCGGTGGCTCACGCCTGTAATCCCAGCACTTTGGGAGGCCAAGGAGGGCGGATCACTTGAGATCACTCGAACTACGAGTTCGAGACCAGTCTGGCCAACATGGTGAAATCCCGTCTCTACCAAAAATACAAAAAGGAGCCAGGCGTGGTGGCACATGCCTGTAGTCTCAGCTACTCAGGAGGCTAAGGCAGGAGAAATCGCCTGTACCTGGGAGGTGGAGGTTAGAGTGAGCCGATATCACACCCCTGCACTTCAGCCTCGGTGACAGAGTGAGGCTCTGTCTTAATAAAAAAAAAGAAAGAAAGAAAGAAAGAAAAAGAAAACAAAAGAAATCACATACAGAAAAAAAATTTTTTTAACTTTTATTAAAAGCTCTAAGATTAGAGATCAGCAACCTTTACAAAGTGAAATGCCGTAACTCTAGGCCCTTTTATTCTATTAACAATACGCACAGGTAATTACACTGAATAGGTTAGAACCAGCCTTCAGACTTTCTCTGTAAGGGAGAGGTAAACAGATTATCTCTGGAATGTAGTGACAGCTAAAAGATATTTTAGTAGCAATTTATCAGTTATCAATGTTTTTTAAAATGTATACTGTTGTCAGTAACTGGGATTTGCATTGAGGTTACTCCAAGAACTCGGAAATAAGATTTCTATTAGAGTTAAAACCAAGGAACAATATCAATATTACAGAGCAGAGAAGACAAAACAGACGGGTGATGCTAATTCTTTAAGGCTCACCACACTGTTACTAACTATGGACGATGTATCCTCCAGAAGGGATGAGGGTTGACCAGCATGAAAGCTGGTGGTGGCAGGACCTATCCAAGATTTGTGAGGGAGAAAGAAGCCTCAGACAATACACTTCATAAATTCTTGTCTCATTGGCAGGACCATTCGATCATGGTGATTAATGCATTAAGCTATCATTTCTTAACCTGGGGCAATTAAACATGTATCTAAGCAACTCCTCTCCTTCTAATTCCATGCACACCAAACAACCAACAGGCTTCCAACAGCGAGGTCTGTCCACAGAAATATATTAAATAGTCTTGCGAATGGCTTGAGTGTTCTAGCCTTAGTAATAGTTATTTCTCATGGTAAAGTAACAAACCAACAAGTTGGTTTCATAACATCAGTCAAATGAGCTTTACTCAAGTCTTAACTTGTAAGGATAGTCCTTTTCTTGATGAATCTACAAAATCAGACTTCTAAGCAAACAAGGCTCTGAACTAGGGTAAATTCATCACAATAGGCCACATTACGATGCTACCCAGGAAACAGATCCTTCTGTATCATGGAGCTATTCAAGCTTACATTACAGCTCCTGCATTTTTAAACTTTAAATGTCTATGGACATGTTTTCAGAGTATCTGGAATGGAATCTTAATTCCATTTCTATTGCCTTTTTCTTTCATTCAGTCTCTAACTGTATTTTTATACTGTATTTTATTTTTATATATTTTTTGAGACTGTATCTTACTCTGTCACCCAGGCTGGAGTGCAGTGGCTCAAACATGGCTCACTGCAGCCTCGACTTCCTGGGCTTAAGCAATCCTCCTGCCTCAGCCTCTGGAGTAACTGGGACTACAGGCACGTGCCACCATGCCTAGCTAATTAAAAAAAATTTTTTTTTGCAGAGACAGGGTCTCACCACGTTGCCCAGGCTGGTCTTGAACTCCTGGGCTCAAGCAATCCTCCCATCTTGGCCTCCCAAAGTGCAGGGATTACAGGTGTGAGCCACCGCACCTGGCCTTAATTTGTGTTTTAAAATCAGTTAAAGGCTGGGCATGGTGGCTCATGCCTGGAATCCCCACTCTTTGGGAGGTCAAGGTGGGCAGATTGCTTGAGCTCAGGAATTCGAGACCAACCTGGGTAACATGGTAAAACCCCACTTCTACCAAAAATACAAAGAATTAGCCAGGCATGGTAGTGTGTGCCTGTGTTCCCAGCTACTCGGGAGGCTGAGGTGGGAAGATCACTCAAGCCCAGGAGGTTGGGGATGCAGTGAGCTGAGATCACGCCACTGCACTCCAGCCTGGGTGACAGTGAGATCCTGTCTCTAAAAATAAATAAATAAATAAATAAATAAATAAATAAATAAATAAATAAATAAAATCCATTTTAAAAAATTAAGAACTTGGCCAGATGCAGTAGCTCATGCCTGTAATCTTAGCACTTTGGGAGCCACACACTGTGGCACATGCCTGTGGTGCAAATTACTCAGGAGGCTGAGGCAGGACGATCACTGAGCCCAGGAGGTCAAGGCTGCAGCGAACCCTGTTTGCACCACTGCACTCCAGTCTGGGTAACAGAGCAAGACCTTGTCTTAAAAAAAAAGAAGAAAAAGAAAAAAAGGCCGGGCGCAGTGGCTCACGCCTATAATCCCAGCCCTTTGGGAGGCCAAGGCGGGTGGATCATGAGGTCAGGAGTTCGAGACCAGCCTGGCCAACATGGTGAAACCCTGTGTCTACTAAAAATACAGAAAATTAGCCAGGTGTGGTAGCAGGAGCCTGTAATCCCAGCCTCTCGGGAGGCTGAGGCAGGAGAATTGCTTGAACCTGGGAGGCGGAGGTTGAAGTGAGCCGAGACCGCGCCGCTGCACTCCAGCCTGGGTGACAGAGTGAGACTCTGTCTCCAAAAAAAAAGACAACTCTGAAAGATAAAGTAATTAATCTATTATGAGAGTAAAGTAACAGAACAACAAATATTCTTTCTGACAGCAAGTCATCCTAGAAAGTGAGATGATTCTTCAATCATTGCTGTGTACTTAAATTTGTACATACAATACTGAATCCCCGGAATATATTACATCTTTTGGAACACTCGTACCTTTTCACACAAATGTGAGACAAAGAGAACCCAAATAATCTAGGTAAAAGTTCATGTGCTCCATTCCTTATGCTCTGATATGTGAATCCATCCAAAGCCATCATCATTTCTTTTACTTCTGCACCAACCACTCCAGATGCCACCTGGCAGATCCAACTCACTGAGGACCGTTCTCTTACAGGCACTGTTCTAGGCAATTGGTATACACCACTAAATAAAGCAGACAAAGAACCCTGCCCCAGTGAGCTTATGCTTCTAGCAAGGGATACTGATAATAAACAACAAACATAAAAAATAGGTAACTGAGAAAGCATGTTAGAACATGATGAGTATGATGGAAAAAAGAAAATAGAATGGGGAAGAGAGCTCAGGATGTGGGGTAAAGGGCAAGATACAATATTAAATAAGGTGGTCAAGGTAAGCCTCACTGAGAGTGTGTGATTTATGCAGACTTGAAGAACGTGAGAAACTTAGTCAAAATGACATCCAAGTGAACAACATTTCAGGCAAGAGGAGAAGTAAATGTAGAGGCCTTGAAGCAGGAATGTTTCTGGTATGTTCTTGAAACAGGAAAAAAGGCAATATGGGTGGAGCAGAGTAAACAGGGAAGGAAGTAGAAGAGACAGGTAGAGAGGTCCTGCAAATGTGGCAAGAAACCACAGTGTCAACTAGGAATCTATGCTCCACTCCAAGTTAAGCCTGGAAACTCTAATACAAAAGAAAAGGGCATCTTCTTTTATTACCTGTAAGCTCAAAAATTCTATCACCTGATTCAAAAAAGAATAACTATGGGACAAGCTATTCAGAAAATTCATTTTAACGCAAAATATGCTTAGGGCAGCACATTCTCTTTTTGGTGTATGACAGTCACAAGACAGAATTCCTTAGAATTTACATATTTATGCAACACCTTCTAGGTGAAGAAAAAACTCCAAAGCAATTAAATGAATTAACTAGGAATGAAATGCTGTAAGGCTACAGAGAATCAGAACAAATACCAAAAAGAAAAGAAAAAAAATCTCAAGATCGCTTAAAAGGCAGCCTATTTTTTCAAAACAGACTCATGGTAACAGAACACTTTAATAATTTCAGTTACTATGAAAGTGAATACCAAAAAAGGGTGTGGTGGGGGGGTGGCGGTGAGAGAGAGAGGGAGGAAGAGAAAGAAACAGCAGCTTCTTCTTTTTATTTATTTATTATTATTATTTTTTTTTTGAGACAGACTCCAGGCTGGGGTGCACTGGCATGATCTCGGCTCACTGTAACCTCTGCCTCCTGGGTTCAAGCGATTCTCGTGCCTCAGCCTCCCGAGTAGCTGGGATTACAGGTGTGCACCACCACAGCCGGCTAATTTTTTGTGTTTTTAGTAGAGACAGGGTTTTGCCAGGTTGGCCACGCTGGTCTCAAACTCCTGGCCTCAAGTGATCCATTCGCCTCCCGAAGTGCTGGGATTACAGGTATGAGCCCCAAAACAGCTTCTTTAAGCACATACAAAACAGAGAGAATGTTTATCAAATAAGCAAATGTGTATAAAGTAATTCTATAGACTTCATGAAAGAGCCAGGGTAAACACAGGATGGATAATTACTTTCCAAGTTTTTATAAGCAATTAAAAAAGTGGGAAAGGGGGAGATTTGATTATATATATTTAAAACCAATGCCTGTCAAAAACCATTATTAACAATATTAAAGGAGAAGAGTTCCCACAAATGAATCAGAAAGACATTGTGAACCCAAAATGTAAACAGGCATATGCATAATTTACAAGACGTTCAACCATACTAGTAATCAAAGAAATTCAAAATTTAAGTAAGAGAATACTTACATTATCAAATTAGCAAAGATTAAAAAATAGAAAAATGTTGGCAAGGGCACAATGGGTGCTTACACCCTCCTAGTGTGACTGAAAACTGTTACCCAGCATTACTTTCCAAAAAGGCATTTGGCAATTCAAATGTATTATTTAAAAACCAAGAAACATACAAAAGATAATAACTGCAAATAAATGCACAGACTTATGAACAAAGATTTAATTGTGGCTGGGCTCAGTGATTCACACTGCAACCCCAGCACTTTCAGAGGTGGAGGAGGCAAGATTGCTTGAGCCCAAGAGTTCAACACCAACCTGGGCAACATAGGGAAACTCCATCTCTACAAAAAAATCAATTATCTAGGGGTGGTGGTGGCACACACCTGTTGTCCCAGCTACTTGAGAAGCTGAGGGGGTAAGATCGCTTTGGCCCAGAAGGTCAAGGCTGCAGTGAGCTGTGATCACGCCACTGCACTCCAGGGCCTGGGCAACAGAGTGAGACCCTGTCCCCACCGCGCACCCCCCAAAAAAAAGATTAAAGCAGGACACTATTCATTATACCCAAAACCCAGAAATAGCCTGAAAGGACAAAAATGAAGGAATGGTGAAGTGATGTGTACCACAGTCATAATTTGGAGCCATTTAAGTGATGCTTGAGAGAATGGAAAACAAGGGCTTACGGTGTCAACTCACGGCTGTACTCACCTCTACAGAGTAAGACATTTCTTCATTACAGTTGTCATTGATTTTCTCAAAAAGTTCTTCACATAACTAGGGAAGTAGAATGAGAGAGGCATGAAGAGCACAAATGAGAGGAGTACTAAGTCATCCACGCGTGCTCAATGAATTAGCCAGACGTCCTTTCTTGCTCCATCTCAAAATATATTATGTCATAAACATCAAGATACGATTAATGCTTTGAATAAAGTCAGTCATGCGCTGCATAACCATGATTCGGTCAACGATGGACTGCATATATGATAGTGATCCCCATAAGATTATAAGAAAGCTGGAAAATTCCTGTCACCTAGTGATATCTTGATGATCCTGACCCTGTGTAGGCCTAGGCTAATAAATGTGTGCCTAAGTTTTTAACAAAAAAGTTTAAATTTTTTTTCAAAAATTAAAAATTTGGGCTGGGCAAGGTGGCTCATGCCTGTAATCCCAGCACTTTGGGAGGACGAGGCAGGCAGATCACAAGGTCAGGAGATCGAGAACATCTTGGCCAACATGGTGAAACCCCATCTCTACTAAAAATACAAAAATAGTCCCAGCTATTCTGGAGGCTGAGGCAGGAGAATCGCTTGAACCCAGGAGGCGGAGGTTGCAGTGAGCCAAGATCGTGCCACTGCATTCCAGCCTGGGCAAGAGGAGTGAAACTCTGTCTAAAAAAAAAAAAAAAAAATTTGGCCAGGTGCAGTGGCTCACGCCTGTAAATCTCAGCACTTTGGGAGGCCAAGGCAGGCAGATCACTTGAGGCCAGGAGTTCAAGACCAGCCTGGCCAACATTGTGAAACCCCGTCTCTACTAAAAATACAAAAATTAGCCAGACGTGGTGGTACGTGCCTGTAGTCCCAGCTACTCAGGAGGCTAAGGCACAAGAATTAATTGAACCCAGGAGGCGGAGGTTGCAGTGAGCTGATAGGGCGCCACTGTACTCCAGCCTGGGTGACAAAGCAAGACTCTGTCTCAAGAAAGAAAAAAAAAATTAAAAAATACAAAAAAGCTTATAGAATAAAGATATGAAGAAAGAAAATATTTTTGTACAGCTGTACAAAGTGTGTGTGTGGTTTCTTTTTTTTTTTTTTGAGACCGAGTTTCACTCTTGTTGCTCATGCTAGAGTGCAATGGCGCGATCTCAGCTCACTGCAACCTCCGTCTCCTGGGTTCAAGCAATTCTCCTGCCTCAGCCTCCCAAGTAGCTGGGATTACAGGCATGCGCCACCATGCCTGGCTCATTTTTTTGTATTTTTAGTAGACACGGGGTTTCACCATGTTGGTCAGGCTGGTCTCGAACTCCTGACCTCCAGTGATCCACCCGCCTTGGCCTCCCAAAGTGATGGGATTACAGGCATGAGCCACCATGCTGGGGCTGTTTGTGTTTTAAACTAAAGGTTATTATAAAAGGATCAGAAAGTTTAAAAAATTTTAAAGTTTATAAAGTAAAAAAGTTATAGTAATTTAACTAAGGTTAATTATTGAAAGGAAACTGTTTTTAAAACTAAATTTAGTGTAGCCTAAGTGTGCAGCATTTATAAAGTCTACAATACTGCAAAGCAATGTCCTAGGCCTTCACATTTACTCACCACTTGCTCACTGACTCACCCAGAGCAACTTCCAGCCCTGCAAGCTCCAGTGTAAGAGCACTATGCAGGTGTGCCATTTCAAATCTTTTATATCATATTTTTAATGTACTTTTCTATGTTTAGATATACAAATACTTACCATCCTATTATAATTGCCTGTAGTATTCAGTACAGTAGCATGCTACACAAGTTTATAGCCTTGGAGCAACAGGCTATACAACGCAGTCTAGGTGTGGAGCAGTTTACACCTTCCAGGGTTTGTGTAAGTACACTCTATGATATCTGTACAATGACAAAAGCACCTAACGACTAATGATGCATTTCTCAAAATGTACCCCCACCCTTAAGTGATGCATGACTATAAAAGGAAAATTTTAAATACAATCTTCTCACTTAATCTTTTTTTTTTCTTAAGTTTTTAGGCCCCGCACAGTGGCTCATGCCTGTAATCCCAGTACTTCTGGAAGTCGAGGCAGGCAGATCATCCCAAGCCCAGGATGGAGCCCAGGTCCATTCGAGACCAGCCTGGACAACATGGTGAGACCCTGTCTCTAAAAAAAAAATTTTAAAGGCCGGGCATGGTGACTCATGCCTGCAATCCCTGCACTTTGGGAGGCGGAGGTGGGCGGATTGCCTGAGGTCAGGAGATCCAGACCAGGACCAACATGGTGAAACCCCGCCTCTACTAAAAATACAAAAATTAGCCAGGCATAGTGGTGGGTGCCTATTGTCCCAGCTACTTGGGAGGCTGAGGCAGGAGAATCACTTGAACCCAGGAGGCGGAGGTTGCAGTGAGCCAAGATGGCGCCATTGCACTCCAGCCTGGGCAACAGAGAGAGACTCCACCTCAAAAAAAAAAAAAAATTTTTTTTTTTTTTAATTTAAAAATGAGCTAGGTGTGGTGGCACATGGCTTTAGTCCCAGCTACTCTGGAGGCTAAGGCAGGAGGATCACTTGAGCCTGGGAGGACAAGGCCTCAGTGAGCCAAGATCACACCACTGCACTCCAGCATGGGCAACAGAGTGAGACCCTGTCTCAAATAAATAAGTAAATAATGAAGTTCTTTTTAAATACTTATGTCTTTCACCATTAAATCCTAAGTGAAACGAATAATGAAAATAAAAATAAATAAATATCTATGTCAGAACGCTTCTTCATTCCCAAACAATAAAGGATCAAACCCAATAATACTAACTGTTCTAAAAAAAAAAAAAAAGAGGGAGAATCTCAGAGTGTTTGAAGTTTAAAGTCATAGTATTAAATTAGGAAAATAAAATGAAAGTATCTCCGAATAAGGCTATCAAAAAAACCAAAAATAATCACATTCTTCAGAGGTAATCTATGCATGGAATTTGAAAAAAAATCAGATCAACAATATCCCCCCATCTCCAGGACTTAGAACAGAGCTTTAACAAGCTGGTAACACTTTTCAAATGACAAAATAATATGGCATTGGATATATGGCAAAATCATTACAAAACACTGACTTTCCCACCTTTAATGACAGACATGTGTACATGTCAATCCTTCCCATTCAATTGTGAGCTCCTCTGAGGGAAAATAATGGGTTGTTCATCTTTGTGCCTGACATAAAACAATCCCCGCATAAATGTTCGCCAAATAAAAATAACTGTTAAAGCAATTTAAGACTAACACTAATAATGAAGAGAAGATTTTTGTTTTGTTTTGTTTTTCACCTGTGGAATGATGCCAGCCTGGCTTTCTTCTTGTTTACCCATCATTGTATAAGATTTTCCAGCACCAGTCTGCCCATAGGCAAAAATACAGACATTATATCCCTCAAAGGCGTGTAAGAGCATTTCCTTGCCAATGTCATTGTACACACGGTTTTGAGATGCAAAACAGGGATCTTCGGGCTGTAAAGAGTAAAAGGAGAAATAAATAACCTTTTATTAATATTTCTTCCTATACTTACTTGATTGCTTCCATAATAAAAGTGTCTGGAATCAGAACAGTCACCTAAAATTCCCTACACATTTTTTAAGCCTCCTATACACAAGTTTACTTTTCTCATTAAATACACGCACATGCACACACACACACTCACAAACACATGCACTGTTAGAGTCATCCAGGTCAGCCATACATAAAAATATCTATATAAAATTATCTGGCATGATTACATTTCACTTTCTATAACCTTAAAAGTATCACTCTTTCATTCACACAGCCAAGATTTTCTTAAGTGGAAAATGAGAATAAAAGACCAAAGGTCAAGTCCACATATAAAAATACTTCTTTGAACTCACTCCAGCTACTGGGACTATTTCTCAATAAACACAGCTTTCAGGAAACAGCATTTCCAATCCCCTTCTCAGTCCCTTCCCTTGACAATTAGGCTTTGTCAATAGTTTAAAACATCGATTCCCCAGGGCAGGGCACAGTGGCTCATGCCTATAATCCCATCACTCTGGGAGGCCAAGGCGGGCAGATCACTTGAGGATAGGAATTCGAGACCAGCCTGGCCAACACAGCGAAACCCCATCTCTACTAAAAATTAAAAAAATCAGCCGGGTGTGGTGGCACCTGCCTGTAATCTCAGATACTCAGGAGGCTGAAGCAGGAGAACTGCTTGAACCCAGGAGGTGTAGGTTGCAGTGAGCTGAGATCATGCCACTGCACTCCAGCCTAGGCAACAGAGCGAGACTCAGTCTTTAAAAAAAAATACAAAACAGGAAAAACAAAACCAAAAACATGTAACAAAGAGATGAATGATGCAGAAGTAAACTCTATGAACAATCCCTAAGAAGCAGCAACATTTGGGGTTCCACACTGAGTAAGGGTACCAGGAAGGGCCCTACTCTGCATTTTCGTAATACTGGTAATCTTTTGTTTCCCTTGTGGATCTGCAGCCTCTTTCCTTTTTTTTTTTTTGAGACACAGTCATGTTCCATCACCCAGGCTGGAGTGCAGTGGTGCGATCTCGGCTCACTGCAACCTCCACCTCCCTGGGTTCAAGCAGTTCACCTGCCTCAGCCTCCCAAGTAGCTGGGATTACAGGCACCCGCCACCAAGCCCACCTAATTTTTTTTTTTTTTTGGAATTTTTAGTAGAGGCACGGTATCATCTTTCAAAATGTTCAGAACCCACATTGCTCTACTACAATTAAAAAAAAAAAATTGGCCAGGCACGGTGGCTCACTCCTTTAATCCCAACACTTTGAGAGGTCGAGGCAGGTGGATCAGGAGGTCAGGAGTTCAAGATCAGCCTAGCCAAAAACAAACAAACAAACAAAAAAAAAACAATTTCTCTGTGGTCATTCCAATCTTGCTGGCCATTCCCTCAAAATTCAACTTAAAATTAACAGTACCCTAAGCAATTTTAATTTGGCATTTCCAGCCAGGCACAGTGGCTCACACCTGTAATCCCAGCACTTTGGGAGGCAAACACAGGTGGATCACTTAAGGTCAGAAGCTCGAGACCAGCCTGGCCAACATGGTCAAATCCTGTCTCTACTAAAAATACAAAAATTAGCTGGGCATAGTGCCACGCGCCTGTAATCCCAGCTACTCGGGAGGCTGAGGCGGGAGAATCGCTTGAACCTCGGAGGCGGAGGTTGCAGTGAGCCAAGATGGCACCACTGTACTCCAGCCTGGGCGACAGAGTGAGACTCCGTCTCAGAAGAAAAATAATAATAATAATAATTATTATTATTATTTGGCATTTCCTAAGATCAATGGGCAATAATGTTGGTAATGAGGATCCTAAGATACTGATAAATAAATCCTCAAGAAATGTCTAAATCAGTATAAATTTAGTGTACATTCAGTATAAATTTGGTGTAAACTAAATATGTTCTGTATGTATATATGTGTATATATTTATGTATATGTGTACATAAACTTTCCATCAACCCAAATACTTTATGAATGAAAATACTATATCACTGTATCAAAGAATGAACTCATGCTACACAACAGTTAAGAAGCAAAACTTGGATCTGCTCAGCTAAGAGAAAAGACAAATCGGCAAGGAAAGAGGAAAGGAGGCAGGAGCTGGCAGTGCTGTGGCATGAGGGTACTCACTGAGGTATGAGACCAGTAGGAATAGTCGAAGCTGAAGGACTTTGGAGCTTCCTTTGGATTCTTTGGGTTAATAATACCTAGAAGATAAAAATGTTTCATTTTATAAGTCACTCAATTACAAGTTCTTTAGTTAAACATGTTATTCTGTGTGTTCAAAACATCCCAATCAGTAAATTCATACCACTAAATCTGAATAGGGCAATCAAAAATTAATAGGCTGGGCTCAGTGGCTCATGCCTGTAATTTCAGCATTTTGAGAGTCCGAGCTGGGTGGATCACTAGAGGTCAGGAGTTCAAGACCACCCTGGGCAACATGGTGAAACCCTGTCTCTACAACAAATACCAAAAAAAAAAAAAACAACAACAACTAGCTGGGCATGGTGGCACATGCCTGCAGTCCCAGCTACTTAGGAAGCTGAGGTCGGAGGATGGCTTGAGCCTGGAGGTTTGAGGATGTAGTTAGCTGTTATCGAGCCACTGCACCCCAGCCTATTTTGAGACCCGATCTCAAAAATGAATGAATGAATGAAAACAATCATAGTTTTAAGAGGTAATTTATACATGGAACATGAAAAACCAGACCAACAGCATTAACTGCGTGTTACCAGTATTCAGAACAGACCCTGGTATAAAGTAGATGCTCAGTAAATATTCTGTGACAATGTTTATCCTCCTTAGGTAAGTTACCAGCCAAAATTTGGAAATGAACGACATTTCTATTTCTTTTCTTTTTGAAGACAGAGTCTTGCTCTATTCCCCAAGCTGGAGTGCAGTGGTGTGATCTCGGCTCACTGCAACCACCTCATCCCGGGTTCAAGAAATTCTCCCGCCTCAGCCTCCTGAGTAGCTGGGATTACTGGCATCCACCACTACAACTGGCTAATTTTTTTATTTTTAGTAGAGACAGGGTTTCACCATGTTGGCCAGGCTGGTCTCGAACTCCTGACCTCAGGTGATCTGCGCATCTCCGCCTCCCTAACTGCTGGGATTACAGGCGTGAGCCACTGCACCTGGCCCACATTACTATTTCAAGGCACCCGTTAAGCCCTGAAATATTGGAACACATCAGAAATGGAGCTGGGCGCGGTGGCTCCCACTTGTAATCCCAGCACTTTGGGAGGCCAAGGCAGGTGTATCACTTGAGGTCAGGAATTCGAGACTAGCCTGGCGAACATGGTGAAACCCCATCTCTACCAAAAACACAAAAATTAGCCAGAAATAGTGGTGTGTGCCTATAATCCCAGCTACTGGGGAGGTTGAGGCAGGAGAATCACTTGAACCCGGGAGGCAGAGGTTGCACTGAGCTGATATTAATGCACTGCACTCCAGCCTGGGTGACAGAGTAAGACTTCATCTCAAGAAAAAAAAGAGAAATGAAAATTAGAAAGTTATTGAATGAATCCAACCACTATTTGAAAGCAGCTTTTTTTTTTTTTTTTTTTTTTTTGAGACAGAGTCTCCCTCTGTCGCCCTAGCTGAAGGGGAGTGGCACGATCTCGGCTCACTGCAAGCTCCACCTCCCAGGTTCACGCCATTCTCCTGCCTCAGCCTCCTGAGTAGCTAGGACTACAGGCGCCCGCCACCACGCCCAGCTAATTTTTTTGTATTTTTAGTAGAGACGGGGTTTCACCGTGTTAGCCAGGATGGTCTTGATCTCCTGACCTTGTGATCCACCCGCCTCGGCCTCCCAAAGTGCTGGGATTACAAGCGTGAGCCACCGCGCCTGGCCATGAAAGCTCTTTTTAAAGATCTTACTATGTACTTCAGAAAAGCATTTGGTAATGAAGCATTCATTACAAATACAGTGTTATTTCTGAAATCTAAGGTTGACAAGTATGTAAATGATTAGTGTGTGTGTATTTATGTAATGTAGTATATAGTGGAATCACAGACTAAGTCATTTTGGAGTGTAATTAACTGCATGTTACCAGTATTCAGAAAAGACCCTGGTATAAAGTAGATGCTCAGTAAATACTCTGTGATAATGTTTATCCATCCTAGGTAAGTTAGCAGCCAAAATTTGGAAATGAACCACATTACAGCAAAATTACTTTTTTGACTGAAATGCATGAAGTCTCACCACCCACATTAAAAGTGATTTATCATGTCATTAATCCAGTCACACTATATTTCAGGGACTGACTATGAATGCTTTAAAGCTTAATCTTTCTCCCTCACTCATACACACAAAGCTTTAGCTCCTCATATTTGAAATGAAACAGAATCTTTATGGCATGTGGTCATGAAATCTCCTCAAAGACTGGATATCTCAACCAATCTACTCCTTTGAGATGTGGCAAGGCCACATCCCAGGCTATCAGTGAGATCAGGATTAAAAAATAAATCTGTCTCGCACAGCTGTTGCTCAGTACACAAATAGCAACAGTTGCTACGGTGCTTAGTTCTCTCTCTTGCTGGATTCCACTGGGTACAGCCACGCATTTATGTTCCAACCTCAAATGCTGACAGAGTATTAATAAAGCTCACACTGTACATAATCATGTGACAAGGAGACATGGTTCTAGAAGGAACATCTCTCCACATGCAAATGGTAATCCAAGCAAAGAAGTATACTTCTAACCAAAGAGGAATTAAATGCAAGATTTAAAAAACAGCCAACATTCACAGAACACTTACTCTGAGCCATAAGTACTTTCTGTCTACGAACCTTTTTTTTTCCTGAGACAGGATCTAACTCTGAGGCCCAGACTGGAGTACAGTGGTACAACCACAATTCACTACAGACTCAACCTCCTGGGCTCCAGTGATCCTCCCACCTCAGCCTCTGGAGTAGATGGGACCACAGGTTCATGCCACTACACCCGGCTAATTATTTTTCTTTTTTGTAGAGATGGGAGTCTCACTATGTTGCCCAGGCTGGTCTCAAACTCCTGGGCTCAAGCCATCCTCATGCCTCAGCTTCCCAAAGTGCTGGGATTACAGGTGTGAGCCACCACACCAGACCTACTAACCTATTTGATGCTCCCAAGCACTCAATGAGCCAGATGTTTCATTACCCCCATTTTACAGATAGATAAACCATCACAGAGAGGTTAAATAAGTTATTCATGGCTCCAGAGCTAGCTAGTGGCAGATTCAGGATGCAATTTTGGAGGGTTTGGCTCCAGAGTTCACACTCTTAGCCCAGACACCATCATTTAAATGCTTATTCCCTATATGCAGCATTGTCAAGGCTAAAGGCAGGAAGGCATTTTCATGGAAATACATGTGCACACCTACATGTATGTGGCCACCCCACTAAAATCACACTGTAGGCATTGTTTAAAATTCTCTTTATTGGCCAGGCACAGTGGCTCACATCTGTAATCCCAGTACTTTGGGAGGCTGAGGTGGGCAGATCACCTGAGGTCAGGAGTTGCAGACCAGCCTGTCCAACATGGTGAAACCCCATCTCTGTTAAAAATATAAAAAATCAGTGCAGCGTGGTGGGGCACGCCTGTAATCCCAGCTACTCGGGAGGCTAAGTAAGACAGGAGAATTGCTTGAACCCGAGAGGTGGAGGTTGCAGTGAGCCAAGATCACACCACTGTACTCCAGCCTGGGTACAAAAGAGCAAAACTCCATCTCAAAACAAAAAAAAACTGTCTTTATGACCTGGCTCGGTGACTCACACTTATAATCCCAGCACTTTGGGAAGCTCAGGCAGGAGGATCGCTGGAGTACAGGAATTTGAGACCAGCCTGGGCAACATGGTGAAATCTCATCTCCACAAAAAATACAAAAGTTAGCTAGGCATGGTGGTGTGTGCCTGCACTCCCAGCTACTCAGGGGGCTTAGGTAGGAAGATCACCTGAGCCCAGGGAGGTCCAGGCTGCAGTTAGCCAAGATTGTGCCACTGCACTCCATCCTGGATGACAGACTAAGACCCTGTCTCAAGTAACAACAGCAACAACAACAACAACAACAACAACAACAAAAACCCCACAAAAAC
Organism: Homo sapiens; assembly: GCF_000001405.40. NCBI lineage: Eukaryota > Metazoa > Chordata > Mammalia > Primates > Hominidae > Homo > Homo sapiens. Next base: position 10,252,371 of record NC_000001.11, on the reverse strand, counting down.
AAAGAACCTCTCATTTAAAAGTGGGAACTGATGGCTGGGCACGGTCACTCACGCCTGTAATCCCAGCACTTTGGGAGGCTGAGGGGGGTTGATCACTTGAGGTCAGGAGTTTGCGACCAGCCTGGCCAACGTGGTGAAACCCCGTCTCTACAAAAAATACAAAAGTTAGCGAGGCATGGTGGCACGCACCTGTAATCCCAGCTACTTGGGAGGCTGAGGCGGGAGAATTGCTTGAACCTGGGAGGCAGAGGTTGCAGTGAGCCGAGATTGCACCACTGCACTCCAGCCTGGGCAACAGAGCAAGACTCCATCTCAAAAATAAATAAATAAATAAATATAAAAGTGGGAACTAGGAGGACTGTAGTTTCTAAAAGATCTAAAAGATGAATGACCACACAAACTCTACCAAGAAAACGGAAATAAGTGTCATATTGTGTGAGTCAGATTCTAGGTTTCGGTAGCTCAGCAATAAGAACAATGATGACACAAGGCATGCCCTCTGAGGTAGTCCTCACCGCTCAAAAACATGGTTATAATAAACACTCCTAGCCTCTAGAAAATTTGCTGTCAAAAAACTTTTAAGCCTCTGCACCATAAGACAGGGCCAAAAAATAAATGATAAAGCTTTTTTTTTTTTGAGACGGAGTTTTGCTCTTGTTGCCCAGGCTGGAGTGCAATGGTAGGATCTCAGCTCACTGCAACCTCCGCCTCCTGGGTTCAAGTAATTCTCCTGCCTCAGCCTGCCACGTATCTAGGATTACAGGCATGCATCACCACACCTGGCTAATTTTGTATGTCTAGTAGAGACAGGGTTTCACCATGTTGGTCAGGCTGTTCTCAAACTCCTGACCTCAGGTTATCCACCCACCTAAGCCACCCAAAGTGCTGGGATTACAGGGGTGAGCCACCGCGCCCAGCCAATAAAGCTTTTAAGCCATATTTCACTCAGCCTTTTAGCTACCAATTCTACCAAGAATGACTGAAAGACTACTCAGATTTTATCGCTTTGTTCTCTTTTCCTTAGTAAAAAAAAAAAAAAAGAAAGGAAAAACTACACCAATGAGTTAACTTCCTCAATTCACATGAAATCCTTTTCCTCTTCTTCAATATTCCTTTCTCCCAGACTTTTAAAGCTTCTGAAACTAATAGATTTTCCTAACTTATATCTTCAAAACCAAGCTGCTTTTATTTTATTTATTTATTTTTTTGAGACAGTCTAGCTCAGCTGCCCAGGCTGGAGTGCAGTGGCACGATCTCGGCTCACTGCAACCGCTGTCTCCTAGGTTCAAGCGATTCTCCTGTCTCAGCCTCCCCAGTAGCTAGGATTACAGGCACCCGCCATCATGCCTGGCTGATTTTTGTATTTTACTAGAGACAGGGTTTCACCATGTTGGCCAGGCTGGCCTTGAACAGGATCCTTACCTCAGGTGATCCACCCGCCTCGGCATCCCAAATTGCTAGGATTACACGTGTGAGCCACTGCACCCGCCCCCAAGCTGCTTTTAGAATAACTGCTTCTATCAACAACTAATCCATTTGTTTTCCCCAGACAGCGTCACGGTCTGTCACCCAGGCTGGAGTACAGTGGCTCAATCATGGCTTACTGCAGCCTGCAACTCCTGGGCTCAAGTGAACCTCTCACCTCTGCCTCCCAAGTAATTGGGCCTATAGGTGTGCACTACCATGCCAAGCCAAATTTTAATTTTTTTTGCAGAGATGGGGCTTTGCCATGTTGCCTAGGCTGGACTGAGACTCTTGGCTCAAGCAATCCTCTTTCCTTGCCCTCCCAAAGTCATGGGCTACCATGCCTGGCTTAATATTCTAAACATATGAAAGAACAATTTAAAAATACTGTATTTACAAAAATTAGCTGGGCGTGGTGGTGGGCACCTGTAACCCCAGCTACTTGGGAGGCTGAGGCAAGAGATCTGCTTGAAACCAGAAGGCAGAGGTTGCAATGACCTGAGATTGCACCACTGCACCCCACCCTGGGCAACAGAGCGAGGCTCCGTTTCAAAAAAAAAAAAAAAGTTAAGAAATACTGTATTTAGGTGTTTTTTACGACCTTGGGTATGACTGCACGTCTGTGTCGTCTCTAAAATTGAGGTAATACCTAGTTTACAGAATTAAAGGAGTGAAACACTTACACATACGTTAATTTTTCTTAAATACGTATTTTACCCTGTTTTAAACTCTCAATATTCAGTAGGTATGATAATATTCCATTTGATCTTTAAACCAAGGTAAGAAAAACACACCAGGCCCAGGTTCAGTGGCTCATGCCTGTAATCTCAACACTTTAGGAGGCCAAGGTGGGAGGATCATCTGAGCCTACGCGTTCGAGACTAGCCTGGGCAACATAGTGAGACCCCATCTCCACAAAAAATAAAAAGCAACAACAAAAAAAGAAAAGTTCACTAACTGATAAACTAAAGCACAATGTAAGAATTCTGTTTCTTTTCTCTTTTAGAGACAGGGTCTTGCTCTGTCGCCCTAGGCTGGAGTGCAGTGGTGAGATTACAGCTCACGCATCCTCAGCCTCCTGGGCTCAAGTGATCCTCCCACCTCAGCCTCCTGAGTGACTGGGACCACAGGCACGTGCCACCATGCACGGCTAATTTGTTTATTTTTTTGTAGAGACAGGGTCTCCCTAGGTTGCTCCAGCTGGTCTCGAACTCCTGGGCTGAAGCAATTCTCCTGTTTTGGCCTCCCAAAGTGCTAGGATTACAAGTGTGGGCCACTGGACCCAGCCAAGAGCCTATTTCTTGCCAACAGTCAAAGTACGACATTCAAGTCCTTACTTAAATGTGTCAACAAATCTCTGATGCTCCCCCAACATCATATATCCTCAAAGTGCTTGGACCATGTCTTATGGATCCTCTATACTGCCCTATACCAAGGACTCAAATGAATGCCCTCCATGTGTCATGTACAACTCTGATTAAATTCCATTTTCAAGAGCATAAAAAGAAAAACAGTGTATAGCTGTGCAATATATACATAAAATACCAGTAGATTTTACTAACATTCACAGAAAAAAAAAAGAGGATTGTACTACTGAAAGACTGGGCATAATTAACACAGCAGTTCTTGTATCAAGGTCAACTGAGCTAAAATAGTGTGTTGGACTTCTAATTTGTTTCACAGAAACCATGCACATAAAAACAGAATTACAGTAATTAAGGAACACATTCAACATATAAACCATATTTTCACCCACAAGCTGTTACGAATTTAGTACCCACCCCCAGGGTCACATGGAATCAGCACGTAGGCTTTGTCTAGGACAAGTCGCCACTTTTCCTGCAAAGAATGGACTCCAGGAATATTTTTGAGGACTAGTGTCAGAAAATAACTCTTTTAAAAGTATTATAGACTTCATATTGTTTTACTTCCTATAATCCACCTTTTCAAGCTGCTTTTCAAGGCCTCTTTTACAGCTTCTGTGCCTGAGGTCTTTTCTTCAATCTAGGTTGCTCTGGACACACAGCATACTCCAGACCTGGACCCTACAAGCAACATTCCACAGATGATCTGGGAGCCATCTTTGGCTTTTTTCTTTCATCCTCCACATCTGATGTATCCTATCAGTTCTACTTTCCAAATATGGCTTCTCCCCACCACCATCGTGACCACCCTGGTTCAACCACCACTTCTCTCACTTGGATGACTGTAATAACTCCAGTTATTACCAGATGACAGAACACATCAACCACGGCAGCATGTTTGGGAACTTTGCTCTCCATTTGTATAACATAAAGACTCCCATGAGAACGACATCTTTCATCATCAGAAATCGATGAGTCCCAGTATCTGGTGTTGCAGGGGCAGCAAGAGAGATGGGTCCATTCATACATCAAAAGATTATGTCAGCTGAGCACAGTAGCTCACACTTGTAATCTCAGCACTTTGGGAGGCTGAGGTAGGAGGATCACTTGAGCCCAGGAGTTTGAGACCAGCCTGGGCAACATAATGAGGTCTTATCTCTACTAAAAATACAAAAAATTAGCCAAGTATGGTAGCGTGCGCCTGTAGTCCCAGTTATTCAGGAAGCTGAGGCAGAAAGATCATTTGCACCCAGGAAGTTGAAGCTACAGTGAGCCGTTACTGCACCACCACACTCCATCCAGCCTGGGCAACATAACGAGACCCTGTCTCAACAACAACAACAACAACAACAAAATTGACCCAATATTCAATGATCAAAAGGTAAAGTGACCTTAAAAATATTTCTAGAAGACATTTTCAAAGATTTTACCGATGAAGTAGAATGCTGTAGAGCAGGGGGCCCCACCCCTGGGCCAGAGACCGGTACTGTCCATGGCCTATTAGGAACCAGGCCACACAGGAGGAGGTGAGCAACAGGCGAGCATCTGTCAGATCAGTGGCGGCATCAGATTCTCATACCAGCATGAATCCTATTGTGAACTGCACATGTGAGGGATCTAGGTTGCCCGCTCCTTATGAGAATCTAACTAATGTCTGATGATCTGAGATGGAACGGTTTCATCCCGAAACCATACACTTCCACCCCCGTCTGTGGAAAAATTATCTTCCACAAAACCGGTCCCTGGTGCCAAAAAGGTTGGGGACCACTGCTGTAGAGGCTTTAATGTGATCCCACTCTAAGTATCCAACATTACCCTAGGTCCATCTATAAGCATGTAATAAACTCTGTAAGCCTTAATTTTTAATTTTCTTATCTGTAATATGGGCATATTAATAATAGTGCCTAACTATACAGAACTGTCATTTAATTCTCACATTTTGGCTCAAGGCCTAGCATAAAGTAAATGTACAAAATATTCTTTCATTTAACAAATACTTGCATGTCTACCATGACCTATAGATACCTAGTGAAAACAAGTCCCTGCCTACATGGAGCTTACATTCTAATGACAGCATGAGACAATTAACTAATACAAATAGCATAATGTTGGAAAGAAAAATAAAGCCGGGTTAGGAGATAAAAGATCACAGTGAAAGTGGTAGAAGTGGCTATTTTAGATAAAAGCAAACAAGCTGCCACCTCTGAGGAGATATCTGAGCAGGAATCTGAATGAAATTTAAGGAACAGCAAGACCAGCAGTATAGCCAGGTGGGCAAACAATGATCAAATGTGAAATCAGATAGCTAGCCAGAGGCCAAATTCTGTGAGGCTGTGTGGCCAAAGTGAGGATTTTTAGTTTTATTCTAAAAGTGATAAGGACTGGTCGCAGTGGTTCACACCTGTAATCCTAGCACTTTGGGAGGCCTAGGTGGACATATTGCTTGAGCTCAGGAGTTCGATACCAGCCTGGCCAACATGGCAAAACCCTGTCTCTACTAAAAATACAAAAATTAGCTGGGTGTGGTAGCACGCACCTGTAGTCCCAGCTATTTGGGAGGCTGAGACACGAGAACAGCTTGAACCTGGGAGGCAGAGGCTGCAAGTGTGACTAGATCATGCCACTGCACTCCAGCCTGGGCGACAGAGGCTCTGACTCTGACTACAAAAAAAATTTAAAATTACATTAAAATGAAATAAATGTGACAGGAAACCAGTGAAGAATTTTAAGCAGAGGGGTGACATGATCTGATTGCAAAGGGGTGACATAATCTGATTTATATTTCTTTTTTTTCTTTGAGACAGAGTCTCACTCTGTCGCCCAGCAGGCTAGAGTGCAGTGGCACGATCTCAGCTCACTGCAAACTTCGCCTCCCAGGTTCAAGCGATCCTCCTGCCTCGGCTTCCTGAGTAGCTGGGACTATGGGCGTGCACCACCATGCCCGGCTAATTTCTGTATTTTTAGTAGAGACGGGGTTTCACCACGTTGGCCAGGCTGGTCTCCAACTCTTGACCTCGTGATCCGCCCACCTCGGCCTCCCAAAGTGCTGGGATTACAGGCGTGAGCCACCACACCCAGCCCTGATGTATATTTCTAAAATATGACTGGCTACTGCATGGAAACAAGGGCAAAAGCAGAGAGACAGGAGGCTATTGCAGTACTTATCTTGACTAGAGTAGAAATGGCAAAAAGTAACTGATTCAGGATATATTGTGAAGGCAAAGATGGCAAGACTTACTGATTGATATATGTG